>NC_000023.11:50278964-55078964 GCF_000001405.40 Homo sapiens
ATATATGTAAATATGTAGTATATATAAATACATATAGAATATATATATTTATATATAGAATATATTTATAGAATATAGATATTGAATATATATAGAATATATTTATAGAACATATATAAATATATATTAATATATATTCCATATATAAATATATAGAATATATTATATTCATATATAAATATATAGAATATATATATTCTATATATATATGAATATAATATATTCTCTATATATAAATATATAGAGTATATATATTCATATATAAATATATATGAATATATATACTATATATAAATATATAGAGAATATATACATATTCATATATAAATATATATGAATATTTATATTTAATATATATTTAAATATATATGAATATATATATGAATATAGGATATTTATATGAATATATAAATATATGAAATATTTTGTATATTCATATAGAAATATATAAATATATAAATATATATAAATATATATATAAATATATAAATATATATAAATATATAAATATATGAAATATTCATATATAAATATATATGAATGTATTTATTCATATAAAGATATATGAATATATATTCATATATATAAATATATGAATATATATTTTCTATATATAAATATATATTCATATGTAAATGTATATGCATATGTACATTCATCTATGTAAATATATGAATATGTACATTCATCTATGTAAATATATGAATATGTACATTCATCTATGCAAACATATATGTGAATATGTATATTCATATATGTAAATATATATGATTATGTATATTCATATATGTAAATATATATGAATATGTATATTCATATATGTAAATATATACTATATATAGAATATATATGGTATTTATATAAATACATATACTTTATAAATATAAAATATATATACTATATATAAAATATATATAGTATATATAAATATATAGTGTATATATATAAAAATATATATAGAATAAATATGTATTTATAATATATATAGAATATATGAGTATATATATAATATATGTAGAATATATGAATATATACATAGAATATATAAATATATAGAATATATATAAATATATAGACAGAATATATATAAATATATATGGAATATATAAATATATATATGGAATACATATAAATATATATATAGAATATATAAATATATATAGAATATATGTAAAAATATATATAGAATATATATAAATATATATAGAATATATATATAAATATATATAGAACATATAAATATATTTTTAGAATATATATAAATATATGTATAGAATATAGATATAAATATCTATATAGAATATAGATATAAATATATGTATAGAATATAGATATAAATATATATATAGAATATAGATTTAAATATACCTATATTCTAGTTCCTGGCACAAATCAGGTGATTAATAAATGTTTGTTAAACAAACTAATGTATGAATGAAATGAATGAGATATTGAGCTATTAGCAAAGTACAATTTTGTCATCTGTAAAATGGCAATAATACAAGGATCTTGTTTTAGGACAGGATTTAAAGCAATAAAAAATTTTATAGTAGGTAGCACGTTTTGAATTAACTTAACTACTATTAGCTCTCTGCACTTTGGGTCCTCATTCACAAAATAGGGGCAGTAACTTCTGCCTTGCTTCCTTCACAAGGCTATTTGTGAAGCCTGCAGGAATTAGTGCTTGACTCTATAAGTGGTTATTAATATTAATGTTTTAATAGGCCCGTACCTGCATCATACAGCTGCTCTGCTCTTCCCATCCTCTGGCAAGGTTATTTAAATGAAAACGCGTCTTTTATTTTATTTTTTTGAGACAGGGTCTCAGTCTGTCACCCAGGCTGGAGAGCAGTGGCACAATCATTGCTCACTGCAACTTCTGCCTCCCGGGCTCAAGTGATCCTACCACCTCAGCCTTCCAAGTGGCTGGGACTATAGGTACGCGCCACTACGCTCCGACTGATTTTTGTATCTTTTGTAGAGATGGGGTTTTTCCATGTTGCCCAGGCTCATCTCCAACTCCTGTCCTCAAGCGATCCGCCCCAACTCGCTCTCCCAAAGAGCTGGGAGTACGGGAGTAGGCCACCGCGCCTGGCCAAAAACTCGTCTTTAAAGAGACCCGATACTCCCTGCGTGTCAGCCCAGCCTGGTCCAACCAATTATACCAGAAACAACACCCTACTGCGAGGTCCTTCAGAGGCAGAGTTGGATTTTAAAATACCCAGCTCCACCCCTTCCTGTTAGGCTTTCGCGTGTCGCAGCTGTGCACGCTGATTGGTCCTCTGCTGGCCAATCACCACTGCACTTCATGACGGCTGTAGTTTTCAAAATCCCAACTGGGCTGGTGGAGGGTCGCAGGTGTCAGGTTGAGACGGACTCGAGTCGCTATAGTAAGGAGCTCCGTTCATTTCCTTGGCCTCTCCTGGTCTAGGGGTGCGTCGATGGTCTTTGCTGTCTGTCCTCGATCTCGGTGTGAGGTAGGCGCCTTTGGGCAAGTACTGCTGGCTCCAGCGTCCGGCTCTGTCGCCTGCCAGTGGGTCCTTGGGCGTCACTCCAGCCCCTTGCTGAATTCTGTTGCTGGGATGCGCGGCGTTCCTGTAAGGAAACTTTTCAATCTCCTGTCGATCAGCAGCCTGTGGAGTGAGCTCTGTACAAGATTGGGCAGGGGGAGTGTTTGTTAAGGAGTGAGATGGCAAAGCAAATGAGACTGGGTCCCAGCTTTTAGATGGAGCAATTAGTACACGTGCCTGAATCAGAGTACTTTTACAAAACGTCTTTTCACAAGTGAAAGTGTGCAGGATTAATTTCATCTACAAGTGCAGAGGGATCAGACATATTTAAGTCATAGAATGCTACTTGCAGCATGTCTTTTGAGCTACAGGTTGAAGGATATGAAGGGAGGATGGACACGTGTCCTCACTCTATTGTTAACCCTTTATCTTCACTGGCTCTTTTCTGTTCCCACCGGCAACCACCTTCAGCTTTGGCTTTCTCACCACCCTCTGCTACGCTTAGAATCGTAGAAGATCAGGTAGAAGGGACCCTAGAACAGCGGCGCTTAAATCTTAACGTGCATAAAAATCACCTGGGGATATTGTTAATTTGCAGATTTTGATTTGATAGGTCTAGTTTGGGGCCTGAGGTTTTAAATTGCTAACAAATTTCCAGGTGATGCTAATGTTGCTTGTCCATTGACCACATTGAATAGCGAGGAGGCTCTAGTTCCACTGCTTCGTTTTATTGGGTGGGAAAACTGGGTCCCAGAGAGGGAAAGGGACTTGCCCAGTGTCACCCAGCCAACTAAGAGCAGAGCCAGAACTAGACCTTAGGCATCCTTCCCAGCCCAGTGCTGTTTTATTGACACAATGCTGTGTTCTCTCCCCAGAGCCTTGCTGTCTGTAACCTGCCTTTATATAAAAAATGAAGTTGCTACTACTTCCTGTAGACTGTTTTGATCAGCTTAGCCCTGCTGCCCCTTTGTTTGTTTCAGCACCAGCCCTGGGAGGTCCAGTGGAGTCTGCAACACTTACCAGTGTGTATGTAGGGGACATGGAAAGTCTGAAAAGGGGAAAGGATTCTAATTTTCTTGCCCAAGGCTCAGGGTTCTGTAGGTGGCAGAAGTTGAGAGTGTTCCGCAGAGAGTGTCCTTTTATGAAAGGATCTTTTTGATAGTGTCAATCCCCTCTCCTCCCCTTCTCCCTGGGAAAATTAGTTTACCTAAGTCAGTGCATCTGTCCCTCAATGCAAATGATTAGTGTTCACGATAATAAATGGGGTATATGACCATCATTTAAATAACCTTATTTTCTCTGAGATTTAGTTAACCTGTATGTTATCAGCTGAGAGTTTTCTAGCCTGTGGGCTCCGTATTTCTTTTTCCTTTTAAAAGGTAAATGTTTCAGAGTGTGAGTCTTTGGTCATCCATAAAAAAAAAAATTATGAGGCGTAAATAATAATAGTGGAGTAAGTGATTTTCATACAGTGCAGTTAACAGTGGGTGCACCCAATTTAGCTTTATTGCTGCTTGGCTGAGGTTTGAGGAATGAGATGGAATATAGGTTTGGATTTGATAGAAGAAGAGGGGAGTAAGACAGTATTTATTAAATGCCTGCCATGCATCAGGTTTTGTACATGTAAATTTGCATCTGAGCCACACAAGTCCTCTGCAAGTAAGTGGTGTTATAGCTGTTTTGAAAATGAGGAAACTGAGGCTCAGAAATGCTAAGTTGGCTGGCTTAGAAGTCCAGTTATTCAAACTCCAAGACCTGTGCTCATTCTACCTCCTCATACTATGGCCTTTCACTGTTTTGGAATATTTTTGAGTGTGATCGAAGAGACTTCATGGTATTTTAGAAACTGCCTGGGAAAAAGCTGGGCAGTCTATGCCCCTTAATAGTTTGTCCTGGGTAGTAAGTTACTTAACTCATCTGAGACTGTAAAATAGAATTGTACCTGCCTTGCTTAGCCTTATGGTTTTGTTGTGAGAATCAACTGAGGTAACATGTGAATGCATATACTTATACTGGCTTTTCCTGACCTACAAAATGTTTCATCCTTCTCCATCCAAAGCGAAACCCAAATCAGGCTTTCTCCTTTCTTAAACTTTCCCCTCAAGCTGCAGACTTTTCTGTTTCCTTTTCTTACCAGCCTGGCCCCAGCCTAGCTTTTCAGCCTCATTTTAACCCCTCCCCAACATGTTATTTATGCTCCCTACTCCAGACAACTAGGACATCCCTGAATTCTGTATGTTCATGCCTCTGCCTGGGCTCGGCTTTCTTTGCCTGGAAACCTCCCAGTCAACTTGGGAACCTGTTTGTCATTTTAAGTCCTGATCACATGTTACTTCCTTTGTGAAGCCTTCCTCCAGCCCCTGTCCCCAACAAGATTACTGGCTTTCCATTATGTTTCTTTTTTCTTTTCTTTTTTTTTTTTAGTTTGGCATGACAGACACATATAAATTTTATTATGATTTAATCATTATTTCTATCCTTTTCCTTGAACAAAGTCTATAAAAGAATTTTAGTTGTATTTTTCCAGGTAGTTGGATTTTTTAAAAAACATTTTGCCTCTATCAAAATACTTCAGGAATACATTTTTAGCAGTCATATTAAGCATCACAGACACATTATCAACCTTTACTTAGATTTAGCCATATATTTTATTGGTTTCTTTGCTCAACTGCTTACTTTTCAACTGTTTTCTCATTTTTCTGTTTCTCCTCCATCTTCCTTTCTCTTCCCCCTACTCCTTCACCATCTTCGTCCTTAGGTAATTTTAGTTTGCCCTCACATCTGCATAATTGGTAAAGTATAGAATTCTAGGTGAAAAATCTTTTTCCCTAGAAACTATGTAAACGGTGTTTCACTGCCTTCTGTCATTTGGTGTGAAGTTACTAATCATTATGTTTCTATAGCACTTAGTTTGCGCTGCTATAAAGTGCCATGGACTGGGTGGCATTTAGTTCTCACAGTTCTGGAGGCTGGGAAATCCAAGATCAAGTTCTTATGTCAAATGATTTTTTAATAAGTTAGTTTATTTTGCTATAATCTCATCTTTTGAATTTTTTGTTCCTTCCAGGTGTCTGGAACTGGATTACAGTTTCTTCTGATTGAACGCAGCCTTTGAATACTGCCTGGCCTATCGCGAATACATGTGTGTGCAGTTATTGTTTTCTCTGTAGGGTCATAATTGCTTTGCCAGGACCCCATGCCTTTTAAGAACATTGGCTCTACCAGCTTGCCTCCATACTATATGAGCTGTCATGTTCTTCCTTGTTTTCAATGCAAAACTCCTATGTAATTTGTCCCCAGTGTTGCTAGGCCTAAACTAGGGGCTAGACAACATCCCAGCGTTCACAGAGGATGGTAGGCACTGTGCTTGGCTTTTTACATAAAGTGTCTCATTTAATTTGAACAACACCCTGCAGAGGTAGGTATACTTATCTCCATTTTACAGATGAGGTAACTGAAGCCCAGAGATTTTAAGTCAGTCACTTGCCTGAGGTTAATTGTGATAAAACCAAGATTTGAATCCAGATCTTCCCAACATCAAAATCTGTTTTCTCCTAGGGATGCTATAGATAGACTGGGTTTTCTCAAGAATTTTCAGAGAATTTATCGTGTTTCTGGTGAATGGTGTTAAAGAGCCTCTTTCTGATTACAGCCCTGCCTTGGACAAGACGCAGCTGAATCTCTAAGTGATGCTACTGCCACTACCACCCCAGAGCTCCAAACCTGTGCCTAAGAAATCTCAGTCCAGCAAAATTGTGCCCAGTCATCATGACCCATCTGAAAAGGTTAGAGCAAGCTGTCTTTCCCAACAATATCTTTGGTAGTCTCTTCCTGTGTTGGCTCAGTACCTATCCTCACCTGTGAGTCTTTTGAAATATGTCTGGTTTAACCTGAGAAAGTGGGGAGGGGTGGCAGCCCTTGTATTGGAGAATGCCAGCAAATTAGAACTTGGGGAGAAAGTATGGACTCTTCATTCCCATAAATGCAGGGCTCAAATGAAGGCCACCCTCCATAACCCTCAAAACTGAACAACACTCAGTCCTCATTAATGATCATGTCTATATTCTTACTTTCTCTGAGAAGCTCCAAGCACCTTGCTGAAAGACTGGTACATTCTGGGGAGAGTATGAAGATTATATCAGCACATATATTATTATGCTTTTTATAGCTATTAAATTTGAAGAATGGGTATATTTTGACTCTGCTGTTTTGACTTTATTGATAGTTTGATGTTCTAACCTTAGGATATTCTGTGTTCATCATCATACATATTTTAATCAGAATTATACTAGCACTGATGAATTGGCATCAAGAGAGTATTTCCTGGAGCAAAACATCATTAGGTGAATTTAATTTCCTTGATTGGTTTTCTCTGAGCACAGATAAACATTTTCTAATCTTGCTTATTTTACTAAAATGATTTTCAGCGAGGTGCCAAATTTTTTCCTATGTAAATTTTTCGAGAAAGATTTGATATATTGATCAGATTTTTGTCAACATCAAATTTTCGGATTAGTGTTCTGCCATTGTAACTTTTCTTTAGTGGCAATTATTTTTCCAAAACCAACTTTCTTGGAGTACATTTTGCAAATCTAAGTTTTATTGAGTTCAGTTTCAGCTATAATTTTATTTGGGGTCAATTATTTCTATCAGTAATATTAAATAGGAATTGGATAACAGTTTATTTCTTAGCTAATTTCTGAGAAAATAATGTTTCATTTTTGGCTAATTTCTAGTGGGATTATTTATCATCAGCTAGATGAAAGACTAATAGCTTACTTATGTCTTGGCTTAATCAATTAGAAAATGGAAGTAATTCTTCTCAGCTTGTTCTGTTTTGTTTTGAGATGGAGTCTTGCTCAGTCACCCAGGCTGGAGTGCAGTGGCACGATCTCGGCTCACTGCAACCTCCACCTTCCGGGTTTAAGCAATTCCCTGCCTTAGCATCCTGAGTAGCTAGGATTACAGGCGCCTGCCACCATGCCCGGCTAATTTTTGTATTTTTAGTAGAGACGGGGTTTCACCATCTTGGCCAGGCTGGTCTTGAACTCCTGACCTCGTGATCCACCCGCCTCGGCCTCCCAAAGTGCTGGGATTGGGATTACAGGCCTGAGCCACAGTGCCTGGCCCTCAGTTCGGTTTTTTTTTTTTTTTTTTGGTTGTTGTTGTTGTTGTTTGTTTGTTTGTTTTTTTTGAGACGTAGTCTTGCTCTGTCACCAGGCTGGAGTGCAGTGACACGATCTCGGCTCACTGCAACCTCTGCCTCCCAGGTTCAAGCAATTCTCCTGCCTCAGCCTTCTGAGTAGCTGGGACTACAGGCATGCGCCACCGCGCCCAGCTAATTTTTGTATTTTTGATAGAGACGGGGTTTCCCCGTGTTGGCCCGAACGGTCTCAATCACTTGACCTCATGATCCATCCGCCTCAGCCTCCCAAAGTGCTGGGATTACAGGCGTGAGCCGCCGCGTCGGGCTCCAGCTCTTTTAAGATTGCTCTCTCTGCTGGATTGGTTTATTGTGTCATGAATCCAATTCTGGTAACTTACTGTGCCATGTATTAAGTGTTAATGGTACAGCTGGAGAACAGAGCAAATGGTCTGATCCCAGTGTCCTGCTTCACATTATAACAGCTCTCTGACACAGGTAGGGCGGGTTTGTTTTCAGAATTTCATAAGGGCAGTCTGAGACTTAGGAGATTTTTACCACATAAAGTTGTTAGAGGGTAGAAGACTCCTATAGTGTGGTTTGCCCTAACCTCTAACCCTATAGAGATGGTCTTACTCATTTGGGAATGGGGTAAGGCAAGCACAGACACAGAATATGTGGGAAAAAAGCCCCTTCTGCTTTAAAATATTCATCCCCCTTCCCTTCCCCGGCCCCTCCTTTATATATACTAACAATCAGAGATTAATCTGGATTACTAAACTTTGTTTTTAATATAAAATTTTCCTTGTGAGGTTTACAATCATATCAGACTACATTATTTTAAATACTATTTCTGCCCATTTACAGTTCATACGAACTTTTAAAAAACATGTATTGTCTTATTTAATCTTCAAGGACTGTAAGGCAAGTTATCCAGCTTTACTGATAAGAAAATTGAGGATTAGAGATTAAGTTACTTGTCCAAGGTCAACAGTTAGTAAAGAGCTGATCCTGGAGCAGTATCTAGATGTGTGTGCTATTATCCTTACTGGTAATGTCTTTTAAAACAGGTCCCCAACCCCTGGGCCATGGAGCAGTATCTAGATGTGTGTGCTATTATCCTTACTGGTAATGTCTTTTAAAACGGGTCCCCAACCCCTGGGCCATGGACCAGTACTAGTCTGTGGCCTGTTAGGAACCCAACTGTACAGCAGGAGGTGAGCAGTGAGTGAGAAAAGCTTCATCGGTATTTATAGCCACTCCCCATCGCTCATATTACTTCCTGAGCTCCACCTCCTGTCAGATCAGCAGTGGCATTAGATTCTCATAGAAGCATGAACCCTATTGTGAACTGCTCATGCGAGGGATCAAGGTTGCGCGCTCCTTATGAGAATCTAATGCCTTATGATCTGTCACTGTCTCCCATTTCCCCCAGATGGGACTATCTAGTTGCAGGAAAACAAGCTCAGGGCTCCCACTGATTCTACATTATGGCGAGTTATATAATTATTTCATTATATATTACAATGTAATAATAAATGTGCACAATAAATGTAATGTGCTTGAATCATCCCAAAACCAGCCCACCCCAGTGTCCGTGGAAAATTTGTCTTCCATGAAACCAGTCCCTGGTGCCAAAAAGGTTAGGGACCGCTGTTTTAAAAGCTGCTTAACATAAGAGACCCTTAGATATTTGTTAAATTATTAAACTGATCTACCTGAAAAAGCTGCTTAACATAAGAGACACTTAGATACTTGTTAAATTATTAAACTGATCTACCTGAAACATCTATATTAAAGGAATGACTAGGAATGGTAGGGGTGGTAGTGGTCTACCTTGGATAGGATAACCGTAAGTATGAGAGAAGTAAGAGGAGAAATGAGCTTTACTGAGCTACACTTTGCTCATTTTGTGAGTTACACTGAAGGTCATCTTGCCTCCTTGTAGACGTACCCCATTAACAATGTCTACCACCTTTAGGGACTTAATAAACAGCTCTGAGTGCCATAATTTCCTTTTGTTATAGTTTATTGGGGTTTATTATATGCATCCTCAGTTACTCTGAGGTTCTGGAGTTCCCCTGAGCCCTAAAGAGGACCCAAAGTCCCTGAAGAGACTGTTCACAATTGGATATACTCATTTACCTCTTTTACTTTTTTAGACGGGGGAGAATTGCCAAACGAAGATATCTCCATCTTCACTTCAGGAGTCTCCATCTTCACTTCAGGGAGCACTCAAAAAGAGATCAGCTTTTGAAGATCTCACTAATGTGAGTATGCTAGTCCAATCCTTTGCTATGGTTTTGCATAAGGCTTAGACATGCTGTTTCTTGAGGGACCTTTCCACTTTACCAGACCCTCTCTGGAATCTTGACAGCAAATTTTATTTGGGACCAATGACCCAGTTTCAGAAACTGCAGGGGCTCTGTTCCTGGCACATACCATCTGAAACAATTGGTGGAGTTCTCTGGAAGCAGCAGACAGTGATTATCAGATATGAAATTGCAGATAACTATGAGAACTATGGAATTTTGCATTTAGATAAAGTCCAGAGGTGACTGCCCAGGCCTTCGAGGTAAGTATTTTAGTGGAATCATTGTAGTCCAGTGCAGTGTTTATCAATTCACACATTATGGACATTTTGAGCAGGACAATTTTTCTGTTGTGTAGGACTGATCTCAACTAGCACCCCTCGTCCTCAGGCATTAAATTCCACCAGCAGCCCAGTCATAGTGATAATCAAAAATGCCTCCAGATACACAGAACTGTTGAGAACCATAGTTCCAAGATCGAGTCTTTATGAAGATCTAGAAATTCAATTTTGGCTAGAATTCTCTCAAGTAACCTCCCTTCTGGTATTATTAAGGTACCAGTAAAAATCAGAATTAATAGAATGTTGTTAATTGAATATAGAATCAGGCCAAAGGCAATCTTTGTCTTAGAAAATAATAATAACTGGTACACTTACTGGGTGCTTACCATGTGTCAGGCACTATGCTAAGCATGTTATCCTGCATCAGCTCACTTAATCCTCATGTAATCCTATGAGGTAGATACTATAATATCTTCTTTATAGATGAGGACTTCACCAATGTTGGTTTTGAAGTCTGTATTATCTAGGCTATAGATAATCCTGGTGAACTATTCTTGCCCTGCATTATGTAGTATACTTATGTAGCTACCAGAATACTTGTATCTACTAAATAGTGTTTTACTCCCTTGGGCATAATTGGATAAGCATTGGTAAGGTTCTTTCCTTTAGATCGCTGCTCTTTAGATTCTGTATGGCCACCTTTCTGCAAATACAATCTCTTCCCTATACAGATTACAACATGGTTTTTTAAGTTACAGCTTTCTGCATAATTTCAGATTTACTATCAATTGGTAGAAAGAGCCCCTTCCCACACACACACTTGTAAGGTTAGATTAATTTCCTGACTTATTTAACCATGGATACAGAATTTGGCTGAAATAAGGTAGCCACAAATCAGGAGCAGATGCAGCCTATCTTAGTGTAACTTGCCTTGGCCCCTCCAAGTCCCTGATGGGAGTACAGTGACACTGTGCAAGGAAAGTGTCTAAGTCCATGTGGGCAATTATCACAAAACACCTTAGACTGGGCAACTTAAAAACAACAGAAAGTTATTGCTCACAGTTCTGGAGGCTGAAAAGTCCAAGATCAAGGTGCTGGCAGATTTGGTATCTGGTGAGGGCCCGTTCCTCATGGATGACATCTTTTGCCTGTGCCCTCATGTGGTGGAAGAGGCAAACAAGCTTCCTCGGGCCTCTTTTATAAGGGCACTAATCCCATTCACAAGGGCTGTGCTCTCATGACTTAATCACTTCTCAAAAGGCCTATCTCTTAATAGCATCACATTGGAGATTAGGTTTCAACATAATGAATTTCAAAGGGACACAAATATTCAGATCACAGCAGTAAAGTATCACAGCGCATGAGAAACTTTCTTGTGACATCTCAGTCCCTTTTTTCATGAGTTTATCTTACCATTCAGAAAGAACAGATATACATGAAGTGTATCAATAATGGGAAATCCATGCAGGTATCTAGGACCCTCCTGATTCTCCAGCTGAATTGAGCATCTGTTTGGCCATATCCCCATGGGGTTAGGGGGCAGGGGAGCAAGGGATCTCTGAGCAGAGTCTCTGCTTCTAGCTCTCTGGCTGCTCAGAAAGCCCATTTACCGTTTGCGCTCAAGTTCTGAAGATTTACCTTGGTTACCTTGAATGGTCTTTGGTGCCTTCCAGAGACAGTTCCATCATTACAATGTACCTAAGCCATTCCTAGGGTTGGGCATTACTGCAGATATCTGAGCTCATCTATTTGACAGTTGAGGGCTCCTTTCTCTCTGGGTTTTGGAGGTTCCCTATATGATAATTTGCTTCTTACAGTCAGTATTATTAGGTCTCCATGTCTTCATCCCTGTGTTCTTCTCAACATTTGCCACAGTGAGATCCTGGCCTGCCAAAAAGAGTTAATCTGTTTTAATTAGTTAATCTGCTGTGAGTTTTTCTTTTCCTCTGCCTTATCATTTCTAGCATGGGAAGGACTTATGATATTTAAGAACTGGTGCTAAGCCAGTAGACAAGGAGATAGGGCCTATATCCATGTTTGCCTAAATGGTTTTGCGTAAGTAGGACTTTCATTTATTTTTATTTATATATGTTATTTTATTTATTTTTTTTGAGATAAAGTCTTGCTCTTCTGCCCAAGCTGGCATGATCACAGCTCACTGCAGCCTCAGCCTCCTGAATAGCTGGGACTACAGGTGATTGCCACCATGCCCAGCTAATTTATGTATTCTTTTTGTAGAGATGGGATTTTGCCATGTTGCCCAGGCTGGTCTTGAACTCCTAGGCTCAAGCAATCCTCCTGCCTCGACCTCCCAAAGTGCTGCAATTATAGGTGTGAGCCACCACACCAAACCTTCACTTCTATTTTCCTATTTTATGGTGAAAGAATTATGGGGAAGTACAAGTAAAGGTCCCCTGGAGCTTAAACTTGAAAATATCAGTGCTTTGTACCTGTATGTATGGCAAGTAGAGAGTTTCATCTTGGGAGTTATGATCTCCACGTCTTTCTTGCCATGAATGCACCTCTTTTCCCATTCTGAATCTTGATTGTACATATAAGGAGTTTGCAAAACTTTAGGTGAAGTTAAAATGGTGACTGTGCCAAGCTCTTTGAAAAGCAGAGGTAGATGACTTGAGGTCCTAAGAAAGAGTTTCCTATTGGACTGTAGTTGTTTATTATGATCTGATGATACAAAGACATACTTTTTTTTCTACATTTAACTTGGAAATAACTTCAAATTTATGAAGTGTTGCAAAAATGAAAATTGTACAAAGAACACCAGTATACCCTATAGTAGATTACTTATTGTTGACATTTTGTCCCACGTGCTTTCTCATTTGCTTGTATATGTCATGGTCCCTTTACCCGTAAGTACAGTGTGTATTTCCTAAGAATAGGGAAGTTGTCTTATATAACCACAATATACTTATCAATTTTCTAAATTTACATTGATATAGCAGTTTTGTGTAATCAATCATCTATATTCCAATTTTGTCAGTTGACCTTATAACAACCTTTATAGCACGTTTTCCCCTCCAGTAAAGGATCCAGGCTAGGATCATGTATTTACTTGTCTTTTTAGCCTCTTAACCTGGAACATTTCCATAGCCTTTTTTTTTAATGACGTTGCCATTTTTGAGGATGCAGTCCCACCCAACTCCCCACTTTGTAAAATAGAAAAGTCCTCATTTTGTTTTTGTCTAATGTTTGCTTGTGACTAGATTGATACATTCTTGGCTAGGATACTGTGTAGGTTATGTTCTTGCTATCCTTCTCAAAGTATATCTGGAGGCACAGGATGTCTGTCTTTCATTGATGATGTTAATTTTGATCACCTGTTCAAGATGTTGCCTGGTTTTTGTACTGTATCATTATTGTTTATCTTTTTCTCTTGCAACTAGTAAGGAATCTGTAGGACATACTGTACAAGCATGAGCCTTCCCTTCTCCACTGTTTATTATCAGTATGGACTCCTGAGTCCATATTTTCCAGAGGTTTACTGTTCATTATTGTACTTTATTTTGGTGCTCAAATTGCCCCATCTTTGGCCAGTTAGGAGCACCTTCAATCTCACTAACGTGTCCTTGTGACACACTCTCATAATTTTTTGAGCATTTTCTTTCCAGCTTAAAAAGATGTTCCAGACTCATCTTATGTCTCCTTTGTCCAAGCCCTGGAGTCAAACATTTCTCCAGAGTTCTGGTTCCCTTTAATGGGGAGTGATATTAGATACCAAGATATTGATGCTAGATGTGCTATTAGGATGTCTGCTTTTTCTGCCCATTCTGCAGACAGAGCTAGGAAATATCTGTATTTTTATATACACAAATGTGTACTTATACATACGTCTGTATATACAAATATATGTGTATAACTGGTTCAGTCTTGGGAGGGTGTATGTGTCCAGGAATTTATCCATTTCTTCTAGATTTTCTAGTTTATGTGCATAGAGGTGTTTATAGTATTCTCTGATGGTTGTTTGTATTTCTGTGGGGTCATGGTGATATCCCCCTTATTTCTGACTGTGTCTATTTTATTCTTCTCTCTTTTCTTATTAGTCTAGCTAACAGTCTGTCTGTTTTATTAATTTTTTTCAAAAAGCCAGCTCCTGGATTTGTTGATTTTTTTTAAGGTTTTTTTGTGTCTCTCTCTCCTTCACTTCCACTCAAATTTTGATTACTTCTTGTCTTTTGCTAGCTTTGGGGTTTGTTTGCTCTTGGTTCTCTAGTTCTTTTAGTCATGATGTTAGGTTGTCTATTTGAGATCTTTCTAGCTTTTTGATGTGGGCATTTAGTATATGTACACACATATACCTATTTAGGAAATCATGAATTCATGCAGCTTCAATTTCAATACATAAAATTATTTCTTAGATTCACTAGTCCTTATTTGTATGTTCTATATTGAGAACCCTGGCTCCCAAGAACATCAACACATTTACTTAATACTGTAATACAGCTAAAAGAGTTTCAAAATGGCTTCATCCAAACCACTGTAATAAACAAACCTACTAAAAAGAGTTCCAGATTTATTAGCAATATCTACAACCTCCTGCAGACCTATCCTAATTGAGGATGTATACTTTGAAGGTGGTAGTCAAATACTATTTATAAGTGACTTGGATTGGTTATTTCTGGTCTTTTATTCTGCTTTATTTTTTCCTTTAATGTAGTTATGGTACTTATTTGAAATATAATTAGGTTCATTTGTGTCATTTAATTTTTTAATTTTTAAAACTTTTTTGAGACAGGGTCTTGCTCTGTTGCCCAGTCTGGAGTACAGTAGCGTGGTTGAAGCTCACTGTAGTCTCAACCTCCCGGACTCAAGCAATCCTCTTACCTCATTCCCCCCAAGTAGCTGGGACCATAGGCATGTGCCACCACACCGAGCTATTTTTTTTATTATTTTTTTGTAGTGACAGGGTCTCCCTATGTTGCCCAGGCTGGTCTTGAACTCCTGGGCTCAAGTGATCCTCCCACCATGGCCTCTCAAAGTGCTGGGACTGCAGGCAAGAGCCACTGTGACTAGCCTGTTTGTTTCATTTTAAAGATATAACTTTAAGTGTATTTTTACTGACATTATTAACAGTCCCATGATCTTTCCTACTGTTTAATAGTGTTAGTCAGGATTAGAGTCTGTGTGGAACTCCCCAAAGCCCTGAGTTAAATAAATGCCACTTAGTGAGATGGGATAGATATATCACAGGTAGTATGTAGTGTTAGAGGTATATCCTGAAGAGGCACACCCAGACAGCAAAGTCAATCATACTGCCTTTTTTCCCCTCTGAAAATCTTATGAGGTCAAAGTGGAGTATGATGTTAACACGGCATATTTTCAGTTATGGGCCAGCTAGTAGGCCTGGCATAGAGCACAGAACTACATCCTGTATCTCTTGGAAACACATAGGGCTGCTAGTTAGCCAACACATACCAGTACTACTGCACTGGTTGTTTGATGCTAGCTTCCACTGTGATTGGTTGGCCCACTGCCATACTGGTTGTGAGATGTTTGGATTATCACTCCTGGGAACACCCAACCAACTTATGTGGGTCAGGACTTTCCTATGAGAGCCACCTTTTAGGTAATTTGTGGTTTTCTTCATTTTCTTGCCTCCTTCTTCCCCTGCCCCCCAACCCACCTTTTTTTTTGCAGGCTTCTCAATGTCAACCTGTCCAGCCCAAGAAAGAAGCCAATAAAGAGTTTGTAAAAGTTGTTTCCAAGAAGATAAACAGGAACACACATGCTCTTGGACTGGCCAAAAAGAATAAGCGGAATCTAAAATGGTGAGTGAAAGGGGACTCAGATGGCATTATTTTAGATGGTAGAGTATGTGACATCCTTTTGTCCCCATTGAGAACATATTTAGCAAGCCACAATGGTGACTACCACATTAACCCTGGGTGCTGAGGTGGGCTCAGCTGTGGTTGCTGAAGAGTTAAAAAAAGCCTCTTCTGTCTCTCCTCTTTCATTACGTGTGTGCATATTGAAAGAGCTCTTGTCATTGGAAAATTTGCCAAAAGACCTTGTGCTCATCTTTTCCTGTCTTTTAGTAATTCAGTACCTGTTTGAGCTAGTCTGTGCTTTATAGTGTGGAGACAACTTAACTTTCCAGGGATTCTCAGCAGCTGACTGGTAGCTTGCCAGTCAGCTTATTCCATTAGAAGCTTTACGGGAGGTTTGTCCCATGTTACTGGAGATAAATTACTATCTCCCTAGAGCAAAAACATGTGGTTTTCAGCTGTTACAGGTACCGTTCACAGGTTCTACAAGTACAGATGCACATTCCCATTTAGGATTGGAAAAATAATTTACCTCTAGGAAGACTTTATCCCCTCCTCATTCCGGTGGGAATTATTCTTCAGGGACTAACTAATCTACATCTGAATAGATTAGATAGCTGGCTATTACAGGGCTAAAGTCAATCATGTTGCCTTATTCCCCTCTGAAAATCTTATGAGGTCAAGGTGGAGTGATGTTAACACAGCATCTTTTCAGTTATTTGCTAGCCAGAAGGCCTGGTATAGAGCACAGAACTACATCCTGTATCTCTTGGAAACATGTAGGGCTGCTATTTAGCCAACACATACCAGTACTATTGTACTGGTTGTTTGATGCTAGCTTCCACTGTGATTGGTTGGTGCGGTGCCATACTGGTTGTGAGATGTTTGGATTATCACTCCTGGGAACACCAAAGGGTAAGCTAAAAAGACTGGGTAACTCTAGAAAATAACACGCACAGTCCACAGGATATTGTGCTAATTACCCAGCAGAAAGAAGATTAGCATTTAGCCTTACTTGGTTTCCTGCTGAAATGGAATTCTGGAGTTTGCATGCATATTTTGACCTCAATTCTCTGCGTTATTTTCTTTTGAATTTCTTTCATCATTCTGACTTTATTTTTTTATGTTTCTTTGTTTTTTTATTATTATTATTATTATACTTTAAGTTTTAGGATACATGTGCACAACGTGCAGGTTTGTTACATATGTACACATGTGCCATGTTGGTGTGCTGCACCCATTAACTCATTTAGCATTAGGTATATCTCCTAATGCTATCCCTCCCCTCTCCCCCGACCCCACAACAGTCCCCAGTGTGTGATGTTCCCCTTCCTGTGTCCATGTGTTCTCATTGTTCAATTCCCACCTATGAGTGAGAACATGCGGTGTTTGGTTTTTTGTCCTTGCGATAGTTTGCTGAGAATGAAGGTTTCCAGCTTCATCCATGTCCCTACAAAGGACATGAACTCATCATTTTTTATGGCTGCATAGTATTCCATGGTGTATATGTGCCACATTTTCTTAATCCAGTCTATCATTGTTGGACATTTGGCTTGGTTCCAAGTCTTTGCTATTGTGAATAGTGCTGCAATAAACATACATGTGCATGTGTCTTTATAGCAGCATGATTTCTAATCCTTTGGGTATATACCCAGTAATGGGATGGCTGGGTCAAATGGTATTTCTAGTTCTAGATCCCTGAGGAATCGCCACACTGACTTCCACAATGGTTGAACGAGTTTCCAGTCCCACCAACAGTGTAAAAGTGTTCCTATTTCTCCACATCCTCTCCAGCACCTGTTGTTTCCTGACTTTTTAATGATCGCCATTCTAACTGGTGTGAGATGGTATCTCATTGTGGTTTTGATTTGCATTTCTCTGATGGCCAGTGATGATGAGCATTTTTTCATGTGTTTTTTGGCTGCATAAATGTCTTCTTTTCAGAAATGTCTGTTCATATCCTTCACCCACTTTTTGATGGGGTTGTTTGCTTTTTTCTTGTAAATTTGTTTGAGTTCATTGTAGATTCTGGATATTAGCCCTTTGTCAGATGAGTAGGTTGCAAAAATTTTCTCCCATTCTGTAGGTTTCCTGTTCACTCTGATGGTGGTTTCTTTTGCTGTGCAGAAGCTCTTTAGTTTAATTAGATCCCATTTGTCAATTTTGGCTTCTGTTGCCATTGCTTTTGGTGTTTTAGACATGAAATCCTTGCCCATGCCTATGTCCTGAATGGTATTGCCTAGGTTTTCTTCTAGGGTTTTTATGGTTTTAGGTCTAACATTTAAGTCTTTAATCCATCTTGAATTAATTTTTGTATAAGGTGAAAGGAAGGGATCCAGTTTCAGCTTTCTACATATGGCTAGCCAGTTTTCCCAGCACCATTTATTAAATAGGGAATCCTTTCCCCATTGCTTGTTTTTGTCAGGTTTGTCAAAGATCAGATAGTTGTTGATGTGTGGTATTATTTCTGAGGGCTCTGTTCTGTTCCATTGGTCTATATCTCTGTTTTGGTACCAGTACCATGCTGTTTTGGTTACTATAGCCTTGTAGTATAGTTTGAAGTCAGGTAGCGTGATGCCTCCAGCTTTGTTCTTTTGGCTTAGGATTGACTTGTCAATGCGGGCTCTTTTTTGGTTCCATATGAACTTTAAAGTAGTTTTTTTCCAATTCTGTGAAGAAAGTCATTGGTAGCTTGATGGGGATGGCATTGAATCTCTAAATTACCTTGGACAGTATGGCCATTTTCACAATATTGATTCTTCCTACCCATGAGCATGGAATGTTCTTCCATTTGTTTGTATCCTCTTTTATTTCATTGAGCAGTGGTTTGTAGTTCTTCTTGAAAAGGTCCTTCACATCCCTTGTAAGTTGGATTCCTAGGTATTTTATTCTCTTTGAAGCAATTGTGAATGGGAGTTCACTCATGATTTGGCTCTCTGTTTGTCTGTTATTGGTGTATAAGAATACTTGTGATTTTTGCACATGGATTTTGTATCCTGAGAATTTGCTGAAGTTGCTTATTAGCTTAAGGAGATTTTGGGCTGAGACAATGGGGTTTTCTAGATATACAATCATGTCATCTGCAAACAGGGACAATTTGACTTCCTCTTTTCCTAATTGAATGCCCTTTATTTCCTTCTGCTGCCTGATTGCCCTGGCCAGAACTTCCAACACTATGTTGAATAGGAGTGGTGAGAGAGGGCATCCCTGTCTTGTGCCAGTTTTCAAAGGGAATGCTTCCAGTTTTTGTCCATTCAGTATGATATTGGCTGTGGGTTTGTCACAGATATCTCTTATTATTTTGAGATACGTCCCATCAATACCTAATTTATTGAGAGTTTTTAGCATGAAGGGTTGTTGAATTTTGTCAAAGGCCTTTTCTGCATCTATTGAGATAATCATGTGGTTTTTGTCTTTGGTTCTGTTTAAATGCTGGATTACGTTTATTGATTTTCATATGTTGAACCAGCCTTGCATCCCAGGGATGAAGCCCACTTGATCATGGTGGATAAGCTTTTTGCTGTGCTGCTGGATTCCTTTTGCCAGTATTTTATTGAGGATTTTTGCATCGATGTTCATCAAAGATATTGGTCTAAAATTCTCTTTTTTTGTTGTGTCTCTGCCAGGCTTTGGTATCAGAATGATGCTGGCCTCATAAAATGAGTTAGGGAGGATTCCCTCTTTTTCTATTGATTGGAATAGTTTCAGAAGGAATGGTACCAGCTCCTCCTTGTACCTCTGGTAGAATTCGGCTGTGAATCCATCTGGTCCTGGACTTTTTTTGGTTGGTAAGCTATTAATTATTGCCTCAATTTCAGAGTCTGTTATTTGTCTATTCAGAGATTCAACTTCTTCCTGATTTAGTCTTGGGAGAGTGTATGTGTCGAAAAATTTATCCATTTCTTCTAGAATTTCTAGTTTATTTGTGTAGAGGTGTTTATAGTATTCTCTGATGGTAGTTTGTATTTCTGTGGGATCGGTGGTGATATCCCCTTTGTCATTTTTTATTGCGTCTATTTGATTCTTCTCTGTTTTCTTCTTTATTATTCTTGCTAGCGGTCTATCAATTTTGTTGATCTTTTCAAAAAACCAGCTCCTGGATTCATTGATTTTTTGAAGGGATTTTTGTGTCTCTATTGCCTTCATTTCTGCTCTGATCTTGGTTGTTTCTTGCCTTCTGCTAGCTTTTGAATGTGTTTGCTCTTACTTCTCTAGTTCTTTTAATTGTGATGTTAGGGTGTCCATTTTAGATCTTTCCTGCTTTCTCTTGCGGGCATTTAGTGCTATAAATTTCCCTCTACACACTGCTTTGAATGTGTCCCATAGATTCTGGTATGTTGTGTCTTTGTTCTCGTTGGTTTCAAAGAACATCTTTATTTCTGCCTTAATTTTGCTATTTACCCAGTAGTCATTCAGGAGCAGGTTGTTCAGTTTCCATGTAGTTGAACGGTTTTGAGTGAGTTTCTTAATCCTGAGTTCTAGTTTGATTGCACTGTGGTCTGAGAGACAGTTTGTTATAGTTTCTGTTCTTTACCATTTGCTGAGGAGTGCTTTACTTCCAACTATGTGGTCAATTTTGGAATAGGTGTGGTGTGGTGCTGAAAAGAATATATATTCTGTTGATTTTGGGTGGAGAGTTCTGTAGATGTCTACTAGATCCACTTGGTGCAGAGCTGAGTTCAATTCCTGGATATCCTTGTTAACTTTCTGTCTCATTGATCTGTCTAATGTTGACAGTGGGGTGTTAAAGTCTCCCATTATTATTGTGTGGGAGTCTAAGTCTCTTTGTAGGTCACTAAGGACTTGCTTTATGAATCTGAGTCCTCCTGTATTGGGTGCATATATATTTAGGATAGTTAGTTCTTCTTGTTGAATTGATCCCTTTACCATTATGTAATGGCCTTCTTTGTCTCTTTTGATCTTTGTTGGTTTAAAGTCTGTTTTATGAGAGACTAGGATTGCAACCCCTGCCTTTTTTTGTTTTCCATTTGCTTGGTAGATCTTCCTCCATCCCTTTATTTTGAGCCTGTGTGTATCTCTGCCCATGAGATGGGTTTCCTGAATAGAGCACACTGATGGGTATTGACTCTTTATCCACTTTGCCAGTCTGTGCCTTTTAATTGGAGCATTTACCCCATTTACATTTAAGGTTAGTATTGTTATGTGTGAATTTGATCCTGTCATTATGATGTTAGTTGGTTATTTTGCTCATTAGTTGGTGCAGTTTCTTCCTATCCTTGACGGTCTTTACAATTTGGCATGTTTTTGCAGTGGCTGGTACCGGTTGTTCCTTTCCATGTTTAGTGCTTCCTTCAGGAGCTCTTTTAGGGCAGGCCTGGTGGTGACAAAATCTCTCAGCATTTGCTTGTCTGTAAAGGATTTTATTTCTCCTTTGCTTATGAAGCTTAGTTTGGGTGGATATGAAATTCTGGGTTGAAAATTCTTTTCTTTAAGAATGTTGAATATTGGCCCCCACTCTCTTCCGGCTTGTAGAGTTTCTGCCGAGAGATCTGCTGTAAGTCTGATGGGCTTCCCTTTGTGGGTAACCCGACCTTTCTCTCTGGCTGCCCTTAACATTTTTTCCTTCATTTCAACTTTGGTGAATCTTACAATAATGTGTCTTGGAGTTGCTCTTCTCGAGGAGTATCTTTGTGGCGTTCTCTGTATTTCCTGAATTTGAATGTTGGCCTGCCTTGCTAGATTGGGGAAGTTCTCCTGGATAATATCCTGCAGAGTGTTTTCCATCTTGGTTCCATTCTCCCTGTCACTTTCAGGTACAGCAATTAGGCGTAGATTTGGTCTTTTCACATAGTCCCATATTTCTTGGAGGCTTTGTTCATTTCTTTGTATTCTTTTTCTCTAAACTTCTCTTCATGCTTCATTTCATTCATTTCGTCTTCCGTTGCTGATACCCTTTCTTCCAGTTGATCGCCTTGTTTACTGAGGCTTGTGCATTCGTCACGTAGTTCTCGTGCCATGGTTTTCAGCTCCATCAGGTCCTTTAAGGACTTCTCTGCATTGGTTATTCTAGTTAGCCATTCGTCTATTTTTTTTTTCAAAGTTTTTAACTTCTTTGCCATTGGTTCGGACTTCCTCCTTTAGCTCAGAGTAGTTTGATCTTCTGAGGCCTTCTTCTCTCAACTCGTCAAAGTCATTCTCCATCCAGCTTTGTTCTGTTGCTGGTGAGGAGCTGTGTTCCTTTGGAGGAGGAGAGGCGCTCTGATTTTTAGAGTTTCCAGTTTTTCTGCTCTGTTTTTTCCCCATCTTTGTGGTTTTATCTGCCTTTGGTCTTTGGTGATGGTGATGTACAGATGGGTTTTTGGTGTGGATGTCCTTTCTGTTTGTTAGTTTTCCTTCTAACAGTCAGGACCCTCAGCTGCAGGTCTGTTGGAGTTTGCTGGAGGTCCACTCCAGACCCTGTTTGCCTGGGTATCAGCAGCGGTGGCTGCAGAACAGCAGATATTGGTGAACCGCAAATGTTGCTGCCTGATTGTTCCTCTGGAAGTTTTGTCTCAGAGGAGTACCTGGCCGTGTGAGGTGTCAGTCCGCCCCTACTTGGGGGTGCCTCCCAGTTAGGCTACTCAGGGGTCAGGGACCCACTTGATGAGGCAGTCTGCCCGTTCTCAGATCTCAAGCTGCGTGCTGGGAGAACCACTACTCTCTTCAAAGCTGTCAGACAGGGACATTTAAGTCTGCAGAGGTTATTGCTATCTTTTGTTTGTCTGTGCCCTGCCCCCAGAGGTGGAGCCTACAGAGGCAGGCAGGCCTCCTTGAGCTGTGATGGGCTCCACCCAGTTCGAGCTTCCTGGCTGCTTTGCTTACCTACTCAAGCCTGGGCAATGGCAGGTGCCCCTCCCCCAGGCTTGCTGCTGCCTTGCAGTTTGATCTCAGACTGCTGTGCTAGCAATAAGCGAGGCTCTGTGGGCATAGGACCCTCCGAGCCATGTGCGGGATATAATCTCCTGGTGTGCCATTTGTTAAGCCTGTTGGAAAAGCGCAGTATTAGGGTGGGAGTGACCGGATTTTCCAGGTGCCATCTGTCACCCCTTTCTTTGACTAGGAAAGGGAATTCCCTGACCCCTTGCACTTCCTGGGTGAGGTGATGCTTCACCCTGCTTCAACTCGTGCATGGTGCGCTGCACCCACTGTCCTGCACCCACTGTCTGGCACTCCCCAGTGAGGTGAATCTGGTACCTCAGTTGGAAATGCAGAAATCACCCGTCTTCTGCGTTGCTCATGCTGGGAGCTGTAGACTGGAGCTGTTCCTATTTGGCTATCTTGTCTCCACCATCATTCTGACTTTAGCAGGGCAATCCTCACAAATGCCATAAACATTCTTCTCTTCACTCAGGGTTCAGTGGAAAGGACCCTAATAATAGTAGGAAAACTAGTAATAGCTGCCATTTACTGAGAGCTCACTGTGATCACAGAAGTATAATCATTAAGTCTTTATTTTTTTTAGTAACAGCTTTATTGAGATATAATTTGCATACCAAACAGTTCACCCATTTAAAGTATACAATTCAATGGTATTTAGTATATTCACAGTTATACAGCCATGACAATCAATTTTAGGACATTTTCATTAACTCCAAAGAAACCCTGTACCTTTGGTTATCACCTCTCAATACCCCCAACCTGCCCAGCTTTGGGCAACCACTAATCTTACTTTCTATATAGATTTCCCTATTCTGGATGTTTCATATAAATGGAATTAGACAATGTGTGGTCTTTTGTGTCTAGCTTCTTTCACTTAGCATGTTTTTGAGGTTATCCGTGTCATAGCAGGTTGTCAGTACTTCATTTCTTTTTATTGCCAAGTAATATTTCATTGCATATATACAACACATTTGGTTTACCCATCTATCAGTTGATAGATATTTGCATTGTTTCTACCTTTTGGTTATTGTGAATAGTGCTGCTATTGAATATTTGTGTATACCTTTTTGTTTGAAAACTTGTTTTCAATTCTTTTGTGTATATACTTAGGAGTGTGGTTGCTGGGTCATATGGTAATTCTGTGCTCCATGTATTGAGGAACTGCCAAGCTGTATTCCATAGTGGCTACGCCATTTTACATTTCCTCCAGCAGTGTATTTACTGGAGGAAATGTAAAATGGTATAGCCACTGTGGAATGGTGGCAGTGTTGTGTTTTTGTTTTTGTTTTTCCTTGAGACAGAGTCTCACTCTGTCACCCAGGCTAGAAGGAAATGGTGCAATCTTGGCTCACTGCAAACTCTGCCTCCTGGATTCCAGTGGTTCTCGTGCCTCAGCCTCCTGAGTAGCTGGGATTACAGGTGCCCACAACCACCTCCGGCTAATTTTTATATTTTTAGTGGAGATGGGGTTTTGCCACATTGGCCAGGCTGGTCTCAAACTCCTGACCTCAGGTGATCTGCCTGCCTCGGCCTCCCAAAGTGCTGGGATTACAGGAGTGAGCCACCATGCCCAGCTGGCAGTGTTTTTTTTTTTTTTAAACACCCATCATGGTGGGTGTGAAGTGGTATCTCATTGTGGTTTTTAGGTTTGCATTTCTCTGACTAATGATGTTGAGCATCATTTATGTACTTATTGGCTATTTGGTACTTCTTTGGAGGAATGTCTGTTTGGATCTTTTGCCCATTTTTTTATGCTTTTATTTCTTAATTTTTTAATTTTATTTTTAATTGACATATAATAATCGTAAATAATTGTTGGTCTTTGTATTGTTGAGTTGTAAGAGTTCTTTATATATTTTAGATACAAGTCCCTGATCAGATACGAGTTGCAAATATTTTCATCCATTTTTTGGGTTATCTTTTCACTTTGTTGATGATGTCCTTTGAAGTACAGAAATTTTTAATTCTGAAGAAGTCTAATTTGTTTTTTCTTTTGTTGTTTATGATTTTGATGTCATGCCTAAGAAACCACTGCCAAATCCCAGGTTAAGAAAATTTACACCTGTTTTCTTCTAAGAATTTTAAAGTTTTAGCTCTTAACTTAGGGTTTTGATCTATTTTCAGTTAATTTTTATTGGTGGTGTGTATTAGGAGCCTTAACTTCATTGTTTTGAGTGTGGATGTCCAGTTTTTCCAGCACTATTTGTTGAGAAAACTAACCTTTCTTAATTGTCTTGGCACCCTTCTTGGAAATCAGTTGACCATAAATGTGTTTATATATGGACTCTCAATTTTATTCCATTTATCTGTATGTCTCTCATTAACTATCATTATGCCAGTACCATATTGTCTTGATTATTGCAGCTTCATGTTGTGTTTTGAAATTGGGAAGTGTGACTCCTCCAAATTTTGTTCTTCTTTTTCAAGATTGTTTTGACTATTTTGGGTTCCTTGCAATTCTATATAAATTTTAGAATCAGCTTGTCACAACTATCTGATCTTTGACAAACCTGACAAAAACAAGAAATGGGGAAATGATTCCCTATTTAATAAATGGTGCTGGGAAAACTGGCTAGCCATATGTAGAAAGCTGAAACTGGATCCCTTCCTTACACCTTATACAAAAATTAATTCAAGATGGATTAAAGACTTAAATGTTAGACCTGAAACCATACAAATCCTAGAAGAAAACCTAGGCAGTACCATTCAGGACATAGGCATGGGCAAGGACTTCATGTCTAAAACACCAAAAGCAATGGCAACCAAAGCCAAAATTGACAAATGGGATCTAATTAAACTAAAAGAGCTCCTGCACAGCAAAAGAAACTACCGTCAGAGTGAACAGGCAACCTAGAGAATGGGAGAAAATTTTTGCAATCTACTCATCTGACAAAGGGCTAATATCCAGAATCTACAATGAACTCAAACAAATTTACAAGAAAAAAACAAACAACCCCATCAACAAGTAGGCGAAGGATATGAACAGACACTTCTCAAAAGAAGACATTTATGCAGCCAAAAGACACATGAAAAAATGCTCATTATCACTGGCCATCAGAGAAATGCAAATCAAAACCATAATGAGATACCATCTCACACCAGTTAGAATGGCGATCATTAAAAAGTCAGGAAACAACAGGTGCTGGAGAGGATGTGGAGAAATAGGAACACTTTTACACTGTTGGTGGGACTGGAAACTAGTTCAACCCTTGTGGAAGTCAGTGTGGCGATTCCTCAGGGATCTAGAACTAGAAATACCATTTGACCCAGCCATCCCATTACTGGGTATATACCCAAAGGATTAGAAATCATGCTGCTATAAAGACACATGCACATATATATTTATTGCAGCACTATTCACAATAGCAAAGACTTGGAACCAACCCAAGTGTCCAACAATGATAGACTGGATTAAGAAAATGTGGCATATATACACCATGGAATACTATGCAGCCATAAAAAATGATGAGTTCATGTCCTTTGTAGGGACATGGATGAAGCTGGAAACCACTGTTCTCAGCAAACTATCGCAAGGACAAGAAACCAAACACCGCATGTTCTCACTCATAGGTGGGAATTGAACAATGAAAACACATGGACACAGGAAGGGGAACATCACACACCGGGGACTGTTGTGGGGTCGGGGAAGAGGGGAGGGATAGCATTAGGAGATATACCTAATGTTAAATGACGAGTTAATGGGTGCAGCACACCAACATGGCACATGTGTACATACGTAACTCACCTGCACGTTCTGCACATGTACCCTAAAACTTAAAGTATATTAAAAAAAAAGAATCAGCTTGTCAATTTCTACAAACAAGCTAGCTGGGATTCTTGTACAAATTGCCTTGGATCTGTGGATCAACTTGGGAAGTATTGATATGGGTTTTTTTTTCTTTCTTTCTTTTTTTTTTTTTTTTTTTTGACGGAGTCTTGCTCTGCCACCGAGGCTGGAGTGTGGTGGTGCAATCTTGGCTCACTCTAACCTCCACCTCCCAGGTTCAAGTGATTCTCATGCCTCAGCCTTCCTGAGTAGCTGGGATTACAGGTGTGTGGCCACCACACCAGCTTTTTTTTTTTTTTTTTCGTATTTTTGTAGAGACATGGTTTCACTATGTTGGGCAGGCTGGTCTCGAACTCCTGACCTGAAGTGATCTGCCTGCCTCGACTCCCAAAGTACTGGGATTACAGGCTTGAGCTACTGTGCCCAGCCTGACATCTTAACAATATTAAGTTTTCTAATTCATGAATATGGATGTCTATCTATTTAGATATTTAGTTTTTTGAATGGTTTTTTACAGTTTCCAGAGTATAAGTTTTATGTTTGTTAAATTTATTTCTAAGCATTTTCTTCTTCTTGATACTATTGTAAATGGAATTGTTTACTTAATTTCATTTTCAGATTATTCATTGCAAGTATACAGAAAGACATTTGATTTTTGTATATTGATTTTGTGTCCTGGAATCTTGCTGAAGTTGTTCGTTCTAATAGTTTTCTGTGTGTATTCCTTAGGATTTTCTCTATATAAGATCATGTCATCTGTGAATACAGATATTTTTACTTTTCCAAACTGGATGACTTTTATTTAGTTTTCTTGCCTACTTGCCCTAGCTACAACCTCTAGTATAATGTTGAATAGAAGTATCAAGAGTTGGACATTCTTGTTTTCTCCCTGATCTTAGGGGGAAAGTATCAGTCTTTCACCATCAAGTACGATGTTTGCTTTGGGTTTTTTTGTAGATGCCCTTTATCAGGTTGAGGAACCTCCTTTCTATTCCTTGTTTGTTAAGTGCTTTTTATCATGAAAGAGGGTTAGATTTAGTCAAATGATTTTCCTGGATCTTTTGAGATGATCATGTCGTTTTTGTTTTCTATTCTATTAATGTGATGTAGTATGCAAATTGAATTTTGAGTGTTAAATTAATTTTGCATTCCTGGTATAAATTCCACTTGTTTATGGTGTATAATCCTTTTATATGTTGCTGGATTTGGTTTGCAGTATTTGGCTGAGGATTTTTGCATCTATATTCATAAGAGGTATTGGTCTGTAGTTTTCTAGTGGTGTCTGTCTGTTTTCGTTATCAGAGTAATACTGACCTCATATAATGAGTTAGAAACTTCACATTTTTTGTGTTTCTTTGAAGAGTTAATGAAGAACTGGTATTAATTATTGTTTAAATGTTTGGATGGAATTGAAGCCATTTGGGCCTGGACTTTACTTTGTGAGTAGTTTTTGATTATTGATTTGATATCTTGTTATAGGTCTATTCAGATTTTCTGTTTTCTTCTTGAGTCAGTTTTGGTAGTTTGTGTCTTCCTAGGAATTTGTCCATTTCATCTCAATTATCTAATTTATTGACATTCAATTGTTCATAACGTGCCTTTAAGTGTTTTTGAGCATACTAATTTGTTGAATCTTCACAATAAGCCTATGAAGGAGATATTATGATCCTCATTTTATAGGTGAAAAAAACTGAAGCACAGAGAGTTAACTTGCCCAAGGTCACCCAGTCAGTAAGTTGGAGGAGCCAGGATTTGAATCCAGGCAGTCTAGCTCCAGAATGCATGTTCTTACCATAGCTAGACTATCTAAAGATCTTCTCTAAAAGTTATCAGGAGGGACCTGGAATCTATCTGGTCAAGCAGAACCTTTTGAAGCACTTTTTTTTTCTTAACAAATCAGTGGTTTTTCATTCTATTCCTGGATTTGTACAGCTATCACCACTATCTAATTTTAGAACTTTTTCAATACCCCCCGTCCACTAAATCCATACCTATTAGGAGTTCTTTTCCCTTCCTAATCCCCCTTTCTACTCCTACCCCTGTCCCAGCCTCAGGAAACCACTAGTCTACTTTCTGCTGTGGATATACCTCTATGGGTATGTCCATTTTGCATATTTCATATTGAACTAAATCATATGATATCTGGTCTTTAGAAGGTATTTACTCCTGCTCAGATTGGTGATTATATCTGCCTGAAATTCTCTCTCTTCTTATTCTGAACTTTAGTCTTTCTGTGATTTTGTCTCACTAGATTCATCACTCTAATTGAATATACAATCCTATTCAAAACAAAGCTTTGCATCTGGCACATGTGACAAGTTTCTATTTTGAGCTTTTTATTACCTCCATTGGGAAAACATCTCCTTAATAGTCCAGGGTGAGGGGAATGTAGTTAGATTCTACCAAAGTTAATTACCAGCCCATCTCTCTCATTAGCCTTCAAACAATGTTAATTTCAACCTGAAGTTTACCAGCTGCCTTGGGTTGATAGACAAAGACAAATGCAGCTAGTGAAGGAGACTGATGTATGAACAAGTAACTCATACAATGTGATAAGTATTATAAAAGCCTTTGTATATAAGGTAATGAAGCATATATAAGAAAGCATAACATGAATTTCTATGGAAAAATTATAGAAAAGTGTAGGTATCTAGGCCATAGAAACTATACAGTGTACTACTTAAGTTGATTGACCATGGTACCTACTGATTTTGTCCCTCTAATCTGTCTTATGGGGTTGAAGCCCCTTCCCCTTTCATACCTTTAGTAAATATAGCAACAAAAGGAAATGGTAGGTGAGGATTCTAGGAACTACATTTTTCTTACCCAGACATTGTTTCCTTCACAGGCATAAGCTGGAAGTCACACCAGTAGTAGCCTCTACTACCGTGGTACCAAACATTATGGAGAAACCACTCATTCTAGACATATCCACCACCTCCAAAACACCCAACACTGAGGAGGCATCTCTCTTCAGAAAGCCATTAGTTTTAAAGGAGGAACCCACTATTGAGGATGAAACCCTTATCAATAAGTCATTATCTTTAAAAAAGTGCTCAAATCATGAGGAGGTGTCCTTACTGGAAAAGCTACAGCCCCTGCAGGAGGAGAGTGACAGTGATGATGCGTTTGTTATAGAGCCAATGACTTTTAAGAAGACACATAAAACTGAGGAGGCAGCCATCACCAAGAAGACATTATCCTTAAAGAAGAAGATGTGTGCAAGTCAGCGGAAGCAGTCCTGCCAGGAAGAGTCGTTGGCTGTGCAGGATGTCAATATGGAAGAGGATTCCTTCTTTATGGAGTCAATGAGTTTTAAGAAGAAGCCTAAAACTGAGGAGTCAATCCCCACCCATAAGTTATCATCTTTAAAGAAGAAATGTACCATTTATGGGAAGATATGCCACTTTAGGAAGCCACCAGTATTGCAGACAACCATCTGTGGAGCAATGTCCTCCATTAAGAAGCCTACCACTGAGAAGGAGACACTTTTCCAAGAGCTATCTGTATTGCAAGAGAAACACACCACTGAGCATGAGATGTCCATCTTGAAGAAATCATTGGCCTTGCAGAAGACCAACTTTAAAGAGGATTCCCTTGTTAAGGAGTCGTTAGCCTTTAAGAAGAAGCCTAGCACTGAGGAGGCAATCATGATGCCAGTAATATTGAAGGAGCAGTGCATGACTGAGGGGAAGAGGTCCCGTCTGAAGCCATTAGTATTGCAGGAGATCACCTCTGGAGAGAAGTCGCTCATTATGAAGCCATTGTCCATTAAAGAAAAGCCATCTACTGAGAAGGAGTCCTTTTCCCAGGAACCATCTGCATTGCAAAAGAAGCACACCACTCAGGAGGAGGTTTCCATCTTAAAGGAGCCCTCGTCCTTGCTAAAGTCTCCAACTGAGGAGTCACCTTTTGATGAGGCTTTGGCTTTTACAAAGAAGTGTACCATTGAGGAGGCACCCCCCACCAAGAAGCCTTTAATTTTAAAGAGGAAGCATGCCACTCAGGGGACAATGTCCCACTTGAAGAAACCACTAATATTACAGACCACCTCTGGAGAAAAGTCACTTATTAAGGAGCCACTGCCCTTTAAAGAAGAAAAAGTGTCTTTAAAGAAAAAGTGTACCACACAAGAGATGATGTCCATCTGTCCAGAACTGTTGGACTTTCAGGATATGATTGGTGAAGATAAGAATTCTTTCTTTATGGAGCCAATGTCATTTAGGAAGAACCCTACAACTGAGGAGACAGTACTTACCAAGACATCGTTGTCTTTACAGGAAAAGAAAATTACTCAGGGGAAGATGTCCCACTTAAAGAAGCCACTGGTCTTGCAGAAGATCACTTCTGAGGAGGAGTCATTCTATAAGAAGCTGTTGCCCTTTAAGATGAAATCTACAACGGAAGAAAAGTTCCTCTCCCAGGAACCATCTGCATTGAAAGAGAAGCATACCACCTTGCAGGAAGTGTCCCTCTCAAAAGAGTCATTGGCCATCCAAGAGAAGGCTACCACTGAGGAGGAATTCTCTCAGGAACTATTTTCATTGCATGTTAAGCATACCAACAAAAGTGGGTCCCTCTTCCAGGAGGCTTTGGTCTTGCAAGAGAAGACTGATGCCGAAGAGGATTCCTTGAAGAACTTGTTGGCTTTGCAGGAGAAAAGCACCATGGAAGAAGAGTCCCTTATCAATAAGCTATTGGCTCTGAAGGAGGAGCTTTCTGCTGAGGCAGCCACAAACATACAGACACAATTATCTTTAAAGAAGAAGTCCACTTCTCATGGAAAAGTGTTCTTCCTGAAGAAGCAGTTGGCTTTGAATGAGACCATCAATGAAGAGGAGTTCCTTAATAAGCAGCCACTGGCCTTGGAGGGGTATCCCAGCATTGCGGAGGGGGAGACCCTCTTCAAGAAGCTTTTGGCCATGCAGGAGGAGCCCAGCATTGAGAAGGAAGCTGTCCTCAAGGAGCCCACTATTGACACAGAAGCTCACTTTAAGGAACCTTTGGCCTTGCAGGAGGAGCCCAGCACTGAGAAGGAGGCTGTCCTCAAGGAGCCCAGTGTTGACACAGAAGCTCACTTTAAGGAAACTTTGGCCTTGCAGGAGAAGCCCAGCATTGAGCAGGAGGCCCTCTTTAAGCGACACTCAGCTTTGTGGGAGAAGCCCAGCACTGAGAAGGAGACCATCTTCAAGGAGTCTTTGGACTTGCAAGAGAAGCCCAGCATTAAGAAAGAGACCCTCCTCAAAAAGCCATTAGCCTTGAAGATGTCTACCATCAATGAGGCAGTCCTCTTCGAAGATATGATAGCTCTGAATGAGAAACCCACCACTGGGAAGGAGTTGTCCTTCAAGGAGCCATTAGCCTTACAAGAGAGTCCCACCTACAAGGAAGACACCTTTCTCAAAACATTGTTGGTCCCCCAAGTTGGAACCAGCCCAAATGTGTCTAGCACTGCCCCTGAATCCATAACCAGCAAGTCCAGCATTGCTACCATGACCAGTGTGGGCAAATCTGGTACCATCAATGAGGCATTCCTCTTCGAAGATATGATAACTCTGAATGAGAAACCCACCACTGGGAAGGAGTTGTCCTTCAAGGAGCCATTGGCCTTACAAGAGAGTCCCACCTGCAAGGAAGACACCTTTCTGGAAACATTCTTGATCCCCCAAATTGGAACCAGCCCATATGTGTTTAGCACCACCCCTGAATCCATAACAGAGAAGTCCAGCATTGCAACCATGACCAGCGTGGGCAAGTCCAGGACCACCACCGAGTCCAGTGCATGTGAATCTGCTTCTGATAAACCTGTCTCACCACAGGCCAAGGGAACACCAAAGGAGGTATTCATCTCCCTTTCTTCTTAAATTAGATAAATTGTTCTTTGATATCCTGGAGGTGGCTGCTAGCAAAGTTGTTTTTTTTTTTTTGTTTTTGTTTTTTGTTGTTGTTGTTGTTTTTTTGCCTTCCTAAGCAGTTGAGCCATATATAGTAAGTTATTGAGAGTATCCCTCTACCTAGTGAGAGGGTGATATTTCTTAGGTTTACTTCTGGTTTTATTTAATGATAGGTGATGCAGAATCATCTCTTCTCACCTTTTGTAGCCTGAGGTTACCCATGATTTGGGATACATTTCCCAGGTTCTTTGGCATTTTTCTCTTAAGTTGGCCTTGTACAATCTCTTGACTTCCTGATTGGCACAGTGATAGATCTAAGCAATCAGAAAGTATTTATTCCAGTAATACCCACAAGAGTCTGGACTACTGTGCTATATACTTGGGCTTTGCAATAGTGGCCAGGTAATTTCATTCAGGAAATTGCCTTTCTTAGTAATTGTAATTTGCATCACGGTGGGCTTTGGTAAAAAATGGGCAAAGTTCATAGGAGCATCTCCCAAGGAAGGTGGTCTTTACGTTGTAAATTTGAATAATGAAGGGATGATATTTAGCAAGCAGGAGGAGAAATGTCCTTTTTGTAGCAAAACATCCTGGGTAAAGGTATAGAAAGGAGGAAAAGACTACCAAGATGAATTGGGCCAGATCAAAGCATTGACATAATTAGGGACCTAAGAAGACAGGTAACAAAGCTGAAATAATAAAATAAGAATGTCCGTCTTGGAGAATCTTCAGCTTACCCATAAAAAGGGTCCCTTGTTCCTAGGGCAGCGAAGGTATATACAATGAAGTCTAGGCATTTCTTGATCCCTGGACCATATGAGGATTGCACAGCCAAGGAGTACTGTGTTATGGCCCAACATATACAAGGCTTGAGACACCTTAGCAGAAGAAGACAGTGGGGAGAAAGGAGTAATCATTGATATGTATGTGCTAAGTCTTCCTTGGAATAATTCTCATAATATGTCTTTTTGGTGATTTCTAAGCAGATAACCCCACGGGAAGATATTGATGAGGACAGCAGTGATCCAAGTTTCAACCCAATGTATGCCAAGGAAATCTTCAGTTACATGAAAGAGAGAGAGGTATTTAGGTTGCTTGGGTTGGGCAATGATTTCTAGTTTTCATTTCTTCATCATTCCATCCTTCAGTGTGCAAGTTGAAAGGGGTGGTAATAATGATGATAAAAATAATAATAGCAACAACTAACATATTGGTAGCTTACTGTGAGTTGGACATTGTACTAACAGATTTGTAGATATTATCTTAATTCTCTCAGTAACTTCATGATGGTAGGTATTATTATCTCCCTCTTACAGATAGAGGAAACTGCCCAGAGTCATGTAAGTGGTACATGGTAGAGCTGAGATATGAACTAAAGTCTGATTGCCTTGAAGACCATAATCCTGTACATCTAATTGCTAAGAAGACAGTCTTAGACACAAAAATGGTCAAGTAGTCTCTGAGTGGCTGTTCTTAGAGATCTTTTTCCTTCCCTGTGCATGTTTCTGGCATTGTAGGCAAAATCGTATTCTTTGTTTCATCTCTCCAACCTGGTGAAGTTTTCTTTCTCCTTTGAAATCTGCCAGTCTCCTTTACCACTAATATTCATCAATTCCAAAGTTTCTTCTAACTCTCTCAACAGAACAGATGGGACCAAGATTATCTACCAAGCAGAATTTTTAGCAGGTCATGTATAAGAGGGTGGGAGGATGGAAACCCACCTACAGATCCACCTATCCTCTTTATAGAGAGAGTGCAATTGATTAACTGATTCCAAAGCCCACACTTTTTCTGGCATACCTAAGTAAGGGACATCTTTGTTATAATAAAAGTGTGAGCCTTGGTTCAGCAGTATCAGTTTCACTTGAGATTTTGTTAGAAATGCAGAAACCTAGCCCCATCCCAGACCTTCTAAATCAGAATCTGAAGTTTTACATGATCCCCAAGTAGTGCATATGTATGTTAAAGTTTGAGAAGCACTGCTCTACATAGCATGGTATTGTGCTTTAGATTGAATTGCAAAGAAAGGGCAGAACCTTTTTGGCATTTGTCTACAGCTGTAGGTGTGTTTCTGCCCTTATTTCCCCCTGGATTCTTCAATATCCACTCTGACACTTGAATATCACGTGTCTATTTCCCAAAGCATAACTGCAACTTGCCTGGAAAAGGATACTTTGATCTGCCCCTCTCTAATACCAGTTGAAAACAAGGAGTTAGAACTATGAGGGAGAAGTTAATTGTTAAGTTACAATGTTGAACTATAAGAAGAGTTTATTTATTAACATTTCTTTCTCATCAATGCCAGGAACAGTTTATACTTACAGATTACATGAACAGGCAGATTGAAATCACCAGTGACATGAGGGCCATTCTTGTGGACTGGTTGGTGGAGGTGCAGGTAAGCCTGACAACTCCTGCCTTAAGGAGCTGCTGTTCTCTTTCTCATTCAGGGCTGCCAGGCCAAAAACATGGTAAAAATGTACTGGGTCTATAGAGTTGAATAAGCTGTGGTTCCTGCCCTCAAGGAGCTCATGATTTAGGAGGCAAGATAAGATATGCAGACAAATAAGTGTAATACAAAGTAGAATATACTAAGTGCTCTAAGAATGTTTCAAATAAGATACTGTGAGAACTAATTGAAAGGAGAGACTCTTTCTAGAAAAGGCAGTGACGGTATGGTCGTTTTATCATTCTTAAAGTCTTGTAAAAGTATATCTAGTGATTTGGACTGGGGTCGATGACAAAGTCTTTCAAACTTTGAGTGGAATGGATAATAGGAAGGACAGTGTGGCACAGGACATGGCAGGTAGCTGTTTGTCCAAGGTGAGATATTGAGGGAATACTGCTATGAATACTTAATTATTATTTTATACTAAGATAGGAGAGCCCAGAGTAGTACATAGCATATAGTAGGGGGTCAGTAAGTATTTGTTGAATGAATGGAATTGAAAGAATTGCTATGGAGTTTGCAAGGAAACATACAGCATGGTCAGTCTACGCTCAGCAGTCTTAGTATGTAATTAGGAAGAAAAGACAATATAGTTTTATATCCTTTGTTAAGTATCAGAGGAGTGGTTCAGGCTCATTTTGGGGTGACAGACCAAGGAATTGTGGTAGACACAGTATATCTGAGCATCAGCAAAACATGAAAATGTCTCTCATCTTATGAAAATGGTAGAGAACAGTAAATCAGGTAAGAGTAAAATTTGGGTAGATCTTAAATAAGTGAAACAGAACCCAAAGATTGCTTATCATTGCCAAGCTGGAAAGAAATTTCTAGTGACTGCCATTGGACTTTGTTCTGCTTAACATTCTCATTAGTAATGTAAATGAGAACAGAGAAGATGTATTCATTAAATTCCTGGATGGCAGGAAACTAGGAGTAGGGATAGGAAATAAATGGCTTACAGAGAAAAAAATATCTCTGCCAGCTGGAATGATGAACTAAATATTTTTTATTTAAAGTTTTTGTTATTGCATAAAAATGTACATTATAGCAAAGTAAGAAATTATAATTACCTGTGATCCCACAACCCCAAACTGCTGTTCTCATTTGTTTGCATATATTATCCCCCCATCTTAAGCAGTGGTTATCCATTAGGGGTGCATCTCAGAATCAGATGCCCAGGTCCTATCCCAGACTTATCCAATCAGAATTGTGGGGATGTGGCCCAGGCACACATATTTTTATAAAGCTCCACAAGTTATATCAATGTATACCCCTTGAAAGAGAATCTCAGTTCTAGAAAATACCATATTGTTTTTATAACCTTAGTTATATGTAGTGCTTTTATAACTCTTTGGTTTTTTATTTTAAAATAACCAAATAACAATAATGACTTTTTGGATATAAAGTTCCATGAAATTTTAGCATTTGTTTGGAAATAATCAATTCATAAGAAATTGAAAAAAAGGACAAAGAGAGCCTGTATACCCTTCACCCTAGTTTATCCCGAAGATGACATCTGGCACAACTATAGTATAGTGTCATGGTCAGGAAATGGACTTTGTTATAATCCACAGACCTTGTTTAGATTTCAGCAGTTTTACATGCACTCATTTGGGGGTGTGTATAGTCTATTTGATCACATTTGTAAATAAATATTTAGTCTATTTGTTCACGTGTACATTTTGTAATCACTACCACAGTTAAGGTACAGAACTGTTCCATCGCCACAAGGATCCCTCATGCCACTTTTTGTTAGCCACAACCATCTCCCTCCCCTCTCCTTCCTGTCCCTGACAAATTATTTGTTTTCCATCTCTATAATTTTGTCATTTCATGAATGTTATATAAATGGAATCATACAGTGTATAGCCTTTTGAGCTTGATGTTTACTACTCACCGTAATTCCCTTGAGATCCATCCAAGTTGTGTGTATGAATAGTTCATTCCTTTTTGTTGCTAAGTAGTATTCCATGGTACAGATGTACCACGGTAATATGGTTTGGCTATGTCCACACCCAAATCTTATCTTGAATTATAGCTCCCATAATCCCCACGTGTTGTGGGAGGGACGCAGTGGGAGGTAAGTGCATCATGGGGGTGAGTTTTTCCCATATTGTTCTTGTCATAGTGGATATGTCTCACGAGATCAGATGGTTTTATAAAAGGCAGTTCTCCTGCACACACTCTCTTGCCTGCCTCCGTGTAAGATGTGGCTTTGTTCCTCCTTCACCTTTTTCCATGATTGTGAGGCCTCCACAGCCATGTGGAGCTGTGAGTTCGTTAAACCTCTTTTCTTTATAAATTACCCAGTCTCAGGTATTTCTTCATAGATGTATGAAAATGGACTAATACACACGGTGTGTTTAACCATTCACCTATTGAAGGACATTTGGGTTGTTACTAGTTTTTGGCTATTAAGGATAAAATTACTATGAATATTTGCATACAGCTTTTTTGTGAATATAGTTTTTATTTCTCTGGGATTAATACTGAAGAGTGTGACAGTTCTGTGAATTTTTAGCATATGTATTGATTTGTGTAACTGCCACTATGATTAGGAAATAGAACAGTTTGACTACGCCATAAAAACTTCCTTATGTTATCCGTTTAGAGTCACACCCACCTTCCACCCCTAACTCCTGGAAACCACTAATCTATTCTCTATCTTTGCCTTTTCAAGAATATTGTATAAATGTTTGTGTTATATGTAACCTTATGAGACTGGCTTCTTTCATTCAGTATGATGCCTTTAAGATTTATTCAAGTTGTTGCAGATATCATTAGTTCATTCTTTTTATTGCTGAGTGGTATTCTATGGTTCGGATATATCACAGTTTATCCATTCTCCTGTGGAAGGGTATTTAGTTTGTTTCCAGTTTTTGATGACTGTGAAAAGAACTGTACATTAATGTACAGGTTTTTATGTGAAGATATGTTTTAATTTCTAATGTCAGCACACAGGAGTGGGATCATTGGGACATATGGTAAGTGTATGTTTAACTTAATTAGAAATTGCCACAGAGTGGCTGTACATCTTGCATTCTCACCTCCAATGCATGAGAGTTCTGGTTGCTCTGCATTCTTGTCAGCACTTGGTTTTGTTAGTACTTTATTTTAACCATCTAATAGGTGTATAGAGGAATCTCCTCATAGTTTTAATTTTTATTTCCTTAAGGGTTAATAATGTTGACAACCATACTTGTCATGCATATATCCTCTTTGATGAAATGTCTATTCAAGTCTTTTGCCCAGTTATAAATAGGTAGTTCGTTTCCTTAGTGTCAAGTTACGAGAGTTCTTTATGTATTCTGGATACAAATCCTTTGTTGGATATGTGATTTATAAATATATCCTCTCAGTCTGTAGTTTTTCTTTCTCTTACCAGTGTCTTTCCCAGAGCAAAAGTTTTTAATTTTGATGAAGTCCAGTTTATCAATGCCTTCTTTATGGATTATACTTACTTCTAAGGACTCTTTGCCTAAACCTAGGTCAGGAATATTCTGTCTCTCTCTCTCATGTGTATGTGTGTGTGTGTATTTAAATTTATGTATGTATGTATGTATGTATGTATTTATTTATTTATTTATGAGATGGAGTTTTGCTCTTGTTGCCCAGGCTGGAGTGCAATGGTGTGGTCTCAGCTTACTGCAACCTCCGCCTCCCAGGTTCAAGCAATTCTCCTGCCTCAGCCTTCCCAGTAACTGGAATTACAGGTGCCCGCCACCCTGCCTGGCTAATTTTTGTATTTTTAGTAGAGATGAAGTTTCACCATGTTGGCCAGGCTGGTCTCAAACTCCTGACCTCAGGTGATCCGCCTGCCTCAGCCTCCCAAAGTGCTGTGATTACAGGCGTGAGGCACTGTGCCCGACTTCTTTCCTATATTTTATCTCAAAGGTTTATAGTTTTACATGTTACATTAAATCTATAGTCCATTTTTAGTTAATTTTTGTATAAGGTGTGAGATTTAGGTCAAGGTTCTTTTTTTGCATATGAGTGTCTAATTGTTCTAATGCCACGTGTGGGAATTAAAAACTATACTTTCTTCATGGAATTGTTTTTGCACCTTGCTAAAAACAGTTTCTGTGGGTCTATACCAATATTCTGTTTCCTTTATCTCTGTGTCTCTTCCTTCACCAATATCACACTGTCTTTATTTCTGTAGTTTTATAGTTAGTCTTAAAACTGGGTATTGTGATATTTTCAACTCTATTCTTAAAAAAAAAAAAAAAACTGGCCAGGAATGGTGGCTCATGTCTGTAATCCCAACACTTTGGGAGGCTGAGGTGGGTGGATCATGAGGTCTGGAGTTCGAGACTAGCCTGACCAACGTGGTGAAACCTCCGTCTCTACTAAAAATACAAAAATTAGCCGGGCATGGTGGCAGGCACCTGTAATCCCAGCTACTCAGGAGGCTGAGGCAGGAGAATCGCTTGAACCTGGGAGGCGGAAGTTACAGTAAGCCAAGATCGGGCCACTGCACTCCAGCCTGGGCGATAGAGCGAGACTCCATCTCAAAACAACAACAACAACAACAAAGCAAAAAACACCTGTTTTAGCTATTCTAGTTCCTTTGCCTTTCTATGTAAATTTTAGAATCAGATTATATCTTAAAAATATTTCTAGGAGTTTGATTGGAATTGAAATATATTTTGTGCAGAAAAGAGTTAAAATAATAGGCCTGATACTGCTATCCCTAGAAAGGTCTGTTTGCAAGGTTGGCCCTTGGCTGGTAATCTGGAAACTTGGCCGGTAAGCAGTCCCCACACTGATATAAAACTTCCCCGAATGTTAATTGTGGCTTACTGTGCTTAAACTCTTTATGCAAACAGTGTGGTTTAGGCTGAGCACCTGCTTTCCTTTTGGGAGTCTGGAACTTCAGAACATGCTAGGCACAGAGTGTTTACTTGACCAGTTCCCAATAAAATTTTGGGCACTGAGTGATAGTAAGCTTCCCTGGTAGACAACACTTTCCATGTGTTGTCACAACTCATTGCTAGAGGAATTAAGTGCATCCTGAAGTGACTACTGACAGGACTCTTGGAAGCTTGCTTGTGGCTTTTTCCAGATTTTGCCCCATGCTTCTTATCCCTTTGCTGATTTTGCTTTGTATCCTTTCACTGAAATAAATCATAGTCATGAGTATGACTATATGCTAAGTCCTATGAGCCATCCTAGGAAATCATTGTGCTTGAGGTGGTCTTAGGGAACCCCAATACACATCTATAGGTGAGTTCAGATAGAATTGGCGCGTTACTATGTTGAATCTTCCAACCTATGGTATGTCTCTCCATTTATTTAAATTTTCTTTGATTTATTTTTCTCATCATATAGATCCTATACATGTTTTGTTAGATTTATAAAAAATATTTTCTTCTCTTGAAGCTATTGTAAATTATGTTTTTTAAATTTAGCTTTCTATTTATACATTGCCAGTATGAAATATGGTTGATAGTTGTGTGTTGACCTTGTATTCTGTGACTTTGCTAAAACTCAGGAGTTCTTTTTTTGTAGATTTCTTGGGGTTATCTACATAGATAATTGAATCATCTGCAAATGGGGACCGTTTTATTTCTTCCTTTCTAATCTCCATGCTTTTTATTTTATTTTCATGTTTTATTATACTGCCTGAGACTTCCATTATGATGTTGATATAGATGCAGTAAGAGTGGACAGCATTGCCTTACTCCTGATCTTAGGAGGAAAGCATTGACTTTAACTATTAGTGTGATTTTAGCTGTAGGATTTTTGTAAACACCTTTGATCAGGTTGAGAAAGTTACTTTCTATTTCTAGTTTAATCCTGCGTAATATATTTTTTTATCATGAATAAATGTTGAACTTTGTCAAATGCTTTTTTCCTGCATCTATTGATTTTTTTTTGTTTTAGCCTAATATAGTAAGTTAAATCAATTGATCTTCAAAAATGGGAGCAACGTTATTTTTATATTCCTGAGATAAACCCCATTTTGTCCTGGTATATTTTTCTTTTTAGGTATTGCTGGATTTGATTTGCTAATATTTTGTTGAGGATTTTTACATCTATGTTTATGATGGATGTCGGGATGTTGGTCTGTAGTGTTCTGATTGGGTTTTTTGTTTGTTTGTTTTTTGTTCTGGTATCAGAATAATAGTGATCTTGTAAAATAAGTTGGGAATTATCCCCAACCCTTCTGTTTTCTGGAAGGGATGTGTAGAATTGATGTTATTTCTTCTTTAAATGTTGGTAGAATTTGCAAGCGAAAACATTGGAGCCTGGAGAGTTTTTCCCAAAAGGTTTTCAGTGAAGAATATCATTTCTTTAATATTTATAAGGTTATTTAAGTTATCTATTTCATATTGGGTGACTTTTGGTAGTTTGTGGTTTTCAAGGAGTTGGTCCCTTCCGTCTAAGCTGTCAAATTTATGTGCATAGAGTTTTTCATAGTGTTCCCTCTTTCATTCCTGATACTGGTAATTTGTGTCTTCTCTTGTTTTGTTTATCAGTCTTGCTAGAGGTTTATTAATTTTATTCATCTTTCCAAAGAGCCAGATTTTGGTTTCATCCATTTTTCTTTATTTTTCTGTTTTTAGTATTCTTCATATCTGCTCTAATTTTTATAATTTTATAATTTTTATAATTTTATAACTATTTAAAAAATAGTTTTCTTTCTTCTTGCTTATGGTTTAATTTCTTTATTATCCATGGTGATTTTCTGTGTAATAATTCTGTTACTGAGAGAGGAGTACTGAAGTCTTCAACTATAATTGTGGATTTGTCTATTTCTAAGTTTTGTCATTTTTTGCTTTGTGTTTTTTGAAGTTCTGTTGTTAGGAACATACACATTTAGGATTATTATATCTTCTTTATATTTATTTCTGACTTTTTCTTCATATAACAATGGTTATATGATTGCAATCATCTTTCCAGTCAAACTGATGTATTTCTATATCCATTTTATTTGCAGTATGGTATTTCTCTTCTATCATACCCATCCTGCTATTAATGGACATTTAGGTTATTTTCAAATATTGCTCTTTGAAATAACCCTGTAGTGAATATACATAAATGTGCATTTTTTAACAATTTTACTATTGTTTCTCCGGACCAAATGACTAGGAATAGGATTATTAGATCAAAAGATGCACATGAAAAATTTTTGTACATGTTGACAGCTATCCTTCTGAAATGTCATGACCATTTATGCTTTTACCATTACTGAATGAAAATGCTTATTTTCCCATAATCTTATCAACAAAAGAAGTTATATTTTTTACCATCTGATAAGTGAAAAATTTTAATGTGTTATTTTAGTTAGCTGTACAGAAGCACTGGCATTTTAAGTAGTCAAGTTTATCAGTTCTTATAACTTTAAGATTTGTTTCTTGCTTAGGAAAGTCATTAGTCCAGAATTATATAACTATTTCTACAAAATTTTTTCTAGAATATTTATAGTTTCATTTCTACTTTTAAATCCTTAGTCTATTGGGTGTCAGAATCTAAACAACTTTCTCCAATGATTATCCAGTTATTCTAACACCATTTATTTTCATTATACACTGGTTTGAAATGACACCTTTATCATAATACTTCAGTTTGTAGTCTTTCCAATTCTCTTCCATTGATCTATTTGTCTACTCTAACATCAGTAGTATACTGTTTTTATTATATATTATTTGTCTACTCTAACATCAGTAGCATGCTGTTTTATTATTATATTATTATGGCTTTGTAATACATTTATTGCCTCTTTACTCATCTTTTATAAAATATTCCTGGTTGTTCTTGCACATTAATTCTTCCAGGTGAGCTGTAGAATAATTTTGTCGAGTTTTCAAAAATAGCCCATTAGGATTAATTCAGGAAAAATTCACAGACTTTATAATGTCGAACTTACTAAGCCAGTTATGTTGTGTCTATTTACTTCCCAGGTCTTTTACAATTTCAATTTTTAAAAAATTTTCTTCATATTGGTCTCACTAACTTAAAAATGTTTTTCTTGAGTATTGAGAATTTTTTAAATGTTATGAGTGTTATCCTTTTTCCCTTTTAAAATTTATTGCTAGTTTTTTTTTTTTGGTTCCATATGAACTTTAAAGAAGTTCATATGGAACCAAAAAAAGAGCCCACATTGCCAAGTCAATCATAAGCCAAAAGAACAAAGCTGGAGGCATCATGCTACCTGACTTCAGACTATACTACAAGGCCACAGTAACCAAAACAGCATGGTACTGGTACCAAAACAGAGATATAGACCAATGGAACAGAACAGAGCCCTCAGAAATAATACCACACATCTACCACCATCTGATCTTTGACAAACCTGACAAAAACAAGCAATGGGGAAAGGATTCCCTATTTAATAAATGGTGCTGAGAAAACTGGCTAGCCATATGTAGAAAGCTGAAACTGGATCCCTTCCTTATACCTTATACAAAAATTAATTCAAGATGGATTAAAGACTTACATGTTAGACCTAAAACCATAAAAACTCTAGAAGAAAACCTAGGCAATACCATTCAGGACATAGGCATGGGCAAGGACTTCATGTCTAAAACACCAAAAGCAATGGCAACAAAAGTAAAAATTGACAAATGGGATCTAATTAAACTAAAGAGCTTCTGCACAGCAAAAGAAACTACCATCAGAGTGAACAGGAAACCTATAGAATGGGAGAAAATTTTTGCAATCTACTCATCTGACAAAGGGCTAATATCCAGAATCTACAAATAACTCAAACAAATTTACAAGAAGAAAACAACCCCATCAAAAAGCGGGCAAAGGATATGAACAGACACTTCTCAAAAGAAGACATTTATGCAGCCAAAAAACACATGAAAAAATGCTCATCATCACTGGCCATCAGAGAAATGCAAATCAAAACCACAATGAGATACCATCTCACACCAGTTAGAATGGCGATCATTAAAAAGTCAGGAAACAACAGGTGCTGGAGAGGATGTGGAGAAATAGGAACACTTTTACACTGTTGGTAGGACTGTAAACTGGTTCAACCATTGTGGAAGACAGTGTGGCGATTCCTCAGGGATCTAGAACTAGAAATACCATTTGACCCAGCCATCCCATTACTGGGTATACACCCAAAGGATTAGAAATCATGCTGCTATAAAGACACATGCACATGTATGTTTATTGCAGCACTATTCACATTAGCAAAGACTTGGAACCAAGCCAAATGTCCAACAATGATAGACTGGATTAAGAAAATGTGGCACATATACACCATGGAATACTATGCAGCCATAAAAAATGATGAGTTCATGTCCTTTGTAGGGACATGGATGAAGCTGGAAACCATCGTTCTCAGCAAACTATCGCAAGGACAAAAAACCAAACACCGCATGTTCTCACTCAGGTGGGAGTTGAACAATGAGAACACATGGACACAGGAAGGGGAACATCACACACTGGGGCCTGTTGTGGGGTAGGGGGAGGGGGGAGGGATAGCATTAGGAGATATACCTAATGTAAATGATGAGTTAATGGGTGCAGCACACCAACATGGCACATGTATACATATGTAACAAACTTGCACGTTGTGCACATGTACCCTAGAACTTAAAGTATAATAAAAAAAATTTATTACTAGTATATTGGGAAACAGTTGATTTTTTAATGTATTTTATGTTCATCTACTTTGCTGAAGTTAGTCATGATTCATTTAATTTACTCTTGCACTTGATATGCTTATACTTTATTTACAATTTTTGCATCTTTGCTCATAAATCAGATTCCTTTTTAAGTTTCTGTTGAAGGATGCTGTCATTATTAAGTGTGGTAAAGATTTAATAAAGGTCTTTATAAAGGATTACTCTAGCTTTTTAACATAATTAGGGAAATTTTCTGGCAGTACTAAATTTAACACAGGAATTGTATTTTCCTTGAAGAACTTGTCCATGAACCCATCAATATATAGTGCCATTTTTGTGTGTGATTCTTTGAGAAATTTTTATAATAACAATGGCTATTGGCCTAGTAAGGTTTTCTTGCCCTTCTTGAGTCATTTTTGTAGTTTATATTTTACTTTTTTGTGTTTGTTTGTTTTGTTTTGAGACAGGGTCTCACTCTGTCACCCAGACTGGAGTGCAGTGGCGCCACCTTGGCTCACCGCAATCTCGGCTCACCGCAATCTCTGCCTCCCAGGCTCAAGCTATTCTCCTGCCTCAGCCTCCAGAGTAGCTGGGATTACAGGCGTGCGCCACTACTGCCTGGCTAATTTTTGCACTTTTAGTAGAGGCGGGGTTTCACCATGTTGGCCAGGCTTGTCTCAAACTCCTGAACCTCAAATGATCCACCCTCTTCGACCTCCCAAAGTGCCAGGATTACAGGTGTGAGCCACTGTGCCTGGCCTTGTAGTTTATATTTTCCTAAAAATGTATCCATTTCTTGGATATATTGTTATTATCATAGATTGTACATAATATCATTTTATAACCCTTTATAATGATTTCTTTTCTCACTCATTGCGTGATGTGTTATCTTCCTCACATGTGCTTGCATTCATATCTACATATTCTTTTCTTCAATTTTCCTCACAAGCAGTTTTTTAAAAATCCTCTTTGTCTTTTCAAAGAACCAGCTCATGGGTAAATATATACCTTTTCTGTTTTAAAAATTCATTTAACATCTGCTTTTATTTTTATTTTATTCTTGTTTTGCTAAGGTTTATTTTGTTGTTTTCCCTGGCTGCTTGAATTGAATGCTTAGTCTGTTTTAATTATTCTTGACTTCATAACAAAAGATTCAAAGCTATACATTTTCTTCTAAGTATAGTTCTGAGTATATCCAATTAATTTTGAAAAATAGTGTTGTAGCTATCTTGATTTTTCTCAATAATCTGCAGTTGCAATTTTTATTTCCTCTTCGACCCTGTTTTTTGTTGTTTTTTTAGTGCTTAACATTTTAAAAATATTTCCTTTTCTTTGATTTATCCTTTTATTATAAATTTCTAGAGGTATTTCATTGTGTATTGAAAATGTGACCTGAATGATAATTTCTTTCTTAAAGTTAATAAGGTTTTCTTCATGGTTTCAGGTATAATAAGTTTGTATAAATGATTCACTGAAGAACTGTATTCTCTATAGGGTACAATGATCATTATATCAATTTTGGCTTAATAATTATATAATTTATATGCTAATTTATTTTTTCTAATTTATCAAAGCCTAAGAGCAGTATGGTAACTACCCACAAATATTATTGTTTAGTTAATTTCTCCTGGCATTTCTTCACCTCTGCCATCCTACCTTAACTTCCTTGACTTATACAATATTTTAACTGAAAAATTCCAAAAAGGAATTTTGAGGAAAGAGACTTTATTCCAGTGAACAGTTTGCAAACTAGGAGATACCAGCCTTCAGTGTAAAACAAAGGTGTGCTCCTGAGAAAAAAAATTAAGGGTTTAGGTTTTCCAGCAAAGGTTCACACCAAGGTTGCCAATCTGGTCTATTTATGCAAATGAAAAATTCAAACTTGCTTAGTTCTGATTGGTAGATGGTATACATAGCTGAGTTCTGATTGGTTGATACAGTGGAACCTTCATTGGCTGGTACAGCTGAACCCTGATTGGCCAAGGCAAGTGAACTCCGAAAACCTCAAAATTTAAAAAGTGTGGGTTTTCCACAGACCTCTGAGCACCTATGTGACCTCTAGTCAGCAAATGGTCACTTGACTGTATTTTAAATTTAGGCCCAGGTAGCTACTGAGGATCCATCCTGAAGGATTGGCTGTTTCTGGTTTACATTTGTTCACTGTGTATATGTGCAAATGTTCATATATATGTGTGTGTGTGTTTGTGTGTGTGTACATAATAACCCTTTTCTCCTAACTCTGTGGGGTAACAACTATAAATTGTTTAGGGTGTATCCTTACAGATCCTTTATTATATGTCTCATCACTTTTTTAAAGTTTTTTTTTTATTATCCTTTCTTTTAAAATCCTAAGTTATATGAGCAATACATGAAATATAGCTTTTAATGGGTGTGGGTTATATGATATTTTTGTTGTATGAATAATATGAATAGGTTATGCTGTACACATTGCTTTGCACCTTGATTTTTAGGAATAAGTCTTAGTCATCTTTCCATATAAGTATAGATCTATGACATTCTTTTAAACTGCAGCATGATATCCTTTTATGTGAATATAGTGTTTATTTTGTTAACCAACTCTTTTGATAGACCTGGTCTGTTAATTTCCCCTCAAGTAAGCTGAGATAATTTGCATATTTTAGTTCATTCCTTCTTCTGATTTTAGTTAAAATAGTCTAGGGTTTTAGATCCAGATTATATGTAATATATTGTCTTCCCTATGGATAATTATTTTTGACATTTCTAGATGTGAGCCTGTTTTCCTTAATTTTGTCTGGTATATTGTGAGTCCTTTCAGTCTAAAAGTTCATTATTTCTTTGACTCAGATAAATTTTTATCTTTTATTTTTTGACATTATTACCCGTCTTCCTTTTCTCTTCGTGTGTGTATGTGTGTCTCCAGAATTTATTCCCTCAAGTTTTTATTCATTATCTTCAACTTTCTTTTATCTCTTAATTCTGGGAGAATTTCTTAAGATAGCCTTTGGAATAATTGATTTGGTTTTGGCAGTATCTAATATGCTGTTCACTGCCTCTGTTACATTGCTTAAATTAGTTCTTTTTTTCATCAGAAATCAGTCTTTCTGGATTCCAGAATGTCGTCTTTTCATAGATTCAGTGTCCTCTCAGACCTTGTTGAGGGTGTACTCTTTAAAAGTATATTTCAGTTCTTTGGAGCAAAAAGATTGCATAAATAGACACTTACTCTGATTCTTCAGGATTTTTCTCCTTTAAAAATTACTTGTTCTTTTTTCATACATCTGGTTGATTTTCTCTGTTTGTATTTGTAGAAGGTGATCTTTGAGTTTTGGAATTTGAGGCAGATTTTATCAGATTTGTCTCCTAGTTCAAGACTACGAGTACTCTTTATATGTTCTATAGTTTTGATTTATTTGTTACTTTCCTTTTGTTTCTTCTTACCCATCTCTAGACAGGGAAAGCAGTTGTTTCTGAAGAATTGGAAGAGTGTTCTAACCAGAAGCACTTGTGAGGAAAGGAGAGAATCTTGCTAATGTGCTGAGGGACTTCTTGTCCATATTTGTTGTAGCTGCTTTAAATTACCTGGAGCACTGCCCCTATTTTCTGACCAGCACAAAGACCCTTGTTTGGAGCCTGATGCTGAGAGGGCTGAAAACCATATCATGTGAAGAATAGTTAGAGGAAGTCAAGTTATTTGTTCTAGAATGGGAAAGATTTATAGGAGACATAATAACTATCTTCAGTAGTTAAAGGGCTGTCACAAGAAGGATTAGACTTGTTCTATGTGTTTCCAAGTGGTAGAATTATGTTAGAAGGGTATCATCTTACATTCAAGGAAGGAGAATTGCTATAACTGACACAGCTTGTGTTTTAAATATTTATTGACTCTAGATTTCGACCATTCATTCAGATATAATCCACACACTTTGATGTTACCACTTGATACCAACACGCATGAATGCATGCATAAGTGGCCAAGTGCCTATGTGAGGTACTAGGAGGCTATGCAAGCACTAGCTATGGCATTTGCTCACAGAGGCATTATCCTTAGAGAACTGCTGCTTTCTATTCCTATCCTCTTTTTATTTTTCATAATCACCTTACTGTAATTTCTTGATACTTAACGTGGTAGTCATTACTTTTCACATGCATGAGCTCGTCCCATCCCTTTCTCTTGACATTCCTTTAGACAGTGTGATAGGCAGAAGAAAAAGTCCATTTTCTAATCCATAGAACCTGTACATATGTTACCTTATCTAGTAAAGGGGAATTAAGGTAGCAGATGGAATTAAGGTTGCTATCAGCTTAATTTAAGATATGCAATTATCCTCGATTACCCAAGTGGGCCCAATGTAATCACAAGGATACTTAAATATAGAAAAGGGAGGCAGAGAGTGATACAATGTGAGAACAACTTGGCTGGCTATTGCTGGCTTTGAAGGTGGAAGGGCCCACAAAACAAGGAATGCAGGCTGCCTCTAGAAGCTAGAAAAAAAAGAAAATTGATTCTTTACTAGAACCTCCAGAAAGCAACACAGCCTTGATGACACCTTGATTTTTAACCCAGTGAGACTCATTTTGGCCTTCTGGCCTCTAGATCTGTAATATAAAGAATTGGTGTTGTTGTAAGGCATTATGTTTGTGGTAATTTATTATAGTACTGTGTTAGATCATTGTCACATTGCTATAAAGAAATACTTGAGACCGGGTAATGTATTTAAACAAAAAAGAAGTTTAATTGGCTCACAGTTCTGCAGGCTGTGTAAGCATGATGCTGGCATCTGCTCAGCTTCTGGGGAGGCCTCATGGAGATTTTTACTCATTGCAGAAGGTGAAGCAGGAGGAAGCACATCACATGGCGAAAGCAGGAACAAGTGGGGGAAGTGCCATACACTTTTAAACAACCAGATTTTGCAAGAACTCACTATGATGAGGACAGCACCAAGCCATGAGGGATCTGTCCTCATGACCCAAACACCTCCCACCAGGCCCCACCTCCAACACTGGGGATTACAATTCACCATGAAATTTAGAGGGGACAACATCCAAACTATATCATTTCACCCCTGGCCCCTCAAATTTCACATTCTTCTCACATTGTAAATTACAATCATCCCCTACCAATAGTCCCCCCAAATCTTAACTCATTCCAGCATCAAGTCCAAAGTCTTATCTGAGACAAGGCAAGTTCCTTTTACCTATGAACCTATAAAATCAAAACAAGTTATTTACTTCCAAGATACAATGGAGGTACAGGTATTGGGTAAATACTCCCATTCCAAAAGGGAGAATGAACGAAAGGGGCTATAGGCCCCCACATAAGTCTGAAACCCAGTAGGGTTTAAATCTCAAGCCGTGTCATTTAATCTTAAATGTATTAAAGTCATTACATCTTGAAGCTCCAAAACAATCTCCTTTGACTCCGTGTTCCACATGCAGGGCACACTGCTGCAAGGGGTGGGCTCCTAAGGCTTTGGGCAGCTCTGCCCCTGTGACTTTATGGGGTTCAGCCCCGGTAGCTTCTCTCATGGGCTGGAGTTGAGTTCCTGTGGCTTTTCTAGGCTCAGGATGCAAGCTGCCCATGGCTCTACAATTCTGGGGTCTGGAGGATGGTGGCCCCCTTCCCATAGCTCCACTAGGCAGTATCCCACTGCCTAGTGGGACTCCAGAGTGGGGACTCTAGTGAGGGGGTTCAACCCCATATTTCCCTTCCAAACTGCCCTCATAAAGGTTCTCTGTGGGGGTTCCACCCCTGCAGCAGGATTCAGCCTGGACATCCAGGTTTTTCCATACATCCTCTGAAATCTAGGTGGAGGGTGCCAAGCCTCCTTCACTCTTGCACTCTGTGTGCCTACAGACTTAACACCACATGGAAGCTGCCAGGGCTTATGGCTTGCACCCTCTGGAGCAGCAGGCCTAAGTAACTGGGCCCCTTTGGGCCCCTTTGAACTGCAGCTGGAGCTTCAGGGATGCGGGGAGCAGTGTCCTGAGTCTGCACATGGAAGCAGCCCCCCACTCACCCTCCTAGGCCTCTGGGTCTGTGATGGAAGGGGCTGCCTTGAATATCTCTGAAATGCTTTAAATGCCTTTTTCCCATTGTCCTGGCTATTAGCACTTGGCTCCTTTTTAGTTATATAAATCTCTCTAGCCAGTGGTTGTTCCTAAGCCTGCTTGGATTCTTTCCCTGAAAACAGTATTTTCTTTTCTACCACATGACCAGGCTGCACATTTTCCAAACTTCTGCACTCTGCTTCCTCTTTAAATATAAACTCCCAACTTTAAGTGATTTATTTGCTCCTGCATCTGAGTGTAGGCTTTTAGAAGCAGGCAGGCCCCATCTTGAACACTTTTCTGCTTAGAAATTTATTCTGCCAGATATCCTAGGTTGTTACTTTAGGTTCAAACTTCCACAGATCCCTAGAGCATGGACACAATGTAGCAGGACGAGTCGCAGACAAGAACCCCTCGGACACCGAGTTGTGGAAGGAAAGGGCTTTATTCAGCTGGGAGCATCAGTGGACTCAGGTGTCCAAAAACCGAGCTCCCTGAGTGAGCAATTCCTGTCCCTTTTAAAGGCTTACAACTCTAAGGGGGTCTGCATGAGAGGGTCGTGATCGATTGAGCAAGCAGTGGGTACATGACTTGGGGCTGCATACACCAGTAATCAGAATGGAACGGAACAGGACAGGGATTTTCACAGTGCTTTTCCATACAATGTCTGGTATCTATAGATAATATAACCGTTTAGGTCAGGGGTCAATTTTTAACTACCAGGCCTGGAATGCAGCGCCAGACTGTCTGACTACTGATTTCACTTCTGCCTTTAACTCCTACTTTTCCTTTGAGGCAGAAATTGGTCATAAGACAATATGAGGGGTAGTCTCCTCCCTTACTACCCACCCCTTTGAGAACCTCACTCATTAGTGGGAGTTCTCACTTTCTTCCTCACTACCTACGTCTTCTTGCAAGACAGATCGATAGTGATTCATATAGAACACTTGTGCTGAAGCATTTTGGTGAACTAAGGTAGCGATGAAGCTTTTTATCACTTGAAGAAGTACAGGGAGTAGTAAGCAGGTTCCTATTACTATTATAACTCCTATTATAAGAGTTTTAAATCCTCCTAGGTCTGGGAACCATTTTCCAAACATGGCCCCAAGATCAAATCCATGCCACACTTGCATGGGCATATGTGCCAGTTTTGTCATATCTCTATGTCTTCAACTACTTGCCCTTGATCATCTATGTGTAGACAGCAATTAGTAAGGTTAAATTTCCTATAGACCTCTCCTTCAGCTGCTAGCAAGTAGTTGAGAGCCAATCTCTTTTGATAGATAGCATTTCTTATCTGAGTTTCTTGCCAGGCCAGAATAGTCAAGGCTCTGTTGGTTTTATTAGTGATTATTTCTAAGACAGCTTGTAACTATATGATTTGGTTGAACATGTAAATGGGGGTCCGGTATCCCCACAAGTCATCTTGTGCCCACGTAGCAGGCCCATAATATTGTATGATTCTCTCGGGACCATTCATCATCTTTCTAATTTCCTATAGCTATGCTTCTCTTTTTGCGGGAAGCATGGACAGAGGGCAGCCCGGGAGTTTGCCTGTTTTTATGGGCAGTAGGAAGAAAGATGGTTTAATAATGCCAATAACACAACTACCTGCCCACTGGTTGGGTAATTTGGCATAAGCTCTATGCCCACATATCCAGTAAAATCCAGTGGGCGCCGTCCAGTCCCGGTGGGACTCCAGGTGGATCCACACGGTTTGCAACTTTGGGAATTTACTAAATGTATTCCTTTCTGTGTGATTTGAACTCCACCAAGTGACTGTTTTTGTGGTACCATTATACAGTTTCTGTCCCAGACAACTAAGTCATCCTACGGGGTGAGTGAATTCTTTTCCCTCTCTAGCTATGCAATATTGTCCAATAATTGAGGCTTTTAGGATGCAGAAATTATCAGGGTGATTCTTCTGAGCCGGGAATTAATCAGGAACTGGGTCTGTAGGTACTAATTCTCAGGCTTGCCATGGCCATTGGTCTCCCATTACAATTCCTCCACATACATAACATGAAGTGACATTGAGAGACTGGGCTACATGCTCGGCTAATTGCAAAAACAAATTTCTTGTTTTTCCTGGAATTTCTGGTACTGGCACATGTAGTTCATCATAGAAAGTTTGAAACATTGGCTCAGGAGAGCGTTTGTAAACTTCTCCTCGAACTAAGATATTTACTCGAGGATTCAGTCTGGCCCCACTGATTCCTAAGGCCACACGCTCCCCTTTTTTCCAGCGAGAATCAAGGGGATTGGTTATTACCAGCTCTAAGGGGTTACATTGTCCCTTAGTACAGGAAGAGCCACTTTTTCCTTTCTGAAGGTGGACTGGATCCTTTTCATTTTTTTATCCAAGTGGCCCAAATGACACAAGACCAGTATCCACATTCATTTACACACAGTCCTAATTCATGACAAATGTACTTATTTTCAGTCATATAGCCTTTTTCCCAATCAAAAGAGCCACATCCCCTTCCTAACTTATTGCTATTAATGACAGCACAGGCATCAAATTTCAAGATTATGCATTTGGGCACCCTTTTTCTTCTGTTTTGGCTAATACTTTACTTATATCATTTACGAGTCCCCACCTGTCTTCAGTCCTTAATCTTATTTCAAAAACTGTGGACATGGGAGGCTTAGAGGGGTCATAACACACATCTGGCTGGTTGTTTCCTGGGCTACATACCTTGTACTGAGTGTCATTATATAAACATGTTCCTTTTAAAGTTCCTAGGCATTCATAGTAACTATAGAACAGAAAGATTGTTTTAACTTGTTGCCCTACCTCGGTAACCTGATGTATACACTGACAGCAGTCCTCAATGTGGGGAAAATCAGTGGAGGTTTTTACTATACAAGTCCAAATTATAAGGAAAATGAGTCCCACGATGATCCTCCTCATGCTTCGGCTGTGCGTAGACCAGTCAGCTTCCGGGTGTGACTGGAGCAGGGCTTGTCGTCCTCAGAGTCACTTTGCAGGGGTTGTCCAGGCTTGGTTTCGCCTCCCAGATTTCATTGGCTGTGGTGGATCCAGGCTGGGATTCCTTCTACCTTTACAGCCTTGGGGGTGGTCAGGATGACGGTCTGAGGTCCTTTCCACTGTGGCCGCAAAGGGGCTACATTCCAATCCTTCATCCACACGTGGTCACCTGGAGAGAAAGGGTGAACTGGGGAGAATAAGCTGATGGGACATTTCTCATTTACCCAAGTTGAAATAGTTTGTGTAATTTTTCCTAAAGCCTGTAGCTGTCGCTGTAATTCAATTTCACCTAACTCTCAGGGAGTGCCTGGAAGCCCCCCCGTAGTATAGGAGGAGGCCTATGATACAGTATTTCATAAGGGGAGTATCCTGTTTTCTTAGAAGGAGTACATCTAATTTTAAACAATACCATAGGAAGGGCCTGTATCCACTTTAATCCTGTTTCCTGACATACTTTCCCTAAACTATTTTTGATAGTCCGATTCATTCGCTCCACCTTTCCGGAACTCTGAGGTCGGTAGGCGGCATGTAGCTTCCAAGTGATTTCTAATGCCTTTGCTGTCTTCTGTACCAAGTCAGCCACAAATGCTGGCCCATTATCCGAGCCGATTCATAAGGGCAGTCCAAACCTAGGAATAAGATCTCAGAGAAGCACACGGGTTACCTCGTAGGCCTTTTCAGTTCGTGTTGGATAAGCCTCCACCCATCCAGAGTAAGTACACACACGAACCAGCAAGTACCTATTACCTCCACATTTTGGCATTTCTGTGAAATCCACCTGAAGATCCTCAAAAGGAGCCGCTCCATAAGCTTGTATGCTGGGTGGAACAGTGGGGCCTTGCCTCGCATTGTGCTGTTGGCAAGTAACACACTGTTGTTGTGTTACGGCTTTGGCAAGTGCTGGCAACTGTGAGATGTAGAAGTACCGGCCCAACAATTTTTCAAGTGACTCTTGACCTGGATGAGTGGTTTCGTGCATGGCCAATACAATTGTGGCTCCCAGCAACTGTGGCACAGCTACTCTCCCATCTGGCAGTCTGATCCATCCTCCTTTTATTACTTACCCCCCTTCTGCATGGAAGAAGTCTTTTTCTTCCTTAGAATAGGTAGGTACCAGGTCAGATGTTTGAGGGAGTAAGGGGGCTGCTACCAATGCCTGGTAAGGGGTAGATGCTGCTTTTCAAGCTTCTGAATCAGCTCGAGAGCTTCCTAAGGCCACTGAGATGGAGGCTCGCTGGTGTCCCCTGCAGTGCATGACTGCCACCTTCTGAGGTTTCCACACTGCCTCTAGTAATTGTAGAATTTCTTGTTGATATTTTATGTCCTTTCCCCCAGAGTTTAGCAGACCCTTCTCCTTATATAATGTTCCATGCACTTGGAGGGTTAGAAAGGCATATCGAGAGTCAATGTAGATGTTTACAGTCTTACCTTCACTGAGTTCTAGAGCCCGAGTTAAAGCAATGAGCTCAGCCTTCTGGGCTGAAGTGCCCTGTGGCAATGGTTTGGCTTCAATGACAGCATCCAAAGTTACCATCACATATCCTGCACATCTTTCTCCTTGTGGGTTGATGAAGCTGCTCCCGTCCATGTATAACTCCCAGTCTACTGATGCCCATGGCTGGTCCCAAAGGTCAGGTCTGCTAGAATAAACTGAGTCCAACACCTCTACACAGTTATGCTCTACCAGGCTCTCTGATACTAGGAGCAGGGTGGCGGGATTTAGGGTGTTACAGACTTCAGTGGTTATGTGGGGATTTTCACACAGCAAGCTTTGGTACTTTGTTAATCTAGCATTTGTTAGCCAATGATGTCCTTTGGTTTTCATCAAAGTTACCACAGCATGGGGGGCCTTTATATTCAGGTTTTGCCCAAGGGTTAGTTTATCTGCTTCTTGTGCTAACAGGGCTGTTGCTGCCAGGGCCCTTAGACATGGTGGCCAGACTTTGGAAACCCCATCTAGTTGTTTTGAGAGATAGACCACTGGCCTTGGCCAGGGCCCCACAGTCTGGGTTAAAACTCCAACTGCCATTTTTTCTCTTTCTGACACATAGAGTGTAAAGGGCTTTGTCAAATCTGGTAGTCCTGGGACTGGGGGCCGACATAAGTTTTTCCTTTAACTTACAAAAGGCTTGCTGTTGTAGAGGCCCCCATTCAAAAGGCTCCCAGTCGCCTCCTCTGTAACCCTGTACAAAGGTTTGGCTAGCACTGCAAAGTTTGGAATCCATAATCTGCAGAACCCCACAGCTCCTAGGAATTCCCTTACTTGCCTTCTGGTTTTAGGTTCCGGTAGGCTGCAGATGACCTGCTTTCTTTCTGACTCCAGGCTGCGCTCCCCTTTCTGAATAGTGAATCCCAGGTAGTGTACCTGCTGTCTGCAGATCTGAGCTTTCTTCTTGGACACCTTATACCCACAGTCCTCCAGGTGCCAAAGCAGGGCATCCGTCCCTTTTGTGCACCCGACTGCTGTGGAGTGTCCCAGCAGAAGGTCGTCCGTGTACTGGAGCAAGCCTAGGTCTTTAGCAGGAAACTTTTGCAGGTCTCAAGCCAGGGCCTCCCCGAAGATAGTAAGGGAGTTCTTGAATCCTTGGGGAAGCTGGGTCCAAGGGTACTGAGTAGTGACACCTGACTCCGGATCTTCCCACTGAAAGGCAAACAGCTTCTGGCTTTCAGGAGCTAGTCTGATGCTAAAGAAGGCATCTTTTAAGTCCAGACAGGTAAACCAGCTGTCCTCAGCCTGCAGCAGCCCTAACAATGTGTAAAGGTTAGGAACTGTTGGGTGCAGAGTCACTGTAGCTTGGTTGACCAAGCACAAGTCCTGTACTGGCTGGTAGTCCTTGGTCCCTGGCTTAGGGACAGGGAGGAAGGGGAGGTTCCATGGAGACTGGCAAGGAACTATAATTCCAAAGGCTTTCAAGTGCCTGAGATGAACCTGGATTCCTTCGAGAGCTTCTCTGGGAACCGGATACTGCTTTTGTCTAATTGGCTGGGCCCCAGGCTTAACTTCTATGAGTACAGGGTCTTGGTTGACCACCAGTCCCGGAGGATTATCATCCGCCCATATTCGGGGCCATCGCTTAGCTAGAGCTGGTTTTATCTCTTGGCCTGGCTCGGTCAGAAAAAGTCTCCATTCTTTTTCCCTGGTGACCATAAGAGCCATGATAACTCCTGTTTCTGGTAAGTTTAGCTGTAAAGAGCCCTGTTTTGTAAAGGAGATGGTGGCTCTCAGCTTGCTAAGCAAGTCTCTTCCCAGCAAAGGCAAGGGACAGTCAGGCATATACAAGAACTGGTGAACTATTTCATGTCCCCCCACTGAGAAGGTCCATGGTAGACAGAAAGCCTGCTTAGTGGAAACTCCTGTTGCTCTGATTATATCAATGGTTTCCTTGGATAAGGGGGTGACCAGGGTGGTCACTACTGAATGTTCAGTACCAGTATCGACCACAAACTTAATGTCCTTGCCCCCAATTGTAATCCTGACCGTGGGCTCCTTGGGGGCGCTTGAGCCGGGTCCCCTTCAGTCTAATTGCCCTTCAGCCAGATTGAACAAAGCTCCCTTGTCTTTTTCTGAGGTCTTTTGCTCCGAATCACCTTGCTTTTCCTTCAGTTGGGGACACTTATCTTTCCAATGTCCTATTTCCTTACAATAGGCGCATTGGTTACATTGCAGCATGGGCGATTAGATTGGGTATTCTTCCTGGAACCCCCCTTTCCCTGTCCTTTTGGGGGAATTCCCCTAATGGCCGCAGCCAGTAAGTCGGTGTTTCACCTGGCCTGGCGTTCGCCTTCCTTACGGCTTTCTCTGGGGCTTGTTGCATCTCTATTCACAAACACTTGATTGGTTATTTCCAGTAACTGCGAGGTATTCATACCTGCAAACCCAGCCTGTTTCTGCAATTTTCTCCTGATATCTTCCACACTTTGACTAAGGCCATATTAATCATTCTCTGATTTTCAGGACTATCTGGATCAAAAGGAGTGTACATACGGTAAGCCTCACACAGTCGTTCATAGAATTGCGCTGGACTCTCCTCTTTTCCTTGGATGACCTCAGAGACCTTATTTACATTTGTATCCTTTTGAGCCTCTTTCTTTAGACCTTCTATCCATGCCGCATGGTACTGTCTTAGCCTCTCCATGTCTGGCCCCTTGTTCAGGTCCCACTGGTGGCCTGTTCCTGGCAGCTGAATTCTTCTATATTCTTGAGGGTTTTGGTAATTGGCTAGGACGTGCTCCTCTAGCCACTTAGTTGCCGCCTGGAGCACCCTTCACCTTTCATCTGTATTAAAGAGGTACATGAGCAGCTGGTGGCAATCAGCCCAAGTAGGATTATGAGTCTGTATAATAGTTTGGAGCAAGTCAATTAAAGCTTGAGGCTTTTCGGTGTAAGTTGGAGTATTATTTTTCCAATTGAGGTCAGCAGAGGTGAAAGGTTGATACACAAAGGCTGCCTTTTCACCATGTGTCTGTCCTCATCTACCCCAGTATATTGCTGTTCTCTCACGGGCATTTGGATTTCAGTCTTGGGCCGTAAGTGAGCTGCCAAGGGAGGAGTTTCTCCCATGGCTTCACTTCTTCTTTTGTCTACTCTGGGTGGTCTAGGAGTATGGATATCTGGTGGAAGTGGAGGTGCTGTGGGCTCAGGAATGGGGAGCCCTTCCTCTCGATAAGGAGGAGGCACTGCTGGTACCAATTCCTGCCATGATTCTTCCGGTGTTGGCTCGGACAGGACTTTTGGTGCCGACTTCCCTCGGTGGGTGGAGTGACAGCCTTCCTTAACTAACTGTCCCTTTGCTACTAGTACTGCTGCTGCCTGTCCTCTTAACCACTGTGGGGGATCCAAAACTAGCTGTAACCAAGAATCTATATACGGGAACTGATCTGGGTGCCCTGGCTTACAGGTTCCCCTGTGCCATACCTTCGAGACAAGGGACCTGTCCAGGCTTCCTTCTGATGGCCAACCCACCTCTAATGCTGGCCAGTCTATCTCACACAAAGTTCTAAGTTTTCCTGGTGTCATAGTAACTCCATAGTCTCCCTTAAATCCCTTTTTGAAATTTTTCAACATAGTTCCTAGTGAGGTGGGCTTACTTTGTGCCTGACCTATGTTTCCTTGAGACAAAACACCATGCTCACACCACACGCACACCACAAAACAGAATGGGTAAAGAGGGCACACACACACTTTTACAGTTTATACCAAACCAGAATCAAAACCAAAATCAGAGTATCAAGAAATCCCAGCCAGGTCAGAAACAAAACCAAAGTATCAAGTAATCCAAGTCAAGTCAAAAACAAAAACCAAAGTGCCAGTGCAGGCACGTCATGGGTGATTAGGCCACGCTTCCACTCAAATGGAGGGGTAAGTTCCAAAGACCAGTCTTAACAAGTTCCAGATGTCCAGACTCCAAGTACCAGTTCCTTCCTGGTGTTCAGCCACTGCATTGATCCTCCACAGGCACCTGCCATGCACTGCTCTGGTGAGGCGTTCCACTGGGGCAATTGCCTACCCGGGAGCGCTCTCAGGATCCACGTTGCTCAAGCTGGCTGGAGTCCCCCACAGGGATGCTCCACAGGGCAGGCCTAAGCCGCCTAAGGGGCTGCCTTGACCGTCCATTAATCACCTCACTTCCCAGTCAGGGAACCAAGAAATGTAGCAGGATGAGCTGCAGACAAGAACCTCTCAGACACCGAGTTGTGGAAGGAAACAGCTTTATTCAGCTGGGAGCATTGGTGGACTCATGTCTCCAAAAACCGAGCTCCCTGAGTGAGCAATTCCTATCCCTTTTAAGGGCTTACAATTCTAAGGGGGTCCATGTGAGAGGGACATGATCGATTGAGCAAGCAGTGGGTATGTGACTGGGGGCTGCATGCACTGGTAATCAGAATGGAACAGAACAGGACAGGGATTTTCACAGTGCTTTTCCATACAATGTCTGGTATCTATAGATAACATAACCAGTTAGGTCAGGGGTCAATTTTTAACTACCAGGCCTGGAATGCAGCGCCAGGCTGTCTGACTACTGATTTCACTTCTGTCTTTTCTTTAACTCCTACTTTTTCTTTGAGGCAGAAATTGGTCACAAGACAATATGAGGGGTGGTCTCCTCCCTTAACAATATAGCCAAGTTCTTTGCTAAGGCATATAACAAGGGTGACTTTTGCTGTAGTTTCTAATAAATTTTTCATTTCCATCTGAGGCCTCTTTAGCCTGGACTTCACTGTCCATGTCAGTATCAGCATTTTGGTTACAGCCATTTGACCTGTCTCTAAGAAGTTTCAAACTTTCCCTCATCTTCCTCTCTTCTTCTGAGCCCTCCAAATGTTTCTATCCTCTGCCCATTTCCCAGTTCCAAAGTTGCTTCCATATTTTCAGGTATCTTTATAGCAATGCCCCACTCTTTGATACCAATTTTCTGTGTTAGGCAATTTTTGCACTGCTGCAAAGAAATACCTGAGACTGGGTAATTTATTCTAAAAAGAGGTGTTAATCCAAAATATCTGAGACAGGTCTCAGTCAATTTAGAAAGTTTATTTTGCTTCCATGACACAGCCTCAGGAAGTCCTGATGACATGTGCCCAAGGTAGTCAGGGCATAGCTTGGTTTTATGCATTTTGGGGAGAAATGAGACATTAGTCAATATATGTAAGATGTACACTGGTTCACTCTGGAAAGATGGGACAACTCGAAGTGGGGAGGGGGCTTCCAGGTCATAGGTAGATAAGAGACAAATCGTTGCATTCTTTCGAGTTTCTGATTAGCCTTACCAAAGGAACCGATCAGATATGCATTTATCTCATTGAGCAGAGGGATGACTGAATAGAATGAAAGGCAGACTTGCCTTAAGCAGTTCTCACCTTGACTTTTCTCTTTAGCTTAGTGATTTTGGGGTCCCAAGATTTATTTTTCTTTTGCAGAGGCTTGGCTAGGTATGATGGCTCATGCCTGTAATCCCAGCACTTTGGGAGGATTGCTTGGGGCCAGGAGTTTGAGATCAACCTGGTAAACATAGCGAGATCCTGTCTCTCAAAAAAGAAAAAATAGAGGTTTGATTCACAGATCTGTAGGATATATAAGCATGGCACTGCTATCTGCTTGGCTTCTGAGGAGGCCCCTTCAGGGAGCTTGTACTTTTGGCAGAAAGCAAAGCAAGAGCAGGATGTCACATGGCAAAAGCAGGGGCAAGGGGGTGGGGTAAGGTGCCACACACTTTTAGACAACCAGATCTCACAAGAACTCACTATTGCCAGAACAGCACCAAGCCATGCAGGCTCCATCCCCATGACCCAAACACACCTCACCAGGCCCCACATCCCACATTGGGGATTACAATTCAACATGAGATATAGAGGGGACAACATCCAAACTATATCAGGCACCAATAGGAAACTAACACAGAACAGGTTTCTGAGTAGATCCAAGGCCATATTCCAGAAACAGTAAGAACTGTTTCTTGGTATTTCTGTTATTCAGAAATTTAATATGTGTATTGCTGAACCATTATATTTGACCATCTTCGGATAATCATTCATCCATGAAAATACACATCAATTTCTCCAGTGCTTCTCATTGACATACTTTTTGGATCATCTAGGTACCAGTCATTAAGAGTAACCTATACAAGGGGAGGTCCACTTAAGTGAAACTTACAGGGAGGGTAATGTCACTCAATATAAGGGAGAATTTTCTGTTAAAGCCATTCAAAAAGAGATTGGGCTGTATTTAGAGGTTTGTATGGCAGGATCTAAACAACTACTTGGTGGAGATGTTAAAGAGAACATTCATGCATTGGTTGAGTTGTTGGATAAGGACAGATTTTATTCTCGAATCCTAAGAACCCAAGAGGTTGTGAGGAAGAAGCATCACTGAAGATTGGATGGGACTCTTGTGTATAGATGTGCAAATTATGCCTACACAAGGTCTCTAGCCAAGGCTGAAACCACCAATAGAATCTAGCTCACACTTTGTTTGCCAAGCTGTGCATTCTGGCTGTGGGGCTGCTGTGCCCTGAGGCAGGAGTAACCTTTGGCTAATTCATATAAAGGTATTATCTACTTGATAAGATGTAGGCTTGAAGGGCTGCATTCACCCAAAGAAGACACTTTTTTTCTAATTTGCAGAAAGGTACTGCAGGGGCCAGCACAAACCATGGGACTAGGGCTATAGGAGATGGTTTCTTGGAGTTGGTGAAGGCAAGACAAGGATACATAAGAAAAAGAAACTAGAAATCAATAGCAGGAGGAAGTTGGAAAACTGTACAAATACATGGACATTAAACAACGTGCCCCTGAATGACAAATGGGTCAATGAAATTAAGGAAATCAAATTCTTGAAACAAATGAAAATAGAAATACAACATACGAAAACCTATGGGATAAAACAAAAGTGGTACTAAGAGGAAAATTTATAGCAAAATTTTATTTAAAAAGTAGACAAAGATCAGCCAGGCGTGGTGGCTCACACCTATAATCCCAGCACTTTGGGAGGCCAAGGCAGGTGGATCATGAGGTCAGGAGATCGAGACCATCCTGGTTAACACGATGAAACCCCCGTCTCTACTAAAAATACAAAAAATTAGCCGGGCGTGGTGGCGGATGCCTGTAGTCCCGGCTACCCGGGAGGCTGAGGCAGGAGAATGGCGTGAACCCGGGAGGCGGAGCTTGCAGTGAGCCGAGATCGCACCACTGCACTCCAGCCTGGGAGACAGAGCGAAACTCCGTCTCAATAAATAAATAAATAAATAAATAAATAAATAAATAAATAAATAAGTAAAAATTTAAAAATAAATAACTTTACAAAGGTAGACAAATATCAAACAATCTAACAAAGCACCTTAAGGAACTGGAAAAGCAAGAACTGCTTTAACCCAAAATTAGTAGAAGGAAAGAAATAATAAAGACGATGGCAAGAATAAATGAAATAGAGACTAAAAAAAAAAAATACAAAAGATAAACAAAACGTTGATTTTTTTGAAAAGATAAATAAAATTGACAAGCCATAAGCTAGACTAAGAAAAAAATGAGAGAGAACCCAAATGAAATCAGAAAAGAAAAAGAAGGGAAGGAGGTTATATTATTAATACTTTAATCCCAGTCTGGCTTCTCCAGTCCCTTAGCTCACTTCCAAATTGTGCTATTGGTGTCTGCTCCCAATTGATATATTCTGATAGCATATCTAGTTGGGAAGAGAAAGTAGTACATGAATAAACTCCATATTTCAGAGCTAAATAAACATCTCCTTTGGGAGGTCACTGTACAAGTTGGCAGCAAATGGAGAAAGCAAGAACCTAAGTATTAGAGATCAAAGGGAGAGGATGTGTCCACTCAAGGCTCTCATAGAGAAGGCAGAGCATTTCTCTCTGATTTGTAAGGCTGGTCAACTACCCAAATGTGTAAGGATAGATAATGCCAGTGTCCTCAAAGGCACAGGAGATATACACAGGAACCTAGCTGAAGCAGTTTCTGTATTCGTAGCAGAGTCCCAGCTAGTCAGGACTGTTCTTGATGTTGCAGATACTCCAGGTAGCTAGATCTGTCTGGAGGCGACTTTGGAGCTGGACAATATGCAGATCTGTGTCGTGTGTGTGTTCCTCCAGGTGTCCTTTGAGATGACCCATGAGACCCTGTACTTGGCAGTGAAGCTGGTGGATCTCTACCTAATGAAGGCAGTATGCAAGAAGGATAAGTTACAACTCCTTGGTGCCACTGCCTTTATGATTGCAGCAAAATTTGAGGTGAGTCTGAGTCCCTATGGCCTGGAGAACTAATCAAGTTTCTGTCCAACCCAGTGAATGAATATATATTCATATATATTCATTGTTATGTGCTGCATAACAATGTTTTGGTCAATGATGGACTGCTTATACTATGGTGGTCCCATAAGAGTATAATGGAGCTGGAAAAGTCCTATCACCTAGTGACATCTTATCTTTTGTAACATTGTAATGTTACAAAAGATAACTCATATGGTGATGCTGGTGTAAACAAACCTATTGCACTGCAAGTCATAAAAGTATAGCACATACAATTACGTACAGTACATAATGCTTGATAATGATATAAACTGTTACTAGTTTATGTGTTCACTGTACTTTTAATTGTTTTATTATTATTTTATTAGAGACAAGGTCTCGCTCTGTTGCCCAGGCCGGAGTGCAATGATGTGATCATAGCTCACCATAACCTCAAACTCCTGGGCTCAAGCAATCTTCCCACTACAGCCTCTCAAGTAGCTAGGACTATAGGCATGCACCACAGTGCCTGGCTAATTTCCAGAAATTTTTTTGTAGGGGTGGGGTCTCATGTTGCCCAGGCTGGTCTTGAACTCCCGACCTCAAGCAATCCTCCTGCCTTGGCCTCCCAAAGCACTGGGATTACAAGTGTGAGCCACTGTGCCTGACCTGGTTTAGAGTATACTATTACTTATTTAAAAAAAATAAAGTTAACTGTAAAATAGCCTCAGGATGTCCTTCGGGAGGTTTTCCAGAAGAAGGCATTGTTGTAGGAGATGACAGCTCCATGCATATTATGACCCCTGAAGAACTTCCAATGGGACAAGATGTGGAGGTGGAAGACAGTGATATTAATGATCTTGACCCTTTCTAGGCCTAGGCTAATGTGTGTGTTTGTGTCTTCATTTTTTTTTATTTTATTATTATTATTATACTTTAAGTTTTAGGGTACATGTGCACAATGTGCAGGTTTGTTACATATGTATACATGTGCCATGTTGGTGTACTGCACCCATTAACTCGTCATTTAGCATTAGGTATGTGTCTTCATTTTTAATAAAAAAGTTTAAAAAGTAAAAAGTAAAGCCGGGCATGGTATTTCAATGCCTGTAATCCCAGCACTTGGGGAGGCTAAGGCAAGAGGATTGCTTGAGCCCAAGAATTTAAGACCAGCTTGGGGAACAAAGTGAGACCCCATCTCTACAAAAAAATAAAGCAGATTAGCTGGGTATTGTGGCACATACCTGTGGTCCCAGCTACATAGGATGCTGAGGCAGGAGGATCCCTTGAGCCCAGGAGGTTGAGGCTGTAGTGAGCTTTGTTCAAGCCACTGTATTCCAGTCTGGGTGAGAGAACAAGACCCTGTCTCAAAAGAAATTTTTTTTAAAGAAGAAAGCTTATTTAATAAGGATATAAAGAAAGCAAATATTTTTATACAGCTTTATACTGTGTTTGTGTTTTAAGCTGTTATTACAAAAGAGTCAAAGTTTTACAAAATAAAGTTACAGTAAGCTAAGGTTAATTTATTATCGAAGAAAAAATATTTTTTATGAATTTAGTGTCGCCTAATTGTACAGGTACAGTGTTTATAAAGTCTATGGTAGTGTACAGGAATGTCCCAGGCCTTCCATTCACTCACACACTGACTCACCCAGAGCAACTTCTACTCCCACAAGCTCCATTCATGTTAAGTGCCCAATACAAGTGTACTGGTTTTAAATCTTTTATGCTGTATTGTTACTGTACTTTTTCTGTTTAGATAGCCTAAACAAATACCATTGTTTTACAATTGCCTACAGAATTCAGTAGAGTCACATGTGCATAGGTGTGTAGCCTAGGAGCAATAGGCTATATACCATATAACCTGGGTGTGTAGGCTGTACCATCTAGGTTTTTGGAGGTACACTCTTATCTGTGATCTTCTCACAATGATGAAAATGATGCATTTCTCTTAACATATCCCTCTTGTTAAGTGACACATAACTGTGTATACATACATTTATTTGTACATATATACACATGTGCATACACATCAGTGTGTATATGTGTGTGCATACAGTTACATACATACAAATAATTTTTTTCTGCCGCATTTTTTGTCCCTCTTCCCAAAGCAGAGAAGCTGGTGTTGGTTGGCAATGGTGGTGTATTTGTTTCCTGGCATCAACAAGGTTCTTCCATTTTCTGTCTGAAGATGTATTATGTGGGCATCCAACTAATTAAATGGGCAGTTCTTTTTACAGCTTCCTTCTGCTCCATGATTCTCTGCCTCCACCATTTTCTTGTTCCACCAACTCCATCCCCATCTAGTGGAGTCTCAATCTGCTTATATAACAAAGCATTGCCTAACCAGGGTGCTGGAGACATTTAAGAGAAAATGGCGTGATGTTGATGGCAGTGAGTCTAAATGGTCCAGGTGAAATAGTAATTTGGGAAGTAGCAGTATAAAAGTGAGTAGCTGACCTTTTCTTCATGACCATAATCCATCTAACTAACCTCTCTGATTCCCCTTCCTTAGGTGCTAACTGATCTTGTTCAACTTTCATTTTTCCTTCAGCTAGGCTAGTTGTAGGAAGCCTTAGGGTTTGGGAGCAGAGAGTTGGCAACTTTTACCAAGGATTTCAAAGAACTTTAGAACTGTGGGTTTGTTTCTGTGTTGGCTCCCTCCCCAGCTCCTGCCTTCCTCTCCTCCCCAAACACATACTGGCTCTTACCCCCTCCCTCCCTCCCTGCCTCACTCTCTCCCTCCTTAACTTGCTCCCTTCCTCCCCTCCTTCTTTCCCTGTCACCTGCCCTTCAGTGATTGTTTTCCCTCACTCACCACCCCACTCTCCTTTGTTGCCCCTCACTCACCTGCTCACTTGAGCCCTCCCTCACTCTGTCCCTTCGTCCTGTGCCAGCTTGCTTGCTCCCTCCTCCCTTCCTCCTGCTTTTCCTCCCTTGCTCACTCCTTCCCTTGTTTCCTCTCTCCCTCCCTCACCTGCTGGCTCCCTCTTTCCTTCCCTCCTTGCTTCCTTCCCAGGCTCCCTCTCTCACTTGGTGGATAGATTCCTCTCTCCCTGGCTAGTCTACACCCTCCCTCCCTCGGTGGCTTGCTCTCTCCTTTCCTCTCTTTCCCTTGCTCCCTCACCTGCTCTCTCCCTCCCTCACCTGCTTTCTTCCCTCCCAGGCTCTGTCCTTCCCTCCCAGGCTCCCTCTTTTTCTTCCTTGCCCACTCTCTCCCTTCCTTTTTTACTCTGGGTACTTCTTAGCAAATCCTGGGAGTTGGAGCACCCTTCCTCTGTTGGCCAGGACAGAGGGCCCCTACCAAGTCCATGGAGGAGGGGTGTCTTCCTCTCACAGGATTAAGAAGTACAGAAAGCCTTTTGTTTAGGGGAGGTGTGGAGATGGCATGAGGAGAGAAAGGAGACAGTAGCCATTGCACAGAGCAGCGGAAGAGAGAGGTTCCTGCCCTGGTGTTGCCACTAGCTTGCCGTGTGAACCTGAGCACATCACTTTTCTCTGAGCCTAGGTTTCCTTGTCTGCCAAACCAAAGGGTTGGTCCTGTCTGTCATCCAAAAATAGGGGAAAGGTGGGGGAAGAAAGCTGTTGCGGGCAGTAAGCTGCAGGTAGGGAGAAGAATTAGGGGCCTTCCTGTGTCCTCATTGTTTCTCCAAACCAATGTTTGACCTCCAGAGGGCAGAGCCCTGGAAGGTGCTCCCTGGACAGAGGTTCTTCTCACCCTCAGCCTGGCCTGGCCCTTCCTTGTCTGACCTCTGGGTGCCTCCGCACACTCTGCCCACCACAGACTTTTGTCTCTGCTTAGGTTCCCTCTATGCCTGTCTGCCTCTCCACTTCTCTCACTGCCAGGTACCCTGTATTGCCCTCCTCAAACATCCTTACTCATTCCCTACACTAGGACACAAAATACAGGCTTATTTTCTATCTCTAGCTCCCATTTCTGTGGCTTCCTTCTGTCCCTCCCTCCAGAGAAGGCCTTAGATTTCAACATTCGTGGTTCTCAGAGGGCAGATGGCTGCTCCTAGGCCCTGTGCCCCCATTATGTTGCTTCTGGCACTGTAAGAATCCACCCCCAGGAGGTCCTATCCTCTATCTGGTGGTGGTGGTGGTACAGTTTTGGGGCAGGCCTCTCCTGTCCTTTCTTTGGTTTACTTTTTCTGATGAGCCACTCACATCAACCAGAAGCTGAGTCTCAGAGATACCCTGAAGATTTATGCCAGGAAATCCTTCACCCTTCTCCCTGCTGACTTTTACCTCTAAGCAGAAAGGTTGGGTTGTCTGTCTGGTTGTCACCTCCTCTCCTCTCCACCCATAGGAGCACAACTCACCTCGTGTGGATGACTTTGTGTACATCTGTGATGATAATTATCAGCGATCTGAGGTACTCAGCATGGAAATCAACATCCTGAACGTCCTCAAATGTGACATTAACATTCCCATCGCCTACCATTTTCTGCGCAGATATGCTAGGGTAAGAGAGAAGAGACACATCTTCATTCTCCCACTGCTGAGTTAGTCTCCTTTATACCCAGAGTAGCTGCCTTGAGTGGTAGGAAAGGGGAAAGGGACAACAGGCAGCAGGGAGCTTTCTCCTTCCATCCAATCTCCTAGGTTAAAGCTTGGCAATCTTTATGAAATAGTGGGAGGTGGGTGGGGGTGAGTTGCAGATTTCCACAGTGTGCCTATAAGGTTTTGAAGTGAGGCCAGAGTTGGGGAGGAGAAACGTTTCTTTTATCAGGGAGAGACACATGGAAAACTTTGTGGGGGGATGCTGGCAATATTCTCATTCTTTGCCTGAGTATTGGTTACAAGGGAGGTCACTTTATAATTCATTGTATTGTGCAAATGAGTGCGATGTACTTTTCTCTTTGTGTGTGTGATAGGTTGTAATTTTTAAAAAATAAGTTTAAATAAGAAAAGGGAAAAGGTTGTTTTGAGGTATGGAACACCTTCTAGGGAGGACCAGGAACAGAGTCACGGTGGGAGGACTTTGGCTCTTTAAAGAATGACCCATATAGCAAGGGGGGATGTGGGCCAGTACCATACACACAGTTGGTAATTTGATTAAAATCCTAAAGGTGGCAAATCCCACTGACTGTTTCAGAATCCCCCCTAAAGAGTCTGTTTTTGTGGGTAGGGAAGATGAAGTGAGTTACGGTTGCAGGAGAAAGGCACATTACTCAAACAGAGGGCCACTGAGGCTCGGGATGATGTAACTGGAGAGGGAGTCCTCTGCTTGGTGCCAGTTTTCTAAATTGATTTCTGAGCCAGTCTTCTCATTGCCTTTAGTGTATCCACACCAACATGAAGACACTGACCTTGTCCCGCTACATCTGCGAGATGACCCTGCAGGAATACCACTATGTCCAGGAGAAGGCTTCCAAGCTAGCTGCTGCCTCCTTACTCCTGGCCCTCTACATGAAGAAGCTCGGATACTGGGTAAACACTTGCGAGATAGGGGTATAGGGGTAGAGATTTAAAAAGCAGAAGGTCAGCTCATGGGGAAGGTGTAAATTAAGGCCACGGGAAACTCTTGGGGACAAAACTGACACATATTCACCACTGTGAACTCTAACACCTGGACAACTTGGGGCAAGGGCTTCTACAGCAATGGTTTTGAATTATGCCATTTTTCATAATCAAAGTACCCTTTGTTCCAAAGAAAGCTCACCTGAAAGCCCAATATTACATACCAGACTACTGTGAAGGTATTCTGGTTGTCATATGGGGTAGTGTGACCCTACTTCTTATCCCCAGCCCTGTTCCCCTCTTGCCTCTTGCAATCCCCTCAGCAAGACTGGCCCCTGAGGCAGCTTGTTGGAACAGGGTTTGAAAAGCACTGAGCCAGAGAAGAGTAGTGAAAGCAACTGTCTGTGTCTACAAAAGTGGCACTCAGGGGCATGACTATAGTGTTCTTCTCTGAAGAAGGCTCTCAAAGCCTCCTGCTCCAATACAAATAAAACTCATATTTGATGCTTTCTCAATTTTATGAAAAGTTGGGGGTAAAATCAACTTTAGATAATTTCGCATTCTTACTAATGATATGTATAATATATAATCCAAGTAGCAGGAGTATGCTTGCAAATGCAGCCCCTCTGCTCAACCACTTCTGAGCTCCTCCTACCTAAAAATCCTGGAGCCACTGAGGGAAGAACCTCTGTGGGCTGAGAAAGAACCACATAAAGTAGTTATGTGAACTTGGAGAAGCCATACTGAAATTTCTTGAAACAGAGAAAGCATTCAATAAATGATAGTGATGATGAAAAAGAATAAATAATAATCATGACTGGCATTTATTGAGTGTTTAGACAGTGATCTAAGCACTTTGTGTATTAACTCATTTAATCTCCACAACAACCCCACATGATAGTACCGTTATCCCTGTTTTGCAGATAAGAAATAACTCCCATGTTTACACAGCTGATGAGAGGTGGAGCTAGGCTTTGGAAACTAGGAGTGGTGTTCACAATCCAAACCAACTGTGTAATCAGAATGGGCGTGGCCACAGCTCTGGAGCTGAGGGTCTGGAGGCCCCATGCTGAACCAGGCTTTGACCCTTGGATCCCATGGAAATCCAGTGGGCCGTGAGGGGGACAGCTGATGGGTTCAGGCAAGCAAACTGTGTGCCAACTAAGATAGAAATATTTCAGTGTTTTCACACTTGGTGACTAAACCAGGGCATATCAGCTAAATGTCAGCCCGAATCTGAACTCAGGTAGTCTGACTCCACAATCCTCTATGTTAGTATACTGCCTCTCCTATAGATAAGGAAGGCTTCACAGAAGAGGTGACTTTTGAGCTGGGTCTTGAAACGTATGCAGGAACTTGTGAGAGGAGACATTCTAGGTAGAGGGAGCAGTAATTAAAAAGACGTGAAGGCATTAAGGAGGGAGTGTGTTGTGTTTAGGGCAGAATAAGACATCCCCTATGGATAGAACAGAGAATATGGTAAAAGGAGAGGTGCTAATGATGTTAATAGTGACAGATGAGACCAGAATGGTAGATCATGGTCAGATTGTGAAAGAAAGGCTTTGTATACCACGCTGAGAGACCCACTTTACACTAAGGCATTGAAGGGTTTTTAGGCAGGGAGGTGACATGCTCCTGTTTGTGTATTTTAGAAACAGTACTGGTATAGCAAAAGAGAAGGTAGAGTAAATGAGAGAGAATATAAAGGTGGGAACACCAGTGAGCAGGCTATTGTAACATAGTCAAGGTGAAGCATTTGAGGGTCTGAACTGACACAGTGGCACTGGGGCCTTTTAGTCTTATTTAACACATCCAGTCTACTCCATTACCCCCTTGTGTTACTCCCCTACTCAGCACGCCAATGACGGCCCTTTGCCGGTGGTGGTGGTGGTTTCCAAACAGTATTTGGGGGAGCCCTGGGTTTCCTGCAGAATTCTCTCAGGGACCATGTAAAAGATAAAGGGATCCAAATTTGTGGGCTTCTTAGCTCACACCCCCACTTCCAGGTAAGCTATTTGGGCTTCCAGGTAAGACACTTGAAAAAGAGGAGTTCAAGGAAAATAAGACATTTTGAGGAAACCACTGACTTATAAATCCTCTTCCTTTCTCTGTCTGTTGAGCTCCCCACTTAACCAACCATTGTGGACATGCTGTCCTCTGTGAAGCTTTCTGTGACTCTCCTGACAGAGTTCGTGGGTCCTGCTGCTGTGTTCCTCCAGTGTCCTATGCTCACTTCCATTATAGCACTTATCACACATTTTTTAACTCGCTGTTTGCACATCTGTCTCCTCTACTAGACTACAGACTCCTCAAGGGCAGGTCCCTCATTCATTTTTGTGTTCCCAGGATCCTACATATAGGGCTTGGTAATCCTAGTTAGCATTGTTTGGATACTTACTATGTTCCAGACTCTGTTCTATGTATGATACACACATACACAAATACACACACACACACACACACACACACACACACACATTTAACCCTATGATGGAATTACCGTAATAATCCCCATTTGGCAGATTGGGAAACTGAGGTCCCAAGAGGTTAATTAACTGGCTCAAGGCCAAGCTGTTAGGGGAACTGAAATTTGACCTGAAGCATTTTGCCTCCAGGACCTCTGCTCTTAAACACTGCTATACCGCTTCTGCCACATAATAGGCATTCTTAGCTGAGTGAGAAAATGAACCTGTGGAATGATAGCTGTTAGAGCCAGAGAGGAGGATCAGCCTTAAGTTCATGTTGGCTGTGGAGTTGGCACCTAAACTTTGTTCTGGGGTTTACCTGGCCATTAGCTCTGGACCTGAGAGTGAGCAAATTACAAAATCAGTCCCGTTCCTTAGGACTGGTGAATTTCTGCTTACATGAACATCTGTGACCAGGGCTAATATCTTTTTTTTTTTTTTAAGAGATAGGGTCTTGCTCTGTTACCCAGGCTGGAGTGCAGTGGTGCGATCATAGTTCACTGCAGCCTCGAACTCCTGGGCTCAAGCAATCCTCCTGCCTCAGCCTCCCGAGTAGCTGGGACTACAGGTCTACACCACCATGCCCAGATAATTTAAAATTTTTTTAAAAGAGATAGGGTCTTGCTGTGTTGCCCAGACTGGTCTTGAATTCCTGGGCTCAAGCAGTCCTCCTGCCTCGGGCTCCTAATATGCTGAGATTACAGGCATGATCCCTACCACGCCTGGCCAAGAGCTAATATCTAACTGGTACGTATGGATATAGCCATCCCAGTAGTTTGTGGCTGGAATCTATTCTTCTATATAGCATAGTATAATTATTGATCAGCGTCCAGATGGTGTGAGTCTTTGAAATGTTTTGAATGTCATCTCTGTTTAAACCATGTGTGGGAAGCTTAGACTTGGGATAGCAGAGATGGAGGAACGGTGTGCTTCCTATAGTAGAAATCACTATTCATGCTGCTTCTTCCAGGTTCCCTTCCTGGAGCATTACAGTGGCTACAGTATCTCTGAGCTTCACCCCTTGGTCAGACAGCTGAACAAACTGCTGACTTTCAGTTCTTACGATAGTCTCAAGGCTGTGTATTACAAGTATTCTCACCCGTAAGTACTAAGCCCCGGATGAGGTTGGGTTTGTGTTCATTTATTGGGAGGCTTTAAAATACTAGACCGAGACTAGCCTCACTTAAGAGAAAAAGATTCAGGCACTTTTCACCTTCCTTTCTACTCTAGGGTTAAAGCAAGATAGGAAACTAAGGGCTGTATGTCCCACTTGTTCCATAGAGCATGATTGTATTTGCCCTATTCTATGCTGAGGAGACCCCTCTTCCTTTTGCAGGGTCTTCTTTGAAGTCGCCAAAATCCCTGCCTTGGATATGTTGAAGCTGGAGGAGATTTTGAACTGTGATTGTGAGGCTCAGGGCCTGGTACTCTAGCAGCAGCCACAGGGCTAAGCATGCATGTTAACAGGGTATATTTATTCTATGTTCGAATTTGTCTTTTGATCGCTTTTATTCATTTTTCCTTTCTTTGTCTTTTCCCAAACTGATAATGTTATAAATATTTATGTTGCTTGTTTTTATGAAAGAAAAAATATTGTCATATTTGACTACAAATTTAATAAAAAATTAATGGTTATTGTTAAAATGGCTCATTTCCCCTCTTATTGTTCAGGAGCCCCATGCACAGCTCAATAATTTTTTTTTTCTTCCTAGTCAAGGCTGGGCCCCAGAGCCTAGATTACCCAATTCCCTCCTCTGTTTAGAAGTCTTCTCCTCATGGGAAGAGGAATTGAGCTAACCATGAACTGATAGATGGGTCTACAGAAGGAGGATTATGGTGCCCAGTCCAAGGAGAAAGCTCCTTACCTGACAGGTAGACCTCACTTTTCAGAGCTGGGCAGCTGGCAGTGTAGGCTAATACCTTTTGGTCTCAATCTCAGGTATTATGCTTTCTTTGCTTCTTCCTAGATGGTGAAAAGTTGGGGATCAGGATTTTAATCCAAATGTAGCCTTGCTTTCAGTTAGGCAGCTTTTTAGAGTACAAATTTGAAAATACTCTTGGAGTGGTATGTGCTGAAATCATTTTTGGCCCTTGTCTTCTGCCAGGAGAAGAAATTCCTACCTTTGAAATTGGCAAGGTGTCCCATGAATGCAAGCATCAACCACTTGCCCAGTCTTTAATTCATATAGCATTAAGAGATTCTCCTTTCTTTTTCACTCTGCCCTACCTTTGGGGTGATGTGTACTGGGACAGTTACTTAAGTTGTTAATGGAGGAGTGGAACATCCAGTATGCCAGTTGTTCAAGAGCTACTGCCTCAGTCTCACCCCAGGACCTCCCCACAATCCAGCAAGTAATGTCTACCACAGCAGGAGACCTCTAGGACTCTATTCTAGTATTGTAGCTGGCAATTATCCTGATTGGTCTGTGACCATTTGTTACCACTTGTCAAATATTTTGAATATCAGTCCTGGAGGGTGGACATTTGGTGGAGAGGACAATCAAGGAAGCAGTTATGGGGAAAATGCCTCTTCAATTCTGTCCCAAGACTCTCCATGCTATTGTAATTACATCACCTTTTCTGATGGGTTAGAGACAGATGGATGAGCATGCCAAGCCCTTAGGTGTCTCAGTGCTTTCCTTCCCTTCCAATCAGTTTCCCATTCTTCCTCCTGACTTGCTTTGCCTTGGAGACCAGACATCACTAGGTTTCCTCCTGCCCCATTCCACTGTATTGCAAGATGACTAAGGGGTACAGCCAGAGAGGTCCAAGCTACTCAGCAGTGGTTCTGCTGGCACAGCCAACTTTGCATGAACATGCTAAAAGCATTAGGCTGGAAGCCATCTTGCAAATCTCCAGCCTTACTAAAAGGATGTGTCTTGTACCTGCTTTTGAATTCTGGAGCTTTACATCAAGGGGAAAAAATTAACCAATTGAATTGTTTCCCCCTTTTTACCAACCCTGTTCTTTAAAGGTGCTAATGAAACCATCAGTCATTTTTGTTGTTGATTTTGCAATGCCTCAACATTTATTTTGCACACACTCATCACTACTTCAAAATTAAGATAGCTGTTAGAACTGGAGCTTGTTAGAAGTGGGTGCAAAAGTTATCGTGGTTTTTGCCTTTCCTTTTAATGGCAAAAACCACGATAACTTTTGCACCAACCTAATATTTAGTGCCTTATTAAAGAAGCACATCTATTCTTTATCAGGAATTTGCTGGCCCAGTGAGGTGGCTCACGCCTGTTGTCCCAAAACTTAGGGAGGCCAAGGCAGGAAGATCACTTCAGCCCAGGAATTTGAGACCCACCTGGGCAATACAGTGAGACCCTGTGTCTACAAAAAGTTAAAAAGTTAGCCAGGCATAGTGGCTTATGCCTGTGGTCCCAGCTACTCAGGAGGCTGAGGCAGGAGGATCACTTGAGCCCAGAAGGCAGATGTTGCAGTAAGCCATGATCGTGCCACTGTACTCCAGCCTGGGCAATAGAGCAAGACCCTGCTTAAAAAAAAAAAGAATTTGCTTTTATATTTTGATGACTGTCTCTCTATATATGAATAAAACTAGCTTTCTTTGTAACCTTATGTATTTTTAACAGTTTTATTTTCTTAACTGAATGCAAATTACTTTATATATGTATATATAACTTTATGTCTCCCTATATCTTTAAGATCATAACAGTTTAAAAAACAAAACTAAAAAATTCTAAAAGTTTAAACTACAAAATCATCTATATAGGTCATAAAAACACTCTGGTAGAGAAATGTGCCTGGTAATTCATAAGTAAAACAAACATAGCCTGTGAAATAATGTGACATGCTTAGAAAAATGCCTGACACATAGCATGAATATCTAATAAATGGTGGTGGTACTCTCTGGTAGAGGAAGGGGCACAGAGTGGCTACAGAGGTAAGTAGGGGTGAGACTGTTTGTTTGTTTGTTTGTTTTAAAGAAAAAGGCCTGGCTGGGCACCGTGGCTCACTCCTGTAATCCCAGCACTTTGGGAGGCTGAGACGGGCAGATCACAAGGTCAGGAGTTTAAGACCAGCCTGGCCAATATGGTGAAACCCCATCTCTACTAAAAATACAAAAAGTTAGCTGGGTGTGGTGGCAGGCACCTGTAGTCCCAGCAACTTGGGAGGCTGAGGCAGGAGAATCACTTGAACCCGGGAGGCAGAGGTTGCAGTGAGCTGAGATCATGCCACTCACTCCAGCCTGGGTGACAGCGCGAAACTCCGTCTCAAAAATAATAATAATAATAATAAGGCTTATATGGTATGTTGAAGGTTTTTATACTAAGAGTTTTGATTTTGGAGATGTATCCATCAAGGTTCAGTCAGAAAACAGAAACCACTCTAGTTATTTCGAACAGAGGAAATTTAATGCTGGGAATTGGTTACTTAAGGACAGAAGAGCTAAGAAGTCACACACACAGTGTGAAGCTTCTGTTATACTTAGGGCTGGAGGAACAGTAGCCAAGAGGTGGTGTCACCAGACCCCCAGATGCCAGGGATATCAAGCTGGATTTGGAACCAGTGATCAGTTGGGACCAATGAGGGTAGGGCTGATGAAAGGAGGCTGGAGCTGGGAAGGAGACAAAGTTACTGCCAGACCTATTGCTGGAGGCAGAGTGAGAAAGGAAATAGCCTGGCTTCTTCATATTTTAATAGTTTTTGGGGAACAGGTGGTTTTTTGTTACATGGACAAGTTATTTAGTGGTGATTTCTGAGATTTTGGTGCACCTATTACCTAAGCAGTATACACTGTACCCTATATGGGTAGTCTTTTATCCCTCACCCAGTCCCATCCTTCCCCCCAAGTCCCCAAAGTCCATTATATAATTCTTATGCCTTTGCATTCTAATAGTTTAGCTCCCACTTATAAGTGAGAACATATGATATTTGGTTTTCCATTCCTGAGTTACTTCACTTAGAAAAATGGTCTCCATTTTTCTCCAGCTCCATCCAAGTTGCTGTAAATGCCATTATTTTTTTCCCTTTTATGGCTGAGTAGTAGTCCATGGTGTATATATACCACATTTTCCTTGTCTACTCATTGGTTGATGGGCATTTAGGTTGGTTCCATATTTTTGCAATTGTGAATTATGCTGCTATAAACATGCGTGTGCAAGTGTGTTTTTCATATAATGACTTCTTTTCCTTTGCGTGCATACCCAGTAGTGGGATCACTGAATTAAATGTTAGTTCTACTTTTAGTTCTTTAAGGAATCTCCACGCTGTTTTCCATAATGGTTGTACTAGTTTACATTCCCACCAGCAGTGTAAAGGTGTTCCTTTTTCACCACATCCACACCCGCATCTATTATTTTTTGACTTTTTTGGATTAAGGTGGTATCTCATTGTGATTTTATGTGTATTTCCCTGATAATTAGCAATGTTGAACATTTTTCCATATGTTTGTTAGCCATTTGTATATCTTCTTTTGAGAATTGTCTATTCATGTCCTTTGCCTACTTTTTGATGGGATTGTTTTTTTCTTGCTGATTTGAGTTCCTTGTAGATTCTGGATATTAGTCCTTTTGTCAGATGTGTAGTTTGTGAATATTTTTTCCCACTCTATGGGTTGTCTGTTTACTCTGCTGATTATTTCTTTTGCTGTGCAGTAGCTTTTTAGTTTAATTAGGTCCCATTTATTTATTTTTGTTTTTGTTGCATTTGCTTTTTGGTTCTTGGTCATGAATTATTTGCCTAAGCAATGTCTAGAAGAGTTTTTCTGATGTTAACTTCTAGAATTTTTATGGTTTCAGGTCTTAGATGTAAGTCTCTGATCCATCGTGAGTTGATTTTTGTTTAAGGTGAGATATGTTTTATTCTTCTACATGTGGCTTGCCAATTATCCCAACACCATTTGTTGAATAGGGTTTTCTTTTTCCACTTTGTTTTTGTTTGCTTTGTTGAAGATCAGTTGGCTGTACATATTTGGCTTTATTTCTGGGTTCTCTATTCTGTTCCATTGGTCTATGTGCCTATTTTTATACCAGTACCATCCTGTTTTGGTAACTATACCCTTATAGTATGGTTTGAAGTCAAGTAATGTGATGCCTCCAGATTTGTTCTTTTTGCTTAGTCTTGCTTTGGCTATGCGGGCTCTTTTTTGGTTCCATATGAATTTTAGGATTGTGTTTTCTAGTCCTGTGAAGAATGATGGTGGTATTTTGATGGGAATTGCATTGAATCTGTAGGTTGCTTTTGGCAGTATGGTTATTTTTACAGTATTGATTTTACCCATCTGTGAGCATGGGATGTGTTTCCATTTGTTTGAGTCATCTATGATTTCTTTCAGCAGTGTTTTGTAGTTTTCCTTGTAGAGGTCTTTCACCTCCCTGGTTAAGTGTATTCCTAAGTGTTTTATTTTTATTTTTTACAGCTGTTGTATAAGGGATTGAGTTCTTGATTTGATTCTCAGCATGGTCGTTGTTGGTGTATAGCAGTGCTGTTGATTTGTGTACACTGATTTTGTATCCTGAAACTTTACTGAATTCATTTATCAGATCTAGGAGTTTTTTGGACGAGTCTTCAGGGTTTACACATACCATACAATTCACCCACTTAAAGTGTATAATTCAGGCCGGGCATGGTGGCTCATGCCTGTAATCCCAACACTTTGGGAGACTGAGGTAGGAGGATTGCTTGGACCCAGGAGTTCAAGATCAGCCTGGGCAGCATAGTAAGACCCTGTTTCTACAAAAAATTTAAAAATATTAAAAAAATTAAAAAGTGTGTAATTCAAGTTTTCAGTATATTCAGTTTTGTGGTTGGGCATGGTGGCTGATGCCTGTAATCCCAGCACGTTGGGAGGCCGAGGCGGGCAGATCACTTGAGGTCACAAGTTTGAGACCAGCCTGGCCAACATGGTGAAACCTCATCTTTACTAAAAATACAAAACTTAGCCGGGCATGGTGGTGCATGCCTGTAATCCCAGCTACTCAGGAGGCTGAGGCAGGAGAATCGCTTGAACCCAGGAGGTGGAGGCTGCTTGAACCCAGGAGGCAGAGGCTGCAGTGAGCCGAGATTGTGCCACTGTACTCCAGCCTGGGTGACAGAGCCAGATTCTGTCTCTAAGAAAAAAAAAAAAGTTTTGTAATCATCACCACAATCTAATTTTGGAACATTTTCATCACCCCTCAAATTAAACTTCCAGCCTGTTAGCAATCAATCTCCTTTCCCCACACCCCATGAGCCCTAGGTAACCACCAATTTACTTTCTCTCTCTATCAGTTTGCCTATTCTGGACATTTCATATAAATTGTACCATACAATAGGTGGCCTTTGTGTCTGGCTTCTTTCACATAGCATAATGTTTTCAAGGTTCATCCATGTTGTAGCATGTATCAGTACTTCCTTTTATTGCTGAGTAATATACCATTGTATGGACATATATACATTGTGTTTATCCAGTCATTGGTTGGTAGAAATTTGGGTTTTTCCACTTTTTGGCTGTTGGGAATAATTCTGCTATGAACATTCATGTATAAGTGTGTGGGCCTCAGTTTTCATTTCTTTCAGGTATATACTTGGGAGTAGAATTGCTGGATCATGCAATAACTCTAGTTTAACTTGAGAAACCTCTATACTCTTCCAAAGTGGCTGTACCATTTTACATTCCCATAAGCAGTATGTGAGGATTCCAGTTTCTCCACACCCTCTCCAACACTTGTTATTATATTTCTACTATAGCCCTCCTAGTGGGTGTAAAGTGATATCTTGTGATTTTGATTTACATTTCCCTGATGGCTAATTATGTTGAGCATATTCTCATGTGCATATTGGCCATTTGTGTATCCTTTTTAGAGAAATATCTATTCAAATCCTTTGCCCATATTTTTTTTTTTGAAACAGAGTCTTGCTCTGTTGCCCAGGCTGGAGTGCAGTGGCACAAACATGACTCACTGCAGGCTCAATCTCCTTGGCTTAAGGGATTTTCTTACCTCATTCTCCTGAGTAGCTGGGACTACAGTCACTTGCGACCACACCCAACTAATTTTTTTAATTGTTATTTTTAGTAGAGATGAGGTCTTGCTATGTTGCCCAGACTGGTCTCAAGCTCCTGTTTGCACATTTTTAATTGGGTTATTTGTCTATTATTGAGTGGTAAGAGTTTTTTAAAAATATATTCTGGGTCATATATATGATTTGGCAATATTTGATTATACCAATTGTCTTGAAAGTTTTACTTTCTTCATAGTGTTATTTAAAGCATATTAAGTTTCAAATTTTGATGAAGTTCAATTTATCCATTTTTAAATGTTTTTACTTTTGGTGTCATAGCTAAGAAACCATCACCTGATCCAAGGTCTTGAAGATTTATCCCTGTTTTCTTCTAAGAATTGTGTAGGTTTAGCTCTTATGTTTAGGTTTTAAATTCATTTTAAGTTAATTTTTATATATGGTATGTAGGGTTGCAACTTCATTCTTTTGCATATGGATATTTGGTTGTTTCAGCACTATTTGTTGAAAAAAACTATGTTTCCCCCACATAATTATTTTGATACCCTTGTTGAAAATTAAATTAAATATGAGAGCTTATTTCTGGATTCTCAGTTTTATTCCATTTACCTATGTGATATCTAGCCTTATGCCAGTACTGTAATTCTTTAAATATTAAAAACAATGACAAACAAAAATTATATTGCTGTAGCTTTGTAGTAAGTTTTAAAATTAAAAAAAAAAAAAGATATGAGTCCTCCAATTTTTTGATCCTTTCCTTTTCAAGTTTATTTTGGCAATTCTGGGTCCCTTGCATTTCCATATGAATTTTAGCATCAACATGTCAGTTGCTGAAAAGAAGTTCACTGGGATTTTTGATAGGGCTTACATTTAACTCATAGGTCAATTTGGGGAGTATTTTCATCTTAACCATCTTAAATCTTGCTCTCTATGAACATGGATATCTTTCCTTTTATTTGGGTCGTGTTTAGTTCGTTTCAACAGTTTTTTTGTAGTTTTCAGTATATAAGTTTTGTACTTCTTTTCCTAAGTATATTCTAAGTATTTTTTGATTGAGCCATCAGTCTTGGATCACTTTCAATTACCTACTTCATTCCCCACAAACATATTTACCTCTTCACCTATCTCAAGTATCTTTATTTTCTGTTTTAAAGGTTGGACAGACCCACCTACTGTTCAAGGCAACTCAACTACCTTGGGACTTTTCTCCCTCAATTTTTCTCTGTCGTCTTAGCCCTTCCCTTGTTTTTCCCTGCCACCATTTCCTGTACTTTCATCTTCTTCCTCTTTTGTAATCTTCATTTCTAGCTTAAAAACATGCTCAAGACACTCTTGCTACATGCATACAAAATGAAAAGCAAAACAAAACAAAACCCCCCATTTTTTTTTTTCGAGATGGAGTCCCGCTCTGTCGCCCAGGCTGGAGTGCAGTGGCACAATCTCAGCTCACTGCAACCTCCACCTCCCAGGTTCAAGCGATTCTCTTGCCTCAACCTCCCAGGTAGCTGGGATTACAGGTGCATGCCACCACACCCAGCTAATTTTTTGTTTTTATTTTTAGTAGAGATGGGGTTTCACCATGTTGGCCAGGCTGGTCTCGAACTCCTGACCTCAGGTGATCCACCCACCTCAGGCTCCCAAAGTGCTGGGATTATAGGCGTGAGCCACTGTGCTTGGCCAAAATAAAACTCTTTATCTGCATCCACCTCCCACCTGCTGTCCAGTTCATCTCTTCTTTGTACTAAACTTCTTTTTAAAGTACACTGACTCACTGTTTCTACTTAACTCATGTTCCATTCAGTCCTTTAACCCGTTGTAATGTAGCTTTTGTCCCCTAGCACTTCATTGATGGGCCTGTCACAGAAACATTGATGATTTTCTGGTTGGCAAATCTAGTCGACAGTTTTGAGCTTTATCTTACTGGAACCCTTTTGCTACCTTTGACACTGGTGTCTTTTCATTCCTTTTGGCACTCTCTAGCCTCTTGGTTTCTGGGCCATTAGATTTTTGTAGTTCTCTCATCTTTCTGACCTTCCTTTACTATCCTCTTTGTAGGCTGTTTTTGTACCATCTGCCCCTCAAAAGTTGGTGTTCTGTTAGTTTCAGCTTTGGCTCTCTGATTTATCTCCTTGAGTGATCTCAGCTACTCCCATAGTTTCAAGTACCACCAAGCCATTAACTTTTGAGGCTTGGTCTTCAGCTCAAACCTGTGGTCCTAGGTTCAGGCTTATATTTATCTTCTGTTGGCCATGTCTACCTGAATGTCACACAGTTACCTCAAACTAAACATGTCCAAAACTGAATTTTTTCTTTCTGCTAACATGGTTCTATATTTTATATTCTGTATCTTTATCACCATCCACTTAGTCACCCAAACCAGACACTCAGGAGTTCATCTAGGCTCTCTTTTCCCTCCCTAATAACTCTTATTCAATCATACTGATTTTTTACCTTCAATTCCTAACTTAAAGGCTGACCACTCATGTCTTAGACTTCCATGTGTCAATTATGGCCTTATAAGAGGGTGCCATCATTAAGTCTTGCTGATTTTACCTCCCAGATATTTCTTGGATTGGCATTCTCATCATATTCTCTCCTACCACTACCCAGGTTTGAGATCTCATTCTACTGCCTGGATTACTGTGGTAGTTTCCCACCTGATGTCCCTATCTTCAATCTTGTTCCTTTCAAATTCACCTTCCATACAAGCACCAGAAAGATTTATTTAAAATTCAATTTTAGGATTACAGTTCTGGGTAAGATATTTAAGCATCTGTTACCCTTTGTTTCCCACTGAACATGATCATAAAACCCAGAAAGAACGCATGGCAACTCATGGCGAGTTTCCCACATTTTTTTCTCTGGCAACTTAATCCAGTCAGAAACCTTGAAGGGAGCACTATGGTACAGACAGAAAGCTCCAGAAGAAGCTTTCTAGTTCTGGCTTGAGAAGTGAGAGAAGGAATTCCTAAAGCTTGGGGTTGGGGAGGTGGAAATCCCCATCTTTTTATTTCTCTCTTCCCTCACACCCCAACCCTCAGGCAATCATACAGCATCAGCAACAATGATAGCAATGGGAGCCTTCGAGAACCAGTACTCTCAGGGAATGGACCCATAATCTCTATTTGAGGTAGAGTTGGGGCCCCAAGAGAGCAAAGCCACATTCTGTTGATTTTTTTTCTCTTTCTGTTCTCCCACTGCTTATCTCCAGATGTGGCACAATTGCAGACATGAACAATTTCTGACTAGCGGACGGAAAGGGAAGTACTAGGAACTGGGGAGTACTGGGGAGAATGTGGAGAAGTAGGAGCTCAGGAAAGTGACCCCATAAAGTTTTTTTTAATGTGCTCTTTGGTGTGTATCCTCAACCTGTATGTGTGTTGATCCAGATCCTAATTAGCATACTAAGAATTTGAGAACTGAGCTGACAGACACTCATCTAGGTTCTAGACTGACCATTTCATGACATGCACAGCAGACAGATCCAGATAGCACTGCAAAGGCTTTGAAAACTGAGGTTGGACCCTCAGCCCACAGAAGGCAGGTGGAAACCTGTGGCCTGAACCTAATCAGATTGACTGCAAAAGCAAACATACATTTTCCATAAAATTTAAACCAGTTCTACAATTTTATAATGTTTATCCAGGATATACTCCAGAATTACTAGGCATATGAAGAACCATTGACATCTCAACTTGCATGGCAAAAGACAACAGCAAGGACAAAAAGATAAAGGTGTTGGAATTATCTGACAAAGTCTTTAAGTCTGCTACCATAAAAACTCAAATGAACAATTGCAAACACTTTTGGAACAAATGTTAAAATATAAATGTTAAGCTATAGAGTCTCATCAAATAGGAATTAGAAGAGCCAAATGGACATTTTAGGATTGAAAAATACAGTAACTGAAACTTAAGACCTCACTGTGTGGACTCGAGAGAGGACAAAGGAAAGAGTAAAGTTGAAGGTAGATAAATAGAAATTATGCAATGTGACAGAAAAAAGATTGAAAAAAAAAATGAACAATGCCTCAGGGACTTGTAGGACAATAACAAAAGGTCTATCAGTCATGCTATTAGAGCCCTAGGAGGAGAGGAGAAAGAGAACAGTGCAGAAAAAAATCTTTGAAGAAACAATGGCTGAAAAGTTCTCAAGTTTGGTTAAAGACACCAACCTGTAGGTTTAAGAAAACAAGTGAACCTCAACAGGATAAATAAAACCCATAAATAGATAAATCATAGTCAAACTGCTGAAAAAGACTAAGAAAAACAGAAATGATGCATTATGTACTGCATAGAGGAACAACAATTTGAATGACTATAGATTTATCATCAGAAACTCTGTAGACCAGAAGGAAGAAACAAAATTTTTCAAGTGTTGAAAGAATGATCAATCCAGAATTCAGTATCTAGCAAAAAATAACTTTCAGGAATGAAGGTAAAACTTAAAACACAATTTCAGACAAAGGAAAACTAAGAAAATTCACAGCAAGCGTATCTGCTGTAAAATAATTTTTAAAGGAATTTCTTCATATAGAAATGAAATGATGGACATAGAAAGTGGAATGATAGATAGTGGAGACTCGGAAGGGTGGGATGATGAAAAAATACTTGGGTACAATGTACATTATTTGGTTGATGGATACACTAAAATCCCCAACTTGACCACTGCACTATCTATGCTTGTAACAAAATTGCACTTGCACCCCATAAATTAATACAAATTAAAAAAAAAAAAAAGAAATACCAGAAGAGAAATTGGAACATCCGGAATGAAGGAAGAGCAACAGAACTGGTATCTGGCTAAATATAATAAACTACTCTTTTCTTAAGTTTTGTAAAACATATTTGTTGATTAAAAGCAAAAATTACATTTTGATGGGATTTTCGATGTATGTAAATGTAGTACATAAGACAGTAATAGCATAAAGTGGAGAGAACAAAGGGCTCAATATGCTGGTAGGGTTTTTACATTGCAATTGAAGTGGTAAAATGTTGATTCTAAGTAGACTGTGAAAAGTATATATTTTGTTATCCCTGGAGCAACTACTAAAAAAATTACACAGAGAGATGTCAGAGCCACAATAGATAAAATGGAATACCAAAAGTTCAAATAATCTTAAAAAAAAAAGCAGGAAAAGAGAAACAGAGAAGGAAAAAAAAACCAGAGACCAAACAGAAAATTTTAAAATGGCAAACCCCAATCCAGTCTTATCAGTAATTACATTGAATGGTCTAAACATACAAATGAAAAGACATATTGTCAGGATGGATTAAAAAAGCATGACCACATGCTGCCTACAAAAACTCACATCAAATATGATGATATAGGTTGGTTAAAAGTAAAAGGCTGAAAACAAATGCCACTTGAAAACCAAAAGAAGGCTGGAGTGGCTATATTAACATCAGACAAAGTTGACTTCACTGCAAAGTGTTAGGAATAGTGATGTTATATATTGATAGTGTCAATTCACCAAGAAGGCAGCAATCCTAAATGTGTCCTAATAACAGTTTCAAAATACTAGAAGCAAAAATTGATAGAATTGAAACAAGAAATGAACAAATCCATAATTATAGTTTCAGTAATTGACGGAAGCTAGCAGACAGAAAATCAGAAAAGATATTGAAGAAATGAACACCATTAGCCAACTGAATCCAACTGATGTTTATAGAACACTTTACCAAACAAACGGCAGAATACACATTCTTCTCAAGTGCACATGGGACATTCTCCAAGATAGACCATATCCTAGGCCATAAAACAAGTTTTAACCAATTAAAAACAATAGAAATCACAGAGTGTGTTCTTTGGCCACAGTGGAATTAAACTAGAAATGAATAACAGATAAACAATAGTAAAATCTTCAAACACTTGGAAATAACATACCTTTAATCCATGGGTCAAAGAAACTGGAAACCACCCAAAGGACCTCCAGTGGATGAATGGATAAACTGGTGGATCCATGTAATTGAATTCTATTCAGCAATTAAAAGGAACAAACTGTTGATTCACATGACATCTTGAAAGAATATGAAAGGCATTTTGCTGAATTAAAGAAGTCTGTCCCAAAAGGTTACATATTCTATGACATTCTTGAAAGCCCAAAACCATAGTGATGTAAAATAGATCAGTGGTTAGAAATAGGGTTAAGGTGTGATTATAAAGAAATAAAGGAGATTTCTGGGGCACTGGAAACTGTTCTGTATCCTGATAGTGGTGGTGGTTACATGAATGTCTACATGTGTTAAAATTCATGGAGCTCTACACCAAAAGTAAAGGGCAATTGTATGATCATTTGAAAAATAGACTTAAAATTCAATTCTGATGGTGCTTCACTAGCCTACAGGGTGCAGTACAGACTTCTTAATATGGATTACAGGGCCCACCCCGGTGGTAGCGCCTCAACAACAGGGCTGTTTCCCCTCATAAAGCCTAAGAATGTAGTTTTGGGGGTAGACTGAAATGTGGTCCCGAAGGTCACAAATGTTTTGTCTCTAAATAAGACACTTTTCAGTTTGGAAAATCAAGGATTTAGAAGACTCAAGTTCTCACTCTGGTGTAGCATGTTGTGGAATCCTGGCCTAGTATAGCCTCAGTTCCCTACCTATTAAACACGACTAAGAACTGGCTCCCCTGGGGTCACTATTAGTGTGACAGAAATTAAACTGTATTGAATGCTCAGCCGAACTGATTTTGCATTTGAACAGAATATGGCTTCCCACCTCAAACCCCTCTGGAGAGGAGAGGAGTGTATGATGTATGCATTGGGGGGAATAGATTGTATTGTCAGATTTCAAGGTGCCTTATGCATTTATTTAACAGTCTGGACTACACTCTATCCCACTTTGCCTCCCCAGTAACTAATGCATTCCACTGAGATTTGTATCCTGCAGAGAATTAGCTCCTGGAGCAATTACAGTGGCATGTATTTCCCCACAGGATCATCCAGAGTCGCAGCTAGGTTTTAGAGTTCTTCTTGGCAACCCCTTTAGTATCATGATCATCCCTGATGGAGATTCTTGGTTTGCGCTGTTGCTGTCCTCCCTCACCTGCCATCGTGACCTGCATGTGGCTTGTTTAGAGCTTGGATGGCCACCCAAGCCCACCTGCCCCCCATTTCCACCACCATTCAACTCCCTTTATGCTGAGGTAAATGATGAGGCACGGCATTGATTATGTTTATCCATTTATTAAAATATTTAAAGAAGCAATACTTTATTAACATTGAGGACTGGTGTTCCATTTGGCGGGGGGAGAGGAATAGGCACACTTTGTGGATCTTTTTTTTCTGCTTTTTCCTGTTACCATGTAAATACCCCAGCTTCCTCCCCCAACCAGCCCCTGGCCCTGCTGCTTATTTGCAGGGGCCTCTGAGGAAATAAAAAACACAGAGCAGAAAACAACAATGGGTTACAGATTCACTGACAAATAGACAAATGCAATTCCACAAATCATATAGCCAAGCAAGGTCTCATATAGGATGGAATGGTGCTAATGGGTTTGGTTGCTTTGGTATTATTTTCCACCTCTCGTGAAAGAAAAATTCTTCCATTTGTGTCCTGAGGGAAGATGACGTTGACCCTGACTGTTTCTTCTGGCCCAGTTTTATTAAGGTAAAAAATCTCTTTCTTATTCTTAACCTGCTCTTATGGACACAGCACAGGGCCTTTCTGGAGAAGGGGACCCATAACTGTTTACCTCCTATAGTATTGACACCAGAAGCAGTTGGTGGCAGTTCAAATGTATCGGCTTTTTCTTCTCCACTATTCTTCTGGCCAGGAATTGCCTACCCAACCAATTCGTCAGAAAGTGCTACCAAAGATACAACCAAACCCTAGAGCTTTGGGTCTTAATGATGTCTGAACATAATTGAGATGGATATTTGGTGTTTGGTCCCACCACCCAAGCAATTGTATTAATTACTGCAAGTGGTTAACAAAGTCCTTAAAGGAGCTCACACTCCCAGAGCTAAGACAACTCCCTTGAGGCATCACTTCTTGCTTTGTTTCCAAGTGAGCATATGCAAGAACAGGTGCTTGGCAAGCTATCTTCCTTTTTGGGAAACTACTGGTAACTTAGCAATTTAGGAGGTAACTGAGGGATTGAGCAAGCCACACCTGCTCCTGGGCCTTGTCATCTATCAACTGTGCTCCATGAGCTGACTCTAGCCCCAAATACTAGTGGTTTCAGTCAATATCATTCTGACTCAGAGTGGGAGGACAGGGTAGGTGAAAGGGAATCCACATGGCACAACAGAGCAACAGCAGCATCACTGTGCACAAAGACCTAATTATTGCAGCAAAGTAAGCACAAGAGATGGAGTCTTATTACAGTTTACTATCATCAGTGATAAAAATAATTATAAGACACAGCCCTGCTTAGTCACTGCCAAGATAAAGCTATCTTCTCCCAGGACTTCCTTCTGTAGTCCTAAATTTGCTCATTTGGACATTTTCCCCTTCGGAAAAAGCTCTTCTGAAGAAAATGCAACTTGGTTCCCACTCTGTGAGTGTGTGTGCAGGTGTCAATGCATGCAGCCATAGAGGAGCCAAGTCAGGCTGCAATAGTGAGCTTGCTGATTTCATCTAATACCTCCTCCTGGGAAGAAAGACTAATAACAGAGAAAGTCAAAGACACAACAACAGCACACTCACTACTCAAATATGTACAACAAGCTAACACATTCTGATGCTTAAATAAGTTTTAAATGTTTTCTGTCATCTTTTTCCATTGACTTTCTTCTCTAGTTGTAGAGCTAGGACTTAGTTTGGCACAGCAATCAGACATTTGGGGACTATCCCCTTGTTAATATTTTTCTCCTCACCCCTGCGGAGGTGGAGCACAGGTGGCTGGTTTAAGTGGGTTAGGCTGGTGGAGTTCCAGAGTTGAGAACCAGTGCTTGGAATCTGAATTGTGCACCTCAATGAACCAGCCATTGGACTGAATCAGGTAATTGAGCACGCTAAGTTTGTCTGAGAAGTAGGGAGAGGCCAGTTTTCTCTTGATAAGTGGGAAGGGACAGTTAACTAAAGGTATGAGTCAAGGGTGGGGTGAAGATGCAAGGCTGACCAGAGAGAACCTCTCTGGGCATTGGGGTTTGATTAGATTTGCCCTGACTGGGAGAAGGCATTTTTGAAAAATGTGAATTAGTATTTGGAGCGATTTAGGAATAGTTTGTTTTCATGAGAAATTTGCAAGAAGAACCACAGGAAAGCACAGGCTTCTAGCCTTCATTTCTCCAGGCCCATGTTTTTTCTGATCACTTCAATGCCCCTCTGTACTCAAGGGAAAAGGGCAAGATGGGAGATTTGAAGGTGACTTGAGGACTGACCCAACAGCCTGTCCAGAAGATCAGGCCAAGATGGAGCTTGTGGGGAAGGGCCTAGGCTGTGACTTAATTGTCAGGCAGTCCCTAGTTCAGGCATCTAAGTCACAGAGCTCAAGGCCTGGTTGCTCCATATAGTCTTTTTATTGGGGAAGGGCACAGTTGCTGATGAAGAGTCTAGGACAGATAGAGCAAAAAAAGGCAGCATGCCAGCTTAAACCCCTTCTTTAGGGCATTGGTGTTTTTGTTCCCCTTTCCATGGCCTGGCTCAGAATTTTAAGGGGGCGTCAGAATCAGCTGGGCCATAGATCCCAGCCACCTCTAAGACGCTGAAAATGCACCAAAAGATTTAGAAGCTCCACCAAGAAATAGGGCAGTTGGTAGAGGTGTATGTGTTATTGTTATGTAGAGTAAGGGGGAGTGGGAAGGGATTCCTGGATTAGCACAATAAATTATAGGGTCACTTAGAGGTCGAGTTGTATTTTCAGCTCTTAAAAATATATATGCGTATGTATATATATATACATCTTTATGTCTCTATACATAATCTATACTGCAGCACAGCGGCAAAACATTTAGTTAAAAAATCCAGCAAGAATGCAGGCAAACACTCCGTGGAGGCATGCAGGCTAGGATCAAGGCAGCAGGAGGGGAGCCTGTATGGTTGCCATGAGGGGTGAGTTCCAACCAATGAGCCCACCAGAGCACCACCTGGACATATGCAGACATACAAGCACACATAGAAAAACGCAAAGGGTTTGCAGAGAGAGAGAGAGGTTACCATATCTACAAAAAGAGATTTCACATGGTCATCTTAACAGGAAAGTGGACAAGCCCCCAGGATCTAGTTCTCATTTTAATGAGCCAACTAGAAGAGATCTCCTGAAGGTGCAAGTTGCAGTTGGCAGGGATTCGGAGAGACACACAACCAAGTCTGGCTGTCCTGCCTGCCCCCTTCTCTTCATCTCCCTGGGAGTCTGTGTGTCTTTCATTCATTCCTTAGCATTGATAGTTTCTCTGCTGGTCAGAGAAAACCATTCCAAAACTCCCTGAAGAGGTGAACTCCCTTGAATCCTTTATAGATCCCAGGCCATTCATAAAGAGCTTATCCCAATAAATACTGTAGTTGCTCAAGATGCACAAAGAGAAGGAGAACTGAACAAGACAACTCGGAACAAGAACCTTTGGCCAATGAGGAAATGTAAACCTCTAAGGAGACCAGATTAAGTCCAGGAAAATGCATTAGTGAAAAGAATTGGAGGGTCTTTCTTGGTGGTGCTCATGTTTGTTCTGAAATGATTTAGTCTAGCCTGTATTGAGGTTTTGAGAGTTTTTTTAGTAGAATTCTCAATGTTGTGAGTTCTTCCAGCTTTCAAGGGCTACAGTTGAGATCTCGATGGTGTTAGAGGATCATCACCCTCTGCTTCATCTTCACGATGTCTGCGGTGCCATAAATTGCCTTCAGAGGAAAAAAAATGGTATAGAAATAATGAGGTTAGCACAATGCCAGATGCCCAAGTATGTGGACCCAAAAGAGAGCAAAAAGTCTGTTAGAAGATAGACTGGTTTGTTCCTATTGTACTAACCATCTCTGAATCATCAGGGAAAACCAGCTGAAACCAAGTGAGCTAAAGACAAATGGGATGAATTTTCAGAACCTGATAATTTATGGAACTGATATTGACTCTGTCAGAGTCTTTAGAAATATTTGCAAACACTATTGTCTCCCAATTGACAGACTCTTAAGGAATCAAACCAGTTCGACCATACCTGAGAAAATACAGCTCGATCCAAGAGATTCTCTCTTGGCATTCGTGCAAACTCTTAGTTCCTTGAAAACAAACTGCTACCCTCTGTCCCTTTCTTTTTTTCTTTTTTTTCTTTCTTTCCTTCTTTCTTTCATTTCGCTCCCTTTCTTTCTCCTTCCGTCCTTTCTTTATTCTTCCTCTTTTTTTCTCCCTCCTTCCTTCCTTCCTTCCCCCTCCCTGCCTCCCTCCTTCCCTCCTTCCTCTTTCTTTCAAGATGAGGTCTCACTCTATTGCCCAAGCTGAAGAGCAGTGGCATGATGACAGCTCTCTGCAGCCTCAGCCTCCCAGGCTCAAGCAATCCTCCCACCTCAGCCTCCCAAGTAGCTAGGACTACAAACGCACACCATCATGCCCTATTAATTTTTTATTTTTTGTAGAGACAGCAGGGTCCCACCACGTTGCCCAGGCTGGTCTTGAACTCCTGGGCTCAAACAGTCTGCCTGCCTCGGCCTTCCAAAGTGTTGGGATTACAGGTGTGAACCTGTTCCTTTTTTTTCCATGTCCACTATTACTGCATCTCTCAAGCTTCCAGGTTGTCTAGGACCAAAATTTAGGAGGGACCACCATTTACATCAGAATTGGCACAACTGAAAACTCTAAGAGAACCTTCTTTTGAATCCTACTGATATGTCAATAGTGCTTAAGGCCAATTCTGAAGAAAGAAGAAATGGAACCAAAATTCAAACAATAAAATATACAGATATGTTGCTTTTCTACCACTTACTATAACAGGAACAAAAGTGTTTAGATAGGCCACAGAACCTGTTCCTGACCCTTAGGAGTGAATCAGGCAGAAAAATCACCGCCTGTTTGCATTTTTGTTTTCTGTATATGTTATGGAGACCACACAGGTTCTCCCCTTACCAGTGTCCATATCACTTTCTCTCACCTTGTCCAAGATATGGCTTGGTATCACTTACTGCTGACTCCCAGATGGCCTCCCGCTTCATCATCACCATTCCCACAAACATTTCTAATGGGGGCTTCAGGTCCCTGGGAGGTAGCCAGGCTGTTGGGGGAAGTCTTCATGACCCCTCTGCCTGTGGGGGAGACTTACCAATAAAACTCTGGACACTCTGGCCTGATTTAGGCTTGCGTTCCTCTTCTACCTTTTTCTTTCCCAATTTGGGGAACTTAATTTTCAGCCTGAGGCTTCTACTGTCAGTGTCCGAAGATTTTTCCTGAGAAACCACAAGAGGAAGGTCAAAATGTTAGTTGCCTAATATTCAAAGATAATTGCTGGAGTCCTGGAAAAGTGGTAAACAAGAATGGCTACAGAGAACAGGGAGATCTGCTCTCTATCCAGGTATGAGAAACACCCCCATCACTGGTCGCATGCCCTAGGAAAGCAATTGATCCTTACCAAGAGGCTACTTGATGCCAGGTGCTTTGCTAGCATTAATAAATGCTCTCATACAACTCTCAAAGCAACCTTGCAAAGTGGTTATTAACATCCCTGTATCAGAGATGAGGAAGCAGAAGCTTGGAGAGGTTAAATATTTCACCTGAGCTCATGTGGCTAGGGATTAGAAGGATGAGATTGCTAGCGCCACTGCTAGCTCACATGGAATCTCTGCATGAATTAGGAAAAAACACCTCTTCCTTCAGACATATAGTTTGGTGAGCCTTGGCCAAATACCTTCTTATAGGGAAGACCCTTGCCTGCCAGGCCAGCTGCTTCCCTGTCTGGAATGCAAAGAGAGTTCTCTAAACATAACTCTTAATTATGAACTTGGGCTCTCTGCTGTGCAGATCATGCAGGCTCTGTAATTCCAGCTTAGGCCTGCTAAAGTATGCTTGTTTTACTACTGGTCTCAGTAAAACACAATTTTGAGATTAACTTTGTTGTCAGAAAACCCAGAGTGGGAGGGACGGAAAGCAGCAGGGAGAGGTAATATTTGGAAGATTTAACCACCAGTATGGCCTGGGCACCAACCATTTAGAACAGGTATTGGCTGTAAACTGGCATGGCCATACTGGTATGAACCAGATGAAGTTCAGTCCTGGCAGCAGGTGCTGAGCAGGGAGGGGGAATTTGCAGCCAGGAAAACAACACACAAAAAAACCTATCTTGCTTATTCTTTCTTGATCATCTCTTGTTACAGAATGAGCCTTCTTTCTGGTTATTTTTCCACAGTCACCTAATTTTTCTACATGTTTTCTGCCTTACCCTATCTATTTATGATGAAGAGATTGGGGGGAGGTGGGCAGGGAGGAAGCTCCAGTAACCTTCAGTTTAAAGCCAGCACTGGACCCCCTGTACTACAGTCACCATGTCCTGGCCCACACTGGAAGGGAAGGCACTAAGGAAGAATCCCTCTTTCCCTTTATTTCCCAATTCCCAAGATTACGCACCTCTGGAACAAAGATTGGATTCATCCAGTCAATCTCAGATAGCTTTTTGAACTCCTTATTCATGGCATCCAGGGCGCTTTGTAGTGCAGTCTCATCCTCAGCACTTCTCAGCTGGTACAGACAGGAAAAAGAGTAAGTGTCCAATGCCTAGCACTTTTGTAGACTCTTACACTCTCCCCCACTCCCAGTCCCTGCTAGTGACCAAGAGACCACAAGGTGCCAACTTGTATCCCTTTGGCCCATAGCCAGCTGTTTTCTTTCTCAAAAGGAATATCCAGAAAACAACCAAATGGTGGGGCTCTCCTTGGGGCTGGGCATGCTTACAGTTTTGCAAGCAGAGAGGTCTTTTGATTAGTATCAATTAACACTGAGCTTCACCCCTACAGCTTAGGGTTGAGGACAAGGGTCCTACTGTGACCTCCAGTCCCTGGAGACATCTCAGTGTTCCCCTAAGTAAAAGCTACCTAGCTTTGAGCACATACTGTATGCCAAGCACTGTACATACATAATTTTGTCCCATCTTCCCGGTAACCTTACAATACCTTACAAGGTACTATTGTTTTCATTCCATGGGTGAGAAAACAGACTCCAAGAAGTTTAGTGCTCAAGATCACACAGCTAGACAGAACCCAGGTCTGTTTAACTGTATAGCCTGCCCTCTATACAACATTGTCTTATCAAAGACATGTGGGGAGGCCAGATGCTGAGGGAATCTTTATTACATGCTTACTGTAATTTAAAGGTTGTTTTGTGAAGCAAGGAGAGAGCTAGAGAGAGGCTGGCTCAACTTTCTCCTCCTGGAAAAGAGGGTCTGTCTCCCCAGGCCATGCTTTAGCCCCCAGCTATCACTATGACTAATTAAGAAATGAGTTCTAGATGGCTTGTCCCACAGGTTCAGGAAGCAAATTTAAGTGCTCCCTAGTAACCCCCAGCGCCCACAAGATGAACTTTGTACAGTCCATGGAAGACTTAAAATGGATTCTTTTGGGACCATCTTCGACTCAGAAGAATCAAGTTCTAGAACATCAACACAGGTGAGATGGTTCACATTCCAGTAAGTAGTGAGCTGGGAGAACAGATGGGCAAAGATATCTTCAGCCCTCACATGCTTACAGCCCACCTAACCTGGCCTCACCTCTACTCCCTGGCATGCACTTTACTTTCAATCTAGCACTTATGTGGCTTCTTGCTGTGCACAGGCCACTTGCTGCTCCAGCCATAGGTTGAGCCTTGCTGGCTGTCACAAACGGGTGGCATGTGAATGAGAGGAGTACAGGGTAGGAAGTTATGGTCAGTCACTATGGGATACTGAGGGAGGAGCAAGTCAGTGCCGACAAATAATGTTTTTTGCTTTTCAACTAGTAACTTAAGACAATACAAACTGCCCTAGATGCACGGGACATGTGTGTGCCAAGTAAGGGAAGTGGGAGTTACTGGGAGGGATTCACTTCGTCATCAATTTACTTCCCTTTACTAACTCTGAGCTCCTTACTGCCCTACTTCTTCAAGGGGAGGAATAACACCCAAATGAAACAAGCTGTATCTCCATCTCACCTCTAGGACAGCCTTTCTGGAGATACATGGTCATTCTTAGCTGCTGCCTGCTTCTTGGCCACATTTGGATGTGTGGATGTGTATGTGTGTTTAAGTCCTCACTGGGCCCTATGAGGTGGGAGACTTCTCAAGTGTGGTATGGGCTCAAGTTGGGTTGTTGGTTGGTGTGAACCAATTTTCAGGTCATGAGCCTCGGGAAAGTGGCGACAAGAGACCAAACGCACCTATTTCCTGCTGCCCAAATGGGCAAGGCTATTGAGCTCTGCCTATATATAGAAAGTACTTCTGTTGATGTTGTCTGAGGCTCAAAGACTAGCTTGGGGCTCAGATGTTGGGACAGTCTGACCTGATTGCCTTAGCCACTCTGCCTCCTGTGCAGTGTGCCAATTAGATGAGCAAATGAAAAGAGGAAATAGATGCACTTCTGCAATATCAACTCTGAAGCCCCTCTTCAAATAAACCTTAATTAGATGAGAGGCAAGCACAGCACCTGCCTCAGGGCCTTACCAGCCAACCCTAAAGTGGATGATCATAATTAGTCACCTCATCAGAGCACACTCACCAAGTATGCCTATGGGTTTTGCATTCTGAGAAACATGCAACTAGCCTTCTAGCCCAAAAATGGAGCCTCAGTCTGTTCTCCCTAGAACTAACAAAATGCACTATGAAGCTGCTAGTATAGGCTAGGCACTGATAGGTACTTAATATACAACACCCTGGAGAGGTAGGGATTATAATTCCTATCTTGTAGATATGGAAACTAAGACCCAGAGAGGTGAAGTCACACAGCTAGTGTTATGGGTTGAATTGTGTCCCCCCAGGAATGACACGTTGAAGACCTAATCCCCAGTACATCAGAATGTGACCTTATTCGGAAATAGGGTCATTGCAGATGCAATTAGTTGTTGAGGTCATATTGGATAGGGTAGGCCCCAATCCAATGTGACTGGTGTCCTTATAAGAAGATGGCCTTGTGAAGACAGAGAAACACAGAGAGAACATCATGTGAAGATAGAGGATTGAAGTGATGCATCTACAATCCAAAGAACACCAAAGCTTGCCAGAAAACCACTGGAAGCTAGAAAGAGGCAAAGAAGGACCCCTTACAGGTTTTAGAGAGAGGATGGCCCTGCTGACACCTTGATTTGGACTTCTAGCTTCCAGAATTGAGAGACAATACATTTCTGTTGTTTGAGGACACCTAGTTCTTGATACTTTGTTATGGCAGCCTTAGGAAACGAATATATTAATAGCTAGTAAGTGGCAGATTTGAGATTTGAACCCAGGAATCTCCCAATTTTCCCACTATTCCACACCACCTTCTCATAGGGTGAAAGAGGCATGTAGAAACTTGGGAGGTACAAAGCAGCTCAAAATAGCTCACCTTTTTCTACTGGAGCTGTATCAAGTACGGTAACACTCTACTTTTTATTGGCCTGGTCTGAACCCACAAGACATTTACCAAAGGAGAGGTTGAGACTTTCTCTCAAGAGTATGGTAGTCCCTGTGGATTAGCATAACCCATGAAGTCATACAACCAACAACAATCCTAGGTGACACAGTAGGGACTTCCAGGCAAGCACCTGGCCAAAATGCTCCCACGGGTCTCCAGTGCCCTTGGACCAAGCACAAGACCATGACCATGTTCAGATAGAATACTTTGCCCTCCCAGACTCCAACCCCCTGCACTCACCAGCTTTTCATCCAGGAAAGCTGTGGTGTCATCGTAGAGACCTTTAAGACTAAATGTAACATCTACGGCATCATTTCTGCTTAGAGTCTGAGAGGAAAAGAACGGAAAAGGAGAGAAAAAGACAAAGACAGGGGAGTTGTTGGTTAGTAAGCATGCAGCTGTCTTCTCCGTGGGAAGGTAGAAGCAGGCTAGTAGGATGTGGCTATAGGTGAAAAAGCAATATTCAAAATATAGTACAACTAGCACAGCATGAGCTGTACTATCAGAACGAGTGCCAGCTGACAACTGCTGGTACAGTAGTTGTGTAGTACTATGTGAAGTGGCAGAGCACGGCTTGGCTTTGGCATCACTGATTGATTGCAGTGGGTATAGGAAAATAGGAAATATGCAAACCAGAGGGTAAATTTAAGGCTACTTGTTGTCCTAGGCCAAAACCATCATTCCAGGGCAGGTGAAATTAGGGCCTAACATCTCTCTTCTTGCAACTCCAGGCCTTGAGTTGTAGGCCTCCTCCAACTGTAATCAGGCCCTGACACAATTATATCTTTCGCCTAGCACTAAAGTTACTTTTTAAAAGCATCAGTTAACAATTCTGGCAGTGGACAAAGCCATGGGGTGACACATTTAACATTAAGTGTCCTGCCTGATATGGACCTTTCCCTCAAGAGGAAAACCGAGGCACCCGGAAGTTCTAGTTCCAATGACAGGTGTTCCCTTATCAGGTTATACAGAGATCTACTTGTGATAAGGAAGGGCCAAGTACAAGTTTCTCTTCGTTTATTGTCCATTTCTCCCTTGAAGCTGGTGGGAGGGATGGCTATCAGGGAAGAGGGCTAGCTCTCAGGCTGATGAAATCTGCTGTGATTTTCCCCCAGCAACCACCTTGGACCTGTAACAAGTCAAGGAATGCCTGCCTTCCCGTCCACTCTCTCCATCAGTTTCCTGCCATATTTGCCCAGTTTCTCCGTCCAGCCTCCGGCTCCACTTCTTTCCCTTTCATCCTCTTTCCTATCTGGTTTGACTCCTTTCCTTAATTCACTCCTTTCTACTTACTTCAATGGGAATACAGGAAGCTGCACCCATCTCATTGCCACTGTCTTGGCCGTAAAATATATCATTCAGGATGTTAGCGCTGGCATTCACAGAACCCATGAGGACAGACACATGCTGGTGGATCTTGCTCAGGTCATTAAGTCTGTAATAAAGCAAGGACAGATAGATGAGTTGGGATTTCTGAAGGACTTCTGGCCTGGGGCACTGGTGAGGGTTTGGGTAAGGGTAGAAGTGAAAGCCCTGGGTACCTGACTTGGACTCATGACTCCCTCCTGTTATTTCTGCTCTTCTCTAGGTAGCCACCTATGCTAGCAAATGTTTCTACTCTTCTCTAGGTATTTACCTTTACCCATCCTTGTCTCACCTGAATTTAGATATTGGGAATTTGGGGAGGGTAGAAGGCTAGAACAGAGGAGGGCAGCTGACTCTAGGAACTCCAAGGCCCTCCTGATATTTAAGGGCAAGGGTAAACAGTCTTAGTTCTATTGGGTTTGGATTAGCAACAAGAGATCCAAATTAATCCCTGGGTCTAATGAGAGATGTCTAACCTGGCTTATTGCTGAGCACAGAGAATATTTCCTGCCTGGATTGTGAGGGTCCCGCTCAATTTTTAGAGCTCTAAGCTAAATTCCTCTCTGAGGCCAGGCTCCCTAGTAGCCAATAGACACAAATTGGCTTCTTCTCCCTATGCCTTCTTAGGATTCTCAGCCCTGTATCTAGGCCAGTCCACTTACTTGCTGATGAGGTTTTCTGCAAGCCGAGCTAAGTGCTGCATCTGGGCATACTCCTCGTCAGAGAGGCTCTCTTGAGAGTCCTGGAAGTCCAGCTGGGGTTGAGGGGCAGCTTGAATTTCAGTATGCTTGTATTCCCACATTTTCATTGAGTTCTCAAAGTCCTGGAGATGAATACAGTGGCATATCCTAATGATTGCTGTAGCTACTAGTGCACATGACAGATCTGTCTGTGAGCCTGACGTTTGTGGGCAATGGGTATGTGGGTACAGTGGGTAGAGGGGAAGGAGGGCCCCCTGTCCATTCCCCCTGTCATACCCATCTATATACCTATACAAGTATCCATCATTTTATTCAATCTCTTCTGGACTATGCCCTTTAGTTTTTGTTGTTCTGAGTATGCTGGATTTTGGGACACCAGGCTTGGATCATACACATGTCTGGTTTCTAGAAGCTCCCATATGAAGGCATCATGACTGACAAGACAGTGGAGCACCTTTCATGCTCCCTTCTTTGCCAAATGTAGGCAATATGTGGTGATGCAGTTTAGAGCCAAACATATCTAATTTAATTTTGAATCGTGTTTCTGTCATTTACTAGTTGTGTGACCATTAGCAAATTATTTAACCTCTCTGGTCCTCATTTTCCTCATCTGTAAAATGGGAATAAGTGTATCCACCTCATAAGATTGTGGAGAGAACCTACATGAGAGAAATGTAAAATGCCTAGCACAGAATAGGCAGTTTATAAACTGGACTTCTCTTCCTTTCTCTATTGCTGTTTCCATGGACTTTTCACAGGTTAGAGTGCAAGATAACCTCCAAGCATTGAATATGTGATCAATAATAGCTCCTTTATAAGCTTTAGAAGCTTTAGCTGAAGTGGATGACATGTATTAATGCAGCATTTTAAGGAACCTTAGAGACACCTAAAGACCATGTTCAATGCAGAATCTGTTGCTGAAGGAGAAGATTTTTCCATAATCATCTGACGCTTTTAGCTCTCTTTGCAGTGGAAAGAGGAGGATAACCTTGTCGAAAACCAGGGGAGGAAGCTCCTTGTCTCACTCTCTTGGACAGTGTTTGCAAATGTCAGTATATATCAGAGTGTCTTGAGGAGCCTGTTTGCAAATTTGGGTTCCTGGGAACTATGCAACCCTATGTGGTTCAGTGGGTCTGGTGTGGGGGCCCAAGAATGCATTTATAACCAGCATCTCAAGTGACTCTGATGCCAGGGGCACACAGACCTCCTTTTGAGGAATTCTGCTTGAGTGGAAATATTCAGTACTCAAGTGACTATGGATGAGGCAGTATAGGAGCCCAAGACAAGATTTTCCCCCTTACCCGATCTCTTGTCAGCATCTGGGCAGCGTTCTTGTATCTAATTTTGATAAGGCCTGGTCTCTGAATCCAGGCCTCCCCATCCACCTGCACTGGGATACCTTCTTCACCATCAATGGTTATCATCACCTCATGGCACTGCCAGAGAAAATGAGGAAGAATGGGAGAGAAAAATGGGGCAACTGCTGTAACTCTATCTGATAATCTCATAGTTATGGCCTTGAATGTGTATCTGAAGCAGGACTGGAAAGGATGTGAATCAGATCATCCCAGGAAGAAATGCCTGTTTCCTATGGGCTTTTTGCTCCATTGGCTTCTGCCACCTCTGCCTCCAACCTCAGTCAGCACTTTACTGCCCACCAGATAACCTGCTCACTCCACCCTGGCATTCTTCTACCCAGTTAATTCCTGGGACTATCCCACATCCTGGGTAGCAGTCAAAAACCTCAGCCCCTTCCCAGTGCCCACCCAGCCCCTGCCTACCTGGGCAATGCGATGATGATGCAGGTTGATGATACGGGACATTGCCATCTGCACAGAACCAAAGATTGCCACCACCTCCAGTTTCCCATCATCGATTGCAGGAGCCTCATATTCCTGAGGAGGAAGAACTGTGTCACATCTCCCACCCTTGAGAAATCACACCCTGTCTATAACAAGAAGGCATGTTTAAAGGCTCCTGGTGAGAATTTTTCTAGCTCATGAAGAGTGGAAACACTTCATTATTAAAAGGGAAAAAGATGAGGTCAGAAAGCCAATCTGGGAAAAGGGTACTGCACTCTTAGCCAGTTCCCTCCTTTTCCAATCCAGCATCATAAATACCTGAGGCCAGTCTTATTGGCCTTATGACCTTCTTGGGTAAACTCAGAGTAAAGGGGTCATGGTCAGCATCCCAGGAGATTTTACTGACAGAATTCCTTGGAGAAAAGAGCATGGCCTTGGCCGGGCGCAGTGGCTCACACCTGTAATCCCAGCACTTTGGGAGGCCAAGGTGGGTGGATCACCTGAGGCCAAAAGTTCAAGGTCAACAAGCCTGGTCAACATGGCGAAACCCTGTCTCTACTAAAAATACAAAAATTAGCCGGGCATGGTGGCTGGCGCCTGTAATCCCAGCTACTCGGGAGGCTGAGGCAGGAGAATCACTTGAACCTGGGAGGCGGAGGTTGCAGTGAGCTGAGATCTTGCCACTCCAGCCTGGATGACAGAGCAAGACTCCGTTTCAAAAAAAAAAAAAAAAAAAAAGCATGGTCTAGATAGCCTTTAAAGGATCTGTCAGACCCGAGGAATGGAAAATCCAAAGCCCAGGCAACACCTACGAGTTGACCTTATCCTGAGGTCTTTGGTTGAATTTTCTGCTTTCGGATGGTAATTGCCTGAAAAACTGATCATACAGCTGCTGCTAATAAAGGTTCTCGGACCACCTCCTCTTCTCCCATTGTCTATTTTTCACTTCAGTTAGCACAATGCTTCCTTCAGAGAGACCTTAGTGGGATCATGCCTTTCTTCCTCCCCATTCCTTGTTCCATACTAACCGTGGTTGCTGTGTTGCTTCCCCAGAAGTTGATACCTCCAGCATAGCTGGTAATGTTGAGCACTACAATGCCTTGCAGGTTTGGCAAGGAGATGGTTTCTCCATCACACTGAAAGAAAAGAGTAGCTCTCATTAGCTGGATCTTTAGATAGCAACATGAAGGAACATTTACAGAGATGGGGAAAGGGCTCTGTCTTCTCTTCCATTACATGGAAATCTATCTTCATGCCTTCCTCCCATGAGCTGTGAGGATCACAGAGTTAAAGCTCAGGAAGAATCAGCATGTACGGTATTCCCAAGGCCATGAGATTTCCTTTCTCCATACCCAGGAAAGACTACCCGCTTTTCCACTAACCTCCAAATGCACTCGTTCTTCCAGTTTCCTGTAAGAGCGCTGCAAAAGTTCTTTGGTTCCCAGAAGGCCATACCACATCTTGTTCTTAAGGCGGCTACTACATGGAGGTAAGCATTAAGAAAGCAGAGGGTGAATGATATATAGATAAATGGTGGAAAAAGACAGGAAGGAAAACCATCTTACTTCTCAAATGCCTTCTTACAGAGAGGAGTCATGCTAAATGGCAACTGGACAGCGGTTAATGTAACTGATATCCAATGCAAACACTTGAAGAAATGGGTTCCTGGGCCCCTTTGAAGCCTCAGTATCCTATCAATAAATAAATTTTCCATTTCTGCTTGCTACCAATATTGGTCCAGACTTGGAAGAAACAGGCTATATTCAGACATCAATGCTCATAAAAAGCTATGAGCGTAGCTGGCTGGTACACACCAGCTACCCTAGTTGTGCTACTCCAGGAGATTTCAGCTGCTTGGAATCAATTTCATTTGAAACACGTGACTCTTAGAGTGCAATTTTTTTTGAAGCAGCAACTTTTCTGGCAAAGTGAAGTACTTTTCCAAACACCAGATCCATATACTAAATGCCTAATTCAATGCCATGGAACAGATCTAAGCTTGTAGGGAGATTTTAGAGGAGGAGCCAGTGGAGAAAAATAGGAGACAGGAAAGGATATCAGGTGACTTGAGGTGGAGGTGGGGAGGACAGCGTCTTGTTGACTGTGGAATCTCTGATAGAAATAGGTGGGGCACTTACGATCACTAGAAAGGCTGGATATAGTTTACTTGGAGCTTGTAAAGTAGAGCCACAGAAATGAGCCATCATCACATGGAATGAGTTTTGAAATGTCAGAAGGCTAGCACAAAATTATTGAGACACTGTTTAAACCATTCATTCTCTGGGCACTTTGGTGTTCTCATCTACAAAAATAGGAGTTTAGGTATATGAAAATGTACAATACCTAGAACAAACCAATTCTGAAAAAAAGAATCAAGTGGGGGACTTTCATCTCCCAATTTCAAAAACTACTGTAAAGCTATAGTTATCAAGATAGTGTGGTACTTGCATAGGATAGACACATAAATAAATAGAACAGAAGTGAGAGTCCAGAAATAAACCCTTGCATTTGTGGTCAATTGATTTTTGACAAAGGTGCCAACACGATTCACTGGGGAAAGGATAGCTGTTTTGAAAAATGGCTCTAGATCCGGGCGCGGTGGCTCATGCCTATAATCCTATCGCTTTGGGAAGCTGAGGCGGGCGGATTGCCTGACCTCAGGAATTCGAGACCAGCCTGGGCAAAATGGTGAAACTCCGTCTCTACTAAATTACAAAAAATTAGTCAAGCATGGTATCATGCACCAGTAGTCCCAGCTACTTGGGAGGCTGAGGCAGGAGAATTACTTGAACCCAGGAGGCAGAGGTTGCAGTGAGCCGAGATCATGCCACTGCACTCCAGCCTAGGCGACAGAACAAGACTCCGTCTCCAAGAAAATAAAAAAAATAAACAAATAAATAAATTAAAATGGTGGTGAGATAATTAGATATCCACAGGCAAAAAGATAAACTTAGACTCTTACCTTAGACCCTCACACTATACGTAAAAATTAACTCAAAGTAGATCATACACTTAAATGTATTAATAAGAGCTAAAACAATACAAACTTTAGAAGAAAACTTAGGAGCAAATTTTTAAGATCTCAGATTAGGCAAAGATTTCTTACAGATGGCACCAAAAGCATGGTCCATAAAGAAAAAAACTGATCAATTGGACCGCCTTAGAATTCAATACTTTTGTATTTCAAAGATACCACTAAGAAAATGAAAAGACCAGCAAGAGACTGGGAGAAAATATTTGCAAATCACATATCTGACAAAGTTCCTGTTTCTCAGCCCAGGCCTGCTTTGAGAAAGAGGTTCTAGTGGTGGTGGCAAGGGTGGGGTGTTGTGGGGTGGGGTGTCACACTTTTTACTTATAGCTTCAATGTACCACAAGAACTCTGAGACTGACTTAGGCCTTGTCTGAAGTATGAAAGTGCGAGAAGGTGCCATGCAGGCCAACACTGGATAGGGTAAAATTAACGGGTTCAGGGGAACCAGGTTAGGAACACCAAAAACAAATAGAGGGATGTTTGATACTTTGCAACTTTGTCAAGTGAAAACAGATCTGAAGCCACTACTGAAACCTGGTTAAACTTTCACAGACAGAACAAAGGTGGGCGATTTGCTAAATTGAGTCAACATAATCTGTTGTCAGTAACAGTAACACAGGTAGCTGTGTTTACACAGAAATCCACAGGTCTGGATTTGAAGGCAGCTCAAGTTTAGGATGCCAGTGCAGTCATCCAAAATTTGGCACACACTGTCCCGCTAGACTAGTCTTGGGGCCAATGCATTTTACTTCCAGTGGGTCCCTTTCTTTCTGTTGCTTGTCTGAGAGGTAGAGAATGTAGGAATACGTATGTGTATTGTGATAGTGTGTTTGCATGTAGGGAAGGGAGTTTCTTTTCCTTACTTGTATTGCCCTGGGTGTTCATCTCTTCTGGTGTTGAAGTCCAGAGAAATTTTAGCATCCAGTCCAATTCCGAAGTAGTTGTTCATGACACATTTTTCTTTGAAGCGTCTGAAATTATTCAAAGAAGAGGACAGACATTGGTGCAGGAAAGAAGTGCCGCTATCAATTGGGCATGAAGATGAATCTGCATGATGGAAAACCAGTGAGGGAAGGCCCCCTCCACACTGGGCACTAACTATAACATTTTTGAGAGGCACATGTAGATATCCTTTTGTGTGAACAACTAGCTTATTAGCTGTAAGAGGGAGTGCCTCGCCAGTTGGGAAGCTTCAGTGGGATTGGAACTCATAATAAAGAAGCAACATTGATGATTTTAGTCATCTTTGGAGGCCTTATGTATGAGTGGCCCATATTTTCTTCATATGTAGTATTAAGGGAAATACTGTTTACTCCTATAAAGAACTTTTGAATATCCTAGACACAAACGTGCCATGACAGTTAAGTCTGCACAACTGCTCTCAGTGATGTCCGACATCAAAGGGGAAAATGACCACACATTTGGAAGGAAAGACTGATAAAAGAGGGTAGATATGTACATAACAAAAAAGCCAAATTATTTGTCAAGTCTCCTGTGTCCATCTAGGGTGTCAGCATCAAAACCAGTGGTGTGCCATAGCCAGTTGGCACCAGCTCATGTAAACTGATTATGCATATCTCTTTCCAACTCCAGATTCAATGGCATTATATCACTAACTTAAATAGGCCATGGTGGAAGGGTTTACACCATAAATGAATCAGGGCTTTCTCCCCCAAGAGAGGAGGTTGTTAAACACTTTGCCAGTGCACTATTGATCAAAATTCATTAGGTAGATCCATGAGAGCTCAGACATAAATTTGAGCCAATGGTGAAGTGTGGGGGCAAGAATGCGGGTTGGAGACAGGAATAAAAATTGTTTTCTTAAATAAATTATTTAAGAAAACATAAATAATTTCTAGCTGTGTCCTTTTGAGAAATTAAATGGATACAGTTTAGCTGTTTAATCTTAGATTACTTTTTTATTCATTACCATACTGACCTTACATCTCTCACATGAGATTTGCCTCCCTCAACCACAGTCCAGAGATTGGAGTTTCTCTAACTAATGTCCAAACTGATCTTCTTAATGGAACTCAGAATGAGTGAGTGTGGCAGAACTTGGCTGCTGCCGATATTCTAAAGAGGGAGAACTGGTGAGACAGATGTCCTTAGATTTGCTGCCTAGTCCCCTAGTGACCATTTTAGTTTTTAGTATCTTCAACCATTTACTGTTAAGGGCAACAGTGAAAAAAAGCAAGTCCTCTGTAATAACAACAACTAACATTTATTAATTATTTATAATAATAACAATAATAACTGCAAATGCATATAACACTTAATTATGGGTGCCAAGCACTACTCAGTGCAAGTACTTTTCATATATAAATGTAATAAATACAGCAAACCCATGATGCAAGTTCTACAATGGTCTTCATTTTACATATGAGAAAACTGAGGCTCACACTGGTTTAGTCACTTGCGTAGGTGACACAGCTAGTAAGTAAGAGAAAGGATTTGACTATGGATATCCTAAGATTGTGCTCTTAACAAGAGAAAGAAAGAAGCCATTAAAAGGTGATAGAGTTAAATACTTACATAGATTCAGGTGTAAAATGTAAGTGATCCAAGTTAAGGTTGTCCAGGTCCTCACTTTTGAGAGAAGATATAGAAGACAAAGTGCCACGACGAGAACCTAGACACAAAAGACATCACTTGGGTGACGGATACAAACAAAAAAGCCCTTTCCCCTCACTTGTATTTCGCCCTATTTTCTCTGTGGAGGCAGGGTCAAGCTCAGTGACTTTCTCCTAGATAATATTAAGGGTTCTAATTCCAAAGAGGGATCCTCTTGGATGGATAGGGACTTCCACTGAGAGAAGAATAAAGCTGGGCTGCTTGCTTGCTGGCAGTGAAAACAACTTCAAATCTTGTATTTCATCAGGCCAGCCTCTTCAATGTTCCTAATGGGGTCATTACTCTGGACATTGGCATGGGATCTTATAGTGTGAGTTTCTGGGAAAGACGGAGGGGTATCTACTGCAGGATTATGGCTAAAAGAGGATGCATAAAAAATACATATTTATTCTTTGGGAGCTAAACAACAGTGACGAAGGCTAGAATAAGGGAAGAAGACAGAAAGATCCTTACGGCGTCGTGGGCTTGTCTGGTTAATATCTTCTGGGTCATCTTCCAGGAAGAAAGTTGAACTAAAGTTCTTAACAGATATTGTCTGTCTGCTTTCCTCATCCAGAGCTATAGAGAAAAGTGGGAGGAAGGAAAGCAAAAAAGAAAGGAGGAAGGGAGGGAGGAAGAAAGGAGGGAGGGAGGATGGAAGGAAGGAAAGATTAATTACACTTATTGAACATTTATCGAGCATCTATTTTGTTTAGTTAGTGGGTAGATGATGGAGACTCCCATTCGACCATCACGTCTCCTCCATGATACTGTTTGTAGTCTCAGCTTGCTTACAGTGTTGCTGTTTTTTCATATTCATGCCTGAGCTTTCTTTGTTTTACTGGTTACTCTTTTTTCTCTCACCCAGTACATGTGGTTGTGAGTAGAAGCTTGTGGCTGTGGATTGGGGTATCAGCATGGGAAACTCTCTGCTCTTCTACCTCCATTCTATTAGTTCATTTACTTATGTGGCTTTTGTCTATAATTGAGCCTCTAGGACTGTGCCACTCTTTCACTCTAATGTCTCACTCCACACCTGGAACATTTGGGAAGTCTCTTTCCTTTCACCAGCCAAATGTTGTATAGCTGAGATGCCCAGTCTCAGCCTGTGTCAAAGCTCATAGGTTCAATCTCTACCCCTACCAGGGAGGTATTTTCCTATCTCATAGCCACAAGCTACACCTCTAAATCTAACATATGTGTTGATGGAGCAGACTGAGGGTTGGTTGCGACAGTTATGGCTACATCCGTTTAATCTGATCCACACTGCTTGGAAACTAATTATAGAAATAGAGGCAAATTGATTGTTTAATCCTTCCACTGTGCAGAAGGGAGATTTTCTTTCTTTCTAGGAAACTTGGCTGAGGTTGTACGTGAAGGTACCAAGGCAGGGCAAGGCACCATGGCTAAAAGTCAAGGGCCAGCCAAAGGGACTTCCTTGCTGCATGGGACTTCTGCTCAGTTCCAATAGTTCAGTTAGAATACACTCATTCTTATACCACCTTCTGATCTGTTTCTCAAAGTATTGTGGGAAAGAAGTGGTCAGCAAAACATTCAATGAAGAAACTGAGGGAGTTGAAGAGTTTTCATTCTGAGTTGGGAAGTTTGCAGACTGTCGTGAGTTCTGAGCAATGGTAATTAATGCTAGAACTGTCAGGACCACTCTCAGGGCCCTTGTGCCTGATTAATCATGTGCAACACATGCAGAGTTGAACACCATTTTCTTTCTAAAATAGTCATAGGCTCAGTGGTTGGAAAGAAACAGGAGAAGGAGGAAAAAAGTCTTATGGCTGGTGGTGGAAGCTGATAGAGCTTTGAACCAGGTCACTTAGCATCTATTAATATAATTGTATAGGATGAGTGTTGGTTTCCAAAAATGAGTAGCAGGAGTTGACTGTCTGGGAGGTAGGAGGAGCCAAAGGGGCAGCTTAGCAGGACTGAGGCTTTTCAAATCAGTAGTCTGAATACTGACTTTGTATACAATATGAATGCAGAATCTAGACTTTTTGTAGCAGAGTCAGAGAGCAAACCCGGAGTCAGTGAGGCCAGTAAACCATCCTCTGGAACTTTTTCTTTCCCCTACCTCAGTCACTACAACCCTGGCCACCTTACCTTGTTCAACTTGAAATATGATGAGTTTCAAGGATTTCTGGAGACTCTGGGCCTTTGTAGCCAGCTCCAACTTGCACTTGGCTATGTGGTCTATTTGAGGAATGAAGGGCTTCCTATCTGCCTTGCTGCTGTCTGCATATTCTGTAGCACTTTTTTCAGCAGAAGTAGCTGCTGCCTCCTCAGCCAGGACATCGATCAGGACACTGAGCCTATCATACATTAAGTCACTCTATATAGAAAGGAAGGAGACAGGGCATTGTTATGAGGGACCCATGCTTGAGAGGACAGAATGAGGAGTGGTGGTGATATGGGGAAGGGTAGGGAGGGGTAAGAGTTGTCCATAAATGCTGAGCATAGAAAACCACATGTGAGAAGATGAAGTACTTAGCAAAAGAAGTAGGTGGGAAGATGTGATGAGATAACCAAAGGGTGTTAGGAGATCAAACACATATCATTTGTTTCTGAGTGGCCCCATGCATCAGTGTATATAGCTGAGTCTTTCTTGTGTCAAACGGGCCTATAAAACAATGTATAACATGCAAACTTGAGGAAAGACAAATATTTCTGGATTTTCATGGGCACGCTCCTCTGGATATGAACGTGTCCCTGCTTGGGTGCTTGGTGTGTGTCTTTGTATGTGTACAGGCTTGGGGACCTACATCTGCTGCATGATTTAAGGCCTTGATTCTTAGCTCCATCACTTAATAGTTTGCGATCTGAGGCAAGTTTCTTAACCGCTTTGTGCCTCCATATTCTAGGGTAGTTGTGAGGAATAAATACATTAATACATTAAAAACAGAACAGTCCTTGACACAGAGTAAGTGCTATATAAATGTTGGCTATTGTTGTTAGAGAGGTAAATGTGAATGTATTTGTAGTGTGTATTCGTATGTACATACTTGTAAGCATGTTCTGGTGTACAACCATGCACATACCTGCTTGATGTACACTTGTGTCTAGTTGTGGGCAGATGCTTGGCATGTACATGGTATGTGTGTATGCATGCAGAGCGCCATCCTTCATTTAGCAAAAGATGGAAGTTCAATGAGGTTAGACCTTCCTCATCAGGGAGGCTTAACAGCTGCCCCTCCTTTCCTTTCTTTTACCATTCCCAGTGAGAGGCATGTTTGCTTTTTATTAAAAAGGGCCCCTGGCTGCTCCACAAAGAGTATAAGACAAAAGGAATGGGAACTTACTTTCAAAATCACAGACACTATTGCAGTGTTGTTCTGTTTTATCTGACCCCAGGCCTTTACAATATCAACCACAAAATCTTCCACAGCTGAACACAAGAATCTGGAAAGATAAAATAGATGGCACAATGTTACATGAACCATGAGGCCCAGAGCCCTTCTCTCTTATGTCATCAGTCCCCATCCTCCTCCTCTCTCTCTTTCCTGATCTGTCCTCTTTCTCTCACCCTCTGCTCCCAGCCTTTTTCTCTCTGCTTTTTTTTTCCTGTGCATATGGTGAAATATGTTCCATCCCCACTTTAGTTCAGTGTCACACCACTTCCCAAGTCAAGAACCTAATAGAGCTTGACCAGCATTTCTTAGTACTAATTCTGAATTTCCAGAAAAGAGAATTCACTTGGTCCAACTTGGGTCAGGTTTTCACCTAGGTTCAATCAGCTATGTTTCAAGGGCCCAGCTAATTTAGTACAAACAATTATATTGGGAGGACTCTCCCTGTGGGAAGTTTTTCTCAAAGGAGAGTGTAGTCGACTGGGCAGGAGCCCCCTAAGAAGTCCCAGAAGAAACAAATGACCCACATATTTAGAAGGGGGAATGTGTTCCTCAGGTTATGAGAAAGCAGCTATAGGCAGATATTGCAGAGACCTTTCTTAATGTCAAAGACGGAAAGCAAGGTGTCTATACTATAGGGAGCTATGCTATGCTCCTAAATGGTCTATAATGTTGTGTTTCCCTACTATAATTCTCTTCCCAAATCTCTGGCTTGCAATTTTGACTTTTTGGAGCAGCAGACGACTTCACCTCAATGTCATCTTTCTTTCCTAAACTTTCCATTCAGGGGGTTTGAGTTGGGAGAAATCTGATTTGGGAACATAAACATGTATTTTCCTTGGCCTCAACACCCTCAGCTATCAAAATGAGCCCCATGTCTGACCTGGGAACAGCCCCAAAGGATGAGAGCCAAAGGAAGACTGACCTGGTTGCGATGATCATCTCTGTGGGGTACTTGGCCTTCAGGATTTTGTTCAACTCGGTGGCTGCAGATTCTAAGTGTTGGATGGCAGCAGCCTAGGGGCAAAAGGAGTTCTTAGCCCTGGAATCTTAGTACAATAACACAGTGTGCTGCCCATCCTCATCCCCTGCAGCCTCATTGTTTCTTACTGACTCTACCCGCAACTCAACTGCCTCTCTGGAAATGATAATGATCAAAGAATTCTTGTTGAAGGTCAACAGAGATGATCTTAGATCTATGCGTATTCTAAAAATTTAGATGTATTTCATTTTCTCTTAATAATCAAAACCTCATATGAAGGAGGTACTATTTCTTTCATGTTTCAAATGAACAAACAATCTCATATTACATAGCTAGTAAGGAATAAAGCTGGATTCGAATCTACATCTTTCCAATTCCAGAATGTAACTTCTTTAATAATATTACTACCAATAATAACAGCACCCACTTATATAGTACTGACTATGTGCCAGGCTCTGTTCTAAGCTACATGTATATTTTTTCATATAATCCTCATAACAACCCTATGAGATAAAGACTGTTATTATCTCCATTTCACAGAAGAGAAAGCTGAGCCCAGAGAAGGGAAAGATGATAAATTGTAGAGCCAGGATTCAATTCCAGGTAGTCTGGCTCTTGAGTCTGTGCTCTTAATTACAACTTCTACTCCTTCCTCTCTATCACCCTTGACATTCAAACATCTACCAAGACTTGATAATTCTATTTTTTGAGTATGTCTCAAATGTATCCACTGCTACTCATCCCTGCTACCACTTCACCAGTCCAAATCACCATCACCTCTTGCCTAGACAATTACAACATCTCCTAGCTTTTCTCTTTGCCTCTAGTCTTTTATTCCTTCAATTGTTTCTCCACATACCATGGCACTCCTCTACTTAAACCCCTTCTCTTAGATAGCAGACTGGATAGATGACTGGATATGTGATAAAGCACGCATAGGAAAATGTTAGTAGTAGAGCTACCATTTTAACTTTCATCAATGTAGAAATTTTCATAATAAGATAAGAAAAAAATCTTCTGTAATTCTTATTGCTCTTAGGATGAAATCCAAACTTCCTACTGTGGTTTATCAGGCCCTTTCTGGCCTGGCCCCTGATTACTTCTCTAGCCTCATCTTTAGTCACTCTCCCTGAATGCCCCCTTCCTGGCCCCTACGCCTCAGCCATTATGAATGTACTTCAGTTTCGTGAATATTCCATGCTCTCCCTTGCCTTTGGAACAATACACGCTGTTCCATCTGTGTGGAACAGCCCTCCCCTTTCTTATTCTCCTGGTTAATTCCCTCTGGATCTCAAGTATCTTGTGAAATGGCACTCCTTCTGAGCGGCTTTCCCTGATTTCCCCAGACTGAGATAGATCTTCCTGCTATGTGTTCCCAACCCCCTCTACTTCCTTATATACTAACACTCATACTACTTGATTAAAACAATTTATTTTTCCATCTATTCAAGTAGACTATGTCATTCTTCTTTACCCAGTAGCATATAAGAACATCTCCTAGAATAATATCTCACATAAAGTAGTTACTCCATAAATATTTTGAATGAATAAGTAAATGAGTGAATGAATTATATCCCCAGTGCTTAACATAGTTCTTGGTAAATAGCTGCTGACTGACATGTCACCAACTCTCAATGATCTCATCCTCATCCATGCACAATGCAAAAGCTTCTCTCTGGGTTTTGCCAATTATTTCACTGAGTAATAAAGATATTGGTCTGAATTACAGCTGAACAGTAGTTACCTCAAATCGTGGTACATCCATTTCAACCTGTCCTTTTAGCAGCGGGGTTTGTCTGGGAGTCTCACGAATCATCACACTCCATCTGAAATGAATTTCAAAGACGGATATTTAAGGGTCTGTTTCATGACTGGTAAAAATTAGTGCTTCAAAGGTGAAGACAGAAGTAAAAATGTTTATGTGGTGGGGGGAGGTGGGTTGTAGGGGGTGTCCAAGCAATCTCTGGTCACCTGATCTCAAGGTGACCATAAGAGGGACCTCTGTCTCATGACTTCTGTAGGCCAGTGTGATGGAAGGAATTGCCTTCCCTTTACAGGGTTCTCAGAGAGCAGTGCTTCTTAACCAGAGGTAACCATCAAGATCATCTGAGGTGCTTTTGTACAATACACATTCCAGGGCCCTGCCAAGACCTACTGAATCTTTGTGGTGGGGTTCAGGTTGATGTTTTTAAAAAGCTCCCCAGGAGATCCTTATGGGCAGCAATAAATCAAATGCTCCTATATACACCAGCATAGAAAGTCTTTTTTTCCTCAGGAGATAGGATGGTAGTACTTGCTCTTCTCTAGAGCAGTGACAATGTAAGCAAGTTATTTCTAAACTCTCCCTCCATCCCTTTTTTAGTTTCTTTGAAAATCTGATGAAATTATAGACTTTTCCCCAAGAGAGAATATGCTTAAACAGATCATTGGCTCTGCAATTTGAAGAGGGTTCACTGAACCCTTGAACGTTATCCATGGGGCCCCTGCTCTAGAATCGTCTAGTTTTTTTGGTGTTTTTGTTGTTGTTGTTTTTGTTTTGTTTTGGTTTTTTTGAGACAGGGTCTCATTCTGTTGCCCAGACTGGAATGCATTGGCATGATCATGGCCCACTGCAGCCTTAACTTCCCAGTAGGATCCTTTAGTTTTGAAGAGGGGCTTCAATGTTTGAAGGATACATGGTAGACCCTGGCTTCCCAAGAGACAAGCCCCACCCAACCCACAAATGGCTCTGCACTGAAGCCAGAAAGGAAATGAGGCTCTATCAATCAGAGAGGTTAAAGTATTCCTGATTGAGATGATGTGAGTGATGTGGGACAGGAAGAGGCACAAGGGCCTGGTCTTTCAGCCACTTACCTGTCTAGGATCCTCACACTAGCCTGCTCCACTCTGTTGAGGATGTCCAGAGGTGACTTGCTTTTGTTCCAGAATGCACCCCAGCCCAGAACACGAGCCAGATCATTGCCGGTTCCAAGTGGGATGACTGCCAACTGACACTGCAAGAACAAAAGGAGACACCCTTTTCAGACAGTCTTTCTACCAAGCTTCACCCATGAAGGAACCCAGAGGGTACTCTTTGGGAAGAATTATGGTCTTAAAACCAGTGGATTTACGGGACTTCAGATTCTGGGGAAGGTAATGAGAGGATGTTTGCAATTGGGTGAAATTTTCCCTAAGGAGTTGGACCCCAGTGTTAACAACACAGAACCTACTAAGTAAAGGGAAAAGTTGCCGGAATATGACAATATTCATGGCCATGCTTAAAGAAGAGAAATATAGCTGTGAATTTCTATCTGGGCTGGGCCAAGGAGGTGAAGTACGTCAGGAGACAAAGCTACTGGAGTGAGAAGAGCAAGGCGGCTGCCTAAGGACAGTAAGGAGACATAGAGGAAACTTTCTGCCACTCTTGAGACTCAAGGAAGAAAATCAGTGGGTTCAGGAGGGGAAGGAAATTGGGGGTTGAGTGCTGTCTAAGACCACTTCTGTTTTGTTTGCTCTCCTCCCCTTCAATTCTTCACTTTGAAGCCTAGGGAACAGAGCACTGCTCGTTCTTTCTGTCGATGTCACACAGATAGACAACCAGAAAACAGTGTAGATGAGTAGGCTTAGATTGGGAATCTACCAGTCAGGCTGAATATGAAACCTGGGGGAAACATATTTTACAGACAGGGAGGGCGAAGACTTGGGACTTCTTGGGATGGGCAGCTGCACACCCCTACTCTTTCTAGCAATGGCTAAACTGAGTCATCCAGGGACTTACCTTTTCATGTAATCCAAAGGCATCAATCAGAGATAAGACCCAGCTCACGCTGCCATCTCCACCACAAACCAGAATGCGAAAGCGAGCAAAGTTCTTGAACATAGACAGCCTGGAAGGACAAAGAGGAAAGGGGGTCATTTCATGAACAGCTGGGTTTTGTAACTTTTCCTACAATGTGTCAGGACACAAGGATTGCTGCTTTGGCACTCTGCTAACAGACCACCTGCCTTCTTTCCCTTAGCCCTTATCTGTCTGTGGGATCTAAGACCATAGACCATCCCAGAGATCAGGCTTTGCCTCAACTCATTTTCTTTCTGTGCCTCTGGAAAACACTAGTAACCTAAACAGACCCATTTGCTGAGGCCCAGGAAGATGCCTTGCATGGTGGCCAGTGGGCTCACAGGAACCAGGACTGAGCAGCCAGATGGTCCCAAAATAAAACAGGTCTATAGAGGAGATATATCTATTTGGTCCCGGGAAAGAGAGTGGCAGGAAAAGTAGACAGCAGTATCCATTTGTCTCTTTCTCTCAGGTTAGGAGGCATAGTTTTACGTTTTCCAACCAAAAAAGATAAAGCAAATCTGACAGGGGCTTGGACATGGGCTTGAAGGGATTTCTGGGAGAGGGCTAAGAGCCCTCCTACCAGCCAACCCAAAAGGCTCTGGAGTTATGTGCTTGTGTCCTGACTTGAGAAAATAGACCTTTCCTGCCCAAATACAAGAACTGATTCCAAGAAGCCTGTTTTAGTTTAGAATGTATAGAAGGAAGACTCCCTTACATACCCAATCATATCCATGGGATACAGGCTTACCCTGCTTCAGGTCCACCCTTCAATAAGTCGAACACTTGAGATGGGTTAAGGTATTGCTTGAATTTTCGGAGGAAGACGATCCCCTGATGATCGCCACTTTTGGAGTTGATGAAGATGAGCAAGGGACATGAACAGGCTGATGACCAATCAAGATTCCAGAAGTCTGAAGATACTACTAATTGGCCTGACACAACGAAAAGAAAAAGAAGAAAAAAAAGAACGGACCCGTTGAGATGGAAACGAGACATGACTTAACATCACATTTTGCAATAACTTTTTGAGTATGAGTCTCAGTCTTTTGAAAATGAGGAGCAGAGGAAAAGTCAAGATACCACCCAGAGGGGCTTAAAAGTATTTGTTGTATTTGTCTAGCTGTTGTCAGACAAATGACATTTGCTGAGCCACTACCACATGCCAAGCATCATGCCAGATACTGCTAGGGGTATAGTCCCTGCCTTCAAGCTCAGGAGAGAGACTCATACACAACAGTATGTTGGAACATAAGGAATAAAGAAATTGGTGCCACAACAAAGGATTAGTAAAACTGTGAGGAAACTGAGGAAGGAGAGGATTGAGAACCCAGGAGGAAGACCAGCACACAACTAGTCCTTTCTCTGCCCAGGATACCTCAGTTCTTATAGTGAGAAGATACCAGGTCAGGAGAGAGGGGAAGGAAAGGCTGTCATTTAGCCAGGAGCTAATAACAGAACGTATCAATGTGGGGTGAAGCAAAGAGCTTTAATCACTTCTCTAAGGCTGTTGCAGAGCAATCTGTGTTATCTCACCAACTTCCCTGGGGAAACAAGACTATAGGAAAATTATCTGAACAAGGGAGAGGCTTTTAATAATCTCCAATATTGTAGTTACCCATAGAGAAGTAGGGTTATAGCAGTCTAAATAACCAAAGCCTGCCAGCTCGTGCTGAGTCTCAGAGCCTGTTGGCAGGGAGACAGGCAGTGTGCAATGGCCTCCTAAGAGATGCTAGACAAATAGTGAGCCCCCAGACCTCGGAGCTGTGGCTTGACAGGGATGCCTCTGCAAAAATAAATACACAGGGCAAAAAGCATGTGGCTCACTCCTCAGTGGGGGTGGGAGGAGGTGGGTTGAGAAGACCCATTTGTTTTAGCCTGGGTGAAAGGGAGCCTGAAGGAAATCTACTTGAGCAGATTTCATAACTGGTTTGCCTGGAAAAATCAAAGGCAGGTTTCCCCTATGGGCCAATTCCCACTCACTGGCCAGTGGAGCTTGAAGGCATCCTAAGCCAGCTAGCCAGTCATGCACCAAATTTTTAGGACTTGCCAGGACTCACAGCTACAAGGGGAGTCTTGTAGAAGCTGGGTCCCCTCACTAGCATAGCTCGGAAGTAGTTACTTTCCCCGAATACATTATCCAAAAGTAGTACCCCTTCCAACATTTTTTTACTAAAGTAATATGTTGACACAATGGTAGTTAAGACACATTAATCCCTTCATTCAATAAATATGTATGGAGGGCATTCTCTGTGCCTGCTTTATGTCCTGAGAATACAGTGGTGGACAAGATAGAAATAGTCTCTGCCCTTGTGGAACTTATATTTTAATGGAGGAGACAGACCATAACAAAGAATTATAAAAAAGAATTTGCCATGAAGAAAAATAAGGTAGGGAAAGGGGGTAGATATTGGAAGGGGTGTTATTTTAGACAGAGTGTCAGGGATGGCTTCTTTCAGGAGGTGACATTTGAGATGAAACTTGAATGAATGCAGGAGTGAGCAATGCAGGGAAGAGTGTTTTGGGGGTAGGAAGAAGAATAAGTGCCAGGACCCTGAAAAGGGAGACTGTCTGGGCTGTCTGAGGACCAGTGAAGAGAATAGTATGGTTATTGTGGAGTGAGTGGGGGGGGAGTGGCAGAAGATGAGGTCAGAGAGGTGACATGGGACAGATCCAATGGCAACAAGATGTTGGAGGAAGCAGTGCAAAAATAAGGGGAAGACTGTTCAGCATGGACTTGAGACGTCACGAGTCAGGTCTTAAGATATTTAAAGAAAGTAGTCAAAAGGTGTTAACTTTTTATGTGCTTGCTCCCCTACCAATGAACAATGCAGGCCCCAATTCATGGCCTAGCCCCAAGCTTACCTCTCCCTTGTTTTAGAACCTGTCTGTGCTCTGTGCTTCCCTTTCTCACTCTGCAACCCTCTGTCAACACCCTCTAAGTGAGCATATGACTTTGGGTATGCACCCTAATTAAAGGACTCATGGAAGCAACTTCTTGCCAACATCTAGTGGCTCTCTGAGGTGTGCTTGGAAGCAAGCACTTTCCCTGCCAGAGGTCCTGGAATAAACCTATCTATGCCCCCAAAGTTTTTGTTTTGTTTAGTGTCAAAGGCCCTTTGGGGGTAGTTCCTCTCTAAAGGTGAGACAGCAGTGGCAGTGAGACCAACCACTGTGTACTATTTGGGCCTCAGTTTCCTTATCTTCAAAATGAATCATTCAAAAACTTAAATTAGTTTCCCAGTGTTTAGATGAAAATGGACCTTTAAAAGCCAATCATTATGCTCATAATTTGGCTCCTAAAGATGAGAAGATGGTCAAACTTACTCATAACAAGAAATATACAGATTAAAACTAGCCTATGTTAACATTTTTTTTTCTTGTCTAGAACATTGGCAAAAAAAAAAAAAAATAGATAACACACTTGACTGGGGAGGCCATGGGGAAATAGGCACTCTCATACACCAAGAATGGACGTGCTGAGTGACACAAGCCCTGTAGAGGTGAATTTGACAGTATCTATGAAAATTACAGAGGCATATGCATTTTGACCTAGTAATTCCATTTCTTGGAATTTTTCATATAGACGTGTATGTAAAAGGATATGCATGAGGCTGTTCACTGTGGCATTATTTGCAATAGCAAAAGACTGAAAACTACTAAATTATTCATCATAGTGGACTGGTTAAGTACGTTATGGTGTATCCATACAGCAGAATATCTTGTAACTGTAAAAAAGAGCGAGGAAGCAATTTGTTGATAAGGAAAAGTCTCCAAAATATACTGTGAAGGAGAAAAAGAGCAAGGCGCAGAACAATGTGCATAGTATTAAAAGGGGTGGATAAGAATATCTATTTATATTTACTGGTATATACATGAAGAACTACTGGAAGGTATTTAAGAAACTAATGGCAGTATTGAACTGTGAGTGAGGATATGGGGGCTGTAGGAGATTGAGAAGATCAGAGAAAAGATAGCAGCAAGACTTTTCATTAAGTATTATGTGTATATATGTATTTCTTTTTTAAAAAACTGAACCATGTGAATATATTAACTAGACAAGAATTGAATTAAGAAATAGGAAAAAAGAATTATGCTAATGCTGTCTATAAATTAAATAGCCATGAGGGTGTAAACTAGAGTGAGCATAGGAAGCTTAGGGAGAAAATTCTGTAATTAAGGCAACTTGAACTTTAACATCAAACCTCATCTGTGGATGGGAAGACAGTGGGACATAGCCCCAGCAGGAAGGCAGTCCCAGGAGACTACAGGGGCAGCTCCATCTAGTATTTCCCCCTGAGGAAGAGAATATCTGAATTTCAGCAAGGCCAAGTTTGTCAAGAGAATCTTGTGAACCAGGTGACAAAGATGGGTGCCACTGAGGGCAGAAATGTAATAATGTTAAGATTTATAACCAGGCAATCCTTTCCACAAGATTGCTTTTGAATAGACTGATGTTAATCATAAGGGAGTGCCCAGTATTATTCCACAATTTTAATTGACAATTCACATGGAAACATAGAAGTCTGGCTTGTGAACTCTGAAGTACTCAAAGCTGGAGGAAGAGATACTTAATGACAGAATCAAGATTGAAAAGTGACCTTGACAGGCTGACTGGTCAAAGTCCAGGGATGAAATGTAAAGGGAATAAATGTGAAGCTTGCCCTTTAGGCTCAAGGACATAAATTGTACCAGAACAGGACAATACGAACTTGACTTGGCAGCATCAAGTGTGAAAAGAGCTTAGGGGACTTAGTTGACTTTAAGCTCCTGATGAGTCAACAGCCTGAAAGAACCTTTCAAAAAAAGCTCATGTTTCTTTGAGCTGCATTAATATAACCATAGTGCCCTAAACAGGGAGCCAACAGTCCCACTCAAATTCATTCTGTTCACTCCAAAGAAAGATGCGAAATTGGCATAGGTTGGCTTACCATTCTCTTCCCGTACTTTTAAAATCCTCCCTTACAAATGTCAACTCATTTAACCTTCATGACACACCTGAGTACAATTGTTATTCCTTATTGGCAGAAAACAAATGCCAGATTAACCACAGAGAGGTTAAGTAACTTGTCCAGGGGCATACAGTAAATGATAGAGTGTGTTTCTAGGACTAGTAGTATCAGCAACATCTGGGACTTGTTAGAGATGCAATTTCCTGGGCCCCACCCAGATCTACTGAATCAAATGCTCTGGGGGTAGTGCCCAGAAATCTGTGTTTTAACAAGCCTTTCAGATGCTTCTGATACAACAACCACTGCACTTCACTATTTTTTCTCCATATGAGCCAGTGATGCTATCTTAGTCGTTGCTCAGCATTGAGCCTTACATACAGGCAGTATTCAGTAAATGTATTAAGGAATTCATGTAACAAATCTTGACTGTGTGTATACCGTATACCCAGGTCTGAGTCAAGTGCTAAGGATACAGAGAGCTCACAGTCTGGGGTGGAAGATGGACACCATTATAATGTCATGTGTTAGGTGCTTTGAGATATGTCTTCTTGGTTTATAGCCATAGAAGTAATTGATTTGTTTGGGAGAGTGGGAAGAGGCCATTACAGAAGCTGTCAAACAGAGAAGACAATGTTTAATTTTGAGCTGGACCCTAAAGGATAAGAGAAGGAATATACCAAGCAGACTGGATAGGAAAAAGGGATAATTGGAAGGAATTCTCAGAAATTAGAGTCTACTGACTGAATAAATATATACGTGAACAGATGGGTGTGACTCAACGCTAGCAAGGGCCTTCTCAGAAAGTCATGAGCTGGATGCCCTCATGACTTCAGCTGGGTGCTGAAGAAAGGATTCTCTAGCTCAGCCAGGGGGCATTGAACCAGACCATCTTTAAGGACCTCACATGGCTAAGATTCTATGACTGGAAGATGCAAAAGATTCCTCTGGGATGGGACCTTCCAGTAGGAAACTTACCCATTAAAGGGCATAAAGCCACAGCCAAGAAGCCAGGAAGACAGAGTCAAGAAGATAGGGAAGTTTGAAAGACATTTCTAAGAAGTTCTAGGACAAGTAATGCATGATAGAAAGAAGGGCTGGCAGTGAGTGAGATTCAATTGGATCAAGATTGCAGATGACTAGGAGGAAAAGTTAAAAGCTAACTCATGGGATATTAAATAAGACACCAAACAAAAAGAATAGATTAGCCCAGGTGCTCCTAAGCAATAATATTATATCACTGGTGGAAAGAAGAAGAAAGTAACAATGCCATTATTTGACAAGCTATAACAAGCATAAGAAGTGATATAGGATAGGAAGAAATAAATTTTAAAAACACCAACACAAGGACAGGAAGCACAGAACATGTTTGGCCCAGTTACAAAGGAGAGGCGGCAACCCTCTTAACACCTATTTGGGGTCATTTGTGGCATGCTGAGGTGGGCCATCTGCTTAAAGACATCTTTGTCAGGTCCCTGTGGGGGTGAGCAAAATGTCTCAGATTCAAAACTAGGTTGATTTCACTACCAGCCTGATTTTGCTCAGCTGACCAGTTTGCTACTTTTCTTCTTGTATCAACTGCATCTTCCCCTAGTCCCTCATTCTCCTAACTAGGCAAGTATCTCTTATTTACTAAGTCATCAATTTCATCACCTCTTTGGTCAACTACCTGGTGGGTGACTCCATATGGATAACTATTTGAGTAGATCTGAGAATAATATATGCATGTATACCTGAGTGAAATTCAGTTTTGTGTCTTTACATGTTATTATGGGGACATATGAGTATACTTGCCTGCAGAAACCTGTATGAATGGCTCATTCCATGTACTAAGGTCTAGCTATATCTGTGTTAGGGTTGGAAAAATAACCGGAAGGATCTAGAGTGGCTGTGTGTGTGTGTGTGTGTGTGTACGCGTGCACATATATATGAGCACGCACATACACATGTGGTATGTCTAGTTCTAAAACTATGTTGTAACGGCTACAGGAATCTTTGCCCCCTTCTGTTCTCTAAGGAAACCATCTACTCTTCTTTCTTTTCCTTTCTTTGCTTCCAGCTAATGCTGGCTCTTCCCTGGCAGTGAAGTGAGCAACTAGCATCTATGTGGGGATAATTTTTAAGTCAGTGAAACGAGGGCTCACTAATCACTCTTGGACCAGTGGATATCCCACACGTCAGAGATGGACAAATTAGCAAATTAGAGAAATATAGATTAAAACATTCCAGGAAGAATTTGAACTTTCCTCCAGTAAGTGAAATTGACCATATATAGAGTGAAACTAATCATACACAAACTGAAATTTATGAGCAGTGTATCTCTTCCCTGGCTTAGTGAAATAGTAGTATGTCAGTGGTAAGTATATTAGATTTCTAAATCTCTTAGTATTAGTAAAATAGGTTAGGTCTTTTAAGCTGTGATATATGATTTTGATCTTGACAGTTCCCACTCTTTAATAATGAGTAATGGGAGAAGTAAATGAACAAGTCAATGGCAAAAAGGAGAGTCTCTCAGAAAAAACAAAGAAAAAGTAGGGAAGGAGAGGTGAATTCAAAAGGCAGGTGCCAAAGAGTGAATCATCCCTGTGGGGTCTGCACTTTTTATTAGGCTAGGAGACTAGATATTTAGTTGCCCAAGAAGTTGAGGGATTTAATTTTATGGTCCTTTGAGGTTATGTTTTTAGATACTTAGGCCCTTCACATATTATCATCTATCTTCACAATAGATAGCTTCATTCCCGTTTACAGATGGGGAAAGCAAAGCTCAGAGAATGTAAGTGACTAACCCAACATCACATATCTAGTAAGTAACTAAAGCTCATAATTGCCTAGCTCTTGTTTTTTTTCCTTACGTCATGATACCTCCATGTCTTACTTATTCTTAAACAAACACAAAAACTATACAAAATACCCTTCTTCTTGGCTTCTGCTTTTTTTGTTCTAACATTGCTAGACCTCTTGATAGAAGACTCTATACAAAGTTTATTCTTGCTGCATTGATTTCATTACTACCTCCTTTCCGCTCAACCTCCTATAAATGGTTAATATTTCTAAGGTTTTCTCATTTCCAAATGTCTCTACCATTCCCTTGGCACTTAGCATATGACACATCAAATTGTTAATTGTTGTATTATATCAGTAGCCTGAATCCACAATAATCAATAGCTCTGGCAATGCCCATGTCTTAGATCTTTCTGTAGCCTTCAGACACCTTGAGAACAGAGTTCTTAATAAATCACTAGAGTCCAGGAATTGACAAAGCATCAGTGAAGTTGGGGTAATGATCATGTTAGTTTCATATTTAGGAACAACATTGGTGTTTGTTTCCATTTTAAAAGTAAGATAACCTGGCCTTCATGAAGTTCTTCCTTGACCACCTGGACACAAACTTATTTAATGACTTATCCAGTGTTTGGAAATCATGAAAAAGCTGAAATCAATTCTGATCAGAAACAATTGTGACCGAGCTACAGAGAACATGCCCACATACATATACACCAGAAAGAACAACATTCACAATCCCAAAGGTAAGAGAACCAGGAGCTATCTATATACACATGCACAGTCCTACTTCCCCAAAATGTTTGACTGGTTGAGGAGAATAATTTAATTGCAGTGCTTCTTCCCAGCCTTTGCACCTTCCCTACATGCCCAATGTGCTTCTGAGGTTAAGATTTAACTACTCACCATCGCCTTTGGGGTCGCTTAGAGCAGTGGGAGGAATGACTGATGAGCGATGGCTTCTGAAGCAACATTCCTTGGAAAACCGTCTCCTACAGTCATCATGCACCTGAAACGACAAGAGAAGAGCAGAGAAAAAAAAGGAGGGGGAGAGAAAAGGATATCATTGATCAGTCTTGAGTTCCAATACCAAGATTTAGATTCTTAGTATTTAATCTCCCTTTCTGAGATTTGGTGCCATACATATATCCCTAACTCACCTGAACACCCCCATTCTACTCTGAGCCTACACTGTCTCTCAGTGTGGCCTCAGAACTCTGGTCCTTTCAAAGGTAGCTTTCAGAAGATACCCACCTACAGGCACTGAGAAATCACCAGTTCTAAGGCACAACCTTAGTGGCCTGCAGAATGGGGAACTTACATGCAGTATAAAAGAGTTAATAATAATAATCTAATATTACACTTCAATCCTTATAACAACAGGTGTGTGAGGTAGAAAAAACACTATTGAATTCATTTTAAAAATGAAGATGCCAAAGCTCAGAGAGGTAAAGGGTTTTGCCCAAGGTCAAACAGCTGGGAAGTGACAGCTGAGACTCTGCTGCCTTTCCCACAAGCGGCCATTCTTTCCAGATTTCTGACATCTTCAAGTGCCACTTCCTGGAAAATTACACATTTTCTAGGGGGAATGAACCTGGCCTGGTTATTCAAAAGCAATTGAAAAAAAAAAACAGAGGACAACCAGAGTCTTCTAAGAAGAAGCCCATACTTCAGTTTCTTCTTGTCTAGAAAACTCAGTTTTGGAGAAGCATCTAAAAGGCTAGAAATCTAGATCAGGGTCTCTCAACTTCAGCATTACTGATATTTTGAGCCAGATAGTTCTTTGTTATGAGAGGCTGACCTGTGCATTGTAGGAGGTTCAGCAGAATACCAGGCCTCTACCCACTCCATGTCAGTAGCGCTTCCCTCCACCCTGAGTTGCAAAAATAAAAAATGTCTCCACACACTGACAAATGTCTCCTGGGGGGCTAAATTACCCCCAGTTGAGGACCACTGGTTTAGAGGCATGGTAGTGTTGTAGTTAAGAGTGTGGTCGGCTGGGAACGGTGGCTTATGCTCATAAGTCCAGCACTTTGGGAGGCCAAGGTAGGAGGATCACTTGAGCCCAGGAGTTTGAGACCAGCCTGGGCAACATAGCAAGACTCCGTCTCTACAAAAAAATTAAAAAATTAGCTGGGCATGGTGGCATGTGCCTGTAGTCCCGGCTACTCTGAGGAGGCTGAGGTGAGAGGAGCCCACCTCACACGAGCCCAGGAGTTTGAGGCTGCAGTGAGCTGTGATTGTGCCACTGTACTCCAGCCTGGGCGGCATAGTGAGACCCTGTCTCAAAAACAAAAAACAAAACAAAACAAAAAAGAGCATAGTCTTTGCAGAATTATGTATGAATCAAGACTCTTGCTTACTGGCTGAATGACCTTGGACAAATGAAATTGGTCCAAATGACCTTGGACCCCTTCACTTTTCTGACCCTCACCTTCCTCATCTGTAAAATGGGAACAATGAGGCCCGGTTTAGGCTTATTGGAAGGAATAAATGAGATCATGTATATTAAGCACTCAGTATATAGTGGCAATAATAATGTGTTAATATTATCAACCATTTTTAATTAATAAAGGTTACAAGTTCCTAGGAAATAGTGAATGAGAAAGGGAGTAGGTTTCTCAAAGGCAGACTCAGAACTTATTTTTAATTGCCCATACTGCCATTAGAGAGCTCAGCTTTTCCCATTTGTTAGTAGGCCTCACCAATTAAGAAGCAACAAAGATGGTCTTAAATCTTTCTCCCAAAGAAAGGCTCCATAGTCAGATCTGGAAAGGCAGGATACTAAGATTTATACTATGGAATCTGTTTAACCTGTTTTGAGATAAGAGTTTCTTAGATTTCTATCTATGTGTATACATGGTCAAGCTCTAAGCCACTCCCTCGCCAGGAGTTAAGTTCTCTAAATATCAAGATGAGAAGAGTCTTACCGTAGAATTACACCACAGGCAGCGGAAGTCTTGAAGTCTTTGATAACTGCCACAGCTCTCATGACACACTGCACACTGAGAGCTGACAGGCATGTTTCCTTCTACCCATTGATGGGGCATGTTCTGCAGAAGGGTAAAAAGACACAGGAGGTAGAAGTTAGAGACATAAGGAGAGGAAGGGCCAACTGGAATAATTGTACTACTCCATGGAGGACATTAGGTAAATGACCCAAATGACCCTGCCCTCCCTACTCCAATGCAAGTGAACAATGACAAGTGGAGGAGGGAGGTTCATTCTTCCAGATAAGTTGGATTGTGAGCCTAGGACTTTGCTTATCTGGAGTTAGGAAGAAGTCTTCCTCCCCCTGTGTATCCTGGTTGAAGGGGACATGGGAGAGGCCGACTGTGGGAAGACATGGCTAGTACTTACTACTTCATCTGCAGGCAGAAGGAGGTCATCAGTGATAGACAATGTATTCCACTTGCAGTCTTTGCTTGCTCTCAAAGCACACAATCTGTGAGATTTCACTTTGCACACTGTGAGAAGAGGAAGAGAAAAGATGGGTGTGAATCTGGTGACAGTGAGGATTCTAATTCTCTTCCCAAAGCTGCTCTGAAAGTTAGAACACAGATGCATTCTAAATAGTTCTAATGCACCTCCAAAAACCTATTTCCAATAGGATCCAGTTCCTTTTTATTCTTACTGGCTAATCTTTTTATTATCCAACTTGAATGAAAATTGATGGTAAGAATGAGGTGATTTCTGTCTTTTTAACACTTGTGATAATATAGTCCCATCCCCCCACACTCATCCTTCTATTTTCATCCCCTTTATGTTAGTTTCCTCCCTTTTTCTTTCCTCAATCAGGGTTAACCTCACACCAGAGTCAGTGACCTAGTATGAGTTAATGATACTAAAGCCACATGAGTTCCTTCATCCCTATATCTACCCACTGAGCTTCACTTCCTAAAGGAATCAGAAAGGTACCTTCACAGATGATGGCATCTCTAGATAAGGCAGGAATGCTCTCTCGACAAACATTGCAGTGCTGGGTCCGGTGGCTGTAACTGGAGTACCAACAATGCATTCCAACAAGAAAAGGGTTGTTTTCTGCTGCAGGTATCTAAAATAAATAAACGAGAAGAGAGAATGGAGGATGAATCACAGAGACGGATTAAAGAGGGCCTGAAAATCTGCTGCTAAGTCTAAAATGGCCTGCTGTATAGGTGTCAGAGCGTGTGAAGGGGAAGACTGAAAGTTGGAGCCAATACCTGGGACCTGGGATACTTTGTGTGCGTTTTTGTTTGTTTTGCCAGTCGTTTCAAAAAGAAAAATAATAGAGGGGCAGACCCTGGAATAGAAGCTGAAGGCAGGAGTAATTATCTTTTTTTTTTTTTTTTTTTGAGAGGAAGTCTTGATCTGTCACCAGGCTGGAGTGCAGTGTCGCAATCTCGGCTCACTGCAACCTCCGCCTCCCGGATTCAAGTGATTCTCCTGCCTCAGCCTCCCAAGTAGCTGGGACTACAGGCATGCACCACCACGCCCGGCTAATTTTTGTATTTTTAGTAGAGACGGGGTCAAGTGATCTGCCTGCCTCGGCCTCCTGAAGTGCTGGGATTACAAGCGTGAGCCACTGTGCCCGGCCAGGAGTAATGATCTTTATACTGCTTGGCCAATCACTCTATTGTCTTAGTTCAAGCAAAAATGTGTTGTCTTAGCCTTGGCCTTGGTTCTCTAGCCAGGGAATAAAGACAGGAGGTAAGGCTCTGACTCTGGGCTAGGGAATATTATAATAAGGCTTTAACTACCTCCTGGAGGTATACACTTTCCTTCCTGGCTGCCAGGTGAGCAGAGCATTGCTTTACCTGGACGACAGTTTCATCTCAGGGGATTCTTTTAGGAATCCCTTGAGTATTCTTTTAGGAATACCACGCTCTGACTGCCTACAGCAGTTTCCTGATTAATCAGCTTAATTCATCCAATAATCCATTAAACAAATATTTACTGAGTAAATACTTTGTGCTTGGCACTTTTCAAAGCATTTGAGATATAGTGAACAAGACACAACCCCTGCCTACATGGAGTGGCATTCTTTTTGGTGTCCTCTTTCATGGTACTGAGTTTGACATTTTTTGTTAATGTGCCTTAACATTTTTTGTTAAATGCTGCATTTGTATTTCACAGCCTGACTTTCATGACTGTAGGGAAAGCAAGGGTATACCAGCAACAGTTTTGAGATTGAAAGAAGGGAAGGGTGAGCACCAAAAAAACTCCAAGGACTCTTACACCTTTTCACTAATTCCTGAGAATGTCTGATTTTCTCCTTCTCTGCCTTCCCCTGAAGTTCAGACATAGGCGTACACAGAGCTTTTCATTCTTGACATTATAATGAGTTGGGTGTGTAAAGGCATGACAAGACTTTAAAAAGAACTATATTTTCTTTCTGACATCAGTTGACAGTGGGGGGAGAGAGAGAGAGAGAGAGAGAGAGAGAGAGCTAGCTACTGAGGGCTCTAGCACATTAAGTATTCATCCTTGATCAATTTACATGAATTAGATATCCAAGACATAGCCTGCACATTGCCCTCTCTGACCACTCCTTCCCACTTCTGGCATGCTGGTTACGTGCTAAGCTACTGTTGATTTAACCTGGAACCTTCTGGAAGGGAAAGCTATTTTGATGAACTAAAGGCTCACATGTTCTGGGATTGCTTTGTGATTGTAATGTTTATTGTACATTAAGACACTGGAAAGCTCTAGGGTGATTAGAATAGAAGATGGAGAGTCCTGAGGGAGTGACATACTCTTGGCTTTGGCACTTTGAGCTCCTAGAACCTTTCTACTCCCCAAGTCACTAGATTGTAATTCTACAAGCATCTTTTTTTTCCCTCCCAGTCTCCTCTCCTCCAATAATTACTAAGAACCTATTATGTATCATCTACCATGGTAGGCACTGGAGATGCAGAGATGAATAAACCATAGTTGTTTCCCTCAAGGAATTTATAGTCTACTGGAGGAAACAAATTCTAAAACAGATCATTCCTGTATAGAGTGACAAGTGAAGCTCTTCTAGAATGTGCAAGGTTTCACAGGACTGCGTGGAAGAAATTCAGAGCTCTGCCTGGGTATAATATTAAATTTCATCATCTAAATTGCCTACAGAATACAAAGGAATAGGTAAAATGGACATTACTTAGGTTCAGCAGTTGAGGTGATGGAATTTATATTCCTTGTGTACATCCTATTCTGTAAGAAAAAGTTGATGCTTCCCACCCTGGATGAGTATGTGTGGCGATTGAACTGTGTCCCCTCAGAAATATGTTCAAGTCCTAACCCTTGGTACCTATGAATGTGACCTTACTTGGAAATAGGGGTTTAACCGATATAATCAAATTAAGATGAGGCCATAATGGATTAGAACGGGCCCTAATCCAATGACTGGTATCCTTATAAGAAGAGAGGAATTTGGACACAGACAGGCACACACAAAGAGGAGAACACCTTGTAAAGATACAGAGCACACAGACACAGGGGAGAACACCAGGTGACAATGAAGGTGGAGATTGGAATGATGCATCTGCAAGCCAAAAAATGCCAAAGTTTGCCTGCAATCACCAGAAGCTAGGAGGAGGCAAAGAAAGATCCTTCCCTAGGGTCATCAGAGAAAGCATGGCTCTGCAGATACCTTAATTTGGGACTTCTAGACTCTAAAACTGTGAGACAGCAAGTTGCTGTTGGTTTTAAGCCATCCAGTTTGTAGTTATTTTATTATGGCAGCCCTAGGAAACTAATACAGATTTTGGTACTGGGAAATGGGGTGCTGCTGTAACAAATACCTAAAAATGTGGAAGTGGCTTTGGAACTGGGTAATGGGTAGACTAGAAGAATTTTGAGACACATGCTAGAAAAAGCCTAGATTGCCTTGAACTGAGTGTTTCTAAAAATATGAACATTAAAGGTGTTTCTGATGAGGCCTCATGTGAATATGTGGAACATATTGGAAACTAAAGGAAAGGTAATACTTTTATAAGGTAGCAGAGAACATGGCTGATTTTGCTCTACTGTTGGGTGGAAAGTAGACTTTGTGAGCAATAAACTTGAATATTTGACTGAGGAGATTTCCAAGCAAAGTATAAGAGGTGCATCTTGGTTTCTCTTTGCTGTTTATAGTAATATGTGATAGGGAAGTGATACACTGAGGAAAGAAATTGTGTTAGTCTGCTCAGGCATCATAAAAAATAGCATAGACTGAGTGGTTTAAAAACAGAAATCTAATTTTCTCACAGTTTACAGCTGGAAAGTCCAAGATCAAGGTATCAATCAATTCAGTCCTTGGTGAGGGCTTCCTTCCTAGCTTGTAGAAGGCCACCTTCTCACTGTGTACTCTTGTGGTTTTTCCTCAACGTGTGCATGCAGAGAGAGAGAGAGAGAAGAAAGAAAGAGAGAGAGAGAGAGAACACCTCTTTCTTTTCCTCTTATTATAAGGCCACTAATCCTATCAGATTAGGTCCCCACCCTATGGCCACATTTAACCTTATTTGCCTCCTAAATGTCCTATCTCCAAAGTCACATTAGGGGTTAGGGCATCCACATATTAATTTGGGTGGAGGGCACACAATGCAGTCCATAACAGAACTATTAAGCAAAAAGTCACCAGAACTAGAAGATTTAGAAAATTCTCAGCCTATCCATATTGCAAAACCCAAGAAAGTGTGCCCTGCAGAGAACATCAAGGGTGTGTCTGGACAAACTTTTGCTGGAGAGATTAGATGTGGGACACCTGGCTCCGATTAACCACTTCAGCAGAACACTGTCAGATTGGACTGAACTTGGACTTAAGGGTACAGATATGGGATAAAATGAAGGAAGGTTGTCAGACTTCTGAGATTCTATAGGCATGAAACACACTGATAAAGCGACTCAGCTGTGAACATGTGTTATCCTTCAAGAAAATGGAAGAATGACTTCCAGGGGTAGCTCAGAGGCCAGCAAGGCTGCCGAGAGAGGCTCAGAGGCCAGAGATGCTGCTGTTGCCATCATAGGCCCAAAGAATGTGGGCCCAAGGGGCAGAGGCACTGCCTCCTTGGTTCCAGAGGGTGGAGTTGTCTCCTGGGTTCCAGAAGGTGGGGCTGTCTCCTTGGTTGTGCAGGGGCTTGTGGGGGGATTGACTCTCCAGTGAGCTAAGAGAGTAGGGTTAGAGAACAGAACACCTAGCCCCAGAGAATTATTCTCAGGCCTGGAGAACCTGATGGAATTTGCCCTGCTGGGTTGCCAATTTTTTTTTAAACCCACAACCATTTTATTCCTTCCATTTTATCCCTTTCTTTCTTTTTTTGAGACGGAGTCTCGCACCGTGGCCCAGGCTGGAGTGCAGTGGCGCGATCTCGGCTCACTGCAAGCTCCGCCTCCCGGGTTCACGCCATTCTCCTGCCTCAGCCTCCCTAGTAGCTGGGACTACAGGCGCCCGCCACCACGCCCGGCTAATTTTTTTTTTTGTATTTTTAGTAGAGACGGGGTTTCACCGTGTTAGCCAGGATGGTCTCGATCTCCTGACCTCGTGATCCGCCCGCCTCGGCCTCCCAAAGTGCTGGGATTACAGGCATGAGCCACCGCGCCCGGCCATTTTATCCCTTTCAAAATGGGAATATCTGTCCTATGCCTGTCTCAACATTGTATTTTGGAAGCATATAGCTTGTTTTCTTGGTTTCACACGTCCATAGATGGAGAGGAATATTGCTGAGGATGGACCATACACAGAGTCTCATTCATACCTGATTTAGATTATTTACAAAATGATATTTTGGACTTAGATTTAACGCTGGAATGTGCTATGGCTTTTGAAGAGGTTGAGATGACAGTGAATGTATTTTGCACATTGGAAGGACATGAATTTGGGGGGGACTAGAGGGTGGACTCTTGTGGATTGAATTGTATCCCCCTAAAGGATATGTTCAAGTCCTAACGTCCACTACCTGTGACTGTGATTCTATATGGAAGTAGGGTCTTTGAAGACATATTACATTTAAGATGAGATCATACTATATTATGGTGGGCCTCAATCCAATGACTGCTATCTTTATAAAAAGAGAAATTTGAACATAGGTACATACAGAGAGGAGAACACCATGTGAAGATACAGAGGGAACAGACACAGGGGAGAATACTATGTGATGATGAAGGCAGAGATTGGAGTGATGTGTCAGCAAACTAAGGAACACGAAGAATTACCAGCAACCACCAGAAGCTAGGAAGAAGCCAAAAAAAAAAAAAAATCCTCCCCTAAATCTTACAGAGAGATCATGGCCCTGTTGACATGTTGATTTCAGACTTCTAGCCTCCAGGACTCTGAGAAAATAAATTTCTGTTGCTTTCAGCCACAAAATTTGCAGTAATTTGTTACAGCAGCCTTAGGAAACTAGTACAGTATATCATTACAGGTCTTCTTACTTGTTGACACAGATTAAAAATCCATTCTGAAGACAGATTTAAAACTGTGGCATGTACACAAACCACGGATCTCTAAATGCTAAAGAAAGTAGTTTTCTTTAAAGCTTTCAGTGTGTGGTTGTTGGGTTTTTGTGTTTGATTTTTACTCTCTGTAAAATACTTAGGTGAATACATTCATGCAGTCCATTGCTCCGATCGGATTCTTCATTTGCAATGGACTGAATGCTTGTGTACCCCCTTCATATCATATGTTGAAATCCTAACCCTCTAGGTGATGGTATTAGGAGATGGGGCCTTTGGGAGGTGATTAGGTCATGAGATTGGAATCCTCATGAATCGAATTAGTGCCCTTATAAAAGAGACCCCAGAGACCCATCTCAGTCCCTTTTCCACCATATGAAGACACAAGAAGACAATTGTCTATGAACCAGGAAGTGGGTCTTCACCAGACACTGAGTCTGCCAGTGGCTTGATCTTGGACTCTCTGGCTTCCGGAAGTGTGAGAAATAATGTTTGCCGTTTTAAGCCACCTAGTCTGTGGAATTTTTTATAGCAGCCCAAACTGACTAAGACAGGAATTGGTACTGAGAAGTGAGGAGTACTGCTATAACAAATACTTAAAAATGTAGAAAAAACTTTGAAACTGGGTAATGGGTAGAGATTAGAAGAGTTTTGAGGTACATGCCAAGAAAGCCTAGATTGTTCTGAATAGAATTTTAAAGGAGATTTTGGTGAGAGCTCAGAAAGGGAAAAGGAGAGCTGTAGAGAAAGCTTCTATCTTCTTAGAGTATACCTGAGCAATCATGAACAGAATTTTGGTAGAAATGTGGACCGGCCAAGAACATGTTACTGGACAATAAAGAAAAAGTGATTGTTGTTATAAAGTGGCAAAGAACTTGCCTGAATTGTGTTTGTATTCTAGTGTTTGATGGAAAGTAGAACTTGTGAATGATGAAATTCGATATTTAGCTGAGGATATTTGGTTCCTCCTGACTGCTTATAGTAAAATGTAAGATAGAGAGTGACATCAACAAGATGGTGGAATAGGAGTTCTCCAGCTTCACTCCCTGCACTACAGAAATCCAACTGGCAACTATCCACAGGCAAGAATACCATTATGAATATCCCAGAACTTTGGAGTGAGGCTGAGACAACCCCCTTGGACCACAGAACTGAGAAAACCCAGGGTCAAATGGTAAGAGTAATGGTTCTCTTTGACTATGCCGCTTCCCCCTCAAGCTGGTGCAGTGCCTCAGAGAATTTCCCTGGAGTTATGGTTTCTAAGTGGGAAAAGAGAGTTGAAGGCAGATATTCAACTTCCTCACATTTCGGGACCCTTCAAAGGAAGTCCACTCCTGTCTTGTCCCACGGGAAACATTGGTAGTACCAGCAGGGCTAGGTCACTTGGGGTCAGTAAGAAACAAAAAATGGGGTGGGGCTCACAGTAATCAATGTATAGATCTTGGTGGCTGCTCTGTGTTCCTGCCAATGGAAGTGCCACATCAGAGGAGCTTGCCAATAGCACCATGCTGCAGGAAACATGGTCCACGGGTCTTCCAGGCTTGAATCCCTAGCTAGCTTCTTCAGACAACCTGGGTGCTCTGATTAACTCTTCCCCAGGCCAAGGGATAACTGTTAGGCCAGCGATTACCCATGGAGGAACAGCTGGCCCCATCCAACCCTAGTGTCAGAGAGGTGATCCAATAAATTCTGATGCTCATTGACAACAAAGCCAGACAAGGACACAACAAAAAAAGAAAACTACAGGCTAATATCCCTGACAAACACAGATGCAAAAATCCTCAATAAAATATTAGCAAACTGAATTTAAGAATACATAAAAAGAATCATTTACCATGATCAAGTGGGATTTATCCCTGAGATAAAAAGATGATGCAACATACATAAATCAATAAGTGTGATTCACCATATCAACAAACGAAGAATTCAAATCACATGATAATCTCAGTGATGCAGAAAAAGCATTTGACAAAATTCAAGACCCTTTCATGATTTAAAAAAGAAAAAAACCTCTCAACAGATTAGGTATAGAGGGAATGTAACCAGCATAATAAAGGCCACATAACAAACTGATAGCTAGTATCATTCTAAATAGTAAAATGTTGAAAGCTTTTCCTCTAAAATCAGGGACAAGGATGCCCACTCTCATCACTTCTTTTCAAATTCTGATAATTGTCATATGTAAAAACCAGAGCAATTAGGCAGGAGAAATAAATAAAAGATATCCTAATAGAAAAGAAACAAGTGAAATTGCCTCTAGTTGCTGATGACATGACCTTATATATTTAAAAAAACCTAAAGACTCTACCAAAAAACTGTTAGAACTGATAAACAAATTCAGTAAAGTTGCAGGATATAAAATCAACATACAAAAATCAGTAGCATTTTATATACAGGTTGAGTATCTCTTATCCAAAATGCCTGGGACCAAAAAGTGTTTCAGATTTCAGATTTTTTAGGATTTTGAGGTATTTGCATTATGCTTTCTTGTTGAGCATCCCAAATCCAAAAATCTGACATCTGAAATGCCCCAATGAGCATTTCTTTTAAGCATCATCTTGGTGCTAAAAAAGTTTTGGATTTTGGAGCAATTCGGGTTTGGGATTTTGAAATTTGCGATGCTCAACTTGTACCAATAATGAACTATGTGAAAAGGAAATTAAGAAAACAATCCCACTTACAATAGCAACAAAAAAGAAAATACTTAGGCGTAAATTTAACCAAGGAAGTAAAAGACCTGCATACTGAAAACTATAGAAGATCAATTAAAAAATGGAAGAAAACACAAATAAATGGAAAGATATGCTGTGTTCATGGATTGGAAGAATTAATTTTGTAAAAAATATTCATACCACCCAAAGCAATCTACAGATTCAATGCAATCCCTATCAAAATTCCAATGTCATTTTTTGAACACCTTTCCTCTAAGATCATCCAGTGTCATTTTTCACACAAATGGAAAAAAATCCTTAAATTTGTGTGGAACCACAAAAGACCCTGAATAGCTAAAACAATCTTCACCAAAAGAACAAAGCTGGAAGCATCACACTTGCTGATTTCAAAACATAGGTAAAGTGATTATAATTAAAACAGCATGGTACTGGCATAAAAACAGACACACTGACAAATGAAACAGGGTAGGAAACCCAGAAATAAACCCATGCATTTACAGTTAACTGACAAAAGTTGACTGACAGCTTTTGACAAAGTTTCCAAAAACACAAAATAGAGAAAGGACAGTCTTTTCAATAAATGATGTTGGCTGGATATCCACATACAGGAGAACAAAATTAGACCCTTATATGAGGGGTCCTGAACCTCTGAGCCATAGATTGGTACCAGTCCATGGCCTATTAGGAACCAGGCCGCACAATAGGAAGTGACCAGTGGACAAGTGAGCATTACTGCCTGAGCTCTACCTCCTGTCAGATGAGCAGTGGCATTAGATTCTCATAGGAGTGAGAATCCTATTGTGAACTGCACACATGAGGGCTCTAGGTTGCACACTCCTTATGAGAATCTAACTAATGCCTGATGATCTGAGGTGGAACAGTTTCATCCCGAAGCCCCCCTACCAACCCCCAACCACAGTCCATGGAAAAATTGTCTTCCATGGAAACTAATCCCTGGTGCCAAAAAGTTTGAAGACTGCTGCCTTATACCGTATTAAAAAATCAATTCAAAGTGGGTTAAAGACTTAACTGTAAAAGCTGAAACTCTAGAACTACTGTGATAACACAAGGGAAAAAGCTCCCCAACATTGGTCTGGGCAAGGATGTTTTGGCTCTGACCCCCAAAGCACAGGCAACAAATGCAAAACTGGACAAATGAGATTACATCAAACTAAAAATCTTCTATACAGCAAAGGAAATAATTAACAAAGTGAAAAGACAACCCACAGAGTGGAAGAAAATATTTGCAAACCATACATCTGATAAGAGGATAATATCCAAAATATATAAGGAACTGTAACAACTCAATAGCAAGAAAACAGCCCAATTAAAAATGGCAAGAGACCTGAACAGATATTTCTCAAAAGAAGATATACAAATGGCCAATATGTACATGAAAAAATGCTCAATATCATTAATCATTAAGGAAGTGCAAATTAAAACCACATTGAGATACCACACCACACCTGTTAGAATGGCTTTTTAACAAAAAAGATGAAAGATAATAAGTGTTGGAGAGGATGTGGAGAATAGGGAACTCTTAGGCACTGTTGGTAGGAATGTAAATTAATATAGCCATTATGGAAAATGGTATAGGGGTTCCTCAAAAAACCTAAAAATAGAACAACCATATGATTCAGTAGTTCCATTTCTAGGTATATGTGAAAAGAAACTGAAATCATTCTGTCAAAGGGATATTTGCACTCCCAAGTTCATCGCAGCATTATTCACAATAGTCAAGCTATGGAAACAGCTTAAGTGTCCATCAACAAATGAATGATTAAATAAAATGTGGTATATATACACAATGGAATGCTATTCAGCATTAAAGAAGCGGGGAATTCTATCACTGGTGACAACATGGGTGAATCTGGAGGACATTATGCTAAGTGAAATAAGCTAGCACAGAAAAACAAATACTGCATGATCTCATTTATATATGGAATCTGATAAAGTTGAACTCAAAGAAGTAGAGAATAGAATGGTGGTTGAGGGAGAGGAGGAGGGAATGGGGATATCAAAGGGTACAAAGTTTCAGATAGACAAGAGGAATGAATTTTGAGATCTATTGTGCAGCAGGGTAACTATAGTCAATAACAATGAATTATATAGAGTATTTTTAAATAATTAAGAGAGTAAATTTCAAATATCTCACCATAAAAAATGATAGGTAATCGGGGTGATGGATATGTTAATTAGCTTGATTTAATCATGCCACCTCGTATACATATGTGAAAACATCACATTTTACTCCATAAATCTGTGTAATTATGATTTGTCAATCAAAATTAATAATTTAAAAAATGAAACATAAATAAATAGCTCATTAATCAGTTTTATTTTGATTATAGTTAAAATTATAATATTGTACATATATTTGGTTAATAAAATGTTATTAAAATGAAAAAATGTGAGAGGAGATAAATGAATTGAGGATGAAATTGTTAAGCAAAAATCCCATAGAATTTAGAGATTTTGGAAAATTCTCAGTCTGTCCACATTACAAAAAATAAGAAAATATGTTTGAAAAGGTGTGAAAGACCCACTATTTGATAAGGAGATTAGTGTGGATGTCAATCACAGACTTAATTAGCTATCTCTACAAAAGCCAGCAATAGAGATGGGATTATAGTAGCAGAACCACTGTCAGCTGAGACTAAAGGAAATTGAGAAAATGGGATGAAACAAAGAAGACCCTACAGGACTGGACCATAGAACTATTCGGATGTGAAGTTCTTCAAGACAAGTAAAGAATGATCCCAAAGGTGATTCAGAGATCAATAGAGCTGCCATCCCACCACAGGCCCAAAGTGCACAGTTCTAGGTGACAAGGCTGTCTCCACGTCAATTTCAAAGGGTGGAAACCAATGCCCAGCAGAGCTGTGGGGATGGAAGAGTCCAGCAGAGCCCTGGGGACTTGCTTCTGTTCTAACAGAGAATCATGCCATGAATAGGGCCACTGTAGAGAGCCACAGCATTGGCACTGCCCTGCTGATCTGTGGGGGTGATGTTGCCACTCGTGTAGGTCTGGAAGGCAGAGCATTGAGCCAGAGGATTACAGATGCTCCCAGTTTACTATGGGGTTACATCCTGATAAACCCAGTAAGTTCGAAATATTGTTAAGTAAAAAATGGACGTTTTGTAGACATGATGGGATGTAAAAACACAAAGTACAATATCTCCCAAAACTTTGGCAACACAGTGCACTGTAGAATATGGGTTGTTTACCCTCAAGATTGAGTGGCTCACTGGGAACTGTGGCTTGCTGCTGCTGCCCAGCACGGTACTGCCTATGACTACCTCAGGAAAAGATCAAAATTCAAAATTTTGAAGTACTGTTTCTACTAAATGTGTATTGCTTTTGCACCATTGTAAAGTCAAAAAGCTGTGAGTCCACCATCGTAAGTTGGAGACCATCTGTATTCTCCAAACTTAAGATCTCATGGAGCTTGCCTTGCCAGGTTTTCGACTTGCCTGGGACCTGTCATTTCTTCCTTGTTTTCTATTTCTCCCTTTTAGAATGAGAATGTCTATCCCATGCCTAGTTCACCATTTCTATTTTGGAAGGACATAACTTGTTTGACTTCATAGGTTCACAGCTGGAAATAAATTTTGTCCAAGGCTGTCTCACCCATATCTGATGTAAATGATATTTAGATGATACTTTAGACTTTATAATTCATGTTGGAATGAGTTAAGACTTTTGGAATTTTTAGGTGAAATGAATGTATTTTACATGTGAGAAGGCCATTAATTTGGAGGTGTGCAGGGGCAGATGGCAATGCACTGAATGCATGCTCCCCACACGTTATAGGAAGTGATGGATCCCTCATGAATGAGATTAGCACTCTTATAAAAGGGACCCCAGAGAGTTTTCTTGCTCCTTTTTCTGCCATATGAGGATACAATCAGAAGACTCCCATCTATGAACCAAGAAGCAGCCCCTCACCAGACACTGAACCTGCCAGTACCTTGATCTTGGACTCTACAGCCTCCAGAAGTGTCAGAAAAACATGTTTGTTGCTTAAGCCACCTAGTCTATGGTATTTTTATTATGGCAGCCTGAACTAAGACATCACTGATGTAGGGCAGCTAAGGGTACTTTCTCCACCTCCTGAATTCCTTTCAGCATAATCGAGAAGTCATATATGTGTATTAATTATTTGTCTAGTAGTTAAATGAAAGCTTATTGACTCCAAAGCACTTTCCAAATGTGAGGATTTAGTAATATTAAGTGTTTGCAAAGTACATAAAAGTATCAGGTGAAATATCCCACAAAGCACAAAGTTGGCTACAGATATAATTCCATAAAGGAGCCTTTTTGGGGATGGCTTACATGATAAAATGTTGAGTTTAGATAAAACGAAGTCAGTGGTTTGTGCTTTAATGTGAACTAAACTGCTCAGTTCTATCAAGGTTTGGGGAATTACAGAAGAGTGTTAGGGCCTCCCAGGTTGGCCATTGGTAGGATGACCATGTTGTCCAAATTGGGCCACTTTCTACAGTGAAAGGGGAGCTGTTAATACTTATGCCGGGACAAGTGTAAACTGGGCTCAGCCTGAGCAAACCACTAGCCATGGACACACTATGCATGAGTTAGAGTCATTTTGCCACTTTGAATTTATTTGTTGATCTATACGATTCAGTTGTCTACCTTAGTATTCCTGCCCCATAATCACAAAGGGTGGAAATTAAAGGACAGAAAGAAGATAATTAGGAGGAATTTACGATATCCTCCTGAGAACTTAGATTAAAAATGAAAAGAACTAAGATATTAATTTTGCCAGAATCAACTTATGATTTTAGGTAAGGCAACTGAACCTCTCTGAGGCTCAGTTTTCTCATCTGCTAAGTGAAATCTTGGAATCATAAGCTTTTCAAGTTGAAAGGAATTTTGAAGTTCATCTAGTTTGCCCACTTGAAAAAAATCAATTTTCTGTACAACATCTGACAAGCAGTTGTTCAATTTGTTTGTTTGTATTACTTCCAATGATAGGGAGTTGTCCACCTCAAGAGCCAGCTGATGTCATTCCTGCAGGTTACAGTGAATGTTGGAAAGTTATTTCAACTAGACCAAAGTTTCAGAAAAAAATTTCCAAGATTTAGAGCTTTAGGAACATTAGATGGACTTTTTTGCAAGAAACTTAGTTCTCTACCTTTGGAAGAGTTCAAATAAAGGCCACATGACTTACATCTCCAGATGCTCTAAAATCTAGTATCTGGAGTCCAGATAACTTTTAAGGTCTATTTCTGTTTCCACGGTCAATGATTCCATGGCAATTCATTAGGAAGAGCTAACTTTTTAATCTAGTCTTCCAAGGAGCTCCTTATTTCTAACTTTCTCCTTTTATTCTTTCTTTAAATCCCCCAGGCTCACACCTTTCATCTGTCTGTGACTTTTCTATTTCATTTGCCTCTTTCTTATATTTAGGTTCTCCCCCACCCCTAACTCAGTATCCACACTTGTCCTCCCTTTCTATCCTCATTCTGGGGCTTAACACGGTCTTGCCATAATTAATCATAGCCTCTTCTCTGAACTTCTGGCCTCTAGTTTTTCCCTTGTCTAACCCATCCTGTATTTCTAAAGTATCCCTCTTATCAATTCTCTTCCCTTTTGAATCCATCCTGAGGCTTTACTTTGAACACATTGCAAATCTTCCCCACTCTTTATCCTGGCATTGAAAAATCTCCATGGTCAGGCCCCATCTACCTCTCAAGACATACTTCTTGGACTCACTTTCCTAAACTTTTCTGGTGAAATGAATTCTCCCTTTCACTGTATTCCAAAAAGTTTCTGTTTTCCTGTTATTCAGCTTTTGCTTATACCAGTTCCATAGCCCAGGACCTCCCACTGCCCCTAATTCCCTGCCACCAATAAAATACAATCTATCTTTCAAGGTCAGTCTCAAATCTCTCCTCTGTTAACTCTTCCCAGAGGACTCCAGCCCATACTTATCTCTTTCTCCTCTGAACTCCCATACCACTTTATTGTCTGTTTCATTCATCTGGCAATCAATCATGCATTGCCTTGTAACATCTCTGAAAACTGTCATTTATCTTGGGTACTGTCATTTAACTGTTTCTTTTGTTTCTGTGTATATAGCGTCTCCCTATTACCTACAAAGCTCATTGAGGCCTGGAGCAAGTATTGCATCTTTTTTTTCTACTCTTTATGAAACAGAATTGGGCAACTAGTAGGGGATGGCTTATTAATGTGTACTGACTAGTTTCCAATAGATTATCCAATTACTTTGTCACCACTTTAATAGACCACTAAATCCATGATTAATCTTCCCTTGCCCTATTTGTCAGGCATTGGTGGTGACAGAAGATAGAAGGGACCATTAGAGATAAGGCACATATGGGAGAAAGCATATTTTACTATTTAAGCTTCAAGTAAGACAAATTGCTAAGATGCTGGTGCCGAGACGTTTCACTATCAGCTAAAAGTGTTCCTTAATAGATTTAGGTCCCTGGAGAAGCTCCACAGAAGTTGTGATTACAACCTGATACAACTCTTCCAAGAGAGTAAACAGGGAGATTTTTTTCCTTTCTAGTTTGTGCTGGGTAATCAATACCTAGGTGTTTAATTCAATGAATTCAGGGATGGCGCACCAATTCTCTGGTAGTCACCAGAATTTCTCTAGGAGTTTTTGCATTCCTAGAACAATAATTAAAATTCAAAACATCCTATGCGACCTTTTATGCCAAATTGAAAATGTTATATGATTCATGAGAAACCCTCCAGTTTGAATAGAGGTTAAGTCATAGGAAGGAAAGATATTGGTCCACAGGGACAAAGACAGGAAAGGAGCATGGAATTCACAACTTTTTATGACTGCCTCTAATGTTGTACCATAGTGGCCTCATTGATTGGGGCGGGGGCAAAAAGGGGATGTGCTTCTCCATTAGGAAAGGAAGAAGAAAGTAACAAAGAGGTAAAATTCTGAGTGCTAAATCATATAAAGATCACCATCAAATGCTAAGCCAAGGATCTCTCAATTTAAGCATATATAACATGGGACTGAGAGAGGCCTTAATGATATTGGAGAGACCTCAAGTCAGCCATCTTGTCATGTTCCCCATCATTGCTATAGGGAGGAGAATGTATAGTTATGAGACTAAGTGGTCAAAAGCCTGAGAAGTCCTCGGGGAGTAGGGATGGATGGTTCTTCTCTATGGCATTAGTTTTATTTCTAAACTGCATTATCACCAAGCCACTTCACACACTGCTCCATCCAAATTGCCTAGAACAATCTTCTACCCATTGCTAGTTATTTAAGACATTAGGTTGTTTTAAAGTCTGGATTCACCTTCCCCTTTATCTCTAAGACCTTTACAGCAGAACTTTGCTTCAAGATGAACCATGTATCATTCTCTGTCCAAATTCTGGTTCCAAGATTTCCTGCAGATTCATTTATTCATTCAAAAGATATTTATTGTGCCTTTACTATGTGCCAGAGACCGCTGTAAGTAAATAAGTGACACAGATCTCTCTCCTCTTGGAACTTACATAAATTCTAACTGTGGTAGATCTATAGAAGGGCAGGCAGAGTGTATCTCCTGAAGTTTGATTGCACCAGTTACTGCAGGGAGCAGTGGCCAGAGATTTGGTACCACCAGGTAAAAAAGAACCCTGCTAAGCTTTGGAGAGGATACTTATTGCTCTTCCCTCTACATTACTTTTGTAGTAGACAGAAAACAGAAAGGCAAAGAGCACAGTGGTCAAGGACATAGGCTTTGGAGTCACATAGCCTGCATCAGAATCCTGGTTTCACTACTGAATAGTGATTCTGCCTTGGACTCGTTCCTACCTCTTTCTGAGTCTCAGTTTCCTTAGCTATCACTATAGTCATTCAGCAGACCCAAGTCAAGACTGCTGATTCCGGTTTTCCTAACCTAAGGGCATCTACATTAGCTGCTCACATACATCTTGAGTGACTCATCCATTGGGCATACATTGACATCTACATATCAAGTGGATATGTATAGAAGTATCTGCACCACATACTCACAAAGGTCTGAGTCCAAGTGAATTACTCCTATTTATGAATAATTCTAAAGAGGTTTTCTGTCTATAATTCCTAAACAGGTGGTCTCTGCTTCCATCTTATTATTTCCCTGCTCTAAAGGTGGCTTAACTAATGCAATTAATTATTTACCTATTAAGAATTGTGTGGCTTCTCTACTAGTTTTCTTACCTTATAAATTTCTCCCTGTTGGATGGTTTTTATGATGTTAATCCATTCTTCCATGTCTTTCCGGTTGGGTGCAGCCAGAGTGATTTTTCGTTGTGGTGTAATAACCTAAACAAAAAGCCACATTATTAGCTGGTTCCCACTCCATAACTTTGCCTTCAAACACAGTCTGTGAACTCTCTAAGAAACTACACAGATGTACCAAGCACAACATAAGCCACTTCTTGAATATAAGACAGACATTCCCAGAACCACTCGTAGCTCCTTAGTTACCCATCCGAAATAATAATAATGCTAATAGCAATAATTAACATTTTAATGCCACTCACTATGTGCCAAGAACTATTCTAAAGCACTTTATGCATATGATTTCATTCAATCTTCATTACAACCCTGTGAGATGGGCATTGTTATTTTTCCCATTTCATAGCCGAGAAAACCAAGACAAAAAGAGTTAAATGATTTGCTCAGGGTCACCCAGCAGGTAAAAAACTAAACCAGAATTGAAATCCAGATTCTTTGGCTTCAGAATTCATTCTTTTAAATACTAAACCATGTACCATCTATTACTCAAGTTAGTTTGCCTGAAAACCCTACTTGCTTACTGCTACTCTGTCTACTTGAAGTGGTAAAATTGTATGTGGTTCATTAGGGTGTCCCTGTTTCTGTTTAGTGGGAGAGTGAGATGTCTAAAAACCCAGTTTCTTTCTTTCTTATGGTTAGGGACAACCTGAAGAGAATTTTACAGTTGTCTTTCTTAACCCTGCTTGGCACAAGAACCCAGGCAGGAATAATAAGAATGCCACACTGAGAGTCTAGCAGATGTAGACCATGGGCAGGACTTGATCTTTTCCCAGAGGGCAGGAGGGATCATGGATAGCTACAGCATCAGTCATTGCTTCCATTGCCCTACTTGCCTTTACTATAAGCTCCCCAAGTCTTGAAGCTAGAGCTCACCACACCAACAAGGAATTTGTTTCTTCTTTTGCATGTAACACAGTGAGATTATGTGGTCGATGGAAATAGGAGCTAGTTGGGATTGTGATAACAGCCACTCCTTTGGTCCAAACCCATTCTTGAGTGGGGCTGATGTTCAGTGCTTCTGTGCTTTAATTAAGTTAAGGGGCAGCCTAGCCTTTATGATTTCTTTCTTTGTAGAATGGAAACCAAAAACATTACCCTATAGGCTCATCACCCAAAGACTCAGCTTTTTGGGACTGGTCAACAGAGCCCTCAGTTTTACCCTGTGTCAGGGTGATGTAATGAGAGAGTAACAAAGCAAAATCTTCTTCTTAGACCCAGCCGCTCTCCTTTCAAGGGAGGATGGAACATGAACCAACTATGGAAGCAGGATATTGGGTCTGCAGCTCTTTAGTCTGTTAGGTACTATCCCCTACATGCCTAAGCAGGAACTCCAGTCTCCATATCCCACCACTGAGGCTGGGAGAAGACAATTCTGGAAGGAGGTGGGTAGGAGAATTCCTGGGCCACCAAGCTTTCTATTTTTCAGTGAGTTTTCTGGTCTGGATTCACTTGAATGACCAAAGCCATGTGACATTTCAGTCACACAAAGCCCTAGACACTTCCCTAGAAAATCTTCTGCTTTCTTTGAGGCACTTTCATCAGTAATCTCAACATGGGGTAGATTTCACTTTGAATTAGGGCTCTTATCTACCTCATCAGAGGAGAGGATGTCATGTAACTCAATTATCCTGCCATTTTCTATAACATATTAGCAGTCTCTTGAAAGACTCCCAGTGATACTCTTCTAAATCACCTTCACTGGGAGGACTGATTTTTATAAGTCACATACTCCCTTCCCCTTGAAATCAGCTTAGCTTTATACTGGTAATAAGGAACAAGACCATCACTTTTTTTCTTCCCTATCAGTGGGCTGCTAGAAAATGTTTGCATGAATGATAACACTTTGGGATCAAAGGAAACTTTGGAAACCTGAAGTTCAAAGAAGCAAGAAGTGGTCATGGAAAGCTATCTTCCCAGCTAGCCCCTACCCCTGCCCATTCAGTCATTCCCAATCTTACTTACACAAAAACTGTGGCAAAGGTTTCTACAGCTGCTTTCTGCCACAGTGGCTTGAGACAGATCAATCGTTTCAAAGTGTGCAAACTGGAAAGATATAAGACAGAGAGGGACAAGGAACCGTCTGGTTAATGATGCAAAGAGACATTAAAAGGTAAACACACACACACACACACACACACACACACACACACACTTACTGACAGGCATTTGTGGCAGTCATGATCCAATCATTTCTTTGGCTTGAGGGCTAAAATTTATTTAGCAACATGATTTTTGTTAATGTATCATGTGACCAAAAAATGAAATCAAAATAAACTTTTTACAGACATTTATGTGGAATTATAGGAAGGCTTGAGTTGGTCAGCTCAGAATTATTTAAACATAAAGGCTTATGCTGGAAAAGATAATGAGATGTGGTCTAACTAGAGTCCTAGAGAAACAGATTGTGATAAACTCCTATTTTATTGGGTGGCAACCTTTGCAGTGTTGCTAGTCCCATCCAGTTTGAGGCCTGTGCCTCCTTATTCACTGGCCATAGTAGATACCATCTAGCCAGCAGCAGGAAATCAGTATCATGGATACAGGCAAGGCCGGTTTCACCAGTATACAAACTGTGCAGTCACACAGGGCCCCATGTTCAGAAGGGCCTCACACTTAGTTTAATGCTTTGTTGTTGTCATCTTAAAATTACCTCATAATTTTGTCTTTGAGCATGTGTTTTGTAAGTAAAGTCCAATGGGACAACAGATCATGCATATGAGCAGAGGAGATAGGCGCATTATACATTTCCACCCCATGTCTTGTTGCTCCATTTGCATTTGTGATGCCCGTGAACATAGAATTCTAGTGGACCCATGATAAGTGGGAGTTTAGCAAGACTCAAATCAAGTACAAGATAAGTGTGTTACATCTATAACTGAGTAAGCAGTAGGGGAGCTGACAGCCCTGAGAGGTCATACTTTCTGTTGGAACCAGAACTTGCTTCAGACATAGGAAAAAGACAATGGTTTCTAAGAAATACAAAGAACCAAGAAGCCCTATTGTATTCTTTCTTGCTCGTTACACCCCTGTGTTAGCCAACAATTTCTGCTAAAAATGATGACATGGAAGGAAATGGAAAGATAAGGCAACCCATAGTTCTTTCAGTTAAAAAAGTGTTGGTGGAATGTGCAAGTATCGAGAAGTAAAATATGAACAGTTGAGCTAGTTTTGTGCAGTTTTTTTATACTACTGAGAACAAAATACTACGCTTGTATGAGCTACTAAACACAAATTGTATAATTTTAGTGATTCTTTATTTGAATTAAATGCTCTTACATTTGCATTTAAAACTGGTGTTGTATAGTGTGCAGATAAATAGTGAAATTCATGCTAATTATTTAAAATCGTATTTTTCTTTACTTAGAATTGCATTAGCAAATAAAAACACCATGACAAGTCTTTGCTTTATATTAATATTTTAGTATAAACATAAAGCGTTATATGTTAGTAGCTTTAATACAACTTCCCCCTGCTTTTTGAATAAAGGGCACTACATTTTCATTTTGCACTGGATCCCCAAAATTATAGTTGGTTCTGGGTGCAGAAGCTAGCTGGGAAAAATACAAAAGGAAAGGGATACAGAAAAGAGAAAGGAGAGAAAAGTATCCCCATTTGACCCAAAAGGGCAAGTTAAAAAAAGAGTAGAGGGCTTCAACTTCCACCCTAATGTTTGCTGACATGTCTTTACTTATTAGTCCATCTTCCCACACAAAGGTTTCCTGGCACCCACCCATTAATCTAGTTGACAATATGCTATACATTACCGCGGGATGGTGTGCAAAGTAGAGCTTCTGTCCTTGAACCAGAAAATATCTAAGCTTCCATCTCTTGAAAGAGTTACAGTTCTTCAGCATAGGTCCTTCCTTCAATATTTTCTGAAAGATAGAAGCATGGTGTTGAGCAATTAGATCAATTCATAAGGTCATATCACTTGTTTTCTCAGATGGAAACAGCAGATATCTAGAAGGCTCTATCTTGTCACATATCTGAGAAATGGCCTGAAGGCCAGGTGAGAACACAGTGAAGCTCATTCAATCAGATGAGACATTGGTTACCCTTGGATTACTCATTCAGGATGATATAGGTTTCACGTTTATCAGACTATGTGGCCCAAAAACCACAGAGGATATCTCTATTTGCAGTAGAGGGCAGGGACATGAACATCATAAATATAAGAACAGCATTCTTAGGAAAGAATGCGTGGTAGAGGAAAAGGCTGTAAAGGCAGATTTTCTGGAAGTCTCCAGATTGTAGCTCCAGACAGGGCTCTCCTGTCAGCTCTTTTAGAGTGTTCCTTTTAGAATATTAAGTTAGATCATGTTCCTTCCTTGTTCGCAAGCCTCCAATAGCTTCTCAACACGTTTAGAGCCAAATCCAGTCTTTACCATGGTTTGTCTTCAGCGGACTCATGATCTCATGAAGGAGCAAGCACATAAAAAGGAACCACAAGAAAACTACCTTCTGATTACTTTCTTTACATCTCATAGTCTAACCACTGATTTTTCAGTTACCTGCTGAACAGACTGATCCTAACCAAGCATAGAGTCTACTTACCATTTTCATCATTGAGGAAGTTCTCACTTAAGTTATAGGATACAAACCAACATGCAAGACTGCCATTTGGGAGAAGTACTCAACCCCAACAAGCTGGAATCAAATCCATACTTAATGGACAAAGGGCCAGACTGAGTTTAAAATCACCACATCAAGGCTCTACCATGAATTCTATCATCTAAATTAGCATTCACCATTGGGTGGCTGGAGAAGTATTTTGTTTGGCCTACCTAGTGTTTTTCAAAGTTTCAAATTAGTTGGTAATATTTGAAAGGTGGAAGACTTCATATAAAAATTCAGGTTTCCTGTTTCTTTTTTTTTAAAAAAAATTAGAACATCTGGTAACATTGCATTTATATTCTCACATGGCAACAATCTGCAGAAACTGAGTACCAGCTGCTCCCTTCAGATGGGGTGCCTGACTCCAGCAGGAATTTGAGTTTAGGACTCTGATCTAAACAGTTATTTGCCATTCCTGTTCTCCCAAATACACACACACACACATACACACACACACACACACGTACTCATACACACACATTTATACACTCTTCAATTCTCTAACCAATTGGATAGTACTAGTAGACAGAGCCTCTGTATCTCAACTGAAAAGTCAGTTCATAAGCAGTCACAATTTACCTGAGCCCTCTTCATAGCTTATGGGAGTTTCAAGGTTATTGTAACACCCTTGGGATGCAAAAGAATGGTGCTGAGGAGTCAGAACAAAGAGAACAATAAGATCTTGTGGGAAGGAGGGAGGTTGCAGTGAGAGAGAGTAAGAAATTATATTTAAATTGTTGAAATTGAGTCATCCAAGAGAAAACAACTGCTATAAGCATTAATAATATATTGTTCCTTTCCCCTTTCTGGCCAGGTGGCCTAAAGTACAGTTCTCAAAAATGGCTTTTGGTTTTTTTATCCTAACCTTCTCACCTCTATCCATATACTTCTCCATACTAAGTCTTCATAATACCTAGGCAGTCCTATTTACTCCTTTCTGCTAAAGACTTAATTTCCAAAATTTAACGGCTCCAATTCTGTACAACTGAATCAACATCCATTATCTCTGCCCTTTTCCCAACTTGTTCTGCTCTGTTAAAATTATTAAATGCTTCCTTTACTCTTCTTATTTTGTCGTATGTAATGTCCCCTGTACCAGCTCATTTTACAGTTTTTGGTTGGCTACTTTTCCCTTCCCTCCATTCACAGTTTAAAGTGTTGCAACTCTGACTGTCAGATATTTACACTACTACATTCTCTTGGCCTGTTCTGAGAAGCACTTACCCTTAAAGAACCTATTTTTCAGGCATTGCAAGTCATGGGCTAGTAAACAAAAATCTTTCAATTTATAACTTGTGAATATGATAGCCCAAGAGGACTCAGATTTTAGCTTATGCATTTGATAAGCTCTTTAATGATATTACTATGAGCAAGAAGGAGAAATTATTATCTTTGTTCAAGTTCCTATTTTATCTGCCTGTAGATCACATCCCCTTCCTCAGCAAGTCATCCTGTTTGGTTATTCAGAGCCTACTCCCAACAAACCAGTAGCCACCCTCAACTCAGGGGACCCCAATTAAGCTCTACCACTCAGGGGGCCCTTACAGACAATAGAGCTATATAGGAATAAGTTTTCTATATCTCCCCATAATTAATACAAATCTGAAATAGATTCTGATAAGTAAAGATGTATAAGCCCAGAGCAACAACTAGAAAAATAACTTTTAAAAATTATTAATACATCATAAAGCAACAATTAAATACCACTACATGTGGATTAGAATAGCTAAAACCCAATACAGTGACAATACTAAATGCTGGCAAGAATATGGAGCAACAGGAACTCTCCTTCATTGCTAGTAGGAATGCAAAATGGTACAACTAGTTTGGAAGACAGTTTGGCGGTTTCTTACAAAATCAAACATACTTCTACCACATGATCTAAAAATTGAAATCTTTGCTATTTACCCAAATGCATTAAAAAGTTATGTCCACACAAAAACCTGCATATGAATGTTTATAGCAGTTTTATTCATAATTGCCAAAACTTGGAAACAACCAAGATGTCCTTCAATAGGTGAGTGGGTAAACAGACTGTGGTACATCCAGACAATGGAATGTTATCCAGTAATAAAAATAAATGCACTATAAAGCCACGGAAAGACATGGAGGAACTTTAAATGTATATTGCTAAGTAAAAGAAGTCAATCTGAAAAGGCTACATTAACTATATCAATACAACTACATGATATTCTGGAAAAGGCAAGACTATAGGGACAGTAAAAAAACACAGTGGCTGCCAGAAGCTCAAGGGCAGTTGGGAAGAGATGAATAGGTGGAGCACAGGAGATTTTTAGGGCAGTGATACTACCCTGTATGATACTGTAATGGTGGCTACATGTCATTATACATTTGTCAAAACTCATAGAATGTACAACACCAAGAATGAACCCTGATGTAAATGATGGATTTTAGTTAATAATAAAAAATCAATATTGGCTCACCAGTTGTAACAAATGCACTGCACTAATGCAAGACGTTAATAATAATAATAATAATAATAATAATAATAATGATTGTCTCAGGACCTTGGTCAGTTTAGTAGCCCCAAGCAGGTAACAGGGGAAACTGGGAGGGGGTGGGAGGGGGTATATGGGTACATTCTTTACTTTCCAATTTTTCTATATATCTAAAACTGCCAAAAATGGTCTATTAATTTTTTTTAATAAGCAAGCAAAAACAGGCTGGGAATTCTGAAAAAGAAGAATAATTAAGAGGGAACTACCTGCTATTTAGGTTTTAAAACCTAGTATAAAGCTATAATAATGAAAAAAATAATTAAAGGGACTAAAATGTTAAAATTGTTAAAGGAACATAAACATATACCCATGTGATATGGCAGGGGCATAAGTATGTGGAATATTCATTGAAAAATACAACAAAAGCTCTGTCTGCACCCTGGCTGTTTGAGGGAGTGGTTGTTTGAGTTCTTTAAGGGAAAAAGAGATGGCAGAAATGAAGTAATCTGTTTTATACCTGATACCCCAGGTCTGAGGGTATGAGAAGGGGAGAGTTTCAATGTGTGTCTACCAGTGGAGATGAGGAAGATTTATTTCTGAAGTGGATGATGAGATTGTGGAGCTACTTTCCAATAATAAATTATTATTATTATTATTATTATTAACACATTTTAGATTAAGTCTAGAATTACTCTCGCAGATACTATGGCTTGTCAACACAAAGTTTATAATCCTTTGGCACCAGAACAGGGTTGGTAGCTTGTGGGAACTGTCCTTCTTTTGCCTATCAAGTTACTTTGTTTCTGTCAAAAGCCAAATTACCATCTGGAAACTGGAAACAGGAGGACACAGTCAACCATGACAAGAACAGAATGTCAAGGCTAGGGAGCAAGTAAGCTCTGTGGTTCTAAAATTGTTTAGTGAGATAAACCTCTTCACCAAGTTAAAAGACCCAAGAGGGCATTGTTGGAAGGAACCAAATGAAGTTGTATTGCTTTGAATAAGATAAAATGAAGTTAAAACCTACTTTTTGTTAATTAAGTTAGAATGCAGATCTTCTTAGGGGATAGGCAAGGGCTCTCCCTTCAATGCCTCCTTTCGCAGGGTGCATGATAAGAGTTCCTTAAGTTCTAAACAGAGGCTTTGTGTCATCAGCTCTGAACTTCCACAAATGCCCAAACCTGGATCTTGGAAAAGGTAAAGTACCTGTAGTCCTTTTCCTTCTGAATTCTGTCCTCCTTTGGGGAAACTTCCCTACTCACCCAATTACTGTTTCTAAATAAACCATTGTTTATTTTGTCAAAACCCCAAAACCAATAGGCAGCCCCAGGAAGCCAGTTTGAACAGGCAGAAGCTAAAAATCCATTGCTTGATTGCCCCAAGTCGATAAACTATGTGCATGTAAAACAATCTTTACCCGCTTGGGGCTACTAAACTGAACAAGGTCCTGAGGCAAAAATTGGAAGAAGCAAGGTAACAAGCAAATGCATCCTGCCAAGGGAGGCACTGAAGGGAGAACCCTTGCCTATCCCCTAAGAAGATTTGCATACTGCTTCCTGGTCCCTGGCCTCTGGCAGATAATATCATCTCATTGCCTCCTCACAACTATGCAGTATCACGTCTGACTTCCAGACAGTAAATCTGAGGCTTGGTTTCCCTTACTTTGTCCAAGTACCCACAGTTACAAAATGCTAGTGGACTCTGTGCTTCCTCTCCCCGTGATGAGAAAACTGGGAGGGCCTGGTTTTTTAGTATGTACACAACAGGTTGAACACAGACCCCACCCCATCCCCCTGCCAAACTTTATTCTGAATGACAAGATCATAGATTGCTAAGAATTAAAATGTATTCTCGGCCCGGCGAGCACGCCTGTAATCCCAGCACTTTGGGAGGCCGAGGCGGGCGGATCACGAGGTCAGGAGATCGAGACCATCCTGGCTAACACGGTGAAACCCCGTCTCTACTAAAAATACAAAAAAAAAATTAGCCGGGCGTGGTGGCGGGCGCCTGTAGTCCCAGCTACTTGGGAGGCTGAGGCAGGAGACTGGCGTGAACCCGGGAGGCGGAGCTTGCAGTGAGCCGAGATCGCGCCACTGCACTCCAGCCTGGAAGACAGCGCAAGACTCCGTCACACACACAAAAAAGTATTCTATGAACAGCTCTGACTATTCCATACTAGAACTCTTAATGAGCTTCCCTCAAAGTGGCAAATGATATTCCTTGTTTTTCTAAAGACCTAACATTCGTTGGCGGGCGAGAAGGGAGTTCTCCAGTTTTTTTAAAGTGACAGTCCAAGATTGACTGGAAGAGTAATTAGAATTCACATGTTGACAGCACTTTGTAATTAATAAAGTGCTTTTGCTTCTCATCAGCCCTCTGAAGCAGGTAGTGAAAGGCGTTTTCTAACGCAATTCTGTCCTATGAAAGACACCCTGAAATTAGCATCTTCAAGTGGCTTGCCCGAGGAAATAGTTGAAATTTTTCCTCTCAAATAAGATAGCCCATGTTTGTTTTGCAGTTTTGAGACTTTGCAACATCTTGGAGTTAAAACATTTGTCAGAAGAACGCATCTCTGATGTTAGTACAAAAGGCAATGAGGAATGGGACTCCATATGGGAAATTTTGCTTGGTGGCCACATTTATAAGCACACAGCTATTTCATAAGAAGGGACACACATGTAGTCCTCCTGGTCCAAGCTGCCACATTTCTGTGGCAATATCTGTGATGCTGCAGATAGAAATAATTTAGGAAGGGCTGTAGAATCCTTGTACATATTGAAATGTCATGTTACCACTCGACGCTTCTTAAACCACAGCACACTGCAGGCAGGGTTCCTAATTCTTCCTGCCAGCTCTATTAGACATTAAAACCCAAATAACATTATGGTTTCTACTATTAAACCCTCAAGGCTGATTGTTTTGTGGTGAGAGTGAGTATGGTGCTAATTAGTCTATTGTCCCGAATTCAATCACCACAGAGATCAATTGGCTTCATTCAAATTCAAGAATGTAGGACTCCAAGGCATACGTAATTCAGGTCCTGTGTACAGTGTTCACACAAAATGGTCTTTGCCAAAACCATGGCAGCCCTTGCAGAGAAGGCTAAAGCTTTGGAAAACTCTGCTTCAGTTTCATTCTGAATCCTCTTTGATAAACCAATACCCAAATCCATTGCTCCCAGAAACTCCCACACCCTGGCACAGGTAGTATCTCTCTCTGGTGCTCTGTACAACTCAGCATGTGTAAATTAATAAATTAATGAGGATAAACATTTCCCTCAATCCATATTTATAAAATATCTTCTATAAAATATTTCAACAGAGTCTGTAAAGCAGCCCAATTTCCTGTATATAATTAACACCCCCCTGCTGCTTAATTGGGAAAGGGCAAGTACAGCTGCTGCTGTGACCTTTTCCTATGCTTCTCCCAAGTCCCTAAAGCTTCTACTATCTGCTACATCTGTTTTTCTGTTGCTTGGTGCATTTTTTTTTAAGAGACAGGGTCTTGTTCTGTCACCCAGGCTGAAGTGCAGTGGCGCAATCATGACTCACTGTAACCTCAAACTCCTGTCTCAAGTAATCCCCTTGCTTCAGTCTCCTGAGTAGTCAAGACTACAGGTGCCCGCCACCATGCCTGACTAATTTTTTCATCTTTTTGTAAAGACAGTCTCGCTATGTTGCCCAGGCTGGTCTTGAACTCCTGGGCTCAAGCAATCCTCCCACCTCTGTAATCCCATTACAGAAATGAGCTACCATGTTCAGCCTGCTTGGTTCGTTTTTGATGCATAAGGCTTTGGGGAATTATTTACCTTTTCCTAGCAAAAGGGTCCCCTGTTATAAGCCAAGTTGAATTCCACCCCCACCCACTCAAAAAGTAGACAAGCATCATGACATGCACCACTACCTGTTATTAGTTGGCTGCTCTTCCGTTTTAATTTCTCTTGTTGCTCTTGTGTAGGAGGCTGGATCAAGTTGGGGGATGAGTAAGCTATCATTCCCAGGTGAGAACTGAATTATTACGGGCACAACTGAGAAGGCCAGCTTTCTGTCTATGACTCCTTCAGTCCAAAGACCTGGAACATCTATTGTCTTTGCTTGGGTTAGAGTGCTGGGAAGAAAGCTGTTTCCTAACACTCGCTTGCCAAAGTTGATTCAAAGCAACTGTGTTTGATTTGGTTAAAATGCAACTCCGGGTGCTTTAGGCTTTAAGAAAGGTCAGACCCACTGCTCCACTGAAAGCTTTACATTCCCCAGGGTCCTGTTGACATGGCAGGAGTCAGACAGACTGGCTCCAGCACTTACTAGCTGTGTGACCTTGGGCAAATCACTTAACCTCTCTGAGCCTCAATTTCCTTGTCTGTTAGATGAGAATACCTTACAGAGCATGTGCCTGCCACTCTGTGAGTCCCTTGTCACTTGTGGATTGTGGAGCCAAGGGCTGCTGCCATCGCTCTGCTCATGCCACTACTGGAATCTTCCCTCCTGGCTGTCTAAGGGCTGCAGCAGCAGGATGAGGAATAGGATGACCAACTGTCCTGGTTTTCCCAGGAGTTTCAGCACTACAATCAGGAGGGTCTTGGGCAAACTGAGACCTCGTGGTCATCCTAACACTGAAAAGCCAGATCTTTCTACCACGCAGGTCTGCAAGGACTGTATCTGCAAATCTCCTCCCACTGCTTCCTGTGCTAAGGAAGAGCTATAGATGAACGTCTGTGTCCCTGTTCTCTATCAGTGAAATAAAAGAAAGTTGATAATGATGCTATACGTATTTATTTTTATGAATAGGCAAAAACTTTAACCAGTTCCTTGCATATCACTAAAAAGGTATTTTACACACGTGAGCAAACATATATACACATATATTCTTTTTTCTTCCTGTAAATCGTAGCATTCTATGTACAATGTTTTGTTTCTTGCTTTCTACACTTAATATACAATGAACCCTTTTAGATGTTGATACATATTAAGTGGTTTCCTTTCTTTTTACAATTGCATAGCATTCTACTAAATGAATGTAATGTGATTTATTTAAACAATTCCCTATTGAAAGACAGTGCTTTCAAATCTTATTTTATTACAAATGACACTGCAAAAACTCTGTATATACATGTCATTTTGCACTGGTCTGAGTACATTGATAAAATAAATATCAAGAGTTGATGACTTTAAAACTAGTCCGCTGGGACCATAAAGCCTAAACACCTATAAGTTTTGGGGGAGCCAAAAACATAGAAACAGGAAACCCAGTGAAAGGAACAATGTAAAGGGAAGCTTAGCCTTTAAGCCTGTGTCTTCTCAAATATCTCTGCCCCTCCCCCCTTCTTCTTTTCTATTACTGGAATTCCTAGGGAGGGTAAGGATCACTAATTGTTTGGGGTATGGGGAGGAGGTGAGCAATCTGAGCCCAGGCTGACAAAGTTCTGAAAGTGGTAACCTGGCCCTTGGTAATTGACCTGGGACTAGCTGCATCCAGGAAGGAGGAAGAGCTCTGCTGAGCCCGCCCAGAACTACTTATAGGTTTGAATGCTGGCTTTGCTGCCTACTAGCTGTGCAGCCTTGAACAAGCCATTTCACTGCGACAAGGGGCCTACTGTTAAGTTGGTAGGATGGAGATACAAGCTCTGGTCTATGTTAGTTCAAAGTCTGTGTTCATGCCACAAAACTGGCCTTTTAACTTTCTGAGCTAACCGTGACCTTAGTAATGAGTAATCTTAGATCTCCCTGCCCTGTTAGAGATTATGAAAATAATGCTCCAAGAGGGGCTGTGCTTACTCAAGTCAAATAGCAAATTAGTTGTAGAGCACTGGGCCTCAGGCCACCGTATTTCAGTTGTGTTGGGACTCCTCACCAACCTCCGTAAGGTGAGTGAAGGTGCCCTATAACTGCAGCCATTGAGATTTCACTGTATTGGGAATGCCTCTTGGAATATGTGCACAGTTACAGGGCTCTAGGGGAATGGCATGGAATGGCATGTGAGGAAACCAGCAGGAAAATGGCTTGACTCTAAGAGTAGGATCAAAAGGAAGGGCTGGGTAAGAGCTTTGGGGGTTTGAGGAGAAAAGTGGCTTATGATAAACCTTCCTGCAGAAGGTTGCCTTTGCTCCACAAATCCAGGGAAGACTCAAAGTTCTGAGTAGGGGAAAGAGGATTGTTTCTGACCATTGGAGAGCCAAAAGCCAAGAAACAGGAAATCCAGTGAAAGGAATAGTATAAGTGGAAGCTTCATGGGAGACACCTATGGCTACAGCAGTAGTTGCTGCTTGCCTAGAAAAGAAGCGTTTTGGTCACACAAAGTTCCTCCAAAAAGATACCAGGGTAACTTGGACCCTGGTCCTCAACCTAAGCAAGATCACAGAGGTCAGGACATCAGTTAGCTTATCTGGTGCTGCCATCGCATAAAAAGTGACAAAGCAATGCCTGCTTCCAATTGCCTTCTTTTCCATTCTTTTACCTGACCATAAGCTACCAGAGAAGAAGGTTCTGCTAACATTCCGTGGACGTTTATTCTCTCAGGGACACTTCCCTCACTGCTTCTAACTAACCCTGGGCTCCCACCACCAAGAAACATGCCCTGTTTATCCTAACCATCTACTATGAGAGCTGTGGCTCCTGTTGTGACTCTGGCGATGGCCCTCATTAGAAGCAGCAGGAGTAGCAATTTCTTCTCTAAGTTTCTCTTCAACCCTCCTTCTCCAAAGGAAGAGATTTGTTTCTGGCTGGCAAATGCCTGCTATTTGCCCTTGCTTTACATGCATTATCTTATTTAATGCCCGCAGCCACAGTCCTGTGAGGGAAGTGAAGAAGTTGGGGCTCAGAGAGGTTAAGTGTCTAGTTCTAAGTCGCAGTGAATAGCAGAGCTGGGGTTTGAACCCTGATCTTTTTTACTTTACTGTCTCTCCCCACCCCACTCTCATATCAAATAACTACATGATGACGGTTATCATGATCTGACTTGGGTGTGAGATCTAACTTGGGGATCACTTCAGTTCACTTCTTTTTTCCCCCAGGGGCCACTATTTCACCCAGCAGGAAAAGCCATGGACCAGTGATATCTGCAGATTTCCCACTAGTTTAGCTGAATTTCTTGAAGGGGACCATGTACTGCAAATGATTTCACAAGAAGGCAGGGAAAAAAAAAAACAGTCCTTTAGAGAGGTACCTGAAATGTCATAATCCTGAATTTTGCATATATACAACTTTGTAACAATATGCTGGACCATGCTTGGGAGCTTCTAAATCTGGAGACTTCAGCCCCCAGAGGTATTTAAAAGTGCTTGCAACCTAAAGCCAAAAAGGAAGCTTGTAAATATGCAAATACAGTTATGCCTCACTTAAAGACAGAGATATATTCTGAGAAACATGTCATTAGGCCATTTCATCATTGTGCTAACAAGAGAGTATGCTTACACAAACCTAGATACCTAGATGGTATTGCCTACTACACACCTAGGCTATATGGCATAAACTATTGCTCTTAGGCTACAAACCTGCACAACCTATTACTGTAATGTAGGCAGTTGTAACACAATGGTATTTGTGTATGTAAACATAGAAAAGGTACAGTAAATATACAATATTATAATCTTATGGGACCACCATAGTATATGAGGTCCATCATCGACTGAGACATTGTTATGCAGCGCATGCCTGTATGTAACTTATTTGGCTACAACTCACTCAAACAGCAAAACAGAGAAACTCAATTTTGGTGATTTCTGTGCTCTGGTTTTTAAAAGTACCCATTTCTTTCCATTCATGGCTTTAAATGCCTCTTAGAAGTGGGGATGGTGAGCCCACATCACCTAAACACGTATACTTGGGAAGTACATGTTTACTCCTGAGCTGGGGAAATTGTTTTATTGCCAAACTGGACCCATGCAGACAGACATCTGAAGGCCTGAATAATACTTAAGAATACATTCACTAAAAAGTCCTCTGGGGAATAAGTGGTTAGATTATAAAGAGGGGATGTGTGGGTTTGGTTTTTACTTTTTCTCAGTTTTATGAAGTGGCATTACCAAGAATCATGAGGAAGGTAGACAGAAATTGATGCTAGACCAGTTGGTTCTGTTTGCTTCTTGCAGCAGTGGTGGTCTAGGGAAGATGAAATTCACTAATTCATTAGGAGTTGTGTATGAGTGGTGGGAAAAGGAGTGTGTGTGTGTATGTGTGTGTGTGTATGAGAGAGAGAGAGAGAGAGATATTCAGAAAGAGAGAGAGAGACTCAGAGAGAGAGAGAGAGAATGCCTCTGTACCACCAGTGGTAGGTGAGAGCAGGAGGAAAGTGTCAGGTAAGGTCACCTCAGGGGTTGGATTGGCTTGGGAGTAGAATGGGTGATGACAGATTGATGGGAGCCCTCACTCAATTCCTAAAGCTGTGGGTAGCCTTGCTGCCTCTGAGCAGAGGATTGTCCCTGGCTGAACACAATTGCCTCACATGGAGTCAGGAGATATGGTAGTTTGACAGTCTATCACACTTGGAGGGAAAAGAGAGGGAAGAGAAGTGACTGCATGAGACACTAGTCTGTCAAAGAAGAAACTATGTTGTGGGCCTTGGTTCCACAGAAATTACTGGCCAGGTAACAAAGCTGAAAAGCTGTACCAATGTGAATGTATTCTTGGTAACAGGAGGCTATCAGGGACAAGCCTCCTGGAGAAATAATAGTGAAATGAAGTGCTAACAGTTGGTGAGTCCTGACTATGTGGGAAGGACTATGCTAATCATGTTACATTGGTTATCTCATTTGATTTTAGCAACTCTGAAAGATAGACGCCATGCTAATCTGAGTCTTGGAGAGATGAAGTAGTTTCCCTAATGCGTTAATAAATGACAGAGCTAAAATCTCTCTTGAGGTTTCACAAGGACATGAATAACTAGTTATCCCTTCAGTGGAAGGAAAAAAGGAAGGTTTAAACCACTGGTCTTATTGGAAATTATATCCTATTCTAAGTCAATCGACAGAAGAAGGCAGATTTGGCAGGAGTTTGGTGGTATGAATCACAGCTTGTTGGTTCAGTTTTGTTTTTGTTTTTAATTTTAAATGCTAAAGTAATTAAAGTAATAATTATTTAATTTACACAGCACTTTGTTGGTTATAAAGATATTGAAGATTCTCACTTGATTCTGAACACAACCCTGAGGGGTAGGCCAGGTAAGTAATGCTATTGGCCTTTTTTTTTTTCAGGTAATAATACCGTGACTCAAAAAAGTGACTTGCCCAAGGTCATTAAGTAGTAAACTTGTTCTGGCCTTCTGACTTCCAGTACAAGGCTCTTTTCACTGTTATCGCCACACTTTATATGTTCTGTGTTGTTTGATATCATTTTGATTAGTAGTCCATATTTCAAAGCCTAGTTTTACCTTTCCTGTTATCCTGCAATAAAACTCTCTGCCATCATCACTGGTAAAGAAGTATGACATAATCAAGTGTGCCAGTGGCAGGCATTCTCTTGGTTAACGAAAGTAATATGACGCTGGACCCAAAGGGAAATTGTCCTCTGACCTGGATAGCTCCTAGTAATAAAAAAATTAACGTGGCCATACAATTACGCACAAAAGCATCACACAAGGATCTTACTGAGAAAGACTGAGAGTGCGGCTCTCAGTATTGCCTCCCCTCCCAGGGAGCAACTTCCCACAGCTTGTTCAGATGTTTTACCCTAGAACCTACTGCTACCTTTTTCACAGTGTTTCACCTCCATTTATTTCCCTGTTGAAACACCATCCAGATCTGCATCCTTTTCCAACTTCTCCCTGCAGGCAAAAACACCATCCAGATCTGCATCCTTTTCCGACTTCTCCCTGCAGGCAAAAACACCATCCAGATCTGCATCCTTTTCCAACTTCTCCCTGCAGGCAAACACCTGGTAAAATTACACTCCTCTCTAGCCAGGCTATGTATAAGGGATTAAGGTTGCTGAATCCTAAATGGCCACTAACTACAGTAATCAAATTCTAACACCTACCAGCCAGGGCTTAGAGCAAGGCTGACTGTTACCATCTGGATTTTGTGCTGCTCAACTCTTGATAGCATATCCAGAAGGGCTGACCATAAAAGTACAAATGCAATAAGAGAGAAAGAGAGAGGGGTGGGAGGGAAGGAAGAGATCAGTGGTATTATAACTCAGTCTGATAGGCCTGGAAAGGGAGGAGGAAGAGGAGTAGGAAATAAATAAGAATAGGATGAGCATGTTGCATTGGAGGGCTAGAGGTGGCAGCAAACACTCATAGACTTGTAGATGACAAGGGATGCTTATTTTCCCATCAATGACACATGGGATTCCCACTGGTCCTGGAAAGATCTCTGAGCCACCATTTCATTGACTCTGAGATTGTGCCCTAATCCATATGTGCTGCTCCCTGTTTAAAATTTCTGGGAAGAGGCAGTAGTGGCTACTGGGAAGAGAAGGGTTATCAGCTGCAATCTGGGGGACAGCCAGTCTTGAATCACACACACACAAAAAAAAAGCAAAACAGTGGGCAAATTTGTCCTGTGGGGGAGAAGAACTGTCTTTTAATTGGAAACAGGGCCTAAACAATAAAGCTTAATAAAGGGAAGGAGCAAGGGAGATGGCAGGGGAGAGTCCAGTTTGAAGCAAACTCACTAACAGCAATGTACACACCCAAAATTGAAACACAAATACCATGACACAGCTACCCTCCTCTTGCCCCTTCCACCCCTCCATGCATATAATTAAAAAGCAATGTTCTAATTAGACTGGCATCTGATATCTACACCTTTTCTGAAATATTGTGCTAGGCCCTTTGTATACATTAGTGCTAACAGTCACAACAATATGTGAGGTAGTTATTATCATCCTCATATTACAGATAAGACACTGAAGCTCAGAATGTTCAACAGACTTCTCCAAGACCACACACAGTTACAAAGAGGGATGACTTTGAACTCAAATTTGTCTGATTCCAAAGCCTAGACACATTTCTACTCATTATATCACACACACTGCCACTCTTTCCTGGAAAGTGGGGAGTGGTTTGAGGTGAGAGAGGGTGAATAGTTTGCAAAACCACGAGACACCTGAATAATACCACTTCACAGAAACATTTGCACACAGGTACAATATGGGCACCAATATGGCACCTGGGAAAGACAGTGGACTTAATGGATTCTGAACTTCATGGAGTTTAGCCACCAGCAGTAACCTGCTGTGTGAGCAAATCCTATCACTTCTCCAAGCTGCCATCTCCTTGCTAGGAACTATGGATAAAGATATGAAAATTTGGCACTTGATTCATCAAGGGAAGCCAAGGCATAACAGAAAAAACAAGCTATTAATATCGCTTAGGTCTGTTGCCATAAAGTAGCCTCCTACTTAATTTAACACTGCGGGGATAGACCCTGGGCCCAGGAATAGAGATTATTTCAAAACTGAGCAGGCCAGGAAGGCAAACCTCAGCATAAAACTCTCTGGGTAAATCACAAATATGTGTCATAGCCAAGTTATATCTGTCAGGCACAGTGCCCAAAGTGCCACAACTTACCCATAATTAGCACTTGATGGATATTTATAAAGTGAAATTGAATTGGGGAAAACACATCTGGAGAGGACAATGAAAAAGGTATTCTCAAATGTTCCTGGATTCATTTTTCTATCAATTGGCTCCTAAAGGCCAGTCACTATTGGAAGAAATACACTGAGGATTCTTATATTAATATATCCAAGCACATATATTTATGCAAAACCAATATAGTACAGCAAAAAGGAGTGTAGATTTGGACTCAGATAAATCCGAATTTGAAACACAGCTTCATCACTTATTAGGTGTGTGTCCTTGGGCAAGTCATTTAACTTAAAAACCTTTGCAATTTTATCTGTAAAAATACACATAATGGCATTCAACTCTCAGTAGGGATCAAGATAATGCATTAAAGTGCCCAGTATAAGGTAGAAACGCAATACATATTTCTTATTTCTTTCTGTGAATATGGTGGCTATATTTTTGACCCCTAAATTAGAACACAAGTCTTGTCAAGTATAAGTGTATATGTGGTTGCAACAGGGTAGTGGGGGCTCAATTTGATATTAGTGTTTTGCCCCAAATTTGGAAGCATAATTTACATATAAATAGTCCAAGCCCAGAAGGACTTTACTACCAGAGGTTAGGGTACTTTTGATTTGTGTGGATTAGTCCATGCAAGCACAGACTCTTTCCTTCCCATGAGTAACAGATCAAAGATCACTGGGAAAAGAAACAAAGACTATAAATAGAAAATCAAATTTATGTCTGTGCAAGAATTTGTGCTTACTGTAGACACTCATAGTGCTAGGACTCATGAGGTCCCCAGAGAAAAAAACAGAACCTATTACATCAGAAGGGCTTCTGATGATAGGTATGAAGACTTAAGGTGTGTTGAAAGAAATGCTCTATTGAAGCCTGGAAGAGAAACCAGTGTTAGAATAAGGGGATGAGAACAGTTAGTATTAGTGAACCCAAGTGTTTGTATCTCTTTAAATTTAGCACATTGACATTTCGAATCTAATGCTCTCGAATGTTTATTATTAAAACATCGAGCCAATTTTTGAAGGCCCCAAAAAAGGGCTGAGTTGAAAATATCCTCTTCTGTTGTATTCCATCAGCCACAGTTATGGGAAACGTAGTTTCAAGAGCTGCTATAATCTGCCATAACTGAGGCATCACCATTCACCTGGTGTCAATGTATTCTAGTCATAGCATAACGTAATTCTGGGCCAATAACCTAAGAGGAAAGCAATAGCTTTTAGAGTCTAACCTTGCAAACCCCAAATTAGTTACATGACATAAAAGTAAATATCACAAGGCCATTTTTCCACGAAACCAACAATGACGAGCAGGGTTTTATCATACCAATGAGTAACATCTATGACTTTACTGGACAGGACCTGGAAGTCTACAATTATATACTACGTAACAGCTTCTGCCATGCACTTAGCCTAAAACAAAAATCCAACCCTTTCTTATTCTATTATACTTTGTCATTCATGTGCTTTGGGCTCTCAAGGAAAGTCTAGATGTAGAGTTATACAGTGACAAATGGCAAATGCATCTTCTTATTTACTGCATGCCTTTGGGAAGCTAAGAGAATTGGAGTGGGTGTCACAGTAAAAAAATCCGTCTCTTTGCTCATGGCTATATGGGATGACTGTATAGTTAACTTGTCCCCTCCAAATGGCTGTTCTTACCTTTCCTAGAAGTTCCTCCTCTTCCATTTACCTTTGATGCAGAGGCAGGAAATGCTAATTCTATTTAGTTCTCGATTCTGTCAGGAGCACTTGAAGATTTGCTATACCAACAAATCTTTTGGAAAACCAAAAGAACTTTTAATGTGGGGAAGTGAGTATAGAGTAGGTGGGCATAGCTTATGCTAATAAACTTTCTCTGCTTATTATAGAGAAATTAGCTATAAGGGAACAACCCATTTGCCTTCAATCCTCATGGCTTCCTGGTGAGCAGAACTTCCACTTTAGTGTTCCTAACTTGATGAGCTTTTTGACTTCTCCAGGTCTTTCTCACCTAGAGACATGGTGAAACTCTTTTCCAGGCTCATGATTCACTGAACTATTTTTACCCAGGAGTAGCAAGTTACATAATGAGAAATAACAGGGAAACATGAACTGAAAACCTCATAAACTTTAAGTAAATATGAAAGGGGACAGTCTCTCTTACCTCAAAATGTATAAAGTGCATACACACACTATCTCCTCATTCAAGGACTCAGAGGTGCCTTGGAATCCCTGTGGTCAATCGTGGTTTACTAATTGATTCCCATATATGAATGTTCTCCAAATAGCATGTTTGGAGGTAAGAGGACATTCTAACTGATGGCCTGAAACTAAGGTGGGTACACGAATATTTGGATGAGAGAAGATAGTTCTGGAATGAGCGAATAGTAGAATCAAAGAGAGAAGCAGTAGTTAAAGGAAAAGCTGTCAGTGAAGGATTTCAGGAAGGCAAAATTCCGTGTATAAAACCTTTTACTGTATGGAAAAAAAGCATCAAGCACACGTTTTCCATGATGCTTAAAATGTTTTATACATTCTGCCTGATTTGTCCTTTCAACGTCCCACAAAGGTAATTGAGGAAGTAAGTTATCATTTTCATAACTCATTGCCTCAGTAGATACACTTAGAGAGTGCTTTCTCTTCCCCAAGTTTAAAATGCAGTAAAATGTCATATTTTCTTAATAGCATCTATTTCTAAGAATGTCAAAGTATGTTACAGACCATATTCATTTTGTATTATTGCCATTTATATGGTTTTTAACAGAATGTGTGTGTAGCTATATATTAGCTTAAGTATAAACCTTTTAATACATTGATATAAATAAATAAAAATGATGTCATCTTATGTCTTCTTCCTGGGCCAAAATGCTTTCAGGGTCTCATTGATACACTTCAACAATGGATCTTGAGAAATTTCATAGATAATATTCCTTGTCCTCTTGTTGAGTTCTGTGTTCTAATGCAACCTACAGCCCCAAAAGAGGCTTCTTGAATCAGAATGCTCAATTAATTTCCTCAAGGTAAATCTCACAAGGCCATTTCTTCACATAACAAACAACCTAGAGCAACTAAGAGCTAAAAAATATGTGAAATGCACATTTTCAAGTCTCATAACAGGCACCCTGCTTAAGTTGGGTACTTTGCTTGAATCCAAGATATAATGCCATCTATTTTCTGAATGGAATATGAAGTCACTCAGGTTTATGTAACTATATTTAAATGAAAGCATAAAACACATTCCAAAAGCCAAATATAAATGTGTTTTGATTAGTCATGCCACAACTGAGAACTGATGATTACAAAATTCTAAACAAACAAACCTATTAAACTTCTTGATTACAGTTTAACAATGGGGCTGTAAAACCCTGGGCTCAGCTGTGTCAAGGTACCCCCTTGACAAATAAGAAGAAGAAACAACACTATTTCAGGACACGGTCACCAAAAAACAAAATGTGTGAAGCTGCTCTTTTTGACCTCTCTCCGTCTCAGGATGATGAGACAGATTATGGGGAGTAGATCTGTGTGGGTTGTGGCCTCAACTCTAAGTGGGACCTTGCAGAGGATTCATGTATGTATTACATTTCTATTGTTGAGTAACAAATTACCACAAACTTAGTGGCTTAAAAAGTAAACCATTTATTATCTCAGTTTCTGTAGGTTAGAGGCTCAGGCACAGCTTAGCTGAGTCCTCTGCTTCAAGGTGTCACCAGACTGTGATCTAGTTATCTTCCAGGGCTATGTTCTCATCAAAAGCTTGGCTGTGGAAAGGTATGCTCCCAATCTCCCTTAGGTTGCTGGCAGAATTCAATTCCTTATGGTTACAAGATTGAGGTCTCAGTTTTTTGCTGCAGGCCATGCTTAGCTCCTACAGGCCACCCACAGTTCCTTGCTACATGGGCTTCTCCAACATGGCCACTTACTTCATGGCTGCTTATTTCTACAAAGCCAGTGAAAGAGAGTCTGACTAGCTCGTCTACTAGCAACACAGAGTTTATATAGATACATATAGTAACATTATCACAGGAGTAACATCTCATAACTTTTGTCATATTCTGTTGGTTAGAAACAAGTCACAGAAATTCACAGATCCTGCCTACATTCTAGGGGAGGGTATTATACAAAGGGGTGAACACCAGGAGGCAGGGATCATTTGAGGTCACTTTGGGGCTTGTTTGCCACAACACACCAACAATTCTACCCTAGGAAACTTCAAGTCCAGTGGCATAAATCCTCCCATTTCCACTGTGACATCCCTATGCCAGAGAACTAACATCTTTTACAACAGATGCTGTACTTTTAAATATACTGTACTATACTTGAGCACAAAATGACACAGATAGAACCAAAATGTATTTTTAATACATAAAACAAAGAAATTATGTCCTACATATAAAGCAAAATATTTAGCATCCAAAAAATGTTATTACTGGGGTTTAAAAAAACACTATTGCTATTTTTAAAAATAATTATAGACTCACAGGAAAGAAATGTGCAAAGAAATGCAGAGGGAGGTTCTGTGCACCCTTCACCTAGCTCCCCCAATGTTAGCATCTTGTATAACTATAGTATGATAGCAAAAGCAAGAGAATGACATTGGTACAATCCATAGAGCTTATTTAGATTTCACAGTTATACATGCACTCATTTTGTGTGTGTGTGTGTGTGTGTGTGTGTGTGTGTAGCTCTATGCAATTTTATCACATGTGTAGCCTTGGGTAACTATCACCACAATCAAGATACTGAACTGTACCGTAGGCACAAAACTCTCTCCTGCTATCCTTCTATAGCCACATCTACTCCTTCTGCCCCCTCCCATCCCTAATCCCTGGCAACCACAAATCTATTCTCCTTTTCTATAATTTGTTAATTCACAATGATTACATAAATGAAATCATTCAGTCTGTACCCTTTCGAGGTTGGCTTTTTACACTCAGCATAATTCCCTTTGGGTTCATCAAAGTTGTGTTGCTGAGTAGTATTCCATGATAAGAATGTGCCATGGTTTTTATAGCCTATGGGTAGTCTCCAGTATTTGGCTATCATAAATAAAGCTGCTATGAATATTTGTGTGTACATTTCTGCATGAAAATAAGTTCTCATTTCTCTGGAATATATGCCCAAGAGTGTAATTGCTGGGTCATATGGTACATCCATGTTTAATGTTAACAAAAAAACTGGCAAACTATTTTTGAAAGTGACTGTATCATTTTACATTTCCACCAGCAATTTATTTTTTTAACTTTTATTTTAGGTTCAGGGGTACATGTGCAGGTTTGTTATATAAGTAAGCTCATTTCACAGGGGTTTGTTGTACAGACTATTTCGTCACCCAGGTATTAAGCCCAGTACTCAACAGTTACTTTTTTCTGATCCTCTCCCTCCTCTCACCCTCCACCCTCAAGTACGCCCCAATGTTTGTTGTTCCCCTCTTTTTGTCCATGAGTTCTCATCATTTAGCTCCCACTTATAAGTGAGAACATGCAGTATTTGGTTTTCTGTTCCTGCATTAGTTTGTTAAGGATAATGGTCTCCAGCTCCATCCATGTTCCTGCAAAAAACATGATCTCATTCTTTTGTATGGCTGCATAGTATTCCATGGTATGTATGTGCTACATTTTCTTTATCCAATCTGTCATTGATGGGCATTTAGGTTGATTCTATGTCTTTGCTATTGTGAATAGTGCTGCAATGAACATTCACATGCATGTGTCTTTATGGTAGAATGATTTATATTCCTTTGGGTATATACTCAGTAATGGGATTGCTGGGTCAAATGGTAGCTCTGTTCTTAGCTCTTTGAGGAATTGCCACACTGCTTCCCACAATGGTTGAAGTAATTTACACTGCCACCAAAAATGTATAAGTGTTCCCTTTTCTCCACAACCTCACCAACATCTGTAATTTTTTTACTTTTTAATAGCCATTCTGACTGATGTGAGATGGTATCTCGTTGTGGTTTTGATTTGCATTTCTCCAATTATTAGCAATGTTGAGCATTTTTCTCATATGCTTGTAGGTTGCGTGTATGTCTTTTGAAAAGTGTCTGTTCATATCCTTTGCCCACTTTTTTTTTTTTTTTTTTTTTGTAAATCTGTTTAAGCTCCTTGTAGATGCCGGATATTAGACCTTTGTCAGATGCATAGTTTGCAAATATTTTTCCCATTCTGTAGGTTGTCTGTTTACTCTGTTGATAGTTTCTTTTGTTGTGAAGAAGCTCTTAAGTTTAATTAGATCCCGTTTGTCAAATCTTGCTTTTGTTGCAATTGTGTTTGGCGTCTTCATCATGAAATCTTTGCCAAGTTGTATGTCCAGAATGGTATTGCCTAGTTTGTCTTCCAGGGATTTTATAGTTTTGGGTTTTACATTCAAGTCTTTAATCCATCTTGAGTTAATTTTTGTATATGGTGTAAGGAAGGGGTCCAGTTTCAATCTTCTGCATATAACTAGCCAGTTATCCCAGCATCACTTATTTAATAGGAAGTCTTTTCCCTATTGCTTGTTTTTGTCAGCTTTGTAGAAAATCAGATGGTTATAGGTGTGCAACCTTATTCCTAGGCTCTCTATTCTGTTCCGTTGGTCTATGTGTCTGTTTTTGTACCTGTACTGTGCTGTTTTGGTTACTGTAGCCCTTTAGTAAAATTTGAAGTCGAGTAACGTGATGTCTCCAGCTTTGTTCTTTTTACTTAGGATTGCCTTGGCTATTCGGGCTCCTTTTTGGCTCAATATGGATTTTTACATAGTTTTTTCTAGTTCTATGAATAATGTCATTGGTACTTTGATAGGAACAGTGTTGAATCTCTAAATTTCTTTGGGCAGTGTGGTCATTTTAATGATATTGATTCTTCCCATCCATGAGCATGGGATGTTTTTCCATGTGTTTGTGTCATCTCTGATTTCTTTGACAAGTGTGTTGTAATTGTCCTTGTAAAGGTTTTTCACCTCCTTGGTTAGCTGTATTCTTAGGTATTTTATTCCTTTTATGGCAATGGTGAATGGAATTGCGTTCCTGATTTGGCTCTTGGCTTGGCTGTTGTTGGTGTATAGGAATGCTAGTGGTTTTTCTAGATTGATTTTGTATCTTGAGAGTTTGCTGAAGTTGTTTATCAGCTGAAGGAGTTTTGGGGCCAAGACTATGGGGTTTTCTAGATATAGAATCATGTTGTCTGCAAACAGGATGGTCTGACTTCCTCTCTTCCTATTTGGATGTCCTTTATTTCTTTCTCTTGCCTGATTGCTCTGGCCAGGACTTCCAGTACTATGTTGAATAGGAGTTCCACCAACAATTTATAAGTGATACAGTTCCTCTACATCCTCTGTAGCATTTGGTGTTGTCATTACTTTTTTATTTTGGCCATTCTAATAGGTGTATGGTGACATCTCATTGTGGTCTTAATTTGTATTTCTCTAATGGCTAATGATGTGGAACATCTTTGCATTTTTTGCTTATTTGCTATTGTATATCTTCTTGGATGAAATGTCTCTGTGTGCCTTTTGTCTCTTTTTTAATTAGATTTTTTGTTTTTTAAATGTTGAGTTTTTAGAGTTATTTATAGAGTCCAGATACAAGTCCTTTGTTGGATATGTGACTTGAAAATATTTTCTCCTAATCTGCAATTTGTCTTTTTATCCTCTTAAGAAGTTCTTTTACAGAGTAAAAGTTGTAAATTTTGATGAGGTATAATTGATCAATTCTTACTGTTCTGGCTCATGCTTTTGATAGCATATTGTTATATATTGCCTTTGGAGAAACGTTCTTCATGAAATTCTTTCTGCTGTCTTTCATGCTTTTGGAGGCTTTTACATTTATGTGCATACATGTGTGTATATGTATATGTGCATGTGTACGTGCATGCATGTGTGCATGTGCATGTACGCTGACTGGTCTAACTAGAAAAGCTTGAGCTTATTGCTCATGCATAAATGCTAATGCATATGTACTACGATGGAATTCATAGAACCATAGCTCCTAGAGCTGAATATAATACTGTAAAAGATATTATCTAGTGAGGGTTTATTTACCATGCCTGATGTGCATGGGGAGGAAATAGCTCATAAAATTACAATTCCTCTTCAAATTATACTGCTCCATTTATAAAAATTAAATAGGGAAGCATGACTATTGTGTGTGTATATATATAATATATATATATTTATATTTATATAAATCTGTCTTGATTTATATAAATGTCTTGAAAAGTATGTGGTCATACATAAGTCAAAAATCTAAAATTCGTTAATGTCTACGAGAAGTAGTATGTGTGTGTGTATGTATATATATATATATATTATATATATATATAATATATATATATTATATATATATATAATATATATATATTATATATATATATAATATATATATATATATATTATATATATATTTCACAGAAGTTGAGATCCAAGGCCACTGTACAACAAATGCATGACACACCTACTTAATAAGGAACCAACATGAATCAAAATTCAGTAAACTGGAACTCACTGCAGAGCACTGGTTTTAGGTGTTTCATACAAAGACAATCAGATTCTATGAGCTTACATTGTCAAACACTGACTAGTTATCATTATCCGCCAACTCTCAAAACCCAACTTGGCTTAAGGTAGGGCTAGATTTCTGACACTTTCCCTTGGGTTGTACCAATATTTAACCAATTTCTGTTATTTGCAGGATAATCCTTTGTGTTCAGGGCAGAGTCCAAGTGACTTGCTTGGATTTCCAGTGAGAAATTCTCTTGGGAAGGAGGGGGAGCAGTAACTCAGATCTTCTGTATTCTTTTCGGAAATCTTTCAGGACATAAATGTTGCTTTTCAATTATTTTTTTTAAAAAAGGAGCGACTTAAAGGTGACATAAAAATAGCAAGTACTGAACAAACTACCCCCACCCCAGTCAACCTCCAGATAAATGTGGTGGACAGTTTATTTGGGACCCTTAAGCAAAAACATCTGTAAAGATCCTTTGACCCTTTGTTAAATGTAAAATAAATGGATCTCCAGCCACCTGGACAACTCAAATGCAAGAGCTATTTGTGTGGTATTTCTAAACATCGAAAGAGAAATTAGGCATCTGGCAGAGGTTACATCCATTTTTTGGGTGGGAATACTTTTAACCTTTTATTAAAGCTCCTTTCTCTTTTTTTTTTCCATCTCATACCCAGTACTTCCATCTTGCAGGCTCTGGCCCCAATACCATTTCCTGGATCCCAAATGGCTGATCTGAAATAGGGCTATTTGATCTTCTGGGAGCTCCCCAGATAGTTCTGATTTATTTATTTATTCATTCATTTTTTGTGATCAGCCCAGTCTGCTTAGGGACATCTGGGGGTGGGAAGTGCTTTCTAAACAAATTACTCTATTAATTATCCGAGAATGCCCCTCACAGGACTTGACTAAAAGACATAATGCTAGACTCCTACACAGAAACACTAACTCATACTAGTAGGAAGAGAAACACACATACATCAGCAGGGGCAAATCCATATGAGTGTGCATAAGTATACACACAGCCACAAATGGACTCAATAATGCATGGAGGGCGTGAGGTAGGGAGTGGTGAGCTTCAAAATAGATTCTCTTGTTCTTCCGAGAGTCTGTAAAGTCTGCATAGCTATCAGGAGCTCACAATGAGCACTGGATGACCAGTATCCCTTAATAGTGGTGACTCAGAAGATCAGATGCCTACTATGAGTCACAGTTGAAGGTGTCCCAACAGTGAACCAGGTTAAGGGCTTCTATCTGCTTTCTGACCTAGAACTCCCCCTGCAGGATGCCCTAGGAATAATGGTCTTCATTGCCCCAGAGGGACTGCAGGAACCTGTGAAGCAGGGAGGAATGGGGAAGTGCCTCTGTATTCACCCTGATAAAATAATTGCCAGGATATTAGAATGAATTGAGTGGCATCTTTTCCTGTGGTGAGTATTGGGGCCTTTTATCCCAGAGCAGGGGCAGGGTAAAGTAGAAGTCATTGTTGTCAGCTTACAGCCTCAACAGCCTGCCCACACTAGCTTGCACACATCAGTTTCCTTCTTTGTTGAGATCACCACTACATTGCAGGAAGATCAAGCTCTGGAATGACAGTTGTATGCTAAACCACATGGTGACACCCCAAAGCAAGAACCATGTGCCCTTTAGGGTGGCAGCCCAGGGAGTAGTCAGAGGGGAGATAGCGGAAGTAACAGCATTTGAGATATTACCCATTTGGAGCCTCATCTCCTCCCTCACTCCTCCTGTTTTTCCCCTCCTTAAGTGGAACCTGGGAAAGATCCACCCAAAGGTGATGAAATATTCAAATACCTCATCAATAGCCATCCCACAGAGGAAGTGTCTGCTGTAGTAGAAGCCTTGGTTGAAACATCTAAGACAACGTTCAATGGTATTGGGACTAGAAGACACTGAGGAGAGACAAGGCGGACTAATTTATTGTTTATTTTTCCTCCCTCTGCGCAGAGATAGAAGCCACATGCCAGAGAACAGAAACCCTAAGCTGCCTCTGAGGAAATAATGTAATGGGTCATACAAAGACTCTAGTGATCAGCCTCCCTAGAGAGAAAAGGCAATGATGAAGCACAGTGGCTTCAAGAGCTGAGCCGGCTCACAACCACTCCTGTGCTACTGTTTACACCACTAGTACCACGACCTTGCTCAGACACGCATGGGGTATAGAGGGCCCCAATAGCACCTACGACTGAGTTGAAGCTTTCTTGACTGACTTCTCCAGCTACAGTACTTTAACTTTTCCCACGAAAGTCCCCCTGGCAACTGAGAGTCAATCCCTCGAATTGACTTTAGCCTAGAAAGGATGACTAACTGTATGTGGCGTTTTTTAAATATTTTCTTTCTTCTAAATCATAGAAAATGTGTAGATTAGCCTTCTGCGAGATGGACTTGAGAAACAAGGCACACATTGTTGTCCTTTATGCTGAAATGTAGTACAGGTGAGAGTGATGACTAGTCATGTATACACATGGCTGCAAATAATTGTGGTCACTATCTTCCATGCTCTACACACAAACCCTATCCTTGAGGCCAGCCTTATCCACTACTCACACTAGATATTTTTCATACTTTTGCAACTAAGATTCATATTTGGCTCCATATGCAAAAAGACATTCTGTTTCTGAGAGTTCCTGACTAGAACGGTCTGCACATACATTCTCATTTGCTGGAAGTCCAAGGCCAAGCCATGCTGTATTTCAGTGTGTTCCAGAAAGCTTTTCTTCATCCTCTAGGCTTCTGATTACTTGACCACATCATACACTGGCTGTTTAGTTTCCAACTGCCATTTATAAAACACAGAGCACCAACTCAGATGAGTGGAACTGTGATGGGAACTTGGATGTTGCTGCCCTGCCTTTTTTATCTGGCTGACCTTGTTCCGTTGGTGGGCTTCAAGTGGCAGCTTTCCACTGTATACAGAACTTGATCCTGTTGCAGGATGACACATAAGCTAGGTTTGCCTCACACTTCCCAGAAGGTCAGTGCTGTCTCTTCACAACCATTTATAATCATTTGTCTGTCTTCTAAGGTGTATGCTTAGCAAACACAGCCATTTGACCACAGCAGTGTATACATGACTATCCCTGGCATTCATGTTATTTTTAGACTACTGAGTCAAAGTTCTTCCCAGAGGACAAGAGGCATGCTCTGCCATGAGCCTCCTCTATGAAATCTCAAGGCTACTTGAGACCATGGATTAAATACCTAAATCTGTCTTCATTTCACCTAGAGATGGAGAGTTGACTATAGAAGATATCATCAACTGTGAGGAGCCTTAGGATCTTGGAGACCTTGTCAGGGTAGCCAAACTTGATATCAGAGCTCAGGTCTCTTAATAGTAGCAGATGTTGCAATGTCAATGCATAAACAGAATAGCCTTGTTCCCTCCAATTCGTCTTATGGATATAAATCCATGCATCAGAAATTGTGTCTGCCATGTTTGTTATGCTGCAATCTCAAGTTACAAGGCCATCCTAGGAAAATATAGTTGTCAGTGTTCTCAGATTCAGAACAACTCTAATCAAGAGGGGTGGCAGGGAGGAAGGCAACACAAAATAGTTTTCTTCTCTAAGTGAAAAAATAAAAAAATGGGGCTTTGAAATTTAATGGCACTTCTCTAGTCCTCTATGAATGGGAAAAAAACTCTATGTAGATATTGAATTAATGCCTCTATCTACTTGAAAAATCTACCTAGGAGAGACTCCAAGTGAAAAGAGCTTCTTTCAGGACTTAAGTTTCTCCAGCAATTTCTTCAGCAGTTGGAATAAAGTTAATACAAAACTTTGTGAACTCTCATACATTGATCATGAAAGGTCACCATTCTTTGCTGAAGGAAGTTCATCATTTTCCAGAATGATGAAAGTTCATCGTCATCCTCAATGATTGAAGGCAGGTCACCCAAGTGTTACTAATATTCTTGCTAGAGACAAGTGTAAATGAAATTGATGCCAATTCTATGCACACTGGAAATTATATATTTATATACAATTTATATGTAGAATATATATATGAGATAGTGATTAGTCAGATATTGTTAGCTCAGATGTCGGGAAAGATTAAAATAATCATTGACTGAAAACTCAGGAAATCCTACAATTACTAATATCAATGAAGTATCTACCACTTTTCTATGAAAAATTATGGCAACAGGCAAGAACTTACTATGAAAAAAGTCAGAGAGGTACATGCTAAGTACTCAGAAATACTTGTTGAATTGAATTGTGGATCTTTCTCTTAACATTCCCCTTTAACCAGAAGAGAAGGAAACAGCAGTAATTAAAGGGGATATATGACTCTGATGTTAAGATGCATTGTTAAGATAGCCATCCTTGTTGTTCTGACTTTTTCCTTATTCTGCATAGGGCACTCATCCTTTTGAAAGGAAAACGGACCAGAGGTCATGAGCAAGTATAGCATTTGCTTGAAACAAAATCAGTGTTCTCCACATTGTAGGGGCTACCATAGTTTTAAAGAATCAGTTAGGCACAAGGCACTGAACTAAGAACTTGATATGTCATTTGATCCTTAGAAAAACCTTACAAGGTGGGAATTATTAGACTGATATCATAAATAAGGAAAATGAGACGCAGAAAGGTGAGTGAGGGTCTTTGCCCAAGGTCACAGAGCTAGGAAATGACAGAGCTGGGATTGCAACCCAAATGCGTCTGACTCTGAAGCCCGCTATATTGCACTGCAACTCTCTCATTTACCCTCACACCGTACTTTCTGTAGGTAGAAGCAAATCTTAACTCCATTTTATAGACAAGGACATTAAGGCATAGGACAGAGAAGTATTATTCCAAAGAGTCTAAAACATTTCTTCTTTCATATAATCTAGGCTCCAAAGCGGGGAAGTGAAGTAAAGAAATCGCCTTCTTCACTAGGCTTCTACCTTAGAAAAATCTCTACCCAGCAATCAGTCTTAGTGACATAATGCTCAACAAGAGGCAGTGTACAAAATAATCCAACTTGCTGTGACAACACCACATTGTGGCAGAGATGGAAGCACAGCACAGTCCTGAGATGCACTTGTTAAAAAACAGTAGTAAGCAGGCAGAAATCTGGGCTCTAACCCTGTCCCCATGCTCTTTACTGTTTTTTAGTGAATGAATTCCACCATGTATTGGTGTCACATTCATTTTAAAGCTATGCAAAGTGCTTTACAGAATTCATAAGGCTTTAAAATACCTTTGAGCCTAGAATTTTAAAGTGCTTCCCAGATATTCTATGGTGGGAAATATGCTTGTTTGCAAATGGATAAATAAGAAGTGAGAGGTTAAAAGATTTATCTCAAATCACAAAGGCACAGCTAGGAATAGAGTCAGCCTGTTAAATCTCAATTCTGGGCCCAAAGCACTAGACTGGTGTGTTTTTAATCTCTTAGGAATTGTAGAACCTTTTGAGAATTCTGATCTCAGGAAGTCTCAAACAGTTTAAATGATGAATCATCATTATAAGCATTTTAAAAGTTTTAAGCCTTTTAAAAAATCAATCATTACAACCACCTTAAAATGGTATCTCATCTTAAGTCTGGATTTGTTTAGCCCTAAAGAAAGTAATTAGTCCTAAAAGGCAGGCAAGTGGCCCCCATTATCCCACTTTGTTTAGAGGAACCTAGATCATTTCTAGGCTCAAAGAGGCTGCTTTGAAAACCTTGTATTAATTATCTTGAGGTGGACTAGGAAGTGGTTTTGTAGTCTGGAGCCTTGGGCCTCAGTCTTGACTCTGATCTTCAGTTAAGTTTCCTTTAGCTTTGGTTTTCTCATCTGCACAATGGGAATTAAATGAATATCGCTAATTACAGAGGATTGGGGTGAGAATACAAGGACATAGGACATGGGAAATGCATGTGTATAAGGCATTAGAGTATGATACAAAAATCAAGGGGTAGTTTAGAAAGACAACTACATTTTTTGGCTATAACATGCCTGATTGGGAAGGTCTCTGAAGGCTCATTCTGCAATATTATAAGCCTAGAGAGAAAGCCAATTAGAAGTAGTATTCCTTACATGCATGACAAGGCCTTCCAAAAGTATGACAAACAGACATATACAGGAAACAAAACTGAGACTGAAAGATTCTCTTGAATACCAAAGACTGAATATAGATGTTCCTTCATGTAGCAACTGGCCCTGTATAAAATGCATGGGGGAATTAGCTCCCTTCTCAGACATGGACATCTCTGAAAGCCAATCAAGATCTGATGCTCTCATGGCAGAGAAAGATGGTGCATAGAAATGGGCAATCCAGAGGGGAAACGAAAGCATTGCAGACCCTCGGATGGCACCCACAAAGAATCCAGCCAGCCTGAGAAAAGGGTGAGTTGCAGAGTGGAGAGAAAATGAGACATTATCAACATCCTATGCTACCTCCTCTGACCATTTCTTTCTCCTTACTCCACTATTCACTTGTTCTCCCCCAGTTCTCTCACACCTTCAGGCTTAAAAAAAAAAAGAAAGAAAAAGAAAAAAACAGTTTTCCCATCTCTGTTCCTTTGCTCACACCGTTTTGCTTGCCTAGAATTCCCTTCTCATCACTCCTCTCAGCACCTCCACCCAAATAAGAAAAATTCTGGAATGTTCTTTTACTCATCACTGAACCCAAGTCTACCCCATCTTGCTAGGCCCCAATCAATTCTTATCTCCTTTAAATTTGAGTTTCTCTTGTGGCTATATTCATTTTCTATTTGAGATTACAGTTATTTGTATACTTGGTCTTATTTCCTTTACTTGACTATAATTTCCTTCCTTCAGGCAAATTACAGTTATTGGCACAGCGCTCAACACAGAGTAGGTGTTAAATGAATGATTTTAGATTATCATTGCCTGAGGTAAGCAGGCCACCATCATCTCTCACCTTGATTTCTGCAACAGCCCAAGTAACCTTTCTGCATTCTGTATTGTTCCCTTCCAATCTATCCTTTACACTGTCACAATATATATCTTAAAAACAGTACTTTCATTATGTTACTCTCCTACTCAAGAACATTAATTAATATCCTGCTATACATAATAAGGTCCAAATCCCTCTGCCTTTCTCTCAAAGCTCTTTGATATCAGCTGAATAGGGTTCTTGCTGCTTCCAGGTATTTGTGTATGTTGCTTGCTCCCTAGTAGTGGAATGCTTTCTCCTCTCCACAGATCTAAATTCAGTTGATCTCAAGTCCATCAGGAAGCCTTCCCTAACTTGAATTTGGAGCTAGATTGTCAGTAGGACTAATGCAAGCCTCTCTTTTTTTGTGAGGACTGAGAAGCAACAGCTAAGCTCTGATGTTCCTTTGGCAGTTCAAGTTTTATCTAAAATAGTTTTCTACTAATTACAAGAAAAGCCTCCTCCATCCTTTATTTGTCCTCTTTTATAATTCTACAGCATTATTCTCTGTACCACTTTTCCTGTAACAAAATCATATCTTTCCTTATATTGTTATGTACCTGTCTCCAATGTACACGTTTTGTCTTTCAAATGAGATTGCAGAATTTGCATCCATTTTGTTCTTTCCACAAACTGGGGACCTACTAGGTCTTCAGTTCACACTTTCAAACAATTACTGATTTATTCCCTGATTATTCTGTCTGGCCTTCCCTTTGTTTCCTCCACTGTCTGCAGCTGTTTTAAGGAGCTTATTATTCAGTTGATACCTAAAAGATGATGTTGACTTGGTAAGACCAGTTTTCTTTAAGAAAGTCCTCACTTTCCCTCAACATTTTCAGAGCAAATTTTATAATGCTCTGAGTATATTTTAGCTTGCTGTCTTTGGAGATCTTTTAATATCTGTATCTATCTATGTCTCTATTTATCTGTCTATCACTGCTTTGTTGTTCATGTTAATTCAGCAGTTATTAAGTATAGGTACTTAATACTTCACACTATGTGTGAAGAACATTAAAATAGAATTTTTACATACAGAACAATATATTCTCATTATTTTAATAAAAGAGAAGTATTTTCATACTCCTCCTATTAATAACTGGATAAATATTAACCTTCATTACTAGTTTCCCTAAGCGCAATATATTCCAAGGCTTATAAATAAGCAGTTGTGTAATGAGAGAAAAGACACTTGCATTCCATCCAATGGCAACACATTAATAATATTCCCCTCCTTTCAAAGCCATTTGGAGGATTTTCATCAACAAAGAGAGAATAGCCAAAGGAAAAATAGAAGTTATTGAAAAAATTACTCAGGATCAACCCTTTAAAGGAAAATGTTCCTTAAAAAATTACACATTCTTTCTCTCCTGGTTTGCTTCCAATACTTCAACCTCTAATTCAGTATTTTTCCCCTCCCCTTTTCCCTAAACATTATTTGCCCACATTTGTCTACACTCCCTTATTGTCATAATATACCAATTTTGTCAAAGCAAGGCACTTAACTGCCATCTGCTAGAAAATTGCCACAATGAATATATACATCTATGGTGTCTACAATGTGAAAGGTGTCCCATTAGACATGACACCCTCATATAGTGCACAACCTGTACAACTTTATGTGGTCATCTTGCCCTGCAGCTATTCTAGAAAGGGTAGAAGTTTTCCTTCTCATTTAAAAGGAAAAGTTGTTCCTTCTGATTGGAAACAAGGTGCCTGTTGGGGTTTCCTGCTCTCTGATTGGAGACTTCATATTCTCTTCCCTGACCAGACCATTTCAAGGTCAGGGTGCTAATCTGATCAGAGGCATTGGTGAAACAAGTTAAGGCTTTTCCTGTAATTAGTAGAACGCTATTTTAGATAAAACTTGGACTGCCAAAGGAACATCAGAGCTTAGCTGTTGCTTCTCAGTCCTCACAAAAAAGAGAGAGCCTTGGAATAGTCCTACTGACACCTAGCTCCAAATTCAAGTGCCAGGTACAGGAGAAATTTGACACTAAGGTAATGAGTCAAGAGCTTTTCAATTAAAGTGAAAAGCCTACCAGAAATAGATTAAATTCTGATTAACAGTTAAGATTAGTGAAAAGGTTACCAAATGGTACTTAGTTATTTGTTTCAACCTGCTCTCCATATAGTACACTTAAATGCAATAGTCTTTAGTGTTATTATGCTGTATTTAGTGTTATTATGTAGTATTTTAATAAATGTGCATTTTGGATTTTTTTAAGAACTGGGGAGATAAATCATCATTCTCATTTTTATTAAAATTAACTATGTTCATGACTGAAGACTAGTAATTCAAGACCACACAATCAATATGGGCCTCCTCCTAGTACATATGGTGTGTCTGTGTGAGTTAGAAAAATCTATAATCCTCTGGGAAGATATGAGGCAGTCCTGCTTACCACCGCCTACTGGTAATGCAAAGGTTTGCACAGGGTGCTATGGGAACCCTAGGTTCTGGGTGTCTAGCCCGGAGGGGATAGCAGTGAAGGCCTGCTGGATGAGACTGCTGAGCTGAGTTAATGGCACATCACTGGCTTTATTTAAGAGACATAAAAGCTAAGCCACAGAAAGATTAAGCAATTTACCCCATATTGCACCACCATCTAAATTGGAGTCCACCAAAGTGAGGTGACTTCCAATCTAAGAAGAGTCCAAACTCTTCAACTTCTTGCTACAAGTTACCACGGAGCAAAGATTTTTGTGAGAAAATTCCATACTGATATGCCTCACAGACACGAACATTAGCATATTAAAATGCAGGCACACCAAAATAACCCAGTCTTGCAGCATTTTAGGACAGCTCATTAACACCTATACCACAATCCTGGCAACCTTTAGTTCTTCATTTTATAGTTGCTGCAGCTTGCTACAGGAAGATGTATTGCATCAGCTCAAACTTCCTTGGACACCAACTTTAAGAGGCCTGAGTCATTCAAATCATTACCCAAAGTCCTTCGACCATCAAAGGCAGCAAACAAAAGTACCGCTAATTAATAATGTAATTAGGGTTTATTATAACTAGCATACATTTGTTCTAGGTCTGATTCACCCTTGCTTTGAACTGGCTTTGTCCTGTTTTTATCTGTGCTTAATTGTACTGTTTTATGTGCATTTGATTTTGTAAGATACTTCGTATCTTTTCTGGATGCAGGCAGAGTGTAAATTCTAAATAAATAATAAACAACGGATTAAAGTTATGTAGAATTAGCTCTTTTATGTGCTTCATGTACAGTTTATAGTACACTGAGGCCCCTTACAAATTCAATGTGGATGGTACGTTTATGCCTATTTTATAGGACTTGGAACAATTTTGCTGCTTTAAATGATTACAGAGGCTTACAGTTATATACTAGCTTTTACCACATATTTTTAGTTATATCTACAGTTTATTTGGTGTAGTGTTCTTTGTCAGGAACACAATCCCCAAAAATAATAAAGAGCTATAAGCAAAGACAGTGTGCATTATGACAACCCACTTTATGAGATAGTTTTAACACATTCCAGGTTAGGAGGAGGGAAGAAAGAAACTTGAGAGAACGGCCATGTTTCCGAGAAAGTATGATCTACCTTCTGGAATATTACAGGCCAAAATTTAAACCCTGACTTGTTTCTTTCTTTCTTTTTCTTTTTCTTTTTGGTCCCATGTGCTCCTGCATCACCAGCCTCCTTGCTAAGGAGCTAGTAATAAACAGGGAGCGCAAACACACTCTCCTCTTAGCCTAAAATAAGCAATTGGGAAGCTAAGTTATTTACAAACCCATTTTAGCATAGAAGAGGAGTGATAAAATACTGCATGTTTTATGTTAAGTGTCTGGCTTTCATTTATTATTTCATTGAGAAAAACATGAGATTCTACTGCTAAAAAGGTTTTAAAACCACTGGACTACCTGACCCCCAAAGGCTCTTTCCAGGACATTCTATGGGTCTATAATACTGAAGATAAAAGGCTTCACTGGATTTTCATCATGGTTTCTTATTTCCACTATAGAAAACACTGAAATGAAATAGGAAAAAATGTCATAGAGAAAGCAGATGAGACTTTTGTAACCATGTAATGTGGATAAAAGAGGGCCTGAAACAGCAGGAAAAGGATACTAGATAATATATTTATTTTCTCCCGTTTTAGCTTTTGTAGTTTAAATTGGAATTTAGCATACAAATAAATTGAAAGCTGGATAGTTTTTAATTATATGCCCCATCAGCCAACCCTCCACTTCAGCCATGTTATACTAATCAACAGCTCTTCAATGATTGCACAACATTAATCAGGTGATATACAAAATTTTGTCGGTTGCGTTTATTTATTTATTTTTCTGAGTCTACTTGCCAGGGAATCTGTTGTCTTTAAAATTTCAATAGGACTTGCCTCATCTACTTTATTTTTTACAATCTTTCAATCAGTACCCTATGATTCCCTGGCCCTGGCCTCACCTGCCCAATTCAAGTATAACTTCACTTCTACTGATACTTTTCACTGTCACTGCTTAATTTAATACCAGTTTTCTCTCCTCTCTGGGTTTGAGGGGGATATATTGTTCCTACGTTCCTCAAACAACTTCTTCATTTTTTCCCCTAAACTTCTTACATCAAAGTGAATTTGCTATCAGGCAGTCTCTCATATCTGCACCTAATCCATCTCTGAAAACTTGTTGGATGATGAATTTTGAATTGTAGGAACCTTTGTTCCATTATTTAGGTTGGAAAAGCGATAATGCATTCCCACCACATCTAAAAGTCCCAATATTTCTTCAAATATGGTAAAACACTGTTAAATGCCCATGTAACAATCCTCCAAATATGTATCATATTATAAAGCATTTAAAACACCAAGTACCTAATTATTGAACACTTAACAGACAAGCAGATACTTTGTGAGTAGGTCACAATAATGCCCTGCTATACGGAGTACAAAGTACTTCCCACACAAAAAAACAACCTTTCAAGCTGTTTCAAAGGTCTACCTTTGTGTTTCATCATTTTCATCATTAGAAAAAAAGACAGAGAAATTCAAAAAGTTCAGTGCCAGTAAGGAATTGTGGAAAGGCAAAGTAAGGCTTTTTCAGGAATTTCTAGAAAGAGGACTCACAAGTGCGAAGGAATATAATAAGAAAGCCATGAAGAGAACCACTAATGGGTACTTTGATTCCATGTGAAACCAAAGTGAAGCTCTCACATCCAAAAAAACAAACAAAAAAAATGTCACCAAGTTAAGTAAATTCAAGCAGAGGAGATCATAACAATGTCAAAATTATCATTTTAATTAGTCTTAACAGTCAAAGAGAGTTAAGTAGTTTGCACTAGAGGTGAGGTAGGGAAGAAAGGGACAGTAATATCCGAATTCTGGGTAAGAGAAAAGTTGTTTTACTCAAGCTCTGCAGGAGGGAAATTGTCACAGTAAGCATTAATTGAGGTTAGTGAGAAGGGTACCAACTTGCTAATTTTCTGAAATCAAGAATCTTGTTCTGCAGCTTCATTTACTGTCCTCTTTATTGTTTACACTTAGCTGTTTTAATAAAGCTACATCATATTTTCCTCTATAGTGCACAGTGATGTGAATAAACCATGAAATAATATGTTAAATGTACATAATAAATGCAAGTGACACTTATCAAGGGAAAATTAAAAACCAAGTTTATTATAAAATGGAACTGAGAAACTACTCTTAGAGTTGGGGTTCAGAGGACATCACCATGATGCTGGAGCTGACTTCAGGACAGTGAGGGCTCAACTGACAGAGCCCAGAGTTCATGAAAACTTTCTGGGTTTCAAGTCTCTTTACTGACAGCCAAGGAGCTTAACAATTTTTGCTCAGCAGGTACCTTTCATTTCCTGCGTCAAGCTGCAAAATCCCAGAAGAGAAAAGGTAGAGACATTTGCTGCAGGAGAAGGTAAATGAATGAACATCCAGGATTTAGTCCTACAAGCCATACTTTCATTCCCCTCTACTCTTGGAGGCAGGGAAAAGGCTCAGTCCTCAGAACTACTGCCTCTTGTTTCAGAAGAACACTGCAAAGCTCTGGATGTGTGGGTGGGTGGGGAGCATTAAGCATATCTCTCAGTATCCTACACGTGCTTGAGGGAAACAAGGGGTAAGAATCCCTGTCCTCAGGGGCCAATATTTCCTTTACAGGCTCTTTAAAGCAAGAGGCTTAAACAATAAATGCCTATAATGCTTTGGAAGATGAAAATCTCTGAAGTGCTACTGACCAGGCTGAAGATTCTGATCTTACTCAATAATGCATTACACTTCCCTTTTAAATTACTGATTCAGCCTTGGTTGGGTTGTATACAGTTTATTAACTCTCTCAAGTTTTGATCACACTTGGTTAATGAAAGCTGGATGAATTGAATATTCTATTTCCTTATAATTGTGGATAATGTCCTCATATATTCTTATTTCCCTTCTGGGTATGGCATACCCAGTTTAGCATAATGCTGTAACTTCTTGTTAAAGAGACAAAGCCATCACTAATTTTTTTTTTTTTTGGCATATAGTTAAAAGTGACTCAGAAATTTAGATTTTTTCCCTTTGGGAATTTAACAGTGGGAAGATAAGGTTGGTTTTGTTCTGGATCTCCTTCTCCAAGGCCAAGTCACAAAAGCTAACTGGACAAATAAAATCTAAGTGTCCAAAAAAGTGCAGTAAGTAAATGTGAGATCAAACTGCATTTGTATATGGGAGCAACTGCAACAATTGTGTCTACATAAAATCTATATACTTACTGCTTCACACAGCAAATATGCCCCTGAATGGTTGTGATTCAAGCATATGTTTAACAATCAGATCAGACAGGAGTTTGACTAGATGAACTTTAAGCTAAAATGAACAAGTGTTTCCTAAATCCAAGGTAGAATAATGAACACGATCTAATAATTAAGCGTGTGGGGCTGTGACTGGGGCAGGGTGAAGCCCGAGACACAATTGTGCATTCCCCAAAGTCTTACTACAGAAGACTATAAGCAAATATTCAGAGAAAATAAATGAAAAATATAGCAAAATATTAACAGTGATTATCTCTGAGTGGTGGGGTACTAGATGATTTTTATTTACTTTTTAGAAGCTTTCTTGATTTTCCACATTCTCTGAAATTAGCATGCATTCCTTTATTTTATTACATTGAATTTTAGTTTAAGTAGAGGAATGCTGAGAGAACTGACTATTAATAGTGAATACCTTGGCAAAGCATCTGGTAAAACAAATAACCACCATCTGCATATTTGTTTTGGTAATTGAGTCTCTCATTTACCAGTTTTGCTTAAAGGTAGTCTCATCCATGTGGTTTTGTTCACTGTAGAATCCTCAGTGGTTAGCACAATGTTAAACACATAGCACATAGGGAGCAGGTATCAGTTTACGTTTTAAAGAAATAAATGAATTTTAAAATTTGGAAAACATTAATTGAGTCTCTCTGCTTATAAATATGATTTGCAAATTTTATGGATTTGTGAAAATCAAGCCCTTTTATCGCCCTGCAGGAACAGACATCAAAGCCAGCACATAATGAAACATAATGGAGGATGGATCACCTCCATTACTGAGTTGGCGAAGGGTCCTTCCCTGTTAGGTAGGGGTGTCTGACTAATTGGTAGTTAATAGCAAGAGTGTCACTGCTTTTGAGTTTATCATCAACTCTTAATTCTCTGTAGTGTTAGATGGGAACAATGACGCAGCGAATTCCCAAATCATTTGTTCGGTTTGGAAAAGAGGTATGATTTTTCCCCAGAAGGTTTGCCTCCTAATTCTTTTTCTTTTGGACAGTGCCTTTCTTGGGAGTGTTGCCTACCTGGATGATGGGGAAGGTAACCAGAAATAGACTGGGGCAGCGGGAAGCCAGCCTGGGATTAAAATGTATCATCCTTTAGCCTTAGTGCTGAATGTAAAGTTCACTGGTGCCATTTGAGAGGGATAGTACCTTTTCTTTGTACAACACTTCAGATCTGTGGAGCCTGTGGGAGAAGTGAGTGCTTTTTTTTTTTTTTTTTTTTTGAGGCTTTTTTTCTGTCTTTGCTTTTTCTTTTAAAAAATCTCAGGAAGAAAGTTCAATGGTGTTGGAGGGATTATAGCCAACTTGCCTTAGATTAGGAGGATTTCTTCCCTTTTCCTCAAATATTTTTTTTCTCCTCTTGGATGTGGAGAGGAATAAAGTCCATTGATTTTAGTAAAGTTGAAGGTATCTCCTCTTACAATGGAAGATTTTTTTCTTTAAAAATCTCCAGGGGAAAAGATTCATTGCTTTTGGTGGAGGTGGGGGAGCATCTCTCTTTAGGTCTGGAGGATTTCCATTAAAAAATAGGTTTTGTGGAGAGGACCTACAAGGGCAACTTGTTTTAATGAAGCTGGGGAGCCCTCCCTAGTAGGATTTTTCTTTCTTTCCTTTTCTTTAAAAGAAACAGTTTATTGGGAAAAATTAGAATGGGAGACATCTCTCCTGGAAAGATTTTCTTTTCCTTTCCTTGCTTTTTTTTTTTTTTTTTTTTTTTTTTTTTTTTTTAATGAAACAGTGAAGGCTGAAAGATACATAAGGTCCCTGGGATAGGGTGAGATTGGGTACATACCCACCACCCCCCCCACACGCACATTCCCCACCTTGAAGAAGCTTGAGAAAGAGATTTTGTGTGTGTGTGGTTTTTTTTTCCTTATTGTGGGGGATGGAGAGGGTAGTCATCAGGAATAATACGCAATGTCTGCAGTAAGGTGTTGGTGCATTTTCCTGGAGAGAATTTCTTTCTTTGATCCTTTAAAAAATAATCCCTTTGTTAATTTTCTTCTTCCTCTTTCCCACCCCTCCTTCTCTGCCACCTTCACTCTATCCTACCTAGTCCTTTTCCCCTTCCCTTCACATTTCTCCCCCCATCCTCCTTCCTCTCTCCCTCTCCTTTCCTCCGTCTCCCCTTTCTTTTTCCCTCTCCTCCCTTCTCTCCCCCTCTTTCTTTTTCCCTCTCCACCTCTCCCTTTGTCTCTCTCTCTGGCTCCCTCCCTTCCTCTGTCTCTCTCCCTCTTTTTTCCTCTCCCTATCTCAGTCTCTCCCTACCTGCTCCTACCTTCCTCTCCTCTCTACCTGTCCGGCTTTCCCCCTCCCTCCCTTCTCCCCTCCTCCCTCTCTTCCTCTCTCTGTTTCTCTCCCTCCTTCTCCCTTCTCTTCCTTCTTTCTCCCTCTCTCCTTCTCCCCTCCTCCCTCCCTTCCTCTCTCTGTTTCTCTCTCTCCTTCTCCCTTCTCTTCCTTCTTTCTCCCTCTCTCCTTCTCTTTGTTTCTTTTTTGTTTTCAGAAAAATATTCAAGGACTTTGGTGAGTTTGGGGGCATCTTCATTCCTTAAGAAAAATATTTCTCTTTAAAATATACTGTTCATGTTCTTCCCTTCCCGCCCCCCATAATTCTAAATGTATTTGCTTGTTTTGAGAAAAAAAGGGGCTTTGTTGAGGCTGAGAATACTTTTGTTTAAGAGGACTTTCTTGGCTTTGTGTTTCTCCCCTACCTATCTTTTCTATTTGTTCTCAAATTACAAAAATTCTATATTAAGAATAAATCTTTTGGTAAATTATATAAATATATTAAATTATCACATGTTCCCTGAAAATATGTACATCTATTATGCATCAGTTAAAAATTAATTAAAAATAAATAAATAAAATAAAAAGAATAAAGTTTTTGAGTGAATTTGAGTCAACTCCCATTAGAAGGATTTTCTTTCATTTTTTCTTCTTTTAAAAAAATCGGTTTTTTTTTTTTTGGTTGTGTTTTGACAGGAAAATTAATGGGTCTTTGTGACATTGAAGTACTTCTTCTCTTTAAGAGGATTCTGTTTTTGTTTCATTAGTAATATCCTCTTCACCAACACATATACCCTTCCATTCTTAATTTTATTTTAAATCTTAAAAAAAATTGTATTTTAAGAATAAGGTTTATGCTCTTTAGTCATGGAGGAGTGGTATTTCTTTTGTCCCTCCCTCCCGCACCCCCCGCGCCCCTGCTTCTTGGAATTAAAAATTCTGGAGATTTGGTATAGTCAGGGACCTATCCTTTAATATTTCTTTCTTTTTTTAATTAAAATGTGTGTATCTAGAGGGGAGGATTCGTAAATTTCATTAACTTTTATGATTTTTGAGAATATCTGCCCTTAAAAAGATTTCCTTTTTTTGTTTGTTTTCCTTAATTTCTTTTTTTTTAATTGAAGGGGTGGCAAATAAAGGTTATTATCCTTGGCGAGGTTGAAGATCCTTTAAGAGGATCTCCCTTTCTTTTAGTTCCTTTTTTCAATTTTGTTTGTTTTTTGTTTTTGGGAGAATAATAGGTCTCTTATCTTGTGGTTAGAGGGATGGTATCTTTCTTTGAACTATTTTTAAAAATTGAGATGTAATTTACATACCATAAAATTCATCATCTTAACATACACAATTTTGTGGGTTTTATTGTATCCACAGTGTTGTGCACCCATCACCATTCTCTGATTTTAGAACATTTTAATCACCCTCAAAAGAAACCCTGTACTCTTTAGCCATCATCCCCTTTTCCACCTCCCATATTGCTTCCCTCATTTCCTTTCCATCTCTAAGGATTTGCCTCCTCTGCACATTTTATGTAATCGGGAAAATAATGTCAGGAAGCTTTGATGAGGTTGGGGGACCTTCCCTTTATTTTTGCCCCCTTAATTTTCTCAAGAGATTAAGCATGAGCCATGAAGTCAAATAAAGTTTACAAATTTCATGAATATTTTAAGGTTAGAAATACTGTTTAACTTAAGATGATTTCTCTTTTTTCATCTTAAAATTTTTCTTTGGGGGATATAAGTTCCATGGGCTTTGATGAGGGTGAGGATAACTTCCTTTTAGAAGCTGTTTCTTTTTTTTTCTTAAAATAATTTTCAGAGGAGAGATAAATTTCATTATCTGGGGTCACTGTCCCTTTCTTTTCGTTTTTAAAATTCATAAATTTGTTTTTATTATTTTGAGAATGAGCTCTATTTGCTTTGGTGAGGGTGGGGCATCTCCCTTTAGAATGGCTGCTTGCTTGCTTTTTTTTTTTTCCTTTAAAATTATTTTTTTTCCACTGAAAGAATTACAGTGGGTGGGCTTTGGAAAGGTCGGGCACCCTATCCTTAGCAGGATTTCAATTTATTTCCTTTACAAAACACACACGCACCAACAAAAAAGGTCTTTGTGAGTAATCGGTTCAGGGTCTCTGCCTCTTCTCGTTTCTTCTCTGGCTCCTCTTCTATGCTGGCCCCCTCTGGGAGCATCAGAAGTGGAGCAGCAACCACCGCTTTGGAAAAAAATTCAGAGCTGATGAAATGTCAGCTAAAAGACTGTTCTTAGACAAATGAGGATCCTATGTATCACAAAAGGCCATATGTCAGATTTTTAAAAAAATCTACAATAGAAAATTCAATCATTACATCCTATAAGCTGTCAAGTTTTATTTTTGCCCTCCCCCACCTGCTGCCTTGTTCAAGGAAATAAAAGGGTTAATAATGCAGAGGCAAGCACTCTGTAAACTGTAAAGTGCCACAGGAGCAGAAGGAACTATATAATCCTTATTAGAATACCCCTGAATGGTTTCCTGGTTTCTATGGATATTTTTTTCTTTTTCTTTTTTCTTTTTTTTTTTTTTTTTTTTTTTTGCCTTTCCTTGGAGGCACTTTCCCTTTGGGCTGCAGATCTGCAGAAGCCCTAGTCGGAGATTTTAATAAGTGCATAAGAATTGTACTCTGAGAAACTAAAGACCACTGACCAATACTTCATTATCTTTTCTAGAACACCCTGTAGTGACTGCTTAGGAACTATTAGAATACACCAAATAAATCAGATGGTATCATCAAAGCTTGGCAAGGAGGGGGGAAAAACTGAAGAGAAAAGAAAGTAATTTCATTCTGACCTTCAACAGGTTAAACATCTGAATCTATAATCCCAAATCTGTTTACAGTCACTGCAGATACTCTGTTCACTTAGGAAAAAAATTTATTATCCCCTGAAGCTAACAATATCATTATTAGTCTGCTGCTGCTGGGACTGCATGGGATAAGGACACTTTCCAAGCCATTAATAAAAATTGTTAGTAATTTGCTTCTTAATTATAGTTCCAATAACCACTCTGAAAATGGAAAGATTGACTGTATTTCCTTAAGGGCTATATATTCCATGCCATTTAAATAAGTATTTACTTCTCACTCTGAAACCAATGAGAACAAATTTTTATTCATTCACAGCAGCAGCCTCTACATTGCTGGAAATGGATAGTTTTCAAGCTTCAGCAAGTGTTTATTAAGCAAAATCAAGGAGGGCTGCATTGAACTAGGCACTGAGAAAGGCCACCCCTATTTTTGAGAAGCTCAGAAATCACTAATAAAATATTGATAGGAATCACCAGATATCATATAAACAAATGCTTGCTATTTTGCAAGAAAATGTACAAAAATATCAGTTTTGTGCATAAAAGCTGTCCTGATATGGTTTGAGGATAATGGTTATTACTGTGCAGTCATCAGGAGGGATACACAGACCCCTTTTATCTCCCCCAAAAGCCATGAAAGTGTATCTCCCCTCAGATTTTCATCAATCATTTGTATGATGTGATTTTCATTTCATAGCTGGTCAAAACCCAATGAATAAACAAAATTTTGTCTTTCTTCAAGCACAGCTGATGAGAGAGAAAGAAACATGGTCTACTTCATATAAGCCCCATCCCTCCCCCAAGAGAGTTATAGCATTGCTAAAGAACCAATTCACACATCCTTACTTACACTTGCTGCCACCAGGTGGGAGACCATGGCTCATTTCCTGGGAATTGAAACATTTTAGAAAGGAAAGAAATAGACATGTTTGGTTCACAGACTGACTGTGTTATCCTGGTAGCTATTTGAAAAGAAAACATGAGCCCCCTTTTCTCAGTCAATTGCAGGTTCTGAAACTTTCCTGAAATTCCAAAAAAGAGCAGACTACAAGGCTGAAAGATGTTGGTTTTTTGCTACAATACCAGTCAACAAAATTATCTGGGAGAAACTTGCAGTCATATTCAAACACTTGGTTTTGCTCATTTCATCCTTTGAATTATCAGGATAGTTTCATGCTTGCTATGGAGGATTTCATTGCATGATGAGACCTGTATTTTGTTTTGTTCCCTGACATTTTGGGCACATATGTATAGTATGTGTGTGTGTTAGGGGTGTGTGCACGCCTGTGCGTGTTGCACAGTTTTTTCCCCCCAAGCTTGCCTCGAGGAGGCAGTGTTTGAAAACAACATCACCCCAGCTAAGATGACAACCTGTTTGCCTTGAATGTTAAGATACAAGCCAGCTGGTTGCAGGTGCCATTTGTCTGAGGAAGATGCAGGAGAGAATGATCCTATCACTGAAGATCAGATGTTCCCAGCTGCACCAGAGAGCAATTGCATAGCAACATTGAGGGTGTTGTAAAAGGGTTTGGCTCCAAGCAATTTAATTTGAGCACGTACCTAGATCCTTTACATCCTTCAAAATTCTCCAGAGCCACTGATTAGTTAATCTGCATGGCCTTCTTAACGGATGGTCGTGGTTCTTAACCCCATTCTACAGATAAGTGATTCAACAAATGTCTGGCTCTACTAAGGGCAAAGTCAAACCCCTGGGATCCTGGTCTCCTGCCAGTGTTGCCAGATGTCTGTGGGTCAGCTAGCCAGCACGTCTGAGTGGGCACTACGTAGAGGAAACTAATCTGATTCCCCTTACCTTAATCTTCCTCATCTGTCTGGCAATGACATTTTCCTGTCAAACAGGTAGGAGATGCTTTCGCATGGGAGCAGGGGATGCTTTTCACTGGGGGAAGGGTCCTGGTCGCCAGTCAGCCTTTCAGAGGCCAAAGGGGAGATGCATTCTCTGGGTATTACGTCCCCACGTGTCAGTTTCACAGCCATGTTCCCAAAATTTCGCTTAAGATGGCCACAGGTCAGGTGATTCCTGCTTGTCTCTTTCCCACCAGCTTAATGCAAACTCTTCCAAAAAGACAAGATCAATCACCCGGTGAGGGTGAGCTCCCAAATCTAGCCACCCCAACTTTGCCCTTCTTAAGATCACTGCAGGAAAGGGTATTTTCAGGAAGGGGAGGGATACATCCCCTGGTGAGAGCTAGGGTGTTGAATTTTTAAAAACTTATCAGAGTCTCCCACCGTCATGTTTTATTTATTTTTAAACCTCTGCACTTTCTTTTCTCTGTGAAACTTTTCATTTTAGCCTTCTTTTTCAGTTATTCGTCATTGCAGATATTTTGCAAACTCAAGCCTCCCTACTAAGAACTCAGGAAGCAACCAATGCTTCCATTTCGTGATGCCAATCTGCCCCCTCCCCTCCCGCATTCTACATTCTATAAGTGTGCGGTCCACAGCAGAAGGGTTCCTGAGCCGTGTCCTTATGGTCTGCTAGGCAGCAGGATGGACCGGTATTGTTCGTGTGTTGTGTTATTCGTTTGTGTGTGTGTGTGTGTGTGTGTGAATGCGCGCGCGTGTGTATGTCTTCCTGCAGGGGAAGCTAAATTGAGGTGTGTGTGTGCATTATCCTGGTTTTCAGTTTTGTGGAACGAAGTTTAGGGTAAAGGAAGAGTAGGGAGAGTGCAGAGAAAGCAGGAAAGACAGGCATACTCCCGCTTAAGAGCAGACGGGGTTTCAGGGTCCAAGGTAAACACGAAAACCTTTTTCCTCCCTACTCCCCTTGGGCGAGTGCCAGAAGATTCTCCACTCATCTTTTCCCGGCTAAGTGTAACGATTTAGAAGGCGTCGCGGTAGACTGGTAGAGATGAAGGTTCCCCTTCACACGTTCTGCAATCCCAACTCCTATTTTCGTGTCTCTAAACCAGGACTCCTGTACCATTCCAATTGGCCCTGGTGCGGGATGCCAGTTGCCCCGTTTGTGACGCTGCGCAACATTGTATCACTGCGTTTGCACCTACCTGCTGGGAAATCCTGCAGACAGATGGAATGGTGGCTTCGACACACGCATGCTCTCCCCCTCCTCCCGGAGAACCCTGCCCTTCCCCTGCAGTGCGCGTGGGCGCCGCCCATCCCCTCGTCCTCACCAGGAGTACCAGCTCGAAGCAGCCGGCAGAGGCGCCGGGCACCTCCCTGGAGGGCCGCCAGTTGCGCCCAGCTGAGGCGCCCCCTCCCCAGTGGCAGGGAGGGGGCCAAGCAGGCGAAGGCTCCGCAGCTTGGGCCTCTGCGGCAGTGACCGCGGCTAAGAGGTGTGTCCCACCGCCCCCACTCAATCCGTCCGCTATGTATTCGGGGCCAGCCCCAAACACTTCTCCAGGTCTCTTGCGCTCCCCGAGGGTATCTTCCTCCTCTCTTTCAAGATATTGGCGCTCACCGCACTGTCGCTTCTCTTCAAGGGGAAAACTGCTCCGATTCCCACCCCCTGCTGTCACCCCCGTTTCTAGCCCCAAACAGCCCATTCTCGATTCCCACATGTTGCTTCCCGCCTCCCAACCCCTTCCCATTCCCCCGGGTTCCCCATCCCTGCATCTTTCTCAGCATCTTGGCCAGCCAGTGCCAGACAAGCGGGATGCAAGGGGTACCCGGAGTCCCGCGGGCTCCATAGCCATCTGACTTCGCCTTGCTTCTTTTCCCCGCTTCAGGGGGTCTTTTGCTTACCTTTATTCTGGACCACGACATTGGCGTTCTGGGCGATGGCGATGGCGATGGCGATGGCGAGGTCTTTAGACCTCTCTCTCGAGTGTCCACCGGACATTGCAATAGACATGGTGCTGGACTTGGACGGAACTCTGGAGCCGCCTCAGGGCAGAACTCTGGGGCCAGCTCTGTCACAGGTTCTGGGGTCGGCTCTGGGGCCAGCTCTGGGGCAACTTCTGGAGTCAGCTCTGGGGCCGGCTCTGGGACCGACTCTAGGGCAGGTTCTGGAGTCGGCTCTGGGGCAGACTCTGTGGCAGGTTCTGGGGCCGGTTCTGGGGCCGGCTCTGTGGCAGGTTCTGGGGCCGGCTCTGTGGCAGGTTCTGGGGCCGGTTCTGAGGCCGGCTCTGTGGCTGGTTCTGGGGTCGGTTCTGTGTACAGTTCTGTGGCTGATTCTGAGGTCGCCTCTGGACAGGGACCTGGAGCAAGCTCTGGACAGGGCTCTGGTATGGGTTCTGGCGAAGCCTCGGAGAGCAGCGGCGGAGCCGGCGGCGGAGCCGGTGGTGGTGGCGGCGGCGGCCAAGGCGGCGGAGGCTCTGGAGACTCAGCGGGCTGCTCTCCATCCTGAGGCGGGGCAGTGCCCTGGGCTGCGGCAGCTCCGCGGTCCATGGCCGCACACCGCTTCAGGTCTGGGCAGCCTGAGTCCCTAAGCCTGGAAGGCTAAAGTACCCTCGGGCGCCCCGCCCACTCCAGTCCGGCAGCCCCTCGCAGGGTGCCAAACTTTCCCCCATCCCACTCCATGGCTGGCTTGGCTCTGAGGTCTAACCCGTGGGCGCTCAGCGTCTCCCTATGCTGGAACACGCCCCTCAGTGTGCGCACACCTCTTCGTAAGCAGCCACGGGTCCGATGGGCGGGAAGCAGAGGGGCTTGCGAACGCGGACTGGGCAGAGCGCTTGATGACCTCCTAGCGACGCGCGGGAGGGGAGGGGAGAGACAAAAAGGGGAGGGGGAGTGGAGCGGCGTGGAGGTTGGGGGGCGGGCTGGAGCCTTGCCGTGTTTAACCCTTTAGTGACACGAATGAAAAAAAAAAGCCAGAGGCGAAGTTGAGGGTCTTTGCAATCCCCCAACCACTTAGCTGCTGGTCAGAATAGCTTCCATCCTGTGTCTGCTCTCTCACCTCAGCAGCAGGTGAGCTTAGCCTCGGACCAACCTCTTGCCCCCCATCTCCAAGCCTCGATGGGCAAGTAATGCTTTTTATCTAAGCCGGGAAAAGAAATTAAGCGGCATGGTGTGTGTGTGGTGGGGGGGGGGGGTGCGGGGGGGGCGGGTGTTCAGCCTCCTTTGGATTGAAGTACAATTTGACCCTCTTCGGTTTTTTGCATTTCTGAGCTTTGCCGTTGGGTACAGAGTTTGAGGTGATTCGGGAAAGGAGTGTGATGAGGGAGGCTGGCGCCCCGGCTTTCCGCAGCCTGCAGCCTCCCCGAGAGCAAGTCGAGAGTGCCCCGGCAGCAGCTGGGCTTCGCGCTCGGGAGCTGAGGCTATCTGGGCGTCTGTCTGGCTCGCCTATGCTATAGGAGCCTGCCTTGTGCTTTTAGCTGGATTTCCCAGCCATCAGCAGGAGTTTGTTTTTCCGCCCCCCCCAAACTTGTTAACGCGCGCGCGCGCGCGCGTGTGTGTGTGTGTCTGTGTGTGTGTGTGTGTGTGTCTTGGGCTGGGGAAATTCACTGCAACACCCACACCCTTTTCACCTCCTGAAGCAGTCTGACATTAGAGATGGGAGATTCTCTTGGGAAGAGAACGACTGATGCCTAGCGCAGCACCTTTCCCACCACATCGGAAGACTTTAGAAGCTCTTTCTGTTATAGTCACGTACACATACACACAAACCATCATCTTAGTCAGACCTAGACTTTAGACGCCAATATATTACCAATTGTAATTAAAATTTGAGAAGACTACCTGTTAAGCCACAGCTGGGTGGGGGGAGCGGACGGGGGAGAAATACCTGTAAACCTGATTTGAAATATGACAAGTGAATTTATCTCCCATACACATAATGCTGCAGTTGTGGGTAGCAGCCTTCTTTCTGCAGCCCCTTCTCTAGCCATCTACTCCCAGACCATATCCCCCACTATTCCCTCTTCTTTTGCCAACGGACACTGACCTAGCCAGAATTTTCTAGAATCTGCAACATCTTTCTGTTGCCTATACTATGTCTCAGCAATAAATAATACCATAAGAGCACAGTTTCACCTAAATCCCTCCAAAGACCAGAATCTCTGGTGAGGTCTGCATTTCCCAGATCCTCGCTGCAGCCTCACAGCCTAAGCCCACCTTTCCAGAGATGTGTTAACACTGCTTGGCAGCTACTAAGCTAGTGCAGGGACCGTCCTTAAACTCTGGGGATGGGAAGACCAGGAGAAGTGAGCCCTATCAATTCCCTCACGTGGCAGTCCTCCTTCCAGTAAATTCACCTTAGGAGCCCACTCTCTTCACCCTCCTTGGGCTTGTTCTCCTTTCCCCTATCCCACACTCAAGTAGCCAAGCCGCCTTTAACCCTAAGAGTTCAGGACTGAAATATACAGGTGCCAGATCTCATTATTGGATCTGGTGCATTAAAGTGCCAGATCTGACCAACCAGCAAGTCCAGGACTGGAGATCACTTTTCTGGCTCTCACACCTTAATGGAATCCCTGTCCTTAGAAGGGGCAGATATCCCACATTTAAATTTTGCTTTTTACTAAACCCAACATGTAGTTAGAAGGGCTGAAGGCTGAGCAGTCACAGAGTAAGATGGCCTCTTGGGTTACAGATGGCCTCTTGGGGTTTGGCATAGACAGTGTATTGTCAAGCGAGATACCACCAGGGGACAACTTGGAGTTACTGCTTTATGTATGTTTATTGAAACTCTTGTCTATAATTCTACACTCAATTATAATGAGGCCAACATTTATGATGTAGACTCTTGCTACAAGGTCATTTTGAGATTGAATGCTAAAATAGTTGCTTGTACATGGCTTTTGCTCCATTAGGGTAGGTTACTGGAGATATACTGCCTGAACTGCATTATGATTAGTTTTGAAGGTTTTAAAAAATTATTTTTCAGCCCATCATTAGCTACCTTATTGCCTCATATCATAGTAAGGGTTCTTTGTGTGTGTGTGTCGGGGGTTCCTTAGCCCAGCATTGAATACCATGCTTTACATTGGAGGCAGAGTAGAGGGATGGCCAGAATGGTTGATTGGTACCTGATTTGGGGAGGCACCTTTGCTGTAACTAAGCTACACCTTCCTCTTTCCCATAACCTGCTGGTTTCTTAATAAAGTTTTACTTAGATGCTTCTGTATTTTCCTCACAACCTAACCCAGGACTTGAGGTCATAGTCAGGATTCAGGAAATGTCTGTTAAGTGGATGATTCATTGTAGGTTACTGGTTAGGATGTATTTTTCTGCCTTGCTTTTCAGCACTATTTGATATTTCAAATGATTAATGATCTCCTAAGAGGCTCTCTTTTAATTAAACAATACAGATTTTTAAAAAGGCAAAGAGGTACATAAGAATTTCTTTAACCAGACATATCTGGAATGATGACCGTATCCACAGAGGCTTGGATGAACATAGTTCTGGATGTCCCAGGGCAGAAATGGTCCTTAGCCTGGGACTTTTGGGCATGTTATATAAGTTACCTGATTGGGCTGGATGAAGGATCGATCAGTACAATAGGCTCATATCTTTTGAATATGCAATGCACTACCTTACCCAACTGCCAGCATTTACTCTGATTCTACCCAGAATAAAGCTTATCCAAGCCAGCATGGAGCTCCTTCAATTTCAGCCGTGCTCAGAGTTCTGGAGAGGCAAAGGAGAGAAAAGCTGAGAAATGTGACAAAATTAAATCTCTTCTCCCTTCCTGTTTTCATTTCATTTTCATTATTGAATGAGAGAGTGGCACTGTATTGCTAGAGTGGAAGCCCTTCCCCCCTTGATCAGTAGCTTTAAATTCCCTAAGTCCTCCCTTTTAGAGCAATTTGGGAAGAAATCAGTGTCTCTCCCGAGTCTTAGCAGCTGCCAACCTCCCCTACTGTACTACCTCGGGATGTGCCAAGCCAAAATAGCAACCTTTATAATAATCTACTAAATAAAATAAGGAGATGGGATGAAGAACAGGCAGCATGTATGGAGAAGGTAGAGGATTCAGACTATTAATTTAGCTGGGATTAAAATGCAAACCTGTTAACCTTTACTCACTCTAGTCTCCTAGGATTAATTGATATAGGATTGGAGAGTTAAAAAGTTAATACCTTGCATTTGTATAATGCCTTTTTATTTCTAAAGTACTTTCACATATATTATCTCACTTCAGCCTCACAACAAATGTGTGAGGCAAGCAAATTCGGACTTCCATCACATACCCCTGTCCCCTACCCTTTAACAGATGAGAAAACACAAGTCCAGTGAGACTAAGTGCCATGTCTTAGGTCACAGAGATAATTAGTGGTGGAACAGACATTTAGAACTTGTGTCACTCAATTTCCAGCTGAGGGAGACCAGAGCACAATACTGAGGGCTGTGAGCTGGGGGCTGTGAGACAGGGTCTGTGTAAATCCTCTTCATAGCAGAGTGGGAAGGCTGCCTTAATGCCTTTTTCTTTCTTGAGCTTGTCAAAGGAGCAGAGGTTTCTCAGCTCTCACTCTTTCTGGACAGCAGTTAATGATCTGCAACCAAGCTCACTATAGGAGGTCCCTGTTTAGAGGAACATTTTTGAATATGTATGTAATATAATAATTCAACCAGGGTATACTCATTTTATTGGTTCTGTTTTTATGTTTTCTTGAAGTGAAGCACTCCACAGTTAAGCGGTATTTACTGCCAGTCTGTGGTGTATACAGCCCTATTAGGTGTCCTGGGGAAGGAGAAAGGGCAGAAATATTAGACGTGATCCTTCCCACAAGAATTATTAGAGCTTGGTGGTCAAGATAAGCCAAATACAGGTGAAAAGCAATCCAAACACAGATGCCAGTTTATGATCATGACACCACACTTTGTACTTTTCTGGGGGGCTGGGGGTGGGTGGGGACTAAGTGTGACAGAGCGGAAAGGAAATTGCAAGGGGAGTCAGGAAATCTGGCTTCATATTAAGGTTCTACCACTAAACTCTCAACATGACCTTATACAGATCATTTAATGTCTTTGGGCCTTAAGTTTTCTCGTATGAAAAATGGAGGTGGGAATAAAGTTGAGCTTGATCATCTAGCTCTAAAGTCTGTTTTAGCACGAAATATCAGCAATCCTGTGAGTGAATCACGGACAGCTTTTTGTAAGGGGACAGATCTTGAAATGGATCTTGAATGATGCAATTAACATAGATCAGCAAAGGGGAAGTGGAAAGGCATTGCAGACAAGGAGAGAAGCAAAGATAGAAATCTGGAGGTGAGAATGAGCCAGGCTGGTTGAGATAGAGGGAACATACCAACGACTGATGAGAGATGAGATTAGAGTGAAGCAAGTGGTAGGGAGAAAGCGGGATGTAAAAGGTTTTCAACATCAGATTGAAGAGTTGGAAGATTTGGTTTTAAAGGTAATGGGAGCAATGAAGGCTGTTTGAATATAGGTGTACATGGTAAAACTAACCAGTGAGGAAAAATTGTCCTTGACTGTGTATTTGGTTCTGGAAGCATCTACAAATCTGCTTTGTTTCCCTAGAGCTGATATCCAGTTGATTTGAGGTAATTTGTAAAATCATGATTCTTTCTTTATTTTTGCTGCAACCTCTAGCTTTGGGTCTGCATTGCCAAGGCTGCTGGCCCAACTGGCTTAACCACCTGCCTATACATTTGGATTTAGTCCATAATGGGTCATTTGGCTTCCATGGACTCAACATGCTAATGGGATTTCTAATTTAAAATTCTAACTGATGATGAATGACCAGGGGATGAGAGAAAGGTCTTTGTAGGTAAGCAGGAGTGGGATGGTTGTGGACCTCAAAGCAGATTCAGAGACTGAAAACAGTTTGAAGAAAGATAAGAAAAAAAATGAATCTTTGCAGAATCTTTAACTCACTGTGGCTTAGACATGGGGGAAAGCTGATGAGAAACAGCCATCCAGTCTAACCTGCCAAGGATCTAAACCCAGCTTGTATTAATAAGAGAAAACAGATTGCTCTAATGGCATAGAGAAAAAAGTGGTGGAAATTTTGGTGTGGCAGATCACAGGTGTGTGTGGGGGGATCTGAGGGAGGGAGTATAGAGCTGATAGTGTCCCTTAGGTGATGGTGTTTAGAAGGAGTGAAAAAGATTATTAGAACCCTCCTGGTGTGGTGTCAGTAATGGAGGCAGGCAGACATTTGTAATACTCAATCTCAGTATTTGAATATGTGTATGTGTGTGTGTCTTTATCCAAAAAGGAAAAAAGATAATGTTAGTAAGAATTGTCTCGCACAAAATTACTTTGTTACCTCACCACCCTCTACAAACGCTTTATGACTGACTTTAAGAGGGAAAGTGATGGATATAGGAGGGAGGAACGAATAGAGAAAGGAATTTAAGAAAAAGAGGTGTTGATAGGCAGAACTGCTGTGATGAAAAAGGTTGGGGAAGAAGGTGGCTTTCTTTTCCTCCAAAGAACTGCCAGCAGCCTTTCCAGCTGTCCCTTTTTCTCTTTCTTGTAGTTCTCCCTTACTGAGAGTTAGCTCAAAATGCAGAATTAATCAGTTCTGTCATAAGAAGGAATCTCAGGGGAGAGGCTTTACACAATTGAAGTGACTTGCAAGGACAAGGCGTCACAGAACTCAGTTGTCTTAGATGGAGATTAAAGCATTCAACAGTCATTTCCAGGACCTCCCTTCTATCATTCACCTTTTGGTTTTAAGTCCCCATGCTCTAGTTATGACCTTTAGGCATGGCCATTTCTGGAAGGGCCTATTCCCTTTAACCACACTTCATATGACAGAACTAGGCTCAGTTTCCCCCTTTCTCTTTCTCAGCTTCACTGGTCTCTGCAATAACAAGGCCCTTTCCCAACTGGGTCTCAGAACCTTAACGTGGCCCTGGGGCAAAACTGCAGCAGCCTGACACCCAGGGTTTCTAGGGATTGCATTATTCAGTCATCAATTCCACAAATAATTATTGAACATCTACTACATGCTTGGCACTCATTTGAATGCTGAGGATTCACCAAAAAACAAGACAGACATCATCCGTGCTCAAATAGCATTTATTGGCTAAGGGCTGGGGAAATACAGACATACATACATGAAGACGTTGTTTCAGAAAATAAGTGCAATAAAGAAAACAAAAACTGATGATGTGATAGAAAGTGCCTGGAGGGCTACTTTGGTCAGTCAATTTATTTACTCATTTGCTTAATCCTATAGCACATCCAAAATAGTTTGGAATTACTTCACCAATGCTACTACCAACAACAAACCTACTAAATAAACTTCAAGATTTTTTTTCCACCAACTTCTGATTTGAAAACTTTTCAATCCTACAGAAAAGTTGCAAGAATAATACAGTGATCACTTACATATTCTTTACTGATTGCTAACACTTTATCACATTTACTTAATATCTATAACTCCATCTATTTATCTGCATATCTACCTCTTTATTTTTGGCTGAGCCACTTGAACGTTTGTTGCAGACATCATGACATGTCACACATAAGTATTTCAGCATGTATCTCATAAACAGCAAGGACATTCTCCTTCATACACAATACAATGATCACACTTATGAAATTTAACAATGATACATTAATATTATCTAGAATACAATGCATATTTGAATTTCTCAAATTGTCCAAATAATGCTCTGTATAGCTTTTTTTTTTTTGTAAATATAGGGTCAAATCATAGATTGCATTTAGTTCTGTGTCTTTAGTCTTCTTTAATCTAGATTACTCCCAGCTTTCATTTGTCTTTCATGACATTGACACTTTTGAAGAGTACAGAGCAGTTGTCTTTAGACTGGATTTCAGTTTCAATTTGGGTTTGCCTGATTGTTTCAGATTGGATTGTCATGAAAGGCTTCTCTGAAGAGGCAACTTTCAGTTGAGTCTTGTCAACAGGAGGAGGCAGCTGTGAAAATATCTGGGGAAAGGGATTCCAGGCAGAGGGAATGGCAAGTACAAATTCCTGGAGATGGAGACAGGCTTGTGTTTGAGGGAGAAAAAGCAGGCCAGAGTGACTGGAGCCTAGAGATCAAGGGGGAGAGTCCCATGAAATGAAATAAGATAGGCGGGATTCAGATCATGATGAAGCATATAAGTCATGGGAAAGAGAAGATTTTGTTCTAATTGCAATGGTAAGCCACTAAGGGTTTTATGTAATTTGGTGACATGATCTGATTTGAATTTGCTTTTAAAAATAGTTTTTACACCGCATGTTCTCACTCATAAGTGGGAGGTGAACAATGAGAACACATGGACACAGGGAGGGTAACAACACACACTGGGACCTGGGGTTAGGTGGCGGGAGGGAGAGCATCAGGATAAATAGCTAATGCATGCGGGGCTTAATACCTAGGTGATAGGTTGATCTGTGCAGCAAACCTCCATGGTACACGTTTATCTATGTAACAAACCTGCACGTCCTGCACGTGTATCCCAGAACTTAAAATAAATACAATAAAGTTGAAAAGAAAAAAGAAAAAATATAATAAAAAATTAAAAAATAAAAATAGTTTTTATTTTCTAAAGAATTTTGCTTTGTATGCAGTTTAAAGAAACAAATAGGTACTTGTCATAGCTGTCAACCTGCCCCCCTCTCCCATTATCTGCTCCCTAGAGGGAACTACTTGGAGCTCCTTTAGCTAAATAGCATGCTTGTAAAGCTAATTCATAATTTTTCAGATTAAAGCATTCTATGGAAGAGGAGAGTTTAGTTCATTATCACCATAAGCCCCCGTGCATGCACAAACACAGACTTCCCATTCCACCACTCTACCAGTACAGTTATGTCATAATTTTGACTAGATCAATATTCAGTGTTTACATTATTATGACTCTGGAAATGCTATTCACAGCTGAGTTACATAGCACACTAGGATTACTTTTCCTTTCTTGCACATCTGCTTGTTTTTAATGGAGCCGATAATTGTCTTGTTTATTCTCTTGCTTATTTTTCTACGTACTTAACATTAGCTCATCCACAACCTGTTCCCCAGTTGACTAAATATTCTCCCAATATGTGAAGATGCATTGGCTCTTCTGTCAGTCTCGTCTTCTGTGAGACATCTTTGAATTGCTCCAATATGGCCCAATTGCTCTCTAGATCTGTAGAGCACTCTCATCCCATGATATCCCTAATAATTTTGAAGATATTTCTTCATTGTTTTCTAGCTTCTAACTTTTGAGAAGCCTGAAACCATTTGGAATCCTGATCCCTTGTAATTTTTCTTTTCTGGAAGCCATTGGGTTCTTTGTTTTGTCCTTAGGATGCAACATCACATTGATCTCCCCTGGTGTGTGTCCATTTTCTTTCACTGTGTTGGGTATTCTGTGGACCCTTTCAATCTTAAAACTGTCTTTCAACTCTGGGAACTTTTGTTGAATTATTTATTTAATTTTGTTCTCTCCAGTTTTTCTGACCTTTTCCTCCCTGGAACTCATGTTATTCTTATGTTGGACTACCTGAATAATGTAATTTGCTTACATTTTTCTTATTCTTTCCATGTGCTTGTCTGTTTGCTCTACTTCTGGGCTGTTCCCTCAGCTTTATCTTTCATTGCTTCTGCAATACTGCAATGCAATTCTGACACTAACAGAGTTAGCAGAGACTCTACTGGTTAAGGGCACAGTCTCCAACAAACTGTTCTCACTTCAGATGCCAGCTACAAGTTCAGGGTTACCTGCACTTCTGACCAACTGGCTACCAACTTGGGTATTCCAATGAGCCCCTCAGGTTTGATGATTCCCTAGAATAACTCACAGAACTCAGAAAAGTACCATGTTTATGATTACAGTTTTATTATAAAAGATGCAAATCAGGACTAGCCAAATGAAGAGACCTACAGGATGAGGTCTAGGAGTGCCCTAATTGTGGAGCTTCCGTGTCCTCCCCTTGTGGAATCAGGATATGTCACCCCTGGCACATCAATATGTTTACTAACTAGGAAATTCACCTGAGCCTTGGTGTCCAGGGTTTTCACTGGGGTTTCATTATACAGGCATGACTGATTGAATCATTGATCATGTGATTGAATTCAGTCTCCATTCCCCCTTCTTCCCTCCCCAGAGGTCATCTTCGCCTGATATCATCTGGCACAAAGCCCCAACTCTCTAGTCACATGGTTGTTGGTCTTTTCAGCCTCACCAACCCCCATCCTGAAACTATCCAAGAGCCCACCCTAAGCCACCTCATTATCATAAATTCAGTCATGGGCCCAGAGGCCCATCATGAATAACAAAGACACTCTTATCACTCAAGAAATTTTAAGAGTTTAGAAGCTCTTTCCCAGGAAACTGAGACAAAGGTCCTGCAACAAAAACCAGACAAATTTTTCATTCTACAACATTTTCTAATAAGAAGTTCAAAGCAGGATTTTTTTAAAAAAAAAATTCAACTTTTATTTTAGATTCAGGAGGTACATGTGCAAGTTTGTTACATGGGTATATTGTGTGATGCCAAGGCTTGGAGTACAAATGATCCTGTCATCCAGGTAGTGAGCATAGTACCCAATAGTTTTTCAACCCTTGACTCCCTCCCTACCTCCTGCTAAGTAGTCCCCACTACTTATTGTTGCCATCTTTACGTCCATGAGAACCCAGTGTTTAGTTCCAACTTATAAGTGAGAACATGTGGTATTTGGTTTTCTGTTCCTGTGTTAATTTGCTCAGGATAATGGCCTCCAGCTAAAGCAGGAATTTTTCAGAGCAATTTTTTGCCCTCTGAGTATCCTTTTAAATATAATCTTGCTCTTTTTTGATAGATACAACATCTTATCTCTTTGAGTACAATAATGGTTATTAATTTTCATTTCTGTTTCTTTTAAGTTTTTGGTTTATTGGTTGGTTTAGGTTTCTATCTTTGATATTGGAGGCTTTCCTCAGATAGCTTGTCATCCTTGGCTGTTTGCTCATATTTATGAGTAGGTTCCTAAAAAGCTAATTAGAAGGTCAGAGTATTTAGTGAGACTTGTGTGAGTATATCAGTTTTCTACTGTGGCGTAACAAGTTACCACAAACGTAGTGGCTTAAAACAACACGCATTAATAATTTCATGGTTTCTGTGCATTAGGAGTTCAGGTCTGGGGTAGCTGAGTCCTCTTTCAAGAGTCTCCCCAGATTGTAATCAAGGTGTTGGTCAGGATGTAAACTCATCTGGAGTTTTGATTGGGGAAGAATTTGCTTCCAAGCTTAATCAGGCTGTTGGCAGAATTTATTTTCTAATGACCACACGACTGAGGGCCTCAGCTTTTTGCTAACTGTTGGCTGGAGGCTACCCTCAGGTCCTAGAGGCCATCCACAGCTCCTTAAGGAGATTGGCAGTTACTTGCCATGTAGGCTTCTGCAACATAGCCTCCCATTTCATCAAGCCCAGAGGAAGAGACATTAGCTTCTGTCTGCTAAAGCAGAGCCTTTTATAATGTAACTTAACTATGAGAGTGACATCCCATCACCTTTGCCATATTCTGTTAGGTTAGAAGCAAGTCACATTTCCCATCTCCATTCAAGAAGAGAGAAGTATATAAAGGCATGAGTACCAGGAGGTGGTATCCACTGGGGATTACCTTGGGTCTGTCTACCACAATGGGTTTCACTGCAAGGTGATCTGGCTGGGTCATTTCATTGGACAACCCTTTATATCAACATCTTTAGGGTTTTTTTTCTTTTTCTTTATTATTATTTTTTTCTGAGGTTGTTCACATTTCCACAGAAGGATATTCCAGCCTGGAGGTTGTAAGCCTGACTGTCAGCATTCTAAGAACTAAGTGGGGCCAGGCACGGTGGCTCAGGCCTGTAATCCTAGCACTTTGGGAGGCCGAAGCAGGCAGATCATGGGGTCAGGAGTTTGAGACCACCCTGGCCAACATAGTGAAACCCCGTCTCTACTAAATATACAAGAAAAAAAAAATTAGCTGGGCGTGGTGGTGTGCACCTGTAATCCCAGCTACTCAAGAGGGTTGAGGCAGGAGAATCGCGTGAACCCAGGAGGTGGAGGTTTCAATGAGCCGAGACGGCATCATTGCACTCCAGCCCAGGTAACAGTGCAAGACAACATCTCAAAAAAAAAAAAAAAAGTACTAAGTGGGATAAGAGGCTAAGAGTATCAACAATCAATATATAAACTTCTGAATGTCCTTGTTTTCCATATGGTACTTCTTCCTCAACTGTGCTTCCGCAGTCCAGAGACCCTCTGTTTTACTCTCTCTAGAGAATAAACCTCACATCTGATGGGAGTTGGGGCAGAGACAATCACACAACCGTGAGGAGTTGTGGGGGAGATCTTAGGATCCAACTGGTTAATAAGAATTTCAACCAATACTCTTGTTTTTAGACTTACTTTCACCTCCACTTCCAGAAGTACTGGTACTGCCAATTTTTGAGCCTTTTGGAGGTTCTTTATTGTGAATTGTGTTGGTTGTCAATTTTCCCCAATGCCAGTTTTGGATTCAGTTTCTGCAGGTCGGCTGTCAGTTACCCTTGTATGTCTATTTTCTAGCTTTAAATATTGCATTGTTGTCTTCTCTCCCCAAATTACTGTCATTTTAATGAGGGTTGGCAGCGAAGTGGAGGTAAATACACGTGTTCAAATTGTCATGGTCAATGAGATGTCCTAATTTACATGTTAAAAAGATTACTGTGACCTTTTTGTGAAGAAGACTATGAGGGAGGGATAACAGTGGAAGTTGGGAGAACAGTTAGGTAGCTAGTTCTAACAGAAGAAATAGATAGCACTTGGTAGTAGATTGAGAGTGGGGAGAAGAGAGAGGGAGGTGTCACCAATGTCTCCTAAGCTTGTGTAGTAGGATGGATGGTGGATTTCACCCATTTTGTGATTCATTGTTTTCATGTCATTTTCCAGGACAGCTATCAACACACTTGTCTCCCTCACTACTACAATTGGTGTCACCACAAAACCAGCTCAGAGCAAATCTAACATTGCCAGGAACACAGTTACCATGATAAGAAAGCCCTAATGTAATGACCACCACCAACAACTACTACTACACCAGCTCCCAGTTATGAAGTGATCACTATAAGCCTGGTTCCATAATAAGCACTTTCCATATATTATTTTATTTAACTTCCCCAATAGCCCTGTGAGGTAGATACCCATCTGTAGTTTATTATCATTGAATTCCCCAAGTGAATTCTTTCTAAATCAATCAAATTCTGGGGAGTATAGTTTCAAAACAAATTATGACAGGGGCTCTAGAAGTAGTAAGAGGGCACATCGCATTAGCTGTTGCCATTCCTACTCATTTGCTGTCTACTCCACACCTGTGGTAGGATGCATCTACTCTTTGCTCATACTGCCTGTCCCTCTGGTTAACCACTTCCTCCTATTCTTGCCTCAGAATTTTGCTTCTTCTGAAAATCCTCTCTTATAGTTGTATTATTGCCCAAAGTGGCAAGAATGTCCCCTTTGCCTCAACTGTAGCATGGAACTACAGCCTTATTCTACTCCACAAGCTCTTCATAGGAGAAATGGAGGCTTGGAGTGGAGATGAGAACTTTGCCCAATCTTCAAATTTATGTGGAATTTCAGGAATAAAACGCATAAGGATGGAAATGTCTTGAATTGTTCACATGAACGTAGCCTAGAAGAGGGCAAAAAAGCGGAACAGGAAGAAGTAATTTTAATGCAATTTGAGACTTTCCCCAAGTTTCTTGAGAAATGGAAGAGTTGGGGGGACTGGGAACAGACGGTACAAATTACATTAACTTATTATGAATTACTTGGAGTTTTTACCCCTAGGAGAAATCCTGGAAGGATGTCTTAGTCAGCCCGGGTTGCCATAACACAATACCATTAGACTGGGGAATTTAAACAACAGAAATTTATTTCTTACAGTTCTGGAGGTTGGAAGTCTGAGATCAGGGTGCCCCCATGGTTGGGCTCTAGGAAGGGCCCTCTTTCTGGCTTGCAGATAGCTGCCTTCTCACTGTGTCCTCACATGGTGGAGAGAGAGAAAGAGAGCAAGTTCTCTGGTGTCTCTTCTAATAAGGACACTAATCCTATTGAATTAAGGCCCCACCCTTATGGATTCATTTAACCTTAATTACCACCTTATAAGCTCTATCTTCAAGTCATGTTGGGGGTTAGGGCTTTAACATACAAATATGGGGGGACACAATTCAGTCTATAGCAGAGATTATGCTCTGCTTTGCCAAGTCCTCTTGGGTTCTTCCCCCCTAGTGTTAATCAATACAATTGAGAACAGAGGACACTGACAATCAAGTCAATCAGCAAACATAGGTGAGATTTGCCTAGACCCCTGTGTTTCCGTTGTAACATTAGCTCTGGCAGTTCCTGTAGAGCTGACACTCTTTGTCTCTAACCATTTATGTTCTGCGGAGTTCTGGTTGGATTTTTACTCCTCTGTAAATTTCTTTCTACTGTGTTATATTAGGCTTCATCAAGACATACTTCTATGATGATAAATGAGGTGGCCAGATTGACTGACTATGTACTAAAATATCATTGACTTTCCTTCCTTGAAAAATGTTCTTTTTGTATGTGTGACTGGTGAAGGGGGTGATGGTAATTCAGAGTATAGAGTTTGTAAAAGATATTTGACTTCTTTGGAGACAAGAGTGATGGGAGAAGATTTTGTAGTCTTGACGACATCACATGTGTGCTCTTTCTCCTCCATGGAAACCAAAATGTGTGAGTGAGACTGATGAGTCAGCTAATTCTCACTCCCCTCCTCCACTCCCACCTCCACCACTAGCCTAAGGACTAGTGTTTTTCTTTTTCAAGGGCAAGAGTGAACATACTAAAGAATAGAAGGGGATATCACAGTGCCATAAGTAACTAAGTAACTTAGTTTCTCAGTTATTATAGTCCTGATTCCTGCTAGAGAGCCTTCTGTTATTACTCTAGGTACCTTCAGAACAGTGCATTTAGCCATTCACGGTGAATCCAGATATTTGAGCTTTATTATTATTTTTTCTAAGATATCTTGATATAGCAAGAGGTTTGAGCTTTAAATAGTCCATGGTTCTCAATGCATGAAAGTCTGTTTTTTGGGGGGTTTTTTTTGAGGAAGGGGTTAGTGTCCTTTTATGCAGCCAACCATATTCATTCTTTCACCAAACATTTATTGAGCACTTATTGTGTGCCAGGCACTGTGGTAGATACTGGAGATTTAAAGACATGTAAGAAACAATTTCCTGCCTTTGATGCACTTATAGCTCCACATACGGATCTCTCTTCCAGAGATAGTCCCACATGAATCACCTAAACACAGAATAATAAGTTTGATGATTAGATGCCTGGACAAAGTATGGGCTTTTGTTTTGCTCTGGGGAAGCAGGGAAATGTTCACAAAGGAGGTGACATTTGAGCTATGTTTCAAAGATGGAGAATAAGGAAAAAGTTATTTTCAGGCATTAGGAAAAGCACATGCAAAGACACAGAAATGTAAAGGGGCACAGAGTGTTCAAAGGTCTGCAGGAAGTTCATTTTGATTGAGGCAATGTCAGGTGGTCTTGCTAAAAAGGGAAGTTAGAGTAATTATGAGGAACCTCCTTATGCCATGCTAAGGTACTTGGATTTAGCATTGAACATTTTTAGGCAGAGACATGGCATACTATTATAGGCAATTTATAAAGTTCACTCCAACAACTACATGGAGGACAGTTTGAAGGGAGGCAAGAATGGATGCACAGAGACAGATTAAAAAGCTGTTGCAAAAATCCTAGTGTGAGGATGATAAGGGTCTGAACAAAGGCAGTGACAGTGGAAACAATAAGGAGAGAATATGGTTAAGGGGTGATTCCAAAGAAGATATAATAGGACTTTGCAGCCAATTGAACATAGTTATTGGAGAGAGAAAAATGTTTTGTGTGACTCCCAGGTTTCTAATTTAGGTAACTTGATAGATGACAGTGCCATTAATAGAGATCAGTTGGAGACATCCAGGAGACAGTTGCATATATGGGTCTGGAGTAGGGGAGAGATATGAAAGTCAGAGACAAAAATTTCCGTATCATCAATGGAGTAGTTGAAGCCATGGGAATGGAGAAGATTTCCCTGGGCAAGTTTCCAGAATGATATGAGAAGAGCCTTATGAAGAGGGTCTCTGAAAATAGTAACCTCTAAGGGGTAGATACAGGAAGAGAATTTTATGAAGGAGGAGAATGAATAATCAGAGAGATAGGAGGAAAACCTGAGGAGAAGGAAGATATGGTCCACAGTGTCAGATACAGCATAGACGTCAGGAAAGATGATGGCAGGAGCAGAGCCCACTTGATTTAGCACTCAGGGGTGTTAGTGACCTTAAAGAGGGTATATTCAGTAGAATGGTGCCAGGAGAGCCCAGCCCAAGTAGGCTGAGACACAAATGGGAGGGAAGGAATTGGAGACTGAGAGTACAGACTACTTTCTTCTTTTTTTTTTTTTTACTTTGACATATGGATTTATAAACATTCTAATAACAGTGCACCTCGTCCTGAGGGTCTCTTGTACACTGAAGTATACAGCCAGGATGATCAGCAACAGATACTTTTTAGTTGTATCTAATATTAGTATTTATTTTTGTATATTGTGCTGTGGTTTATATATAATATATATGAATAAGTATACATGTATGAGGGTATCTTTTGGTTCTGATAGGGTGATGAATCAATCACAGTTTTGGAGATCCCTTCTGGAGAGTAAGGTCTGCAGACCTACTGACCCCTTTGGTTCTGGAAAAGCTCCTATCTGCCTCAAAGCAGCCTCATCTCCAGTGCAGGGGGAAAGTTATCATGCAGGGAATGCAACTCTCCTGGAAGCATTTGAATTTACCCAAGCTGGGAACATTCCTCTCTCCATTCGCCTTTACTGGGCTTAAAGATTTGTCTGCAAATGGATCTGGTAAGCACTCCTGAGTCCATCAAGGTTCCTCAAGGCAGTCACAAAGACTAAATTCTGAAATCCACAGAGGTGCCATCTTGCCATCTCAGGCAGTGATGGTCAACACTTTTTTCACTCTAACACACCTGAGGAGGCCTGACTCTATCAGTAACAGTAATTTCTTGACAGTGAGCCAGGAGGTGAGATAATAAAGACGGACCACTTTTGTTAAACAGCCAGACACTGTCCTCAGCATTTTACATCAATTAAGTAAATTACTATGTCCCCAGGATACAGGTATGGAAACTGGTTAAGAAGTGTGGTGGTGAAGGAAGAGAGAAAGCAAAAGAAACACATATGGAGAAGGCAGGTGTGGTTTGCCACTCAACTGAATTCTCATCTGAACTCTGTCCTCTTCTCTGAAGAAGATGTAGACTGTGTACCTGGCCTTGTGTTGGAGCAACTAGGAATGGGTAGGAGATGAAAATGGCAACGTTCCTAACTTTAAGGTGCTTATGTACTGTTTGGCTAGATTTGTTGTTTATTTCTTAAGAAAGAAACATGGAACAATAAAGAATAGGTGGTGTTTTTAAAGCTGGGTTGTAAGGCAGCTGCTTGGAACTTGAAGTTCATTTTACTTTGGGAACTTACTAAAGATATATACCTTTTATAGGTGGATCCATAAATCCAGTTTGTCCATGACATAGCTGGAATGCTATACATTTATTAGGAAAATTAATATGAAATAATATTGTTCTGGTACTAATAATTAAGCAAAATGAACTATCAAGTTGAACAATACATGAGTTTTAAATGATAGCACTTGAAGAAAAGCTGGTTTAATTACGAGTGGTGTAAAAGATGAAGAAATATACATGTGGAGATTCTGAATAAGACTTTTGGCACTTTCAAGGACTTTAGAGGATACTGCAAAGTTTCTTTATCATGGTTAATTTTATTTTAAAGCATATGACTCTTCATTCTTTAATTTGATTGAATCAGCACTGCTCTTATACTTGTCAACCATAATTACAGCTTTTGGTTGAATCATGAATGGAACAAAGAAGAAAACGTTAAGGCCACCATAGGTTCATGGCTACCTAGGAGTGGTCACATTTTCATCTCTTAAACATTTTCCCCTTAATTTCTGTCCATCTTGTTTTCTCAGTATGAGTTAGGATAAGCAATTATAGCTGTCATAATAAACAATCTCAAAATCTGTGACTTAACACAATGAGGATACATTACTTGCTCATATGATTGTCCAATGTTTTCAGAGAGGAGAGAGATTCTCTGGTCCTCATAGTCATTCTGAAATCAAGTTTCTCCCATCTTGTAATTTGGCCATATTCCACATATGGCCTCTATGGTCACTATAGAAGTGAAAGAAAGGGAGCAGAGGGATTTGTTGTAGATTTTAGTGCCCAGACCTAGAAGTAGAATGTGTCACTTTTATTCACATTCCTTTGGCCAGAACTAGTCATACTGTCCACCTGTGACTTCCCGTGTGCCCAGGAGAAAAACAGAGTGGTTTGCTGAACATATAGCAATGTCTCTGCCACAATGTCCTTCAATACAAAATGGCTAAATAAACTATGTATGTCTTTTCTTTTTTTTATTATACTTTAAGTTCTAGGGTACATGTGCACAATGTGCAGGTTTGTTACATATGTATACATATGCCATGTTGGTGTGCGTGCTGCACCCGTTAACTCGTCATTTACATTAGGTATATCTCCTAATGCTATCCCTCCCCCCACCCCCACCCAACAACAGGTCCCGATGTGTGACGTTCCCCTTCCTGTGACCAAGTGTTCTCATTGTTCAATTCCCACCTAAGAATGTGAACATGCGGTGTTTGGTTTTTTGTCCTTGCGATAGTTTGCTGAGAATGATGGTTTCCAGCTTCATCCATGTCCCTACAAAGGCCATGAATTCATCAGTTTTTATGGCTGCATAGTAATCCATGGTGTATATGTGCCAGATTTTCTTAATCCAGTCTATCATTGATGGACATTTGGGTTGGTTCCAAGTCTTTGCTATTGTAAATAGTGCCGCAGTAAACATACGTGTGCATGTGTCTTTATAGCAGCATGATTTATAATCCTTTGGGTATATACCCAGTAATGGGATGGCTGGGTCAAATGGTATTTCTAGTTCTAGATCCTTGAGGAATCACCACACTGACTTCCACAATGGTTGAACTAGTTTCCAGTCCCACCAACAGTGTAAAAGTGTTCCTATTTCTCCACATCCTCTCCAGCACCTGTTGTTTCCTGACTTTTTAATGATCGTCATTCTAACTGATGTGAGATGGTATCTCATTGTGGTTTTGATTTGCATTTCTCTGATGGCCAGTGATGGTGAGCATTTTTTCATGTGTCTGTTGGCTGCATAAATGTCTTCTTTTAGAAGTGTCTGTTCATATACTTTGCCCACTTTTTGATGGGGTTGTTTGTTTTTTTCTTGTAAATTTGTTTGAGTTCTTTGTAGATTCTGGATATTAGCTCTTTGTCAGATGAGTAGATTGCAAAAATTTTCTCCCATTCTGTAGGTTGCCTGTTCACTCTGATGGTAGTTTCTTGTGCTGTGCAGAAGCTCCTTAGTTTAATTAGATCTCATTTGTCAATTTTGGCTTTTGTTGCCATTGCTTTTGGTGTTTTAGGCATGAAGTCCTTGCCCATGTGTATGTCCTGAATGGTATTGCCTAGGTTTTCTTCTAGAGTTTTTATGGTTTTAGGTCTAACATTTAAGTCTTTAATCCATCTTGAGTTAATTTTTGTATAAGGTGTAAGGAAGGGATCCAGTTTCAGCTTTCTACATATGGCTAGCCAGTTTTCCCAGCACCATTTATTCAATAGGGAATCCTTTCCCCATTTCTTGTTTTTGTCAGGTTTGTCAAAGATCAGATGGTTGTAGATGTGTGGTATTATTTCTGAGGGCTCTGTTCTGTTCCATTGGTCTGTATCTCTGTTTTGGTACCAGTACCATACTGTTTTGGTTACTGTAGCCTTGTAGTATAGTTTGAAGTCAGGTAGTGTGATGCCTCCAGCTTTGTTCTTTTGGCTTAAGATTGACTTGTCAATGTGGGCTCTTTTTTGGTTCCATATGAACTTTAAAGTAGTTTTTTCCAATTCTGTGAAGAAAGTCATTGGTAGCTTGATGGGGATGGCATTAAATCTATAAATTATCTTGGGCAGTATGGCCATTTTCACGATATTGATTCTTCCTATCCATGAGCATGGAATGTTCTTTCATTTGTTTGTGTCCTCTTATTTCGTTGATCAGTGGTTTGTAGTTCTCCTTGAAGAGGTCCTTCACATCCCTTGTAAGTTGGATTCCTAGGTATTTTATTCTCTTTGAAGCAATTGTGAATGGGAGTTCACTCATGATTTGGCTCTCTGTTTGTCTGTTATTGGTGTATAAGAATGCTTGTGATTTTTGCACATTAGTTTTGTATCCTGAGACTTTGCTGAAGTTGCTTATCAGTTTAAGGAGATTTTGGGCTGAGATGATGGGGTTTTCTAGATATACAATCATGTCATCTGCAAACAGGGACAATTTGACTTCCTCTCTTCCTAGCTGAATACCCTTTATTTCTTTCTCCTGCCTGATTGCCCTCGCCAGAACTTCCAACACTATGTTAAATAGGAGTGATGAGAGAGGGCATCCCTGTCTTGTGCCAGTTTTCAAAGGGAATGCTTCCAGTTTTTGCCCATTCAGTATGATATTGGCTGTGTGTTTGTCATAAATAGCTCTTATTATTTTGAGATACGTCCCATCAGTACCTAATTTATTAGAGTTTTTAGCATGAAGGGCTGTTGAATTTTGTCAAAGGCCTTTTCTGCATCTATTGAGATAATTATGTGGTTTTTGTCTTTGGTTCTGTTTATATGCTGGATTACGTTTATTGATTTGTATATGTTGAACCAGCCTTGCATCCCAGGGATGAAGCCCACTTGATCATGGTGGAAAAGCTTTTTGATGTGCTGCTGGATTCGGTTTGCCAGTATTTTATTGAGGATTTTTGCATCGATGTTCATCAAAGATATTGGTCTAAAATTCTCTTTTTTTGTTGTGTCTCTGCCTGGCTTTGGTATCAGGATGATGCTGGCCTCATAAAATGAGTTAGGGAGGATTCCCTCTTTTTCTATTGATTGGAATAGTTTCAGAAGGAATGGTACCAGCTCCTCCTTGTACCTCTGGTAGAATTCGGCTGTGAATCCTTCTGGTCCTGGACTGTTTTTGGTTGGTAGGCTATTAATTATTGCCTCAATTTCAGCTCCTGTTATTGGTCTATTCAGGGATTCAACTTCTTCCTGGTTTAGTCTTGGGAGGGTGTATGTGTCGAGGAATTTATCCATGTCTTCTAGATTTTCTAGTTTACTTGCTCAGAGGTGTTTATAGTATTCTCTGATGGTAGTTTGTATTTCTGTGGGATCAGTGGTGAGATCCCCTTTATCATTTTTTATTGCATCTATTTGATTCTTCTCTCTTTTCTTCTTTATTAGTCTTGCTAGTGGTCTATCAATTTTGTTGATCATTCAAATAACCAGCTCCTGGATTCATCGATTTTTTGAAGTGTTTTTGTGTCTCTATCTCCTTCAGTTCTGCTCTGATCTTAGTTATTTCTTGCCTTCTGCTAGCTTTTGAATGTGTTTGCTCTTGCTTCTCTTAAACTATGTATGTCTTTTCTATGGAACATTATTCAGCACTTTCTAAAGAATGAAACATCTCTATGTGGACTGGTATGGAAAGATCTGCAGAATATTTTGAGATCAGAAAAAATAATTTGGGAATGATATGTTACAATATAGTAACACTGGGATTTAAAACAAAAAACAAAACAATGCACTGTGTAAAAATATGTATTCTGTATATGAATGAACATGTGTAGAAAAAGATTTAGAAGGATACCAAAATTTAAACTGTCAACAATGGTTATTTCTAGGGAGGAGAGGAGTGGACCTTGGTTGTTGATGATATGCAAAATGGACCTTATCTGTAACTTTCAAAATATTTATAAGGAAAATGAATTCATGTGTTATGTGTATAAGTAAAATTTATATAAAATAGATATATTTGAAAATATGCATATTTGTTATCTGTTCCTAAAACAGATTTCAACTGTGAGTTTAGCTTTTGACTTGTTGAGTTTAAAGAGCTAATGAAATATCTAGGTTGTTGTCAGTGATGACAGGTCTGGCAGGCAGCCACAGATGCACGTTTGGAGCTCTGGGGAGAAGCTGGAGTTACAGAGTTAATTTGAGTGTGTTTTCTTTGCATAGGGGTGAGTACTGAAGCTAAAAGAGTGTAAGGGACCTCAAAGGTGATGCTCCTCAAAGCATCAGGCCATGTCAAGAGGAGACACTTGTGGCAGAATGTAATTCATTGCACTGCTTCCTTCACTGAGAAAGCTTTGTTACCAAAAAAATGCCAGCTGAACTAATGTATGTGTTTAGCGATGTGAGTGATTTACATTCTGGACAAGCTCCTTATCTTGTCGTGAACCAATAACTGACAGTTTGCTGATGGGCATTGGTACATGGACTACAGTTTGAGTAGCAGCTCTCTGTGGAAGGAAGAATCTAGCAAGAGAAGAGATTTCAGTTGTGAACCTTTGGATGTGACCATACTTGGAGGGGGTAGAGGAGAAAGACTTATCAAAAGAAAAAGAAGTAATAAGATACTGAATTAATGTACAGTGTTCCCGGGTCAGGTGAGAGAAAGTTTCGAGTGGTCAACAGTGTCAAATGCCATGAATAGGTGGTGGATGAGAGAGGGAAAGCCACTGGAGTTAACTCTGTGCATGTGTGCACATGTGTATGCTTGCTTATATTTGGAAAGACCTACAATGTTACTGAGTTCTTATTCTGTGTCAGGAACTGTGTCATGTGCTCTACAAGTATGACCTCATTTCTTGGGTTGACTGATGAAAAATAAAAGAGTGTATGACAGTGGTAGGGATAGAACCAGAGTGCTGGAGGTTAAGGAAAGGGTGAGTGGGTGGATACAGGCAGTCATTGCAGAGAAGAAAGGTGATGCAAAGAAGGAAATAGAATGTTAGGTAGAAATGTAAGAGGAAGGGAAGTCTAGGGAGCTCACTTAGGATGACTTTGATTTCAGTAAGGTGGGAGGCAAGATTGAGTAGAGGGAGCATGAAAGAGCAAAGAAGGTATGTGACAGATGTTGTGGGGAATGTGATGGGGGAGCCAAAAGCTACATGTGTAAAATGATATAATCGAGACCTCTTCTATCAAGGCTCAGAAGGGCAGAAAACACAAATACAGAGGGCAGAGGTTACTTGTGTATTGGCAAATGGTTAAGGTGGTTGAGAAATTGGTGCTCCCAACCCCCTATTCACTTTTTCTTAATCTTGAATTTACAATAGCTTGATTTCTTTCAAGATCCTATTTCAAAAAGACAATTGTGACAGCTAAAAATCCCTCCTCTAGATTGGGATGTCATTGATGTGTTGTCAGAGAAAGCTTTGGAGGCTTCCAGCTCCCCTCCACCTTCAAGAAATCTGAAAAGAGCCGGGCGCGATGGCTGACGCCTGTAGTCCCAGCACTTTGGGAGGCTGAGGAGGGTGGATCACGAGGTCAGGAGTTAGAGACCAGCCTGAATGGTGAAACCCCCTCTCTACTAAAAATACAAAAAATTAGCTGGGCATCATGGCGCATGCCTGTAGTCCCAGCTACTTGGGAGGCTGAGGCAGGAGAATTGCTTGAACCTGCCAGGTGGAGGTTGCAGTGAGCCGAGGTCGCGCCACTGCACTCCAGCCTGGGTGACAGAGCAAGACACCGTCTCAAAAAAAAAAAGTAATCTGAAAAGAAAACTAACTCATGTAAGTAGGTCCATAGGGCCATTGTCTCTGCCCCTCCCTAAGTGGCTTTCATGCAGAAAAGATAACAGGGAGTGTGTCTGACCTACAAAGAGATGGAAGATTGGTATAGGGTGATGCTATCACATGAAATAGTCTGGGGCTAGGGACAATTGAAGAGATTATACTGCGGAATGAAGAGTAAGCCTGGCTGATTAATAGCAATACGAAGATGACAGCCACTGAGCTCAGGGATCATAAAATTCCTAATAGTGTTTGCAGTGTGACTCTCAAATCATTTCTGTGCAGATTCTGTCTGGCTAGTGAGTACTGGAAATTTCAGATATTCATAGGTTCTTATCCCCATCTAAGTCTTCGAAGAGTTTGAAATCCACTGTGCTTTCTTTTCCCCTCACCTTGTTTTTCCTTTATCCCTTCCCTTGAGTTCTTTCTTTTATAGATTTTGCTGGGTACATTTAAGTTTGTAAGCTACACTGAGAAAGAGCAGTTCTGAACACAGTCATGAGTGAAGGCAATGAATTGGCTATTTCAAGGTTGAACTGGGGAGTCAGCTTTGCTACTAACTGGCCATGTAAGCTTGGACAAGTTGTTTCCCTCTCTGGACTTCAGTTTCCACATTTTTTAACTGAAGGGCTTAAACTAGATGAACTAAGGGTGTGTATTAGAAGTGAAAGGCAGTATGTTTTTGAAAATCTGGATACCCAGGTCCCCTTGTTGGAGCCTCATTAGATATGGAGTAGGGCCCAGGTATCTGTGGTTTTATAAAGTGATTTAATTCCCCCTTTAACTTCTGCCATGATTGAGGGCTTCCTGAGGCCTTCAGCAGAAGAAGATGTTAGCACTATGCTTCTTGTACAGTCTATAGAACCATGAGCCAAATAAACCTCTTTTCATTATAAATTACCCAGCATTTGGCATTCTTTTATAGCAATGCAAAACAGACTCACACAAGGGATCTCCAGTTCTAGCATAATATGAGGGGAGGGTCAGGGGAGCGGGGGGTAAAGAAAGAGAGAGCACATACACGTTTTACTCTCTGGAAAGGAGGCTATCTATTATTTACACAATTGAAAACTGGGGAGCCAAGACAATAGTGTAATATTTTCACATTATTAATGTATAGATGGGTTTTGAAAGACTTAGCAGTTAATGCACATGGACACTCACCTGCCTTTCCCAAAGAAATAACTAAATTGGAAAAGAAACAGGGCAGAATAAAAGCAGGGCCTTCTTCAGGTAATGAATATAGACATGTACCAGTCATGGGCTCAACCCTCAAGAAGCTTGAATTTTGTGCCCCATCTTTTCCTAGCTTTCTGACACTTGGTAAGAACTCCCAGACTCACTGACACTTAGGTATTCAGACTTACTGTGTTTAGAAGTGTTATTCTGCCAGGGAAATTTGCATTTTGAGGAACCTATGCCAAAGAACTGCATTTTGAACCAATGTTTATGGGAGAAATGTGGGGAAAGGCTGCCTGCCAGGAGGCTGAAATCTGGTTTTTGGATGCCCATGATGATGTGGGGGGAACCAAATAATTGAAAGTCTATAGTGGAAATGGATGCCTGCAATGGGCGTCAAGAATAGGGCAGGGGGCTTTAAGAAGCAGTGGGGAGTGGGCCTTTGTATAAACCCTACATGGTGAATTGTTCACTCCAGTAGTAGCTGGACTAGAGATAGGAGGTTAAGGAAATCAATGTGGATGCTTCAGGGTGAAGAATTCCTAAGCACAAATTTTAGTTTGTGGGACAACTGAGAGGGCACACATATCCAAGTTCCATCCTTTTTGAAATGGATTGTTGATAAGGCAGTATTTCATAGTTGTTCCACTGAAAGGAAAAGTCCATCTCAGCCAAGTGGACTGTAAAATCAGACCTACAAGCTCCTTATCTCCCAGTAACTCCCAAATCCCTAAGGTGTGAGCTCAGGCCTGACCCAGTGCCAACAATGTGGCTTGGATGTGGCTAGAAAAGCCCCAAGCACTCCCCAGGGCTGGCTATTTGCCATGTGGCTCCATTAGCAGTCAAGAGGAGATTCTCCTCTAGGGCCTTCTTGTTGCACAGAGTAGTTGCACAGTCTCAGGATAAAGAGCTGGCTTATAGCTATTTGTGACTGGAGGGGCAAGTTCTTTACTCTAAAAAAGCGACCCTACTCATTGCCCCTCTCTAGGCAGACGTGCACTATCTCAGCTTCCATAATTCTCTATTTAAAATGCAGTTGCTCTGCAAGCATTCACACCTTATTATCATCTAAAATCTCTTGAGCTGCTTTTAGATGCTTTTTGAGAGTGAAGCTCTGGGTTAACAGTTTAATGCAGTGGTATTTCGCATGGTCCGCAGACCAGCAGAAGCAGCAGCAGCATCATCTGGGTACTTGTTAGGCATGTAAACTCTCAAGCTCTACCCAGACCTAAAACTCTAGACATGAAGCACAGTAACTTGTGTTTTAACAAGTGCTCTAGGTCATTCTGATGCATGCTAAGGTTTGAGAACCCCTGGCATAATGAGAGGAATTTGGGCTTTGGGGCCAGACACACCTGGGTTTGAATCTGATCTCCATACTACCTAGGTAACCTAGGATAATGACAAGAGCTAATATTTATTGAACAACGTGCCGTTTATCAGATAATGTGCTAAGCACATTTAAGGGCTTATCATGTACATATGTATAGGTATGTGTGTGTGTGTGTGTGCATGCGTGTAGAATTCCTATGGATTAAGATACTGTTATTATCCTCAATTTAGAGGTGAGGAAGCTGAAGCTCTGTAAGTGAGTTGCCTGAGATCCCATAGTGGTGGTGCTCAGCTCAGGTAATCTGGCTCTAGAGTCTGAGCTTTTAAATTTCTACTCAACCTAAGCCTCAGTTTCCTCATTTGTAAAATGAGGCTAGTATTACCCTACTTTGGAGTTTTGAAGAATAGAAATAATATATCTTGAGACCAGTTCTCACTAGGCAGTCTAGAGCAAATGCTTTTAGAAAGAACCCCTTCTGTAGACTCTACAGCATAGATGGTGCTTTTTCATAAAGATGTCACCCATAGTGTAACTAGGGCAGCAGGAGAGAGGCACAGCTGTAGGAAGAGTCACACAAGCTGCAGCTTTAATCCAGGCTAGGCCCCTTCCTGCTTACCATCCCCACCTTTCACCCAGGCCTAGTGGAGTTAAGGGAAGCAGCCCTCTCTATGGAAACTCCTCCTCTGCGGTGATTCAGGTAGACCCCAAGGGATCACCTTACTGGGAAACTGGGGCTGTACTGCACTCCTCCATCGGTGATCTCTGGTGAGAACAAGATTGACAGAGAGGCTTCTCTCCCAGACGTACCCTGCAAGCAGTTTAGAGATCCACATCCTGTTAGTGAAAATGACAGGTGACGTGGGTCTCAGAAAAATGCCTCTTCTTTTCTCATCTTCCTTATAGCTCCTAATTGGCTTGGGGAATAGGTGTAAGAGAGATTCCTTCCTATGCTTCCTATTGAAAGGTTGCCATGGAGACTTGGCCCAGCCTTTGCCTCTGCCCTATTGGCAGTCAACAAATGGCTCCTGGGCTCTTATCCTCATTATTGCAAATGCCCTTTCCAGTGGCTCTCCCCATCTCAATGTTGCCTACAGTAGAATAAAAGTAATTCATTCATTTAAACTTTGTTAGTTGAGAATCTGCTATGTGCCGAGCACTGTTCTAGTTCTGGAGAATCAGGGGTGAATAAAACAAATGCCTGTTGAACTAAATTAAATTGAATCAGATTGAACGGCTCATCCCTGGGCGAGACACTGAACTAACTCAGTGATGCAGAGGATCCCAATTGATTTCACAATAATTCATTTCACAAATATTTATTAAGCACTTACTCTGGACAAAGCACTATTCTAGCTGCTGAGGATACAGCAGTGTCTAAAGCCTTTGCTTTAAGAGAACGTACTTTCTTAAAGAGGAAGACATAAAATAAGTAAATATATAAATAGGATAATGATATTAGATGATTATAAGTGCTATGAAGGTAATAATTTAGAAAATGACTAATGGGATATAAGGCTACTTTAAACAAAGAGGTCAGATCTCCTAATGAATCTTATTTGAGATCAGAAAGATGAAAAGCAACTGGCCATGGGAAGATCTAAGGGAAGAACACTCCAGGCAGGGAAACAGTATTTGCAAAGTCTCTAAGCTGGAAATACCTTGGCTTATTCAAGGGACTGAAAGAAAACTGGAGCAAGGTAAATAGTAAAAAGAGTTAGGTAGAGGTTGCATCATTCAAGATCTGCTAGATCAAGATAGTTTAGATTTTGATCTCATGTGATGTGAAGCCATTGGAGAGTTCTAGGCAGTGGACATACGTGATATGATTTGTGTTTTATAAGGATGCTCTGGAAAGCTGTGTGGAAAATGGACTGTGCGAGGAAATGAGTGGAAGCTGCGAGATCAGTGGAGTAGAGATGGCAGTGTTCCATTTAATTTTTTAAAGTTGTGACCAAGCGTGATATAAGCAACAAATTACAAAGACTGAATATGCATGCCTTGAGTTTAAATTAGTGACTTACAAAGGTGTCAGGCTATATTCATTATGCTGCCTCTCATCTCAATTAACTAGGACCCCTTCATTTTAGAGCTGAGACCAAGGAGGTCTCTCTAATTTACAACCCTTTTTCCATTTGTAGGTACGTGTGTATGTGTCTGTGTGTTTGCATATGCACGTGTGGCATCTCAGTGTCTTCTCATCTAGTTCTCTAAAATTAATTCTGACCACACCTAATTAATATATATCCCGAAGAACAAAATAAGAAAAATTGCAAAATTTAAAGTGATCACAGGGCTGGCTATTCTTATACTTGCAGAAAAAAATCCCAAAACCCAGTTTATGAAATCTTGGACTTACAAACTAGATAAACTAGAAGATAATTATTCACATTACTCATTATTCTTTCTTATTGTTTGCTTTCCCCAGTCACTAACTTATTCCTTTAAATAGCTATTTCCCTAGCACAGTTAAGTTTTTTATTTACAAATCGTGAACCAATCATTATTGATCATTAACTGTGTGACAGTGGGGCTAGAGGGCAGGGAAATTCAATTAAATTCGTTGAGGTCTACTTTGTACATATAAGAAAGAAGGTAGGTCCTGGGGAAAGTACAAAGATAAATAAGGTAAATTTCTTGCCTCCTGGAAGCATGAAACTGTGTGAGGGAAGACAGCCAGTACACAACTAGTTATAACATGAGGCAGCCTAGAATAGAAGTCTGTTAAAAAAAGTGCTATGAAACATGGAAAGAGCAATTTGTTCTGACTGGGAGAAATGGGGAAGGCTTCATAGAAGGGATTTTTTTTTCATTTATTCATTCAACAGCCTTCATCAAGCACCCACTATATGCCAGAAACTGTGATAGATACTGGGACTACCATGGTAAACAAGACCCTAGGCGAGCAATTACAATCTAGTGTGATCACATAGGCTATGTGAGGGAGAGTGCAGGGTGCTCTGGGAATACAAATGAATGGCATCAAGGCTAGCCTTGGACAGGCTTGGATAGGCTTCTTGGAGGGGTTATCATGTAAGCTGAGATAGAAGAGTACAGGTTGCCTGGGTAAGAGCTGTGGTGGGAATTGGGGACAGTGTTCTAGGCAGAGGAAGCAGCATCTGGTAAGGTTTAGTGATGTGCATAGGGAGAGGAAGAGGGGGACAGATAATAGTAATTTTGAATTACTGAATGAATAAAAATAGTAATTTCCTGATATTTATTTGAATAAGCCATAGCTCGAATCTACTGCAGGAGATTTTTGTAGAACTGCTTCTTAGAAATCAGATTCTTTTCCACTAGCCACTCTTAATGAATCGTCTTTGATTAAGACAAAGGAATACCCAATAATTAATAGTGCAATAGCTCTACCACACTTCTATATTCCTGACTAGTCCTGGGAAGGTTGAGGAAGAGGGGTGAGACACCCATTCCTGGGTATTTGTTTCTTCTGCAGCAGCACTGTGTCTTGTCATTGGGTTTCAGATAATGTTCATAGGATCATAGAAGACAGCAGCACAAAACTTTTTTTCCCCGGAGATTTGCACCCCAAACCAATCCTTGTGGATCTGCTAGAGGTGACTGCCTTCATTTGATAGCCCCTTTTGTGGGTCTTTTAGATGTTAATGAAGGTCTTAACACTTACTGACACGTTGTTGCAGAGATAATCAAGACGACCAATTTAACAAATTTCAAAAGCACTGTCTTATAATCATTTATTATATTTAACTACTTAAACAGTCTCCACAAGTACACAACTCATTTCAAAAACTGAAAACAGCAGAACTTTAAAAAACTTTTAAAAATAAAATATAACAGATATACAGAAAATACATGAAACATAAATGTACAGCTAGCAAATTATTTTAAAGTGAACAACTGGCTAACCCCCACCCTGGTCCAGAAATAGAACGTTGCCAGTATATCAGAAGCCTTTTGTATGTCCCTGACCAATCATCATCTCTCTACCCACTAAATATAATTATTATCCTTTCAATGTAATTATTTCACTGTATTTCTATTTCTTTATAGTTTTACCACCCAACTATGTATTCCAAAACTATATATAATAGTGGATACATAAAGAATATATATAGTATATATACAAATAATATATAATTCTGTTTTCTTTTTGAATTTATAATGTAATATACTCTTTTGGCTTATTTCACTCAGCATTGTGCTTATGAAAGTCATCCATGTTGTTGCATGTAGCTGTACAAGCATGCCATTGTGGGAATATACCACAATTTATTTATTCATTCCATTGTTTCTAGGCATGTGGATACCTTCTGTTCCTCAGTTATTATGAATAATGGTGCTTTGAAAATTCTTGTACCTGTCTTTTGACGTATATATGCACACGTTGCTTTTGGGTATGTATCTAAGACTGAATTTGCTGGGTTATAGGATGTATGTAGGTTCACATAATGCCAGTTTTCCAAAGTGATTGAGCCTATTTACATTCCCTTCAGTGGCATATGAGAGTTCTTATTGCTCCACACCTTCACGAACACTTCATACTGCCAGTCTCTTTAATTACAGATATTCTGGTTGATATGTAGTGGTAACTGATTGTGGTTTCAATATGCATTTCCCTGATCATTAATGTGGTTGAACATCATTTTGTGTGCTTAATTGGCCACTGGAATATCTTATTTTGTGAAGCACCTGTTGAAGTCTCTTGACCACATTTACACTGAAATAATGCAGTAATACTTCTGAGTGGATGTTAGAGATTATGCAGAATTTTGTCAAGGATTGTTGAACAACCTTATGTGGCTGGAGTACAAGGTGTATGTGGGGAACCTAAACCATGGAAGATGGGAGTGATGTGATCAGATTTGCATTTTAAAATACTTTCTTTGGAAGCAGTGTAATGAATGGATTGGAGGGACTGAGACCAGAGACAGTGAAACCTGTTGGGAGGTTCTTTCAATAATCCTTATAAGAAAACAATGGTGACTACGTTAGGATTGGGGTAACAGAAATGAGGTTTGAGAGATATTCAGGAGGTAGCAGTAAGAGAATTTCTAACTGATTTGTTGGGGGGAGTGTTGGGAAATAAAGGGCCAAAAATGACTCCCACCTTTTAGAATAGGAAACACAGATGGTAGAGTTGAGATTGGATAGACAATGGATAGCATTTTTGACAAGCTAATGTTGAGGTTTCTGTGAGAAATCTGAACGGATCTCTCCAGAAGTCAATTGAAAATATGGATTTGGAGTGTGTGTGTGTGTGTGTGTGTTTGTGTGCATGCACATGCATGTGAGTGTGTGTGTATGTGTTTTTCTGTGTGTCACAGTTTCTTAAATGAAAATGGCTGACTGCCTAGTCCTAAGAATGACTGTTATTGCTTGGGAATGAAACAGAATATCTGTGCTTGAATGTTTAAGATTTATGGTTGCTTTAAATCAGGGTTTCTCAATCTCAGCGCTATTGGCATTTTGGGCTGGATGATTCTTTGTTATGGAAAGCTGTTCTGCATGTTGCAAGGTGTTTAGCAGCATCCCCGGCCTATACCCACTGGATGCCAGTGGCAGAATCCTTCCCAGTTGTGACAACCAAAAATGTCCCCAGACATTGCCAAATGTCTCCTGTGGGCAAAAGCACCCCCATTGAGAACCAGAGCTTCAAATGTTAATTTGGGTATTATCTGTATATATTATCCTATATAAAGATAATAGGTGACAGGTGATATATATGGAGATATATATATATGCACACACACACATATATATGTGTGTGATAATATATACAGATAATATATAGATGACAGCTGAGAGCATGAGAATGAATAAAAGAGCCCATGAAAAGCATATAGCAAAAAAAGGAAGTTGGCTAAGGATATAACCTTGAGAAATGCCTACTTTTAGGGTGTGAGTGAGAAGCTAAGAAAGACGAATGAAGGGGAACAATCAAAGAGGTAGGAAGACAACCAAAAGACACAGAGGATTGGGAGGAAACCCCATCAATAAGGAGAAAGTGGCTGGTCAATGGAATCAAAGGGTACAGATAAGTAGACCTAGTAAGGCCTGGGAATAGGGGAGGCAAGGAACGGCTGTACTTTGCGGGAATTAATTATTTCACATACATACAGGACAGTGCCAGGCACGATACTGTGGAATAGTCATATGTTACCTCCTAAGGGGGAATGCTGCTGCCAAGGGCATTATAAAGGAGTAAACTATTAAAATACTTATCTCATTGTGCTGTAATAATTTGTTTATGTTTATTTATTATCTGATCTTCCTTGTGAGAATCTAGAGATAGTGACTTAAATATTATTCATCTTTGTATCTGCAATACCTATTGAGAGTGTGGCTTATAAATGGCTCAATAAATATGGGTTGAGTGAAGATATGAAAGTGTAATTTTCTTCCATTGTATTCCTTTGGGGCCAGAGAAATAACCAGAAAAAAATTTTGGCACATAGACCCATGAATTTGGATTAGGCAAAACAACTATGATGAGCTGTTTAATCAAAGGGGCTATGAGACTTCAATCAGATATAGAGACAAAGGAGAAATTGGTAAACTGGAAGTAAGGGAGAAGTTCACCATCTTGATGAGGGTGAAATGACAGAGATAGAAGGATTGGAAGGAGGTTTTAGTCAGAGAAGAGGTTTTCCAAGAGGAAACAGTCACTGAGTTCCTACTCTGTGTCAGCACTGTGTTGGATTTGTCACTGACACCTTAGTAAATAAATAAGTGGATAAATAAGAAAATTGGCACACATTGTTATAATTTATCCTCATAATGGCTCCATGGAGATGAAATGAGGCTCATAGTGGTTAAGTAACTTATTTCACATTCATCCATCAGACCCGATATAGGCCACTTAGTTGCAGCCAAGTGAAAGACTGGGCCCTCCCAAAGAAAGCTAGTGGGCCAGAGGGATATGCCAGGCTACGTTTCAGACTCTTCATGGGGAGGATAGAGAAATTCCCTAAGGAAGAAGCTTTAAATCACAGTTATCAGGAGGGTATGGCAAACTGCAATGGGACTGGGCAGCTAGAGTTTCTAGGCGGAGTTGATAACTTGCAATATATGCAGGTTCAAATCCTGCATTTGTCATTTCCCAGCAAGTCACTTCAACTCTCTAAATCTCAGTTTTTAATCTGTAAAATCGTAAACTGAACCTTACAGGTTGCCATGAGGATTATATGTGACAATAGATATAAGGAACCTTTGCAAACTAGAGTGTGTTATGCAAATGTTAGGTGTCATTATCATCTCCTACTTCTTTTTCCATTAAGGCAATTCTAGGGACTCTTTCTATCCTGTGCAAGATGGGATCCATTTCGGCAAACTGCATGTAAACCCTTTAATATAATATGCAGAGATATATTTATTTTCTTGAAAAAAAATAGAAATGCCTTAAAATTGGCATTTGTCCTAAAATGTTAGGTCACACTGCATGCACCAGAGCTGTCTTCCTGTAGTAGGAACATCTTCAGGGGTTTTTCCAGCAAGGCAGGTTTACTAAGAACAGAGTATTCTGATTCCCAGTATGACCTTTGGGGTCAAGACACTTTCTGGGAGGAGAAGATGGAAGGAGTGAATAAGCAGCCCTGTCGTGTGTTCTCCAAAGTAATAAGCAACCTTCAGCCATCATTGCTGGAAAGTTGCTGCTCTCCATTTCTACCATAAGGCAGTTCGTTGGAGAATAAGATCAAGCCACGATTTATCTGGAGAGTACTTGGAATTTCCAGGTATTTAAACCACTTGCTCTGTATGTCTTGAACACCTACTATGTAGCTAGCTTTGTGCCAGTTGTGAATAACTGCTCTATACCCCTGATGAATGCACAGGAAAGGCAGAAAACCCTGTCATCAGACTCTCAGAGCAAAATGGATCCCACAAGCAGAGCAGCTGGAGTCCTGAGAAGGCAGCCATTATTGGGACTTGATATGATCTGCAGGGCAAAGCCTTAGTGAAGATAGAGATAGGAATAAATTTGGCTAGGTTTCTCATATCTCTGTGGAAATTTTAATTTTCTTGCTTTCACCCAGCTTTCTATAGGAGTATGCATGCACATGCATGTGCACACTCACACATGCACAACACACATCCTGGATCATACAAATACCTTTCTTGAATACTCAGTATGTGCCAGGCACTGAACTAGGCATTGAGGGCACAATGATGGCCAAAGCTATGCCTCATTTGGCTCTCCACATCAGGCTCTTAAAATAGCTGGACCTCAAGTACTTTTAATCTTCAGTCTTCACAACTCGCTTCTTATTCTTGGCCCCAGCCTCCTTAGGGCTTCATTTTCTGGTTTTTCTTTTTCCCCATCACTTTTTTTTACCATTTCCCCCCACCACTTGCTTGTCCTCTTTATTTTGAGCCAATTGACAAATAAATGCAAATATCTACAGCTCAACCCTAAAGACATCCCTGAGTCGCCCCTTGCAGTTACTCCAGACTGTGTTCTACCCTAGAGCCCTCTTTCGCTGCCTTAGCCCTGCAGCAGGCAGAAAGCAGCACTGCTGGTTTTCTTCTCTGTCTTCATCATTGTTACATCAAATGTTCCGAAGTGTCTAAAGTCCCTCTCTCATCCCTTTTCCCTCCTCCTCCACTCCTCTGCCATGTTTGTTAGTTCTTCATCTCTTCATCAAAAATCTCTTCAGCCTCCATGTCTTATTTTTCAGTGGCAATGAGCTTTCAGGCCATCTCATTCTTTTTCTCTGGGTTTTTGTCTAGTTCTCTGATTTCTAGTCTTTTCTCAGCTAGATATAAAACATGATCTAACTCTGGACAGCTAAAAAATATATATAGTGCCTATTTTGCTGCCTGGATTTAATCAGATTACATGTTTATATGTGCCTTAGAGTGCCTTCAGAGAATCAGGTCCATTCTTAATTGTATGCGCTAATTGAGGTTATCATTGGTACTAATAAGCTCAGAATGATGTCCTTTTGGCTTAGAGATGTATTTAAGAATTTGTTTTACAGCCACCTCTGTTCCTAATTCTGTTTTTCCTGGGCTGATATTAGAATGAGTTTGCATTTCCCAAGCACACAAGCATTGTTGGCAAAGGGAGGAGGGAGCCTGGTGGTTGAGAGTGGAGGCGCCTGGATGCAGCCTCTGCATTGGAGGAGGGGCAAACTCGGACTCTAAATGACCACAGATAATTCAGAAAATAAAGGATCCACAGGCTGATAATCAAGTGGCGAATGTGCTTTAAACACTGCGGCAGGCTTCAAGCTATGATGAAGTGTTTTTTTGGAGCTGCTCTTGTTGCAGCTGTGAGGTTGCTTTTCGTGACAGAGCAGAGCAGTACTGGGGACACTAACTAGGCTGCAGAGGCCAGCCTTTGAGGGGCCACTAGCAGGTCTAATGTCTAGTGTCTAAAGGGTGGGGCAAGCACAGGCCATCAGAAAAAGCTGATTGAGACTCAGAGGCCCAAAGGGTAGAGGGGTTCTCACAGTCAGGGAATTTTGGAAAATTAACTTATTCACTGTAGTCTCTACTAGGAACTGGAAGGTTCAGAGATCTAGGTCCAGCCTTATCCATATGGACTAAGATTTGGAGTAGGGCTTTAGGACCAGAGGAATATCCAATGTTAAGAAGGACATGAAGACAGACAGATAGACACTCTGTTGTACTTCCTGAGTTAACATAGAGAAGTTGGAGAAAGTGGGAAGGAAGATAGGGATTAGGGAAGTGCTGTAACTCAGAGGTTATACAAAAACTTTGTGTTTAGCCCTAGCACTGCCAATGAATTGCTAGTGAAGCTATTTTAGGTCCCACCAAGTGGTAGGGCTAAGGATGCAGATACTACTGATATTTCATCAAATTAAAGATGCATGCTTCTGTTTTCTTTGAAGACAAAATTGGCCTTGCAATCAATGACATTTTACAATGGCTCTTAGTCATTTTTCATTTTTGGTGTTTTTGAAATTTGTATGCAACTTCTACTTGATGCCATTTTAGACTTGAAATGTACTATATACCTTGCCACAATTGGCTCATGATAAGGACAGGGCTGAGCTTGCAGTGACTCTAGCTGTGAAGGGTTGAGCTAATGAGGGTTGCTGTTCCTTTAGAATTTTGACAGCCACATCCCACTGTTGGCTCAAATAGGGGCACTGTCAAAACGAACCACAAATCTATACAGATCTTACAGGATCACAGGCTGATATAAGACACAGTTCTTCATTCTGCATTGCACCACTGGTCCTTGGGACCCAGGGGGAATCCTTCGCATACATTACTGTTAAATTTAACCTTGTTTCATTTAACTCATCATCCCATTCATTCACTCAGCAAACATTTAATGGGCCAGGTTTTGAGCTGGGTATTGGAATACAAAGATAGCCCGTCACCTCCATGTACTATAGGGGAAAAGGTAGTAAAAAGACTGATAGATAAATACTAAATTAGAAGTGTGCTTAGAGTTATGTGGAAGCACACAAAAGGAATACTCAGTCTAAAATAAAGTTTGTGAAGGATGAGACTAGAGTGATAGATTCACTTAGCCTCTTACTAGTTGTGTGATCCCTCTATGCCTCACCCTCTTTATGGCTAAAATGGGGATAATAATAGCACCTACCCATGGAATAGTAGGGATAAAATGAGTTAATTCATGTGGATCTTTTAGAACACATTTTGGAGTACAGTAAGGGCTATATAAGTGTTAAATAAATCAAGGAAGGCACTTCAGCAGCTCGATCTTGAGCATTTGAGCAATTTCATAAAATATTAGTTGCTTAAAAAGAGCAGGACAAAACCTTTCACGCAGAGTAGGGATAGAAAGAACATGGTGCATTTTGAAATCTACCAGTTTAGTAGGACAGCATATGAACTGTGTATTGACAATAACAGAGGTGTCGGTGACAGGGAGGGTATTAACACATGGGACTATGCCTTGTTTGGCATGGTCATGGGTTTGGATTGGATCTTGAAAAAGAGGAGTAGCCTTTAAAAAATTTTAAGTCATAAGAATTTACCCTTCCACCTGTGAAGTAGTTACTATGCCATTTTACAGATGATAAAACTGGTATGCTGAAAAATTAAATAACTTTCCCATAGCTATGCAGCTAGTAATGAACTGAATTTGGATTTGAATCTAGGTTCCAGAGTACGCGTGCTTAATCATTATGTCATACCACCTCTCCAAGAATACAGGCAAAAAAGTCAGGCTTGAGGGAAAAAAAGATGACTGTAATTTTTGACATGTTAAGTTTGCAATAAATATGTGGTATCCAAGTGTTTATGTCCTGTAGGCAACTGGATATATGGATGGGGAGTTTAACAAAAGGATCTGAGCTTGATATTTAGGTCCGAGAGTTAATAATGATAGGATATAAATTGAGAAATTTAAAATTTGATGGTGAAACCTAGGGAACCTCAAAAGGTATCATATGGGCAGAGGAAAAGGAGCCCATAGTGTTGACTAACAATGAACACCAAAAGAATTAGGAAGAAAAGAAGAGTAAGGTAACAATCCAAAGAAACAGTTTCAAGAAGAAAGATGTACTCAACAGAATCAAATGCTGCAGGGATGTCAAATACGTTAAAGATATAAAATTATCATTTGGGATTATGGAACTTCTATTTCCAGTATGGTGATGTAGACATGTTTTTCCATATCCTGTTTACTAAATACAGCTAAAAGCCCTGGTAGTTATACATACAACAACAATAAGAAGACTCTGAAAGGTGTAGAAGAGAAAGCAGGCCTGCTAGAGACCTTGCGCCCTAAGGAATTAAATGGAGATGAGTCCCCTGGGTTTACTTTGGGCCTCATACATTCAAGACTGGGTACTAGAGAAGTCAGCAATCCAGAATCACCAACAGGTGCAAACACACAAAAGCCCTAGAACAGCCTGTTCTCGCTAGACAAAGGACCAGGAAAGGGTAAAAGTAACAAGACAGAAAACTCTGTAACCAAACACCCAGGAAAAACTGTGGCCCCACTTTCACCACTGTCATCAAAGACCAGTTGGGGAAGCTAGACTCCCACCTTGGCTAGGCTATTACAAGGCACCCCAATCCCACACCACCCCTGCCAGGGTGGTGTCAGAAAATGCTAAGAGTGAAACTGAGATTTTAATTTTCACCGGGAGGTAATGAGACCCTCCTTCCATCGTGTTAGTGGAAACCACATGAGGAACTTAGACTTTCAATCCACCTGTGGTAATGAGGGTGATATCAGAGGAAGTCGTGTGGAGGGTTGAGACGTTCAACAATGTTCCCCCTGAGTATCAACGAAGGCTTATGGAGAACCTGGGCTTTAATCCAAGCATGGCAGTAACGAAGCAGCATCCTCCCTTCCACACAAGAACAGAGTCAGAGGAGGCCTGCTAAACAAAAGATTTAAATAAGATACGAAGTCTCATAATAAAATATTTAAAATGTTCAGGTTTCAATAAAAAATAACTCATTATACCAAGAACCAGGATGATCTCCACTTGAATGACAAAAGACAATCAACAGATACCAAAGACAAGATGGCACAGATGTTAGAATTATCTAAAAAGAATTTTAAAGCAACTGTCATAAGTGTTTCAAAGAGCAATCACAAACATGCTTGAAAAAAAAATAGAAAGTCTTAGAAAAGAAATAGAAATTCTCAGCAAAAAAGGAGCTATAAAGAAGAACCAAATGGAAATTTTAGAACTGAAAAATACAATAACAAAATTCAAAAACAATGAATGGGCTCAATCGCCCATAATGGAGAAGACAGAGGAAATAATCAGTAAACTTGAAAATAGAACAATGGAAAATACCCAATGTAAGTAATAGGCTGAAAAAATAGCCTCAGGGACTTATGCAACTATAATAAAAGATCTAACCCCCATGTAATTGGAGTTCTTGAAGAGGAGGTTAAAAAGGATGGGACTGAAAAAGTATTTGAAGAAAAATGGCTTAAATTTCTCCAAATTTGGCAAAAGACATAAGACTACAGATTCAAGATGCTAAGTGAATCCAAAACATAATGAAATAAATCCATGCTAAGACACATTACAGTCAAACTTTTGAAAACTAAAGACAAACAATCTTGAAAGCAGCCATAGAAAAATGATGCACGTCCTATAAAATGACAGCAAATTTCTCATAAAAAAACATACAGACTGGAAGGAAATGGTACAAGAGTTTTTCAGCAGCTGAAAGAAAATAACAGCCAAATGAGAATTCTATATCCAGTGAAAATATCCTTTAGATAGGATGGCAAAATCAAGATATTGTCAGAGGAAGGAAACTAAGAAAATTTGTGGCTAGCAGACCTATTTACTTTAAAAGAATGGCTATAGGAAGTTCTAAAAGCAAAAAAGGGGATTACAGAATAAATCTTGGAAGATTAGGAAGAAAAAAAACACAGAAAGAGCAAAAATATGAGTAAATACAACAGACTTTATGTTATGGAATGAATTATGTCCCCCTGAAATTCGTATGAAGTTCTAAACCCTGATACCTCAGAATGTGACTATATTTGGATATTGGGCCTTTAAAGAAGTAATTAGGGTAAAATGAGGTAATACGGCTTTGCCTCAATTCAGTATGAGTGATGTCCTTATAAGAAGAGGGGATTTGGACACAGATATGTGCTCACACAAAGGAAAGACCATGTGAAAAGATAGCAGGAAGGTGGCCATCCATAAGCCAAGCACAGAGGCCTCAGAAGAAATGAAACCTGCCAAAACCTTACTCTTGGACTTTTAGCCTCTAGAACTGTGAGAAAATAAATTTCTGTTTTTTAAGCCACCCAGTCTGTGGTATTTTATTATGGCAGCCCTAACAAACTAATACTTTCATTCTTGTAATTTTTATATTTGATGGTTGAAGCAAAAATAAAAACACTAAAGTTGTTCCCAATGTATAAAAAAATTTAGGCAATTAAATTATAAGTGGGGGAGTGATATGGTTTGGCTCTGTGTCCCTACACAAATTTCATGTCAAATTATAATTTCCCAGTGTTGCTGGAGGTGCCTGGTGGGAGGTGATTGAATCATGGGGGCGGACTTCCCCTTTGCTGTTCTTGTGATAGAGTTCTCAGGAGATCTGGTAGTTTGAAAGTGTGTAGCACCTCCTCCTTCTCTCCCTCTCTCTCCTGCCAGCCATGTGAAGATGTGTTTGCTTCCCGTTTGCCTTTGCCATGATTGTATGTTCTCTGAGGCCTCCCCAGAACGAGAAGCCTGTACAGTCTGCAGAACCATGAGCCAATTAAACCTCTTTTCTTCATAAATTACCCAGTCTCTGGTAGTTTTTTATATAGCAGTGTGAGAATGGACTAATGCAGGGAGAGCAAAGGGACATAAAGGGAGGTAAGGTTCTTACACTTATCTCTAAATGGAAAAATGTTGACACCAGTAGAATGTGATAAGTTATGTGTGTAAAGTGGAATACAAAAAAAAATTGCTAAAATGCTATACAAAGAGTTAAAATAAAAACTAAACTGAGCTAAAAATGTTCAAGTAACCTACAAGGAAGAAAACTAGAGAACTGAAAAACGGAACAACAGAAAAATAGATGTTAAAAATAAATTCATAGACTTAGGTCCTAACCTATCAATAATTACATTAAATACAAATGGTATAAATGCACAAATTGAAAGACAAAAATTGGCAGAGTTAATTTTTTAAAAACATGACTTAACTAAATGCTATCTATAAGAAATTCACTTTAATTATAATGATATAGGTAGGATGAACATAAAAGGATGGCAAAAGATATTCCATGCAAGTGTTAATCAAAAGAAAGCAGGAGTGGCTATTACATTATGTAATAGTCTTTCTTGGTCAATCCACCTAGAAGACATAGCAATCCTAAATGTTTTTGGACAAACCAACAGAGCTGGTTTGTAAAGTAAAATTGATAGAACTGAAAGGAGAAATAGACAAATATAGAATTATAGTTGGAGATTCAATACCCTGTCTTAACAATTGATGGAACAACTAGACAGAAGATCAGCAAGGATACAGAATAACTCAATAACACCATTGCTGTGATCGAATGTTTGTCTTCCTTCCAATTCATATGTTGAAACCTAACCCCACACTGATGATATTAAGAGGTTGGGCCTTTGGAAGTAATTAGGTCATAAGAACAAAGCCCTCAAGAATGGGATTAGTGGCTCAAGGAGGTTTGTTCATGCCTTTTGTCATGTACAGACACAGCTAGAAGGCATCATCCATGAGGCAGAAAGCTAGCCCTCACCAGACACCAAATATGCTGGTGCTTTGATCATGGAGTTTCCAGCCTTGTGAGCAAAAATTTCTGTTGTTTGTAAATTACCCAGTCTAACGTATTTTGTTATAGCAGCCTGAATTGACTAAGACAACCATCAACTAACAGGTTCCAATTGACATTTATAGAGCACTTCACTCAAAAACATCTGAATATGCATTACTTTTTTATTAAATTATTAATAATTTGTCTATATATTTTTTGCTTCATTAATTAATATATAAAGTAATTTTTATTTTTATGTTTTTCTTCTCCAACTTTAATTTTAGGTTCTAAGGGTACATGTTCAGGTTTGTTACATGGGTAAATTGCTTGTCACTGAGGTTTGGTGTACAGATGATCCCATCACTCAGGTAATGAGCATAGTAACTTCCAACCCATGCCCCCTCCAACTCTCCCCTCTCAAGCAGTCCCCAGTGTCTATTGTTCTCATCTTTGTGTCCATGTATATTCAATGTTTAGCTCCTACTTCATAAGCGAGAACATGCAGTATTTGGTTTTCTGTTTCTCCTACATTAGTTTGCTTAGGATAATGGCCTCCAGCTGTATCCATGTTGCTGCAAAGAACATGATTTCATTATTTTATATGTCTGCATAGTATTCTATGGTGAAAATACACATTATTTTCAACTGCTTAAACAACATATACCAAGATAACACACATCCCAGGTCATAAAACAAACCTCAACAAATTTAAATAAAGTGAAATCATACAGAGTGTGTTCTATGGCTGCACAGAACCAAAGTAGAAATCAATAACAGAGAAACAAATGGGTTTTTTTTCCTAAGGATGAAAGGCTGCTTAAATATCTGAAAATTAATCAATGCCATCCACCACATTAAGAGGCCAAAGAATAAAAATCACACGATCATATCAATTGATGCAGAAAAGCATTTGACAAAATTCAACACCCATTTTTGATAACAACTCTCAGCAAATTGAGAATAGCAGAAGACATCCTTAAGTTGATAAAGAACATATACAAAAAACCTGCAGCTAACATCATATTTAATGGTGAAAGACTGAAAGAAGGCAAGGATATCCATTTCTGCCGCTGCTATTCAACACAGTGCTGGAAGTTCTAGACAGTTCAATAAGGAGGAAATAAAAGGCATACAGATAGGACAGGACAAAAACAATTGGAAAAAAAAAACTGTTTCAATTTGCAGAGGACATGATAGTTTACATAAAAAAATCCCAGGAAGGTACAAAAACTCCTAGAACTAATGAGTGAAATTAGCAACATCACAGGATATGATATCAACTACAAAAATAAATTTTATTTCTATGTAACAGCAAAAACACATAAAAATTGAAATTTAAAATACAATACCTTTTACTATTTTGTGATGTCTCACAATTTTATTTTGCCTTGTGCTTTATTTGGAAAGAAATTTTTATCACTGAAATTTTTTTATTTTAATTTTCTGATTTTGTCCACAGTACCTTTGTATGAATATTGACAGCCATTTTCTGTTCATTTTTAAATAAAATATTTGCCTGGACAGCAATAACAGTTGCAAATAAAATGAAACAAAGTAAAATACCATTACAATCACTCAAAAAAAGAAAATTAAGCACACAGGTGTAATTCTAACAAAATATGTGCAAGAACCATATGTTGGAAAAATATATAAATTGAGGGACATACTGTGTTCATGGATTGGAAGATTTAACATAGTAAAGATGACATTATCCTTAAAGTGTTAGATAGGTTTAACGTAATCCCTATCAAAATCCCAGCAAGATTGTTGACATAGAGAAATTTATTACAACATTTGTATGAAAGGCACAGGTCCTAGAATAGTTAAAACAATCTTTTTGAAATCCTCAAACTGAAAACAACCAAAATGTCCTAAAGCAGATGAATGGGCAAATCATCATATATTCATATTATGGAATACTATTCAGCAATGAAAATGACTAATCTATTGATATATATAACAACTTGGATGAATCTCAAAGGGATCATGCTGAGTAAAAAAAAGCCATTCTCAAAAGGTCACATACTGTATGATTCCATTTACATCACATTCTCAAAATCACAAAATAATAGAGATGGAAAACAGTTTAGTGATTACAAGGAGTTAAGAATAATGGGGTTAATGGAGGTGAGTGAGATTATACAAGGGTTGCGTGAGGAAGTTCTTTATGGTGATGGTACAGTTCAGTATCTTGATTGCAGTGGTTGTTGCAGGAATCAAAACATATGTTAAAGTGACATAAAACTATCTACATACACTGTACCAATGCCAATTTCCTGTCTTGATATTGTATTATAATTGTGTAAGATGTTATCCTTGTGGGAAACTGGGTGAAGGGTACATGGAACCTCTCTCTACTATCTTTGCAATTTCCTGTGAAGCAGTAATTATTTCAAAGTAAAAAGTTAAGCAAATTTTGAAGAAAATGACTTTGTGCCCAAGTGGTCATTAGAGTCCTTTGAAAGAGCTATTTCAGTGCATAGGGAGATGTTGAAGATACAGAAGAGAGAAAAGACAAGGAAGCAAGGTTCTGGAGGAAGCAGAAGATGTGGGATCAAGAGCACAGGTCTGGATCCCACAAGGGCTGTGGTAGACGCGCCTTTGCCTGAGTTCTTGTTCTGCATCCAGGATGAATGAGGTATGCAGACAAGTGAAGTGTGAAGAATAAGAAGAAGACGAAGAGTTTTATTTAGTGTTAGAACAGCTCAGAGGAGTGGGTAGCTCCTCTCTGTAGACAGGTCGTCCTGTTGAGTGTTCAGCTCTCAGCAGATAGGAGACCCTGGAGAGGGTGGCTCCTCTCTGCAGGCAAGTCGTTCGGACATCTCTGCAAATCTCTGAAGCTCTCAGCAGAGACAGTAGCTCCTCTCTGCCAGCAGGTCATCTCTGAAGCTCTCAGTGGAGAGGGTACTCCTCTCTGCAGCTGGTTGTCCCACCTCTCCAGAGATCAGCAGAGAGGGTACTCCTCTCTGCATCTGGTCATCCCAGTGTCTCTCTGCCCTATTCATCCTCTGGCTGTCCTCTGCCCTGTTCTGGCTGAGCCCAGGGCTCAGCTGATTGATCCATGGGTGGCCATGGGTGGGCCGGGAAGAGGCACCATGAGCCCCTACTCCAGTCAGCGAGACTGGCAGCCCAGTCCCCAGCCTTCAGGCCCTCCCTGGTCTGAGGGTGGAGCCTTACTGTGGACGCCACTCCTTTCCACCCAGGACTCTGTTTGCCTCTCACTGCCATTCATTGCCCTGGGGCTCAGCCCCAACCCCGCTCTGAGATTGGAGCAGGTGCTGAGAGTAGAGAGAGACCAGGCAGACAACCCTGAGCCTGCAGAAATGGGGGTGGGGTGGGGAGAGAGTTCATCCTGGGGCCCCCAAGGGTGCAGGCTGCAGAGAGACCCAGTTCCTGTGAGGAAAGCTGCAGCTGCGCCTGGGAGCTCCCACCCCACCAACTCAGAAGAGGCAGGGCTCCGGCTTGTCCCCGGCTCCTGCCTGGCTCATGGAGCGGGAGGCCCAGGTTTGCAGCCGCAGGTCCAGCCACTGCAACTGCACCCCGGAAGGCAGATCCTGCCTGTTCGTGGCTCCCCCAAGAGCACATGGAGGCTGAGATCCACTGCTGCAGTTTGGAAGGCTGTAGCCCCACCAGGAGGTCAGGGCTCCTGCCCATTCTGTAGAGCAGGAGGCTGGGGTCTACAGCTGCATTGGGCAGCTGCAGCGGGCACCCAGGTAGCTCCGGTCCCAACTCAGAAGGGGGGGGGCTCCCGCCAGCTCCAGGGAGTGTGCAGCCCCAGCTGCGCAGCTGGCGTGATGGCGGCAGCCACTGCCATCAGTAGTTATACACGTACTTGTGTGATTTTCCTCTAGTCATACACAGCCTGGGATAGGAGAGGAAAGAGCAGGTTAAAGTTTGGTTGTGAGAGAAAAGATGGAAACAGAATAGGAGAGAGGAGAGTGAAGAGAAGTTATCACTCAGGGGTTCTATGCTGGTTAAGGAAAGTAATTTAAGGTCTCAATGAAATTGAAGAATTGATGTCCTAGGAGTAAGCAAGTGAGAGAGTTAGAAGGATAGGAAGGTGTGATCAGAGGGTAGGATATTCAAGTTCAAAGTTTCAGAAATGGAGCAGTTCCAATTACCAGCAAAGTCCGGGATGTGGTTACAGTTGAAGCAGAAAAGAGAAGGTCGTCCCAATTAAACAAAGCCAGAAACTGTAAGACCAGGGGCTTGAATGGGTTAATGACCATTGAAAGCCCCCAAAGATGGCAGGAGGCTTGAGAGAGAGAGAGGGAGAAATTAGGATGTGTTCCACAGTCTGTAATGAATATGGAAGAATGACCAGGAGGTTTTTACATGGCATTGACCACCTACTTGAAGATACAAACCTCAAAAAAAGAGGGCTTTTACATGAGGAGTGATTTTTTTTTTTGAAACAGCAATGGAGAACTAGAAAGATACTTGATACTGTCAAGTATCTTTACTTGATACTTACTGTAAGGAGGAGTGGAGTTCTTAGATGAGATCCATTGGTGCACTTGTTACTTCATTCATTCAACAAATAATTATAGATTGGGGACTGTAGAGCCAGGTCTACCTGGGGACAGTTCTAGTTTATGCTTGTTTTTCTGACATAATTGTTAAAAATGCCCCCTGTTATTCTCAAAAGGTTCCAGCTTGGATAATAAATTATAGAGCATTTATGGCCTGGTTGAGAAAAAAGTCTCTGTGGCTCCTTATTCTGTTTTCCATCATATTTGATATCCTGTCATTTGCATGTTTGGGTATGGGCATTCATCCTGTTGGGAATCCATCAAATTCTACTTTCATCCAGCCTCATTTCTCCAGTTGTTGAGAAAGACAGCAGAAAAGACCTGCCTGGCACTCAGATATGCTCTGCTTATAGGTTTTCCCTAAGTTGGTAAGCCCATAAATAGAGAAAATGAAGTTAGCCTGTCACGGTTAACACTTGGTGAGCTCTGCTTTGTTTTATTTCTTTGCAAAAATAATCTGTTTTTAAACCAGTCCATTAACAATACATTTGGAAATATGGACCTGGATTAACAGCAAACACTATGGTCAATAGTTTTCAGAATCATTCTTTTTCCATTTTCTTGAAAGTCAAAATTGCAATGCTCCTCCACAAAAAACTTTTAGCTTCCCCCTGCTTCTGACCTTGTGATATACTTAATGCTTGCAAACCCACAATTTAGCACTTAATTGATCTTGAATAACTTCCATATTTTTCTTTCTTGTCTTTGAAACTTTGCACATGTTATTCACTTTGCTAGGAATATCCTTCCTTCCCCTTCATCACTCTCTTTTTTGCCTACTTGTCCTTCAGTCCCTAGGTTGACCATCATCTCCTTTCAGGAGCCTTTTCAGCCCACTGAAGGCATAAAAGTGTCCCCTTCTCTATGTTCCTATAGTAGTATTCTATGGATCAGTCCATGATCACCCTTATCCCTTATGTCTGTAATTGTGTGTTTACTTGTCTGCGTCTCTCACCAGACTGTGAATGCGACAAAACCAGGGACTGTGTCTTGGTTACAGTTGTATCCCCAGTATCTTGTACAATGCCAGACACAGAGCAGGTACCCTGTAAATATATATGTTGAATGAATGTGTGATCCAAATTTGTAACCCAAGTGGTTTAAGACATTGTTTTGCAACCATGAACATACAAAGGGGATCACTTGTGCTGGAGCTATTTTTCCCCACTGACACAGAGATATCCTTTGAGGGAGCAAATTATCATGCCTTATTTATATTTCTCATAGCCTCACATAGTATGGAATACATAGAAGTATCTCAAAAAGTACTTTTTGATTTATAAATAATGCTAGAGCATTATTTTGACTGCATGTGATTTGATACTGTTTCCATTTAATTCAGATAAAGAGTTGAAGAGCCCATTTTTATCTTGCTCTGATGGCCCAGCCTTTCTTACAGGCATTTCTCCCTTTTGTTTATCACTCATTTCAGGATCTCTCCACTTCCGGATTCCTGGATATGGGGATGGGAGATTGCATTTGGCTTGGGTGTCTCTTTGTCCCAATTCTCCTCAGTCCTGGACCCACACAGATGGCACCAGCAAACAATTGTTTGGGGATGAGCGTGTGGTCATGGCCTAAAAGCCCAGGTCCCATAGTAATTTACTGGACAAATGTCTCTTCTTTCTGAGCCATGGTGTCTTTATCTGTCAAGGAGATAGTTCAATTAGGTGATTCTTTAGTTCTGAAATTTATCTGATTCTCTCCTTTGTAGGCTTATTTCTAACACCATACAATATGCTGCTGTCCCTGGAGCCTCCAACTTATATCAAATTCTGTCAAGGCTCAGATTGGAATCATAGCAAATAGATCCCTGGGAAGCATCCCAATGTATGAATTATTAATGTTCCCACCACACAGTCTCCATGCGAATATTTACTTATATCACTGGGTATCTAATCCTGACAACAAATCATCATTTGAATCGTTTACTGATGTTTTCTCTTCCCCTCAGTGATTCTGCACGTGTCTTCCTTTCACCTTGAGAACTGTGCAATTCTTTCTTCCCCTGTGAGACTCTGACACTGAACAACAAAAAGAATGTCAACATCTGAATCCTACCTTCAATGTTTTTCCCTATTCTCTTAGAAATTGTTGCATTTCCCCCCTTTATTCTCAATCCCTCTCCATCCCAGACCCCTTCAAGTCATTCTAACATCCAGGATTGTGTCTTTTGCCCTCCCTACTCCATAGCTCTAGCAGCTATAGTCACAGAGCTGCTCAATGAGGTTCTTTTTTATTTGTATTTTAAAATAATTTTTATTGTGTATATTTGAGGTTTACAACATGATGTTATGGGATATATATAGATAGTAAAATGGTTACCATATTGAAACCAACTAACAGATCTACCATCATATATAGTTACTTTTTGTGACTAGGGCAGCTAAAATCTAGTTGTTTAACAAAAGTTCCTAATAGAATACAATTTTATTAACTTTAGTCTTCATGTTATAGGTTAGATCTCTAGACTTGTTCATCCTTCATATCTGCTACTTTGTAACCTCTTACCTACATCTCTCCATTTCCTTTTCCCCCCAACACTTGCCCATAGTAACCACTATTTCATTCTCTACCTCTGTGTATTTGAGCTCTTTTAAAAAGATTCTGCATATAAGTGAGATCATGCAATATTTCTCTTTCCGTGTCTACTTTACTTCACTTAGCATAATGTTATCCAGGTCCATCCCTGTTGTGGCAAATGGAAGGATCTCCTTTTTTGTGTCTGAATAGTATTCCATTGTGTACATATAACACATTTTGTTTATTCATTCATCCACTGATGGACATGTAGGTTGTTTCCATATCTTGGCTATTGTGAATAATGCTGCAATGAATATGGGAGTACAGACATCTCTTTGAGCTACTGATTTCAATTCTTTTGAATGAACACCCAGAAGTGGGAATGCTGGATCATATGGGATTTCTATTTTTAATTTTTTGAGGAACCTCCATACTGTTTTTCCATAATGGCTATACCAATCCACATTCCCACCAAGAGTGCATGAGGGTTTCCTCTTATTCACATCCCTGCTGATATTTATTATTTCAATGAAGATCTTAATATGCTCACAGTCCTAGTTATTTCCCAGAGGGGAAAAAAAACCTTTCCAGATATCTCAGTTCTGTGATATGGGGCTTGATCAGTTGCTGCTGCATCCTTCATTTTCTCTCTGGCCTTGGCTATCCAGTATTCCACTCCCTTTACCTCTCCATATGTACCTCTTATCTCCCTTCCTTACCCCTTCCTTCTCCCTTTTTCATTTCCCACAACAGTTGCTGCAGGCTTGGTTTCAGCCAGCACTTTTCTCTGCCTACAGGTTGAAGAAGCCCTTTATTCCCTCAGAAATCCTCTGAGCTAACTGTCCTTTACCACTTCCATTGGGAGTAGGTGCAACCACATTGATTTAATTAAAGATACAATAAAGTCAAACTGCAGAAAACACTTAGAATGATACTTCTCTGCCTTGATACAAACCACTGTCTGTATTGACTTGCAAACTGGAAAATTTTGGAGGGATCATGTGTATGCTTCATTTCTTAATCATGATAGGATTAAGGGTTGCCCATTTCAATTGATGTATGCCTTTCTGTAAGCAGGAGTATCCTAGCCACCTCAGTGGGGGCTGTGGCATGATAAGCTCAATTCCAACTATGTGGAGGGACCTGAGATGAGTTGAATGTCATTGAGTGGTATGTCAGTGAGGTACTGGCATGTCAGACAGAAGTGCCTTTAGGAAATACAGTCTGGACCAGAGCCATGATAAAGGCTCCTGTCTGCTCTATTTGTCTGTCCATGAAAACCAACCAACAAGTGTTACTGAAACACATTCACTCAAATGACATTACAAATGTTGACGACAGATAGCCAGCTACTTTGTCAAAAAAAACAAGGCAACAGAAATGAAAGGTAAGTTGAGTAGTAAAGGGGTAGGATAAGAGGAGATCTTGATTTTGACAACTAATACTAGGACAAATCAAAGGTCTGTTGCTGGAAGGATAGATAATTCTCATGGGGCCTCCAGAATATTCTTTCATTCCTTAAGTTGGGTCCCTGCGGCCCAGAAATAGAAAGTTCCATGCCTCTCCTCCCCTAGACTGTGCTTTACTTCTTAACCAAGAGAAAGCAGGGATCTAAACAAGTTCAGACTTCTCTACCCAGAAGTCCTTGCTGATGGTGGTTAGCCTAGTCAGACTCCCGGTTTCCCAGTCTGAGACTATTCCTCTCTGAGGCTCAACATCCCTATTCTAACCCTTTTCTGTCCCCACCACATTGAGAGCATCCTTAAACCACACCCACCCAGGAAAGCTGGAGATGGCTACCAGTTTGCCAATTCTTTCCATTCTGGCAATGGAGATAGGAGAGGCCTCCTTTTGTGTGATTATCCCTGTGTGCTGCTGCAGCTTAACTGTGGTTCCTGAAAATCATAATTATATCCTGAGATTATTAATAATAGTGTTAAAGACAGATACCTAACCATGATCCTTAAAGGGGACACCCTTATCACTAGTTAACTCTCTCTGGCTTCCCTCTTTGGCATGATACTCATCCCAGGTAGTAAATAGGGCAAATTGAAGAGAAATTTAAGGCTCTAGCACAGATAATTGTGCATTTCTCTAGGATAGGATTGGGAGTTAGTAATGGGATATCTCCAAAAAGATTGACAGTGCTCTTGTTATACTCAGAGACAGGGATGAGGAAATAGTTTGTGGCTTCTATACCCCTACGCTGCCACACATCTACCTCTCTCACCTTGAAATAAATCAGGGAAAGAAAAGAGGCAGTAAGAAATGCTGATTTCTTCTGCTGACCCCAGATCTCATTTCCTACTCTCTATCCCACCAACCCCAGGCAGTCACCATTGCAGGAACAGTTTGTGTTAATGGCCAGGTAGAAGTAGGAAGGCAGTCTCCTAGCTAACTGGGCCTAACATACCGGATGCAGCCTAGTGTAAATGATTTAAGAGACAGATGACTCGTGTCTGAATTCTGGCTCCATCATTTTCTTTGTGGTGTGATTTAGGGCAAATTACTCAATTTTCTTGTGTCTCAGTTTCATTATCTGTAAAATAATATAATTGTAGACTCTACCTCATTGGAGGTGTTAAGAAGATTAAACAACTTAATAAATGTAATACCCAAAGAAACATGCTTGACACATAATAATCTCTATGTAAGGGTTTGCTACTTGTATTCATGGAAAGAGCACTGAAACTAAAGTCGAAATTATCTTCACCATTTGTAAGTCACTTCACCTTCCTGTCTTTAATATTATTACCATAAGATGGAAGGAAATACTCACATGATTCCTTTGGGAATTAAATGAAATAACACACAGAAAACATCTAGCACTTAGCAAGCATGCAATGTCTGGGGATAAAGAATAAATAAACTCTTTTTTAATTCCCCCATCTATTACTACTTACTAAGTATCTATACTTTCAGCTCTGGCAAATCCCATGCCCTTAGGCCTAAAGATCCTTTCTCTAACATGCTTTCACTAAGAATTCTAAAATCAAGTGATCCCTGCCAACTGTATTCTATTTCCATTATTTATTTAGGTAATGGTATTATTACTGCCATTTGTTATGCATCCACTTATTGAAATGGTTCTGCAGTGGCTGCTAAATGGGACTATGACACCTTCTCTGAGAAACCTTCCTCAACACACCCCCTACCCACCACACCTTACCCATTCAATTCTTTTCTATATGCTCCCACAACTTGCTATGCATACTTTTACCACTATTATAGTTTGTTGAGTGAATGAATGATGAAAGAAAGACAGAAAGACAAAAAGAAGCTTATCTCAGATTCCAGAATATGCACACATCACCCTGCCACTGATGACTAATGAAATTGATGATCAAGCCACACTACTTTGCCTAATTTCATCCATAAACATGATTCATGTTTGTTTCTGTTTGATTTCCAAGGTGAAATTGTGAATTAAGTTGGAAGCTGATTCTTATTAAATAGATATTTATGATACCTATTCCTTGCCAAACACTATGCTACTAGGTACACTGGAACTATAGAGATAAATAAGACACAGTTGTTCCCCTCAATTAGCTCAGAATCAAACTGGGGAGCTGAGAGAAATTCGTGAAGAGAAGCCTGACGCCAGTCAGTGGAGTGGAGTGGGAAAGAGTATGGTCCTGGGGATCACATGGCCTGGATTAGAACCTTGTGTCCTTCTTTCATTTACTAGCTCATATGGTTTGGATCTGTGTCCCCACCCAAATCTCATGTCGAAATGTAATCCCCAATGCTGGAAGTGGGGCCTGGCGGGAGGTGATTTGATAATGGGTGCAGTTTCTAATGGTTTAGCACCGTCCTCCTAGAGCTCTTCTCATGACAGAGGTCTCATGAGATCTGGTTGTTTGAAAGTGTGTAGCACCTCCTCCCTCTTCCTCTCTTCCTCCTGCTCTGGCCATGTGAAGTGCTCACTCCACCTTCCCCTTCTACCATGATTGTAAGTTTCCTGAGGCCTCCTCAAAAGCCGAGCAGATGGCCAGCATCATGCTTCCTGTACAGCCTGTGGAACTGTGAGCCAATTAAATCTCCTTTTTGTATAAATTACCCAGGCTCAGATATTTCTTTATAGCAGTGGAAGAACGGACTAATATGCTATCCATGAATAAGTCACTTAGCCTTGCTGAGCCTCAGTTTCCTTATCTACAAAATGAGGCTGATAATAAAAGTACTTGGAGCTGGTCTTGTTGGGAAGATTAAAGTTCCATCCAGTCTTTCTATTATAGAAGGCACTGTTTTAAGGATATTATGTGAATGAATCTTTTCAATCCTCATAATGACCTTATCATGAAGGTGCTATTATGTTTTTTATAAGTGAAGGAACAGAGAGGGTAAGTAACTTAATGAACGTCACACAGATAGTAAATGATAGGCATGATTTGGGCCCAAGCAGGTTTTTTTAAAATTTGGAAACTAAGGGGAAAGGAAGCAACATGGCAATATATTGAAATAGAGAAGCTTAAAAACCATGGATGTTTACTCTTAAGTTTATGAATACTTTGTTTTGTCTGATATAACTGACTACCCTGCCCCTTAGCTAAATGAATAATAATTATGGTTTATTGAACATCAAGGTTCTGTGAGTTGGATACTGTTTTAACTCATTTATAAATATTTTTTAAATCACAGAAACCCTAGGAAGTATGTACTATTATCCCCATTTTACTGAGGAGGAAATTGAGAAACAGAGAGTGAATTCATTTTTTAAGGCTCATGTGGTAAAACTGAAATTTGAATAGAGTAGCCTGGTTCCAGATACTGTTAACTTAGCCATAACACAAGGTAGTTAATGACAGAGGGGCTGGGCTTTGGGGATACCTTACCTTTAAAAAAACAAAAGAATATACAATAAAATTAACCTGAATGATGGCAAAGCTGGTTTCTTATTTTATATGATTGTTCTGGTTTTGTAGTTCATTTTCCTTCCCTGACTACATGTCTGACATTTCCTTGTCCACATACCTGGGAGCATTTTAGTATGTGCCTCACATGTCTGAACAGACTTATAAGAGACTAGCATGTGGGAGCGGGTCATCTTTAAAGGAGATTGGAAGGTGCAAAAAAATCAATTCACAATACCAAAGCAGGCCCCTGCCTGACACCTCTTCCATACCCACACGTTGGAGCCATTGTAAATGAGCCTGGTAAGTTGAAGGCTTTGAAGGGTGTATATTGTGGTGTTTGGTTCTTTCCCTATGTAACAGCCTGTCAGTTCTATAAGGGCAGTCTGGCAATGCTCAGTTGATGTCTTATCTTTACAAGAATAAAGGAAAATACATCCACTGCCTTGTTGCCACCTACTCCTTTTGTTGGAATAATTTGGAATAATACCTGGGGTACTTTAAGGTTCATTTTCACCCAAGAACCTCAAAGTCTGGCTAACTGCATTCTATAGTCATTATTCTATTTTGTTTAAGAAGCTTGAAAGGGAATACAGTCCATGGAAGAGTGAACAAACAAACAAAACTAGGTTTGTTAGCTAGTCACCTCAGAAAAGCTGAAAAATTACTTTTAGTCCACTTTGTGTTTGGTCTGTGAGGTTTGAACCACACTCAGGGCCCTGCGACACTGATTAGATGAATTCTAGAGGCCCTTCTCTCCATGATGTGAATTATAAACCTTGCCATAAAGTTGTGAATTGGTTCCATCGTTTGTTTCCAGCATATAATTTTGGTTGTAAAGTCCACTACCATTAAGATTCATAGGGCAGAAGCCATCGTTCTTTAACTATATTAAGAAGTACATCTCTGTTCTATTTCTTTAATATTCTGATTTGCCCATCTGTGGGAAAAACAATATTCTTATTCATGTAGGAACACTCAGGGATTATTTCTGAAGCAATCATTGCAGCTCCATTCCCCTCTCCCCATGACTTGCAGTATTTCTGGGAGAAGAAAAGAAAAAGGACAGGGAAGCACTGGTCTTGAAAAGTAAATACGTAACTTCAGAAGCATTTACCTAAATGAGGCTCAGTCCATGCATTTTGGAAACCACTGAATCTCTTCTGGAGACAAGAGAAAAACATACTCCCTTACCTCGAGGAGTTTATAGTAGTTGAGAAGATCAAACTAATCCATATGAGAACAACTTTAAAGTCAATGTTAGGTAATTCTGGGAGGAAGATAATATAAGCTGAGACATCCTTCACACCCAAACTTGAGAGACTCTCTGAGAAACCTCAAGATGTGTTCACCATTAATATAATCTAAGTTCTAAAGAAACGTCAATACCTATATAAGGTGATGGATATGTTAATTAGCTGGATTGTGGCAATCATTTCACAATATATATGTATGTCAAAACATATTGTACACCTTCAATATATACGATTTTTATTTGTCAATTATATCCCATAAAGCCAGAAAAAAAGAACCTCCAATAACTTGTAAATCTCCCAACATTTACTCCTCATACAAATTGCTTCAGATATCTACCCACAAATTTTCCAATGATCTTCATTTTTCAATAGTCTTTCTTATTATCCTAGAACATACAAATATTTGTTGAGTAGCAATCATTTTCCAGGCGCTGTTCTAGGCCTTGAGGACAGAGCAGTGAACAAAACAGATCATCATCCTTGTTCTTATGAAGCTCATATTCCATTGGGGCTGTGTTAATAATCCTTACCATCACTACCACATAGCAGCACTTTGTGCAAGTGTGCATGCCACAAACATCTGCTCAAAGAAAAGACATTAGAGCAGAAACTTGAATGATGTGAAGGGGTAAGCTGGTGGGAGAGTTTTCTAGGCAGAATGAAGAGCAAGTGCCAAAGCCCCTGCACAGGAGTGTTCAAAGAGCAGGTTAGTGGAGCAGCACGGAGGCTAGTATGGCTAGAAGCACAAAGGAGCAAGGAGATTGGATTCATATTTCTATTGAGCACCTGTTCATTGTGCTAAGCATCAGGAATATGATAGAAAGCAAAACAAATCCAGTCCTTGCTCCCCTGGAGCTTATAGTCTAATAAGAGAGACAGTGTATTAGTCTGTTCTCACACTGCTATAAAGAAATACCTGAGACTGGGTAATTTATAAATAAAAGAGATTTAATTGCCTCATGGCTCTGCAGGCTGTACAGGAAGCATGATGCTGGCACCTGCTTGGCTTCTCAGGAAACTTACAATCATGGCAGAAGGTGAAAGGGAAGCAGGCAAGTCTTATATGGCTGGAGCAGGAGGAAGAGAGAGGTAGGGAGGTGCTACCTCAACCAGATCTCTTGAGAACTCACTCACTATACAGTACCAAGGGAGGATGGTGCTAAGCCATTGATGAGAACTCCGCCCCTATGATCCAATCACCTCCCGTCAGGTCCCACCTCCAACACTGAAGATTACAATTTAACATGAGATTTGATGGGGGGCAACACAAATCCAAACCATATCAGAGAGATATCAACTAATCAAACAGGCAGATCTAAAAGTCCAACTTTGAAAAGTGCTGGAAAGGAAAACTTCCACGTGCTGTGAGAGAATAATATGAGGGCCTAATTTAGACTGGCAGATCAAGGAAGGTTTCTCAGGAGGAATTGCTAGGTAGTAGAAATCTGAAGAATGAAAAGGAGTTAAGTAGGTGAAGCCTGAAGAATAAAAAAAACATTCCAGGCTGAGGGAGCAGGGTATTCCAAGTTCTTTTGGCTGTAGGAAACACGGGAAGGAGGAAGGACTGAAAGAAGGCTAGCATGGCTGAGTGTAGAGAGTAGATGGTATATGCTTTGAGGTGTGATTGGAGATACAGTAGGAGACAAACTATGAAAGGCCATGTTAAGAGGTTTGGTTTAAACACTGCATGTTCTCACTCATAGGTGGGAATTGAACAATGAGAACACTTGGACACAGGAGGGGGAACATCACACACCCAGACCTGTTGTGGGGTAGGGGGAGGGGAGAGGGATAGCATTAGGAGATATACCTAATGTAAATGACAAGTTAATGGGTGCAGCACACCAACATGGCACATGTATACATATGTAACAAAACTGCACGTTGTGCACATGTACCATAAAACTTACAGTATAATTTAAAAAAGAGGTTTGGTTTTCTAAAAGCAATGGGAAGCCACTGAGGAGTTTAAATAGTGCATGTAACACAATCGGATTGACTTTCTGTAAAGGTCATTCTGACTGTGGAGTGGAGTGGATTGATAGAAAGTGGCAAATATACATGTGGAAGGATCTTGTGGTAGCCCAGGTGAGAGATGTTTGTGAACTGGACTATGGAGGTAGGAGTACAGGCTAGCGTGGCTGGAGAGAAGTGGATATGTTTGTGGTGTAGAACTCACAAGATTTACTGATGGGTTGTATGTGGAAATGAAGGGGAAGAAGGTGTCAAGGAAAATTAACCAGTTTTTTTTTTTTTTTACCTGGTATAGATGGGTAGATGGTGGTATCATTCACTGAGATTAGGTACAATGAAAGGGTAGACCATAATTTGAAGTGGAAGGCAATGCGTTCCATACACACATATGCAAATATATATATGTATGTGTGTGTGTGTGTGTGTGTGTGTGTGTGTGTGTGTGTGTGTGTATGGCTGTGCATTGATCTGTGCTCAAGTTGATTGAGAGTATTAACATGGGAGACCATATAAATTCAGGTTCCTTGTGTACATCTGTGTCTTGCTGTGAAGTTCTAGACCCTCAGACATCTCTATAATCTGACTCTATTCAACATTTTCCATATAAGTCATTCACTCCAGCAATGTCTCCTAAATACTTCCTAGGAAATTCCTGTTTTAATGCCCTAGCTCCTGCTGTTTCACTTGCCCAGGATGCTTTCTTATCTCATCTGTAAAACTCCTCCCAGATTCTTTAATACAGAGGGCTCTTTCCATCTGAATTATAATGGAATTTATTGGCTGCAGCATCATCTGACATTCGTCAATCACAAACAGGTCATAGCTAATTTACAATTGGTCTGAGCTGCAAAGTTCATTTGTATTTCAGGTGTCTGAAGTACAGAAGCCATTTTTTCATGTAAAATCTTTTATAAATGGTTGTTAGGTTTCAAGGCTAGTCCATAAAACCAATTTACTCTATAATGTAGCTAAAGTATGGGGACATTTGCGATGCAGAAGAGTAGAAAGTAATATTCTTAAATGTAGAAGAGAAAACAAAATTGAACAAGAAGTTCTTTTATGTATTTGAAAAGCTAGTGCTTGAGAAAAATCAGGTTAAATTCAAGAGGTAAATTGAGAATTTCATGGAAATTCTGAAGAGGACTTCTGGAAAGTTTCAAGGCAATTAGAGCCTGAAGATGCTAATTCTTTAGTATGTTTAACTTCTCTTCAAAACTTTTAAAAAAGTTATCCTGGTCTAGGTGTGTTTTTACACTACATTGTATGTGTACCAGCTATGCTTAGGGTTGCTTTATTTTTTCAGTTTGGATTTTTTTCATGGCTCACAACAAAGGCAGCAAATGCATGTAGTTTTTTTATCCAAGGGGTTATAAAATTTCTTTAATCTGGAAAACACAATTATGTGTATTCTGGCTCAGATTCTTTCTATCTGCCCATGGTCCTTCTCTGTGTTTCTGTCTCTCTCTCTCTCTCTCTGACTACTCATGGGCAGTATCATTTACCCTTGGTTTTACAGTCCCATAGCAAGCTGCTTCTTAGGAGCAAGTAGCTAAATATAAATGACTAGAGTGAAAATTTAGTTCCATGCCCCTACTTTCTGGCTTGCGTTCACACTGACTAACTTCTCTTACCTGGCATGGCCTACAGCCAATGGATTGGGACACTCAGGGCCTTCCTTTGGGGCTAGAGACTATAGCACAAACTGAGGGGCCTATTCTACAAGGTGGAGTTAACATTAACTTCTTAATTCATCCTGACCCCTAAAGGTCAGCCTCAGAGAGACGAAGGATGTTTAGGTGGGAGCTAAAGCAGACAGGGGGAATCTTGGGGGTGGGAGCAGCTCTCTGATGTTGATCTAGAGATGCCCATAGGGTAATTTAAATCAGTTGCTCAGGAGTCAGACAGAGCTTGTAGAAATGAAATTATAGGCATCACTCACAAATGGATCCCTCTTTCACAACCATTTTAAAATTTTGTTTACTGCCGTTTCCAATTTAGTTAATAAAATGTAGGTTCTGTGAGAGCAGACACTTGATTTTGCTCACTGCTATATCCCTAGCACCTATAATAGGGCATGACATAGAGTAGGAATGAAATAAATATGTTTTCAATAAATCAATGAATGAATAGTATTTTTCATTTAAAACCAGACCTTTTTCTTACATTTCTTCTGGTGACTCAAGGCCTTTTCTATCCTATTCTGAATATTGTAGCTTCCGCAGATGTTGTCTACAGAATCATCTAGAACAAAAGATCTTTACAAGTATCCAACAACTGAAGTAACTATACCCGTATTGGTCATGTTTAAAGCCATCATCATTGATTTAAGAAACCACATCTTCTCTAAGAGCACTCATCTCTCAGTCACCTCCCTACTAGCCTTTCTAGGTGTCACTGAGACAATGTCCCATACTTCCACAGATCTTGATCTTCATAGACAGATATTTGCCTGAACAAGAACACATTTAGATATTAATTTCATTTTTGTAATCTATTCTAAAGTGACAAGTGACTGTTTTCAAACTACAGTTGATTGAATAAGAAGTAGAGCACAGTACTTTTTGCCATCCATAGTCTATTTTCTTGCACCATTAACTCATGAACAGATCAATATCTACACTATCAAGGTATGAAACGAGAACCTACCAATTATATCATTCATTTGTGTGTTTCTTTGACTGTGTCTTTTTAGCAGCTAGATTTTAGCAAAACTTTTTCCAAAACTAAAAATTTGGGGCTGATGGTCTGTCCTGAAATTGTTAAAGCATTTCTTCTTCTCTCATTCTGCTATTTCATAATGACCTTAGTCTTATTTTTAATGTTGAACGTGGCTTTGATTTTGTTTATTTATAATTCAGAGGTAAGCAATAAATGTACTGTTCAAAGAGAAATACTTATAATCCAGTTATGGATGTCGGTTTATATTACATTTATACACACTTAGGAGGAGACTATCACCAAAGTTGCTGGTTGGGTGAATTTGAATAAGTTGATGCACATTTAATCAACAGATTGAATGAAAAAGGATTGCCACTTGCTAATTGAATGGAATAACAGAGGAGGAAAATTTCAAAACATGCCTCTCTTTTGCCAAAGGAGTAAATCTGAAGAAAGCTCTTTTTCTTTCCTTTTTTAGGCTGAAGTAGCAATTTCTAACCCTTATTGTTTTTGTGGCAAGTGACAAGAAAATGCATTTTTGTGTCCAATTCCTCTTTTTCATTGTTTTGCTGCCATAAAACTGCTGGGTGCCAACTAGGATGTCTTCTCACCAAGAGAAGAAGGGATTCTTGTCTGATAGATAATATCAGTGGGGCAGCTGTTATTTTGATTTGCTTATTTGGAAAGCTGAAGTTTACCTGTATGCCTCTTGCCAAGCAAAGAAATTCAGTGAAAGGAAGATGAGAACTGAGAAGAGACAGAGTTTTGTTAAGATACTTAATTCAGCCTGGGCAACGTAGGGATACCTTGTCTCTACAGAAAACAAAATTATCCGGGCATGGTGGCACACACCTACGGTCCCAGCAGTCCCAGCTACTTGAGAGGCTGAGGTGAGAAGATCGCTTGGGAATAGGAGGTTGCGGCTCTGCACTCCAGCCTGGGTGACAGAGTGAGACTCTTGTCTAAAAAATAGATACTTAATTGTCTCTGCACCAGATTTCTTCTAATAGCATGGTTTCAACTGTTCCCAGAAATATCCAGCTATTCTCTGCCCATGACTCCATATCTTCCAGCCTCTTTTAGTAACCATGTTTTAATAATATTATCAAATTTTGCTCCCTAATTCCCTGTATTATATCCAAATTTCCAAATAGTTTGGGGTGCCTTTTATTCAACCTCTAACAGCAGTCTGAACTCATATGAGTCAGAAGGATACTTTACCAATACTGCACTGGTTCCATAAAAAGCATGCAGTTCTCATTAGTGCAGTCAACAGAGTCAGCAAAGGGATTATGTGGACAATCATCTATCAGGCTAACCACCCAAGCCTCTGACCAAGACTATATATCTAAAATGCCCCAGAAATGCTCCTATTTTTTTAATTCTAAAAACGTTTATTTTTCTAATTATAAAGGTAGTTGCTTATCATTATAAGAGAAAAAAGGTTGGAAAATATGAAATAAACAAAACCAAAAGCGCAAAGAAGATAATACAAGTTACTTTAGCTTAACACATTATCTTACTTTTGGTCTTTCCTGTGTGCAAGGACCTGTTTCATTTACTGCTACAAAATTTAGTGGCTTAGAACAATAGATTATTATTTCTCATGCTTCTGTGTGTTGACTTGGCAGTTTTGTTTCATGTGCTGTCAGTTGTGATGCTGGGATAACTGAACAGTCCAAAATGATCTCATTCACATGGCTAATAAGTTGGTGCTGGCTGTTGGCTGATTGCTCAGCTGGGATTGTTGTCTAAGGGCTTGGTTTTCCTTCATGTGGGCCTCTTCACATGGCTTCTTGGGTTTCCTCCCAGCAACACAGCTGGGTTCAAGAAGGTGTGTACTAAGTGGTGAAAGCAGAAATTTCAGATATTTTAAGACTCAACTTCAGAAGTTACAAAGCATCATTTCTGCCACATTCTATTGGTGAAAGTTAATCACAGGGATAGCCCAAAGTCAATGTGGGAAGGTGTGAACACTAGCAAGTATGGTTCACAGTGGGGGGTTATATTGTAGACTAGCTTCCACAGAGCTCTTTCCTTCCCTTCTTCCCTTCCCTCTTTCCTTCTCTTCTCTTTTTTCTCTTCCCTTTACCCTTTTCTTTTCTTTTCTTTTGAGTTTCTTTTCTTTTCTTTTCTTGTCTTTGAGTTTTGCTCTTGTTGCCCAGGCTGGAGTGCACTGGCATGATCTCGTCACAGAGCCCTTTCAATCCCCCTGCCCCAGCCACCTTGTCCCTCTGTAGCCACAATGGGGCAGATTTGTGAAATGTGGATGGTGACGGTGGTGTGTATATGTAAGGCAGTCAGGTTGAGGGGATCAGTTTGATACACAACTGAGCTCCCCAATGCTGAATGACTCCTTATGTCTGGTTTTTGTTCTATTTCTAAGTAAATGACCATCAAAAAGTGTGATGAAAATCAGGGTCTCAGCTTAAATATCACTTCCTCAAAAAAGTCTTGACTGTACACTCTGTTCCCATTTTAACTAGATTCCCCCCATTATTTTCACCTTCGTTTATCATAGTTTTCATAATTTCTAGCTTATGATTTTTTATGTATTCATGTAATTGTTTGTTTTATGGTGTTTTGTTCACAATTCCATCAGCCACATGAAAGCAGGGAATTAGTGTATATTGTTCAGATAAGCACATAGCACAGAGCATAATAGAGAATAGGTGCTTGCTGAATATTTGTTGAATGAATGGGTGACTGAAAGGAAATCTGAATGTCTGTCCTCATCACTCTTTCACTCACACACATGCAACTATAATAATCAGTCCTGGCTTGTAAATAGGAAGCTCTTAGTAACTATCTTCCTCAAATCTGTTGGAGATAAAGAAAGTGATGCAGGGAAATTTCAATCAAAGTCCTATTGTGACATCTAGTTTCTATAAGAGAAGGCTATTTTCAGGTTCTTTCCATACTGAAAATTGCAGTTTGGTTTTCATACCATTTCATACCACTTCCAATGACCCCAAATTGCCACCTAAATGTCTCATGTTTACATTTACTATAACCAGTCCCATTTCAGCATTTGAGATTCAATCCTATTAGCTTTCAATTCTCTGCCATTGATACCATCATGTACCCAGTTATCCCCAATCATCTTTGCCACTTTGCTCATCTCCTCTTTTCTATACACAGTCATTTTCCAAGGCCTATTCTGTCTTCTATTTTCTGTCTTCTATTCTCAGCTTCCATACCACTACATTACTTCATATCCCTACCACCTCTTTTCTGGGTAAATCTCCTTCCTCCACTCTTGTCAGCTCCAATCCATTCTCCACACTGTCTGTAAGAATGAACTTTCTAAAATGTAAATCTAACCATGTTACTTACTGTCAGTATTAGTCCACTGCTAGGTTGAATATTTATCGAATGAATGGGTGACTGAAAGGAAATCTGAATGTCTGTCCTTATGGCTGCTACCATAGGTTGTGGCTCTCTTATTTTATATACAGAAAAAATGGACAGCCTCATTCATTCATTTTTTAAGTTCAACAAACATTCATTGAGTACTTATCATGTGCCAGACACTAAGAAAACAAAAATTTCATGATCAGGTTTCCATCTTTGAGGAACTGACAGTCTCATTGGAGCATATAATGATTCTGTTATTGCAATCTATTAGTGCTATTAGAGGCATTTTATTAAAATAGAGGGCAAAGCAACAAACTGTTTGGGGGATTGGAACATGGGGAAGAGTTGGGGTGGAGAAGTTGCAGGAATGGCAGAATAAATGAACTAAGTCATGAAAGAAGAGAAGTTCAACCAATGGCCAAGGAGAAGAAATGTATAAAACAGAGGAAGAAGAGCACTTGTAAAGGCATGAGGATATGAGAAAGTAAGGCACTCAATATGGCTAGAACTTAAGAGTGTACAGGAAAAAGAGGGGGAAGATGTGGCCTAAACAAAGGCCATAATTCTATAAGAGCTATATACTACCTACTATGTAGTTCTGTATTTGAATTGAAGGGTTTTAAGTAGGATAGTGATATAGTTTAGATCCGCGTTCCCACTCCCCGCCCAAATTTCATATCAATTGTAATCCCCAATGTTGGAGGTAGGGCTTTGGGGGAGGTGATTTGATCATGGGGGTGGCTACTTATGAATGGTTTAGCACCATCTCCCTTGGTGCTGTGTTGAAATAGTGAGTGATTTCTTGTGAGATCTGGTTGTTTAACAGTATGTAGCACCTCCCCTCTCTCTCTTTTCCTCCTGCGTTAGCCATGTGAGATGCCTCGCTCCCCCTTTGCCTTCCATCATGATTGGAAGCATCCTGAAGCCCCCCCAGAAGCAGAAGCTGCTATACTTCCTGTATACTCTGTAGAACCATGAGCTAATTAAACTTCTTTTCTTTATAAATTATTCAGTCTTAGGTATTTCTTTATAGCAATGAGAGAATGGACTAATGCAGACAGTAACATGGTTACATTTACATTTTAGAAAGTTTACTCTTACAGACAATGTGGAGAATGGATTGGAGATGGCAAGAGTAGAGAGAGGAGATTTACCCAGAAAAGAGGTGATGGGAATCTGAAGTAATGTAGTGGTTTGGAAGCTTAGAATATAGGACAGAGTGGAAGAGTGACATGAAGGAGAGTACCGGAAACAGAGAGACCAGATAATATTAGGGATGAAATAGGATTGGTCAATTTTGTGACTCTAGCAAAAGTGCTATCAGGTAGTATTGAGACTGAAACCAGATTTCAGTGGGGGAAGTGAGGAAGTAGAGACAGAATAGGCAAATATTTACAGACATTTGGAATAAAGAGTAACAGGATGATGTTTATGAGGAACAACATGGGTGAAGTTGACTCTTGTTAATTTAATATTGTTCTTTAGCAGATGAGAGCTTAGGGTGTATATTTACTGAGAGGAAAAAGTCCACGGGAACAGATAAGTTGACTTTACAGGAGAAAGACGGGATAGTTGCTGGAGAGGGACCCTAAGGAGATAGAAGGCGAAGATAAAATGGAACTCAAGAGGAGAGTGGTGCAGTCGTTGCTCACTCTCAGACTACAGTAGTGATGAGGGTGATCTTGAAATCAAATAGGCCTAGATTCAAATCTCAGCGCTGCCATTTGCTATCTGGGTAAACCTGACAAGCACTTAATCACTCCAAATATCCATTTTCTCAGTTACAAATTGAGGATAACTAAACCTTTCTCACAATGTAGTTGTAAGGATTACATGAAAGAGTAAATGATAAAAATGGTAGTTATTACTACCAATGAGAACAGGATGGGGGTAAGCTAGAGATAAATTTGGCAGTAGAAGGCCAAGAATGGAAAGATATTCCAACCGAAGTCCTCTAAATTTCTCAAAAAAGCTTAGCTGATAAAAATTCAAGCAATGGGGGTGGTTAAAGGGTTGAAGGAAAGTGTTAAAAACTTGGAATCTGCTAAGAGGAAGGAGAGAGTGAGGTTTGAGAAAAAAAAGATTGCTGATCAGCATCAAGGGCCTTGACTTTATTCCTGTCCTTCAGTCTCTTCCCCTCGAATCCATCTTGCACAGTAGCACTTGATTAATATTCTCAAAAGGATACATTCATCATGTCACTCCAATACATGTCTACTAAATAAAGTTCATGCTTCTCTGTTTGGCATTTCACGCCATCTGCATTCAGATGTCTTCCTGCTATGGAAGCTTCTGCAAGCCCACAAACCAGCTAGAATATTTACAGTTCCCCATATTTGTCTTTTGTTTCCAATTCTGAACCTTGTTTGTGTTATTCCCTGTACTCTCAACTGAAGTTCATTTCAACAGTTTATACTGTGCAAGCTTCAGGGTCCTGAAGAGCTGGGTTCCAATATGAACTCTTCCACTAACCAGCCATATGATCTTAGGCAAGGGATTTTGCTTCTCTGTGCCTTAGTTTCCTTGTGTATACAATAGGGTGTCTTAGTCCATTTTGTACTGGTATAACATAATACTTGAGACTAGGGAATTTATAATGAACAGAAATTTATTTCCTCACAGTTCTGGAGGCTGGGAAGTCCAAGACCAAGGAGCTGGCATCTTATGAGAACCTTCTCGCTGCCTCATCCCATGGTGGAAGGTGGAAGAGGAAAAGAGGGCGAGAGAGAGAGAGGCAAAAGGGGGTTGTACTCATCCTTTTGTAACAAATCCACTACCACGGTAGTGGCATTAATCTATTTATGAAGGCAGTACCCTCATGGCCTAATCATCTCTGAAAGGTCCCATCCGCCAATACCATCACAATGGCAATTAAATTTCAACATGAGTTTTTGAGGGGACAAACCATATCCAAACCATAGTATAGAGATAATAATAGAAATCACGTAGTGGTATTGACAGGATTGCCTTAACAGATGTAAAAAAAAAAGAGAAAGCAATAGTAGATCACCCTGCACATAACGGAAACTCAGTAAGTGGTAACTATAACTCATTTGTTTACTAAACATTTACAGAATACTGGTTATATGCCAGGCACTGTGCTAGGCCTCATGGATATGGAGACGAACACTAACTACACTTGAAATCCCGCATGCCTAATTTAGTATAGGGACATCATCATGGCCTCAAGGAAAAGTTAGTATTGGTAATGAGTCTTGAAGAACTTGTAGATATTGCCAAGCAGTCAAGAGATTTAAGTGAAATACTCTAACTTTTTAAAAAACTTATGAAAATACTTGGAAACAATCAAAAGCCTGGTTCATTTGCTGAGTAACACAAAGAGATTGGGCATTGGTTGTAATTGTTATTATAAGCAACAGAAACTTAATCTGAAGCTGAAAAGGTATTTATTAAAAGTGTATTGGGTAGCTTCGAATGCACGATGGGAAGGGATAGAGAAGGACAGGAATTGGTAAGAGATGCAGCCAGATAAGTGGTCAGGGACCAGGTCATGAAGAGCTTTATAGGACATAAGAAATTTGAACACTATTCTATTGGTGATAAGGACCTGTCACAGGGTTTTGTTGTTGTTGTTGTTTGTTTTTCAAAGACAGTGACATCATTTGTGTGTTATAGATACATCATTCTGGCTGTTGTGTAAAGAATGGGGAGGTGATGTGTTTAGACTAGAACATGAAGACCATTATGTCAAGGTCAGACAAGATGATTGCTGAATTAAGGCAGAGAGAGTAAGACTAGAGACACAAGGATGAATTACAGAGATCTTCGGAGGATAAAATCAACAGGACTTAGTGACTTTATTGGATTTAAGGAAAATAAGGGATTGCAATTAAGGCTAATTTACAGGCTTTTGTCTTGGGGGACTAGGTGGACACTGGTGTAGTTCATTGAGACTGATAATATAGAAGAAGGAGCAGATTTGGAGGAAGGTAGACGCTAAGGCCAGTTTTGCAGATGTTGAATTTGAAGAGTCAATAAACAGCTGTGTGAAGACTTTCAACAGGATTTTGGATGCACAAGTATCAAGTTCGAAGCAAGGTAATATAGATGTAAATTTGGGAGACACTTTAATATCAGCAGTACTTGAAACCAAAAGGGTGAATTTGATCACCTAGGGAAAGTTTATAGAGTAAGTGCAATAAAGACAGAAATCTGAGAAAACTCAACACTGCAGGAGCAGGTAGAGAAAGAAGATTCTGAAAGACAGAATATCAAAGCATAGTTTGAGAAGTAGGAGGAGACTCAGGAGATAATGGCATCACAAAAACCAAGATGGGAGAGAGTTTCAAAGGAGGATTGGTCCACAATGTCAAACTCTGCTAAGAGTTTCAGATGAAATCAGGACTGCAAAGCCCGCATTGATTTGACAGGCAGCAGGTCATGAGGAAATTTATCTGTGGGGAAAAGTGAAGGCAGAAGCCAGACTGCAATAGTTTGAGGAGGGAATGAAAAGAGGAAGTGAGAAACTATGTGTAAACAACTTATTCTATAAAAGTGACTATAAAAGGAAAGAGAGTATTTCCAACTTCCAGAAGAGCTAAGCAAGCTCAAGAAAATCCCCCCAAAAAGATCTAGTAAGCTGTTCAAAATTAACAAAGTCTCTGGAGATTGATCAAAGGGCTTACAAAAAGTTGGGAAACATTTATTTTTAAAATGTACAGAAACTTGATAAGAACAGAGGGAGGCCATGGCATATGGGCTAGGGACTGTAGCCATCCCCAGCAGTTATGTCATGCAGAAAAACTGTTTCAGCAAGCTTGGTTGCCAAGTGACAATTCTCATCTTCCCTGACTCCTGGGGTGGAAGAACTATCTTGTGTGCGTTTGGCAGTTGGCAAACATCATCATATCCCGTTTTCCACAGTTCTGTTCTATGTAAAGCCTATATAGAGTTGTGGAAGCAGCCCGGAACCGCCTGTTTTCCATCCCCAATTCCCACTCTGTAGGGAGGATTCAGACAGGGTAGCTGGTGAAAAGAATAGTCGACTTTTCCCGCACATCTCTGTGTTATGGGAAAGCAGCTTCATTGTGTTCACAGTCAAGTGGTAGCTCCAATCTTGCCAAGATTTCCAAGGTGGAAGACCTATTCCTGGTAGAATCAGTGGCCAGTGAAAGTTGAGATCACATCCTCTCCAGCTCTGAGTTGCAGAAGATCTATACTAAGCAGTGTCAGCAGCTGGAGGTGGCACTAGTGCACATGTGCACACACAAACACACATTATCTGCTCCAGAGGAAGGATCTGAGTGAATATACAGTGAACAACAAGTTCCCCATCCCCCATCTCCACACCCCTGCTTCTGATTTGTGATGTGAAGTTTCTTCCCAGAGGCATGTCCGAGCAAGCCTAACACCAAGGAACCCAACTACGATTGGGTGAGACTGTGGAGCAACTTACGCTGCAGAGCATTGTTGAAAACAACAGAGAAATCAGCTAGAAATTAATAGAGGCTAACAGTTGGTCATAATGCTATTAGAATCAGATCAGCCAGAAGCTTAAGAATAACATCAGGTAAAGAGACTGCCAAACAGAGCCAGGTTAAACCACAGTCAAGCCTGGCAGTCAGGAAAACTGTGTGTAGGCCTAAGGCTGTACCCTCTGAGGAGCAACAGAAGTTCTGAATTAAGGGGAAATACACTTCACTGAAGTAGTCCAGTTGAGTCATGAAGATGCAATTAAGCAATCAGAAAAAAATCCTGAGAGGGGATCTAGACTGGTTTCAATAAATTATCTAAAATATCCATTTAACAAAAATTATGAGACATGCAAAGAAACAGGAAAGTATGAACCATATACAGAAAAAAGGCAAAAGAAACTGCATTTGAGGGGACCCACATATTGACAAAAGAGACAAAGACTTCAAAGCAGCTATTATAAATATCTTCAAAGAACAAATCAAAACCTTGCTTAAAAAATTAAAAGAAGGTATGATGACAATATCTCATGAAATGGAGAAATCAATAAAGAAGAAGAAATTATACAAAAGAACCAAATAGAATTTCCAGAGTTGAAAAGTACAATAACCAAAATGAAAAATTCACTAGATGGATTCAACAATCGATTTGAGTTGAAACAAGAAAGAATCAATGAGCTTGAAGACAGATTAATAAAGATTATGCAATATGAATGGAGAAAAAAAGGATGAAGAACAATAAACAGAGGTGCAGATAAACCATGTGGGACATAATTAAGCACACCAACATATACATAATAGGAGAACCAGGAGAGGAGAGAGAGAGAGAAATGAACAGAAAAGTATTTAAAGAAATAATGGCTGAAAATTTCTTAACTTTGATGAAAAATATTAATCTACACATGCAAGAAGCTCAATGAACTCCAATAAAGATAAATGCAAAGAGAGACACACGTGGACACATTACAGTTAAAATGTTGAAGTCAAAGACAAAGAGAAAAATTTAAAATTAGTGAAGGATAAATGACTCATTATGTACAAAGAAGACATAGATGACTTCATATCAGTGACAATGGAGTCCAGAAAGCAGTGGTGTGACATCTTCAAAGTACTGAGAAACAAAACAAAACAAAACAAAACCACAAAAAGCTGTCAACCAAGTTTTTTTTTGTTTTTTTTTTTGAGATAGAGTCTTGCTCTATAGCCAGGCTGGAGTGCAGTGGCACGATCTCAGCTCACTGCAATCTCCGCCTCCTGGGTTCAAGCGATTCTCCTGCCTCAGCCTCCCAAGTAGCTGGGACTATAAGTGTATGCCACCACACCCAGCTAATTTTTGTATTTTTAGTAGAGATGGGGTTTCACCATGTTGACCAGGATGGTCTCGATCTTTTGACCTCATGATCCACCCGCCTCAGCCTCCCAAAGTGCTGGGATTACAGGCGTGAGCCACTGCCCCCAACTCCAAGAATCTTGTAGCCAGAATATCTACCTCTCAAAAATGAAGGGGAAACAAAGACATTTTCAGATCAACAAAACCAGAGAGAATTTGTTGTTAGAATACTGGATTTATAAGAAATATTGAAGAAAGTTCTTCAGGCTGAAAACAGGTGATACCAGATAGAAATTCAAATCCACAAGAAAAAATAAGCACTGATAAAGGTAATTGTGCAGGTAATTATAAATAACAGTATAGCCAATTTAAAAGTCAATCACATAAAAGATGTATGCATGTAATTGTATTTTGGACTTAAATAGAATGTAATCCGTTTGATAATAAAAGGACAAAGCTTGCAGGTAGGAAAAAAGCTGATTTGGAGTAAGAAAATGACACCATATGGTAATACGAATACAAAAGAAGAAACAAAAAGAACTCAAATAGCTAATTAAGAAGGCTACTAAACTGTTTAAAAAATACTTGTCCTTTCTTCTCTCAGCTTCTTTCAAATACATACATTTATATAATGTAATAATTAAAACACTGCATTGTTGGTTTTAAAATATATATAGGTATTATCTATCTACATATATATAACAATAATAGCACAGAACAGGGGCAGATAGAGCTGTATAGGAATAATATTTTTATATCATACTAGAATTCAGCTAGTATAAATATGAATTAGATTCTGATAAGTTAAGATGTATATGGTAAGCCCTAGAGAAATCACTAAGGATATAACTCAAAAAATATAGTGAAAAAATAATTAAAGGAATTAAACTGTTACACGAGGCATATTCACTTAGTGCAAAACAAAGCATTAAAAAGGAAACAGAGGAACAGAAAAGACATGAGATATATAGAAAACCAAAAGCAAAATGACAGATGTAAGTCCAATTTATCAATAATAATATTCAATGTTTATGGATTAAACAATTCAATCAAAAAAGAAAGATTATCATATTGGTTAAAAAACACAGGCTCACTAAAAGATAATACCTAATAATAAGATTATAGGAGGCTTCACTTTCCTCCACATCTAACCACATTAATAGGGTTCCTTTATAATTATAGTGAATTGTAGCTGAAAAAAACTTGCAGACTCTATTTAAGAAGTAGTTGCTAGGCAAACCCAAAGATATCAGAGAAGATAAAAATAAGGACACTAGAGGAAACTGAAGTTCACCTATATCTACAAAAAACATTAAACAGAGCTTAGTTCCTAGCCAGATAAACATAAAACCTCACCCTAAAGGCATACTTATCTCTCTGTTCCTATTACTTGATACATAATATCTGGTTTTCAACAAAAAATTACCAGAAGCACTAAAGGGCACACACATAAAAATGCATCAGAATGAGACTCAGATATGGCAGAGATTTTGGAATTACCAGACTGGGAATTCAAAATACCTGTGAATAAAATGCTATGGGCTCTAATGGAAAAAGTGGACAACGTGCAAAACCACATGGGTAATGTAAGCAGTGAGAAGGAAATTTTAAGAAACAATTGAAAACAAATTCTAGAAAGAAAAAACACTGTAACAGAAATGAAGAATGCCATTGATGGGCTCATTAGTAGACTGGACACGGTAAAGGAAAAATCAGTGAGCTTGAAGGTATGCCAATAGAAGCTTACAAAACCGCAAAAGAAAGAATAAAAAAAGACAACTGGGAACAATTAGAAAAGGTAAAACATAAGTGTAATGGGAATATCAGAAGAGAGAAGAATAGAAGAAATATTTAAAATAGTAATAGCTGAGAATTTCCTAAAATTAATGACAAACACCAAAGCACAGATTCAGGAAGCTTGGAGCCCCAACAAGCTGGATAAATACCAAAACATCTACAGGTAGGCATATCATATTCAAACCTCACAAAATCAAAGACAAAGAAAACTGTGAAAGAAGCCAGAGGAAAAGAAAAGTTGTGAAAGAAGCCAGAGGAAAATAAAAAACCTTACCTACCGAGGAGCAAGTATAAGAATTATATCATTCTTCCTTTCAGAAACCATGCAAGCAAAAAGAGAGTGAAGTATAATATTTAAATTTTGAAAAGAAAAAAAACCCCACCAACCTAGAGTTCTGCATCCTTCAAGAGTGAAGGAGAAATAAAGACTTTCAAAAAGCAATTAAAATTGTAGGGCTTTTTCACTAGTAGACCTGTTTTGCAAGAAATGTTAATAGCTCCTCACAGAGAAGGAAAGTGATATAGATCAGAAACTCAGATTTACATAAAGGAAGAATGTTAGAGAAGGAATAAATGAAGGTAAAATAAAATCTTTTATTTTTCTTATTCCTAGTTGATCTAAGAGATAACATGTTGAAATAATAATAACAATGTATTTGGTGATTGTAGTTTATCAATAAGTGAAATAAATGACAACAATGTTATGAGTGATGAGGGATAATTTGGAATTACTGTTATAAAACATCTGCATTACCTGTGAAGTACGCTATTATTTAAAAGTGGACTTATAGTAATCGTAAATTATATTAAATTGTAAATGCATACTGTACACTCTAAGGAAATTAATAAAATATTAATAAAAGAAGTATAATATGCTAAGAAAGGAGAGAAAATGAAATTATAAAATATGTACAATTAAAATCAGAGAAGTCAGAAAAGAGGGGAAGATAAAAATGAACAAACAAGTGCAACAAACATAAAAGAGTTACAGACATGCTAGATATTAATCTAACTATATTGTAATCACCTTAAATGTATATGCTATAACTGCATCAATTAAAAGTCAGAGGCTGTCAGAGTAGATTAAAAAACAAGACCCAACTACATGTTGTCTAAATGAAACCTTTAAATATAAATAAATAGATTAAAAGTAAAGGGGTAAGATAAAGTAAAGATACGCCATGCTAACTATAATCAAAAGGAAGCTGGGTTAGCTATATTAGTTTCACAAAGCAGACTTCAGAGCAAGGACATTTATCAAGGATAAAGAAAAGTATTATATAATGATAAAGAGGCATATTCTCTAAGAGGATGTAACAATCCTGAATGTATATGCATATAAAGGCAGAGCATCAAAATATGTGAGACAAAAACTAATAGACCTACAAGGAGAAACAGATGAATTCATTATTATAGTTGGAGAATTCACCACCCCTCAATCAGTAATTGACAGATTCAGTTGGCAGAAAATCAGTAAGGATATAGTTGAACTCAACAGCACCATCAATCAACTAAATTTAATTGGCATTCATAGAATACTTCATCCAACAAGAGCAGAATACATATTATTCTCAAGTTGACATGGAACAACACCAGGAGAGACCACATTCTGAGCCATAAAATATACTTTAACAAATTTAAAAGACCATGAATAATACAAAATATACTTAAAGATTACAATGGAATCTTAAACTAGAAATAAGTGATAGAAAAATAGCTGAAAAATTAAAAAAAATTGGAGATTAAGCAACACACTTCTAAATAATACACAAGTCAAAAGAAGTCTTAAGAGAAACCTTAAAATATTTTAAACTAAATGAAAATGAAAATAAAAATTATCAAAATTTGTGGGATGCAGTAAAATCAGCATTTAGAGGGAAATCTATAGCATTGAGTGCACAGATTATAGAAGAAAAAATATAAAATCAATAATCTTTGTTTCCACTTTAGGAAACTAGAGAAAGAAGAATAATATAAGTCTGAAGCAAGCAGAATAAAATAAAAATTAGATCAGTAATCAATGAAATTGAAAACAGGAAATCAATAGAGGAAAGTAATAAAATCAAAGGCTGGTTCTTTGAAAAGGTCAACAAAATTGATATATCACTAGCCAGGCTAACCATGAAAAGCAAATACGGAGGACATAAAATACTAATATCAGAAATCAAAGAGAGCCCATGGGTGTTAGAGAGGATAATAAAAGAATATTATGATCAATTCCATGCCCACAAATATGATAACCTAGATAAAATGGACCAATGCTTGAAAAAAAGAAAACTACCAAAACTCACACAAAGAGAAATAGATAATCTGAATAGGTCTATATCCATTACAGGAATTAAGTCAATAATTCATAACCTCCCAAAACAGAAAGTAGTAGGCCCAGGTGGTTTTACTGATGAATTCTACCAAGCATTCAAGGAAGAAATGATACCAACTCTTTATAATCTCTTTCAGAAAATATAAACAGAAGAGAACATTTCCTAACTCATCTTATGAAGTCAGCATTATTTTAATACCGAAACCACATAAAGATATTATAAGAAAAAAACTGCAGACCAACATCCTTATGAACATAGATACCAAAATCCTCAACAAAATATTAGCAAATCAAATCCAACAATGTATAAAAAGAATTGTGTACCATGACTAAATCAAATTTATTCCAAGTATACATGGCTGGTTAAACATTCAAAATTCAATTAATATAATCTACCACATCAGTAGGCTAAAAAGTAAAAATCATCTGATCGTACCCATTGATGCAGAAAAAAGCATTTGATGAAATCTAACACAGATTCATAATAAAAACCCTCAGCAAGCTAGGAAAAGAGAGGAACTCCCTCAACTTTTTAAAAATCTACAAAAAAATCTCCAGCTAACATTAACTTAAAGGTGAGAAACTGGATGCTTGCTCCGTAAGACTGGGAACAAGGCAAGGATGCTCCTCTCACCACTCCTATTCACCATTATACTAGAAGTCCTAGCTAATGCAATAAGACAAGAAAAGGAAATAAAATGTATACAGATTGGGAAGGAGAAAATAAAACTGTCTTTGTAGATAACATAATTGTCTATGTAGACAATCCAAAAGAATAGACAAAAAACTCTTGGAACTAATAAGCAATTATAGGAAAGCCACAGGATATAAGGTTAATATACAAAAGTCTATTTCTTTCCTATATAATAGCAATGAACAATTAGAATTTGAAATAGAAACGTAACCATTTACTCTAGCACCAAAAAATGAAATACTTAGGAATAAAGCTAACAAAATTCCTACAGGATCTATATGAGGAAAACTACAAAACTGATTCAAGAAATCCAAGAAGACATAAATTCATGAGGAGATAGTACATACTCATGGATAGGAATACTCAATATTGTTATGATGTCAATTTTTCCCAACTATAAAAGTTTGGAAAATAACTTGCTAGAATTTAGCAATGGTTACTGACAAAGTGATTCTAACATTTATATGGAAGGGCAAAAAATTCAAGATAGTTAACACAATACTGAAGAACAAAAAAATCAGAGGACTGACACTACCCAACTTTAAGGCTTACTATAAAGCTACAATAATCAAGACAGCATGGTACTGGTGAATTGAATAGATAAACTGACCAATGGAACAGAATAGAGAATTACTATAATACTATGGTAATCAATATACTGTGGAAGTGAAAGCAACAGAAAGATAACAACAGTAATAGAAATAGGAAGTCCATAGATACACCCACAGAAATATGGTCATTGATTTTTGACAAAGGTGCAAAAGCAGTTTAATGGAGAAAGTATAGTCTTCGACAAATGGCACTGGAAGAATTAGACATTCATAGACAAATAAACGGATGTTTACTTAAACTTTATATAAAAATTAACTCAGGTCATAGATCCACCATAAAATTTTAAAGATGAATCACAGGGGGAATCTTGGTGATCTGAGATTAGATGAAAAGTTCCTAGACATGATATCAAGAGTGATATCAGCAAAGGAAAAAAAAAGTAGATAAATTGGAATGCATCAAAATAAAAACTTTCACTCTGTGAAAGACACTGTTAAAGACGAGCTATAGACTGGGAAAATATATTTGAAAATAACATATCCAACAAAGGACTCATATAGCACTGAATAGTGGCACTTATTCCATGCCTGACTCATTTGGGGCCTCTCAGGTTTCCTGTTTACCTAGCAGAGGAAGATAATAGCACTAGTTGAACAATATTTTTCATTCAATGGACTTTATTATAGCCATTCTTTCATTCAACAAACATTTCAGTATTGACCACAACACTTACATGTTAGGCACTGCAAAACATCCAAATGTGAATAAGACATTATTCCTTCATTCAAGAAGCTTGCAACTTAGTACAGATAATGGTACAAATAGACAAGTATCTGTAATGCAAGGCAGAAAGTGAAGAACACTCTAAAGGAGATAAGATGATAAAGTAGAAATCTCAGCTTCCTAACTTCTCATTTGTTTGACTTTAGACAAGTTGTTTAACCTTATAGAACCATACTTTCCTCAAATTTAAAATGGAAATAACACTATTTACCATACAGTATCATTGGGATAACTGAATATAATAATGACTATCATAGTGCCTGTGATAATGTTGAGGTAGTCACTCAACAAAGTTAGTTTGCCATGGAGAAAAATTTCATGGATAAGGAGACATAGAGATGGTGACATTGGAGTTAGTCATTGGACAATTAGAGAGAACATAGAGAGGCAGAAATAGAGGCAGTCTCCCCCTTGACATTTACCCCCCCCCCAAAAATAAGCCACCTCCTGTACTCTTCTAGCTACTGAGCAACCCTCTCATTTATTATTATTATTTTTTAAGTTTTTTTTCGATACAGAGTCTCACTTTGTCACCCAGGCTGGAGTGCAGTGGTGCGATCTCGGCTCACTGCAACCTCTACCTCCCGGGTTCAAGCGATTCTCCTGCCTCAGCCTCTCAAGTAGCTGGGATTACAGGTATATGCATCACCATACCCAGCTAATTTTTGTATTTTTAGTAGAGACAGGTTTTTGCCATGTTGGTCAGGCTGGTCTTCAACTCCTGACCTCAAGTGATCCACCCGCCTCGGCCTCCCAAAATGCTGGGATTACAGGCATAAGCCACTGCACCTGACCCTCACTTCTTTTTGTTTTTGTTTTGTTTTTTGACTTTTAACTGTTTTATAGAGATATAATTCACATATTGTAAAATAACCCATTGAATGTATACAATTCAATGGTGTTAAATATATGCGGAGAGTTGTACAATCATCACTAAAATGTATATTTAAAACATTTTAATCACCCCAAAAGATAATGCCTGAATTTATGCTTCAAAAAGATGGAATACACATATATTTTCATATTCTTCCAATTAAGTACAGATTAAAAACCCTGAACATTATGTGGGACAGAAATTTGGAAGTATCTAAAAGGTGCAGAAAAAAAAGGTAAAACAGTTAGGGACCTTGAAACCCAAGGAATAACACCATCTCGCTAAATTCCCACCTCCATCCAGAAGTAACAAGGAGTCCCTTCCTGCCAGATATCAACAGACGCTGAATGGAAACCTGAATTTCTACACCCACCTGGAAGTAATAAGGTGGCACCATCTTTCACCTACAGAGTGGTGTCAGAGGAGGCCTTCTAAAACACGAGATTTAAATAAGATGTAGACTTTCATAATACCCCAAATGTCCAAGTTTCAACTGAAAATCACTGACATGCAAAAAAAAAAAAAAAAGGTGCAGAAAAAAAAAGATAAAACAGTTAGGGACCTTGAAATCCAAGGAATAACACCATCTCATTAAATTCCCACCTCCACCCAGAAGTAACAAGGAGTCCCAGACTCCTTGGAAGTAATAAGGCGGCACCATCCTTCACCTGCAGAGTGGTCAGAGGAGGCCTTCTAAAACACAAGATTTAAATAAGATGTAGACTTTCATAATACCTCAAATGTCCAAGTTTCAACTGAAAATCACTGACATGCAAAAAAGCCAAGAAGATTTCAACTTGAATGATAAAAACCAATCAGCAGATGCTAACACGTTGACAGATGTTAGAATTATCTGACAAAGAGTTTAAAGCAATTATCATAAAACTGCTTCAATGAGCAATCATAACCACACTTTAAAAAATTACAAAAAATAGAAATTCTCAGCAAAGAAATAGAAAAATCTCAGCAAGCAAATATATAAAAAGAGCCAAATGGAAAATTTAGAAGTTAAAAACACAATAGTTAACTTCAAAATATCAACAATGAACTCAACAGCAGAATGGAGACGATAGAGGAAAGAACTTGAATACAGAATAATAGAAATGACCAAATCTGAATAACAGAGAAAAAATAAGTGGGAAAAAATAGTGTGTCAGGAACCTATGAGACTGTAACAAAAGACCTAAACTTTATGTTATTTGAGTTTCAGAAGGAAAGGAGAAAGAAGAGGGAGGGACTGAGAAAGTATTCAAAGAAATAATGATTGAAATTTTCCAAAATTTGACAAAAGACATAAACCTAAAAATTCAAGAATCAAATAACTCCAAACATAATAAACTTAAAGAAAGCCATGACAAGACACATCACAGTAAAATTTCTGAAAACTAAAAACAAAAAAATTCTGAAAGCAGCCAAAGAGAAACAACACATTGCCTATAGGGGAAAAACAATTTGAAAGACAACACATTTCTTATCAAAAACTATGGTGGCCAGAAGGAAGTGTGTGCAACATTTTTCAAGAGCTGGAAGGAAAGAACTGTCAATCGCAAATTACATTTTCAACAAAAATATCCTTCAGGAATGAAGGAAAACCCAAACATTCTCAGAAGAAAAACTAAGTGAATTTGTCACTACCAGATCTACATAACCTAAAAAAATTGTTAAAGGAAACTCTTGGAATAGAAAGAAAATGAAAAAATAGGAATCTTTGACTATCTGGAGGGAAAAAGGCCAGTGGAAAAAGAAAATTATATAGGGAAATACAATAGATTTTGCTTCTCCTCTTGAATTTTCCAAATTATGATTGATGGTTGAAGAAAAAATAACATTGATATTGTTCTCAATGTATATAGAAGAAATATTTAAGACAATTATATTATAATGGGAGAAGGGCAAAAGTACATAAAGGGAGGTAAGTTTTCTATGCTTCACTCAAACTGGTAGACTTTTTAAAGATAGATAGATACAGATGTATAAATATATAAAATACAATAGATGGTACAACTACCAAAAATGTATACAAAGATATATATCCAAAAATATAATATTTAAATAAAAATAGAATTCTAAAAAATGTTAACCCATAGGAGGAAAGGAAACAAAAAACAGAAAAATGAAAAACAGAGAACAACAAAAAATAAAAAATAAAATGGCAGTCATAAGCCCCAAATATATCAATAATTAAAGCAAATGTAAGTGGCCTCTATACAACAATTAAAAGACAGAGATCAATAAAATAGATTAAAATAGGCTCAATTACATACCAACTTCAAGAAAATCACTTCATAATGATGTATATATGTGAAAAGTAAAAGGATGGAAAAAGATATACTATGCAAATATTAATCAAAAAAGCAGGAGTGCCTAAATTAATTTTAGATAGAGTAGACTTCAGAGCACAGAAAATAATGAGGGACAGAGACATTACATAATGATAAAAGGATCGATCCATCAAGGAGGCATAGAAATTCTAAATGCGTATGCAAAAACAACAGAGCTCCAAGATATATGAAGCAAGAACTGATAGAACTGAAAGGGGAATTAGATAAATCCACAATTATAATTGGAGACTTCAATATCCTTCTCCCAACAAACACTTTATTTGTTTTTTTAACTTTTATTTTAGGTTTAGGGATACTTGTGAAGGTTTGTTACATAGTAAACTCATGTCACAGGGTTTTGTTGTACAGATTGTTTCATCACCCAGAAATTAAGCCAAGTACCCAATAGTTATCTTTTCTGCTCCTCTCCCTCCTCCCACCCTCTACCCTCAAGTAGACCCCAGTCTGTTGTTTCCTTCGTGTTCATAAGTTCTCCTCATTTAGCTCCCACTTATAAGTGAGAACATGTGGTATTTGGTTTTCTATTCCTGTGTTAGTTTGCTGAGGATGGTATTTAAAAAAATACTAAACATAGAGTTATCATATGACCCATAACTTTCATTTCTGGGCATTTATCCCAAAGAAACAAAAACTTATTTCCATGCAAACACCTGTACACAATTGTTCTTGCCACCTTTATTTGTAATAACCAAAGAAAATTGGAAATCATTCAAATGGCCAATGGGTGAATGGTGAAACAAACTGTGGTACATCAATAACATGGAATACTATACAGTAATAAAAAGTAATTAACCACTGACACATGGGACAACTTGGATGCATCTCAAGGGCATTTCACTAGGTCAAAAAAAGAGACACTCTTAAAAGATAACATACTGTATGATTCCATTTATATACCACTCTTGAAATAACAAAACTATAGAGATGAGAAACAGATTAGTGGTTGCCAGGGAACGAGGATTTGGGGTATAGAAGAAGTAGGTATAATCATAAAGCGGTAACATGAGGGAGATCTTTGAAGTGATGGAATAGTTTTGTATCTTGATTGAGGTGTTTACAAGAATCTACACATGTGATTAAATGACATAGAACTATGCACACAGTTTGTGGCAATGTTAACGTCTTGGTTTTGATATTGCACCATAATTATATAACATGTAAACATTAGGGAAAACAGAATGAATGATACATGAGACCTCTTGGTACTATGTTTGCAACTTCCTGTGTATCTGTAGTGGCTTTATATATATGTATAAATTTCCATATGCGTTAGCAGTCACTCCTTATCTGCCAACCTCCTCTCCCTCTCCCCAGCTCTAGGCAACCATTAATCTACTTCCTGTTTCTGTAGACTTGACTATTTGGGATATTTCCTATGAATGGAATCATAAAATATGTGGTATTTTGTGACTAGTTCTTTCATGTAACAATGTTTTTAAGGTGTATTCATGTTGTACCAGTACCAGTAGCAGTTCATTCCTGTTTATTGCCAAATATTATTCCATTGTAGGCATAAACATTTTTTTCCATTCACCAGTTGTTGGACATTTGAGTTGTTTCTGCTTTTTGGCTATTATAAATAATGCTGCTATGAACATTAATGTACATGTTTTTGTGTGGACTTAAGCTTTCAGTTCTCTTAGGTAAATATTTAGAGTAGGTTTGCTGGGTCATATAGTATTCCATGTCTAACATTTTGAGGAACTGTCAAACTGTTTCTCAAAGTGGCTGAACCCTTTCACATTTCCACCAGCAATGTATTTTTTGTACTTTTGATTATGGACACCTAGTGTATGTGAGGTGGTATCTTATTGCGATTCTGCTTTGCATTTCCCTAATTACTAATGATGCTGAGCATCTTTTTATGTGTTTACTGGCCATTTGCATATCTTCTTTGGAGGAATCATATCATTCTCCCTATATCTTCACATCACATTCCCTCCGTGCATGTCTCTGTGTCCAAATTTATAAGGACACGAGTCTCATTGGATTAGGGACCAACCTAATGACCTCACTTGATTACTTCTGTGTAGACTCTATCTCAAAATAAAGTCACATCAAGGGTACTGGGGGTTAGGACTTCAACATCCATTTGGACATGAGAGACATAATTCAACCCATTTTAAGTAACAGTTTTGAAGTAGGCCCAGAGTGTTATGTTCTCCATAACAAAAGGATTCCCTTAAGGGAAACTATTTCACCAGAGCCTTATCCAGTATGGGCAAGGGCAATTAGATAACTCCAACCCCTTCTATTCTTCCAGTCTCACCTAAGAAAGAAGAAAAGCTCATAAGCCCTGTAATGGTCACAGCCTAGAGGAACAAGCCAACTAAGGCTGACAGCTAATCACAGGATTATGGGATGCTTCCCTCCCCTGCCTCCCACCCTCAACATCAACTGTAGCAATTAGCATTGACTAAGTGCCTACTACTTTTTATGTCAGAACCTATGCTATAAACTGCAAGTGCATTTTCTCAATGTAATCCTTACAAATACCAAGAAAAATAGATATTATTATTCACATTTTACAGATGAGGAAACAGACTTATGAAATGACTTGTTTAAGGTCATAAACAATTATCTGGAAGAATTGAGATTCTAACTCAGGTCTGTCAGATGCTAGAGGCCTGTGCTCATTCTATTATACTTAGCTCAGAAAGGGAGAGACACAGTCAGATTTTAATTTTAATGTGCATGCAGAAAAGCACATGGGCAATCAAGTCAATAAATTATCACAAATGGAACACACCCATGTATCAAAAAAAAGAACTTATCTTCCATTTTTCCCTGCCAAAGTCTTCCTGTGTCTCTCTCCAGGCACTATTACTGATCAAGGATAACAAATATCCTATTTTGATCACCATATATTCTTGTTTCTTTTTCGAGACAGAATCTCACTCTGTAGCCCAGGCTGTAGTACAGTGGTGTTATCACAGCTCGCTGCAGCTTCAACCTCCTGGGTACGAGCAATCCTCCTGCTTCAGTCACCTGAGTAGCTGGGACTACAGCTGTGGGCCACCATGCCTGGCTAATTTTTTATTTTTTTTATAAACAGGATCCCACTATGTTGCCCAGGCTGTTCTTGAACTCCTGCACTCAAGCGATCCTCCTGCCTCAGCCTCCCAAAGTGTTGGGATTACAGGTGTGAGCCAGTGTGCCCACTCTCATAACCATATATTATTTTTGTCTGTTACTGAACCTTATATAAATGGAATTATATAATATGTGCTATTTTATGTCCTGGAGCTTTTGATCAACATTTTATTTTTAGGTTCCATCATTTGTTGCATGCAGGTGTAGTTCCTTCATTTTCATAAGCAGTATAGTATTACATTGTATGGCTATATCACAATATATGTATCTATTCTACTGTTGATAGACATTTATATTGTATCAACTTTAGAGGTTTTAAAAATATTGCTGCTATGAACATTCTTGTACATGTCTTTTGGTGAACATGCTTACAGTTTTTCCTTGAGTAATATTCATTGGGTAGTTGGAATTGGTGACAGGGCAGAGAGGGATGGAGGCAGGGAGAACAGCTGGAAGGCTGTTGCACAAGATCAAGTATAAAGTTTCAAGAGTAAAGAAGAGGATGGTTATGGTGGGGCTGGAGAGAAACAGGTGGAGAGGAAAGAGATAAAAGTGTTTGGATTATAGAGTTTAATTGGTTCTTGGGAATAAAGGCAATAGGGAAGTCAAAGATGACACAACATTTTTAATTCCACTGATAGAGGAAAGAAAGTTGGGCTGGAATGCTCAATGAGAGAGGGAGCTCACAAATTTCATGGTGAAATGTTCAGGGGATGAAGAGGAAGTGAATAGCCTATATGGGACTGTTTAATGGACATCTGGAATTAGAGGAACAAAGTGAGAGGAGGGTGGGGAAAGGAAATAAAGAGAGGGAAAATTTTCTGGAGAGTATTGATTAAAACGCAGTTGGACAATATTGAATTTGGAGAAGCATCACCAATGTGAGGAGAGGCCAGAGAGACTGTAGCGAAGAAAACAAAGAAGACATGGCCTGAGTGGCAGAAGGATCACCAGGCTAGAATCCTATTATGGAAGATTTAAAAGAAGAGAATTTGGGGAAGGTGTGTGTACAGGGAGGGGATGTATTATATTAGATTCAGGATAGACAAAAGGGGGACAGGCTTCTGAGAAAGGCCCCTGGAATTTGGTAGCAGAAAAGCTTTAAAAAGAGCAATTTCCATAGAGTTCTAGTAGCATTACAGAGTTCTGAAAGGAGTGGGTGGAGAGAGAATGCCTATAGGGGTTCCAAACACCCACTTAAGAAGGGTGGCAATGAACGAAATGATTGAAAGAGAGTGTCAATAGGCTGAGGAAAAGCACCCATGGAAAGAGACAATGAATGGTGTATGTGGGGTTTGAGGAGGGGTTAAGGTAAATGACAGAACAAAGTCGCTGATATAAGTATATGGAGATGGGGGATGAGCATAGACAGTGAGCTGATTCATTCATTGAACAAATATTTACTGAATATATCTTGCAAGATACGTACTATGCTAGGGCTGGGGATACAGAGATTAATAAATATAGTCTCTACCCTGGAGTTACTTGTGGTATAGTGGGGGAAACACTTGATCACAGTATAAGTATCAAGTAGGGGAAAAGGAGACTGTAGAAACTTCCATAATTTCTGCATAGGCCTAAGAAGACTTTTGGAGGTGCAGATATCTGAGCTGACGTTTGAAATTACCAAGGAAAGATGAGGAAATTGTATTCTAAGAGGGTGTAGATGTTGAAGCACCATTATTTATAATAACCAAAGGTGTAAACAGTGTAAACAACCCAAATGTCCATCAATTGATGACAGAGAGCCCATGGTTAAACATTTACCAGCACAGCAGTATATGGGAACCATTAATATGGAGGCAGTAATTAAAACTATGTGAATTAATGCTATCACCCAGGTAGAATACAGAATGGGATGAGAAGAGGGCCCAGGAATTGGACTAGGAGGAGAAGCTTCAAACCCTCAAATTTGAATCCCTCAGTGGTCCTTAGACCAGTAAGAAGGAGGAAAGTTATGCTTTTCCCACTATAAAGCTAAGGTACCTAGTCAGGAAGGCAAAGTGTTGGCAAATTAGTGTTCATCTGTCTCCTGGAGACCAGCCAGAGAGTGAGAAATGAGCAAGTTGCCTGGACTAAAAAATCCCACCCTGAAATCCAAGTCTTGTTAAGCGAAGTTATAAAAAAGGACAGGAATGCTTGCATTGCCTAATTGGGCGTGTGTGTCGCAGGGTGGGTGGTTGGGAGGAATCTTCACATATAAAAAACAGCTAGCAACAAGACTCCTTTATTTATAAATTTGTGCATCTCCACAAGCATTTAATGAGCACCTCCTAGGTTCCAGGCTTAGGCTAGGGACAGTTAACACAAAATAAGTGGGTAATATGTCAACAGTAAGTACTGCAGAGTTGTGATCAGAAAAATCTTGAGGGAGGTTTGAGCTAGGCCTTGAAGACTAGCTAAGAAGTACCTGGATGGAAAGAAAAGGATGGGAACTGTTTTCTAAATAAAGCATAACAGAAAAACAGAAATGGGAAAGGAGGTGGGAAAAATAATACTTAACACTTAAAGATGTCTTACTATGTACCAAACACCATTCTAAGAGCTTTATATGCCCTATCTCATTTAATCCTCAAAACAGCCCTTTGCGATAGGTACCATTACCCCAATTTCACAGATGAGAAACAGCCCACACCATAGGTAAATGGTAGAAGAAGCATTATGAATTTAGACAGTCTGGCTCCAGAGCCTATAGTCTTAACTAATATCCCATTTACCTCCTGGAGTGTGCAAGGTGTTTTCATGAGGGTGTGTGGTGATAGAGGTCCAATTAGATCACACAGACTGTGAAGTCATGAGTCGAGAGAGTTTGATAGGTAAGAAGGGAGGCAGCTTCAAAGAATATTGAATTCTAGAGGCTTGCATCAAGTGTTGTAGAACAAGCACAGCAGGCCCAACTTTGAATCCTGAATCTGCCATTGATTAGTTATGGGACATGGGCAAAGTCAGTAGTAGCCTTCATTTCCTCATATTTCAACTGGGTATGTCAATGCCAATTTTGAAAGGTTGTTGTAATTATTAAATTAAAAGCATGTAAAGTGTCCAGCACAGGGTAGATCACCATAAATGGAAGCTATGACTATTATTACTTTATGACTTGTAGAGTTCTCAGCATAGACTTCAGAAGAACTATTTTAGTGTTACTAGTCAGTGATCCCTTAAAGGCCCATCTAAATGGAATTCCTAGTGAAAATACATTTACTTTTTGGGTCAATTCCTCTCCTGGTGGCTTGTGGCTCAGACTACTGACCCTCTATAGCTTTGGGTTGCTGGTATCTTCCAGTTGGCAAGTATGACCATGGACAGGCTTGAGTTAGGAAAGCTGTCCCACATATGTGGCCACCATTCTTAGGGGGTAGTGTGCCACCATTGGGGTGGGAATAGCTAAAAAGGAGTGAGATTATATCTTAACTACTTTTCCTGCTATTGGTCTATATGCCATTGCTAGAATTGGGAGATGTCTGCATTGCCCAGTCCCTGTTATCTACACCAGTCCAGAGAATTTGGGGAAGCTATGTGTACATGGATGGGATGTGTTATATTAGATTCAGAATAGACTAAAGGGTGACAGACTTTTCCCCATTTCCTAGTACACTCTGCTCTCTGATGAAGTGTTATGCCTCTCCCTTTTCATTTTTTGGATCTGCTAAGAAACTTTTAACCTGCCTGATATCTTCCTGGAAATGTAGTTGTTAGAAGGATGCAATTGAAAGCATGACTAGAATTAGCTGCTATTCTCAAGAATTTTCAAACTGTAAATCCTAGTAGACAGGACCCAAAAAACAGGGAGTTGGGAGGAGCAAAACCAATTAATTTTCACATGTCTGCAAATGTTTTAACGTACAGCTATCACCCAAAATAGAAAACCAGAGCTTTCTCTCTTCTAGGTTAAAAATGTCTGCCTAGAGATCTGAGACACTTCTTAAAGGTGACCTGCAAAGGGGGTAGGGTGGATTCCCCACTTGGGATATTATCTATAGGCTGTAAAGTGGGTCTCTGCTGACTGTCTGCAGGAGGGGCCAGGAGAGTCACACTCTTTCCTGCTCGGGCCATAATTGCTGCTTACTCAGCAGGCAAATGGGCACGTATGGCCTCAAATTTCAGAATATTCTTTTTTCTTGCAGTGGTTCTGAGGCAGGTGATCAGACTGGCTTAGGGCACATCAGGGCAAGCTGCCTCACCTTCACTACAGTGGCTCTATGATTCTGCTGGCTTCAGCTCTTTTCTATGATCCTCTAGAGGACAGTAGACTTCCCAGAGCACATAGCCAACCTGCTAAATATCTTCAGAATTGGACTGAAACAGGAGAAGATAAGAATTAATGGCAGCTGCTTGATTAAAGCAATTCTTGAGCCCAACAGAGAATGTGATGGAGGAGTCTGAACCAGACATTCTTGATTTTATTTTATTTTTTTTTGAGACAGAATCTTGCTCTGTTGTTCAGGCTGGAGTGCAGTGGCATGATCTCAGCTCACTGCAACCTTCGCCTCCCGGGTTCAAGCAATTCTTCTGCCTTAGCCTCCCGAGTAGCTGGGAGTACAGGCGCGTGCCATCATGATCAGCTAATTTTTTGTATTTTTAGTAGAGACAGGGTTTTACCATGTTAGCCAGGATGGTCTCGATCTCCTGACCTCGTGATCCACCCGCCTCAGCCTCCCAAAGTGCTGGGATTACAAGCGTGAGCCACTGTGCTCGGCTGATTCTTCTCTTTTTATCACACCCCACACCATAACTGCTCTTTCCTCACGACCAGGTCTACCTTCATAATTTACTCAGAATTTGACCATTCTTTAATCTTTTTCACCACTACCACTTTGTTCTAAGCCACCATTCACTCACTGGCCTCCTTACTCCTCCACCTGTTTCCACCCTTGCCTGTCTAGTCTGTTTTCCTCACAGCAGCCAGAGGGATACTTTTTTTTTTTTTTTGAGACGGAGTCTTGCTCTGTCACCAGGCTGGAGTGCAGCGGCGCGATCTCTGCTCGCTGCAACCTCCACCTCCCGGGTTCAAGCAATTCTCCTGCCTTGGCCTCCCGAGCAGCTGGGACTACAGGCATGCGCCACCACACCTAGCTAATTTTTGTATTTTTAGTAGAGATGGGGTTTCACCATGTTGGCCAGGATGGTCTCGATCTCTTGACCTTGTGATCCGCCCGCTTTGGCCTCCGAAAGTGCTGGGATTATAGGCGTAAGCCACTGCGCTTGGCCCAGAGGAATACTTTCAATGCTGAAGTCAGATATGTCACTTTTCTGCTCCAAATCCTTCAATGACTATCTCATTCAGAGTAAAAGTTAAAATCCTTACAATGGGGGATTCAGGGGATCATGGCAGACGGGAGACAGGACTAGATTGCACCTCAAGACACAGCAGCATGCAGAGGTTTGCACTGTGAATTTTACCTCCAGATCGACTGCAAGAACAAACCAGCAATGCCGAAAGGACCCACAGACCCTCTGAAGGAAGCAGACTGCTCTTGCAGGAGCTGGGAGAAACTCCAAATACTGTGAGTGCCCCAACAGGGGAAGTGGGAAAGGGAGACCCTCCTCTCCCAAACACACACCCCCACTGGAGAAGCTGAATGTCTGTTTGTGGGAGAAGTTTCCGACTTTACCTGGAGCTGAGTCAGCTTGGAGAACCGAGTGACATACAGGGGTAGAGGAAGCAGCAGAAAGGCCCCGGGAGCTCGCTGGGTCCCCAAGCAGCCCATTCCTGCCTGGCACCACAGGGATCCATCCGGAGGGTGGCCAGAGGAGCAGGGGTTAAAACTTCACAGGAAGAAGAAATTCTCTAGCTGAACTTTGTAACGATTTGAACAGGGCGAGAAGCCTCCTGGCCAGAACTCAGGGGAGGGAGCGAATCAGGTGTGCAGACTTCACAGGCTTGGGAAGAACTAAAGCCCTTTTCTCTCGCAGCTGGGAGGAGGAGAGCCCTGGGCAAATTTTGAAGCCCATCTCCCCCTCATCCTGGAAACAGACTTGGGGCTGTTGGGGGCAGGCACAGTGGGAATGAGACTGGCCATTCAGTTTGCGTGGGAGCTGGGTGAGGCCCGTGACTGCCTGCTTTCCCCCACTTCCCTGACAACCTTCATGACTCAGTAGAGGCAGCCATAATCCTCCTAGGTACACAACCCTGGTGACCTGGGAATCTCCTCCCCATCACCCACAGCAGCTGCAGCAAGACCAACCCAAGGAGAGTCTGAGCTCAGACATGCCTAGCCCTGCCCCCACCTGATGGTTCTTCCCTATCCTCCTTGGTAGTGGAAGACAAAGGGCATATAATCTTGGGAGTTCTAGAGCCCCACCCACACTACTACAGCTGATAGTTTCTGGAAAGTGCCACCTCCTGGCAGGAGGCCAACCAGCACAAAAATAGAGCATTAAACCACCAAAGCTAAGGATCCCCACAGAGTCCCTTGCACCCTCCGCCACCTCCACCAGAACAGGCACTGGTATCCACGGCTGAGAGACCCATAGACAGTTCACGTCACAAGACTGTGCAGACAACCCCCAGTTGGGTAGACTTGCTGGGTGGCTAGACCCAGAAGAGAGACAACAATCACTGCATTTGGGCTCACAGGAAGCCGCATCCATAGGGGATGAGTACTACATCAAGGGAACACCCCATGGGACAAAAGAATCTGAAAAACAGCCTTCAGCCCTAGACCTTCCCTCTGACAGAGCCTATCCAATTGAGAAGGAACCAGAAAACCAACCCTGGTAATATGACAAAACAAGGCTCTTCAACACCCTCAAAAAATCACACTAGTTCACCAGCAATAGATCAAAACCAAGAAGAAATCCCAGATTTATATGAAAAAGAATACAAAAGGTTAGTTATTAAGCTAATCAGGGAAGGACCAGAGAAAGGCAGAGCCCAATGCAAGGAAATCCAAAAAATGATACAAGAAGTGAAGGGAGAAATATTCACGGAAATAGATAGCTTAAAGAAAAAATAATAAAAAATTCAGGAAGCTTTGGACACACTTTTAGCAATGTGAAATGCTCTGGAAAGTTTCAGCAATAGAATTGAACAAGTAGAAGAAAGAAATTGAGAGCTCGAAGACAAGGTCTTCAAATTAACCCAATCCAACAAAGACAAAGAAACAAAGAATAAGAAAATATGAACAAAGCTTCCAAGAAGTCTGGGATTATGTTAAATGACCAAACCTAAGAATAATTGCTGTACCTGATGAAGAAGAGAATTCTGAAAGCCTGGAAAACATATTTGGGGGAAAAATCAAGGAAAACTTCCCCAGCCTTGTGAGAGACCTAGACAACCAAATACAAGAAGCACAAAGAACACCTGGGAAATTCATTCCAAAAAGATCTTCACCTAGGCACATTGTCAACAGGTTATCCAAAGTTAAGACGAAGGAAAGAATCTTAAGAGCTGTGAGACAGAAGCACCAGGTAAGCCATAAAGGAAAACCTATCAGATTAACAGCAGATTTCTCAGCAGAAACCCTACAAACTAGAAGGGATTAGGGCCCTATCTTCAGCCTCCTCAAACAAAACAATTACCAGCCAAGAACTTTGTATCCAGCGAAAGTAAACATCATATATGAAGGAAAGATACAGTCGTTTTCAGACAAACAAATGCTGAGAGAATTCGCCATTACCAAACTACCACTACAAGAACTGCTAAAAGGAGTTCTAAATCTTGAACCAAATCCTGGAAACACATCAAAACAGAACCTCCTTAAAGCATAAGTCACACAGGACCTACAAAACAAAAGTACAAGTTAAAAGGCAAAAACAAAAAACAAAACCAAAGTACACAGGCAACAGAGAGCACAATTAAAGCAACGGTACCTCACATTTCAGTACTAACGTTGAATGTAAATGGCCTAAATGTTCCACTTAAGAGATACAGTTGGATTAAAATGTTGGCTGTTTTTGTTAATATACTTAAAACTGTAACCAGTGAATAACACCTGTAGTATTTTTTATTATAGATTATATTTTATTTCAATAAACTTTGATATTTAGACAAAAGAGATACAGAACTGCACAATGGATAAGAACTCACCAACCAACTATCTGCTGCCTTCAGGAGACTCACCTAACACAGAAGGACTCACATAAACTTAAAGTAAAGGGGTGGAAAAAGGTATTTCATGCAAATGGACACCAAAATCGAGCAGGGGTAGCTATTCTTATATCAGACAAAACAAACTTTAAAGCAACAGTGGTTAAAAGAGACAAACAGGGACAGTATATAACAGTAAAAGGCCTTGTGCAACAGGAAAATCAAAATCCTAAACATATATGCACCTAACACTGGAGCTCCCAAATTTATAAAACAATTACTAATAAACCTAAGAAATGAGATTGACAGCAACACAATAATAGTGGGGACTTCAATACTCCACTGACAGCACTAGACAGGTCATCAAGACAGAAAATCAACAAACAACAGATTCAAACTATACCTTGGAACAAATGGACCTAACAGATGTATACATAACATTTCATCCAACAACCACAGAATACACATTGTATTCAACAGTGCATGGAGCTTTCTCCAAGATAGACCATATGATAGGCCATAAAATTAGACTCAATAAATTTAAGAAAATTGAAATTATATCAAGCACTCTCTCAGACTACAGTGGAATAAATCTGGAAATCAACATCAAAAAGAACTTTCAAAACCATGAAAATACACGGAAATTAAATAACTTGCTCCTGAATGAGCATTGGGTCAAAAATGAAATCAAGATGGAAATTTAAAAATTCTTTGAATTGAATGACAATAATGACACAACTTATCAAAACCTCTGGGATACGGCAAAGGCAGTGCTAAGAGGAAAGTCATAGCCCTAAATACCTATATCAAAAAAGTCTGAAAGAGTACAAACAGACAATCTAAGGTCACATCTCAAGGAACTACAGAAACAAGAACAAACCAAACTCAAACCCAGTAAAAGAAAGGAAATAACCAAGATCAGAGCAGAACTAAATGAGATTGAAACAACAACAACAAAAAATACAAACGGTAAGTGAAACAAAAAGCTGGTTCTTTGACAAGATAAATAAAATTGATAGACCATTAGCAAAATTAACCAAGAAAAGAAGAGAGAAAATCCAAATAACCTCACTAAGAAACAAAACAGGAGATATTACAACTGACACCACTGAAATACAAAAGATCATTCAAGGCTAATATGAACACCTTTATGCAAATAAACTAGAAAACCTAGAAGAGATGGATAAGTTCCTGGAAAAATACAACCCTCCTCACTTAAAGCAGAAGAATTAGATACCCTGAATACACCAATAACAATCAGTGAGATTGAAATGGTAATTAAAAGTTAACCAACATAAAAAATTCCAGAACCAGACAGATTCACAGCAGAATTCTACCAGACATTCAAAGAAGAATTGGTATCAATCCTTTTGACACCTATTCCACAGGATAGAGAAAGAAGGAACCCCCTCACCCAATTCATTTTATGAAGCCAGCATCACCCAAATACTAAAACCAGGAAAGGACATAACCAAAGAGGAAAACTACAGACCAATATCCTTGATGAACATAGACACTAAAATCCTTACCAAAATACTAGCTAACAGAATCCAACAACACATCAAAAATGTAATCCACCATGATCAAGTGGGTTTCATACCAGGGATGCAGGGATGGTTTAATGTATGTAAGTCAATAAATGTGATACACCACATAAACAGAATTTAAAACAAAAATCACATGATCATCTCAATAGATGCAGAAAAAGCATTAGACAAAATTGAGCATCCCTTTATGATTAAAACTCTTAGCAAAATTGGCATACAAGGGAAATACCTTAATGTAATAAAAGCCATCTATGACAAACCCACAGCCAATGTAATACTGAATGGGGAAAAGCTGAAAGCATCCCCTCTGAGAACTGGAACAAGACGAGGATGCCCACTCTCACCACTCCTCTTCAACATAGTACTGGAAGTCCTAGCCAGAGCAATCAGACAAGAGAAAGAAATAAAGGACATCCAAATTGGTAAAGAGGAAGTCAAACTGTCACTATTTGCTGACAATGTGATCATTTACCTTGAAAACCCTGAGGACTCCTCCAGAGAGCTCCTAGAACTGATAAAAAAAATCAGGAAAGTTTCCAGATACAAGATTAATGTACATAAATCAGTAGCTCTTCTATACAGCGACCAAGAAGAGAGTCAAATCAAGAACTCAACCCCTTATAAAATAGCTGCCAAAAAAAAAAAATACTTCAGAATATACCTAACAAAAGAGTTGAAAGACCTCTACAAGGAAAACTACAAAACACTGCTGAAAGAAATCATAGATGACACAAACAAATGGAAACACATCCCATGCTCATGGATGGGTAGAATCAATATTGTGAAAATGACCATATTGCCAAAAGCAATCTACAAACTCAATGCAATCCCATCAGAATACCACCATCATTCTTCACAGAATTAGAAAAAAAATTCTAAAATTCATATGGAACCAAAAAATAGCCCACATAAACAAAGCAAGACTAAGCAATAAGAACAAATCTGGAGGCATCACACTACCTGATTTCAAACTATCCTATAAGGCCATAGTCACCAAAACAGCATGGTACTGGTATAAAAATAGGCAAATACACCAATGGAACAGAATAGAGAACCCAGAAATAAACCCAAATACTTACAGCTAACTGATCTTTGACAAAGCAAACAAAAACATAAAGTGGGGAAAGGATACCCTTTTCAACAAATGGTGCTGGCATAATTGGCTAGCCATATGTAAGAGAATGAAACTGGAACCTCATCTCTCACCTTATACAAAAATCAACTCAAGATGGATGAAGATCTTAAACCTAAGACCTGAAACTACAAAAATTCTAGAAGATAACATTAGAAAAACCCTTCTAGACATTGGCTTCGGCAAGGATTTCAGGATCAAGACCCCAAAAGCAAATGCAATAAAAATGAAGATAAATATCTGGGACCTAATTAAACTGAAGAGCTTTTACATGGCAAATGGAACAGTCAGCAGAGTAAACAGACAACCCACAGAGTGGGAGAAAATCTTTACCATCTATACATCTGACAGAGGACTAATATCCAGAATCTACAATGAACTCAAACAAATCAGTAAGAAAAAAACAAACAATCCCATCAAAAAGTGGGCTAAGGACATGAATAGACAACTCTCAAAAGAAGATATACAAATGGTGAACAAACATATGAAAAAATGCTCAACATCACTATCAGGGAAATGCAAATCAAAACCACAATGGGATACCACCTTACTCCTGCAAGTATGGCCATAATCAAAAAATCAAAAGACAGTAGATGTTGGTGTGGATGGGTGAACAGGGAACACTTCTACACTGCTGGTGGGAATATAAGCTAGTACAGCCACTATGGAAAAGAGTGTGGAGTTTTCTTAAAGAACTAAAAGTAGAACTACCATTTGATCCATCAATCCCACTACTGGGTATCTACCCAGAGGAAAAGAAGTCATTATTTGAAAAAGATACTTGCACATGCATGTTTATAGCAGCACAATTCACAACTGCAGAATCGTGGAACCAATCCAAATGCCCATCAATCAACGAGTGGATAAAGAAACTGTGATATATATATATATATACACACAATGGAATACTATGCAGCCGTAAAAAGGAATGAATTAACAGCATTTTCAGTGACCTGGATGAGATTGAAGACTATTATTCTAAGTGATGTAACTCAGAAATGTAAAACTAAACTTGTATGTTCTTACTGATATGTGGGAGCTGAGCTATGACGACACAAAGGCATAAGAATGATACAATGGACTTTGGGGACTTGGGGGGAAGAGTGGGAAGGGGGTGAGGGATGAAAGACTACAAATATGGTGCAGTGTATATATGGGTAATGGGTGCACCAAAATCTCACAAATCCCACTGAAGAACTTACTCGGCCAGGCGTGGTGGCTCACACCTGTAATCCCAGCACTTTGGGAGGCCGAGGAGGCCAGATCACCTGAGCTCAGGAGTTCAAGAGCAGCCTGGCCAACTTGGTGAAACCCTCTCTCTACTAAAAATATTTTTAAAAAATTAGCTGGGCATGGTTGTGGGCACCTGTAATCCCAGCTACTTGGGAGGCTAAGGCAGGAGAATCACTTGAACCTGGGAGTTGGAGGTTGCAGTGAGCCAAGATCGCACCACTTGCACTCCAGCCTGGGTGACAGAGTAAGATTCCATCTCAAAAAAAAAAAAAAAAAAAAAAAAAAAAGACTTACTCATGTAACCAAATACCCTGTGTACCCCAATAACTTATGGAAAAATAAAAAAGAAAAGTTATCCATACATATATTTACTATTAAATATATCATATATGTCCAGGAGGTGGTTGGGAAACTCTAGTACCCATCAGAACTTGTTAAAACAAAGATTGCTACACTCCCTGCCCCAGGGTATGTGGTTCAGTATGTCTAGGGTGAGGTCTAAAATTTGCATTTTAACAAATTTCTAGGCTTCTGGTAGGGGACCACACTTTGAAAACCACTGATTTGAGAGATTAAAAGAAAAACTTTAAGTTTCTTTTTACTTGAAATAAGCCTGAAAAATCATCTAGTTAAATTTCTGTTTGTTACAAGCTTTAAAGAGCAGCTAGTTAGATCTTAAATAAGTATAAATATGAAGAGCATATAGTTAAATGTTAAGGCCTTGGTAGGCTAAATGGTATCTCCAATATTTCACATATAGGTAACAACAAATTGAGAGCTAGGACTCCTTGTTCACTCATACATTTTGTTGAATTGTCTCCATTGGTCTGGAGAATGTCTCCTTTTAATGTATCAACTGTTTTTGGCATGATGGCTATGTACTGTTGATGTATGTAGGTTTAAAAAAATGAGATCTGGGAGTTTAAATGCAAGTACTCAACACAGTATCCTGAGTAATTAGAACTGTGTCTATTGCAAAAAGGCTGATCAATAAATACTTAACAAAATGAAAAAAAATCCTTACAATGACTTACAAGTGCCTGCATGGTTTGTTCCCTCGTTAGCTCTACAACATCATATCCTACGACTTTTCCTCATGCTCACTCTGTTCCAGCCACACTGTTATGTCTGCCTGGAAAAATCTTCCCCAAAACATTCAAATAATTTACTCCCTTACCTCCTTCAGGTCTTAATTCAAATTATGTCCCTTTTCAGTGAGATCTTCCCTCACTACCCTATTTAAAATTAAAGTTATCCATACTCCTTATGCCTCTTCCTCATTTCATTTTTCTTATAGTACTCATCAACATCTAATACACCACATTTATTTCATTAATTTGTTTATAGTCTTTCTCTCCCTCTGCAATATAAGCTTCATGAGGGCAAGATTTTTGTCTTTTAAAAAAAGCACTGGATATCCCCAGCACCTAGCACAGGGTCTGGCATTGGTAGATGCTTAAAATTTTTTGTTAAACAAATGTTCTTAAAAAATGCTCATGGCTCAGAAAAACATTCCTTTCCCTAGCTGGCTCTCAGTTTCGCCTATTGATAGCATAAGGGAGTTGGATTGGGTGATCTTTCAGGTCTCTTGTATCTCTAGGACTAAATCTAGAGATCGGGTGAAAAGTACAATCTTGGGAGCCAGATTTCTTGGGCTTCTCCTCCTGCTGCCTTGAGACAGGTCACTTCACCTCTCTGGGCCTCCAGTTTTTGTATCTGAAAAGTAAAGATGATAAAAATAGACCCTGTCTCAAAGGGTTGCTGTGGAGATTAAATAAGATCATCCATATATAAGCACTTTAACACAGTGCATAGTGTTTAATAAACATTAACTATTGCTTTTAGGGTGATCATTAGCAAGTAGCCACATTACCAGCCTTGCTTAGGCTCATAATCAGCTTCAGTTGCTGATGGTATGAAAAAAAAAAAAAGCAAAACAACTTCCATAACAACAAATTCACCTGAGGTTCATATGCAGCTCATATGCGACTCATATGCATACAGCTGGCCTTTCCCCCTTCCTCCACCCCATTACTAAGACAGAAGAACAGCCTGTTCTCTTGTAACCTGATGTCCCTGGATAAGCGGGAGGGGGAGAGAGGCAACGTGTGATTGCCATGGCCACCCGCTGCATTTCAAGTTCCACAGAGAAGCAGGGTATGGGGGCTTATTCACAATCACCCACAAACCTGGCCATGGGTGCCTTCAACCAGAGTGTGTAGAATACATGTTGTTCCAGTGGCAGAGGCCCATCACAGATGTTCTACTAGGAGGGCAAAGGATGATGTTCAAAGCCATCAGCAGCATACGTGATTCAGACAGCTGGCCAGGTCTTTGGGGCCAGAGATGCGTGGGCTTGCCAGAGTAAGGCAGGATGTGGATAGGTTACTGGAATGGAAACTAGAAACAGTAACCAATGAAAAAACCTAATAAAATGATAAGAATATTAATAACAGCTTACATTTCTTTTGAATATATTGTGTACCAAATGCTTTGTACATGTTTTCATTTAATTCTCCAATGAACTCAGTAGTTCTCAACTTTAGCTATACGTTGGACAAACTTGAAAAAAATCAATGCTCTGGCCCCACCGCACCAATTAAATCAGAATGTCTAGCAAAAAAAAATTAATCTCCCCAGATAATTATAATGTGTAGCCAGGGTTGAGAACCCTCTGTTCACCAGATCTAGGCTTAATGCAGCAACAGCAGTGACATTAGGCCATTATTTCTTTAACCATGGTATGCGTACCACTGGCTGTACACAAAATGATTTAGGAGATAAATGTGAGCATTTTAAATGTCAAAGTTATGTATTCATCTTGATGTATATTAGAAATATACATCTATCTATAATACATATAGCCTATGATTTCACAAACATTGCTTAAACAATGCTAAATTGATTTAAAATATTGAAAAGTGACTTGAGTTAAAGAAATATATGAAATAAATGATAATAAGTTGACATAAGAATATGGCTCCAAAAATTCAGAATGGGATAGATGAATGGCTGAAGAGGAAGAAACACTATCTGAAGTCATTCATTTTTTTCATTCAATAAACATTTACTGGAAAATGATTATGTGACAGATATTATGTTAGACACAATAGACAGATGAGGAAAGAATAAGAAATGGTTCTTGCCTTCAAGGATCTCACAGAAAAGAAAATATACAATGGCAATTCAGTATAAATAAGCACAGGGTATAGTGGGAATGTATGGAGGGGGCAGGTTATGGAGACAGAAGCAGTGGGGATTTAGGAAGATTACCAAGAAAAGGTGGCTGGTCATGTAAAAGGGAGAGGGAGGAAAAGATGATGTCAAGATGAGGGCAGTAGGAACAACGCACAGAAGTGAGAAGCAGCAGGGTGTAAAGATGCAATGGTTGGCTTGGGGGAGGGGTGAAGAAGGGAGTATTCAATTACTAGAGCAAAACATACAAGGCAGGGAAGTGAGGAGAGAAAAGGCCAGAAAGATTTGCCTGAATTGGATTATTGCACTCCAAGAAGAAGGGTTTGAGCTTTATTCTTTTCTTTGGACAGGCTTGACTTTATATCTGGGCTAGAGGGTTAATATTCAAATCCTAGTTTTAGCACTTTTTTTTTTTTTTACTGTGTGTCAGTGGGCAAGTTGCCTAACCTTTCTTAGCTTCAGTTTTCTCATCTGTCAAGTGGAAAATTAATAGATACCTTTCTTAGCATTAAGTGTAGGAGGTTAAATGAGATCTCATTTATAAATCATTTTTCATGGTGCTTGGCACACAAAGTAAGTCCCACTTCTTGTCTGTTCTTCCCTGGCAGAAAAAAAAAGAGCACATCTCTTGTCAGCAGTGTGTGTTTATAATATGAGTCAATCTGTATTACTCTCTCATTTTATCTCTATATTCAATAAACTTTTAAAAAACATCTGCCATGTAGCAGGCCTTTTGCCTATTTTATTTTACTTAATTTGCACAAGGGCCCTGATGACAGGAAGACTGTGCAGTGAAAAGTCCAGTGAAAAGGGCAGGGCTGCTGATGCTATCTTAACTTCAACTAGAACAGCTATGCTTTGGCTCCACAATGCTTAAGGTACAAGGGATTCCACGTTTCTTTATTATTTCTTCATAGATGAAAAAACATCAAGAACTGTTTTCCTGACTCTGGGAGAGAAAAAATAGCTGAAGACATAGGGCCCTATATGCTGAAAATTTGCCCCAGTGACCTCTACTAGCCTGAGAGTCTGGAGGCATTATTGGTGTCTTCCAGAATTTAGCTTCTTTGTCTCCTGATATTCTATTTTTTTTATTTATTGTGGTAAAAAAAATACAACATCACACAAAATTTACCATCTTAATCATTTTAAAGTATACAGTTAAATAGTGTTAATTAGATTCAAATTGTTATGAAACAGATCTCCAGATTCTTTTTTAAATCAAATAGAATACTCTATCAGTATGTTCATTTTGTGGTAATTCACTGGTGTGTAAGTCTAAGATTTGTTCATTTTTTTCTCTAGTTATGTCGTACTTTAAGAAACAGGTTTTTTAAAGTAATGACATTGCATAAAACACCAGTGACTGTTCCAGTTAAGTTATTGGTGAATGATCCAGTTGGCTATAGAAATTAGAGATGGTAAGTTTCTTAAATGTAAAACAAAAACAATATATTTTTAAATGCCCTACACAATTTAGAAGGGGAAAGAAATTAGTTCAATACTAAGACATCTTAACCAGCAGAAAAGAGAACAGAGAGGTCTTCTAGTTCAGGTAAGATGACATACATAGACTCCTTTCTTGTTGCTCCTCCCCACTAGATACAACTATAAATTCTGATAATAAACCTTTTTTTTCCTGTGGGCCTGGAGTACTTGGTGGTTAGGAGGTCACCTGTAAGAGGAATCCCTTCAGAACAAGTGACCCAGCCTGGAAGCTTCTTTGTGTCCTTGGGCCTGAGAAGACCCTCCCCCACACAGACAGGCCAGGTTGCCCTTGGGGTAGGGGGAGTGGATCCTGCACAACATATGGCCAATTGCAGGAACCCTTCTTCCTGGAGACTCCCTTTTCCCACCTAGAGGCATCATAATAACCTAGCCTGGGGAAGCACCTTCTGCCTCCACAGGCCGAATCAGCATAGACCAGGGAAAGCCTCAAAGGCACCACGTAAACCAAGCAGATGAAAGCACAGTAAAAGCTCTGAAAATTAAACTGTCACTGGAACCACAGCACACAAGAGTAGGCCAGGACTTGCATGCTAAACCTAAACAAGGAGACTTCCTAAAATAGAAGATTGACATAGGACTCTCAGACTTTCCTAACTCAATAACAAAAATGTGGATATTTTGTAGAACATATTTTAAAATCACCTGTCATACCAAGAACCAGGAAAATAAGTTGAACGAGAAAAGATAACCAAATGATGCCAATATGGAGATGAATCATATGTTGGAATTATCTGACAAAAGTTTTAAAGCAGTCAGCATAAAAATGCCTCAATGGGCAATTATGAACATGGTAGAAATAAATTAACAAATGAAAATTTCAGCAAAGAAATAGAAATTATATAAAAAAGAACCAAATGCAAACTCAAAAATACATTAATGGGAAAAAACACACCCAAGTAATTATGCTGAGTGAAAGAAACCAATTTCAAAAGGTTATGTACTGTATGATTCCATTTATATGAAATTATTGAAATGACAAAATCATTGAACCTGAGAACAATTTAGTAGTTGTCAGGATTTAGAGTTTTGGTTCAGGAGAGGGAAATGTATGTGGTTATAAAAGGGCAAAATGAGAGATCCTGTGGGATGGAACTGCTCTATATCTTGACTATTGTGGAGGATAAACAAACTTACATATGTATTAAATTGTATAGTGCTAAATACACACACATACATACACATACATAGAAAGGAGTATAAGTAATACCAGAGAAATCTGAATATCAGTGGATTGTATCAATGTCAATATCATGGCTGTGATATTGTACTATTTCCCACTGGGGGAAGCTGAATGAAGGTTCCATGCTCTGTATTATTTATTGCAATTCCATATGAATCTATATCTCAAATAAAAATTTAATTAAAAATTAATCTATATTTTAAGTGCTTAATTAAAATAAAATCGATTCTCTGATTCATGAAATAGAGAAAATAGTATTTTATTGTGAACTATGGCTTTGCTTTGTTTTAGGTAAATGCTAGTGTTGGCATAAATTTGTAAAACATAAGCTTTGTTAGTATATACATATTTTTGAAAGTTACATTTCGGGGCAATTTTGAGGTGTGGAACCTGAAGTTTTATTGCAGGACTTAGTGCAGCTTCAGAATCAGTGCATTTAAAAGCTAGAACAATGTTGGCTTTTAACTCCATATATTAGATTTATCAATTATTAGAAATAAACTGCCATGTATATTCATTTTTAAAGTGCAATAGAATCTATGTGGATTCAATTAGAAAACAAATACATCCTATATGAGCTCTCACTCAGCAGAGTTGGCTAGAAGTCCAATATCAATTTCTTTGTGGGATTCTTTCATTTTCCTTTGATTATATCCAAATCTTGGGGTTTAGGCAGTCTGGGAAGAAAAGAGGAAGGGCCCTGGTTACCAGGCTGTGGCGACAAAAATCTCATTGCTCCTCTTCTAGGCTGGTGTGGTCCATTCATTCAAAGGTGAACTTTGCGATTCCCTGCTAAACTCCCTCTTTGCTGAGTTCTGCAATGGAGACTTTCACTGGGGCACTTCAGGCTTGCCTAATAACCAAGTCTTCACAGAGCTACCACTATCCCAGGCCTGTCACCACCAATGTGTTCTCTATGAACAGAAGCAGAACTAGAAAACTGGTGGTTCTAGTTTGTTTCTTGCCCTGAGGGAAGCTGTACAACTTACCAACTCCCCGCTGCTCTATCTTGGCAACTCAGCCTCATCCCCATGATGAGCTTATAAGAAACTTCACTGTGTATCACGATCACCCAAGAGCTTGTTAAATATGCTACAACCTAGGACCTGCCCCAAACCTCCTGGTGCCTTTGTTTATTAATCCATTTCACTGAAAAAATAAAGAGCAAAGTATTTGGACATTAAATTAGTAGTATGTCACCCTGCCATGTAAATAAAAAATTTTATTTGAAACTGGCTAGCCATATGCAGAAGAATGAAACTGGAACCCCTACCTTTCACCATATACAAAAATTAACTCAAGATGGATTAAAGATTTATTTTTATTTTTTATATTTACATTTATTTTATTTTTCCATAAGTTATTGGGGTACAGGTGGCATTTTGGCCACTTTTTCAAAAATTATAAATAAATTTCAAGGTGGCTACAGCAGCACATTAAACCATGTGCAAGGTCCTTCTAGGCATGGGGCCCTGTGAGACTGCACAGGTCACATGACCATGATGACAGTCTTGAACTTGGCAGAGAGGTCAGGGTGGTAGGTATGGATTTGGGAGTCATTGGCATGTAGACGGTCTTTTACATAATGAGAGTAGAGGAGATTATCTAAGGAGAACTTGTAGAGTGAGAAAAGCAGAGGAGGTTGAAGATAAACTCCAGGGAACACCAGCAGTATAAGAATAAACAGGAAAGAGCTCTCAACAGTGTGCAGGCAAAAGAGGTGGAGGTTAAGAGAACAAATTTTGGATCTAGACTGGATAAAGAAAGTGTGGCACATATACACCATGGAATACTATATAGTCATAAAAACGGATGAATTCATGTCCTTTGCAGGGACATGGATGAAGCTGGAAACCATCATTCTAGGCAAACTAACACAGGAACAGAAAACCAAACACCACATGTTCTCACTCATAACTGGGAGTTGAAAAATGAGAACACATGGACACAGGGAGGGGAACATCACACACCAGGGCCTGTCGGGGGATGGGGGGGTAGGGGAGAAATAGCATCAGGAGAAATACCTAATGTAGATGATGGGTTGATGGGTGCAGCAAACCACCATGGCACATGTATACCTATGTAACAAACCTGCACTTTCTGCACATGTATCCCAAAACTTAAAGTATAATAATAAAAAAAAGAAATTGCCAAATTGTTTTTCAAAGTTACCGTACCATTTTTCATCCCCACTAACAATTTATAAGAATTCCAGTTGCTCTGCATCCTTGTCAGCACTTGGTATTGTCAGCTTTTTAAAAAAAATTTTAGCCATTCTAATAGTTGTATAGTGTTATCTTTTTTGTTTTTTTTTTTTTTTGAGATGGAGCCTCGCTCCGTCACCCAGGCTGGAGTGCAGTGGCACAACCTCTGCTCACTGCAAGCTCCGCCTCCCAGGTTTGCACCATTCTCCTGCCTCAGCCTCCCAAGTAGCTGGGACTACAGGCGCCCACCACCACGCCCGGCTAATTTTTTGTATTTTTAGTAGAGACAGGGTTTCACCGTGTTAGCCAGGATGGTCTCGATCTCCTGACCTTGTGATCTGCCTGTCTTGGCCTCCCAAAGTGCTGGGATTACAGGCATGAGCCACCGCGCCCAGCCGATTTGTCCAATATTTTTCTAATGACTACACTAGAGTTACTGGTTTCTACAGAAGACCACAAAGGTAAAGTGCCATTCTCATAATATCATATCAAGAGTACATACTGTCAACATGATCTTTCACAGTTGATGTTAACCTTGATTACTTAGCTAAAGTTAGTGTTTGTCAGGTTTCTCTACTATAAAGTTATTCTTTTTTCCTCCTTTTTATATCATACTCTTTGGAAAGAAGTCTCTATGCACAGCCCATACTTAAGTGGAGAGTGATGTTCCATTTCCTTAGGGGTGGAGTATCTGCAGAAATTATTTTGAATTCTTATGCATAAAAGATGTCTTCCCCCATTTGTTTATTTGGTAATTTATATCACTATAGACTTATGGATATTTATTTTATACTTTGGCTTATAGACCAATATTACTTTATTTTGTTGCTCAAATCGTTCCAGCTTTGGTCATTTAAAACTCTTTCAGTTGGTATGTATGTCCCTTTAACATGCCCCCATCACTGTGACTTTTTTGAGTACTTCCTTATTTTCTGGAACTACAAGATGCTCCAGGCTTGTCTTATGTCTTTCCTGTCCCAGTCCTAGAATCAGCCATTTCTCCAAGGAGCCTTGGTTCCTTTTATTGGAAAATGATATTAAAAACCAATATCTGGGTTCTAGGTGTGCCTGTTGCTACTACAGTGTCATTGTTTCTAGGCCCTCTCACAGAGCTAGGAAATACATGTATGTATACTAGCCATGGATACACACAATTCTTTCTATATCGGTTTCTATGCTAAGCTAAACATAAATTCATACTGATGTCTCCAACAGTAATAGCAATATTACATGGTTCATTCTAGCCTTTCTCTCTTGCTTATCTGTAATATCTCACTCTAACAGTGAGAAACCTGTTTGCCACCAACCACTTATTTGTTCAATCCTGGTATACATGTACAGTGGTTTCAGAATTGTTAACCTGTGCCCCTGTGAAAAAAACAACTTGTGGTAAAGTGCTTATGTATGGTTCCCATGGTCTTCAGTTTTGTACTTTTCGGCCATATTCAAAGTTACTGAGGTCAGTACTTCCTTTTCCCCAACCCTTCGGTTAAATTGTGCCATATATTTGTAATACAGTTATATTATTTTGTTACAGTCTACATTCCAACCTAAGATCCCCAACTTCCTAGTTGAGTTTTAAAATTTGTATACATTAAGTTTACTCTTTATGTTGTAAAGTTCTACGAATTTTGTCAAATGGGTAGTGTCATGTATCCATCAGTACAGTACCATATATAATATATTCATATGGTACATAAATCCCCTGTGATTCACTTAACCTTTTCTCCTCCCCAAATCCCTGGAAACCACCCATCTGTTTTCAGTCTCTACAGTTTTCCCTTTTCCACAATGTCATATAAATGCTGTGTAGTATATAGTTTTCTCTGACTGGCTTTTTAAACTTAGCATATGCATTTAAGATTCATCCATGTTATTGCATGATATCTCATTCCTTTTAATTGCTAAATAATGTTCCATAGTGTAAATGCACTACAGTTTGTTTATCCATTCGCCTTGAAGGACATCTTGGTTGCTTCCAGTTTTTTGTAAGTAGGAATAAAGCTGCTATAAACATTTGCACTGAGGTTTTTGTGTGGACATAAATTTTCAAGTCAGTTGGCTAGTACCTAGGAACATGATTGCTGGATCATATGGCAAGACTATTTTTATCATTGTAAGAAACTACCAAACTGTCTTCCAAAGTAGCTGTATCATTTTGCATTCCCAGCAGCAACGAATGAGAATTCCTGTTGTTCCACATCCTTGCTAGCATTTGGTGCTGTCAGTGTTCTGGATTTTAGCCATTCTAAAAGGTGTGCAGTGAACAATTTTGAGTTTTTGTATAAATAATCTCATTGTCGTTTTAATTTGAAATTCCCTGATGACATATGATGTTGAGCATCTTTTCTTATGCTTACTTGTCATCTGTATATCTTCTATGATGACTTGTCTGTTAAGATCTTTTGTCCATTTTTAAATTGAGTCATTTGTTTCTTATTGATGAGTTTTAAGAGTTCTTTATATGTTTGGATACAAGTCCTTTATCAAATATGAGTTTTGCAAATATTTTATATATACTGTCTTTTCATTCTCTTAATATTGTCTTTCACAGGGAAGAAGTTTTTAATTTTGGTAAGGCCCAATTTATCAAATTTTTTCTTTTATAACATGTGCTTTCGGTGTGGTATGTAAGAACTCTTGGCCTAACCTAAGGTCACAAAGATATTCTGTTTTTTCTTCTCAAAATATTATAAATTCTACATTTTAAATTTAGCCTTAGGAACCATTTTGAGTTTATTTTTGTGTAAAAATAATTCGGGTTCATTTTAAAAATATATGGATGTCCAAATATTCCAGCACCATTTATTGAAAGACTACCTTTTCTCTTGTTTCCTTTGAATTTTTGTCAAAAATCAGTTGACTCTATTTGTGTTGGACTACTTCTTGGCCTCTATTTTTTCACTTGATCTATGTGTCTATCCTTCTGCCAATACAATAATTACCTTTATTTTTTATAGCAGGATAATAAGCCTTAACATCCAATAGAGTAATTCCTCCAAATACCACACTGTGTTGATATAGTTAATAGTAAGTCTTGAAATAAGATACTACGAGTCCTCCAACTTTATTCTTTTTGAAAATTATTTTGGATATCCTAGTTCCTTTGCCTTTCAATATGAATTTAAGAATCACCTCGTTAATATCTAGAAAAAAAATCCTGCTGGGATTTTAATTGAGTTTGCATTGAATTTATAGATCGATTTTGGGATAATTAATATCTTAACAATATTGAGTCTTCCAACATATGAACATGGTTCATATCTCCATTTATTTAGTTTGTCATATCTTTCATATATGTTTCATAGCTTTTAGTATACATATCTTGAACACTTTTATTAGTTTTCTACCTATTTCATTTTTTCTGGTATAATTGAAAATTGTACTTTTAAAAAAAACTTTCGATTTCTAATTGTTCATTGCTGGTATACAGAAATGCAATTAATTTTTGTATATTGACCTTTTATTCAGAGACCTTGATAAACTCATTTATTAGTTTTAATAGTTCTTTTGTAGATTCCATGGAATTTCCCACAGAGACAATTTTGTTGTGTATAAATATAGTTTTATTCCTTCTTTTATATTCTGTATGCCTTTTATTTTTCTAGTGTTATTGCGCCAGGTAAGATTTCCAGCATGATATTAAATAGGAGTGGTGAGAATAGAGATGCTTGTCTTTTCCATAGTCTTAAAGAAAAAGCATTCAATCTTGCATATTAAGTATGATGTTAGTTGTAGATATACTGTATTAGATTAAGGAGGTTCCTTCTATTCCTAGTTAGCTGTGAGTCATTTTAAAAAAGTTTGATTGAGGTATAATTTACATTCCATGAAATTCACCTATTTAAATAATTTCTAGTAAATGTATAGTTATGAAACCATCAAATCCAGTTTTAGAACATTTTCCCCTACCCGCAGTTCCATGAATCCTCAATCCCAGGAAACCTACTTTCATTGTCTTTTCCTGGACATTTTATATAAGAAGGGAAACACTGCCTTGTATTCCTGTATTTGGTCACTTTTTGTGGGGGGAATCACCCCCTTTCAGTGCCGCTAGGCCTTCCAGTGTCTTTAGGTGGGCGAATAGAGTTTCCAATCCATAGAGTACAGAAAAATGTTTTCCAGGCAGGACAGCTTGTTGTGGTGGGGTCACCCTGCTTGTACCACTGGGGCCATTGGGTGTCTCTAGGTGAGAAAAGAAACTCTCTGGCCCATAAGAATGAAATGCACTTTCTCTGGTCACTTATCATTACTGGAGCTCCTACTTGATCACCAGTGCCACTGGGCCCAACTGGAGTAATTAGCAGGACTCCCAACTGATCTGGAGAAGGCATGAGCCTACCTGAGTAACCTTTATCTGATATGTCAGGGTCAGGAGATTCCAGGCCTAAATGCCTTCTGTTGCTGGGTGAGGGGTGGTAAGACACACAACTGCTATGTTGCTCTTCCAGTACTGGGGTCCCTAGCCAGTCCATCTTCCTCTTTCCACCATTCAGAGTCCTCCTACGGTTGCTTCTTGTGTTATGTCATAGTTATATTTAGCAAAGAGAAGCAGAAAGAGATGAGTTTATGTCCTCTTGTCTGGATCAAAGTCCCTAGACCATTTACATTTTAATGTAACTATATATGTCTGGATTTAAGTCTTCCATTTTGTGTGTGTGTGTGTGTGTTTGTGTGTGTGTGTTCTGTTTGTTCCCTCTGCTTTTCATTTCTCTGTTTTATTTTTCCTTTGGATCACTTCAATATTTTTAAAAAATCGGTTTTGATTCATCTGTAGTGTTCTTGAGTGTATCTTTTCATATAAAATTTTTAGTGGTTGTAGGCATTACATTATACATAAATAACTTATCAATGTCTACAGACATTTTAACGGTTTGAGTGAGGTATAGAAATCTCATATCCTCTTAAATTTCTATTCTTCCCCCATTTATAATTTTCTCAAATATTTCCTCTGTATACATTAAGAACACAATCAGACAATATTATAATTTTTATTTAAACTATCAAATGTAATTTAGAAAACTTAAGTGGAGAAGGAAAGTCTATTGCATTTACCCATATTTTAACTCTTCCATTGTTCTTTCTTCTTTTCTGATGTTCCCAAATTCGTTCTTTTATCATTTTTTTCATGCTTCAAGAACTTACTTTAGCCATAGCAAAGGTATATTGGTGACAGATTCTTTTAGTTTTCCTTTGTCTGAGAATGTCTTGATTTCCACTTATTTCCTAAGAAATATTTTCACTGGACATAGAGATTAGCCTATAATTTTCTTTTTTGTCATTTTGTTGTCTTCATTTTCCTTTGAAGTAAGACTCAAAGCCCTTGCAGGGCTACAGTCTAGCATAACACTAGATTTGTAATACTCACTATTCTATGTTTTATTTTAGAACTGTTATTCACATATGAGAGGGTGCCTCTGAAGTTGTGCAAAATAAACAGCCAATTGCTGAAAGTAAGAGGAATTGGAGAGGTTTAAGGAATACAAGTGGAGATTTTAATAGGCACTGAAAGAATGGGAGAGGGAACTGACAAGTAAAATGATGGCTGAGTGATGTTGAGGGTCCAGCTGAGAAAACAAGCCATCTCTTTGTAGTGGCTTCAATCTGCATAGCTGGGTGGTTTTCTTTTGCAGCCTGAAATAGAGGGTAGTTGGAAGCAGCAGTGAGAGGATAAATTTAAGGAAAGCTTTAAAAGTTTTGTTCTTGTCTCTCCTCCAATTGCCTACCTACATTATCTACCCTTCACTACAGAAATCGGCAGAAATATCTCCAACCATAGTTACCAGTGTATGGAGGGTGTATCAGAGTATATCAGGGCAGCAAAAAAGCCCTGCTTGGTTGAGTGGGAGGCTGTTGAAAACAGATAGGGACTCCCCTGCTCCATTGTTCATTCACTCCTCCACACTTTTCAAATCCCCAAAGTTGATGAGTTACAACCTGGGACACTGATACCCCCCCAGCACTGCTTCTTTCAAACAAGTTTTAAGATGAAGCCTTGATCATATCAGTTGCTTATAGAGTGGCAGCAAATGGGAATTATTAACATGTTCTGAGCTACCTGGGGCTCTCCTTTCCTCACTCTTCAAACACAATGAGGCTGACATAGACTAATACAGAGAAGGTAAAGTGCATGCACACATACACGCACACACACAATCACAGAACTTAAACATAAACTTCTCAAAGTTTCCAGAGAGAAAAATCAAGTCCTCTACAAAGAAAGGAATTAAATTGACAACAGACTTTTAGCAACATTGAATACAAGACAATATTTTAAAGGACTGGACCTGTAATGCTTAAAATGACTTTGAACCTATAATTTTATATTCAGCCATTTTTAAATTAATTAATTTATTTATTTTTATAAATTTTTTGAGACGGAGTCTCGCTCTGTTGCACAGGCTAGAGTACAGTGGCGTGATCTCGACTCATTGCCACCTCCACCTCCCAGGTTCAAGCAATTCTCCTGCCTCAGCCTCTCGAGTAGCTGGGACTACGGTGCGTGCCACCACGCCCAGCTAATTTTTTGTATTTTTAGTAGAAACAGGGTTTCACCGTGTTAGCCAGGATGGTCTCCATCTCCTGACCTCATGATCCGCCTGCCTCAGCCTCCCAAAGTGCTGGGATTACAGGAGTGAGCCACCGTGCCAGGCCAGTTTTTGTATTTTTAGTAGAGACAGGGTTTCACCATGTTGGCCAAGCTGGTATTGAACCCCTGACCTCAAGTGATCCACCCACCTCGGCCTCCCAAAGTGCTGGAATTACAGGCATGAGCCCCTGTGCCCAGCCCATTTTTTAACTTAAATGTAGCATAGTAATAAATATATTCTGTGGCATGCACTATCTCAGAAGGTTTGTCACACAAAGACCCTCATTGAAGACAATTTTGGAGGAGGTCTTCAAATTAGAAAGGAAAAAAATACAGGAGATGCTGCAAAGACATGGGGAGTAAGGGCAAGTATACACTGGTAGTATAGTTTATTGCTGACTTGATAATTAAATACTGAGCAGAAAAGAAGAAAAAGTGTATATCCATAGTAACTCAGAACAGATATTTTTAAACATTATCAAAGTGATGGGGAAGGTGTGGTGGAACTCAAAAAACATGAGAACATTTTCAAGTACTTGTAATGTTAAGAGAAAAATGTAGATACTGATAAATTTAAGAAACTAATATGGTTAAATTAACATGGGTATTTGTTAGTTAAGGGCAACTAAAATAAGAACCAAAATGGCAGTTATAACTTGTAAACCAGAAGAAGAAAATTCATCCTATTTTGTAGAAAATAGGAAAGAAGAAAAATATAAGTGATTCAAAAATGATTTACAGTGTGGATTTCCTCTAAATGTTGAAAACATCCACTATGTGTCCTGGGTGACAGTGGTTGAAGCGAAGTAGAATTGAGGCATTCAACAGAACTGAGAAGTTAAGGTGTTGGATGACATGTCTGCATGGATACCATTACCAGAGCTGAGAAAAGTTTATCCTCCTTTAAGACTTCTGTCTTTGTATTTTCCTCCCCTCTATCCTCTTGGCAAAACCCTATAATTTATGGGGAATGAAAAAATTAACAATTTTAATCGGAGAGGGCTGTATGGGAAGTAGAATCTTCAGTGGAGTGCCAGGTCTCAATTACAGATGTGCAGGAAATGTTCAAATAAGAGGGACAACATTTCTGTATATTTTCATAGGCTGAGCTTATTTTACTGTGCAACAGGGCACCCGGGAAAACTGTGGAAAGGTTTAAAAAGAGGGGATTCTGTGATGGAAGATAACTGGGGAAGGAATTCATGATTATATTATGAGAGTAGGAAGAGGATAGGTGATAGTGTGAGGAGGTGCTTGCCTTTGGGTGGTGTCTAGGGATTACAAGGATAAAAAGCATAGATAAAATTGGCTGCACACAAAATCCCCAACATTACTTCACATTGTTTTATATCCAGAATGAGCTGAATTGTTAGATGATAAACAACCAGCACCCCTAACATTGTCCCACCTCCTCACTGTAGTTTACTTGCTGTGTTCAAAGCAGAGATAAAGCCTCCTCCAGTCCCCATTCTTCCTTTCATCTCTTTTCTTCCTCTCCCATCTCTCACTTCTCCCTCACATCCCCATATCACATCACTACTTACTGCCTCTGGACAGTTCAGTGGCTAGACAAGATTACACCTAACGTAACCATTGGACAACTCATAGGACTTTAGACAAAGGTTGCCACCTTGTGGTCAGAGGCAAAAATAACCAAGGGTCTTGGGTCACCGACTTGAGTGTACATCAGAATCAGCTAGAGGGCTTGTTAAAATAGAATGCTGGGCCCCAATCCCATATTTGCTGATTTAGTAGGTCTGAGTTGGGACTTAAAAACTTGTATTTCTAACATATTCCCAGATGATGCTGCCATTGTTGCTTCAAGGACCACACTTTGAGAACCACTGCTTTAGACAAATCTTTTTCAGGATAGGTAGACCTCCATTTGGTCATCCAAGATTGGTAGAATTAGAGTTTGAACACAAACATGTTTGAATTAATTTTTTGCTACCTTATTATTAGGAAATGCATGTGGTACTGCTTGGGCAACAGCCTCACTTGTTTTCTTTATCCTGGACAAGGTAACCACTAAATAAAGAAAGAAGTGGCATCCATTCTCCCTGCATAGATTGAATGTACCATGGTATATGTAACAATTCCAGTGCCAGGCACAGTGCCTCATGCCTGTAATCCTAACACATTGGGAAGCCGAGGCAGGAGGATCGCTTGAGCTCAGGAGTTTGAAGCTGCAGTGAGCTATGATTATGCCACTGTACTCCAGTCTGGGCCACAGAGTAAGACCCCACCTCAAACAAACAAACAAACAAAAAAACACCCAATTCTTTTACTGTTGGACATTTAGGTTATTTCCAAATTTTCACAATTGTTAAACAAATTTAAAGTTAACTCTCTTGTTCCAAACCCTTCTCTTGTCATTTCCTGAATACCATTGATAGAATAACTTTGATGCAATTTAATGATGCTAAAGTCTCCTGAGTGAGGATGGGTAGGATCAAAGGGAATATGGGAGCCAAAAAATCCTATTCCACCAAAAGTACTACTATAAGCAAAACTGGACACAGGCTCCTGCTCTCTTGGAGATTACAGTCTAGCACAGGATTCAAATATTAATCAGCTATTCATACAAGTAAATATAGAGTTGTGGATGTAAAAATGCTGTGAAGGAAAGATCAACAGTGTGGTAGGCAGTGTGATAGTACTTGGGAATTTTGTTCCCAGATTGTAATAATAAACTTTTAAAAATTGGCTACTAACATTTTAATAATAAATTTGTTATGATTAATATTTTGACATATTTTCAAATTTATGCCTGTATACTGGAATTTCAATATATAATGAGGATTTTTGGATTTGGGCTTAGTTTTTGCTTAATCTTGATTTTGATACCTAGCTGTGGGGGTTTGTCCTGCAGACCTTGACTTAATGATGGATGAATAACATATACTGACACAGATATTTTGCCTGTCAGTCCGGCTGAGGGTCTGGGCCACTTATAGACACCAAGGAGGGTGGTGTAAAGAGTTGCAGCTGCAGCCCTGACTTGCTGGCCCTACTGGCATTTATTTAGCACACATTAAATGACAAAGGCTTTGGGTCAACACCATTAGAGGGTAATTAACCTGGTAGCCTTCTCCCTGAGAGAGCCATCCTGCCCTTGAATGATCAAAGGTTAGTTTTAGGACCACATGAATAAACAAGTTATTTAGATAAACTCCTCTACATTCCTATGTATCTATGCCCTAAGCTTTTAAGAGAATTCAGCTGCCTTCAGCCAAACACTACTGAAACCATGCAAACCCCCAGGCCTTCCAAGAGGGTTTGTGTTTATTTCCTATAATTTCACAATTTCTCCCACCATCCTGACTGAACCCCTACACCTAGCCAAGCATCATTTGGCTAAACCGCAGATTAAGTGAACCTCTACCACATATCTTATACCACTTTGCCTCTCTGTGGGGGAAAATTTTTCAGGTGGTCTTTATGATCCCCACCTCCTGGTGTTCACACCCCTGTATAATCCCCTCCCCTGGAGTGTAAGTGGGAAGTGTGGCTTGATTCTAAACAATAGAATATGGCAAAGGTGATGGGATGTCACTCCTGTGATTACAATATATGACTCCATCTTGCTAGCTGATTTTAGAGTCTTTCTCTCTCCATTGCTTGTTTGGAAAAAGCAGCCAGCCATAAGTCTTAAAGCCACAAGGAAAGGAACTGCTCAGAACTAGAGTGAGCTTGGAAGTGGATCCTTCCCCTGTCAAGCCTCTAAATGAGAGCCCAGCCCTGACCAAGACCTTGATTGCAGTCTTACAGAGGACCCAGCTAAGCTGTGCCTTGACGTGAAAAACTATGAGATAGTAAATGTGAGTCATTTTAAGCCATTCAGTTGTGGCATCATAGTAAAGGAATATACCTCCTCAGCACTTCAACCCCTTTGACTTGTATTCAGCATTCTTGGTCTCTCATATGACACTCCCTCTACCCGGATTGTTCCCTCTCCTTCTTCACTTCACTTTTGCCTAGCTAACTCTTTCAGGTTTTAACTGAATTGTTACTTCCTTTGGAAAGATTCTCTTAACTTCCATTTTGGAGATTTTTCTTCCTTGAAAAATTTGGATTGACACTGGTTTTAAGTCATCCTCATAAGATGTGAAAAATTCCCAAATAAGATTTTTTCCTAAAGGAATCATGAAATGATTAACTAAAATTTAATATGTACATAAAGGTTATTTTGGTTACTATTGTGAATGCTAACACCTCAACCAAGTGTATAGTTTAAAATTATAATATACTTGAACCTCTATTATTTAAAGTTTTCAAAGACTGTCTCAAAATTGATATAATATTCTCCCTAAGGTTATTTAGTGAGTGTATGCTCTCATAATTTGTATTAACTACCAATCTGCTTCCATATTTAACTATTTGGAAGTTAAGTTTTATGGAGATAAATTTAAGAGTTCTTACAATCAGCATTATTGTATTTTATTCTTTCAAAGATACACATTTATTTTTCAACGGATTGACAGAATTAAAATATATAGAACATAAGAGATTTTCTCCCTAGTTTTATCTAGAATGCTTAACTATGTTTTAAAGTGAATATTAAAATATTAATAACTCCAAATGACTTCCATTATTCATATTACTGTCATTATTATGCAGTAGCCTAGGTGATCACCTGATCATTGATCATGCACAAGTTTAAGAATGTCAGAAATAATGGTTTTGGTAGACTGTATTATTTGTTAAAAATTATTCATTTCGTCCCCACCCTATAGGTAGAGTATACCTTAGTGTCCAATTGTCCTTAGGACTGGCTAGTCAGTGACTTGCTTTAGTCAATAGAATGTAAGTAGATGTGATGTGCAGACTCTAGGATGGCCTCCATGTTCCTCACCTCCTAGTATTCATGCCCTGGTACAATCCTCTCCCCTTGAGTGTGATGGCCCTGTGACATGCTTCTAAATGATAGAATATGGCAAAGGTGATAAAATGTCTAATTTGTGATTATATTACATTCTATATGATCTAGTCTTACTATCAGATTCACTTTAGAGACTCTCCTTACTAGCTTGATGAAGTAAGCAGCCATGTTGCCATATTATAAGGAACTGTGGCAAGGCTTCTAGGAACTCTGAGCAGCATCTAGGAACTGCAGGCAGCCACTAGGAGGTGAGGGTGGCCTTTAGGATCTGAAGGTAGTCTTCAGCTGATAGTCAGAAAGCAGTGCCCTCAGCTCTATGGCCACAAGAAAATGTATCTGCCAACAATATGAGTGAGCTTGGAAGCAGATTCTTCCACAGTCAAGCCTTCAGATGAGATTGCAGCCTGGCTGACACCTTGACTGCAGCTTTGTGAAACTGTTAAGTAGAGGACACAGTTAAGTTATGCTCAGACTTCTGACCCACAGAAACTGTGAGGTAATAAATATGTGTTGTTTTAAGCTACTGAGTTTGTGGTAATGTTATAATAGAAAACTAATACAATGGGCATGATATACCCTACATCAGAGCAGCCACTTAAATATCCTTTCATGGTTTGGCTCTGTCTCTCTTGAGCTTTTGACTTCCAAAAGGAGAAACATGTACCCAAGAGAGTTGCAGATCTTTCATCTTCAGTCCCTGAATCAGAAGATTCATGATGGTACCTGAACCCAGCCAAGGCCAGCAAAGTTGTAGCTAGCCATTAGCCTTCATGTGAGATGAAAAGAAAATGTTTGTTGTTGCAAACCACTGAAAACTGAGGGTCATTGGCTGCTGCAGCAAAAGCTAAGTAATTCAATGCTGAAGAAGATATTTGGCTATTCAGTCTTTAAATATCAAAGCCAAAGCTATAAATGAATCTGAAAAGCAGGTTTGCCCAGATAATGAGGTTGAAGCTGATGTTGGTACATCATTAGGCATAGATGGGCATGCAGAGCCTCACAGGCAATGGAAAGGGCTTTGAAACCTATCAAAATGACCTAGACAGGAGAAGGGGTGATATAATCATATTTGGGTTTTGGCAAGATCACCCTGGCTACAGCATGAACAGTCTACAGAAAGCAAGAAATGGCATAAGAAGAATAGTTAGGCTAATGATGTAGTTCAGAGGATAATAGTTGTGGAAAAATAAGTGAATAGATTTGAGACATATTTAGGAGACAGAATTGATAGGACTTGGTGATCAATTCTATATGGAAGGGGTGAGAAAGAGGAGGATGTCTGGGATTACTCTAGGACTTCTAGCTTTCCTAGTTGGTTGGAGAGGAGTATTAATCACTGAGATATAAAGAACACTAGAGGGAATCAGGTTCGGGAGGGGAAAATCAAATGTTTAATTTTGGATACATTAATATTTGGATTTTGGGGTGTCATTGAGCCAACCAGATATAAAGTTTTGGAGCTATGAAAAAATATGAACTGGAGATATAAATTTGGGAGCCAGCTTTATATGGGAGATTAACTAACCATGGGTATGTATGATTAAGAAAGAGAGTTGGGCAAGAGCATACAGCAAGAAGAGAAGAGGGGCCTAGGACCAAGTTTTAAGAAAGTCCAACATTTAATGATTGTATTGAGGAGGATAAGCCAGTGTAAGATATCACCAGAAATATGAAGCCCACAGCAAAGCCTTCGTGAATTGTTACTACCATGTATTTCTGAGGTGTTTACTATGAGCTTGGGGCACTGTGCTAAGTGTTAGTGGTATAAATTAGTTTCTGCCCTCAAGAAGCCCACAGCCTAAAGGGAGAGACAGAAAGTGTAAACAATGATCATATCCGAATACCACACACTGTTATTAGTATATCAACAGGATGTTTCTGAAGGATGTGAAATCTGAGTTGACACCAAAGGACACGCTGGAATTGGCTAAATAGGGAACTCAGGGAGTGGGGTGGTGGATTTTCAGGTAGAGGGACCAGCCTTTTTGAGTGTATAGAGGGATGAGACTGCATGACACATTTGCAGAACCAGCTAGAGCTAAGGATGAGTGTGAGAAGGTGTTAGGGGTCATAGCTGGAGAAGCACACAGGAGACAGAACATGAAGGGCCTTATATGCAAGAATCAGGACTTCATCCTCTGGGCAGCCAGGTCAATTAGAGGGAGCTGGGCCAGTGTGCAATTTGGAGGCAAAATTTGGAGCATGGTGTTATGCAGCTAGGCAGGGTGTTTGTTCTTCAGTTTAATAGCCACCAAAATATCCTCTTCACAAAACTGATAAAAGAGCACGAGGTCACAGAGTGAGAAGGGCAGAACTGCGTCCAGGTCTAAGGGTTTTGAGTGCCATTCCAGCGAGCTCCCAAAGATACATGGTTTTTCTCACTCAGAGATTGCTTCAATAACAGACTTGGTTTGGGTTATCTTTTGTCAAAACTGGATTTTTTTTTATAAAAGATTTTAGTAACGGTCTGAGTTTTATGACAGGCTTATCTGATAGAACAAAATATCTACCAGCCTGTGAGAAAGTGTCCAAAATTATGTTCTAAATGCATAATATTATCTAATTTATCCACAATCTCATTACTCTTTTCTATCTGCCTCTCCTCACTCTTACCACTGCCCACTTTTCTAAAAGAAAACTAAAGCTTCCATATTTGTAAAAGGTGCTTAAATATATAGTCATTTATGAGACTTCTAAACAGTAGCTGTTTAAGTTTAGCCCAAATAAGAGTTTTCTCTCAATTATAAGTTATCATTTATTGTATCTGCTGAGTTTGGTCTGCTTTTTCATCTTTATCAAATTTAAAACTGAGGAGAAATCAGGGAACAAGTTGTTATTTTTTCAGCACTTTGACTTATTCACATTTAATCTAATGCATTTTCAAGCTGGAAAGATTTTTTACTCATGGCCTTTTCCCAGATTTTTTCCTTTGCAAAAAATAGAATCAACTCAACACCCAGGGAGGTGAGTTCCATTAATTATCCTTTTCAGATAGAAAATAAGTAGCTGGGAGGAAAATGGGAATTCAAAGCCATGTTATTTTACTCTGTTAATGGCAGTAAGCAACTCCAGAATGAAGGGTCATATTGAAGAAACTTTTAAGCAGTTTACAAACAGAATGTGGTCTGTTAATGTTTACACTGCTCAGGAGGAGAGGAGCTTTTGCCAGAACCCCTTAGTCTTTGGCCATGTTTGAATGTTGCACAGAATGGGCAAGATTTCCATGTGACATGAATTGATTTTCTCTATCAAGAGTGGAATTCAACCTTTCTGTCTAAACTACTTTCAAATCCTACCTCTTCAGTGATAGTTTGTCATCCTTTTGCTAGACAATTTTTTAAAAATCTCATCACAAATCCTATGGAGAAAATATCTTTGGTGAAAATCTTTTATTGTATATATTTAAGGTGTACAAATGATGTTTTGACATCCATTACATAGTGAAATGATTGCTACAGTCATGCAAATTAAATATGCATTTCCTCACATAATTACCCTCTTTTGCAGTAAGAGCACCTGAAATCTACTCTTAGAAAATTTCCAGTATTCAATACAGCATTATTAACTATAGAACTTATGCTGTACATGAGATCTCTAGATTTATACATCTTATGTAGCTGCAACTTTGTAGCTTTGACCAACATCCTCATTTCTTCCACCTCCATCCCCCTGTGTGTTTGACTTTTTTAGCTTCCACATATGAGATTACGCAGTATTTTTCTTTCTGTGTCTGGTTTGTTTCACTTAGCATAATACCCTCCGGGTTCATCCATTTTGTCATAAATAGCAGGCTTTTATCAAAAAGGCAAGGGATAACAAATGTTGATGAGGGTATGGAGGAAAGGAAACCCTGGTACATTGTTGGTGGGAATGTAAATTAGTACCCCATTTTGGAAAATAGTGTATATTCCTCAAAATATTAAGAATACGATGACCATATGATGCAGAGATTCTTCTTCTGGGTAAATACCCAAAGGAAATGAAATCAGTATCTCGAAGAGATATCTGCACTCTCATGTTCACTGAAACATTATTCTCTGGTGAAAATTAATGCAAAAAATATTTTAGTTACTGCAGTAGCAAAGAGATTCATGAGTTTAGCCTATTGCACATAGCTGAAGAAATCAAGGAAGAATGTTTCGCATTGCCATACCAGGGTAAAAAGTGATTGTGTGTATATTTCTGTATATAAAGTATTATGTAATTGTATATTTATACTTATCTATCTCTTTCATTAGGATAAAAGCCCCACGAGAGTGGGGACTTTGTCTATCTTGTCCACTTCTGAATCCCTGAAGCACAAAACAAATTATTGGCACATTAGTTGAATGAATGAATGGCATTGCACACTTACAATCTATTTTGTTTAACTTACAAACAGCAAAAATGCTACCACAATTCTGAATTTTGATTAAATAGTGTTTCAAAATCACAGATCTGTTTTAAAGATTAAATGAGGATTTCTGCTTTAAAAATGTATGTTTAGATAGAAAAATAGTGTAAGCAAAGATAAGTGAAAGTGCTTAACCCAGGGTGGGAAACTCAATGACATTTAAGTTGACTTTAAGTCTAAAGATAGGTTTGAGGAGGAGTGGATGTTTTCCCCAAACCAGCCTCAAATTGGACCTTAAGTGGTCCACATGCAAAACAGTTCCTTCTCTATTGTTCTGAAGGGGGTGTTTTCTTGGGAGTATAGACTAGTCATCTTGCAGGCAGCTAACAGACTACATTGTTCTCATCAGATGGTAGTATTGAGCTTGCCAGAAAATTTTACTTACAGTGGGGAACTCCTAAGGCTGAAACATTTTATCTGCAGGTCCAAAAAATCTTGACCTGGTGCACACAGCAGGGTAGGTAAGGAAAGGAACCATCATCTACGGAGAACCTACCATATGAACAGCTCTACCAGAGACCTCATTTGATTCCTACTTTAGCTTTATAATAAAAGTTAACATTCATTGGGTACTTATTGTCCTAAGTACTTTGCATGGATTAACTCAATAATTCCTCACAACACAAGGATGTATTTTTGTTTCCACCATTTGACAGAAGAGGACATCCAGGTACAGGGAAGTTAAACATGCTCAAGGTTACACAATGTGTAAGTGGTGGAGCCAGTATGAAAACCTACGTGGTGTGGGTTCCAGTGTCCAGGCTTGGAACTGCCTCTGTAAGAGAAGGATTACTATCCTCATTATTTGCTAAGGCTCAATAAATAAAGTGACTTCCAAGGTCACATTAACAGAGCTGTCTGACTCCAAAGCTGAAGATGCTTTACTTTTCCTTATATTGTTCTACTTCAATCTCACCTCAATAAAAATAAATCTAGCAGCTAACATTTATCAAATACTTACTACATGGCAGACATTATTTTAAGTGCTTCATGTGAATTATCTCATTTAATCAACATAGTAACACTTTGAGGTGGGGCTTTTATTAGCCCCCTTCTGTAGATGAAGGTATTAAGGTTGAGAGGAGTCAAGTAACTTATTAAGGTGACACAGTAAATTGGTAGAATCAGGATTTAAAACTTGGTTTATTTGCCCAATGAGCCGAAGCTCTTATCCATTCTACCACAATATTTGCCTAGAAATATTGCCCCTCCTTCCCAATAGTAGTCCCTCCCATCTCTCTTATTTTTGCTGAAGTCTTAGTACAAGGCTGAGACTACTGTTTGTCCTTATGTTGCTGGGTCTTCCAGGTCTTCAAGGGGAAGGTTGTAATAGTAAAGTCACTCCCAAATTCAAATATTGTAAATATTGTACCCTTTGGAGTCAGGAATGAAGTACATGCTCACCATCAACTCAGATTTTTGTCAAGAGGAATGAGACTGATGGAAATAATCAATAGCTTTTTTAAAAAAACACACTTATTGAGAAATAATTCATATACCATTTAGCACACCCATTTAAAATGTATACTTCAATGGTTTCCAGTACATTCAGAGTTGGACAACCAGGATGACAATCTAATTTTATAATATTTTCATCATCCCCAAAAGAAACCCCATGCCTATTGCCCCTGAGCCCCCAGCCTTGACAACCACTAATCTGCTTTCTACCTTTATAGATTTGCCTGTTTGGGACATTTCATATAAATTAAATCATACAATATGTGGTCTTTTGTGATTGGCTCCTTTCACTTAGCATATTTTCAAGGTTCATCAATGTTACATGTATCAGTATTTTATCCATTTTTATGGCTAAATAATACCCTACTGTATGCATATATCAAAGTTTGTTTATCCATTCCTCAGTGGATGGACATTTGGGTCATTTCCACTTTTTGGCTATTATGAGTAATGCCACTTTAAACATTCATGTTCACGCTTTTGTTTGAACACCTGTTTCCAATTCTCTTGGGTATATACCTAGGGATGGAATTGCTAAGTCATGTGGAAATTCTATGTTTAACATTTGGAGAAACTGCCAAGCTGTTTTTCAATGAGGTTGCATCAATTTACATCCCCATCAGCAATGTATGAGTGTTCCAATTTCTTCATTTCCTCACCAACACTTGTTATTGTTTGGCTTTTTGATATAGCTATTCTAGTGGGTATGAAGTGGTATCTCATTGTGGTCTTGATTTGCATTTCCCTAATGAATAGTAGTGCTTGAGCATCTTTCCCTGTGCTTGCTAGCCAGTTGCATATTGCTATAAGCTGAATGTTTGTGTCCTCTCCAAACTCACATGCTGAAGCCCTAATCCCCAATGTGATGGCATATGGAGGTGGGGCCTTTGAGAGGTAAATTGGTTTAGATGAAGTCACAAGAGTAGGCATTCATAATGAAATTATAATGCCCTTATAAGAAGGGGAAGAGACCAGATCCCTTTCTTTTTTTTGAGACAGAATCTCGCTCAGTCACCCAGGCTGGAGTGCAGTGGCTCAATCTCTGCTCACTGCAAGCTCCGCCTCCTGGGTTCACGCCATTCTCCTGCCTCAGCCTCCCGACTAGCTGGGACTACAGGCACCTGCCACCATGCCCTGCTAATTTTTTTGTATTTTTTTTAGTAGAGATGGGGTTTCACCGTGTTAGCCAGGATGGTTGCGATCTCCTGACCTCCTGATCCGCCCGCCACGGCCTCCCAAAGTGCTGGGATTACAGGCGTGAGCCACCGCGCCTGGCCGAGACCAGATCCCTTTCTGTCTTTGCTGAGGACACAGCCACAAGGTAGCCATCTGCAAACCATAAAGTGGGCCCTCACAAGGCATTGAATCTGCTGGCATCTTGCTCTCAGATTTCCCAGTCTCCAGGACTGTGAGAAATAAATGTTATTTAAGACAATCAGTCTATGGTAGTATGTTATAGCAACCCAAGCATACTAAAACACATATTTTCTTTGAAGAAATGTCTATTACAATCTGTTAACCCATTTTTAATTGGTTATTTTTATCATTGAGTTGTAAGAGTCCTTTTCATATTTTGAAGTATCTGATATGCAAATATTTTCTCCTAATATTATGTTGCTTGTCTTTTCACTTTTTTATATGGTATATTTTTAGCACAAAAGTTTTTAATTTTGATTTACTCCAATTTATTTCTATTTCTTGTATCACTTGTGCAAATCGTCTTAACATTAGGAAGACTTATTACAATGTTTTCTTCTAAGAATTTTATAATTTTGACTCTTACATTCTATAATCCATTTTGAGTTGATTCTTGCATGTGATTTAAGGAAAACTTCATTTTTTCCCATGTAGATACCCAGTTGTCTCAGCATCATTTGTTAAAAAACTATTCTCTCCTCAATTTCTCTTGGGACCCTTGTTGAAATTAACTAACCATATACATGAGGATTTATTTCTGGACTCTCAATTTAATTCCATTTATTTATACACCTACCCTTGTGTCTGTACCACACTGTCTTGATTACTGTAGTTTTGCAGTAAGTTTTGAAGTTGGGATGTATGAGCCCTCCAACTGTTCTTTTTAAAGATTGTTTTGACTGTTCCAGGTCCCTTGTAATTCCATATGAATTTTAGAATCAGCTTGTAAACTTACACAAGGAAGCCACTGGAATTCTGATAAGCACTGGATTGAATCTGTAGATCAATTTGGGGCACATTTCATCTTAACAATACTAAGTCTTCCAATCCATGAACATGGAGTGTCTTTCCATTTATTTTGATCTTCTCTAATCTCTTTCAACAATGTTTTATAGTTTTCAGTGTAAAAGTTTCGCACTTCTTTTGTTAAATTATTCCTAAGTACTTTTTTCTTTTTGATGCTATTGTAAATGGAACTGTTTTCTTTCTTTCTTTCTTTCTTTCTTTTCTTTCTTTCTTTCTTTCTTTCTTTCTTTCTTTCTTTTTGAGACAAAGTCTCACTCTGTTGCCCAGGATGGAGTGCAGTGGTGTGGTCTCAGCTCACTGCAATCTCTGCCTTCCAGGTTCAAGCAATTCTCCTGCCTCAGCCTCCCGAGTAGCTGGGACTACTGGTGCGTGCCACCACACCTGGCTAATTTTTTGTATTTTTAGTAGAGATAGGGTTTCACCGTGTTAGCCAGGATGGTCTTGATCTCCTGACCTCGTGATCCACCTGCCTCGGCCTCCCAAAGTGCTGGGATTTCAGGCGTGAGCCACCATGCCCGGCCGGAACTGTTTTCTTAATAACATTTTCGGATTGTTCATTTGATCTTGTGTTTTAACCTTGTATCCTGCAACTTTCCTAAATTCATCCAGGCAGGTAGTTGTGAGCAACACGAGAAGAGCAAGAATATGCCTGGGATAAGGAAAAAATGAATTGAGTAGATCAGGACTATAATAATGGTTACCATGTACTGAATATGTTTTCAACAAGTCAGTACTTCCCATGCTGTAATATGTTCATGAATCTCCTGGAAATCTAGTTAAAATTCAGACTGCTATCACTGGGTTTGGGGTGGGCCTGGGATTCTGCCTAATAACTTCTTGGATTGTTAGTGGCTTTTATTTATTATTTTCAAGTTACAATAACTGCAAGCAAGATAATACTGTTCCCATTTTACAGATAAGAAAATGACCTCAGAAGTTGAGCTAGTAGCCCAGGTTCATTGAATAAGTGGCAGAACCAGGATTTGAACACAGTTCATTCTAATGCCAAAGCTGGACTCTTTCTACTCTACCACAATGGATATCTTGAGTAGAAGGAGGATAGTTGGAATGTGAACAGAATATGGATCACGAAAAAAGAAAGCTTTTCAATGTCAGAGTTGCTTCCTGGAATACATTTGAGTCTAATCTTTGAGGTTGCCTTGGAGAGCAGATCACCAAGGCCCTTGCTTTCCAGGGAGCTGAGCATGAAGGTGTGAGATTGGACTATCAGCTAGAAGTAAGATGAAAATACTAGACAGAATTCAAGATTGGAAGAAGTCTAGAAAGAATGGCTTACCTTCGATCAGGCTAGACTCCAGAACTAGACTCTGTATACTGCTTAGGTCTATACCTGAGATTACACCTATTGTTGACTTTTTCTGCATTCTAAACATGGGGTTAGACTGGATGTGATGTTGCCACTGAGTAACCAGAGAGGAAGAAATATATCAGTGAGCTAAAGGGCAGGGCTGTGATCCTGAGATCCTTCTGAGTAGAAAAATACCATGCTTCAATACTGTGATAACAACAGAAATAACCAATGGCTTAAACTCTGTACCCCCTACTCAGGATGGTCTTGAAATAGATGTCTAAAAGCTGTTCCCCTAAAAAGGCTATGGCAGATCCTGCTATTTAACTGGGGATGATGAATGGTATAGCATCAATACCATCCCTCAGAGGCCAGGGTAAGGGTTTAGGGATGTGGGTAAGGGTCTGGTCATATGTTTATCTGTGAAGGACTATGGATAGGTGACCAAATTCCTTTCCAGTACTTTTCAGCAGAATCTTTAGACTTCCATCACCTGAGTTAAAACACATGAGATTTTTTTTTGTCCTTAGCACCTTTTATTGAAATATGACCCTTGATGACAATCTGGCAGGCATATCTATGTCAGCCAAGAAGGGAGTGGTGGAGGACACAAATGCAGAAACAACAAGATTTGGAAAAAGAATAGCTTCACATGGGATAGATGACCCCCAACAGCTGTACAACCAACACTGGTTCTTCATCTATAGAAACTGTCCCCTGCCCCACCCCCCCAAAAAGATCTACTAATCTTCAAATAATATAATATGCTGTTGCAGAAATATTATTGGCATAGACGACTCCTCTGGCAAAGCTCCAAATGGGTGGAAGTGGCCAGAAATGGGCCCAGCTTCCTCCATCTGGGGCTTGCTACTGGCAGAGCAGCACTGTCAGGGAGGGTCGGGTTCAGGATGTGGCTCTGGTGTGCCTGGGCAGCTTTATGGCACATGAGGTTAAATGGAAAACAGAACCTGAACCTAACCTTGAAGGAGGCTTTTTATCTTTTCACCTCTCCTTTTCTTTGCTTCCAATTTCTTCCTTTCTAGGGCTTTATTTTCAGTGTCTCTGTCTTATTCTGTCAGATTCTACTTGGGCATTTACAGCTATATCCTGGTTGAGTCTCCAGCTGTGGGACTCAGGAAGATTCAATTATCCAGAGCCCTGGGAGGTGGCAGGAGGGGTTGGGGGGACATGTGATAGTAACTCATGCACTGACTTCTCTATCAGCCATCATGCTTGCCTATTACCCATGGGGGCCTGTATAAGTATTTGACGGGAGACAGCAGAAGTTAAGACTGATAACTGTCTTTGGGGATCTCCCTTGGCCTGCCTTCCAAACTGCTACTCACTGGCAGGCCTTGGAGGAGGGCTGAGCCCAGGAACTGAGAACAGGGGAGAGAGACTGCATCTCAAGTAATACTGGCAGTGTTGCAGCACCGTCACACACAATGAGACTGCCCTGGCAGGAGTGTGGCACGCCAGTGTCTGTTTAGCAGTTCACCTTTATCTACCAAGCTTCACTGCTAGATATACTTTTGGGGTTATTTTTTAAATGCTTTGGCAACTTTCCCTCCATGTGAAAATGAGCATCCTTGTGTTCTGATTCTAACTCTAGAAACTAATTTGAGATGGGATTAAGAACAAAAATAACAGAGTTAATAGTATTTTTGGTGTCATAAACTTAAGGTACAACCAATCACATGCTGACTAGAAAAACTCAAGACTATGGCCATAGTGTCCAGGTAAGTGACCGTTCTTTTCCCTAGGCCCATATTCCCAAAAAGGTGCTCTAGCCCACAAATTCTGAGAATGATGAAACATATCAGCCTCATCCTCCCAATACAGGACATCTCAATTTGCTCATTGTTTGTCCTAGAGCCTGCTCAGAAGAAAAGATGACAACTATGGCCTCCATTGAAAGCACTCCCCTACCTTCTCAATCTTGGCTGGCTTGTGTAAGCCTAGCCCCTGCAAGCCACCAGCCTTCCTGAATAAAGTAGAATCTTCCACTGGAGGGGAGAATGGCAGGGTTGCCATTCTAACAGTGTTTCTGGCAGCAGTACTAAGAGCAAACCCAGAGCTCCACAGAAAGGCTTACCCCACCCCCTACCCCAGGACACCCTGCTGGCCAAGATTCTCCCATTGTTTTCAAATACAATGAAGAGGAAATGGAAGCTAGTGACAAGTATTTGTAACAGCAGCAAAAGTTCCTTGGCAAATTCTTTGGTTGAATGAGACATCCCTGCTGCTACAGTTGACCTTCAAGGACCCTGAGGAACTCAGCAGTAACTAGAAGAGATGCCAGGCCTTGGCTGGGTTGTGTGATACCAAGGATTGGCCCCAGTTAGTGAGGAACAGGGAGCTAAGCTGGATAACAGGGCAGCATTTGGCCATAACCCCCTTCTTGCCATCGTCCACCTGAGGGCTGCTTTTCCAGCATAGAAACTAGCTACTGGTGTCAGGGCCTTGGCAACAGCAGCAGTTTTAGTTGTTTGTATGCCTAAGATCCTGGCTGGGTCTTCAATTGCTCTGGGGAGCTGGCTCTGGCTGGAGCTCCCAGCTACCTTGAGTTTTGGTTCCCTTGAGCCAGGCCACAGGCTGAGAAAGCAATGGTTAGAGGAGTTCCTTCTGAGCTCACCTCTACTGATCCCATAGCTTGGAGATGGTAGAGAAATGACTGAACCTTTCTCCATTTCAGGAGATTTCTTTGGTTTCAAAAAGAAATCAGTAAGAAAAACTTAAACCCTGCTGGGGAATGCTAAACTCAAGTCACTTAGACTTTAAGGGAAGCACAAGGCCAGGCCACAGTAGGGAGGCTCTGAGTTCAAGGGGAAAACTCCTTCCTAGACATCGGTAGCTATGGTGGGAACAATTCAACGCCTTGGCACTTGCTTACCTAGCCACGGTGGATTCAGGCTGATCTGCAGAAAATGCTTTCCTTCTGGGCTAACTTTTCCCTCTCCAACTTCCCTCTTCTCGCCTTATTAGTTAAAAAAGAAAAAAATAATCAAAACATAAAAATAAATAAAATCAAAAGGCCATTTAAAATATAACAATAAGAACCCCCTCCCCCAATAATGAAACCTACATCTAGAAGTCAGTTTTAGTAGAGCTATTAATGGCCCATATGGTGAAGCCCTGGGGTAGGCACCTGCGGTAACCCCCAGCAATGTAAAGGAAAGATGAAACAAGAGGTGGTAGGACCAAAGTCTTAGGACAGGAAGAGGGTCACACTAGCCAGGGCTAAGAGTAGGCCTCTTCCCCTGAACTTGCTGCTGGGAAAGGTAAGGGTAGAGCCTATTTAAACCTGGTTCCTTCCTAAGGGGCACCTGGGGGTACTCAACCTTTGCTTGCATTTTTTTCAGTGTAATTCCTCCCTCTGTGCTTTCCCCTGCAAAGCTTGGGTGAGGCCCTGAAACTGGTGCCAGGTGAATGCCCTCAAGGCAGCCAGCTCTCTGTGAGAAATGGCTGGCCACAAGCCCTGGGGCAGAGTAGAGCTGCAAGGCAGATTCCCTCTGAGCCTTTAGAGGCTGTTGATGATATGGGTGGGTGATGAGTACTTGATGTCTTTGGTGTCCTAGTACAAAGCAGAATGAAGGCACTTCCTTGGTTCTCTGTGCAGCAAGTACTTGCCCTTGGCAACTGTGGGAAGGAGAGTGTGGTTCTAAGATCACACCTTGCTGCAGCTCCCTTGGGTAGAAGCTTGTGGCTTCCCCAGGGTCTCCTAGCTGGTTAGGACCACTGCTAGGGAAGGGGTAGTGAGAGACATCCAGGGTAGAGGGCTGGAACAAACTGCTAATTGCTATCTACTTGCTGAGAAACTGCTAACAAAGAAGATTGAAAGCACTTCCCACATGGCTGGGCAGGGATGCTGTGGCAGAGTGCTGGTAGAATTAGAAATTGCTGGGCCCCAGGAGTAGACTCTCCCTGAGACATTTGAGTTGCTCTTCCCCGAGCTTGATCTTCTCCTCCAGCTCTCGCTGTTCAATGATGAGAGCAGATTTCATCTTGACAAAGTGCTGGTAATCTTGGAGCTGGTCCTGAGGCAGGTAGCGGGAGACCATGCCAAACACCAACTTCTCCCGGCGGTCCACGTGCTCCTTCAGCTCCTTGGCATCTGCCAACTGCCCCGTCAGCTGCTGCTTCTTCTCTATCAGTACCAACTGGGGAAGCAGAGGACCAAGTAAGGGCTCTCTCAATTACCAGGCATCTGTCCAACAGTGCTGCCTAGCAGTACTCCACCAGAGATGCTGCCACAAAGCAGCTATACATTCTGCTAATTAGTCAGTCCTAGATTTTCTGCCCTGAAGTCTACCTCCATGCAAAAGCCTTTGTTTCCTGTAGCAGGAGGGTAAACATGACAACAATTCTGGATAGGGGATGTGAAATTACCTCTTTCCATCTCTTTAACGCTGTCTTCAATGTAGGGACCACCACTGGGCTTGGGGTGGAGGAAGGCTCTGACAAAGCCAGCCTGTGTCCCTTTCACCTGGTGAACAACTGTCACTGTGGAGGTGCTTTCTGTATGATGTGTGTGTCTGTGTGAGTGGATATGTGTGAGTGTATGTGTCTGTGTATGTATGTATATGTATGTAGATATGTGCCTCTTGTTGTGGATTCAAAGGTATATCCAAAGCCACCTGTATAGGGAAAGGTGATGCAATTTTGGTTCAGGAGTATATGCATAGTGACCCAACCTGTGAAACTGACAGCTTTCCAATCTCAAATACTTGATGAGACCTCCCCCTCCAACTCTAGAGTGAGGCAAAACTGCTGCTGCTACTACTACTACTGGGAGCTAGCATTGATTCAGTGTTTACCCTGTCCCAGGCCCTGTTTTATGTAATTAACATAAACTAATTTAATTCTCACAATAATCCCATAAGGCAGGTAGTATGCTCACCTCATTTTACAGGTGAAGAGATTGAGGCAGAGTGACGTTATGTAAGTTGTCCACAGTCACACAGCTAATAAATGGTAGGGCAAGAATTTCAGGGCACTTAAAAGCCAGTGTTCACACTCTTATTTTTTTATTTTATTATTATTATTTTTTTTGAGACAGGGTCTTGCTCTGTCACCCAGGCTGGAGTGCAGTGGCACAATCTTTGCTCACGGCAGTCTCCGCCTCCCAAGCTCAAGCAAACCTTCCACCTCAGCCTCCGGAGTAGCTGGGATTATAGGCATGCGCCACCCTGCCAGACTAATTTTTGTATTTTTAGTAGAGATGGGGATTCACTAAGTTGCCCAGGTTGGTCTCAAACTCCTGGACTGAAGCAATCTGCCCGCTTTGGCCTCCCAAAGTACTGGGATTACAGACATGAGCCACCGTGCCCATCCTCAGTGCTCACATGCTTTTAATCCCATGCTCTACTGTTTCCTATAGTAGCCCAACTTGAAAGAGGGAGCCCTGAGAAGAAACAAATGGTATTTCCCTCTACCCACACCCCACAGACCCCAACTCTACCTTCTCCTGGTTGGCCTCTGAATCGATGCTGTTCAGAGCATTCTCCACCCGGGCCAGTCGTCCAGAGAGTGACAGCAACAGGTTGACCACTTTGTCCAGGTCCCCAACAAACAAGTGGTACTTTTCAAATTCATTGGATTTGCAGACGGCTTTTAAGTTGGCCTCCACCTCCTCCCCAAGGGCAGAATTGGCATTGATGTCCTCTAGCAGCCCTCGCTGGGCCTCCCGCAAGACAGAAAGTTTTCTGCTGATGCTTTCGATAAGCTGTATCTAGGGGAATTAAACAGGAGAAGACAAAGGATGAGAATGGGGATCAACAGAAACTGATTTGTGCCTGTAACCTCTGTTTTGGAATCCAAGGAACAGATGGTGGGCTCTATCCTAGTCACTGGAAACAAAGGAAACTTGGGCAAGTCATGAGCAACTCCAGTCTTTTGGGCAAGCACCTTCTATCCGTCTGGTAGGGATCTCCATGTCACCACCAAACTTTTTGGCATTGGGTAAGTGGTATCCATGCACTAAACTTCATTTACCAGATGCAACTTAATAAATACTTGCTGGCACTTTGTTTTTTTTTTGAGATGGAGTCTCACTCTGTTGCCCAGGCTGGAGTGCAGTGGCACGATCTCAGCTCACTGCAACCTCCGCCTCTCAGGTTCAAGCGAGTCTTGCGTCTCGGCCTCCTAAGTAGCTGAGGTTACAGGTGCATGTCATGGATGCCAGGCTAATTTTGTGTGTGTGTTTGTGTGTGTGTGTGTGTGTGTGTGTGTACTTTTAGTAGAGATGGGGTTTCATGATGTTGGCCAGGCTGACCTCAAGTGATCAGCCCCCCTCAGCCTTCCAAAATGCTGGGATCACAGGTGTGAGCCTCTGCACCCAGTCCCTTCCTGGGACGATTTAATAAATAGGAGCTACAGTCCTTTTGAGAGCCTAGGTTGGAAAAGCATTTGCACTAAGGTATTTGCCTATCACTTCATTCATTCTCCTTCAATCCATTTAAGTACCTCTCAAGTTCATGACACTATGCTAGATCTTTGCTTCCTTAGCTTGGCTTTTGAGGCCTTTTGGATAAGACTGTGAGTTCTGGAGTTATAACGACTGGGTTTGATTTATAGCTTTGCCACTTCGTAGCTGTGGGACCTTGGGTGACTTGACATTATTGAGCTTCACTTTCTTTATCTGTAGAATGGGGATAATTGCTTTACCCACTGCATTGAGTCATAATAAGGAGTCAATGAGATTATGCATGCAAAGTGTTTGGCCCATAGTAAGTGCTGCGTAAAAGCTAGGCTGCTATTATTTGTTACTCAGTCTGGCCCCACCTTGCCATTCTAATGTCCCTCCTCAGAGCCTTTCAGAATTAGCTCCTCATTCTCCTCTGTGTTCACAACACTCATTCTTGTGTTCCTGAGTAGCTTATGCAGTTCCACCTACTCTTTATCTCTTTCTTCATTTTGATTATTCCTAAATTTCTTCAGGGGACAGCTCTGCCCCTCCCCTCCCTCACAGGAAGCCCTCCTCTGTAAGTCTTCTCTCAGTGATCTTTTTTTGTCCGAGCTTTTAAGTATTTTAGAATTAGAACCCTATAGTGTAACTTGAAGTTCCTCACTTTCTATTCCTTGTGTGTGTCTGATCTCTCACCTGCTAATGATTGTAAGTTTCTTAAGGGAAGTGCTGTCTGTGTCTTCTGATTTGTCTCCCCTATAGGTGAGTACAGTCACAGGGAAGTACAGCAAAGTTTTAGAGTCGGAGACATCTGGATTCCAATTCCACCTCCAAACTCTATGGCCTTAGGATAGATACCTAATCCCACTTCTGTTTCCTCATCTGTAAAGTGGACACCTCCCCAACTCCAGAGATTTTCTGATGGGTAAATGAAACCACATAAGTAAAAGACTTAGTATTATGACTGGCACTTAAATGCTCAATGCATGCTTACTAATGTTATTATTATTATTAAATTAGTTCTACAACATACTCCAAACTAATAGATACTTGTCTAGCTGCAAGGTTATGACAAGAATGGCCCTGTCCCAGGCTGCCCATAGCCTCTGTAGACAGTACTGCTTTGTGGTTAAGAGCACAGAGACTCCAGTGCCAGACTACCAGAGTTTGAACTCCTGCTCTGCTGGAAAGTAGTGGTATTATATACGACCTTGAGCAAATTACTCAACCTCTCTGCACGTCAATTTCCACATCTAAAAAATAAGATAACAATAGGACCTACCTCATAGAGTTGTTATGAGAATTAAATAAGTTAACACATGTTACATGTTTAGAATAGTATCTTGTTCATAGGAGTATGCTTCAGTGTATGTTTTAATCTTATTCTAGCCCAAGCACTGGGCCCATAGGTTTGTAGTTTTCTGGAATGTATTCCCCTCTAGTAATTTAATTAGAGATGTCCAAAGTGACCAAGACTAAGAAAGCCTCCTCCAGGTTCCAAGACCTGTTGTCATATTTTAGAACTCTTCAAAAGTCAGGAGATCACCATGATCTCAGTCTGAAGTATAATAGGTTTGCATTTGGGGAAAGTTCCAAAACCCACTGAGAACTGGGGATCAGTGATATGAATAAGGCAACACAATTAGATGAAGAGGCTGTCAGTTATATTCCCACCATCTGCTCTCCCAAATAAAAGTCAATGCTGGGGACAAAGGATGGCTAGGGGCCATCTAGAAAATGACCCACTTGGAAAATCACCTTCTTACCCCAGTTCCCAAGCTCCAGGGATAGATGGAAGGATAAAAGTGGAGAGAGCCCTTTACTTCTTGGAACTTGGGCTCTACAACCTGAACCTCAGTCCTGGGGAAGTGTGATGGATAGAGTTGTGGAGTCATCACAGATCCAGCCAGAGCTGAGTTGCTTTTTCTGGGACATCGCAAATTGGTGACATTCCTCACCTTTCTTCCTCAGAGACAAAAACTGTCATAGCCCACCCACAATCACTTTAGTTCACTTTCTGTCGTTCTGTGCTCTGCCATTTCTGATCATCTCTCTCTTTTCCTGGTCAGACTTCTAGGTTTGCCCCTGCAGAGGCCAGGCCCTGAGTAAGCTAGGAGTACCCCTGCTCGGGGAACATGGAATCCAAGGAAGCAGACATCTGCATCAGTAAAACTTCAACACCACCATGCTTCCAATTCTTCCCCTGACATTTTGCTTCAGATAGGAAATTGGAGGAAGGACTCTTGCAAATGGCCCTGTAACTTCCTACGGGTCATATCCTGAAAGAAATATGGGCAGAACAATTTACATTGAGTTTAGATGTCCACAAAGAAGGTAAATTGAGCCTTTGAGGTTGCCATGACAACCCTATTTGCTTATGAAATACAATAGGTAAGTGCAGGGAGGGGAAAGTGATTCCAAGAATTGGATTAGAAAACCAGACTAGTGGTACTTAGACAAAGAAAGGAAAGCTTTGGAACGACAACAACATCATCATCTCCACTTAACTATTTTGTACTTTTAAGACATAATTGACTATCCTTGCAAATAAATACTAAAGTTTGCCAGCCTATAAGTTGTCCTTATTTTACTTAGTCTCTTCTGTCTCCCACAAAGTTGCACAAAGAATAAAAATCAATGGCACTGCCATTGGTTAGAGGAGCCCACTGGCAGAAACTCTGATGTGCCCTGGGTAGTGAGTTACTTACAAGGCTGGCTTAATTCAGAGAGACAGCATGTACTGTACAGTAGAAATTCAGACAGTCTTGACTTCAAGTGCTGGATCTACCATTTAGTCTGTAATCCCTGGGCAAATTCGTCCCTTCAACTAGTAAAAAAGGGATAGTAATATCTGCCTTGTTGGGCTGTTCTTTTCTTTTCTTCTTTTTTTTTTTTTTGAGACTGAGTTTCACTCTTGGTTGCCCAGGCTGGAGTGCAGTGGCGCGATCTCGGCTCACTGCAACCTCCGCCTCCCGGGTTCAAGCAATTCTCCTGTCTCAGCCTCCCGAGCAGCTGAGATTACAGGTGCCCACCACCACGCCTGGCTAATTTTTGTATTTTTAGTAGAGACGGGGTTTCACCATGTTGGCCAGGCTGTTCTCAAACTCCTGACCTCAGGTGATCCACCCACCTTGGCCTCCCAAAGTGCTGGGATTACAGGCGGGAGCCACCGTGCCCAGCCCTTGTTGGGTTGTTCTAAGGATCACAGAGACAATAATGATGATTATGATTGTTATTATTATTATTGACTGGATCAAAAATAGACAGGACTTGGATCTGTGAGAAATCCAGAGAGGCTGTATGGTTTCCATACTGAAAATATGGGAATGCGAGATGTTCTAGAGAGTGTAGAAGGCTGGTCATCCTCCAGATACATTCAAGCTAAATTCTGAAAATCTCTAGGACACATCAAAAAACTTTACCTTTTTTTGAGCCAGTTCATGGTCAACTTCCTCCTCTCCTAGGCCAATCTCTGCCATCTCAGGTTGGTCTTTCAGTTTGTTCAGCAGCTCTGCCTTGGCCACAGAAATATTGTAATAAGCTGAGTAAGAGGTAGGGATTCCTGGGGCCCCTGAAGGAGGCGAAAAGTGCTGAAACTCTTGTCTGTGGAAACAAAGAATGACCATTTGAGCACCTCTGTTGAGAGGCTGCTGACATTTCTGCTTCTTAATTTCTCCATCTGAAAAATGGAACCCTGCTTCACCAAGGAGTTGAAAAAAATGGAGAAGGCACTGTTCAAATGTAAACAGGCCACATGAAGGCAAACTGGAGTTAAGTAAAGGTAAGTTTTAAGAACTTAGAAGGCTATTTCCATGCCCCTGACTTCATCGGCTAGGGAGACTTCTTTCGAGATAATTTGGTTTGGTCATTAACACTCAATTAAAATCCAGAAAACCTGGCAGGCCTTCTGATCATCATCCCTTTGGTGCATGACCCCAGTATGTGGATCCCAAAGTAGGGGCTAGGTGGTAGAGAAGTATCTGAGACCTTATCTATTGGTTCTCCAAGCCTGTTGGCCTCCCTCAGACCTACCCCTGGATCTCAACCCATCCTGGCTCTATCTAGTCTTCTTGCTTACAAAGGCACCCTGTGGCTTTCCTGGACACTCTCATCATTTTTTTCTTTTCCAATGCCACTCCTACTTGAAATGGACCCTCTGCTGCAGATCTCCCACAGCAAAGAGGTCACCCATGACCTCAACAGTGGTCACCATGTTGGAGGCTGCAGTTAGCACCCTGCCAGGGACTTGTCACCGCCCACCACATCTCTCATGAACTCTTCAGACATTGCCTGCTGTAGGGCAGGACTTCAGCCTGAAAAGGGATAGCATCTCTCCACTTCTGGCATATTCCCAATGGCTCCTGCCTCCTCCATGGTTGTAGAATGAAATGGGGAAAAAAATGGAACCAGTGGCACCCAGGGGCTTGACAAGTATAGCAACAGACCCTGTTGTCTTGGGTTCACCAAAGCCTGTGGGGCTGAGGCATTGCTTCTCAGAGCCCCAGCCCATGAAATAGAACTTCTCAGGAAAAAAAGTAGTTCTGGTTCCATGCTGGCTTGGGTTTGGCCTCTTCTGCCATCAAAGCTTCCAGTCTGGTGTGAGGAAGGAAGTAGAGAGAAATGCTACAATGTTAGGTCTCAGCGATGGAGGGGCAAATAATTTTGCCCGTGGTTTATGCTAGGGGGTGGCCCGCCCTCACTATATTCTCATTGCCTGCTAGCCACTCCCATCCTCCACCTGTCTGTGTCACTACCCCTTCGCTAACCTCTAGCTGTTTGAAAGGGAAAATAGGAGAAACTCATTAGTCATTTTTGCAGCTATTTGCAGTTCTTAAAGGTCAAAAATAATGGTTAAAAGGCTCCACAGCTATTTACTGATTCATGCTATGCTGTCTCCTAATTCATCACACAAAAGAAAGTTGGGCCCGCCAATATTTTTTATCCTAGGTAAATTCATTTATATGTAAGTTTCAAGCTTGTAACACTGATAAAAGAACAATACTAGCTAACATGCACACCATACTTACCATGCCCCAGAAACCATCCTAAGATAGATACATGCACACATAGGTATATACATATATAATTGAATGCTCATGAAAACCATTATACAGATAAGGAACATGAGGCAACATGAGGTACAGTGACTTCCTCAAGGTCACCAGACATTAAATGACAGACCTGCAATTTGCACCTGGACAACCTGACTCTAGAATCTGTGCTTCAAGCCGCTATGCTATACTGCCAAAGGGACAACTTGAGATCATATAAAAGCCTACATGTAAGGAATTTTCTGGCTGGAGTATATCTATGTTAGCAGATAATGGAGAATATTCTGGAGGGAATATGAAGGTCTGAACTTAGGGAATTCCTATCTACAAGAAAAATATTTAGGGTATGTGTGAAAGTTCTGTGTCAGAAGGTGTTATAAAGGAAAAAAAGGATGTGCTAATTGGAGACTCAGTTCCCCAGCATACACATCCCTGCATCATATTATAGTATATCACATTAGGCACTATATTCTAGGGATCCTTTCCTTATCACCTCCATTAATAGGGAAGTGATTATAGGTGGTCTATGTAGTAAACATCAAAGCAAAAAGCAGATTCCTTTCACAGAGCACTGAGAGGAAATGCATAGAGTCCATAAAGCAAGCTATACCTATACCTGAATCAGTTATTAGACTTAAATAATACTTAATTATTCCACTAGCTGGCTTCTGTGTGTATCCCAGCATTTTTTAACAGAACAGTATGTAGGTTATAAAGGTACTAGAGTTTAACTTGGCTGAAATTAGGATATCTTTGTTTGCATTTTAGATTCAAAATATTATGCATCTATATGTCCCTTACAAAATCTTAAAGCTGCTTCCTTCTGGCTAGGACACTGTCCTCTCCTAGGGTCTGGAATAGAATCTTCTTCAAGAGCCCAGAGATCGTGGGATGATATAGCAAGCATAGTGAGCTACCTGAGATCTTGTGATAAAGTTACTTTATCTCCCTGGGCCTTGCTTTTTTCATCTAAGAAATGGAGAAGATGAATGGTAACTATTTCATAGGTTTATTTTCATGATTAAATCAATCATTACCCAAAGTGCTTAGAACAATGCAGGGCACATAGTAAGCAATCAAAAAAATTAGCTATTTTGGGAATGATGCTGTTCCTTAAATCTCCATCACTCAAAGGAGCATCTAATTGATTTTGTAGTCACAAGCAGAGCTGTGTGCAAACAAATGTTTTCCCTTACATCCTAGAGTCATTAAAAATAAATCTCTGGAGCAAGTTACAAGATCTCTAGTAATAGTGATTTCTTTCTGTCTGGCCAAGGTGCCAAGGCAAAGGGAGCTACACAAAGAAGGAAGAACCAGGGCTTGTAACTGCTGCCTCTGGTACACCTTGCCCTACAGGAGAGAAGAGGACCCTGTGACTCCTGGCCTATGGAAAGAACAAGATCTCTCTGGGAGAGGCTGCCTAGGAAGGCAAAATAAGCATGGGCTTTGGAGTCAGACAGCTCTGGCTTTGAATGTTTGCTGTGTAACTTGGAATTAGTTAGTTTCCTCATCTGTCAAATGGGGATAATAATGGCTAATAGGGCTATTGGGAGGATTAAATGAAATAGATACATAATGTCTGGCAGTGTCTGGTATATAAGAAATACTTAATAAATGTTCATCCATTCATTTATTTGTTCTTTCTTCTTAAATATTTGTTAAGTGCCTACTATTGGGAGGTCATTTTCCCTTTTCCCTGCTATGATAGATAACAATCACAGGTATTTTTCACAAAATGTTTTCTAATTACAATGAGAATGCTCCCCAGGTAGAAGAACAGCTTGAGAAGCAGCCACATGGGATCTAATGAAGGATTCTTTTTTTTTTTTTTAATTATACTTTAAATTTTAGGGTACATGTGCACATTGTGCAGGTTAGTTACATATGTATACATGTGCCATGCTGGTGCGCTGCACCCACTAACTCATCATCTAGCATTAGGTATGTCTCCCAATGCTATCCCTCCCCCCTCCCCCCCTCATGAAGGATTCTTAACAGTGCCTGGGAGCCAGGCCCTGTAAATGCTGTGCTTATGGCATCTTGGGCTGGAAAACTGATCAACTAGCTCCACATAGACAAGTCACAGATTTGTCTGACAATAAAAGACATGATAACAAGGTACTTCTAACCGCAACAAGTCTCAGGCAAATTCCTGCTATAAAGAGAGTTAAGGAAAGCACTTATAAGCCACCTGCCTCCCGAACCTCAGCCCCAGCAGAGAGTGGGCTGAGCTCTCCACAGGAGAGCAGGTGGAGCTGCTGACAGCCAGAGCACTGAGCAATAATAGCAATGATGGTCCTGGGGCTTTTGCTTTGGAGCAAAAGAAATTAAAAAAAAAAACCCAACCATGCACTATAGGGCATGCAGATGACAACTGGCTCAGTGGAGTGAACAAACACTGGCAGTCCTGCTGCCAGAACACACTCTTGCTTTGGCCTCCCTGCCCAGGCAGCTCACCCTGTCAACTACCACCTATTACACACCCACATGAATGCAAAGAGGCAGGTAAACAAGGAGGGGGAGAAAGTGGAAGAGAAAAAGAATGTCCTTATCTATTGTAAGGAATTATCAAGGCATGAAGCACCCAGCCCCAGGAATACCTTTGATGCTGGTGGTTGTGGGGGGACGAGTTTAGAAGCCCAGGCTACTTGTCCTAGAGCAGAGGCAGGTCAGGTTGTGAGCTGGCCTCTTATTCTGGAGGGCAAGCAGAAGAGAAGGCAGGAAAAGTGCCTGAGCCAGGTTTCTGGGAAAGACCTAGTATAGGCAACAAGTGTTCAATGCCTTTGGGATCAGGGGCCAGAAATTGATGGATACCATGAAGACACACTAAGGAAAAGTATAGTACTTTAATAAAGATATTTAGGGATAAGAACATGATATTTACTGAGCATGTACTATGTGCTAAGCATGGAGCTATATCCTTTATGTAGATTATCTTAATATTCATAACAATCATGTGAAGCAAGTATCATTATACCCATTTTCCAGGTAAGAAAACTGAGGCTGGGAGCAGTTTAACTGGCCAGCCTGAGGTCATCCAGTTAGTAAATAGTGGAGGTAAAATTCAAACTTGTGCTGCCTGCCTCTTCAGAGACCTAGTATCTTTCATATGTACTTACTTGGCGGATTCAGTGGCTTCCTGTCCCGATGTCCTCCAAAGCCCACCAATGCCATAGTAGCAAGGGGGCTGAGCCTGCTCAGGTTGAGATCCCAAGTGACCCCTTATTGGAGGCAAGAAATCACTGGAATGGAGTGCAAAGGATTCTTGCTCTGCTGGGACACTTTGTGAACCCTGTCTCGAGCCCTCCAGGTGGCCAAAGCTGAGGGGTTGTGGCTGCTCTAGGACCTCCTCAGGATTGAGAGCACAGGAACCAGAGGTTTCTGAACTGAAATACTGGGGTGGCAGCTCCTCTTCCTCCTCCTCTGCCTCCTCCTCCTCCTCTTCCTCTTCCTCTTCTTCTTCTTCTTCCTCCTCCTCCTCCTCCTCCTGTTGCTTCTGCTGCTGCTGTTGCTGCTTCTGCTGCTGGGCTGCACGAAAGAGCCTGTACTTCTCCCAGTTGGGAGGAGGAGGGCGAGGAGGAGGAAAGGCCTTCTTCCTGGCTCCGAGAAGATCCGACTGGGTCTCATCACCTTTGCTAAAGAGCTCCCTCCTATGCTGCCCCCAGGCCCGGGTGCTTTGGGGCGCCAAGCTGATGTGACTCTCTGAGAAGGCACGGCTGCGCAGTGGGTGGGGCATGGAGGCAAGGGAGCTCCCCTCCTCATAAACTGAAGTTTCCTCTGATTTTTTCAAAGCATGTTTGAAGTCTCCAAGGAGGTCAAGAGAAGAAATTGCTCGGTAGCTTGACAAGTCCAGTGCTGGGTTCTCAAGGCAAGGATGGAAAGGGGTTGCCCATGAAAAGCTAGTCTTGGAATGAGCCATTTCCCTGCAAAACATCAGATGAGTACTGAGAAAAACAAGCAAGTTGCAGATAGGCCCATATTTTGGATGACAACATTTATATAAAATTTAAAATGTCCACAAAACAATGTAGTATGTGTAGTAAATGTAATAATAGTAATAATAATATTATAATAATGATAGCTAACACTTACTGAGCACACACTAAATACTAGGCACTGTTTAAGTGGTTTCCATGTCTTCACTTATCTAATCCTCACAATAACCCCAGGAGGTAGCTATTACTATTGCACTGATTTTACAGTTGGGGAAACTGAGGCATAGAGCATTTAAGTAACTTGCCTGGGGTCATAAAGCTAGTATGTGGTAGAGCTAGGATTTGAACTTGAACAGTTTAGCTCCAAAGTCTGGATATACACATACTACCCCAGTCTGTTTATAGGAGTCAGATTGCATGTGCTGTTTTCTGGGGCTTACAAGCCTGGTTATCCTGCCTCATCTGTTGTTTTTGTTTGTTTTTCATTATAAAAATGTTGAATATTTAGAAATGTACAGAGATTGATTGCCATAATACCCATGTTCCTACCTATCACCCAGACTTAGTAAGTTTGAATACTTTGCCATTTATGTTTTATGACTGTTTCTTAAGAAATAATACCCTTCACATAACTCTCCACTTCCATTCCCCTATTGCCTCTCTAGATGCAACCTGTATTATGAATTAGATATATATACTTTCTGTGTTTTTATACTTGTAACAAAAAACACCACACAGGTCATTCATAGTTATCTGCTATTTTGGATTTAAAATATCTCCTTCTGGCCAGACACAGTGGCTTATGCCTGTAATCCCAGCACTTTGAGAGGCTGAGGTGTGTAGATCACTTGTGTCCAGGAGTTCAAGACTAGCCTAGGCAACATAGCAAGACCCTGTCTCTAAATTTTTTTTTTAATTAGCTGTGCATGATGGTGCGTGCCTTTAGTCCCAGCTACATGGGAGGCTGAGATGGGAAGACAGCTTGAGACTGGGAGGTCGAGGCTACAGTGAGCCATCATTGCACCACTGTACTCCAGCTGGGGTGACAGAGTAAGACCTTGTCTCAAAAAAAAAAATATCCTAATGCAATTCCAATCAGAATTCTCAATAGGAATTTTTAAACTACATTTAACTACAGAATTTTTAGAAAATTAACTTGTAATAAAAGCAGGATATAATATTAAAGAGTATTCTGCTACAGAAGAAATGGGGAAGGGGGTAAGTAAGGGATAAAGTATATTATAAAATAATTGTAATTGAAACTGTGTTATTGATCAACAAAACAGAATAGAAAGTTCAGAAACAAAGCAGACTACCTATAAAAACATCATATACATAATCTTCCCCCAAAAAGGAGATAAAGAAATATTATTTAATAAATCTTTTTGAGATAACTGCAAAGCAGTGCTTTTTGGAGCTACATCATATATTATATACCAAAATAAATTCCAGATCAAGAGTCATGGATATGTGTGTGTGTGTGTGTGTGTGTGTGTATAATTTTAATATATTATATATGTTATATGTGTATATATATGTGTATATATTATGCACATATATAACATAAGAAAAACCTATCAGAAAATTAAAAAGACTATCATTGTGAGGTGAAATAAGATTCTCATAAGCAATAGAAGAAAACCTCCAAATAAGTCCAGGTTTATTTGAATTTACATAAAAATTCAAACTTCTGTATAATAAACACTGACTAAAGTTAAAAGACATCTCTTTAGCCTCAGAGTATAAAGAGTTAAGCCCTCTAAACCACAAGATCTGGTTTCCTGCTGTAGCCTGTGAGCAATCAGCATCATGCTAAGTCCTGCCCAGTGACAGGAAATTCCAGGGGTTCAATTAAATCATCATACAGAATATCCATTCAATAATCATGATGAAGATTGGAAATAGTTCTTTAAAAAATAATAATACACATAATAATAGCCAAATTCAGACAGAATGGAAGACAAAATGTCCTTAATTCTCCTCTTATCCCTCCCCCATTCTGGTCAGCTCACCACTCATGTGGATCAGAAATTCATATCCAGACATACCCACTATCTTCTCATTTGGGCCTTTGCACACTTATAGATCATTAAGATTATAACAATCCCTTTTGTGCAAACTGTTCCACCTGGCATATTCTCTCTCTCTCTCTCTCTCACACACACACACACACACACACACACACACAGTGATGGACAAGTGGAAAGTAAAAAAATGACAAACGTGTACCAGGCAGAGAAGCCTTTCCTGACTACTTTATCAAAAATAGAGACAACTTACATTTAATTATCCTTATTCTACTTCATTCTTTGAGTATTCATCTTCATCCCCACCTGATATCATATCACATATCTATTTTTACTTGATTATTTTCTGCTCCAATCTCTAACTAAAATGTAAGCTCCATGAGGGCAGGATCTTGTCTGTCTCATTCATAGGTTTCTAGTGCCTGGCACACAGTAAGTGTTCAATAAATATGTTTAACAAAGGAATTAAGGTCAAAATTAAAGAAAAAATAAATTATGATACTCATTTCATACATAAGTTGAATTAAAGGCAAAATGCAATAAATAAGACAAAGAAGGGCACTATAATGTTAACAACTAGAACACATGATGGTCTACCTCCTCTGATCTTTTATGCACCAAAAAACATAGCATAAAAATTCTTAAAGCAAAATCTATAGCAAATGCAAAGGTAGAAAAAAAGTAGAAACAAAATATGAGACTGTTTCAGCTGATGACAGATCATGACAGTCAAAAACTAAGATAATGAGAAAATCTAAATTTCTTCATATACTGAAACAGACTGTATTTTTTTAATCAAGGGCCCATTGAGTATATTTTTAATTGGCTATATACTGAGCCAGAAAATGGAAGTAGTACAGACCATATTTTCTCATGACAATACGGTAACACTAGTAGTACAGACCATATTTTCTTTTTTTCTTTTTTTTTTTTTTTTTTTTTTGAGACGGAGTCTCGCTCTTTCGCCCAGGCCGGACTGCAGTGGCGCTTTCTTAGCTCACTGCAAGCTCCGCCTCCCGGGTTCACGCCATTCTCCTGCCTCAGCCTCCCCAGTAGCTGGGACTACAGGCGCCCGCTACCGCGCCCGGCTAATTTTTTTTGTATTTTTAGTAGAGACGGGGTTTCACCGTGTTAGCCAGGATGGTCTCGATCTCCTGACCTCGTGATCCGCCCGCCTCGGCCTCCCCAGACCATATTTTCTAATGACAATACGGTAACACTAGAAATTAATAACAAAATGAAAATAAAAATCTTTAGCATGTAGAAAATAAACGGGAAAAAAATTCTTCCACTTTAGTCGAAGAGAAAATCTAATTTGAAATTGTTGAATATCTAGAAAATGACAACAAACAATGAAAATATCAGAAGCTAGAGGATATGGTTGACTAAAGCAGTAGTTAAAGAAAAACTTGTAGGCTGGGCGTGGCAGCTCACTCCTGTAATCACAGCACTTTGGGAGGCCGAGGCGGGCGGATCACTTGAGGCCAGGAGTTCCAGACGAGGCTGTCCAACATGGTAAAACCCTGTCTCTACTAAGAATAGAAAAATTAGCCAGATGTAGTGGCGTGCGCTTGTAATCCCAGCTACTCGGGAGGCTGAGGCAGGGGAATTGCTTGAACCTAGGAGGCGGAGGCTGCAGTGAACTGAGATCGCGCCAATGCACTCCAGAGCTCCAGCCAGGTTGACAGGGTGAGACTCTGTCTCAAGAAAAAGAAAAAGAAAAACTTGTAGCCTTAAATACTTATATTAGTATGTAAGAATGAATTAAAATAAATGAATTAAGCATTCAACAAAAGAAGAAAAGAATCATAAAAATAAACCTAAAACAAAGCAGAAAGACAATAAAACTAACGGCAGAAATTAATATACTAGAGAACAAGTGATAGAATAATTAAAGGCAAAACCAATTCCTGAAAAGAAAATAAAAAACAATGAAACAGATTAACCACTTGCTAATCTAATTAAAAAAAAAACACCCAAATGCACAAAATTAGAAATTGAGAAATAACCACAGTTACAGAGTAAATGAAAAGAATAAGAGAATACTTTGCTCTACCCCATAAAACAAATTTGAAAACTTAAAGTATTTTTCTGTGAAAACAAATATTACCAAAACTGATTTCAGAAGAATGAGAATATATAAACCCACCAGTTACCATAGGAAAAAAAAGTATAAATTTGACCAAAAATAGCACAATCACATAGTCTTGTGTTAATTCTACCAACCTTCAAGGAAAAAAAATCAAACCAATGTTATTTACATTTTCTAGAATCTGGAAATCTAGAGAATAGAGAGAGAAGAAAAGATTCCTGCATTACATTGATACTAAAACCCAGCAAACAGAACAGAAAAAGCAAACTAGAGACCCATCTCATCTGAGAATACAGATGCAAAAATCTTAAATAAAATATTAGCAAACAGAATCTAAGAGGATGTTAAGAAATATGATACACCATGATCAAGTGGGGTTCATCCTAGAAATGTAAGACTGGTTCAGTAATAGAAAATCTACTGATATAATTGACAACATTAATAAATCAAAGGATAAAAGGCACATAACAATTTCCCTAATGCTAAAATGTATTTGATAACAATTCAACATCACTTCCAGATAAAAAAAAAACCTAACAGAAAAAGATGTCTATTTCCATAATACCATCATTATCATCAGACTTTTGTTTTAAAGTCAAAAGCCAATATTGTGCTTAATGGCAAAACACTAGAGGTATACCCATTAAAAACAAGAACAAGGCAAAGGTGCCCACTTTCCCCACTAATATTTAATATTGTTCTGAAAGCAATAGTGCAATTTAACAAAATAAAGATGTAAACATTGGAAGAAGGGGATATCTTCTCATTATGTATAGATGATACGATTATTTATCTGGAAAATTCATCAGAAACTTTTTTTTTGAGACAGAGTCCAGCTCTGTCACCTAGGCTGGAGTGCATGATCTCCGCTCACTGCAACCTCTGCCTCCCAGGTTCAAGCGACACTCGTGCCTCAGCCTCCCAAGTAGCTAGGACTATAGGCATGCACCACCATACCCGGCTAATTTTTGTATTTTTAGTAGAGACAGGGTTTTGCCATGTTGCCCAGGCTGGTCTCAAACTCCTGGCCTTAAGCAATCCACCCACTTCGGCCTCGCAAAGTGCTAAGATTACAGGCATGTGCCACTGTGCGCAGCCTCATCATAAACAATTTAAAAATAATACCAACAACAGGAAAATTCAGTAAGGTGTCAGGGTATAAAATTCATATATGGAAATCATCTTTTCTACATAGATGCAACAATTAGTTAGAATATATAATGGAGGGAAAGATCACATTTACTGCAGCAATTATAAAGGTAAGATGCCTAGAAATAAACCTAACAAGATATATGCAGGATCTATACGCAAAAACTTTAAAACTCTATTGAGAAACATAAAACTAGATGCACATAAATGAAAGGACTCACAATTTCCTAGCAACGATGACTCAACATTGTTAAGATGTCAACTCCAAGTGAATCTATAAACTTAATAGAAACTCAATAAAAGTGTCAACAGACTGCATTTTGGAACATTATTGTAAATTTCATATGGGAAAATTAAAATCGTAAGAATTATTATGAACGGTATGGAAAAAGAGAGATGAAAGAGGGAAGACCAGCCCTACCAATTATTGAAATAATTTCTAAAGTTAGCAGTAAATAAGGCAGTCTCACAAATAGAAAGGTAGATCCATGGAATAAAACAGAGAACACTAGAACACTGAAGTCAACTCAAATGCATAGGGGAAGTTAGTTTGTGATGAAGCATTTCAAATAGTGGGGGAAGGATGAATCATTCAATACGTAGTTTTAGAACTGGATAGCCATTGAGACAAAAATAAAGCTGAATCATCCTATCACTTTTTACAACGAAATAAAGTTTAGATGTATCAAGACTCAATTGTCAAAAAAATACCATAAAGGTACTAGAAGAAAACATTTTTAAAAATATAAAATAATCTTGGCAGGATAAGTTCTTTTTAAGTAAGACACAAAACATAAAAGTAATAAGGGAAAGTTTATAAATTTGACTTCTTAAAACTTAAAAAATTATGTCCAGAAAAAACACCATAAAGTCTAAAGGTGAAGATATACTGGGAAAAATATTTGTAACATATACAACTAAGAGTAAATATCCTTAATATGTGAAGTATGCTTACCAATCAATAAAAGGGACCAACAACTCCATAGGGAGAAAAAGGTATAGTTCACAGAAAATGACTTATCAATTTACCAAAAGGTGTTCGACCTCACTTAAAATTTAAAAAATGCAAATCCAAACAATAATGACACTTTTTAAATAAAAAAAGTTAAAGAATTAATGAGGGTATAAGGAAACAGGTGATCTTACACACTGTTGGTGGGAGTTGAAATTAGCATAACTCCTAGGGAGGGCAATTTGGAAGGCAAAGAAGGTAAAATGTGCATATCCTTTGACCCAGTAGTTCAACTTCTAGGGATTTATCCTACAGACACATTCCAACATGAACACAAAGAGATATCCATAAGGATATTCACTGTAGATTTGTATGTAATCACAAAAGACTGGAAACCATCTAAATGTCCTTCAATAGGGACTAAATAAAATAGGGAATATCTATATATGGAACACTATGTAGCGTTAAAGGTGATGCAATAGAGCTATGTGTAACATAGAATAATCACTAAAATAAAAAAGCAGGATGTACAATAGAAAAGATATGCAATATGTTCCCATTTTTGTAAAAAAGAATGTATATACATGCACACACGTTACTTTTCTGGAAGGATACACAACAAATTGCCAGTAATGTCTCTTGTAAAGAGTTGTACTGATGGTTTGGGGTGAGATTCTCTTATTGTGTGTGTGTGTGTGTGTGTGTGTGTGTGTGTATACACTAAATGCATTTATTACTTTTTTCAATTAAAAATTAGTAAACAGAAAAATAAAGCATAAATCTGATTTTGTTATACATTTTTCTGCTTGAAGCCTACATTATTCATAAAATACAGACCCTTACTAGGATTTGTTAGGTTTCTTAAAATTCTGCCTTTCCTATCCTCCCACACTTCTTTTTGCCTTTACATGCTGTTTGCTCTTTATCTTCTCTTTCCGCCTCTTTATCTGACTTACTTTTAGAATTCCACTGAGATATCATTTCCTTGAGGAAGCCTTCCCTGATTCCCCCAAAGCATGGGATAGGTGCCCAGACTGTCCTCTAACAGCACCCATTAATTTTCCTAGCACACTACTGCTTAGTTGTCTGCCCCTTCCACATAACCATATTGAGGGTGAAGGCACATGTCAAGTTCACCACTGTATCACTAGTATCCAGCACAGTGCCCGGCACACAGTGGGTGCTCAGTACATATTTCTTCAATGTGAAATAAATGCAGGTTTGTGTGACTATGGAAAAGAAGAAAAGTTAGATCTTTTTTACTGTAACCTCGTAGCCCAGGTTGCCAGGCAATGGGAACAATGAGTAGCAGGTAAAGCAGTCAGCAGCTGTCCAATTGCTCCAGAATCTGATTGGGGTTTGTGTGTGGTGGGGGGAGGGGGAGTGGCCTGGGATTTATCTCGAGGCTGTGTTTGCATAGCAAGTCTGTTGTTTTTACCTAAATTGCGTATTTATTTGGGGTAGCGCAAGCTAATGGAAATTATTTGCTTTGCTCAACCTTATCAAGCTTCCTAATTCTATTACTGGGCTGATTTACCCTACAGTGCTCAAAGAGCACCGGAGTTCATGAGCTGCATGGAGCTTTGCTGCTTTGATCAAAGCTGGTGCCTTGTCAATGCCGTCCTTAGCTACACATCTCAAAAGATGAGGTGCTTGTCTCATGTAGGTGCTCTCATAAAATGCTGCTTCCTACTTCAACTGGGTGCCTGGCCAACGCCCTTCAGCCTTGTCCAATCATTTTTTCAGTTTTTGGTATCCAAAGATTAACGATTAATGGGTTACTGATATTTACCTTGAAACCTTTATGGTCAGTTCCCTTTTTCTTCATTCTGGAGGAGTTCTGGGTTTGTAGAAAAATAAGGTCAACTCTCCACTCTACTGGGCTTTTACCATTCTTTTTTCCTTCTCCCTGAAACTGGATTTCAACCACCTACCCTTTTTTTTTGACTGGTCATTTATTTTTTAGTCTAGGGTAGTTGTGTTCACAGAACTTCTTTTATATTTATTTTTTTCTATTTCTTGCATTTCAAAGCATAAATATGAGGACATTAGCACATATAAGAAATTAATAAATATATTGCCAACATATGTTGAGGGTACATGCTTAAAAAATTCTTTCTGAGAAGGGTACATGATCCAACTTTCATTGGAAACCACTAGTCTGGGAAAACAGCTCATAATCAAAGTGGCTCCTCATTAGAATTACCCAGGAAGTTGTTTAAAATGCAAATTCATAGGCCCCAACCCTAGAAATTGGGTTTCATACCTCTGTGGTGGGATCCAGGAATCAGCATTTTAAGCAATTCACCTAAAGGATTCTAACACAGGTGGTTCAGGGACCATATCATGGAAACAAAGGTTCAGAGTAAAAGGGTTGGGAGTGCTATGGTTTGGGGGCAGTTATTTGTTCCAATTAGGTTGGTTTCCAAACTATACATTCTGTCCCCCATCCCTCACCACACACACCTGGTTGCCCATTTCTATCTCCTGTCCCTGCCTCTCTCCCGACCTTCACCTCCGATGTAGATTTTATGAAATGCAGCAATATCCTCAAAGGCAACAATTGGGCCAATGTATTGCAGCTGTGATGAAAACAACCCTGCTCCATGATAACAATCAAATTTACCACATTTTCTTCTTCCCTAACCAGGGCACAGGACAGGCAATTGAGCAAAGCAGAAAGAACACAGTGTTGGAAAGACTTGGGTCTGAATTCCAATAAAATTTAAAAATCTGGCTCTATAACTCAAAAGCTGTGTGACCTTGAGCAAGGTATTTCACTTACCTCATTTTCAACAAAATACCTATCTTACAAATAAGCAGTCATAAGGATGAACTATGTAAAAAGGACCTAGAAATGATGCTAGGAACATGGAAAATTGCCTTCACAATTGTATGCTTCAGGCTTGCTCCTTGTTCCCATCAAGAGAATTGGACTGCACTCCCTGATTAATGTTCAACCCTGCTCAATAGCCAAGAAACCAGGAGACCTCAAGTCCCAGCTCAACCACATAGCTGACTAGCCAGGAGGCCCTAGTTTACTAAGGAGTTTAAGCCTGGACTCATTCACTCAAACTTTTCCTATCTACTAAAAAGGGAGATATAATAAAAGGCAAGTTTAGGGTTAAGAGCAGTGTGACAATCAAAAGGTCTGGATATTCAAAGGTGTCTTAAGTACTAACTATGTGTGTTAGCCTTAAAAAAATCCCCCCCCCCACCCCATCCCGGTAATAAACTCCAGAAACAGTTGGAAGAAAAGAACATGCCCTTCTAGGGACATCTGGTGCCCCAAGTCATGGAACTGTGACCCTATCTGGAGGTACTGGGCACAAGGCAACTTGGGAATTGCTATTCTCTGCATCAGCCCTCATTTTAAAACCACTGCCCTCCCACTCACTTGCCCTGTGTTGGGGCAGCCTGAGACTTGCAGAGTCACTTATATCAAGCAGGCAGAAGAAGACCAACTCCAGAAGGGGAAGGGCTACCCTTAATGGGATCATCTGGGCCAACGTGTGTACTAGTCATTCCTTCAACAAATCCTTGCTGAATATTACACTGTGCAAGATGACCAGATCAAAGGGGAGCAAAACCAATGTTGCTCCTGTCTTCCTGGCTTTAACAATTGAAGCAAAATGGTGATGGTGAAAGGGAGGCTTCCATTGAAGGGTGTCAGCCTCAAGCCAAGGATATTGGTTGGCCTCTAGAAGTCCTATTTTCAAGGGGATCAGGCCTCCTAAATGTACAGAAATTTGCAACTCTGCTTTGAGACCAAGTAAGGATTCTTTCCTTGGAGTGGAGGGCAAGGAGCTTCATTAAGGAAAAGGAACTACTCTGGTTTCTTTCTTTTCTTCTCTTCTCTTCCCCTTCCTTCCTTCCTTCCTTCCTTCCTTCCTTCCTTCCTTCCTTCCTTCCTTCCTTCCTTCCTTCCTTCCTTCCTTCCTTCCTTCCTTCCTTCCTTCCTTCCTTCCTTCCTTCCTTCCTTCCTTCCTTCCTTCCTTCCTTCCTTTCTTATTTTTGAGACAGTGTCTTGCCCAGTCTAGAGTGCAGTGGCGCAATCTTGGCCGACTGCAACCTCTGCCTCCCAGGTTCAAGTGATTCTCATGCCTCAGCCTCCCCGTGTGCCACCATGCCTAGCTAATTTTTGTATTTTTAGTAGAAACTGGTTTTTGCCATGTTGGCCAGGTTGGTCTCGAACTCCTGACCTCAAGTGATCTATCCACCTTGGCCTCCCAAAGTTCTGGGATTACAGGCGTGAGCCACCGCACCCAGTCGACTACTCTGGTTGCCAAGTGTTGGGCCCCGTGTTAGGCACTTTCACGTATGTATTTCCATTAATCTTCACAACAACCATTATTGTCAGTTTGCAGATGAGACTCCTGAGGCTTAAAAAGGATAAATCATTTTCCCAGCTAGTAAAAAGCACAGTGTCCAGACCTGCCTTGTCTGTCTCTGAGAGATAATCGCAGGGAAGCAGGGACTCCTGGGGTACAGCAAAAGGTACTTGTGCTACATTCATCCTCGGGCGTCCATGAAGGCTTTAGCGCCTCACTGAGGAAAGCAGAGGAAGCATGAAAGCAAACTATGAGAAAGGGCTTTGTTGACATCAGCAAGGAGACTACATCTCAAAAACAAAAGTAAATTGCCTGCCAAAACCAGGGTTGTTCATCTCTTTTCCGCTTCCATGGGTTGCCTTTTCTTCTGAAGAACGGATTTTCCCTTTTTGTTAAAATATTTTTTTTTGGCCTAATAGGAATTGAAAATGAAAACCAATATTTGCAGAGACTGAAAAATCTCCTCCTACCTCTTCCTCGGCCCTTTTGAAGTTTCTTGTTTGGAAACTTTATTTTTAAGCTCACCACAATAGCTTGGCATTCTAGAATCTCAGTAGCAACAGCACACAAGCCCAACCCGTCTCGCCTTTCCCTTCCCTCAGCAGCCAAGTAAGACTGCTCCAAGAGAAACAGACACTCCCAGGTTATTGCCGAAGGAAATATTTGCAAGATCCAGGAAGTGAGACGCAAGGAGGATACACAGGGAGGGGAGAAGGACCCAGAGAGCCTGTTGCTGCCACCCCTGCTTGCCCCCGGGCCCACAGAAATTCAAGTAATGAACAATTAGCTTGGCAACAACAAATGCAAGTGGCAGTGCTTGCCCTGAACCTTCTCTAGTCCTCAGGAGGCTGATGCAAAGTGTCCTGTGAAGAAATCAGAGAAGTCCTTGCTTTACTGGGGCTGTCCTGGGTGAAGCTTAGCTCCTTCTCTCCAATGACCCCAATCTATATTTGTTGTCAAGTAATACATACATATGCAGTCACTGTGGTAGAGAGAAAATGTGCTTCTTTGTGAATAATAGCACTGAAATGCAAACTAGTGCTAGTGATAGAAATGAAGGGAAATGGAAAAGCTTTAAGAAAGGGATGGTTCTGAGGCAGATAATAAAATGTTTATTGGTGGGGGTGTGTGTGAGGGGGTACTATGTTGTAGTGGTGGTGACAAATTTGGAGATTCGTAGAGGTCTGGTGATGTCAAAGTTCTTGTGGATTTAAGCAAGCAAAAGTGCTAGTGGATGGAGAATTCTAGCAAACCCAATTCTAGCTAGCAGTGAGAGTAAGCATGTCTGGTAAGTAACATTGTCTGTCATTGGTACGGGGATTTTTTACAAAGCCCTTGATCTTTAACTTCTCGGGTCTATATCAAACCAACGTGGGCCACCTCTTATTCAGATTTTCTTTTTAATTATAAATTCCAACAACTTGACATGTACCTAAAGAACACCATGTACATTCATATCCAACTATTTACATTTTGCCAGATTCCTTTCTGAATTTTCTTTGTGTATGGCTACTATCAGATTAGATTCAACATGTGGTTTCATATTTATTATTTTTTTGTTAATATTACAACCACTCATTTCTGGGAAAGACCCAACATTTGTATACCTGTCACTGTTGATGGCTATTCTATTTTGTTCCAAGATGATGATATATTAGATTGGTAAACTCTTTCCATGAGTATAATAAGCACTACTATGAACATCTTTAAATAATTTTTTCCCTCTTAGGTTATTTCCTTGGGGGTATTTTAGGCCAAATAATATGAACACATATTTCTAGATTGTCCTCTAGGAAGACTAAACCCAGAAACACATACTCTTGTCACATTTTTCTAGATTGCCCTCTAGGAAGACTAAACCAATTTGTATTGTTTCCAGAAGCACGTTTCCTCACAGCCTTGCCAAGGTAGCATTTTACAATTTCTATTTATTGATTTTTTTAATTGCTGATAGTTTAATAAGCAGATTATGATGCCTTGAAGTTGCTTCTATTTGTACTTCTTTAATTGCTAGAGAGGTGGTACTTTTCCATGCAATGATTTTACTCCCTTTATTGCCTCATGTGTAAATTGCCTGTTCATTTTCCTTGCCCACTTACGAAGCTAAATCTGAAAGCTGACCTTCTACCCATTTTTATATATATATTTTTTGGACATGCAACTGTTGTCAGTGATGCTGATCCCAGACATTTTCCTCGTTCTGTTGCTTAGCTTTTTATTACATTTTGTTGTACAAAGGCTTCCCCCCCACCAACTTTTATATATTTGAATCCATCGATCTTGTCTCTGATGATATCCTCCATTTAACAGACACAAATTTATCTTCCATCCACACCTGGAATAAATATGCGATTCTACTGGTCCACTTTCTATACAGTATGTGATATGAATCTAAGTTAATTATTCTCCATATTGATATCTAAAATTCCCAACATTTTTTAAAGAAATAGTAATTGCTTTCCCCAGTTCAGGGTTGTTTCCAGTGTGTCCTATATACTTAAAATAGCTTGAGTCTGTTTCTAGAAGCTCTTTTTTAATTTCACTGTTTGACTTTTTTTAACCCACTATCATATGGTTTTGATAATTGTTGTTTTATGATACGCTTTAAAATCTGATAGGGTAAGTCTACCATCATTAACTTTTAAAATAAATGTACTCTTTGGTATTTCCGCCCACTTACTTATTCTTCCAGATAAATTTTACTATAAATTTGACAAATTCTATAAAGTATCCCATGGTGACTACAATTGGAGTACATTATGTCTACACATTAAATTTAGGGAGAATTGTAATCATTACTATATTCAGTCTTCCTAAATTAAAGCAAAGTATACACTATGCATTTATTCATATTATTTCTCCCATTAGAGTTTTATAATTTTCCTTGAATAAGTTTCGTGTGCCTGGCGTTAAATTAATTCCTAAGTATTTAAATTCACTTAGTTATACTTGTGACAAATCCTTCCGAGCCTCTGAAGGCTGCATTCTTCTTAGGTAGTAAAGGCTTCCTGAAAAGTGTACTCTTCCTAATGAAATCAGATTCAACTCTGAATTACCCATATTCTTTCACTCAATCAGTAAATAGGAACTCTGTACCGGGTATTTCACACTCTGCTCATGATGTGGTGTGACAAAGGGAAGGAAGAGAACCCTAGGCTGAGAATGGAAAATCCTAAGTAGAGCTCTAGTTTGGTCACTTACTTGCTGTATAATCCCAGTAGTAATGGGCTCTGAAGTCAGATGCCTGTTTGACCTTGGGCAAATGACTTTAATCTCTTTGTGAGTCAATTTCTTCATCTGCAAAACTGGGTCAATAAACAGTAATGCTCTCACGGGGTTATTACAAATAATAAAATACTTCATATGAAATGCTTACAACAGTGTCTGACACAGAATAAACACTCAATAAATGTTAGCTATTATACCTGTTGTGGCTGCTGTTAATGGTATAATACCTTTTCTGAGTCTTGGCTTCCTCATCAGTAAAACGGGAAAAATAAGGTTTAACCTCAGTGTTGTTGTGAGAATTAACTGTGGTCATGCATATAAAAACACCCTACACATTCTAAAGTTCTGTGCAAAGTGAAAAAAATGGAAAGGGTCACAGCAGGCAATCATAGGTACAGAAAACCAAGAGAGATAATCCAGAAAATAACTTATTTTGGCTTTTAAATATATCACAGTAATGTAGCTTTTTCTCCCAGTAGATCTACTCACCATTTTTATCCCTCCTGCTAATATTACAATTTTTACATTCTCTTCACGGAAAACCAAATAACAGTGGAGGAAGACAACTAAGAGTATAACTACCTGAAATTAGCAATTCATTGCAGGCTTCCAGGCAAAGAGAGTGGCTTAAGAATACACATTTGATTTTTCCACCTACACTCATCATTCCAGTTTTTACAGAAATAACATAGTAAATGTTAAAATTTGTGTGTGTGGTGGTGGGGGAAGGTGTGAAGGGAAACTCTATCAGGATTTCTCCTCACAGATGTCATCTATGCCCTGGACATCTCCTAGTCCTTCTCATGTTTCCTGAGACCTTTAATTGGGACCTGCCTCTTCCATCTTCAGTGTCAATACTTCCTTTTCTATTGAGCTTTCCTTTCTGTTTTAAACTTAATTCAGTTTTCTAGATTCTGACTGAAGTTTCATTTGAACTGGTGGTTCTGAAACTTAGCTTGCGTCAGAATTGCCTGGAGGGCTTGTTAAAACAGAGATTGCTGGGCCACATCCTCACTTTCTGAATCAGTAGGTCTGAGTATGGCCTGAGAATGTGCATTTCTAACAAGTTCTCAGGTGATACTGAGGTTGCTGGGCCTGGGGCCACATTTTGAGAACCACTAAATTAAACCCAATTGCTCCCTCTAACTATCATCCTATTTCTCTCTTTCCTTTTCCTAGCTAATTTACTATTTTTAAACATCTTCCTTTTTAAACATTTTTTTTTCTTTTGAGACAGAGTCTCGTTCTGTTGCCCAGGCTGGAGTGCAGTATCACAATCTTGGCTCACTGCAACATCCGCGTCCCAGATTCAAGCGATTCTCCTGCCTCAGCCTCCTGAGTAGCTGGGATTACAGGCGCCTGCCACCATGGCTGGCTAATTTTTATATTTTTAGTAGAGACGGGGTTTCACCATGTTGGCCAAGCTGGTCTCGAACTCCTGACCTCAAGGGATCTGCCGGCTTCGGCCTACCAAAGTGTTGAGATTACAGGTGTGAGCCACCGCGCCGGGCCCCTTTTTAAACATTTTAAAAACCACACAGTAACAATTAATCTTTGTAGTAAAATTAGCCAAAAGAAACTGGAACTCTCTTTTGCTGGTGGGAATGTAAAATGGTGCAGTCGCTTTAGAAAACGGGCAGTTCCTCAAAAAGTTAAACAATAAAATTACCATTTGGCCCAGCAATTTCACTCTTAAATATGTACCAAAGATAATTAAAAACATAAATCTACACAGAAACTTGTACATGAATGTTCATAGCAGTAATATTCACAATAGCCAAAAAGTGAAAACAACCCAACAATCCATTAGTGGAAGGACTAGTAAACAAAATGTGATGCATCCATACAATGGAATATTATTTGGAAATAAAAAGGAACGAAGTACTGATACATGGATGAACTGCTAAACATTATGCTAAGTGAAAGGAGTCAGGCATAAAAGACCACATATTGTGCGATTAGAGTCATATGCAGTGCACAGAAAAGGAAGATCTATAAAGACAAAGTAGATTAGTGGTTGCTTAAGGTTGAGAGTGGGAATGGAGAGCAATGGCTAATGGGCATGAGGGGTCTTTTTAGGGTGATAGAAATGTTCTAAAACTTGATTGTGGTGATTGTACATCACTGTAAATTTACTAAAAATCATTGAATTGTACACTTAGAACAGGTACTTGCATTTAAATTGCATTAAATTGTACACTTAAAACAGGTACACTTAAAAGCTGCTTGCATTTCTTCTCTGTGCTCCCCCCTTACAGACCACCATGCCATCTATTTTCTATGCCTACCGCTTTACTGAATTTGCTTTCTTGAAGGTCACTTGTAATTCCAAACTGTTAAGGGCATTAACAGTCATCTGCTTATCTTCTACACTGGCAGATTTCTCCTTCTACTACTTCAGCTGCTTGACCCTTCAGTTTCCTTTGTTGATTCTTCTTCCTCATCCTGTGCCCTGGCTGGGTGTTTGACAAGCCTTGAAAGACTCAACTTGTATCTTCCACTAACTTCAAATACAACATATCCCAATTCAAACTTAGCAGCATCTTCACCAAACCAGGTCCCCTTCTCAAGTGCCCCATCTATGCCAATAACATTCTCCAAGTCACTGGGGCTCAGAGTTGTTTTTTATCTTTTTATCTTTTTTTTTTTTTTTTTGAGACAGGGTCTCGCTCTGTCACCCAGGATGGAATGCGGTCATGTGATCACAGCTCACTGCCGCCTCGAACACCTGGGCTTAAGTGATCCTCCCACCTCAGCCTCCTGAGCAGTTAGGACTACAGGTGTGTACTATCTCATGCTTGGCTAAGATATATTTCCTTTTTTCTCCTCAAGTTCTAGTCACCAAGTTTTCTCTACCTTGCCCTCAAAAGGTGTCACATATTTGTGAGCAAATAATCTGAACAGATAATTCACATGAGAAGCAATAAAGATATTAATATATTAATTAGACACACAAAATATTCAAACTAGAATTATCAAAGTAAGCAAATTAATACTATAATAGGTCCCATCAAACTGTATGGCATTAGAAAAAGAAAATTTTCAATGGTGACATAATTTTGGAAAACTGGTATGCTCATATATTGCTAATGGCATGTAAAACATCTCGTGGGGAAAACAGTTTGGTAAGATCTATGAAGAACCATAAGAATGTTTGTATTGTTTGCACTAGTAATCCCAACTCCACATAATTGTTTTTAATGAGATAATTCAAAATGAGAAAAAAAGCTATAGTGACTCAAAATATTTCTGCTGCATTACTTTATAATAGCCAGAAATTGGAAACAACCTATTTACCCAACAATTTGGGAATGATTAAGCAAATTAGAGCATATTAAGCTGGTGAAATATTATACAGCCACTAAAAATTATGACTTGAGGAAGCCTGCATAGCAACATGAAAAGTTGTTTACCACATAATGCTTAGAGAGGAAAAAGAAGCAGGACACACAAAATTACATCTACATGGTTATTATAATCATGCTTAGAAAACTCTCTATACCTATAGATAAAGCTGACAGGGAAATGAAAACAACCAAGGTGTTAAGGTGGTGACAATAAGGTTTTTTTTTCTTCTATTTTTAATTTCCTGTAATATTGTTTTTACAATAAACAAACTCCCCTCCCCCAAATATCACACCTATTTATCTATTCCTTCTGCTCCATTTCTATCGCACCTCTACCTCCCCAATCCAGGGCCACATTCTGTCATGGCCAGATCACTTCTCCTAATTGGTCTCTCTTCAACCCACTTAGGCTGCAAACACTGCAAAGTTGCCTAAAGGGCCACATTTATCATATCACTTACCTGATGGTAACCTTTCATTGCTCCCATGTTTGTGATCCTATCTAGGTTTACCTAGGCTGGTCTACCTAGGCTGGTCAAGGCCTGCCTAGGCTGGTCCAGTGCTTCACTACTCACCTTTCTTCTCTGCTGCTGCTGTTCTTCTTCCTCCTCATTACAGATAACATTTCCTGAGAGTTTACGGTGTCAGGTTTTGCTCTAAATGCTTTACATATATTAATTCATTTAGTCCTCATAACAACAAACATTTGAGATAGGTACTCTTATCCCATTTTATAAATAAGGGGGGAAGGGAAAGAGAGAGAGGGAGTGAGGCAGGCAGGTAGGCACTTGCCAAGGCCACATGGCTAGTGAATAGAAGAATCTGGCTTTGTACCCAGGCAGAACTGACTCCAAGGCCAGAACTTAACCAGTGGGGATTATTCCTCCAACACACCCTGCTTAGTCTCCTCTATGGGCCTTTCCTCTTACAGCTACCAACCCTCAGTTATTTTTATCCTCCAATGAACTTAAATAGTGTACAGTAATAGTTACCACGTGCTGCCCCCTTACCAGGTGCCAGGTGCTTCTTAAGCCCTGTATTTGACAGGGTTTCATCTTCTGTCAACTTGTGTGAGAAAGTAAAAGCTGGGCTTAATTCCTAGCTTATCCCTTTACTAGCTGTGAGACCTTGAGTAGATTCCTTAGGCTCTCTGACTGTGACCCTTTATGTGAGTTAGCAATTCTCAAACTGGATCCCAGGACCAGCTGCATCAGCATCACCCAGATGCTGTTTGAGCCTGTTCGAATTGCAGGTTTTGAGCTCCACTCCCCACTTACTGAATCACTCTCAGGATGCAGGGTCAGGTCCAACTATTTATCTGTGTTTCAATTGCGCAATCAAGTTTTGAGACCCACCGCCCCAGTTATAATCATACCTACCTGACAGAGTTGTTGGGAAGATAAAGCATAAGATAATATGTGTAATTCGGCTTGCAGCACATAGGTTGTTTGGCAAGTGGTAATTTATTATTATTGCCATTTAGCTTTGTGTGGGTTAGTCTTCCCTGCTCAAGCTGTGGGCAGGCACTGTGCTTCCTGCTGTTCTTTTGCTCGTATTTCTCACCTTGCCCAGAAAAAGGCAGGACCTATATTAGGTTTTCAATAAAGTCCTCTTATTTCACTGACTAATCAGTAAAAGAACCATTTCAGAGAAACACTGTAATGTAGTATAGTGTCCCTGAAGCTAGACCGCCTGGGTCTAGTCAACTGATTAGCTGTGGGACTTCAGGCAAATGAATGTATCTCTGTGTGCCTCAATTTCTTCTCTCTGTCAAATGGAGAGACTAATATTACCAACTCCATAAGGTCATAGTGATAAATACATACTTGTAAAATGATTTGAATGGGGTCTAGAATAGAGCACTGTGTTCAAGAAATGTTAGCTAGCATTATTTTGTGTCATTTCACCCATTAATGGTGGAGGAGGTTCCATTTCTTCATTTGGCAAGCAAATGACAAGTACCTCTTGAGCAACTTCTCTGTATCGGGCACCGTACTAGGTACAGAGAATAAAGCTATGACCAAGGTATGGTGTCCTCTCTCAAGGATCTCAGTCTAATACAGGAAACTTGCATATTCCAAAATGTCCTAGCAATCAGTTTGGTCTGTACCCAGCTATCTAGGAGTGCGGGGGGCAGGGGGACAGGCTGAATTATATCTATGGTATCAAGCCCTTAGTCTAGATACCAGGCCAGTTTCCTCAAAGGAAACTAAGCAAACCAAAGACCTTAGCAATTTCTACAGAAGCTCCAGAGGCACCAACCCACCCCAACTCCCTGAGCGCTCACTTACCTCCCTGACTGGCTGGTCTTCCTGTTTCCTGTTATTGGATTCCATTTGTCCCCAGGAAATTCCTGTAAAGAAAAATCCTGATAAGTTAGAAAGCTTTGAGCAGCCAGGTATCTAGATGGCCTCAAAAATGTGAAGAGGTCAGGAGCCGGTGTCTGGCCCAGCCCCCCAGCTTGTTTCTTCTACTCTGCTATGCAGGCTGAGAAATTTGTACCTGGAGGGCTGCCTTTCTGTCGGCAGGCTTGCTAAACTGCTGCAGACATGCAGAGACTAAGGGAGCACTTAGGGACCTGGACACCATGGTCTAGGAATGCTGTTTCCCTCTTTCTCCACTCCCCTCCCAAACCACATTAAAAACCAGTTTAGTATGTTTGCTGTTTGCCCTGGCTCTTGCCTGCACAGAGAGATGGAGGTCTTTTTGTTTGTTCTGCTGGGTGAACCTGCTCATTCCTCCTGCCTCTTCCAACAGAGAAAGCATCTACTTGGAAGCCCTGACCCTTGAGGGGGGCTTTGAGGGCAGAAGCTCCGGCTGCAGCAACCCTCTCCCCAGGTGAGGCAGAGGGACAGCAGGTATGCCAGCATGCCTCCAACTGCAGTGGCTCCTCCTTCTCTGCCCACATCTGCTGGCAGGGGCTGAGGTGGGCCCATCTCTGGGGAATATGAGTGCAGGTTGCCACAGTCCCTACATTACAGGAGCAGACTCTCTACCCTGGGCATTTTTTCCTTAAGGGCCATGTCCAAGCAACTCTTTTTTTTTTCTAGGCCAAGCCATATGTGCCGTTTGTAAAACTGTCCCTGCCTTCCTATTTTAGCTCCAAACTGAATGCAAATTAGCCTTTCAGATTCTCTCTTTGTATCCAATACTCCACACCTAGAGACTCAGAGTTTAGTTCAATGGGAATGCACAGTTTTTCCTAAATTTCACTGATCTTCCAAACTCCCTCTTTCTCCAATGCTACTACTATTAGTCCCATTCAAAGTTTTATTACCTTTGCCCCAGTAGGTCTCCCTACTGGAAGTAAGACGCCTGGTGAAGCAGAATAAACATAGATCCTTGGCGCAGTCTCACTGGCTAAGACACTTAATAGTGGTGTTATTTGAGGTTATTCATATTACCTCCTTGAACCTCACCTCAGTTTCCTATCTGGGTGACCAGTAGTGATAATAAATAAGATATGCAGAGAGAACTCCTAGCACATTGCTTGGCACATAAGAGGCTCTGGATGTTAGCAGCAATGGAAAAGTTGAGGTTTATTTCTTGGCTTCAGCTTTTAAAGGACCACAGCAGTCCCTGCCTATATCTGGCATGTCAGAACAGCTCTAACCACTTGTACTTTAGACTCTGCCTCGATGCCCTTGTGAGACGTTCCTGCCTGCAAAGACACCATTACTTGTTCAACCACAGTGGGGGCCAGGATTTCCTGTCCATGCCCTGTCTAGCCCTGTGGACGTGCTCAGTAAATAGCAGTGGCCAAACCAAAGTCCTATACCAACTCCCAACCACCTTCCCAGGTCCACAGTATCACTCTACTTTTTTTTTCCCTAAGCCACATAGGTTCCTGGTACATTGCTTGCACCCTTTGAATCAAAGAGGCAGTTATCCCCACCGCTTGCTGCAAATGGAGATTGTGATGGGAACTTGCTGTCCCAGTGGAAGTGATACTGCTAGAGGGCATCCGGCCACACTAGAGAGGGCCTGGGCTTTGCAATCAGCTTATGGAGAGGCAGTGTAGCACAGTCAGGAGCTTGGCCTCTGGAGCTTGATAGCATGGATTCAAATCGCACACCTGCCTTTCACTTGCGGCCTCAGGCAAGCCATTCAACTTCTCTTTATCTCAGTTTCCCCAACTATATAATAGTATAATCACGATAATAATATTGCTTGAGAACTCAATGACTTGATACATGTAAAGCATCTAGAATAGTACCTGGTGCCCAGTAGACACTGAGATGCTAGTTACTGTCATGTTATTCAAATTCTGGCTCTGCCACTTGCTAGATGTGTGACCTCTCTGAGCCTTGGCTTTCTCAGCTTCCTCAGCTGTAAAATGGGAGATCCTATTATAACTTATCCCATACAATTGGTAAGTGAAATAATTTGACAATGAATGAAAAACAAGCTGGTATGAAGGACGTGAGTGCATGCTGATTTCAGTCTTCACAGCACTGAACAGGAGACAATTAGTTCACCAACCTCGTCCAGGGGCATTAGGAGCAGGATCTCAGCCCTACTTCAGATAGCTACCACCACAAGTACCTGAGTCATCAGAGCGATGGCATCTTAACCCATGCTGCAAGTTTTTCCCATTTCTTGAGGGGGGTGGAGTAGGAGTGGAAGGTTCAGATGATGGGCAGAAATGGGCATGTGGTGTCTCCTAGGCAGCCATCCACGTGTCGGAATGCCTAGTATCTAAGCAGACCTGCTTAGCTGGTCTAACAAGCATTAGGAACCCAAGGTATCCCTCCCTCAGAGTACAAAAAATAGAGGCATGGTGTAGGCACAGCCTCACCCGCATGCATTACTGCTGCCAATTGCTGCAACCTGCAAATCGTACCTCCATCTCTTATAGAGCTGCTGGTCCTGGGCTGACACCGCTGCAGCCGTCATCTCCTCACTTCCCCCGCCCCACTCACCCCCAATCTCAGCCCCCTTTGTCTACTGTCTATCTGTGAGTCCTTCTTCCAGCAAAAGTCTCTCAAGCTAAGCCAAAATGTCCCTTTAAGAGATGATAACTCACTTATAAGATGATTACAATCTGGCAGTCACTGCTCTGAGTCTTAAATGTGTTACATCACTTAATCCCCACAACCAACTTATGAAGTAGGTGTTGTTACTACCCCCATGCTTTTAGATGGGAAAGCTTAGGCATTGTAAGTTCGGGGGAAGAAATTCAAAACCAGGCAGTCTGGTTCCAGCTTCGGTGCCCTTAAAACCATTATTTTATATTTCCTCTCCTCTTTTTTTCAACATTATGAATATATTCAAACATACAAAAATGTTGAAAGAAGTTCACAGTGATCACCCATATACCCAGCACCTAGATTCTACAATTAACATTTTGATATATTTGCCTTATCATATATCCATTTACTCCTCTATCCATCTACCAATCCATCTTAAAATCCTGGTGCATTTTAAAGTAAGTTGAAAACAACTATATCCCCATAAATTTTAAAATGTAAATGAAATGGACAAATTTCTTGAAAGACACAAACTACTAAAGCTTACTCAAGGAGAAATAGATGACCTAAATGTCCCCAAATCTATTAAAGAAATTGAATTTGTAGTTAAAAAGCTTTCTACCAAAAAACCTCCAGGCCCAGATGGCTTCAGTGATGAATTCAAGCAAACATTTAAGGAAGACATTTTATACAAACTCTTCCTGAAAATAAAAGAGAAGGGAATACATCCCAACTCATTTTTTAAGGCTAGCATTACCTTGATACAAACAAACAAAAAAAACAAAAAACAGAAAAAGATGTTATAATAAAACTATAGACTAAAATCCCTGATAAACATAAGGGCAAAATCCTTAACAAAATATTAGCAAATCTAGTAACATATAAAAGGATAATACATCATGACCAAGTGGGATTTATCCTGGCAATGCTAGGCTTCTATTTATTTTAAAAATCAATCAATGTCATTCACCACATCAGTAGACTAAAAGAGAAAAACTATATGATCATCTCAACAGATACAGAAAAAGCATTTGAAAAAAAATACAACATCCACTTCTGATGAAAACTCTCAGTAAACTAAGAATAAAAGAGATTTTCCTCAATTAAAGGGCACCTACAAAAAAATCCTACAGCTAACATCAAACTTTATAGTCAAAGATTAAGAAAAAAGCTACAATGTCCACTCTTACCATTTCCTCCAAACATTGTATTGAAGGTGAGAGTGCAATAAGGCTCTTCTCTCTCCCAGAAAAGGGCATGTACAGGAGAAAGGAAGACACTAAATTCTATTTGGAGATGGCATGATTGTGTATGTAGAAAATGTTTTATAATCCACCAAAAAGCTATTAGAACTAATAAGTGAGTTTGGCAAGGTTGCAGGATACAATGTCAATACACAAAATTCAATTATATTTCTATAGACTAGTAATCAAGAATTTCAACTTGACATTAAGAAAATAATACTCTTTATAATAGCATCTAAAAACATAAAATCTTAGGGACAAATATCCCTGGTGGTTGGGTGGCTAGGATTCGGCGCTTTCATAAAATCTCAGGGACAAATATAACAAAATATGTACAAGATTTGTATGCTGAAAACATAAGTTGAATACAGCAGTATACTTCAAACACACTTCAGCATACATATTAAATAAAGTTTAATATTTGTTTACAACATTTTTAGGCAAAATTTACTTCCAGTGAAATGCACAAATACTAAGTGCATTGGCTGTCTAGGAGCCTTGCTATACATTTGTTGAGTTCTGACAGGTACATATGTTTAACTCAAACTCTTACCAAGATATAGAACATTGTCACCACCCCACAAGTTCCCTCTGCCCTTTTCCAGTCAATCTCTGTGCCACCTCCCATTGGCGAGCAGTGTTCTGAATTTGTTCCCCCATAGAATAGCTGTTTTAGAATTTCATATAAAAGGAATTGTAGAGTTCATAGTCTTTTGTGTAAGGCTTCTATCACCCTTGAAGTTCCTTTTTACCAAGGATATATATTGAGCAAATTCAGATACTAAGTCATTTCAAAAGTGTCTGTGTATGCAACAGCTGAACACAGGAATTAACTTCTGGTTTGAATGCACCGGCCAAAAGATGGCATCAGGGATGCCATGGGGAAGTAATCTGGCAGTGAGTAGGCAAGGACCTAGGGAGTCCTCCCAGAAGTAGCCTGGGGGATGGTGGTAGCTTGTGTTATGGTAATAGGTCATAACCGGGATATAAGAGCAGCCAGTTTAGACCTGGGTCTCCAACAGAGACAGGATGGAGAAAGGGGAAAGGATTTGTCTTTTTAAAAACCCAACAAGTCAGATCTCTGAAAGCAAAGCCTGGGGATATTTGCAAGTTTTGCATCTCTAAATACTTCTGAAGTAGAAAATGGGAGGCAATAAGTGATATTTTGTATCATGCACTGGGCCTAGAACTCCATAGACACAATCTGATTTGATTCTCACAAGTGATCCATGAGGCGGCCATGATATTCCTCCATTTTAGAGATGAGGTAGTGAGACTCTTCTTAATACTGGCTATTTTATGACAGAAAAATTATTTTTTCCCTTTAGAATTACATACTTCAAATTTGTGTGGTTGAATGACTTGCTTTGGGTCACTCAGATATCAATTTTATAGTCAGGATATAAATCTCAGTTGTGCCCATTTTATGAAGCAAAAGTTACTTTTATCTAACCCTAAAGATGAGACAACTGCAATTTTGGTGGCTGAGTATCTTTTTCAAGGTTACTAAGCTAACAACTACTGAAGCCAGTGCTGTACAGTTTCAAGGAATTATAATTGTTATATTTTTAAATAATTTACGTAGCTTTCCCCTCTCAAAGACAATAATGAAGGTTACCCACCCAAGAACCAAGTCCTCACCTGCACTGTCAGCTTCCTGGGTTTCCAAGTGTTGCCAGGTGCCAAGCTGCTGTCCTCGAGGGCACTGTGCTGAGGATTATGATAGCAAACTGAACACCGAATGCATTGGTGGTGGTGGCACCGGCAGTTGTAGCAATTTGGCATCATATTTCTCTTTAGCAAGGCAGGGCAGATTTCCCCAGAACAATAAATGCAAGGATCATGGACTAGAGCTCCTTGAACACTGCAGGAGTAAGAGCAGGTCCTGTGGTAATCAAAATCACCACAGTGTAGTGGCTTACAACACATGGAATTTTCTAGACCTTTGCTTGCAAAACATTCTGAGTAAGTGGGAGTTTCTGACTGAAGGGGTGACATGGAATGATATGATTGGTCTGTGGCATGATATGGTTGGTCTGCGGAATGATATGATTGGTCCATGGGATGGCGCCTCAATTCCCTACAGCTGGAGCTCATTGGCTGGAAGTTTTGGTCTATAGGTTTTGGTCTCTGGGTAAAAGTCTTGTTGCTATGAGTGGTTAAACCTGGCAAATGAGATGTAGATAAGGATTTGCTACTCTCTTCAAAGAACTTTCTTCTGTCTGCAAAAGGCAAGAGGATGGCATCCTCCCCAGCTTGAGCAGTAGAAGCCTTCAATTCCTTGTTGTCACCTGGGTTGGAAGGGCCTTCCATGGCTGCTGCCACAAGTGGCTGTGAATTATGCTCTGGAGACCATCTCCAATGACCTCCACGGACTCCACAGTGAGCATGTGCTTTCTCAGGGTCTGAGGAGGATGGGTCAGGTGCTTTCCACCAGGTGTTCAGGCCCAAAGAGGACTGGCCAGGCCTCTGGCCAGGGCTTATTCGTCCCTCTAAGCCTGTCCTAGATTCATGGCTCTCAGGGGCTTGGCTGAGGCACTCGGAAGACCTAGCTCTGAGCATCATGCTTTTGTTGAAGAGCTTGTCTCTGGGGCTGGGAGGTTTTTTACATGAAGATAGAAGAGATGTGTTAGAGGCAGTGAGTGGAGGACTTTCTGGGGGCTCCTGGGTCTCTTCCACTGGCTCCTTAGTGTCACACAGCTGTGACAAGGGACCCTTGCTTTTCTGGAGCTGGGCCTTCCTCCTCTGAATTTCATTACGCAGATTGGTAGCAAAACGCTCACTCTTCCGCCGGTTTTGGATCGAGCGGCCCCGGGTCCCTCCACTTCGCCTACCACCCATCCGGCTGCACTCCTTGGGCTCGCTGTCCCCTTCTTCACCTGCCTCTGTGCCACTAGCTGCTTTAGTGGTTGAAGAACAGTCCGTGGCTTGTTGAACAAGGGAGCCAGAGGCAGAGGGTTGCTGGTTGGCCAATTCACTGGCTGCTCTGCTTGTTCTGTTTGGGTCCAGGAAACCTTTTTCTGAGGGGTGTCCATCAGCCTCTCCATGTGGGGGACTGCTTTGGCTCTGGTGTCCCAAAACTAAAGACCTGTCATCCACTTGTCTGGTCTTTCTTTCTTTGCTGGACTGGTCATGGGTTCCTCCTGTAGGGGGGCATGGACTTTTCTTCCCTTTGTGGCTGCTGTGCAAAGGGGACAGAGTCCACTGGTGCCCATCCTGTACGGGTGGGAGCTCCATCCCTTTGCTGCCCCTGGTATCAAGGTGCACATGCTGCAGGTGGGATGCCAGCAGCTGTTCAGGGGCACTATGGCGATGCCCTGTGGGTCCTATGAGATGTGGAGGTCTGCCAAAAGAAGCCTTAGCTAGCTCTGCAGAAGCCTCATTGAGTGGGTTGGAATCCACGCTGGAAGCTCTGTCACAGGCTTTTGGGGATCCAACAGCTTTGGTTGAGGCCTGCATCAGTAGATGCTCAGAGCCCTGTTGGCTGGATTCAGGAGGCTGACTGAACTCACAGTTCTGATGGCCCTCACTTGTCACTTGGTCATGCCCACTGAGGCAACAGAACCTATTAGGGTTCCTTGCGGGTAGCACAGGCTCTAAGCTCAGTTTCTCCTTCTGTGGCAAGGGGACCACAGGCTCAGATGCCCTGCGCTGCTCTCCATTGAGGAGTTGGGCTCTGGAGGCCTGAAGGCTGTCCCGCCTCACTGGAGGTTGTGGTGGGCCCCTGACTGCTTTGGCGGGCCCTGACTGGTATCCCTCCTGTGGACGGGATGACATCTGAGAGCTGGGGGTCAGGTGGCCCCCATTGGTGCGCCGACTACCTCCTGAGGTCTCAGCCACATTAGGCCGGCCACTGGGGGCCTTAGTTGGCCCTGGGCCTTGCATGATGCAGTCTGTAGAGGCTGGCTCCTCTGGCCTGAGGGAAAGGGCACAGTCAGAAGCATTTGAGCTGGCCGAGAAGGAGCTGTAGGCTGAGTCACGCTGGTTAGGGTACATGTTCTGGTCAATAGGCAACAGATGGCTCTCATAGGTGGCTTGGCCTGGTTGCTCCAGGCTCTCCATGCTGCCAATGGAGCTGCTTTTCTCGGTGCTGCAATGCCGGGAGAGTGGACACCACTGCACACACACGTCACTGTAAGACACAGGGCATACTGGTTAGTTAGCGAAGTCATGGCCAGCCCTACTATAGGAGAGGGCAGGCCAGCCCAGAGGTACCCATGCCACAAAAGAGAGGAGGGTAGGCAAAAAAAAAAAAGGGGGAAGAAAGGGAAACAGGGAAGAAGATGGACATTGGGGTGCCTCAGGGGCTTAGTAAAATGGGACACAAGATGATATATGGAAAAAAGATGGGGAAACACCCCAAAGACTAAAAGTGGGAGAGCTCTATGGGGGTTATCCTCTATTTCCCTGACATTAGCAAGTCTGAAATTGCTTCTAGGCTGTCCCTGTCCCTAGGGAGTCAGCATGTGGCTCCCTGCCAAAAGAGACAATCACAGAATATCAGCATTAGAGAGGGGCCCTAAAGGGCTGATTCAGTTTTAGCCGGACCATTTTGTAAATAAATCAGTGATTCTCAAACTTGAGCATGTGCGTCAGAATCACATGCAGGGCTTGTTGAAACACGGGTCACTTGTCCTCATCCTAGAGCTTTAGGTCTCGGTGAATCCTGAGAATTTGTACTTCCAACAACTTCCCAGGTGCTGCTGGGGCTGCTTGCTCATCCAGCAATCACACTTTTGAGAACCACTGGTGTAAAGCAAGCCCAGCAAAGGGAAGTGATTTTGAGATGGTGATTTACTCAAGAACACCCAGCTCTAACTACTGGCACAGACAGGGCTGTAATTCAGGTGTTCCCCTATTCTTTTCTTGATAATAGCAATCCTGACTATTTACTGAGGACCTACAATGTGCCGGACACTTTACAAGGTTTCATTTCAAGCTGAAGAGGACAGATCTTTTTTTTTCTTTTTCAACCTTTATTTTAGATTCCGGGGGTACACGTACAGGTTTGTTACAAAGGTATATCACATGATGCTGAGGTGTGGAGTACAATTGAACTCATCACCTGGGAAGTGAGCAGAGTACCCAACAGGTAGTTTTTCAACCCTTGTCCCACTTCCTTTCTCCCTGCTTTTGTATTCTCCAGTGTCTATTGTTCCCATCTTTATGGGACAGATTATTATCTACACTTCACAATGGAAGAATCTTAAGCTTAGAGAGGTAAAGTAAACTGACAAACTCACTAAGCTGCTGAAGAAGCACAGCTGGAATCTGAATCAGGCCTGAGTCCAGTGTCTTAGCGCTACTGCCATATGGTCTTTTAAATAGGAATAATAGTAATAGCTATATCAGAGGGTTGATGTGTAGATAAAGCAGATAGTAAATGTAAAGTCCTTACCACAGCCCAGGTACCTAGCAAGGGTTCAATACATGGCAGCTGCTACTCTCTTGATTATTAGTTTTTGCCATCAGGATCCTCTCTAATACTAGTATTGATAATATAGGGGCCTCTGCCCACCCACGCCTCCCCCAACTCCCACAGCAAAGCCAAACCTGGAAGACCAAGGGAAGGGCTAGGATCAGATGCAATCTTCAATTTTAAGTACCATTTCCCAAACACAAAGCCAAACTGAACCAAGTCATGCCAGTAACTCCCTTTGACTAGAACCCGAGAGGTTGCAGGCTGCTCTCAGAAAGGCCATAGTCTAGAAAGCCAGAGTTGAACTGTGGCAGCAGCCCATGAGACCCTCAGGTCATTTTCTGCTCATTCTTGCTCCCTGCCTTGCCCCTTAGTCAGTCAGCTCACTTGTTCTCTGGGCAAGGAATCCATCAATTTCTTATTGGCAAGGGAACCTGCTACCCACTCCACCACTATTCCTGCTGAAAAGAACAAAAACAAAAACAAATCCTCACTCAAACAGGAGCCAAGCTCAAGAATGTCAAAGTGTGTTTCTGCATATTCTTCCAGAACAAAACTGCCTGTGCCCTGAGCCCTTGGTTTCCAAATAAAGTCACCGAATTGGGGTAAACGCAACCCTTAGTTTCTCTGAACCTGCAACAGAAATCCCTTCTTGGAGGGAAGCTCTTGTGGAAGGGAAAAGGCAGTGAAGGGCAGCACCTTTGCTGGCTCTCAGCCTGAAGAAAACGTTGTCTGCCTCTTGGGCAACTGTTTCAACAATGGTTATTCAGGAAGGTCCCTATTTTGAAGGCTTTGGCTATGTGACAGAGGTAATAAAGACCAGATAAGGGCACCAGTGAGTCGCCATTGACAGAGAAGCAGGCCAGAACTGAGCCCTGGGGTCCTCCTACATTAAGAGACAGGAGAACAAAAGGAATTAGGAAAAGAGATACGGAGAAAGAACAGCTAGTGAAATAGAATGAAAAGCAGGACAGTGTGGTGTCTTGTAAGCCCAATGAGGTATTTCAAGGAAACATCATCCAGAAGGAAAGGGACTAGCCCAAAATCACAGAGAATTAGCAAGAGACTAGCACTTGAACTCAGGTACTCTGGACTCCCACTTGCTTTTCCATTATAGTACTTGAGGCTCTAACATCCAACAGGGACTAGAGCAGAGGAGGAGGAGTGTCCAAGGTGTCTACCCTCCAGCCTGTCTTGAGGGGAGGGCTCTAGACTCACCTTGTGTTGCAGCCAGAATGCCAGGACAAGCTGAAGGCTTCAGAAGGGAAATGCATGGTGGTGGCTGCTTCAGGGCATCCCTCCAGCAGCTTGGCCACATGCCATGAGTGCGGCCTACTGACAGGGGCGTTCCTCCTACAGCAAGAAAGGGACAGGAAGTGGGCTGAAGGAACCAGAGCTGAAATCACTTCCCAGGCAGCTTCCGCCCCACCCCCTCTTTTCCTTCAGTAAAGTAGAACATCTTGCAAGGAACTGGTGTGGGAATCTTAGTGGCCCTCCTGAGCTCCTAGTTCTCAAGTCTCCTTCATTCTGGAGATATGGAATGTCAGCTTCATAGGGCTGCTTTGTTCACAAGAGTATCCTGAGCACGTATCACAGTGCTGGACACATAGTAGATGTTCAATAAATATTTGTGGAATAAATGAGTGCTGCTGCCTAATGAACAGTGAGCACATCCTCACTTCTCTTTGAGAAAGAAAATCAATCTGGTCAATCTTCCCATTTTTCTCTGAGAAAGGAATGGGCAAGTGATTGAAAAGTTTGAACAGGTCAACACTGGGCTGTCAATTCTCCAATTTTTAGCCATTCATTGAATAAGCATTTGTTGTATGTTTACTGTGTGTCCTCTACGTGTAACTCTGGGATTACAGAGATGAATCCAATACAGTCTTTGCTCTTGAGAGCTTACAGACTAATGGGAGAGACAGAGCTGGTTCAAACAAAGCATGGGATAGGTATTGACAGAGTGAAAGATAAGATGGGTACAGAGGTGAGACACCTGAGTTGGTAGGCAAACTGGTGGCAGGAAGCCCCAACTCCTGTGAGGGAAGATAGAACAAAGTGGTGAATGCACCATGTTAGGCTGACAGAGGAGATTGGCTGCTCAGCAGGTCAGGGGTATATAAAGGGAAATAGGCCTGAGGCCATGACTCTGAATACAGCCACAACTTTTGCACTGACTGCCACATACAGGACCCATCGCTGTCCCCTGGCATACTTCGCATGAGCAGTTGCCACCCTTGCGAGTGGGGAAGAGTAGTGTGGTGAAGAGTACATGTGGGGCATGGATAATGCCAGGAGATAAAAAGGTGATTGATGGGAGGGAGAATGACAGAAGGAGGGAGAGTAGAGAGAGAATGGAGAGAGAGAGATGCTGGAAGCGCCAGACAAATGATAGAGATAAGAAGGAGAGATGATAGAGGGGAAAATAAATGACAGAAAAAGAGAAAACTCTGAGAAAGATTGTAGAGAAATATATAGTAGAGAGAAATGGATGACAGAGAAAGAGGTGAATGGCAGAGTAAAAGAAACATGATAAATAAGTAGATGATACAGAAGTAAACAGAAAAATTATTTTCATCAATTTATTCATATTTACTGTGCCAGGGTCCAGACTAGGCACTGGTAGCACAGGGTTGAATAGGATAAGGGCCCCTGCCTTCAACAAGCTGGCTATATCGTGAGATAAAGCAGCTCTCTACCTCCCAGGAGCATTCATGGTCACACTCAAGCTGGAGGATTCCATCCTAGCTGGAAATGCCCCTCACCCCAGCAGAAGCATAGAAGATCTCAGTAGTACAAGGCTCTAGAGGGCTAAGGCCTAAAAAGATAGTCTTCAGAAGAATAGCCTTGCTGGGGAAAACAAGGATTGAGTGGTAATAGGCCAGACACAGACCAGGAGGTATAGGAGGAAGGGCAGGGGAAGCTGTTTGTCAAAGGCCAGGAAGTATAGCCACAGGTCAGCAACAGTGGCTAAGATTTAAGCGGAGGAAAGCCAGGTGAAGCCCCTAGCTTTGTAATCACATTGTTCTATTATTGATTTCAGAGTGCCCAGAGTGGGGGCTGAAGGCACAAGGAGACCTTGGGGGCTATGCTTGCTCTGGAGTCCTACACACAAAGCCACACTGCCGGGAAATCTCTCCAGCTGCTGCTACCAGGTAGTTATCCGGTCAACAACTATTTGTCAAGCATCTACCAGTAGTAGTACTATGTACCATGGGTATCTACTATGACCTATGCTTTTAGACACTGAGGATATAGTGGTGAACAGGGTATCCTTCCTATTTCAAGCCTTTTTCCATATTTAGGGTTCTTGAGTTCTGGGTTTAAAGTGCGGGCAGTCAGCCTTGGTGCCACCTTCTCCCTAACCATCCAATCCCACACGGAGTTCTACTGAGTCTTTTTTTTATGATGTTTCTCTGGCCCTGGTTTGCTCTCTCTCTCTCTCCCCCTACCCCCCCTCCATTTTCACTGTGGCCATTAGACAGAACCACAGCTCTTCTCCCAGAACCCACCACCAGCAGCTCCTGTTCTAGTCCAGGCCCTTGAAACTTTATGCCCCAAATACTGCAGAAGTCTGCCGGCCTGTCTGCCTTGTTCTACCTCCAGTCACTGCTTTTAGGTCATATCATGTTAAACGCCAACTGAATTGGGGTACTCTCCTATTCAAGAATCTTCACTGGCTCCCTATTTCTTACTCTGTCCCACATCAAACGTAAACTAGATCAGTTTCAAAGTCTTCAATAAGCTATCCTTACCCATCAGCTCAATCTCTCATTTCTCTGCTCCAATCACAGCCTGCAACCAGCTCTGTCCCTTCCTGATTCTGTGCCTTTGCTGTTGATATTCCTGTTGATCTAACACAGGCTCTGGGGTCAGACCACCTTTGTTTGAATCCCAGCTCTACCACTCATTAGCTCTGTTGCTTTAGACAGGTGACTTCACTTCTCAGAGCCCTAGTTTTCATGGCAGTAAAATGTGGATAATAGTACCAAATGGGATTGTTGAAAGATCAAATGAGACAATGCAAGTGCTTTGAATCAGGCCTGGCAAGGCCTCGACCAATCATAGTTATGACTATGACTGTTCCCTCTGCCTGGAATGCCCCCTCTCCTTTTGTTAACCTAAATCCTACCTGTTCTTCAAGGTACTGCTCAAGTACCATCTCCTCCAGGAAGCTTGTTCAGGGTAATCTAGCCCTCACAATTGGGTCCATAATAATATGATATTTGATATTGCCCATCATCATTTCATGTGTGTCAGTCTCATCTCACCAACTATACCAAGCCAGTAGGCAATGGGTGAAAAATGAGTGAGACAGATGTAGGTTCAGATCCCCTCTGCCACTTTAGATGTGTGTATCTGTAAGTTGCTTAACCCATCTGAAATTTAGTTTTCTTATCTGAGAAAGGAAACAATAATTCCTATCTGGCTAGGTGACTGTGGGGATTAGAGATAGTATTCTCAAAGCATCTGGGACACAGCCTGATGCACAGCAAGTGGTCAGTAAGTAGCAGGTACTATAATAATGGTTATTAGCTCAGACTTGTACCTTTTGATGGCTCAAGAGTACCCACACCTAGGGTACCATCCACTGTTGAGGTTCTACTGTACCACTACCTTGCCACACTGTGAAACATACCTTACAAAGACTCTTACTATTTTTTTTTTTTTTTTGAGACGAAGTCTCATTCTTGTCGCCAAGCCTGGAGTGCAATGGCACAATCTTGGCTGACTGCAACCTCCGCCTCCCTGGTTCAAGCAATTCTCCTGCCTCAGCCTCCTGAGTAGCTAGGATTACAGGCATGTGCCACCATGCCCAGCTAATTTTGTATTTTTAGTAGAGATGGGGTTTCACCAGGTTGGCCAGGTTCATCTTGAACTCCTGACCTCAGGTGATCCACCCGCTTCGGCCTCCCAAAGTGCTGGGATTACAAGCGTGAGCCACTGCGCCTGGCTGGCCCCTTACTCTTTCTAGGGTTTCTCCAGGAGTAGGAACCAATCCCAAAGTAGACAGAAGAGGGAAGTGGGGGCTTTTAGGACACAGAGAAAACTAAAGACTGGAAGAAGAAAAATCCAAACAGAGGGAGCTGGAGCCAGAGCTAGAGCCTTCTAACCCTAGTTTGGGACAGGAGAATAAACTATCTATATGGTCTACTATTTGGCCTATTATTAGCTCGGAATAGCCCTAGACTTGAAGTCAGTCTACACTTGCATTCAAACTGTAGTTGTGTGGCCATGGGCAAGTCACTTCTGCGAGTTGCAGATTTTTTATCTGCAAAATGGGGAAGATGACCATCTGTTTTTCATGAGTTATGTTTTGGATTAAATGCAGTCCCATGTGTGAAATCAACCAGCATAGTGCCTGACATACTGTATAAACTTAAAGAAAACACACAGCAGGACCACTTATTGAACACTGAAGATGTGCCAGGCACTAAGCATTTCACATGCATTAACTGATTTAATCATCTCTCTAACCTTATGTGAAACAGTTTTATTATTGTTATTATTATTAAGACAGGGCCTCTCTGGCTCTGTTGCCCAGGTTGGAGTGCAATGGTACACTCATAGCTAACTGCAACCTCAGACTCCTGGGCATAAGCTATCCTTCTGTCTCAGCCTCCTGAGTAGCTAGGACTACAGGCTACAGGTGCATGCTACCGTGCCCGGCTAATTTTTTTGTATTTTTTGTAGAGATGGGGTTTCACCATGTTGGCCAGGCTGGTCTTGAACTCCTGGCCTCAAGCAATCTTCCTGCCTGAGCCTCCCAAAGTGCTGGGATTACAGGCATGAGCCACCATGTCCAGCTGGTAAGTTATTATCCCCACTTTACAAATGGAGAACCAGAGATGCATAAAGCTTAAGTGATTCGCCAAGAGCACATAGCTAATAACCAGCAGAATTGGGAATGAAACTCAGATCCTCCAGTTTTTTCCTAGGATACCACACGACCCCTCCTCTCCAAGGAAGAGTCTATCTGAAAAAGCCTGTATTCCTGAGGTTTCCCATAGCAATTCCCTCAAGAAGCAGTCAGCAAAGGGAGGTCTCATTAGTCCTAGAGCTGAAACCATTCCCTCCATAGGCAGTGGGGAGAGAGAGGAGGAGAAACAAACAGAAAAGTAAGAAAATGCCTACGACCAACCATGCAGCTCTAGGCCAAGATGTGAAGGCAGTGACCCCAGTGCTTGCCTTTCTCCTAAGGCTGGCTCAGGCACTATCAATAAGCACACACCTCATCCCATCCTTCATTACTCCAAAATGCTTTTCTTAGGAAGCAAAAAGAAAGAGATATTGAAGAAAGAAAGCAAGAGGGGGAAGAGTGGCAGCAGCCATGGCTACTGGCTGTACCTACCATGGAAGTTGCCCAGGGTGGAGAGATGGCTTGGGAGAGAGCGGGGTATCCGGCTAGCTCAGACTCTCGTTGACAAACCCTCCAGCCAGCGTCCTCCCTTAGCTGGGACCCATCTGCCCTCCAGTTAAGACCTTCTGGGGCGAGGGACCATCAGCCCAAGATGCTGAGTGTGATCCAAGGGGCTCAGGCACAGTCAGGTTCCAGTTCTAAGAACAGGAAGGAGTAGCACTGAAGGCAAGGTATGACCATCAGCCTGGATGGACCTAGATATGGCCACAGCCTTAGGGAACGAAAGCCAGTGTCAAGAGCTGGATAGGAGTGAAGACGCTGCTCCAGGAACCAGCCAGCACCCTGGTGGCAAAGGGAAGGATGAAAGGCACTTCCAGCAGCATAAACAGCCCCCCTGCTCCCTACTCCAACCTCCTCTGAGCCCTGGCCCACCCCCTCGGCAGCTCAGAGGCCAATAAGGAAGCTGGGCCCCCAGCCACTGCTAGAACTCAGGAAAGGAGCAAGGAAATGATGTTTGGGAAAGATAAAGCGGGTGTCTAAAAAGAATTTTTAAAAATACACGTAAGTGAGAGAGAAAAATACCCCAGACACATACACTTAAAAGAATTCCTGTGCTTCCTGGACTGAGTTGACCCCACCCAGCCATCTCTGCAGGTCCTCTGGGCCCCAGAAAAGTACAGATAAGCCAGGACTAGCAGCCTCCAGGTCCAGAGGAGTAGCACTCCAGCTGATTTTATATAGCTGGGGGCAAGTGACTGAGAGATTTTCCAAGGTGAAGGTCCTGGTGAGATACGAAGGCTCACAAACATTTTCGGATGTATTTACAGGGGTCTGCACTTCCTGTGCGGACTTGAGCAGATCCAAAGAAAACCCAATTTTACACCAGAGACTTCAACTCCAGAAAAGGTGCCCATTAGCAATGCTGGAAATGTGGTGTTTGGGGTCAGTGTCCCTGGATTTGCCATGAATTCACTCTGACCTCTGGCAACTTACTCCCACTCTCTGGGCTTCTGTTTCCTCCCTGTAAAATAAAACATTGAATTCAATCGTCACAAATGACCCTTCCCACTCTAGCATGCTATGATGTAGTAGTCCTAGGCCCCAGGCTGAGGTTCCAAATGATGCCCTAAGTGATTAGCGCAGTAGCCAGAATCCAGAGCAGCCCTATGTGGATTTGTTGCACCCCCTAAGCCCAGGCTCAGGCACCAGGATTTAATTTATCTTGGGGAATTAGAGTCAGGGTTTTCCTTTCATTAACACTCCCAATTCCCTACTCCAGTTTCCCTTGGCCTCTGGCCTCAATTCCAGTAATTTCTGGCTCCTGAGAGGGCTTATGCAAACTCCCTTAGGACATGAAGTATGTATGCTAGGGCCTTTCCTCTCTGGGGAAATCATGCCTGGAGGCCCCTTCCCCTTTCTTCCCTCTGTATCTCACAGGAGAGTCTGGGTTGACTTTTATCAACTGTATAGGGGAAAGTTTGGGAGCTTTGAGGAGCATATGGATCTGGCTTACAGTCTCAGCTCTACCATTCACTAGTTGTTTGGCCTTGGGCATGTCACAGAACCTTGGTTTCCTCATCTATAAAACATGCCTGGCATGTAAAAGGCACTCAATAAATGCTATCTGTTTTTAATATTACCCGTATGCAAAATAATAATGAGCGAGGTACCATTAGCAATAAGAAAACTGATTTCTTCAATCCAAATGAAGATAAAAGAGAAAGGACTAGTTAAGAGAAGGCTCAAATGCCAAACCCAGTACACTCTGGAACAGCACTCTCAAATTGTAGTGGGCATACTAATTACCTGGGGATCTTGTTAAAATGCAGATTTTGATTCAGCGAGGCCCAGGTTCTGACTTTTAATAAGCTCCAGAGTGATACTGATGCTCCTGGTGTGATAACCACATTCTGAGTGGCAATATACCAGGACATAATCTGGTCCAAAAAATGCATCAGGTTAAAATCTCTTTTCATTTCATTCCTCAGGCCTGGGTGTCCGGCCGCCCTTGCTCTTCTGGTCGCCAAATGTCTTTCTCCTTTTGCTCAGTGGCCCAGCCCATGCAAACGCTTGCCTGAAGAAGTTTGCCAATCCCCACTTCCTAACAAAATAAAGAGCAACTGGTTTGTTATCAGTGTGACCCTGCCAGTGGCCAGGTGAGGCTGAAGAAATTGTGACTAGAGGTGCAAGCATGTTCATGGAGCTGGCTGAGGTAGGGAGAAAGGGTGCGAAGATGAGAGTTGGGATGTCATCAGATGAGGAGTAGGCAGGTGGGCACAAATAGTGTATACTCAAGAAATCCTTCGTTGAGGGAAGATGAGAGAGAAACTTGAGCGGTTTAGCCAGTTTGGGATTTGGGGAAGAGGTTGGGAGAGGTGGTGGAGGGAAAAGGGCATATGCTCCCATTTAGCGGAGCTGAGTTCCAGATAACATGATCAAGTATGACCTCCTGTGCTCAGGGGACGGTAAAGATGACTGCTTCTTTTCCAAGTACTCAGGAGACGTGAACTTGGCATGGGGGCACAGGAGGGTGGGCACATGCAGCAGAAAAGCCAGAAGCTGGCTCCCAGGAGAGGCCTTATAAAGGCTCTTGTGAGAGGTGAGGGGTGGAGGTGGACCAATTCTGAAAGGAGTCAGTCTCCAGCTGCGCTAGTCAGCTGTCACCCCAGTATCTTCCGATAGCACCATCTGTCTTTGAGCCTGGCTCCCAGCAGACCCCTGAAGAGATACTTGGGAGAAGATGAGCAGAAAGAGAACCATGACTCTGCTCTAACTTAGGGGAAAAAGGAAAATGTAACCCCTGTTGCTTGTGGTTGTGCTCAACCTGAGGCCTGGACCATAACAGAGTGTGGGTACTTTCCTCTTTTTAAAGTATTTATATAAATAGAAGCACAAAATAACGTCCTTGATTAGCTCTGTTTATTTTCTGTGGCTCTTCCAGCCTCCCTCCAAACAGCACATTCCACCTGCCCCACACGAAGAAGCCCAAGCTCATTCTGGCAGGCTCAGCAGGAAGGGAAGCCCACAGACAAGCCGGAGGACAGAACAATGCATGGCTTGTTTATTTGACAGAAGAGGGGAAAAGCTGCCTGGTCACCATGGAGGGACACAGAGCTCTGAAGGCCCACCCCCACCCACTGTTGGCTGGGGTCCTTGCAGCCTGGTAATCAGGAAACCCTTCCTTATTATAGACCCAACCAAGGGGGGAAGAGTGTGTGTGTGTGTGTGTGTGTGTGTGTGTGTGTGTGTGTGTGTGTGTGTAATTTGAAAGAGAACTTTCAGGACAATGGCTTTCTCATCAGTCTGGGAAAGCTATAATCTGGGTCATCTGAGAGATGAATACTCTCTGGAGAAGGGGCTTTTGGTACCCAGCTCTGCCTCCCTGCCTCCCCTCCTCTCCCCACCTCCTCTGAATAGCCAGTTCAAGTTCTTCCATGTAAATCTGCTGGGTCCCCCTCTCCACCCTCCACCTCAGAATCCATCCCTGGCTACAAAGAAACCCAGGGTAGGGAATAAGAAAAGAAGGGAATGTTCGAGTGGAAATAAAGACTCCCCACAAATGCTGTGGTGTGTGTCAGGGGTGCTCTTTGTCTTTCTGCATAGGGAGTGATAACTTCATCTGGCTAGGGCATTACATTTGACCCTCTGCTTCCATTTCTCCATTTTCACATTGAAATCTTTAAGACACAGGGGGACACCTCTTTTTCCAAAGAAGGTTGGCAGGAAGTAACCATACAGATGACTCGGGAAAGCTCTGCACATAGCAGCGGGTAGGAAAATGCTTAGTACTTTAGAAATGCAGTACTCGGGATTCTCTTTCAGAATGGGCTAGAGAGAAATTTCTAGTTTTTCTATATATAGTGTGATAAAACATACCAGTCATAGACTTGTTTAACTGACAGAAGAGGGAAAAAGCTGGCTGATCTTATCAATGATCCTAAAGGCAAAGAGGTGGATAGTGAATATTTCGAAGCTTCTAGGAGCAAGGGGAGCAAGTCCAGAATCTGAATAATGAAAGAGTTTTTTTCCCTCTCCCTTCTATGTACAGAAGTTAAGGGTGCAACACCAGAGGGCTAAGGGAGACTTCAGAGGAGCACATAGGGAAAATGGCATCAAGTTCACAGTGCACCATCTGACTCAACAGATAGCCTTAAAGGTTTTGCCATGATGCCCAGTTTCCTAAACCAACACCCAAAGCGATAAAGAAGGTGGAGGATGTTTGTCCTCCAGCTCTGGTTTCTATCAGTAACATTTATAGCGTCCCTTGGGAAAGAGGCTGTAGGAATAATACCAGTTTTCTTTTCTTCCTCCTTAAAGCCCATTATCCCTTTCAGTTCAAACTCACTGTTCGACCTACCACTTTTCAGAGGTCTGATGGAATCCATAAAGGTTTTCCCCAGAGTCAAGTCTCAAAATCCTCAGAACTACTTCTGGCCACTCCCCAGGTCATCTCTACTACTAAAGACATGGAGCCCTAGGACAATAACCAACAACAGTTAGGACCCCAATAGAAACAAGAACACCCAGTCACTCTGCTTTGATACAACTTGACAATCAGGAGGAGCCAAGACCCAGCAGAGCTGGAGCACAGTGAGCAAGGTGGACTGCAGTGGGAGATGATACTGGGGAGGTGCATAGGCCAGATCATGGAGTTTCCAAAGGCTGAAACAGTTTGAATTTTATTCTCAGTGAAATGGGAAGCTGTTAGAGGTTGTTAAGCAGGGGACTAACATGATGTAAGTTTTATAAAGGTTTGACTTGGCTGATGGATTTGTGTGTGTGGGGGTCAACAGTAGAAGCCAGAGAACCATTTAAAGGGGCTATTATAGGTAAGAGATAATGGTGGTTTGTTCTAGGAAAGTAGCAGTTGGGACAAGAACAAGAGATTTGATTAGAGGTATTTTGAAGAGGTAGGGCTGACAGTATTTGTTGATGGACTGAATATGGAGAATGAGGAAAAAAGAATGAGCTATGATACTTGAGTCACCTGGCATCTGTACCTTCTTAGCACAGTATTCATTCCTGAAACTGAGTCATTAGGGGCTCTAAAAAGAAAATTGGCAGTCTTCACTATTGTTTTGTCCAAGCATTTACAGAGCTCCTCTATCTACATTTAAGGTGTTTGGAGAGGTACTAGGCAACATGCCAAAATGAAGAAGAAGTAATCCCTGTGCTCAAGGAATTAAGTGTGGTAGAGGGTGGATGAAAAATACCTAGAAAACCATTAAAAAGGATGGAATGTCAGAAGTATCAGAAAGGAAATGCTAACAAAATGAGAGTCAAAAGAAGGAGAGAGCACTGCTGCCTGAATCAAGAATGGCATCACAGAGCCTCTGAGCTGATTTTGGAAGAGTCAATACAATCACCACTGAAGATGACTGGGAGAGAGGCCATGCCAGATTTGCATGAACAGAAGTGAGAAGCACAGGAATACCATGAAGGAAGAAAACACAGTTTTTATAAGGCACAGAGGAAGTGAAATTAGAATGATTCAAGAGCATGGTGGGCCTTAAGAGTCAAGTTAAAGCCTTTACTTCACATAATCCAATAAGCAAGAGAGAGCCCTTGGAAGTTCCAGAGTAGGAGAGCAATATGGTACGAGCGGTATTATAGGAAAGTTATTATGGTAGCCATGTGTAGGATAAATTATGTGGATAGATACTGGAAGCATAGAGAAGTGAGTAAGCTAATGGAATAGACACAATAAAAGGTAAAATCAGAGCAATGGCAGTGGGGATGGAGCAGAAAGGAAGAATGTGACAGAGAATCAACAGCGTTGGACTGCTAATTACATAAGCAGAGAGAACAGATGACTGTGAAGCACCTAGAAGGCTGATATCAGTAATCTAAATAGCAAAGTCATAGGCAAGAACCAGCTTTAGGAAACATGAGTTTGATTTCAGATATTAGTTTGTTATGCTAGCAAATTCTGTAGGTAGGTGTGCCCAGCGAGCAGCTTGATGTGTGGACTGCAGTGCTAGAAAGAGGTTGGGGCACGGTATGGACATGTGGTCACTATCCAGAGGAGGCAGCCGAGGCTGTTGCCGTGGATGTGACTGCCCACGGTGAATGTATGCAAAGGAGACGGGGGATGATAGATCTCTGCAGAGCTATAGTTCAGTGAGAAGAGGAAGAAGAGCTGGTAATAGAGACAAAACAATGAAATGCCATTTTCAGTCATATTGGCAATACTTTCTAAAGGTAAGTGCTGACAAAGTTGTGGGGAAATAGATATACATTGGTGGGTGGGAATGGAAATGGGTACACACTTGCTTAAGGGAATTTTGGCATATGTTATCAGAAGACTTAAAATGTTTCTACTGTGCTTGCTTTGGCTGACATAACTAAAATTGCAATGATACAGAGATTAGCATGGTTCCTGCACAAGGATAATGCACAAATTTGTGAAATGCTCTGTATTTTTACTGCAATTAGTGGTAATGGTTTCACAACCTTGTGAATGTACTAAAACCCACTGAATTACACACTTGAAATAGTGAATTTTATGGTATGTGAATTATATTTAAGAAATTTCATATCCTTTGATCCAGTTTTTCCACTCCTAGGATTTTATCCTAAGAAAGCCATTAAAGATGTACACATTTATTTATGTACTTGAAGTGTCTTCCACTGCAGGGTTATTCATAATGGTAAAATTTGGAATATCCTAGCTGTCCAACATTTAGGAAGAGTTAGAACATATTGTGCATTTACATGGAGGAATAATAGTTTGTCATTACAAACCATGTTTTTGAAGACTACTTAATGATCCTGAAAAAGGCTCACAATGTAATGGTAAATTTAAAAATTGTATATAAACCTGAACATATTACAAGTTCAATTCAAGAACTATATATGCATATATACATATTCTTATACAGATATGCAAATATTGAAAGGCTGGATGTAAATGTACTAATATTGTATCAGTGGGTATTTATCTTTGTGTGGTGGAATTAAGGGTTATTTTTATTTTTCATACTTTTAAATCATTTCTAGATTTTATACACCACACATGTATTACCTTTTAAATAAAAAGAGGTTTCTTTTTTTGAGATGGAGTCTTGCTCTGTTGCCAGACTGGAGTGCAGTGGTGTGATCTTGGCTCACTGCAACCTCCGCCTCCCAGGTTCAAGAGATGGCCCTGCCTCAGCCTCCCGAGTAGCCGGGACTGCAGGCACGTGCCACCACGCCTGGCTAATTTTTTTTTTTTTTTGTATTTTAGTAGAGATGGGGTTTCACCATGTTGGCTAGGATGGTCTCCATCTCCTGACCTCGTGATCCGCCCACCTCGATCTCCCAAAGTGCTGGGATTATAGGCGTGAGCCACCGCAACCAGCCATAAAAAGAGGTTTCTAAAGAAAAATGTCACCATTCTACATGGACATATCATTTACCCAGGCAACTGTCTGATATAACTGTCTGACATATTCTTAAATTAGGAATCTGCAATTATACTGGTGATTTCACTTAACTATTTCAAAGATCTAGATTTTTCCCTCAGGGAAATCAGCCTAGAGCCCACCAACCTAGCAAAATGCTTTTTTTCCACATAATTTTGCTGCTTGGCAGTGGATTCTTTTGTCTTACTATTTTTTAAAAATTCCATCTGACAGTTTTTTACCCTTAATATTAGCACTGGGAGCTATTCTTTGCTGTGAGAGTAGACCAGGGCTGGAAGAACCAGGAGCAAGTTTGAGAGGAGGCCAGGCAAAGGAAAAGAGAAGTCAAGTCAAGGTCAGTATCAAGGCCATGCCCAGTGTGTTGAAACAAACAAACAAACCAACAAAAAAACACTACTCAGGGCCTTCCTGGGTTTAGTTCTTTTCCAGCTGCCTGATAGACTTGGTGGGACAAAGTTGGCTAGAGAGGGAACAAAAGTACAAGAAAATTTAGTGGTGGTGGTGGAGGTGTGGCAGCAAGTACCATTTGTAAAGCCATCTAACTGCTAATATTTTTATGCAACATTTACAGTTCATAAAGAACTTTCATATACACCATTCCATTTCATTCTCATAACCTTACTAAGTCCACCTCAGAAAAGAAGAAACTCAGGCTTAGGGAGGTGAAATAAATCACATAAGGCTTGAACACAAGTTTTTTGCATCCAAATTTCTATGTCCCCCAACCCCCAAATAGTGTTTTTCAAAGTTGTTCTATAGACCAGCATCAGCATCACCTGAGAACTTGTAGGAAAGAAAATTCTGGGGACCCATCCTCGACCTTTTGGATCAGAAACTCTGGGGGTGGGGCCCAGCAATATGAATTTTGGTTTTGTTTTTATACTTTACTTTCTGGAATACATGTGCAGAACGTGCAGGTTTGTTACATTGGTATACACGTGTCATGGTGGTTTGATGCACCCATCAACCCATCATCTACATTAGGTATTTCTCCTAATGCTATCCCTCCCCTAGCCCCTTAACCCCCGACATGCCCCAGTGTGTGACATTCCCCTCCCAGTGTCCATGTGTTCTCATTGTTCAACTTTCACTTATGAGTGAGAACATGTGGTGTTTGGTTTTCTGTTCCTGTGTTAGTTTACCTAGAATGATGGTTTCCAGCTTCATCCATGTCCCTGCAAAGGACATGAACTCATCCATTTTTATGGCTGCATAGTATTCCATGGTGTATATGTGCCATATTTTCTTTATCCAGTTTATCATTGATGGGCATTTGGGTTGGTTCCAAGTCTTTGCTATTGTCAGTAGTGCTACAATAAACATACGTGTACATGTGTCTTTACAGTAGAGTGACTTATAATCCTTTGGGTATATATCCAGTAATGGGATTGCTAGATCAAACGGTATTTCTGGTTCCAGATCCTTGAGGAATCGCCACACTATCTTCCACAATGGTTCAACTAATTTACATTCCCACCAACAGCGTAAAAGCATTCCTATTTCTCCAAATCCTCTCTAGCATCTGTTGTTTCCTGACTTTTTAATGATTGCCATTCTAACTGGAGTGAGATGGTATCTCATTGTGGTTTTGATTTGCATTTCTCTAATGGCCAATGACGATAAGCTTTTTTTCATGTTTGGCCACATAAATGTCTTCTTTTGAGAAGTGTCTGTTCATATCCTTCACCTATTTTTTGATGGGTTTTTTTTCTTGTAAATTTGTTTAAGTTCCTTGTAGATTCTGGATATTAGCCCTTTGTCAGATGGATAGATTGCAAAAATTTTCTTCCATTCTGTAGGTTGCCTGTTCACTCTGATGATAGTTTCTTTTGCTGTGCAGAAGCTCTTTAGTTTAATTAGATCCTGTTTGTCAATTTTGGCTTCTGTTGCCATTGCTTTTGGTGTTTTAGACATGAAGTCTTTGCCCATGGCTATGTCCTGAATGGTATTGCCTAGGTTTTCTTCTAGGGTTTTTATGGTTTTAGGTCTAACATTTAAGTCTTTAATCCATCGTAATTTTTGTATAAGGTGTAAGGAAGGGGTCCAGTTTCAGTTTTCTGCATATGGCTAGCCAGTTTTCCCAATACCATTTATTAAATAGGGAATCCTTTCCCCATTGCTTGTTTTTGTCAGGTTTGTCAAAGATCAGATTGTTGTAGAGGTGTGGCATTATTTCTGAGGCCTCTGTTCTATTCCATTGGTCTATATATCTGTTTTGGTACCAGTACCATGTTGTTTTGGCTACTGTAGCCTTGTAGTATAGTTTGAAGTCAGGTAGCATGATGCCTCCAGCTTTGTTCTTTTTGCTTAGGATTGTCTTGGCTATCCAGGCTCTTTTTTTGGTTCCATATGAAATTTAAAGTACGTTTTTCTAATTCTGTGAAGAAAGTCAATGGTAACTTGATGGGGAGAGCACTGAATCTATAAATTACTTTGGGCAGTATGACCATTTTCACGATATTGATTCTTCCTATCCATGAGCATGGAATGTTTTTCCATTTGTTTGTGTCCTCTCTTATTTCCTTGAGCAGTGGTTTGTAGTTCTCCTTGAGGTCCTTCGCATCCCTTGTAAGTTGTATTCCTAGGTATTTTATTCTCTTTGTAGCAATTGTGAATGGGAGTTCACTCATGATTTGGCTCTCTGTTTGTCTATTATTGGTATATAGGAATGCTTGTGAATTTTGCACATTGATTTTGTATCCTGAGACTTTGCTGAAGTTGCTTATCAGCTTAAGGAGATTTTGGGCTGAGATGATTGGGTTTTCTAAATATACAATCATGTCATCAGCAAACAGAGACAATTTGACTTCCTCTCTTTCTATTTGAATACCCTTTATTTCCTTCTCTTGCCTGACTGCCCTGGCCAGAACTTCCAATACTATGTTGAATAGGAGTGGTGAGAGAGGCCATCCTTGTCTTGTGTGGGTTTTCAAAGGGAATGTCTCCAGCTTCTGTCCATTCAGTATGATACTGGCTGTGGGTTTGTCATATATAGCTCTTACTATTTTGAGATGTTTCATCAATACCTAGCTTATTGAGAGTTTTTAGCATGAAGGGTGTTGAGCTTTATCGAAGGCCTTTTCTGCATCTATGGAGATAATTATGTGGTTTTTGTCATTGGTTATGTTTATGTGATGGATTACATTTATTGATTTGCATTTGCTGAGTCAGCCTTGCATCCCAGGGATGAAGCCGACTTGATCGTGGTGGATCCTCTAGATGATTCTAATGCACGCTCATAAGTTTGAGAACCATTACTGTAGCATACATTTTAAAACAGATTTTCAAGTGACTTCTAAATACGGGCTGCTGCTATTTTGGCTCTTGTGGGGTGCTGCTTTCCAAGGTAGGCTGGAAGCCTACCTTTAGCTATCAGTGCTATGTGTATAATAGAGGGCAGCTGCTTAAAAAGTATTTAGGTTCCAGGGACAGGAATGTTCTTCTTTAGGGTGAGGAAGCTCCCAGGACCAAGAGGGCAATTCTTGAATCACAGCTGCCCTTGTCAGGGGGAGATAAGTGCTGGTGAGCAGTTGCCATATATGTACTTCCCTGGTAAGGCTTCTTTTCATTAAGGCTTTTGTCTGGTTCCACAATGTTCACATAAGCCCTTGGGAAATTTCTCTTTCTGAGGTATTTACATTCACAAACCTCAAGTTCATCAAGCTGTTCATTTCATTTTGCATAGCTTTATTAAGGTTTAGTTGACAAATAAAATTGTACACATTTATAATATACAATATATTTTTTCATACATGTAAACATTGTGAAATGATTAAATAAAGCTAATTTACATATCCATAACCTCAAATACTTATCATTTTTTGTGGTGAGAACATCTAAGATCTACTCTCTTAGCAATTTAAGTATACAATACATTATTATTAACTACAGTTACTATTCTGTATATTAGATTTCCAGAACGTACTCCTCTTGTTCAACTGAAGCTTTATAGCCTTTGATCAACAGCTCATTTCCTGCCCCACCCGCCCCATTCCTGGTGACCACCATTCTACCCTCTGCTTCTATGAGTTTGATGTTTTACTATTATAATTATTATTTTTAATATAATTTCAACCTCTATGTGAGATTCAGGGGGTGCATGTGCAGGTTTGTTACATGGGTATATTGTGTGATTCTGAAGTTTGGGGTATGAATGATCCCAACACCTGGGTACTAACCACAGTACCCAATAGTTTTCCAGTCCTTGTCCCCCTCTGTCCTTCCCTCCCCTATCTAGTAGGTCCCAGTGTCCATTGTTGCCATCTTTAGGTCCATGAGTACCCATTGTTCTTACTTATAAGTGGGAGCTAAACATGTGGTATTTGGCTTTCTGTTCCTACATTAATTTGCTTAGGACAATGACCTCCAGCTCTGTGTATGTTGCTGCAAAGGACGTGATTTCATTCTTTTTTATGGCTGCATAGTATTCCATAGTGTATATATACCACATTTTATTTATCCAATTCACCATTGATGGGCACCTAGGTTGATTCCATGTCTTTGCTATTGTGAATAGTGCTGCAATGAACAAACAAGTGCAGGTGTCTTTTTGGTAGAAACATTTATTTTCTTTTGTGTATATACCAAGTAATGGGATTGCTCTGTAAGAGTTCAGCTTTTTTACATTTCACATATGAGATCATGTGGTATTTGTCCTTCTGTGCCTGGTTTATTTCCTTAGCATAATGTCCTTCAGTATCATCCATGTTGTACAAATGACAGGATTTCCTTCTTTTTTATGGCTGTATAGTATTTCATTGTATATGTGTGTGTGTATATATATATTTCATATATTTTTTATATATGAAATATATATTATATATAACATATATTTTTATATATGAAATATATATTATATAACATATTTTCTTTATTCATCATCTTTATTCATCATAAAGAATAAATTCATTCTTTATTCATTCATTTATAACACATTCATTCAAGTGTTGTTGGACACTTAGATTTATTCCATATCTTGGCTATTGTGAATAGTACTGTAATAAACATGGGAGTGCAAACATCTCTTTAACATACTGATTTCATTTGCTTTAGATATATACCCAGAAGTAGGACTGCTGGCTTATATTATAGTTCTATTTTTAGTTTTTTGAGAAGCCCCCCTACTGTTTTCCATAATGGCTATACTAATTTACATTTCTACCAATAGTGTATAAGGGTTCCTTTTTCTTCACACCCTCACCAACACTTGTCTTTTTGATTATAGACATTCTAACATATGTGAGGTGATATGTCACTGTGGTTTTGATTTGCATTTCACTGATGATTAGTGACGTCAAACATTTTTTTAAATATACCTGTTGACCATTTATATATCTTCTTTTGAGAAATGTCTCTTCAGATCTTTGGCCCATTTTGTAATCAAGTTATTTGTTTTCTTACTATTGACTTGTTTGATTTCCTTATATGTTTTGGATATTAACTCCTTATCAAATATGATTTGCAAATATTTTCTCCAATCCTGCAGGTTGTCTCTTTACTCTGTGGATTGTTTCCTTGGCTGTACAGAAGCTTTTTAATTTGATGCAATCCAACCTATTTTTGCTTTTGTTGCCTGTGCTTTTAGGGCCATAGCCAAAAAATCTTTGCCAAAGCCAAATGTCAAAAAGCTTTTCCATATGTTTCCTTGTAGTAGTTTTAGAGTTTAAGGTCTTATGTTTAAGTCTTTAATCAATTTTGAATTGGTTTTTATATATGATGTAGGATAAGAGTCCAATTTCATTCCGCATGTGAATATCCAGTTTTCATGACACCATTTACTGAAGAGACTGTGCTTTCCCCATTATGTGTTCTTGACACCTTTGTTGAAGACCAGTTGACTGTAAATGTGTGGATTTATTTTTGGGCTCTCTCTTCTGTTCCATTGAATGGTATTTCCGTTTTTATGCCAGTACCATACTGTTTTGATTACTATAGTTTTGTAGTATATTTGGGATCAGGTAGTATGATGCCTCCAGCTTTTTTTTTTTCCTCAATATTTCATTAGCTATTTGGGGTCTTTTGTGGTTCCTTACAAATTTTAGAATTTTTTATTCCTGTGAAAAAATGTAGTTGGAATTTTGATAGAGATTGCATTCAATCTGTAGATTGTTTTCAGCAGTATGGACATTTTAATGATAGTAATTCTTCTAACCCATGAACATGGAATATCTTTATTTTTTATTTATTTGTCTTATTTATTGTGTCCTCTTTAATTTATTTCATCAATATTTTATAGTTTTTAGTATACAGATTTTTACCTCATTGATTAAATTTATTCCTAAGTATTTTAGATTTATTTTGATGCTATTGTAAATGGGATCATTTTTAAAATTTCTAAGTTTGTTGTTAGTGTATAGAAACATTATTGATTTTTACAGGGTAACTTTGTATCCTGCAACTTTACTGAATTCTTTTATTATTTCTAAGAGCCTTTTGGTGGACTTCTAGGGTTTTCTGTATAAGATCATGTCACCTACAAATAAAGACAATTTAACTTCTTCCTTTTCAATTGATATGGCTTTTATTTCTTTTTCTTGCCTAATTGCTCTGGTAGGACTTTCAGTACTATGTTTAGTAGAAGTGGGGAAAATGGGTGCCCTTGTCTTGTTCCCTATTTTAAAGGAAAAGCTTTCAGCTTTCCACCATGGAATATAATGTTAGCTGTGGGCTTCTCATATATAGCCTTATTGTGTTGAGGCACATTCCTTCTACACCTAATTTTTGGACAGTTTTTTTTTTTTATCATGAAAGCATGTTGCACTTTGTGAAATTCTTTTTTTGTATCTATTGAGATGATCATAAGACTTTTATCCTTCTGCTAATGTGGTATATCACATTTATTGATTTGTGTATGTTGAACTATCTTTGCAGTAAGGAAATAAGGAAATTCAGTGGGGAATGGGTTGCGAAGGTGGGGGTAGGTGAATCTATGTTCCTCAGAAGGAAAATAATATAGCATTATGGTATGTTAACAATGTTCCCCTGAAGTGTAGAGGACTCATTTTTCATTGTATATGCCTTTGTACTATTTGAATGGTTTTCCTTCTGCAAGTATTGCTTTGGGAAAAAAAAAAGAAACACTTAAAAATCAACTTTTACAAAACCAAACTAATTCTTTTTTGCTATGGTTTAAATATGTATGTCCCTTCAGAATTCATATTGGGACTTATCTCCCAAGGTGATGGTATTAAGAGATAAGGCCCCTTGGGAGGGGATTAGGCATTGAGGGCTCTGCCCTCAGGGATGGTATTAGTGCCCTTATAAAAGGGTTTGAGGAAGAGTTTGCCTCTTTTGCCCTTCTACTTCTTCTGCTATGTGAGGACACAGCATTTTTCCCCTTTGCTTTCCTTCTATGTGAGGACACAGCAACAAGGCACCACCTTTGAAGCAAAGAATAGCCCTCACTGGATACTGAATCTGCTGGTGCCTTGGTCTTGATTTCCCAGCCTCTAGAACTGTGAGAAACAAATTTCTGTTCCTTATAAATTACCCACTCTAAGGTATTTTGTTGTGGTAGCATAAACGAACTAAGACACCTTCCCACTCTTCTGCTGGTGCTGGTGACAGGTGACATTTACTAAGGTGAGAAATCTGGTAGATACTCTGGACTCCCTCCTCTTATTTACCCCTCAAATCTGTCTAATCAGGCACCAAGACTTATTGATTCTACCTCCTAGACTATATAATTCTCAAATCTGCCCCTCCACTCTATCCCTGAATCACTTTAACTATAGCATTCATTTTGTAACTGGTTGACCTGCCTCTTTTCTCCCTGCAAAATGCCAATGAATACATCTTTTCAGAGTGCAAATCTGGTCCTGCCACTCTCATGCTTAAAATTCTTCACTGGCTTCCTAGTACTTATGGGAAAAGTCCAAATTCATTAGCTTGGCAGCCTAGACCTTCCTTGTTCTTAACCACTATTCTAACCTCCCTCCTCTACAGGTACAGGTAGAGGGATAGGAAGGGAAGATGATGAACCTGAAATTGATAATAAAAGGGAAAGCCTCCCAGAAATCCTTCATGACCAAGAAGAGTGCTGAGGGCCAGGAGAGAACTTAGGACAAAGAAAAACCATGAATTAGCCATGGGGAGATCTGGAGAAGCAGTCCGCAGGATACTGCATCCATGTTGGGGAGCAGAGGAGTCTACAAGGAATGTGAATGCACAGCATTCAGGCAGGAATGCTTTGATGCTGGGGACATTTCTTATGGAACACTGAAGGAGCATGAAACTTGAGGTATTCTGACATGCATAATACAGAATATATAATGTCTACTAACAGTCTGCATCCAGGGGGAAATCCAAATTGAGATCTGGTTGTCAAGGAAGGGTAGAAATTCACTCAGATGAAAGGTACTTCTAGAGAAGGAATAGCATATTAAAATCATGGAAATGAAAGGGGAACAATGGTGTCCTGAGGGTAGGATATATGAGGAAGAGAAGTGGTGAACAGTAAGGCCAGACAGGCAAACTGGGCCAGAACATGGAGAATAGTAAAATCAGATTCACATTTTGGAAAGATGTGTCCATTGGCATTTTGTAGGGAGAAAAGATGCAGGTGGATCAGAGAGGAAATGAACACTATAGTCCAAGTGATGTATAATGCAGGGATAGAGTAGAGGGGCAAGTTTGAGAAATGTCTGGTCTAGGAGGTAAAATCAGTTAGTCTTGGTAGCTGATGAGACAGATGTGAGGGATAAATAAGAGGGAGTATACAGTGTCTATTAGATTTTTCACTCTAGTTTATGATTCAGCCTGTCGCTAGCATCAGCAGAAGAGTGGGGAGGAGAATTAGTTCGGTTTTAGAAAAATTGCAGTTTTTAAGTATTTTTAAATTATTTAAAGCAATACTTGTAGAAGGAAAACCATTCACATAGTACAAAGGCATATACAATGAAAAAGGAGTGCCCCATACTCCAGGGGAAACCACTTTTAACAGTTTGTTGTTTATCCCTGAGCAGCAATATGGCAGAGTGTGAAGAACATAAGCTCTAGAACAAGACTGTCTGTATTTGAATCTACCATTTCCAGCTGTATGTCCTTGGGCTAGTTATTTAACCTCTCTGCCTCACTTACATTATCTCTAAAATGGGAATTATAATAATGGGACACAGAAAAGGCAGGTTATAATACTGCTTGGAACCTTGCCGTTTGTGCTTAACGATATATACTGGAGATAATTCCGTATCCACATATACTTTTCTTAAATAAATTTTAAATAACTGAATAGTATTTCACCAAGTGAACTTTTTATAGTTTATTTAGCCTTTACTCAAGTAATGAATACTGAAGTTGCTTTTGCTAAGACAAATAATGTTGTGATTAATACCTTTTTACATGTCTTCACACACATACATGATTATATATTTTATATAAAGTCCTACAAGTGGAACTATAGGTCAAAAAGTACATCAATGTTTAATTGTGATAAAATATACTAAGATCCAAAGAGGTTATGCTAATTTATACTTCCAACAGTGTGTCAGAGCAGTGCTTTACGAAGTTTCATATACCTACAAGTCACCTGGGGATCTGATTAACAGGCAGATTCTGATTTAGTAGATCTGGGGTGGAGCTGAATTTCTAAAAAGCTCTCAGTTGATGCAGATGCTGCTGATCCAAGGACCACACTTTGAGTAGCAAGGTATAAGAGCACATGTATTTCTCCACATGCCTGCCCCCCAAAAAATGTACATTAAACGCTCTGATTTTTCCCATTCTGATAGGTGAAAGTTACATCTTATTGCTTAAATTAATCTATACTGCTTTAATTGTAAGTGTTGAGCTTCTCTCTCTCTCTCTCTCTCCCTCCCTCCCTCCCTCCCTCTCTCTCCCTCCCTCCCTCCCTCCCTCCCTTCCTCCCTCCCTCCCTCTCTCTCCCTCTCTCTCTCCCTCTTCCCCTCTCCATCTCTGAGTTAGGGTCTTGCACTGTTGCCCAGGCTGGAGTGCAGGGGCGTGATCACGGCTCACTGCAGACTTAAACTCTGGCTCAAGTGATGCTCTCGCCTCAGCCTTCTCTGAGTAGCTGGGACTACAGGGCGTGCACCACCATACCTGGCTAATTTTTAGACTTTTTGTCAAGACAGGGTCTCACTATGTTTCTCAGGCTTGTCTTGAACTCCTGGTCACAAGCAATCCTCCTGCTTTGGCTACCCAAAATGTTGGAATTACAGGCATGAGACACTGTGCCAACAGAGTATCTTTCATTTGTTTTTATAAGCCCACTTTCTTTTTGTCTGAACTGCCTGTTCAGGTTCTTTTTTCCTTTTTTGAATGGTTTGTTGGCATTTTCCTGTTATTCTCAAGAGCTCTTTATATATTATATATTAAGGGAACCAGCCTCTTGCCATATCAGATGCAAAACCTTTTCCCCAGTTTTTTTCTTTGGATTTTATTTTTGTATTTTTCGGGTGCTTTAAATTTCAACTTTCGTGTTGTCAGATTTAACAATTTTCTCTTTTATGGCTTCCAGGTTTTTTTGTTTGGTTGGTTGTTTTTTGTTTTTGTTTTTGTTTGAGACAGGGTCTCATTCTATCGCCCAGGCTGGAGTGCAGTGGTGCGATCTCCACTCACTGCAACCTCTGCCTCCAGGATTCAAGTGATTCTCATGGGATTACAGGCGTCCAACACCACGCCTGGCTAATTTTTGTATTTTTTGTAGAGACGGGGTTTTGCCATGTTGCCTAGGCTGGTCTCGAATTCCTGAGCTCGGGTAATCTGCCCGCCTCGGCCTCCCAAAGTGCTGGGAATACAGGCATGAGCCACCGCACCCGGCCAGCACCCAGGTTTTGTGTTTTGCTTAGAAAGACTTTTCTTATTTAAAGATAAGATCATATACTAAAAGTTATATACTAAACAATTGTCTTTGAATCATGGTTAGACTTCATTACGGTTTACTGATCAGTCTATTCATGTGCTTAGTACCAAAGTATTTTAATTACTGTAATTTTATAATATGTTTTAACAGGACTAGCTGCTTTGTCTTTTATTCCTCTTTTATTCAGACCTTTCCTGACTAGTCTTACATATGTACTTCAGAATCAGTTTGGGCATGTTGGATTGTAATGCGTCTGGAGGACAACTCCGTGTGTAGAAATTTAACATGCAGTTGAAAATGATAATCTGGAATCTGGGCATGTGTTCTTCCCTAGATATAGAAATCTGGGAGTCATCAGTGGTACCTGAAGCCCCTCAATAAAAGTTCATAGAATAAGAAAATGAGGCTGAGATAGAACTCTAGGTTAGTGGTTCTCAAAATTCAGTCCCCACACCCGCAGCATCAGCATTATCTGAGAACTTCTTGAGCTCCTACTAGATCAGAAACTCTGGAGACAGGGGAGGAGCAGTATGTTCTTTAATATAAACTCTCCAGGGAAATTTAACGTATGTTCAAATCTGAGAACTACTGTTCTAGGGTATATCTGTGGATAAGACAAATTAAGGAAAAAGAGCTCAAGATAACTAGTAGTAGGAAAACAAGGAAAAAGAAGTGTTATGCGTCAGGCGTGGTGGCTCACACCTGTAATCCCAGCACTTTGGGAGGCCAAGGTGGGCGGATCATGAGGTCAGGAGTTCGAGACCAGTCTGGCCAACATAGTGAAAGCCCGTCTCTGCTAAAAATATAAAAAAATTAGCCAGGTGTGGTGGGGTGTGCCTGTAATCCCAGCTACTTGGGAGGCTGAGGCAGGAGAATCACGTGAACCTGGGAGGCAGAGGTTGCAGTGAGTGGAGATCGCACCATTGCACTCCAGCCTAGGTGACAGTGTGAGACTCCATCTCAAAAAAAAAAAAGTGTTATGATAATAAAAGAAAACAAATTTCTAGAAAGTGCTCAACAGTGCCCAAAGCTGCAATGATGAAACAAAATAATATTTATTAAGCAACTACTATTTCCAAAGGGCTTATGTATATCAGCTCATTTACTCATGTAATAAAGTAAATATCATTATCCCCATTTTACAGAAAAGGAAACTGTGATTAAGTAACTTACCAAAGGTCATCTAGCTTATATGTGATTTGACACCAGTTCTACCATATAATAATGGCTTAAAAACTTACTGAAAAATTGCACATTAGAAAAGGAGAAGAAACTACGCTCCTTGGATTTTTTTTCAATCTGGAAGACATTAATTCACCTTGGAACCATACAGAGGACAGTGGCATAGTAGTGGTAGGAGTAGAAGGCAGACTGTAGTGAGGAAATGGGAGGTGAGAAAATAGAGCCAATGTCTAAGATGTTTGGCTGTGAAGGAAAAGAAATTGGTAGTTGGATGAGGGTAAAGGTTAAGGGCAGATTATGTTTTTAGGATGAAGAGACCACCTGCAAATATTTATGTAGAATTTAGATTAATTTAGATTAGAAATTTCATTCTAAGGCTCCAGGACAATCTCTAGTCCTGACCTCTCACTTAAATACCACACCAGTTCTACCTACTCCCTACAACTGCCCACTGGCTTTCTATATCTTCTATCACCCCAAACTAAAAACAACAAAAACCAAACAAAAATTGATGCCAAGCCTAGCTCTTTCTATTTTTGTTTTGTTTGTTCATTTTAAATCCTTAAAGGTCTGACTGGCTCAAACCTGGTAATCATTGTGTACTCCTCCTCTTCTTCAGCCTTTATACTGAATTAGTCACCAAGTGCTGGCTTTGAAATATCTTCACCTATTAACTTGTCCTGTCTATTCCTACTGTCACTGCTCCCTGTACTACATAAGCAATTGTGTAGCATGAGCTCCTTACATCCAATCCAACCCACACCAATTTTCCACAAATTCCAATCTCATACTTATTCATCTGCTTGCAATCCTGCAGTGGTTCCCCATGGCCTACTAAGTAAAGCTTGCTTTTTCTGGGCCTTCTATAGATTGTTCACATTTATCTCTCACTGATCCCCTATATAAATCTTAAGTTGGATGGACCTCCTTTATGTTTCCCAAAACTACGTTTCTTTCCATCCCTTTTTTATGCATTCCTATGAACTATTTAGGAATTAAGCAAAGCTCCCCCTCTTGTTTGCAAGCATAGTGTTATGTTTTCTTCCTCTAATCTTCAAAATCACTTGCTGCTGGCATCACTCATTTTGATAACCACGTACTTCCCTGCTCAAGCATTTTGCCTATGTATGTCTTATCTCTCTCAACTAGAGTACAGGGCTAGAGCATACTCCTTCTATGATCACCACCACATTGCTTAACATACATGCTCAGCACTCAAAAATATTTGTTAAATCAATGAAATTGTATCATGAGACCTTGCCATTTGAAGAGATCATTGGTGAATTAATTTTGGAAAATGCCTTTTTAAAAAACTCTCAAATGCCATATTAAGAACAACAATACACATTCACTGACTATGTACCCAGTATCAGGTACTTTCTCTTGAAGTACCTATTTAATTCTTACCAGATCCCTGTCGGGTGAAGGTTATTACTCTGAAACCATAAAGAGAAGACTATGACATGTTTAAAGACTTGCCCAGTATTTCTACTACTTCTACAGAGTACTCACAGCCTGCATTCAAAACCCCCAAGTCCATTGCTCTATTCTCCACAACACAGATTTTTTCTTTCATTTTTATTTTTTAAACAGGATCATATTGTTCTTACTTGAATTAAAAAGATTATTTTTCTGTACTTTTGATATGAAAATTCTAATTAAGAAAATAGGTAAATAATGAGTATATTTTTATCTCAGGTTTAGTGTCTAATTACAGTTTCTGTCACTAATGAGAGAAAGTACCTTTGTGTCCCCAAAGTAAACTTGTACCATAATGCAAAGGGAGATGAGATGCAGCTGGGTGTTGCATTAACATTCATAATTATGCATCATATGTTCCAGAAATGAATTGTTGTTTGACAGCAAGGGAAATGACAATAGTAAGAATTATAGCAAAAGCACATAAGGTTAATCAACATATAATCGACTCTCAAATATGCACATTTTGCATGTTTTCTTTTATTGGTGTTTATGATTTACTATTTAGAAACAACTGTAAATTAATCTACTAGAATATATTTCCCTATTAAAGATGCCTGAATTGAAAACATGCACATATAAAGTGAATACATTTTTAATGACACATAGTAGATATATTACTTAAGGGAGATTTTGCTCCACAAATGCAATAACCTACACATAATGAGGTGTTCTCCAGCAATACTTGGTCTAAAACACACAACACACCACACCACACACACCACACAGACACACACACACACACACACACACACTTTGGGGACAATTTAAACCTATTGGGAGAAAAAGACTAGATTAAAAAGACATACTGAAAAGACACTTTTCAGCATCTCCTAATGCATACATTATTAAACATAGCATACCCCAAGGAAACAGGAGGAATGCAGAATACAAATGACATTTTTCCACTGACTGAGACCTAGCTTCAAATCAGAAAAGAGGATGCCTTCACCCAACAGATGGCTACTAATGTCTTAACGTTAGGAGCCAACAATCATCACTTTAGTTGCAAGCAGACCCACACCTAGAACCTTAACCCTCATCCAATCAAAGAGCTAATTAACTCAGTTTATTCTTCTGTGAAGACTGGTGAGCATCTCAGGTCGAGGCAAAGTTAAAGCCTGGGTAACTTAGAAATCCTCAATTATCCTCTCAGATCAATTTACAATTTCTTTTTCTCTGGGCTTTACTGGGGTGTCAAGGTTACTACTGAGGATAACACAGGGTGAGGCAAGGGAGAAAGCATGCACAACTTGATTTTTAAACTCAAATAAGGATTTCTGAAGAACCCAGTCAAAATATTTCATTTAAAGCCTCTGAAAATACCGCTGAGACAGAGGTAGGTAGGTACATCAGTAGGAACCAATTGAGGTGCTACAGAGAGCAAACTAGATATGAGCAAACTAGATATGAAGTCAGATAGATCTGGCTGTGAGACAGTGGACATGTCAGTTACTTCATTTCTTCGTACCTCAGTCTCCTTATCTGTAATGTGGGGATGTATTTATCCCTACACCTCATAAGAGAGCTGTGCCAATTAAATGACATGATGCATTTGTTAGCTGCTAGCACTGTATTTCACCCACCGTATGTGCTGGGATAGAGGGACAGAACTAACATTTACGGAGTGTCTATTAAATCTGAAAGTAATCATGGTTCTGGCCAAGCCTCTAAGTTAGGTGGGAAGGCATCATGGAAGAACTCTTCATTCTGGATTGAAATCCCTAAGGATAATTTTGTTTATCTTTTCCTGGTCTTAATATTTTCAGACCAACTGTTGGGCCAAGGACTGATATGGCACTATCACAGTGAGCTGTAGAATTACGATACTCCTAATGAATGGAATTCTCCAAAACTCAGCCCCGTTTATACAGGGAAAATAGATGGGATCTGGAGTCAAACACAGAGACTGAATTTGAGTTCCAGCTCTGACACTTACTAGCTTTGTGGTCTTAGACAACTGACATGTCCATTTGAGCCTTGGTTTGCTATCACTATTGTATTCCATGATGGCATGAGGTCTCAGGCCAAGCAAGCTACTCAGATCCTGGGATACAACACACAGGCAACACAGAGCTACTTTCCCAGTCTAGCTGGGACAAACCAATGGTCATTGCAAGCTTTTACCCTGATGAGTTATGGGGAGGGGAAAAGAAATTATTTTTATGGTGATAACTTACTGTGGCGTGAAAGGGGCCTCTAGCAATTCTTCTTGTTCTAGGAAATTCATCATAATAGTGATTCTGAATCACATATTATAGACCAGCCATACTCTTCATCACTTCATGAGCAGCCTCTCCTACTCATCCTTAAACTTTTCCTTTACTCAACTCCAGGCCTTTCCCAGGAAATAGAAAGTAGAAAAGAATCATACACAGGTACACATACTGAGAGAGAGAGGAGGTGGGGAGGCAGGAATATAACAAGAGAAACATTTCTTAATCTCATACAAAATGCATACACCAAAACAAGTTTTTAATTTTTGTTCAAAATATTCCATTCTTTTGGAAGGGCCATGGGTACTTTAAGAAATATCTTTCTGAAGTGCAAAGAGGGAAAACCTCAGGTAAGTAACCTTCAATGTGTGTAAATTTAAATCAAGCCTTTTTTTATGACTGAGAGAAGGGCAGGTGATGTTCTACTCTTTCCCCCAGAGGAAAAAAAAAACTACCATGTATAACTTCTCAAAGACTATTCAAAGGCATTCATTAACTTTATACTTAACAAAATTGAGGGATATTCTACACCTTCATCACAGAAAAAAGGAAGAATATATCTCTGCATTAGGAGCCAGAGACAATCATTTTTAGCTGAACAAGGGTGCCAGAACAGCCAACCCATGCTTTCCCTTTGATTAGCTGGAAAGCAATCAATGCACTCTTGTTAGATTGGAGCTCTCACTCAGGATAGAAACTGGCCTGATGTCCAAAAAGTCGGCAGTTCAGAGACTAATCCCCAGAAGGGATCTTGACATTTGCGCTAAGATCCAGAGTTGGCATGCTTATCAGAACCCAAGTTTAAGACTGAGGCTTGAAGTTGTTAAGTAATAGACTGGTGAGGCATATTCAACATCTTCAAAATTCACACGTTTATTTCATCAGCTGAAACAAACAGCTTAGGTACTTAAGGTTTGCTTCATTTAGCTGTTTTACTAAAGATATTGGGTTTTAAATAAATATATTTATTTAACTTTAAAATTTATTAAAGATATGGGGAGGTAATACTTATAAATCTTAGGATTGGGGGCAAAAACATTATTTATTGAGACTTCTGCTTCTGGGAAAATGGAGATGAACTTTCTCCCATTCCTTTCACTAATATAACTAGAACCCTTGGACATTATGTATAAAACAAACATAAGATGACTCTCAGCTGACTGCCTCTGATACCATTCATTAGGAGAAAATATTTGCAAAACACATTTCTGACAAAGGACTAGTATCTAGAACATGAAAAGAAATTTCAAAACTTAGGAGTAAAAAAAATCTAGTTAGAAGGGTGTTAATGTAATGAAAATGATTTCTATTACATTAAGAAGGCAAACCAGTGAGGGACCTTGAGTTCCAAGGAATGACACAGTGATAAGGTCTCTGGCTTTTCTTTTTACCTTCTATAGCCCAGATTTGGAGCTGAGAAGCAACAACCTGGAAATACTTGTGGGCACGGACCAAATATAAGCCCCAATAAGAGCCTGCTCTCACTATCCAGAGGACTGGGAGAGGGGTAGACACCAAGACATAAAACTTTTAGATAATAACTGCTCTACTCCAGTCAAACAGCACAGGAAAACTGTGGCCCCAGCCACCCTCATGCCAATGAAGGCTGAGTGGGGAGCCTAGACTTCCACTCTGACTAGGCTATTAATAAGGTGTCGCAAATCTCCTCCTCCAGGTGTTGGTAGGAAAGACCAAATACAGAGACAGGACTTTCATCCATGCCAGGTGATAACAAGTCTCCTACTCATGATGTTAATGGAGAACACATGGGGAGCATAGGCATCCGCTCCCCGCTTGGCGGTAACAAGGAGCCCCTCCTCCCAGCTGAGGTGGTGTTCAGAGGCGGCCTAGTGGGGTGTTAGAACCTCCACCACTGCCCAGCAGTAAGCAAGCCACTCCCCTTCTCTGTGGTGTCAGAGGCACTCCCAGCAAGGGAGATATCAGTGAAAGCCTAGCAGAAACAAGCAGCCTCCCTCCTCAGGTGTCAATAGAGGCCAAGTGGAGAGCCTGGACTTTCTACCTCCACATGGCAGTAATATGGCAGCAACCCCCATCACTTGCCAGAGTGGTGTCAGAGGAAGCCAGCTAAAACAAGCTTAAATATGATTCAGAGTCTCAAAACATAATATCCTAAATATCCAGATTTCAATGAAAAAATCATTCATCATGCTGGAACCAGGAAGATCTCAAACTGAATGAAAGAGAGATAATCATGAGACACCACAAGATCACAGAAATGTTAGAATGATATGATAAAGCACCCATTATAAAAATGCTTCAATGAGTAATGACAGACATGCATGAAACAAATGAAAAAACAGAAAGACTTACAAAGAATTAGCAAGTCTTGGCAAAGATGTAGAATATATAAAGAAGAACCAACTGGAAATCTTAGAACTTAAAAATACAATATTCAAAATAAAAAAACAAAATGAATACAGGCATACCTTGGAGATATTGCTTTGATTCCAGACCACTGCAATAAAGCAAATACTGAAATAAAGTGAGTAACATGAATTGTTTTGGTTTCTCCATGCATATAAAAGTTATGTTTACACTACACTGTAGTCTATTAAGTGTAGAATAGCATCATGCCTAAAAACAATGTACAAACCTTGATGAAAGAATACTTTATTGCTAAAAAATGTTAATGATCATCTGCGTCTTCAGTGAGTCATAATCTTTTTGCTGGTGGAAGGTCTTGCCTTGATGTTGATGGCTACTGGCTTCTCAGGGTGATGGTTGCTGAAGATTGGAGTAGGTGTGGCAATTTCATAAAATAAGACAACAACAAAGTTTGCTGCATCAATTGACCCTTCCTTCCCTGAGAGATTTCTCTGTAGTATGCCATGCTGTTTGACAGCATTTACCGACAGTAGGATTTCCCTCTCCTCTCTCCTCTCTTCTCTTTCAGAGAATTGCTCTGTCACCCAGGCTGGAGTGCAGTGGCGTGATCACAGCTTACTGCGGTCTCTACCTCCCTGGGCTCAAGCAATCCTCCCACCTCAGTCTCTTGAGTAGCTGGGACTTCAGACATGCCACCACACCCAACTAAATTTTTTTTTTGTAGAGTTGGGGTTTCACTATGTTTCCCAGGCTGATCTTGAACTCCTGGGATCAAGCAATCCACATGCCTTGGCCTCCCAAAGTGCTGGGATTACAGGCGTGAGCCACCGTGCCTGGCCTGACTTCTTTCAAAATTGGAGTCAATCCTCTCAAACCCTGCCACTATTTTATCAACTAAGTTTGTTGAATATCCTAAATCCCTTGTTGTCATTTCAACATTGTTCACAGTATCTTCACCAGGAGTAGATTCCATCTCAAGAAACCACTTTCTTTGCTCACACATAAGAAGCAACTCCTTGTCTGTTAAGGTTTTATGAGATGGCAGCAATTCAGTCACATCTTCAGGTTCCACTTCTAATTCTAGTACTCTTGCTATTCCTACCACCTTTGCAGTTACTTCTTCCACAGAAGTCTTGAACCCCTCAAAGTCATTTATGAGGGGTAGAATGAAGTTCTTCCAAACTCCTGCTAATATGGATATTTTGATCTCCTCCCTTGAATCATGAATATTTTAATGACATCAAAACGGTGAATCCCTTCCATAAGATTTTCAATTTACTTTGGCCACATTCATCAGAGGATTGTCTATGGCAGCTATAGCCTTACAAAATGCATTTCTTTTTTTTTCTTTTTTTATTATTATTATACTTTAAGTTCTGGGGTACATGTGCAGAATGTGCAGGTTTGTTACATAGGTACACATGAGCCATGGTGGTTTGCTGCATCCATCAACCTGTCATCTACATTAGGTATTTCTCCTGATGCTATCCCTCCCCTAGCCCCCCACCCTCTGACAGGCCCCTGTGTGTGATGTTCCCCTCCCTGTGTCCATGTGTTCTCATTGTTCAACTCTCACTTGTGAGTGAGAACATATGGTGTTTTGTTTTCTGTTCTTGTGTTAGTTTTCTGAGAATGATGGTTTCCAGCTTCATCCATGTCCCTGCAAAGGACATGAACTCATCCATTTTTATGGCTGCATAGTATTCAATGGTGTATATGTGCCACATTTTCTTTATCCAGTCTATCATTGATAGGCATTTGGGTTGGTTCCAAGTCTTTGCTATTGTGAACAGTGCTGCAATAAACATACGTGTACATGTGTCTTTGTAGCAGAATGATTTATAATCCTTTGGGTATATACCCAGTAATCAGATCACTGGGTCAAATGCTATTTCTGGTTCTAGATCCTTAAGGAATTGCCACACTGTCTTCCACAATGGTTGAACTAATTTACACTCCCACCAACAGTGTAAAAGCATTCCTATTTCTCCACATCCTCTCCAGCATCTGTTGTTTCCTGACTTTTTAATGATTGCCATTTGAACTAGCATGAGATGGCATCTCATTGTGGTTTTGATTTGCCTTTCTCTAATGACCAGTGATGGTGAGCTTTTCTTCATATGTTTTTTGGCCACATAAATGTCTTCTTTTGAGGAGTGTCTGTTGATATCTTTCGCCCACTTTTTGATAAATAATAAGACTTGAAAGTCAAAATTACTCCCCAATCTATGGGCTGCAGAATGGATGAGTTAGCAGGCATGAAAATAACATGAACCTCCTTGTACATATCCATCAGGGTGCTTGGGTGATCAGGTGCATTGTTAATGAGCAGTAATATTTGAAAGGAATTTTCTGAGCAGTAATTATCAACAATGGGCTTAAAATATTCAGTAACCCTGCTGTAAACAGATGTGCTGTCATCCAGGTTTGGTTCCATTTATAGAGCACAGACAGAGTAGATTTAGTATAATTCTTAAGGGCCCTAGGATTTTTGGAATGGTAAATGATCAATGACTTCAACTTAAAAGTCATCAGCTGCATTAGCCCCTAACAAGAGAGTCAGCCTATCCCATGAAGTTTTAAATTGAGGCACTGAATTCTCGTTTTTAGCTATGAAAGTCCTAGATGGCATCTTCTTCCAATATAAGGCTGTTTGGTCTACATTAAAAATCTGTTGTTCAGTGTAGCCACCTTCGTCAATGATCTTAGCTAGATCTTCTGGATAATTTGCTGCAGCTTCTACATCAGCACTTGGTGCTTCCCCTTGCACTTTTATGTTATAGAGACAGCTTCTTTCCTTAAGCCTCATGAACCAACCTCTGCTAGCTTCAAACTTTTCTTCTGCAGCTTCCTCAGCATTCTCAGCCTTCATGGAATTGAAGAAAGTTCAAGCCTTTTTCTGAATTAGGGTTTGGCTAAGGGAATGTTGTGGCTGGTTTGCTCTTCTATGCAGACCACTGAAACTTTCTCTATATCAGCAATAAGGCTGTTTCACTTTTTTTATAATTCATGTGTTCACTGGAGTAGCACTTTTAATTTCCTTTAAGAACTTTCCTTTGCATTCACAACTTGGCTGTTCGGTGCAAGAGGCCTGGCTTTCAGCCCATCTTGGCTTTTCACATGCCTTCCTCACTAAGCTTAAGCATTTCTAACTTTTTATTTAAAGGGAGAGCTATGTGACACTTCCTTTCACTTGAAGACTCAGAGGGCATTGTAGGGTTATTAATTGGTATAATTTCAATGTTGTGTCTCAGGGAATAGGGAGGTCTGAGGAGAGGGAGAGTGATAGAGGAATGGCCTGTCGGTACACACGACATTTATCAATTCAGTTTGCCATCAATTTGACAGTTTGACATCAATTCAGTTTGCCATCTTATATGGGCACAGTTTGTGGTGCCCCAAACAATTACAATAGTACCATCAAAAAATCATTGATTACAGACCATCATAACAAATATGATAGTAATGAAAAAGTTTGAAATATTGTGAGAATTACATGTGACACAGAGACATGAAGTGAGAACATGCTATTGGAAAAATGGTGCCAATAGACTTGCTTGACACAGGTTGCCACAAACCTTCAATTTGTAAAAACCATAATTATCTGCAAAGTGCAATAAAGCAAAGTGCAATAAAATGAGGTATGCCTGTAATCTCAACAGTAGAATGGAGAAGACAAAAGAATCAGTACAGTTGAAGATAGAAAAATATAAATTACCCAATACGAACAACAGAAAGAAAATAGACTGAAAAAATAAACAGAGCCTCAGGGATCTTTGGGACCATGCCAAAAGATCTAACATTCATAGTACTGAAGTACTAGAAGGAGAGAAGCAGAGCAAGACTAAAAATATACTTGAACAAATAATACCTAAAACTTCCCCAAATTTGGCAAAAGACATAAACCTGAAGATTCAAGAAGGTAAGAAAATCCCAACAGGATAAACCCAAAGAAATTCATACCAAGACACATCTTAGTCAAAAGTCTGAAAGCTAAAGACAAACAAAAAAATCTTGAAAGCAGAGAGAAAGAAGTGACACATTACTGATATGTGAAAAATAATTTGAATGACATCATATTTCTCATCAGAAATCAATGGAGCCAGAGGAAGTGGCACAATATTTTTTTCAACTACTGAAAGAAAAGAACTTTCAATCCAGAATCCTATGTCAAGAGAAAATATCCTTCAGGAATGAAGGAGTCATCAGGACATTCTCAGATGAGGCAAAACTAACAGCATTCACCACTGGTGGACCTATTTTAAAAGTACGGCTAAAGGAAGTTCTGTAAATGGAAAGGAAATGACAAAAGAAGGATTCCTGGAATATTAGGAAAGAAGAAATGACATAGAAAATATGTATGTATGTATATGGGTAAATAAAATAGATTTCCTTTTTCTCTTGAATTATCTAAGTTATGTTTGATGGTGAAAGCAAAAATTATAACATTGTCTGATGTGGTTCTAAATGTATGTAAAGGAAATATTTAAGATAATTTTATTGTAAAAAGAGAAGCATAAAGAGATGTAAAGAAAGGTAAAGTTACTATACTTCAAACTGGTAAAATGACAATATCAATAAACTGTGATACATGATGTATATCTAATACCTATAGCAACCACTAAAAAATCAATATGAAGAGATATACTCAAAATCTCTAAAGATAAATCAAAATGGGATTCTAATTAATGTTTAAGTAACCTACTGTAAGGCAGAGAAAAAAGAAAGTAAAGAAAGTAAAAAAGAGAACAAAGAGAAAACAAAACAAGATTTAAGCCCTAACATATTAATAAGTATGTGAAATGTAAGTGGTCTAAACACATCAATGAAAAGACAGAGACTGGCAGAGTGCATAAAAACACATGATTCAACTATATGCTGTCAACAGTAATTCACTTCAAATAATATAAGCAGGTTGAAAGTACAAAGACAAAAAATATACTATGTAGATGTGAATGAAAGGAAAGAGAGAATGGCTATATTAATAGCAGATAAAGTAAGCAACCAAAGAAATAAATGGCATTCAGATTTGGAAAGGATAAAATAAAACTGTCGCTTTTTGGAGATAACATATGTTGAAAATCCCAAAGAATCTAAAACTAACAAAATCAATCAGTCAAACAAACAAAACAAGTTCAGCAAGTACGAAGCATACAAGATCAACATACCAAAAGCAATCACATTTCTGTATACAAATAATAGACATGTGAAAACAAATAAAAAACAATACCATTTACAGTTGCTGCAAAAAAATGAAATGCTTAGATGTAAATCTAACAGAACATGTATAGGGTATGCATGCTAAAAACCACATAATGCTGAAAAAAGAAAAAAATCCAAATGAATAGGAAGACACACTGTGTTCATGGATTAGAAGACGCAATATAGTAAACATGTTAATCCTCTCTAAATGTTTATACATATTTAATGCAGTTCCTATCAAAATCTCATCAAGATATTTTCTTGATATAGACACAATTGTTCCAGAAAGGCAGAGCAACTAGGATAAAGCAATTGTGAAAAAGAAGAATAAAGTAAGAATCAATATACCCAATTTCAAGACTTTGATAACTATAGCAGTCAAGACTGTATGGTATTGGTAGAGGGTCAGACACATATATCAATGGAATCGAATAGAAAACACAGAAATAGGCCCACACAAATATGCCAAACTTATTTTTGACAAAGTTGCAAAAGCAATTCAATGGAAAAAAAGATAGCCTTTTCAACATATGGTGCTGTAACAATGAGACAACAACAGGCCTAAAAACAAACCTCGACCTAAGTCTGATACTTAAACATGCACACAAAACCTCAGAATGGATCATAGACTTAATGTAGAGGTAATGTAAATGTAAAACTATAAATATTTTAGAAAAAAATAGGAGAAAAAATTTGGGATCTAGGACATTGAAAATAGTTTTTAGACTTGACACCAAAAGTATATATTAATTCATCAAAGGAAAAACCGATAAATTGGATTTGAGTTACATCATTCATTCCTTCATTAATTGTTAACATAGACTATCATGTTGTGGATACTGAGACTTTACAGATAATTAAAATGCAGCCCCTGTCTTCAAGGAAATCATAGTTTAGTAGAGAAAAGCAATATCTAAACTAACAGTTATGATGAGATGTGGTTAAGTGCACAGAGGACGGAGCTCTCCTGTAGGGATGAGGAACAGTTTGTAATACATAGCAGAAACCTTTAACAATGAGCAGAGACTTAGCAGGTAAAGGAGTGGGACACTATTCTAAGCAAAGAGAACAGTATCTGCAAAGGCAGAGACATGAGAGGACACTGTATTCAGGGAACGGTTAATATGTTCAAGGAGGCTAAATGTATGAGATTTGTCCATACGTTGTCATCATTTAGAGAGGGGAACAACACACACTGGGGCCTTTTGGAAGGTGGAGGGTGGGAGGAGGGAGAGATCAACAAAAATAACTAATGAGTACTAGGCTTAATATCTAGGTGATGAAATAATCTGTATAACAAACCCCCATGACACAAGTTTACCTATTAACTCTTTACCTATGTAACAAACCTTCACTTGTACCCCTGAACTTACAATAAAAGTTTTGAAAAATGAGATTTGAATGAATACATATCTGAGGTAGAACCAACAGGATTTGGTAACTGATTTGATAAAGGTGAAGTGGGTAGCTGAGAGAAGAGGGGATCAAGATGCTTCTTGAATTCCTACTTTAAAGGACTAGGACCATTAAATGTGATCAGGAACAGGAAAGGAGGAGAGGGCATTCTTGTTTCTGGATGGGGGGAAAGTATTAAAACATATTGAGTTTGAGGTACCTGTGTTTCTTGGCAAAAATGTCCTCCAGACAACTGGAAATATGAAGTTAGTATTGAGAAAATAGTTCTGGACTAGAGATGTAAATGTGTGAGGCATCAGTATTCAAATAGTTGATGCTATAGTAGTAAATTATGTTACATACTGAAAGGGCACACTGAGAAGCTGGGTGTCTGAGAGACAAAAAAAAATTGATAGAGCAAAGTCCAATGTTCCTTTTTGACTATTTGCCATTCGGTCTTCACAAAACTAGTTTAGATTCCCCTCAATGCATTAACATTTAGAGAACTCTGGCTTGAATAAGACAAAGAGATGAAAAGGCTGCCATTTCTCAGCCATTGCTGCCAACTCCCTTCTCTTCTATCTCCACATAGCATCTCTGGGGAGGTAAGGATCTGCTGAAGTCAGTAAAGAAAATTCCATAGCTTTCTTTGGTGATTTATTACTGACTGCAGAAAGTGATTTAGTTCTCTAGAAGACCTAGCTAAAATCCTTCCTGCTACAAATGATACTGTTTCTTCATGTGCTGTCTTAATGGAAAAAGAAGACAGTTAGATACCCTATTGTGTGTATCATGGAATTATGTTTTCCAGTCTGGACAGCATGGGGAAGTAGATTTTTCAAGACAAATAAAGTGGCTGATGGGAGGCCCTAGGGTTGACAGGGAAAAAGATGTGGATAAGATTATGGGATTCAATTCCTGGTATTCTAGAAAAGTAGTTTTTTTTTTTTCTAGTCCTTGAAAGCAGTTATTAAATCACTTCTTCTTGTCTTACAAAACAAATATATGAAGAATCAAATACACAGCTTATTTATTTTGCAAGGCAAAACTCCCCTATGGACATTAAATTGGCTGTGAAATGAGTTAAGTCGGCAATTTTGCTTTGGTTTTGTTTTGTTTTTGTGTTTGAAACCATCCATGGCAAGTGGCTATTTCTAAGGGCTTGAAAATTTTATCTTCTCTGGGTTGAATAATCTTGATTCTTTCACAAAGCCTTCACTTGAATGACTTTTCTATCCATTAATTATTTTATATCACTTCCTTGATTGCTCACCAAATTCTTTGTACCCATCTTTAGCTATTATGATAGGATCACTTTAACTCTCTGATCAAAAACTGCGTTTAAATATTGTTCAAAACATTCTGTTCTGTGCAAGGGATATAAGCCCTTGAAAAAAACATTTCAGAGAAAAAAAAAGTGTCAGGCCCTGTTGTTAAAGGAAGTGAGCTGTACCGGAATATTAATCAAGTCCAGTTATTGTATCCAAATTAAACTGGTGTCTCTTAATTCCAGCTTGAAAAGCAGCAAAGTGGAAGGAAGAAAAGTAATGCAAAGGATAAAAATAGAAAATATTTCCTGCTTAAAGAAAGAGAGAAACGGGATTTTTACATACATAGTGGCATCACTTCCTTAATGAAGCTATTCCCTTTTCTATAAATTCTGTCTGGTGTGGAAGGACAAAGAATGGTGGAAGGAAATCTGAAAGCAAAGATGTTGAACAGGTAAAGTTGGAGTTTCCCACTAGTTAGCTCCAATAGTCAAGGCTAGGGGAACATATCAATGGCCAACACAGTATGAATTATAGTTAATCCCTGAGAATGGCAGACTTGAGTATTTTGGATACTAAGGGAGGCCCAAGGATGAAAACATGCTTCTAGAGAACATTTTCATTTTATTTGAATTTAAATTAAGATTTGGGATGAGCTGATAAAAGGCAAAGTGAAGGAGTATCATACCTGGTAGTGCCTTAGCTGTTTATTGTTTTTAAAAATTGTTCTACAATTGCCAGTGGTTTTGGTTAATGTCAATCTAAGATATCTCAACACCGATATCTAGGATTTTTAATAGACAAAAGGCATAATTTTCTCTCTTCCTAATGTGGTAAAACATAAAGTTTGATTTGACTGGTGAGATTGAGTCTAGAAAAATAAAGGGGAAAAGACAGCTAATACTTCTAAAGATGCTAAATTCTAAGTATCTGCATGCTCTCATTTCATCCTCAGTAGAAATCAGTGAAAAAGAGGTGAGAAAATGGACCCAGAGATATTAAGGCAGACGTCCAACTTATCAGTCCACTGCTAATCTTATACTGGTGGTCCTAGGTGTTCTTCCCAAAGTGACATTCATGCATTCATTCATTGACTATTTGTTTATTCATCAAATACTGTATTCCAGGCTCTGAAGCCACGTCCTGGAGATTAATGGTGAAAAACACAAGGCCTAGCTTTATGGAAACTTATTGGTTCCTGACCAATTCTCCAAGTTTTAGGTAAGTCTGAGTTCTAAGTCAACCTATTGACTTCCCATTCTACATTCTGTTATCTGCCTAATCAGTGGGTATTCTTTTGGTTGTATGGCTGTGATCAACTCAAGTATGAGTCATTCAAAAGGGGAAAAACAAAATGACCAACCTATCTTTTCTCTGACACAATCAACCAAATTAGCGTAGGAAAAAGTTATTAAGTCACATCCATTCCATCCTGGGAACAGAGCAAAACCACTCCTTGTATTATGCTACATTATTTTTCAACAAAATTGTCCTGTATAATTGTAAATAATTATAAATGACTCAGTGGCAAAGTTTCCACCATTTCCTCTCAAAGGTTAGCCCACGCTCCAGTAATTTTTAGCATCAAGATGGTTTCTCTGATAGTCAGCCTAAACAGCCCTTGTCCTGATTTCATCTAATTAAGCTCTGATCTACCCTGATCTCATTCTATGCAATTCCTCTTTTGCTGCTGTATTTATATCCTTCAAATATAGCTATATGCCTATCATAACAAATTCTCTCCCCTCTCCACCATGGCTGACCTAATCTTAAGCTAAACTCAGCAGACAAAACTGCAACCCCACCATAACTTCTAGCCATCTCAGTATTTCCTACCCTATGCAGAAAACACCAACTAATTTCTTGCAGTTCTGAGGTCAGACCTTCCAGGTCTCTTCCTATACATTGGGCAGTGGGGCAGGTGTCCAGAGACCACAAATTGCATTTCAATGACATCCTGTCACCTCCACTCTTCTACTTCTCTAGGGTACAGAAGTACTTCCTCAGTGATTTTTTTCTAACCACATGTTTTGAGGGTCTGGCAGAACAGATCCAATTCAGAAGAACATCTTAGAAGATTTTGTTGAATCTATCTGGGTGCAGAACTTATTCCTTCACTCTCACACTCAACTTTTGTTGAAAACTAGCAGTGTCATACCCTAGTGAATCTGACATGTTCTCTCTCAAGGAATTCACAGTCTAATACAGGAGATAAATAGGTCCCTCTCCCCAATTTACCCCCTGCCACCCTCCTTTTCTAAAGAAAATACAATTCCTCATCTCCCATTCACTCTTCACTGAAATTGGGCCTCTGCTCATAATGTTTTAATAAAGCCTTTTCTGCCAAAGTCAACCAGTAACCTCTGAATTAGCAAACTCAATAGTCTTTTTTCAATATTCATCCAACTAAAATGCAAGAATATTCAGCACTATTGATTGTTGGACTGCTTTTTCTTGAAATCCTCTCCCTGTCCTTGGTTTCCATGACACCACTCTCCCACGTCTCCTCCTACATTTCTGAGTGCCCTTTCTTTCTCTCCTTTACACCACTTTCTCCCTTTCCTCTCAGCAGACAGCTTCTCCTTATAGTTGATTTAAAAAGATAAGCATTGAGAAAAGAACTTCCTCTTCTTTCCACCGCTGCATCACCAACCTACCTTGCCTTATCTCCTCTTAATATGGGTGAATTATCCTTATCCTTAACAAAGTTCAACTCCGCACTTCTGCTCTGATCTTCCCAAGGACCTTGCTGCTGCAATTATATTTGTCTATGCTGTCCATTTCTTTTCTATACCATCAATTTCTCCCTTGCTACTGAATTATTTCCATTAGCAGTCAGATATTTAATATTTGTGATTTTAAAATTTCCCCTTATGTTTAATATACTTTTATTGAATGTGTCCCTTTAACATATATATTGTTTTGTGTGCATGTATTTTTATAGATACATAATAATTGTACATACTTTGGGGGTACGTGATATTGTGATACATGCAAATAATACATAATGATCAAATCAGAGTAATTGGAATATCCATCACCCAAACATTTATCATTTCTTCATGTTAAGAATATTCCAAATCTTCTCTTAAAGCTATTTTGAAATATACAATAAGTTACTGATAACTATAGTCACCCTACTGTGCTATCAGACACTGGAACTTATTCCTTTCTTTTAAAAATTAATTTTATTAACCGACAAAAATCACCATATATTTATCCCAATTGCCTCTCTAGCTAACACTCTTATTTTTCTATACTCCTTTTACAACTAAACTCATAGAAAGACTTACTACCTTCACTTCTTCACTGTCCATTCTTTTATGAAACAATCCATTCAGGCTTTTGTCTCTGGGTTGCCAATGACTTTCATGTTGCCAAAATCAATAGTCAATTCTCAGAATCAATGTCTCATCAACATTTGACACAGCTGAGTACTCCCTCTTTCTTGAATCAGTTTCTTCACTTGCATTGTGGGATACCACTCTCATTTGGTTTTTCTCCTACCTCACTGGCCACTTCTCCTCAGATTATTCTTTGGGTTTTTCTTCATCTGCCCTATCTTTAAATATCGGAGTATCCCAGGGCTCAATACAAGGACCTCTCCTCTTTGCTGCCTACACTTAAAAAAATTAAAGGTAACTTTATTTTATCAAGATTTAATTTCCTTTTAATGTCCATGGTTTTAGCTCCTGCCAAAATTAGAGGCTGCCTCCTCAACTGGTCCAACTTAGGCTTAAAAATATTTTTTACCTTGAAATAATTTAAAATGTATGATAGAGTTGTAAGAACAGTACAAGGAATTCCTGTGTAGCCTTTATCTAGATTCACCAACTGATTACATTTTGTCACATTTGCTTTTTCACTCCCTCTCTCTCTAGACATATAAATTAATATGCATGTATGTATTTACTCATCTATTTCAGAGAGAGTTTCAGACCTCATGCCCCTTTACCTCTAAATACTTCAGTTTGTCTTTCCTAAGGAGAGAAATTATCTTATACAATTACAGTACTATTATCAAATTCAGGAATTTTTATATTAATACCATTTTATAATATACTTAACCCATTAATGTTCTCACCTGGTGTCAAAGCTTTATCAGAGGGTGACTCCAAAATTTAAATATTTAACCTTGACCTATTTTCTCAATTCTAGACTCTTCTACCTAATTTCTTAGTTAACATTAGCATGTAGCTGTCCAATAGACATGTCATTACATTTACAAAGTTAATGTGTATAAAACCAAGCTACTTCTTTCCTACTTCTTCCCGTTACCCATAAAACTTGTTTCTCCTCCAGTCTTTCTCGCCTCAGTAAATGGTACCACCCAGTTATTCAGGTCAAAACCCAAGGAAGCATTTAGTCCTTGCCTACCCATTCCCTACCACAGCCCTGCCCAATTCACACTTGATCCATCAGCAAGTCCTCCAAAACAAATCCTAAATCTAACAACTTTTTACCATCTCCATCACTAAAATCCAAATCCGACTCATTACCATCTCTTGCTTGAATTATTCCAAGTAGCCTCCTAACAAGTTTTCCTGCTTCCTCTCTGCCCCCTACAGTCTGTTTCCCATACAGCAGCCACGGTGATCATCTATCAATCCAAAACTAATCATACCACTGTTCTGCTTAGAACTCTCTAACAGCTTCCTTCTGCAAATAGAATACATTTGTACACATTTGAACTTCTTACCAGAGCCTACAAGGCCCTGTGTGATTATATGCCTGGCTTCCTCTCCTTTCATGCTTCCTTTGCTTACCACACTCCAGTTTTAAAGCTTTCTTTCTGACCCTTGAATACATCATGTATTTTTCCATTTAAGAGCTCTTGTACTTGATATTCTTCTGGCTGGAATGCTCTTCTCCCCAGATCTTTATATGGCTGCCTCTTTCTTATCATTTAACTCTTGGTTCAAATATCTTCATAGTGGTCTTCCCTGAATGAGCTAAAGTCTCCCCTGCCCCTGCTGCTCCTACCACACCCACATTTAGTCATTTTATATGCCTTTGCATTGCTTTATTTTCCTTTATAGCACTTACCAGTAATGGATATAACATGTTTGCGTATTTGTGATTATTGTCTACTTCTCCCATTCCTGTTAGAATATCAGCTCCATGAGGGAAAAGGCTATTTTGTTCACTGATATACCCCCAGTTCCTAAAATAGTACCCGACACAGACCATGGCTCTAGTAAATATTTGTTAGATGAATGAATGAATGGTTCCCCTCTTTGCATTTAGCTCACATATGTCCCCCAGAATCTGGTCCCTGATCGTCTTCTTTTCCTCCCTACATTACTGTTTCTGGAAGATCCCATCCATCCCAATGGCTTCAATTACTATCGACCCAAATAACTTTCAATTTAATTATTGAGTCATTTTTTTCTTTGTGTACCCAAGAACCATAGTTACAACTGTCTACTCGTCCTTTATATTTGGACGTCTTACAGATGCTTCAAATTCCACATGTCTAAAACTAGCTCATTATTTTGTTTCTTTTTGATATAAAGCATATAAAGTACCTAGTCAAATGCTCAGTGTCTAAGAGGCACTCAATAAATGCTAGTTCTTATAAATAGCATTTGTAACTAGTATCTTTTAACTCAATCCAATTTGGCAAGAAACCTTGCACTCATCTTTGACTCTATCTCTTTCCTTTGCTGAATCCACTATCTCAGCTTTCAAGTATTTGGATGCCTGACAACCCAATACCCCTAAAAGTCTCAGCCTCTAATCCTCACTGCAATAACCCTTACTGCCCTTGCCTGGCATACATTCATTCCATTCAATTAGCTATTCAATGAGTATCGAGCATGTAACCCTGCTAAGCACTATGATCACTATACTTAAGATAGGAGGAAAAACAACACATGGACACTGCCCAAAATTTACAGGGGGGAAATAGACAAGTAAACAGGCTGTTACGATTCTAGATAGAGGAAATTAAAGGGTGTTGTTTATGGGAGGAAGCTTAATACAGTCTGGGGATATCAACCCTAACACTTCTTAGAAGTGATAAAGCTTAGGTCAAGTCTTGAGTGTTGAATAAGAGTTAGCTAAACAAAGAAGAGGAAGGAGCAGTCATCATTTTGGGAAGAAGGAGCAGAATGTGAAAAGGCACAGAGATATGAGAGAATATGTTGTAGCTGGATGTGATGGTTAATACTGAGTGTCAACTTGATTGGATTGAAGGATACAAAGTATTGATCCTGGGTGTGTCTGTGTGGGTGTTGCCAAAAGAAATTAACATTTGAGTCAGTGGGCTGGGGAAGGCAGAACCACCCTTCATCTGGTGGGCACAATCTAATCAGCTGCCAGCAAATATAAAGCAGGCAGAAAAATGTGAGAAGCAGAGACTGGCCTAGCCTCCCAGCCTACATCTTTCTGCCATGCTGGATGCTTCCTGCCCTCGAACATCAGACTCCAATTTCTTCAGCTTTGGGACTCAGACTGGCTCTCCTTGCTCCTCAGCTTGCAGATGGCCTATTGTGAGACCTTGTGATCATGTAAGTTAATACTTAATAAGCTCCCCTTTATATATATGTGTGTGTGCATATATATATCCTATTAGTTCTGTCCCTCTAGAGAACTCTGACGAATACATTGGAGAAATATAAGCAGTTGAATGTGGCCATAACATAAAGTGCAGGCTTGTGTGGAGATGGCAGAGATAAACAGGCGTTCTATTTCAAGGGGCCTGTTCACCAAATTAAGGAGTTTGGATTTTAACCTGAACACAATAGGGAACTTTGAAGGGTTTTGGTGAGTAAAGATTTCATGATGAGATTTGCATTTTAAAAGATGACTCTGGTTGCACTGTGGAGAATAAATTCAGGAGGTAGGGAGCATGGTAAAACTAGAGGTAGGTAAACAAATTGAGAGACTTGCAGTGAGCAAACAAGAGAGAAGAAGTTTGAGAAATTTTCAGCATATATAAAATGGCCAAGACTTGCTCAATTAGATATAGCAATAAGGAGCTGAAAAAACTGGGTTCACTGTGAATTATTTACCTTTATAGAGGCACACAGGAGGAGAAGCAGATTTTATCAGGGTTTGGAGGTAGAAGTTAATGACTTTAACATATAGAGTTTTGGAGATACGTGTGGGGTATAAAAATGAAGATACCTAGAAAGAAGTGGTATAAATGGGAGTGAGGTATGGGATGGAGTGAGAGATTTAGAAGTCTTATTTGCTAAATTAAATCATGGAATGAATTAAATCACCCAGAATGTACAGTGTTAGAAGAGTAGAGAAACTTGTGCAGAACTTCAGAGAATATTAATACATAAGGGGCAAGTAGAGGAAGAGGAACCATAAAAAAGGAATAGACAAGAGAAAGCAAAGAAAAACCAGGGGAAGCATAGTGTTTCTGGAGCCAAAGGAAGATAAAATTTTTAGAAGACAATAATGTTCAACAATGTTAAGTGCTGATGAGAAGTTGTACTGAGTTGAATGGTGCCCCTGCAAAATTCATGTTTACCCAGAACCTTTGAATGCAACCCTGTTTGGAGACAGAGCCTTTGCAGATGTAATTAGTTATTATGAAATCATACTGGACTAAGGTAGGACCTAAATCCAATGACTGGTGACCTTACAAGAAGGCCACATAGACACAGACACACAGAGACACAGGGGAAAGGGCCATGTGAAGATGGAGGCAGAGGTTGGAGTGCTATGTCTACAAGCCAAGGAATGCCTAGGGTTGCTGGTAAACACCAGAAGCTAGGAAGAATCAAGGAAGGACCCTCCCTTAGAGCCTTCAGAGAGAGCATGGCCCTACCGACACTTGGATTTCAGACTTCCAGTATCCTGAACTATGTAATCTCTGCTATTTTAAGGTACCCAGTCTGTGTCACTTTGTTGTGACATCCCTAGGACACTAATACAGAGGTGAAGTAACACAGGAACCAAAAGGAGTTCATTGCTTTTCAAAATAGTTTACCTGTGAAAGGAAAAAAGAGCACAATACCTAAAGATGACTATAGGTCTGGGAAAGGTGTTTTCAAAATGGGAGACTTGAGCTGGTTTGTAGACTTAGGGGAAAAAACTAGGACAAGAGAAGGGTAACAGGTTGAAAATGCCTGAAAAAGGGAGAGTGGAAATTAAAGGAGCAAGATTTCTTTAAAAAGTGGAGGAGAATGAGGTCCAGGACACCTGTGAAAAAATTGGGTATGTCCAAGTGAGGAGGTAAACTCTTTTAAGATATACCCCTTTGGGTTTCAGAAAGATAAGGATAGAAAAAAGTCACGTAGATTCATCTATACAGGGTCTTAAATGCTGGGATGAAGTATTTAGACTTATTTCTGCAGGCAGTTGGAGCTTTTTTGAGAAAGGAAATGACATGAGCCAGGCTAAGCACAATAGAGACCTCATAACTCATGAGATTTACCCAAAGCACAATTACTGCTGATTGAAATAAATACAGAGATGTACTTTAGGAAGATTAATTTGGCAGAAGTGCAGAGAATGGGTTGGAGGGCATCCAGACAAGAGGTAATGAGTCCCTGGCAGTAGCAGGACGAAGGAAAAGGAAATAGATGAGATGGATATTAGAAACACTGCACAGGGAGCTCAGAAAGGACTTGGTGACTGCTGGGAATAAAAGAGGGAATTTAAGTGGATTCTACTATTGTGAGCTTGATTGACAAGGATGGGAAAGATGCCATAGACTGAAATAGAGATATTAGGACACTGGAGGGGGTTGGTTGGGTAAGGGTTAATGTACACCTTGGAATGGAAGTCTGGAGCTCAGGAAGAAGGGAAAGCTGGGAAGAGAGATCTGGCAGTCTCCTATATCCAGGAGAGAGGTGAAACCTTTGGAAGTGGATAAATTCATAAAAGATGAATTGGCAGAGGAAAAAGTTAAGGCAAAGGATAGAATCACAAACTTACTTTAGGTACAGAAAGGAGACATTTCCCCCAAGTATAGAAAGGCTTCCTAGAGGAGGTAGCAAATGTGAAACATCCCAGAAACAGTGGAAAGAAACCTTGACTGGTAAGAAGAAGCTGCTGGTTCTAGTCTAGTCTACCTCTGTCGCTGTGTGGCCTTAGGAAAGTCCTTTCTCATTCTAATCCTCAATCTTCTCACCTATAAAATGAGGTCACTGAATACGGTGATTACAGAAACCTCTTTTAGCTCTAGCAGTACATTTTCCTTTGATTGAAGCTTGACTTTGGCCTTTGTTTTGGCAAGAGAGGTAGATAACTTTCTAGATCAAGAAATAGTATACAATGGCAAAGAGGCACATTTAAGAAAAGAGAAATGAATGAATTCAGAACTAGTCATTTTCACAACTTGAGCTATCCAACCTAATGATCATTCTGATTGACAATTATTAGGGTACTATGTGATTGATAATAACACCTGGTCTATGAGTTGTGTAATGAAGTTTTTTTGTTTGTTTGTTTGTTTTGAGACAGAGTCTGGCTCTGTCTTCCAGGCTGGAGTGCAGTGGCGTGAGATCTCGGCTCACTGCAAGCTCCGCCTCCCGGGTTCACGCCATTCTCCTGCGTCTCAGCCTCCGAAGTAGCTGGGACTACAGGCGCCCACCACCATGCCTGGCTAATTTTTTTTTTGTATTTTTAGTAGAGATGGGGTTTCACCGTGTTAGCCAGGATGGTCGCGATCTCCTGATCTCGTGATCCGCCCGCCTCGGCCTCCCAAAGTGCTGGGATTACAGGCGTGAGTCCCCGCGCCTGGCCGGATGAAGTTTTAACCAGTATTGTACTGCCTGCTAAAATCAGTACTGAAGGATAAGTACTGCCTTCCTTTTACTTAGGAAAAAGAAAAGAGCAGTTACCAAATGGCTACTCTGTTTCAGGTACTTTCATATATTTACCTAAAAGGTAATTTACATGAAGGCAAGATTTTCTTTTAAATCTGTTTTATTAACTGATATATCACTAATACCTAAAATAGTGCTTAGCACATAGTTTTCAATATTGTTTGAATGACTTGAAAAATATATGTATATATTTTATATATACACATATTTTATATGTGTGTGTATATAATGTCATTTGATCATTATAACAAACTTGCAAAAGAGACATTAGTGTTCTTATCATACGGATGGGAAAAGAATGACTAAAAGAGGTTATATAAACTTACTCAAAGTCACACAACCTGTAGGGGTCGTGCCAGAGTCAAACACAACAGATTTATAAGCTCCATGTGGGCAGGGAATGTGTCTATGTTATTCTCCATGGTATCCCCAACAGCTAACTCCGTATCTAGATGGAAGTAGCATTTAATAAATATCTTGTGAACAGAAGGAAGCAGGCAAGCAAACACACACTTGTGTGAACCCATATACCATTCATTTTACCCTGTACCAACCACATCATTGCCCAAATTCAAAAGAATAATTGAATCTCAAGAATCCAGCAGTTTGCCTACCATGTTTGTTGGCTTAAATATTCTGTGATTTTTTTATTCATTCTCACTTGTAGACTACGATGGTTCTCTTTCAGTCTTTTTAAGCTTTAGAGAGAGCCTCAAGGTCTTCTTTTTGGAGAATGCTTTATACCAGGGGCCAGCAAACTTAGTCTGTGAAGGGCCAGGTAGTAAATATTTTAGGTTTTGTAGACTATATAGTGTCTGTTGCAACTATTCAACTTTGCCATTTTGGTGTCTTTTTTTTTTTTTTTTAAAAACAGCTATAGACAACACATAGATAGATCAGCATGCCTGCTCCAGTTGCTTTTATTCCAATAAAATGTTAATTGGAAAACTAGTTAGCAGGCCAGATTTGGCCACAGACCATAGTTTACCCCACCTCTGTTTTATATTATTATTTTAATTTTTCTCTCTCTTGCCTTTCCAGGACTTCTCTAACACTGTGCCAACTGTAAACATCTTCCTATCCCTGGTATATTAATACATGGTAGGACAACTTCAGTTTTAACAAGTTTCAACAGTTGTAACCCCTTCCATTTAATTATAGATGGCAGGAGTATTATGACAACAACAAAGACAGGACAGCTAGGGAGGCTGGCAGGTGGCCTAGACAAGGCTCAAAGATATGGCAGTTCCTTTTCATAATCTTAATGCTGGTCCAGGATCTAGATACCAGGTTCATATAATAAAAACTAGATTTTTTGCTTTTTGATCAGTGTACCCAAAATTGATCAGTTATTTAAAAACAGTCTTTCAAATATCCATAATCATAATAAACTGAATGGAATGTCATATGCCAATTTAAGTGACCACGAGAAATATAACTATCAAGAAAACCAGTTACTCATAGTTCCTACTTCCCTACATAAGGATGTGTAAAAAAAAAAAACTCCTGAGTCCTTCCTATGTGTCATAGAGTGTACTAGGTGCTGAGAACGCAACAATGAACAAGCAGCCCCTGTCCTCATGGTTCTAGTCTAAGGGTCATTTTTTTTTCCTCTATAGAGCCAAATAAATATTTTAGGCTTTTTGTGTCACACAGTCTGCCACAACTCAATTTTGCCATTTTAGTATGAAAGAAGCATAGATAGTACATAAATCAATAGGTTCCAATAAAACTTTATTTATGGACACTTACATTTGAGTTTCATATAATTTCACATATCATGAAATACGATTCTTTTTTCCACCAACCATTTAAAATATATACATATATGTATGTATGTGTGTATATATATATCAAAGAGATATCTATACCCCATATCTATTGCAGCAGTATCCAGCTGAGATATAAAATCAATCTAAGTGTTCAAAAACAGATGAATGGATAAAGAAAATGTGGTATATATACACAATGGAGTGTTATTCAGCCATAAAAAGAATGAAATCCTGTCATTTGCAGCAACATGGAGGACGTTATGTTAAGTGAAATAAGCCAGGAACAGAAAGTTGAACACCACATGTTCTCACTCATATGTGGAAGCTAAAAATATTGATCTCATAGAAGTAAAGAGTAGAACAGAGGTTACTAGAGGGTGAGAAGGTAGGGGGAAGGGAGGGATATACAGAGATTTGTTAAATAATACAAAATGGCAAAATTGAGTTGTGGCAGACTGTGTGACACAAAAAGCCTAAAATATTTATTTGGCTCTATAGAGGAAAAAAAATGACCCTTAGACTAGAACCATGAGGACAGGGGCTGCTTGTTCATTGTTGCGTTCTCAGCACCTAGTACACTCTATGACACATAGGAAGGACTCAGGAGTTTTTTTTTTTACACATCCTCATGTAGGGAAGTAGGAACTATGAGTAACTGGTTTTCTTGATAGTTATATTTTTCGTGGTCACTTAAATTGGCATATGACATTCCATTCAGTTTATTATGATTATGGATATTTGAAAGACTGTTTTTAAATAACTGATCAATTTTGGGTACACTGATCAAAAAGCAAAAAATCTAGTTTTTATTATATGAACCTGGTATCTAGATCCTGGACCAGCATTAAGATTAATGTATTATATATTTTCAAATAACTAGAAGAAAGGATATTGAATGTTCCCAACATAAAGAAATGATAAATGTTTGAGATAATAGATATGCTAATTACTGTGATCTGATCACTATACATTGCACATTGGAAAACCACTATGTACCCCATAAATACGTACTATGTATCAGTTAAAATAAATTAAAAAATGGAAGTGAAAGAATAACCTGGAGGCTGATAAATGACATTGGTAAGGAAATGAGAGTGATAATCCCTGCTTGTCTGAGCTTCAAAAATGAAGGGAATCTTACATGAGGGTGGAGGAATGATGGTTCGGAAGTTGTCTATGGAGAGCATGGCTAAACCAGAATATGTCAATATACTGTACATTCAATTGTATCTTGCCTTTTTGTAAGAAAAAGTAATACAGTACCCTAAGACTTTACCCACATCATCAAAAATTACTTGTGTTCATTTTCTCTGTCTGTACATTTTTGTAATTTCCTCCATACACAACCTCTTTCTTTCATGCATATTTCTTAAGGGCATTCCTGATTGCTTATGAGTTTGTTCCCATTACGAATGACATAAATTTCTCCATATAGCTTCTAATTGATTACTGTGGTCTATTGTTACCTTTAAATTTGTTACTCTTTGACTTCTCCTTTGAACTGGTTGTAACACTTTACGTTTTCCTCATTAATGAGTGAAATACAATCTTTAACATGTTCATTTTTTGTCTACGTAAGAATCAAAATTTTGCCTTTTAAAAATTATTTTAATACTTGTAATGAATTGTTACTGTCCTATACTATTGAATTAGATTTCATAGAATTCCATGTATATATTTTGCATCTAAATTCACAAATTGGATAGAATATTCTTTCTTAGAGCAGTCTGTCAGGTTTTGGTATCAGAGTAATGCTAGCTTCAAAAACAATGTGAATAATTCTGCAACATTTTCAATACTATAACATACTTATAGAATTAAACGTGGCTATTTCTAGAAAATTTGAAGGAATTCACAGATAAAAATATCTGTCCCTTAAAGCCCTAAAGTATTTTTAGATGTCCCTAAAGTATTTTTGGAAGTTTCTCTTTGATAATTGTTTTCGAAGTTTCTACTGTTACATGTCCATTTAGTTTTCAACTTCTCAATAATTTCTGGCATTTAATATTTTATTAGATATTTTTAAGTTCTCTGAGATTTTCAAATATATTAAGGTACAATTATAGTAGTGCGCCTTTAATTTAAAAAATCTTTCTTTGTTGTTGTATTCCATTTGTCATTTAAATTTTATTGGTAATTCATCTTTGTTTTCTTGATTAAATTTGCTAAAGGCTTATCTATTTAATTCATCCCTCTGAAAAGAAACCTAGTCCTTGGTTTCATATTATATTGAATTATTAGTCATTTAATTTCATTCTTCATTTTTAATAATAAAATATTTAAGGTTATGAATTTACTTCTGAATATTCTCAAAGTTTTGGTAAGTCATGATCTCATTTTTATTATTGTTTGTTAGTCTGCTAGTGTTTCTTTGTGCTAATATTCACATATAAATGTGATCTAAAATATTCAAGTAATTGAAGACTTTAAAATTTGTTTTTAAATTGTAAACATTGTACATTATCATCAGATATTTCTACTCTTAAGCGTGTGTAGGCTGGGCTTGGTGGCTCATGCCTGTAATCCCAGCACTTTGGGAGGCCAAGGCGGGCAGATCACTTGAGGTCAGGAGTTCAAGACCAGCCTGGCCAACATGGTGAAGCCCTGTCTCTACTAAAAATGCAAAAATTATCTGGGTGTGGTGGTGCACGCCTGTAGTCCCAGCTACTTGGGAGGCTGAGGCAGGAGAATTGCTTGAACCCAGGAGGCGGAGGTTATAGTGAGCCAAGATCGTGCCACTGCACTCTAGCCTGGGCAACAAAGCAAGACTCTATCTCAAAAAAAGAGTTTGCAAAGCTTTTCTTTGTGACATACATATGATCATTTAAAAATATTATCTCAATATTTGAAGAGACAATATGCAGTCTATAAACAATTTTCAAAATGTATTAATTGGATCTAATGAATTGTTTTTCAAATCTTCTAAGTACTTTATTTTGGTCTACTTTATTGTCAATTAAATTATGTTAAACTCTCCCATACAGAAGTTTCTATCACTTTTTGTATAGCTGACAGTTTTTTCTTTATATATTTGGATGCCATGTTTTTTGCAAAAAAAAAATGGTTCATAAATATAATATCTTCAATACGGTTTGTATCATCAATCAATATAAAATGAATATCTTGGGATCAACATGGTTGTGTGGTCATTGTTCCTGATTTTTTTTTCCTAATAGAGAAGTGACATGCTCAAATACCTATTTGGAGAATGGATTGATTAGGAAAAAGTGAGACTGAAAGCTGAGAAGCCAGTGGGAAGGCTCTTAGAATAGTCCAGGTGAGAAATCATGAGTGGCTGGATTAAGACAAAGGCAACCAAGAGGTCTATGTAGACTTGGAATTAATTGAATTGGGTGAGAGAGGAGTTGAGGGTGACACCTACATTTCTGATTTAGCTGACCATTATCTAGACAGCAATATAGGAAGAAGAGCTGGGTTGGCTTTTCAGAATTGGCCATGTTCTAAAGTTCCTTCTGTTTATATTCATCCCAAAAGGACTCAAGCCCAGACCTAAAGCTAAGTGTTGGATCTTTGTCAGCTGATTGTTTACTCAAACCAAAGTCTTTCTACCTGTATAAAACACTAGGCTGAATATTCACAAATTTTAGGGTAATCACACTTCTTTTACGTGTTAAGAGCTCTTTCATAAAGTTGACGAAAAATTTGGACTGAACGAGAGGGAATTAATTTCCTATACCGTGCCCAAGGTAGTCCACATGTGAAGGTTAAGTTTTCCACAAGAGGGCAGCATCACCTAATAAATTATGTCATTGTAAGCCTTCACCAATAGGGGCTGAGATGGGGAGGCTAAAAGGGTAGAAAATACAGGTTCCGGGAGCCATAGGACCTGCCACACCATGAAAACCAAAGGGCCCTGCTAGTCCAAGCCCATAATTATAGCCACTCCTAAGTGACTGATAGTGGCAGATGTTGCTACAGTATGAGGAAAGAGGACATGGAACTCACCCTGGCGAGATGAGTGGGTGAAACACCTGAACACTCTCATTCTTGTGACTGGCTCAGAAGACACTCTAGATAGTGTTCACACTCCCTCTAAGTTGCTGGTGTCTCTGTACAACCAGCATCTCACAGGGGCCTTTATTTCTTATTCAGATCATTGCCACCCCTAATGATTCCTTAGCACATCATTCTCTGCAGGTTAGGCTGCAAAGCACACCACCATTCTGATGCTCTCCCAATTTAACAATGTTTGTTTATTCCAATTATGCTTCTTTTAGACCCTAAGGAAACAAATGGGAATGAAATTCACTGACAACCCATTATGTGACAGTCATTTTACATAAATTATCTTATTTAATCATCACAATAATGCCATTATATAGGAATTATTATTTGTCATATAAGAGACCTAGGAAGTTGCAAACATGGGAATATCTAACTCCAAAACAAAAACGCTTCCAAATTCACCAAATTACCCCTCCAAGAAGCCTTATTTAAGACCTAAATCTTGACCAATCCAAGATTTAATCAGTGATAATGTATCTATTATATAAGGCATTACTTAACATGTCACCTCCTATCCATGTACATGGGCAGGTATGGATTAATCTTAGGTACCAGCAGGTAATAGAAGTCAGTGGGATCCTACATAACCTCATTCTTCCTAGGTCCAAAGCCTTTCTCCTTAAATATTCTCTCTTCAGGATAAATCATTTGGATATAGAACATGAGGATAATGGAATAATTAAAGATGGCTTCTGTGTTTCTGACTTGGTTGGCTGAGTACATACATAGTGGTCCTGGTCATAGATAGCGATCTTGGGAGAAGATGATGATGTGTTAGGTTTGGGGCATGTTGTGTTTGCAATATCTCTGACACATTTAAGTATAAATGTCTAATAGGAAGTTGGTTATATGGTCTGGAGCATAGGAGATATAGAAAATAAATTGAAGCTATAGGGCTGGGTGAGATTTTCCAGGGTACATTAAGTTAAAAATGGTGGAACTATGGGAAACACCAACATTTAAGGAATGGTCAGAGGAAGAGCAGGTAGTAAAGAGCCTGGTTTTTAAAAAATGGACAGGGATGTAGGAAAATAACAAGGAAACTGACTATCTTGAAAGTAAGAGGTTTGGCCGGGCGCAGTGCCTTATGCCTGTAATCCCAGCACTTTGGGAGGCTGCGGCAGGGGGATCACTTGAGGTCCGAAGTTCGCAACCAGCCTGGCCAACATGGTGAAACTCCGTCTCTACTAAAAATACAAAAATTAGCCAGGCATGGTGGTACATGCCTGTAATCCAGTTACTCAGCAGGCTGAGGCAGGGGAATTGTTTGAACCTGGGAGGCGGAGGTTGCAGTTAGCCGAGATCATGCCACTGCACTCCAGCCTGGGCGACAGAGCAAAACTCCATTTCAAAAAAAAAAAAAGTAAGAGCTTTTTTTTTTTTTATTAACACGTAACAGTTATACATATTTTGGGGGTACATGTATCATTCTGATACATACATATAATGTGTAATAATGAAATTAGGAAAATTGGGATATCCATCACTTCAAACATTTATCTTTTCTTTATGTTGAGAACATATGAATTCTTCTCTACTAGCTATTTTGAAATATACAATAGATTGTTAACTATAGTTACCCTACCAAACTATTGAACACTAGATCTTATTCATTCTATCTAACTGTATTTTTATACCCATCATCAACCTCTCTTCAACCTCCCCACTTCCCAGCCTCTAGCAACCACCAGTCTACTCTCTATCTCCATGAGATCCCTCTTTTCAGCCTTTACATATGAGTGAGAACATGTAATATTTGTCTTTCTGGGCCTGCCTTATTTTACTTAATGACCTCCAGTTACATCTGCGTTGCTGTAAATGACAGGATTTCATTCTTTTTATGGCTGAATCGTATTCCATTGTATATATATTCCCCATTTTCCTTATCCATTCATCTACTGATGGATTAGGTTGATTCCATATCTTGTTTATTGTGAATAGTGCTGCAATAAACATGGGGGTGCAGATATCTCTTTTATATGATTTCCTTTCTTCTGAATATGTACCCAGCAGGGGACTGCTAGGTCATATGATAATTCTATTTTCAGTTTTTTGCTAAACCTCCATACTGTTTTCTATGGTGGCTGTACTATTTCACACTCCTACCAACAGTGTACCAGGATTCCCCATTTTCCCACATCCTTACCAGCATCTGTTTTTTTTTTTTTAATAAAAACCATTTTAACTGGAGTGAGATAATATCTCATTGTGGTTTTTAATTTCCCTGAAGATTAGTGATGTTGAGCATTTTTTCATATGCCTGTTGGCCATTTGTGTGTCTTCTTTTAAGAAATGTCTATTCAGGTCTTTGCCCATTTTTAAGTTGGATTTTTTTTTTTTTTTTTTTTTTTTTTTTGCTATTGAGTTGCTGTGTGAGATTTTTGGTATTGAGTTTCATAAAGGAAGGTGGGGGCAAAATCTAGAGCTATAATGTTAAATGCCATATATGATGAATATGAAAAATAACCCATTGACTTTGACAATTAGGCAATAATTTGTAGCTTTTGACAGAGTAGTTTCAGTGGAGTTCTGAGGGTCAAATTCTGGCTGCAGAGGGTGGAAAGCTAAATGGCAGGTGGAGAAGTGGAGATAGTGACTATAGACTCTTCCTTTGAGACTGAGTATGAACAAAAGGAGAAAGACGGGGCAGGAGCCAGAGGGAGAAGTGAGATTGTGGGAAGATGCAAGATGGAAAAACTTAGGTGTGTATATACGATAAAGAAAAAAAAAAACAATAGAAAGGGAGAAGGCTGAGCTCCAATAATACAAAGCAAAGGCGCAGCAGCAAAATGAAAGAAAAGCCATGTGGAAAGTTCACCAATAGGCAGATGCTTTTGGTGGTAGCAGAATGACTGTGCCCAAATATGTCCTTCCCTTCCTTCTGCTTATGCCACTGCACTTACCTGCAATGTCTTCCTCTTCTGATGGTTTATTTTTCAAATTATACTCACCCTTTAGCTTAAATTCCACTTCCTCTATGAAGTCTTACCCTATCAATACCTTCTGCAGTGATCTCTTTCTCTAACAGCAATTTTTGTCTGAACAATCCATTTGATAATCACACACAAGGCTTTATTGCCTTCTTTAAAAATATACTGCTACTTAGTCACATGTGTATATTTTGTCCCCTGCTAGACTGTGCAATCCTCAAGGAAAGGGTTTCTAAGAGTTTGCTACAGCCTCCATGGCTGTAGTAGGGGCTCTTTAAGTCTCCATTGATATGTGGTTCAGGAATGATAGTGTATTATAAAGAAGGAGATTGAAAAACACTGGATTAGGTAGCCCTTTGGTATATAATGAGTAATTTAGTCCTCTTTATAGCAAATAAGGAAACAGTCTTGCAGAGGACTAATAAATATATCCAAGATTATGTGTCTATGTGGCAGTGCCAGGATTTGAACCAAAGGCTCTTTCTCCTGTGCTATTCTGCTTCAGTTGTCTGCAAAATTCTATTCAAGTGAAACACCTCTTTCCTTTATAATATTGATAGAGACATGACTCTATTGAGCTTTATTACCAACCAAGTTTCAGTGGCCTCTGCACCTTACGGAGAATCTCCCTGTACCTTACCTCCTGACAATCAGCTTGAGAATCCGGAAGGAGCCTTTGATGAGAATGAGGGCCTCTTGGCGGGAGCCATATAATGGAGTGCCATTGATATTCACCAGCTCATCACCAGTCCTCATCTTCTGGGACAAAGCTGCCTTGCCTCCATCTTCAATCTGTGTTGCAGAGAACAAAACAGAAAGCAGGTAGTGAGATGACTTTCTCCCCAAAATTCTACTTGTTTCTTCCAACCCTGGAGCCACAAGTAGTACTGGGGAATGGCTCCAGGCAGCTCCTGGGAGTAGCTCAGGAGCTGATCACAGGTCATTATTTACTGAAGGCAAAGCTTGGGCAAACCTTTGAGGAAGGAGGCAACATGGAAATAATGCAATCCCTGACTGGAGGAATGAGCAGTCCAACTGGGAAGACTAGAACTTCTAAATACGAAACTGATGCTTGGAATGAACCCTACTATGTGGCTAAAGCAGCAGCGTGGCCTACCAAAACGTGCAGACAAATTAGAGCCAGAAGAGCTAGGCTCCATCAAAATGACCTTTGGTAAGCTCTTTCCTATCTTTGGGCAGGCTTTGAAGTCTGACAAACGTAAGTTTGAATCCTGGCTCTGCTACTTCCTAGCTGTGTGACCCTTAGGAAGTTACTTAACATCTGTGTCTCAATTCCCTCCTACGTGACATGTAGATAACAAGACTAGCTACCTCACAGAGTTGTTAGTATAGTATATATCTGAGAACAGTAAGTCCTCAATTAACATGAGCTCTGATTATTATAACAAGGGAGTTGACTCTGAAGACCTGGAAAGTGGCTTACAGTTCAACATTCTGTGAGTAGAATGGCAAATTCAAAAGATACAAGTAGGTACAATGTAGCTGCTTCTTTATCTATGTCTCTTCAACATGTGCCCAGCACAGTGCTTCTAGTGTCTGACACACAGTGAGCATTCAGAGAAAGCTGGAAATATGGGTATTTACTGTTCCAACACAGCCTATAGAATTTCCACTAACCAGGGCAATCTGGGGAAGAAGATTGTCAGACTGAGGGGTATTGAAAGCAAAGGCAGAAATAATAGCCACTGGGGCAGGCAAAAGCAAAGCAAAGCAAAGCAGAATGTCTCTGGGGGTCCTTGCTTATGGCTAATTTTATACATTCATTTTTATTACATTCCTTTTACCATGAAGGTGATTTCCACCTATTAGAACATCAATTCCATCCATGATAATCCATGAAAGGAGTCATCTCATCCATCCATTAATCATTCCTTAAGTATTGAATCACATTTCTATTATGTACAGGACAACATGCTACATGCTAGAGATATAAAAATGAACAAGGCTCCTAATTTCTAGCCTCAGGGGCAGAAATTAGTTGTCTACAGCTTGTTTATCAACTAAGACGGTCAGGTAAAAAAGGCTCCAACTCACTGATATAATCAGGAGTTGTTTTTGTTTGTTTCCAGGGAAAGGGAACGTAAGGATAATTAAATTGTATAGTCCTTAGGGGATGGCAGATTCTAAATGGGGCAATTAAGGGCTGGTATTCACTGGAGGTATTTTTACACTTCTACTCTTGTTCCAATCTCTCTCTCAGTCTTTTATAATGTCTCCTCCATCTATCCCCACACCATGGAAGTTATAATATTGTTGAGCTTTAGGTTGGCCAGCTCATGTGCAAATTTGGCAGATGAGACCTCCTGAGTGCAGAGAAAAAATTAAGTTCAGGATTTTTTAAACTCCATCGAATTAATTGAACTTCTGAGTTAAATCACAGAATGTTATTACATTTATTGCTGCTAATCCAACTTTTTTTTAAAAAAATTAACCTTTGTCTGACAAATCATAGGTTAGCCAAGTGACATTGAATATATATGCCTTTGTTCCGGTACCCGGGCCACACTCAACACCAAACAAGCCAATATTGGTAAATGGGGAACAACTCTAAGCAAATTAAACAGGATTACACTCTTATTTCCATTGTCATTATCATTATTACTTCACAGTCACTGCTGCCTACCGCCAAGAAAAAAAGAGAGAGAGAAAAGGAAAGTGCTGTACTTGAATTTCAGAAGTTCTATTTGAATGACTCATTACTTTGGCATCCATAGAAGGCCCTTAGCACCAGTCAGAACTTTCAACAGGGATCAGCCATTTGAAAGAGTTTCCCGAGGCTAACAAAGAACCACAAACAGAAGTCTAACTAATGAATGCTAATAGATTTTCCCTGTTGATGTACATTAGTCTTAATTCACTCTACCCATTGTTTTTAATTCATACAACTTAATTATCCATATTACTGTTACCCATAGCAAGTCTTCCCCTCAATATGTATTAAGTACCATCTTTCGTTAATTAAACACTCTGTTACAGCAGCAAGATCTCTGTTTATTCTAGACCAAAAGATAAAAGGGGAAAACCTTTTAAACTAAAATGCTTAATTATTGCTGTAGCAAAAGCTCAGGCATTTGGCATTCCTTACTGCTCCTTCAGCTGCCACTATCTGAGTCCTTGCACAGACTCCTTCTTGGACTACAGCATCAGGCCAACTGTTCATACCCCTTTTTTCTGTTCCATGCCCCTTCTCAGTCACCAGCATCCTCCTCCTTAAGAGATATGTTAAGTGAAATAATCCTACTTTAGTGCAAGTCTGAAGATGCTCAGACAAAAAGCCAGCAAATTTTGGGTCCCCAGCATAATCCAAGAGTTCAGAAGGGTCCAGATCAGGAAGTAAGACTCCATTTGGTTGAAGATCCCTTCAACTATATCCCAGACTAGCCCTTTTCCAGACCCAGGGTATTTACTGAGCTGTGCAATGGACTCTATACTCTTCCAGACTTGTTGGTCCTTTTTAAATTACTGCTCACTGGTCTTTCTCCTCCCCACTCTACCTCTAGATTTCTGAGGTCTAGCACGTCTTCTATTTATTGTCTGGCCTCCTTACAGCCAGTTCTATAGGTCAATGTCTCAGCCACATATTTGTTTATATGGAAGACAAAGCAGATGTTCATGTTTCTATCAATAAAAAAAGGAAAGGAAGGAAGGAAGGAAAAATGAATGAGAGGAAGGGTGAAGGGGGATGGAGGGGCGAAAGATGATATGCATATTCTTCCGTAAAAGGTTTTGTTTTCCCCTTCCCACCTTCCTCCTCCTAACTCTGGCTGGGGCCCTGGAAAGGTGTGAATCAACAAACTTGTTGAAATTAACATACCTTGTTTGAGGGGCTGTATAACAATATATGATGCTATCCATTCAGTAAGCTTTCCAGCTCTTCCTGAATCAGACCTTCAGGGTGGCTTTCTTGTTTCAGTTGAAGTGTTGTGAATTCTCAGATTAGACCCAGATGCATTGGAATGTCGGTATAAACACACATCACAAAGCTCAATGTAAACGATGGTTAACTTATGTGTCATTTTGGATTACCCAAGTGATTGCTGGGCTAGCAGTGAGTGGCCCAAGTAATTGAAAATTGATTACATAGAGGTCATATAACCAAAAGCCAGGTGGTGCCTGGAAAGCTAGGAAGAGCTGATTGACTTTGGACAAGTCCCTTTCCCTTCTTGCAGCCTCTCTTCTCTTACTGGTAAAATGTGTAAGAGGGACTGACCAGATGATCTCCTGGGGCTCTGACAGCTCTGGGCCTTTTCAGCTCTGACATTCAGTGACCTGTGAACAGTTAGCAAAGTCATGCATTATCCTTCTGCTGACACAGATAATCTCAGCTTTTTGTCCCATTGTACTCTGCCTTCACCCATGTTTTACTCCTTCAAAATTGACTAATTAACATCCATCTCTCAATTCCCCTGGTCTTTATCCACTGTTTCAGAGTGGTCCACCAAGGTTGGAACACTTAATAAGGCCCAGTCAGGACACTGAGAGAAAGAGATTCCTGAAGCCCTATTTTGTGCTAATGAGCTAGCAATTTGGAAATTTTTGATGGGTCTTCAATGAAGCATGAAGTACTCTGATAGCTGTCAACAAAGTGACAAGTTGGCCCCTTGAGAGTAAAGGCAAACAACAATTGACTTAACAGCACTTGCTGGCTTTCTAGTAGCTTTTATTTAGTCAGATACTAACAGATACTTGCTTGGGTCTTTGAATACATTTAGGAGATGAAAAAGGGAATAGAAGAATTATTAAATCAGGTTTATAATTTAAAAATGCATTCAGAGGAGAAACACCATCTGCAGCAATAACTGACAGGTACTGAACACCTATTACAATAGTGTAAGAGCAGCATTAAAAATCAGTGACATGATTGTGAATACCTCTGCCTGCTACAGGAAATTTATTGGAAAAAATGGGCATCAACTGAAACTTTCTTGGTCAGTTCCAAGAGCTTCTGGCCAAATTACCAGCCCATACTGCTACCTCCACCAGCTTGTCTATCATCTAAAGAAGGCAAACAACATAATTGTTTAAATTGATGTGTTTGTTTTTTTGTTTTTGTTTTATTGTTTTTGCAAATAGACAGAAAAGATCCACTCAGAATACTGTAGTCCAGTTATTTAAAGAAAGAATATACCTTCCGAATATCTTTTTAGCATCTTAGAAAGATTTTCAAGTTTTTACTAACACTCCAGGCATCCGTTCATCAATTTGGCCTTTTCTGGGAAACGAATAGAAAAATGTAGAGCTAGGGTTAAGCTGGCTTTGGGAAGTTTAACTATTAAGAAGTAGGAGCATCAAAGAATGAATAAAGTGCTTGCTCATTCTGAAACTTAGTTTGAAATCTTAAGCAAACCACAGGTTGGGGGCTGTTTCTAATCTACCCTCTTTTTCCTTGTTGGTATCTCTTAGAATCTGATCATGCTAGGAGAAATTAATCAGGGTTCCCTGGACATGGGAGATACAGGCTTTCAAACCTCGGCAGTCTTCTTGCCATGGCTTTCAATACCTAACTTGTCTCTTTCAGCAACTTCTTCCCTTAAAAACCGCTCTCAAATTTCCGAAGCAGTCTAGATTAGAAAACCAAGAAACTCTGTTCCTAATTTCATCTTCCGTACTTTACACCAGTTTTCCAAAAGGCAAAACAGACAACAAAAACTTTTCAATGAGAATTGAAAAACAATAACCAATTAAAAAGATGTAAGTAGACCTGATTCAAAGGAGTAATCCCTATATGTGGATAGAGGGAAGAGGTGTACACCAAGGGAGAAGCCATTCTTTCCCTCTACCAGCTAATAAGCAGATGCCCAAATCCTACAAGGAGCTGCCCCAGAGTATAAAGCTCTGTGAATCAGGCCCAAGGGCTCCCCTGACCTTGAGCCAACGGAACTATGCGCTGTGCCCCACAGCATGACCTAGCCCAACAGACAGCTTCTTCCTCCCCAGCTGCTTAATCACCATCTAGTTTACTAATCCTCACAACAAAGGCCGTCTAAGCTCCAAATCATTAAATTTCCCTGGGGATTAGCTCCAGTCAAATTCTAAGCATCTTTGCCAAAACTCAGCCCAGTGCCACCAGCTCTAGGAATTTGGTGGTGAGGACAGGGGAAGAAGACTCAAGAGCACTGTCCCCTATGTCAGCAACCAAAGGCAAATTTGTCTTTGCTCCTGCCAAGTCAGATCGTCCTGCTGTCTCTATAAGTCTGGTAAGGGGAGACAAACGTGACGGCACAAGAGTAAACTGAGGGTTTCTTACATTGCTAGCAGATATGCTCACTGGGGCTCTGTCACCTCTAGCCATTTGTTTACACTGAAGTGTTCTTCTGACATTAATGCTATCAGTGTTTGTGGCAAATGTTAGTCTTTGGTGGTATAGAACAATAGTGTTCAGAATGGGGTACATATATCCCAGGCTGTGTACAAGGTGATCCACTGGAACTTCTGTTTATATATCTACAAAAATTTAAAAATCAAGCTTTATTAATATTTAATATTGGTGATAATAAATTAGATCATCCATAAATAAAATTGTGTATACTGGGGACACATACTCAAAACATTTTTACTGATGTACATTTTTACTAAAAATGTTAGCTGGATTACAGACCCAATGAGAGGACTAAAATCATAAGGCTTTTAGAGAAAAACATGGAGCATATCTTTGTGACCTTGAGGTGGGCAAAAATTTTTTAAGCAGGATGCAAAAGGTAGTAATCATAAAGGAAAGAGTGATACATTGGAGTTCATCAAAATAAAAAAAATCTTCAGCTCTAAAAAAGGGAAAAGACAAGCCACAGACTGGGAAAATATTCATAATACATATTACCTGACAAATGACTTATATCCAGAATATTAAAAGAACTACAAATCAATAAGAAAAAGGCAAATAGCCAATTAACAATTGGCAAGGCTTGAACAAGCACTTCACTAAAAGAGATAGCCAAATACCCAATAAGCATCTGAAAAGGTGCTCAATATAATTCTTCATTAGGGAAATGTGATTTAAAATTATAGTAAAGTGTCACTACATATCCACCAGAATGGCCAGAATTAAAAAGACTTAAGTATTGGTGAGAATGTACAGCAATTTGATCTCTCTACGTTGCTGGCAGGAGTATAAAGCTGTACAACCATTTTGGAAATCTGTATGCCTACTCTCAGATCCAGCAATTCCATACTTAGAGACTCCGAAGAGAAATAAGTGCACGTGTCCATAAAAAGATTTGATTGTTCACAGCAGCTTTATTAATAATAGAAAGTAGGAACAACCCAAATGTCCTTCAAAACATACACATACAAAAAATGACATGCTATACAGCAGTCAAAAAAAAGCAATATATGTAATAAAATGAATGTCTAAAAGATTATGTTGCATGAAAGAGACCAGACAAAAACAACACATACTGTATGATTTCATTTTATATGAAGGTAAAGAAGAGAGGTGATAATTTGAAAAAATGGTTAACTCTGTACTACTGATTGTAAAGGCAGATGAGCATAATTTTTGGGGGGTGCTAGAAATGTTCTACATAGTTATCTGGCTGCAGATCATATGGGAATATACATAACTAAACATTCATTAAGATTTGTGCATTTTACTATATGTAAATTATTCCTTAATTTAAGAAAGAATTAAAAGAATAATTAGATCAGATTCTAAGAGATACCAACAAGGAAAAAGAGGGTAGATTATGGGGGCAGTTTCCCCAATGCTGTTCTTGTGATAGTGAGGGAATTCTCACGAGACCTGATGGTTTATTCTTTATTCTTTAGTCTTTAATTCTAGACTATTCAGCTTATATTTCTGAGGTAGGCACCAAGACTCCAGCATCATTTTCACATACTCATAGTTTTAATCAAGGCAAAACATTTCTCTTAAAACGTTAGCCTTCACAATAGGGCTATAATCTATTAATCTACCCACTGTTCCTGTCTGCTTTGAGATAGTATTCATCCTCCCTACCTCTTAGAAGGTAGAGGATTTCAGTAAAAAATGAAAATAAAGAACAACACTTTATTTTACCAGTTGACAGGTAAAGGTGAAAAGTCTTAATGATTTGATTCCATTTTTAATCTCCAGCCAATTTTTGTCTTGACATATTATAAAAATAGAATCAATTCCTCATCCAATGTTGGAGCCATCTACTGCTACTCCTCTTGTCAATATCAGATATGTTTCTTTCTTATGGTCCCCAGAGTTCATGTCAATCTCAGATATGTTTCTTTCTTACGGTCCCCAGAGTTCGTGACACCTACTCCTAGAAGCTGAACTTCATCAGGCTGTTGTCACACAGGCAACTAGCCTTTCCTCAGGCACCATTACTGTCCCTGATATGGTTAGGCTCTGTGTTCCCACCCAAATCTCATGTTGAATTGTAATCCCCACATGTGGAGGGAGTGACCTGGTGGGAGGTGATTGGATTATGGGGGCAGTTTCCCCAATGCTGTTCTTGTGATAGTGAGGGAATTCTCATGAGAGCTGATGGTTTTAAGTGTGGCACTTCTTCACGCTCTCTCTCACCTGATGCCATGTAAGACGTGCCTTGCTTCCACTTCACCTTCTGCCATGATTGTAAGTTTCCTGAGGCCTCCCCAGCCAGCCATGTGGAACTGTGAGTCAATTAAACCTTTTTTGTTTATACATTACCCAGTCTCAGGTAGTATCTTTATAGCAGTGTGAGAATGGACTAATGCAGTCTCTTTGTTAGATTGCCTATGTTTCTTGACTGTCTAATAAGATATGACTTTCAGTGATACAAATGATCAGAGAACCTTGCAAAGCTGATGTGGTGGAGAGAGTTCAGGGAGAACCAGAGTGGAACAAACCGGAGGAATGAATATGGTAGAGTGCAAGTGAATTTGCTCCTGATTTCCAGAAGCAGTTGTCAGCAACAGAGTTTACCCTTGTATAGCATTAAAATAGTCTAGGACAAACCAGAAAGTCCATAATGTCCTCCAGCATTAAGAGAGCACTGTGTACAAATCTAGCAGGTGAGCCTTAGGAGGCTGAAAAGACCAACAGTCTTTTACCTACCGCCTAATATAAAAACACTATAAAGAGGACATATCAATTCATTGTCATTTTCAAACTGTGCATTAATACTTGTAAGAAATGGCCAAATTAAAACAAGAGGTGTGTTAAATTCCACCAGACTGTTAGAGAGTGATGGGAATAATTCTACTTGGATTAATATAATCTTTATTTCTTCAGTAACAAGCCATTGTTGATGTGAAAACTATTTTTCAAGTTGATCAAAAATGCCTTTTTAACTTGCCTACTGAATGTGAGTGAGTTGGATACAGTCTTCCAGCCCAAGAGGATGTGATTAACTATCTGGAATCTGAACCATCCCAAAGCCAGGTTCACTCAATAACTCACTGCTGGTTCTCTAAAGCCATTTATTTATAATCCATTATGCAAAAAGCCAAAGACAGTTTCTAAAGAGTACACATAGCCAACATTAGTCATTTCTGACTGGAAAAGGACCCAGGGACTAAACACCCTTCGGGGTAGGGACAAAAGGCTGCCTCTGGAAACTACTAGGCCTGCTTTGCTGCCTGAAAACCACTTGTCCAGCTTACTAGGAGCCTGTATACCCTCCAGCAGATGTGGACGAAGGGAGAGGGGGTTTGTTTTCTATTTCCCGGAGGTGGGCACCTGCATGCCACTCCCAGAACATTATTTGACCCTGCCCAGGCCCCCTTTCCTTGGCAGTAATTTTAATCTCTGGTCTCCACTTAGACCTCTGACCAGTGGGAGGTGGAGGAGGAGAAAAGAGATTTAACTTCCTCTTACCCTTATGAATAACTGCTACCAAAGCAAACAGCTCCCAAATAAATAACCTACCAAGGCATACATGTATGTTGCAAAAGCAATAATAATAACATCCTTTACTGAGCCTAGGACAGATCCCATTTTATATTAAATCAGCACACTTGCTGCTGCTTTCACATAGTGCTACAAATCTGGGAATAAGTGAGCCATCACACAGTCTGTTCCAAGCTACTGTCCTGTTCACATCATGACTGAGAAATGACACACCATCTCTTTCCTACTCAACAAAACGTGCCAAATAACATAAAACAAAACTGAGTTTCCACAACTGAAAAAAAAGAAAAAAAATGCACTCAATTGCTTATGTGTTAGTGGCGGGAAGGGACTCTTGCATCAGAGATTATTTCCTTTTGCAATGACAGGATTAAGTTGAGAAGAAAATGCAGGAGGAAGTGATAGGCATTTGAGTTCAAGACCTGGAAAATAAATAAGGCAAGCAATGTGAACGCCATTCTCTCTGACATCAGACCTGCTTTTTAAGTTAAGGCTGGATAAAAAGAGAGGACCAGATTTTTAGCTTCAGTTCCTGCTCATTCTCACTCTTCTAACTTTAAACAAGAGTACAGTCCTGTCCCTTCTCCTATAAAGGTTGACCCCCTCTGATAGCAGACTCCACAACCTTGGCACTGACGGTGTTCCTCACAGCCGAGGTCACTCTGGTGCTTTTCCTCCTCCCTCAAACTTTTTCCAACCCTCCCTACACATTATCTTTTCCACTCCCACCTCTCCCTGCCCTGCCAACAAGGCATTTGAGCTCGCCTTTTCTACTTCATCTTCCCCTTCTGCCCCCCTACTCCACACCCAGACCCTCTCCTTGGGTTTCCTATGGGCAAACTTCAAGCCCTCCTGTCATTAACATCTGGTACTAACATTCATTAATTAAATCAGACAGACCAAAGAATGATTTTTACAATGTAAACAGCAGCAGATCAGAAGCTCTACATGATCTGGCCATGCATGCCTTTTTGACCTTATTTCCCACAACCTCTCATCCTCTACACACACACACACACACACACACACACACACACACACACACACACACGTCATACCAAACTTTCTGTTCTTCAGAGAGGTCAAGCCCATCCCTATCTCAAGATCTTTGTACTTACTATTCTATCTGTTGAGAACATTCTTCTTCTAGATCCTACATACCTCCTTTTATCATTCAGGTGTCAGCTCAGATCTTGCCTCCTCAGAGAGGCCTTTCCTGACCAACCACATAAAGAATGTTCCTTCTCTTCTCTACCCACATCTCATCACTCTCTATCACATTACCTGTCTTATTGTCTTCATAGAATTTACCACCATCTTACATGATCTCACTTATTTCTATGTATGTTTACTTGCTGTCAAGATACATTATAGTGTGGGAGATAGTCAATGCCTTTATACAGCTCTGTCACTGGCACCTAGGAAAATAAATGTCTGTATTGAACACATTGTAGTTGCTCAACAAATATTTGTTGAAATTAGAATTAAAAGGGATCTCAGGATATCACCCTATTCATTTGACTGATTCTGGAGAAGTAACAATATTTTCACTTTGTTTTTCATATAACTGAGGTTCAGGGATATTATATGACTTGCCCGGGATAGAGCATCTATTAGGTTTAAGATACTTTCTTCTGCAAGGTTGTGACAAAACCTTTTGGATTTCACGGGTATATTGCTATTCATGATCCTTAACTAGCAATACTAAGAGTTCTTGCTAAAGAGACACTTTAAACTTTGTAAAAAGCATTATTATTGGCTCAGAATAATCCAGAATAATTATCCTTTGAGCTAAATATCCCATTTGTCACGAGGTGCCCCAGGGTGAATGTTAGACTCTCAATTTAGTGGAAGGAATGGAGCCTTTAAGGAAACTGAGGTGTATGGCAATAATAACTTGTATCCAGATATGATTCTCCTCAGTTTTTAACATTCTCTGCCTTAGGAAGTTAATTTAAAACACACACAAGCCCTCACAAACAGACCATGAACAGTGGGATATTTAACTACTCCCACCATCTGGGAATTCAAAGTAACATCGACTCCACCTTCGTGTGTACAGACATTACAACAGGCTCTTTCAGTTCACCATCCCTGAAAAATTTAAGAGCAAATCCAGATGATGGGCATAAACCAGATTCTAATTTGATTTAGTGCTTCGTTAACCAGTGCCCTCAGACCCCCAAAAAGTATGTGTGGGGTGGGGGGAACCCTCATCAATGTCCAAATGAGTTTGCCCTGACCCAATTTCATGCAACTATAGTTCTTTCCTTAAAAACCATTTGTTCAGTGGGTTTAGTATTTTATACCTCTGTGAGTTAGTGATTATACCTTTTGTGAGGCTTTTCATATAAACAAATTCACAAGTCAGAAAATAAATCCTTTGTCAAGCCAGGTTTTCTGATTGGGATTTAGAAAATATGGCCACCATGATATGGCTTTAAAAAGTTTAATATCTGTAGCATGCATTCAGTGCTAATGGACAATAAGTGATAGTGAAGTTTTGTCAGGTCTGATTCAGATTACCTGTGGCTGCTGTGAGTTATATGGAATTACACAGAGTTTAATGGTTCTCTGGCAATTTGCCTTGGCTCAGGGCCAAGGCAGCTAACGCTTCAATCAAACTGCTCTCCCCACCCCCACCCCAAGACAATTTCAGTTTCTAAGTCTTGAGTGTATCTGTGATGAAGCCTTCAGTGACACTCTCATACAAATGCCAAAGGTTTTTTTTTTCTCCGTCTCTTTTTCTTCCTTCTTCTTTATGGCTGCATATATTAAGTGCTCCTGTAGCTCTGCTGAGACAAACTGCCTGGCTGGTGCTTATAAAGAGAAGAGCTTTTAAGGTTTGATTAAAACAGAGGAGCCAACAGTCAGAAGATGAGAACAGGACAATATCCCTTTTCTCTGCAGTGCCATCAGATATATCCAATTCACCCTAACATGGGCCCTGGACCCACCCTGCAGGCCAACTTAAGGCAGCAGCCCTCCCAAATCACTTGAGTAATCAAAGAACATATCCCATCAAAGGCAGGTAGCCTGCCTGACAGAAGAATCCCATGCATGGCAAGTTACCCTCCTCTCTTTTAGGAACCCAACTGGCCCTGAAGCTGGGATTCTGCCACAGATTCCTGGCATCACTTTAGCATAGTTGAGACAGTGGACAAAGGCCAAGTGAACAAAGGCCAGAAACGTCCTCTACAAACTTGCAAAAAAGGCATGTACAACTCTGAGGTACAACCGTTCTGTGGATAGCAAATATTCTGGGTCCAAACTCTTTCATCAATCGCTGTTCAACCCTGTCCCCTCAACCTCTCCTAAAACCTCCAGTGGTGCTTCAGCACTAGCACCTCCTGCTATTTAGCTAAAGTGACTCCTAGACCCTTTGTCCAACTGATTCCAATGTCACATTTACTGGCTATTCTAGAGAGAATGCTCATTTTAAGAGACTAGCTGCCATAGAAGCAGCAGGAGGGAAGGGCAGAAACCACAGGATTCCTACTTTGCGCTGATTGCCACTAACTCATTTCAGCTGCTAAGGGGAGGCCCTGTTGGGGGAGCCAGGAGAGGAAATGGGTTCCATGTACGGTCCACTTTAAATTGTTCACAATTGCGTGCTCAAAAATAGTCTCTACTAAACATTTAGCACGCCCATTAGCACAAGCCATAAAGCTTTAGGCTTTGCTGTACTGTTCGCCCAGGCTGCCTAAGCTGCTTTCCTATGGCAAAATGATGAAATGGTTGGCAAGTCAGATACATGCGGGAAGGATAAAGGAGCTCCAAGGATGGTTAAACCTGGACCCAGGAAGAATGGTTTAATATGACTTCTAAGCACATAAAAAAAATTTAGAGGGAAGGACCAGCTGTTCTCAATTTTGATTGAAAGCAGAGCAAAGGAAAAGAAACTGACATTGCAACGAGAAGGACTGATATAAGCAAGGAGGAAGAACTTCCTGCCAGGCAAAATAGGTAAATGTTAGACTGAGTGGTCAGTCAATGAAGGTTGTGGAATTTCCTTCTTTAGAGTGGCTCTTCTCTGCTATTTCTGTGTGGTCCTTCCAGAGGGGTGGGGGACGGAGGAAAGAGAGGCAGCCAGAGGTCCAATTTAGTCCCTTTCAGCACTCAGAATCTCTTATTTGCAACATTCCGGGATCTGTAACACGGTCACTGGGACACTTGAAAAGAAAGAAGCAACGAGAAGCTTGCTGGTGATCTTAAACATTTAGATTCTCCCCAACTTTCTATCCCTCACAATGAGCCAAGCTTTTGCCCTGGCCCCCACAATCCCAAGAAAGCAAGCGAAGACTTGCTTTTGGCTCCACAGGGCCCCTAGGCCATGCATATGGGAACAATATTTTCTGAACCCAAAAGCAGAACATGGTCTGACAATTATATTTATGAGGACAAAAGGATAGAATATATGAAATCAGAGCTGTCCCAGGAAATCTGGGTGTATGGTCTCCATAGCCACATATTATCTCTTCTGAGGGTCCCAACACAGAAGGGAGTTAATTAAAACTATGCCATGTGGTTGGGGGCCTAGATTCTTTCCCTGTATGCAGCAAGATCAGTTAGGACTGTGAAAAGATAGGGTCATAATAAGTCCAGTACAAACTGAAATTCCTGCTGTGCAGGTTGGAGAAAAGGAGTAGTCTATGTGTCTTTCCTAGAATCTCTTCACTCTAAAATGCAGCTGGAGCTAAGGGGCATGCCTGTCCTCACTGAATCATAAATAATGCCATATTTATAGAGGGGAAGAAATGTGTCTGGCACAAGGGATCCTATTTATACATTCATTCATTCAGTACTCAGAGCAGTGGTTCTCAAAGTGTGGTACCTGGACCAGTAGCATCAGCATCTCCTGGGAGCTTGTTAGAAATTCAGGACTCACCCTAGGTCAAATGAATCACAGACTCTGTGGGTGAGGCCAGTAATCTGTGTTTTAATCCCTCCAGGTGATGCTGACGAATGCTACAGTGTAAAAATCTCTGAATTAGAAGTCCTCCTGGTGATGCTCACATTGCCAACCAGCAACAATAATATTAACCAAAAGAATCAAAGTCACAGGCATGTTTGGTAGGGGCAGGCACTAGCCCATCAGTATCTCTGCTAATTTAGCCTATAATAACTCTCACAGATTTCTCAAACAACTTAAAACTACCATTCGACCCAGAAATCCTACTACTGAGTATCCAAAAGAAAATAAATTGATCTACCAAAAAGACACACTTGTATGTTCATTGCAGCACTATTCACAATAGCTACGACATGGAAACCACCTAAGTGTCCATCAGTGGTGGGTCAGATAAAGAAAAGGTGATACATATATACCATGGAATACTACGCAGCCACAAAAAGAATGAGATCATGTCCTTTGTAGCAACATGGATGCAGCTGGAAGTCATTATCCTAAGCAAATTAATGCAGGAACAGAAAACCAAATACCACATATTCTCACTTATAAGTGGGAGCTAAACAATAGGTACTCATGGACATAAAAATGGCAGTAATAAACACTGGGGACTACCAGAGGGGAGAGGGAGAGGGACGAGGGTTGAAAAACTAACTATTGGGTACTATGCTTAGTACCTAGGTGACGGGATCAATTGTACCCTGAACGTCAGCATCACGAAATACACCCACGTAACAAACCTGCACATGTACCTCCTGAATCTAAAAAGTTGAAATTATTTTTAAAAATGTATACACATATAAAAAATAAATAAAAAATATCTCACAATTCCTGGGTCATGGAATAGTCTGAATCTTACTACACACCCAATTCCTTGAAGCCTGGGTTTCAAAGGTAACTCAGCCTGTCTGCTTTGATAAGATTCTTTCAAATAAGCCAAAGTCCCTTTGGGTTTTTCATCTAAATCCTACTCAGGCACACACACTCCTCTGAGTATTCTGTGACTGTTTTCGCCCTTAGCCTTGATCTAAGTCTCAAGGAACTGACTAGAGCTCACTCTAGGACCAAGCCAGGAACATTTTATGTTTACCAGCCTTATTTTTAATTTTAAACAAACACAGATGAAAGAGTCCCTGCTGTAAAGAACCACCACTTAATGCTAGCCCTTATACCTTAGTAACATTAAATTAAAATAAATTACAACAAATAGTCATTGTTTCACCTCAGTTTAAACCGACAAAGTTAACTGCTGCAATCAATGGGCAACCTTTCACAAACATTTGCTGAAAAGGAAAAGAAATGCTTCCAGGTGAAACTTATCAAAGTGAAGTGCACTGAGGACCAAATCTTATTGTATGCCACCTGGTTTTCTCCCAAAGCATCAGTCAAGGAAAGAAAAGAGATCTCAACACAGCCTCCCAGTTAGAATCAATGACTTCTAACCACCAACAGAGATTCTGGTTCAGGTAAGGAAGTTACACAGCATGGTTAAAACCAACACACATGAGGGGAATTTCTGGGGTGATGGTAGTGTTCTATACATTAATAGAGATTTTGGATACACAAGTGCATGGGATGTCAAAACTCACCCACGTCAGATTTTGTATTTCATTGTCTGTAAATTTTACCTCAAAAGGAAAAGAACACCTGTAAACAAACATTGAACTCTAGTAAATAATACACGTGCTGAAATTTTAGGGGGACCTGCACTGATGTCCTCAATTTACTTGGAAATGTATCAGAAAATAATATTGATGAGTGAATAGAGAAAATCAATACATGAATAGATATGAAACAAGTATAGCAGGAATAGATTAGTAGAATCTAGGTGATGGGTATATATAAGTGTTTAATGTAAAATTCAGCTTTTCTGTAAATTTAAAACATTCTGTTATAAAACGTCAGAAACACACAAAAACAAGTAAAAAATTTGGATTTTTATTGTCCCACAGACCTTTCATTGATGTATGCATTCCAATATGCATGAACTGAAATCGTACTATGTGCAAGGCACTAGATCAAATCCTGGTTCTGCCATTTAGTGACAGTGTGACCTTGGGCAAGTCACTTCACCTCTCTGAAACCTGTTTCCTTATTTGTTTAATGGTGAGAATAATAACACCTACCTCCCAGGGTGGTTATTGTTGAAATTACACTTCAATTGCTGACCACCTAATGAGAGCTATATTGAGTAGGGAACTCTCAATTAAGTGCTACTTGTTCCTCTCCCCTGTGGGATCTGTAGGGGATCTCAACTATGGAAATTCTTTTGTGTCAGCTTCAGCTTGATTGCTGAGCACTTTTTGTTTCTTGAAAATTGCAGCCTGGGCCACGACCTTATATTATGGTGGGTATATAGTGTTCATATGTTTCAACTGACTCCCTGACATTCAATTGAGTTTTGGTTTTCAAACTCCCCTTTGCAAACAAGAAAAATTAGAAAGATTACCCTTCACAGCCTCTGGTAACCATCCTTCTACAACACGGAGACTATAGTAAATAGTAATTTCATTGTAAATGTTAAAATAACTAAAAGAGTGTAACTGGATTATTTGTAACTCAAAGGATAAATGCTTGAAAGGATAGCTACCCCATTCTCCATGATGTGATTATTTCACATTGCATGCCTGTATCAAAACATCTCATGTAACACATAAACACCTATTACGTACCCCAAAATTAATTAAAAATAGAAACTTTCTGAAAGGAGTATAAAGCAAAATTTAAGCAAGAGATTAAAGCTGGAGTGTGGTCTAAGGTAGTTCTGCCTACATCCATTTGAACCCATGGTGAAAACACTTGACTCACTCTCTTGCTTACCTTCTCTCATAGTTCTGACATCTTTTCCAGCTCTGGGATGACTCCCCACAAAACAGAATCCTGTCATTTGGAAAACATGCTCAACCCTTGTTGGTTTCCTTTTCAGTTCACTTCCTGAGAGGATTCTCTCAGCACTCTTCCCCTTGATGCGTATCCCATCATTCACTAATTGGTATGAGAGAGGTGAAACAGTCTGCTTTTCAAGGGTAGGTGTATGCTCCTCTGCAAGGGGTTGCGTCTGGCTTCTCTGAGTCCCCTACCTGGTTTGAGGTAACAGGAAGGTTGACTGTTCTGCCAGGAAAGCACTGCCAAACTCTGGGTCTGGGGAAGCAACTCGAGAGCAGGCAGGCGGGTATCCACCCCAGGAGATAATAAAGCACAGCAGAAAAGAAACCTGGGCCTGAGAAGCTGTCCGGGAGGGTTCTTTACGAGCCTGTTTAACAGCAGAGCTCTATGTAGCACAGGAAATCATGCACCCAAAGTGCAGCAGACTTTATAGTGGTCAGACCTAATCAGGCTATAATTAAGGCATTTTAGGAGGCAAAAAGTCTTTGGCAGCAATGATGTCTACACAAGAGAGTGATGTCAAGCAATTATTTGTCACTGGGACTCAACATCTAGCCCAAAGATTCGGGGCAGGCACAGTAGCTCATGCCTGTAATCACAGCACTTTGGGAGGCCTAGGTGGGGGGATTGCTTGAGCCCAGGAATTTGAGACCAGCCTGGGCAACATAGGGAGGCCCTGTCTCTAAAATTTTTTTTTTAATTAGCTGGGCATGGTGTCATGTGCCTATGGTCCCAGCTACTCAGGAGGCTGAGGTGGGAGGATTGCTTGAACCTACCTAGGAGGTTGAAGCTGCAGTAAGCCATGATTGCACCACTGTACTCCCACCTGGGTGACTTGTCTCAAAAAACAAAAGTAAAAATAAATTTAAAAATAACCCTAAGGTTCACCCTGTCCTCACAGTGCCACCCACAGTACTGATGGGACTGATTAAACTAGCACTTGAAAAAATGAAAAGATTGCTTTATTTTCTTCCATTCAACGTGTTGTCTCTTCACTGTTTATTGCTTCCTTTGTTGTGCAGAAGCTTTTAAATTTAGCATGGTCCCATTTGTCTATTGTTGTTTTTGTTGCCTGTACTTTTGAGGTCTCAGCCATAAAATCTTTGCCCAGACCAATGTCCTGAAGAGTTTTCCCTAGGTTTTTCTCCAGTTATTTTATAGTTTCAGGTCTTATGTTTAAATCTTTAATTCATCTTGATTTGATTTTTTTATATGGTGAGAGATACAAAAATCATTTCATTCTTCTGCATATGCTTATTGAGTTTTCCCAGCACCATTTATTGAAAAGGGTGTCCTTTCCCCACTGTATGCTGTTGGTGCCTTTGTCAAAAATCTGTTGGCTTTATTTATTTATTTACATGGCTTTATTTCTGGGTTCTCTATTCTTTTCCATTGGCCTATGTGTCTGTTTTCATACCGACAGCATGCTGTTTTGTAATATAGCCTTGTAATATATTTTGAAGTCAGAAGGTGATGCGTGCAGCTTTGCTCTTTTTGCTAAGCATTGTTTTAGCTATTTGGGCTCTTTTTTGCTTTCATACAAACTTTAGGATTATTTTTTCCAATTCTGTGAAAAATATTTGCAAACTATTCATCCAACAATGGACAATATATTGTATATTTCAAAGTATCTAGAAGAAAGTATCTTGAGATGTTACCAACACAGAAATAATAAATACTTAAGGTATGGATACCCCAAATACACTGACTTGAACATTACACATTATATGCATGTAACAAATATTCACATGTACCTCTTAAATATGTAGAATATTATGTATCAATAAAAGAAAAAAAGGAAAAAACTGGACAATGGGGTGGGAGATTCCTTTATATTTAAATAATATTTACTGTTTTTAAAATGCACTTCAACACTTTTAAATTATAACTTTAATTTACAGTATGTTAAGATAGCAACACAGTATAGGAGAGTGCAACTTTTAATGATAGGATATGTGAAACTCTGTAGTCAAATAATCCTTCCTGAAAAAGTTGATACACCTGCCCAACCAGTTATTAGAGGCTCAATCTTCTGCAATTCCCAGAGGATATGCTACAGAAGATCATGAAGCTTCAGAGAATACTGTTCTGCCAATGAAGGTCCATGTTCAGAGACATTTTGAGACCCTGTTACATAGAGAGGCTTAGTTTTCAGACTGTTGATTAGAAGCTCTAGGGAACATGTGCCAGTTAACCACAACAGATGGAGAGGAGGGAGAAAAAAGTTCATTACACTGTTGTTTACTCATTGTTTTCTATAGACTCTACCCCTTAGTGTGTCCCTAAAATACAAAATAAGAAGGCTGTTTGAGGGCTTTGCTTATATATGTTTCTATGTTATACAGATTTTTTCATATCCCTCTTATTGCTTGATACGCTCCTGACATTCTGCCTACCCCTTCCCTGTGAAGCCTGGTTAGGTTAGTAAGGCCTGTGCACTCCCAGAGCACTCTGCACACACCTCTACTCTTGTGTTCACTTACCAAGTTGTACTGAAGTTGTCTGTTCATAAGTCTGTGTCCCCTGCTCTACTGGGCAGGGGGTCTCTCTCATACCTGTGTCCCCAGCACCTATGGGTGCTCAGTAGATGTGTGTTGCACTGTTTGGGGAAACTTAAGGTTAGTACCTAGGTTTTATTTTAAACTTTCAATCTAACAGTGCCTTTTACACAGTAGGTGTTATGTCTGATGATAGTAATTTTTAAAAGGCCTCAGAAAACAAATAACCTGATTAAAAAATGGGCAAAAGATCTGCCAAAACATTCCTCAAAAGAAGACATGGCAAATGGCCAGCAGGCATATAAAAATATGCTCAACATCACCAATCATCAGGGAAATACAAATCAAAATCACAACGAGATATCACTTCATGCCTGTTAGGATGGCTACTATCAAAAAAACAAGAGTGAAGTGTTGGTGAGGCTGTGGAGGAAAGGTGGTGGTTAGGTGCTGTGGTGAGGCTTGCACAGCGGTGGTGGGAATGTAAATTAGTACAGCCATTATGAAAAACGGTATCAAGGTTCCTCAAAAAATTAAAATAAAACTACCCTATCATCCAGTCATCCTACTTCTGGGTATATATTCCAAAAAAAAAAAAAAGGAAATCAGTATCTTGAAGAGATATCTGCACAACCATGTTCATGGTAGCATTATTCACAATAGCCAAGATACTAAATGTCCATTAATGGATGAATGGATAAAGAAAATGTGGTAGATATATACAATGAAACACTATGCAACCTTAAAAATGAAGGAAATCCCATCATTTGTGGCAACATAGATGAACCTGGAGGACATTACGTTAGGTGAAATAAGCCAGGCACAGAAAGACAAATACTGCCTGATTTCACTCATGTGAGAGCTTATTAGAACTATTAGAATCAAAGGGTAGAATGGTGTTTGCCAGGGGTGGGGGCAGATAAGTAGGGGGAAGGGGGTTTGGGGAAGATATTGGTCAAAGGATACAAAATTTCAGTTAGACAGGAGGAATAAGTTCAAGAGATGTACAACATAGTGACTATAGTTAGAACAATGTATCATATTCTTGAAAATCACAGAGATTTTAAGTGTTCTCACCACAAAAATGACAGGTATGTGAGGTAATGTATATTTTAATTCGCTCAATTTAGCCATTCCACAGTGTTTACATATTTCAATACATCCTGTTGTACACCATAAATATATATAATTTTTATGTCAATTAAAAATAATTTTTTTACAAAGGTTTCAAAGGTATATGGCACCTTATGTGACTTACCAAATGTCTTCACATTATTTCACATGACCCCTACCAGCAGCCTGTTTAGAAGCAAGTCAAATATTTTAACAACTGCCATTTGACACATAAGGGAATTGGCTTGGAGCAATTAACTGAGTGTCCAAGGCCACACAGCTAATATGAACTCAGTGGATACTTTGAATCTACCCTATTGTTTTCCAGTGCCCATGTTTCTCTCCTTTTTATAAAGATAGAACTGAGAAACTTTGACACCTATATGGTTTCCCAGACTTACTTGTTAGGTTCCTCTCACTTCAACTGGAGAACAAAGTAATGATTTACCTTGATACCCGCTGACAGTCATTATGAACAGCTGAATCAACCAATCTTAAAGCCTGCCTCTTCCCTAGAATTCTTGTTATGTGAGATAATACATTTCCTAATTGTTTAAGCCAGTTAGAGTTTGGGTTTCAGTTACTTGCAGCCTAAGTCGTACCTGACGTACGATGCCTGCTTCCCAGGAAGACTAAATTTCTTAAAGATAGGGCTCCAGTCATTCTCCCAGTCTGGCCTTCTCTACAGCACTTCCAGGCTGGCTCACTACAAGGGACTATTCTTGTAGGGGTAAGGGGGATCCATCTCAGAGAAAGGGTGCCAGAGGATTTCCTGAAATGAAAGTTAACTTGTTGCTGAAGGGACCACCAGTTGTAAAGCCATGGTTTTTTTGTTTGTTTGTTTGAGACAGAGTCTTGCTCCATCACCAGGCTGCAGTGCATTGGTGCGATCTCAGCTCACTGCAAGCTCCGCCTCCCGGGTTCAAGCGATTCTCCTACCTCAGCCTCCCCAGTAGCTGGGACTACAGGCGACCGCCACCACACCCAGCTAAATTTTTGTATTTTTAGTAGAGACGGGGTTTTACCATGTTGGCCAGGATGGTCTCGATCTATCTCTTGACCTCGTGATCTGCCCACCTCGGCATCCCAAAGTGCTGGGATTACAGGGGTGAACCACCATACCTGGCTTGAAGCCATGTTAATTGGTTGCAGCAGAAGCCAAGCAACCAAATCAGAAGAGATTTAATGTATTCTCCACCTCAACCCCACACACCAGTGTCTCTCTTGGCAGTGCTGGGACAGAAGGGACAAGAACATTTACATCACTTCCACCAGATAGTCCTTCAGCCCACTTAAAAAGACTCCAAGCCAGCATCTCCCCAGAAGGCAGCAGTCTTCAATTACTCACATTAGGGCAGCAGTTTTCACCCCAAATCTCAAAAGGCTTTCCAGCACTGTGGGTAAGGAAAATTTCCAGAGAGATGACTTTATGTCTCAGTTCCATTAAACATTCATTGTGTGGCTGAGATGTACTCTTGGAATACTTCCATTTCCCCAGTAATAGAATGGAAATAATACTTGCTCTTTCCCTCCCTTCCAAGGACACTGGAAATGTGAATAACATTCATGAGGTCTGCAAGAAGACCAAGAAAGTGCCCTGCACCAGGTTCAGGCCTAGATCCTGAAGGTTTTTAGAGGATTACAAACAGAATGGCTCCATCTACCAACATCCTCTATGATAAGCAACAAACATATACTGAGTGTCCACTGTGTGCTGGGTCCAGAGCTTGGCTTTGGGGCTACATTGGTGAGGAAGCCACTTGTCCCTACTCTCAAAGGGTTCCCAGTATTGTGGTAGAGACAGGCATATAAATCCAGATGCGGAATATGATAATTTCAATTTGCTGATATCTGTGTGGAAAAGTTGTGAGAGATAAGCTGGAAACATGCACTGGGATGAGATGAATCATGAATGCAAAAGTAATCCTAAACATATATAAAAACCAATATAGCAGCAGCAGCACCAACAAAGCAGAATAGATGCAGGTCAGTGCATGGAACAATGTCCTCCAGGTCCCTTGCTGTGCTGGGCACTAACCCTTTAGTGGCTGGGTCCAAGAGTTGGGAGGGGCAGCTGGGGCAGCAGGAGGGGTCTTGAAGAGGCTCAAAGAGCCTCTCAAAGGATCCCATAATTTTAACAAGAAGTGTGGTCATATCAGTGAATACTAGTTAAATACAGCCCTGCTTCTATGTCATGTGAATGAGCATGAGTGCTACCTTGTGGTCATCCAGGAGCCCCAAAATGTCATTGGGTTGGAAACACACTTTAGCAGCAGTGTGGAAGATGGGCTAGATTGGGGCACCATGAAGTCAGGCAGATAAGTAGGAAGGCTTTGTAATATACCAAGGAAGATGGATGATGTCCTGAATTACTGAAGTGGCAGGCCCAAAGATGATTACATAAATCTCCATTTCTATAGATCTCCTTGGTTCCTAAGAATTCTCCCGTCTTTTTATTCTCTTGGCTACAATCTCCTAGCCCAATGCAAACTTACACACACACATGCATGCTTGTGTGCAGATCCTGCTTCAGTATGTATACTCAACTAGTGGCTGGCAGGCTGTAATTATGGCAGGCAAGAGGCCTGCCAAGAAAAATTCATTCAAATACTGAGGTCATCCTATTCCCAGCTGCAAGAGAGTGGCTACAGTATAAACTCTGCCTTCATAAACCCAAACTATATTTTTGGATAGTCTTCTCTATTTTTCCAAGCACAGTCACACAATTATCTCATTTGTTCTCTTAACAATAGTCCTAGGAGGTCAGTAAGGCTGATATTATTTAGCTCCAATGTAGAGACGGGAAAAGTCCTTCAAAGAGAAAGGACTTGCCTAAGGTCATTCACAATGAGTCAGTAGTGACTCTACGACTAAGATGCCTTCTACTTCTTGGTCCCATGTTCCTCTCAATCTTTTCCATATAACCTCCTTCAGATACAATTTCAGGTCATTTTTGTTTCCACCTCCTGCAAACTAATATTCATTCTATCTATTCTAATAGTCATTTCTAAGAGAATTCTGTGGATAAATCAGAGTCGCCAATTTTATCCTCCAAGTCCTTGCTCAGGTCTCACCATTCCCTCCAGGAAATTTTCCCTGGTAACTATAGTTCAGTAACCTCAACCCCTTCTTCTTTAAATATTTACTCTCAGTATTAATGTGTTAGTGCTTTATGCTCTCTTGTTGTGTTCAGATTACTCCATCTGTGACTTGTCCTTTTCTTCTCCCCGCCTAGCACAAGATTTGGCACATAAGGGAACACTTACTAAAGTGTTGTTAATGTATGGCTTGATCCATTAAAGCCTAACTCTGGCATCAGACTGCCTGCAATTTCCAGTCAACAACAAAGCACTCTGAATATATGTGTTTGTGTGTGTGCACACATGTGTGTGCGTGTGTGTCTGTGCACCACTCATCTAGTGACCCTGAGGGTAACTAACTCAATGCTGTCAAAATGCAGCATCAGCACATAGTTATTTTACATTCCAGTAGGAATTGAAGCAAGGAAACTTTTCTCCCTAATTTTTTCAAAATAAATATTGCTCTGGTTCCAAATGGTATATTTTTGACATCTTGTGTACATTTCTGAAATAGAGTCCAGATGAGAAACCAGCTAATGTGTATGTCCATTCCAATCTGAGAACAGTAGATTCCCACTCATAGGCAATTTTGTTTCTGAAATCTCAATTGCAGAAAAAAGACTAGGGGGAGCATGTTTGCAGGAAGGGGTAAGGCCGACATGAAGTGACTGCTAGACAATCTGAGGCTTGGGGGCAAGACAAGGACATGGGGAAGAAAAGAAGGGGATGTGAAAATTTCTTCCCTCTCCTCTTATGATTGCCCACACAGATTTTTAAGGGACATGAATGGGAAAGCAGCTGATGGCTGCTCCCAACAAGGCAGGATAATTGCAAAATATCATTTAGACATGAGGGTGGCCAAAGGCAGGTGAACCCCAAGAAGACAGGTAAACAGGCCCCAGAGAACACCATCCACTTGGTTGTCTGCTCAGAAACTCCTCCTTAGAGTCCCCAACTGAGAGTAAAGGAATCATTTTTCTATTTCTTCTACAACATACAATATTGCCCAAGTACCTACTATGTATTAAGTACTGTGCTTGGCACTTACCAATATAAACCTTTTTGCCTTGTAGTGATTCATACTCCCATTTTACAGATGAAGAAACTGAGAGATAAAGTCTTTTACTCACCATCCCATAGTGTGTCTGACTCTATCATGTAGGTTCTTTCCATTGCACAACTCTGCCTTCCCAAGGTATGTTCAGTGAGATCTGGCAACAAGAAGAAAGCTGAAAACCCCTCCCTAGCAAGCCTAAGGTTTCACAGAGGCACTTAGTCTTAAATGAAGAGTGGGATTATAACCTAATGGAGAAAAAGATGGAAAGCGCATTCATTCCTGGCTGAAGGAATAGCAGATGGAAAGGCACTGATGTGGGGAAGAAAAAAAAAATGTTCAAGAAAGTATAAATAGTTTTGTGGGATCACCTGAGGGTGAGGACAGGTGATAGAATATGAAGCGAGAGCAACTAAGGCCAGATTATAAAGGGTTTCATTTCATATGCCATGTTAGGGAATGTGGGTTTTCTCCTGGAGATGAGATAGACTGGAAGAGAGGGAGTACTGATATCAGATCTCTGATCTCTGTTTTGAAAAGATCACTGTGGCACTGACTGCATGCAGGGACACCGAGCCAGGAAAGTCTGGCAATAATCAAGGCAAGAGTCAAGATGGTGAACCAAGTGAGGCCTAGCTCAGAAACTACTGACTCCAGAACAGTTGTTACCAGAAAGGGGTCTGGATTCAGACCCCAAGAGAGGGTTCTTGGATCTTGCACAAGAAAGAATTCAGAGTGAGTCTGTAAAGTTAAAGCAAGTTTATTAAGGAAGTAAAGGAATAAGGAATGGCTAATCTGTAGGCAGAGCAGCCCTGAGGGCTGCTGGTTGCCCATTTTTATGGTTATTTCTTGATGATATGCTCAACAACGGGTGGATTATTCATGCCTCCCCTTTTTAGACCATACAGGATAATGTCCTGATGTTGCCATGGCATTTGTAAACTGTCATGGTGCTGGATGGAGTGTAACAGTGAGGATAACCAGAGGTCACTCTGGTCGCCATCTTGGTTTTGGTGGGTTTTAGCTGGCTTCTTTAGTGCAACCTGTTGTATCAGCAAGGTCTTTAGGACCTGTATCTTGTGCCGACCTCCTGCCTCATCCTGTGACTAAGAATGCCTTAACCTCCTGGGAATGCAGCCCAGCAGGTCTCAGCCTCATTTTACCCAGCTTCTATTCAAGATGGAGTTGCTCTGGTTCAAACACCTCTGACACAGTCAGTCACTGCAAATTAGCCTGAATCTTTAAGCTCAAAGCTAGGATTCCAGGCTTTGCAGCATCTACCCCCATAGCCCTTAAATACTGTATGTGTTGCTTTGGCCTCAAAACTAGTAACAAGTCTTGCTTTGTCCTCTGGGGCCTCCTCATTTGTCTCCATTTTCTAAGCTGGCAGCTTTGTGGCTCCCCTGGGCCTAGCCTAGCCCAGCTGGCTGGGGGTGGTGGAGAGAAGTCAGGTAGGATCCAAGCAGAAAGGGCCATGATTAGCACATGTTTCACATTCCCCACATTGCATGGCAATTCCCAACCAAATCCTACAGGATTGTTTTCTTAAAGATTTGGGAGGAGTTTGGGGCTTCTTCTCTTTCTTTCTTCTTTGTTTTATTCTGTTTCTGGACTGCAGCTATTTCCTCTGTCCTTGAGTTAAGTAATAGCAGAGAGGGAGTTAAAATGAAAGTTTGCAGCAATGCAGAAAAGATGTTTCTAGAGATGTCCAGAGGAAGGAGGGAAATCTAGTATGGGGGCCCACAGCAATGTTCTGGGAAGGCCAGGGAATGTAGCTGCTGGGGGTGGGGCTTCAGTTACAGCAAATGTATAGAAGTTAGGCTAAAACCTACCTAAGGGAAGGGGTCCCTGACTCTCAGGCCAGCTTCAGTCCTTGACTTGTTTGCATTTAGCACTCAGTAGATTTTCCTCTGGTCATCAGTACCTGCTAAACCCCAGCGCAGCCCTAAGGTGTGGACTCTCCCTTTAACCAAGGAAATTAAAGCATTAAAATGAACCAAAAGCATTTAATGGGTAAAGGCAGCCAGCAATACACTCACGGGAATCCCACACTCCTAAATAACAGGAGGGTCTTGCAAAAGCCTTCCAGGCCTGCTTCCTTCCGTCCATCCTTCCTTTCATCTCTCTCTCTCTCTCTCTCTCCATGAATTTCTGAAATAGAACCCAGATGAAAAACCTGTTCATGTGTATGTCTGTCCCATCTAAGAACAGTAGATTCTGACTCATGGGCAATTTCATTCCGGAAATCTCAATTGCAGAAAAAAGATTAGGAGAGCAGGTTTTATTTTATTTTCTATCCTCCCTTTCCATCATTTCCCTTGAGATAGCATACATCAATAAGTAGCATGTAGGGAAGCACTGATTGTTTCTTAATTTATAGCTTTATTGAGATATAATTTACACACAATAAAATTACCATACCATAAAATTCATCCATTTAAGCGAAATGCAATGATTGTTTAGTATATTTAAAGAGTTGTACAACCATCACCACAATCTAATTTTAGAACATTTCCATTGTCCTCAAAAAGAAACTGTAAAGGTATTAATTAAGAAATGATCAGTGCTTCCGTACATGCTACTTATTGACATATGTGATGTCAAGGGAAATGATGGAAAGGGAGGGGGATAGAAAATGAAATAAAACCTGTTCTGCTAATCTTTTTTCTGCAATTGGAATTTCAGGAATGAAATTGCCCATGAGTCAGAATCTACTATTCTTAAATGGGACAGACATACACATGAGCAGGTTTCTCATCTGGGCTCTATTTCAGAAATGTGGTGGGGGGAGGGGGGGAGGGAGGGGGAGGAGGGGGAGAGGGGCAGGGAGGGAAGGAAGGAGGGAGGGAGGGAGGGAGCAAGGGAGGGAGAGAGAGAGAGAGAGAGAGAGAGAGAAACAGAGGGAGAAACAAACAAGCCTGGGAGGTTTTTGCAAGACCCTCCTGTTCTTTAGGAGTGTGGGCTTCCTATGAGTGTACTGATGGCTGCCTTTACCCATTAAATGCTTTTGGTTCATTCTGATGCTTTAATTTCCTTGGTTAGAGGGGAGAGTCCACACCTTGAGGGTATGCTGGGGCTACAGCAGGTGCTGATGATCAGAGCTTTGAGCTCATATACAGTCAGTCCATGTTCCTTTCAGGCCTCTGAGCCCATGGTAACTCTTACAGTGGAGGGTAAGTCCGTCCCCTTCTTAATCAATACAGAGGCTACCAACTCCACATTATCTTCTTTTCAAGGGCCTGTATCCCTTCCCTCCGTAACTGTTGTGGGTATTGACGGCCAGGCTTCTAAACCTCTTAAAACTCCCCAGCTCTGGTGCCAAATTGGACAACATTCTTTTATGCACTCCTTTTTAGTTATCCCCACCTGCCTAGTTCCCTTATTAGGTCGAGACATTTTAACTAAATTATCTGCTTCCCTGCACAGCCACACCTCATTGCCACCTTTTCCCCCAGTTCAAAGCCTCCTTCACATCCTCTCCTTGTATCTCCCCACCTTAATCCACAAGTGTAGGACACCTCTACTCCCTCCTTGGTGATGGATGATGCACCCCTTACGATCCCATTAAAACCTAATCACCCTTACCCCGCTCAACGCCAATATCCCATCCCACAGCACTAAAGCCTGTTATCACTTGCCTGTTACAGCATGGCCTTTTAAAGCCTATAAACTCTCCTTGAAGACAGAAGAAGAGAGCCATGAGCCAAGGAATATGGGCAACCTCTAGAAGCTAAAAAAGGCAAGGAAGTTCTCTCCTTGAGCCTCCAGAAAAAAATGAGCCCTGCTGACATGTTGGTTTTAGCCCAGTGAGACTCATGTCATATTTCTAATGTACAGAACTGTAAAATGATAAATTTGTATTTTTTAAGCTACTAAGTTTGTGGTAATTTCCTATAACAGCAGTAGAAAACTAATATAAATTGTCCTTTCAGTTTCTTTCTTTCTTTCTTTTTTTCTAGACAGAGTTTCGCTCTTGTTGCCCAGCTGGAGTGCAATGGCACGATCTTGGCTCACTGCAACCTCCGCCTCCTGGGTTCAAGTGATTCTCCTGCTTCAGCCTCCCGAGTAGCTGGGATGACAGGCATGCGCCACCACACCTGGCTTATTTTATTTTATTTTATTTTTTGTATTTTTAGTAGAGACGGGGTTTCTCCACATTGGTCAGGCTGGTCTCGAACTCCTGACCTCAGGTGATCCGCCTGCCTCAGCCTCCCAAAGGGCGGGGGTTACAGGCATGAGCCACCGTGCCCGGCCCCCTTTCAGTTTCTAGACAGTGTCTTTTAAAGAACAAAAGTTTCTAATTTTGATTAAGTCCAATCTTTATCCATCTTTTCATCACTTATGTCTTTGGTATTGTATATAAGAAATCGTTGCTGATAGAACTTCCAGAATAGGGATATGAGGAGCTCGGTGGATCCTCTCCCATTTAAAGTCTCTGGAAATTGTCCTAATGGCTTATGGAAAGTGAAGAAATGTTTATTCAAGTAAACTTAGTGAATTTTGGTAAGAACAATAGGAGTCAGTGGCATTTGATACATGACCTGTTCCTAACCCATCTCTATCCCAGTTTTATGGATACAAGGCAGATGTGGCTAAGAAAAGAGGAAGGCTCCCTTTATCCCCAGCTCATAGTCAAGACTAAGACCCAGGCTAAGGTTATTCTAGGATTTCACCCCAGAAGGGGAAATCCACTGGCACCTCTTATCCTCAGTAGGCCCTTGTTATGAAAATGCTGCTCTAGGAAGCTGCAGCTAAGTGGACTGGGTCTCTTTCCCCCACCTCGCTCCACTCATAAGCCAAGGGCTCTGCTCTGGCAAAGCAGGCCAAGAATACTAAGGCCCCAATCACCTCACCACAACTTGCTCATAGGGCATAGGTTCCACGGTGGGAGGCGCAAGCAGAGAGTATCAGGGCCATATCTCCCTCTGATATGGTTTGGCTCTGTGTTCCCACCCAAATCCCATCTCAAATTGTAATCCCCACGTGTTAAGGGAGGGACCTGGTGGGAGGTAACTGGACCATGACGGCAGTCTCTCCCATGCTGTTCTTGTGATAGTGAGTGAGTTCTCACAAGAGCTGACAGTTTTAAAGTGGGGCACTTCCGCTCTCTCTTTCCTGCTGCTATGTAAGATGTGCCTTGCTTTTCCTTCACCTTCTGCCATAATTGTAAGTTTCCTGAGGCCTACCCAGCCATGTGGAACTGTGAGTCAATTAAACCTTTCTTCTTCATAAATTACCCAGTCTCAGGTAGTTCTTTATAGCAGTGTGAAAACAGACTAATATAGAAAATTGGTATTGGGAGTGGGGCACTGCTATAAAGATAACCTGAAAATGTGGAAGTGACTTTGGAACTGGGTAACAGGCAGAGGTTGGAACAGTTTGGAGGGCTCAGAAGAGACAGGAAGATGTGGGGAAGTTTGGAACTTCCTAGAGACTTGTTGAATTGTTTTGACCAACATGCTGATTGATGGTGTTATGGACAATGAAGTCCACGCTGCGGTGGTCTCAGATAGAATGAAGAACTTATTGGGAACTGGAGCAAAGGTCACTCTTGCTATGCTTTAGCGAAGAGACTGGTGGCATTGCCCCTGCCCTAGAGGTCTGTGGAACTTTGAACTTAAGAGATGATTTAGTATATCTGGCAGAAGAAACTTCTGAGCAGCAAAGTGTTAAAGAAGTGACCTGGCTTTTTCTAAAAGCGTACAGTATATGCATTCACAAAAAGATGATTTGAAATTGGAACTTATGTTTAAAAGGGAAGTAGAGCATAAAAGTTTGGAAAATTTGTAGCCTGAGCATGCAGTAGAAGAGAAAAACCCATTTTCTGGGGAGAAATTCAAGCCTGCTATAGAAATTTGCATAAGTAACGAGGAGCCAAATGCTAATCACCAAGACAATGGGGAAAACATCTCCAAGGCATTTCAAAGATCTTCATGGCAGCCCCTCCCATCACAAGCTGGAGGCCTAGGAGGGAAAAATGGCTTGGGCCGGGCCCAAGGCCCCACTGCATTGTGCAGCCTCAGGACATGGTGCCCTGCATCCCAGCCACTCCAGCTCCAGCCATGGCTAAAAGGGAAAAACGTACAGCTCAGGCCATTGCTTCAGAGGGTGCAAGCCTCAAACCTTGGTGGCTTATCACATGATGTTGAGCCTGTGCACAGCAGATAAGAGCTGAGGTTTAGGAACCTCTGCCTAGATTTCAGAGGAGGTATGGAAATGCCTGGATGTCCAGGCAGAATTCTGCTGCAGGGCAGAGGCCTAATGGAGAACCTCTACTAGGGCAGTTTGGAAGGGAAACGTGAGGTCAGAGATCCCACACAGAGTCCCCATTGGGGCACTGCCTATTGGAGCTGTGAGAAGAGGGCCACCATCATCCAGACCCCAGAATGGTAGATCCACTGACAGCTTGCACTGTACAACCTGGAAAAGCCACAGGCATTCAATGCCAGCCCATGAAAGCAGCCATGGGGGCTGTACCCTACAGAGCCACAGGGGTGGAGCTGCCCAAGGCCTTCGGAGCCCCTCCTGCATCACTATGCCCTGGATGTGAGACATGGAGTCAAAGGAGATTGTTTTGGAGCTTTAAGATTTAATGAATACCCTTCTGGGTTTCAGATTTGCATTGGGCCTATGGCCCCTTTGTTTTGGCCAATTTCTCTTATTTGGAATGGGAACATTTACCCAATGCCCATACCCCCATTGTATCTTAAGAGTAACTAGCTTGTTTTTGATTTTACAGGCTCATAGGCAGAGGGAACTTGCCTGGTCTCAGATGGGACTTTGGAATTGGGCTTTTGAGTTAATGCTGGAATGAGTTAAGACTTTGGGGAATTGTTAGGAAGGCATGATTGGTTTTGAAATGTGAAAAGGACATGAGATTTGGGAGGGGCTGGGGCAGAATGATATGGTTTGGCTCTGTGTCCCACCCAAATCTCATCTTGAATTGTAATCCCCATGTGTCAAGGGAGGGACCTGGTGGGAGGTGACTGAATCATGGTGGCAGTTTCCCCCATGCTTTTCTCATGATAGTGAGTGAGTTCTCACAAGAGCTCATGGTTTTAAAGTGTAGCACTTCCTCACTTTCTCTCTCTCTTCTGCTGCCACGTAAGATGTTCCTTGCTTTCCCTTCACCTTCTAGATGATTGTAAGTTTCCTGAGGCCTCCCCAGCCATGGGAAACTGTGAGTCAATTCAACCTTTTTTCTTCATAAATTACACAGTCTCAGGTAGTTCTTTATAGCAGTGTGAAAATGAATATACCCTATACCAGGACTTGCTCATATAATAGGGGTGTCAATCTAGAAGAAACAGGCCGCTCTTGCTACATTCAGCTCCAGTGCAATGATCCACAGCTTCTGCCCAGAGGGAGAGGCAGGTAATAAAAACAGAAGGCTTTAGCAGTTCTGCCTGAGGGGATTGACTTTATTTGGAACAGAATATGGAGAAGTTTATGTCTGACAATGTTATTAAATCAATGGAGATCTTGGTGAGCAATTTCAAGAAGGCTGGTAGCTCTGTGATACTAGTGAAATGCAAACTGATCAGAAGTTTAAAAGACAGAGCCATAGAAATAGCCCAAATCCCAGCACTTTGGGAGGCTGAGGTGGGCGGTTCACGAAGTCAGGAGATGGAGACCATCCTGGCTAACACGGTGAAACCCCGTCTCTACTAAAAATACAAAAAATTAGCCAGGCATGGTGGCGGGCACCTGTAGTCCCAGCTACTCAGGAGGCTGAGGCAGGAGAATGGTGTAAACCTGGGAGGTGGAGCTTGCAGTGAGCCGAGATTGCACCACTGCACTCCAGCCTGGGCAACAGAGCAAGACTCCATCTCAAAAAAAGAAAAAGAAAAAAAAGAAATAGCCAAGCAGAGCCCTCCTGGGGTCACCAACATCACTGGACATCTGAAAGCCTGTGTGCATAAGCTAGGCTACACCTAATCAGAAGCAATCAGAGTTAGAAGGAAGGCAGACTTGAAAGTATTCTCCAAGCCACACACAGATCCATTAGATCAAGGGGCTTTTGCACAACTCCTGATGAAACACTGGCTGAACAATAGGCTATTCTGACCCAAGGGCTGCTTCTAGGAATTCAGGTCTAAAAACAAAGTAAAACTAATCCCTAGTGGTCTGGTACATTGTGTGCATGCCCAAGGCTGCACCCTCATAGAAAAGACCAGAGAGAGAACATCTGGCTAAATGTAAAAAAAAATCATAAACACCCTCAACTGTGAAAACAAACTCAAAGCTACAAATACATGCAAAAGTAAAGAGTCTAACTGACTAAGGGGAGTAATCATAACCTTTGGTGATTAAATGGTTCATGTGCACCCAAGGGTGACCCCTAAGAAGACAGGATAAAAAATAAGAACAAAGAAAAAAAATTGGGGAATGGATATTAGAGGCTGCATACACTACTGGAAATAGACTATCAAGTCAAAAAATAAACAGACAACCAAACAAATAACAGCAAGTCCCAAAAATTGGGGGTGGGGGTGGGAGATGGTCATTACTTAAAGCTGCTACACATATCATTGATGTGGAAAAGAGATCACATATTATTTTAAATGTCCAGTTTTCAAAAGAAATTACAATATATGAAACAAAGAGGAAAGCACAGCCCATACATAGGAAGAAAAGCAGGCAAAAGAAACTGCTTTTGACAGAGTCCAAATGTTGGACTTACCCAAGACTATAAAGCAGCTATTATAAATATGTTTAAACAACTGAAAGAAAGCATGCTTGAAGAATGAAAGAAAAGTATGATAAAAATTCATCAAATAGAGAATAGAAAAAGAGACAGAAATTATAAACAAGATAGCATTCTGGAGTTGAAAATAGAATAATCCAAATGAAATATTCACTAGAGATTTAAGTTGGCAGAAGAAAGAATCAATAAACTTGAATACAGATGAATAGAGATTATACAAAATGAACAGAAAAAAATAAAGAGAAACAGAGCGTCAGAGAAATATGGTACACCATTAAGCACACAAACATACATATATTACAAGTACCATAAGGAGAGGAAATAAAGAGACTCAGAAAAATTAGAAAAATAATGACAATAACCTTCTCATATTTGATGGACAAGGCTAACTTACAAATCCAAAAGGTTCAACAAACTCCAGTAGAAGAAACTCAATGATCCACACCCAGATGCATCATATTTAAAATATTAAAACTAAAGATAAAGAAAAAATCTTGAGAGCATCAAGCAAAACACTACTAATCATATCTAAAGGAAACCCCAATAAGACTAACAGTGAACTTCTCAATAGAAAAATATGGAGAACAAAATTAGTGGGATAACAAATTTAAAGTGCTGAATGAAAAAAAAATACATCAACCAAGTATCATATACTCAGTAACTATCTTTCAAAAATGAAGGCAAAATAATGATGTTCCCATATAATAAAAACCTGAAAGAATTCATTGCTAATAGACCTGACTTACAAGAAAATCTAAAGGAAATTCTTCAGGCTAAATCAAAGTGACACCAGAGAGTAATTTGAATTTTCATGAAAAACAAAGCATTGTGTTAAAGGTTAATTGTGTAGGTAGTGACAAGGAATATATTTCTTTACCTTTTATCTCTTAACTGATTTAAAAAGCAATTGCAGGCTGGGTGCAGTGGTTCACACCTATAATCTCAGCACTTTGGGAGGCCGAGGCGGGCGGATCACCTGAGGTTGGGAGTTCGAGACCAGCATGACCAACATGGAGAAACCCCATCTCTACTAAAAATACAAAGTTAGCCGGGAGTGATGTCACATGCCTGTAATCCCAGCTACTCGGGAGGCTGAGGCAGGAGAATTGCTTGAACCCAGGAGGTGGAAGTTGCAGTGAGCTGAGATCGCCCCATTACACTCCAGCCTGGGCAACAAGAGCAAAACTCCATCTCAAAAAAATAATAATAAAATAAATCAAATAAAAAAATAAAAAGCAATTGCACAGAACATTAACTACAGGCCTGGCACAGTGGCTCAAGCCTGTAATCCCAGCATTTTGGGAGGCCAAGGTGGGCAGATCACCTGAGGTCAGGAGTTCAAGAACAGCCTGGCCAACATGGCAAAACTCCATCTCTACAAAAATACAAAAATTAGCCAGGCTTGGTGGTGCACACCTGTAGTCCCAGCCACTCTGGAGGCTGAGGCAGGAGAATTGCTTGAACCCAGGAGGCAGAGGTTGCAGTGAGCCGAGATCGCACCACTGCACTCCAGCCTGGGTGATAAAGCAAGACTCCGTCTCAGAAAAAGAAAAAAAAAAAAAATAACATTAACTACAAAATTTATTGTTGGGCCTATAACATATAGAAATTTAATACATATGACAATAACACCACATAGGAGGGGCGTCAGAATGAAGCTGTATTGGAGTAAGAAAACGATACCCAATGGTAACTCAAGTACACAGAAAGAAATGGTGAGAATAAAAAATGGTAAATGAGAAGGTTATTTTTTAAAAGCCATAAAGATATTTATGTTCTCTTTTCCTCTCTTCTTTAAAAGATATAAGGTTATATAAAATGATAATTATAAAATATATTATTGGGAGATTGAGTTCTGGCATTACAATATGAGGTGCTCTGTTGACTCTGTCGCATTAAAACAGGTGAACCATTTAAAGCCTCTGGAAATGGTCCTAAGGGCAAAACAGAAAATGAAGAAATATTTATTGAAGAAAATCCATAGAAATTTGGTTTAAAAAAAAAAAAGCAAGTCTGTGGTATCTGAACAAAAACTGCCCCCTCTATCCCCTCTTTCCCTCTCTCCTTCTTCCACCCAGCCTAGTGATCTGGGGACTCCACTCCACACTGCTGCAGCTAAGAACACAGAACTCCTTCTCCCCTCAGCTCCCAGCCAGCAGGCTTTCTTCTGAAGGGAACAGGACTTCAGCATTTCTCATTTGTCCCTAAGCTGTCTGTGGCTGAGAATAAGTTCCAGGTGACTGAGGTCAAGAGATGGGGATCCTGTCTTCCATCCAATCCCCACTCATGGAAGAGAGGATCTACCATGGTCATGGTGTGTTATGAACACCAGAGCTCCAATAGCCCTTCTCTCAGTTCTGAGATTGTAGTTCCACACCAGAAAAGGCAAACCAAGAGGACCTCAGGCTAGTGACACCTCTCCACCTAGCACTCAGCTCCTACAGTTGTGAAAGTCATGCACAAAGTCAAGTCAGCTCCTACAATTGCCATTGTCCCTACCAGAGCCCAGAGATTTTACCTAAGGGGAGAAGCAGCCTATAAAAATGGATAGCTACTAATCTCTTTTCAGAGAGGCTGACTTCATTTGCAAGAGAGCATGGATAAGTGTAAACCTAAAAACACTCTAAAAAAAATTGGAGGTTATGATAAAGAAAATTGGGAGTAGACTCATGAATCTAATGAAGATACAGCCAAGACTATAGGCTGGCTAGTTTGCAGGAGAGAATTGGAGAATAAGACAGCTGGTAGGAGCCTTCCTGTGGTCCGAAAAAAGTATCAAACACTGACCTCAGAAACTATTTCCTGAAAAGAGCCACACTCAGATTAGATAAATTTGTAGAAGAATTCTTGTCCTAGGGAGTTGTTGTAAACAACAGAATAATTGGCCTTCAATTGGTAGAACTTAACAGCTGGGTGTGGCCAAGGAAAGAGGATAACAGCCCTGCCAGTACCACCACAGTCATTCCAGGGTGATTGTGGGCACACCCAAAGTTGTGCCTAAATGAGGGGCAACATCAAAGATTTAAGACTGCGTGTGTGCTGGAGGGGTAAACTTCACTAAAATAATCCAGCCAATTACTAAACAGATAAGCAAATAACAATAACAAGCTCCAGAAGGGAAGGGCTAGTATCCAGAGTTGGTACCAGAAAACAAGAGTACACTAAACTCAAATCAAGTAGAAGGAAGGAAATAATAAAAATCAGAACAGAAATTAATAAAACAGAGAATGGAAAAACAATAGAAAAAATCAATAAAACCAAAAGGTAGTTCTTTGAAAAGATCAGAAAACTGACAACTCTTTGGCTAGTTTGACCAGAAAAAAAGCAAGACTCAATTACTAGAATCAAAAATTGAAGGGAGAATTACTACTGACTTTACAGAACTAAAAAGCTTATAAAGGAATACTAAGGACAATTATATGCCAACAGATTAGATAACTTAGATGAAATGGACAAATTTCTAGGAAGACAGAAACTACCAACACAGACCCAAGAAGTAACAGATAACCTTAACAAGTGAAGAGACTGAATAAGTAATAAAAAGACTATCCACAAAGATAAGCCTAGGCCCAGATATCTTCACTGCTGAATTCTACTAAACATTCAAAGAGGAATTAATATAAATTCTTAAAAAACTCTTCAAGAGAAAAAGCAGATGAGGAAGAAATACTTTCCAAATCATTTCATGAGGCCAATATTACCCTGACTCCAAAGCTAGACAAAGATATCACAAGAAACCTATACAACAATGTCTTATTTATATGGATGCAAAAACCTTCAAGAAAATTCTAGCAAACTGAATGTAGCAACATATACAAAGAATTATAAAACATGGCAAGTGGTATTTATCTGAGAGATGCAGAGTTGGCTGAACATCTGAAAATCAATTAATGTAATACATCATATCAATAGAATAAAAACCAAACAATCAATGACCACCTTAATCAACACAGAAAGAGCATTTGACAAAATCCAATACTTCTTCATGATAAAACCCTGAATAACATGGAATAGAAGAGAACTTCCTCAATTTGATAAGGGCTTCTATGACAAATCCACACTGCCATCATTTAAATGTGTACCCCCAGAGCATTACATTTTGGAAACTTAATCCCAATGCAAGGTGTTCAGATGTGGGGCCTAAAAGGAAGTGATTAGGTCATGAGGGCATTGCCCTTATGAATAAATTAATGCTGTTATCACTAGATTGAGTTCCTTATAAAAAAATGAGTTCATCCAACTCTTGCTGTCTCTCATGCATGCCCTCTCTTTGCCCTTCCACCATGGAATGATACAGCAAGAAAGCCCTCACCAGATGCTGCCCCTCAATCTTGAACTTCCCAGCCTCAAAAACTGTGAGCCAATAAATTTCTGTTTATTATAAATTAGCTAGTCTCTGCTATTCTGTTATACTCACACAAAACTGGCTATGATACATATAATGAAAGACTACAAGCTTTCCTTTTAAGATTAGAAAAATGATAAGAATGTCCACTTTCGTCAAATCCACTCAACATTGTACTAGATATTCTAGCCAGAGAAATTAGCCAAGAAAAGGAAATTTAAGACATCCAAATTGGAAAGGAAGAAATAAAACTTTCTCTTTTCAAGAATGGCATGATCTTATATATAGAAAATCCTAAGGAATCCACTAAAAATCTACTAAAATAATAAATAAGGTCAAAAAGTTTGCAAGGTATAAGATCAATATACTGAAATGAGTTGTATTTTTATCTGCTTGCAATAAACAATCTGAAAATGACATTGAGCATAACAATTCTATTTCCAATACCATAAAAAGAATAACATACTTTGGAATAAATTTTTAAAAACGAAGTACAAAACTTACACTCTGAAAACTACTAAATATTGTTGAAAGAAATTAAAGGTCTAAATAAATGAAAAACTACACTACATTCATAAATTCAAAGACCTAACATTTTTAAGATGGCAGTACTTCCCAAACTGAGCTATACATTTGAAGCAATTCCTACTAGAATCTCAGCTGACTTGTTTGTACAAATTGACAAGCTGATTCAAAAATTCATATGGGACCCAGAATTACAAGGGACCCAGAATACTGAAAACAATCCAGAAAAAGAAGAATAAAGTACGAGGGCTCACACTTCTTGATATGGTTTGGCTGTGTCCCCACCCAGTCTCATCTTTCTTTTTCTTTTTTCTTATTTATTTATTTTGAGATGGAGTCTTGCTCTGTCACCCAGGCTGGAGTGCAGTGGTGCAATCTCGGCTCACTGCAACCTCTGCCTCCTGGGTTCAAGTGATTCTCTTGCCTCAGCCTCCCGAGTAGCTGGGACTACAGGTACCCACCACCACGCCTGGCTAATTTTTGTAATTTTTAGTACAAACGGGGTTTCACCATATTGGCCAGGCTGGTCTGGAACTCCTGACCTCAAGTGATCTGCCTGCCTCAGCCTCCCAAAGTGCTGGGATTACAGGCATGAGCTGCTGTGCCCGGCCCCAGTCTCATCTTGAATTGTAGCTCCCATAATTCCCATGTGTTGTGGGAGGGACCCCATGGGAGATAACTGAATCATGGGGGCAGTTTCCCCCATACTGTTCTCGTGGTAGTGAATAAGTCTCATGAAATCTAATGGTTTTATAGGAGGTTTCCTGTTTTGCTTGGCTCTCATTCTCTCTTGCCCACCCCCGCCGCCAGGTAAGGAGTCCCTTTGCTCTTCCTTCATCTTCTGCCATGATTGTGAGGCCTCCCCAGCTATGTGAAACTGAGTCAATTAAACCTCCTTCCTTTATAAGTTACCCAGTCTCGAGTATGTTTTTATTAGCAGCTGAGAACAGACTAGTACACTTCCCAATTTAAAACTTATTTAAAAACAACAGAAAGCAAGACAGTCTTGTAATGGCACAAGGATAGACACACAGAGCAATGGAATGGCATTGAGAGTTCAGAAATAGACCGATAAACCTATGTTTAACTGATGTTTGACAAGGGTGCCAAGACAATTCAATAGAAAATGAATCATCTTTTAAACAAATGTTGCAGGGACAATAGGATACCCATATGCAAAAAGACTTAAACTGGATCCCTATGTCACACTGTATACAAAAATTCACTCAAAATTATCAAAGACTTAAATGTGAACAATAAAACTACTAGAAGAAAAAGCAGGTAAACCTTAATGACTTTTGATTTGGTACAGGATTCTTAGGTATGATACCAAAAGCATGAGTAGCAAAAGAAAAAATAGATCAATTGGACTGCATAAAATGTAAAAGTTTTGAGCTTCAAAAGACACTATAAAGTGAAAAGGCAACCCACAGAACAGGAGAATTTATTTTAAAACCATATATCTGATAAGGGATAGTATCTGGATATGTAAAGAAAATTAGAACTCAATGATAAAGAGAAAAACAAGTCAATGAAAAAAAAACAGACAAAGGATATGAGTAGACATTTATCCAAACAATATATATAAATGGCCAACAAACACATGAAAAGATGATTAACGTGGCTGGGCGCAGTGGCTCACGCCTGTAATCCCAACACTTTGGGAGGCTGAGGTGGGCGGATCACGAGGTCAGGAGTTTGAGACCAGCCTGGCCAATATAGTGAAACCCTGTCTCCACTAAAAAATACAAAAATTAGCTGGGCGTGGTGGTGTGCGCCTACAGTCCCGGATACTTGGGAGGCTGAGGCAGGAGAATAGCTTGAACCCAGGAGATGGAGGGTGCAGTGAGCCGAGACCGCGCCACTGCACTCCAGCCTGGGTGACAGAACGAGACTGTTTCAAAAAAAAAAAAAAGGAAGAGAGAAAAGATGGTTGACATAATTAGCCATCGGGGGAAAATGCTTATCAAAACCACAATGAGATACCACTTCATGGCTAGAATCAAAGAATCAGGTAACAACAAGCATTAGTGAAGATATGGATAAATAAAAACCCTCACACACAGGGTTTTTATTTCTCCATATCTTCATACATGCTAGGTGCTAGGAATGTAAAATAATCCAGCCACTGTGGAAAGCAGTCTAATTTTTATTTTTATTTTAAGTTCTGGGGTTCATGTGCAGGATATGCAGGTTTCTTACATAGGTAAACGTGTGCCATGGTGGTTTGCTGCACCTATCAACCCATCACCTAGGTATTAAGCCCAGCGTGCATTAGCTGTTTTTCCTAACGCTCTCCATCTCCCCAGCATACCCCCCAACAAGCCCCAATATGTGTTGTTCTCCTCCCTGTGTCCATGTGTTCTCATTGTTCAGCTCCCACTTATAAGTGAAAACATGCAGTGTTTGGATTTCTGTTCCTGCATTAGTTTGCTGAGGATAATGGCTTTCAGCTCCATCCATGTCCCTGCAAAGGACATGATATCATTTCTTTTTATGGCTGCACAGTATTCCTACCACATTTTCTTTATCCAGTCTATCGCTGATGGGCATTTAGGTTGATTCTATGTCTTCGCTATTATGAATAGTGCTGCAATAAACATTCATTTGCATGTCTCTATAGTAGAATGATTTACATTCCTTTGGGTATATACCCAGTAGTGGGATTGCTGGGTCAAATGGTACTTCTGCTTTTAGGTCTTTGAGGAATTGCCACACTGTCTTCCACAATGGTTGAATTAGTTTACATTCCCGCCAACAGTATAAAAGCAATAAATCTGTTTTAAAAAGAGGAAGTAACAGTAGTTACTGGTGAAGACCAGTATGTCTTGCAAAATGTACTTTGGAAAATGATTAAGTGTATAAGTATTCTGTAGAATGAAATATGTACTAAAGTTGCATCTTGGATTTTCAAAAGAATATTTTGTTGTGTTTGCACCATATGTAAACATAATACGTATAAAATAATAGACAACAGGGAAATGAATGGAACTATATAAAAGTAAATGTAAAATATATTATAAGAATTAACTTACTATAAATATGAAGTATATTCTGATAACTTATGATGTATATCATAAGTGCCAAAACAACCACAATGAGAATAACTTGAAAATAGTTGAAAATCATTGAAAAATTAAAACGGTACACTAGAAAATATTCATTAAATACAAAAGGGGATAGTAAAGGAGGTACAAAGGAACAAAGTAGTCATGACACATACAGAAAAAAACCAACAAAATAAATTCCACCAAATCAATGACATTAAATTTAAGTGGATTAAATAACCCAGTCAAAAGGCATAGACTGTCAGATTGGATAAGAAAACAAGATATAACTGCATGCTATCTACAAGACACATATTTATATATTTAAATACAAACAGATTGGAAGTTTAAAAAATGGAGAAAGATGTACCACGCAGAGTAACCATAAGAGAGTTGAAGTGGCTATACTAATATTAGACAAAATGGACTTTATGACAAAAACTGTTATGAGAGTACACCCTCCCAAGACTAAACCAGGAAGAAGTTGAATCCCTGAATAGACCAATAACAGGCTCTGAAATTGAGGCAATAATTAATAGCTTACCAACCAAAAAAAGTCCAGGACCAGACGGATTCACAGCCGAATTCTACCAGAGGTACAAGGAGGAGCTGGTACCATTCCTTCTGAAACTATTCCAATCAATAGAAAAAGAGGGAATCCTCCCTAACTCATTTTATGAGGCCAGGATCGTCCTGATACCAAAGCCTTACTGAAACACAACAAAAAAAGAGAATTTTAGACCAATATCCCTGATGAACATCAATGCAAAAATCCTCAATAAAATACTGGCAAACCGAATCCAGCAGCACATCAAAAAGCTTATCCACCATGATCAAGTGGGCATCATCCCTGGGATGCAAGGCTGGTTCAGTATACACAAATCAATAAACGTAATCCAGCATATAAACAGAACCAAAGACAAAAACCACATGATTATCTTAATAGATGCAGAAAAGGCCTTTGACAAAATTCAACAGCCCTTCATGCTAAAAATTCTCAATAAATTAAATATTGATGGGACGTATCTCAAAATAATAAGAGCTATTTATGACAAACCCACAGCCAATATCATACTGAATGGGCAAAAACTAGAAGCATTCCCTTTGAAAACTGGCACAAGACAGGGATGCCCTCTCTCATCACTCCTATTCAACATAGTGTTGGAAGTTCTGGCCCGGGCAATCACGCAGGAGAAAGAAATAAAGGGTATTCAATTAGGAAAACAGGAAGTCAAATTGTCCTTGTTTACAGATGACATGATTCTATATTTAGAAAACCCCATCGTCTCAGCCCCAAATCTCCTTAAACTGATAAGCAACTTCAGCAAAGTCTCAGGATACAAAATCAATGTGCAAAAATCACAAGCATTCTTATACAACAATAACAGACAAACAGAGAGCCAAATCATGAGTGAACTCCCATTCACAATTGCTTCAAAGAGAATAAAATACCTAGGAATCCAACTCACAAGGGATGTGAAGGACCTCTTCAAGGAGAACTACAAACCACTGCTCAATGAAATAAAAGAGGACACAAACAAATGGAAGAACATTCCATGCTCATGGATAGGAAGAATCAATATCGTGAAAATGGCCGTACTGCCCAAGGTAATTTATAGATTCAATGCCATCCCCATCAAGCTACCATTGACTTTTTTCACAGAATTGGAAAAAAACTACTTTAAAGTTCATATGGAACCAAAAAAGAGCCCACATTGCCAAGTCAATCCTAAGCCAAAAGAACAAAGCTGGAGGCATCACGCTACCTGACTTCAAACCATACTGCAAGGCTACAGTAACCAAAACAGCGTGGTACTGCTACCAAAACAGAGATATAGACCAATGGAACAGAACAGAGCCCTCAGAAATAATACCACACATCTACAACTATCTGATCTTTGACAAAGCTGACAAAAACAAGAAATGGGGAAATGATTCCCTATTTAATAAATGGTGCTGGGAAAACTGGCTAGCCATATGTAGAAAGCTGAAACTGGATCCCTTCCTTACACCTTATACAAAAATTAATTCAAGATGGATTAAAGACTTACATGTTAGACCTAAAACCATAAAAACCCTAGAAGAAAACCTAGGCAATACCATTCAGGACATAGGCATGGGCAAGGACTCCATGTCTAAAACACCAAAAGCAATGGCAACAAAAGCTAAAATTGACAAATGGGATCTAATTAAACTAAAGAGCTTCTGCACAGCAAAAGAAACTACCATCAGAGTGAACAGGCAGCCTACAGAATGGGAGAAAATTTTTGCAATCTACTCATCTGACAAAGGGCTAATATCCAGAATCTACAATGAACTCAAACAAATTTACAAGAAAAAAGCAAACAACCCCATCAAAAAGTGGGTGAAGGATATGAACAGACATTTCTGAAAAGAAGACATTTATGCAGCCAAAAAACACATGAAAACATGCTCATCATCACTGGCCATCAGAGAAATGCAAATCAAAACCACAATGAGATACCATCTCACACCAGTTAGAATGGCGATCATTAAAAAGTCAGGAAACAACAGGTGCTGGAGAGGATGTGGAGAAATAGGAACACTTTTACACTGTTGGTGGGACTGGAAACTCGTTCAACCATTGTGGAAGTCAGTGTGGCGATTCCTCAGGGATCTAGAACTAGAAATACCATTTGACCCAGCCATCCCATTACTGGGTATATACCCAAAGGATTAGAAATCATGCTGCTATAAAGACACATGCACATGTATGTTTATTGCAGCACTATTCACAATAGCAAAGACTTGGAACCAAGCCAAATGTCCAACAATGATAGACTGGATTAAGAAAATGTGGCACATATACACCATGGAATACTATGCAGCCATAAAAAATGATGAGTTCATGTCCTTTGTAGGGACATGGATGAAGCTGGAAACCTTCATTCTCAGCAAACTATCGCAAGGACAAAAAACCAAACACCGCATGTTCTCACTCATAGGTGGGAATTGAACAATGAGAACACATGGACACAGGAAGGGGAACATCACACACTGGGGACTGTTGTGGGGTCGGGGGAGAGGGGAGGGATAGCATTAGGAGATATACCTAATGCTAAATGAGTTAATGGGTGCAGCACACCAACATGGCACATGTGTACATATGTAACAAACCTGCACGTTGTGCACATGTACCCTAGAACTTAAAGTATAATTTAAAAAAACTGTTATGAGAGATAAATAAGCATATTTTATAATGATAAAAGGGTCAATCAATTGGGAAGATAAAACAATTACATGAACATCCAAACAAAAAGCCACAAAAGATATGAAGCAAAAACTGACAAAATTAAAAGGAAGTATAGGCAACTCAACAATGATAGCAGGGGACTCTAATGCTCCACTTTCAATAAAAGACAGAATAACCAGGCAGAAAACTAACAAAGATGTAGGTTACTTGAACAACAGTCTTGACTTATACCAATCAGACCTGACAGACATGTATAGAGCACCTTAGCCTAGAACTGTAGAATACATTCCTCCAAAGCACACATGGAACATCACTAAGATAGGCCATATGTTAGGGTATAAAATAGTCTCAAAAAATGTAAAACAATTGAAATTATAGAAATGTGTGATATCAACAATGAAATTAAATGAGAAAATAACAAAGCCATTTGAAAACATGCAAATATACAAAATTAAATACACTTTTTACTTCTATTGTCTGCTCTTTTGGGGTCATATCCAAAAAAGTGTTACCCAGACCAGTGTTGTACAGCTTTCCCCCTATATTTTATGGTTTCAGGTCTTATATTTAAGTCTTTAATCTATTTTGAGTTGATTTCTGTAGATGGTGGGACATAAGTATCCAATTTCATTCTTCTGTATGTGGACAACCAGTTTTCCCAACATCATTTATTGAAGAAACTGTCCTTTCTTCATTGTATGTCCTTGATGCCTTTGTTGAAAATCAATTGATTGTAAATGTATGGGTGTATTTCTGGGCTTTATGTCCCTACAGTTGGTCCATGTGTCTGTTTTTATGCCAGTACCATGCTGTTTTGATTATAATCACTTTATAATACCGGCTCTCACTTATATGTGGAATCTAAAAACTTGAATTCATAGAAATAGAGAGTAGAATGGTGGTTACTAGAGGCTGAGAAGGGGAAGGGAAGAGCGGGGAAAGGGGCAATGGGGTGTTGTCCAACAAATAATACAAAGTTTAAGATAGAAGTAAGTTTTGAGAGCTATGCACAGCAGGGTGACTAGAGTCAATAATCATATTATATATTTCAAAATAACTAAGAGTAAATTTCAAATATCTCATGATAAAAATAATAGGTAAATGAGGTGATATATATGTTAATTTGTTTTATTTAATCATTCCACATATATGAAAACATCACATTATATCCCATAAGTGTATACAATTATGATTTGTCATTAAAAATATTAATTTAAAAATAAATAAAAATTAAGGGCATTCTTAGAGTGTGAAATAGTATCTCACTGTGGTTTCGACTTGCATTTCCCTAATGACTAATGATATTGAGCACCTTTTCATGTGCTTTTGGTCATTTGTATAACATTTTTGGTAGGATGCTAGCTGTGGGATTTTAATAGATGCTCTTTATCACGTCAAAGAAATTTTCTTATCTCCCTAATTTGTTGTAGGTTGTTACCTGAGTGTTTCCCAGGTTTTTTATATTACTTCATCTAGTGAAATGATCATGTTTTTGCCTTTTATTCCATTAATGTGTTACATTTATTAATTTTTAAGTGTTAAACCAAACTTTCAATCCTATTTATATGTTATAAACATATTTTATATGCTAATATAGTTTTATAATGGTTGCTTTCTAATCTAGTGTCTTTAGAAAAAGCTAAAAGATGGGAGAAAAATACATATTATAATTTTTAAGAAAAATGTATGTAATTATAAACAATCTTATTTGCCACTTCTAATATTCTTTTTGTGTATGAAATTACTCTCTGGTTTCATTTCCTTACTCTATTATACCTCCTTTCACTTCCCCCCTGCTTTGTGCTATTATTGTCAATATTATACTGTTTTATGCTGTTGCTTTTTAAATATATGCTTATATTTTCAAATAGTTTTAGATTTAAGACAAATTTCTAAGATACTATAGAGATTTACCATCCACCTCACACACAATGCCCTATATGTTATTAACAACTTATATTAGTATGGTACATTTGTAATAATTAACTAATACCGATACACTTATATCATTAACCAAACTCCATACTTCATTCAATTTTCCTTAGTTTTTTCCTCATGTTCTTTTTCTTTGGTTCCAGGATCCCAACCAGCATATGACATTACATTTAGTTGGCATATCTCTTTAGGCTCTTCTTTGCAGTGACAGTTTTTGACTTTCCTTGTTTTTGATGACCATGTCAGTTTCCAGTAGTACTGGTCAGGTATTTTGTAGAATAATCCTCGATTAGTATTTCTCTGCTGGTTTCTTCATAATTGGAGTGGGGTTATGAATTTTTCGGGGGGGGGGGCAATCACAGAAGTGAAATACCATTTTCATCACAGCATATCAAGGAACACACTACCAACATGACTTATCTCATTGATGTTAACCTTGGTTTTCTGGCTAAGGTAGTGTTTGCCAGCTTTCTTCACTTAAATTACAATTTTTTCCTTTCCATACTGTATTCTTTCAAGGAAGTCACTATGCACAGGCCCCACTTAAACAGTGAGAAGTTATGCTCTATGTCCTTGAGGACAGAGTAGTAACATAAATCATTTGGAATTCTTCTGCATAAAATGTTTGTATGGTTCTCCCCATTTATTTATTTAACCCATATGGACTCATGGACATAAAATAAATATCTTGGATTATAATCTATTAGTACTTTATTGATTTACTTTTTTTCTCAAGTTGTTCCAGCTTTGGCCATTGGGACCTCTTTCAATTGACTCCAGTGTCCTTTTGACATAACCCATTCAGTAGTGTGTGTGTGTGTGTGTGTGTGTGTGTGCACTTTAGTACTTCCTTACTTCCTGGCACTACGAGATTCTCCAGACTCATGTAGTTCCTGATCCAGTCCTAGAACCAGCCATTTTTTCAAGGATCCCTGGTTCCTTTCATTGAAAAATGGTATTAGAATCCAAGTTCTGGGCACTAGTTGTGTTCACTGCTGCTTCAGTATGGTTTTGTTTTTCAAATCAACTAAGAGAAGAGGGAGAAGGAATATGTAATTACACTGTCTTAATCACTACACAATTACCTTTACCAGGGCTCTTTATGGATTCAAATTATTGTCTGTTGTCACTTTCTTTCAGCTTGAAGGATTTCTTTTTATTTATTTATGTTTTTGAGACAGGGCCTCACTCTATCACCCAGGCTAGAGTGCAGTGGTGTGATCATGGCTCACTGCAGCCTTAACCCGGGCTCAAGCGACCCCCACACCCCACCTCAGCTTCCTGAGTAGCTCAGACTATAGGCACGTGCCACTACACCCCGCTAATTTTAAAATTTTTTGTAGAGATGGGGCCCACTATGTTGCCCAGGCTGGTCTGGAACTCCTGGGCTCAAGCGATCTTCTTGCCTTGGCCTCCCAAAGTGCTGGGATTACAGGCACGAGTTACTGCCCCCAGACTGCCTGAAATATTTCTTTCCGTTTTTCTCATAAGGCAGGTGCTAGCAACACATTCTCCTAATCTTTGTTTATCTGGAAACATCTTTATTTCGCCTACATTTTTGACGATTAGTTTTTCCAGATACAGACATATTGGTTGATTTTTTTTCTTTACGACTTCGAGTATGTCCTCCCCTTGTCTCCTGTTACCCACTTTTTCTGATGAGAAGTCAGCTGTTGAAATTACTGTGATTCCTTTGTATGTGATAAGTCATTTTCCTCTGGCTGCTTTCAGGATTTTCCCTTTGGCTTTGAATTTCAGCATTTTGACTATGATATGTCTAGGTATGGATCTGTTTGAGTTTATCTTACTTGGAGCTCACTGATCTTCTTTGATGTTTAGATTAATGTCTTTCATCATATTTGGGGATTTTAAGCCATAATTTCTGTGACTACATTTCTGCCTTTTTCTCTTCTCCCCTTCTGGTACTCTCATTACATATATGTTGATATGTTTGTTTCCCACACATATATGAAGCTCTGTTCATTTTTCTTCCTTCTGTTTTTCTTTCTCTATTAATCTGTCTTCTGCTTCAGTAATCTCTCTTCTGCCTCTTCTGCCATGATATAAAATATTGTTGGCCTTAAGAATTTTTGTTTTGCTTATTTTATTTTCAAGTCCAGAATTTGCATGTGGTTCTTTTTAAAAAATAAGTTCTATCACTTCATTGATATTCTTTATTTGATGAGTTGTTATCATCACACTTTCCTTTAGTTCATAAAACACAGTTTTCTTTAGTTTTTTGGATATATTTATAATAGCTGCTTTAAAGTCCTTGTCTGTCACGTACAACATCTGAGCTCCCTCAAAGGTGATTTATATTGCCTATTTCCTGTCCATGGTCACACTTAACTTATTTTTTGGCAATGCTCATAATTTTTGTTGAAAATTTGACATTTTAAATAATGTATTGTAGTAACTCTGAATTCTGTTTACCTATCCCACCCCCATAACCTGGGCTTTGTTTTTGTTTCTGCTTTTTCTCTATTTCTCTTCAGTGTCTTGCCTGGACTAATTCTCTCTGAAGTCTATTTCATCTGTAGTGTACAGTCTCTGATGTCATGTTCATTTCTCTTCTTGTTTTACTTTTAAGTCTGGCTTTCTAGGAGTCATCTTATATCAAAAGGTCACAGGTTTTTCTTAAGTTCCTAGATCCAGTAAAGCTTCTATCTTTTGCCAATGTATCTTTGTATGGATTGGGGAATGCTTTCATACTTCAGGAAGTCTTTAATTTTATCCTGCATTCAAATAGGGTTTAGCAGCTCATAAATATCATATCTCTGGTAGCTCCCACACAGGTTTAGCCTAGTGTGTGTGTACAGCCTTCCAGACCAATAGACAAATGTGATCTTAGCAGGGCATTTTTAAACTCTTTCCACAGGTCTCTCTCTGAAATGTCTGGCTGGTCTTTTTTCTTCTAGCTGCTACTAATATGTAATTCTCTAATATTCACTACTATAATCTCTGCTGTTTTCAACAATAACTTTAGGCATGAATTCCTTCATGCTCTGTTCTAAAGTCAGTCAGTCCCCATAGGCTATGTTACTATTTGGAGCTGGATGAGGAGAGAATGATATGGCAGCCTGCTTCTTCTACAGTGACATCTCTGCTCTATGAGCCCCCTGAAGTCCTTGTCTGACAAAAACAAAAAAACAAAAAAAAAACTGGGCCCTCGACTTGGGAGTGGGGAAATAGGAGCCCTGGTCTTCTCCAACTGCCATTCACAGTTTGCTGCAACTGTCTAGGGTAGTGCCTTCATCTTAAGAGTGGGAACTGAGCACGGAATGGGAACCCCCAATCTTCTTGTTTTTTGTGGCCAAGAATAAATCTTGTACAACAGAGAACTGGAGATGGAAGAATGAGAGTCACTAGCAGCCTGATCATTCTGGAATGAAACTATAGCTCTATAATCAACAGCTGGTAAGAAAGAGACCCCCTGTTTTCTCGGTTGTACTCACCTGGAATAAATCTTCTGCAACATAAAGTTGGGAGGAGGAATGGAAGCAGTTCCTTGCTCAAATGCCAATTGTTCTTACCAAGGTTCCATAGATTTTTCTTAAATAAGTGATTCTCAATTTGTTGCATGACCTTGAGCCAGTTTCCAGATACTTTGAATGGTTGTTTTACATCATCTTCTACCATTTTAATGGTTGTTTTACTGGTGAGAGGGTTTGTTGAGCTCTTCACACTAGAAGTTGGTCTGTCACAATTGTTAATTCAACACATGTTTAGCACACACCTACTATGTACTAGGTGTTATATACACTGGATTTGTTTGAATTAACAGATTTATTAATGTATAGTTGATATACATTAAACTGCACATATTTAAAGTATACAATTTGATTATCTTTGACATATGTACCTTCTATTACTATAATCAAGATGGTGAACTTACCCATTAATCCCAAAAGATTTCTTGTGCCCTTTGTATTGCCACCCAGTTTTCTCTGTCCCCCTCCCTCTGGTAACCATTAATTAGCTTCTGTCACTATAGATTAGTTTTTGCACCTGTTTTTAATTTACAAAGCTGATTGGTGGTGAAGTTTCTCTTTTACCAGGGGACCACCCTCAGCCCAATTGCTCTTTTCTTATGAGCAGAACATTTTTAGAGATTTTCTTTTTGCCTCTAGGTCAAAATTACTCAAGAGAAAACAAAGAATCCAGCCACCGCCATCTCTGCAAAGGGAGTTTTAGTAACCAGCTCACCAGATTCCCAAGTATATGTTTCCAGACCTCCAAAAAAGGCAACAGCATTTCACTCCTGTTTGAGTTGGTAAATTCAAGTCCTTGCATTTAAGGAGTTATAGGCTACAGTGTAAGAAAAGCCTTAGGATTCTTCCCTTACAGTGGAGAAGGGTTGAGAAGTCACCAGGGTTCTTCTCACTGTCTTTGCTTAGGTACCAGCAAGGGCTATTAAGCAACCCAATGTTTTCCCATTGTCCTTCACATGAATGATTATAAACTCCCAGCACAGTCTGAGGGACTCAGGGTGGTCCAGTTTCTACAGAGACCCAGGAATTGAATCCCCAAACTATACACATGCTATTACTTCTTTCACTCTTCAAGAGGAAAATGATATGGCAACTCCAGCAGGCTTAGCTGTTATCAACTAGAACTGATCCTAAGAGCAATGATTTATTGCTTGCCTACCATATATCAAGCACTGGGCTAGGTGGTATAGAATTGTTAATCTCATTTATAATACAACCAATCCACAAAGTTGGTACAATTTTTTCCCATTGTACACAAGGGAAAGCTGAGGTAAAAGGAGGTGAAAGGACTTGTCCCAGATCATATTCATAGTGACTAGCACAGGAGAAACTGAAACTCAGATCTGACACTTAGGTTACCCTCTATCCACTGTACTATAATGTCAGATTGCTAAGCTTAGGGATTTCCCTCCACATCCCAAAAGCCTCTCATAAGAGGAGAATTCCAACTATATGGCTTTTCATCTGTGTGGCAATAAATGCCACCTGGGACCCTGTATTTTTATTGCTTTTATACAAGCCTATATCACTCTGTCAGACGAATTAAAAGTGCTAATTCACATAAATGCCCCTCTTCAAAAAGAGCATGGGAAATATCCAGAAAACCCATGAATGAATTCAGAATCAGGCTGTGACTTTGACTGTTTACATGACAGCGAACCACAAATGCTGGATTACATTCCAAGCATCTGTGTTTAGCACCTTGGAATCTTGTAATATTAAAAAAAAGTTCTGACAAATAGCTATCCATGGAATGTAGAACTCTAACTCAGTTATGCTGTGTCAGAAATTGGCGAAGATGCTTACTGCAATATTTTTACAAGGGCTATCTTACAAAATTGAGGCCAGTATGCCATCTTCCAGTTTGTGCTGCATCTCATGCAGGTTTGTCATTCATTAAAAGGCTACAAAGAGATTAAATGGAATAGGGCTACTTGGCTCAAACAAGAAAGAATTCAAGTTTAAAGCAGTTACTGACTCTCCTCAGTAGAGGGCAGTGGTGGGCAGGGCAAGACTGGCAGGAGGAGAAGGGGGGAACATTAATTTCTGTGGTGTACCCACTAAGTGCTCAGATACAGTGCTTAATGCTTTACAGACAGTATCTCATGAATCATGGGTATTACCCTATAAAGGAAGGATTATTAGCACCATTTTAGCCTCAAAGAGGTTAAATGAATTGAACGCAGATCTGGTGCCATCTAGTTCAACTATTCCATGCTGTTGCCTGAAAAGTACTGCTTTATTCTAAAGTGTCAAAACTGGAAGCTTATACTGATGAACTGAAAGAGGAGACTCTCCTAGGATAGAGTAGGTCCCATATATGATAGTATCCTGAAAGATCGAGGCTGGCTGGAACAATGGAAAACATTTAACAAAGATAACATGTAAAAATTATAAACTTCAGAGCCAGTGACAAGGTGGAAATGATCTACAAGAAGTGGTTCAGAGGATTGGAAAACTGACATATGGGGAACAGTTGAGAGACTTGGAGAAGATTAGACCAGGATGCCTGGCACTAGGGAGGTGTTCATACATGTTGGAAAAACTGAATGTAGAAAATATCATGAGAAACCTAACATTGTCTTTTAACTACCTAAAGGGCAATTAGTTATCAAGAAGGTACATACTGTTTTGTGTGGTTCCAAAGGCTAGGACCTAGATCAGCTGGAGGGAGATTTTAGTTTCTTAAAAGGAATAATCTACTAAAAAACATAAAACTCTAAGAGAGAGAGAGCAACTCAAAACTGACATGAGTTGCTGTGTGAGATTCAGTTGTAAAGATGACCTCCAGGAACCCTTCCAACTCCAGGAAGTTCAGATTTTGTGCTGATTAAGACTCCCGGGATGGCTTCTTTACTCTTGTCAAGTGATGTTCTTAAAACTTTCCAAGAAAGAACTAGTTGGTCCCCCATACTTAGGAGCCAAAGTATTCAGACCATTAGAATTAACTCTCCTAAGAGGACCTTATCCACACATCTCCAAAGAAATTATAGGAGAAATTCTGAGACTGCCTCACAAGAGGGAGCCATTGCTGTTCCACTGGAATCTGTATATTGGACCAATTAAAGACTACAAATGTACCTTTTATTCAAAGAAACAAATAAACATAGTCAAAAAGTTTAGCCATTTCATTAAAGATGCTGGGCCCAGTGGCTCACACCTGTAATCCCAGCACTTTGGGAGGCCAAGGCTGGTGGATTGCTTGAGCTCTGCAGTTCAAGACCAGCCCGGGCAACATGGTGAAACCCCACCTCTACAAAAAATCCAAAAAAATAGCTGAGTATGGTGGTGCACACCTGTAGTCCCAACTACTGGGGAGGCTGAGGTGGGAGGATTGCTTGAGCCCAGGAGATGGAGGCTGCAGTGAGCCGTGATCACACCATTGCACTTCAGCGTGGGTGCCACAGTGAGATCCTGTGTCAAAAAACAATACAAATAAAAAGAGAAGAGGCCACTGAAATACACACTTATAAAATATGATACCAAATAAAGCCTAATGATGATGGAATCTAAAGAATCTAACCCTAGCCATATCAGAATAAATAAGTCAGTCACTCACTCATCAGCATTTCCCTGGTTCATCTTATTATATGCCGGGCTTTGTTCTGACTAATGGAGATAACAGAGAGAAGTTAGAAACAATTACCACCTTTAAAAGGGTCACAGTTTAGTAGTAGAGAGATATCTTCATAGATAATTTACTCCCTGTATAGAGCAATGGGAGGATAGAGATCTATACAACAGGCTGTAGAACCACAGAAGTAGTAGGGATGGAATGAAGGAAAGGTTATACAGAGAATATATCATTTGAGCTAGACCTTAAAAAATAGATGAGAGTTCACCATGTAGAAAGAGGAAGGGTACATTCTAGCAAAGGGTACAACATGTGCAAAGAAAAAGAGGTAGGGAAGATCTTGGGATATTTAAGAAAGATAGTTTGTCAGGTATGGGTTGGCTAGGGCATAAGATGTATGAGAAAGTGGTGAATCAATTTCTTCATATTCTTGCTATGGAGAGATTCTCTCTAAAATGGCATGTTCAGCAAGCTTACCAACTGCTGATACCCTGAACTGGCTTCCACTGATGACCGCAGACTGGGCTGTGCGCTTGCCACTAGAAATCTGGTTTTTAGAAGACCTCCATCTACTATCTCTCTCTTGAGGGTTACCAAAGCCACAGTGAACTGGAATTGGACAACAGGGAAGCTTCTTGAGGACCTCAACTTGACCATAGCCACCAACACAAGAGGACAGACATCTCATTATCTTGGCCTCTTCCAGGTGGCACTTCTAGGAATGGAATGATTGATATAGAGGTCTTTGCTATAAGCTATGCCCAGATCTTCTTACCATGAAATCCTGAGACCACAAAAGAATGCCATATGTGCCAGCTCACCTGGCCAACATCAGTTACTAAAGGCCCATGCGTTTCCAGCAGGAAGTGTCCAAAGGGCTTCAGTCAGGAATCCTTACTCCTATTATTTTTTTGATACGGAGTCTCACTCTGTTGCCCAGGCTGGAGTGCTGTGGCGCAATCTCAGCTCACTGCAACCTTCGCCGCCTGGGTTCAAGTGATTCTCATGCCTCAGCCTCCCCCGAGTAGCTGGGATTACAGGCGACTGCCACCACACCTGGCTAATTTTTGTATTTTTAGTAGAGATGGGGTTTCACCATGTTGGCCGGGCTGCTCTCGAACTCCTGACCTCAGGTGATCCACTCGCCTCGGCCTCCCAAAGTGCTGGGATTACAGGCGTGAGCCACTGTGCCTGGTCCCTTCCTACTATTATGACAGACCCTTCCTAAAGGGATGAACTTCTGAATTTGCGGGTAGCCTCCTTCTTAAAATGTTCAATGATCTCCTGTTTCTGCTGCTATGCTTCTCCTGAAGCAGCCAAAATTCCAAATCATTTCTAGCAGTAGATCTGCATTGACCTCAGCTGATTTTAAGACCTATATGGGAAGCAATCTTATTTATAATATTTATCATCCTTCATCATCCTCAAGCAAACGATCAGAGTGGGAAATGCTAGAAAGTAGTACAGTGCTGGGCATTTAATAAAAGTTCTCTAACCATAGCTTGATTAAGGTTGTCCTAAAATGGGCCACTAGAAGATGCTGGCCATTAAGATTTGACAAAACATTAACGTATCACTTAATATGTCACTCCATATTCAACAATAGGAGTTTGTCTTGCTCAGTAAAAATGGGATGAAATTACAAGGCTTGCCTTCACCATCTTTAACTCAAGGTTTCATAAAGACATACATATAGAAAATGCATTTTTAAAAGCAGTATTAACTTACACCTATCTTTATTCTTTTTTGTTAGGACAGTTAGTTTTGTCAAGAGCTATGAAACAATGATAGAATCCTACCACTCTAATCGAACTCATGGAGTCTATGCCAAAGAGAGTCCACAATGTAGATGAACCCATGTGATACTACCACTTTGGTCAACTGTGAAATTATTGCTCCTAGGGTGATGTGACAATAAAACAACAAAACAATGGAAGCTTTATCTTCCAGAACTATCAAGGCATTGAATCCTCAGCTATAGCTCCTGGGGGAACAACAGAGAACTAGTATTTCTTCACCTACCAGTAGAACTCAGACATAGCCTTGTCAAAATGGTGTTTCTCTATCACTAGGGCAAAAAAATATTAGCTAAGGAGCTAATGACATTCTGTACGTCAGGAAGATCTGGGGCTCACTGTCAGATATTTCGTCCTTTGTGGGGAAGGTTTCTATAATAATGGTATTTTGCAACATGGGGCTGTGTTGTTGACAGCTCCTTGTCTACATTTCTTACTATCCATCATGACACTGACCAACACCATCAGGGAAATACAAGATCTGCTCTGACCTTAGAACTGTTCCTGATCATGCAAAATACATTCTGTCCTGACTTCATATTAGCAGTGTTTAATTATAATTAATACAGTTATTTCTTTGTTACTTGAGAGTACAAGTCATGTGTTTCTAGCTAAACAGTAAGATCTAAGACAGTAGTATAGGGCAGTGGGAAGAATACACTTTGGAGTAAGACATTTCCAAGTTTGAACCCCACTCCCGAGCTAGCTATGTAAGTCACATAAGTTCTGTGAGTTTTAGTCCCCTCATCTATAAAGTGGGTAAGATGCTATCTTGACCTACAGGATGGCCCTAAGAATATGTAACGTGCCTGGCACATTTCTGTAAATGAAAGTTACTTTCCCCTTTCCTCTGTACCATATCTGCATCTGATAATACAATACAGGATTTTCTGATCAGGTGTTCACCAAATCTTGACTAAACACAGAGAAAAAACATTTTAGTCCATGCTTTTTGTGCCCAATATTATAGGGATTCCCTGTCCTGATCTCCCTCCAGCTTTAAAGCCAGGTTTAGTCATTCCTGACTGCACATGGTTCTTCAACAGAAGACTAAGTCCTCTGGCAAATTTGGTCCATAAGCACTTCCTATTCTGACAGAGAAGACAGGTTAAGTTTCACCCACATCTTAATCTTAAGGAATGTGCCTATTTTCTTCTTTTTTGATACACTAGCTTAGAGTCACATATCTCTGGGGAAAGCAGACAACACAATTTGAGATGGCCACCTGCCTTACTTTTCAGATGATTAATTCCATTAGTCAGATTGCCATTACAGTCAGACTGAGGGTATGCCTGATACAGCTTAAGGGCTGAGGGGTTCTTCATGAAAAATACTACTCTACCATCTCTCTTTTCCTTTCCACCCTAAAAGGTTAAAAAAAGAAACTTACCTTCTACAAGGACCCTCTTTGAAACATATTTCTAAGTCTCTAATCAAGGAAGTCTACCTAAAGCCTAAGACAACTTTAAAAGCCCTTTATGTGAGTAAATGGATTTCAAATATTGTGCTCTAAAGGAGAAAAATCAAATTCCAGGTTGGAATCCTCATTTATGCCAGACAGCCCCTGCAACTACAGGGAAACTCTGTGATGGAAATTGTCAGGTCAGCTCAGTGCCTACAGGCCCCATTAATTTATGTCTCCTTCTTCTGAGAGGACATGAAATGGGGAGAATCTTTTTACTTGATTATTCATAGCTATGCTTTTGGGGCTGCCAACTCACTCTCCATACTTTACATAGCTGACCCATGACAGCACACACCTAATCTCACATAGGGTCACATACCCTCACTTATATAGTTATACATCCCCTAGACTATAGAGAGAGATTGGGAACCTCTGAGAGATGGAGTGTCTTGGGAGAATAGACTGCATGGTGAAGAAGGGCAGAGAACAGGGAAACGAGAAATAATTCCCAGACTATTAGCTAGTTCTTTGTTGGTCTTTCCTCTAGATTACGTAAAGGACTTGAGTGGCATGTGCTTCTTCTTTGATGACCCTGAAGTCCCTACCTTAAATTGCTTCAGGCCTCAGTTCACAGACACTCTGCAGAGATATGTAACCTCCTTGCCTTGGAGAATATTTGCAGAATCAAAATGATGTCCTGCTTTAAGAGAGTTACTCTCCCAAATCCAGTGGAGGAGACTCTGAAGGAGCTTGAAGGACTGTTAATGTTACATCGGGTTTTAATCTCATAATTTGTAACCTATATGGGTAATAATTTAAAGAACAGCTTTCTGCAAAACAAATTGTTATTGGGCTCACTGCAGTTTATGTGCCTTTCCTCATCACTTCACAGAAAGGTTTCTAATACATTTCAGTATACCTGGGAGCAAGGCCTAGCACTGAGCTGTCCAGTACAGTAGCCATCCACTAGCCACGTGTGACTAATGAGCACTTAAATGTGACTGGTGTAAATTGACACACACTTGTCAAGTTTAATATCACACCAGATTTCAAAGACTTAATATTAAAAAAGAACACAAAATATCTCATTAGTAACTTTTATACTGATTCCATGTTGAAATGTTAATATTTTAGATATATTGAGTAGTTAACTAAAATATGTTATTAACATTTGTCTCCCTTGTTTCTTTTTACCTTTTTAATGTGATTACTTGAAAATTTAAAAGGGCATATACGTATTGTTATATTGTTTTATGTTTATGAATTTTGTCATACCTAACTCCTAAAGTTTTTCCTTTTGCTTTCGGTATTTGAGATGCTCCCAAGAAAAGCTAGCTGTGCAGCTTTGGGAAACCTACTTAAGCTCTCCAGGCCAAATGGGGCTAATTGTCTATTTCATAACGTTATTAATTTCATAAGGATTTAATGGGCTAATGCATACATAACGCTTATCTCTGTACTCTGTACCTGGCACTTAGTAAAAACTCAACAATTGACAGGTATTCTGCCCAAAGATAGTGAAAAGCGCTTCCCAAAGAAATGTTATACATCTTACCATCCAGGTAACATCATTTTTCTTTACATAACTGCTAATGAGATCCTTAGCTGAGAAAAATGTGAGAAGCCTCAGTGTTGGTTCCTCATGGATCTCTGAGATGATGCTTGGTTTTAAGCAGTAGCCAGGCTTAGGAAGGAGCTACAGAACTGGAGGCAAAGAATTCATTCTCCCATTTATTCATCTATCCAATCATTCAACACTTAATTTATTGAGTCTCAAGCACTGTTCTATAGACAATGGGAATATAACAATAAACAAAACAGGCAAAGATTCCTGCCCTTATAGACTTTTCTTTCTGGTAAAAATAAGTCATAGATTTGTTTTCAAAAGCTCGCTCCAATCATTTATATTCGGAACTTGATTCAGAAACCACTTTCTCCATAGACAGCACTGACCTCTCAAATGGTCATTCTAGGTCTCACCTAAAGCCTGTAAGGTATGTGTTGTTCCAGCATCTCTGCCACTCCCCAGAATAGTCAAGAATTACTAGCCAATCAATGCAGTCCCCTCCTTAGGCTCAAATCAATCAAAAGGTTTGTAGGCTCCCTCCACATACCATGCATCAGTCTTCACTGATCTCTTACCTGCCACAAAGAGATTAACCCACTATCCTCTAGTATGTCAAATGGGCTACAAGTGACGTGCCAAACCCTCAGGAAGCAAACAATATCCACAGCACTACCACCAGAAAAGTACATTATCTCACTGTCTCCACTACCAGTTTTGTCCCAGGAGGTATCATGGTGCAATGAAAGTAGCATGGGCTTTGGCACCAAAATGACCAGGATTCAAATCCTAGCTCTGCAGTGCACTGTGACTTCAGGCAGATCATTTTAACTCTCCATTCCTTCATCTGCTGTCCTGTGAAAAGGCTATCTTCCTCACAGGATTATGGGAATGAATATCTAACAGGCACAGTGCCTGGCACAGTTAGTATTCCAGAAGCATTAGTTTTCTTCCCACATTCCTTCCAAGTTGGGTGGTATTTTAGAAACAGCATGAAAGCTATTCTTGTATGGATTAGGACTAAGCAATTGCCTCTTAGTGGAGGGCTCACACTGGCTAGCTTTCCAGTGAAGTATTCAGTAATATCATTTTAGCAACTTGAAACTGGCCATGGTGGGAGTATATCCGCTATAGAAACCACAAGTGCTACAAATTAGGTTTTACTTATTTACTGTTTTTCTGGAGAGCTGGTTTGCCAGCACTCCACTAGCTTAAACCGCAAGACACATGGACAACTCAGGGACAAAGATAAGGCAATTACACACTTGTCATTTTGAAACAGAGACCCTTCTACAGACTGGGCAAAAATTGCCATGAAATATAGCTACTCGGTCCTTCTCTACAGAATCTTTCATGTGGCACATTAAACATACTTATTGCCCCCTGAATATAAAAACCAGCAACATAAGACACGACAAGTATCATCACAGGGCCAAGTTCACAGTAGGTGCTCAGTAAACATCTGTCAAATACATAAACAAGCCCAGGATAAATTATTTGCCACTTTTCATCAATGAAATAGAAGCAGTGGTTTGAAAAAATGAAATGAGACTCAGGAGAAAAGAACTTTAGGATAGAGGTGAACGCACAAGCCAGAATGCTGAATGAGAAAGTTCTGGAAGGGTGAACAGGCTCAAGGCAAGGGAAAGTTGGAACACAGAATCCAGAGAAATAGGTCCATGGTAGTAGGGTACAGGAGAGGTACATGGGGGAAACTGACAAATGGAACAAGGTCCTGAAATAGAAATAGAAATTCATGAGCTATACTTTATCTGGGAAGGAATTTTATAATGTTTTGGTGGAGATGTTCTTTATAAAATTATCAAAATTTTTATCTTCTTAAACCACTGCACTTTAACAACTTAAATATATAATTTACATATGATAAAATTCACCCATCTAAAGCATAAAATATAATGAATTTTAGCATTTACAGAGCTGTGCAACCATCACCACAATCTAATTTTAGAATATGTCCATTATCCTAAACAGAAACCTTGTGCAATTTATATTCAGTCCCCATTCCTAACACCCAGCCCCAAGCAACCACTAATCACTTTCTGCCTCCAAAGATTTGTCTTTTTTGAACATTTCATATACAATAAATGGAATCATACAATATGTGGCCTTATGTGTCTTCTTCCACTGAGCATGTTTTTGAGGTTCATTCATATAGTAGCATATAATACTGCTTCATTTCTTTTCACTGCCGAACAATATTCTATTGTATGATTATACCACATATTATTTATCCACTCAGAAGTTGAGGATGTTTGGGGTGTTTCTGCCTTTTGGCTTGTGTGAGTCATGATGCTATGATATGAACATTCAGGTACAACTTTTTGTGCAGACATATGTTTTCATTTATCTTGTGTATACACCTATGAGTGAAAGTTCTGAGTCATACGATAGCTCTATGTTTAACATTTTTAGAAACTGCTAAACTGTTTTCCAAAGAACTACACCATTTTGCATTCGTATCAGCAATGTATGAGAGTGTTCTGATATGCCACATCCTTGACAACACTTATTTTTGTCTAATAGATAGCCATTCCAGTGGATGAGAAATGTAATCTCATCATGGTTTTGATTTTCATTTTCCTAATGACTAATGATGTTGAGTATCTGTTCACATGTTTATTTGCCATTTATATATATTCTTTGGATAAATGTCTATTCAAATTCTTATCCTGCTTTTTAATGTATAATCTGTCTTATTACTGAGTTGTAAGAGGCTTTATATTTTCTGAATCTAAAGACTTTGTATGATATATGATTTATAGGTATAGTCTCTCAGTCTTTGAGGTGTTATTTCACTTTCTGGATGGTATCTTTAAAGTGTGAAGGTTTTAAATTTTAAGTCCAGCTTACATCCAGCTTATCATGTTTTTATGACTTGTGGTTTTGTTGTTGTATCTTAGAAATCTTTGTGTAACTCAAGATCACAGAGATTTACTCCTATGTTTTCTTCTAAGAGTTTTATAGTTTAAGCTCTTATACTTAGGTATATGGTACACTTTTGAGTTAATTGGTGTGTATGGTGTGAAGTCAAAGATCAAATTCATTATTTTGCATGTGAATATTCTACCGCCTGAACACCAATTGTTGAAAAAACTATTTCTTTCCCTTTGAATTTTCTTGGCAAGTTTGCCCAAAATCAGTTGATCACACATGTAAAGGCTTATTTCTGGGATCTCAACTGATTGCCATTATCTATATGTCTTTCCTTAAGCCAGTAGCACACTGACTTGACTATTGTGGCCTTGTCATAAATTTTGAAATTGGCCACTGTAGGTCCTCCAAGTTTGATCTTTTTAAAGACTGTTTTGGCTACTCTGGGTTTCTTGCATTTCTCTGTGTATTTTAGAATCAGCTTGTAATTTTCTGAAACAAAAAAGTCATCTCATCTGAGGCCAGGTGCAGTGGCTCATGCCTGTAATCCCAGCACTTTGGGAGGCCAAGGTGGGTGGATCACTTGAGGTCAGGATATCGAGATCAGCCTGGCCAACATGGTGAAACCCAGTCTCTACTAAAAATACAAAAATTAGCCAGGCGTGGTGGCACAGTCCTGCAGTCCCAGCTACTCGGGAGGCTGAGGCAAGAGAATCGCTTGAACCCGGGAGGTGGAGGTTGCAGTGAGCCAAGGTCACGCCACTGCACTCCAGCCTGGGTGACAGAGCAAGACTCCATCTCAAAAAAAAAAAAAAAGTCATCTGAGATTTTTCTAGGGATTGTATTGAATTTGTAGATCCATCTGGGAAGTACAGCCATTTTAATAATATTATATCTTCTAATTCACAAACATGGGATATCTTTCTACTTATTTAAGTCTTTCTTTTCTTTCACTGGTGTCTTATAGTTTTCAGTGTACAAAATACTTTTTTGTCAAATGTATTCTTAATTATTCCATTTTTTGATGCTATTGTGAATGAAAATGTTTTCTTAATTTCATTTTCAGATTATTACTATAAAGACATAGAATTGATTTTTTATGTTGATGTCATATCCTACAGACATGATGAAAAATTATGTTTTACTGTATAAAATATAATATTATCTATGAATAAAGACAAATTAGCTTTTTTTGTCTAATTGCCTTGGATAGAATCTGTAATGCAATGTTGAATAAAACTGGTAAGTGTAGACATATTTGTCTTGTTCCCATCTTAAAGCAAAAGAATTCAGTCTTTCTCTATTAAGTATGATGCTACCTGTAAGGTTTTTGTATATGCCCTTTATCAGCTTAAGGAAATTCCCTTCTATTCCTAACTTGTTGAGGGTTTTTGTCATGAAAAGGTGATGGATTGTGTCAAATTATTCTTCTGCATGTATGCAGTTTATCATGTTGTTTTTGTACTTTATTCTACTAATGCAATGTTTACATTCATTGATTTTTTGCATGTTAAAACAGCCTTGCATTCCTAAGGTAAATTCCACTTGGTCATGGCGTATAATTATTTTTACATATTGTTAGATTCAGTTTGCAAGTATTTTGTTCTAGATTTTTGCATCTATTTTCATAAGGAATACTGGTCTATAGTTTTCTTTTCTTGTAGAATGAGTTGACGCTTATTTCCTCTATTTTCTGGGAGAGTTTGTGAAGTATTGGTATTAACTCTTCTTTTAATGTTTGGTAGAATTTATTAGTAAAACTCTTTGGACCTGGGCTTTTCTTTATGGGAAGATTTTTAAACTACTAATTCAATCTTCATACTTGTCTGTTCAGGTTTTCTATTATTTCTTGAGCAGTTTTCATAATTTGCATTTTCCAGGAATGTATCCATTTTATCTAAGTTATCTAATTTGTTTGCATACAGTTGTTTGGAGTGCTCCTTTATACTTTTTAATTAATTTTTCTGTAAGTTCTGAAGTGATGTTCCCTCCTCAATTCTTGAAATCTGTAATTTGAGTCTTCTCTTTGTCAATATATTTTGTTGATTGTTATGGGATGAACTGTCCATCCAAACTTCGTAGGTTGAAGCCCTAACTCAACAGTATCTCAGAACATGAATGAATTTGGAGATAAATCCTTTAAAGAGATAGTTACGTTAAAATGAGGCTGTTAAAGTGGGCTCTACTCCAATTTGAAAGGTATCTTTATAAGAACAGAAAATTACGACACATATTGAGACACTAGACACATGCACATGCAGAAAGGAAAGACCAGGTGAAAACATATTGAAAAGGTGAGCCACCTGCAATCCAAAAAGAGAGGCCTCAGGAGAAACCAAACTTACTGACACCTTGATCTTATACTTTCAGTCTCCAGAAATGTGAGAAAATTGATTTCTGTTATTTAAGCCACCAAGTCTGTGGTAATTTGTTATGGCAGTGCTAGCAAACGATCAATTTTGTTGATATTTTCAGACAACCAACTTTTGGTCTCATCGATTTTCTATGCTGTTTTTCTGCTATTTCATTTATTTCAACTCTAGTAATTATCATATTATTGGTTTCCTTCCACTGGTTTTGCATTTACATTGCAAAATTCCTTCTGAATCTCCTAGTTTCTTAAGGCAGATTAGGTCATTGGTTTTACATTTTTTCTTCTTTTTAATATAGGCATTTACAGCTTCAAATTTCCCTGTGACTACTATTTTTCCTGCAGTCTGTAAGTTTTGATGTGTTGTGTTTTCATTTTCATTAATCTTATTTTCTTATTTCTTCAGTGATTTATTCTTTGACCCACTGGTTATTTAGGAGTATATTGTTTAATTCCCACATATTTGTGAATTTCCCAAATTTCCATCTGTTGTTGACTTCTAATTTAATTATATTGTGATCTGCAAATTTACTGCATATGATTTCTATTCTTTTAAGTTTGTTGAGACTTGTTTTATGGCCTAGCATATGGGTCTATCCTGGAGATTGTTCCACATACACTTGAGAAGAATGTATATTCTTCTGTGGTTGGGTGGAGTGGTCTGCAAATATCTGTTAGGTCTATTTAAATTATTGTGTTGTTCAAGTCCTCTATTTTCTTGTTGATCTTCTAATCATTTTATCCATTATTGAAAATGAGTATTGAAATCTCCAACTATTATTGTTGAATTGTCTATTTTATCTTCAATTCTGTTAATTTTTGCTTCATGTATTTTTGGGACCTGTTGTTAAGTATATAAATATTTAATATGTTTGTTATATTTTCCTGATTAATTGACCCTTTTATCATTATAAAATATTTATTTTTTATCTCTAGTAACTTTTTTTTTTTTTTTTTAAGAGACAGGTCTCTGTCACCCAGGCTAGAGTGCATGGAGTGTAGTGGTACAATCATAGCTCACTGCAGCCTCAAACTCCTGGGCCCAAGCAATCCTCCTACATCAGCCTCACAAGTAGCTGGGACTACAGGTACCCATCACCATGTCTAGCTAATTTTCTATCTTTCTTTAGGGATGGGATCTTACTATATTGCTCAGACCGGTCTTGAACTCCTGGCCTCAAGCAATCCTCCTGCCTCAGCCTTCCAAGTAGCTGGGATTACAGACATGAACAAGCACACCTGACAACATTTTTTTTTGTTTTAATACGTATTTTGTGTGATAACACTAACAGCTACTCCAGCTGTCCGATGGTTGCAGTTTACATGGTATATCTTTCTCTGTTATTTTAGTTTTAACCTATTTGTATCTTTGAATTGAAGGTACATCTCTTTTTGACAGCATACAGTTAGACCTCAGTTTTTTTATCCAGTCTGAGAATTTCTTTCTTTTTATCAGGTTATTTACTCCATTCACATTCACATTATTATTAATACAGTTGAATTAATATCTGCCATTTGCTATTAGTTTTCCATATGTCGTATTTTACAAAATATTTTCTGTCCCTTCTTTACCGCCTTGTTTTGTATGAAATAGGTATTTTCCAATGTAGCATTTTAATTTCTTTATTAAATTTTAAACCCTATTTTTTTAACTTTTATTTTAGGTTCAGGGATACATGTGAAGGTTTGTTATATAGGTAAACTCATGCCATGGGGGTTTGTTATACAGATTATTTCATTACTCAGGTATTAAGCCTAGTACCCAATAGTTATTTTTTCTTTTTCTTTCCCTCCTCTCACCCTCCATCCTCAAGCAGACCCCAGTATCTGTTGTTCCCTTGTGTTCATGAGTTCCCATCATTCACCTCCCACTTACAAGTGAGAACATGCAGTATTTGGTTTTCTGTTCCTGCGTTAGTTTCCTAAGGATAATAGCCTCCAGCTCCATCTATGTTTCCTCAAAAGCTATGATACTAATTCACACTCCCACCAACAGTGTATAGGTGTCCCCTTTTCTCTACAACCTTTCCAGTATCTGTTATTTTTTTACTTTTTAATAATAGCCATTCTGACTGGTTAAGATGGTATCTCATTGTGGTTTTGATTTGCATTTTTCTAATGCTCAGTGATATTGAGCTTTTCATTCATCTGCTTGCTTGTTGGCCACATGTATATCTTCTTTTTTTTTGAGACGGAGTCTCGCTCTGTCACCCAAGCTGGAGTGCAGTGGCATGACCTCGGCTTACTGCAACCTTCACCTCCTGGGTTCAAGCGATTCTCCTGCCTCAACCTCCCGAGTAGCTAGGACTACAGGCCTGCACCACCACGCCTGGCTTTTTTGTATTTTTAGTAGAGACGGGGTTTCACCATGTTGGCCAGGCTAGTCTCGAACTCCTGACCTCAGATAATCCACCTGCCTTGGCCTCCCAAAGTGCTGGGATTACAAGCGTGAGCCACTGCGCCTGGCCCACATGTATGTCTTCTTTTCAAAAGTATCTGCTCATGTCCTTTGCCTCCTTTTTAATGGAGTTGTTTAAACTCTATTTTTAAAGTTATATTCTTATTTATTGCTCTAGGAATTACAATATACATCTTATATTCTACTTCAGTTTTATACTAACTTAATTACAGTAAGATATTTACAAATTTGCTCTACTATAGCTCCATTTCCTCCTTCTTCCTTTGTGTTTTTATTTTCATATATATTTTGTCTATATACAGTACAAACTCAACAGTGCAGTGTTATAATTGTTGCTTTAAATAATCTTATGCTGTTTGAAGGAACAAAAAAGAAATAAAACTATACTTATAAAGTTTTATGTTGAGCTTCTTATTTATGATTTCTGGTACTCTTTATTTCTTCCTGTGCATTTGAGAGACTACCTGATGTCATTGTCTTGCTCCACTGCAACTTCCTTCCCTTCAGCCTACTCTGTGCTGTCATTGTTAAGTATCTCTCTATATGTTACAGGCCCCCAATTCAATTATACTGCTATTGTTTTGTGCTATTGTTTTTAAATCAATTAAGGGAAGATAAGAATATGTAATTATGCTGTCTTTTATAGTTACTACATAATTACATTTATCAGCACTCTTAGTTTTTTTTCATGTGGATATGAATTACTGTGTGACATCACTTCCTTTCAGCCTGAATAACTTCCTTCGATATTTCTTGTAAGGGAAGTCTGACATCGACAAATTATCTCCGTCTTTGTTTATCTGAGAATGTCTTTATTTTGCCTATAGTTCTGAAAGGTAGTTTTGCCAGATACAGGATTCTTGGTTGATATCTTTATCCTTCAAGCACTTTGATTATGTCATCCCTTTGCCTTCTGGTCTCCATTTTCTTTCTGATGAGAAGTCAGCTATTCATCTTTTTGGAGTTCACTTGTACATTATGAGTCATTTATTTTCTTGCTGCTCTTATGACTTTTCCTTTTGTCTTTGGCTTCTGACATTTTAACTGTAATATACTTAGGTGTATATCTTTATGCCTTTATCCTTCTTGGAATTTCTTGAGGATTTTCCATATGTAGATTAACATTTTTCATCATGTTTTGGAAATTTTCAGCTATTATGCATTCATTTTTTTCCTGCCCCATTTATACTCTTCTCCTTGCAGTACTTTTATCATGTGTATGTTGAAGCACTTAATGGTGTCTCAGATTTCTGGAGCTCTGTTCATTTCCTTTATTCTTTTCTTCTGTTCTTCAGAGTGTATAATCTCTAATTATCTATCTTCAAATTCATTCTTTCTTCTTCCAGCCTTATTTACTGCAGAGCCCCTCCAGTAAATTGTTCCTTTCCATTGTTGTAATTTACAACTCCAGAATTTTCATTTGATTTTTCTTCTATAATTTCTCTCTTTATTATCTCTTTGACTTGTTATTTTCTCATTTTAGGCTGGTTCCTTTAGTTCTTTGAACATACTTATAATAGTTATTTTGAAGTGTTTGTGTCTGTCTGATATATTATCTACCCCTACAACCTCACACGTTGTTTATATTGCCTGCTTTTTTTTGTACAATGGTCACACTATTCTGTTTCTTTGCATGTTTCATAATTGTTTGAGAACTGGGCATTTTAGATGATATACTGTAACAAATCTAGATTCTGATTAGCTTTCCCACCACTACCATGGGGCTTGCTGTTTGGTGGTTTGCCTGGACTAATCTTGTGAAGTCTAATTTCCCTGCACTGTGAAATCTCCAATGTTACTGCTCAGTTTTTTCTCCTTGGTTTGTTTCTTTGTTACCTCAGAGTAGCTCCTGGGTCAGTATAACTTAATATTTACCTAGTGATTGGTCAGAATTGTGCTTATGCCCCTTAAGCCTTAATGATATAGAACTTTGATGATGGATTTCTGTGTGGCTTGGGGAATACTTATAAATTGGCTCCATGTTCAAGCAGTGACTAGTAGCTCTCAAGTACACTTTCTGGTTGCTTTTGAGTCAATGCAGTGTAGCACATGTGCATGCCATCCTGACCCCCAGTGATCTTAACAGGACTCTTTTTAGCTGTCTCTCCCCTTGATTCTGTCTGTTAAACTTCTGGCTGGTCTGCCATTTAATTCGTTGCTTCTAGTTACATGAACTATTAGCTTCCTACTAGTTGTTCAACATAAAGATCTCTACCGTTTTTGAAAACACCTTTTAGGAGTGAGTTTTTCCATTCTCTGTTCCAAATAAAGTCAGCCCTCAACAGCGCTGCTGACCTGCCAGTCTTCCAGTCTTTCCTAACACCCTGAGCAGAATTTTTGTCGTTCCTTACTGGAATGAAGATATGGTAGTAGTCTGATTCTACCTAAGTGATATCACCCTATAAGCAGGAGCTGGAGGATGGGGATGGTAGCCCCATCTTTTTGATCTGTACCTCCTGGTATGGAACTTCTACCCTACAAGTGGGATCTGGGGTGGGGAAGGAACCTCAGTCTTCTTGACTACGCCAACCCAAAATAGAGCTTCTAAAACATGAAGCTGAGAGTGGGGGGAAAAAGACACTGCGAGTGGGGGGAAAAAGAGCAGCCTGTCTCTCTTCAGGTGAAACTGTAGTCTTATGACTAGGAGCTTGGCATAAAGGATGCCCCATCTTCTTGGCTATACCTGCCCAAAGTATAGCTTCCACGACAAAGAGCTGGGTTGGGGAGAGGTGATGACAGCTAGCTGGACTTCCTTTATTCTTATTGAGACCTAGTAGATTTTCTTGAATTAATTCATCTCAATATACTGAATTCCCTGAGGTCAATTTCCAGAGACTTTAAATAGTTGTTTTCAATAATTTTCACCAGTTAAGTGGTTGCTTCAATGGGGAGAGAATATGTTTAGCTCCTCACACAGCCATTCTGGAAGTCCTGCTCCTAAACCACTGATTTTTAAGCCTTTTATTATGCTTTTCTTGGCTTTTGGAAACCAACTTGTATTAGTCCATTTTCATACTGCTATGAAGAAATACATGAGACTGGGTAATTTATAAGAAAAAAAGGTTTAATGGACTCACAATTCCACATGGCTGGGGAGGCCCCACGATCATGGCAGAAGGCGAAGGAGAAGCAAAGGCATGACTTACATGGCAGCAGGCAATAGAGCATGTGCAAGGGAACTTCCCTTTATAAAACCATCAGATCCTCATGAGACTTATTCACTGTCACGAGAACAGCACAGGAAAAATCAGCTCCCATGATTCAACTACCTCCCACTAGGTCCCTCCCATGACACATGGCAATTATGGGAGCTACAATTTAAGATGAGATTTGGGTGGGGACACAGCCAGACCATATCACAATCCATTTTTAGATTTGCAGATGAGTTGGTTCTGCTTACCAATGGTTTAATTTCTGTAGTGTAGGCTTTATGTATATAGACCAACAAACACAATGCCCACAACAAGAAAGAAAATATTTCACAAATTCATTAGGTGTATGCTCATATGAGTGACTACATTCAAGTTAATTTTCGGTCTCATGCATATAGCCTCCTCATTTTCCAGCAGAAAGTAAAAATGAGTTGTTTTCCCATAACTGAATATCCAAGATACCCAAACTTTATTCCATCAAGTACCAGACATTTCATTTTAGTCATGTTGGTGGACTCACTCTAAAATATCTCCTTAGTAACTTACACAAAGGCAGGTGATTCTAACTACTTGAAAGGGAGAATGAAGGATTGCTAAAAAGGAAGCAGGTACAATATATGAAAGACATCACAAACTTTGCCAATTATAGAGATCAGTCAGACACATTGATAGACACTGTAAAGAGTATAATTGATACTGCCAAGGATCCCAAATATCAAATGGTGCACACATCTACCTCATTCACATTTCCGTAAACTGTCTGGCAAACAGATAAACAACAGCCTTCCAAATGACATGAACTGGCCGAGAAATCTATGCTGATCATGGCACTGTTATACCCTTAAACTTTCTGCAGGCCCAAACAATGAAAGAACCAATGCCTCCTAACATTTAAAGTCTACTTTAAACTAGCCCTAACCTTTCTTTCCAGACTCAATCTCCACTGTTCCCCAATTTGTAACTTTCTCCAACCACATTTATTTCCCTTTCTACTACCTTCACCTGGTATGTTTCCTTCACCGTCATCACCCTGTCTTGCTAGTCTGAAAGTTCCTTAACGGAAGGGATTGTGTTTTGTCCATCTCTGCCCCTAGGACCCACCACAAGGCCTGTCAGAATATTCAGTACATTTTTTTAATGAATGAATTTCTGCCATCTGAACCATCTGAACCCTTAAATGTCACCTCCACCTTGGCGCTTTTCCTGGTCTCAAATGGGTCAAGTCTCTCACCTGTTGAAATTCCCACAGCTTCTTGCTTCTAACCTTTTTAATGATACCTATCATAGTTTCCCTTGTGCTTTGTTATAATTATTTAAATACCTACATTATTCCTGCCACCACTACTTTTTCCCTCTTCAGAGAAAGAGGGCGAACAAGAGACAGAAAGACACACACACACACAGGATCACAGTCTTAAAGAGCATGAACTTTGCCTCATTTAAAAAAAAAACTTTCTTGTGGAACTTAACACAATGCTTATCACATAGGAGACATAGGAGGAGTTCAAGAAATATTTGCCAAATTGAATTGCTGAAACATTTGGATATCAGTATGGAGATTTTACTTTAGATCCATACCTCATACCATACACTTGAATAAATTCCAGATGGGCCCAAAAATTAAACACAAAAAAGAAAAAAACACCCTGGGGGAGTGGGGAAGACAGAATCACATATTTGTCCCAGCTGTTGAGGAGTGGTAAATTTCTGAATATTGAAAAATGAAAGAAACATTAGAGACAGGATGGATGGATTTGAATATATAAATGTAAAAAGGAATAGTTTTGCATAGTGAAATATGATAAAGCATACATAAAAATGAAAGCAATAAAATTGGAAAAATATGTGACAAATATAAATGATGAAGCTGACTATCCAAAATATAGAGAATGGATAAAAATATATAAGGTCATTACCCAGATTTTACTTGAGAAGTGGTGAAAGAAGATGAACGAGGAAACAGCAAATTATGACACTAAAAAATGAAAAGCCTCATTAAATAAAATTAAAACAAATGGATAGTATACTTATATACCTACTAAACTAGCAAAAAGGTTAAAAATGATAACATTCAGTGCTGCAGGGATCTGTGAAAACAGGCACACTTATGCAGTTTAATCTTTTGGGAGTACAATCTGGCAACATGTAACAGCAGCTATAAAACAGCTCATACCTTTTGGCCTCGTTATTACACATTTGGTAAGATACCAGAAAGCAATAACTCTAAACAGAAGAAATGCAATTTGTGCAGAACCATTCACAGCATCACTTTTTATAAGAGTAAAAATTTTAAAATAACTTAAATCTCCAATAATAGAATGGCTAAGCAAAATCTGGCATGTCAATACCACACAATCTTATATTTTCATGTGTAAGGGTATCTGCCTATTCCACATTGCCAGGTCTTTGCTTTTATGATTTCTCCATCCTGGGTGTCTGTTACTTAGCTGTCACTGTGTCTATTTCTAGAGTAAACTACCTCCTCAAACCCACCCATCCTGCCGCCCCAAATTCTAATTTGCTGCTGTAACTGAGGAAATATCAGGCTCCCATTAAATTAAGGACCAGTGGGTCTCTCTGAGGTCAAGACATGAGGGCCTCTTCTCCTGCACCATGGGCTTTCTGGCAGCTGTTTGAAAAATCTCAAAGGCTTCTTTTTTCTTTTTAAACTTATTACCAGAGTCCAGGCTGTTCTCTGAGCTTCAGGATAAGTGGGGTATTGCTAAAAAAAATGGTTTTGCTTTAATTACAGGCTCTTAGTAAAACTGTTTGCCTTTCATGAACGCTATGTATTGAGCAAAACTCCTCTAGTCCATAATAGAAATATTTTCATATGGAAACATGGAAACACCTTTGATCAAGAAAGATAGCCTTAAACTTTATAAATTATAAGTTCTGTGAATAGAATTGGCCATGTTGTGATTAAAAAGAAATCTGGGGACAAGTAATAACAAATACATCTATTAGAGTCATGGTAATATGCCTACTGTCAACTAAAATACATTTCTTAAAACTGAGGTCTTTTTGGTTCATTACAGCTTATTACTGCTTCATAATAATAATGTGCTTGAATCTCACAAATATGTGAAAATTACACAGTCATAATTCTCATCAAGGACTCAATCTCAAACTTACTTTTTAAAAACAAAATGTTGGTTCTAAGTTGGAGGTTTTACTTAAGGCCATACATGATTAGCCTTCAAAAATGAAATCAAAGTAGTCCCCAGATATAGAGGCTAATATAAACATATTAGAGCCTTTTTGTGAAAGACTTGGATACCATTCCTACCAAAGAAGTCAGTGGACACATTAAAAGCATTTCAAAATAAATAGAAATAAGAACATTCTGGGTGGGTAAAGCGATTGCTGGCAATGTTAAAAGAGAAGGATACCTTCATTTTGAGCCACACAACCAACAAAACAAAACACTCAGAAGAAATTTAAGCTTTGAAAACTTGGCTGTGATGAGAAGAAGATATAAAAAGTGAAGAATTTCCCACCTTAGGTCTATTCCCTGGATGGGGCTAAGGGCGTTAAGTCTGCTTGTATGATGTTGGAAACAATAATCCTTATAGTTCTGAAAGAAATCACTAAATGGGAGCCATCCTTCGAGTTTGGTCATTCTGTAAATTGCTTTATTTCTTATATGTAAAACCTGTATTCAGGAATCTGTAAATCTTTTCCCCCACCTATGAACGTGAGCTGCTTAGTGCTTTTGTCAGCAACAAATAGTGTATACATTATTAATTCAACTTTAATGGGTCCAAAGATTACATATGCTGAGCATCTAAAGTAAAAATATAATGCAGGTTGATAGGCAGGAAAGGAAAGAGGAACTCATGGAACCTCAGAAGCAAAACCTAGTTTCAGAATCCAGATCTGCTGAGGTCTGGCATCAACAGTCTTGTATACATTTATAGGAATTAGGTTGGCAGGTTGATAGATTTCTCATTACCAAGGTTGGGTTTCTTGAACTCTCAGGAAACTAGAAGAGAATATTTGGAAAACAATCATGCCAGCAGCAGGCCAGGAGGGTGAGACTTGAAGGAGATGTTGGCTGAGCCATTTCCTGAGCAGATCCGAAGGAAATGATTTCAATTATTGTCACACAATGGGCCAGATGCTCCCTCTTGCCCTATTCTAACTATTCTCCCAGCTCCAAAACAAAGAGGAAAGGAAGGAGGGGAAAAAAAGAGGAAAGGAAGGGGAGAGGAGGAAGGGAATGAAGGAGTGAAGAAAGGGAGGGAGGGAAGAAAGGGGAAGGAGGGAGGGAGGAAGGAAAGAAGGAAAAAAAGGAAAGAAAGGGAAAAAGAAAAGCATTACAATTAAAGCAAGAATTAACAGCTGTAATAAATATAAAGGTTACTTTTGCATAAAATGAAAATAGAAAAGGTCAGTTCAGGAAATGTTAACACACTGGCTCAGTTTCTCTCAGTTCATAGGCCTGAATCATTAGGCGTCGCAGGCCCAATAGGACCACAGCTTTGTTGCTTGAGCTTTTATGAGGCATATCTGTGCTGGTGGCAGCTAGCAGACTGGCAGGGCTACAAACTGGCATGCCCTCAGGTCATAAACTAATTATGGCACAATCATTCACTTGTTCTAGCCATTCTGCCAATTACTTCATGAGTAGGGTTGGGCGGGACCTTTGTCTAAGGCCTGCTCTGGAAACAAGACCTCCTGGGCTTAAGCCTTCCTTCCTGTGGAGTTCTGTGGGAGTCTGTAGGGCCATCAATAGTCTCAGTAGGCCAACCAGTCTACCCTTCTGCCTTAATAATCCACTCACCAATTATTAAGTGTCTGTGTTGTACAAGGCCCAGTGAGGAAATGCAAAAATAACAACGTACTCTTGAAGGGCTTAGAGTCTAGGGTTAGGGTGGGGAACATAAGAACCATTCAAAACCTCTGCTTAAGCCCACTTGCATATCTCAAGCCCTGGACTTTCCTGAACAGAAGGGCCCTTTTGAATCTAGACACTGCATTAGTCATCTGAGTTCATTCCACATGTTCTCGGGGGGAATAAAAAGAAGATGTTTACTTCCAGAGTCAGTGTAAGCTTCCATCTTTTTCCCAATGATGGTGGATAAGCTTCCCTGTTCTCCAGAGTCATAATTCAATTAAGGTCTTACCAAAGCCTTCCTGTCCAAGAGAAGGGTCAATCACTCTTCCAGCACAGCAACTCCCCTGCCCCAAGGACTACCCCCACTGCACTCAATTGAAGTGCCTGACTAGGTACACTCAGAGGAGATACATCCCTTTATATAAAAGAGCCACAGACTTACAAATAGCCTCGGGGAGCCAGCATGCATTCCAAGAAATACATGTAAACACATGAAAAGGTATGTACACAGGTTTGCTTACAAACAAAGTCAGAAGAAAAGTAAACAGATTGGGAGGGGGAAATTTCACAGCTCAGTGAGCTGAAGACCTGGATAGAAAGGTGAATGAATAAGTCCAACATACTGTGTTTCAAGGCAGCAGCATACATACACAGTCAGCAGTGACAACTGGTTTGCTGGGACAGGAAAGAATGGATTTGCAGAGAGAATTCAGGAAACAGTTTGAGGATCAATAGGCCCCATCAGTATGCCAGTGATTTCATACTAATGCAGTCAAGGTCCCAGAGTAAATTATTTCCATGCTTATTACTGCTTATGGCAAACATCACCCAATTCAGACTTAGAGGTTCAAATAGCCCTAGCTCCCTGACAGACATCATTGAAAACATTCCTGCAAGGAGCACCCTTTGTAAGGTGGAGCCTGGCCAAGTACCAGGCGTCTGCTCCTCTCCATGGTCACATAGTCTCCTGCTGCCTTCCACCCTCATACAGGCCCCCAGTCTGTTTGCATTCCCACACCTGGCCCCACCTTCTAGCAGAGGCCAAGAGCATCATTCTTGGATGAATGCCCAGCCTTTGAAGTCAGAGAGAATGCAGGCTGTTAGATGAGGAGATCCAGATTCAAGACTTCTCAACACACACTTCCCCCTACTCAACAATGCTTACAATAAAGTTACGCTCAAGAGGCACTCTGGCTGCTAGAAAAACAGGAAGCCAGAGGAGTGGGTAGGTCAGTTAGGCTCTCTAGACTGGCCTGAACTCTGTGGAATGTCAGGCTCACTAGAAAGCTGAATGCCTCCACTGAAGGTGTGACCAAGGTATCTTTAAGCTGGAACTGACCAACCACCCCTGTCTTAGTAAAAAGGTATTTCTCCCCAAATCTGCCTTCCCCACCCTCCCTTCACACACAAAGAAAGTAGCCAGGCCTTCAGTCTTGGTTCTCTAGAGCGCAGCAGAACAACTCAGGCAGAAGCAGCTTGGGAGACCTTGTGCTTCTCTATTCGAGTGCTTTCCTAAACTGTGTGGTTGGCAAAAAACAGATCTGAACATTTGGCTGGAAGCAGCCATGTTTAAAAACAATTGTTTAATTTCAAGATTGCAAGAACCTTTCTTCATTTTGGCAGTTTGGGAGAGGGAGTGGAAATGTAGATCCATTAGAATAAACAGTAACCATCCATTTGTGTGTATCTGTTCATCTAGGTGTATTCATGGAAATCTGGGAGAAATTAAGCCTTCTGCCTTCTTCTAGCCCATAAGGTCATTGGTCTGCCACGCCTCCTGCAATAACAGTTGCAATGCAATAACTCATACTTACATAGCACTTGACAGTTTACACAGCATCCTCCCATTCATTATGCCATTTAATAAAGATTAATCCATTATGTGGTGTGACTAATTCCCTTTGACCTAACAATTCTGCTTTTTCTATAAATATCTCTTAGTAAAATAATCAGATAAGTGTGCAAAGGTGTACGTACACAAATGGCCACTGTTGCACTGTTTATATTAGCAAAATGTTAGGAGCAAATTAAATGTCAATTAATATGGTACTGGTGAAAATACCTGTAGTATTTATATAGTCATAAAGTGTAATACAGTGATACCATTAAAGTGATTCTGTAGATCTGAAAAGATTTCTGCAACGTATTGTTAGTTGTAAAAACATAGGCTAGAAAACATTACATATAATATGACCTTGTTTTTTATGTGTGTGTGTGTGTGTGTGTGTGTGTGTGTATAAACATGGAAGAATGAAGTGTGAGATATGCATACACCTAAATATCAATGCCTGTTACCTCTAGGAGGTAGGAATGTGGCTAATTTTAATTTTCTTCTTTAAACTTCTGTGTATTTTCTAAGTTAATATTAAATCAACAAACATTATTGCTTTTGATGATGTGGAAAACAATAAAGCTACGGTCATTTTGGAAAGGAGAGAAAACATGTGGTAACAACAATAATAGTAGCTAACATTTACTGAGCAGTTACTATGTACCTTGGTTTTAAGTACACTTATATTTTGATCTCATAACAGTACTTATGAGGTATGTAATACTGTCCCCATATTAGAGATGAGAAAACACTGAAGCTTAGAGAGTTTAAGGGACTTCCCAAGGACACACAGCTAGAAAGTGACAAAACTAGGATGTAAACTGAGGTTTCTGTTGACTCCAAATCTCATTCTCTTATTTGATGCTCTACCACCTTCCTCTTCTAGGGCCCTTTCTCCCTTGAAGTGCTCAAAACAATGTATCAAAGCCAGTTATTATACTTTTGATTACTTACGCCAGAAAGACCCCATTAAGAGCATAACTGTTTCTAGCTCAGAGCAAGGTTTCAAGGAAGCAGCACTATTAGAGCCTGATGCCAAAACCCAGGTGACCAAAATCAGCAATAGCTCAAATTGAACCTTCATCCCTTAAATCTCACAAATGCAAAGACAGTCTTTGTTTGATTCAAACGTTTTCTTCCTCCATCCATCCATCCATTCCTTCATTGAATACCTATCATATGCTAGGAACTGTGGGCATACAAAGATGAATAAGGCAGACTCCCTGCCTTCAGATAATGTGCAATCTGATCCTTAGTGCATCACAGGCCCATTCACCTGAGAGGCTTACTTGAGAACAAACTCCAAGTTGAAATGTGACCAATGACCAAGGGGCCACAGCAGGAAACTTGGGAAGACAGAAAACAGGTTGCCAAATTCTTCTTTACTACACTTACAAAGAATATGGAAAGTAAACATATAGATCCAATTAACCAAATCTAGCAAACATTATTGAGCAATGACTATGTACCAGGCTCTGTGTTAGGTGCTGTCACATATCTTATGAGTACTACTATTACTACTATTCATACTACCATTACGAAAAATAACAACTAACATTTTATTAAATCCTCACTGGTAGTGACAGAAACCAGGCTAAGTGCTTTACATACAATGTAAGTTTTCACGACCACAAACCTATTAACATGGCTTAAGGTTGAGGCCTACCTAATATGAAATCAAAATGAAACAAATCAACAAACAAAGCATCTAGAATTCTCCACTGTTCCCTTATTCACCATGAGGTCATCTTAGAGCTAGAATGGTTTGAATATTCAGACACCTACATAAATACTTCCCATTTGTTCATTTCTCTAGTTCAGCTCACAGGTTAACAAACTTAGAGAATTACTGTATAGACTTCTATGCACAACAGATACAGTACTGTACTGCAATACAAAAGATTTCCAGGAAGAGTTTCAACGATTCATGATTTTTGTCTTATGTGCTAATTTTAGTACATGACTTAGAGAATACATGAGATAATAATGATGCTATAAATAGCATATGACCAGTAAATTATAAATGATGCCTTAATATACTAATCTCAACAATAATCATATCAGAGAAATACCCATTGTACAGGTAAGGAAACAAGTTCACAGAGGTTTGTCCCCCATTGCTTCAGTGTGAAAAAGCCAAGGTTTAAACTATGTCTGACTGACACTAAAGCCTATGCTTCTTGCACAGCTTTATGAAAGGCACTTTCTTTTTGGCAAATGAATTATGTTTGAGCTAAAAGCAATGACCAGGGTACCATCGGTGAGATAGATCAGAGGAGATGAACATGAAGGCAGATCCAAAGAAGAGTGATGAACAGAAAAATGACATTATCAAACATGGGCTTTGGAAAAATTAACCTGATGATGGTGACACCTTTTCCCTGAGGCAATGTCATCTCTCTTTTGAGGTTGAATACAGGCAAGAAGGGCTAGCCTACAAAATAAGCCACTTTTGCGGTGGAGGTCTCCAAGGTGCTAAGGCATCCACATGAACATCACTTGTCCCCTTGAATTCCCAAACTGAGGACTTTAGGGCTACATTTTTGGAGTTGATAAAGGAAGCTAGGGCCTGGTTCCCTTTCATCAGATGTACAAATGTATTGGTTACAGAGTTCACACTGAAGAAGACACTCCAGCCTTTCTAGGGTCTCAGTATGGTATTAGGCAACAACAACACTCTTGTTGACATGTCCAAAATGTGCTATTTTTCACTTAAACCACCTACATCTAATCTCAGAAAAAAACACCTTGGGACTTGAGAATACATCTCTTGAAAAGCAAAATGCCAAGGACCACGAACAGTTCCCTCTATCCCACTTAAACTAAGCTTGCAGAGGTACTTCTCCCCAAAGGGCATGTTGTCCTGTTCAAGGGAGACTGGGGAGTTTCTCAAATACTTTTGCTTACTTCTCAGGATGGCCAAAAATTAAGGATTATAATCCTCACCCACCAGGTGGCCATTTATATCCAAAAAGATTTGAAGCACCTTACAAAAAAATTCTGATGTCACAGGGTCATAAAATTAAAAGAAAGATTTAGAAAAAAAAAAAAAACAGAAAATGAGGTTATTTTATTTAAAAAGGAAACCTTTTGTTTACATATATGTTCATCGAATGTTCAAATTTGATCTGAGCTTCCCAGCAGCCAAGACACAAAGGCAAACACTATAGGTTTCAGAACCTTAATCTGATAAAAGGAAACAAGCTAATTTATCAGGAGGCAAACTATTTATGAGCACTGGATTCTACATGCAAACTATAAAAGGAAAAAAACTTTAAAAACACAAAAACTGATATTTCTGACATTATTTTGCCAGAATATACTTTTGTCATATAATCATTCCTTAAATTGACACTCATGTCTTGAATTACCCTCCCCATGTGAACAATCCTTTTGTTTTTCCTCACTTGCTTCCCAGTACTCCTGATGAAGGGCCTGTGAGCAAGTGGTGCCAACACCCTCCTGATGCTGCTGCTTTGGATCTGTTCCAAGTTTCTGGATACTTGGTTGGGACCTCCAAAATGCTGAGTTTAGACAGCAGATACCAGTTTGGGCCCAGAATATTTTTAGGGCCATGTTAGTGTCAACTACCTTAACTAGCAGCCTAGCTTCTTAGAAATGGCTGATATTGGGCTCTGGGTAGGACAGTCAATGGTATCTAAAGGGCTCTTTCCACTACAGCTCATATGCCTAATGGATCAGAGGTACAAAAATAATCAGCACCCAGCAAGCGAGGTCAGAGTCAGGCTCAGTTTGGATCAAAGATCATACTCAGGAGCGAAGAATCCTAGGCATGAATACAAAGAGGGAGGTCTGGGGGAAGGGTTAACCAGTAGACAGTCCAGCTTCCAGGAAGAGTACTGGGGTAAGAATTACAGGCTGGAAAGAATGTTTGGCTTCGATATGGAAAGCCCTTAACGCCCACCCAAGTGACCAAGAGGTGGGGCACTCTGAGGCAAGCAAAGAGAAAGAAATGGCATGCTCACAAGGGCAGGTAAGGGGGATGTTGAAGAAACAGAGTCTGGGAAGTAAAATTCTGAATAGCCTGATGAAAAGGACATTTTTACATACTCATGTTATGAGCCCAACATCTGACTTGGGTGACAAGTAAAAGGGGATACTGTTAAGAGCCAAAGTCTCACCCAGGTGTGACATATGAGGGAACTGGTGCTTAACCAAAGCTAGAGAAGCAGTGGAAGGTGTGGTATGGCAAAAGCCAGGAGGAAATTCCAGTAAGAAAAGAATTTGCACTCAACCGTAAGCCAAATACTGGCATCATTTCATTTAATTCTCCTTACAACAATCCTGGGACTTAAGTATGATTGCCGTTATGACATGTGAGGAAACTGAGATACAGGGAGTTGCTTCCCTGAAATTGCTGAGGGGCAACTGACTAGGAAAGAGCACTTCCAGCCTTTGAGCCAGATGTCTGTGGCTCCAAATCTTGTAGTCTTCCAATTCAATGGCTGCTAAACAGAGCCAGCCCTATGTAACTAAGAAACCAGGCCCCCAACACTGGGGCGAGGGGCAGCAGCACCTTTCCCCTGGCAGCCTAGTACCAGAGAAAAGCTGCTTTCCTGAAGTAGGGCCAATCAAAATTGGCTTTCTAGGCTTTGTTAAAATCCTACCTATTGTGTTATTTCTAAATATAACATATATACACATTTTATACATATATATACGTATATTTTAACCTTTTATTTAGACAATATCTAATAATAATAATACAAGGTAGTATTGAGCATTACTGTGTGCCAGACACAGCACCAAATGCTTAGTGGCTTAGATCATCTATTCACATCAGAAAATCTACATATAAATAACACTATCTGCAATTCACAGATGAAGAATGAGGGTGAATAACTTGCACAGGGTCGCATGGAAAATAAATGACAGAATTTCCATTTAACTCTGTCTGCCTCCAGATCCATGCTACACTGCCTTCCTACCTCTTTGATATAGATACCACAAAAATATAAATTAGCAGAAAGAAGAAAACAAAAGCATCCACAATATCATTTACATATCTGCTATTCTCTAAAGACTTTTTTTCTTTTTTTTTATTTTTTTTTGAGACAGGGTCTGGCTCTGTCACCCAGACTGGAGTGCAGTGGCATGATCATGGCTCACTGCAGCCTCAACCTCCTGGGCTCAAGCCATCCTCCCACCCCAAGCTCCCAAGCAGCTGAGACTACAGGTGCACACCACCACACCTGGCTAATTTTTGAATTTTTTCGTAGTGACGGGGTTTACTATATTGCCCAGGCTGTCTCAAACTCCTGGGCTCAATTGATCCTCCTGCCTCGGCCTCCCAAAGTGCTAGGATTACAGGTGTGAGCCACCGCACCGGCCTCTCTATAGACTTTCAAGCTACATAAACTAGTGTTTTGATTTGACCTGTTCCTTCATAATCCCACAGCTCTTTCCCCAAAGAGCTGATAAGGCAAGAACTAGGCATTTATTTAGTTTCCCCTCACTGTTTTACCCCAATGGGTAGTCACACCTGTTGCTGATGGACCAGAATGAGGAGACCCAAGATCAGTGATGACACTAGAATGCAGGAGAATTTTCCAAGACATTACTTCCTGAGCCCGGGAGCCCAGTGGGAGTTCACTGTATAATCTGGGACAATGAGATGCTTAGGTAATCACCTCAAGCTGGAGACTGACATGATCCTTTATCAAGCATTAAATCAGATGGCTGTAAATAGATAAGAAGACTTTTTAAAGAGTTGGTAAGTTTTTAAGTAAATTATCAGATGTTTAAATGAGGATGTATATACAAAGATGTTTTCTACAATGTTATTTATAATAGCAAAAAATGAAAACCTAAATGGGCAATTACATGGAGCTAATAAATTAAACTATAATGCATTCATATCATGGGTTATTATTATGCAGTAATTTAAAATTAAATTTTCAAAACAATCATAATGACAAGGGAAAAGAACCATAATAAATTAAGTGGAAGAACTGGAGGGAAGGATACAGACAATATGACCAGGAGTGTGATCTCAAATATATATTACTTTTATAATCAAAATATATTACTCTGTTAATGAAAAAAAGTCAATTTTATAAAAACCAAGATTAATAATTCTGACCCTTTCCACAGTGTTTTTGCTCTTACAATTAGGTTCGCTTTTTCTCATAAATGGTTGAAGTTGCTGCTTTCATTTGTAAAATGGGTGTGAAAGTAATTACTAATCTCCCACAGTTTCTGTGTTGATGAAATAAGATGATGGATGTGGAAGTGATTTCTTTTTCAAACATTAGAGTGCTAGTCACTTCTGAGCTATATTGCTGAGGAAATCCTACATGTGCTGATTTTTTTGGTGTTCTGTAGTAATCAATCTTTCTTAAAGCCAGGGCTTCCTGCCCATTTCTACTGCCATCATCACACTTCAGGCCTTTACCCTCCCATTGCCTGAACTTCCATACCAGTCTTCCAGCTGGACATACCCCAGTCTTCTGGTCTCCTCTATCCACCCTCCACAATGTATCAAGAATCAGCTTTCTGACCATGTTAATCCTTTGCTCAGACTACTGCAGACTCTTGAGTACCCTTCACATATCACACTAATTTTTTAGCCAATTATTCTATGACATTCTTCAATTATCACCCAAGTTCCCATATAATCAGCTAAAAGTGTTCAACATGTTTTGCTTAACTAGAAAGCACTGCATTACGTAGTAGACCCTCATTGCAAGTTATCTATTGGTAAGTGGCAATGTGGCACCTTCCTACTCGAAGTGTGATCTCTGGACCAGTATCATCAGACTCACCTGGGAGTTTCTTAGACAGACATTATCTCTGACTCCACCCAGACCTACTGAATCAAAGAGTGTTCCCTAGGTGATTTGTATACACAGTAATATTTGAGAAACACTAGTCTAGAAGGCCCTAAAGTTGGCAGATGGAGCAAAGTGTTCACAGCTTTTTCACAGATTTATTGACTCATTCCAAACTGTCCTTGTGTCTTTCACATATGTTTATTCATCCCCTTTCTTAGATGTAAGATCATTAAAAAGTATTAACTTAAATCTTCCTCTTCCTTTGTCTCAACTTCTACCATCCATGCCCTCAATAAGTGCTCATCAAGTAAAAATAGTTTTAAAGACCATATTTAAAAGTAACCATAAAACTTATTTATTATAGCATAGTGGTTTTAATAAAGGGAATCTGGAGCTTGCCAGCCTGAGATCAAGAATCACTTTCCGACACTTCCCAGCTACATGACCTTAGGCACATTACTTGGCCTATATGTGCCTCAATTGCCTCATCCGTGAAATGAAGATACTAATAATATCCACATCAAGGTTGTTGTAAGAGTTAAATGAGTAGAGAGATGGGAAACTCTTAGAACAGCATCTGGCCGAGTTACCACTGTATAAGTTTTAGGTATTAAATGTTTTTAGAAGGTAATTATAATAAGTATTTCAAAACTTAGGCCACTAATAATCATAAATATAGAATTGTTCCATGACAGACTGCGTGCCTGAAATTTAAGTCTCTGGTGTCTGCATACTCTTATTGAATTCTCACAACTCCTCAGCAAGATTAATGGTAATCTTATTTTACAGAAGGCAAAGTTTACACAGCTTGACTTGACTTCAGGTCTGAGGGATTTCAGAGTCCATGTTCCTTATAAGAAGAGGGCTTTATAGACAACAGAGAAAAGAAACAGTTGATTCGAAGATGTAATATAGAATGAGGTAAAAGTTGATGGTTTGACTATTTTGGGTGCCCAGATTTCAGAAAAGAAGGATTAGCATTGTAAGAACTCACAAGCTTAGTGATACAAATAATTAAAATAGTACTGTGGATATTGCATTCAGTGACTTAAACATGAAGTGAACAGTTTGTAAAGAGCAAGCCAAGGATAATCATCTGGGTCTCTGGGATTTTCTCCATCAGGATTTCAGGCCAATAAATGGTTAATGGAAACCTGTCTACATCCCCAGCTACATAGACTGCCCCTGTACAGGAAGTATGTACAGATATTCCTAAGCTAGAATCAGGGAATCTGGAACATGCAGGAAGAAGAAGAGAGTCTCGCAATGTGCCTCCAACACTCCTCTCCTGGACATTGCTATCTCTGGTTCTTCCTTCCTGCCCTGGGAATTCACCCAGTCACCATCTGCAAAACACACACTGCTGTTAAGAGAAGTCAGAGGGGGATAATGCTTGGGATTAGGGCCAGAGCTAGGAAAATAGTCCTCTTCCTGGAAGGACATTCCTGGAAGGGGAATGTGGGGAGTGGTGGCCTTTGGGATTCTTCCAAATTCATAGCAAGCGGTGGCAGCATCTAGTGGAGAGAATAGGCCCAGGGGCCAGAGGCACAGCTGAAGCTCCCAGCATGGTGTTTGGCGTATCAGTGAGAACCTCTTTGTGTGGCTGTTAGGTAATAAATCCCTTGGGTAAAAAAGTATGCAAAAGAGTCTTGAGTCAGTCAGTCCCATTTATTACAAGAAAGGAAGAGAAATAGACACTGAATTATCTATGCATACAGATGAGATATTTTAGCCACCTAAATTAATAAGATAATTTTTAAAAGCCAACTAAGTAGTAGGCAGAGTTCATGGCATCTAGAATCAACAATATGGTATACCAAGCAAAGGGTAAGAAAGTAGGGAAAAAGGAAAATTGCATTGCAACCTCAAAGGATGCTGCAGCTGAAAATGAGTCAGTGATGGCAGTGATAAGATACAATTGGAAAATTCAAATTTAAGGAGTTGGAGAAACAAAGGTGAGTTCTATCTGAAAAGGAAATCATGAAAAGTGCTATTAATGAAATCACATGGCATGTAAACAGTGCATAAAGTCCCGAGGCTGAGGGAGTAAATGAGAACCTAAGCTCCACCTGCCAAGTCTCATGCCTCAAAACAGGGCTGAATCCACCTGCAGAAAAGACAGTCTTTCTGTAATTGGCACAAAAGCACTATATGGGTTAGTAGCAACCCTGTAGTCTATGTCTTCAGGGGATTTCATATTGATAAAAACTAGGACTGTAGAGACAAACATTAAACTTTTGGCCCCAAATAGATCCAGATATTTCATCTTTCATTTCTAACTCACTCGATCTCTTTTCAAGTATTTATAGCTGGATATAAGAGTTTCACTTGATAACCTAAAATCCAAAACTCCCAACAGAGTTATGGTCTTTGGTTAATCAGAGTTTTCCAGAGAAACAGAACTAAAAGGATATAAAGATAAATATAGGAAGGGAGATATTATGAGGGATTGGCTCACTGATTATAGAGGCTAAAAAGTTCCATCATATGCCCTCTGTAAGCTGGGGGGAAAGCCAGTGTTGTGGTTCCAGTCCAAGCCAAAGGACTGAGAACTAGGACAGCCAAAGGTGTAAGTCCCAGTCTGAGTCTGAAGGCCTGAGAAGTAAAAGCACCAATGGTCCAAGGGCAGGAGAAGATGGATGCCCAGCTAAAGAAGAGAGAGAGAGAATTTGCCCTTCCTCTGCCTTATTTTTTTCCTATTTGGATGGGACCCCTACAGATCCCATGATGATTGCCCATATTGGTGAGGGTGATCTTCTTTATTCAGTCTACTGATTCAAATGCTAGTCTCTTCCAGAAACACCCTCACAGACACACCCAGAAATAATGTCTTACCAGCTATCTGGGCATCCCTTAGCCCAGTCAAGTTGACACAAAATTAAACATCATAACCACCATCCAACATAATTTGTTAAGCTCCATATTACACTCACGAAGGGAAAACAAATGTTGGAACCAGAAGTTTTAAGGCTGAAAGGGTCCACAGGACACTTCCAGGGAGGCTTTTGTCTGACCCTGACTACTTACGCATATATGCTGAGACCAAGAGGCCTCCCAGCTATTCCAGATACAGACTCAGAGGCTTAGCAGGGACAATTATAAGATAATTAATGCCATTTTTTTTAAGGATGGGGAGTGGGGGGGATGCAGATTCTGTCTCTAGGAATATGGGCTCCAAGCTATCAGCTCCGAACAAGGAAAGAGATATGAAAGTCACTGTAGACTGTTTCCTGAACACACCAGCCCAAATTGCTATTTCAGCCAAAACAATTATCGGTCTAGTTAGATCAGAAACAGAAAGAAAAAAAAATAAAGACAGAAAATACTCTCTTCCCTCACTCCCTCACCTCATCCTGCCCCTAAATTCCCTCTTCATGGTTTGCTCTCACCTGGGATATTGTGTACAGGTCTGGTTACCACATCTCAGGGACAATAGCATCAAGCTGGAGATCTTCATATGAAAGGCTTAAAAATGGTCAATTTAAAACAAATAAAATGGGCCGAGCGTAGCGGCTCATACCTGTAATCCCAGCACTTTGGGAGGCCAAGGCGGGCAGATCACTTGAGGTCAGGAGTTCGAGACCAGCCTGGCCAACATGGTGAAACCCCATCTTTACTAAAAATACAAAAATTAGCCTGGTGTGGTGGCACTTGCCTGTAATCCTAGCTACTTGGAAGGCTAAGTTGGGAGAATAGCTTGAACTTGGAGGCAGAGGTTGTAGTGAGCTGAGATCACGCCACTGCACTCCAGCCTGGGTGACAGAGTGAGAATACATCTCAAAAAAAAAAAATCTAATAAAATTAAGTCCAACTGTATACAATTAGTAAACAGAAAGCACATCACTCCCATGGTTTAAAACAGCTTGACTATATAAACCATTTTTTTTAAGGTTTGGATAAATTAGCTGATGAGAGACACTAAAAAGGAAATTAATGTCAGGAGGACAACCATTACTTATGGATGTTGACTTTGTGAAATAGGAGGAGGGCCCAAAAGAGAAACATATAGGGGCTATAATTCTGCCAGGTCCTGTACTAGAAACATTATCCACATTATCTCATTTAATCCTCACAATAACCCTCTGAGTATGTACTGTTACAATCTCCATATTATTGATAAGGAAACTCAGGTTTAAGAGAAGTTACATAGTGAAAACAATGTAAATATCCTACAATAGATGAATGAGTGGAAAACAAAAAGTGATGTATACATACAATCGATACACACAATGGGATAGTATTCACCCTTAAAAAGGAAGGAAATCTTGCAATATGCAACAATGTGGATGAATCTTAAGTAAATTATGCTAAGTGAAATAAGTCAGTCACAGAAGGACAAATACTACATGATTCTACTTATATGGAATATCTAAAATAGTCAAACTCATGGAAGCAAAGAATAGAATGGTGACTGTCAGGGGCTGGGAAGAAGGGGAAATGGGGAGTTGCTAATCAACAGGAATAAAATTTCAGTTATGCAAGATGAATGAGTTCTAGAGTTCTGCTGTTCAACATTGTGCCCATAAATAACAATACTATATTGTACATTTAAAAATCTGTTAAGTGAATAGATCTCACATTAAATGTTCTTACCACAATAAGGACTAATAAAATAATAAAATAAAATGAGAAGTTATATAACATCCAAGTCACGTACAGCTGGTTAAAATGAGGTTTGGATACAGATTGCAAAGGAAGTGAAATCATCTTTATTTGTAGATGATATGATCAGGCAGGCAGAAAATTTTAAGGAATCTAGAAAAAGTTTACTAGAACTAATAAGTGAGATTGGTAAGGTTGCAGGACATAAAACTAATGTATATAAATCAAACATATTTCTACATAGTAGCAGTCAACCATCAGAAGGTGAAATTTTAAAATATAAACCATTTCTAATAACATCAAAAATATGAAAGTACTTAGAGATAAATTTGGCAAAAGATGTACATGACCTAGAGTGAAACTACAAAACATGGCTGAGATAAACCAAATAAGATTTAAATAAATGGAGAGATATACATTGTTCCTAGATTAGAAAAATCAGTACTGCTCAGGCATTAATTCTCCTCCAAACTGATCTATAAATACAGCACAAACCCAATCATAATGCCAGCAGCCATTTTAAATAGAAATTGACAAGTCGATTCTAATTTTTTTTTTTTTTTAAGACAGAGTCTTGCTCTGTCACCCAGCCTGGAGTGCAGTGGCGTGATCTCAGCTCACTGCAACCTCCACCTCCCAGGTTCAAGTGATTCTCCTGCCTCAGCCTCCCAAGTAGCTGGGACTACAGGCATGTACCACCATGCACAGCCAATTTTTGTATTTTTAGTAGAGATGGGGTTTTGCCATGTTGGCCAGTCTGGTCTTGAACTCCTGACCTCAGGTGATCCACCCGCCTCAGCCACCCAAAGTGCTGGGATTACAGGTGTGAGACACCGTGCCCGGCCAGATTCTAAACTTTATATAAAAATTCAAACAAGGAATAGCCAAAACACCTTTAAAAAGAACAAAGTTGGAGGACTTATACGACTTGATTTCAAAACATATTATAAAGCTACAGTAATCAAGACAGTGTGGTTTTGGCATAAAGATAAACATATGGGTTAATGTTACACAACGGCGTCGCCAAAAATAGATCCATATGTAAAAGGTCAATTGATTTTTGACAAAGGTACCAAAGCAATTAAGTAGAAAAAGGATAATCTTTGTGTTTTGTTTTGTTTAGAGATGGGGTCTCTCTCTGTTGCCCAGACTGAGGTGTAGTGGTGTGATTCTAGCTCACTGCAGCCTTAAAGTCCTAAGCTCAAGCTATCCTCTCATCTCAGCCTCCTGCATAGCAGGACTACAGGTAGGCACTACTACACCCAGCTAATTTTTAAAAAGTGGTTTTATTTTGTTTTTGTTTTTGTTTTTTTGTAGAGATGGGGTCTTGCTATGTTGCATAGGCTAGTCTCAAACTCCTGGCCTCAAGCAATCCTCCTGCCTCAGCCTCCCAAAGTGCTGGGAATACAGGTGTCAGTCAATGCACCTGGCCTGGAAAAGGATAATCTTTTAATCAAATAGTGCTGGAACAATTGGATGTTCATATGCAACAAATAGTGTTGGAATAACTAGACGTCCATATGCAAAAACAAACAAAACCCAAAAATCCCTTAGCTCTTACTTCACAAAACATACATTAACCCAAAATGGATCCTAAACCCAAGTGCAAGAGCTAAAGTTATATAACTTCTAGAAGAAAATATAAAAGAAAAATCATAGTTACATCGGTTAAGGCAAAAATTTCTTAAATAGGACACAAATGCAGAAATTATAAAAGAAAAAATCATTAAACTGGACTTTATGAAAATTCAAAATTAAAACATTTTACTTTTCAAAAGTCACTATTAAGAAATGGAAAGGCAAGCCACAGACTGGGAGAAAATATTGGCAAATCTCATATCCAACAAAGGACTTATATCTTGAATAAAAAATAACTCTTACAACTCAATATTAGTATTACAAGCAATAAAAATGTACAAAAGATTTAAATAGACACTTCACTAAAGATGATATACATATGGCAAATACACAGATGAAAAGATGCTCAACATCATTAGCCATTAGAAAAATATACATTAAAACTACAAAGAAATTCCAATACATATCTATTAGACTGGCTAAATTAAAAAAATAAAACTTACCATAATAAGTGTTGGTGAGAATGTGGAGGAATGGAACCCTCCTACAGTATTGACTTAAGATGTTTACAATCACTTGAGAAAATGATTTGACAGCTTTAAAAAATGATAATGATATACCTACCATATGACCCAGCCATTCTACTCATAGATTTAACCATGATGAGCCATTCTATTCATAGATTTAACAAAGAAAAATGAAAGTATATGTTCACACAGACTTATATGTGACTGTTCATAGCAGCTTTATTCATAATAGCTATGAATAACTATTCATAATAGCTATGAAAAACTATTCATAATAGCCAGAAATAATGCAAATGTTCACCAGGTGAATGAATAAACAAACTATGATATATCTATGCAATTGAATATTACTCAGCAATATTAAAGAACAAACTGCTGATATATGCAACAACATAGACAGATATAAGTATAATTATGCTGAGTAAAAGAAGGCAAAGAAAAATACACACTGTATAATTCGATTGGCATAAAATTCTAGAAAATGCAAGCTACTGTAGTGATAGAAAGCACATCAATGGTTGCCTGGGGGTTGTGGAGCTGGATTACAAAGGGGCACAAGGAAACTTTTGGGTGTGATGAACATGCTTATTATCTTAATTATGGTAATAGTTTCACACACATTTCAAAACTCATCAATTTATATACGTATTTATACATGTATATCCATGTATATCTTATTGTACATCAAATATATCTCAATAAAATGTAAAATTAAGTCAATTTGCCTGAATATCATAGTGAATATATTAATAAAATAAGACTAATTTTCCAAACAAATAAAAATCAGTATCCTGAGTGACATCAGCAAGATGGAATAGAAAACCCTCAACTCTCCTAACCACATGAACAAACAAATTCAACAACAAAATATAGACAAATTCCCTTTTTGAAAAATCCAGAAACTACATAAGAGACTCCTGTACGATGAGACTACCACATTAAAGCCAGCAGGGAAATCTGAGAGACCCTGTCAGCATAATAACTTCCCCCTGTACAGAGCCATACAATTGGGAAGACCCCCTCACCAGATTCCAAATTCTCCCTAGGAAGGGAAGGAGTTAGACCACATGTCCAGTGCCCCAACTTTTCCAGGAGCTGTCCAGAAGATTGGCTTCAGTTTTGCCTGTCTCAGAGTGATGATGGGACCTAGCACCTAGCCACCTTGGAACCAGAGATGAGAGACAGTATGTTAGGCTAGCAGTTGCTATAACCCCTCTTCCCAGCTTAGCACAGAGCCAGCAGATGAAAATCCCTAGCTCCTATCTTCTCTCTGGTGAGGAAAGGAGTTGGACCACGTGTCCCGTGCTCCAACCTTTTTTGTGGGGGATGCACAAAGGACTGGTTTATGTCTTGTTTGTATTGAAGTACTGACAGGACCCAGCACACTCTGTTTCAGGACCAGTGTGATCAGAGATGGCGGTTTGGCCTTGCAGTTACCCTGCTAAGAACAAAGAAAGTAGGGTGGAATAGCATAAAGCTTTAAAAGGCCCCCTAAATCTCTAGCTGGCCTGACTGATGAGGGTCTTCTCCTGTATAAGGCTAGGCCATGAAGACTGGGATAGGTAGCCATTTATTTAATGAACAGATACTCACACAAAGAGCCAAGGGACATGAAGAAACAGGGAAATATATCCCAAACAAAGGGACAAAATAAATGTCCTGGTATCATAAATTGGAGATATATGATTTACCTGACAGCCAAAACTAACATAAAGATGTTCAAGGAGGTCAGAAGAACAACACATGAACAAAGTAAAAATTTCAAAAAAGAGATATAAAATATATATATTAAAAATTCAGGCTGGGCATGGTGGCTCATGCCTGTAATCCCAGCACTTTGGGAGGCTGAGGCAGGAGGATTGCTTGAGGCTAGGAGTTTGAGACCAGCCTCGGCAACATAGTAAGACCTTGTCTCTACAGAAAAAATTTAAAAAGTTAGCCTTGCGTGGTGGCACTCGCCTGTAGTCCCAGCTACATGGGAGGCTGAGATGGGAGATCACGTGAGCCCAGGATTTTGAGTCAACAGTGAGCTATGATTTTGCCACTGCACACCAGTTTGGGCAACAGAGCAAGACCATGTCTCAAAAAAGAAAAAAAAAAAAACAGAAATCTTGGAGCTGAAGAATATAATAACTGAACCAAAAAATTCACTAGAGGGGTTCAACATGAGACTCAAGCAAAAGAAAGGATCAGCAAAGTTGAAGACAAGTCGTTGGTAATTATACAGTCAGAGGAGGAAAAGAATTACAGAGAGTGAAGAAAGCTAAAGGGACTTAAAGGCCATGATCAAGTAGACCAATATATGCATTATGGAAGTTCCAGAAGGAGAGTAAAAAGAGAAAGAGTTCCAAAAAGCTTATTCAAATAAATAGTTGCAAAATACTTTGCAAATCTAGGAAAGGAAATGAACATCCAGATCCATCAGGCTCAATAGATGGCAAATAAGATAAACTCAAAGAAATCCATACTAAGACACATTATAATCAAATTGTCCATAGGCAAAGATGAAAAGAGAAGTTTGAAAGTAGCAAAAGAAAAATAACCTGTCATATAAAAGAAACCTCCAAAAGACTATCAGTGGATTTCTCAGCTGAAACCTTGCAGACCAGAAGATGATATATTCAAAGCGCTAAAAGAAAAAAAAAAAACCCACCAGCAACTAAGAATACTATACCTGTCAAAACTATCCTTCAAAAAGATGAAGAGATTAAGCTTTTGCCAGACCAAACAGACAAACAAAAAAACCCGAGAGAGTTCATCACCACCAGACTTGCCTTACAAGAAATGATAAAGAGTTAAAGGGAGTTCTTTGTGTTGAAATGAAAGAACATAAAATAATAATACAAAAAATACAGACAAGTGTGAAATTCACTGGCAAAGTTAAATATATAAACAAATACAGAATGATGTAATGCTGTGATAGTGGTAGGTAAAACATTTTTAATTCTAGTATAAAATTTAAAAGGCAAAAGTGTTAGACTGTAAATATAAAATATGTTAATGTTAATGATAAAAATAAAACGATAGGTAAATTGTGACATTAATAGCATAAAGTGTGTGAAGGGGAAACTGTAGTTTTTGTATGTGATCGAAGTTAGGTTGTTAATCAGCTTAAAATAGCCTACAATAACTATAAGATATTTTAATGTAAACTCTTCTAACTACAAAGAACATACCTATTGAAAATATACACAAAAGAAAAAGAGAAATCACTCAATACAGAAATCAAAACACAAAAGAAGACATTACAAAACAAGAAAAAAGAATTATAAGACAGACGAGACCACGGTGAAACCCCGTCTCTACTAAAAAATACAAAAAATTAGCCGGGCGTGGTGGCGGGCGCCTGTAGCCCCAGCTACTCGGAGAGGCTGAGGCAGGAGAATGGCATGAACCCGGGAGGCGGAGCTTGCAGTGAGCCGAGGTCGAGCCACTGCACTCCAGCTTGGGTGACAAAGCGAGACTCCGTCTCAAAAAAAAAAAAAAAAAATTATAAGACAGAAAATAATAAGCAAAATTGGCAATACTAAGTTCTTCTCTATTAATAACTACTTTAAATATAAATGGGTTGACTCCCAAATTGAGAGATATAGAGTGAGTGAATGGATCAAAAAACAAGATCCAACTATATGCTGTCTATAAGAGATTCACTTAAGTTTTAAGGACACACAGGCTGAAAGTAAAGGAATGGACAAAGACATTCCATACAAATGCTAACCAAAAAACAGCAAGGTGGCTACACTTATATCAGACAAAATAGGCCAAAAACTGTCACAAGAGACAAAGGACAATGTGCAATGAAAAAAGGCCAATTCACAGGATGATATAAGAATTGTGAATATATATGTACACAACATTAAACCACCGAAATATATAAAGCAAACATTGACAGAACTAAAGGGAGAAATAGATAGCAATACTATAATAGTAGGAGACTTCAATATTCTACTTTCAATAGTGGATGGAACATCCAGACAGATGATCAAAAGGAAACAGTGAACTTGAACAACACTATAGATCAAATGGACCTAACAGAAACATAGAACATTCCACCCAAAGCAACAAAATATACATTCTTTTCAAGTACACACAGAACATTCTCCAGAATAGATCACATGCTAGGTCACAAAACAAACTGAAGAAGATTGAAATCATACCATGTATATTTTCTGACCACAATGGAATGAAACTAGAAATCAATATCAGAAAAAAAACTGGCAAATTCAAAAATATGTGGAAATTAAACAATACACTCCTAAATAACCAATGGGTGAAACAAAAAAATCAAAAGGGAAATTAGAAAATATTTTGAGATAAATGAAAAACAAAATAGAATGTACAAAACCGATGGAATGCAGCAAAATCAGTACCAAGAGGAAAATTATAGTGACAAATGCCTACATTAAAAAAGAAAAATCTCAAATAACCCAACTTTACACCTCAAGAAACTAGAAAAATAAGGAAAAAAAGCTAATCCCAAAGTTACTTGAAGGAAAGAAATAATAAAGATTAGAACATAAATAAACAATACAGAATAGAAAAATAATAGAAAAGATCAACAAAATGAAGTGTTAATTTTTTGAAAAGATCAACAAAATTGACAAACCTTTGGCTAGGCCAAGGAAAAAGAGAAAGATACAAATAAATTAAATCATCAATGAAAGAGAAGACATTACAACTGATACCACAATTACAATCATGCATCACCTAACGACAGGATTATGTTCTGAAAAATGTGTCATAAGGTGATTTCATCACTGTGTGACATCACAGAGTGTACTTACACAAACCTAGATGGTATAGCCTATTACACCTAGGCTATATGATAGAGCCTATTGCTCCTAGTCTACAAACCTATACAGTATCTTACTGTATTGAATATTTTATGCAATTATACCACAATGGTAAGCATTTGTGAATCTAAATATAGCTAAACATAGAAAAAGTATAGTAAAAATATGGTATTACAATCTTATGGGACCACTGTCACATAAGTGGTCTGTCATTGATTGAAACATCATTATGAGATGCATGACTGTATATGCCAACAAACTGGAAAACTTAGAAGAAATGGATAAATTTTTAGAAACATATGACTGACCAAGACTGTCACAAAGAAATAGAAAAAAATCTGAACAGACCTGTAACTAGTAAGGAGACTGAATTAGTAAATTAAAAATCTCCCAATAAAGAAAAACCCAGGAACAGATTACTTTACTGGTGAATTTTATCAAATATTTGAAAAAGAATTAATGCCAATCCTTCTCAAACGCTCCCAAAAATTGAAGAGAAGGGAACATTTCCAAACTCATTTTATGAGGCCAGCATTATACCTGATACAGATAAGGACACTACAAAAAAAGAAAACTAAAGGCCAATATCCCCAATGAAAACTGATGCGAAAATCCTCAACAAAATACCAGAAAACTGAATTCAATGGCACAGGAAAAGGATGATACTCTGTGACCAAGTGGGATTTATGTCTGGTATGCAAAGATGGTTTAACATATGCAGATCAATAAATGTGATACAACATATTAGCAGAATAAGGGATAAAAAGCACATGATCATTTTGAGATACAAAAAAAGCATTTGACAAATTCAACAGCCTTTCATAAAAAGCTCTCAACAAACTAGAAATAGAATGAAATTACCTCAACAAAATAAAGGCCATATAAGAAAACCCCACAGCTAATGTCATACTCAATGGTGAAAAGCTGAGTTTTTCCTCTAAGATCAGGAACAAGGCAAAAATGCCCACTCTTGCCACTTCTGTTCAACATAGTGCTGGAATTCTTACCCAGCATAATTAGGCAAGAAAAAATAAGTAAAGGCATCAAAATAAGAAAGAAACAAGTAAAATTATTTTTTACTTACCAGGTAACATGATCTTGTATGTTGTCAGATAACATGATCTTATACGGAGAAAATCCTAGACACTCCATAAAAAAACTGTTAGAACTAATAAATCCAGTAAAGTTACAGGATACAAAATCAACATGCAAAAATCAACAGTGTTTCTATACACTAACAATGTACTACCTCAAAAAAATAAGAAAACAATCCCATTTACTATAGCACCTAAAATAATAAAATACTTAGGAATAAATGTAACTAAGAAGGCAAAAGACTTGTATACTGAAAACTATAAAACATTGATGAAAGAAATCAAAGACACAAATAAATAAGACATTCATGCTAATGAATGCAAGACTTATTGTTAAAATGTCCATACTACCCAAAGTGATCTAGAATCAATGTAATCCCTATCAAAATCTTAATGGCATTTTTTTTTTGAGACAGGGTCTCACTCTTTTACCCAGACTGGAGTACAGTAGCATGATCAAGGCTCACTGCAGCCTTGATTGCCCAGGCTCAAGTAATCCTCCCACCTCAGCCTCCTGAGTAGCTGGGACTACAGGCATGTGCTACCATGCCTGACTTTTTTTTTTTTTTTTTTTTTTTTTTTGTAGAAACAAGGTCTCACTATGTTGTCCAGGCTGGTCTTGGAATCCTAGGTTCAAGCAATCCTCTTGCCTCAATCTCCAAAAGTGCTGGGACCCTAGTGGCATTTTTTACAGAAATAGGAAAAAAAAATCTCTACAATTCAGAGGGAATTGCAAAGAACTTCAAATAGCCAAAACAATCTTATAAAAGAAAAAGCTGGATTCCCTGATTTCAATTGATATTGCAAAGTTATAGTAATCAACAGTATGTACATATAGAGCAAGGGCACAGAAGAGACAGCCCCAAAATAAACCCACCCATATACGACCAAGTGATCTTTGAGAAGGGTATCAAGACTACAAAATGGGGAAAGTATAGTCTCTTCAATGAATGGTATGGGAAAACTGGATATCAAACCACTTTCTTACACCATATGCATACACATAAGACCTGAAACTGCAAAACTTGTAGAAGAAAATGTGAGGGAAAAGGCTCTTGACATTAGTCTTGGCCATGGGTTCTTGAATATGATACTAAAAGCACAGGCAACAAAAGCAAAAATAAACAAGTGGGACAACATCAAACTAAAAGGCTTCTGCACAACTAACGAATCTTTTAACACAGTGAAAAGGTAGGCTGGGCATGGTGGCTCACGCCTGTAATTCCAGCACTTTGGGAGGCCGAGGCTGGTGGATCACCCGAGGTCAGGAGTTCGAGACCAGTCTGGCCAACATGGTGAAACCCCATCTCTACTAAAAATACAAAAAAAGAAAATTAGCCAAGTGTGGTGGTGAACACCTGTAATCCCAGCTATTTGGGAGGCTGAGGCAGGAGAATCGCTTGAACCCGGGCAGCAGAGGTTACAGTGAGCTGAGATCATGCCACTGCACTCCAGTCTGGGTGACAGAGCAAGACTCTCTCTCAGGAAAAAAAAAAAAGAAAAGGCAGCCTATGGAATGGAAGAAAATATTTGCAAAGCATTTATCTGATAAAGGGTTAATATCCAAAACATATAAGGAACTTATACAACTCAACAGCATAATAACAAAATCCAGTTAAAAATGGGCAAAGGACTTGAGTAAACATTTCTCCAAATAAGACACATAAACAGCCAACAGGACCATGAAAAGATGCTCAACATCACTAATCATTAAGGAAATGCAAGTCAAAACCACAATGAGATATCACCTGACACCTATTAGGATGGCCATTTTTTTTGAGAAAAGATAAGTGTTGGATACGGAGAAACTGGAACACTTGTACACCATGGGTAGGAATGTAAAATGGTGCCACTGCTATGGAAAACAGTATGGAGGTTCCTCAAAAAATTAATACTAGAACTACATACTAGATCCAGCATTCCCATTTCTGGGTATTCATCTAAAAGAAATCAGGATCTTGAAAACATATTTAAAACCCCATGTTCATTGGAGCATTGTTTATAATAACCAAGATGTAGAATCAACCTAAATGTCCATGGATGAAAGAATAAAGAAAATGTGGCATAAGACACAATGAAATATCATTCCAGAGGAAATCTTCCAATATGCAACAACATAGATAAGTCTGGAGGACATTATGCTAAATGAAATAAGCTGGTCACAGAAGGACAAATATTGCATAATTTTGCTTATATGACGTACCTAAAATAGCCAAACTCAGAAGCAGAGAGTAGAATGTTGGTTGCCAGGAGCCAGGGGGAGAGGGAAATGGGGAGTTGCTATTCAAGGGGTATAAAGTTTCAGTAATACAAGATGAAGATGTTCTACAAATCTGCTGTACAACATTGTGCCTATGGTTAACAGTGTGGTATTGTGAACTTAAAATCCTGTTAAAATTGTAGCTCTCATGTTAAATGTTCTCACTACAATAAAAAGTAAGTTAGATGAATGTAAAATTTTAACAAGACATATGAATATACTTTCTGACATCGAAAATACAAAAGTAAAGACTGGAGAAAAAAATCAGTATCATTGCTTTTTAGTCAAATTTTATCTAGTAGGCACAACCCATTTTGGAAGAGGAGACTATCTAATGACTCCCAGACCCTTCTAATCCTGAAGATTTTAGTAAAAACAATAAAGGGTCATGAATGCTGCACGCTAATGTATATTGCAGTAACTAGTATCACCCTTCTGGAGAACAGATTTCAGGTGATATCTAAAAGAAAAGAAAAAAGAGGGGTTACTAACTTTGGCTTTTTTGAATGATGAAATTAAAGCAGGGCTACCTGGCCTTAAGTCTTTCAATAGTTAAAAACTAATCTTGGGGCTTTTTAATTCATTTAAGAAGTCATAACCATTATACAAGAAAGTAGAAGGAAAAAAAAAGATGTGTGGTTCCCATATGGTTCAGTAATAATCACAACCAGTCTATGACTTCCTTAAAGAGTCTGATGAAATATGTGAAGGGAGAAAAAAAGGGGCCCTGTGAAAGTTGTATGGGTTGGGGTGGGGGTTGATGAAGATATTATGGGGCCAGAGAGAGAAATCAAGAGCACATTTTGTACTTTACAAAACCAAGTTAGACACCCTGAGGTAGGTGGCTTATACTTATGTAAAATACCAGCCAGTGCATCAACATAAATTTGTAAAGTAACCACTAATGATTTATAGTCAATGCTTAGTGAACTAGAACACTGCAACTGGAGCTATTTAACTTTTTTTAACTTCTGAAATATAATTAAATTGGTACACATTGAATTAACAGTACCGTGATCCTTCAGAGAATGATGTGTTACCCGCTGAATTAGCCTGTCTGGGTAGTAAATCATGTTGTTGTCTAACATGCTAGATGAGCATATCTCACTCGAACAGAGAGCTTGGCAAATTTTAGACAGAACTCATTTACAAAATACACATGGGAAACTACAATCACTATGAAATTAAGAGAAGAAATAGAAGAGAAGGAGGAGGTTGGGGGAGGGATGTTCTGCAGGACGCAGCATTTTAAAGAGACTTTCTTAGCACAGAAGACAAGGAAGCTTTGCACTCAAAAAACTGTCCCTCCAACTACCCAACCACCCTCCATCATTCTCTCTCTGACACACACAAACACACACACATACACACACACACACACACACACTAAAATTCACAGTCTCTAGATTCACAATCTCTAGATTGTGTGGTGAGGTACCTACCTACCTATTTATCTACCTAGCATAGTAATACATGTTAAGGACAAGGAAGAGAGGAGATCAGAAGTTATAAATATTAAGGAAGTCAGATCACAGATAAGGGATGTAATGAAATTTCTTTTTAATATTGTTCCTCATTTGGCTCCCAGTATATATATGTATGAATATGTGTATAAATGTGTATATATATATATATATATGTGTATGTGTCTATAAATATATATAAATATAGGTGTGTGCATATATATATATCTCATACATGATATATGTTGGATAACAACATCTTTATATATATCTTTATATATATCATATATATCTCATATATATATGATATATATATGATATATATATATGATATATATATATGATATATATATATGATATATATATATGATATATATATATGATATATATATATATATATGATATATATATATATATATATGATATATATATATATAAAACCATGGATAACAACACTTGTTTTCTGGCCCTGAGAGTACCTGGGAACAAATGTGCAAAACTATTGGGCAATAAACAGAAATGAATTAATAGCCTAAGAAAGAAAGAATTTAGAGCCAGATTTAGAAAGAGGAGATTCATACAAACTCAAAAAGAAGAAATCTCAAGTCTTTCAGAAGTTCCTAAAGCCTAGCTCTACTTGTTAAATGCTCTATGGAACAGATTTGGGGTTAAAAGCCTAATCCAGCAGTTTATGTCTGTGGGCCCTGCCCTCAAGGAGCATATCCCATGAAGTATATAAAACAAGCATGCCCAGCTCATTAGAAAGAACATGGTGAGCACCAGATGGAAGATGGGGTAGAATGGGACCAGAAGGAAGGGTAATTTCTGATGGGCTTCAAGGAACAGGTAAGATTTAGTCAGGTAGCTGGGACTAGAAATGCATTTTAAGAAACCATGATAACAAGTCACTGGGCATATTCAGAAAATTATTGTCACATTTGAGGCTGACTGTGTATGGCAGTGATTATGGGTATGTGCTCTGGAGATAGCCTTTCTGGGTTAAAATCCTAGCTCTACCATTTACTAACTGTGAGACTCTGGGTAAACCATTTGGATTTCCATATGCCTCATTTTCTTTCTCTATAAAATGGGGAAGAATAATAGAAACATATATAGTTGCCATGTGGATTAAATAATACATGTAAAATCACTTAGAACAGTGGCATCCAATAAGTGCTGAATAAATATTAGCTATTTTTTAAAATGTGGATGAAGTGCAAAGGAAGTATCCATGATTTCAGCCTACAGGGGAAGATAGGAGCCATATTTCTGGAGAACTTCGGATGCCAGACCTGAGGGGTTTGAACTTAAATCAAGATGAAGCAAGTTTTTAATAATAGAGTATCATAAAGGCAGATCAGTTGGTGTCAGTTTGTGGTAGGAGATATAGAACAACTCTTGCTATCTGACAATACAAAGGGCTGGCTTATGAGATAATGTTCTCCATCAATGGAAGCATTCAAAAGAACAGTCTGACCAACCAAATTCAAGGGTGTTATTAATGGCACTCAGGCAGCAGGTTAGTGTTGGTCAGCTTGGATGGCCTGCCTCTAAGATTCCTTTCAACTGTAAGTTAATTTAGGATAAAGACTCTAGGACCAATATGGAAGAAAGATTTTTTCAAGGCACTGCTGGGAGCATGGAGCCATAGCAACAATTCAAGTGAAAGAGAACAGTACAGAGAGTGGAAATGGTGGGAGGTGGGGAGACACTGGGAAGATTTCTGGTCTAGAATGTTAGAGGTGGAAAGGATGGAGTTCTGGTCTAGAATGTCGGAGGTGGAAGGAATGGTAGGGCTAGGATTTTAACCCACCTCTGAGATGAACCAGTCAGTCCAGCTTCCTCATTGTATAGAAAGGGAAACTAAAATTCTTGGATAGAAGAAGTGTCTTATAAGATAAATTTAACAGGAGTGATCTTAGAAGCAGGGAAGCCAGCCAGGAATCCAGAAACCAGACATAAAGTAATAAGAGCTTGGAAGAGGGTAGGAGTAGCAGGAATTGAAAAGAAGCAGGTGGATATGAGGGCTATTGTAAAGGAAGCAAGACTGACAGAATGTGGGATATGGGATGAGTAAGCAATGACTCCATGATTTTAATGCTAGCTGAGTGGGGAAGCCAAGGAAAGAGCCCATTTTACAAGGGGAAGATAAGTTCCATTTTAGACATACTGGGGTATGAGGTAAAAAAGAAATATTCCAGTGAATACTATCAGACAGTGGAAAAGATTAAGACTAGAGATTCAGGAGTTATGAGATCTCATCGTTGCTTTCTTGAGGAAAAGAGGAGAGGGGGAAAGGATGGGGGGAGGGAGAATAGGGAAAGAAGAAACAGAGAAAAGAGTGCGGGGGGAGGGACTGAGTGCTGAGCCTTGAGGAATATCCACAGGATAGAGATAAGAGAGGCAGTCGATTTACAGAGGAGAATGGAGAAACAGCAAGAGAAGATGCAGAAACAGGAGAGTTCAGTATTACAGGAGCTATACTGGCAGCAGAGTTTGGAGAAGGTCGAGTCTGAATGGTTTGGAAACAATGCCAATGACTAGCAATACTAAGAACTGTTTAAATAATTAAATACAATGTGGCTGTTAAAAAATAGAGATAACCTTCTGTATGCTTGATAGGGAAAGATCTCTAGGATATGTAAGTGAAAAAAGCGAAGTGCAAAAGATTGTTTTAGTATGCTACCTTTTGTATAAAAGGCAAAATAAAGAATCTATATTGACATTTGCTTGTGTATGTATAGAGAGGCTCTGAAAAGACACACAGAAATATCTAAGCACAGTGGGAGGTAGTGGTGAAACTGGACAGATGAGAGACAAGGATGACTGGGAAACTATTCTCCGCCTTTTCATACTAACTACCTTTTAAACCACATAACTACATTACCTATTCAACAAATTATTGAAAAACAATAATTGTATAGAGAAAACAAGGATGATGAAAACAGTGAGAAGGCCAGTATATTTGGCCCTCAGGAAGACCTCATTGGAAGCCAGATTGGAGAGGATTCAGGAAGACAGGCAGTGAGGAAACAGAGACACTGAGCATGCACGTATATGAGCATATACAACATGCCTACATATAATGTATCTTTGGAAGGGTGTCTTTGGAAGAGTACACAAGGAATTGGTAACAGTGATTGCCACTGGGAAGGGAAATTAGGTGGTTTAGGGACATGAATGAAGAAAGATGTACCCATTTATATAGTTTTAAAAATTTTGTTCCATGAACATTTATCATCTATCCCCAAAATAAACATTTAAATAAATAAATTGTGCTAGAAGAGAAGGAAGGAGGGGAGAGGGAGAGAGGGAGGCCACCCCTCACTTAAAAAAAATTTATTGACAGAGAGGGCAGTAAGAAGGGTAGGTTTGTAGGGGCCGAGAGGGTCAAGTCTGGTTTTTTGTTTATTGCTTACTCCCCTTCTAGTTTGGGAGGCAACAAGAGCATGGGAAAGAACAGGCACTCTAAAATCAGATAAACTGGATTTTGAATACCAGCCCTGCCAGTTACTGGTCCAATGAATTCTGGAAAGTTACTTCCCTCTTAGCCTCAATTTCTGCATCTTGGAATAGGGACACTACTAAGTACCTCTTCGTGCATTATATTATTTCATCCTCAGAGTCTAATCTGTGTTTTTTAACAAGCTTCCCAGCAAAGTTGTAAACTGACTGATCTGTGAAACCCACGTTTTCCAATGCTATGAAACACAGAATATAGTCATCATAGTTAACAGTGGTATTAAAAAGACAATATGAAACACAGAAAGGGGCTTTGGGGCTGAAGTAAAATTTTAAGGTATAGTAGGACAAGCATAGGATTTGGGGTCAGGTAGAGTTGAGTTCAAATCACAGCTCTACCACTTACTGGCTTGGTTACTTGGAGAACATTACTTTGCCCCTCTGAACCTCATTATTTTCATCTGTAAAATAGGAATACTACTACTTAATTTACAGTAAGTAGAGATGAGAAGATTAGAGAGTATGCATATAAAATTCCCAGAACAAAATATGCATCTAATTAATGGTAACTCTGACGATCACCAGCCCGGAGTTAGGGTTCCCAAGCACATAAAAACAGCAATGCCAATTTTCTACTGTGCATTTCCATTCCCTTGACCCTCCGAACCAGGCCTGAAAACATAAAAGCACACGAGCTATCCCTTTGATTTTTCAAGCACCTATGAGGTCACCCAAAGAATTCCCTCCTGCCCTTTGAACCTTTAACTCATTCTCAAATGATTTACTGGCTGCCTGGCCTCCAAATGACCATGCTAGCAGCCATGTCCTTCCTATCTGAGGCTCTGTCCCTTTGATAACAACAGTGCCTCTGATGGGGTTTACCATTCCCACACTCTATGAGCCTGCTTCTAAGACAAAATTTTCAATCTTGGAAGGACTTAATACAAACAACAGTAAGGAGGAAGCTAACATTCTCTGCTTCTCTCACCAATGCCTGCAAAGGCTGGATCATCTCCTCTCTAAGGCTTTCTCAGTTTGTTTGTACTCCTTTCATACTTATTGTGATTGTGCTAAGGCCCTTTCGAGGCCTGTTCCTAAAGTCATTCCAGTGGGTGAACTCTCCAACAGTATCCTGGACAGGAACAAACTAAGAGAAGCCCTATAGTGTGTCTTTTAAACTGTCACAGTACTACTACTGTGAATTTCAACCTGTTCCCTTTAGTGCCCTTACATAACCTAATTGACTGCCACAGAGACAGTTAACCACCAATGAGATTAGACCCCATTTGGAAGGAAGACAGAGTGAGTTCCCTTTGGCCCTTCTCAGCATTCTCAGCTTTGAGTAAAATAGGGAGAATAGCAATATCATGGTCAAATAATAAGGACACTTAAGACACTGGGTATAAATACCAGACAGTGACTCACATCCAAGGCCAGTCAGACACAACATGTCAGAGCTTGCTTAAGAAAAAGTGAAAACACATGCATATACATTCACACATACACACACAGAGTGTGTTCACCCAAAGCTACTGCCTCTCAGCTAAAGCAGTGAAACACTTGAGTTTCACTGAAGACACACACTACACCCACCTTAAACACATAGCAACAAGTGGGATGGCTGTTGTTTTAAGAGTCTCACAGCAACGCGTCCCAACACCATAGGAAATGCTGCAATCATCAGCCAGCCGGCCTCTCCCACATGCAAACCTCGGAACACAGCTTACACACAGGAACTCCAGCAGCAGCATGAAATTCAACTGTTATAAACCAAACTTCAGGCAGCCTGGGGACAAGCAGGTAGCCAACCCCATCCTCTACTGCTCCTTCTCATCCTGGGTTGCCTCTGGGATCCTTCTCAACTTCTGTCCCCAACATTATTTTCTTCTAAGTGTTCCCTCTGCCTCTAGTTCCCATGTGTGTGTCATTCAAGGCTCACCCCACTTAGGTGGGGTGTCACACAAAGTTTGGGAAACTTGGCCAGTATATCCAGATCATCTAGTCATATTCTCTAATTTAGGCTTGGAAGTGGAAAGGGGAAAGATTACCAATCACGGAGTAAAAAATTTTTGCTTGACTCTTCTTACATATTATCTAAACCAGCAAACCATGATGGAGAGTCTACTCTGTGCTGACTATGGAAAATATATAGAAGATACAGCCATTGTCGTCTAGAAGATCTTGATCCAGCAAACCAAACACAAGACAGCCAAAGTACCCAAAGACAGCTACTGGAAAATCAGAACTCCGGCATTTCAGAGGGGAGGTTCTGATTGCTTCCACCAGGAGCAATCAAAGATGATGCCCTAGAGGCTTAGAGGTAGGGCTTGAAGGTTAGGTCCTATGGAGAGGGCCAGAGAAGTGAGAAGTCCTTCCAAGGATGCAGTGTGAAGTCTAGCCACTGGAAAGAACATCATGGTGAGAAAATCGGAGGCCAGAATTTCCCAGGTGGGTTTGGGGAACAGAGAGGTAACCGTTCTGCCTGAAAACCTGGGGCCTGGAAGGATTGCTAAGACTGGAGCCAGATGGAGAATGGTCTGTAATACCAGGCAAAAGTAGTTTGGGCTCTATTCTACAGGCAGCAGGGAACCATTAAATAATTTTAAGGGAGGGAGGAGGGGATGATCAAAGGGAAAGAAACCATTGAGGAGGCCACTACAGTAGTGTAGTTGTTCCAGAATGAGGCTTCTTCCTGCCTGTCCCAGCTCTTGCAAGATCCTCCTTCAAAGCTGCCCTTTCCCATCTGAGCTCACTAAGAGCTCATTACTATGCAACTCTTTTGAGTTGAGAGATATATCAATGATGTTTCTTATTCTGAATGAGGCTCCTAATGTTGTACTGAAGTTGGGTCAAGGGCTTGAAAAAAAACAGAAGCTTCATCTGAATCTCCCAGTTTAGATGAAAGGGAAGTATGATACATTATTTCCATTGCTGCAACAGAATCAGTTGGCTTGATCCCTGGGGTCACTGGTCTCCTCTAAGATGCCAACGTGGTAGGGAAAGGAGGGAAGGGGAGAGGGAGAAGGAGGGAGGGAAGGAGAGAGAGAGAAAGAGGAGAGAGAGAGAGAGAGAGAGAGAGAGAGAACACGTACTGCCAGCATGGGGCAAAACCTGATTGTCAAGTGCTTTTCTGGGGCCTGTTCCAGATCACTGTCACTTATAGACTTAGACTAAAGTTCAGCCTTAAATTAGGGCTCCAAGCTAGGGGATGGGAGATGGAAGGGCCCCACCTGGGTCTTAGCAGTGGGAATTAACTCTCCCTGATCCTTAATTATTTTGGCTTTTATTAGTGGCTAGATGGGGAGAGGGATGTAACCTGAACCCTAATGCAGCTGAGAAGGGCTAAGAGCCAAAACCCTCTTTAAGCAGATACAGTATGTGCAAGGTCTGGGCAGGTTTCAGAACACTGCACTTTTCTTCAGCCAAAGGCATGGGAAAAACACGCAAATTACATCTTGAGCCCCTTACCTCCAGAAAAGGAGAGTATCAGCCTCCCACCAGGGCTCACGCAACAGAGGGAAGTTAGCAAGCAGGCGCTTGTAAAAATCAGAGCACTTGGGCAATCTTTTACACAAAAATCTCCCCAGCAGCTACAGATTCAAATCAATTTCAAATATAAATTACAAGCTATTTCATGTTGTTAGAGAGAGGAGCTAGGTAAAGGAACCCATGTGGTCATTAGCCTTTTAGCAAGAAGTGACTTTAGTCTACAAGAAGGTAGGGAAGGAGTTAATTTAGACCAGGTTGCATGGCATAAGCATCTTTACAACATTCGGATTTTCAGTTCTTCACCATGTAGAAAATCGGGTGATGTTGCACAAAAGTGGCAACGGAAAGGCATTCCAAGAAGTGATTCCTATCACTTCAAGTTCTAAGTTATACAAAATGAACTTTAGCCAGTAACACCTCAGTTGACAAAGCATCCCACAGATTGGAGGAGATAGCAAGACAAAGCTATGGCCAGGAAAGCCCATTAAATAACAATGCAGGTCTGTTCTACTATCTTTGGGGCATAAGATTGTCTGGCAATTAACTCGTTTCCACAACAACCAGTAGATTAGTAAATTGTCTGTGTTGATCATTATGTTCCTAAAATAATGCTTTGTTGTTTTAACTGATCAGTGGCTTTAAATAAACATGCTCCCCAACTGCCTAGGGACTTTTTGATTGGCCTACAGACACTTCAGTCTCAGAAGATCCAAAACTGAACTAAACCTGGTTGGTCTTCCCAATTCCCATAATCTCTCAGAGCCTTCTAGATTTTACATATTAGATTAATCCCTGACTCCTACCTCTTCTTCATTTCTTCAATGGTATGCATTATCACTAACTTCTGGCAACTCACTAATGTATGACAAGTCAGCAAATTGCCAAGATGGGCTGATTCCTTCAAAATGACCTTACCTATCTATTGTTCAGTTCAGGTCTTTCCTCATGGAAGCAATTATGTGACTGGTACTGTGCTAGGTGCTTTATTCTTGAGATCAGATGAGATCGGACAGGTTCAGGGTGGTATGACCATAGACTAGGTGCCTTATTCTTAATACACTGATTATCCAAACCACAAAATGGCTACCTACTTCCAACTTGCATCCATTCTATAGCCCAGTTTTCTGGGGTATCCAGAATACCTGGCTCAAATCCATTCACCTTTATATCCCACTAGTCTGCAAGAATCAAGAAGATCTCCACTGACTCACTTATGTAGCCATCCACACAAGCAATATGACATTGGGCAAGTCACCTAATCTTTCTTCAATTTCCTCATGTGTAAAATGGAGTTAATAAATTAGCTAACATGGTGAAACCCCATCTCTACTAAAAATACAAAAATTAGCCAGGTGTGGTGGCACACGCCTGTAGTCCCAGCTACTCGGGAGGCTGAGGTAGGAGAATCGCTTGAACCCGGGAGGCGGAGGTTGCAGTGAGCCGAGATCACGCCACTGCACTCCAGCCTGGCAACAGAGAGAGACTCCGTCTCAAAAAATAAAATAAAAGAGCTAATATGTGTTAAGTTAGAAAACTAGTGCCCAGAATATGCACTATAAAGTATTTGTTAGAAAACAAATAAAAGTGACATCTATGGAGCTCTGTGCTGGTTTCATTGGCCATAGGAAGAATAGCTCAGCTCCTAGAACAGGCACTCAATAAAATTTAATGAATGAATTAATAAGTGGATAAATGAACAAACACTACATGCTCTGCCCTTATGCTGTTAGTCAACACACTGTGGAGTGAACAAACTGGTCTCAGTCTTCTGTCTGTGTCTTTAGGACATGCAGTGCTTGTAGTAACTGGAATCAACGTCCTTCTTCCTCCCAGGCCTACCTACCTAAATCCTGTATTATCCCTCAAGGCCTAGCTCCAATTCTTCCTTTTTTCACAAAACACCCAGCTACATCAGCCCACAATGAAATCTCTTCCCACTGAATAAATGTTGCTCTTAGATCCTACCCCACAGTTTCAGTACTTAAAGCTTTTTGTTTCCTGGGCTTATAGTAATGCAGCTCTTCAACAAAACTGTCATCTCTTTTGAGAATCCAGAAACCAGGTCTTCTATGGTGGCTAACTCTTGTATTCTCTAGTTTAGGGTTAGGCACTTTACAAAGTGCTCAACAAATCTGTGTTGACTGGTTGGTTGGTTAGTTGATCAGTTGATTGATTGATTGATTGATTGATTGGAGGCCTAACTGAGAGCTCTTAAGATGTTAGCCTTTCAAAGTGCTGGCTGTTCAGACATTAGCAGAAATCATGGCTGGTCTTCCAACTTTTTGCAGTAGCAGACATTACACGAAAGCTGCCCTGCCATTTCACATAATTCCCAATGATTAGGTAACTTCATACACTTCAATTTTTAGGCTCAAAATTTTCTTAAGAGAATTCCTGTTTAATAAGGGACACCTGTGGAATGCGCTTGCTTGCTTTCTTACATCACATATACTGCTAATAATAATATGAAATAAATGATAAAATGAATCTCTCTCCCTACTGGACAACAGCGCAGGTTGTATTACTCTCATTTTGCAAATAGGGCAATTGAGATAGAGAGATGAAAATGACTTCCCAGGGTCACACAAATGAAGAGTGGCAGAGTTGGGACTAAACTTTAGGCTTTCTGAATACCGACCCAGTCCCCTTACCTTGATTTGAGATTTAAAACAAAACAAAGACCTTCCTTTGACCCTGACCTCTGAGGAATAGATACTCATAATATTATCAGTTTCTGCATCAAATTTCATTTCCCTCATTTCCCTCCCTCCGTCTGTCCCCCAACCTCTCATTCTTATCTAGTTCTCTTCTATTTCTCTGTCTTTCACCTGTGTAAACACACTATTTTAGAAAGAGCATGGGATTTGAAGTTGGACAGAAGTAAATTTGAATGTCAGTTGTCCCACTTACTATATGACTTAGAGTCTTTCACTTAACTTCTCCTGAGTCTCGGTTCTTCATCTGCACAATGGAGACATTAATATCTGGCCTCAAAGAGTTACTGTAAAAGTTAAATGAAAATACATGTAAAACACCTAGAAAATAGCAGTATTTGCTATACAGCGGTCCACTACCTCTCCGATCCCACCATGTCTAGGCTTTGACCACCTTTGGGTTCAAGAGGTTACTGAACTCAATGAGGCACAGCCACACAACTGAAGTATCCAAATCCTTGCCTGGTCTACTTTTGCTTGTTGTCTTGATCCTTCCTGATCGCCAATTTAAGTTAATACAGAGCTCCAAACTCTTGTCAAATCCTCTACAGAATGTGAGAGTCAAGCCTGATACTTACCCCCTGAAGCTTCAAGATGTCATCACTCACACTCTCAGTCAGAGTAAGATGCCATCCAAAGCTGCCTACCTGTAGAATTTTTCAGGGTGGCTTTTACTTATATCAAACACAAACAAAAAGAAATGGAAAACAGCAAGGCAGCCCAACAAAGACAAGGCTTTAGCTTGTCATCCTCTCATAAGTAAAGATGGGGCTACAGCCATAAGACTCTAACTCCTTTCCAGAATAACTAGTCAAACCAGCTTTACTTCTAGCTCTACCTCATCTCACCTCCAACCCCCTCCCCGAAACGAAAAATCAGTTTCTTATGGACCGTGAAAGGCAGTATAGGAGAACCATTGAAAACTTCCCTGCCAGAGGCTCAGGAAAAAAGAGAGAAGATCATACAGCTAGGAAACTGTTGAGTGGCATTAGGGTGGGGGACAGAAGACACCACAAAGGGGCTGTTCGTAACTGGGCTTAACCCTTGATCCTGTCAAATTAGTCCCACCTCCCGCATTCCTCACAGATGTAACATTAAAAGAGTTGAGTGAAAGTTAACAGACCATGTCCTCCCTGAGAACATACCAGGAAACAGCCACTTCTAGAAAGATAGGAAGTAGGAGTGTGGAGAAAAGCAATGCACTCCAAGAGCTGCCTGCTGTCAGTCAGCCTTCACACTTCCACAGCCTAGACCAAGTAAGGGTCCTTAGCAACCCTTCAGTAAAGCAAGAACTTGTCCCATGGAGGGTATGAGAAGAAACAGGAGGGTGTGGAGAGCCAAAGTAGCATGCCATGATTATTCAGCAAGTTGATAAAAGAATATAAGAACAGAGATTCTGTCCATCACTGAAACAGGATAGAGAGAGATGCAGTGTGAGGAAATTTCCCTCTGATTCTGTTATGATTTGCTGATTGTTTTCAAACCTATCAACCTCAACTCTGTGAGCTTCTCTCTCCCTCCTCCCTACCCACCACCCCTCCCCGCCACCACTGGAAGCATGGCTGAGCCAAGAGGGACAAAGCTGGTACAGCAGACTAGAAGGGCTCACTGTGACCAAAAAAGAAAAAAAAGTTGGGTTTTGGACAGAGGGCAGGGCAGTCAATGAATGAACAAAGGGGCAATGGCACTTGAATGAGACGGTCCAAAATGTAGGCCTCAAGCAACTGGTGCTCTTGGGTGGGGGATGGGAACTAAAGACTTGACATGAAAGAAGGACAGCCTAGATGCATGGAAAATGTGTCTCTGTTGCTACTAGGCAGTACTTGTGTTGCGATATGGTACAGTCATAGATTCACAGTGAAAGAGGAGGATGTGGATGTGAAGTCAAAGGGGAGAGGTTAGAGCTCACTTTGAAAGATCAAGTCATCTTGACTTTTGCAACTTCAGTGCGTGGCCAGGATGGCTATCTGACCAAGCAAACATGCCAGTGTGATGTGAGGAAGAATGGATCATCCGTTGCAACACTAATGCGTAAGACAATTTTTCCACTTGGCCTATTTACACTGGATAGGGCAAAGAGGTATAAGGAGACAAACCTCTACCCCTTCCCAGTCCTTGGAACCCAATCTTTAGCCATAAAAAATAGTAACTCAACTTATTCATTAATGATTTTATTGAATTATGTGTGAAGGGAGTATATCTCAGGGAGCACCAGGAGACAAAATTTTGGCTCCATGGAAGCTGAGTGAAAGTGATCTTGATACCGACATAACCAATATAAAAACGTTACTTGCTGATTACAAGATAACTCTCAGGGAAACCTGGAATTCCGTTTCAGAGGGAAATGTAACCATGCACACACATCTGGTCCCAGCATCAAAGGTATGAACACCTTGGGCACTAATGGTAGCAGAATCCCAAACTCCCCCAGAACTGTGTAACAGAGCTATCTAGAGCACTTTTTGTTCCTAACTTATGAATGCATTGTTTCCCAAGAATATCTTCTATAAATAAGCAGCTTGGAGCTTTGAATTCTGTTTCCTGTAGATAGGACATTATAAATGATGGTTAGGTTGTGTAATTTAATCAATGATACACTATGGATTAAATAGGCTTCTCCAGAACTGTTCTGAATGTAACCATTATAAATAACATTGTGTCAGTGAAGACACGTTTCCTAGACCTCTACACTCTCTTCCTCAGACCCCTTACCCTTCAGTAATAATATAGATTAAGCCCCACTCCAATCCACTCCCTGATCGAGGCTTTAGTAGTAACGAAAGATATTTTTCCAGCTCAGATGACAACTGGTAAATGTGGGGAGATGGGGAGAAAGAGGCTGTGGATGCAAGACCTCCAGCAGGAGTCACTCTTGTGTGTATTCCAGGTACAGACAGAAGAACCCAGAGCTGAAGGATGGCAGCAACAGCAGGGGCTTTTCCAATCAGTGTCAGTGGAGGTATGCAGGGAAATATATATCTGACAGTGGATAGGGACAGAGACTGCTGTCTCTATATTCCTACATAGGGGCTCTGTAAATTGAAGAGTGTATGGCACATATGGTTAGCATCTTCAATCTTGGAGACAACTATTCTTTCCAGAAGGGGAAAAAATTAAGTTCAGAGAGGTAAAAAGGAAATAAAAAAGATCTGGAATTCTGACTTTGACACTATTCATTAAATGCCATTTCCTTCTTCTATTATACAAATTCCTTCTCTGTAACTTAATAATCTCTTTGTTTAAACATACATGTTCCTTGAAGTCAGGGCTTATATCTTCTCTCTCATCTCCCCTACGATGCATTTACCAAGGCTGGCCAGGGCTAGGGGCAGAGGCAATTCTAAATAAATAGTAGGAGATGAAATGTGTCCCTCCCAAATCTATTATGTGGCTGTCCCAGATGCCTTCATAGAGGCCTTAGGCAGGTATGGCTTAATAGCAGCACAGCTACTTCCATTAAAAGATTTTGACACAGGGCCTTGGTATGACATGGCCGCCAGAAAGAGCCAAAGTGATCTTCAGCTGTATTTTTTTAAAGAATGTTCATACTCAACTGTGGTCAGATTCTCCTCAGTTACAGTATTCAGCTGTGGGATCCATAACTTAAGAGGAACATGGACAAGCTGAAGTGCATCATGAGTGGGAGGAGGAAACAGGAGGAGAGGCTGGAATCTACATCCCATAAGGAACAGCTGAAAGAGCTAGGGCTCTGCTAGAAAAGTGAAACAAGATGATATAATATTTGCCTTCAGATATCCCAAGGGCTGTCCCAAGACAGAGGAAGCACCCTTGTTCTGTGTGATGCTATCCAGAGGATACAGCTAGGACCCATGGATGATCGCTAAAAGGAAAACGATTGCAGCTTAACAAAGGAAAAGCTGTCCACAGTCAAAACTTTCCAGCAACAGAATGGATAGGCTTAGAAGGGAATGAGCTCCCCTGTGACTACTGTAGAACAAGCTCAGGGACACTGCACAGGAGGCTCATGAAATGGTTAAGATTAGACTAGGTGACTTCTAAAAGGCTCTCTTTACTCTGAGATTCTTTGATTCTAGGTCTCTACCAAGAACAGAATTACTCTGGGAGCACTGAGTTAAGTCTGCCCCTTGGTGCTTGAGGGGTAGAGGGGCAGGCAGTGAGAGCAGCCCTTCCCATAATCCCTGCTGTTCTTCATTAACTTTTCTCAGATGGGTCAGCATCTTTTTTCCCTTAGTTCTAAAGAAGTCTAACTATAAAAGCCATGATGTTCCCTCCAGATAATCATCCATAACCTCCAATCTCAAGTCTGAGTCTCTCTTTTTTCTTTAAAGAAATTCCTGGGGAGGGGGTTGGGGAAGGCAAGGGGGGAAATCATTTTAATTTTTTTAAGGGACAATGGAGTTGAATTATTTTCTTTGTGTGAAGTTTTGGAGAGGGAAAATCCTCTAATAGGCTTGACCTTTTTTAACTTCAGCAAGCATACATGTGGCTCTCAATGGGGTACCAGGTGTATTATGAAAACCCAGCAGGGCCAAAAGTAGTATCGACTCAAAGCTCAGCCAAGGGTTACCAGCCATACCACCCACCCTTCTTGCTCCACCTCCCTCCAACCTTCTTTGTATCTCTCTGATGGATTTCTAATCCATGCCTCAAAATGCCCTCTACTTTCTGGGATAGGGCAGCAGGTGGGAAACTGAGGTAGTGGACATCTTTGGTGATTCTAGAGGCAGAAATGAGGAGGGGATTCATGTAGGTAACCAGGCTGGACTAAGCTCCAAAGATGCACACCCCACGAAGGTCCCTTTGTGAGTGCCAGGCACTGGTCTGTAACACAGCTCAAAAGATTTCACAGGAACTCTCATTGTTCACATAATACCACCTCTGCACCCAATAAGAATTCAAAATCACAGCCAAATTTACTTCCAGCCACAAGACAACCTCTATCTGAGTTTATCCAGATCCTCTTGAAGTCTCAACTGCCTCTCTGTGTGCTTCTAGAAATAAGGTCAGACTAGGAATGGAATACAGACTAAAACAACTTGATGAGCATGCCCTGCCACTGTCCTAGGCTAAGGATGGCAAACACTATTAGAGTTTGCCTAATTCATTGTCTCATCATCTGTGATAATAGAGATGGGGCAGTTATGCCTAGGCCCCACTCTGCAAATAGAGACTTGGGTCTGGAGAGTGTAAAATTATATAGCAATATCAGAGCACATCAAGTGGATGGGAGTAAAGCTTCTTTCTCCTCCAGGTTACTCCCCTACCCCACTCTGTTTTGTTCCAGGGCAGTAACTAGCCCCACTTGCTTCACTATGCCAGATAGAAACATCTACCATAAACGAGCCAAGAAAAGGGAAAATATGTTAGCATGAGCCTACATATCATCAGACACATCTGATTAGAAGAGAATCCCCATTCCATCCAGACAGTACTTCTGAGTCAATGAGGTAGCGTAACATGTTAACCAAAGGAATCAATAATGCCAATGTCATGGGCCCTATTCCTTTATGGGTCATGTATCTTTTACTTGTTACCATGATCTCACTCGAAACACCACAATATAGGGAAACATCATAAACTATCCCTTATTATTTAGGATAATCAATCGTATTTTATTTTTTGGAGGTGGGGTCACACTATGTTGCCCAATCATGGTACACTGCAGCCTGGAATTCCTGGGCTCTAGGGATTCCTCTTACCTAAGCCTCCTGAGTAGCTGGGACTACAGGTGCAAGACACCGCATCCAGCAATAGTATTAAAAAATTTTCTCTTTCTTTGCCACTTGACTGTCGGGGGGTACTATACAAGTGTCCATAAATCAGGCAGTTGAATTCCCCATATTCAGGGAAATCATAGGAACCAGCAGGAATTGATGATTTCCCCAACTTGATCATTTCCTGGTCCAAAGGGTCTCCCATGACAACTATGAACTAGACTTTCACACTGCATACCCTCTTCCCCCACTAATCACTACTTTTTCAAATTCCCCCACTCCCCAGATATCTCCACTTGTGCCACAAGATATCTCTGAGCATGTATGCCACACCATCCCTGATGCAAACCGCTTCTGGTTTTTTTTCCACAAAGGAGGTTCTCTGCCATTTTCCACCATGCTTCCTGCACCTTACCTCTGTCTCTCCCTGACCTGAGATCATCACAAGTGATTTGGGGTCATCAAAATAGTCCTTTCCTACTCTGAGCCCAGACTCCATCAGAGTGTACCTACAACCCAGTCCGTCACCAAGTATGGAATTACAGGCTGGCATGGAAAGGGACACTGCATTAGGAGGCTAATAAGACTAGATACATCCCTGAAAGTTATTGCCCTGTGCTCCTTCACAAACCACAGTACTAACAGAAGAATCAGAAACTCTCTTAGTAGGACTGCCATTGACTCTCAGTATGATAGACATAGGTAAGCCACTGAATACATCAGTCTCGGGTTTTCCATCAGTTTCTCCACAATCTTTCCTGACTGCCTCACAGTGTAGCTGCAAGAGAGTAATGAAATAAAGGATGAGGAAGCACATTGTAAATAGTAACACTGTATGCAAATGAAGCAAAGCTTCATTTTCCTCACTCTGCAGCAACACTTCTGAGAAGAGAGCCAGAGCTAGCATAAAAGATTAGCTATTTGGCCAGGAGTGGTGGCTCACGCCTGTAATCCCAGCACTTTGGGAGGCTGAGGCAGGCAGATTGTTTGAAGGAGTTGGAGACCAGTTTGGGCAACATGGTGAAATACAAAAATACAAAAATACAAAAAATCAGCCAAGCATGGTAGCGTGTGCCTGTAGTCCCAGCTACTTGGGAGGCTGAGGTGGGAGGGTTGCTTGAGCCTGGGAGGCACAGGATGCAGTGAGCCGAGCTGGCACCACTGTACTCCAGCCTGAGCAACAGAGTGAGACCCTGTCTCAAAAACAAACAAACAAAAACATGGCTACTAGATTGTCATAGTATCATTTAAAGACCACCCACTTGAATGTCATTTTAGATATGGGGATGCCTAGACCCAGGTAGGGCAAGTGATATACCTAGGATTCCAGAACTAGAGAGTGGCAGAAAAAGGATTAGAACCCAAGTTTTTAATCTGCCAACCCAATTATCTTTCTATTACCTTCCACCCATCCCAACCAGTGTGTACAGACTAAGAAGGCTGTTTTCAAGGAGAAAGCTGTATTGTTCTGAATCATAAAAGGAAATAAAATCAAGGTTGAAAAATGAAGAGGGAATTAATGAAATATGCCAAAACAGTGTCTTGTCAAGAAAAACACAATACAGGCAATCATTGTGCTTAAAAAAATACTATGGTCCCTTTATATACCGTTGAAGCCAACCCAGTTATAACTGACTTTTACTGTTAAGAACTAGGCTATTTGGGAGGAATGGGAGAAATAATTTTATCCCTTGCATATCTAAATGCATGTCATAATGAGCCTTCATATAATAGGGGTCAACTGTACATTCAGTGGAAAGGGAATCATTAAAAGGCACCCTGCCTCTCAACACACGAAGCACTTCCTCTACAGCTTGGCCAAGGAAACCCTCATCTACCCTCTCAAATAATCCCCCAGCCAGACCACAAATTGCTGGCTGCCCCATACTTAGTAACACCCCCTGCCATGCTCTCACTGGCTCACAAAATAATCCGGGACCACAGCAGCAAGCACTCTCTGGGGTGCTTCTCAAGATGGGTCAGCTCTGGGCAGAGCTGAAAAATGACCTCTCCAAGGCAGGTTGTCTAGGCAGACTGTGGAAATTCTGTGGGCGGTGTGAGGAGAAAAAGAAAGGGAGGAACTGCCAGATCATGGAGGGCTGCATATCCCATTGTGACCTTGGTGGAAAGAGTGGGGAGAGGAGGAGCTTGATTAGAAGAAATTCCTGAAGGCCAGGATTCCCCTCACCAAAGGAGTTGAGTGTTTTTGTTAAAAAAAAAAAAAAAAAAAAAAAGCATATAACTTTCTCCAGAGAACACTGGAGGGAGACTGCCTCAGGAGGGGTTGTGACAGTGGATGACAAACGCATCTCAGGCTGGTTAAAGTACATGACAAGTATGGGGGAAAGGGTGCTGGATGAAGATCTGGGCTAGTTTGGGGAGGCTAATGATCAGAGGGGTCCCTGCCAGCCCCTCAAAATGTTGCCTCAGCATACCTCAGACTCCTCAATCTGATTGGTACACCCATGGCAACACTCCAGGGTTGCTAAGAGTGTGGGCCCCAAGGCCTGAAGGATCCCATACACTGGAAGTCAACCACAGGCTCCAATGCAAGGCGAATGCCGCACAGGTTATTGTGGGTGTGTGTTGCGGTGGACGTTTGCTGAACCCTCTGCTGAGATGTGACCAATGTTGAACCCCACCCCCCCGCAAAAAAAAAGTGATATTTGCTCCCTGCTGAAAAGACACATCTTTCTATCTCCAGCCTGAACCCACATCTACAACTTCAACTGCCATTTAAGCGGGTTGGAAGCGGGAGGGCTTTTCGGATTTGAGGATTTAAGAGAAACAACAAAAAAGTGGAATAAAGTTCGTAAAGTCCGTTCACTTGGCAATCTGGCACCTCAAGGTGAGTCGTCCCACAAGTCACTCTTCCTGGTAACAGCTCCAGCTGCCCCTACCCCTCGCCCTCACCCCTACGGGGGAGGCTCGCTTTGGGGGTTCTGGAGCACTCAGGAGAGCTCCTCTCTCCTGTCCTCAGCTGCAACTTGGCTTCCAGCAGATCACAGACTCCTAAAACAAACAAACCCTGGCGGCGGCGGCGGCGGCGGCAGTGGCGGCGGCGGCGGCGGCGGCGGCGGCAGCGGCAGCAGCAACAGCAGTAGCTCCAGCACAGCTGCGCTCCATGGCGCAAGTTTCCTCCACACTTCTCAACGTGCAGGAAATCTCGCCGGCGCTGGGGCAGGACTCTGGAGGGAGGGAGAGGCCGAGCCGAACCGGCGGCAACAACGCCCCAAGAGCTGAATGGATGTGTGCGCGTCCGGCCGTGGGAAGTGTGGCTGGCAAAAGCCACCAATGGCCTCATCTCCGTTCCCACACCAGCCCCTAGCCCTGCAACCTGCCTGGGAGGGACGGCCCGCCGGTCGATAGAGGGGACAACGCTGCCAAGAGAGCTGCCAAGCCGCGATGACTGTCCCTTCAGTCCTTCACTGTCCCGCAGGGACGCAGAGGCCTCCAAGGAGAAATCCCCAACAGCCTCCACTTCCTTCGGCCCAAACTGAGGGAAGTAGCCGCCCCGACGTGGGGCAGCAAGGGCTGCCCCAGCGCCCTCGCGAGTGTGTCTGCGCGCAAGGTTCTAGCCGGGGGCCAGTTGTGCTCCCAGCTCGTGTTCCAGCCACCCTTAGGGGATGTCTGCACCTGGACTGGTGGCAAGACCCCTCCGTGCCGCTCAGAGGGTCTTTCGCTCCCAGCCCTAAGTTTCAAAGTTGGCCTGAGGGCCCCGTCCAGCGGCAGCCTTCGCACCCGCTTGTCCATTCAAAGTTAGGCGCCGTTAGGACATCAGCCGCCAGTTCTTACCTTAGACACTGTGAGCGGCTCACAGTGTTCCAGACCCCCCTTAAGGGTGAAGCCCCAGGGTGCCCCCCCTTGCAGCTGCACAGGGACGTACTGGAAGGACCCAGGCCGGTTCTCCATCCTCGGCTGGGCTCAGGCGCCGCCGGGCTCCTTTTCCGAGGGGGCTACGTTGCCTCCGCCCCCAGCAGCTCCGCCACCATCGCCCTCCAGCTCTACGCCACCCCGCACCGCCCTGCTCCGCCTACTCTCCCGGCTGGAGACGCTCAGGCAGCGAGCGAGCGCAAGGAGGAAATGACACGGAGCTGGAGAAAGGGGGAGAGAGGGGGGAAAAGGAGAAGGGAAAAAAAGAAAAGAAAAGAAAGAAGGAGAGGCGGAGGGATAGCGCGTAATGGACAAGAAAACGGAGCAATGGGGAGGGGCAGTCACTGGGACCTCGCCTATAGGATCGCTGGGGAGTGGGAGCGAGGCGAGGCCTCACATCAATTGTTACATTGTTTCATTCAAGCAGGGCCCCTCTTTGGTCCTCCTCTTTACTGCCGGGTTCCCCGCCCCTCCAGCCAGCCCAGGCGAGGGGAGGTGAAAGTCGTTAGTGTGGACGGCCCGCGTGGCTGAGTGGGCTGAAACGCTGGTTTCCTGATTAGCGCGTTCATGTTTCTCTGACTGCCTTTTTCTTCTGAAGGTCCCGAGAACGGAGACCTGGGAGGGTTAAAAGGCTGCTAATTTGTGGACCTTGCCTAGAGGGGTGGAAAGCAAAGCCAGCAGGCCAGCGGACATAGTGAGGCTGTGTGTGTAGACTGCTCTGTGTGTACGCGCTAGGTGTGTGGGGTCATTATGAAACATTGCCCCAGAGCATAGTTTAAATAAAGAAGCACTTTGAGGATGCCCCCTGCTCGGGCTCCCCCGCACCCTGGCTCAGTGTTGGTGTCTATGGCTAGCACTGTGCTTGTGTATGTTCCAGTCATCTGGAGTTCCTGGCACGGCCTTGCACTTGCCCCACCGAGATGAGCAAGCCAGCAATCAGCAAACTTTATGACTAGCAGTATTGTCTCTAAACAAACCTACAGGAAAGAGCATCCATTGATAAGCTGGCCAATTAATAATGTTGTGCCTTTGGGAAGAATCAGCTTTTAGACTGGGTCCAGAACATCTCTGCACATCTGTTCAAGCTTGACCTTGTAGTTTCTGAGCTGGGCTTTTGTAATAGACCAAACAGCCACAATAATAGTCCTGAAAAGCGAATTTGTTACTGAATCTTGTGCTGATTTCTCTGCCTTCACTTGGACAGGTTATCTTCTCTCTTTGAGGTGTTTTCTCTGGAGCCACATGCGGGCAGTGAATTTTTAAAGGGCCTCGCACTAGCGGAGAAAGTGTTGACAACTCAGTTGTGACTCAACAGGATGTTCCCACTCTGTCTCGCCTGTTCAGTTTCTTCCCCTGTTCTTGTGCAGCTTCTTCTTCATGGCCAACAAACACACTGCGGCCCCTTCCTTCACAGCCAGCTTTCTGCGGTCAAGGTTTCCACTCTCTACTTCTACTTCCTCACCTGTCACTGCCTCTTCAACGCACAGCAGCCTGCGGTGTGCTGCAGCAGGCCACTGAAATGTCTCTCAAAGTCACCCCCCTCCATCAATCCTTTTTTCTTAGCACCCCCCTGGACTGTCTGCATATATGATGCTGCCCTGACTTTTCTTTAATAAAATGGCAATTTAGGTGTTTATAGCCTGCCTTTTTAAAGTCCTTAGAGATGATGCACATGGGAAACCATCCTCGATCTTTTAGGCCTACAAACACCGTCTTGATCATGTTTATTGTTTTATATTTTCCTTATTTGAAAGCAGAAAATTTGATAAAATGGCAACTCAACTTGTTGATTCTTACTTGTGTTAACCTATGTTATAACATTCATTTGCCCTGCCCCACCTTGAAACTCAGCATTTTTTTTCTTTTTCGGATAATATTTCTATGATTGTAACTTGGTAGAATCCAGCGTGTTTCAGTCCCAGCATATCTGTAAAGTTCAGTTCACAGGATATATAGTCATCACTCAAGGACTATTAGAATTATGTGTCTAGACTAGAGGAAAGACGTTTGGAAGCAGTAGACACACATCTGAGCCCTGGCCTTGTCACTAACTAGATGGGTGACCTTGGGCAAATCACTGAGCTAACTCTTTTCAGTCTCCTGTTCTTCCTCTGTAAACTTTAGCTAATAAGCCCTGACTTTCCTACCTCCCAGGACTGTTGAGAGACTAAGATGAAATAATACATATGAAAACACTTTGGTAAGGAAAAAGTAAAAATCCTCTCACAACCTTATTATGAAAGCAAGCACTGAGCTAGTCTTTAACTAACCTATTTTCATTCCAAGCCTTACTCTACAATGATGTCTTGTTGCACTCTTCAGTTTATCCTTTTCATCATTACAGCAGAACATAAATTACCTAGCCCCTTGTACAAACAGTGCATAAGTAGTAGATATTCTGAACATAAGGTGGCTAGATTATCTTGCTTCTTTATTGATAAAAATCAGTGCTGCTAGCAGGCATCTCATTCTTCTTTGGAAGTATACAGTTAGTGGTAGCATGACTGCATAGTGGAAAGGGTACAGGGTAGAACTTGAGATGCCTAGATTCTAAGCTAGTTCTGCCATTAATTCACTGTGGATATTAAGCATGTCACCCCCACTCTCTGTAAGTTGAAGGGGTTGAGCGACTTGATTTCTTAAGTTCCTCTACAGTTTACAAATTCTGTGACTACTTCCTGGCAAGTGCCTGAACGTAGTATATGTGCAAACAAAATCTTGATAGAGTTGAACCAAGTAAAAAGAAAGCAATGGAGAACATTCGAGGGGTATATTACTCTGTGTGTGTGTGTGTGTGTGTGTGTGTGTGTGTGTGTAAAGTGCATGCACACGCTGGAGCTATCAGACAGATGATAAATTCATTCTAAAGTATGTTAAATTGCCTGTGGGGAAAAGGTGGAAAGTCCACTAGGCAGGTAGAAATAGGAAACTGCATATCAAGGAAGGGGTGGTGATTGATAATACACACTTGGATGATAACTGAAGCCATTATTTGCAGTATATAATCTCACTCAGAGAAATTAGAATCTCACCCAGAAAGTAGAATCCTGGATTATGCTAATATTTAAAATATGCTAATATTCAAAAGTCAGGAAGGATAACAAAAGACCCACAAGGGAGTAGACACAGGAGGTGGGCAAAAGGCCAACCAGGGAGAGATAAATTAAAACCAGGCTAGGTACTTCCACCTCATTAAACATTCCTCTCAGGAGTCTTGTATTCATTCAAAAGCTATTGAGAAGTTTACATTTTTGGAAGAAGGAAGACTGAAATAGCAGTCCTTCTCTGAGCTTTTTTTTTTTAAAACTTCCTTAGCTGAACCTTTTTTCTAAACTCAAATTTGAATACAATTTTCCTCATCGCAGTGCCTGTAGCTTTTTTGTTTTTGTTATCATTTTTAAAAATTTTATTTTTCCCTCCCCTGTGGGATCTAATCTAACTCCTTTTTGAATGAGGAACCTCTTGAGATTCTAGAGAAACCTATGCACTCTCTCCCCCTGAAAGCTACACATGTTCACACAATGCTATATATAGTTTGGGCTGAGATTATAGACCCTAGCTTCAGAATCCTTGCTCTAGGCTGGGTGTGGTGACTCACGCCTGTAATCCCAGCACTTTGGGAGGCCTAGGCGGGTGGATGAGGTCAGGAGTTGGAGACCAGCTGGCCAACATGGCGAAAATCCTTCTCCACTGAAAAAAAAACACAAAAATTAGCCGGGCGTGGTGGCACGCGCCTGTACTTCCAGCTACTTGGGGAGGCTGAGGCAGGAGAATCACTTGAACCCGGGAGGTGGAGGTTGCAGTGAGCTGAGATTGCGCCACTGCACTCCAGCCTGGGCAACAGAGTGATACTCTATCTCAAAAACAAAAACAAAAATATCCTTGCTCTAGAAAAAGACAAGATTTGTTCTTTTTGTGTGTGTGGTAAAAGCAAAAAAACAAACAAAAAAAAACACAAACAAAACAAAAAAACCACACGTATCATGAAGTCTACCCTCGTAACAAATTTTTAATTGTACAGAACAGTATTTATAATTTTATGTACATTGTTGTACACCAGATCTCTAGAACTTCTTCATATTGCACGATTGAATCTACCTAAATTGAACAAGAACTCTCGCCTCACACCCAGCCTGTTGGTGACCACCACTCTACTTTCTGCTTCTATGAGTTTGACTACTTTAGATACCTCATATAAGTGAAATCATGTAGCATTTGTCTTCCTGTGACTGCATTATTTCACTTAGCATAATGTCCTCCAGGTTTATGCATGTTATTTCATATGACAGGATTTCCTTCTTTTTTTAAAGGCTGAATAAGATTCAATTTCATATAAAAAATACACATTTTTTCTTTATTCATTCATCTGTCAATGAGCATTTCTTCCAGCTTTATTGAGGTATATTTGAAAAATAAAATTGTATATTTTTAAGATGTACAATATAATGATTTATATTGGCATACATTGTAAAACGATTACCACAATCAGCTAATTAACACATCTATCACGTCACAGCTGCCATTTTTTGCATGTGTGTGGTAAGAAGACATAAGATCTACTGTCTTAGCAGATTTCAAATATAAAACACAGCATTATTAACTATAGTCACTATGCTGCATGTTAGATCCCCAGAACTTATTGATTTTATAAGTGAAGATTTGTACCATTTGACCAACATCTTTCCATTTCCCACACCCCCAGCCATATAAGTGAGATCATGCAGTAATGCAGTATTTGTCTTTCTGTTTTTGGCTTATCTCATTTAGCATAATGTCCTCCCAGTTCATCCATTTTGTCAAAAATGTCAGGATTTCCTTCTTCTTTAAATGAAGGGGTACACACATATATATAGAGTTATGCATCACTTCATGACTGGGATATGTGCTGAGAAATGCATTGTTAGGCAATTTCATTATCGTGTGAGCATCACAGAGTGTACTTACACAAACCTATATGGTATAGTCTACTACACACCTAGGCTATATAGTATAGCCTATTGCTTCTAGGCTGTAAACCTGTACAACATGTTGCTATACTGAATACTGTAGGCAATTGTAACACAATGGCAAGTATTTGTGTATCTAAACATATCTAAACCTAGAAAATGTACAGTAAAAATATAGTATAAAAGATAAAAATGGCACATCTGTAAAGGGCATTTATGAAGGGAGCTTGGAGAACTGAAAGTTGCTCTGGGTGAGTCAGTGAGTGAGTGGTGAGTGAATGTGAAGGCCTAGGACATTCCTGTACACTACTGTGGATTCTATAAATAATGTACACTTGAGCTACACTAAATTTATTTAACATTTTTTCTTTCTTCAATAATAAATTAACCTTAACGTATTGTAACTTTTTTACTTTTAAACTTTTAGATTTTTTTTTATTTTGTAATAACACCTAGCTTAAAACACAAACACATTGTATAGCTATACAAAAATATTTTCTTTATATCCTTATTCCATAAACATTTTTCTATTTTTATTTTTTTACATTTTAAACCTTCTGGTTAAAAACTAACACACAAGCACACAATTTAGCCTAGACCTACACAGGATTAGAATCATCAAGATGTCACTAGGTGATAGGACTTTTTCAGCTCCATTATAATCTTATGAGACTACCATTGTATATTCAGTCAGCTGTTGATCAAAATATTATCACGTGTCACATAACTGTGTATGCGTGTGTATGCGTGTGTGTATACAAAACATTTTAAATCTATTCTTCCATCAACAGATTCTTAGATCATTTCCATATTTTGACTACTGTGATAATGCTGCAATGAACATGGCAGTGCAGATATCTTTTCAAAATACTGATTTCAATTCCTTTAAATATATACCAAGCAATGGGATTACTGGATCATATGGTAGTTCTATTTTTATTTTTTGAGGAACCTCCATACTGTTTTCCATAATGGCTACAGTAATTTACATTCCTGCCAACAGTGTACAGTGTATGAGGGTTTCTTTCTTTACATTTTTGCCAACACTTGTTATCTCTATAGAGTTATCACTACGGAAAACCACCCAACTGCAAAAATAAACAATAAAAGAGGAAGAAAAAAAGAATATACAAAACAACCAGAAAATAAACAATACAATGACAGGAGTAATCTTCCCCTATCAATAATAACCTCGAATGTAATATGTTTTGAAGTCAGTAAGTGTGAGGCCTCCAGTTTTGTTTTTCTTTCTGAAGATTGTTTTGGATATTTGGCTTCCTTTGTGGTTCTATATGGATTTTAGGAGTTTTTCTTTTTTCTTTCTTTCTTTCTTTTTTTTTTTTTTAAGATGGAGTCTCGCTCTGTTGCCCAGCCTGGAGTGCGGTGGTGCGATCTAGGCACTGCAACCTCCACCTCCCAGGCTCAAGTGATTCTCCTGCCTCAGCCTCCCAAGTAGCTGGGACTACAGGCGCCCGCCACCATGGTCAGCTAATTTTTGTATTTTTAATAGAGATGGGTTTTCACCATATTGGCCAGGCTGGTCTCGAACTCCTGACCTTGTGATCTGCCCCCCCCGCCCCCCGCCCCCGCCAACTTGGCCTCCCAAAGTGCTGGGATTATAGGCGTGAGCCACCGCGCCTGGCCAATTTTAGGGATTTTTCTACTCATGAAAAAAAATGCCTTTGGAGTTTTGATAGAGATTGCACTGAATCTGTAGATCACTTTGGGTATGGACTAAAAGAACATTTGTTAACAATCAACAAAGTGAAGAAACAACCCACAGAATAAAAGAAAATATTTGTGAACTACCCATCTGACAAGGGATTAATAACCAGAATATATAAGGAACTCAAACAACTCAATAGTTAAACACACACACACACACACACACACACACACACACACACACACGAATACTCCAACTAAAAAACAGGCTAAAGGTCTGAATAGACTTTTCTCAAAAGACATACAAATGGCCAACAGGTTTATGAAAAAAATGCTCAATATCACTAATTATCAGAGAAATGCAAATCAAGATCACAATTAGATATCACATCACCCTACCCCAGCTAAAATCACTTTTATCAAAAAGAGATAATAATGGATGGGGAGAAAGGAGAACCTTCATATACTGTTGGTTGGAATACAATTTAATACAGCCAGTATGGAAAACAGCATGGAGGTTCTTCAAAAAACTAAAAATGGAAGCACCATATGACCCAGCAATCCCACTACGGTTATTTATCTGATAGAAAGGAAACCGATATATCAAAGAGATATCTGCACTACCATGTTTATTTCAGCACTATTCACAGTAGGCAAAATATGAAATCAACCTAAGTGTCCATCAATGCATGAATGGATAAAGGAAATGTGGTATATATACACAATGGAGTATTAGTCAGTCATAATAAAAGAATGAGGTTGGATGTGGTGGCTCATGTCTGTAATCCCAGCACTTTAGGAGGCCAAGGTGGAAAGATTGCTTAAGCCCAGGAGTTCAAGACCAGCCCGGGCAACATAGGGAGTTCCTATCTCTACCAAAAATAAAATAAAAAAAATAGCTGAGCATGATGATGCACACCTGTAGTCCCAGGTACTTAGGGGTGGTGAGGTGGGAGGATTGTTTGAGCCCAGGAGGTCAGGAGGTCAGGAAATCAAGGCTGCAGTGAGCCATGATCCTGCCACTATGCTCCAGCCTCCATGACAGAGTGCAAAACCTTTCTCCAAAAATAAAAAAAAATAAAATAATGAAATCCTTTCATTTGCAGCCACATGGATGGAACTGGAGGTCATTATGTTAAGTGAACTAAGCCAAGTACAGACAGACAAACATCACATGTTATCACTCTTACGGGAGCTAAAAAAAAGTGTATCTCGGCCGGGTGTGGTGGCTCACACCTGTAATCCCAGCACTTTGGGAGGACAAGGTGGGTGGATCATGAGGTCAGGAGATTGAGACCATCCTGGCCAACATAGTGAAACCCCGTCTCTACTAAAAATACAAAAAAAAAAAAAAAAATTAGCTGGGTGTGGTTGCGCATGCCTGTAATCCAGCTACTCGGGAGGCTGAGGCAGGAGAATCACTTAAACCTGGGGGGCGAAGACTGCAGTGAGCCTAGATCGAGCTACTGCACTCCAGCCTGGCGACAGAGCGAGACTCTGTCTCAAAAAAAAAAAAAAAAAAAGAAGAAAAAAAAGTGTATCTCATGAAGATAGAGAGTAGATTTGTGATCACCAGAGGCTGGGAAGGGTAGAGGGAAGGGGGAAATGAAGAGAGGTTTATTAATGAGTAAGAATATATAACGTGATAAAAGAAATAAGACCCAGTGTTTGATGGATCAGTAGAGTGACTATAGTTTAAAATAGTCTATTATATATTTCAAAATAGCTAGAAGAGAATACTTCAAATGTTTCTTGATTAAAGAGAGGCAAATTAAGGTGATGGATATCCCAATTACATGGATTTGATTTCTACAAATTATATGAATGTATTAAATTATCACATGTACCCCGAAAATAACATACATCTATTATATATTGATAAAAATGAAATTATTTTAAAAGGTTCTCTTAAAGAGCTTACATATTTACTGAACCAATCTTTCTTTCCTTTTTCTTTCTTACTTCCTTCCTTTTTTATTTCTTCCTTCCTTCCTTCTTTCTTTCTCTCTCTATTCCTTCCTTCCTTTCTCTTTTCTTTTCCTTTCTTTTATTTTCTTTTTTCTTTTCTTTTGAGACAGGATCTCACTCTGTCACCCAGACTGGAGTGCAGTTGTGTGATCACGGCTCACTGCAGCCTCTAATTCCTGGGCTCAAGTGATCCTCCCTTCAGCCTCCTGAGTAGCTGAGACTACACACATGCACTACAATGCACAGATAAATTTTGTACTTTTTGTAGATATGGGGTCTTTTATATTGCCCAGACTGAAAGAATGTTTCAATAGAAAAAAATATTCACTGCCAGGTGCGGTAGCTCACGCCTGTAATCCCAGCACTTTGGGAGGCAGAGGCGGGTGGATCACCTGAGGTCAGGAGTTCGAGACCAGCCTGGCCAACATGGTGAAACCCCGTCTCTACTAAAAATACAAAAATTAGCCAGACGTGGTGGTGGGTGCCTGTAATTCCAGCTACTTGGGAGGCTGAGGTAGGAGAATCACTTGAACCCGGGAGGTGGAGTTTGCAGTGAGTGGAGATTGTGCCATTGCACTCCAGTCTGGGCGACAAGAGTGAAACTCCGTCTCAAAACAAAAAACAAACAAACAAAAGAAACAAAACAAGGAAAAGGTATTCACTCAGTAAGTTAAATTTGCCCTAGACTGAAAGAATGCTTGCTAAGCACTAGGTACTGTGCAAGGCATGTTCCATATATTATTGGCAAGTATTATAATAGGCCTACAAAGTAGGCATTATTAAGTCTGTTTTCCAAGTGAGGAAACTGCTCCATGAAGTGGTAGAACCGAGATTGTAAGGCAGGGAGGTTGCAGAAGCATCCTGTGATAACTTTATTTATCATGTCTCTATCATAGTCCCCTCTTTTGCAGAGAAGGAAGGGAGTTGGAGTCCTCCGTTTTGCTCTCCTCATGTTTCCACATGGGAGGACTTCTGTTAGAATAACACTCCTGGCCTGTCTCCCCCTCTTCATGTGATGGGTGAGTTGGCAAGTCTGTATCGCTAAGTGTAGGGAGTATTAGGAAGCCTATTATGGCAGACTTTCTATTCCCTATCTTCCAATACAGACTTTAACAGTGATAAACTGATAGTTTTAATCTCTGTTTATTTCCTTCCTGTGTCTATCAGTTGGTTCTGAACTTGGGAATGAATGAGAGGTGTGCTACTATTCACTACTGTTCCAAAATGTATTTATTCAACCTATTTTCTAATCAGCCTGTGTCCTTCTGTCCACTTATCTATTCCATATTGTCTCCTGAGTGTCTGTGTGAGCCTGTCTGTGAATGTACCTCTGATTGCCTAGATACCTATAACAGGAAGTGTGTGTGGGTATTAGGCCAAAGCTCCATGTGGTCCTAAGGAAAATGATCTGCATGTGCATGGGTGAAAGAAGGAGAGAGAATGAAGGTGTGTTCCTTGAATTTGGCTCTGAGGGCTACCTTCACATAACTATCATAATGCTTTTTGTCCTTTACTAGAAGCAGGCTCTACCAGAAAAGAATGCTTAAGCCCATTTCTTTGCCGATTGTTTCATTCTGGGGCCACAGACCTTCCTCTTCTCATCTCTGTGCTAGCAGTGTCAGAAGAGGGAGAGCAGTCACTATTTCAGAAGCCTTTTCTGTGCTGGCTCAAAGATTGAAGATTGTTTACAGACTAAGGAAATTCTCATTTTTCATAGGCAGATTATAATACTAAAGAAATCTAACCTGTGTTTTGTGATTGTTATCTAGCATTCTGTGGCCCGTACTTCTAACATACTTGATAAATGATGTCAAGTCATCTTCTTAATTTCATCACACCCTTGGGAAAAATAAGGTAAGAGTCAGAATTATAGTCACCCTTTTACAGATGAAACCAAAGGTAAAATAGTTTCATTGCTTAACTAATCATTCTTCCTACACTTCCTTGGAATTTCAGGTGTTGGTGGGCCGACTATTCCTGGGCCAGTTGCCTAACAGGCAAAAGGGGAACCAGACCATGTTTTAATGAAACAGATTTTGTCAGAAGTAATATCAAAAGGTGTTCATTTTTAGTCTCATCAGTTGAATCTCTTGGAGTATTCCACGTGGGTTTCTAGGGCCTCTGTTTCTCTCCTTCCCCATTTACCCTACGCTGCCCAAACAATTACCCTGACACTTCTGGATGTTTCTCACAGGGGAGAGAATCTGGGTCAATAATCATAGGCAGTGGAGAGGGGAAAAAAGTTGAATGTTCTAGGTATTATTCATATGCAGATTACATGAAAATAGTAGCAAGTTTCTCCTTCCCATTTATCTATACATCTAAGGGTGTGCAGGTATGTAAGGGACGGGCAGGTGCAGCAAAGGAGAATTCTAAGTAGACCGTCCTACTAAAGAGTGTGTCTGATTCCTGGGAAATTTTGCCTAGGGCTAGGGAAAGATTTATAGTCAAGGTCTGTTTATTTTGAGTTAAAGTTAGTATAACATTAGTATAAAATGTTATAGCTGACATTATTTAAGGTAAATAAATTCTTATAAGTACATACTTCTGGAGAAATATGGAGTTTATGTTGCTCCTTGGGTAACTTTATAAAAAAATCTTTCTGTTGTTGAAGTGTCTCTTCTGGGTCATCTGGTTCTTTTATCCATTCAGAAAAAAATGCCAGTTTTCTTATGGAATCTCAGGATCTTGGCTTCGTATTAGATTTGAGACTAGATTCAAAGCCTCTTCATCCTTCTTGAGTTAATAAATCTAGACAGCATTCGTGTGTGTGTGTGTGTGTGTGTGTGTGTGTGTGTGTGTGTAAAAGGCTGCTATCTGTGGTGGTTGGTGCTCTCAGAGAAGGCTTGTTGAAGCAGGAGTTGGTTTGTTTGTGTCCTAAGCTCACAGTAGTGTCAGCTCAATTGGAAACTCTCCATTTGCCCTTGGGGAAGTCACTCACTTGGTACAAGTTTAGCTGGGCTGTGATGCATGTTTGCCATTGCTCTAGAGAAGTTTCAGCCAGCAATTGACTCCTTCCTCATAGCAAGGATGTAAAAATCAGATGAACTGCTCAGATCCAATATGTGGGCTGAAAGATGGCCTCTTCTGGGTACCCAGTTCAGACAGGGGCTACCCCTTGCTTTGAGCTGTGTGTTAGCCAATTTATTCTATTTCCCAAATACTGTTTTCTGTGAGCCATTACTACTTGATAATTCATAAAGTAAATTTTCAGCACATGTTAAGCTCTGACCTCAATTCATCCAACCATGGAAAGAAAAAAAGTCACACATGCATATACGCACAAACCCCAGCTTTAACTTTTTCCCCTTCCAAAGTTGTTCATCATTTTGCCCTCCTATAGTGACAGAGAAAGTACACCAATTCATTGGGCATTTGAGCAAGATAAAGCCCTCACTACAGTTTTGGTGAAGCTCTTGAGAAATACACAGATGGCAGTCAAAAGAACTATTTGTGGTGTCAGGGATACACACACAAACATATGCACATATTCAACAAGTCATGGGAGGTGAGACATGGGTGATGTGCAGTTGAGGCAGACAGATAGAAAATGGGATGGGAAGCTTGAGAGTTTGGTTTGTTTTACTCCCTTGCCCCGTATTTTCCAGATATACATTAGATAGATATATAGATAGATAGATTCTTCTTTCCTTTTTGATAATTTATTTTTACTCTTGACTTAGTAGAAATGACCCCATCTGTGATATATTAGCTAAAGAGAAAATCATTTTGCTTTGGTTCAGATCCAGAATGACCTAGCCCAAAGAGGAAAGAATGACCAGCTGCCTTTGTCCAGGAGTGTCAGAGGGGCTTCTGAAAAGAATTGCTTTCTCCAAATATTTTCTTTGGGGGAAGTAGTCCCAGGCATGTGTACATGTGCCTGGATGTGTGCACATACACCCTTCTACCCATACGGACACATGAACAAACTCATACATAAGACTTTATGTTCAAATTGGGGAAACCTGCTTTTTTCTGAGAGTCTGGCAGCTCAACTTACTAGAGAAAGAGGTTCCTAAATTCTGAAACAATTGTCAAGAGTCTCTTTGGAAACACTTCCTTGACGTTCTAATATATAGGGCATTTTCAGTGTTTTTTTTTTTCTGTCATTGGTTTAGAGTAAACTTCAGAAACCTGGAAATGATACTTAACTCTTTCTTTTCTCTCCTCCTATCACCTATGTCCACTCAATCATCAAGCCCTGTCATTTCTGGTCCTAAATTAGTTCTTACATCAGTCCACTTCTCTCCATGCCCACTGCCACTCCATCGCCATCTCACACCTAGACCATTGCAATACCTTCCTAACAAGGTTCTCTGATGCCTGCAGTTCTGCCCAGATGCATCTAATCCATTCTCCACGTTGCAGTACAGTTGACCTTTAAACAACATGTGTTTGAACTACGTGGGTCTACTCATACATGGATTGTTCTCAACCAAAGGTGGATTGAAAATACAGTATTCACTGGATGCAAAATCCACATATACAGGGGCCCAATTTTTCTTATCTATGGGTTCCACAGGGCTGACTGTAGGACCTGAGTATGCACGGATTTTGGTATGGGAGGGTGTCTTGGAACCAATCCCCTACGTATACTGAGGGACAACTGTACTTTGCAGCCAGGGTGCTCTTTCTGAAGCACAAGCTATGTCACTCCCCTGTCCAATTTTCTTCAATGGTTCCTCATTGCTTACTGAATAAATTCTGAGTTCCTTGATTAAGACTCTTAATACATGGATCCTGCCTACATAATACCCAGCACTCTACCCCCATGCCCCCTCAACTCTGTTCCCTTTCCCCCCCAACACATGGCTCTCTGAAAGTACCAAATTATGCATGGTTTCAAGTACAACCTGTTCTCTTGTAACTCTCAGCCTTTTTATAAGCTATTATTTCTTTCTGGAATACCCTCCACTTCATCCTTGTCCATCTGGTAAACCTCTACTCCTTCTTCAAGTCAGTACAGAATTCACACTTATAGAAAGAAACCTTCCTTTGCACCCTTAATCAACCTTAGACTGTTCTCCCTTGATATTCTTACTACCTCCTTTGTATCTCTCTATTATGGTGCTGCTTATATTTTATTGTACTTGTTTCTTTCCCTGTGCTGGATATTCTGTGAGGGCAGGAACCATGTCTGGATCCTCAATATGTTCCTCAGTACAGGACCTGGACATAGTCGATGTTCAATCATCGCTAAATACATGACGTGGGCCTGGAATACCAAAGGCATTTTTGGTTATATAAGAATAACTTTCTGGCTATTGTGTTGATAGATCTTTTAATCATGGAGTGGAATATGAGGCTTGCCCCACGTAGAGTGGCCAGCAAATGGGACACCTCAGAGAGGCTCCTCTAGTGACTTAGAACCCAAAAAAGAACCCTGGGACTAACCCAGCTCCAGGCCTAGGAAACGTTCTACTTTGATGCTGTTTACTGTTACATGCTACTGGAGAACTAATACAAAAATGTAACAATTTGGCTGGATTATAGACAAGGACTATAAGGAATGTTAATTGTCATCTTCTTAACATGTATTCCAGGTGCTCCACAAACTGACCCCTGCCTGGGTTTCCAGCTTTGTCATTCCCTCCTCTGACTCACACTTTACCCTCTGGCCACACCAAACTGCTTACAGCACCTGCTATGTCATGATGTGTCATACCTCTATGTTTTTATCCATGCTGTCTTTCTGCCCAGAGTAGCTTTTCCTTTGCTTAGGTAATTCCTACTAACAATTTAAGACTTAGCTCGGGCCTCACTTCTTCCAGGAAGCCATTTCTAACTAATCAACATGCACACACACACACACACACTGAGTCTAGATAGATGTCTCTATGAATCAGGACTCTTTTGCTTGTAAGTCACAGAAATACAATGCAAATATGCTTAAGCCAAAAGAAGGGGGTTATTGATACTAAGAAAAATTCAGGCATAATTTTAGGCAGTTCTAGATCCAGGTGCTCAAATGGTGTCTCAGCAATCTCCTTCTATCTCTTGGCTCTGATTTCTCCTATATTAACTAAACTCTCAAGCAAATTTTCCCACATGATGGCCAAGATAGCCATCAAGAACTATAGATTTGCATCTTACCATTTAGCAACCCCAGTGGAAACACAGATCCATTTTCTTAAAAGTCCCAGCGAAAGTTCCAGAATTGAGTACATGTCTGAACCAACCACAATGACCAAAGAAACAGAATCTAGGTGGGATGAGACCTGATACCAAAAGCAGATATGTTGGGCAGCAAAAGCACTATATGCTTATACTCAGTTTTCCTCTTCTATGCTCCCATATTCCTCTCCCCCACCAGTAACTCTGATTACACTGTATCATTTTGTGTGTGTGTGTGTGTGTGTGTGTGTGTGTGTGTGTGTACCTGTCTCCTCCACTAGAGTGTGAGTTCCTATGTTTATTTGCCTCTGTATTGCTAGAGGTCAGTATGGGGGCTTGGCTTCTAGTAGGTGCTCTCAATCAATGAAGGATGAATGAATGGCTCTGCCGTGCATTTTTAACAGATGATTAAATTACAGAGAGCGATACTGAAAGCCAAATCCAGGCAAACAGTTTAATTTGATACTTAGACAAATTAATAACATGACTCTAATTTATTTGGTTATATGCATAATTATTACTGGGTTGCATGGTAAAGAGGCATAAATAGTAAACGGTTCATTTGACGTTCTAAATGTAATAAATGTCTTCTATGGGTCGGGGCTGTACTAGACACTAAGATTAGCCTTTGCCTGTTCATTAACCCCTTAACATTAATGGAAGTCAGTATAGTATAGTGGTTGTGGCTCTAGGGTCCTGGATTGAACTAACATCTGCATTTACTATAATAGTTCAGTGACCTTCGGCTGGTTACTTAACCACTGTGCCTAGTTTCCTCTTCTGCCAAATGGGAATAGTACCAACCATATAGGGTTGTTGTGAGGATTAAATGCAGAAATTGATATGAAGCATTGAGAATCATGCCTGGAATATTTTTAAGTGCTTAATAAGTGTTAACTCTTATGGTTAGGTATTAACAGCAGCTCCTCCCTACTTAAATATCACTTTACCTATTACACTTGACCTGAGGCAAAGCCCTGGGTTAGAGATTTAAAATTGAGCTTAAATATACCTTCTGGGCTTCAATAAAAGAAAATTCAACAGAATGGTAGCTCATCTCTGGCCTGGCGGATTCTATTTTATTATGGAACTTACGATCTTGGATCTCTCAGTGTGAAAAGATTATTTCGCAGTCAGCCAGTTTCCAAGCCTCATGAATCCAGAGAAGGAAGAAGTGGTCTTTCCCCTCGGGGAAGAGTTGGTGATCCACAAAAGCTAGGAAAAGACTTTCTTAAATTCTAACATTACCACTTCATATGGCTTACTATGAGAACTGGAGTACAAACAAATAGCTTGTGTGGCTGACCAGGTTTTGCTAACAACGTATATTGGTTCTAAGTGGAGCCTTTGATGTAATGATGAGAGGATAACATTTGGAGGTCAGCGGACATATGCTGGAATCCAAGCTCTCCTCTTTACTGACTATGGCATCTTAGGTAATAATAATGATTACAGCTTAGTGTGAGTGCTTACTGTGTGCTTGTCACTGTTTAAAGCACTTTTCATGTATTACTTCCTTTAGTTCTTGCAAACAATCTTATAAGGTAAGCTTTTATATTAATCTTCCTTTACCAGTGGAAGAGGTTGAAGGGCAGAGAAATTAAGTAACTTGCCTAAAGTCACATAACTAGTAACATGGGAAGCCAGGTTTCCAACGAGCTTTTGCTACCAATTTACGCCTAGTGTTCCATTATTGGAACGCTAAGCATGTGGGAGTTATTTATATCCTACTGCTCAACGTCATCGCAAAGGTCTGATTGCAAAAATTAAAAAAATTGCAACCTCAGGCATAAATGGGTTAACCACCTCTTCATGTTGTCTGCCAGCTCAACCTCTCTGAGCCTCAGCTTCTTCATCTATAAAATCGACTTAATTGTACCAATCTCAGTGTTGCTATGAGAATTCAAGATAAGCTCGGGGAAGCATTTAGCACAATATTGGACACATGGAAAGTGCTCTTTGAATAAGCATTGCTATTATTCTGTTTCTCCATTGTCCCTAGAAGCAGGGGCCTGGACTTCCCTTCCTTATTGCCAATGCTACTTCTTGATTCTAATTAGTCTGAGTACAAATTATTTTCTGTATGACGGAGATACTACTAGGTTAATTACAAAACGGAGAAAACTTTGTTGCCAAAGATAGTTATTAGTCCATCCTCAAACCGTTATTTTGCCTTCTGTTTCTTGGTTACAGCACTCACCAGGTCCCCCAACACTGGCTGATGTCCGTTCCCACTGTCAACCTAAGCTTTCCCAACTGGGGCTCCTGCCAGGCTGGGTGTACTTCCACCTGCCATCTCATTATGGAACAGTAGATCTGAAAAGTAATGAAATGTTAGACTGCTGGGAGACCCCATGGACACAAATTTATCTCAAATGGATTTAAAATTGTAGCCAGTTATTTCATTCCTTAATTGTAATATTTTCTTTATTGATGCCTTCCTGCTATTTTGAGTATATACCTCATCATAGAAGCAATAAAGATTAAACTCAACTAAAAACATGGAAAGAAAAATGGCTACTAAAAAATCCATTTGCCATGATGAGCCTGCCCTCTTACAACTACAATGCAAATAGGTCCGATCCTTTGGGAAACTGGCTTGGTAATTTGCTTCACGAACCATAATTATGTTCCTGCCCTTTAATACTACAATTCCTCTCTGGGGATTCTGTCCTAAGGACAGACTTTAGCAGAAGTAAAACAAAAGCCTATAGACACAAAGATTGTCAATGCAATATTACTTTTGCTAATGAGAAATGGAAAATAATCTAAATGTTGAGCAATTTGATATATATTAGGGCCTATCAGTAAATGAAATATGAATGATAAAAGATTTACTTTAAAATATTAAATGAATACATTACAAAGCAGTTACAACAATGTAAAATTGTATTATATGGATACAACCTAGAAAGGACTGCAGAAAATGAAAATTCTTATGTTAGGACGTGGGTCAAAGTATAGTCTATTCCTCCACACTCAATGCCTTTGATTATTGATGTCAGAATTAGAAGTTTTAATGTGTGTTTGGGTAGGAGGTGGGGAGTGGGAAGGAGTTGGAGAAGGAATTTCAAATTCCAGCCCTTTTAACTCTATTTCCTGATCATCACCTTAGAAGTAACACCATCTAAGAAATTGACCTAATTTTGTTTTTAAATAAAAAGATATACAGTAGCCATATCCACTCATCCAATCAGACATACATATTCAGTCAGGCTCCCACTTTCCAGTCCTTCCTTTTCTTGTCCCCTTGTGGCATACAGCAGGACATAGGAGCAAACATGCTCATATTTCCATCCCTGAACTGTCACTATCACCTGTGTGACCTTAAGCATGTTACTTTAGCTTATCTACACTAAGGCCTAGTTTGTTCATTTGAATAATGGGGCTAATAATGTTACTTACATTTTGAGTTGGTATGAGAATTAAATAAGTTAATGCATGCAAAATGTTAACATAGTATGCTATTGACTAGATGTTCATGTCCCTTCAAAATTCATATGTTGAAATCCAAAGCCCAATGTGAGAGTATTAAAAGGTGGAGCCTTTTGGAGGTGATTTAGGTCATAAGGAACCCTCATAAATGGAATTAGTGCCCTTATAAACAAGGCTTCAGAGAGCTTTTGCCCCTTCTGCCATGTGAGGGCACAACAAAAAGATGGCCATCTATGAACTAGAAAGCTGGCCCTTACCAGACATGAACCTGCCATCAGCTTGATCTTGGACTTCCCTGCCTCCAGAACTGTGAGAAATAAATTTCTGGGTTTTTTTTTTTTTTCATTTTTGAGACACAGTCTCGCTGTGTCTCCTAGGCTGGAGTACAGTGGTGTGATCATGGCTCATTGCATCGTCAACCTTCTGGGCTCAAGTGATTCTCCCACTTCAGACTCCTGAAGAGCTTGCACCAAAGGCATGCATCAACACACCTGGCTAATTTGTTTATATATTTTTTGTAGAGATAGGGTCTCACTATGTTTCCCAGGCTGGTCTCGAACTCCTAGGTTCAAGCAATCCTCCCACCTCTGCCTCCCAAATTGATGGGATTACAAGTGTGAGCCACTGCACCCAGCCTTCTGTTGTTTATAAGCCACTCAGCCTATGGTATTTTTTATAGCAGCCCAAACAGAATATACACAGTACCTGGTATCATGCAAATGCTGAATAAGTGTTAGTTTCTGGCTATAAAATTGAGATAATACCAGTACCTACCTCAGAGGGTTTATAGGGATTAATTGGGAGAATAAATGTCACACCCCTGGCCAAATAGGTGTTAAATGTATGGTAAGTATCATCATCAAAATTGTTGCACTGGGCAGTCTCTTCCGGTAACAAATTATCAGATAATGGAGGGAGCATTTAATGATCATGCTGATACTGATCAGATTGGTGCCTGGAGAGAAGTACCTGCTAAAAATTTGTCTAAGCAAGCAGTACAAAGCACAGTAATCTGAAGGTCAAGGGGAGCATGAGGTGGTGATTCAGCAGGGAAAACATTTGCAGAATAGAGACAAAGCTCTTTTCAAAACCACGAAGAAACTGGAAAGTAAGCAGGATGGTTAATGCAGATTATAGAAATCTATGGGGCAGCTCCCAAAGAAGTATACTAAGAGGTCAGAGGCAAGTCAGCTAGAAAACCTTAAAAGAAATTTTAGGAGAGTTGAGCAAAAGTGGGAGGTGTGATTTGAGGCTAGAAAAGAACAGGGCTGGCCGGGCGCGGTGGCTCACGCCTTTAGTCCCAGAACTTTGGGAGTCCTAGGCCAGTGGATCACCCAAGGTCAAGAGTTTGAGTCCAGCCTGACCAACATGGTGAAACCTTGTCTCTACTAAATACAAAAAATTAGCTGGGCATGGTGGTGCATGCTTGTAATCCCAGCTACTTGGGAGGCTGAGGCAGGAGAATCACTTGAACATGGGAGGTGGAGATTGCAGTGAGCCAAGATTGCGTCATTACACTCTAGCCTGGGTAACAAGGGTGAAACTCCATCTCAAAAAAGAAAAGAAAAGAAGAGAAAAGAATGGGCCTAATGATAATAGCTAATACAAAATCTGTATTTATTTAGCACTTACTATTTTTCAAGCATTGTGCTAAGCAATTCATGTGCATTATAAAACTTTGTCTTCCTTATCCTATGAGGTAAATTTTTATTATTACCTCTGTAGTATAGTCTAGGCCCACATAAAACCTTATATTATACCAAGCCCCAAAAGAGTGGTTTCTGGAAATAAGTCATTGAATGTGGTTTAGAGGGTCCAAGATTAAATTCATCATCTTTCATCAAGGAATCCATCCTTTGCTCTGTACTTGCCATCATAGCACTACCATCCACTCAGTCACCTACATCAGAAACTTGGGAGTAACTACTGAGTTTTCATTTTTTAGGTAAACCAGTCACTAAGGCCTTCCCATTTTTCTTTCTAAATATTAATACTTCTCAAATCCATCTTTTCTTCTCTATCTTCTGTAGGGTCCTCATCTTCCCCTACCTGGAGTATGCTAGTAGTGTCCTATCTGGATTCCCTGCCTCTAGTTTTGACTTCCTTGTAATTTATCCTACAAAGATTGCTTTGTAGAAAAAAAGTGTTTTTATACAAAGTAATCTTTCTAAGATGCAGTCTGACCATATTATTTCCCTCTTGAGAACTTAGTTATTCCATAATTATCTCTGAGTGATGTCTATGACGTTACTTTCTATGCCCTGACTTATGCCTACTTCTCTGGTTTCATCTCTTGCCACTCTCCATCCCATGAACTTCTTGTAGTTCCTTCTTACTCACCTCGCCTATGACTTTGGTTGTGTTCTATTTTCTGCCAAGGTCACCCTTCCAATTCCTTTCCTCTCAGGATGCCTAAGCTTTAAGTCTAAGCTTAGGCATCAGCACCTCCAGAAAACCTTTCCTGATTCTTGCCTGTGCTAACTGACTTTCCTGTACCCTCTGTACTCCACACCCCATGTCTGATCACTTACTACAATATGTTGAAAAGATCCTTCTGGCCATGGATCATGCTTTGTTCATCTTTATACCCCCTAAAACCTATCACGTGCTTGAGCCATACTTAGGTTTTGATAGATGTTTTTGAACTGTTGCAAGCACTTAGGACCTGTATCCAAGGAATGCTTGAGGTATAGACACTAAAGATCCCTAACAGAAATAACTACTATTTCTGAAACATCTATTGTGTGGTGGCCTCCAACTCTGACTAGCACTCACTTAGCCCCATACCTTGTCTTATTTTTCTCCATGGCACTTATCATTGTTTGTTATATTATACTTTTATTTATTGAGTTGTTTGTCAGACTTCTCACACTACAATATCAATTCCATGAAGGTAGGAATATTTGTCTTTGTCCACTGACAATCCTCAATGCTTATGCAGGGCCTGGCACATAGTAGGTTCTCAGTAAATATTTTTTGAATGAATGTGGTAGGTATGGACTTTCAACATATAATCTAATTTAGTCCTCCCAAGATAAGTATTAATGTTTCTGTTTTAGAGGCGAGGAAAGGAAAGCTCCTCATCACCTATACAAAAAAGGACAGAGGTTTTGAGAAACGGGTGTGTATATGTTGAGCCTATAGATTCAAAGATGATTGATTCAAAGATCAGGGTCACAAGATATGGGGATACAACAAAAATGTGAGCCCAATAAAAATACCAGTTAATGAGTGAATCTCTGCCAAGCTGAACTGAAGAGAAACACTGTGTACTCTTTCCCCCAGATATTTCACATTCTACAAGTAGAATCAGTTTTGAAACTTAAATAGTTAATTTTCTTTCTGTTGTTCTTAAAGAATCTGGGGGCTTGTGAGGACTTCCATAGGAAAATTAGGAGGCAAGGTCATTGGAGCAAGGGTACAATTTTTGTAGACAAGCCGTTAAGGATTTACAGAGAAAGGTTAGTTTGTGGTACTGAGAGTTAGGATACCTCTTGTGTGGCCTCTATAGTCACAAACCATACTTACCTTGATAAGAGTAGATGAGAACCAAGCACTTTGCAAAAGTCAGAGTCTGGAGTTTAACCATTATTATCTGGGAGTTGGTCAAATCTCAATAAAGGTGACATACCCTCAGAATCTTTGAATTCTACCTCAAGTTTTGCCTTCTGTAGTCCCCTCATTTCAGCTCTGGATTCTTCTGCCTCCTTTAAGACTTATTTCAACGTCTCTGACCTGACTATTTTTAGTCTAGATAGATTAGGATGAGAGGAAAAGACAGGCTTAGGACGGACAAGTCTGTTCCTAGGGATTCTTGGCTCTTTTTATTCCTCTAGAGGGGAAATGTTTCCTAAAAGATGACCCAAGAATCAAGCTTTTTTTTCTCTGTGTCAGCTCTCCCCAAAAGAAAAATATCTGGCATCTGTATCATACATCACACTTTATTGATAGCTTTTCACTTACACTAGGACATTTTAATCATCACAATCATTTTATAATTGAGGAAGTGGAGCAAAGGCATATAGCTAATTGAAGGCCACACAGGTAGAAAATAGTAAAATTTGCTTTGTGAATCTTAAATGATAGCAAAGCCCAGCCAAGTTTAGCTTGATGTCAAGATTACCACGGCTAAAACTCAATTCATCATCTTTGCCCCCCACCACCTCCAAAACCCCTCTACTTCTCTGTTCCTTATCTCAAAGGGTGGAGCCCTTTTCCACCTGGGAGTTAACATTGACTTTTATTCTCATGATGTCTCTTGAAAATGTTCTCTCTTCAATAACTACTCTGCCCCACTATCCTATCTTAGACCCTCAACTCCTCTCATCTGAGTTGATGCAATGACCCTTCCCTGCCTGCATTCTTATACTTCTTCATTATCCACACCAAGGGGACATTTCTTTTCTTTTCTTTTCTTTTCTTTTTTTTGAGACAGGGTCTCGCTCTGTCACCCAGGCTGGAGTGCACTGGAGCAATCTTGGCTCACTACAACCTCTGCCTCCCATGTTCAAGTGATTCTCATGCCTCAGCCTCCCAAGCAGCTGAAATTACAGGTGCCCGCCATGACATCCAGCTAATTTTTGTATTTTTAGTAGAGACAGGGTTTCACCATGCTGATTAGGCTGGTCTTGAACTCCTGACCTCAAGTGATCCGCCTACCTCGGCCTCCCAAAGTGCTGGGATTACAGGCATGAGCCACCGCACCCGGCCCAGAGGGACATTTCTAAAGCACAAATTATTAATAGAGCAAGTCATTAAAACTCTTCAATAAATTTACATCAGCTTTAGGCTAAAGTACAAATTCCTTAGCTTGGCATCACATCCTCCCTCCTGTCTCTCTACCTTCCCTGCTATGAACCCTGCACTTTACTGATTGAAACTTTTAGTTTCCTGAAAGGGACATGAACTGAGCTAATATTTATTGGACACCTATTATGTGCCAGGTAGTGGCCTAAATGTATCATATCTTGTAATTTAATCATCAGCAACTATCCTACGTGGTAGGTGCTGTCATCATCCCCATGTGGCAGATGAGAAAACTGAGACAGAGAGAGACAAACTAACTTACCTAAGGTCATGCAGTAAAATAAGTGGTAGATTTGGGATTTGAGCCCAGACAGTCTGTGTTCTTAACTACTACCCTGCCTCTTTCATTTCTTACAATCTGCCAAGAATGTCCTTTTTCCCATCCTACTGTTCACCAAGCAAAACCCTTCAAGGCTTAATTTGAGTCTTCTTTGGGAAATGTTACCTGACTTCTCCACATTCCTTACTACCTCTGATCCTCACCCATGGCTGAATAAGGTATCTCTCTTCTGGCTTCTCCTAGAACCTGTGCATACCTCTAATTATAGCACTTGACACACAGCTTACATGTCTGTTCACGAATTTCTTGAGAGCATGAAGTTTGCCTTAGTTGCCTTTTATCCCAACATGTATGCAGCACAGTGCCTGGAACACAATAAATCCTTCTTGAGTAACTATTCTTCTCCTGGAAGATCTCCCGCAAATGATTGTGGTGAGTTTCTATTGTCAAAACTTATAAATCCACAGGTGACATCTTTCGCTATTCTGGAGCCATGAGAGCCTCTACAAAACTAAGCAGAGAGGGCTCCTAAATAGGATGGTACGGATTGTGACCTGTATTTGTTCATACTTTATTTGAATATACTTGCACATTTACAGAAAAATTATGAGAATAAGAATAAAAAGAGTACTCATACGTTTTTTACACAGACTCACCTATTGCTAACATTTTCCCCATTTCCTTTATGATTTGCCACTCACTCTATCATCTGTCTATCTATCTGTCTATCTATCTATCTATCTATACACACATATAGTTGATTTTTCCTGAACCAACCATTTAGAGTACATTGTATATATCATAGCCCTTTTAATCATAAACACTTCACTATTCTCTTACATATCCTCATACCATTATCACCAGCATTAAATTTAACATTTACATGCTACTTTAATATAACCTACACTCTACATTTCATTTATGGAATATTCCATATTCCAATTGTGGCAATAAACTGTCCTTTATAGCATTTTTGTTCTGATGATTATCGACTGGGTAACCTTAGGGGCAGTGGCTTCATCTCTGAGCTTCAGTTTTTTATTTGAAACATGAAGGTGATAATGAATGCCTTAATAAGCTAGATGTTGGAAGAGTAAATGGTGGTAATTTATGTGAAAGCACCCTGGCATATCGTAGTAAGGCCTGTTCGACCATATAAATACAGCATAGTGGGTAAACATGTGGGCTCTGAAGTCAGACTGCCTCAGTTCAAACCCTTGTTTAGTCACTTACCAGGTGAGCCATGTGGGCAAGTTAAAGCATCTCCAGGTTTAAATTTCTTCAACATCAAATAGTGACAATAGTGGTGTCTACCTCAATTGTTGTATTAAATTAGGCTCTACATGCAAAGTGCTTAAAATAGTGTCTGGCTGAGTAAGTGCTCTATAAATGTTTAACTATTATCATTAAGTTTGACAGGTATTTCAAGGAGGATCCTTGTATTACAAAAAAACTGGTATAATCTACTGTACTAAGACCTATCGGAGGAATAATAACAGTAATTAACAAATCCCAACTTAAAGATTTTAAAAAACTTTTCCTGTCCTTCATCATAAGCTCTTGGAACATATTAATTAACTTTATAATATTAAATTCACCTTGTTACAAAGAGCTTAAGTGTCTCACCTCAGGTCACGATGCTGGGAATTAGGACCTAGCCCTTCATTGACTTTTCTTCCTGACAGAAATCACTCCATATTTCCTCTCTATGTACAGTGCAATAGCATTCTTCTAAATTTGGCTTTTTGCCATGGAAATGCTTGACCACAAGTCTCATGTTTCCTCTCCCAGACAAAAGACCTGGGACCTAATTAGGTGGTAATATTCAAAATATTTAACCACCCTTGGTCTCAGTAGGAGCTGGGTTTTGGAAGGCCCCTTTGTGTTAGTCATTGTCCTGTAGTCGCTGGATCAAGTTGGGCAGTAGGAGGAGCATAAGGAGGAGGAGGTTGAGTGGCCAGGACCAAGGGAATCCATGAGGGACTTGGGGCAGTGATTATTCACAAACCATTACAGAAGCGTGTTAATATTTTTAACTCCAGGTTTTTAATCACTGTGCAGAGCATCTCAGTCCTGGGCCTAGGAAAGCATTCTTAGCTAACAATTCCGTGTCCACCTCTAATGCTGCCACAGAGAATTCTTGAATTCCTTGAGATCTTCCTGCCAGCGATAATTAGGCAGACAGCCAATACCATAGCATTGCAAAGAGATGATTTAACTAAGTCTCTAAAATCTTCTATCATTACCCTTGGAAAAGTATATCAATGACACTAATAACACTGGTATTTTGGTCACATTGCAAACCAGGTGATAACCTGTATTCTTGGCCTTTTCCTTAAGTCATGCTGTTGCTATTACATTTATACTAAAGCCAAGGTGGGGCTTATTGGATACAGGGATTACACAGCTTGCTGGAGTTAAGCTAGGGAGTTTCCAATTCTATTCTTCAAGTAGAAGGTGTCCTATAGTTTGAGAATGGCCAAGGGTAAAAGTGAGTCTCATCTCAGTGGCTCACATTTATCCAGCTTCGGCTGCCAAGAGTAGATGGTACCCTAAGTCCATTCTGCTCCTCTGCTCTTAGGATTAAAGCTCAGATTCAGGATGGTGGGCAGGGGAGATGGCCACAGTGTGGACTTGGGACCCTGACTGCTGCTGGAGAAGCAGCCCATGTGTCTTTGGGAAGACAGAGGTTCCGGTCTCCCATCCTGGACCCCACAGGCTTCCCTTGGCCACCCAGGGATCAGGCAGGACTAGAGCTGGGCAGCCAAGAGACAGACAGAGCTGACCCAAGGCACCAGAGTGTCAGGTGCAGAAGGGACCCGCAGGCTACCTGCCCTCCTTGGTCAGCCCTTCTCTCTCCAGGCCCTTACCAGGCTCAGGCTAGAAAAGCTTTCAGATTACCTGTTATCACCCTCTCTCCCTGCTGCCAGGTTTCCCTCCCCAGCCTTCCTGCCCAGTGCTCCCCATGTATCTTCCAAGTGGGCTAGGATGGATCTGGAAGCTCCCTTCCTCTCTCTGCAGGCACAGGATTCCACTTGTCAGAACGTTCTTTCTGCTGGTGAGCCAAGCCTTCTCCCTGCCTCTCTCTCCCACATAATTTTATTGATATATAATTCACATTCCATACAAGTTTCCCATTTACAATGCACAATTTAGTTTTTTCCATTTATTTACAGTTGCCCAACCATCACCACAATCAATTTTAGAAAATTTTCATGAACCCAAAAAGAAATCCTGTACTTATTTGTAACCCATTCCTCCCCACCACCTAAGCCCTAGGCAGCTACTTTTCTACTTCGTGTTTCTATTGATTTTTCTATTCTGGAAACGTCATATAAGTTTGGGTAGCATGGGTTTGATCCACCTTCTCTGGGAAACTTTGGGTAAGTCACTTCACCTCTCTGTGATTCAGTTTCCCAAGCATAAAAGCAGAAATATTGGTTTCTACCTCATAGGGTCATGATGAGGCTTAAATAAGCTAATGCATGTAAAACACTTAGCAGAGGGTTTGCTTTTATTACTGCTTTTTATAAAGTGATTTTCCTGATTACTGCTGTCATCCTTAACTGGTGTGTTCTCATTGGGATGGGGTAGAGTAGGACATGGGGGTGATAATGCAAGTATTTACATAATATCCAATATATTTAATAATGCATTAAAGCAAGTTTGTCCAAACCATGGCCCATGGGCTGCATGTGACCCAGGATGGCTTTGAATGTGGCCCAAAACAAATTTGTAAACTTTCTTAAAGCATTAAGAACTTTTTTCGTGATTTTTTTTTTTAGCTCATCAGCTATCATTAGTGTTAGTGTATTTTATGTGTGGCCCAACACAATTCTTCTTTGTCCAATGTGGCTCAGGGAAGCCAAAAGATTGGATACCCCTACTGATTAAAGCGTGGACATAATCCATCAGAATGTGTGAGCAATGATGAAAGTCCTGTGGTATTTCTGTTGGGTCTGGCACTAACCCACCAATTTCTGATCTATAGAAAAGTCAAGGGTCCAGGATATTACTAGGGTAACAGAGGAGGAACTTGGAGGGTTCTCAGCTGCTGCCATATACTAATCGGCCTGGAAGGATTTTAATATTTTAATACTCAGTATGGCCATGCCATCATATGCTGGCTGTACATTGGGCTTGTGTAGGACTGTCATCTTCCTTGCTATGGACACCACACTTTTGGTTATAAAACTACTGCATCCTCACTGCTTTTTTGGCAGCTACACCACACTGCACTGAGGCCTGGGGTTGAAGCCCTCAAGTCTTTTCTATTCAGGTTGCTGCTAAGTTCCATCATCCCTTAATAACCCCTACTAGGTTGTGTTTTGGGCCTATGTTCAGAATCTTAGATTTCTAAGTGTGATTCATGTTGATTGTTAAGCTCCTTGAATTAGGGTGTGTACTTTATACCAGACATAATAAAGGGGCTTCAAGGCTTCCAGGCAGGCAGGCAGAGCTGGCAGTGGCAGCAATGACACCTGTCCCTACATATGTTCTTTGACTCCTCAGAAGTGGAAGGGACTCTGTTTAGCCTTGCCCTTGACCATGAAATTCGAATATGCTACACATTGAGAAAAGAGGAGAAGGCCTGAGGGAAGAGAAGGAGATGAAAGACTATTAAAAAGGATAAAATCTCCAATCTATATAGAGATGTGGCAAAGCCATACCAATTCTAGTTCCAAGCAGTTCTTCAGGTAAAGGCTGATTTGAAAATAGCAGCTAGGAAGGCGGCTTCAGAAGTGCAAGCAGAACGAGCTTCAGGCAAAGCAGAGACATTCCAGGAAATTTAACTGAAAAGGAGAGCAAGGTGACTAGGAAAATGACCCTGAAATGAGGACAGCATATGGGCTTCTGGACGGATGGTAGTGTGTGAGGTATTGTAGGGGGTGGCAGCAAGCACAGGTAAATGGGGTGGATGGAGGTGGTGTCTGGAACTTGTTTCCTGGGGCCCAGGCAAAGCAAGGTATTTCAAATCTTGTCATAGGGAGGGTTGGGTTTTGTTTTTTGTTTTTTGTTTTTTGTTTGTTTGTTTGTTTGTTTGTTTGTTTTTTGCTATTGGTCTGGCTAGCCTTTCAATGATACAGCAAGTGAGGAGAAAAGGCAGCCAGCGCAAACAGCCAGGGCATGGCTTTATCAGGGCTGAGGGCAGACAATCTGATGAGCCAGTGTGGTGATTTGTGTAGCCTGTCTAGTGAGGAAGGGAGAGGCTTTTTCTAGCTAAGCAGCTGGTATTGTAACTGTCCCGTGGGTTCACCTTGCCTGCTGCCTAGACAGAGCCGATTTATCAAGATAGAGAAATTGCAATAGAGAAAAAGTAATTCACTCAGAGCCAGCTGTGCAGGAGACCAGAGTTTTATTATTACACAAAGCAGTCTCCCTGAACATTTGGGGATCAACGTTTTTAAGGGCAACTTGGTGGGTGGGAGGAAGCCAATGAGCTGGGAGTACTGATTGGTCAGGTCAGAGATGAAATCACAGGGAGTCCAAGCTGTCTTCTTGCACTGAGTCAGTTCCTGGGTGGGGGCCACAAGATCAGATGAGCCAGTTTATCAATCTGGGTCGTGCCAGCTGATCCATCAAGTGCAGGGTCTGCAAAATATCTCCAGCACTGATCTTAGGAGCAATTTAGGGAGGGTCAGAATCTTGTAGCCTCCAGCTGCGTGACTCCTAAACCATAATTTCTAATCTTCTGGCTAATGTTAGTCCTACAAAGGCAGTCTAATCCCCAGGCAAGAAGGAGGTTTGTTTTGGGAAATGGCTGTTATCATCTTTGTTTTAAACTATAAACTAAGTTCCTCCCAAAGTTAGTTCAGCCTACGCCCAGGAATGAACAAGGACAGCTTAGTGGTTAGAAGCAAGACGGAGTCAGTTAGGTTAGATCTCTTTCACTGTCTCAAGCATAATTTTGCAAAGGCAGTTTCAATCCCTCCCTTTGCGTTTTATAACACCTTGATCTTAAGGTGTTGGCTAATGAAGATGGAAAAAGAGCAAAGACTACTCTAACTTCTTCCTTCTGATCAGGGGTGTAGTGGAGGTAGGTGTTGACCCCAAGGTGAGAGGATTAGGACCACTTTGCCACTGTCTGAGCACACTCATGCAGGCCTGGCTGGGGTTCCAAGGCTTGCATCGTGAAGGTGTTAGTATTGTCATCTATAGTTTTAGTACTGCATTTAAGGGAACAGCATACTATAAGGTAAATAATGTGTACTAGGGTAAGGAGTGCAATTCCCAGTTTTAAAAGTAAAGATCTGAAAGCATTAGTTTGGGGACTTGTAGCCCACAAAGAATTTAGGATTTAGTCCAAACTGCAGAAAAAACTCAAGAACAGCTAACAAGAGGTGTACTATAGTTTTTCTTTTGAAGCATAATTTTTCTCTCTCTAGTCCTCATTTTTATTAAAAACAAATCATGATAGAATTGATTTGTTTATAAAATAAACTTTAGTCTTATTGTACTTGGCCTGATTATTTGCATAAAGTACAGCAAGAATAATTATTTTTCACATAGACTTTTAAAATTGGCTTTGATGGAACTCTGTTCCGTAAGGAATCTCATATAAAGCTTTTTTAAAGCTGAGCCCAGCCATGGGTTTGTACCCTCAAATACCTATGATTTGGGTAAATTCCCTTCCTTTTGAGGTCCCAAGATAACTTGGGGCTCCTGGGCCTCTCAGAAAGTGACATTCTTTACTTACCACAGGTCAGGAACCTTGTACAGGGACTGTGTAGACAAGGTATGAGGCCAGATTCCCCAAGGGGTTATTACTGGCTCTGTAAGTCAACTTTGATTTTTTTTTTTTTTTTTTGAGATGGAGTTTCACTCTCGTTGCCCTGGCTGGAGTGCAATGGCATGATCTCAGCTCACTGCAACCTCCGCCTCCCAGGTTCAAGCAATTCTTCTGCCTCAGCCTCCCGAGTAGCTGGGATTACAGGCATGCACCACCACGCCTGGCTAATTTTGTATTTTTAGTAGAGGCAGGGTTTCTCTATGTAGGTCAGGCTGGTCTCGAACCCCTGACCTCAGGTGATCCGCCCACCTCAGCCTCCTAAAGTGCTGGGATTACAGGCGTGAGCCACCATGCCCAGCCAACTTTGATTCTTTAAAGAAAGCATACCATTCCAATGAAAGCCTTGGTAAAATAACCAGTTTCTCCAAATGTGTCTGTTACAAAAGAAAACAGATTTTTATTGCACGTATGCAAATAACTATACTGCCATAAGTTGAGAATACTCATAAATAGTTTCCAAATTTTGGAGAAATCAGGTAGAGGGAAACAAATATGCTCCAAATTTTGTTTGCAGGAGTACATTTTACTCAATTGTTAAAAGCTGTAAATAGTTCAAAAGAAAAGCCTTCTTGACTCTGGAAAACATAAAAGGATTAGCAATGTTTTAAGTGAAAAGTCAAAAAAGATTACTTCAGCCTTCTATTTGAAAGTGTTTCCTCTATTGTAATGTGACGATTTCCAGAGTTATCAATCAGAAACTTGCATTTAAGAGCACCTGATAGAGTTTCATAGCTGATTATAAAACCATCATTTAGGCTGGGTGTGGTGGCTCACGCCTGTAATCCCAACACTTTGGGAGGCCGAGGTGGGCAGATCACGAGGTCAAGAGATTGAGACCATCCTGGCCAACATGGTGAAACCCCGTCTCCACTAAAAATACAAAAAAAATAGCTGGGCTTGGTGGCATGCACCTGTAGTCCCAGCTACTCGGGAGGCTGAGGCAGGAGAATCGCTTGAACCCAAGAGGCGGAGGTTGCAGTGAGCCGAGATCCTACCACTGCACTCCAGCCTAGGCAACAGAGCAAGACTCTGTCTCAAAGTAAAATAAAATAAAATAAAACCATCATTTAAACAGGATCAAAACAAGACAAGAATTGTCTGTGGATGACAAAAAGATTAGGGCAGCCACAGTTAAAGACAATTGACAAGGAAATTTGTTACCTCCGTGGCACACAATAATTTAACATAACAATTATAATTATTACTGATAATATACACTAAGTCATATCAGAATTATAGGAGTTTCACATAATTTTGGAACATATAACAATAACACATTTACACAAATATAGCCCACAGAAAGTCAAGCACCATTTCATATTTGGCAATGCTTCCTGTATGATTTTTATATCAAATAAGCCAAATGTGTCATTTTTGGACTTCAGAGGGCCTAATGTCTAGAGGATTAATTAGGTCAGAAAATCACATACTTTATAACTAAGCTGATTTTTGAAAGTCTGTCAAATATCAAAGGTTTAAAACACTGGATCTCACAAAATAGGATCACAGCTTATTTATTTATACTAAGCGGTAACTCAAAAAAAATTTTTTTAAAGGCAAAAATCTTTACTCTGATAGAAGAGACTTAGCTTTCCAAACAAGACCCAATGAAGATAACAAGAGGCCAACTGAATTTGTTTCTTTTCTGTCCTTTTTTCCCCCTCCCACTTACCCAAAGGGGCAAACAAAAACCTTTCATTATATTACATAAAAATCTTTTCCAAAAAACCAAACTTCATGTTTGCATGAGTACATCTTTCATGCTAAAGCTGGTTTTTACATAAAATTTTATAAATCTATCCAGTTTTAATTAATTTGACTATAAGGTAAGATTTTCACAAATGTTTTAGAACCCTTTATAATTTTCCATTAAATAGTCCATTAATGTTCTAAGAAAACCCTGTTATTCAGACACATAGGCCCAGATTCTGACCCCAAATCATTATGATTTTAATGTTTTAACCTACAGGAAAAAAATTAAATAATCCCCTTCAAATCTTAGCCAATTTGCTCATAACCACAGAGCTTTCTTTACAAGACCAACCCTTCACAAACCCTTTTCACTTTGCTTAAACCTTCAGTTTTGTCTCATTACTCTTTTAGGTTAAGATAATCTTTAAAACCCTATGAACTATACAAAATTACATTCCCATTAAAAGAAGCCATATTCCCATGCCTTCTCATAATCTTTTACCAAAAACTCATTCTACTTTCCTTACATACCTTGTATGTAAAACTGTTTCTCCAGTAGTCTCAATAACCTGTTACAATGTTAACTCTTAGCAACTTTTACTTTTGGTGAAAAACCTAAGAAGCAATTTTAATTATGTACTAAGGGTGGAACCTAGGACATTATACAGAAGTGAAGATAAGGTATGACTCTTTCTAGCATAGGTAGTGGGAGCATGGCTAACTCCACATGTCCCCAGGCCTTATCTAGAATCTAATGCTCCAAAGTAGATAAATTGAACAATTTTCAAAAGTCAAAGAAGCAGTTTATGATCTTAAAGCATTTAGCACAACTGATATCTGACCTTAATTTAGACCAAATGTCTATGTTTTGAAGACATTTTATTTTACCAATAATCTTTAAAACTGTCTTTATTTCCAAAAGATTACTAAAGTCATGTGAACAAAATAGCATTACAGTTTATTTTTATTTTTATTCATTTTTTTTTTTTTTGAGATGGAGTTTCACTGTTGTTGCCCAGGCTGGAGTGCAATGGTGCGGCTTGGCTCAATGCAACCTCCACCTCCTGGGTTCAGGCAATTCTCCTGCCTCAGCCTCCTGAGCAGCTGGGATTACAGGCATGTGCCACCACACCCAGATAATTTTGTATTTTTAGTAGAGATGAGGTTTCTCCATATTGGTCAGGTTGGTCTCAAACCCCCAACCTCAGGTGATCCACCTGCCTCGGCCTCCCAAAGTGCTGGGATTACAGGTGTGAGCCACCATGCCCAGCCCTAAAGTTTCTATTTTTATAACAAAATATTTGACTTAAGTGCTTATTTTCCTAAGCCAATTAATTAGAGCTCTTTTATATAAACATCACACACATAACACATACAAATAGACAGACAGAAGATCCAGTAGTTGTAAGATTTTTCATTTGCCAGATTCTTTATTGGATTACAGGCTTCAAGGTGGAGCCCTTGGAGAAACAGGGCCAGGAAACCATGCAGTTTCTAGGGCCTAATAAAGAGACACAGATGAAAGGCAAAGATAGATCCCCAAAATTAAGGGTGCCATTTTATACTGGATCCTGGATCCCCAAAAAGGAGGGAAAACTATGGGAGAAGACAGTGCAGTGCTTCTACCGTGCCTTTCATTGCAAGGCAACCCAAAGCCAACCAGCCCATTTTGTAATCAGTTCATCCCCCATGGGAGTCTCATCTCTTAGTGGGGGTTTGGGATGTTTCCATCTATTCCAGGTGGCCAAAAGCATGCTTCTCTAATCGAAACATCAAAGAGCCAAGTATCCCCCCATAACTGCCATTAACCATCCTCAAAAGTGTATTTCCTACCTAGTTATTACACACCAAGCTTCTTTCATAATGCAAAGTAATTTCTGACACCCACAAAGGTCAAAACCATCAACTAAGGCAATGCAAAACAGAACAGAACCTTATATTTTGAGAGGGATCTATTCTCTTTCACTTCCTGGGCTTCTGTGAGGAAAACAGAGGTTTTTCCCAGAATGGTCTCTGTGGTGCCTCCTCTGCTTTTCCCCAGGAGTCTCAGGCTGTTAGAATTATCTTAGAACCTTATATTTTGAGAGGGATCTATTCTCTTTCACCTCCTGGGCTTCTGTGAGGAAAACAGAGGTTTTTCCCGGAATGGTCTCTGTGGTGCCTCCTCTGCTTTTCTCCAGGAGTCTCAGGCTGTTAGAGTTATCTTAGGTTCTCCACTTTTACACTGCTGGTGGGACTGTAAACTAGTTCAACCATTGTGGAAGACAGTGTAGCGATTCCTCAAGGATCTAGAACTAGAAATACCATTTGACCCAGCCATCCCATTACTGGGTATATACCCAAAGGATTATAAATCATGCTGCTATAAAGACACATGCACACATGTGTTTATTGCGGCACTATTCACAATAGCAAAGACTTGGAACCAACCCAAATGTCCATCAGTGATAGACTGGATTAAGAAAATGTGGCACATATACACCATGGAATACTATGCAGCCATAAAAAAGGATGAGATCATGTCCTTTGTAGGGACATGGATGAAGCTGGAAACCATCATTCTCAGCAAACTATCGCAAGGACAAAAAACCAAACACTGCATGTTCTCACTCATAGGTGGGAATTAAACAATGAGAACACTTGGACACAGGAAGGGGGACATCACACACCGGGGCCTGTTGTGGGGTTGGGGTGGGGGGAGGGATAGCATTAGGAGATATACCTAATGTAAATGATGAGTTAATGGGTGCAGCACACAAACATGGCACATGTATACATATGTAACAAACCTGCACGTTGTGCACATGTACCCTAGAACTTAAAGTATAATAAAAAAATTTTAAAAAAAAGAATTATCTTAGGTTCTTTCATGTAGGCATCAAGAGTGGCAAGAAGACAAAATGGAGAATAACAATTCAGTCTACCAAGAAGAATAAAACTTTTTTTCGGAAAAACGCAATCCAAGAAGAGGAAAAAGATAAAGTCCTTTTAAATACATATAGCTTGTATATACATTCCTTTTTTTGTGGGGAAATGGAGTCTTGCTCTGTCACCCAGGATGGAGTGCAGTGGTGTGATCTCGGCTCACTGCAACCTCCGTCTCCAAGGTTCAAGCGATTCTCATGCTGCAGCCTCCCAAGTAGCTGGGATTACAGGCATGTGCCAGCACGCATGGCTAATTTTTGTATTTTTAGTAGAGATGGGGTTTCACCATGTTGGCCAGGCTGGTCTCGAACTCCTGACCTCAAGTGATCCGCCCGCCTCGACCTCCCAAAGTGCTGAGATTACAGGCATGAGCCACCGCACCCAGCCACATATCCGTTTTTAATTAAGAAGATTTTAACCACAGAGCTCCTTTTGTAAAAAAAAAAAAAAAAATTAAAATATTTTATTGCCAGACTCTAGCCAGGACAGTCAGTCAATATTTCTGGCTTTTGAACTTTACTGCAGGCAACCTCCCATGTGAAATTAATAAATTTTAACTAAGGTTATGACTTAACCACGGACACATACGGTGTCTCAAAGGAATGGTAAGCAGTTTTTTGTTTTTTTGTTTGTTTGTTTTTACCAAGACAAGAACAGAAGAACAGAAGCTATCGATGGGTTAATAAAAAACCCTCAATAAATGGCAAAGTTACACACATAACAAACCAGAAATGAATTATTCCAGAAGCCAAGAATTGAATCCAGGCTGCCATTGTCAAAAAGACAAAGGCTTAGCTACTGAGTTATACAGCATTGAGCAGTTTCCATTGCTTTTCCCAGAAGAAGTCTAGAGCAGCTAATTTCAAGCTTGCAAAGGCTTTTAACTGCTCAAGATAATTTTTAGGGCTATGACATGAACCCCCAAATTCCTGTCCTCTGGATTGCAGAAACCAAGAGAAAGTATCCCCACATGGTCACAAGGTTAAGCTCTTAAGGATACAAAACAAGACAGAGATATTTCATCCTGTATTCGTTTCAGGAACCCATTGCAAAGTTTTAACCAACCAGCCTGCTGGGCTGGCTTGAAAAGCCACCCTTTTCTGTTTTATGGAACCATAGGCAAAAGATTGTCAATTTTGCAAGATGTTGCCCAACAGGCTGCATGGGTAACCGAATTAACATTTTCCAGCCCAACAAAATACACGTAACAGAACAGACACTAGTCACCTCATTCAGCACCCAATATCAACCTGGCAAAGTTCGGACTTTCTTCTGTTGGTCCCTGTTGTCTTTGATCCACTCCAGGTGGGGAGGGCTGACTTCCAAATAATAATTCACAATGGGTGATCTTTGGGCAAGGCAAAGACCAGATAGTCACCCTGAGACAAGCCTGTTGAGCTTTTTTTAGGGCTTACCGAATGGAATGTGACCAGACAAATAAGGGGGTTCTCTGAGTTAGGCCTGCTGGACTTCCGTCAGCAATTCCTTCTGAGATCCCCTCCACATATACAAATGCACACAAAGACAAGACAGACAGAAGGCCTTCCAAATCAGATCCTTAACCAAGAACTCCAAGAATATCCCTTCCAAACTACCCTCCCCTTCTCTGTCTGAGAAATCTCCCCCAAATTTTCCTGATTGAGAAGTCTCCTGAACCAAGATTCTTCCTACTAGTTAGGGAAAGCCAACCGAGACCCTCCAGGAGCCGAACCAAGACAGACACCACCCAATGGAGCTACAGACAAACTGAGACCCCTGAAGGAGCCAAACCGAGACAGACATCCTGAGGTGGAGCTGCAAACAGACACCCCACAATGGGGCTACCAACACCCCACCATAGGGCTACAGAGCCAGTCAGGAGAAGGAAGGAGGCATTGGCAATGCCTAGGATACTCACCAACCCAGATACCCTGCAATGGGGCTACAGACCGACACCCTCTAATGGGGCTACAGTTATGGGATTCCTTCCCAGGACTATTTCTCCATTGCAATTAAATCCAATGCACATTGGGTCAGCAGCACCAGATAGAGCATAAGTAGAGAACCAGAGTCAGACCCCAGTCCAAGAGAACTAGGTGGCCACTTGGGCTGGCCTCTGGATCCATCGCCAGGTGGATGGCGATGAACCATGGGCAGGTAGCCACAAGGGCAATCCCAGACGAGCTCCCAAATTTGTAACCGCCCAGTGGGTTCACCTTGCCCACTGCCTAGACAGAGCCAATTTATCAAGACAGGGAAATTGCAATAGAGAAAAAGTAATTCACTCAGAGCCAGCTGTGCAGGAGACTGGAATTTGATCATTACTCAAACCAGTCTGGAGCATATTACTCAAATCCAGAGCATTCAGGGATCAGACTTTTTAAGGACAACTTGGTGGGTGGGGGAAGCCAGTGAGCTGGGAGTACTGATTGGTCAGGTCAGAGATGAAATCATAGAGAGTCCAAGCTGTCTTCTTGTGCTGAGTCAGTTCCTGGGTGGGGGCCTCAAGATCAGAAGAGCCAGTTTATCAATCTGGGTGTTGCCAGCTGATCTGATCCATCAAGTGCAGGGTCTGCAAAATATCTCAAGCACTGATCTTAGGAGCAGTTTAGAGGGGGTCGGAATCTTGTAGCCTCCAGCTGCACGACTCCTAAATCATAATTTCTAATCTTGTGGTTAATGCTAGTCCTACAGAGGCAGTCTAGTCCCCAGGCAAGAAGGTTTGTTTTGGGAAATGGCTGTTATCATCTTTGTTTTAAACTATAAACTATTATAAACTGTAAACTAAGTTCCTCCCAAAGTTAGTTCAGCCTACACCCAGGAATGACCAAGGACAGTTTGGAGGTTAGAAGCAAGATGAAGTTGGTTAGGTTGGATCTCTTTCACTATCTCTAGTCATAATTTTGCAAAGGTGGTTTCAGTATGCAGAGGAAGATAAATGCTGGCATCTGGGCACCTGATGAAAGAAAAGTATGTCCTCAGAAAGGCAATGGAGCAGTTCGGAAAAAGAAGGAAAAGGGTAGAACTGCAGCTTCTGTTTTTGCTCAACTCTGGCAGCTGAGTGTTGTGGGTGGGGTACTGGAATTCAAGAGACCCTAAAATGCTCTCTGCAGACCTCAGAGCTGATGCCCACTGATGATGATTCCAATCACAAAATCTCAAACACTGTGCTATGAGTACTTGCTAATGAAAACCCTGTGCTGTCTAGCAGGGCAAGGGTGTGTTTCTTAGGTAAAACTTCCAAGTATAGTTGGGATATTTTTCTCTAGAATGTCTTCCTGTCCCCAAGGCTAGGTCTCTCTTTGACTTTATCTGGGTTCATAATGTTGTGACTAAGAGCAGATACTTTCTCTGTCTGAGTTCCAATTCTACCCCTGCTACTTACTAGCTGTGTCATCCTAGGCAAGTTGCATCACCACTCTGTGACTCAGTTTCCTCATCTGTAGAATGGCTATAGTGAGAGCACCTGCCTCATTGCATTTTTTTTGAGGCAGAGTTTTGCTCTGTCACCCAGACTAAAGTGCAGTGTTGCAATCACAGCTCACTGCAGCCTTGACCTCCTGGGCTCAAGTGATCCTCCCACCTCAGCCTCCCGAATAGCTAGGACCAGAGGTGCACGCCACTACACCTAGCTAATATTTATTTATTTATTTATTTATTTATTTATATATTTTTGAGATGGAGTCTCGCTCTGTTGCCTAGGCTGGAGTGCAATGTCGTGATCTTGACTCACTGCAACCTCTGCCTCCTGGGTTCAAGCAATTCTCCTGCCTCAGCCTCCCAAGTAGCTGGGACTACAGGCATGCACCACCATGCCCGGCTAATTTTTTGAGTTTTTAGTAGAGACGGAGTTTCACCATGTTGGCCAGGCTAGTCTCTAACTCTTGGCCTCAAGTGATCCACCTGCCTCGGCCTCCCAAAGTGCTGGGATTACAGGCGTGAACCACCACACCTGGCCATTTTTTAAATTTTTAGTAGAGATGGGGTTTCGCCCTGTTGCCCAAGCTGGTCTTGAACTTCTGGGCTCAAGCAATCCACTCGCCTCAGCCTCCCATAGTGCTGGGATTACAGGTGTGAGCCACTGCACCCGTCCTCATTGCATTATTTATAAGGAATCATAACACAGGTCAAATGCTTAGAACAGAGTTTAGCATGTACTAAGAACGCAATAAACATTATAACTTGGGTTTTGAGTCATTCTCCACCTTAGTCATTGCCCTTCCTGCTTTGTGTCTTCTGTAAATGTCCCTAATCAAGCCACTGAATAAAAATAATGTTGGCATGAAAAGAAATCTCTCTTCCTTTCTTACCAGCCTCCCATTCAGTTCTCTGAGCTGTCTGAACACTTCGGGCACATACATGTATATGCACTGTGGCTATTAAGGTCTCACCCCTTAACTCTGCTGCACTCAGACGATCCAAACTATACTCAGGGGTTTTACCTGAGAAACACCCCCTTGCCCTGCTATTCAGTACAGGATTTTCATTAACTAGTATTCACAGCAGTGTTTGAGAGAGATTTTGTGATTGGAATCAGCATCAGTGAGCATCACCTCTGAGGTCTGCAAAGAGTGTCTTAAGGTCTCCTGAATACCAGCACCCCCCACAACACTCAACTACCAGAGTTGAGCAAAAACGGAAGCTGCAACTCTGCCCTTTTCCTTCTCTTTCTGAGGACCACTCCTCACATCCTTTTCTCTCCTTGTATTACTACACTTCTTCCCCCAGGATGCTGCTCCTTCTATCTTTTCTCCCTCCCTCTCTACCTTCTTCTCTCTCTATCTGCACCGCCTACCCATCATCCAGTCATATAAGCTGGGTACCTAGAGTAATCATCCTAGATCAGGGATCAGCAAATATTTTTCCATAAAGAGTCAGACAGTAAATATTTAAGGCTTTGAGGGCCACATATAATCTCTGTCACAACTACTCAATTCTGCTGTTGTGGCACAAAAACAGCCATAGCCAACATGTAAATGAATGGATGTGGCTGTGTTATAATAAAACTCTTGTGCAAACACAGGCAGTGGGCCAGTTTGGCCTGCAGGCTGTAGTTTGATAAGAATTATTGCAAGGCATAACTTTTTCCTCAAAACCCATTCTGTCATCTAGTTCATAAAAATATGTTCAATTTGTCCACTTCTTGCCAACTCTGCTACTTCCACCATGGATCAAGCCACTGTCATCTCATGCCTGGACCGTTCATTGCAGTAGCTTCCTGATTGGTTTCTTTCACTCTACTTTTGTCCTACAGTTCACATAGCAGCCGAAGTGTTCCTTTCAAAGTTAACATTTCATTTCTATTTAAAACCATTCAACGGCTTCATACTTTTCTTAAGATAAAGACTCAAATCTTTATATGGTTTATACGATACTACATGATCTGAGTATGCCTACTTTTTTCAGTCTTTCCTTTTACCACCCTTTCTTGATGACTATGCCTTAGCCACACGGGCCTTTATTTAGTTCTTCAAACATGCCAAGCACTTTTATACTTCAGGGCCTTTGCATAAACTGTTCCCTGTACTAAAAATCTGCCCCCTTCCCCATCTCTTCATTTCCATTAATCCACATGGAATGAATGCCTATTCATCTATCAATCCTCAATTCAAAGGACATTTGCTTAGGAAAGCCTTCCCTACTCAGTCCCAGACTAGAAGACGCCCCACAGAAATATGCTTTCAGAGCTCCACATAATTTTTCTTCCGAGAACATATCCCAATTTATAATATGCAGTGGTTCATGTGATTATTTGATTAAAGCCTATTTCCCCTACTAGGATGTAAGCTCCATGATAGCAGAGACTGGGTCTATCTTCTACCTTGTTATTAACATAGACCCAAAATCTTTAATAAAACTGATTTGTATTAAGTTTAATTTTCAAAAATATTTTGTTGGGGTATAATTGGTATATAATAAGCAACACATTAAAAATGTACAATTTAATAATTCGGACATATATACATATATACATACAGTTGGTACTCTGTATCTGTGGGTTCCACATCCAAAAATTCAACTGACTTCAAATTAAATATATTCAAAAGAATAAACTTTAAAAGTTACAATACTTTTAAAACAATAAAAATAATGCAAATAAAAAATAAAGTATAACAACCATTTACATAGCATTTACCTTGTATTAGGTATTACAAGTAATTTAGAAATGATTTAAAGTATGTGGGAGGATGTGCATAGGTTATATGCAAATATTATGCCATTTTATGTAAGGGACTTGAGCATCTGTGGACTTGGTATTTATGGGAGATCCTGGAACCAATATTCTGTGGATACCAGGCGATGACTCTCTCTTTCTCTCTCTCTCTTATGTGTGTGTGTATATACATATACACATATATACACATATGTATATATACACATGTGTGTCTGTATATGTATATATAACATCATCATAATCAACATAACGATTATGTCCATCACCCCCCAAAATTTCCTCATGTCACAATAGATCAGTTTGCATTTTCAGGTTTTGGGGTTTGTTTTTGCAACTGGGAAGTTATTTTCATTGTTTTCATTTCTTTCTCTTCCAATTTAACCACCTCCTCTCCTCTCTTTTTTTTTTGTGGTAAAATATATATAGCATAAAATTTGCCATTTTAATTATTTTAAGTGCCATTTAATTAATTCAGTGGCATTAATTGTATTCACAGTGTTGTACAATCATCATCACTATCTATTTCCAAAACATTCTTATCAACCCAAGTAGGTACTCTGTAAGCATTAAGCAATTAACTCCCCATTCTCCCGCACCCCAGATGCTGGTAACTACTAATTTACTTTCTATCTCTGTGAATTTGCCTTTTGTAGATATTTCACATAAGTGGGATCATAAAATATTTGTCCTTTGTGTCAGGCTTATTTCACTCAGCATAGCGTTTTCAGTGTGCACCCATGTTGAAGCATGTATCAGAACTTCATTCCTTTTTCACTGCTGAATACTATTCTATCATATGTATATACTACATTTTGTTTATTTATTCATATGCTGATGGACACTGGGGTTGCTTCCACCTTTTTTTTTTTTTTTTTTGAGACAGAGTCTTGCTCTGTCACCCAGGCTGGAGTGCAGTGGCACTATCTCAGCTCACTGCAACTTCCACCTCCTGGGTTCAAGAGATTCTCCTGCCTCAGCCTCCCAAGTAGCTGGGATTACAGGCACATGCCACCACTCCCGGCTAACTTTTGTATTTTTACTAGAGACAGGGTTTCGTCATGTTGGCCAGGCTGGTCTCGAACTCCTGACCTCAGGTAATCTGCTCGCGTTGGCCTCCCAAAATGCTGGGATTACAGGCATGAGCCACTACGCCCGACCATTTCCACCTTTTGACTATTGTGAATAATGCTGCAGTGAATAGTAGTGTATAAGTATCTGTTTGAAAACTATTTTCAATTCTTTTGGATATATATCTAGAAATAGAATTACTGGGTCACATGGTAATTCTACGTTTAGATGTTTGAGGAAGCATCAAACTATCTTATACAGTAATTGAACCATTTCACATTCCCACCAGCAATGTATGAGAGTTCCAATTTATCCGCATCTTTGCCAACACTGAATATTTTCCATTTTCTTAAATTACAGTCATCCTAGTAGGTATAAAGAGGCATCTCATTGTGACTTTCATTTGCATTTTCCTAATGACTAATGATATTGAACATTTTTATATGTTTGTTGCCATTTATATATCTTCTTTGAGGAAATATCTACTCAAGTCCTTCTCACATTTTTAAATTGGGTTGTTTATGTTGTTAAGTTGTAGGTTTTCTTTGTATATTCTGAATATCAAACACTTCTCAGATATATGATTTTCAAATATTTTCTCTCATCCTGTAGGTTGTCTTTTTCCTTTTTTTTTTTTTCGAGATGGAGTCTCACTCTGTCACCCAGGCTGGAGGGCAATGGTGCAATCTTGGCTCACTGCAACCTCTGCCTCCTGGGCTCAAGCGATTCTCCTGCCTCAGCCTCCTGAGTAGCTGGGATTACAGGGATGCACCACCGTGCCCAGTTAATTTTTGTATTTTTAGTAGAGACAGGGTTTCACCATGTTGCCCAGGCTGATTTTGAACTCCTGACCAAAGGTGATCCACCTGCCTCGGCCTCCCAAAATGCTGGGATTACAGGTGTGAGCCACCGTGCCCGGCTTTACTTTCTTAATAACACCCTTTAATGCACAAAAGTTTTAAATTTTGAGGAAATCCAATTTAGTAATTTTTTCTTTTGCTGCTCATGCTTTTGGTGGCATATCTAAGAATCCATTACCAAATCTGAGGTTATGAAGATTTACTTCCATGTTTTAAGTATTTTATGATTTTTTACTCTTGTATTTAAGTCATTGATCAGTTTTGAGTTAATTTTTGTACATGGTTTGAGGTAGGAGTGCAAAGCCCTTTTCTTCGCATGTAGAAATCTAGTTGTCCCAACACCATGTACTGAAGAGACTATTTATTTCCCCATTGAATAGGCTTGACAACCTTGTCAAAAATCAACTGGGTATAGATGTATAGGTTTATTTATGGGCTCTCAATTCTATTCCATTGATCTATATTTCTCTCATTATGCCAGTAGCACACTGTTTTGATTACTGTAGCCTTTTAGGCAGATTTGAAGTCTGGAATGTGAGTCCTCCAACTTTGTTCTTTTAGAAGATTATTTTGGCTATTCAGGGCCCTTGCAGCTCCATATGAATTTGAGGATATGCTTTCCCATTTTTGTAAAGAAAAGGGGAGCTGTTGGAATTTTGGTAGATACTGTGTTGAATCTGTAAGTCTCTTTGGGTAGTACTGGCATCATAAAAATATTAAGTCTTCTTACCCATGAATATGAGATGTCTTTCCATTTATTTAAGTCTTTAATTTCTTTCAGCCATGTTTTATAATTTTCACTGCACAAGTCTTTCACCTGCTTGGTTAAATTTATTCCTAGGTATTTTATTCTTTTAGATGCTACTGTAAGTGAAATTGCCTTCTTAATTTCTTTTTCAGATTGTCCATTGCAGGTATATAGAAACATAACTGATTTTTTCTGTGTTTGTCCTGTACCTGGCAGCTTTGCTGAATTCTTTAATTAGCTTTATTAGCTGTCTTCTGGTTTCCTTGGCACTTTATATACATTGGATCATATTATCTCCAAGTAGAGATAGTTTTACTTATTTCTTTTCAATTTAGATGCCCTGAATTTCTTTTTCTTGTTTAATTTATCTGGCTAGAATTTTCAATACAATGTTGAATAGCAGTAGTGGGAGTGGGTATCTTTGTCTTGTTCCTGATTTTAAAGGGAAAGTTTTCAGTTTCTCACAATTCAGTATGGAATTCATTATGGGTTTGTGTAAATGCCCTGTAACATGTTGAGGAAGTTCTCTTCTATTCCTAGTTCTGAGAGTTTTTTTTTATCATAAAAGAGTATTGGATTTTGCAAATGCTTTCTCTGCATCATTGGAGACGATCATGTGGATTTTTCTCCCATCTATTAATGTGTTTTATTACATTGATTGATTTTTCTCTACATTGTGCCACTCTTGCATTCCTGGGATAAATAAGTTTAGGTAGTTTGTGTGTTTCAAATAATTTATCTATTTCATCTAGGTTATTAAATACTTTGGTGTACAATTGTTCATAGTATTCTTTTATAATCCATTTTTATTTCTGTAAGATTAGTAGTAATGTCCCCACTTGATTATTTTATTTATTTATGTCTTCTCTCTTTTTCTCCATCAGATAGGTAAATATTTGTTAATTTTATTGACCTTTTTAAAGAACTAACTTTGGGTTTCATTGATTCTCTCTTTTTGTTTTTCTATTCTCTGTTTTCTTTTTCTCCACTCTAGTCTTATTTCCTTCCTTCTGTTAGCTTTTGTTTTAGTTTTCTCTTCTTTCTCTAGTTCTTCAAGGCATAAAGTTAGGTTACTGATTTGAGATATTCTTTCTTTTTTAGTGTAAGCATTTACAGCTATAAATTTTCCTCTAGGCACTGCCTTTTCTGCATCCCATAAGTTTTGGTATGTTGTGTGTGTTCACTGAAGTGTCTGCTCCCTAGCTTATATTCAGCTACTAGTGTTTTGACAGCGATTTCCTTGAATGTCCATAGCTCAAAATAAACAAACAAATAAAGAAATACCTTTCGCAATCTTTGCAGACTGGCTAATGATCAGCCCAGGCTGAAAGCTTAGGGGCATCTCAGCTCTTTTCTGAGCATGTGCCTCTCCCTAGGCATGCATGTGGCCTTCTTAATTCTTCTGTATGAGTGGCACTTTTGAATGTTTGAATTTCCCAAAGAAACTCTCCCCAGCTTTTATTCTCAGGCCGTGGGCAATCTAATATATATATATATATATATATATATATATATATATATATATATATATATATATTATATATAAAATATATATAATAAATATATAATATATATAATAAATATATAATATATATATATTTAGAGACAGGATCTCACTCTGTCACCCAGGCTGGAGTGCAGTAGCTCACTGGATCCTTGAACTCCTGGACTCAAGTGATTCTCAAGTGATTCTCCTGCCTCACCCTCCCGAGTAGCTGAATCTACAGGTGCACACCACCACACCCAGCTATTTATTTTTTATTTTTTGCAGAGATGGAGGTCTCACTGTGTTGCTCAGAGTGGTCTTGAACTCCTGGGTTCAAGCAATCCTCCCACCTCCACTTCTCAAAGTGCTAGGGTTACAAGTGTGAGTCACTGTGCCTGACTAATTGTAAATTTTAAAAGTAATATTTTGGCTGAGGCATCTGTGGGTTGCCAGTTCAACTTTCAGTGTTTTCAAGCAATGAGAAATGCTTTTTCAGCCTGAATTTCAAGCCAGGTGAAACAGAGATGAGCACCTTGTGTCTATCCTTCAGGTAGCCCCTAGACAGGTTAGAATAGACATACTCAGTAGTTTGGAAATAAGATCTCTGCTTCTCTTTCTGGAACCAGGGACCAAGATCCTATACTGGGAATGCGAGCTAAGACTACTGCCGCACAGAGGAGAAGGTGAGGGAAGGGCAAGTAAAAGTGCCACAGAGCTTCCCTACCACTTTGAAGTTGCATTTTTCATAATTAAGCATTCACTTGATTGGTTGTTGTAAACCCTTAATTGTTTTACAGAATTCTGATAAACTGGTTCTTCTTTTTTTAAAAATTAGTATTTTTGGGTACATAGTAGATGTATACATTTATGGGGTACATGAGATATTTTAATATAGGCATACAATGCGTAATAATCATTGTTATAATTTGGACATTTGTCCCCACCCAAGCCTCATGTTGAATTATAATTCCCAGTGTAGGAGGTGGGGCCTGGTGGAAGGTGATTGGATCATGGGGGCAGATCCCTCACGGCTTGGTGCTCTCCTCGCTATAGTGAGTGAGTTCTTGTGAGATCTGGTCCTTTAAAAGTGTGTGGCACCTCTCCCCCGCTCCCTCAACCCCACCACTCTCTCACTCTTGCTTCTGCTTTTGCCATGTGATGTGCCTGTTCCTGCTTCACCTTCTGCCATGAGTATAAGCTCCCTGAGGCCTCCCCAGAAGCCACGTGATGCCAGTGCCATGATTTTACAGCCTGCAGAACAGTGAATCAATTAAATCTCTTTTTAAAATAAATTACCCAGTCACAAATATTTCTTTATAACAATGCAAGAATGGCCTAAAACAGTCACATCAGGGTAAATGTGGTATCCATCACCTCAAGTATTTATCTTTTCCTTGTGTTACAAACGATCCCATTATACTCTTTTAGTTATCTTAAAGTGTATAATAAATTATTGTTGACTGTAGTCACCCTATTGATTCTGATAATATTTGCTTTCTTTATGATGTTTTTGTTAAAGGACAGAACTTCTGTAAGCCGTCTAGGTGATTCTGATGCAAGATCTTGTTTGAGAACCTCTGGTCTGACCTGCAATATGGCCTATAACCTGTGGCTCATTTTCCTAATGCCGTAGCTAGAAACTTTGTGGCAATATCTGGCAGCACTGTATCAGGATTCTTTGAGAAATCCAGAACAGGTGTCCAGTAGTGAGTTGACCTCCACTCGTGTCTCCCTTTCCTACTGCTCCCAAGTGGAGAAGACAGTCATGTCACTCACCAGTGGCTCCACAGCCCTTATACTAGTGGACTTTTACCTAGGTGAATCAATATCTGAGTAAATAAAGCCAGACCAGCTATGGCTGGACACAGATCTTGGCTTAACCCCATTCTACAGAGACAGGGTTGCTGGTCATAACAGCCATATAAAAGGCCATAGACCCCGAATTCAGAGATTGAAAGAAATTCAAGTAATTCTCAAATAAATGATGCTCTGGGGAAATGGAGACACCTGAGTTTCCAAGTAGAAGAAGCTTGGATAATTGTTCTGTTTGTAAATGTGCAGGGTGAGGGCAAACTAGGGAATTTGTTCTGAAGCTTTTGCATAGCAAGCATACTATTTTGAATTAGGTTGTATGCTTTTCTGGGGACTTTGAGGGTGACTAATGGAGATCATAAGGAATTTAAAGTCCCAATCCTGCCCTAATGCCAACCCAGGTGTTTCTCCCCTAGCTGGCCCTAAATTCTCTTGGCCAATAATGACAAATCATGCAGAAATGGACTCGATTGGGTTGAGGAAAGAACTGGCCTGATGAGACAGCAAAAATCTCCAGCCTCACTGTCTAGGGTCAGAGTTCTCCTATATAAAAGTTAGAGATGAAAAGTCTAAACTGGAGTCACCAGACTTGAAATCGTGTACACTCAGACCCCTGCACTCACGTGGTTCCCTAAGAGACCACATGCCACACCCCACACACATGCTTTGAGCTGAGACACAGCATTATTCTACTCTAAAACAACAACAACAAAGCATTTATTTCCAAAAAAGGGACAAGGTCACGAGAAAAGGCCTATAATAATTAACTAACTCAATGGAAAACTCATTTTTAAAATACCCCCCATGGAGTTTTAGGACAAAACAACAGCTTAGTGAATGTTTGGTTACAGTTTATAGCTATTTCTTTCGCCCTTGATACACTACTGTGATTTTTCAGCTTTCTCTGCCAATCTTGCTCAGCACTAGTGGTTCTAAGATTAAAGTCCAGGTATGTAAATGGAATAGCCCTATTTGCAGCCTTGGTATGTGGGCTCTTCTGAGCCTAGTGGCCCCTTTTGTTCATTTTTGTCAGTTGTTAGCCTGGCAAAGGGAGTAGGAACTATACCAGTTAGAAAAGTAGAGCCTATATCAAACGTTCAATAGATGAAATTTAATAGAGAAAACATGTTGGGAGGGCTGAAAGGCCAAAGAAGAGAAAGCGAGGCAAGTCAGAGATCAACAATAGTAGAAACCTGCTTACTACCACTAGGGCTGCAAGAAGACAGGAAAGAGGTAGTGTTACTATAGCTCAGGTGCCAAGTTCATTGCAGAGACTGCCAGGTAAAAGCTATAACAATGGAGGGAAAGTTTGTCATCAGAAACTAGAACTTAGGAGTAGACCCAGCCACAGCTAGAGATGCCACTTGAATTAGACGACACTGCTGGATACCTTTTGATTTTGACCAAGCAGCATCCATTCTCACTTCTTGTGATACCTACGCCATGATTTTCCTTTCCAGGGAACTCTTCCTAACCCATTGGGTACAGTTTTAGTAGTACTGTCAATCAGGGTGCTATGTCCAACCCTAGCCAAGGCATGGGTGGGCATATAATATAAAGTATGTCAAACACACCCTCTCTCAGGAATTTGAATCTTGAGAATAAGGACAGAAAAATGTTGGAACTGTTTCAGCCATACTGTGGTACCTTGAAAAGACCATGCCTCTTTTCCTATATACCTAGATCCCCAGAGACACTCTAGTTTGTATTTTATCCCTCCTCAAGTCTTTATCAATTTAGCCCAAGTTTTCGTAAGTCTGAAAAGTTTGAACTACAATGTTTGCCATGCCCCCATACACCAAGTCCTTGTTTACAATCCTCAGAATGCCCTTATATGCCTCTGTGGCCTTAAGAGTGTCTACTCATCATTCAATAACCAACCCAGATATAACTTCTGTGAAATCTTTCCCAGTCCCTACCCTCTCAAGAAAAGTTTAGCACTTATCTCCTCTAGTTTCCCATGACACTCTATACATATTTCCGTTTCAGTACTTATCATATTGAATTATTTTATGTTTACTTGTCTGTCTCCCTTCTAGACTGTGAGGTTAAGGGCAGGACCATGTCTTATTTTAACTGAGGATTCTCAGTACCTAGCTGCTTGGCACATAGTAAATGCTTATTAAAACATTTGTATGAATGTATGAATAAATAAATGGATAATATAGCCAGCATATCTCCATTCAATTATAGTACAAGCCAGAGTTCTTTCTTTCTTTGCATTTAAAAGGGTTTGGAGCTCCTTAAGGGTTTAAAGGGGAGAAATGAGTCCAATATATGCTCCCAATAAGAAGAGATATAAAGAGATATTTTTATAAAGACAGGAGACAGAAATGACAGAAGGACATTATGGGGAGGAGACAGAGAGAATGTGAAGAGGGCAGTAAGGAGTAACAGCCAATTACAAGGCTGTACAGGAAATACCATTTGGGGCATAGAGATATGCAGAGAGGTCTTAGTATTCCACTTGAGATGATGGCCAATATACTCCCTAGAGACTTGAGGGAGACAAGTCCAATGGTATGCTGGTAAATATTTAACAACCAGCTCTCTGGGGAAAAGGACTGTAATTTGTGGCATTTGTCATTTTCCTTCTTGTAAATACTACCACCATGGCCAATTTCAAGCTCTCCATGTGGCATCACTGAATGCAGAGTTGAGAAGAGATGCAAGCCATCATATAGGATTTCCGCCATATAGATAAAAACAGATACAAATAACTTCAAAATCATAGATAACAGTAAATGTAGTAAAATAATTAATAAATGATGAGTGGGTATTTATTCTCTTTGATTATAAGTTTATATAATTTAATTTGGAATAATGGTTGTATTTAATAGCCTCCTTGCGATCTTCCTGAAAATATAACTATCAGCTTTTATGAGCAGGTGTGGGCCAGTAGCATACCACTGCAGGTAGCTCTATCTGTGGACTACTTGGTGACTCAGATGCAGCCTGAATAGCTATAACAAAGTGAGATAAGGATTGCTGGTCAACTGTAGCTGTAATATGATCAAGAGGATCTAGGCCTACTAGGTGATTTCATGGTTCCCAGGAGAAAAACTCTACCTGGTAGCCTCAAGCACTAGATGGCCCCAAAACAGAATGCCTGTGATTCATTGTGTTATCTTCCTTAATGCTAAAAATTATCTTCATAATTCACTTTGAACTGGTGAGATAAACGACTTGTTCTGTTAAGAGCTGGATATCCCTGGACCAAGGTGGTCTTTATAGAGCTATGTTGAGAGCCATACTGTCTGATATTTGTGCAATCAACAATTTAACCTTCTTTATAAAGTGTCCAGTTTCTAAATAGTAAATACTCTTTTTTTTTTTTTTTTTTTTTTGAGATGGAGTCTCGCTCTGTCTCCCAGTCTGGAGTACAGTGGCACAATCTCGGCTCACTGCAACCTCTGCCTCCCGGGTTCAAGCGATTCTCCTGTCTCAGCCTCCCGAGTAGTTGGGATTACAGGTGCAAAGCCACCACACCGGGCTAATTTTTGTATTTTTAGTAGAGTCAGGGTTTCGCCATGTTGGCCAGGCAGGTCTTGAACTCCTGACCTCAGGTGATCCACTCACCTCGGCCTCCCAAATTGCTGGGATTACAGACATGAGCCACTGTGACCAGCCTAAATACTCTTCTTTTAATCAAATAGAGAAAATGGACACTGGTTCTGATTTGATGCATACAAGAAAAAGGTGGTAGCAATTACGATCTGCCAGAAAAGTCTCACCTTTGCAAACTCAAGTTGTCTTTGTGGTGAATTGGGCATATTACTAGTTCCTCATTTCAACATTATATTTTTGATCTTCCTTAATTTTGGGTTCCATCCTCACAGGACATTTTTAGTACTGAAAAGAACAAAAAGGAAATACAGCTCAATACCTGGTATTGTAATTATAAATGCACCTACTACATGCTAAGCATGCTATTATACATCATCTCATTTAATCCTGAAAACAAAAACCAACTGGTGGGCACTATCATTTCCCCATCCTATAAATGAGGAAGTTGCAAATCAGGAAGGCCAAGTACCTTGCCCAAGATCACACAGCTTATGAGAGGAGAGCTGAGATTTGAAGCCAGATTTGTCTGAAACCCAAGTCTCCCAGGCTTTTGCACTACACCATGCTGCTTGAAGAGCCCTCTCCATTTCAGGAGGCTAGTCTTGGAGAATGGGTGGTCTGTGCACAATATCAAAGGATAAATAGAAAGGCATGTGTCTTTCTGGAGAGTCACATGGGAATTCTGAATTCAGGGCCATAAGATTTAAAAGCACAATTCAGTACCCCACCTCCTTATATCAAACATATGGCCAATCTTAAGAGAACTTTAAACAAATATCTCCCTTTAAAAGCTGATACTTTAGGGCAACTTTGAAGCAAGCCATTGGATACAATTAGATATCTTTGTTTCCTTTCTTTTATCCTTAATTCCCTTTCCTTGCCATATTTTGGAAAGGAATGCCTTTCCTGGCAGGCTAGCCTGCACTTCTTGCTCAGCCTCAAAATCTCTTCAGCCTTCATCTCTGCTGTCAGATAGAAATTTCCTTTCTATTTTGTCTCTCCCTCTCATAGCCTGAAAGAACACGTTAAGTGGAGGCAAGGAGGTAAAGGAGAGAAAGGTGATTTCTCTCCTCTAACATTTCTTCCTTCTTCCCTTCCATGAGTAAAAGAAAAAATGCCCCACTTATTAGGTTTACTCCAGTCATACAAAGTTTTATAGCCGTTTTGCCGGGACAGTTTTTCCTTGTGTGTGTGTATTTCCACCCCCGCTTCCCTATTAGAGTTCACTTCGCATTCCATCCTTCCACAAGAGTGCCTCAAGCAGGGAGTTGCTTACATACATTGCTGAGGTTACTGCTAAATTTCTTAGCTAGTTCCCCCTAGAAACAACTGACATATTTACAAACTGCTCTAGAAAATTGAAAGAGACCATATGTATTCCATCTGAACTAAATAATTCGAATAAAATTTGAACTGAAAATTAAACCAGTTTTATTACAAGGCCCCTTCTATCTTCCTTTTTATTAGTGTCCTCTTCTCTTCCCAGCATCTCCCTTTCTCTGTTGCTAGGTGTTCTTCCCCCTGCAGCTCTGTCAGGAGCCCAAGAGCCCCTACCCCTAACCCCACCTCGACATTAAAACAAAACTGGCTGGAAGCGTGTAGACCAGTGGTCAGTGATTCTCAACTCTGATTGCATGATGGAATCATCTGGGGACTTAGGAAAATCAATTGTCTATGGTGGAGCCTGGATATCAGTATTGTTTCAAAGCATCCTAAATGATGACTATAATCCTATGGTCTGGCCTGTCTTTCCCACCCCAACTTTTTCCCTACAAAAATTTGTTCTAATCTATCAATTACTTGGGAAAAGATCTAATCAATTCACCTGCAAAACGACATTGAAAACTGGCAGAAGCTTAATGTGCTAGTGTGTCAGTGGGATTTTCATTTTGATTATAAATTTTTTTTTAAAAAACTCTCACAGCAGAAATTCAGGCATGCAGGGATATTTTTGGGTTGGAGGTTTCCCAGTCCCCAGTCCATATTATATAGGTTAGTATTTTCCATGCTTTTGATACACACACACACACACATACACACACACACACAAATATCCATTACAAGCTTTAAGAACAAGTAAACTGACTTTTAAAAATCAATGATAATAATTTTATTATAATGATGACAATAATTTCTTTGCAATATTTCACCATGACACCTATATCTAGATAAATAATGACTGAGTTATAGGTTAGATTTGATATCCCTTTGGGTTCTTTTCTTAGCTGTATTTTCACTAAAAAAGAAAATTTTGATCCATGAATTTAAGTTGTTGGGAATGGCAGTGAGTATTTGGTGGCTTTGACAGACAGTTTTGGATATTTATATTTGAATGGAACATTAACCTAGAAATTATAGAATGATTTCTCACTAAAGACTACTTTCAATACTTCATTAGACAGGAAAATAATAAGCATTTCACAATTAAAAGCTGAAAGGTTTAAATGTTTCAACTTGGAAGATGAATCTAATTATTTCTTTGATTACATATAGCTCTGAAAGGTGTTTTTTTCACATTTTGTTACAGCATGTGGATGAAGTTTTTTAAAAATGCCAAATTATCTTATTCATTAAGGGAAGATAATCATCAAATCAAAACTATTGCTGATTAAACCATTTGTATCACATTTAAGTAATCCAAAGAAATCCTGATATCATAACATTTAATATTTAAGCCCTGAAGTGATAAGCTCAGGCTGTTGAAAATACAGAATGTATTGCCAAGTTATACCTCTTGAACAATTCAATTGAAATCATACAGATAATCTTTTCTGGTGTTATCACTGTTGTGAAGAAATGCTTTATGCTTCACCCTTCAAAAAACTTGGGAGAATATCTTTCTCCTTGATAGCTCTCATAAATCAGTGTGAAAAAATAGATCTGTCCTATGCTATCCATTTCTTCACTTAGCATCATGAAAAGATGAACATTTGATAGGAGATACATTGTCATAACTCCAATATTGATTCTTTTCTTCAACACTGAATCAAAGCCATGAGAGATATTATCAACCACTAATGTTTCTTTGACCACAACTAAGTATGAATTGACATTCAGACACAACTTCTTTATTCATGTGGCTGCAGCATCCTTCCTTATTGTGTGCATAGCTGCTGCTTTGTCAATATTAATTTCAGCCTGATTTTTTCCAGTCTTGATTCACATATCACAAAATGATCTTTAAGATAGTAAATATTATCTTCTCTTGAAGGATTGTTTTTGAATGATACATGGAATAAATGTTCACTAGCATTTCTGTTGCATATGTGTATCAGATATGTCAATTGAAAATATCCCATAGCATGTTCACATTCATGTATTGTTCTTTAATTCAATAATATTATCCAACATATGATAGTGATAAAGGAATTGTGCCAAAAATTCATTCTGAACTTTTTCTGAATATAATAGTAGCCATAAACTCTTTCATTAGCGTTATAAATTCTTGGAAATACTGTTAGAACTAGTGCATATACTCTAAGCAGTGAAATTTTGGTTGATGCCATTGTAGTTTGGGCCTGTTATCTCCCTTTAGTAATAATATGCATCAATGTAGTATGGAAAACCATTATTTCTGCTTTTTCTGGAAACATTTGACTGATTACCAGAGAGGTCCCTGTGCTTTGTATGAAAATGTTGTGAAAGCTATTGTGGCATCGCTGGATAAAGTTTTACAACAGACATAATCTCCACCCAATAAAAGTCAGTGTTTAGATATTCATTGTTTTAATTTCTCCTTAATTTCTGAGGCATTTTAAATTTTTTATATTAAATCATAATATTTGCATATTTACCGGTCCCAATGCATATATCTTCATATTCTATATTTACCCCAAATTCAAGTTCACTATGTTTTTAATGTTACCTTTAGTTACTACTGATTTTCATAACTGCATTTGTACTTGAATGAACCACTTTTGAGCCATTGATACATTTGGGAAATTAGGGATAAAATGGAAAACATAGTAACCATGAAACATGAAAAATTAAGAATATAACCAATGACAAGAGCAAATGTTACAACATGAACAACAACTTGTTAGCTAAATGTTACCCCAGATGAACCAATCATATCCATAACCTCACATACTTATCATTACTTTGTGGTGAGAACATTTAAAATCTACTCTTTTTGCAATTTGAAATATACATTATTATTAAATATAGTCATGCTGTGCAATAGATCACTAGAACTTATTCCTTTTGTGTAACTGAACTTTGTACCCTTTGATTTGCATTTCCCTTTTCCCTGTCTATCCCCCACCCCCAGCCTCTGATAATCACCATTCTACTCTCTACTTCTATGAGTTTGACTTTTTAAAATTCCACATATGAGTGAGATCATGTGGTATTTGTCTTTCTGTGGCTGGCTGATTTCACTTAGCATAATATCCTCTGGATTCATTCATTTTGTTGCAAATGACAGGATTTCCTTTTTAAAAAAGGCTTTAGTATTTAATTATATACATATACCACATTTTCTTTTGTAAAAGTTTTCAATTTTAATTTTTGTTAGTAGTAGGTGTATATATTTATGGGGAACATGAGATGTTTGGATTCAAGCATGCAATGTAAAATAATCACATCATGGAGAATGGGGTATTCATTCCTTCAAGCATTTTTTTTTGTAGAGATAGGGTCTCCCTATGTTGCCCATGCTAGTCTCAAACTCTTGGGATCAAGTGAGGCTTCTGCCTCTGCCTCCCAAAGCACTGGGATTACAGGTGTGAGCCACTGCACCCAGCCATTTATCCTTTGTGTTGCAAGCAATCCAATTACACCATTTTTAGTTATTTTAAAATGTACAATTTATTATTGACTATAGCCACCCTGTTGTGCTGTCAATAGTAGGTCTTATTCATTCTTTCTAACTATTTTTTATACCCATTAACCATCCCCACCTCCCTCCCAGTTCCCCACTACCCTTCCCAGCCTCTGGTAACCATGCTTCTACTCTCTATGTCCATGAGTTCTATTGTTTTGATTTTTAGATCCCACAAGTAACTGAGAACATATGATGTTTGTCTTTCTGTGCCTCGCTTATTTCACTTAACATAATGATCTCCAGTTTCATACATGTTGCAAATGATAGGATCTCATTCTTTTTATGGTTGAATAGTACTCCATTGTGTATAGGTACCACATTTTCTCTATCCTTTCATTCATTGATGGACACTTATATTGATTCCATATCTTGTCTATTATGAATAGTGCTGCAATCTCTTCAACATACTGATTTCAATTCCTTTAGATATGTACCCAGTGCATTCCTTGTATATGCACATGTACGTAATATGCATACGTATACAAGGAATGCACTGGGTACATATCTAAAGGAATTGAGAGCCTATTAAGGCCATATTGGGATTTATAGAAAAAATCATGATTAGCCATATATAAGCTTGCCATTATATCCCACAAGAGAGCATAGCATGTAAACACATTTCATTACCAGAAAGAAAAATATCACATACATGGGAAACTGAGTCTTAGAGAGGCAAAATGACTTACCCAAAGTTTTACGAGTCTGAATCAAGCCCAAGTTGCCCAAGTTGGGCATTTATATACCTCACTGTAGTACTTCTCAGACACCAGTATCAGCATCAACTCCTTTGGCATTGATGAAGACTGGCTGAAAGAGTTGAGAGTATTTTGTTTAGGGAAGAGAAGCCTAGCTGTGGAGCAAGATTGGCAGAGGTTGCTGTGTTCAAATATGTGAAGGGCATGCCTGAAAATAAGGAGCAGTTATGTCTGGGTGGTAGTCCGAGGACAGAACTTGAGTGAGTAGGAGGAAGTCATAGGGGAGCAGGCTTGGTTCATCAGCAGGAAGAACATTCTGACAAGTGGAATCCTGTGCCTGCAGAGAGAGGCAGGGAACTTCCAGGTCCATCCCAGTTCAGTTGTAAGATATATGGGGAGCACTTGGCAGGAAGGCTGGTGAGGGAAAGCTGGCAGAAGGGAAAGAGGGTGGCAACAGGTGACCTGAAAGCTTTTCTAGCCTGAGCCTGGTGAGGGCCTGGAGTGAGAAGGGCTGACCAAGGAGGACAGGTGGCCTGCAGGCCTCTTCTGCACCTGACACTTTGGTGCCTTGGGTCAGCTCTGTCTGTCTCTTGGCTGCCCAGCTCCAGCCCTGCCTCTTCCCTGGGTGGCCAAGGGAAGCCTATGGGGTGCAGGATGGAAAACTGGAACCTCTTCCTCCCAAAGACACACGGGCTGTTACTCCAGCAGCAGTCAAGGTCCCAAGTCCACACTGTGGCCCCTTCCCCTGCCCACCATCCTGAATCTGAGCTTTAATCTTTTGAGCAGAATGGGCTCAGGCTGTCATGGGCTTTAGCTCTTGGTGTTACTGCCTCTGATTAGATCCAGGAAGCCCTGTTCACTTCATGGGGCTATTATATGGGTTCCTTGCGGTGTTCACCATTGTTAGGAGCATGTGGATGAGGGAGGGATAGGTAAGAGGGTGAATTTCCTTCAGGTTAAGAGTCTGGGTGCCTGGCCCCATCCTGTGGCCAGCTCAGGCCATTCCGCCCAGGCATTCGTAGTTTTTCCTGGACTGTGACTATGGCCAGTCAGCAACATGCCCCCACAAGTGTAGAAAAGAGGCACCACTCCTCCTTGACACATTATAGCTGAGTGGTCCATGTTGGTGTCCCTAAATGGTGAGTGACAGCTGATTCCGAGCTAGCTCAAGGGTAGGGGAGAGGAGGTCTGAGACTCCTGTTACAGCCATCCAGAACCCCAGGAACAGTCTTTAACATCTGTTTGAATACTAACCTATAGGACATTGGCCTCACAGTCACATGTGAGTCACATGCAGCAGGATCATCTGTGTTCCTTGTGAGAAATACATTTTCCCAAGCCCCATCATAGGTCTAATAAACCAGAATCTCTAGAAATCTGCATTCTTTACAAGCTTCTCTAGTTGTTTCTAAAGAATACTAACCTATAGAAAACACTTCTGTGATGATTGAAGCCGAAATAGACTGTAAGAACCATCTTACTTTCGCCCTCCATCCCCTATTGTTACAGATTGGAAAGCAGAGAACACAGAGAGTAAATGACCTGTCTAAGGTCATATAGTCAATTAGTGTAGTGGTAAACCCAGAATAATGAACCATGGTGCTGTTTCCTGACCCAGGACTACTCTCCTAACTATCAAGCCAATCCTTTGTTAGATCAAAGAGTGAAGAAAGTGTTTTGAATAAGCATTAAATGTTACATTGCATGAAGATCATGTGTTTAGAACAGACTATGCTCATCCTAGCCTCCATGGCTTTACTAAAGTACCCTCTTCCCCTCCTTCCCTACTTTTTCTCTTTTCCACCTTCACAAATCTACCCATCTTCAAGGTCCAGCAACTCAGTCCACTTTCACCTTCCTGTGGTCTCTGAGCCTACTCATATGGCCCTTCAGTATATTTTGTAATGGAGCCAAAGCGTTTATTTTCTGTTCCCAATTAGGTAGCAAGGACTAGATTTCAACCTCTTTTTATCTGCTATAGTCCCCTTCTCCTGAGGCTAGGCCCCAATTAGGGGCTCAGAATATCCATATTAAAATCCAGTTGTTGAGCAACAGATTCAGTACAAGCCAGCCAAACAGCTAGCCATGTAGCTCTAGCGATATATTTTTGTTGTAATCATATTAAAATTCTACAAGATGTATAGCACAGCTCTCACACCTAGTCTGAGGTCTCCTAGGCTTTCCAAACTGCACTAAGTCCTCGCTCAGCAGCCCTTTTGCTGTTAAACAGTCAGTGGAGTGTTTGCATGGCCATCCTTATGCTAGTCACTGTGGGTATTACAAAACAAAAAGAAAATACTGCAAGTTGTGCTCCAGCTTCCACATGGGGAGAATGGCTGCATCCTGCACTCACTGTTATCTCTGGTTCCAGTCCAGGCATTGTATGTTCTTATACTCCAGCCTCCTTTGGATCAGTTTCTTGTTCTGGCCTGTCCATAAATCTCTCCCTCCCTTCCTTCTCTGCCTCCTTTGTACCATCTGTCTCAAACCCCAGTCAGCAGCTGCTAGCAGTAAGGGGCTCTGAGAACCCAAGTGGGGATTTTCCAGACACTTCACATTTTCCTCACTGTTAAAAAATGTGTTTTGCTTGCTTAAAGTGACTGGATTCCTCTTGCCCTCAGTGAGGCTGGGTGAATGAGACTCTTGTCCTAAGAAGATCAAAGAGAGTCTACAGCCTAAACAAAATTTAGCTGTCATTGTCTCTGGAAATCCTAGCATGTATGAACTGTAATCTCCTCAGGTACCGCCTACATACTAGCCCAAGATGTTAGAGCAATGTGTGGTTATTTTCCTCCCTACTCCCTTCCTTCTTGAGAACCAGAGTTGCTGGACTGCTGCTTGACTCCTTATCCTCCTCCCCACTGCTCTCTCTCTCGCTCATGGTGTCCAACTCATTTGCTCTGTGCCTTGGTCATTCCCCTTTCTCAGTGGAGACCTAAGGTGCGTAGGGCGGAGCCTTTTCCTAAGGCTTCACAGATCCTCTCTCCTTGCCATGTTGCTTGATATAGTCTGTTCCTTTTTGTTCCCAGGCACTCTTCCCACCAAGTCCTAACCACCTCCTGGCCTTTTAAAGGGGCAAATGCCAGACAACCATAGTCTACATGAGGGACAGTGTCTACATATATAACACCGTGCTCACACATACTCTAGAAGTTGTGGGCCTCTTAGCACGGGCAATGCCATCCCTACTGGCTTTCTCCAGACTTTTGGGAGTTTGCCTCTCATTTGTGAGTGTGAAGCTAAGCTACACTGAACCAATGTTTCAGGACCTGAACAAATGTTTTGGGACAGTTACTAAGTTTAGCTTTAGCATCTACACTGTGCTGTTCACATGACAGGGCATTTCCACAACCGTTGTCTCATTGAATCCTCACAACAGCCTGGTGAGATAAATATTCTTATCCTGATTTTTATTTGTGAGCATGCTAAAGCACAATAATATCATTAATGACTAACATTCGTGAAGCGCTTGCTATGTACCAGACAGTGTTCTAAGCACTATGTATATATTAACTCATATTTTCCTCACAACAAACCCATTATCTGGTTATTACAATTAGCTTAATTTTTCAGAATAGGAAGCTGAAGCCCAGAAAGGTTAAGAGTTTAAGAGTCCGGCTCAGGGTCACACAGCTAGTAAGTGGTAGAGCCTTATTTTGAACATAGGCAGCCTGATTCCTATGTAAATCTAAATATGTAAACACTATGTTTTTTGTTTTTTGGGTTTTTTGTTTTTGTTTTTGTTTTTTTGTTTTGTTTTGTTTTGAGATGGAGTCTTGCTCTGTCGCCCAGGCTGGAGTACAATGGCGAGATCTCGGCTCACCGCAAGCTCCGCTTCCTGGGTTCAAGCGATTCTCCTGCCTCAGCCTCCTGCGTAGCTGGGACTACAGGCACGTGCCACCACACCCAGCTAATTGCTTGTATTTTTAGTAGAGAAGGGGTTTCACCATGTTAGCCAGGATGGTCTCGATTTCCTGACCTCGTGATCCTCCTGCCTCATCCTCCCAAAGTGCTGGCATTACAGGCGTGATCCACTGCGCCCGGCCTTTTTTTTTTTTTTTTTTTTTTTTGAGACAGGGCCTCACTCTGTCACCCAGGCTGGGGTGCAGTGGCGTGATCTCGGCTCACTGCAGGGCTCAAGCAATCCTCCCACCTCAACCTCCCGAGTAGCTGGGACTATAAGCACATGCCACAACACCTGGCTAATTTTGTTTATTTTTTATAGAGATGGGGTCTCACTATGTTGCCCCAGCTGGTTTCAAACTCCTGGGCTCAAGCAGTTCTCCTGCCTCAGCCTCCCAAAGTGCTGGGATTACAGCCATGAGCCACTGTGTCCAGCCAACACTATGCTACTTGGACATGGAAAGGTTGAAAGGTTAACTCACACACTCAAAGCCACAGGAATCATTCGATGATAGATTCCAAGCTGTACAGTAGGCTTTCTGATCCCAAGTTCTGTACTCTTTTCACTATACATTCATGTTTTCACTCATCCAATAAACATTTATTAAGCACTACTATGTGCCAAGGTTTGTACTATGCACTGGGCATAAAATTGTTGCTCAAAAGGAGCTCAAAGTCTAAAGAGAGAGATAGACAAGAAAACAAAAAGCAAACCATGGCATGATGACTGAGAGCATGGCTTTCATCTTCAATGTATCTGAGTTCAAATCAGAACACTACTATATTTTGCCAGTAATATATTAACCTTTATAGTCTCATCCACAGAATGGAAATCATAATATCAGTTCATTCCTAATAGGATTGTCATAGTGAAGACTGGATGAATTAATATATGCAATAAACTTAGGAAGGTACCCAGCATATAGACACTATAATAATTATTATTATTATAGGTTTCTCTGTTTTATGATAGAGTGCGAATGGCTAAGAGAAGGTCCTAAGCCAGTGTTTGAAGAAGAGACAGAAGTTGCCTGGATGGAGGATGCAGAAGAGGGAGGCAGGGGCTAGAGCAGGAAGAGCTTTGAAAAGCATGTACAATGCCAAGCTAAGAAGCAGAATGGGCTTGGGTCAGTTGAATAGCACCTACATTTCTGCTACTTTCAAGGAAGAGCAGGCTGATGACCAACCTGTGTAAGTGGTCTGGTGACCCTAGCATGCAACAAACATTTTTTCCTTAACTCAGGTTCAGATTGAATCGCTGTGAGTGGCCATATGAACTGCTGGTCTGTCTCTGAAAGAGGCTCAACCCTCCCTTAGCTGTCAGCAGCCTTGTACTCCACCTGGCAACAGCTGGGAAGAATGAGCCTATTGGATAATGGCTTTTGGAGCTGACTTGTACGTGGGGATTTGGAAGAGAGGTGGATGGAGACAAAGAGGGTGAGGCATTGCACTGAGCCATTGGATAGTGTGTGGCCAAAAGAGCCAGGCACCTTCAGGATCTGCTAGGATGACTTTCAAACAGCTTGCGATGATTCAATCTGCCCCCCAGGGATTTTTTTTTATAAAAGTATATTTTACAACTTGGGCCAGACAAACCAGTGTCAGTTTTATGGCCACTATAGTTTTTGGTTATTTATTCCCCATCTTCTCTTTGTTTTTTCCAGGTGACCTGCTTTAACTGCTAGACCCTGGAGAGTCTAAAAAGAAAAGTAATAATTATTCCTTATATTGGTACAATGCTTTATGATTTACAAAGAAACCCCACATTCATTGGATTTTACAGTACTTCTAGAAGGGAGGCAGGACAAGCAATTACATGGTCATCATTTCCTATGTTACAGATGAGCAAATCAAGGCAAAGAGAGGGGAAAGCACATGTCCAGAGTTATACTTCCAGGGAGCGGTGGAGCTAGGACTCTGTATTAATTTTCTATGCTGTATATAATAAATTACCACAAATTTAGCAGCTTAAACCATTACATATTTATTATTTCAGAGTTTCTTTGCTCAGAAGTCTGGGCATGGCTTAGCTAAGTCCTCTGCTTAGAGCCTTACAAAGTCACAACCAAGGCATTGGCCAGGTTTGGGGGCTCATCTGGAGGCTTGATTAAGGAACAATCTGTGTCTCCATTGTGTGGTTGTTGGCAGCATTCAGTTCCTTGTTGCTGCAGGATTCCTGGCAGCTCACTTCTTGAAAGCCACCAAGGGGGAGAGAGTGAGTCTGCTAGCAAGAGTGTATCTTATAAAACAGAATATAATCATAGAAGTGATATCCCATTATCTTTGTCATATTCTATTGGTTTGAAACAGGACACAGGTTCCATCCATATTCAAGGGAAAAGGCTTACACATGGGCAGGAACACCAGGAGATGGAGACTGTGATTGCCACCTTAAAGTCTGTTTGCCATAGACTCCAACCCAGCTTTGTCTGACGCCAGATCAAGCGGTCTTTCCACTGGATCACACTGTTGCCATTAAGGATGTGTGACATACATTATCACCACTCTCAAATATACATACACTCATTCAAAGATACATTTGCCAAGCACAGAGTGGAGTACCTCTAAGAAGCCTGCTCTTCCCCTTAAACCTGTGTCCTGGGTTACACAGCCTAGAATCCTAACTGACTAACTTATGAATACACCCAGACTCTCTTAACTCAGAAAAAAATTTTATCACTTCTAAAGATGGAATGTTGTTTTGGGACAATTTCGTGCAAACCCTGAGCTTGTTATCTTCAAAAAAGAACGCGTGTCTTTCTCATTTAGGAGACTTAAACTCTTATCCCGACAACTTCCAAATTACTTACAAAGGCAAAGGAAGTCGTGCTGTGTTTTGCTTCTTTAGCTTTTGTGGCTAAGTCTCATTATTTTGATCCTATTAATGACTGTCAGAGAAGATATGGCCCCGGAGGAAAGGGGTTAAAGAGAATTCTTTAAATCTCTCAGCCAAGGCCAGAAAGCTCTCTGAGGATAGCTTCTGAGTTTAGGCATGCCTGCAAAGAAGCCCGGCAGCTCTCTCCAGATGCCTGCTCTTCACTGACAATAGGGGCTACCTTAACTATTCATTTCGTCATTCATTCAGTCAGTCAGCAAGTATTTATTGAGCACTTCTTTGTGCAAGGCAGCATTCTAGGTACTAGCCATACTGAGACCACCATCCTCATAAGCAAGAAGCTGACAGTGGAGTGAAGACTCAGACAAGAAAGCGATTACAAGGCTATAGAATTGCTTTAATGCAGGTATGCTCTGAGCCTATGGTATTCTGTCTGATGGGGTTAGGAAAGATATGTGCTTGCTCCAGATTGCAAACCCAAAGCCTTCAGGACCAGGCCAATGAATCAAACAGGTGGATGCAGGGAGTGGTAGAGTTTGCACCAAACTGGAGGGCACTGTAATAAAAAAAAAATTAAACACCATGTGGTCCTAATAAAACATGCCCTGGAAGCTGCCAATTTATGACCCAAGCTTAGACAAAGGAGGTAGTGTTTATGCTGAGATTTAAATGATAATAGCAAACACTTACATAGAGGTTACTCCGTACCAGGTACTCTTGTAAACAATTAAATGTATTAACTCATTTAATCTCCATAACAAGCCTATTAGGTAGGTACATTAATTAGCCTTGTTTTATAGATGAGGAAATAGAGGCCTAGAGAAGTTCGACAACTTGCCTGACATCACACAGCTAATGACCGCAGCTGGAATTCAAACTCAGACAGCCTGGGTTCACAGCCCATGTGGCAGACTACCATGTCCTCAGCCTCTGCTAAAAAAATGACTAAGCGTTTGAAAGGCAGCCAGATAGCGAGAGAACATGTCACGCAGAGGAAGCAGCATCTACAAAGGCGGAGGCCTAAAGAGTCTGAGGGATTCCAGGGTCCTTAAAAATTGTAGTATTTCTGGAATAGCAAGTGTGTGTTTTGAGGTAATGGGGGAATGGGTGGAGCAAGGTCAGGAGATAGATGGAGAGAAATGAGGTCAGAGGTCAGGCAGAGAGGCTCATGCCTGTAATTCCAGCACTTTGGGAGGCCGAGGCAAGAGGATTGCTTGAGCCTAGGAGTTCGCGACCAGTAGGAGCAACATAGTGAGATCCCGTTTCTACAAAAATAAAAACAAATAGAAAAAAAAATAGCTGGGCGCAGTGGTGCACACCTGTCCCAGCTACTTGAGAGGCTGATCTGGGAGGATCCCTTGAGCCTGGGAGGCCGAGACTTTAGTGAGCCTTGATCATGCCACTGCACTCCAGTCTGGGTGACACTGCGAGACCCTGTCTCAAAAAAAGAAAAAAAAAAAAAAGAAACAAGAAATTGAGGCCAGACAGAAAAATCAACAAGGACTTGTATGCCATGCAAAGCACTTACCCATTCATTAAATAAACATGTATTAAGCACTTGCTGTGTGCTAAACCTTTACAAAGCATCATGCTAAGGAGATAGATCTAGGCACATAGTATTTTTTTTTGGAGGGGTGGTCCAGAGAAGGGGCATCAAACTCAGCATGAGGGAATCTGGAAACATGTCCCAAAAAAGTGATTGAATTGACCTAAGCCTTAAAGGATAAGTAGAGGTTGGCTAGGCAAAGGAGACACGAAAGGGCATTGCAAAGAGAGGGAACAGAGTATGGAAAGGCATTTCTGAACTCATGGTAATAATGGTTGTCCTTCTTGTCTCAAGTTTTCCCCTTCTTTCTATTCTCTCACCTATTCACATGTCACAATGGGAGATAGAAAGCCAGAGAAGAATCAGACCCAGAGTTGCTCCATAGGATGCTTATGGTCTGGCATACCTAGCAGAGGAAAGGGGGTAAAGGGATAAATTTGGGATTAGAATAACTGAATTTGGGCTCAAGCACTTTATGCACATTAACTCCATTTAACTCTAAGGCTCGAAGGACTGATATGTGAGGGAATCATCACATCAACCTTGCAAACTTTTCCTTTTGATCCTTTATCCCTATTTTATAAATGAGGAAATCGAAGGTCAGAGAGGTGATGTCACCTGCTTGAAGTAACTCTGTTAGTAAGTGGCATGATTTGGGGTTTGAACCCAGGAAAGTCTGGCTCCAAAACCTGTGTTCCCGTGTTCTCAGCTTCCGAGGACCTTCTCTCCCCTGAAAGCATGAAGTCTTTTAGTAACAATAGCTAAAAATCATTTATTGCAAGCTCAGTCTATAATTTCAAACTGCTTCCCTCAACATGTCAGTCCTTTGAGCCTTAGATTTATCAGCTGTAAAAGAAGACTGTGGTAGAAAATACTACTGTTCACCAATATTCAGTTCCTTTCTACTTTCAGTAATATAGGGGTGCTATACCTCTTTTCTTCCTTGAAGCTAGATATGGCCATATGGCTTGCTCTGATCAATGAAATATGAGTAGAAGTGACATGTGTCACTTTAGGGTGGAAGCATTTAAGAGATCATGTGATTCTCTGTCTTCTCTTAACGCTACTACTAGATAACATTCCGAATGATAGTACCTCCACTGGCCTGGGTTTCTGTGTAAAAATGACATGTACCAGAGTCCTCCACTGGCTAGCAATGGACATGAATGAATATATTACACACACATGCACACACACACACATACACAAAAGCTTTCATTGGTTTAAGCCACTAAAATTCTGGAGTTGTTTGTCATCTCAGCATAACCTATTATATCCTAACCAATATAGAGGTTAATGGTCTCTATCTCACAGATTTGTCGTAAGGATCAATGGAATAATGGAAGTAGAGGTGCTTTATAGATTCTGAGGCTGTGTGCACTTGCCAAGTGGTATGTCTGAGTTCAGGTCCTATTGAACTGTGCTCTAATGGAATATCACTGTACAAATAAGATATTTTTAGACACTTGTATCTTTTTATATTATGGGCAGATATTTACTTGTCTGCATAGCATTCTTGTGTAGGAGGCTTCCCTTTTATAGATAGGAGGGAACCAATTCTGAAAACTGAAATTCATTTCCCAGAGACTATGGGTAGCTGATACAACCAGCCATCCTGATCAAAATGGTTACTACTGGTTCCAATTTTTTTCCATCTAGGCTCAAAGAAGCAATTTAGGGAGACCCTGCCCTGATCCTCTCAAGTAGCAACTCTGGATTCTACTCCTAGAACAGAGGAAAAGCTGCTGATCCTAGGCCTGATAGTTCCAAGCTAATAACCCTGACAGAAACTGACTTGCAAAAAAAAAAAAAACATTGGCCTGAAAGGGCTAGTAATGACATTTGTCATGTGGGGTGGTTTAGATGGTCTATGACCATGGGAAAAAGCCAATTCCCCCCCAGGCCTAATAATCTCACTCCTTAATCTAGCAAACTCACTCCTGAAATTCAATTCTAAAGTAAAAATTTAATAGAAAAAAGGCTATATCTATGGATATTTTTATGATAGTAAAAATACAGAAAAACACTTAAAACTAAACAACAGGGTAAAGGCTATACAAAATTAAAAGGATAGTTACAAAAACGTTGCAGAAACATGGAAATATATGTCAGAGGTGAGAAAACTGATGCAGAGGAAAGCCAAATCAATAATGTGAGTTCACCTGCTCAACAAATGGTAAAGCTGGGACTTGAACCGAAGCAATGCAGCATCAGGGTTTGTGGGTGCCTTATTCTGCTCGGGCTGTCACAATAATATACCATAGACTGGGTGGCTTAAACAACAGAAATTAATTTTCTCACAGTTCTGGAAGCTGCAAAGTCCAAGACTGAAATTCTTCCTGGCTTACAGATGGCTGCCTACTTGTTATGTCCTCACATGGTGGGAGGTGAGGGTGTGTGTGTGTGGGGAGAGAGAGAGAGAGAGAGAGAGAGAGAGAAAGAGAGAAATAGAGATCTTTAGTGTCTCTTCCTCTTTTATAGTAATGCAAGTTCTTACATCAGTGTTCCACCCTGATGACCTCATTTAACCTTAATCACCTCCTTAAAGGCAATATGTGGGGTGTTAGGGCTTCAACATATAAATTTTGGGGAGACACAATTCAGTTCATAGCATTCTATCTCTGGGCCTCTGAAATTCATGTCCTTATAGCAGGCAAAATACCTTCATATCATCCCAACAGCCCTAAAACTCTTAATTAATTTTAGTATCAACTCTAAATTCTGAAGACCCAAGTTTCATCTAAATATCACCTAAATCAGAGATGGGTGAGAAATGAGGTATGATTGATCCTGAGGCAAAATTCCTCTCCAGCTGTGAACCTGTGAAACCAGACAAGTCATGTGCTTCCAAAATACAATGATGAGACAGGCATAAGATAAAAATAAGTAGGAAAGAAGGAAGGGGTGCAGGGTCCCAATCAAATCCAAAGCCTAGCAGGACAAGTTTTATTAGATCTTAAGATTCAAAAATAATCCTCTTTGGCTTGATATCCACCTTCCAGACCCAATGGGGCAGTGGCTTCACCCCCATGTCCCTGTTTAGAAGCTGTTTAGTTTCAGTTGAAACTGAGGCAATGGCACCACCCTTTGAAACCAAGGAGGCAGACATGATGATCTCTGAATCACCTTTGGGGTGAGTCATTCTTCCCTTTTCTTGAAGAATAGTGCATGTTGGCAGGTGAATGACTCTATGGTCTGGTCTTGTAGGACCTAAGAAATCCAACAGCCTTCCTCATTTAGTCTCATTTTTTTTCTGTCTTCTTTAGTTCCTGTTGGTATGTTTCTCCCAGTATAATCCCATCTCTATTCCTGGCTTCTGCTGAGATAGTTGGTTAAATCCATGTGTTGCACCCATAATCTCTTCATCAAATGATTATTCAGCCACACCCTTAGTGTTCTCTTCAGAAACAGCTTTCTCATTTTTTATAATATGGAAAAATTGAAAATTTTCCAATTCTCCAAGTTATTTAGAATTGGATAATGGGTAGAGTGTTAGGCAAAAGGTGACTTTTTGCCTAACAATTCCTTCTTCAATTCATCTCTCTTCTCTCACATTTTGCTATAAGCAGTAAGGAGGATCCAGGCTTCACCTTCAACACTTTGCTTAGAAATCTTCTCTGCTAAATATCCATTTTCATCATTCACAAGTTCTACTTTACACAAAACACTAGAACACAATGAAGCCACATTCCTTGCCATTTTATAACAAAGATTGCTTTTCTTCCAGCCTCCAATAACCTATTCCTAATTTCCACCCAGGACCTCACCAGAATTGCCTTTAACATCCATTTTTCTAGCATGCACCTCAAAACTCTTCCAGCCGCTACCCATTATCCAGTTCCAAAGCTACTTCCACATTTTTAGATATTTGTTACAGCAGCACCCTACTTCTTGGTACCAAAATTTGTATTAGAGTTCTCTAGAGAAACAGAACCAACAGGAATGCATATATATATACATATATATATGTATATATATATATGTATATATATATATGTATATATATATGTATATATATATGTATATATATATGTATATATATATACATATATATGTATATATATGTATATATATGTATATATATGTATATATATGTGTATATATATATATACACGTATATATATATGTATATATACACGCATATATATATATGCATATATATATATGCATATATACATTTGGCTCCTGTGATTATGGAGGCTGAGACATCCCAAGCTCTGCAGTTGGCAAGCTACAGACCCAGGAGAGCCAATGGTATAGTTCTAGTCCAAGTCCAAAGACCTAAGAACCAGGAGAGCCAATGGTGTAAGTTCCAATCTGAGAATTGGCAGGTTCAAGATCCAGGAAGTGCAGATGTTTCAGTGTTTGGGTCATAAGGCAGAATGAGGAGATGTCCCTGTTCAAGAAGGAAGGCAGGAGGAGTTCCGTCTTACTTGTAGGAAGGTCAGCTTTTCTGTTCTATTCAGTCCTTTAATTTATGGGATGAAGTCCACCAACATTAGGGAGAGCAATCTGCTCTACTCAGTCTATTAACTTAAATGTTGATCTAACCAAGAAACATCCTCATAGACACAATCAGAATGTTTGACCAAATGTATGGGCACTGTGTGGCCCATTCAAGTTGACGCATAAAAGTAACCATCATAGTGGGTTTAACCACAGGGTTATTTTCCTAGTGTTTGCATTTCTTGGCCCTTATTAATTGGCCTTTTGTACAATTTTCTTAATTATTTTGCCTGTTTACTTTCCTAGTATATGTTATTTTTTCAGGCTTCAAGAAATTATTATTAGATTTTCACTGGAATTGCCTTTCTCCAATTCAACCTCCTCACCACTGCCAGGGAAAACTTCTTCGAGTACAAATCACATCTGTTGCTCTCTTGATTAAAATATTTTAATGGTTTCCTAGGCTCCTAAACTCCTCAGTAAAGATACTAGGCCTTTCATGATCTTACCTCTACCAACCTCTCTGGCTTCCTGCCACACTTCTCCTGCTACACTCTAGTTATCTCTCATAATTTGCATTTCCCTAAGTGGAGTGTGTGCTCTCTTTTTCTCCCATGCTCTTGCTCATGCTTAGAATACCTTCTTGACCCACCCATGCCAAGTGAACATCTACACTTATTGGGCCCCCCTGGGCCCAGCACGAAAAGAAGTTTCAAAGAAGAAGAAATCAGCAAAGTTAGGAGATCAAGAAGGAGGCAGACAGAGATTTAGATCATGTGGAGGTCACTGGAACCTCTGAGATAAAGTATAGGTTGAATGGCAGGAGCCAAAGTCACTGAACAAGTAATTATGAAGCCAGATGTTTGATGGTGAAACGAAAGAAAGAGACAAAAATAGATCTCCAGAGAGTAGAAACATTGAGAGGAAAGCATGTTTAAGATGGTTACTTGTAGAGTTTCTTACATAAGCCATTGAGCAATTTAAATATCACTCAATTGATGGCAGGGCAAAAATCATTTTCGAATGCTCCTAGCTGTACTCATAGCTACAAAACCATTAATAATCCTGTAAACATGTCCATGTCATGCAATAGAAACTCATATTTTCAATCTCTATGTTAGGTGGCTCAAAGCAAGGCCCTCCAATTGGACCACTCAAACAAATTCCACTCTTGGCAAATAGATAGTTATGATTTCTGGTCTCAAATTCTGCAAGTTAAATGCCAAACCATACCCCTTCTTATGCAAAGCATCTTTTTAGAGCACCTCTCCAGTGCTGTTTTCTAAATCTCATTCTCCTGCTAATGACACCCTGTCTTTCTTTCTATCTCTCTCCCAATTTTCACCCTCCTCTTCCTTTCCCCATGGAGTATCCAGAGATTCATAGTTTGTGAATAATTATTAGTCTGTATAAAAGCTTGGTTTGATGGTGGGAGTTGGGGCAGGAGGGTTCTGGGTCTGTTTAGAAAGCTACTAGAGTTGAGAAAACAGAGTGGTATATACAAGACAACATACGTGCAAATTTGAGCCAGGCAGGGTAAAAAATCCAGACTTTTTGCTGTCACAGACCCTGTTACATCACTCACTTATGTATTACCCTCCAAACTCAGCTTATTTATATAGAAGGTACCCAGACAATAATTCCCAACTAGAGTTGTACTTTATCAATTCAAAGACCCTCCCCTCTACAAATCCCATCTAAGTACTTACCCAAGCCCTTTCTGCTCAACTTAGACCTCAGGACTTCAAAATCCTTGTCCCTCAGAACAGGATTTACCTACCACCCCATCATTTTCCATAAATAGGGGAAAAATTAACTAGCATTGATTGACTACCTCCTGGGTAGCAAGAATTTAACCCTCATATGGGTGAACTTGGCACTATAACTTCATCTTACAGGTGGGGAAACTAAGACCCAGTGAGGGACATTTTCAAAGTCATATAGGTAATAAGTTGGCATAAGTGGAATGGGAATAAAGCAAGTTCAAGGTCCATACTTTTTCCACCACCCTTCAACAACATCTGTGGGAACAGATTTTTTAAAACAGGACCGTAAAGCTTATTTGTATCGTATGCCTTCTCAAGTTCTGTTTCCTATCCAATCCTCAAATTTCCTTTTCCTCAAATAACTAATAAAATTGGCCAGTGCAAGGAAGGTATGTTTAGTAGTTTACAAGGAGTAGAGTTTCAGAGAGAAAGTATAATGGAGTTTTATTTTCTTACTTCCTGTCTCCTGTTACAGTTCTTGCAGAAGAGTGGGAATCTTTTGATCTGGGGTACTGAAATCCCAGAAATATCAACCCTAGTCAGCTCCAAAAAGCCCATAGGACTGGGTGGGTTTAATCTCCTTCTCGGTAGGCCTGAAAGTGACCAGAGGAGGAAGCCTCTTGGCTTGTTCACCAGGTTTGTGATACTTATGAGCCAGGTGTCCTTTTGGCCCTCCACAAGGACTATGAAAAGCTTGTGACTTTCTGGATCTGTTTATCTCATGGACTTGGCTCTGCTGGGGGATCCTAATATACCCACGCCACTGTGTCTCAAACCCAGAGGGATCTGCTGGAAGGGATCTATCTTTGGAAATGGCCTGAACCCTCCTGCTGCATTCTACTTAGTTCTCTATCTTGGGCATCTGGGATGGAGAGTAAAGGTGATTTTAATTGCTTTTTAGCTCAACAACAGGATGATTAAAATTGCTTAAAGTATGTTTTAAGCTGCAAATCAACCTTTACCCTGTAGTTACTTATATTTTAAATTGGCTTGTTTCTGTTCCCGTGCCATCACAACAACATCAGTTCTGAGCAAAATGGTACTGTTAACTGTTTCCTATCACCTACCTCTCACTTCCAGTTTCTCCATCTGGGCCCCTCTTCCTTTTTTAGCACTTCTGCCTCCCTCAGGGACTTCCAGTAATACCAATCCCTTGCTCAGGAAAATGAAACTCTCATGGGATATGATCCAGAGACAGTCTAATAGGAGTGATGGTTTAATGCAGTGAGGACCTCAATGATTTCCAGAAGTCCCACCACTTAAGTATCCTTCAGCTTCCCCAAATAAACACCCTACTCATTACTATGTACAGCTTCTCTCAAAAAGTGCCAAGGAAACTGAGGTAAAGTCATTCATTCCTTCATTTGCTTATTCATTTATTTACCAATTTTTGTTGACCACCTCAGCTGAAGGCGTTCTAGGCAAGGCAAGCAGCATGAGAAATGGCAGGGAGGATTAAGGGAGAGACTGGCTGGTTGAAAGAATGGTTAGTACTTTGGTTTGAATGGAGGATAGGATGCAAATGTGGATATGAACATAGATGAAGTCTGATAAATATTTATGGATCAAATCAGATCAGAAAGGCCTTGTTTGTCTTTCTGAAAAGTTTGCGATGTCATCCTGAAAGTAGTGGAGAACAACTGAAATGTGTTAAGCAGGACAGTGACATAATGAGACGTGCTTTAGAAAGCTTACTCTTATAGTCGCAGTATAGATGATCTTGAACATAGCTAAGGACAACATTAAGATATCATCCAAATGAAAAACAGGGCCTTAGCCTATTAAACTTACAGATAAACACCTCTTTCTTTAGGGGACATCAGAAAAACTAAGTATAGCTTATTTAAAAGCAATTGAGAGCAGTCTATTTGAGTCTGATCAGGGCACCCCAAGGAAATCTGCTTTTGTTGGCTATGGGCCCAAGCTTTCTGTCTATGGCCTAACCTTAACCAATTTCTGGTTTTTGGATCTTGAAAAATAGAACTGGTACATGACATCAACACTTACAACTTTCTCCCACTAAAAATTTTTCTGGACCCCACATTTCCCTTCAGCTACCATTTTTCTCTCCTTATAACAACACTTCTATAAGGATTTTCTAGCCTTTTTCCATTGCCTCTCCTTCTATTCACTTCCAAACACAAAACGATCACATTAGTGCTACTTCACTCCACCAAACAGAACTATTACCTGTTTTCTATGACTTTGATGCTAAATCTAATGGTCACTTGTTTGCTCTCATTTTCTTTACTACTGTGCATAATTCAATACAGTTCATCATTTTCTTCTTCCTGAAACACTGTCTTTGGCTTCTGGGCTCAGCACTCTCCTAGCTCTTGTCCTGCCTGTTTGTCCCTCTTAGGTTTATCCAATTTTCAAATGTTGGCATCATCCAGAGTTTCACCCTAGGCTCTCTCATTTTCTCACCCTGTACTTTATCTACATGAACTCAACCATTCTCATGTCTTCAATAACAGTGTATATGCCAATGAATACCAGTTTTATACTTCTAGATTTCTCTTCTGAGCTTCAGAATGGTATAGGCTTACCTCAGAGATATTGCAGATTTGGTTCCAGACCACCGCAATAAAGTGAATATCGCAATAAAGCAAGTTACATGAATTCTTTGGATTTCAGTGCAAATAAAAGTTATCTTTATACTATAACACAGTCTATTAGGTATGTAATAGCATTATGTCTAAAAAATGTACATACCTTAATTAAAAATACTTCACTGCTAAAAATGCTAATGATCATCTGAGCCTTTAGTGAGTCCTAATCTTTTTGCTGGTGGAGGGTCTTGCCTTGAAGTGTATGGCTGCTGATTGATCAGGGTGGTGGTTGCTGAAGGTTGGGGTGGCTGTGGCAATTTCTTAAGATAAGACAGCAATGCAGTTTGCTACATTTACTCACTCTTTATTTCATGAAATATTTCTTTGTAGCATGCCATGCTGTTTGATAGCATTTTACTCAGAGTACAGCTTCTTTTCAAAATTAGGGTCAGTCCTCTCAAACCCTGCCACTGCTCTATCAACTAAGTTTATGTAATATTCTAAATCCTTTGTTGCTATTTTAGCAATGTTCACAGCATCTTCACCAGGAGTAGATTCCACTTCTCAATAAACTACTTCATTTGCTCATCCATAAGAAGCAACTCCTCATCCATTCAAGTTTGGTCATGAAACTGCAGTAATTCAGTCACATCTTCAGGCTCCATTTCTAATTCTTGTTCTCTTGCTATTTTCACCACTTCTACAGTTACTTTCTCCACCTCTCAAAGTCATCGATGAGGGCTGGAATCAACTTCTTCCAAACTCCTGTTAATGTGGATATTTTTACCTTCCCCTATTAATCATGAATGTTCTTTTTTTTTTCTTTTGAGATGGAGTCTTGCTCTGTCGCCCAGGCTGGAGTGCAGAGGCATGATTTCGGCTCACTGCAACCTCTGCCTCCCGGGTTCAAGCAATTCCCCTACCTCAGCCTCCCGAGTAACTGAGACTACAGTGCATGCCACCACGCATGGCTATTTTTTTTTTTGTAGCTTTAGTAGAGATGGGGTTTCACCATATTGGCCAGCCTGGTCTCAAACTCCTGACCTCAGGTGATCTGCCTGCCTCGGCCTCCCAAAGTGCTGGGAATACAGGTGTGAGCCACCGCACCTGGCCATGAATTTTCTTAATGACATTTAGAACAGTGAATCCTTTCCAGAAGGTTTTCAATTTACTTTGCCCAGATCCACCAGATGAATCACTATCTATGGCAGCTATAGCCTTATGAAATGTATTTCTTAAATAATACCTTGAAAGTCAAAATTACTCCCTGATCTATGGGCTGCAGAATCATGTTGTGTTAGCAGGCATGAAAATAACATGAATCCCCTTGTACATCTCCATAGAGCCCTTGCATGACCAGGTGCATTGTCAATGAGCACTAGTATTTTGAAAGGAATCTTCTTTTTTCTGAGCAGTAGTTCTCAACAGTGGGCTTAAAAATATTCAGCAAACCATGCTGTAAACAGATGTGCTGTAATCCAGGCTTTGGTGTTCCATTTACAGAGCACAGGTGGGGTAGATATAGCATAATTTTTAAGGGCTCTAGGATTTTCAGAAAGGTAAATGAGCACTACCTTCAACTTAAAGTCACCAGCTGCATTAACCCCTAACAAGAGAGTCAGCCTGTCCTTTGAAGCTTTGAAGCCAGGCATTGACTTCTTTTTATCTATGAAAGTCCTAGATGGCATCTTCTTCCAATATAAGGCTTTTCGGTATATATTGGAAGTCTGATATTTAGTGTAGCCATCTTCATCAGTGATCTTAGCTAGATCTTCTGGATAACTTTCTGTAGGTTATTCATTATTCCTTGCTGCTCTACCTTGTGCTTTTATGTTATGGAGATGGCTTCTTTCCTTAAACCTCGTGAGTCAGCCTCTGCTGACTTCAAACTTTTCTTTTGCAAGCTTCCTCACCTCTCTCAGCCTTCATAGAATTGAAGAGTCCGGGGCCTTGTTCTGGATTAGGCTTTGGCTTAAAGGTATGTTGTAGGTGATTTGTTCTTCTTCTCTATTTGATCTTCTATCCAGACTACAAAAACTTTCTTCTTATCAGCACAAAGGCTGTTTTTCTTTCTTATAATTCATGTGTTTGCTGAAGTAGCACTTTCAATGTCCTTCAAGAACTTTTCCTGGGAGGTGTACTTCAAGATGGCTGACTAGAGGCACCTGACACTCACTTCACCTGCAAAGAAGGACCAAAACAGTACGTAGATAAGAACACATTAAGTAGAGATTCTGAAAGAGAACACTGGAATTCAGTGGACAAGTGACAGGGAACCTCTAAGGCATAGAAGGAGAGGGAAGTAAAGCATCTTGCCTGGCTAGAATTAGCTCACAGCTAGGAGGAACTGAGCATTACAGAAAAAAAGTAAGTGAGAGATCCCCAGCAGTCCGCATTTCCTCCAGACTCCTGTAATCCTAGCCACAGGAGAGCCCCTTGGCCCTTGCAGGCCCCGAAACTAGTATAGGAAGCTGCCTGGAATCCATGTAGCAGCACTGTCTCAGAGAGGTTGTTTAAGCTGGGTCCTACACACCTCCAGAGGTGCAGCTGCAGCATGGCACCATTTTGACAGCCCAGCCCCCATAAACTACGTAGTCTACTCCCATGGCACCATTTTGACAGCCCAGCCCCCATAGACTACATTCTGCCTTGGGACCCAACAGCCCCTATATCTCTACATCACTGGAGCCTTCCTGACATCCCCCTACACCCACCCAGAGGGTTGCAGCCTCCCGATGTTGGCTAGACCCAGTGGTGCAGCAGGGGTACCAGCATTGTAGCCCACACAGTGTTCTAAAACCCAGGGAATGGGTAGTGCAGTGTACCAGGGAGGCTGCCCCTCAAACAAAGGGAGCTGAAATACGTGGTAACCATAGCCTGAGAGCTGCTTACATGGGGCTACTGCCACTGCCAGCAACACTGCCCCCTACAGTGGCAGGGCCACCATGCACCTGCATGTGCCTTCAAGGCGCCTAGGGACCAGTTTGCCTATGCATTATTTGGGGGGCCTGAGCACAGACCTCCCTTCCCACCATCACCACTGCAGGTACACGAATGCAGTGTCTGAGATGTGGGGATTGACTTGCCCTGCCCACCACAGCTGGTGCTTGTGAGCACCACTGAGAGGCCTTAGTACAGGTTCAACGCACCGGCCACCACCACTGTTGGCACCACCACATGTTGTCCAGCGGCCTGAGGATAGAACAACCCCATTTGCAACCACCAGTGCCCATGCATGCCATTCAGGGACCTGAAGACAAGTCTGCCCTGCCCACCCACATTGCTGCTGCCACCAGCACCCATGCATGTAGTCCCAGTGCCTGGGGATAGGCTCACCTTGCCTACTACTATGGACACACATGCACACCATCTAGAGGCATAAGGGTGAGACCACCACACCCCACCCCACCCCACCACCAGTGCCCATGCATGCCTCCTGGGGGCCTGGGAACTGGCTTGTCCAGTCTGCCACCACTGCCACCAGCACCCATATGTGTATGCCGCCTGGGGGCGTGGTGACTTCCCTGCTCAGCCCGCCACCACTGCTGACATTTACAGGAGCCACTCAGAGGCTTGAGAGTTGGCCTGTCACTGCCACTACCACCACTGATATCACAGACACCACCTGAGGGCCTGAGGATCTGCCCACCTGGCCCACTGCTGCCAATCCTGGCACCTGAGCACACCACCTGGAGGTCTAAAGACTGGCATGCCTGCCTGCTGCTAACAGCACTAGTACCTAAGGACTGGCCTGCCTGGCATGCCCAGCCACAGAAAAGCCTCATCATAGCCTCCATTAATAACTGCAGCCAACCCACTGAGTAACTCATGGACACCACTGACACTGATTAGAGCCAAAGAAATCATACAGAAAATACAAACTGTGCCCACCCAGAATCATAGCCAAAGAACCCTATCCAATCAACACTACAAACACATCTATGTGAAAAAGGATTTTCCTATGAAAGATAATTCATAAAATTAGAGGAAGTGACTGTTACACCGGGTATCAATGTAAGTACACAAGAAACATGAAAAAAGAAGGAAATATGACACCTCCAAAGCAACACAATTATACTCCAGTAACAGATCTTAAAGAAAAAGAAATTAAAAAAAGAAAAATAAATTTATAAAATGCCTGAAAAGGAATTAAAAATAATAATATTAAAGAAACTCAGTGAAGTACAAGAGAACACAGATAAACTTATAAAGAACTAACATTGATACTCAAACTAGTCCAAAACATGATGAGGACAGAATTCTTCCTAAATCATTCTACAAGGCCAGCATCACTCTGATATCAAAACTAGACAAGGAAGCAACAACAAAAGAAAACCACAGGCCAATATCCCTGATGAATATAGATGTAAAAATCCTCAACAAAATACTAGCAAATGAAATCTAGTAACACATTAAAAAGATAATATACTATGATCAAGTGGGATTTATCCCAGTGATGCAAGGATGGCTCAACATATGCAAATCAAGAAATGTGATCATCAACAAAATGAAAGACAAAACCGTATAATCATCTGAATAGATTCAGAAAAAGCATCTGATATAATTCAACATCTCTTCATGATAAAAACTCTCAACAAATTAGGCATAGAAGGAACATACCTCAACATAATAAAGGCTGTATAGGACAAATCCATAGCAAATATTATACTGAATGAGGAAAAGCTGAAAGCCTTTCCTCTAAAACTGAATCAAGACAAGGATGCTCACTTTCATCATTCTTATTCAACATAGTACTGGAAGTCCTAGCTAGAGCAATCAGGCAAGGGAAAGAAAAGGCATCCAAGTTGGAAAAGAGAAACTCAAATTGTTTTTCTTTGCAGATGAAATGATTTTATATTTGGAAAAACCTGAAGACTCCACCAAAAAAACTCTAGGAACTGATAAACAAATTCAGTAAAGTTGCAGGATATAAAATTAACATACAAAGTTCAGTAGCATTTCCACACACCAACAATGAACTAGCTCAAAAAGAAATTAAGAAAACAATCCCATTTACAACAGCTAAAGACAAATATCTAGGAATAAATTTAACCAAGGAAGTGAAGGACCTCAGCAACAAAAACTATAAAACACTGATGAAAGCAACTTGAGGACACAAACAAATGGAAAGATATCCTATACTCATGGATTGCAAGAGTTAATATTGTTAAAATGACCATACTACCCAATGTGATTTACAGATTCAATGCAATCCCTATCAAAATACCAATGACATTCTGCAAAGAAATAGAAAGGGAAATACTAAAATTAATATGGAAGCACAAAAGACCACAATAGCCAAAGCAATACTGAGCAAAAAGAATAAAGCTGAAGGCATCACTCTACCTGACTTTAAAAAATATTACAAAGCTATAGTAATCAAAACAGCATGGTATCAGCATAAAACAGACACATAGACCAATGGAACAGAATAGAGAACCCAGATATAAATCTATGCATTTACAATCAACTGACTTTCAACAAAGGCACCAAGAACATACATTGGGAAAAGGATACCCTCTTCAAAAAATATCACTGGGAAAACTGCATATTCATATACAGAAGAATAAAGCATGACCCCTATTTAACACTATATGCAAAAATCAACTCCGAATAGATTAAAGACTTAAACCTAAGACCAAAAACTATAAAATGACTAGAAGAAAATACAAGGAAACAATTCTGCACAGGGTCTAGGCCAAGATTTTATGGGTAAGACTTTAAAAGTATAGGTAACAAAAACAGATAAATGGGACTATAGCAAACTAAAAAGCTTCTGCACAGCAAAATAAATAATTGAGAAATAAAAATAAAATCCCAAGTCCCCCAGCTAACTGAAAAGACCCTCTCTCAGCCAAGAGCACCCCAGATAAACCTTAAAAACTGTGTTCCTGGCCATGATGGATGAGGGGTTGGATATACCTGATTATGCTCCTTCTTTATTAACCTTCAACTAGAATTCTTTCCTAAGGACTGAGCAGAAACTAGCTCTGGAAAGTGAGAAAAGGATAACTCATTCCTTTATCATCTTTAGCCAATCATCTGAGGCCATGACCAGACTCCCTGTCTTTGCAGTTTCAATATGACAGCTCAGCAGCTTCATAATGCATCTCTTCCTAATAAAAGACCACTGACCAGAGAGTGGTTCTGGCCAGTTTACAGAGGATGTGCAATGAGGGTTTTCATGTCCTCTGTTTTACCATTTGATGTTAGAGGTCCAAAAACTCCACCCTTGGATCATGCTAACACTGCCATTTTTTGTACACGTGACTGATGAAGAAGCATGAAGCTCAATTGCACATGTGCACGCATCTCCTTTCATAATTATTCATGACTCTTCCTATAACTTATTGAATATGTATACTTAGCCAACCCATTCACCATAAATTCTTGTCTTATGCTTCCCTCCCTCAAAGTGCTTGCTCTCGGCTACTGGGCAGAGGCTACATATCCCAGCCTGTGGGATGGCCAGCCTGCAGGCTTCATTCCTTTATGAGAAATAAAGCCCTCCTTTCCAAATTTAGGAACCTCATGATTCTTCAATTGACATGACCAACAAAGAGACAACCTATAGATGGGAGAAAATATTTGCAAACTATTCATTCAACAAGGGACTAATAAACAGAATATACAAGGAACTTGCACAACTCAAAAGCAAAAAAAAAAAAAAAAACAAATAATCCCATTAAAAAGTGAGCAAAAGACCTCAAACTATAAAACTACTATAAGAAAACACTGGGGAAAATCTCCAGGACATTAGTCTGGGCAAAGACTTCTTAAGCAATACCTCACAAGCACAGGCAAGCAAAGTAAACATGGACAGACGGGATCACACCAAGTTAAAAAGCTTCTTCACAGCAATGGATACAATCAACAAAGGGAAGAGACAACTCATAAAATGGGAGAAATATTTGCAAACTAGCCCTCTGACAAAGGATTAAAAACCAGAATATATAAGGAGCTCAACAACTCTATAGGAAAAAAAATCTAATAATTCAATCAAAAGATGGGCAAAAGATTTGAATAGACATTTATCAAAAAAGTCATATAAATGGCAAACAGGCATATGAAAAGGTGCTCAACACCACTGATCATCAGAGAAATGCAAATCAAAACTACAATGAGATATAGTCTTATGCCAGTTAAACTGGCTTGGATCCAAAAGTCAAGGAATAACAAATGCTGTCGGCCAGGCATGGTGGCTCACGCCTGTAATCCCAGCACTTTGGGAGGCCAAGGCAGGTGGATCGCCTGAGGTCAAAAGTTCGAGTCCAGCCTGGTGAAACCCTGTCTCTACTAAAAATACAAAAATTAGCCAGGAATGGTGGGGGGTGCCTGTGATCCCAGCTACTCAGGAGGTTGAGGCAGGAAAATTGCTTGAACCCGGGAAGTGGAGGTTTCAGTGAGCTAAGATCGCACCACTGCATTCCAGCCTGGGCAACAGAGTGAGACTCCATCTCAAAAAACAAACAAACAAACAAAAACAAATGCCAGCGAGGATGTGGAGAAAAGGGAACCCTCATATGCTGTTGGTGGGAATGTAAATTAGTATAACCACTATGGAGAACAGTCGGGAAAAAACCAAAATAGGGTTACCATATAATCCAGTAATCCCACTGCTGGGTATATGCCCAAAAGAAAGGAAACCAGTATACCGAAGAGACATCTATACTCCCTTGTATGTTACAGCACTGTTCACAATAGCTAAGATTTGGAAGCAACCTAAGTGTCCATCAGGAGATAAATGGATAAAGAAAATGTGCTACTTATACACAATGGAGTGCTATTCAGCCATAAAAAGAATGAGATCCTGTCATTTGCAACAACATGGATGGAATTGGAGATCATTATGTTAAGTGAAATAAGCCAGGCACAGGAAGACAAACATCACATGTTCTCACTTATGTGTGGGATCTAAAAATCAAAACAGTTGAATTCATGGACGTAGAGAGTAGAGGGATGGTTACTAGAGTCTGAGAAGTGTAGTGGGGGCTGGCAGGGAGGCAGGGATGGTTAATGGGTACAAATAAATAGAAAGAATTTATAATACTTACTATTTGATACATAACAGGGTGATTGTAGTCAATAGTAACTTAACTGAACATTTTAAAATAACTTTAAAATGTAATTGGAGTGTTTATAACTCAAAGGATAAATGCTTGAGGGGATGGATACCCCATTCTCCATAACGTGCTTATTTCACATTGCATGCCTGCATCAAAACACCTCATATAACCCATAAATATCATAAATATATACATCTACCATGTACCCACAATTTTGTTAATTAAAAAAAGTGAGCAAAGAATGTGAATAGACGTTTCTCAAATGATAACATAAAAATGGCCAACAGGTATTTGAAAAAAATGCTCAATATCACTAATCATCACAGAAATACAAATCAAAACCACAATAAGATATCATCTCACCCCAGTTAGAATAACTATTATCAAAAAGACAAAAAATAGTAAATTCTGGTGAGGATGTGGAGAAAAGGGATCAATTACACATTGTTGGTGGGAATGTAAATTAGTACAGCCATTATGGAAAACAGTATGGAGGTTTCTCAAAAAACGAAAAGTAAAGCCACCATATAATCCAGCAATCCCTCTACTGGGTATTTATCCAAAGGAAAGGAAATCAGTATACCAAAGGGATACCTGCTTCTCCATGTTTACGGTAGCACTATTCTCAATAACAAAGATATGCAATCAATCTAAGTGTCTATCAATGGATGAATGGTTAAAGAAAATGAGGTATATATACACAGTGGCATACTATTCAGCCATAAAAAATGAAATCTTGTCATTTGTGGCAACATGGATTTAACTGGAGATCACTGGGGTAAGTGAAATAAACCAGGCACAGAAATAAAAATATTGCATGTTCTATCTCATATGTGGGAGCTACAAAAGTTGACCTCATGGACACAGAGAGTAGAATGGTGGTTGTCAGAGGCTTAGAAAAGGAGGGGATGAAGAGCAATTGGTTAATGGGTACAAACATACAGTTAGATAACAGGAATAAATTCTAATGTTTGATAGCACAGTGGGGTAACTACAGTTAACAATAATTTATTTTATATTTCAAAATAGCTAGAAGAGAGAGTTTAAAATGTTCCCAACATGAAGAAATGATAAATGTTTGAGGTGATGGATATCCTTAGTACACTGGTTTGATCATTACATATTGTATACATGCATCAAAAAATAGCATGTACCCCATAAATATGAACAATTATGTATCAAAAAAAGAACTTTTTCTTTACATTCACAACTTGGCTAACCGGCACAAGAGGCCTAATGTGGCATTCTATTTCTGCTTTAGACATGCCTTTCTCACTAAGCTTAATCAAGCTTTTGATTTAAAGTGAGAGATGTGTAACTCTTTCTTTAATTTGAACACTTAGAGGCCAGTGTATGGTTATTGATTGGCTTAATTTTCATATTGTTGTGTCTCGGGGAATAAGGAGGCCGGAGTCAAGAGAGAGAGACAGGGAAATGGCCTGTTGGTGGAGCACGCAGAACTGACAACATTGATTAAGTCAGCCACCTCATGTGGGTGTGGTTCATGGCATCTCAAAACAATTGCAATAGTAACATCAAATATCACTGATCACAGATCCTCATTACAAATATAATAATAATGAAAAAGTTCGAAATATTGTGAGAGTTGCCAAAATCTGTTACAAGACATGAAGTGAGCATATGCTGTTGAAAAAAAAAATTGCATGATAAACTTGCACAACACAGGGTTGCCAGAAACCTTCAATTTGTAAAAACAAAAACAAAAACAAAACAAAACAGAAAAAAACAGTATCTGTGAAGTGTAATAAAGAGCAATAAAGAGAAGCACAATAAAATAAGGCATGCTTGTGTATCCAGTTACCTATTTAGCATGTACTTGAAATCATAATAACCAAAATCAAACTCACTGATGAAACGGGAGAGTTCCTTGACCCCCCTCACAGGACATGCAACAGGGATGTGACTCATCTGTTCAGTCACTGCCGCTGCTCAAACCCCTTATGGGAGGGGGAGCAGACAGACAGGTGTAGGAGCCCAAATGGGCGTGTGCCCTTTTAGCCTTGCTGTCCATGGACGGCTTGAGTGTTAACCAGCTCAGTGGACCCTCTGCCTTTCTGCAAGGGCAGAGGGTCGGTGTGACAGCTTTCTGTATCCCAAGCTCTTGTCCCGCTTCCTGGAAGAATCGGGTCACACGTGGACTTGAAGGATGAATGCAGGGGTTTTATTGAGTGGTGGAGGTGGCTCTCAGTGAGATGAATGGGGAGCCAGAAGGGGGGATGCAGTGGGAAGATGATCTTCCACTGGAGTTTGGCTGTCCAGTGGCCAGACTCCTCTCTGATGACCACCCTTAGCTGAACTCCTCTTGACGTTCAGACCTTCCTCCTCTTCTTTCTCTGCTGCATTGTTCTGCCATTCATCTGCTTGTCTCCTTGTCTTCTTGTCTGCTCATCTGCTTCTGGAGCCTGGGGATCAGGGTTTATATGGATACAGGATAGGGGGGCATGATGGGCCAAAATGCAACTTTTTGGGCACAAAAACAGAAATGCCTATTCTCACTTAGGGCCATGGGTCTCCGGGCTTGAGGGTGGGGCCTTTGTCAGGGAACCGCCCTCTTCTATCCAGTGTTTCCATCTCCTGTGTGTGTCATTATCTCCTTTTGTCTCCAAACATGTACTTCTTCCAGTGCTCACCAACTCAATAACATGGAACCCCATTCCTCCAGTGCAGCATACCAGAATTTGATCATTCTTGATAACTTGCTCTCCCAAATCCAAAATTGTTTGTATTGTCTAAATGGTCGCTGCATGCTTTGACCCCTGATTAATTCTCCAGCCTTATCTCGTGTTGTGTGCTCATGCCAAACTTGCCTTCTTTCAATTCCTTTGGGACACCCAGAACACCCAAAAGTTTGGCCTCAGAGTCTTTATATTGGTGTATCCTCTTCCTGGAATATTCTTCCTCCAAATCTTTACCTGCTGAGTTCCTACTTAACCTTTATATACCAGCTTAAATATTTCTTCTTTGAGTGAATCTTCCTGGACCCATCTGACTAAATTCGGTCTTCCATCCCACCTTCATATCCTGCTGGTTTATTTTCCCAGGGGAGCCCATAATTTCCCTTCATAGCACTCGACAACTGAGATGAGTGACTGAGGTATAAGTCTCAATCACTGCGGTTTATTTTAGGGTGTGTCTGCGAAGAAAACGAATCACAGATACATCCATGGCTGTTTTTCTGAAGAGGTTTTCAGGAGATTTTGTATTTGTATACTTCCTTAAAGCGGGGAAGGCATATAGGAAGAGAGGCAGGTAGGTGTTTGGGTGAATAGTTGCATTCCTGTGAGATACTAGTTAGTGCTCAGTAAATCTACATTTTATATAAGATAAAGTGAATGTCTGGAAAGAAAAAGGGAGTAAAAGATAAATCAATTATGCAGAAGTCTCTAGGTAGGTGGAGGAAGGAGTCTTGACTTTGTTCTGCACCTGGGAGGATAAGCTTGTAATGACATTATCAGTGTAGAATCAAACAGACTTTAGTATTAGGAGCTAGACTTAGATTGTAGACCTAAAGTCACATGTGGCATATCCTTGTTTATGGAAGGCCAGCAAATAACTTAGTTGGGGGTGCGGGCAGTCCTTCACAGATATCTGAGACCTTTTACCTTTCCGTGGAGATCTAGCTGATGCATAATATGTTAGGAACAGCTATTCATTTGGAAGAGTGACCTTCCCTTTTGCATTAGAAGTTTGGGGGCTCCTGAGGATTTAAAATTTTCTTTTACACACACTATCATAATTTTAAGTATTTATTTGTGAGATTGTTTACATAATGTCTGTCTTCACTACTTGACTGTAAATTCCACAAGTATTGCTCTTGTTTATGCCCTCAACACTGAGAACTGACACATAGGAGGCAGTTAATAAATATTTGTTCAGTGAATATATGTATAAATGAGTGAATGAGTACAAGTTTTTCTCAAAAAGCATATATTCCTCTCTTAAAGAGGAAGGGCCTTCTCAGTTTGGGAACCTACTTCAGGGTCTGATGAATAGATACTCTGATTAAGAGCTATCTTTGATGGCTGGGCGCGGCGGCTCACGCCTGTAATCCCAGCACTTTGGGTAGGCAGAGGCGGGTGGATCACCTGAGGTCAGGAGTTCCAGACCAGGCTGGCCAAAAAGGTGAAACCCCGTCTCTACTAAAAATACAAAAATTAGCCAGGTGTGGTGGCACACGCCTGTAGTCCCAGCTACTCAGGAGGCTGAGGCAGGAGAATCGCTTGAACCTGGGAGATGGAGGTTGCAGTGAGCTGAGATCATGCCACTGCACTCCAGCCTGGGCAAAAGAGCAAGACGGTCTCAAAAAAAAAAGGGCTATCTTTCAGAACTCAGTAAAGTTCTTAACAATGTTCCAAGTTATTTTACCTTCCAAGTTTGAGCTAAGTATTATACCGCGTTGTTCTCTTTTGCCCACAGTCCTCTCCCTAGGTTTTTCACCAGCTTTTCTTTAACCTGAGAAGAGTCAAAAGGAAAAACACAATAAAAATATTCACTATATTTTCCTGAGAATCTAAAACATTTGAAGTTTGCTTAGAGATTTGGCTGAAGCTTTGGATTGTTTCCAAGTTTGGCAATCAATTTATCTGGGGCTAATTCAGTTTTCACAAGGTTTTTTTTTTTCCCTCAACTTTCAGTTTCAACATGAGAGCTGGAGTTACCCTCCTCGTGGTTCAAATGGAGCAGTTAAACTCAGGGCCCAAGGTAGAAAATCTGACATAAGGAATCTATGCTTCCAAACCTTGTGACACCTGGTGGTTATGTTCCAGATTCTGGCTCCTGGGTCCGTGGGATCTGTAAGCTCTGGTCTTTCCAAAAGTCTTGTCATAGTAGTAGGGGAAAGGAACACTTCTTATGGACAGTGAAAGGGAAACACTAACCTGTCTACTTTCTTCCAGACATCAGAAGTGAAAAGTAAGATAGAGGCATTTCTGACCTTGTCTGACTCAGTAGGACAGTGTCAGGATTTGTTTAGAGAGAGAAAGTGACCATCCTTAAAAAAAAAAAAAAAAACCCTTATGCTCCCTACTGTCAGTCTCAAGTGCATGGCTTAGTTCCAAGCCCTAGGTCTTTTTCATTTCAACACCAAACTCTACACTGGCTTTTGAGATGAAGACAGGGGTTATAGATCTGCAGAACAGCAGAGTAGCTGCTGAGTGCTTGAAGAGCCCATTCTAAACCTCCCTTTTCTCTGCCCAAGTATCCACAACACCTTCCCTGTACTGAGTTGTTCTGGACCAGGCTCCATTGTTATTCAGCCATGCCCAATCCCTGGGAAGCTGACATACAGTAGAAAATGGAGTGATAATTATGCAGCCAGTCTCTGTAGGACTTTTAGGGGAAGGACAGTCTTCCTAGGAAGTTAGTTGCCTAGTCATTTGCTTTAGCATAAAATTTTTATATATATTTTATATATATAAATGGCTACGGAGACCAGACGGTGGGAGGACAGAGGATGGGAATATGGTCAATGTTTTACTGATGACTTGGTTATCCAGCGATGATCAAAAACTCCAGTGGCTCCACCAGCTAATGCTGTCCATGAGAAGGCTGAAAGGATCTTCAGAGATTATCATGCTTAGCTCTTGCTTGTTTACTTGACTAAAAAAATAAATACTCCCCTGGTTTCCCTGGGAGTTATTATGGTTTGTAAGCAATGATAACAGTTAAAATTCTGCACTCTCATGCTAAGGTTTACAAGGTTGTTTCTAGATTTCTCTTCCTGGAGATTCTCTACTTGGACACCCCCTCCAGCCTAAAGATCCCAGAAACATCATGAGGAGCTCTCATAGGGACTGTTGGATAGAAGCAACTCTGTTGCCACGCTGAAGACCAAATTCTGGAGATCTAGCACGGGAATCCAAATCTGAGGAGTGCTGTAGAAGATAAGTACAGACTCAAAGGTGTGACAAAAGCCGAGGACTTGGAGTCAAGAGACCTGTGTGCAAATCTGCCTTTCATTATAACTGTTTGATCCAGGTTAAATCACTTAACTGCTTTGAACTTCAGTTCCTCTTTCTCTAAAACAGGAATACAATTACAGTACCTACTTCACAGTTGTAATTAATGAACAAACAAATGCACAAAGGATCCAGTATACAGTAGATAATCAGTATCAGTGACTTGTATCAGAACTTCTTTCTTACAACTGCTGTGCCTTACAAATGCTGCCCAACTCCCCATAAGGGACCCATGGTAGAGATGACACTGCTCTTCAGGTCCTTCTTACAATTTTCAAGGCAATATTTGAAAAATTCTGAACTGATCCTGGAATGGCAACCTTCTTTTCTCCACCTATCAAAACCCTATTTGTAACTGTGGACCCAATTCAAGTGTCAACCTCATTGCACATATTCCTCAAATACTTTTTAGATCTTACCTAGGGACTAAGGGAAGAGTTCCTCAAGGAAGAGATGCTTGAGCTGACAGATGAAAGCTGAGTGAGAGTACCCTAGGGAAGGGGAGAGGAGATTATATTCTGGGTAGAGGAGACAATATATGTAAAGATCTTCAGGCAAAAGGTAATCTAGTTTGTTGGAAAAACTGAAAGAAAATCAGAAGAACAGTGAGGCTAAAGCACAGGGAAGGCCAAAAGCCTTATAAATAGAGTAGCTGTGCATGGCTGTGCAGTTGGAGCCCAATACAAACGTACCCTGTCAAAGGGGCGTGTGAGGACGGAAATCCAGCCTGTGTTCTCCTTGCTAAACCATGCATTTATAGGGCTCTATATACCCAGAAGGAGTGCCTTTTTCTACTTTGTCCACCCTTGTTTTAATTTTCAGAAAGATAAACAAAAGTTAGCAGCATCTCTTACGAGGCCATGCATGTTCTGGCTCCTATCTATCACACCATTCTTACCTGGAACTCTTACCCCCATTCTCTTCTTTGTGCTCCATCCACACAGGTCTTCTGCATCCTCAGGACTTTGCATTTGTTTTGCTTGTTATATGGGGTTTCACTATCATCTACCTAGTACAATTCTTGGCATACTATTGAGGCTTGATGAGTATGTCTTAGCATTGAGTCCATGACCTGAGGCTGATTTGGCTCCATCCGAGTCTGGACCTGAACCAACTGCAATTGGGTTAGACCTGCTCTGGTCTTCAGGCTAGTGAGGCTGGTACAATGCCCATTTCTAAGTGCTGGGAGCAGTGAATCTTCTTACCTAGGCATGGCAAAGGAGTCACTTTTTGTCTTGGGGCTGCTAAAATCTTTACAGATTGAGAGTCACAAGGGCTTCTTAATACAGGCAATATTAATTTTTTTTTCTACATGGGATTGAAAGAATTGAGGAATGTGGTTGTTTCAGACTTTCCTGCACTTCAAAACTCAGAAGAGCTTTCTCTAAGGATACATTACAACATATTCAACGAGAGTCTGCCCATCAGCCTAGATTTCTGAAAGAATGATAAGCTCCTACTGCAACCATTTGTTCAACAAATATTTATTGAGCATCTACAATAATTAATAAAATAGGCATGATCTTTGACTTCACAGAACTTAGATTTTCGTGCCATGTTCAGAAGTCTCTGTGGGATTATTTTACAGGGGAAATGTGTTTTCTTAAGGTGCCAAATGCTCATTGGCAGCTTATATAGCAACTAATAAAGCACAAGAAGGGTCAGCCTTCCTGGGGTCCAAATCCTAGTGGATTCTACCATTTGAGAGCTGTGCTACTACCCTGGGCAAGTTACCTTTTTTTATTTTCAATTTTCTCACCTGTAAATGAGAATAATAATGCTTTAACCTCATAGAGTTGATATAAAGATTAAACAAAGCATAATATGTAAAAGAATGTAGCCTAGTGCCAAATCAATAAATACTTTTATATAACACAACATACTCTTGTTTTATGGAAAATGAAAATTATTTTTAAGATAAAATTTATCTGGGAAATAGGTCCATTTCTCACGAACTCAGAATAGTAATCAGAGGAAATGTCATGGCTATGGGAAATGTTTCCTATCTATTATGTCCTGATCCAGGTTGTTATTTTCTTGAGATAGAAATCTTTATCTTGGTGTCTGCCAACCAACCCCAGTGCCTAGCATAGTGCCTGGGAGCACTGCAGATAGAGGACTTGTCCTGTTAATTTCTGTACTCTTAGGGACTGGTATAGTGTCTAGAACAAAGTATGCATATTATTCGGTTGGTGCAAAAGTAAGTGCAGTTTTTGCCATTAGTTTCAATGGCAAAACTTAATAGCTATATAAGCTTATTTTTGCGCCAACTTAATAGCTGTATAAGCTTATTTCATTCTCACAACAACCCTCTAAAATGATGCTATTATTATCCTTATTATTAGATGAGGAAGCTAAGGCACAGAGAGATTAAGCCAATTGCCCTAAATTACCAAGCTAAGAGTGATAGAGCTGGAATTTAAACCAAGCAGCCTAGCTCTTAGCCTGCACGGTAACACCTAACACAATCAGATAGGAAGTGATTACTAGATATTTGTTGAATAAATGCAATTGCAAGAAAATGTAAATTATGTTCATTTAACGGAAGAATTCCATTATACATGTGTGCTTAATACAATAGCGATATTCTGAAAAGTTAGATAAAAATCAATTCTTTGTAAACTTCATGCATTTCACTAGTGTGCCCAGCACATTGTAGTTTGAAAAAGTAACCCATACTGAGCTTTAAGGGTTCCTGCTATTCAGAGTAAACTGCGGTGATCCGTTTTGTTGTGTCCTTTTGTCAAGTCAGTAATCACCTCCTAAACTGTCTGATTTATAATTAGTTTTTTTCACATACTGGCTTTTTCTAAAGCAGGAAGGGCTGGTATATATCCTTTTTTAGATCTTGTTCCGATCACCTATTAAACGGCCCCTCCCTACCCCCTATCAACTAGAAGGCTAGAGAGACAGCTGGTGCCCTCTTCTGGGGGTTTAGGGCTGTTGCATACATTGGGCCCACCACGGGGCATTTCCAGAAAACAATTATGTCAACTACTTTTCAAGTCTGATGATAAGAATAGGGTTGGATTTTTATTCTTTCTTTGAAATAAGAAACTATATCTTTCCGAAAATAAGAAAGTTGACTGTAGTGTCCAGAACAAAGTATGCATATTACATGCATAAGCTTATTTCATTCTCACAACAACCCTCTACAATGGTGCTATTAATATCCATTTTAGAAAATGAAAATAGGAGACTCAGCCAGGCGAGTCTCCTGAAGCCCTGTTGGGTAGAGGGATGGAATTCCACTGTGGTGCTGAGAAGACGCTTCCTTCAGTCAGATATATTTTATGTATGTATGTATGTATGTATGTATTTATTTATTTATTTTGAGACAGAGTCTCACTCTGTCGCCCAGGCTGGAGGGAGGTGGCTGGAACTCAGCTCACTGCAACCTCCGCCTCCCAGGTTCAAGCAATTCTCCTGCCTCAGCTTCCCGAGTAGCTGGGATTACAGGCATGTACCATCATGCCCGGCTAATTTTTTGTATTTTTAGTAGAGACAGGGTTTCACCATGTTGCCCAGGCTAGTCTCAAACTCCTGGCCTCAAGTGATCCACTTGCCACGGCCTCCCAAAGTGTTGGGATTACAGGCCTGAGCCACCGCACTGGGCCTCAGTCAGATATATTTTATGTATACTTTAAAATCGCACGCTATTAATGAAAAAATTGAGCGCTTGAGGATTATCTACGTGCTAGATACTTTAGATACATTATCTCATTTAATAGAAGTGCAAACAATATCCCCAATTTACAGTTAAGAAAACTGAGAAGCAGAGAGGTTAAGCATTGGCCAAAAAATAACAGAACCAGGAATTTAAACCCAAATCATGCTCTTTCCAGTGTAATATGTTTTCTCTTTCTACTTCTTATGATCCTGTATCAAAATCCCACTACTAAAAGAGATGGCAAGGAAATGTTCTTGACATATGTAAACCCAAGCCAACATCACTGAAACATCAAAAAGAACCATGCCCCAAACCTCTATATAGACCTCTTGCTAGTTGTTCTGACATCTTGTTTTTTTTTTGTTTGTTTTTATGTAGTTGTGTTGAATTCTTTTTTAATATAGTTGTTTTGAATAGAAAGATAGGAAGTGGGCCGGGCGCGGTGGCTCACGTCTATAATCCCAGCACTTTGGGAGGACGAGGCAGACGAATCACCTGAGGTCGGGAGTTCGAGATCAACCTGACCAACATGGAGAAACCCCATCTCTACTAAAAATACAAAATTAGCCGGACGTGGTGGCACGCGCCTGTAATCCCAGCTACTCGGGAGGCTGAGGCAGGAGAATCGCTTGAACCAGGGAGCCGGAGGTTGCGGTGAGCCGAGATCGTGCCATTGCACTCCAGCCTGGGCAAGAAGAGCGAAACTTCGTCTCAAATAAAATAAATAAATAAATAAATAAATAAATAAATAAATAAATACAGATAGGAAGTGGTGTTCGCTCTCCAACACCACCGCCGCCTCTCGCTTGCAGAGCTCCACCTGAAGCAGAAGGGGGATAACGAAGGAGGTCTCTATACCATGGCTCGTACAAGGTGGACTGCCCGCAAATCTACCGGTGGTATAGCACCCAGGAAGCAACTGGCTACAAAAGCCACTTGTAAGAGTGCGCCCTCTACTGGAGGGGTGAAGAAACCTCATCGTTACAGACCTGGTACTGTGGCACTCCGTGAAATTAGACATTATCAGAAGTCCACTGAACTTCTGATTCGCAAACTTCCCTTCCAGCGTCTGGTGCGAGAAATCGCTCAGGACTTTAAAACAGATCTGCGCTTCCAGAGGGCAGCTATCGGTACTTTGCAGGAGGCAAGTGAGGCCTATCTAGTTGGCCTTTTTGAAGACACCAACCTGTGTGCTATCCATGCCACACGTGTAACAATTATGCCAAAAGACATCCAGCTAGCACGCCACATACGTGGAGAACGTGTTTCAGAATACACCATGATGTGAAACATTTCATTCTCAAAAAAAAAAAAAATCTTCTTCCTGTTATTGGTAGTTCTGAACGTTAGATATTTTTTTTTCCATGGGGTCAAAATGTACCTAACTATATGATTGTGAGTGGAAAAATAGGGGACAGAAATCAGGTATTGACAGTTTTTCCATTTTCATTTGTGTTTGAATTTTTAATATAAATGTGGAGACATAAAGCATTAATGCAAGTTAAAATGTTTCAGTGAACAAGTTTCAGCGGTTCAACTTTATAACAATTATAAATCTGTTAAATTTTTCTGGACAATGCCAGCATTTGGATTTTTTTTAAACAAGTTAATTTCTTATCGACGGCAACTAAATGGTGTTTGTAGCATTTTTTATCATACAGTAGATTCCATCCATTCACTATACTTTTCTAATTGAGTTGTCTTACATGCAAGTACATGTTTTTAATGTTGTCTGTCTTCTGTGCTGTTCCTGTAAGTTAGCTATTAAAATACATTAAACTATAAAAAAAGAAAGATAGGAAGTTTAAATTGGTAACAGACAGAGGTTAAAGAACAAAGAAAATGTTGGGAAGCAGGGAAGGGGTTAGGAAAGGAGGGAGTTGTGTGGCTGCCGCTCTACAACTCCTGAGGCTAGAAGTGGCATATCAGGTTGAGCCCCAGCTTTCTGGGGAATTCAGCTTGCATCAAATATAATAATAACTAACCTACATCTAGTACTTACTTTGTGCCAGGCACTCTTTTAAGTGCTTTACATCTGTTAACTCATTTAATCCTCACAAAAATCCTGTTTTACATGTTAGAACATTGTAGCAGAGAGAGGCTATGATTTTCATTTTACAGATGAGGAAACTGAGGCACAGAGAAGTTGAGTAGTTTATCCAAGGTCAAGCTAACAAGCAGTGGAGTTGGAGTTTAAATTTAGGATTCTGCCTCCAGAGCTGTGTTCTCACCTGCCATGATATAGAGTTAACCCTTGAATAACAAGAGTTTGAACTGCAGATATTTTTCCATAAATATATTAGAACATTTTTGGAGATTTTCAACAATTGGTAAAAATTGCAGATGAACTGTGTAGCCTAGAAATATCAAAAAACTTAAGAAAAAGTTACATATGTTATGAATGTATAAATATATATATAAACTAGTCTATTTTATTATTTTCTACCATAAAATACACACAAATCTGTTATAAAAAGTTAAAATTTATCAAAATTTACACACCCACAGACCATACATGGTGCCATTCACAGTGAAGAGAAATGTAAACAAATGTAAAGATTCAGTATTAAATCATAACTGCATGAAATTACGTACCCACCTCCTCTTGCCATGGTGGTGAGCTCAAGTGTTGAGAGTATCTGCTTAAAATGCCACCATGTGATGCTAATCATCTCCCCTTGAGTGGTCTGCTTTAACAATAAATTGCATATGGAGATAAAAAGTGATCTCTCTTGAGGCTGCAGTGAGCTGTGAGCATGCCACTGCATTCCAGCTTGGGCAAAAGAGTGAGATTCTGGCTCAAAAAAGAAAAAAAAGCCATCTCTGGTAGTTCTCCTGTACGTTTCACCATGTACATTTCATCGTGTTTAGTGCAATACTGTAAACCATGAATAACACCGTGGGACTCACATGAAGTGCCACTACTGCTGCCAGAAGTGCTCCTAAAAAGCAAAGTCATGACATTCCAACAAAAAGTTGAATTGGTTAATATGTATCATAGATTGAGATCTGCAGCTGTGGTTACCTGCCATTTCAGACAGACGATGTAAAACTTAGAGTACTGATAAATACAGTACAATACTGTAAACGTATTTTATGTTTTTAAATCATTTTTTTGAGACAGGGTCCTACTCTATCACCCAGGCTGACTGGAGTTCAGTGACGCCTTTATGGCTCAAGCAATTCTCCCACCTCAGCCTTCTGAGTAGCTAGGACCACAGGTGCATGCACCATCTTGGCTAATTTTTGTATTTTTCATAAAGACGTTGTTTCAGCATGTTGCCCAGGCTGGTCTCGAATTCCTGGGCTCAAGCTATCCTCCCACCTCAGCCTTCTGAGTAGCTAGGACCACAGGTACATGCACCATCCTGGCTAATTTTTGTATTTTTCATAGAGACGTTGTTTCAGCATGTTGCCCAGGCTGGTCTGGAACTCCTGGGCTCAAGCAATCCTCCCTCCTTGGCCTCCCAAAGTGCTGGGATTACAGGTGTGAGCCACTGCCCCTGGCCTTAAAATCATTTTCTTTTCTGTGGCTTACTTCATTGTAGGAATACAGTATATAAAACATACGACATACAAAATATGTTAATTGATTGTTATCCATAAGACTTCTAGCCAACAGCGGACTATTAGTATAGTCATCCCTCCTCTCTGTATACATGACAGATTGATTCCAGGACCTCCTGCAGATACCAAAGTCTGCACATATTCAAGTCGCGTGCAGTCTATTTTTCAAAACCCACACATACAAAAAGTCAGTCCTCCATGTAAGCGGGTTTTGCATCCTGAGAATACTGTATTTTTGATCCATGTTTGGTGGGAAAAAAAAAACGTGTTTAAGTGGGCTCGTGAAGTTCAAACCCATGTTGTTCAAGGTTGACGTGTAGTTAAGTTTTTGGGGAGTCAAGTTATACCAAATTCTGACTGCATGGGAGATGGGGGGGCGAGTTAGCACCCCTAACCCCCATGTTGTTCAAGGGTCAACTGTATTGCCTCTTCCAATATGTTGTAAGAATAAGTATTGTTTCAGAAAAGATTTACTTCAAGGTATATATGCGTGTGTGCTTGTGTTTGTAATGGGTAGCAATGTAAAATGTATTCATTTTTGTAAGTCACAGACAAAAGTATCTAAAACTGCTACTGCTTTAGCAATAGCATTGCTGAATTGTATATCTTCAACCTTAACAGAGATAATGCCAGATTGCTCTCCAAAATTATTATACCAAATCACACTCTCAACAGCAGTGTGAGATGTTCCATATCTCTCTATATAGAATCTCTCTATATAGAATATCTATATAGATATTCTATATATTATACCTATGTTCCATATCCTCACCTGAACTTAATAGTGCCAGACTTTTAATGTGCTATCGATCCATTTAATGTGCTATCAATACTGGGTGTTGAATAGTATCTTAATGTTGTTTTCAGTTGCGTTTTTCTGATTTCCAGTACATCTTTTCATACATTTGACCATCTAAATTTTGCCTATTGTGAATCATCTGTTTATATCCCTTACTTGTATATTATACAATACAACCCTCACAACAGCTCTCTGAAGGAGCCAGCAGTATAGATGAAGAAACTAAGTCTGGGAGAAATGTTGCTTAAAGTAACCCAGCTAATGAGTTTTTGAGCTGAAATTTGAGTCCAGATGTAGAGGACCCGTAAACCTATGCCTTTTGTTTTACACTACATGCCAGGGCCCAAGGTCATGTTAGAAAAAAAAACAGAGGAAGAGCACAAATAAATTTGAACATGTAACCCTATGTCTTGTGTCTAATTAGGCTTTGTGCAATTAACATAGATTATTTCCTTGCTTCCTCACAACAACCTGTGAGGTAAAACGTGTTATCTCCATTCTACAGATGAGAAAACTAAGGTGTAGGGAAGTGAAGAAATTTGTCTTGGAAGGGTTAAATTACAGCTAGAAATTTGCCTTGGAAAGGTTAAATTACAGCTAGGGACAGAATTGCAACTCAAACACAGATCTGCCTGATTACCAAGTCCACGCCTGTTCCACAGTAATGTCTGTCCATAGATACTCCTGGTGTAAGGTAAAGGCCTCCCACAAATCAAGCCTGACTCATCATCTCCTAGAGCCAGGTCTTGACCTGCTTCCCCAGTTTCTCTCCAGATCCCCATATGTTTCTACTTCGGTACGGCCAGGACTATACCTACTATCTTTCTGCAGAATAATGGTCTGAGGCAGCCTTAAAACTGGCCGAGCCCTGCTGCTTCACATTAACCATCTGGGCTAGGTTAGCTCCCATAGATTACTCTTCCCCTTCCTCAGGCTTCTCTAATGAAGCCCAATAAGGATCTCAACACCTTCCAAGGTAAACCAGAAAATTATAAGTCAGAGTCCTTAAACGTGGCTGCACATTAAAATCACTTGTGAACTTAAAAAAATCCTGATGCACTAGTTACAACCCAGGCCCATTACATCAGAATGGTACCCAGGCATTCATAATAGTTAAAGCTTCCCAGATGATTCCAATCTACAGCCAAGATTGAGAACCACTGTTACGGCATCTTCTTCAAGCTCCAGCAGCCATACTCAGTAGTTTCCACATTTTAGGTTTTCATAGGAACTTCTTGGAGCACTGGTAAAGAGCCAGATTTCTGGACGCCATCCCAGAGAATCCTGGTTCAGACCCAGGAGTCTACATTCTTAATAATCACCCCAGATAGTTTCACTGCAGATTATTAGCAGACAATATTTTGAGAAATGCTGCATTAGAGGCATGGAAGTAGGATGGGAACAGGAGGCCTCTGGCCCTTTAAGGATGGATTAAGGGACTACTTTTAAGGCTGTAGGGGCAAGTAGGATCAGGCTGCTTTTTTTCATTCTAGTGGATAAGTTAAGGAAGTGGGTCCTGAAATGGACCTCTCCTTTTAAGTTACCTGAGCCTCTCAATAGGTACTATCTTGTTCTCAGCCCGGGAGAGCGGGAGGGGCATGCTGCCTTGTCCCACCTTCTGTTTCTGTTTCTTTTGATGCAAAGAGGCCAAGTTATGAGGCAACTTTGGTCCAGGAGATCCTCTTAGAGAAAGCAACATAGGGCCTGCCTGCCTTTCTTTTTCTTGCCCCATCCTTGGTTGTGGAGCCAGGATGCAGTTATCTGCATGAAAGGAAATGGTCAGAGTGACGTCCCTTGGGCTTGTGTTGGGGCCTGTTGTTGAACACTAAGCCTTTCAAGATGGTCCTCCTCAGTATTCTTAGAATTCTTTTTCTTTGTGAACTCGTGCTTTTCATGGAACACAGGGCCCAAATGGCAGAAGGAGGGCAGTCCTCTATTGCCCTTCTGGCTGAGGCCCCTACTTTGCCCCTGATTGAGGAGCTGCTAGAAGAATCCCCTGGCGAACAGCCAAGGAAGCCCCGGCTCCTAGGGCATTCACTGCGGTACATGCTGGAGTTGTACCGGCGTTCAGCTGACTCGCATGGGCACCCTAGAGAGAACCGCACCATTGGGGCCACCATGGTGAGGCTGGTGAAGCCCTTGACCAATGTGGCAAGGCCTCACAGAGGTGAGTTGTTATGCCCCCATACTGCCCTGGAAGGGAGAGAAGTGGAGAGGAGTGTAGAGAAAAGGGAATTGGTGGGTTTACTGTCAGGCTTTGTTGCCTTGTGGGCAGGTTGTTTCTTTAGGCTTGGTTTTCAAAGGATGGCAAGCTTTGGAGAAGCCAGCGCCAAGCCTACTTCCCTTTAGGGCATCAACTTAAGAACAGATTGCCTTGGTGCCTACTGAGAAATCTTTCCCAGGCCCCAGGACAACTGAGTGATGTGCCATCACCTATCTTTCACAGAAACTTTTATTGCTTGTGATAGTTCTGAAAACTGTAGAGACATATCCAGCTATATTCTTGTGGAGGGCTATTTAAGTGGCGTTTTGCTCTTAGAGTACAGCTTGCTGAGTTGGGGAAACTTATAAGGCCTCAGAAAGGACATAAATAAGCTTACATCTGAGGGTCTGTATACCTGGCTCTGTGAACATGTGCTACTGTATTTCTTAATGAAAGCTACTATCTTAACTGTCTTGATGCAATTAGCCTAATTTTAAAACTAAGGCACGGAGAGGTTAAGTAACTTGCAAATGGTACACAGATAGTGGGTCGCAGAGATGGGATTGCAGCTGAAGTCTGTCTGATTCTAAAGTCTGTCGGTAACTTCTTAAGTCTTTAAATGCAGTATTCCAATATCCTTGTACCCCCAATAGTTTTTCTACTTGGGCCATATTGCTACTTTGGGATTCTGGGACTAAGTGTATTTTGGAACTTTTTTTTGTCCCCATCATGCTTGATTTTGCTTTTAACATTTGCATCAGACATTGTTGCAGGACAACAGTGGGCTATTGAAGTGTAGGACTCTCTAGAGAATGCAGACAGTCATCAACTTCAAGGAATTCTTGGGAACCTAGTGAGATCAATCTGTAGCCTTCACTAGTCTGAGATGAAAAGGGACAGGACTTAATCCCCTCCCCAAGCAAAACAATAAATATTCTCGTACCTAACCCTTACTGTGAGATTACTGTGTGCCAGGCATTGCACAAAATGTTTTATAAACATTATCTTAATCCTCACAACTACCAGATTAGGTAGTATTAACATGCCTACTTGATAGGTGAAGAAACTGAGGATCAGAGTCACTTACCCATGTCATACAACCAGTAATTGCTAGAGCCAGGTATCAAACCCAGGCTCTCAGGCCCAAAGCCTGTGTGTTAATCATCTTGCTGTTCTGACTCCCCACTGGATTTTAATTGAGTGCCAGGCAGTGTGTTTGGGTTGGGTATATAGAAGCAAATACTTTTCCGACCTCTAGAAGTTCCCAGTATAGTGGAATGGATAGATAATTACATAATAATGTTACAGTATGCCAAGTGCTTTGGAAAGGACAAACAGTAGGGCTCCCAGGACCTATGAGAAGAAATGGCTCATTTCTTGAAGTGAAGAGACTGTTGGAAGGCCTCATGGAGGAGGTAGTACTTGAAACTGACCTTGCAGAAGGAGCAAAGAGGTCATGCATTGAGGCAGATAAGTGCATTCTGATTTAGGAAAGAGAAAATGGTGTGGGTAGAGATTCATTGAACAAATATTAGGTGCCAAATGTTGGCACCTACTGAGTACTAGGCATACAGATGTGATCAAGATAGGTAAAACCCCTACTTTCATGGAACATATGTTCTCGTAGGGGAGACAAATAAGCACACACAGTTAAATTGTGAATTGTGGTAAGTGCTATCAAAGGATGAAGTAGGTTGTTAAGATAGAGAATGGCAATGAAACCTTCCCTTTCCATGGACTTGTCAGGGAATGTATCTTTGAAGAAGTGCCATTTGAGCTCAGGTCTATAAGATAAACTAGGCATGAGAAGAGTAGGGAGAAGCCTGATTTAGGCAGAGGAACAACAGGTGCAAATGCCTAGAGGGTGAAAACAAGTTGGTTCCAATTGAAGAACAGAGGAAAATCAGTATGGCTGGATCCTCATGAGCATTGTGGGAAATGGCAGGGTATGAGGCTAATGAGAAGCAGGGACTTGTAGGCTGTGATAAGGGATCTGGATCCTAAGAGCAGCAGAAAGTTGCAAAAAATCAAGCACTTTGGGAGGCCAATATGGGAAGATCACTTGAGCCCAGGAGACTGAGACCAGCCTGAGCAACACAGGGAGACATGTCTCTACAAAAAATAAAAATACATTAGCTGGGTGTAGTGGTGCACACCTGTGGTCCCAGCTACTCACGAGGCTGAGACCAGAGGATCATTTGAGCCTGGGAGGTTGAGACTAGAGGAACATTTGAGCCTGGGAGGTTGAGATTGCAGTGAGGCATGATTGTGCCACTGCACTCCAGCCTGGGTGACAGTGAGGCCCTGTCTCAAGGAAAAAAAACAACAACCCCACAAATTAAGAAAAAATTAGGCTTGTACAGATGATGTGAGGCTAGAAAGGAGGATGCCTAGAATTAGACATGTATCCTGGTCTCACTGTGGAATATACTGGTATCTAGGGACTGTGGAAAGGATCCAGAGACAGATGACAGGTTCAATCACACAGGATGTGTGATTCAGCCCTTTCCCTGAAAAGCTTTGACCAGACCCTTCCTGGCTCTGATTCTTAGCAACCCCATCCTGCTTCAGGAAACATGTGATGTCAAGGTCTCAAAGAAAAGGGCAGTTCCTCCCCAGACAGCCTGCTAGAGGTTTGGGTTGAGTTCCTTTATAGCCAGGGTGGAGCAGGTTTAAGGGTGGGCCTCTAAGAAAGATTACTGTAAGATGGGAGTGTGGAATAACTTGAGAAAGCAAATACAAGCCTGGCTTGGATTTGTGTGAATAATGTCTAGTGCGCCAAGCCCAAGGGTATATTAAGCATGAGTTGGAATTTGACCTTTTATTTTACTTATTTTTTTGAGATGGAGTTTCGCTCTTATCATCCAGGCTGGAGTGCAGTGGCACAAACTCGGCTCACTACAACCTCTGCCTCCCGGGTGCACGCCATTCTCCTGCCTCAGCCTCCCGAGTAGCTGGGATTACAGGTGCCTGCCACCACGCCCGGCTAATTTTTTGTATTTTTAGTAGAGGCAGGGTGTCACCATGTTGGCCAGGCTGGTCTCAAACTCCTGACCTCAGGTGATCCGCCCGCCTCAGACTCCCAAAGTGCTGGGATTAGAGGCGTGAGCCACCGCGCCCAGCCGGAATTTGAACTTTTAAAGATATTCTGGGGCTGGGTGCAGTGGCTCAAAGGGCGGCTAATCCCTGCACTTTGGGAGGCCAAAGGGGGCAGATCGCTTGAACCCAGGAGTTCGAGACCAGCCCGGCAACATGGCAAAACCCTGTCTCTACAAAAAACAAAACAGAAAAAGCTGGGCATGTTGGCACATACCTGTAGTCCTTGCTATCCATGGGGGCTGAGGTGAGAGGATCTCTTGAACCTGGGAAGTCAAGGCTGTAGTGAGCCATGATTGTGCCACTGTACTCCAGCCTGGGTGACAGAGGGAGACTCTGGAAAAAAAAATTCTGGAACATCAAGATGTAAAAGAACTTCTGTGTTAAAAATGCCACATCTAATGAAGAATTCCAGGCTTGTGGATTCAGTGGAGAAGAAGGACTAGGTGAATAAATACAAATTAACATGGAATTATTTACTGATAAGATGTCTGAAGATGAGAGGTGGCTTTTTCCTGTGGTGCCAGGCTTTTGTAATCTTTGCTCTTGACCTTCGCCGGGAGGGGGTGCAGAAGTTTGGAGCACCATGGATGTAACCTTTCAATCCTTTGGCCGTTGAGTGTCAGCACTACAGTTTGGATTAAAGCTCTTATTCACAAAGCAGCATCCAGCTTTTAGTAGACTTCTCAGCAAACAAAATATTTATGTGATCAAGACTGTGTTGAAAATAGTATATAGAGGAATAGTGGTAAAATGAATGGGGTAAATGGAGAACAATTTCCAGCAAGGAGTGGTAAAGAGAGAGATTAAGGGCCAAAGGAGGAAAAGATGCTTAAGAAGCAATTCTTGAAGTAGATGGAAGGCAGAAGTGGTAAGATAGCTGTCTGTACTAGAGGATGATAGACAAAATTATTTTGTAGTGCCTTGGTCCTGAGTTTGAAATTATAGCAGGCCATAGCACCCAATACTGAATTGTTGTCCCAAAGCTGCATCTGTATAGTGATATGACATGAGACTCTTTCTTAATCCATGTATGTTTCAACAATTCTAAATGGACACATTTAATGGTCAACTAATAATAATATTGATCTTCTCCCCTACATACAGTATGCACACAAGATAATTCTATATTTGAGTTTTTTCCCCCGAGCCCAGCACTGTAAGTAATCTAACAGTGAGACAGTTTCTCTTAAGAAAAACAGACTTGGGTTCAAATCTTAACTCTACCACATACCAGCTGTGTGTCCTTTGTCATAGCTTCTCTGAGCCTCAATTTCCTTATCTGCAAAATGGGGATAATAACTATCTCATAAGACTATTAAGAATTAAAGAGCTAATACATGTAAAGCATCTAGTGTATTAGTAAGTGCTCAGTAAATGATAGTATCATTATCTTGAGTTAATTTTAGGGCTGATTATAGCTATCAGTCTATATCAAGACAGTTTATGAGGAATATTCATGTTAAGAGGTAAGAAGCTAAACCTCTGCTCTTGTTCCCTCTTACTTCTGCAGGTACCTGGCATATACAGATCCTGGGCTTTCCTCTCAGACCAAACCGAGGACTATACCAACTAGTTAGAGCCACTGTGGTTTACCGCCATCATCTCCAACTAACTCGCTTCAATCTCTCCTGCCATGTGGAGCCCTGGGTGCAGAAAAACCCAACCAACCACTTCCCTTCCTCAGAAGGAGATTCCTCAAAACCTTCCCTGATGTCTAACGCTTGGAAAGAGATGGATATCACACAACTTGTTCAGCAAAGGTTCTGGAATAACAAGGGACACAGGATCCTACGACTCCGTTTTATGTGTCAGCAGCAAAAAGATAGTGGTGGTCTTGAGCTCTGGCATGGCACTTCATCCTTGGACATTGCCTTCTTGTTACTCTATTTCAATGATACTCATAAAAGCATTCGGAAGGCTAAATTTCTTCCCAGGGGCATGGAGGAGTTCATGGAAAGGGAATCTCTTCTCCGGAGAACCCGACAAGCAGATGGTATCTCAGCTGAGGTTACTGCCTCTTCCTCAAAACATAGCGGGCCTGAAAATAACCAGTGTTCCCTCCACCCTTTCCAAATCAGCTTCCGCCAGCTGGGTTGGGATCACTGGATCATTGCTCCCCCTTTCTACACCCCAAACTACTGTAAAGGAACTTGTCTCCGAGTACTACGCGATGGTCTCAATTCCCCCAATCACGCCATTATTCAGAACCTTATCAATCAGTTGGTGGACCAGAGTGTCCCCCGGCCCTCCTGTGTCCCGTATAAGTATGTTCCAATTAGTGTCCTTATGATTGAGGCAAATGGGAGTATTTTGTACAAGGAGTATGAGGGTATGATTGCTGAGTCTTGTACATGCAGATGACAGCAACAGTACGGCTAGATCAGGTTTCCCAGGAAACTGGAGGAGAGTTTAAAATATCAGTGTTAAAGCTGCAAGTAATCCTGTACCAATCTGTAGGTTATATTTCTTGCCTTAAGTGTTACTTAAGTCTCTTCCCCCACTTGTGAGCTAGTCAGTTTATAGAAACAGTTCTGATACCAGTCCCCTAGCATGAATCAGTACAGTTTGACCACTAATCAGAGCCCTTAATGCTTGGGTAAAATGTCCTCTATTTTACTTTCCTTGGGGCTTTGTCAAAAGTCAGCAGTCAGTAGTGGTAGAACTTCAGAAATTTTCCAACTTTTCCCAGCCTGGGAAAGGTGGGTGTCCATATTTTCCTAGTGTCCATATTCTGACGCTCTATAAGATTTGGGGTGGTGAAAATAGCTTGGGATTTTATACTCCTCTTCTTGCCTCCTATGTCCTGGAAACTACTAGTAGCTAATCAGATAAATTGCCTGCTTCTGTGTTAGTATTACCTTCTAAAACTTTTCTCAGACTGGAAATTTTTCAGGTAACAGTCTTTATAGAAATCTTTTGAGGGACTAGAAGGAAGGAAATGTTTTTCTAAACCAGCAGGGCTTTTCCTCTTAGCCTCTGAATCTGGGAAAAGTATCTGGGATTATTTCCTGTCCTAGGTGAGTACAGTAGCATTTAATGAAGCCCATAAGGAAACTAGAGTATGGAGCTGTCTGAGATAATCTACTTCAAACCTGCATTTATGGTGAAGAAGAGAAAACCTGTCATTGCTGATTAGTATTATGAATGGGGGAGTTATTTTAAGTATTCTATGGAACAATAGAGTTCAGAGTATTTTCCTTATGTGACACTTAAACCCCTGTAAATTATCCTACAAAGTTCCTTGGTGGCTCCGAGGCTAGGAGTTGGCCTGATTGGGGGTGCAGGGGATTAGAGGGCTGTGAAGGAAGGACTACAGAATAAGGGTGAAACCTGCCAAGGCCTGGAGCTGACTTTATTCTGGGCTTGCCTGTTTCTTGTGTTCAGTTTGGATCTGGACCGGGGTCTCTAAGGGAGAAGGGCTTGTTGTCTTTGGGAGACATGGAACGATGCCTTGAAATAAATGATGCTTGCAGTGTGACTCCTTTCTACTCCTATACTGTATTTAAATGACGGGACTGGGTTTTGTTGCAAATAAATCATTTCACTGTTGAAGAAAATCTTGACTGTTTTTAGAATTGGGAGAGATTGGAAGGAATTTATTTCCTTTGTTCCCTTTAGCTATGGCTAGGAATTCAACCCTAATCCCTGAGGGGCAGGGCTGGAGCGTCCTCTGAAGTTCTTCTCTCTTAAGGAAACACTGCTAGCCATCAGCCCTCGCCAAGGTGCCCCTTTAGGGAAGCCCCTAAGGGGCCAGTAAGTCTTTCCCTGCCCAATTGCTCTTGACTAGTCTTATGGCAATTCTCATGGGATGGGACTGATTTAGGGTAGGTATGTGTGTTTGTCAAATCCCTACGTTTCTTACCTATTCATTGTAAACTAACTCCTTTTACCACTCCCTTCAAAAGCTGGTTCCAACTAGGCTGAATATCTTGCAAGTGTATAAATGCAAATTTTATTCTTGTGACTGAGGAGCTATTCCTTAACATCAGTTTGCCTGTCTACCTTCTTTACTGTATCCTTAAGAATCAACTCAGGCATTTCTCATCTTCTCAATGTCCCCTTGACATACCAGCCTCAGGTGTGTATTAAGTTTCCTATGTATTCAGACCTCACAAAGCTAGGAGATCATGACTTATTGAAAATCCCTAAGATCCAAGATGCTAAACTTAGGATCTGGTCTTATAACCAAGGTCCATCTTCAGCTAGACTGAATATTTTGCAAGTCTCTAGGTGTCCCTCTGTGTTCATATAGCACTTTATACCTGCCTTTAATACGCTCTAGTATATATGTCTATTCTTACAAAAACACGGAGCCCCTTTTGAGTTTCAACTGCATCTTACCCTTTTCTATATTATAAGAGCCTGGCATCTAGTAGGTCCTTAATGAATACAAACACTCAATTATGACATTTTTTTGTGAGTGATGCATTCTTCCTGACATGGAACATCTCAATTTTCACATATTTTATTTTTCCATGGGAATCAATGTAATATAAAATAGTTTGTGTATCAAGTAAGATGATTATTATATCCTACTATTTCAAAATCATGATTTAAATTATAATAGAATGTAATAGCTATGTTAAGTAAGGCAGTTCTTGTAATCATTATATATGCTGCAGATTTATCTGGGAGGGGAACTATGGGCTTCCAGTCTAGCCATTTCTCCAGCCTACTTGGGGTAGGCACAAATATCTAACAGGCCTGAAGATGGACCTCGATTATAGGACCAGATCCTGAGTTCAGCATCTTTGTTCTTAGGGATTTTCAGAAAGTCATGATCTCCTAGCCTTGTGAGTGCTGAATACATAGGAAACTTAATCTGTTTATGGAAGGTTCAGGATTAATTGGCCCTATTATCCATTAAGCCCTGAGTTATCAGAATACCCAAGAAAAACACTGGCAGGATGGGGTTACTTAGGATGATGTTATGGATTCTTCCTTTGAAATATTGCTTCAGTTCAGTACTTTTTCTCAAATCCAAAGTTAGAGTTCTATACCTCAAACCTTCCTCTGAGAGGAAGAATACATGCTTGCTAGTGGAGGAGGGTGCGTGGGTGGGGGTGGGGCCTGTCTGCCCATGTAGGTGGGGAGAAATGGTTACTTGATCTGGAAAGGGAAAGTAGGAAGCAAGTCCACATAGTCCCAACAATCCCAATGAGTAAGCTGGAACTTCATTTAATGTATGGGTGCAAAAGGAGCAGGAGCAGGCATTTAAACTTGTGTCTGATCGTGGATCTCTTTTGCATTTACCTTGGTAGTATGTCACAACCAATTCTGGGCAAAGTTGGGAAGCAGGCAGAACTTCAGTTACACAAACTATTTGGCCTAATCTTGTAAAACATTTCATGTCTTCAGTTAATTCTCCCAAGAGCACTATGAAGTAGGAGGTATTAGTCTTATTTTCTAAAAACTGCCTCATTGAGGTGTAATTTACCATAAAAGCTACTATTTAAGGTGTACAATTCAGTGGTTTTTAGTATATTCACAGACTTGTGTAAATATCACCACAATCTAATTTCACCACAAAAGAAACCTCATGCCTTTTAGTGGTCAATCCCCATTCCCCCAACCTTTACCAACAGCTCCTGACAACCACTAGTCTACTTTCTTTTTCTCTGGATTATGGACATTTAAATAAATAGAATCACATGATATTTAGTTTTTGTAACTGGCTGCTTTAGTATGTTTTCAAGATTCACCTGTGTTATAGCATATATCCATACTTTGTTTCTTTTTGTTACTGAATAATATTCTATTGTAGGATATACCAAACCTTTATCCATCAATCTGATGGAAGTTCAAGTTTCTATGTTTTGACTATTATGAATAATCTTGCCATGAATGTTCATGAGAAGTTTTTGTGTAGACACATATTTTCATTCCTCTTGTGTATACACCTAGGAGTAGAAATGGTATATCATATGGTATATTTAACATTTTAAGGAACTGCAAAACTATTTTCCAAAGTGGCTGCACTCTTTTATAATCCAGCAATGTATGAGAGTACCAATTTCTCCACATCCTCATCAACAGTCATTATTGTCTGTGTTTTATATTCTAGCCATATTGGTGGAAGTGAAATGGTGCCTCCTTGTGGTTTTGATTTGCATTTCCCTAAGGATTAATGATGTGGAGCATCTTTTCATGTGCTTATTGGCAACTGGCACATCATCTTTGGATAAATGTCTATTCAAACCATTTGCCCAGTTTAAAATTGTGTTGTCTCTTGTTGTGTTGTAAAAGTTCTTCATATGTTTTGGATATTAATCTCTTATCAGAGCTATGATACACAAATATTTTCTGATTCTGTGGATTATTTAACTTTCTTGATGGTGTTCTTTGAACACAAAAGTTTTTAATTTGGAAGAAGCCCTGTTTATCTATTTTTATCTATTGCTGCTTGTGCTTCTGGTATCATTGGAGAAAAATCGAATAATCCAAGTGTCATGAAAATTTACGCCTATGTTTTTTTCTAAGTGTTTTCTAGTTTTAGCTGTTATATTTAGGTTTTAAATCTATTTTAGTTAATTTTTGCATACTGTGTGAGGTAAAAGTCCAACTTCATTCTTTTGCATGTGGTTATATAGTTGTCCTGGCATCATTTATTGAAAAGATTAATCTTTCTCCATTGTCTTGGCACATGTGTAAAAAATGACCATAAATATAAGTTTATTTCTGTACTCTCAAGTTTATTCCATTGATCCATATGTCTATTATGCCAGGACAATACTGTCTTTATAATTGTAGATATGTCGTAAGTTGTGAAATTGGAAAGTGTTGGCTGGGAGTGGTGGTTCACACCTGTAATCTCAGCACTTAAGGAGGCCAAGACAGGTAGATCACTTGAGGCCAGGAGTTCAAGACCAGCCTGGACAACATGGTGAAACTTTGTCTCTACTTAAAAAAAAAAATACAAAAATTAGCCGAGTATGGTGGCGCACAACTGTAATCCCAGCTACTGGGGAGGCTGAGGCATGAGAATGGCTTGAACCTGGGAGGCAGAGGTTGCAGTGAGCTGAGATCATGCCACTGCACTTTAGCCTGGGTAATGGAGTGAGACCCTGTCTCAAAAACAAAAACAAAACAAAAAAATTGGAAAGTGTGATTCTTCCAAATATTTTATTCTTTAGCAAGATTGTTTTGGCTATTCTGAGTCACTTGTATTTCCATATTAATTTTAGGGTCAACTCTTCAATTTCTACAAAAATACCAGCCGGATTTCTTTGATGGGGGCTACATTGAATCTACTGACAAATTTGAATAGTATTGCCATTTTGACGTTAAGTCTTCTGATCTGTAAACATGAGACATCTTTTTATTTAGGGACTCTAACTTTTTCAATGATGTTTTAACATTTTCAGTAGATGTCTTACTTAAATTTATTCCTAAGCTTTTAAAATTATTTTTGATGATATTATAAATGGAATTGTTTTCTACATTTTGTTAAATCAGACTGTTTATTACTAATTTGTAGAAATACAATTCATTTTTTTGTGTTGAATTTATACCCTGCAGACCTGCTGAACTCATTTATTACATCTAATAGTTTGTGTAGATTTCTTAGGATTTTCTGTAAACAAGTTTATATCATCTGGGAATGTGGATAGTTTTACTTTCTTTCTTTCCAAACTAGATACCTTTTATTCTTGCCTAATTGCTTTGGCTAGAACTTCCAATACAACATTGAATAGAAGTTGTGAGAGCAGACATTCTTTTCTTGTTCTTGATCTTGAGTGAAAGCATTCAGTCTTTCATCATTAATTATGATGTTAGCTGTGGTTTACTATAGATATGTGACTAATACTTACTTTAAAGTTACAGTAATCAAGGTATTGTAGTATTGGGGAAAGAATAAACACATAGATCAATGGAACAGAATAGAAAACCCAAAAAATAGATCCACACAAATGCAGTCAATTAATCTTTGACAAAGGAGCAAAGGCAATTCAACAGATAAAGAGTAATTTTTTCAACAAATAGTGCTAGAACAAAAACAAATCTAGACAAAGACCTTATACTTTCAATAAGAGTTTATTGAAAATTGATCATAGATATAAATGTCAAACACAAACTATAAAACTTCTAGAAGATAACATAGGAGAAAATATAAATAACTTTGAGTTATGTGATGACTTTTCTGAGACAAAACCAAAAGCATTATCTAAAAAAGCAAAAATAAGTTGGGCTTTGTTAAAATTAAAGCTTCTGTTGTGTGAAAGACTGTTAAGAATATGAAAAGATAAGCCACAGACTGAAAAAAAATTGCAAAACATATTAGATAAGGGGCTTGTATCTAAAATATACAAAGAACTCTGAAAACTCAACAGTAAGAAAATCAATTAAAAATGGGGAAAACATATGAACAAACACCTCAAAAAATAAAAGGCATGGGCTGGGCACAGTGGCTCACGCCTGTAATCCCAGCACTTTGGGAGGCTGAGGTGGGTGGATCACGAGGTCAGGAGTTCAAGACCAGCCTGGCCAATATGGTGAAACCCCGTCTCTACTAAAAATACAAAAATTAGCCGGGCATGGTGGCACGCATCTGTAGTCCCAGCTAATCGGGAGGCTGAGGCAGAAGAATCACTGGAACCCAGGAAGTGGAGGTGGCAGTGAGCCAAGATCATGCCACTGCACTCCAGCCTACATGACAGAGTGAGACTCCATCTCAAAAAAAAGGCATATATGTGGCAATAAGCATATGAAAAGATGCTCAACAACATATATCATTAAAACAATGAGGTACCACTGCACACCTATTAGACTAGCTAAAACCCAAAATACTGATATCAAATGATGGTGAGGATATGGAGAAACAGGAACTCTCATTCATTGCTGGTGGGAATACAAAATGGTGTAGCCACTCTGGCAGACAGTCTGGCAGTTTTATAAAACTACAGTCTCATCATACAATCTGGCAATCACATTTCTTGATACTTATTTGAGTTAAACTTATGTTCATACAAAAACCTGCGCACAAATGTTTATAGCAGATTTATTCATAATTGCCAAAACTTGGAAGTAACCAAGATATTCTTTAATGGGTAAATGAAAAACAAACTGTGGTACATGTATACAATGGGATATAATTCAGCAATAAAAAGAAAATGGCTATCAAGCCATGAGAAGATATAGAAGAGCCTTGACTGGATATTGCTAAATGGAAGAAGCCAGTTTGAAAAGGCTATATACTGTATGGTTCCGTTCATATGACATTCAGAGAAAAGGCAAAACTATAAAAGATCAATGGTTTCCATGGGTTTGCTGGGAGGGAGGCGTGGAGCATGGGGCATATTTAGGGCAGTGAAACTCTTCTGCATGATTCCATAATAGATTCATGTTATGTATTTGTCAAGACCCATAGAACTGTACAACTGAAAGAATGAACACTAATGTAAACTATGGCCTTCAGTTAATAATGTGTCAATACTGGTTCATCAATTATAACAAATGTGCCACACCAGTGAAAAATGTTAATAACAGGAGAAAGCTGAAAGATGTGTTGGGGAGAAAAAGGTATATGGGAATGCTCTGTACTTTTAAGTTTTTATTCTTAAATTGACAAAGTTGCATGCAATATACCATGTACAACATGACTTGAAATATACACCGTGGAAGAACTAAATCAAGCTAATTTAACATGTGTTACCGGCCAGGTGCGGTGGCTCATGCCTGTAATCCCAGCACTTTGGGAGGCCGAGGCGGGTGGATCATGAGGTCAGGAGTTTGAGACCAGCCTGGCCCACATGGTGAAACCCCGTCTCTACTGAAAAATACAAAAAATTAGCCGGGCATGGTGGCACGCACCTGTAATCCCAGCTACTTGGGAGGCCGAGGCAGGAGAATCACTTGAACCAGGGAGGCAGAGGTTGCAGTGAGCCGAGATCATGCCATTGCACTCCAGCCTGGGTGACAGAGTGAGACTCCATCTCAAAAATGAAAAATAAAAAAAAATAAAAAAAAATATGTATTACCTCACGTAATACTTTTGTGGTGAGAATACAAAATCTCTTAGCATTTTCAAGAATACAATGTATTGCTATTAACTATAGTCAGCATGTTATGGACTAGATCTCCTAAAATTACTGCTATCTAACTGAAATTTTTTATTCTTTGTTCAACACCTCCCACCCCAGCTGCTGGTAACCACTATTTTATTCTCTGTTTCTGTAAGTTCAACTCCTTTTTTAGATTCCATGTGTAAGTGAGATCATGCAGTATTTGGCTTTCTTACCTGGCTCATTTCACTGAGCATAATGTCCTCCATCCTCCAGGTTCATCTGCATTATCACAAATGACGAGATTTCTTTTTTATGGCTGAATAGTATTCCACTGTGTATATATATCACATTTTCTTTTTTTTATATTATACTTTAAGTTCTGGGGTACATGTGCAGAATGTGCAGGTTTGTTACATATGTATACATATGCCATGGTGGTTTGCTGCACCCATCAACCCATCATCTACATTAGGTATTTCTCCTAATGCTATCCCTCCCCTAGCCCCCCACCCCCAAACAGGCCTCAGTGTGTGATGTTCCCCTCCCTGTGTCCATGTGTTCTCATTGTTCAACTCCCACTTATGAGTGAGAACATGCAGTGTTTGGTTTTCTGTTCTTGTGTTACCTTGCTGAGAATGATGGTGTCCAGCTTCATCCATGTCCCTGCGAAGGACATGAACTCATTCTTTTTTTATGGCTGCATAGTATTCCATGGTGTATATGTGCCACATTTTCTTTATCCAGTCTATCATTGATGGGCATTTGGTTTGGTTCCAAGTCTTTGCTATTGTGAACAGTGCCACAATAAACATACGTGTGCATGTGTCTTTATAATAGAATGATTTATAATCCTTTGGGTATATACCCAGTAATGGGATTGCTGGGTCAAATGGTATTTCTAGTTCTGGATCCTTGAGGAATTGCCACACTGTCTTCTACAATGGTTGAACTAATTTACACTCCCACCAACAGTGTAAAAGCATTCCTATTTCTCCACATCCTCTACAGCATCTGTTGTTGAAAAAAGGTTAAAGCATATACCACATTTTCTTTATCTATTCATCCATTGATGGACACTTGGGTTGATTCCATATTTTGGCTACTGTGAATAATACTGCAATAAATATGGGAGCGCAGATATCTCTTGAACATATTGAGTTCATTTCATTTGGATATATATCCAGTAGTGGAATTTTTGGATCATATGGTAGTTCTCTTTTTAATCTTTTGAGGAACCACCATACTATTTTCCATAATGAGTGTAATAATTTACATTCCCACCAACAGTGTGCAAGGGTTACTTTTTGTCCACATCCTTGTCAACACTTTATCCTTTGTCTTTTAAAAAAAATATTGTAAATTGAAAATTGATTGCTGCATATATTTATGGGGTACAACATGGTATAATTTATAAATATAACATGAAATGATTAAATCCAGCTAATTAGCATCTCTATGATCACAAATACCACTTTTTGTGGTGAAAACATTAAATTTACTCTCCTAGAAATTTTGAAATGTACAGTACCATGCATAGTGAATATTAACTTTATTAACTATACTTTATTAAATATATTCACCATGCTGTGCAATAGATCTCAAACACCTTATTTCTTTTGCCTGATATTTTGTAGCCTTTGACTATCATCTCTCCAGCATCCCCACCCCTGAGTCTCGGTAACCACCATTCTACTTTGTATCTATGAGTTCAATTGTTTTAGATTCTACATACAAGTGAAATCACATGGTGTTTGTCTTTCTGTACCTGGCTTATTTCACTTAGCATAATTTTCTCCAATCCCATCCATATTGTTGAAAATGACAATTTCCTTATTTTTGCAGACTGAATAGTATTCCATTGTGTACATATACTACATTTTCTTTATCCATTCATCGCTGATGGACACTTAGGTTGATTCCATAACTTGGCTATTGTAAGTAGCCAATAAACATGGGAATGCAGATATCTTCCACAAACTGATTTCAAATATTTTGGGTAAATACCCAGAAATGGGATTGCTGCATCATATGGTGTATTAGTATGGTCTTACACTGCTATAAAGAACTACCTGAGACTGTGCAATTTATAAAAATAAAAAAAAGACATTTAATTGACTCACAGTTCCACAGGCTGTACAGGAGGCATGGCTGGCGAGGCCTCCAGAAACCCACAATCGTAGCAGAAGGGTGAAGGGGAAGCAAGCACGTTTTCACAAGGCTGCAAGAGAGAGAGCTAAGGGGGAAGTGCTACACACTTTTAAACAACCAAATCTCGTGAGAACTCACTATCACAAGAAGAACAAGGGGGAAATCTGATGCCATGATCCAATCACCTCCCACCAGGTCCCTCCCCCAACAATGGGGATTACAACTCAACATGAGATTTTGGTGGAGACACAGAGCCAAACCATATCATATGGTACTTCTTCTACTTTTAGTTTTTCGAAGAACCTCCATACGGTTTTCCATAATGACTATACTAATTTATATTCCCACTAACCATGTACAAGTAGTCTCTTTTCTTCACTCCCTTGCCAACACTCTATCTTTTGTCATTTTGATAATAGCCATCTTGACACGTGTGATATCTTACTATGGTTTTGATTTGCATTTTGCTGATAATAGTGATACTGAGAATTTTTTCATATACCTTTTGGCCATTTTATGTCTTCTTTGGAGAAATGTCTGTTCAGGCTCTTTGCCCATTTTTTAATCAGGTTATTTGTTTTCTTGCTGTTGAATTGTGTTCCTTGTATATTTTGAATATTAACCTCTTATCAGATATGTGGATTGGAGCAGGCCTATATCCTGGCGTTATGGGGGCTGACACAGCTCTGGGCTAGTCTAAAACATGGAACAGGCTTGTGGCCTATGTGTTCAGGGGCTGGCCTGGAGGATGGGTTTATTGGTGCTGGCCTGAAGACTAGGGCTGTGGATGCTGTCCTGTGCTAGGGTGCTGGGTGAAGTTTGAGGCCTAGAGTCCTGGGATTGGCTTTGGCCCTGGATGTGCCTGGAGACTGGGTCTGAGGGGGGCTTGCCTGGCACTGGTGTGGGCCCAAAGCCTGGTGCTGGCTTGGCACTGAGGGTGGTCCAGAGCCTGGGGCCACTGAGGTTTGCCTGGCAGTAGGGAAAACCAGAGATTCAGTCTACCATACCAGCCTGGAGTCTGGGGTTGTAGTGTCCAGCCTGGTGCTGGGGCAAGCCTAGAAACTTAGTCCATGGGTATTGGCCTGGGGCCTGGAGCTGTGGAGTCTGCCTGTTGCTGGGCTTTACTGTGGCAGATCTAGTGTTGGCATCCAAAGTTAAGTCTGATGCTCACTTTTCTCTCTTTCACCCAAGCAAAGGATATCTCTTTCCACACTCTGATGACTGTAGTTGGGAGAGCGGTGACTCAGGTAATGTAAAACTGTCCCCTTTTTAGGAATGGATATTGTGTAGTCAAAAACTTTGGGGCTGAGACCATGGGGAAAGTAGACAGAACCATGAAGGGAGATAAACTGCTTGTGTTGAGCAATTCATTTGTTGTCTCTTGTTTCTGTACCAGTAGGCCTAAATAAGTATTGGCATAATTGATTTTTTTGGGTTATAGTATATTTTATTGTATATTACTAAAAAGATATACACTTTATATCAAGCTGGGTATGGCTGAGAATAATATGTGACCAGGAGGAGAGACAACCATCAGTGCTGTTACTATGTGTTCATTGTTCCCTAGGCCTGTCCTATATGTTTCTTACTAGCAGTAGGACTTGTCAAGACAGCATTACAATAAATGGGGAATTATTTTACTTAGCCTGGGCCACATATCAGCCATGGGGGGAATGTGATCCCGTATCTACAAAATAATGTTTAAATGTTATCTTGGTGTGGTATTGCATGCCTGTAGTCATAGATATTCAGGAAGCTGAGATGAGGAGATTGCTTGAGCCCAGAAGTTTGAGGCCGAAGTGAGCTATGATCACACCACTACACTCCAGCGTGAGCGACAGAGCAAGGCCCTGTCACAAAAAAGAAGAAAAAGAAAGAAGAAATGAAGGAGAAGGAGGAGGCTCTGACTTTGAGGAGAGTTCAGTGTAACAAGGTAGAAGAAATGTTTTTTGTTGTTGTTCCTTCATCTCACCCTTCCACTTAGTACACACACATGCATTGTGTCTGTCAACAGCTGGGCAGTGCTGAGAAGAAGGACTGTGCTTCCTATGGACATTCTCTAGACCTGTACATTTAACATCAGCTCACAAATTTTCCTATCCCACAGGAATGCAGAACCCTTGCATCATATGGCGCATCTCCCTGCCTTTCTCCATTCACCACAGGTCTTACATTTTCCAATAACATAAGGATTATTTTTCTCTTTCTAGAGTATACACACACTGTGGTCTTCTCATCTTTTACATCCCCTCATAAACCCGGAGTGAGCACGTTATTAGGAAGGATCCCTGTGTATAAATTCCCTACTTCTTACTATTTTCTTATATCCCAGTGGTCCAAAACCAAAAATTATACCCTCTCTTATCATCCTCATAAGAATGATAATAGGCAGCATGTATCAAATGCTTATTAATCAGGTAATGTTTTAAATAATTTACAAGTATTATATTGTTTATTCCCTGCAGCCACTTTATAAGGTGGCTCTTATTATTACCTCTGTTCTGCAGATGTAGAACTGAAGCCCAGAGGTCACATAGCCGGCACAAGGTCATTAGCTGATAAGGGATGGCACCAGAATTTGAGTCCCAGTGGTCTGACTTCAGAGTCCCTGCTCTTAACCACGATACTATTATGCCTCCCATAGCTGGACACAGAGTTGTTTTACAATTGATATCTGTTGTAAAATTGTTCCCTAAAGTGTACACTGTCTCTGACTCTATGGAATGACTGCATGCAACGATGAGATATAATCTGTGTTAGTTGTCTATTGCTGCCTAAAGAATTACCCCAAGACCTAGTGGCTTAAAACAATATTTACCATCTTAGTTTCTACAGATCAAGAATTTGGGCACAGCTTAGTAGGGTGCCTCTGGCTTTGGGTCCCTCACGAGGGTGCATTAAAAAATAAATTACTTTCAAAATAATAAAAGTAATGCATATGCCTAGTTAAATATCCCAATAGTACTAAAAATATAAAATCCTACTGTCCAGAGGCAGTCTCTATTACCAATTTATTGTGTATCCTTCCAGAACTCTTGTATAAACTTACACATATGTAGCTGAACTGTTTTCTAAATCTCTGTAATTATTAGTTTATTAGTATCATCTAGGCCTCAGATGTTCATTATCCCTCCTGAAATTACATAAACAAATGTAAATGAAAATAATCCAAGTCAAAATTGTATAACAAAATAGCACTCCATCACAAAAGCATGTAAAATTACAAGAATGTTATTTTAAAATACTGGCACTTTAAGAAAATGATAATATCAAAATAAACAAAATTTCCAAATTGTTCCCTAAACTGCTAAGCAGATAAACATGACTAATGAATGAGTTTGGGTTTTGTAAAGAAAAATTATTTAAATAAATCAAATAATTCATACTGAGTTGCAAAGGTTGTATCTTCTTTCCTCCTATCTATTTGATTTATAAAGGGGCAAGCTGTAATATAGGAAAATGTAACCTATTTTAAACGTGGCATCTTCATTTTAAAAGCTGGTCCAATTAATTAAAAATACTTTTTATGGAGAGTTTTGAGTTTCCTGAGCAGTTCATATTTAGATAAATGGGAAAAGACATCTACAGCCAGCATTTTCATAGTCTTTACTAGTATCAACCAAAAATTTAATATGGCAGTCTTATATTTTAAGCTCACACCTTTTGGGGATACAGTCTCAAGTCTTCTTGAATGTCAGAACTGCAAAATACAATTGCCGTTATATGGTAATGGGAGTTAAAGAACATAGAGTCCTCATGTAAAGATTAGAACACACTTTTCTATTTAGTGCTTCAAAGGACGGACTTTCAAAATGTTTGATCTTAATAATCCCATGCTGTGAGTAGACTGATTACTCTTCAGTTTGTAAATATAAGTGGGCTATGTGAAATTTATCAACTGATTAAGATTTTTGAGCTTCAGTTATGGATGACGATGATCTCAATTTAACTTTATTTACCCCCATCATGATATGCAGGGTGTGTAGACAAAAGCATTTTATCAGCTACCTATATGAGAGGATCAACACTGTAATAATTCATGTGATCCAAAATGGGCAAAAGCAAAAGACTAGCTTCCCTTCAAGAAGAAAAATTTCAGACCTATGAAAAGGACTACAATACTAATTTTAAAAACTGTATTAGAAGCATTCATAATGTCAGCAAAATTGCTACAACTTTTTTGCAATTAGTGTGATATTCAGTTAACAGAACAACTATTTCATATAAGCTGCACCAGAGACAACTGAAGATGAAAAAATTACCATCCCCGTATATAACTAATTTGTGCTGTGCACCAACAAGAACCTGCTTTAAATTCCCATGCCAATTTACAACCCCTATACCATACCAGGCAGTTTGTGGCCATCTAAAGACACATTTGGTAGTGGGATAACTACACACACACACACAAAAAGACACTGTAAGGTTTAAAAACAAATTATGTACAGCTTATAGTTTAATTTTTTTCCTTTAAAAGCAGTGAGTTGTGTACAGGGGGCTTAAATGTTTTATAGACAATAAACAAATGGCTAGAACCAACTTATTCATCATTATTACCTTTTTAATTTTCATATTCCTCATTTTGTCCTCTTCCTTCTTTTTCTTGCATTTTTCAGCCTTGATGGCTCCCTTTTTTGCAGCATCAGGTTTTCCTTTACCTCCAAATGCAGCAATATCCTTTTCATATTTTTCCTTCAGCTTCACAGCCTTCTTTTCATAAGGGTGCTTGTCATCTTCAGCAATGTAATTCCACATCTCTCCCAGTTTTTTTGCAACATCACTAATTGATAGGCCAGGATGTTCTTTGATTTTTGGGCAATCCTCAGAAGAGAACATGAAAAAGGCCAAAGGAGGGCTCTTGGGTGCATTGGGATCTTCGAACTTCATTTTGGTCTCTGCTTTTGGAGGGATATAGATTTTCATTTCTCTTTCATAATGGGCCATGTCCACCTTTACTGAGTCTTCAAATTTTCATTTCTTTTCAGCAGACAAGGTCTTCCACCTCTCTGAGCACTTCTTAGGAAACTCTGAGAAGTTGACTGAAGCATCTGGGTGCTGCTTCTTGTGCTCCTCCCAGGAAGTTTGCACAAAGATTGCATATGATGTGATGACATTTCGCCTTTCAGCTTGTTAGGATCTCCTTTGCCTATGTTATTTTTCTTCAGCAAGGCAGAATCACCCAGTGCCTGTTTGGCTCTCACCTGCCCTGGAGCTGTCTCTATGGAGCTCAATGTACTGCAGTGGCTGTGAGAGTGGGAGCCAGATGCAGCCTCCTCGCTCTCTCCACTCTGTAACCTGAACTTTTTCTTAAAACCAATGGAATCACTCATGTTGCTTTGCACAGTCTCTTCTTAACTTGTTCATTAACAACATGTTCAATACATATAGGCCCACCTCATTCCATAGTTGTTCTAATGATTGCTTTTTCCTGAGGCCTAAACAAAGAAGATAGCTAGAGTTGGAACTCACTTTCCTCATTTATACAATGAGAAAAATAACAAATCTTAAGCTTATTAATAATACTGTTATGAAGATTAAGCCAATGCATGTAAGGTATTTAGAATGGTGTCTCACATATAGTAAGCATGAAATAAGTATTGACATTTCTTGTTAGTTTTTTCAACCTTCCAATCCAAGGAATGAGACTGACTCACATTTAAAAATAATGAGTCCAATCCAGATATTAGAATAGTGATAATAGCAGCAGCTAACACTTATCTGGCACAATACATGCCATGAGTTGTTATAAAATCTTTGTGTGTGCAAACATACCTCATTTTATAGCACTTTACTTTATTGCATGTCACAGACACTGCGTTTTTTACATATTGAAAGTTTGTGGGAACTCTGTATCAAGCAAGTATATTTGTGTCATTTTTCCAGTAGCATGTGCTTACTTCATGTCTCTGTCACAATTTGGTAATTAGTGGAATATTTCAAAGTTTTTCATTATTATGTCTGTTATGATGATCTGTTATCAGTGATCTTTGATGTTACTATTGTAATTGATTCAGGGTACCATAAACTGTACCCATATAAGACAGTGAACTTAATAAATGTATGTGTTCTGACTGCTCCAACTGATCATTTCCCCATCTCTCTTCCTCTTCTCAGGACTCCCTACTTCCTGAGACACAATGATATTAAAATTAAGCCAATGAATAACCCTACAGTGGCCCCCAAGTGTTCAAGTGGAAGGAAGAGAATCACGTTTCTTACCTTAAATCAAAAGCTAGACATGATTAAGCTTAGTGAAGGAGGCCTATCAAAAGCCAAGATAGGCCAAAAACTAGGCCTCTGGCATCAAAGAATAAGCCAAGTAGTGAATGCAAAGGAAAAGTTATTGAAGAAAATTAAAAGTACTACTCCAGTGAACATATGAATGATAAAAAAGCAAAACAGCTTTATTGCTGATATGAAGAAATTTTGAATGTCTGGATAGAAGATCAAACAAGCCACAGCATTCTCTTAAGCCAAAGCCTAACCCAGAGCAAGGCATGGACTCTATTCAATTTTAGGAAGGCTGAGAAAGGTAAGGACTCTGCAGAAGAAAAGTGAGAAGAGGTTGACTCATTAGGTTTAAGGAAAGAAACCATCTCCTTAAAATAAAAGTGCAAGGTGAAGGAGTAAGTGCTGATGGAGAAGCTGCAGCAAATTATCCAAAAGATCTGGCTAAGATTATTGATGAAGATCGCTACATTAAATAACAGATTTTTAACATCGACCAAAAAGCCTTATATTGGAAGAAGATGCCATCTAGGTCTTTCATAGCTAGAGAGGAATCAATGCCTGGCTTCAAAGCTTCAAAGGACAGGCTGACTCTTTCATTAGGGGCTAATGCAGCTGGTGACTTTAAGTTGAAGCCAGTGCTTATTTACCATTCCAAAAATCCTAGGGCCCTTGAGAATTATGCAAAATCTACTTTGCCTGCGCTCTGTAAGTGGAACAACAAAGCCTTTATGATAGCACATCTGTTTATAGCATAGTTTACTGAATATTTTAAGCCTACTGTTGAGAACTACTGCTCAGAAAAAAAGATTCCTTTCAAAGTATTAGTGCTCATTGACAATGCACCTGGTCATGCAAGGGCTCTATGGAGATGTACAAGGGGATTCATGTTATTGTCATGCCTGCTAACACAATATGATTCTGCGGCCCATAGATCAGCAGTAATTTTGACTTTCAATCTTATTATTTAAGAAACACATATAGCTACCATAGATAGTGATTCCTCTGATGGATCTGAGCAAAGTAAATTGAAAACCTTCTGGAAAGAATTCACCATTTTAGATGCCATTAAGAACATTCATGATTCATTGGAGGAGGTCAAAATATTAACATTAACAGGAGTTTGGAAGAAGTTGATTTCAACCCTTGTGGATGACTTTGAGCAGTTTAAGACTTCTGTGGAGAAAGTAACTGAAGATGTAGCAAAACAGCAAGAGATTAGAATTAAAAGTGGAGCCTGAAGATGTCACTGAATTGCTGCAATCTCATGATCAAACTTGAATGGATGAGGAGTCACTTCTTATGGATAAGCAAATAAAGTGGTTTCTTGAGAAGTGGAATCTACTCCTGGTGAAGATCCTGTGAACATTATTAAAATAACAGAAAATGATTTAGAATATTACATAAACTTAGTTGGTATAGCAATAGCAGGATTTCAGAGGATTCACTCCAAATTTTAGAAGGAATGTGGGTAAAATGCTATCAAACACCATCTCATGCTACAGAGAAATCTTCTGTGAAAGAAATAGTCGATGTGGCAAACTTCTTTATTGTTTATTGTAAGAAATTGCCACAGGCATCCCAGCCTTCAGCAACCACCACTCTGATCAGTCAGCAGCCATCAACATTGAGGCAAGACACTTCATCTCCACAATGATTACAACTTACTGAAGGCTCAGGTGATTGTGAGCATTTTTTTTTTAGCAATAAAGTATTTCTTAATTAAGGTATGTACATTGTTTGTTAAAGATAATGCTATTGTATACTTAATTGGCTACAGTATTAGTATAAACATACCTTTTATATGGGCAGGGAAGCCAAAAAATTTGTGTGGCTTGCTTTGCTGAAATATTCACTTTATTGTGGTGGTCTGGAACCAAACCTGTAATATCTCCAAGGTAGGCCTGTATTAAGACTTTAAATCCTCATAAACGCCCTATGTGGTAAATTCGATCTTTCTCACTTTACAGATGAGAAAACTGAGATACAGAGTGATGAGCTGTGATCACCATGCCAAGTTGGAAGAGATGGTACTTTATTGGGCTTTCATCAAGATTCCTTCTATGTGAGCTGTTGCTGACCATGCTCTTTACATTTCTGTCTGGTAGAAGATCCTCTTCCAATCCAAGGGGATTATAATATCACTTTTGGGAGGGCTGCAAGTCCCAAACGGGTACCAAAAAAGCTGAGAAATAAGTACAGGCAACCAGGTTATTGTTCAGATTCCTGTATTCCTATGTTACTAGGATGCCTAGGTCCTTGAGTGATATTACTAAGAAATAAATGGCGGGCCTCCGTGACTTATTGGTTTTGAGGGAGAAAATAAGACCAAGGTAGAATTGAATTTTGTACCCTGTATAGTACCACCTCTAAATACATGAAACCCAGAGCACAAAATGGTCCTGTGGGGTCAATGATGAATTTGTCTTTGGTTGTATGAAGTTTAAGGTACTGGTAAGATGTCTAGGAATAAAGGTGTTTCTGGTGGTTAAAATACCAATCTAGGATGTAGAAGATAAGTCAGAACTGGAAATACCTGATAAATGAAGCTGTGGAGGTATATGAAACCATAGTTAAAGAGAGTTATTAGAAGGTAGCTAAATGTGGAGCATCAGACGGGGGTCTGCATTTAAGAAGGGACTGAGTACCAATGTTGAATGCTGCTGACAAGTTGTGAAGAAGAGCGGTGAGGACTGAAGAAAAATGATTATGTTTTATTAAGAAGTTTAAAATGGTGGGAATAAAACCTAGATTATGAGACATTGAAGAGTGAGGAAGATGTGGAAGTAGATGCATTAGTATGGATAATTATTTCCTGATACTCTAATTATCTTCATAGTATTTGCCCATACCTGACAAGTTATACTTCTGTTTGTTTGTTGTTTGAATCCCACTAGCAACTAAGGCAGGGAGTTTTGTCTGTTTTGTTCATAAATATATCCAGTATATCTAGAACAGTTCCTGGCAAATAGATAACAGCCCTCAACAGATATCTGGTGAATGAATGTAGTAAGTTTGGTAGATAAGAAATGGAGAAAGGTGATGTGTTAATTAAAATGTGGTATAGATAAAACAGGGTCATTTTTGGCCAACATTTTAATATGAACATTCTTCTTTTTTGGAGACAGGGTCTCACTCTGTCATCCAAGCTGAAGTGCAGTGTCATGATCACGGCCTCAATTTCCTGGTCTCAAGCAATCCTCCTGCCTCAGCCTCCCAAGTAGCTGGGACTACACACATGTGTCACCATGCTTGGTTAATTTTTTTTTTAATTTTTGGAAGAGATGGGGTCTTGCTATGTTGCCCAAACTGGTCTTGAACTCCTGGCCTCAAATGATCCTCCTATCTTGACTAATATGAACATTCTTAAACATACAGAAAAGTTGAAAGAATGATAAATTGAATATCCATAAGCTCACTACCTAGATTCTACCAACAATGTTTTTCAATATTTGCTTTATTAGATATCCATCTCTCTTTCATCCTTCTGTCCATTCAACAGTCCAACTTATTTTGATTCATTTCAAAGAAAGTTGCATATCAGAATACTTCAACTCTGGATATTCTGGTATGCATGTAATTAACTAGAGATCAATATTTATATGTGCTTTATTCTTTCTTCAGGTAAAATTTATGTCAAGTGAGATGCGCAACTCACAACTGTACTATTGACAAATTTTAACAAATACATACACCTCTATAACTCAAGGCTCTATTAACATATAGAATATACCATGATTTAGAAGGTTTTTTTTTTGGTTCTTATTTTATAAAGGTTCACGTATCTTAAAATTCATCAACACTGAAATGTATAATTTAGTGTTTTTTAGTGTATTCAAAGAGTTGTGCAACCATCACCACTATTTCCAGAACATTTTTGTTACCCCAAAAGGAAACTCATATCCATTGGTAGTCAATCCCCATTTCCCCTTCCCTTCAGCCCCTGGCAAACACTATTATGCTTTTAGTCTCTATGGATTTGCCTGTTCTGGTTATTTCATATACATGGAATCATATAAAGTGTGTTGCCTTTTGTTTCTGGCTTCTTTCACTTACCATAATATTTTTAAGGTTCATTTATGTTTAAGTATATATCAGTACTTTATTCCTTTTGGTTACTGAACAAGATTCCATTGTATAGATATGCCATATTTTTTAATCCTTTCATTGGTTGATGGACTTTTTCTTCTACTTTTTGGCTATTGTAAATCATGCTGCTATAAAAATTCATGTATTAGTATTTGTTTTAACATATGCATTTATTTCTCCTGAGTATATACTATATACCTCATAACAGAACTGCTAGGTCATATGGTAACTCCATTCTTAAATTATGAGGAACTATAAAAGCGTATTCCAAAGCAGCTGCATCATTATACATTCCCAATAGAAATGCATGAAGATCCTTATTTCTCCATATCCTCACAAATTTTCTTGTTGTCTGTCTTTTTATTTTAGCCGTACTGGTGGAGGCGAAGTGGTATTTTATTGTGGTTTTTGGTTCACATTTCCCAAATGAATAATGAAGCTGAGTTTCTTTCCCTGTGCTTATTGGTCATTTGTATAACTTCTTTTGAGAAAAATCTATACAGATCCTTTGTCCATTTTTAATTGGGTTATTTATCTTTTATTATTGAGTTGTAAGAATGCTTTACATATTTTAGATACTAGATCATTATCTGATATTATTTATAAATATTTTCTCTCATTCCATGGGTTTTTGTCTTGTGTATCTTTATGGCACACACATTTTTAATGTAATGTAGTCTATCCAACTTATTTTTTCTTTAGTTGCTTGTATTTTTATGTCATATCTAAAAATCTATTACCTTATCTAAGGTTACAAAGGTTTACCACTATGTTTTTTCTAGGTTGTATAGTTTTAGGTTCAATATTTAGGTTTATGATCCACTTTCAGTTAATTTCTATACAGAATGTAAGGTAGGGGTCCAAATTCACTCTTTCCATGTGGATATCTAGTTGTCCCAGCACTATTTTTTGAAAAGACAGATCTTTCTTTCCTTTTTTTGTTTTTTGAGACAGAGTCTTGCTCTGTCGCCCAGGCTGGAGTGCAGTGGCATGATCTCGGCTCACTGCAAGCTCCGCCTCCCGGGTTCACGCCATTCTCCTGCCTCAGCCTCCTGAGTAGCTGGGACTACAGGTGCCCGCCACCACATCCGGCTAAATTTTTTTTAATTTTTAGTAGAGACAGGGTTTCACTGTGTTAGCCAGGATGGTCTTGCTCTCCTGACCTTGTGATCTGCCCACCTCGACCTCCCAAAGTGCTGGGATTACAGGCGTGAGCCACCGCGCCTGGTGGAAAAGACAGATCTTTCACACATTGAATGGTCAGGTCACCCTTGTTGAAAATCAGTTTACTATATGAGTTTATTTCTGGACTTTCAATTGTATTACATTATCTATATGTCTATCCATGTTCCATTAACATACAATCTTGAATATTGTAGCTTGGTAGTAAGTTTTAAAATTGGGAAGTGTTGTTTTCCAATTTTGTTCTTCTTTTTCATGATTTTTAAAAATATTTAGATTCCCCTGCATTTCCATAAGAGTTTTCAGAACAGGTCGACAGTTTCTACAAAACAAACAAACAAACAAAAAACCAAAAAAAACCAGCTGCTCTTTTGATAGGGACTGTGTTAAATCTATAGATCAATTTGAAAAGTAGCACCATCTTAACAATATTAAGTGTTCCAATTGATGAAAATGGAGTATCTTTCCATTTATTTAGATCTATATTTCAAAGTTTTTTTTATAGTTTTCAGTGTAGAAGTCATGTGCTTTTTTTGTTAAATTTATTCCCAATTATTTTATTTTTTTTATGGTATTGAAATGGATTCTTAAAAATTATCTTCAGATTGTTCATTGCTAGTAATAGAAAAACAATTTTTTTCCACTTTGTTTTTTTAATGTATTATTTATTTATTTTTAGATGGAGTTTTGTTCTGTCGCCCAGGCTAGAGTACAGTGGCGCCATCTTGGCTCAGTGAAGCCTCCGCCTCCTGGATTCAAACAATTCTCCTGCCTCAGCCTCTCAAGTAGCTGGGACTACAGGAACACGCCACCATGTCTGGATAATTTTTTGGTACTTTTTAGTAGAGATGGGGTTTTGCTATGTTGGCCAGGCTAGTCTTGAACTCCTGACCTCAGGTGATCTGCCCGCCTCGGCATCCCAAACTGCTCGGATTACAAGTGTGAGTCACTGTGCCCAACCCTCTTTGGTTTTATAGCCTACAACTTTGTTAAACTCAATTATTGGCTCCAAATTTTTTGTGGATTTCTTAGGATTGTCTATATACAAGTTCGTCTCATCTGTGAATAAAGTTTTATTTCTTCATTTACAATCTGGATGTCTTTTATTTCTCTTTTCTTGACTAATTACCCTGGCTAGAACCTCCAGTACAATATTAAATAGAAGTGCTAGAGGCAGACATTCTTGTCTGTTCCTGATCTTAAGGGGAAAGTATCCAGTCTTTCACAACTAAGTATTATGTTAGAAATACTTTTTTCATAGATGTCCTTTATTAGGGTGAGGGTATTTCCTTCTATTCCTAGTTTGATGAGATTTTTAAAAATGGGGCTGGGCGCGGTGGCTCATGCCTGTAATCCCAGCACTTTGGGAGGCTGAGGCAGGCGGATCACCTGAGGTCAGGAGTTTGAGACCAGCCTGGCCAACATGGTGAAACCCCGTCTCTACTAAAAATACAAAAATTAACTGGGCACCGTGGCAGGTGCCTGTAATCCCAACTACCTGGGAGGTTGAGGCAGGAGAACTGCTTGAACTCGGGAGGCAGTGGTGGCAGTGAGCTGAGATTGCACCACTGCTCTCCAGCCTGGGTGACAGAGTGAGACTCCGTCTCAAAAAAAAAAAAATCATAAAAATGGTGATAAATTTTGTTGAAAGTGTTTTCTGTGTCTATTGAGATGTTCATGTGATTTGTCATTTGTTTTATTACTGGGGTATATTATATTGAGAGTTGATTTGCTGGATTCCTTAGCTGCTTTTAGTCATTCTAAAGGGCAAAAAAGAAATGCAAAAAAGTGGCTTTGGTTTTGTTTTTTTGCCTCCAGGTAGAAGGAAAAACAGCCCAAACATTTCCAAAGGTAAGTTTTGGGTGGGTCAAAAATGTTAAAAGCTTACATTGCTCTATCCTTCAAGTTGCGGGACAAAAAGTTAAATCCGTTCCCTTGGCTAGAGCAAAGCTTTAGCTAAGCCAGAGAGAAAAAGAAAAGGGGGGAGGGAAACCAGTGAGATACCAGAGCAGCTTCTTCCTCGACTCCCCCAAATACACACATCTTGAATCCCAGTAGTGATCTCCAAGCAACCATAATGTTAACAATGTACATGCTGAGTTTACTGCTAGGGGTCTGCAGTGAGAAAAAAAAGGAGAGAATTGTAAAAATTCACATTGTATTTTTGTGACTATTGCATTTAAACGTGTCTCAATCAGTTTACATTGCTATGACAAAATACCATTGATTGAGATTTAACAACAAACATTAATGTCTCACAGTTTCAGAGGCTGGGAGGTTCCAGATCAAGGTGCTGGAAGATTCTGTGTCTAGTGTGGTGGGCTCACTTCCTGGTTTGCAGACAGCTACTTTTGTGCTGTATCTTCACACGGCAAGAGGAGAGAGCAAGCTCTGGTCTCTTCTTTTCTAATTAGGGCACTAATCTCATCACAGGGAGGGGGGTCCATCCTTATGATCTCATGTAAACCTAAGCACGTCCCAAAGGCCCCAGTTCCAAATACCATCACACTGGGAATTAGGGATTCAAAACCAGACTTTCGGGGGGTGGAGAGACATAAATATTCAGTTCATAGAAAGATGTATGATAAAATTCTTATAATTTCACAAATTCTAGAGACATCACCTCAATATAAGAAAGTGTTAATGGGACATAATTTGCTTTCTTTTTGCCCCAGTGAGAATATTATAACTTAAATGCTTAGGGTATTGCAAACAGAATAAATCTCTCTAACTGATGCTATTTGCTATGATTTTTGTCTATTGGATCCTCTGGGAAAGGGCAAACAACAGGAAATAAGAGACAATTTTTAGATGGAGATTTACTTTTGGAGTTTTAAAAAGAAATTTTTATGTTGCAAATGGACTGTCAGAGTCTGACACTTAAAGGCTAATGATTTCCCACTGCCTATCTTTGAGTGAGTCAAATAGATGCTAAGGGCTTATGGAATCCTTGCTTGTCCCTTGGACTGGGAACATGGCTATCTGTCTTTGCAACATTTTGACTTTGCTGCTGTTGAAGAAAAACCACTGGCTGTTTTTGGAATTCTTAATTCACAGATCTTAATTACCTGAACCTGACTCTAAGCTGATAGTGCCTTCTATGGGCAGTTTCAGCCTGAGCAGAGCTGTGCATAACTGAAAGCAGGCATAGGCTCAATTAGCAGAACTCTGATTCTGGGACTCTGTTGCATGTTTTAAACACCCTTCTGTGGGATCCTAGTCTATAAAAACGTCATTGATGCTGGATGGACTATCTGGATCACTTGCAGATGCCCATGAGGAAGGGCTTGTTCTCTGATGAAACCATCTAAGATTGAGTTGCTGATTGACTTATATTTCTGATGCAGAGGCTAATTGTGTTCCTAACCTGTGATTCCTTCCCCAAATTATAAGTTAGGGATGGACATATTACAAGGAATATGAATCTTCTGTCCACTCATGACAGATTGGACACTTGACACATTCTTAGGGGTGTCTCACTGATGTTGATTTGTTTTACTTTCTTGAGTAATTACAGTTTGCAACAATAAACTGATGGCCTAACTACTTCCCTTACTGTTCTCCTGGTGCACACATCTCAGTAAGGCAGTTTATTTAATGCAGCTCTCCTCAGAAAGAGATTTTGCTTTTCTAGGCTGCCCACTTGGATAAGTGGTCAGGACAAAAGGGGTGTGAGGTTATGTAAAACTATCTTGAAAAGTGTTGAAACTCAAAATTCTATCATGACATGTATCTTTCTGGTTATGTTGTATAATTTTTGTCCTGTGAAAATGCTTTTGTCCCTCCTACATACAACCTGCCCAGATGAAAATGACACAGAATTTTTCTTGATCACTTTTGCCAGCCAGAGATACCCAGCTGGCAACACCCTTGCCCTGCCTCGACCCACAGCTTTGGGGCTGGCTCGGCCCTGCCACTGTTTCTGTCACATGGGGCAGCTGCCCTCTGCTGGTGGAGGACAGAGGGCCACAATGTTACAGCCTTCTCTGTACCCATGTTTGGTGGGTCCTGAGCTCTTGTCTTGTGTCCAAGAAGAATGAGGATACACTGACAATCAAAGAATGAGGAGGGCAGAGAATAATTTTACTGAGTGAGGAAATAGCTCACAGTGGAGAGGGGACATAAGGGTGGTCCGCCACCTGGAGTCAGGTGGTTTCTCTCTCACTGTGGCTGAGTCCAGAGCTTTCAAGGCTTAGAATAAGGGAGTGAGTACTGATTGATTTGTGAGAATGCAAAAAAAGTTAAAGGTACCACTCAAAGGTGGGCATAACAGTGTAAAAAATCAATTAGGGAAGCATAGGTATATGTAAAATAGGAGAAGGGTTGGGGAGATCAATCAGAGGAATGTACACCAAACAGGAAGACAGGTTCTCAGTGAATTTGACTTGTAGCTTGGCTTTCAGGCTTTAAACTGTCTTTGGCTTGGAGGTGGGGTTTCACCAGGGACCCCACCCTGTCTGCCTAGGCATTTGTCTGCTTCTTGCCTCTATCAAAAAGGTCTGAGTGAGAATTAAAAATATGATTGGGGAAAATGTAAAGTTTTGATAATTGAATGGAACACACTCATTTTGTAAAAGTGGGAGAAAAATCAAAACCCTGCCACCTGTGGAGGCATGAGGAGGAGTGGGGAGGGGAGATATTAATGATCTCTGTTTTTCAGAACCATTCCTTGAAGCTTTCCCTTTGTCTTGAAGGAAAACTCCTCATGCTGTCTTTCCAAACAGCTGCAAGTGCTTTGTATGCAAACTTCAGAGCCTATGATCATATCTGTTGGTATGCTGACTCAGACAGCAATGGGTGGCCCCAGATCCTGTACCTTCTGTATAGAATACCTCCAAATGCTGTCCACGCTTATAAAGCTGATAAACTGATGTTATGTGCAAGCAAACCCGTTTGGAACAGATTACTTTAGTCATTTTCTCTGAAATCAAGACTAATTCTAATTTTTCAGACTGGACTGGGAAACTTAGGGCAGGAATTCCCATTATGGAGGCCACGTTGGGGTCCTGATAAGCTGTACTGCCTAATGTATGTCCTACTTGGGGTACCCTAATAATTATAAATTCTTTGTTTCTAGGGGTACTACATGAGCCTTCTGGGACTATACTTCTTGTGTGTACTCATACTATCATGACACTGCCTGAGTCCCAAAAGGATTTCAGGTCAGCTTAAACTAAGTGGCCAGAGTTGTGCTGTGCCTGAATTAGTGTTTTTAAAGTACGGAAACAAGTAAAAAGTCACATGGCTTTCTAAGATAGACCTTTGTGGTGAATGGGATTTTTTTTCTAACTGGTTAAATCCAGTACCCCTAAAGGGCATAATCAAGATCAATACCACAGGTTGGCCTCACCCTGCTACATGAGGTCTTACAGATATAATAATGTTGCTATCTAAAGGCTTGTCAATTTTCTTAAATTTTATCAAAGAGCAAACTTTTGGTTTCATTTTTTTCTCTGTTGTTTTTCTGTTATCTCTTTCATTTGTTTCCATTCTAATCTTTATTATTTCCTTCCATCCGCTTGCTTTGGGTTTATGGCTCCTCTTTATTTAATTTCTTAAAGATGGTATGGTATGCTATTGGTTTGAGATTTTTCTTTTTCTCTTCTTTCCTTTTTTTGAGATGTGGGTCTCTCTCTGTTGCTCAGGCTGGAGTGCAGTGGTGTGATCACAACTCACTGTAGCCTGAGTGTCCTGGGTTCAAGGGATCCTCCTACCTCAGCCTCTTGAGTAGCTAGGACTATAAGTGTGTGCCACTATGCCTGGCTAATTTTTTAATTTTGTGTAGAGACATGGGGTCTTGCTATGTTGCTCAAGCTGGTCTGGAACCCCTGGGCTCAAGCGATCCTCCCACCTCAGCTTTCAAATTACTGGGATTATAGGCATGAGCCATTGTGCCCAGCCTCTTCTGTTTAAATATAGGCATTCAGAGTGATAAATTCATCTCTAAACTATGGTTTAGCTGCATCCCGTTCATTTTGAAACATTGTGTTTTCATTTTCATTTATCTCAAAGTAGTTTTAAATTTCCCTTGTGATTTCTTCTTGATCCATTAGTTTTTTAGGACTGGGTTGTTTAATTTTTACATATTTGCCAATGTCTCTAAATTTCCTTCTGTTCTTGATATCTGATTTCATTCCATTGTGGTTAGAGACATTTTTTAGTATGATTTCCTGCATTACTGCTTTTTTGTATTAAATAGATATTTTCTACTGTACCATTTTAATTTCCTTGTCATTTCCTGTGTTACATTTTTGAGTTATTTTGTTAACACTTGCTCTGGAATTTACAATTAGCATCTTAAACAAACTAATTTGGTTAATGCTAACTTAAGTTCAAAGGTATACAAAAACTTTGGTTCAGTATAGCTCTATTTTCTATTTTTGTGCTACTTTTGTCATACAAAAGACATTTTTATACATTATAAAGACATGAATAGTTTTAGAATTATTACTTTACATATGCAATTGTCTCTTTAATCAGATAGGAGAAGAATAGGGTTACAAACGGAAATACACTCATACTGTGTTTTATATTTACCTACCTTTACCGGTGCTTGTCATTTCTTCTTGTCAATTTGAGTTACTATTTAGTGTTTTCCATTTTAGCCCAGAAAGATTATTTTTAGTACTTCTTATACAGCAGGTCTTCTAGTAAATAATTTTTTCAGCTTTTGTTTATCTTAGTTTCTCCATTATTTTTATTTTTACTATGATTTTAATAACAAAACTTTAGTTTTATATGGTATTAGATTTACAGAAAAGTTGTGAAGATAGTACAAAAAGGGTTCCCATATACCCCACTTTCAGTTTTCCCTACTATTAATATCTTACATTACTATGGTACATTTAAAAGTAATTAACCCTTATTGATACATTATTATTTACTACCATCCATACTTTATTCAGATTTTCTTAGTTTTGACTGAATGCTTTTTTTTCTGTTCCAGGATCCCATCCAAGACAACACAGTGCCTTTAGTCATCATGTCTCCTGGGGCTCCTTTTGGCTGTGACAGGTTCTCAGACTTTCCTTGTTTCTGATGATGCTGACAATTTTGAGGTGCACTTGTTAGGAATTTTGGAGAATGTTTCTCAATTGGGATTTGTGTGATATACTTCTTATGATTACACTAGGGTTATGGGTTTCAGGGGGGAAGATAACAAAGGTAAAGTGCAGTTCTCATATATCAAGCATACATGCTATCAATGTGACTTATTACTGTGGTCTCCTAATTACTTGATCACCTGGCTGAGATAGCATTTGACACCTTTCTCCATGCAAAATTACTCTTCCTGCCCCATTTTCATTCTGTACTCTTTGGAAAGAATTCTCCATTTTCTTGAGAGGGTAATAACAACATAAATTATTTAGAGTTCTTCTCCACAGGAAATTTGTCTATTGTCCTCCATTTATATATTTATATATGTAAGTGTGGGCTAATAGGTATTTATTTTCTACTTGTTATATACTATGTTATTTATGTTGTTGCCCAAATTGCTTCAGTTTTGGATATTGGGAACTTTTTCAGTTGGCTCCTGTGTCCCTTTGACATTCATCCACAGATATGTGGGTTTTTAAAAATTTTGAGCATTTCCTTGCTTTTTGGCTTTATAAGATGCTTATCTTGTATATATTCTGACCAAGACCTAGAATCAGCCATTTGTCTAAGGATCCCTGATTGAATATTTTTATTGGAAAATGTTACTAACAGCCAAGATCTTGGCACTGGGTGTGCTCAGTGTTACTGGATTTTATCGCTTCTATCTCTTTATCTGCTCATTCTTGTGCCTTATACTTTCTATGCTATTCACTTCCAGTTTATCAGCTACTTGGCACTTTAATTTATTCCTTATTTTTTTTCTGTAGAATCAGCCTCCTACTCTAATGTGAATCCTCATTGGCTTACATTTTGAATCTCATCCTAAAAAAATATAAACTTTCATACCAACTTGCCTCCCCCTTCTCCATTATCCTCTTCAAAACCAAGTTTCTTAGAGATTTCAACTTACACTGCCTCTAATTTTTTTGCCTCCCACTCAAAATCTCACAGTCAACTTTCTTCTCTCATTCCATTGACTCTGCTCTGACAGGGCCAAAAAATGACCTCCTTGTTTCTAAATCTAATGAGTGCTTTTATCTCCTCATCTGCCTGGACTAATCAATACTATTTGATCTTGTTAACTATGCAAGAAATTCTCTTCTTGAAACTCTCCTCATTCCTCTCTTCTTTTATGACACTACTTTCCTGATTATTATGTCCCTAGGATAATTTTTCTCTTTTGCAGGCTCCTCTTTCTCTGCCCCCTAGTTAATATTTCCTAGGCTGACTTTTTGTGTTTCTTTCTCTTTCTGATAGATTGGTTAAAAAATGTTTGCATAGATCTCCTGCATATGTGTTAAGAAATTTCTTCTGACTTACAACATATACAACGAGAGTCTTTAATCAGGCTTCTGCTATAAAAATTAATTTTCCTGGATTCTGTGGATTGGTGTTTTCATCAGTTCTGGAAAATTCTCAGTAATAACCTGTTCAAATACAGTAGTCCCCCCATTATGTGCAGTTTTTCCATGGTTTCAGTCACCTGGGGTCAACCATGATCCAAAAATATTAAATGAAAAATTCCAGAAATAAACAATTCATAAGTTTTAAATTACATGCTCTTTCAAGTAGCATAATAAAATTTAATGTCATCCCATTCCATCCTACTTAGGAAGGGAACATCACTTTGTCCAGTGTATCCACATTGTACATGCTACACATTCATTACTCACTTAATAGCCATCTTGGTTATCAGATTGACTGGCATGATACAGTGTTTGTGTTCAAGTAACACTTATTTTACTTAGTAGTGGCCCCAAAGTACAAGAGTAGTGATGCTGGCATATTGTTATAGTTGTTGTATTTTATTAGTAGTTGTTGTTAATCTCTTACTGTGCCTAATTTATAAATTAAACTTTGTCATAAGTGTGTATATATAAATACATATATATGTATACATGTGTGAATATACATATATATTTGTATATACATTTATATATTATATATAAATATATTATATATAAGTGTATATATGTATCATATATAAGTAATAGATATATAATATAAATAATATACATTTATATATAAATATAAATGTATATTTATATATGTACATATAATATATATTATACATATATGTATAATATATATTATTAATGTATTTTAGTTAATAATACAAATAAATATATATTGCTATTTATATAGAATATAATAAAGCATAATAAATAATACCCTATATAAAGACAAATATATGCATTTATATGCATATTTTGTATGTGTTATTTATACATATATAAATACATATATATTTGTGTATATAGGACTCAGTACTATCCAGTTTCAGGCATCCACTGGCAGTCTCAGAACATATACCCCATGTACAGCCTCTGATTCTTTCCTTTTTTATTCTCTTTCTGAAACTTTGATTAAATATATTTTAGTCTTTTTATTGGACTCTTTGTCTTTTTGTATCTATTACATATTTCCCATCTTTTCTTTCTCTATTCTGCATTCTAAATAGTATCTTTGACTTATCTCCTAATTCGCTAATTCTTTCTTCAGCTGGGTCTAGTATCCTGTGACTGTTTTAACTCATAGTTACTGTGATTTTCATTTCTATAAATCCTATTTTGTTATTTTTCAAATTTATTACCTCAATTTTTTATGGTTTCCTCTTCTGGGCAGAAATCTTTAAGCTTAAACATTTCTTTTCAAAAAATTTAGCATGTGTTTCACATCTGTAAGTTCTCATTACTCCAATTTCTAAAGCAGTCTTTGTGTATCTGGGCTTTTCTGTCTGTAGTTTTTGCTGGTTCTTTATTGTGGTATCTTGTTTCCTAGTTCTTGGTTATCTATGCTTACAGCCAATCACTGTGTTAAATATTATTTGTAGGCATAATTTAAATCCTAGAATGAAAATATCTTCCTTCAAAAAGGATCCACATGTGCTTCTATTAGGGGGATAGTCCCAGTTCAGGACCACGTTAATAAGGTTAAAGCTTTGATTTTTCCCAGATGGCCCAGTCAAGTCAAACTGGATGTGACTCCAAATGATGTTTGACCCACTTCCACTTCACATTCACCCAGATACTGTAGCCTTTTGAAGTCCTGGATTATTGTGCAAAAGCTCTACTGTTAGATTTTCTATCTCATGTAAGCTCTGTGTTTTGATTTACTTTACCTGAAACTTCTAAATAAAACAGTTTTCATAATCATTTACCTCTCTGAATTCTTAGTTTCCCTTCAATTTTTACCGTTAATTTTCTTTCTGTATTGTCAGTTATTTATTGTGTTAATAAAACTTAAAAAAAATAAACCCCATTCATTTTTACAGTTGTTTTTAATGGGAAATTTTGTCCAAATTTTCCAGTTATGATCATCATAACCAGAAACAAAATTGTGGCTTTCCAGTGTAGGAGACTGCCATCCTAGATTATGTAGGACTTCTTTCTTTGTAAATCTCCATTTATTAAATATATTTTATATATTAGAATGGCAATAAGGTATATCGGTCAGGGTTCTTGATGGCAAGCAACAAAAGTCAACTCTGGCTATTTTGAATAGAAAAAAAGTTATGAAAACATACTGAACCTTATGGAATCTCAAAGAAGCCTAGAGAAACAGACTTGGAGAAAGTGGCTGAACAAAATAGATTCACAAAGCAAAGTCAAAAGCCATTCCACAGAACTAATTTTGTGCATATACTGCTGCCATCTTCACTGCTACAGTGATTGTCAGTGTTTCACTGCCAATACTTTTGGCCCCAGTACTGATATTGTTGAAATTGAATGTTCCTGCCATTTGTCCTACTGGCTCATGAAATAAAATATTATTCTCTCTTCTTTCTCTTTGTGTCACTGATTTCTGATTCAGGGTCTAGAATGGGTGCATCTGATTGACCCAGTCTGGATCATGTGCCCACACCCTCAGAGGGAAGATGGGAAAGTAAATGTCTCATAATTGTAACTTCCATGATAGGAGGCAAATCTTGCTTTCTATCTAGATTCAAAAGGTAGAAAATTCGCAGACATGGTAAATGGGCCTATTACAGAAATACTTTTTTATTATAACAATATTTTGGTAAAATTGTACAATACATGGTGTTTTGCTGGTCCAGCCCTTCCACAGTATGGAAAGATTGAAGGAACCAGTAAATAACATCCCAAAGGCAATAGAACTGGGATCAACTTTAGACATTGGCATCTTCTAGTCTAGGCCTAGCCATTACCTCCATTGTCTTGACTGTCCCACTTGCTTATTGCACCTTCAGCAATCTCTAGATAAATAGCAAATGTCACCAGAAAGACTGAGGCCAATAGTTACAGTAAAGGGCATAGAAAAATCTAAAGGTACATAGTCAAGCATACAGGTATGATTCCTCTGCTTCTCCAACAATTTGACATATGATAGTCTCTGCTATACCCAAGAGGCCGCTTTGCTAGGCTTTTGGCTCAGATAGGCTGCTTTCATTAGTACGTTTCACCTGCCTTATATTTCTGCTTCTTAATTCCCACCTTGTCATCATATATGGACATTCTGCTTTGTTAGTTGTTCACTTAATGCCACCTCCTCAGCTAGAATTACATTGCTGGAAATTCACTGAAGTAAAATATAGATTTCTCAGGGCAATAGTAGGCAGTTTAAAGTTCTATATCTCTCACAGAGCTCTGTGGATGACATATATGAAGCAACCAGGAAGGTCTTGAATAAGAAGACCCTTGCGTAGCACAGTGGTTTTAAATAACATCTGTGTAACTCCACATTTTACATCCGTAGCTCTGATCTTCCACTGAACTTTAGACATAGACATGTGAGTGGAAATATCAAGTAAGCAATCGGATATATAATAAACATCAAATATGCAACATGGCCAAAGTAGACCTGTTTTTCTCCAAGTGTTCCCTCTCACAATGAAGGATGCCAGGTTAAACACCCCAAACACTGCTGTTCTCATTAAGGTTCAATAGGTTTTCTTGAATGAATGCTTTTCAAATTGTTCCAAACCTTTTATTAACTATAAGACTTTGGAAAAGGTTGATTTTCATAAATTGGTAATATTTTCATTGCTTTGCTAGAAGAGCAGATTTATGGAGGTTCCGTTATGGAAGTTCTGCCATTGTCTATGTTGTTTGGCTGTACCTAGTACAAGAAATATGAAGAAATGAATCTATTAAATCATTGCGTGCATTAAAAAGCTTGTTAAAGTTATATTATCATTTTAATGTTGAGATTTCATTTTCTAAAAGCTCATTTAGAAAAATTTTACATTCATAAATAATATATTTTCTGAAGTTTTCTTTTCTTGTAATCAATTTGATTTTGGGACTTGAGTCATGCTGGCTTCATAAAATTAGTTGGGAAGTGTTCCCTTCTCTGTTATCTGAATGATGCTATGTAGAATTGGTGTTACTTTTCTCTATAAATTTATTGAATTTGCCTGAATTTTTGTTTTCAGATTTTTAACTAAGTATTCAATTTTTAAAATAGTCACAGACTATTTCAGCTACCTATTTATTCTTGAGGGAGTTTATATAGTTTGTGTTTTTGTTTTAGAAATTGGCCCATTACATCTAAGTTGTCACTTTACATGTGTATATTTGTGCATACTCTTCCATTATTATCCTTTTAAACTAAAAATAAAACTACCATACAATCCAACAATCCCACTATGGGTTATTTATCCAAAGAAAAGGAAATCAGTGTTATCAGAGGGATACCTGCACCCGCATATTTATTGCAGCACTATTTATAATAGGCAAGATATGAAATCAACTTAAGTGTCCATCAATGGATGAATGGATAAAGAAAACGAGGTATATATTCTCAATGGAATAGTGTTCAGCCATAAAAAGGAACAAAATTTTGTAATTTGCAGAATCACGGATGGAACTGGAGGTCATTATGTTAAGCTAAATAAGCCAGGCACAGAAAGATAAATACTGCATCTTCTCACTCTTATGTGGGGGCTAAAAAGTTAATCTCATGGAGGTAGAGAATGCAATGATAGTTACCAGAGGCTGGGAAGAGTGTGTGGTGGGGTGGGGCATGAAGAAAGGTTGGTTAATGGATACAAACATACAGGTAGGTAAAAGGAATATGTCCTTATGTTCGATAGCAGAGTAGAGTGACTATAGTTAACAACAATGTATTGTATATTTCAAAACAGCTAGAAGAGAGAACTTGAAATGTTGCCAACACATAGAAATGATAAGTGCTTGAGATGATAGGTATCCTAAATATCCTGATTTGATCATTATACATTCTATGCATGTAACAAAATGTCACATGTACCCCATAAATATGTAAAAATATTACATAACAATAAAACAATTAAATCTGTATGACCTAAAGTAATATTCTCTCATTCTTGATGATGATAATTTGTGTTCTCTTTATTTTATTCTTGCTACAGGCTTGATGATTTTATTAATCTTTTCAGAAAGACTGCTTTTGGTTTAATTGATTCTTTGTTACTTTTCTTTTCATATTTTATTGATTTCTGCTCTTACAGTTATTATTTTTAAACTCTGCTTTAATTTTGCTTCTTGTTTTCTGCTCATGTAAGGGGGAAGCTTTAGATTACAATTTTCAGATTTTCCTTTTTTTCTAACATAGACATTTAATGCTGTAGCTTTCCATCTAAGTAATACTCTAGCTGCATGGTGCACATTTTATATGTTGTAATTTTATTTTTGTTCAATGCTAAATATTTTCTGATTTTGATTGAGACTTTCTTTTTGTCCCATATAAGTATGTCATTTAATTTCCACATGTTTGGAAATTTTCCTGTTATCATTTTGTCATTGATTTTAAATTTAATTATGTTAAATTTATATCTGAGAACATGCTTCATATATTTCAATTGTGTTACGTGTGCTAAATTTTGTCTCATTACCTAAAATATGGTCTGTTTTGATGAGTATTGCATGGACACTTGAATTTATATTCTATTGTTGAGTGAAAAATTCTATGAATGTTGATTAGATCCAGTTTGAAACATCATTCATTTATTCTACATCATTGCTGATTTTCTGTCTGTCTATCACTAAGAAAAGCATGTTGAAATTTCCAGGTATAATTGTGAATTGATTTGCCTATTTCTCCTTTTAATTCTGCTAGTTCTTGCTTTATTTGAAATTGTGTTATTACTGGCATACACATTTAATTTACTGTGTAGATTGATTTGTCTGATTCTGCTTTTAGTTCTGTTCTTGCTTTATTTGAAATTCTGTCATTAATGGCATACACATTTTATTTACCATGCCTTCTTAATGAAAAACCATTTTATTATTGCATAATGTTCCTCTTTACTCTTGTAAAATAGTATTTGTTTTGCAGTCTACATCTACTTTGTCAGATATTACTACAGTCACTCCAGCTTTCTTGATTTTTGTTTTCATGGTGTATCTTTTTCCATCCTTTTATACTTAACCTATCTATAATTGAAGTGAATTTCTTGTATATAATGTATACTTCAGTCATTTAAAGAAATCTAATCTGACAATCTTTGTCTTTTAAGGAAAGGGTGACTGAAAACCCAGTAGGAGAGCTTTGTGGCATTTTCACTTACCCTTGCCTGATCCCCCTTTCCCTGGCTCAGTGGCAGTCTGGAAGATGTCAGCCCACATTCCTGTGGTGGGTTTCTGGTGCCAGAGGAAGCAGTATGAACTTGTTCTAAAGAAGTATGGTTTTCTGTTTTGACCTGTTGGGTGATTCTCTGAAGGAGTAACACAAAGGCCTTATCTTTACGGAACCTAACCAGGAATTCTCTCAGGGAAGAGAAGCAACTGTAAAAGAAGAATTTGTTTAAAGCATTTAGAAATAAATGAACTGGCTGCTGTGACCTGGGGCAAAAGATATCAATTAGGGGCAAATAATAAACATATTAAGAATACTGTGAGAACAATCTAGGAAGGAAGATGTCTTGGAGAATAAAGGCTTTGAGAAGCTTCCACATGTTCCTCAGAATTTAGGAGGTCATATACATGCCTGTGGCAGACTGCTCAGAAAAAAAAAAAGGCACTAAGCTTTGAGCTCTGTCTTCAAGCTCTACACAAGCAGGAAGCGAAGGTGCAAGAATAGTTGTAAACTGCCTGGGAGAATGTGGAAAGCATGCCTCAGTGCGCTCCCGTGTGCGCGACACACACACACACACACACACACACACACACCCAATCTAGCTTCAAGATTGGAAATTTGGTTTTTGGCTTCAGGAATTTAAAGAAATCTCTATCAAATCACTAGCTGATCACTAAGCTAAAAGAACAGAGAATTTAGGAAATCACACATGACAAAGACTAGAATAGTTTAGGAAACTCATCAAACGAAAAACCAGAACCCACAAAATGCAGCAAAACTAACCCTGGTAAGGGAAGGAGAATTGGATTTTCATGTAATAATATACAAAATACCCATTTTTTGATTAAAAAAATTATGAGGTATGCAAGAAAGCAAGGGGGGATGACCCATTCACCATAAAAAAAATAAGTGAACAGAAACTGTCCATGAGGAAACACATACATTGAATTTACTAGACTTATACTTTAAATCAACTGTCTTAATTAAGCTCATTGAGTTAAAGGAAAACATTGGCAAAGAACTAAAGGAAATCTGGAGAACAAGGTCTCACCAATTAGAGAATTTTTAGTAAAGGGATAGAGATTATACAAAGAAACTAAATAGAAATTCTGGAACAAAAAGTATAACTGAAATGAAAAATTTACTACAGGTGTTCAGTATGAGATTTGAATAGTCAAATGAGTCAGTGAATATGAAGATGAGTCATTTGGAATTTTCCAGTATGGCAAGTGGAAAAAAAATGAAGAAATATGAATAGTTCTAAAGGGAACTGCAGGATAATGTAAAGCATACCAACATATATATGTTTGAAGACATAATGGCCAAAAGTTTTCCAAACTTGATAAAGGACATGAATCTACACATTCAAGAAGCTCCACAAACTTCAAGTACCATAAATTTAAAGAGACCATACTAAGATACGTTGTAGTAAAAATGTTGAAAGCAACAGCAAAGAATCCTGAAAACATCAAGAGAGAAGTGACTCCTTGCATACAAGTTATCCTTAATAAGATTAACTGCCAATTTTTCTTCAGGAACCATGGAGGTCAGAAAGCAGTGGAATGATATGTTAAAGTGGTAAAAGATAAGTTTGTCAACCAAGAGTTCTACATCTAGCAAAAATATCCTTCAAAAATGAGGGAGAAATTAGGACATTGCAAGATTTTTATAAAAGTTTGCCACTTGCCCTACAATAAATCATAATCTAAGTCTGTTAGGCTGAATGGAAAGGACATTAGACAGTAACTTTAAACCGTAAGAAGAAATAAAGAAAACCAGTAAAGGTAGCTACATATGTATTTTGGGTTGCTGGTGTCCTCTCAAAAGTTATATTGCAGTCCTAACTCCTAATATATTAGAATGTGACCTTATTTGGAAGTAACATCATTGCAGATGTGATTAGTTAAGAAAAGATTCTTCTGGTGCAGCGTGGGCTTTTAATGCAATGAGTGGTGTTCTTATAAGAAAATGTTGTGTGAGCACACAGGGAGAGTGCTATGTGAAGGTGAAGGCAGGAAATGGAGTAATGCATCTACAAGACAAGGAACACTAAGGATTACAAGCTGTCACCAGAAGCTAGAAGAGAGACATCAGATAGATTCTGTCTCAGAGTCCTCAGAAAAAACCAACATGGATGACACCTAGATTTCAGATTTCTAGCCTCCAAAACTTTGAAGAAAATGAACAGAGTATAAATTTCTGTTGTTTTAAGCCACCCAGTTTATGGTAGTTTGTTATGGCCACACAGTGTCTGGTAATTTGTCATAGTAACCTATCTATGTTTAATAGGTAGATATAAAAGCCAGTATTATTATATTGCTTGTTTTTTAAAATTTTGTTTTTCTTTTTTGAGACGGAGTCTCACTCTGTCACCCAGACTGGAGTGCAGTGGTGTGATCTCCGCTCACCGCAGCCTCCAGCTACCAGGCTCAGGCGATTCTCCTGCCTCAGCCTCCTGAGTAGCTGGGATTACAGGCGCACACCACTACCACCTTGCTAATTTTTGTATTTTTAGTAAAGATGGGTTTTCACCATGTTGGCCAGGCTGGTCTTGAACTCCTGACCTCAAATGATCCACCTGCCTTGGCCTCCCAAAGCGCTGGGATTACACGCGTGAGCCATTGCACTTGGCTTATATTGTTAGTTTGTAATTCCTCTTTTTTCTGTCTTATTACAAAAGTAAATGTATAAAACAATAACTATAAATATATGTTGATAAGAACGCAATATATAAAGATGCAATTTGTGATAATAACAACATAAAGGGGTATAGATGGAGCCTTATAGAAACAGATCTTGTGTAATAGGAAAGCTAAGTTGGTATTAATACAAACTAAATGGTTACACATTTAAGATGTTAACTATAATCCCCAGGGTATCTAAGAAAATAACTTTAGAATGTAGAGAAAAGGAAATGAGAAGAAAATTGTCACTCTATAAAAAAATCAAACACAAAAGATGGTAGTAATGGAGAAAATGAAGGGCAAAAAGTATAAGATATGCAGAAAACAAATAGCAAAATAATAGATATAAGTACTTATAAGTAATTACTTTAAATGTAAATGCATTATTCTCCTCAATTAAAGGCAGAGATAGACAGAATGGATAAATGAAACAAACATGATCCAACTGTGTATTGTCTATAAAATGTATACTTTAAATATAAAGGAAAAAATAGTTTGAAGTAAAAGGATTGAAATAGCTATTCCATGCAAATAGTAACCAAAAGAGGGCTGGGATGGCTATAGTATTATATCAGATAAAATAGACTTTAAGTAAAAATTGTTAAAAAGACATAAAAGGATAGTATATATTTTTAAACAGGTCAATTCTTCAAGAAGATGTGCAATTTGTATACTTGTCTAAGAATAGACAGTTCTACAATAATAGTTGGAGACTTCAATACCACACTTTCAATTAAGGATAGAGCAACTGGACAAAAGTCAATAAGGAACAGAGATTTTGAATAACACTATATACCGACTAGATCTAACAGACTATACCAAACAACAGCTGAATACTTAAGTGCACATGAAATATTCTCCAGGATAGATAATATTTTAGAACACAAAATTAGTTTCAATACATTTAAAATTATTGAAATCATGCAAAATATGTTTTCTAACCACAACGAAATAAAAATAGAAATCATTAACAGAAGAAAAATGGAAAAATCACAAATACGTTGAAATTAGCATGTGTCTGAACAACTAATGGGTCAAAGAAGTAATCACAAGAGGAATTAGAGAATTAAACATAAATGAAAATGAAAAGACAACATACCAAAACTCATGGGATCCTGCAAAAGCTGATGTTTTAATTTAGGTTCTTTAAGATGGAAAGAATCCCTTCAATGATTAGGAGAGACATAAGATGAAAATAAAGATTTTAAGAGAGAGACCATGAGTGGTGGGCCAATACCTTTATTGGTCCAGGGCATTATCCAAACAGGTTTCCCTCAGGGAGTTTTAACTGGTGGGTTTAAAGCAATCAGGCATGAATTCCAATAGGTAACGCTGTGTCTGAGAGGTGGTCACTGTGGCATATCTGCACAGTGCATGCAGGGTGTGGGGGTCAGCAGAGCCAGTCAAGAGGTTGTATCTAGCTATCTTATAGAGAAGTGATCACCAAGAGGAAGTTGTCTAAGACACATATCTGGATCAACCACATTATGAAACTGGGGGTGGGGAGGGTGTAGAACTGGAAACTGTGGCCAGGCGCGGTGGCTCATGCCTGTAATCCCAGCACTTTGGGAGGCCGAGGTGGACAGATCACGAGGTCAGGAGTTCGAGACCAGCCTGGCCAATATGATGAAACCCCGTCTCTACTAAAAATACACAAAAATTAGCCGGATGTGGTGGCACATGCCTGTAGTCCCAGCTACTCCGGAGGCTGAGGCAGAAGATTCACTTGAACCTGGGAGGCAGAGGATGCAGTGAGCCGAGATCGCACCACCGCACTCCAGCCTGAGTGACAGAGTGAGACTCCATCTCAAAAAAAAAAAAAAAAACCCACTGGAAACTGTGTAAAGGGTGACTGAGCCCTGATTCTGGTAAGGAAAATTAAACTTATATTTAAAATAAATGCCCAGACGACTTAAAATGATAAGAATTCACTGAAGCAGTTCTCAATAGAAAATGTCTAGCTGTACCAACAGACATATGAAAAAATGCTCATCTTCACTGGTCATCAGAGAAATGCAAATCAAAACTACAATGAGATACCATCTCAAGCCAGTTAGAATGGCGATCATTAAAAAGTCAGGAAACAACAGATGCTGGAGAGAATGTGGAAAAATAGGAACACTTTTACATTGTTAGTGGGAGTGTAAATTAGTTCAACCATTGTGGAAGACAGTGTGGCAATTCCTCAAGGATCTAGAACTAGAAATACCATTTGACCCAGCGATCCCATTACTGGGTATATACCCAAAGGATTATAAATCATGCTGCTATAAAGACACATGCACATGTATGTTTATTGTGGCACTATTCACAATAGCAAAGATTTGGAACCAACCCAAATGTCCATCAATGATAGACTGGATTAAGAAAATGTGGCACATATACACCATGGAATACTATGCAGCCATAAAAAAGGATGAGTTCATGTCCTTTGCAGGGACATGGATGAAGCTGGAAACCATCATTCTCAGCAAACTATGACAAGGACAGAAAACCAAACACCGCATGTTCTCACTCATAAGTGGGAGTTGAACAACGAGAACACATGGACACAGGGTGGGGAACATCACCCATCGGGGCCTGTTGGTGGGTGGGAGATTGGGGGAGGGATAGCATTAGGAGAAATACCTAATGTAAATGATGAGTTGATGGATGCAGCAAACCAACATGGCACATGTATACCTATGTAACAAACCTGCATGTTCTGCCTATGTACCCTAGAACTTAGAGTATAATAAAAAAAAAAAAAGAAAAAGAAAAATAAGGTCACGTGCACTGGCCTAGATAAAAAAAAAGTCTAGCTGTAAACACCCTCATTCCAACAGAAAAATTATCTCAAGTCAATAAGCTAACTTTAGATTTTGAGGAGCTAGGAAAAAAAAGGAAACTGAGGCCACAGCTAACAATAGAAGAAGAGATGGTTGAAATACAGAACATAAAAATACAGGAAATCAATGAATTCAAAAGTTGGTTCTTTGAAAAAATCAACAAAATTTACAACTAATAATAGCTAAACTGACCAACAGAAGACACAAAGAAGTAGAATCAGAAATGAAAGTGGGGTATTACAACTGAATCAACAGGAATTAAAAAGATTATAAGAGAATACTATGAAGAAATGCATGCTGATGTGACAATGCAGATGAAATGAACGTATTCCTAGAAACAAACTACCAAAACTGACCCAAGAAACAGAAAATCTGAACAGACCTATACCAAGTGAACAAATTGAATCACCAATCAAGAAGTAAAAGCCCAGAAGCAAATGGCTTCACTGGTGAGTTCTACTGAACATTTAAAGAAGAATTAACACCAATCCTTCTCTAACTCTTCCAACATATAGAGGAGAAAACCATTTCTAATTCACTATGTGAGGCCAGCATTTGCCTGAAACCAAAACAAGACAAAGACATTGTAAGAAAAAAAAAGTGCTGGTCAATATCCCAAATCAATACAGATGCAAAACTCCTCAACAAAATACTAGCAAACCAAATCCAACAGCATATTTAAAGGATTATTACCACGACCAAGTTGGATGCATCCCACAAATGCAGGGGTGGTTCAATATACAAAAATCAATGTAACCACATTAATAGAATGATGGGGGAAAAGCACATTATTTCGATTGATGGAAAAAATGTATTTGACAAAATCCTGCACTGTTTCATGGTAAAAAACAAAACACTCAAAAAACATGGAGGGCAATTTCCTCAACATAGAGCATTTATGAAAAACCCACAGCTAACATCAAACTCAATAGTGAAAGTATGAAAGCTTTTCCTTTAATGTTAGAGATAAGACAAGCATGCCTGCATTTGCCACTTCTATTCAATGTCATACTGGAAGTTCTAGCCAGGGCAATTAGGCAACACAGAGAAATAAAAGGCATCCAAATTGGATAGAAAAAGTTTAAACTATCTCTATTCACAGATGACATGATCTTATATATAGAAAATTGTGATGAATCCTCAAAATACGATTAGAGCTAATAAAAATACAGCAAAGTTGCAGTATAATAAATCACACTACAATCAGTATTTCTATACTCAAGCAATGAACAATACAAATAGGAAATTAAGAAAATAATTCCATTTGAAGTGGCATGATAAAAAATACTTAAGAATAGGTTTTAAAAATGTACAAGGCTTGTACATAGAAAACTACAAACATTGATGAAAATTTAAAGACATACAAAAATGGAAACTAATCCTGTGTTAATGGGTTTGAAGGCTTAATATTGTTAAGATGGCAATACTCCCCAAAGTGATGTACAGATGCAAGGCAATCCTATCAAAATCTCTATGACCTCTTTTGCAGCAATGGAAAATCTCATCTTAAAATTCATGTGTAATTGCAAAGGACCCTAAATAGTCAAAGCAATCTTGGAAAAAAAAAAAAAACAAAGTAGGAGGACCCACAGTTCCCAATTTCTAAACTTACTGCAGACTATAGTAATCAAAACAGTGTGATACTAGCATAAGAATAAACATGTAGATCAATGGAATAGAATTGAGAGTTCAAAAATTAAACCAATACACCTATATCAATTCATTTTTTGAAAAGGATGCCATTATCATTAAATTGAGAAAGAATGTTTTAATGTATGATATATACTGTATGTATATACTAATAGGATACACACTACTCTGAATCTCCGGAGAATTCTAAGACATATAAATGTCCAACGAGCCTATCAAAAGATACTCAACATCATTAATCATTATGGAAATGCAAATCAAAACCACAGTGAGATACCACTTTATACTCTCTGGGATGGGTATAATACAAAGAGGGAAATGTTAAGTTTTGGCAAGGATGTGGGGTAAATTGGAACCTTTATACCACTGCTGGTGAGAATATAAAATGGTTCAACTGCTATGAGAAACAGTGTAGAGTTTTCTCAATAAGTACAACATAAAATTACCACATAATCCACAAATTCCAATCCTGGTGTTACACCCATAATACTTGAAAATAAGTATTCAAAGGAAACATGTACACAGATGTTCATGGTAGTTCTATGCGCAATAAGCAAAAGGTGGAAACAACACAAATGGCCATGAACTGATATGTGGATGAACAAAATATGGCATATCCTACAATGGGATATTCAACCATAAACGTGAAGTATAGATGCATTTACAACACGGATAAACCTTGAAAACATGCTAATTGAAAGAAGCTGTACACAAAATGGACACATAGTGTACAATTCCATTTGTATGAAATATCCAGAATAGGAGTATATAGTAGGAAAAACACAAACTATCTGTTCTACTATTCTCACAATACTCACAATAGTTTTGACACCACGTGTATGTTTCCCATACTAAGCAATTCTCCAGTGGACACCAACTGAGTGACTACAATTCAATTCTGACATCATCTACCTGGAGTCATATTCCATCGCTTAAGAGCTCATTCCCACAAAACTGTCTTCACTTTAGAGGCCAATTGCAATTCTGGGCTTCTGGAACTGCTAACATACTGGCTGTAAATAGGGGATTCCTACAATTCCCCCCTCAGGTTCAATCATTTGCTATAGTGGCTCACAGAACTCGGGAAACACTTAATACTGCTGATTTATTACAAAGGGTATTTTAAAGGATACAAATGAATAGCTAGATGAAGAGATACATAGCGCAAGGTTCAGATGAGTCCTGAGCACAGGATCTTCTGTCTTCATGCCACCCTCCTGGTATGTGGATGTGTTTAGGACCCCAAAAGCTCCCTGAACCCAGTCCTTTTGTGTTTTTATGGGGGCCTCATTACATAGGCATGGTTGATTAAATCATTGGTCATTGGTGATCAATTCAAACTTCACCCTTCCTATCTTCCTGGAGATCACTTTGGAGATTCCAAGGATTTTAGGACCAGTGAGCCAGGAAATGGGAATGAAGACCTAATATAAATTTATTATAAGTTATAATATTACAATGAGAAATCCATAGAGATATAAAGCATATTAGTGGTTGCCAGGTACTGGACTGGGGCAAAAAGAGAAAGGGAAATGACTTTAATGGGTATGGGGTTTCCTTTTGGGGTAATGAAAATGCTCTGGAATGAGAGTAGTGATGGCTGCACAACATTTTGAATTTGCAAAATACCACTGAATTGTACATTTTAAAATGGTAAATTTTCTGTTATGTGTAGCTTATCACAATAAGAAAAACGGAGGGTGGTTTTGGCCTGTAGTCCCAAGCTTGGTGACCCTTGCTCTAGGTATTTAAAAATGTATATTTGACTTTCACAATCTACCTAGATGCAATGTTTTACTATTCTATTTGGAATGTTGAAGCTGTCATTTTATAGGTTCCTTTACCCTGCTGTCTTTATGCTAATTGTCATATATATACATATACTGAAAACTCATCAGACATTTTTATGTTCGTTGCTGTTAAATACAATTTTTTAAAATGCAAGAAAAGTGGCCTATCATGTTTACCCAATTGATTGCTGTTTCTTTTATTCTTCCTTCATCCCCAATGTTCCACATTTCCTTCAAGGTAACATTTTCTTCCTGTCTGAAAAGGCTTTTTCACAATTCTCTTAATGCATATCTGCTGGCTATAAATTCTCTTAGATTTATTTTATCTGGGAACATCTTTATTTCACATCTTTCCCCCTGAACATTATTTCACTGGATATAAATTTGGAATTGATAGATCTTTTCTTCTTTCATTTGAAAAATGTTGTGCCACTTCTTTCTGGCTCCTGTGGTTTCTGATGACAAGTCCAAAGTCATCTGAATCCTTTCTTCCCCATATGCAATGGACCATTTTTCTCTGGCTATTTTCAAGATTTTTCGTGTGTGTCTTTAGTTTTTGGCAATTTGATTAGGATATTTCTTGGCATGAATTTCTCTTGGTTTATCTGTTTGAGATTTGCTCAGGTTCTTGAGTGGGCAGGTTTATACCTTTGCCAAACTTGGGAAAATTTATTCCATTATTTATTCAAAAATTTTTTTTCAGCAGCACTGTCTTTCTTCTCTCTTTGTAAGGCTCTGAGAATGCAAATGTTTAAAAAGTGGGCAAAGGACATGAACATATGCTTTTCAAAAGAAGACCTACATGCAGCCAATGAGCATATGAAAAGAATGCTCAACGTTGCTAATCATTAGGGAAATGCAAATGAAAACCAGAATGAGATACAGTCTCACACCAGTCAGAATGGCTACTATTAAAAAGTCAGGAAATAACAGATGCCGGCAAGGTTGCGGAGAAAAGGGAACACTTATACCTTGCTGGTGGAAATTGTAAATTAGCTCAGCCATTGTGGAAAGCAGTTTAGTAATTTCTCAAAGAATTCAAAGCAGAATTACCATTCTACCCAGCAACTCCATTATTGGGTTCATACCCAAAGGAGTATAAATCATTCTACCACAAAGCCACATGCATGTGCACGTTCCTTACAGCACTACTCACAATAGCAAAGACGTAGAGTCAACCTAAACGCCCGCCAATGGTAGACTAATAATGACAATCTGATACATATACACCATGGAATGCTATACAGTCATCACAAAGAACAAGATTATGTGCTTGGAAGCAACATGGCTAGAGCTGGAAGCCATCGTCCTAAGCAAACTAACACAGGCAAAGAAAATCAAATACCTCATGTTCTCACTTATAAGTGGGAGCTAAAAATTGAGTACATATGGACACAAAGAAAGGAGCAACAGACACTGGGGCCTACTTGAGGGTGAAGGGTGGAAGTGGGGTGAGGATGGAAAAACTACTTATCGGGTACTATGCTTATTACCCGGGTAATGAAATAAACTGTACACCAAACCCCCGTGACACACAATTTACCTATACAACAAACCTGCACATGTACCCTTAAACCGAAAATAAACGTCAAAAAAACCCCAGCAAATATATATTGGTAAAACAATCTTTGTAAACTTGTAAGTTTATATTTCCTTATTCTTTTGTAAGTAGTGAAAGGCGAACTGTTTTTTCCTCTGGAAACAAAAAAGATGTTGGCCAGGGCCCAGTTTTCCTTTGGAGGCCTGACTGGTGTTAGGTCTGTTTCTGAGTTTACTCTGGTTGTTAGGATCTACTTCCTTGTGTCTCTTAGGCTGAGGATCATGATTCTTATTGATTACCAGTTAGAGGACATGCTGAGCTCCTACAAGCTGCTCTGGAATTCCTTACCACATAGCCCTCTCCATAAGCTGCCTCACAACATGGAAACTTGCTTCTTCAAAGCCAGCAAGAGAGAAAGACAGCAAGTCTAGCAAGATGGGGTCTTTCATCACAGGAGTAGCATCCCATCACCTCTTTCATATAACGTAGCATAACCATGGGAGTGACATTCCATTATCTTTGCTATATTCTATTAATTAGAAGCAAAGTCACAGATCTTTCTCACATTCAAGGGGAGTATGTTATACAAATGCATACATAACAGGAGGTGGGGATCATGGAGTCCACCTTAAAGTCTGTTTGCCACACCAACACTGTATTTTTACATTTGTTGCAAGAATAAGATCTCTTTTATGAGCACTTTTATAATAGCTGTATTTGTCAGATAATTCAAACATTTGTGTCATTTCTGTTTTCATGTTTGTTTGTTTCCCACTACACTTGGAATTTTCGAGGTTTTTAATATGTCTAGTAACTTTGGATTTATCTTGTCATTTTGAAAATTATGAAACTCTGGGTCTCTCCTAAACTCTATGGAGAATGTTGATGTTTTGCTATAGTAGGTAGTCAACCTGATTAACTTCTGGCCCCAGGCACCAATTTGCCTTCTGTTGCTCATGGTTCCTATTGCAGTTAAGCTTTCATAGACTTTGCAGTACTATTCAAATCTGTCTTGTGGAGTGCACCACTCCCAGTAGCCAGTCTGAGTCTTAGGGAGTGGTCTATCAGTTACTTCAGTTCTCAAAATATTTGGTAGGCTAATTAAGATCAGATTCATGCATGCACAGCTCACATGTTAGCCCTGGAACTCATATGAAAAAAAACTTCATAGGGTGTTTTCCCAAGCTACTGCCTCTCTGCAACCTTTCTGGTGCTTTTTGCTTCCTTGAGTCTCCTTTATTTGGCCCTTCAGCCAGAAATGTAGTTCTCTTATAACCTTGGTTTATCATTCTCTGTCATTCACTTTTGTGATTGGGCTCATTTCCTGGCCCAAGAAAGGAAGGGCAGAGAGAGGAAAAGGTTAACATATGTTTACCCCCACCCTCTTAGGACCACAGCTCCATCAAATGGACAGGATTGGCTCCCTTCCCTCCGAGGTTTGGTTCTTGAGGTTTTGTCATTTATACTACAAGATTTCCTGGGGTCTGAGGCATGAGAGAACAAAAAAGAAAGAGGGGGAAAAATGGGAGTTCTGCACTCTCTCTGAGCATTAGGAGCTACCATTTTTGGCCCTCGAGACAGTACTAGAGGGCTTCTCCTGGAGCTGTCTGTCTATACTGGTGCCCACTTCTGCATTTTGGTCTGTGCTGAGTTCAGGATAGGCAATATTAAAGGGAAAAGGGGTAAAATAAAAAGTAAACTCACTGCTGATACACTGGTAATTCTACTACTGGTGTTCTTTCCTTCTCTGTCTTGCTACTGTTTACCTTTCAGACGCCTCAAATAGCTGCCCATGTATTCTGTCCTGGTTTGATAGTTGTGTTCGGGGGGCAGACAGGGTGAAGCAAGCTCACTCTATCTTACTCAGGACCAGAACTCCTGCAGTAGATTCTTTACTGCCCACGTTGCTTCTTCTGTGTAGCCCTTCTTACAAACCATTCTCTACATAGCAACTGGAGTGGTCATAAAAACCCTCAATAAGATTATATCACTCCCTTACTTAAACCCTCTGAGTGGGGGCCAGGCAGGGTGGCTCACACCTGTAATCCCAGCACTTTGGGAGGCCGAGGTGGGCGGATCACGAGGCCATGAGATCGAGACCATCCTGGTTAACATGGTGAAACCCCGTCTCTACTAAAATACAAAAAGTTGGCCGGGCATGGTGGCGGGCACCTGCAGTCCCAACTACTCGGGAGGCTAAGGCAGGAGAATGGCGTGAACCCGGGAGGCAGAGCTTGCAGTGAGCGGAGATCACGCCACTGCACTCCAGCCTGGGTGACAGAGCGAGACTGCTGTCTCAAAAAAACAAAAAAACAAACAAACAAACAAACAAAAAACTCTGAGTGGGTTTCTCATTTTACTTAAAACAAAACCAACTCCTCATGATGGCCTACAAAATCCTACATGATCTGAGCCGTGCCTCTCTCTCCAAACTAATATCACATCCTTATCCCTCACTTGTATCATCAGCCCCATGCATCGTCTTTCAGTTCTTAGGGTAAGGCAAATGCAATTACTCCTTTGAGATTTGCATTTGCTGTGCTGTCTTTCTGGGATGCTCTTCTCTAAGATCTTTGCATGACTGCCCACTTTTTTTTTTAATTTAGGTCTCAGCTCAAATGCCACTTCCTCAGATAGTCCTTTTCAGACAACTTAATCTAAAGTAACTTAACCCTTTCCATCGCTTTGTTCTATTACCTTCAGAGAACTTACCACTTCCTATTATGTAATCCCTATATTTGTTCACTTGTTTGTTTTCCTTTTACCACTGAAATTTCAGCTCTCTGAGGGCAGGGATCTTGTCTTTCTTGTTCACCACTATATCCTCAATGTGACTAGAATAGTATTTTACACATAGTACATGATAAAAAATAATTGTTCAATGAATATATTTCCAATCTTATTTTCATGTGTGTATTTTAAAACCATAAAACATTTTTGTAAAAGCTATGTTTAATAGGGTTTTATATTCTGTTTCATTAAATATACTTCAACAACATCACCTCAAGAGTTGCTTCATTGCACTGGGTGCTTTTGTGTGAAGTAGTCTAACAGTTTGCATCTCTGGTATCTGATTTGCTTTGGGCTGAAATTGTAATTTTGTCTTTGTTCACCTTGTCATTTTCTCATCCTTTTATTTCTTTTAAGATTTTAGACATTGGATTTTCATAAAGCACTTCTTCACTGCAACTATTTTATTTATTGTATTACTTGACTATTTCCCCCTTAAGAATAGAAGTTCCAGAGTAGCTGTTTTGTCCACTGCTGTATCCTCAATTTCCAGAACAGGCACTCTATAAATGTTTGTTGAGTGAACACATCATATTTAATTTATTTAATTGCCTCATTTGTAAAATGGAGATGGTGATACTTATGTCAATGAATGCTGGGAAGAGCAGTAGAGCTATATCATGGTGTGGATACTAAAGGGCAAATTAGATGCCTTGACTAGCTGCGAGTCTGAGTCCTGCACACCAGCTTCCACAATGATGCTAAATCAAATCTGTGTTTCAGAAAAATTGCAAACTACCACCTGAAGTAGAACACTGACATTGCACTTATATAGTTCAAACTGCAAATTGTTAAAAGTGCCAAATTTCAACTCCATGGAAAGGTAATGAATCCCCTAAAGGAATTTTTTAGATGGGAAATAGGAGTGAAATAGATCATGAAACATCTCATTACAAAAGTTGAGGAATTGGAGAACTTGACTTGATTTGACAGGCAAAGGAACAATTTGAAATTTCTGAACAGGTAGGCAGTGTGATAAAAATGAGGTTTGCATGTGAGTCTATTTTTCACTGCAAAGAGAGACCCCCAACTGTTCAATGCTATTATTTTTGGTGGTGCTTTTGGTCTGGTAAATGAGAAGGGCTGTGTTATGGATTGGATATGTGTGTCCCACTCAAATTCATAAATCGAAGCTCTAACCCCTAGTGTGATTATATTTGGAGATTAGGTCTTTGAGAAGTGATTAGTTTTAGATTAGGTCATGAAGGTGAGGTCTTCATGATGAGATTAGTGTCCTTAAAGAAGAGAGAATGGCTGGGCATAGTTGCATATGTGCATATGCATATGCATATTATGTGCATAGCTCATGCACATAATCCTAGCACTTTAGGAGGCTGAGGGGGGAGGATCACTTGAGCCCAGGAGTTTTAGACCAGTCTGGCAACATAGCCAGACCCTGTCTTTACAAAAAATAGAAAAAAATTAGCCAGGTATTGTGGTGCATGCCTGTGGTCCCAGCTACTTGGTAGGCTGAAGAAGAGGATCGCTTGAGCCCAGGAGTTTGAGGCTGCAGTGAGCCATGATTGTGCCATTGCACTCCAGCCTGGACAACAGAGCAAGACCCTGTCTTAAATATATATATATATATATATATATATATATATATATATATATATATATGAGAGAAAGCGGGAGAGCTCCCTTGTATGAGCACAGAGGACAGGCCATCTGCAAGTCAGGAATAGAGTCCTCACCGGGAACTCAATCATCCTGGCACCCTGATCTCAAACTTACAGACTCTAGAACTGTGAGAAAATAGATTTCTGTTGTTTAAGCCATCTAGTCTATGGTATTTTGTTATGGCAGTGAGATCTGACTAAGACTGGTAGCTGGCTTCTTTGTAGGATCTTCAGTATTGGCAAAGGCTTCCCAGAAGCTGTGTTTGACTGGGGCAGTGGAAGGTAGTTATGAGGGACTTTTTTATAGCTGTATTTGGATATTGAGAATATTTTGTTATGTTTCTTGATCTGTAAAATGCCAACACTTTAAAGCTAGTATGTGTTCTAAAGCCCCTCCTTTTCATACACACTCTTTGAGGCTACGTCTGCTTGGGTGGCTCTTTGCTTTTCATTCAATAATTACCTTTCTCAGTATGCTGCAGAGAGCTTGGAAAGTACTGATGTCTCATTCAGTGATTCATCCTATTTATTGCCTAATTTAGAAGGACAGTGAAAGCACTCGTAATTACTTTGTGATTTTCCACATTGACAGCTTAGCTAAGATATGGCAAGTCCCGAAGTAATTCAAAGTACTTTCGAGTTCTTTGCAGACTGACAGAGTACGTGCCTAGAAAGAACATTACAGAGACGAACCTTAACACTAGAATCTCCTGTAGTATCTGCTATCACTCCTCTCCCAAGCCACGGGCTATAAGGAAATTTCCTTTATATTCTGCCTCCCCCAAGATGGTTTGTCAGTACAATGACCACCTTAAGTCTAAGGTCTAGGCTTTATATAACCGTATGCTTCAAGGGCACCCTTAAAAGACCTCCCGCCTCCAAATCTCCTCCCACTGCCTAAACATTTAAACTTTTATAAATGAATTTATGTATGACATTACCAAGAACATATGCTAAAATTATTTATGATAAAGATCAAAGTAACTGTCAAATTCTTGAGGTCATCCTTTTTTTGTCTATTTTTTGAATCCACCTTATCATGATTCTTTCCATATCTTAAACAAGCCACAGTTTAATTAAAAGATGCCTTCTGCATCTACATGACTCCTCTTTTAAAATGCAAATTCTTTTTTTTTTTTATTTTGAGGCAGGGTCTTACTCCTATCACCCAGGCTGAAGTGCAGTGGTGCCATCACAGCTCACTACAGCCTTGACTTCCTGGGCTCAGGTGATTCTCCCACTTCAGCCTCTTGAGTAGCTGGGACTACAGGCCGGCACCACCACGCCTGGCTAATTTTTGTATTTGTAGTAGAGATGAGGTTTCACCATGTTGCCCAGGCTGGTCTCAAACTCGTGGGCTCAAGCAATCCTCCTGCCTCAGCCTTCCAAAGTGCTAGGATTACAGGCCTAAGCCACCATGCCTGGCACAAATTCCTTTTTTAAAAAAAAAACAAAAAAACGGAGATGTGATCTTGTTTCCAAGCCAAACTGAGGGTCAGGCTGCTATTTCTCGTGGCCCAATAACGAGATGCAGACGAACTGGGGAGGAAGAGAGTTTTTATTTCTGCAACCAGTTACAGGGAGAAGGCCTGGAAATTATTGCCAGATCAACTCAAAAGTACAACGTTTTCCAGAGCTTACATACCTTCTAAGCTGTAGGTCTACCTGTAAGTGTGCATTCGTCTAAAGACATAAGTGATTAACTTCTTTTAATCTATAACTAAGGTCTGAGTCCTGAAGACCTTCTTCTGGAGGCTCAATAAGTTTACTTAATCTAAATGGGTCTAGATGCTAGGGTGATTACCCTTATCTTGTCTCCTGCTAAATCATAAAGGTTTGGGGAGTTCCTTTAGACCCCAATAAACTTGTTTGTGGAGGCCTGGGGAGTTTCTTCAGACTCACAATAAAACACTTGTTTAATCCTAAAAGGGTCCTGTTAAGAATTCCTTCATTAGTTTGTCATGCTTCAAGGCCCAGGAAAAGCCTAGGGAAAACTCTTGGTGGGCTATTTGTTACATTCCAGCCTTTGTATAAGAGCACTGGCTCAATCAGCTTTTAATGTTTAACTTAGCTACTCACTCAGTGCTGGGACAGTTGTAATGGAGGCCTACATTAGTGAGACCTGGCCTGCCACAGTCTCGCTATGTTGCCCAGTCTGGTCTTAACTCCTGGGCTCAAGCCATCTTCTTGCCTCAGCCTCTCAAAGTACTAGGATTATAGGTGTGAGCTACTGTGCCTGGCCCACAAATTCTTTGTAAGAAAGGAGTTAGGCTGGGTGCAGTGGCTCACACCTGTAATCCCAGCACTTTGGGAGGCTGAGGCAGATGGATCACGAGGTCAGGAGTTCAAGACCAGCCTGGCCAAGATGGTGAAACCCCATCTCTACTAAAAATACAAAAAATTAGCTGGGCATGGTGGCAGGTGCCTATAATCCCAGCTACTTGGGAGGCTGAGGCAGAGAATTGCTTGAACCCAGGAGGCAGAGGTTGCAGTGAGCTGAGATCGCATCACTGCACTCCAATCTAGGTGACAGAGCAAGACTCTGTCTCAAAAAAAAAAAAAAAAAGAAAGAAAAGAAAAAAGAAAAAAAAGAAAGGAGTTAAGCCATTTGAATCCATGAGCATCTTAGGATGAGTTCATGTGGTTTGGTGGTCAGAGCACGGCCGTGAAGTCATATATCTGGGTTCAAATCCCTTCTCTTCCATTTATTAGAACTGTGACCTTGGTCAAATCCCTTTTATTATTTGGGCCTCAGTTTCCTAAGGATAATGTTTCTTAATTCATAGAGTTTTGGTGAGGGGAGGTCCAGTTTATGTGGAGTGAGGGGAGGTCCAGTTATGTGTAGACATCGGGTGGCCGGCTTTGGAGATTCCAAGCTTTATCAGAGGTTGGTAATAGGGTGGAAAGAGCAGTAGGAAGTGGGCATAGGCTAGACGACTTATTTGTGCTGTTTTAATGTGGCCATCACACCTTTTTTACCCATCTGATATATTTATTGAGGGTAGCTAATGCTGATATGGAGGAATAGAGCTAAAGCCCTTGAAGCTACCTGTAGGTGCTGCCACTGGAGCTCATGAATAGGCCAATGTCTAAAGAGGTCCTTGAACACAAACTTGCTGAACTTATACTTCTATAGAGGGCTATATCTAGGATGCTGCTAATGATAACAACAACAACAAAAAAAAATCTGACATCTATGTAGTGTTTATTACATGCGAGGTTCTGTTCTAAGCACTTTATATATATAAATTCCATTTCATCATTATGAAACCCCTAAGAGGCAGATATGACTATTATCTACATTTTACAAATGAGGAAACTGTTGGATGACAGAGATGTGATGAAGACAGGGAATCTCATATTTTTTAGGTCTTTTAGAAGCAGGACTTTGATCTGTCTCTTTGCTCCTAATCTTAGCAGTTGCCTTTCTAGTAACAGTATACAGTCCAGTATAACAGCCACTGCATTTTAAATCTGGCTGAGTCACTAAGTCTCAAGGTTCCAGCCATGGCAGCCTGGATATATAGAAAAGCCCAAATAAATAGGGATAGGGCCAGCAGTTTAGTGAGGGGACAGCAGAATTTGTCTATGGAGCTCAAATCCATGCTGTCCCAGATCATTCCACTCCCTCAAACACCCTGTGATTGTTAATTTTATGTGTCAATTTGGCTATACAGTAGTCATCACTTATACTCAGGGGATATGTTCAAGACCCCCAGTAGATGCCTGAAACAGCAGTTAGTACTTCAACTCATTTGCCATCAATTGGAACATGTTTCTGTTCATGTCCTTCACCCACAAATGTAATGTCTTTTCTACCTTAACTAAGCACTTGTGAAACATTATGGCCATCATGTTTGCAGTTTGAGGTGGGACAGGACAACAGAACTAAATGAATTTCTTTCTCCTTTTTCACAATTTCACAGATAGAAGATTTGCTGTTACTCTAGATCTTAGCAACCTCAGCATACAGTTTTTCTTTTGTTCGTTAAGTGAAAAACTTTCACATTTTCACTTAAAAAAGCATTTTATGGCTTTTCTTTGGCATGTCCAAATTGCTAGCATCACTACTCTTTTACTTTGGGGCCATTACTAAGTAAAATAGGGGTGACTTGAGTATAAGCACTCTAATACCACAATAGTCATCTAATAACCAAGCCAGTTACTAAGTGACTAATGGGCAGTCAGTGTGAAAGGGATGATTCATGGCCTGGGCGGCATGGAGTGGGATGGCAAGAAATTTCATCACACTACTCAGAATGACCCACAATTAAAAACTTATGAATTGTTTATTTCTGGAATTTTCCATTTAATATTTTCAGAACATGGAAACCACAGAAAGTGAAATTGTAGATAAGCAGGGGGACTACTGTACTTTGGTGCCCAGCTGTTTGTCAGATACTAGTCTAGACCTTGCTATGGAGGGTTTTTGCAGATGTGATTAATATTTGCTGTCAGTTGACTTTAGGTAAAGGAAATTACCCTTGATAATGTACATGAGCCTGATTCTATCAGTTGAACACCTTAAGAGTAAAAACTGAGGTTTCTTCAGAAAGAAGGAATTGTGCTTTGAGGCTGTGACATAGAAATTCTGCCTGAGTTTCCAGCCTACTGGCCTGCCTTTTAGACTTTGAATTTGCCAGCCATCACAATCATGTGAGCTAATTCCTTAAAATAAATCTATTTATGTACATATTTCTTATTAGTTCTGTTTCTTTGGAAAGCTCTAATTGATACATACCACATGGCCTTCTCTCTTTGGCAGTGACTATTTACTGCAGTTTGAAAATGAGCATGGCCCTCCCCCTGCTACCTGCTTAATATGTGTGATGTGGAGCAAGCTATTGAGCCACTTGGGACCTTAGTTCCTCTTCTGTCAAATGAATATATTTGATCCCTACCTTACTGGCTGATATTCAGAAAACATGATAACTGGTACGGCATGGGCTCCAATCAATCAGAATGTATTCTGGTAAAAAAGACAACTGGTCAGCCATACTAATTAAAAATCAGCCCTAGCTCATCATGAGGATGCATTGTGTGTGGGTACATCTTACAAACTCACAAACTCATATTCTTTTTTTTTTTTTTTTTTTTTTAGACAGAGTCTCGCTCTGTTGCACAGGTTGGAGTGGCGTGATCTCGGCTCACTGCAACATCTGCCTCCCAGGTTCAAGCAATTCTCCTGCCTTAGCTTCTGGAGTAGCTGGGATTACAGGTGCGTGCCACCACGCCCAGCTAATTTTTGTATTTTGAGTAGAGACGGGGTTTCACCGTGTTGCCCAGGCTAGTCTTGCACTCCTGACCTCAGGTGATCCACCTGCCTCGGCCTCCCAACAAACTCATATTCTTATTCCAAATTTATAGTTCTTGGTAGATTGCAGGAATGTGTGTTTTTAACAAGTTCTCCAGAGATTCTCCTTATTGAAAAAGCCTGGAAGATACTGAAATGATGTCCAGGGTCTAATATACATGGTAGGTTCTCAATACATTTTAGAAATCACTTCTTCCCATCAAAACCCCTTGGGACAAGGTGTGACTTAATTAGTTATTTCATCACTGGAACAAGAACAAACCTCTAACTGATGACACACTCAGATTAAGAGAAAGTACATGAGGGTTATAAATCATACTGCAATGTATAAACATTTTATTAATGTGAACTCTAGTTTGTGAAAATGGGGAATTTTCCCACAATGAAGAGAAGAAATAAAAAGAGAGTGATATAATGTGGGCCAGGTGGCCTCTGATGCTTCAATCTAGAAGTTCAGGAACCTGGGTTCACTCTGACTCTCCCAGAAACTAGTTACGTGACTATACACGAGACACAAAACCTCTCTGAACCCCCATTTGTTCATTTATAAAATGGAGATTTTGAAAATAAGAGTTGCCCAATTTCTATCATAGGATATTTTGATAATCAAATGGGACTAGATACCAAAAAGAGCATTTAGCAAATCACCTAGTCCAACTTCCTCATTGTATAGAAAGAGAACTGAGGCCCCCAAGAGAAAAGGGAAATGCTCATAGTCTTTAAGCTATTCAGGGTCACTCCTATGAGTGGCATTATGATCTCTTAATGCTACCACAGAAAAAGCACAACTTTGAAGTAAGTCAAACCTAGGTTTGAATCCCTGTTCTTGCACTCGCCCTGTGACCTTAGACAAGGTACCTCAACTCTCTGTTCCTTAGTTTCTTCAATTTTAAAATAGGTACAAAAATAATTCCTACTTCATAGGGTTGCATTGAACAACAAAGGATGGAAGGCTGTGGCAAATAGTAATGGCCCAGTAATGCCGATGCTTTTCATTCCTCATCCAGTGCTCCTTCTCTAATTCTACTGACATCTCATGCCAGTTTCCAGATCACATGGAGTCCCTGTGTTTCCTTGTGATAGAAAACATGGCAAGTGTAAGAGTGGGGTCACAGTATGGAGTGGGGGTAAGACCCTTTTTTGGTAGATACATCACCATTTTCCTCCAAAGAATGGACCTGTGCTCAGGTATCCAAATTATGTGCTAAGGTCCACTTCTTCATGAAAATTCTTCTGGAGTTTAGATGACTTGTCAACCCAAAAAATATTGGAACTGCAATATGTATGGTTCCTGTGATTGGTGCTGAGCCTATTCCCATGAAAAAGAGGGTCTGTTTTTCAAAGATGGCTTTTAAATGACATATGATACATCTGCTATCAGCCTGGCCTTAGTTCAAACTCTCATGTTCAATAGAGAAAGAGTCGTTTTCTCTTTCAACCAACCAATTTAATCTTTTCAAGATGTGGGCATTGCGTACAAAAAACTAGGGTGCTGAATGTGGACCACAGAGCTGTAGGTGAAAGACCCAAATACTCTCTCCAGAATCATGTGTTCTTGACTCTAGTTGAACGTCCAATTGGACAGTACAGAGTTAGAAAAAATTCTCCTACAATTTCTTGCTGAAAACCCAAGATTTATGCTCTTTGACTAAGACAGTTCTCTGCTAGGAATTGAGCCTGAGAAAATGATTTAATGTTCATTTATTTGACAAATATTCATTGAGCATCTATTATATGCTAGTTACTATTCTAGGATCTGGGATACATCAGTGAACAAATGAGACAAGGGGCCTTGCTCTTCTTGATTAAGTTCAAAATAGGACCAATTGATAATAATAAAAATAACTAAGTAAATGAGGTCATATGCACAGATGATGATAAGAGCTTTGCAGAAAAGAAAAAAATAGATCAGAGTCCTTGCATGTAGGCATTTCCATATTGTGGCTGTTGTGTAATTGCACTAATTGTCTTGCATTCAGGGAATGAGAAGATTGAGTGCATTATGGTACATTAACTAGAAAGAATGTTATACATCCATTAAAACAATAAATGCAAAACTATACAGCAACATAGATCAGTGTTTATAAAATAATGGTAAAAGGGGAACCAAACTGCATATACACTATAATTACAGCTATGTAACAAAGTATATGCACATATGAATAAAGATTGAAAGGAGATCTAGAGAAATAAAAGCAATTGTGTTCAGGATGGGGGATTATGGGTACACCTACTTACTTGTAAAATATCCTTTGATGCTGTGCTAATTATACATTATTTAAGATGAAAGCCAAAAAGCCCCAAAAGGATAAAAAGAATAAAAGATAGGGAGCATAATGGTTGCCTGAATGCTGAGTTAAAGAGCTGTGTGGGGAAAATTACTTTCTGTGCCACTTACTTGAAAACTAGCTTTCTTTTGAATTCTTGGAAATGAGCTTTGGTCACCCATAATGATCAGCCTCAGAATTTTTCTCCTAAGTGCCAGAGCTGAAGCTTAAGGCTGTATATATTGTACACTGCACAACTTCAGGGGGCACCATTTACATCGTAGTCCATAAAATGGTGTTTCCTGTAGTTGCAGAGTATACAATTTGCAAAATCATACATTACAGCCCTATCAAGAGCTAGTAACTCAGTATTATCAGCCATGGCTAGTTTGGAACATACCTTATCCATCTAGCACATCCCTGATTATAAAGGCTGTATTGAGATATAATTTATATGCCAGACAATTTCCCCATTTAAAAGGTACAATTAGGTGGTTTTAGTATACGCACAGAGTGTGTAACCATCAGGACAATCAGTTTTAGACCCCGTTCATAACCCCGTGAAGAAATCATGTATTCTTTATCCATAACCCCTAAATCCCCATTCCCATCAGCTCTAGGCCATTACTAATATACTTTCTGTCTCTATAGATTTGCCTATTCTGCACATTTAATATAAATGGAATCATACAATATGCAGTCTTTCGTGATTGGCTTCTTTCCCTTAGCATGTTTTCAAGGTCCATCCATGTTGTAGCATGTATCAGTCCTTCAATCCTTTTTATGGCTGAATAATATTCAATCACATGGTTTTATAAACAAAATCACATTTTGTTTATTAATCAGTTGATGGATATTTGGGTTATTTCTATATTTTGGCTTTTGTGAATACTGCGGCTGTAAACATCCTAATACAAGTTTTTGTGTGGACATGTGCTTTCATTTCTCTTGGGTGTATACCTAGGAGTGGAATTGCTAGGTCAAATAGCAACTCTAGGTATAACTTTTTGAGGAACTGCGAGACTATTTTCCAGAGTGTCTGCACCATTTTACATTCCCACCAGCAGTTTATAAGGGTTAAATTTCTCTATGTCCTCATGGACACTGGTAGTATCCTATTGTGGTTTAGATTTGCATTTTTCTGGTGACTAATGTTAAACATCTTTTCATGAACCTATAGACCATTTGTATATCTTCTTTCAGAAGTGTCTATTCAAATCATTTGACTATTTTTTCATTTGGGTGATTTGTCTTCTTATCATTGAGTTGCAAGCATTCTTTACATATTTTAGGTACATTTCAGATATAAGTCCCTTGTCCAATATATAGTTTATGTATATATCATCTCTCATTATTTGAATTTTCTTTTCACTTTCTTTTTTGAGATGGAGTTTCACTCTTGTTGCCCAGGCTGGAGTGCAATGGCACCATCTCGGCTCATCGCAACCTTTTGCCTCCTGGGTTCAAGCAATTCTCCTGCCTCAGCCTCCTGAGTAGCTGGGATTACAGGCATGTGCTACCATACCCAGCTAATTTTTGTATTTTTAGTACAAAAATGGGGTTTCTCCATGTTGGTCAGGCTGGTCTCAAACTCCTGACCTCAGGTGATCTGCCCGCCTTGGCCTCCCAAAGTGCTGGGATTACAGGCATGAGCCACCACGTCTGGCCTCTTTTCACTTTCTTAATAGTGTCCTTTGAAGCATTAAAAAATCTTAATTTTGATGAAGTCCAATGTATCTATTTTTTTCTTTTGTTGTCTAAGAAACCATTGCCCTATGATTTACCCCTATGTTTTCTTCTAATATTTGTATAATGTAAACACTGGTATTTAGATCTTTATTCATTTTGAGTTAACTTTTGCATATGGTGTGAGATTGAGGCTCAAGTTTGTTTAAATGTGGATATTCAGTTGTTCTAGCACCATTTGTTGAAAAGACTATTATTTTCTCCTTGAATTGTCTCAGCACCCTTGTCAAAACTTGATTTATTGTAAATATGAGAACTCATTTCAAGACTCTCAGTTATATTTTATTGATTTATATGTCTATCATTATGCCAATAAGCAGGGCATCATATGTCCTGCTTCCTGTAGCCTTTGAAGTCAGGAATTATGAGCCCTCCAAATTCGTTCTCCTTTATCATGATTGTTTTGACTATTCTGTGTTTCTTGAGTTTCCATATAAATTTAAGTATTATGTTGTTAATTTCTATAAAGGAGTCAACTGACATTTTGATAGAATTTCCATTGAATTCATAGATCACTTTGAAGAGTATTACCGTCTTAACATTATTAAGTTTTTCTATCTTTGAGCACTGGATGTCTTCCCATTAATTTAGGTGTTCTTTAATTTCAACACTATAAAAGTTTTCAGCGTACATGTCTTGAACTTTTGAATGAATTGTTGAAGTTTCAGAAGACAGAACCTGGGGAGAATATAGAATTTTATCAGGCCAACACCATCTATGATGAGATAATGAGTTTATTCTGTGAAGACACAACTCGTCTCCCAGATAAACCATGATCTTGTTAGCTACATCTTGGCCATGTGATCTTGGGAAGGTTATTAATTCCCTTTGAGCCCCAGTCTCATTTTCAAAATGAAGCTAACAGTACTTTGTAGGGCTGTTGAAAAATTTGGATATGAAAATGCATCTAAAATGGCCCAAAATAGAGCAATAAAAATATTGATTTCCTTTTCTTCTTCCATTTCTATGTATTTCCCCAGAAGTTATTGTTGTATAATAATTATTCTGGTCAAGTTAAGATAAAAAACTTTCTATCTTAAATTTTCTAAGCAACCAATACACATAAATGCAGTTTGTCTTACATGGATATATAATTTGTAAGCTTAGCCCTTAAAATTCCCTGAGATATAAGAGCAATGTACAAAACTCAACTGAATTTCTATACATTTTCAATTAATACCTTTAAAACAAAATTAAGTAATTCCACTTATAATAGCATCAAAAAGAATAAAATATTTGAGAATACATTTAACCAAGGACGTGCAAGCCTTATAAACTGAAAACTGCAACACTTTGTTTAAAAATTTAAAGAATATCTAAATAAATGTGAAAACATCCCATGCTCATTGTTGGGAATAATGCTCAAAATCCTAAGGAGACTGAACACTCAAACAAAGGAGTCTTAGCAAAGCAATTTTACTTCTGTGCAGAGGGGTGCTTCTCCTTGGCCAGTCGCCATGAGAGCACACCTGAACAAAGGGGCAGGAGAGCCTTTATTCCTGACGCAAGTCCTGCCCCTGTACCCTTTCTCCACTGGCTAGGGTTGGGTGGTGCAATCTGAACTAATTCCGGTTGGCTAGACATTTGAACTTTTTTTTTAGATAAGGTGGGCATGTAAGGGAGAGGGTAAAAAAAGGGGAAGGGGTGTCTGCAATGAGCTAGAGAGCTAGTCTCCTTTCCAAATTAGGAAAGGAATGTGAGCTGGTACTGATAAGCCTGGTACTGTGGCGTGTCCGGGTATGTAACAAAGGCAGAAAAGACAAAAAGGAAAAAGGGGTGGGTACTATGAATTAAAGAATAAAGGATTGATCAGGCTATTTGAAGAGAAACCTCATCATATCCCACATCATGGATCAGAATATTTAATATTATTAAGATGGTAATATTCTCCAAAGTGGTCTACAGACTCAGTGTAGTCTCTGTCACAATAATAGTGTGCTTCTTTGTAGAAATTGGCAAGGTGATCCTAAAATTCCTATGGAAACTCAAGGGACCCATAATAGCCACCATAATTTAGAAAAAGGAGAACAAAGTTGAAGCTGTCACACATTTTGATTTCAAAAGTTACTACAAAGCAAGAATAACCAGAACAACGTGGCATTGGCATAAGGATAAAATAAAGATAAATGGAATAAAATTGAGAGTCTAGAAATGAACTCTCACATTTACAATCAACTGATTTTTGACAAAGGTGCCAAAGCGATTCAATAGGAGAAAGAATATCCTTTTCAACAAGTGGTGCGGGGACAACTGAATAGCCACATACAAAAGAATAAGGTCAGACTCTGCCTCACATTGAGATAGCCAGATGGGAGCGTGTCCCTGGGAAAAACTCCAACTGGCCTGAGCACTGGAGTAGAGCCTCAGGAATTTCGTGCCTTTTGCAGTTGAGAGGAGCCTGGCCCCTCCTCTTCTTGTGTGGAACCTAGGATTCGAGCTGTGGGCAGAAAGTGCTCTAGCAGGGACTCTGGCTTTGAAAGAGTCCCTTTTTCCTCCTTTTCTTCCTTTACACCCAATAAAACCTGTCTTACCCTTCAAACTGTCTGCACGCCTGAATTTTTATGGCTGTGGGACAAAGGACCTCATCTTTAGCTGAACTAAGGAAAAAGTCCTGCAACATTTTTGGCGTGCAACGTAGGGACTTGAGAAGCGGTGAGTGAAATGGGGACTCAAAACCTCTTACTGTTGCTCCTAAACCTTTTCATCCTGGGACTTCTGAGCTTATGGGAAACAGTGCCCCCCACCGGCCCTCCCAGGAAGGAGGCCTTTTCATGGCCTTTTCCTTCCTTTTTCCAGATGGACTGGTGAGCCACAGCTGCCTGCCGCTCCCCACTCCGTGCTCGTGCTTGGGCTGGGATGCATGGCCCAAGGGTCCCACACAGCTGGTTCCACTGGACAGTAATTAAGCTTAAGCTTCTCTCCCAGCTGGAGGAACCACTTGCAGGAGAATAAGAGGTTCTTCCCCAGACATTTTTAAACCTTTTTTCTTTCCCCTTCTCTACCCTATCAACAAGTTAACCTTTAAAGTTTTCTTTTTCTTTTAGAAGATAGGCCAACCCCAACCCAACTATCACTGTTTGCATTCTCTGCAAAGTTTAGGTTGTGAAACCAAGCCTCCATCTTGTTTTACCGCTTGAGGGCATGGCTTCTAACTCTGGGGGCAAGGCTTTGCTTAGCAATCCTGCCTCAGAGGATGAGCCCTCTCTGGTTCCATAGCTGCATGTTTTCCTAGCCCTGTCTCTTAAAGGGCCCCATCCAGCTACTGGGTTTTTTTCTGCCTGTCTGTGTATGTACTGTGTATGATTTCTGCAAAATGAGCTCTAATTAATTTGGCTTAAAGAAAGACAAGCGCTTGGATTAAATATTTTTAAAAGGGAAGATAAAAGCTGTGGTACTTTTCAGTTCATGTGACTTTAATCTTTGAGAAATAAAAACAGACTTAAAGATTATTGGTAGAATGCAGGTGTCATTAAAATGTAAATAGATGAAATAAACTGTGCAGGTCAGATGCAAGGTTTGCCCAATGTGTTAAGGTTACAAACTGCTTTTTGGCTTTTGAGAACTATCTGTCTTGCCTGCTTCACAATTGGTAAGGCCTGGGGACATATGGAACCAACCATGCCCTTCATTATGCTGGAGTCAAACCTTGACTGCACTTAACACACAAAGCAAATTAACAAGTTTTACCTTAAAGTTAAAAATCCGCTAGGAGTTACCATTATAATACGTAATTGAAGCTACTGAAAGTAAATTTACATGCAAGAAGTGTAAGAACAGTAAAATGTGTTTTTTTGGAAAAGGTTACAAAAAGGCATGGAAATGTAAATTTTTGCCTAGGCTTAAACGATTGTTTTGAATTAGGAAAAAACTGAGGGTTCAAACAAGTGGTGGAAGAATTGTAGAAATTAATCTCGCAGAAGAGGTTCTCTGTGTGAACATGTTGACTAAATTCAAAAGGGCTGTAAAAGGTTTTTGCTTCTTTAAAATTTATGAGTCATCATTTTGGAAAAATAAATAACTTATGGTAATCTGGAATTCTATTTCATAATATCAAGTGCTTTAAACACATTTAACAGTCTTCCCAAAATCAAACTTCAGTTTCAAAGTTGTCTTTCTTGACAACTTTCAGATAGTCCAGAGGGCCCCTGGAATGTCCAGAAAAGAGAGGTAAACAGGATTATTTGACATGTCTAGGTACATGAGATTGCCAAAGGTGATGTTCAATCTTTTTTAGGTTATATCTTGGTGAATAATGCTAATATATGTTCCAAAATTGTATGGGATTTCTAAAATTCTAATGTCTAAGTATATGCTATCAATCATAATTAAGGTTGCTATGTTGTTATTTGTAAACCACGGAGATAACCAAACTTCTTTGTCAATTGTGTTTCTAACTATAACTGCTCTAGACATTTTGCTATTCACAGACAATTGTTGTCTTGTTTTAATCCTTTCAAAAGATGGTTTATAATAAGCTATAGGACTCTGACAGGTGCTCTCAAATACAATTTCTGATTGTGTTTGAGACAATTGGGTTTCTGATAACTTTGGAGATTGTAACATTGGAATAAAGGAAAATGTACAGTATTCACGAAGAGCTGAAATGTTCATGAATATCACGTGAAACAAGAGTTAACTAACTGGACTGAACTCAGAAATCTGAAGCAACCTTTCTAAGACTTTTGCTTGGAATATTGCTGATCCGTGTTTTGTTTTTCAGAGTCAAGGAAACTTATGTTAAACTATTTATAGCCTTTTAATAATTGAGTAAGGTAATACCCACTGTGAACAAAATTTGGAGCACGTTTGTTTCTCTCTGCCTGGTTCCTCTAAATTTGAAAACTATCTGGAGTGTTCTTATGGCAATATAGTTGTTTGCATCAGTGCAATAAGAATCAATTTTTCTTTTGCAGCAGGACACAATTGGAGAATGTGGTAATTTTACCAAGGCTTTGACTGGAAGGGTATGCTTCCCTTTAAGGAGTCAAGCTTGGCTTGCAGAGCCGATAGAAGCCCAGTGGGGAGACTGGCCTCATACCCTCATCTACCCAGTCCCTGTACAGGGTTCCTGACCTGTGGTCAATAAAGAATGTCACTTTCTAACAGGTCCAAGAGCTCCAAGTTTATCTTGGGACCTTAAGAGGAGAGGATCACCCAACTCACATGTACTTGAGGATAAACCCATGGCTGGGCTTGGCTTTAAAAGGTCTTTTTTTTTTTTTTTTTTTTTTTTTTGAGACGGAGTCTCACTCTTGTCGCCCAGGCCGGACTGCAGTGGCGCTATCTCGGCTCACTGCAAGCTCCGCCTCCCGGGTTCACGCCATTCTCCTGCCTCAGCCTCCCGAGTAGCTGGGACTACAGGCGTGCACCACTACGCCCGGCTAATTTTGTATTTTTAGTAGAGATGAGGTTTGGCCATATTGGCCAGGCTGGTCTCGAACTCCTGACCTCAGGTGATCTGCCCGCCTGGGCCTCCCAAAGTGCTGGGATTACAGGCTTGAGCCACCGCACCCGGCCTAAAAGGTCTTATATGAGATCCCTTGGGGAACAGAGTTCCAGCACAGACAATCTAAAAGGCCTTTGTAGAAATAATTTTTCTTGCTTCACTTTATGCAAATAATAAGGCCAAGTATAAGACTAAAGTTTATTTTGCAAACCACTCAGTCCTAGGATGATTTGGTTTTTTAACAAAAATGAGGACTGGAGAGAGAGAAAAATTATGTTTCAACACTTATCATACATTTGTCACTAAATTCTAAACTCACTAGTTGTTTTTAAGTTTTTGCCTACATGTTAGACTAACCCTGATTGTTCCGTGAACCAACCAGCAATCTCCAACTTCAGCTCAGAGAGAAAAAAAGGGATGGGCAATGTAGAAATCCAGATCAATATTCTAGTTCTGAGAAATTATCCTACAAATCCTGCCAGGCGATTGGAATAAATAGGGTGCCCATCACTCAGGGGTTTCCTTTTGGGAAAGTAAGACCAAGGGAGCTAACCAAAGCCAAGCACCATGCACCCAAATCCTAGCAAGCATGACTATAGCCACCAGTTATCTGGGCATGTCACAAGACATCCTTTTCTCTCCTTTGTTGGAGGAAGACTCAATCCCACAGCTTTACCCTAGCATTCAGCTTATAATAAGGAGTCCATGCAACCCCCCACCCTGAGACACATTTTTGTCCCAAACTCAATTCCAAGCTTTGGGTCAAAGTCCTAGGAAAGAAAACTGGATCTGAAGGATCCAGAGGTGGATGATAATGGGAAGTTAAAAGGCACAGGGCAGGTGAGCATGGCTGATTCCTGCCGATCAAGCCAAGCCCAAGCTTCTTGTTTCATGGATAAAGGCCACGTTAGTATCCATGGCAAAAATGAGGTCTAGGGAATCCACGGCTACTGAAAAGCAGGGGAGATGGGGCATATGTGGGTAAGAGTGGGTGATTCCCACCCCGTACCCACCCTTCCCCCGCTTCATTGGTGCAAGCCGCTGTGACATTCATGGCGGGACGTGCCATGGTCGCCAGGACTCAGGGATGCAAGGATGGAAGAGGGAAAGACGATGCTCTTCCCTCTTTCCCTCACGTACCCCGGGTATCTGTTAGGAAGAGAAGGGAACCAGGGATACCTGCTCCACTCTTTCTAGAAGGGTAGCCATTCATCTTCAGTCTGTACCCTTTCTGAGTGCATCCTGAACCCCTGGGACTCCTTTAAAAGGCACCTTCTTTTTTCCTTTCTCCTCTTCTGTCTTCTTCACAGATAGGTAATTGTGTCTCTGTACTATGGGATGCTCCCCTCAGATGCATCCTCCAAACTGGTAAGAGTTAATTTCCCAAACCTTAAACTGGTTGGCTTAGGATTGGGCTCAGGGGAAGGGGAACCAGAAGGGTAAAGTGTTTTTTTACCGGTCAGGCTTTTGGCCCTCCTTTCCATGTGCAAACTGGTAAAAGGCCTCAGGATTTCTGAGCTGTCCTTACCCCTCCCCTTGTTTCGACTTGATACATGTTTTCTAATAAACTGGTTTGTCTCTTCTTGCCTTCAGGTCATCAAACTCCAAGTGGCCATGCAACCAGAGCCTCTGATGATGGCCCCTTCTGCTGGGAACCTTACACAGGCCTCTGAGGGAGCTTTAACTGCCGTTTCCCCAAAACAGCACCCCTGTCAGCAGGAAGCAGTTAAGATCGGTCTTCATACTTATCCTTATTCTAAGGGCAGTTGGATGTGCTTCTTTAGAGGGGCGAATGAGGCAGCCAAGTGGGAGGGGGTCCCTGGAAAAACTCCAACCAGCCTGCACACTGGGGTGGAGCCTTGGGAAGTTCATGCCATTTGCAACAGGGAGGTGCCTGACTCCTTCTCTCTGTGTGGAACCTGGGATTCAAGTTGCGAGCGGGAAGCGCTCTAGCAGGGACTCTGGCCTTGTGAGAGTCCCTGTTTCCCCCCTTTCTTTCTTTACATCCAATAAAACCCTGTCTTACCATTCAAATCTGAATTTTTGTGGCCGTGGACAGAGGACCCCATCTTTAGCTGAAATAAGGAAAAGTCCTGCAACAACATCAAATACAATAATTAAGGCAAAGTGGATCAAAGGCTTCGTGTAATAGCTAAAACCATAAAACTGTTAGACGGAAACAGGGGTAAATCCCCGTGGCCTTAGATTTGGCAATAGTTTCTTACAAGTGATACCAAAAGCACAAGCAACAAAAGAAAAACAGATAAATTGAACTTTATCAAAATTGTGAGTTTTTGTTCTTTAAAGGACACTATCAAGAAAGTGAAAATACAACCCACACAATGGAAGAAGAGGTTTATAAAGTATACACTGGGTAATGGCCTAGCACCCAGAATCTATAAAGTACCCACAACTCAATAACAAAAGGACAAAAATCGGAAAAGGGTCAAAGTCAACATTTCTCAAAAGAAGATGCACAAATGGCCAACAGGCACAAGAAAAGATTCTCAATGTTTTAGTCATTAGGAAATACAAATCAAAACCACAATGAGATACAACTTTACGTATACTACAATGCCTATAATCAAAAAGATCATAAGAAGCACTGGCGAGCCCGTAGAGACATTTGAACCCTAAAACACTGCTGGCAGGAATATAAAATGGTGCAGTCACTTTGGAAAACAGTCCAGCAGTTTCTCAAAGAGTTAAATCTAGAATTATCATATGGCTTAGCAATTCCTAGGTATATACCTAAGAAAAATGAAAGCATATGTCTTCACAAAAACTTGTACTCAAATGTTTATAGCAGTATTACTCATAGTATCTAAAAGTAGAAACAACCCAAATGTTCAACGTAATGAATGGATAAATAAAATATGGTATAACCATACAATCAAATATCATTTGGCTGTAAAAAGGAATGAAGTACTGAGGCATAGTACAAGATGGATGAACCTTAAAATTACTATGTTTCACGAAAGAAGCCAGTCACAGAAAATCACATATATGGTGCCTTTCATGTGAAGTGTCAAGAATAAGCCAATCTACAGTCAGAAAATAGATTAGTAGTCACTGCTAGTGGCTGGAGGGCAGGGGGAATGGAGAGTGACTGCTAATGGGTATGAGCTTTCTTTATGGGGCGATGAAAATGTTACAAAATTGGTGGTGCTGATGATTGTAAAACTCTGTAAATATACTAAAAAACATAGAATCATAGACTATAAATGAATAAATTGTTTGGTATGTGAATCATATATCAAAGCACATGTTCTGATCAAAGTGGAAAACAATGAAATAAAAAGTTCCCTGGAGCAGAGTTCTGGAGCGGTGGGAGTTAAACAGGTAAATGTAATTCATATAAGTCTAAATTCCGGAAACCAGGACTGTGTCTTTTACATTGCTGCAGTGCACATGTTTAACAAAGTTCTGTATGTAGCCAATGTTAAAGACAATCACAGTAAAAAATGAAGAAAAGCTCTTGGAACCAAACCGTCCATCAATTTGCAACTATGTAGAAGAGAAGATGTTATGAAATCATGGAAGTCTCCAAGAGCCTTGACCTGTAAGAAGCTTGTAAAATTGAATTGTGCAGGTGCCTTGAGACTTGGTCAGAAACTTGCTCATTCCAGAGATTCCCTGGGGTTCAGATAGCTGACAACTACGCCTGGAGAAGTTAGACCTGTTCTAAATACCCTAGAGATTCTAGCACTCTTAAAACCATCTCCAGGCTCAGAATCTAACTAGAGAATTGCTGAACTAACTTGCTTTCCTTGAGGAGCTTCGGACTACTTAGAAGGGAATCAGGCTTGGGGTCAGTTTTTGAGACTAAAAGTCCTGAAATCTGTCTCTCCTGGAAACGCTAAGGGACATTTTTTAGTAATTTTTCTTCCAGTAAAATCCCAAAGTCTAATTTGAGTCCAAATCTTTGGGGTTCATCCAGAAGCAAATGGCTGCTAGGAACATAGACTGTTTGACTCCAGAGTGAGTAAATGTTAGATAGATTAAATCTTTACTTTATCTGGCTTTAGATTTGGTCTTGTATGAAACTGACAATAAAATAAGAAACATGGTTTAAACCATACAAATATCTGTCAAGAAGCTAGTGTGTCTCAAATCACTTTCACAAGGGTTAAAGATAAACCTGTAGCCATCTGATTTCTTTGCCAGTAGGAATGGGGTACTTGGTCATAGAATGAATATTATTTATATTTGCTTTCAAAACCCTTGATGGTTTAAAACATATACACTTTGTTTTGTAGGATAGATTACTTCCCACAAATGCTCATATGGAAGACTCTAAAACTAAATAGCATTTAAAGTGAATTCCATGAACCCTATTGATTTCCATTATGAAATCATAGATGGATTTCCATGGGAAGAATTCTCCTAAGTGACTGTTGAAAACTTTTGCAAAGGAAGATGCTATCATGGTGGTCATCTCTATGACCTACTGACCAGTGTAAAGAACACTGCTGGAACTTTGGTGCTACCAACTGTCAGCTATTAGTTATCTGCCCTTACTTAGAATTCAGTTAGGACCAAGCCAATCCAATTCATGTCTCCTCAAGGATTCTTACACATGCAGATAGTAAAATAATTTACTGTTTAATTAGGAAGGCCCTAGTTAGTATTCCTGGGGTTAAGCATTAACACAAAGGCTGCAAGATAATTTTTATTAAAAGGATACTATATTAGGCTACTGAAATGGCAAAGCAATGATTCTCAACTTTCAGAGGGCAAATTGAAAATACAGATTCTTGGGCCACACACTCAGAGCCACAGAGACAGTCAGATAATCCTAAAGCAAAGGACATCCAAGATTCTGCAGGCTCCTTGGATACATAATCCAGTACCTATATTCTCTTTGGAATGTGATAATATGGGATTCTATATATAACTAACAGCCTATAAATACTATACGCTGGGTACTGTCTACACACATTACATATATTAACTTAATCCTCACAGCAAAACTTTCAAGGAGATACTATTATTTTCATCCCCATTTTATAGATGAGAAAACTAAGGCAGAGGTTAAGTAACTTTCCCAGGGTCACTCTGCTGATAAAGTAGCAGTACTTAGATTTTAACAAATCATCATTTATTGCAGAAACTATGCTTAATCTGCTATGGGCTATAACACTTTGCTTTTCCTACACCATTCTTTTTTCTAGCTGTATCAGATTTTTTTAAATTGGCAGTTTTAAGAGTGTGCTAACAAGGTCAATCTCTGTGAAAGTCAGAGGAATGCTCTCTGCACTAATTAAGAGATAATCACAACTAATTTCTCCTGGCCTCAATAATACAGACATGGTCTGTCTGAATATTTGCATTCTTCCAGCCAATGTCCATGAATATAGTTTGGGCATCTATTCTCAGTTTGACAGTCTTGTGAAGGCAATATAGTCTATGCACCCAAAGACTGGCACAGAGTGGGTCATGGTTCTCTGGGGCTTCCTTTCATTTTCTGTGGAGATAGAGAGGAATGTATCCTCTGAAGACAGCTATGGGATTTCAACAAGAAAACACCTGACCAGAGACATTGAGAAGTATAACCTAGATTCATATTTATTTAATACCTCTTGAGTGCCTGCTGTATGGAGGTGCTAGGGTTATGGTAGGGAAGAAAACAGGCAACCCCCTGCCCTTGGGGATATCCTTATTTAATATTCAACATGTCTTTAAGTATTATTCTTATTAGAATTATAATCTTCCTTGAAATATGACCCTCCAAATTGCCTCAGTTTCCCCACAAGTAAAACAAAGGTGGGATTAAACTCCCTAGGTAAGCGGCCTCTGAGCCAGAGCTTAGTGTGTAGGAAGTTTATTGGGAGTGCTATCAGAACTGACACCTGTTGAGGAAGTAAAGAAGCAAGACTGGCTGGAGGGAGAGGCTGAACTGTGATACAGCCTCAACAAAGGCTGCAGATCACCTCATAGGGCCCTCTGGAATTGAGATGGTCATGCTAAATTGGAGTCAGGGGATCAGGGATAAGGTTTTTACACCATCCCCCCATAAGGCAGGTCATTGGTTAGTGCTGTCCTGTGCAAGACAGCTGTCTTCAAAGAATGGAAATTCCCAAAGAGCTATTTTCAGGCAGCACTTCCAGCAGCTAGGGGAAGAAGTTATTTAGTCCTCAAGGGGGATTTGGACGATACATCACAGCATCCATTACGGAAAGACTGGACTCTTATCTATGACACCCTGTCCAGATATCACATCCTACAATCTTATGACTGTAGGGGACTGGTAATGTCACTGCTGTCCACTCCGTCAAGTAGATATCCTAAGTGTAGTGAGTGCCCCTGTGGCAGTGTTGCCCTGGGATGCTGTTTCTTACATGGCTACCTGCTGCTCTGAATACCCAATAGACCTTGATTGGCAGGCCCAATCTCTCATCCTGCTTGAAGCTTACACTTGCACCTCATGAGCTCTGTGGGATCTTCAGAGTAGATGTCAGCGCTTTGAGTTCCATCACAGGCCTCTACAGACATAATCTGGGTGCAGCGACACCCTGCATAATCTTGTAAAGCAGGATTTTGCTAATTTTCTAGAGAGCTGAACCTGGCTTCTGTATTATGTTAATTAAAAGCATCCTGATTTATGAGAGTTGTAGGCAAAGGCATGCAATGGCTCAGGGATACACAATTTCTAACTTTGTGCTGCCACCTAATGGCCATCCAGCTGATGAGCAAAACAGAAGGCTGGGATATAATTAATTGAATACCCAAGAAAAGGAATCTTTAATGTGGGCTTCCCCTTCATCCCCCACTTGGAGATGAAGAAACATTCAAAGTTTCAGCTTAGGTTGTCTTAAAACCTGTCTCCATGAATCATTCCTTCCCTGGAAAGCCTTCTACCAATCTTTCAAGCCCTAACTCAGATGTCCTCTCTTTAAGAAGCCTTCCCAACCAACCCAGCAGTCAGCCTTTCCTCCTCTGGGCTGCCCTGGAATGGGGTATGTCCCTTTAGCATAGCCTGAATTGCACTTAGGTGAATTGCTTTGTGGTATATCTGACCAGGCTGAGCTCCAGTGAGGCAAGTTGTTGTGTTTTTGTTTTGTTTTTCTTGCTTCGTACATAGTATTTTCCCAAAGAGTGTTGTAGGTCTACACTAACCATTCATTTCACTCTACTTCTTGCTCTTTAAACTGTTTCTGGGTTTGTCATACAAATGCATGCTGGAAGTGATGAAAAAGTTGTCAAAGTAGTTTGCACTTTGTGACATTCTGTCCCTATTTCTCTTTCTCACTTCTGTCTCACATTAAGTTTTTAGAGAACTGCCTCACAGAGGCAGGCTTTCACTGTCCATGGGAACTTTTGTTTCATGACCCAATTGGGACACCCCTCTTTTACTTCATTGTGACTGCTGCCATTTGAAGAACAGACTGGAGTTCCCTCCACACTCCTTGCTTCTTAATATATATGCAATCATCTTTAGGAATATCAAGACCCTATTTTATAAAAACCCACCAAAACCCTATTTTGTAAAGCACTCTCACCATTCTGGTACCCAGCAGCCCACTGCCTGGGAACATCCAAATCTCTGGAATGCATTGAGTAACATGTTCAGTGTAGCCAGTGCTTCTGGTCCACCTAGCCTGACCCGTGGAATTCACTTACTAACTCACAGACATGCTCTACTCAGAACTCCCTATTTTCCTTCAATTAAGGCTACTGAGCCTACAACTTCCCCTCCTACCCAGCAGCGATGCCACTCCAGCTGTTAATCAGTGTTTGAAGAAACCATGGGCCAACCAAGAGGCCCTTCAGCACATCTTGAAGTCCGAGGGAGAGCATTCAAATGGAATCTGTTAACTGGCTCTTTCCTCCAATGCACAAATACCTTCCACTGTCTTTTTCACTTATGGATTCTGACCATTTAACAGGCACTTATCAGGTGCTCAATAAATGTTTGCTGAATAAGTGAATGAATCCATTTAGGCAGAAGATTTGAGGGTAATACCTGGAATGTTCATCAGAGAGCACCGTGGTCTTCGGGCTTTACCTGTTCAGCTGCATACATGTTAACCCCATGTACCTGAGGTAATGGAGATACAAAGCACCCAGACTGGCTTGAGAGAGTAAAGGAAATCTTCCAGAGCAGGTGATGGTAGAGCCCACCTTGGCAGCAAAGTGAGAGTTTTGCCAGGTAGACAAGGAGGGGAAGGAAGGAATGACAGGAACAGGGAAGCGGATGGGCAGGTAAGTGTAAGGAACCATGATGGGCTTCTTCCACCTGGTACATTCAGGAGACTATGAGTAGTCCAGGTTTTCTGGAGTGAGGTATAAAGTGACAGGGCAGGGGGAATGCTGAGAGATTTGACCAAATAGAGTCATGGTATTTTAAAAGCAAAAAGCCAAAAACATCACCGCCTGCTGAAAAATACACAAATGTTTTCCTCCAAACTTAGGGAAGAAAATCCAAATCCAGCCCCTGCCTCCCTCTCTGCCCTCAGCTGCCTCTTCCTGCTTCCTCTCTCATTCTGCTCCAGTCACAAAGGCTTCCCTGCTTGCCAGCTGGATTTCTAAAACCAAGAGAACCTCCTCTGGTCTCTAGCAGGCTCCACCATGGACTCAGACTAGATCTTTCTATGACCTTCAGAGTCTTCTTCCCCAATACCCGCTATCCTTTCTTGAAGCTCTCCTATACCATGTTTGTCTCAGGCCATATGAGCTACTACTCTTTTTACTATTTTTCCAGATAAACCCAGATGACTGGCAGCACACTAGTAATTTCACCCTCATTGTAGGTGAAATTCACCAAGGACCTTTTTAAAGGAGGAGAATGATCCTAGAACAAAATGTTTTGTGAGGTAGTGAGCTTCCCATCACCAGCGATGTTCCAGCAGAAGTTAAATGCCCGTTCCCAGGGAAGTTGTAGGAAGGAATCACTCACTGGGTGGGATCACATAGAGGACCTCTTAAGATTTTATTCTAACTGTACACAAACACCTAGACAGACATTATAATTTTATTAAAAGAAGGTGATATAGGTATCCCGTAATTAAGCAAAATATATAAAATGTAAATTTTTCAAATAAACAAATTTGAAGGACTGTATTTCATAAAAGGGATCCATTTGGGTGACTTTAACTAGAATCCTAAAATATTACAGGTAAAAGGGACTTTATTCACTTTGTTTTCTAAAACAAGAATTCTTTCTAATAGAACATTTTAGCACAATTACATTTGTTTAGAATTTGACCTGGTACATAGTAGGAGATAAATACATATTTGTTTAATGAATGCATAACCAAAGAAAAAATGTGATGTATATAACTTTTCAAAAATACAGCTATCGTTCCAAGTAAGATTCAAGTGTACAGTTTTGGCTGAGAGGACCTAGTTTGAGAAGTTGCTGTTGAGTGCAATAACAATAGTGAAAGGTGCTTGTTTTGTTTAATTTTGGTCTTGTTGTTTGGTCATTGTTGGAGAACAAAAGGTCAACAGTATTTTCTGGTGACAATTATATTCCTTTTAAAAATGTGGATCACCAGTAAAACTTCCAAAAGAAAACATCTTCACGTGTCCTTAGGTTATGTAAATGTCTATTGAGGTGCTCGAGAGGAGGCATGTTGTCTCACAGTTCCCTTATTCAGAATGTACCTGCCCCCACCCCTTATACATATGACCCACCCCAAGCCTCAGCTGCACTTCACCACCTGGTGAGTGGAGAGGGTGCCAGGCATGGTAAGCACAATCCCCACATGGCAAGCCCAGACAGTAAAGGTCAGATCTGTTGGGAGTGGCTGGGGGTTGAGATTATGAGGCTCATACCTATTTCTCTAAACTCAACACCCCAGTGGCCAATCTTTTCAAGAAATAGGAGGGAGAGCTTTGAATGGACTCTGGATTCATGAGGCAACTTTTAGGGTCCCTTAGAGACCCTTCCCTGTGGCCTCATCTTTTGCTCCCCCTATCCCTTTATCACAGGAATTGCTGCCTCTAATACTGGGATGGGATCTACATTTTCAAGGGACGGTTCCTGTTGCACCTGCTTTTTAAATGAAGCTGACTCTAGCATAATATCAGCTGCTTGGAAAAGAACACCAGTCTTCCATCAAATAAGCTGTCTTCGTTGCCTGGCACATTGACTTGTCAAGTTCCAAATGTCATGACCTGTGAAAACTTGAGACAACTACAAAGCAAATTAATGCCGGAGAAGTGGGCCCTAGGACTTCAGCAATTTGAGATTCTGATTACAAAAGACTGGAAAAGGAAAGACCCTTGGTAGTGCTCAACATGAACCAAAACACAAATAGACTCAGCATTTTTAATGTTTTAATGACTAGAAATGGAATCTTCACATATTGTAAAAAGTGAACAGAAAAGAAACATTAAATAAGAATAATGCATAATCTGCGATTTTTTTTTTTGAGACAGAGTTTTGCTCTTGTTGCCCAGGCTGGAATGCAATGGCGCGATCTTGGCTCACCACAACCTCCACCTCCCAGGTTCAAGCAATTCTCCTGCCTCAGCCTTCCCAAGCAGCTGGAATTATAGGCATGCGCCACCAAGCCCGGCTAATTTTGTATTTTTAGTAGAGATGGGTTTTCTCCATGTGGGTCAGGCTGGTCTCAAACTCCCGACCTCAGGTGATCCACCCACCTCGGCCTCCCAAAGTGCTGGGATTACAGGCGTGAGCCACCGCACCTGGCCTAATCTGGAATTTTTATTGTTTTGTGTTAATCTGTATTTTCAATGTTTGTATAATGTCCATGTGTTTGTAGTAATAAAATAATAAGGCATTTAAAACTATTTACTTTCAACCTTCACATCATTTTGTACTTATGTTACTTTGTAAGCAACTATGTCATTAAATTCTGGATTCTGAATCCAGTAGGCCCTTTCAGGTGGACCAGAAACCACAGTGAGAGAAGGTGGGGAATCTGCAATGAGTGTCTAAATAAGTTACTTCAGATCCAGTACCTATCTGGTTGCTAGGTTTTTCTGGCTCCCACAGGTGGTTCCCTCATCCTGTCAGAGTGAGCTTCATGCTGATCCTTTGTGTATTGCTGGATATTCAGGACATCATGTTTGGAGGTCCACAGATCCTATTGATACAGAAGGATTGCCAGAGTGCAGGCCACCTTAGGGTGGCCACCATAGCTGCCATGGAATTTTGTTCTAGTGAGAGAGAGCAATGAACTATTTATGCCTGGAAAATTCTGTAGAAGTCACTTAAGTGAGACATCAGGCTTGATATAGGAAATGAGGCAGCCAGGCTGTGCTCCTGGGATCTGGATGCTATATCCTGACAGCCTGTCAGTCAAAGATTCATGTGCAGAGGTCAGCAGAATATGGGCACAGCCGACTGTTAGCTATCAGGACTGTGTGTGAACTATGCTGACCTGATATATGAACTTAAGGGCCCAGTCAGAGCCCAGGTTCTGGGGCAGCTGATGTGCCCAAGGTAGATTAGGAATCCAATACTGGAGCAAGTTCAAAACTCTCCTAATAGGCGATGGTGACATGTTTGCCATTTATCCTACAGGCAGCAAGTGAGAAGTCAGTGAGGGGTTTGCATGAGAGGAAAATAAATACTCTGCATTCTGGACAGGCCTGTCTGATGGTGCCTTGGAGAATGAAATGGAGGTGAGGAGGTGGGTAAGGGGAAGGAAGGCAGGGTGAGAAACAGCACCAAATAAAGAAATCAAGGTGAACTGATGTGGCCCTGGTCTCAAGCTGTAGTAGTGGAGTTGGATGGAGGAGTGGAAATAGAGTTCAGAGAGCATTACATTTAGGGATGGGCTGGGCTCCCACCTGTAATTTCAGCATTTTGGGAGGCTGAGGCAGAAGGATCACTTGAGGCCAGGAGTTCAAGACCAAACTGAGCAACACAGTGAGACTCCATCTCTAAAAAAAAAAAAGATAGGAATGACCAAAGTTGGTAAACAGATAGTAGGGAGAAGGTAAGATGTAAAATGAATTCCAGGTTCCAGCTCAGGAGACAGGTTGCATGATGGTATCATGAACTGAGATTTTAGGCACAAGAGGGGAAGGAGGAAATTTGGATAGGACGTAGAGCAGGAGTGGAGTTAGGGAAACAGTTCAGTGGTCTCCAGTGGGTGCTATCAGCCTTCCAAATGAGGATTTCTAGGGACAGTCAAATACCTAAACCTGGAGAGGGGCTGGGCAGGGATCAGGTAGAGGAGTGATCCACAGTCGTTGCCTGACATCATGGACATAGTTGAGCTGACACTGAACAAGTATGAGTCTAATGAAATGGGAAGATGAAGAAGAGATTAGTGAAGAATAGAAAAGGGAATGTAGCAGGAAAAAAAAAAAAGAGGCGTTGCCAAGAATGGCACCTTGGGTAGCATCATTATGGATATATCAGAGTCAGCCAGTTAAAACACATCCTTAAACAATGCCCATGTGCCAGATCCTGTAGTGGATTCTGACAATTGTGGTCCACAGAACAGCAACATAGAGTTTAGTGCTTCAGACAGACATTGAACACATTTTACAATGAAACAAATTGTTACAAAATGTTTACCTAGTAATTGTAAGTAGAAAAAGTATTGTCAAGGAAAATATAGGATGCTGTGGGAGTGTAGAACAGTATGGACTTAACCAAATCTCATTGGGGGGGATTCGAGGAGAGGTACAAATGCCTTCTCTGAGAAAGTAGCACCTAGGTTGAAAATTGAAGGAGAAGTAGCTGTTGACAAGCCAATGGGAAGAGAGAGAATCTCTTGCAGGAAGAAGAAAAGGAGCCAGTGAAGCCTCCTCAGAAGAAGCTACCAGAGAGATAGGAGGAGAGCACTGAAGGGACTATTAGGAATGCTAAATGAGGAGAGAGAATATGTCAGCTCCAAACCCAGAGGTCATCAGCCATGGTCACCCCCTTCTGCTGACAAGGTCGCCTATGACACCAAGTAAGCCACCTCCTTCCACTTGAATTTTGGTTTCAGCAGGACAACTTCTCGGCCACGGGCTTCTCTTGGGAGCAGCCAGTTTGCTAGGACCAGAGGATGAGGCAGGGTTTGTCTATAGAGGCATTTTTCCTACAGAGGAAGTTTTTGATGGTGAAGGAGCTGTTCTACTTTTTGACTGTGGTGGTGGGCCTACTGTGGTATGTATTTGTCAAGTCTCATAGAACTGTACACAAGAAGAGTGAACTTTAGTGATTTAAAATTATACTTCAATAATGTAAGCAAGAAAAATAATACACTCTCACATTAAAATGCACACTTACTTGAAAAGCTCATAAAATACATAAATCAATTTGAGTAGAAATAATAGAATATTAGTGAGAGTGAAAAAGAGGATAAATAAGTGGAGAGATCGTCCACGTAAATGGCCTGGAAAATTATAGTTTTTAGATGCGTAGTCTCCCAAAATTGATCTGTATATTCAATGCAATTAAAAAAAAACCTCTATATTTTAATGTGTGGAAATTGCCAAACTGATTCTAAAATTTATATAAAATCCAAATGTGCATGAAAAAGAAGATTCATTTGAAAAAGAACAAGGTGTGAATCAGCTTGGTGCTGATACAGACTCATTTGCATATGAAAAACTTAATTAATGGTAATTATGGCACTGCAGACCATGGGAAATTGACTATCTTTTCCATAATTAGTCTTGAGAAAACTGGGCCTCTCCCTCACATCAGAAACAAAAATTCATTTTGGATGGACTTAAATTTTAAAGGAAAAGCGTATATCTTTTGAAATATAAGACTGTATGTTCATATTTTATATGTATATTTATGTTTCATTCACATTTGTATATGCATAATATATCATAGGGATAAAGAAACATAATGAGAAAATATACACTGTCTTATGGCAATATTTTTGAAAATTTGAATGTATTAACAAATGTTTGAAAAATTTTACTTAAACTTGATTCAAGATGATACAGAAGTCATGAAGAGGTATGTAGATATTAAAATAAATGAATGAGTAATTAAAAATTGTCCCAAGAATTAAAAGCAAAAATGAAATACTCGAGGCTCATCAAACATTAAAGGAGAAAATGATCCCAATATTATACAAAGTGTTCTAAGGAACATATGATAAAAAGAACATTTTCCAATTTATATCATGTGGTAAAATTTTGATAGCGAATACGATGATGGACACAAAAATAAAGGGCAATAAGAGATCAATCACACCCATGAAAATAGATGGAAAATCCTCAAGAAAATATTAGCAAACTAAATTCAGCAATGTATGAACAAAATAACATATCAAGACCAAGATGAAATAACATATCAAGACCAAGATGGTCTATCATTTAGAAATAAATTATAAACTCAAGCTGCATTCATAATAAAACTTTTCTGATATCCATGAAGAGAAAGCAAGTTTCTTAACTGGATAAAGGATATCTTTAAAAAATAACTTTAATAAGTATCCTACTAAATTTTGAAATACTGAAAGCTTTCTTTTTGAGATTGAGGAATAGTTTCCCTTGATGATTCTATTGGAGATCTTAATTTACTTAGTAAGGCAAGAATAGTAAAAGTGTAAGGATTACAAATGAAGAAGCAAATCTGTCATTATTCATAGGTGATTTGATAATAGACTAGAAAACCAAAAATAACTCATACATAAATTGTTAGACAAAAGTATCACTACTAGATCGTATATGTATATGCATATACATACACACACACATAAGATTTACAAACCAATACATAGGCAAAAGAGTGATAGAGAATGAGTAAATTAAAATATACTAACAATAATATCATCAGAAATCAGCGTGGGTCTAATCAAAAGATAGAAACTACATAGGTTAAACATATTATTTTAATACAAATAATTATTCAACTGTGATCAAGATTAACTATGAGATTTATGGAACCTTGATATGACACCATACGGCTAGCGGAAAGTACGCAAGGAAAGAAACACTTGGAAGGATCCCTCATGGCATAAGTTGTAGTTTGGGCCAGTGGTTGTGGCATAGCTCCACCTGATGGCCTCACCCACACCACTCACCCTGCCTCTGCTGGAAATGGAAGGAATGCCTCTTCCCCCTTCAGTGTTCCTCCACCAGCCTCTACTGAGAAAGCTCACTTTTATTGTGTTCACTTGAAAAAAGAAATGCTTAATGGAATCACGTTGTTTATCAAACAGCATATATGTAAGGATGCAGTCCAAGCAGAGAGACAATAAAATGATAATGGATGAAAGTACATGGAATAAATCCAACACAGTAAAGACCTACATGGAAAAAAAAACTATAACCTTTTTTTAAGAGATACTCCTGTTACAGGTTGAATTGTGGCTCTCCCGACCACCATTCGTATGTTGAAGTTGTAACACCTAGTACCTCAGAATGTGGCCTTATTTGGAGATGGAGTCATTGCAGTTGTAATGAGCAAGATGAGGTCATTAAGACAGACCCTAATCCAGTATGACCAGAGTCCTCATTAAAAGGTGAAATTTGGACACAGAGACAGATAAACATAGAGGAAAGGCCCCATGAAGAGACATGCGAAGAAGACAGCCAACTACAAGCCAAGGAGAGAGGTCTCAAACAGATCCTTCCCTCATAGCCCTTAGAAGGAACCAAGTCTGCTGGCACCTTGATTTTGGACTTCTAGCCTCCAGAACTGTGAGACAATATATTTGTGTTGTTTAAGCCAACCAATTGTGGTACTTTGTTAAGGCAGCCATAGCAAATGAATGGATTCTGGTACTGAGAAGTAGTGTGCTGCTGTAACAAATACCTAGAAATATACACATGACGTTGGGTAATACTAGATCAGCATGGGCTCCTAAGTCCAAGGACTAGTGTTGTTATCCAAAGGGGACATTTGGACACAGGCAGGCATACACACAGGGAGAATGGCACGTGAAGAATGGAGTTAAGCTGCCACAAGGCAAGGAACCACCAGAAGCTAGGAGAGAGGCATGGGACAGATTCTCCCTCAGAGCCCTCAGAAGAAACCCACCCTGCCGACACCTTGATCTTGAACGTGTAGCTTCCAGAACTGCGAAAGGATACATTTCTGTGGTTTAAGCCACCCAGGGTGTAGTGCTTTGTTACAGCAGCCCATGCAAACTAATACAGATAGTAATAAATGATAACTTCAATTAATAGTGAGATGTACTATGTTCACTGACTGTGAAACTTCATGTTGTAATAGCATCAGTTCTCTCTGAATCATTTTAAAGATTCGATGTGACCACAAACAAAATCCCAAGCAGTCATTTTTGCGTGGCATTTGACAAGGTGATTCCAACTATGATACAGTGATGCAGTAGGCCAAGAATTCCAAAGATTAAGAAAAAGGTAGGAGGAGTTTTACTAGTACAGGCAGTCCTCGCTTTGCACCTACTGGAGGACCATGAAATGACCATGCAAATGACCATGCAAATTGCAACCATACCACGCGATATCAATAACCATAGGAAAAGTTATGCTCATTCTGTGACTTTTAAATATTTTTGTCAAAATGTTAAAACTCTCTTACTTTCGGTTATACATGTATAGGAAAATTTAAAAAGTAGTAAAGCTAAGTGTCATTCAAAACATTGGACACATTGAGAATTAAAGTTCCAAATATCTATGGAGATCATTTAATGTGAAGGTTTTTTTTTGCTATGTTCATAGCATCCCTTGATAATACTCTGAAGCTGGAAACAATACAAATATTCCTCTTTATTAGAAGTGGTTAGTAAATTCTGGAATGTTCATAGAATGAAATATATGCAGCAGTAAAAAATAAAGAAATTATGGCTACTAGCATCAAGATAAATGACCCTCATTAGAGTGAGCAAAAGTTGCAAATCGAAAGAAGTAAACAGTATAATTGCATGTTAAAAAGTTTAAGGCCAGGCCGGGCGCGGTGGCTCACGCCTGTAATCCCAGCACTTTGGGAGGCCGAGGCGGGTGGATCATGAGGTCAGGAGATCGAGACCATCCTGGCTAACAAGGTGAAACCCCGTCTCTACTAAAAATACAAAAAATTAGCCGGGCGCGGTGGCGGGCGCCTGTAGTCCCAGCTACTCGGGAGGCTGAGGCAGGAGAATGGCGTGAACCCGGGAAGCGGAGCTTGCAGTGAGCCGAGATTGCGCCACTGCAGTCCGCAGTCCGGCCTGGGCGACAGTGAGACTCCGTCTCAAAAAAAAAAAAAAAAAAAAAAAAAAAAAGTTTAAGGCCAGGCGTGGTGGCTCACGCCTGTAATCCCAGCACTTTGGGAGGCCGAGGCGGGCAGATCATGAGGTCAGGAGATCGAGACCATCCTGGCTAACATGGTGAAACCCTGTCTCTACTAAAAATACAAAAAAAAAAAAAAAAAAATTAGCCGGGCGCCATGGCGGGCACCTGTAGTCCCAGCTACTCTGGAGGCTGAGGCAGGAGAATGGCATGAACACGGGAGGTGGAGCTTGCAGTGAGCCGAGATCGCCCCACTGCACTCCAGCCTGGGCGACAGAGCGAGACTCCGTCTCAAAAAAAAAAAAAAAAAAAAACTTTAATAATAAGCAAAACTATAGTGTTTAGGGGTGCAAATGAAGATGGTAGAAAGTATCAATGAAAGCAAAGTAGAGACTTTTACGAAAGTCAGGCAAGGGGTACATTTAGATTTGATTGAATGGGATGTGTTCAGGAAGGGACATACTAGCGGTTTGTAAATTACAGGAAGTATTCTGTTCTTTAGGTAGTGGTGTGTGCCCTACAGTTACTGTTTTCAGTGTGAATATAATTTATATATTATGTTACTGTTACATATTTAATAATATGCTTAAAATAAAAATGAAGACAGACTTAGAAGGAGCAGCCAGTGTGAAGAGACCTCAGGAAGCACCTGGGAGGCTGTAATGTTCTATTTCTTGACACACACACACACACACACACTTGTGTATATATATTAACATATACGTGTGTAATACACTCCTTTATATGGCATGATAAAAATCTCCTGATATCCATATGCTTGTTTCTTGTATGTTTTCTTCTACAAATCATGAGAGAGGCTGTGAAATGTTTGAAAAACAATGTAGGCTTTAGCACAACAAAATGAATTGGAAGAATTTTCAATATCCTCTCTTCAGTTTGGGCTTTTGTTGTTGTTTCTGTTCTGCTCAGCAAACTAAAACATGCTGTTGAGTCTGAAACTTCCAGACAAGGCTGGGAGGACCAGCAAAAGGAAAAACTGGAGCTAGAAAGATGGGGAGAAAGTCAGAGAAATGAACACAGACATGGTACATGCTAGCAATGCATCACCTTTTGATCAAGGTCCCTTATGCAGACTAAGGGTGGCAAAGGCACCTTATAGAAAAGCCTGGACTGTTCACTACATTGCAGCCTGCACGGCAAGAAGCTCAACTGGTGATTGCCAGGGATTCCTTTCTGGAACTACTAGCTCATCACATCTTCCTGGAAGCATGACCTACATGACCTGGTGATGTCGCTGCTGCTTCCCATATAGTAAACCTGATTGCCCAGACACTCCCAAAGAAGGATCAGTGGGAGGAGTCTGTGTTCTCTTGTTTGTGGGATGAAGCAATCTCACCTAATCACTCGGTTCTCGGTTGGTGTGGTGGGCTCCATGGAAAATTTACTGTTTCAGGGAGTTTTGTTGAATGAGCCTTTGCCCATCTACCATCCTTGTGTGTCTTGAGTGACTACTGTTCTAGAGATTATTGTCATGTTTCGCCACTTTCATGAGGTGAGAGTATTACCCCAAGCCTCAGCTTCACTGTCAACCCACCTCTTCTTCTTGCTAAGGTGGGAGCACATCCAAGGTTCCTGAAATGGTTAATATTAGTGTCACCTTGACTGGGTTGAGGGATGCCTCCGTGCCTGGTGATGCATTGTCTCTGGGTGTGCCTGTGAGGGTGTAGCCAGAGGCGATTGATGTGAATCAGTGGACTGGGAGGGGAAGAGCCCCCTTAATGTGGGTGGTTATCATCCAATCAGCTGCTGGTGCAGTTAGAACTAATCAAGCAGAAGAAGGGGACTTTCTCTATCTCTCTCTCTCTCTCTCTCTCTCTCCCCACATTTGGGAATGTGATACCATTTTCTCCTCCTTTCCTCGGACAGCCATCTCCAGGATCCATGGCCTTTGGACTCTGGGACTTGCACTAGCAGCCTCCCGGGAGATCTCAAGATTTTAGCCTCAGACTGGGAACTGCAGTATTAGCTTTCCTGGGTTTGAAGTGTTTGGACTTAGACTGAGCTATCCTGCTGGCTTTTCTTATTCCCCAAATTGCAGAGGGCATATTATGGGGCTTCATCTTTATAATCGTGTGAGCCATTTCTCCCTATTAAACTTCCTGCTATATAAATATATACACAAATATATCTTATTGGTCCTGTCTTCGTCCCTCTGGAGAACCCTGACTGCTGCAGTTCTCTAGAGGGCAGCTCACCCTCTGCTTTGGGATATGGCCCTCTTGAAACCTTCAAATTCTGAGATTGGGGCAGTGGTAAAACAGAAAAATGTAGAGAGTAATAAAGCTATCTCTGCCTAGCCAGTCGACTTCCCTCCAGCTTCCCTTTTAAATACTGGAAGTAAATACTTAAATAATTCTTTTGGCTCCACATATTTTATTGCTTCTTTCCAGAAGGACATGTGCTTGCTTGAGATGCGGTAGATGTGGCCTGGGTGATCTGGAGGTGTAGAGGTTGTGGGTGGATGAGCGTAAGAACATACTTGTCCCTGTTACTCTGTGATCCTGTGCCCTAGGGCTGTACTTTTTCCTTCTGCTTAGCTTTTTGGGCAGTGCTGATTAGAATGCAGGATGAATTTACATAGTGGGCTGCTCTGACTGGAATGGTTTAATACAGAAATGAGTGGGGAGTGTGGATGTGGGGGTGGAAAGAGACGTGAATCTAATTTTCCTTATGAATCTGCATCCTTTATGCAATAGAGCTCCGCTTGCATCTGAATAGTTGTCTCGACAACGCCACAGTGAGTGTAAATCGACTTAAGAAAAAGACTGCTATGACAGTGGGGTCAACTTAGGAGCACAGAAGGAACACACACAGTGTTTTAGCAGCTGGACAGTGCAGAAACTAAGGGACTGTGGCTCCAGGAAACACACACTCAATTGTAACCACGTGCTTTCCACCCAGAGCCTCAATATCATATGTGTTATTCCACTGACCTTCCACTCACTTTCAATCTCATATTTCACAATGAAGATGCCTTTCCCCTCCTTGTCTGGTTCCACTCATTTTTCATCATTCCCAGATCCTCTGGGGAAAAGAAGCCAGGGATTTTGAAGAAGACTTCTTTGTGAATTCAAAAGCCCAGTTGCCTCACATGCCTGTGGAATCCAGCTGAGGGTCAATGCCAGGTGGAGAGGAGCCTCATGACCGCTTCGTGGCCCTTTGCCCTTTCCCCTGGGGTGCAGCAAACAATATATTTAGAACAGCAGAGGCTGCTGAGCCTAAGACTGAGAGGACGGCCAAAGGCTGGGAGACTGCTAAGCCTGTGGTCATGGCCAGAGACCAGGGAAGAGACAAAACTGAAAGATAGGCTGCTAGGCCCTGACTTTCGTGCCATGGTCATTCTCTGCCATAATATAAGCACTTGCTGAAAAACATTCAGATGGCAAAATAGGTGTAAAATGATGAATATCTCCTGACCCTACACACCCCTGCAAGAGCTGTGACTGCTATGCACACCCCAGCCTATGCTCCCTGTAGAGATAGATGTTTAGATGAGGAAGCATAGACACACGAGAACATGTTTTCCTTTTCATTTTCCTTGTACAAATTTATGTTCTACCCTACACATAAGGACGGTCCTGTAGCAGGCTCCTTCCACATCAGGAACATTGACAGTGTCTCTGCAAAGTCTCACCCAAACAGAGGCCTCTGCTCTGTGTAGCCCCTGCTCAAAGGTGGCCAGGCATAGCCCTGGCTGCTCTGCTCATCCCTGCACAGTACTGAACCTCAAGGGACACTCTCCCCTGTCAACCCTAGGGAGCTCCTGATAGGACATAGACTACCCCTACCTTCACATAGAATATTCAAGTCAGTCACTTCACTGGTCACTGAAAAGGATGTGGAGGACTCCTGCCATCCCCCATACACCTGATTTACAATGATCCCTTATGGGAAAGCAGGAATCCTTTTGACCTGGAAGACTGAATTCCAGGAAATACTAACCTGTAGCCCAGAAAAGACCAGCAGCCCAGTGGGCTTGTTCTTCTCTCCCTCTAGTTGGGCCTGAGAGTGGCCAGGGGAGGAAGCTTACCAGCCTGTTAACCAGGCACATGATACCTGGGAGCTAGTCCTCCTGATGTCTCCCAAAGGACTGTGAAAAACGAGCTTTTGGGGGGCTGCTTGTTTCCCTAGTACTCTGCTGGAAGTGGTCTTCTCCTGGAAATGCCTTGAAAATCCCAAGTCCTCCAACCTGCTTCAAAGGCCTAATATACCATCTTGGGCCCCTGGTATGGAGCGACACACAGATCTCCACCTAGACTTCAATTCACAAAAATGAATATTATCATTTCCCAGATTGTGAAAGTAAGGGAAGCTCTTGGATAGTCTTAAGCAAGAAAGTGATGGGATCCTTTCCTCTAGATGCAAGGCCACAGGGGACCTACAGAACACGCCCTCTCCCTGCCTACCAAACTCTAATCTATATGAAGAGCCAAGCTCTTGCTCCCGTGCCCTTTGTTTTCCTTTGGGATAAATTGCTACTTTTCCTGATTATAATGAATACATATGAATTATTTTCAAAATTGAAACAACTCAGGGATGCTTGTGGTTAAAAGTAGAGAGCATTTGAAATTGCTCTGCCTGGAGGTGACTGCAATTAATTTTCTGCTGACTGTGGCAGGCAGAATTTTGGCCCCTAGATCCTCACTCCTGGGGCTCACTCCCACAAATACGTTTCATTACATGGCAAAAAGGACTTTACACATGCAATTAAGGTTACTGACCAGTTGAGCTTAAGATAGGGCAATTACGCTGGATTATGCAGGTGGACCTGATGTAGCCACTTGAGCCCTTAAAAGTAGTGAGTAGAAACAGAAAAGGAAGTCGCAGAGATTTGAAGCATGAGGCCTCGACGGGTCATTGCTGGTTTGAAGGTGGGGGTGCCGTGTGAAAAGGAATGCAGGCAGTCCGAAGTTCCTCAGAAAAAGGACCCAGCTGACGGTGGGTGAACAATGGAAACCTGAGTCCTACAACCACAAGAAATTTTAAATTCTGCCAACAACCTGAGTGAGCCTGGAAGTAGATTCTTCCCCAGAGCCTGCAGAAAGGAATGTATCCGTGCCTACATTTTTGTCTCAACCTTGTGAGACCCTAAGCAGAGAGCCCAGCTAAGCCACGATATTCCTGGCCTTCTGAGCCATGAAAACTGTGAATTAATAAATGAGTTTTGCTTTAAGACACTAAGTTGATGGTAATATGGTATGGCAATGATAACAAATACAGTGACCATCCTTTAATGCATCTCTTCTTCCATATATGCACACACGAACACAAATGCACCCAATATATATGTGTGATTAACATGTACATTGGGTTTTTGTGAACAGTTAAAACAATTTGCCTTGCTTCTTCTTAACCTTCTTCCTCCAGTGTCCCTTTTTATCCCCTTTAACCAATATTAGTAATTTCAGATTTATAATTTTCTACCTTTCTCTTTGATGACATATATCCTTATACCTTTGTGATATTGTGATATAACAAGGAATACATGTTTTGTCTCCTGTCTCCAGTTCCTGTAATAGAGCTCCTAAAACCCTTGTAATTTCCTGAGCAATAGGAGTGTACAGAACATCTCTTGTTCTAATATTTGATCTCTGATCCCCATTTCTGACACAGAGCCTGAATTTTCTGGGTAATAAAAGTGTCTTTTGTTCCAATGAGGCAACTTTTGGTGGCCTCCTGCATGGAGCTGGTCACCAGAAAAGCCAAGCCATGGTTAGAGGGCTTGGAACTTTCAGCTCCACTTCCTATCCTCGGGGAAAGGGACACAAGCTAGAAATTGAGTTAATAATAGACCATACCTGTGTGGTGAAGCCTCCATAAAAGTCCCTAAACTATGGGGTTCAGAATGCTTCCAGGTCGTTGAACACTCCTATGAGCCAGGAGGGTGGCACACCTCAACTCCATGGGGACAGAAGCTCCTTCACTCAGGACCCTTCCAGGCCTCACCCTATGTATCCCTTCAAGGGCTGTTCATCTATATCCTTCATTATATTCTTCATTATATAATAAACTGGTAAATGTAACAAGTGTTTTCGTGAGTTCCGTGAGTTCTAACAAATTATCAAAGCCAAGAGTCATAGGAACCCTGAATGATAGCCAGTCAGTTAGAAGTACAGGTGAAAACCTGGGGCTTAAGATTGGCATCTGGGGTGGGAGGCAGTCTTGTGGGACTGCACTCTTAAAGTGCGGGATCTATGCTAACTCCAGTTAGTGATAGAATTGAACTGAATTGTAGGACATCCAGCCGGTGTCTGCAGATAATAGAAAAATGTGTTAATGTGTGAAAAATCCCCTCATTTGGTGGCCAGAACTGTCCTGTATTGAGTGTGTGTAGTATAAGGGAGAAAATGCACAAACTCCAACACTTAGCACATCAATTCACACACAACAGGTATTCAATCAATGTCTGATGAATAAATGATGAAATTGGCATTATGTCATCTATCAGACATTTATTCTCTCTACATCCTTGCAAAGTTAAGGAAATCCATGTGTATATCACTCAATTTTGTAGAAAACCAGACTGAAAGAGAAGGCAAAAGCCAGGATATAATCATCTTTATACTTTGCTATTTTAGTTTTCTGGAAACCAACTATTTATTGGTGATTATTTTTGCTGATTACCATGTAATCAGCCTTAGCCCTAGCCTTAGTCCTAACTATAACCACAACCCTAACTCTAAACACAACCCCATAACAAGCCCTACACTAAACCTAGCCCTAAACCCTAACCCTAACCCTAACCCTAAACCCTAAACCAGATTCTGACCCTGACACTGACTCCCAATGTGACCTGTGACCAGCCTTGACTGATATCAACTGGTCTTGACTGACTTTGACAGGCTGTGACAGGGCATGACAGGTTCTGACCAGTCTAGACCAGTCTTGACTGTCTGGGACTGATTATACCAGCCATGACTGCAATTAACTGGTCTTGACTAGCCATGACCAGCTTTCACTGGCTGGGACCAGAATTGACCATATTTGACTGGCTTTGACTGACTGTGCCCAGCTTTGATCAGTCTTATCTGGTTTTGACCAGGCTTGACAAGTCTGAACTGGTCATGACCAGCAGTGACCAGCCTTCACTGGCTGTTTCTGGCATGAGCCTGATGCCTTCTGCCTGACTGAGTGCCAAGGACTCAGGGGCTGTGCAGCACTGAGGGGTAGGTGAAGGGGAGCAGAGTGGGAGGGAGGAAAGCCCTGTGGGAATACTCGAGGAGTGGGTGTGCCCAGGAGAGCTCACTGGTTGGTTTATACCATAAGGTCCTTGCGAATCATTTTCTTGCAGATAGGGAAATAGGTCCTGGGGATGTGTACCAAACTGTCAGGGCAGAGGACAGGGGCAGGGATGCCTGCCTGTCAATCAAAAAGTCAGTCTCAAGGCACCATTTTGTACTTTGTTGTCCAGCCATGAAAGTCACTAGTTCATAATAAAGAGTTCTATCTCTTATGACTTTGGGTTTGGACTTGGGCTTCAAGTGTTATTGTGGTAGCCAGGGCTCAGGAAGGCTGCAACTTTGCACCATGTCCTTTAAGGAACAAATCCTATGCACAGTGAAATAAATATAAGAGATGAGTATTTTTGAGGTAAATTTACTTGATATGAATTTCACCATTTCCCCATTTTAACCTTTTTTTTTTTCACTTTAAGTTCCGGGATATATGTGCAGAATGTGCAGGTTTGTTACATAGGTATACATGTATCATGGTGATATGCTGCACCTATCAACCCGTCATCTAGGTTTTAAGCCCTGCATGCATTAGATATTTGTGCTAACGCTCTCCCTCCCCTTGCCCCTCACCCCCCAGCAGGCCCTGGTGTGTGTTGTTCCCCTCCCTGTGTCCATGTGTTCTCATTGTTCAACTCCCACTTATGAGTGAGAACATGCACTGTTTGATTTTCTGTTCCTGTGTTGGTTTGCTGAGAATGATGGCTTCTATTTTTAAGTACACAATTTGGTGAAATTTAACACCTTGACAGTGTTGTACAGCCACCTGTCTAGTTCCGGTGCATTTTTATCATCTCCAAAGGGAACTCAGTACCCATTATGAAGTCCTTTCCCATTTCCCCCTCCTTCAGTCCCTGGAAGCTACTAATCTACTTTCTGACTCTATGGATTTGCCGTTCTGGACATTCCATATAAATTGGCTCATACACTATGTGCCTTTTGGGTCTGGTTTCTTTCACTTAAGGTGTTTTCAAGGTTCATCCATGTTATAACATACATCAGTACTTCATTCCTGTGTTCTTTCTGATTGAATACACTTAACATTTACCATTTAAACTATCTTAATTATACAGTCCTATGGAATTAACCACATTTACAGTGGTCATGTACCATCACTCCCATCCATCTCCAGAACTTTTTTCATCATCCCCAACAGGAATTGTGTGTTCATTAAACACTAACTTCCTATTCCTCTCTCCTCCAGCCACTGGAAACTACCTCTCTACTTTATATCCCAGTGAACTGATTACTCTAGGTAGCTCAGATAAGCAGAATAATACAATATTTGTCCTTCTGTGTCTTGGTTATTTCTCTTTGCATAATGACTCATGTTTCATCCATGCTGCAGTATGTGTCAGAATTCCCTTTGTTTTTAAGGCAGAATAATATTATATACCACATTTTGTTTATCTACTCATCCATTGGTGGGCACTTGTGTTGCCTCCAACACAAGTGGAGGCATTTAGTTCTTTGGAGCATATGCCCATGTAACTGACAGGTTTGCATAATACATCTCACTGAATCCTGGACCACCTGGGAAAGTTCTCCTTTAAATGCCTGTGTTAGAGAAAAAGAATGTAATGCTATGACCCAAGTCTATGACCCAAGTCTATGACCCAAGATCACAGGGTGACAGCAGGGGTTAGCTGGGATCTGAACTGAAATATTGCTGAGCTGTTGTGTTTGTCCATTTTGTGTTGTGTTGACGTGGGTAATTTATCAAGGAAGAAGCTTTATTTGGCTTATGGTTTTGCAGATTATACAAAAAGCATGACGCCAGCATCTCTGTCTGGTGAGGCCTGTGGAAGCTTTTACTCATTGTGGAAGGCAAGGGGAACCAGCGTGTCTCATGAGGAGAGAGATAGCAAGAGAGTGGGGGAAGATCTGAGACTCTTTTTAACAACTAGATCTCTTGTGAACTCATTGCCATGCAGAGGGCACCAAGCCATTCAGGAGGGATCCACCCCCATGACCCAAACCCTCCTGCCAGGGGCCACCTCCAACATTGGGGATCACGTTTCAACATGAGATTTGGTGGGGGCAAATAGCCAAACCATATTAGTTCTCATCATTTTCATGGTGTATTATTAGTCCTTCTTGATTTAAAGTTCCATTGTGCGGCCAGCATTTCAATTAACATTTACATATATTTGCATATGAATGAGCATATTTAATACATAAGGTTTTATTTACCAAGTGTTCCATATTTTATCTTTTATGATATTCACAACGTTTCATGTTGTGCAGGTGTTCCTGTTTTTTTGTTGTTCCACTCCTACCTGAGGAACAGCTAGGTTAACTGCTACTTTGGAGTAGGTATTTTTTTTCTTTTTTTTATATGTATACTATAAGTTCTGGGATGCATGTGCAGAACTTGCAGGTTTGTGACATAGGTATACGTGTGCCATGGTGGTTTGCTGCACCCATCAACCAGTCATATACATTACATGTTTCTCCTAAGGCTATCCCTTCCCTTGCTCCCCACCCCTCGACAGGCCCTGGTGTGTGATGTTCCCCTTCCTGTGCCCATATGTTCTCATTGTTCAACTCCCACTTATGAATGACAACATGCAGTGTTTGGTTTTCTGTTCCTGTGTTAGTTTGCTGAGAATGATAGCTTCCAGCTTCATCCATGTCCCTGCAAAGGACATGAACTCATTCTTTTATGGCGGCATAGTATTCCATGGTGTATATGTGCCACATTTTCTTTATCCAGTCTAACATTAGTGGGCATTTGGGTTGGTTCCAAGTCTTTGCTATTGTGAATAGTGCTGCAATAAACATACATGTGCATGTGTCTTCATAGTAGAATGATTTATAATCCTTTGGGTATATACCCAGTAATGGGATTGCTGGGTCAAATGGTATTTCTAGTTCTAGATCCATGAGGAATTGCCACGCTGTCTTCCATAATGGTTGAACTAATTTACACTCAAACCAACAGTGTAAAAGCATTCCTATTTCTCCACATCCTCTCCAGCATCTGTTGTTTCCTGACTTTTTAATGATCGCCATTCTTACTGGTGTGAGATGGTATCTCATTGCAATTTTGATTTGCATTTCTCTAATGACGAGTGATGAGCTTTTTTCATATGTTTGTTGGCCGCATAAATGTCTTCTTTTGAGAAGTGTCTGTTCATATCCTTCACCCACTTTTTGATGGGGTTGCTTTTTTCTTGTAACTTTGTTTAAGTTCCTTGTAGATTCTGGATATTAGCCCCTTGTCAGATGGATAGATTGCAAAAATTTTCTCCCATTCTGTAGGTTGCCTGTTCACTCTGATGATAGTTTCTTTTGCTGTGCAGAAGCTCTTTAGTTTAATTAGATCCCGTTTGTCAATTTTGGCTTTTCTTGCAATTGCTTAAGTCTTACATTTAAATCTTTAGTCCATCTTGAGTTAATTTTTGTATAAGGTGTAAGGAAGGGGTCCAGTTTCAGTTTTCTGCATATATGGCTAGCCAGTTTTCCCAACAACATTTATTAAATAGGGAATCCTTTCCCCATTTCTTGTTTGTGTCAGTTTGTCTAAGATCAGATGGTTGTAGATGTGCGGTATTATTTCTGAGGCCTCTCTTCTGTTCCATTGGTCTATATATCTGTTTTGGTACCAGTACCATACTGTTTTGGTTACTGTAGTATAGTTGTAGTATAGTATACAAGTAGTGTAGTATGCCTTGTAGTATAGTTTGAAGTCAGGTAGCGTGATGCCTCCAGCTTTGCTCTTTTGGCTTAGGATTGTCTTGGCTATATGGGCTCTTTTTTGGTTCCATATGAACTTTAAAGTAGTTTTTTATAATTCTGTGAAGAAAGTCAGTGGTAGCTTGATGGGAATAGCACTGAATCTATAAATTACTTTGGGCAATATGGCCATTTTCACGATGTTGATTCTTCCTATTCATGAGCATGGACTGTTTTTCCATTTATTTGTGTCCTCTGTTATATCCTTGAGCAGTGGTTCGTAGTTCTTCTTGAAGAGGTCCTTCACATCCCTTGTAAGTTGTATTCCTAGGTATTTTATTCTATTTGTAGCAATTGTGAATGGGCATTTACTCATGATTTTGCTCTCTGTTTGTCTATTATTGGTATATAGGAATGCTCGTGATTTTTGCACATGGATTTTGTATCTTGAGATGTTGCTGAAGTTGTTTATCAGCTTAAGGAGTTTTTGGGCTGAGACAATGGGGTTTTCTAAATATACAATCATGTCATCTGCAAACAGAGATAATTTGACTTCCTCTCTTCCTATTTGAATACGCTTTATTTCTTTCTCTTGCCCGATTGTCCTGGCCAGAACTTCCAAAACTATGTTGAATAGGGGTGGCAAGAGAGGGCATCCTTGTCTTGTGCTGGTTTTCAAAAGGAATGCTTCCAGATTTTGCCCATTTAGTATGATACTGGCTGTGGGTTCGTCATAAATAGCTCTTATTATTTTGAGATATGTTTCACCAATACCTAGTTTACTGAGTGCTTTTAGCATGAAGGGTGTTGAATTTTATTGAAGGCCTTTTCTGCATCTATTGAGATAATCATGTGGTTTTTGTCATTGGTTCTGTTTATGTGATGGATTACGTTTATTGATTTGCATGTGTTGAACCAGCCTTGCATCCCAGGGATGAAGCTGACTTGATTGAGGTGGATAAGCTTTCTAATATGCTGCTGGAATCAGTTTGCCAGTATTTTATTGAGGATTTTTGCATCGATGTTCAACAGGGATATTGGCCTGAAATTTTCCTTTTTTGTTGTGTCTCTGCCAGGTTTTGTTATCAGGATGATGCTGGCCTCATAAAATGAGTTAGGGAGGACTCCCTTTTTTTCTGTTGTTTGGAATAGTTTCGGAAGGAATAGTACCAGCTCCTCTTCGTAATTCTGCTAGAATTTGGCTATGAATCATCTGGTCCTGGGCTTTTTTTGGTTGGTAGGCTATTAATTAGTGCCTCAATTTCAGAGCTTGTTATTGGTCTATTCAGGGATTTTACTTTTTCTTGGTTTAGTCTTGGGAGGTGTGTGTGTCCAGGAATTTATTCATTTCTTCTAGATTTTCTAGTTTATTAGTTTCTAGTTTATTAGTTATTAGATTTTCTAGTTTATTAGAAGTATTTATACTATTTTCTGATGGTAGTTTGTATTTCTGTGGAATCAATGGTGATCTCCCCTTTAACATTTTTTATTGTGTCTTCTTGATTCTTCTCTCTTTTCTTCTTTATTAGTCTGGCTAGCAGTCTATCTATTTTGTTAATCTTTTCAAAAAACTAGCTCCTGGATTCATTGATGTTTTGAAGGGTTTTTTGAGTCTCTGTCTCCTTCAGTTCTGCTCTGATCTTAGTTATTCTTGTCTTCTGCTAGCTTTTGAATTTGTTTGCTCTTGCTTCTCTAGTTCTTTTAATTGTGATGTTAGGGTGTCAATGTTAGATCTTTCCTACTTTCTCCTGTGGGCATTTAGAGCTATAAATTTCCCTCTAAACACTGCTTTAGCTGTGTCCCAGAGATTCTGGTACTTTGTGTCTTTGTTCTCATTGGTTTCAAAGAACTTATTTATTTCAGCATTAATTTCGTTATTTACCCAGTAGTCATTCAGGAGCAGGTTGTTCAGTTTCCATGAAGTTGTGTGGTTTTGAGTGAATTTCTTAATCCTGAATTCTAATTTGATTGCACTGTGGTCTGAAAGACTGTTTATTATGATTTCCGTTCTTTTGCATTTGCTGAGGAGTGTTTTACTTCCAATTATGTGGTCAATTTTAGAATAAGTGCGATGTGGTGCTGAAAAGAATGTATATTCTGGTGATTTGGGATGGAGAGTTCTGTAGATGTCTATTAGTTCTGCTTAGTCCAGGGATGAGTTCAAGTACTGAATATCCCTGTTAATTTTCTGTCTTGTTGATCTCTCCAATATTGACAGTGGGGTGTTAAAGTCTCCCACTATTATTGTCTGGGAGTCTAAGTCTCTTTGTAGGTCTCTAAGAACTTGCTTTATGAATCTGGGTGCTCCTGTATTGGGTGCATATATATTTAGGATAGTTAGCTCTTCTTGTTGAATTGATCCCTTTACCATTATGGAATGCCCTTCTTTTTTTTAATTTTTATTTTATTTATTTATTTATTTTTTATTATACTTTAAGTTTTAGGGTACATGTGCACAACATGCAGGTTTGTTACATATGTATACATGTGCCATGTTGGTGTGCTGCACCCATTAACTCGTCATTTAACATTAGGTATATCTCCTAATGCTATCCCTCCCCTCTCCCCCTACCCCACAACAGGCCCCGGTGTGTGATGTTCCCCTTCCTGTGTCCATGTGTTCTCATTGTTCAATTCCCGCCTACGAGTGAGAACATGCAGTGTTTGGTTTTTTGTCCTTGTGATAGTTTGCTGAGAATGATGGTTTCCAGCTTCATCTATGTCCCTACAAAGGACATGAACTCATCAGTTTTTATGGCTGCGTAGTATTCCATGGTGTATATGTGCCACATTTTCTTAATCCAGTCTATCATTGTCAGACATTTGGCTTGGTTCCAAGTCTTTGATATTGTGAATAGTGCTGCAATAAACATATGTGTGCATGTGTCTTTATAGCAGCATGATTTATAATCCTTTGGGTATATACCCAGTAATGGGATGGCTGGGTCAAATGGTATTTCTAGTTCTAGATCCCTGAGGAATCGCCACACTGACTTCCACAATGGTTGAACTAGTTTACAGTCCCATCAACAGTGTAAAAGTGTTCCTATTTCTTCACATCCTCTGCAGCACCTGTTGTTTCCTGACATTTTAATGATTGCCATTCTAACTGGTGTGAGATGGTATCTCATTGTGGTTTTGATTTGCATTTCTCTGATGGCCAGTGATGATGAGCATTTTTTCATGTGTCTTTTGGCTGCATACATGTCTTCTTTTGAGAAGTGTCTGTTCATATCCTTCACCCACTTTTTGATGGGGTTGTTTTTTTCTTGTAAATTTGTTTGAGTTCATTGTAGATTCTGGATATTAGCCCTTTGTCAGATGAGTAGATTACAAAAATTTTTTCCCATTCTGTAGGTTGCCTGTTCACTCTGATGATAGTTTCTTTTGCTGTGCAGAAGCTCTTTAGTTGAATTAGATCCCATTTGTCAATTTTGGCTTTTGTTGCCATTGCTTTTGGTGTTTTAGACATGAAGTCCTTGCCCATGCCTATGTCCTGAATGGTATTGCCCAGGTTTTCTTCTAGGGTTTTTATGGTTTTAGGTCTAACATTTAAGTCTTTAATCCATCTTGAATTAATTTTTGTATAAGGTGTAAGAAAGGGATCCAGTTTCACCTTTCTACATACGGCTAGCCAGTTTTCCCAGCACCATTTATTAAATAGGGAATCCTTTCCCCATTTCTTGTTTTTGTCAGGTTTGTCAAAGATCAGATGGTTGTAGATATGCGACATTACTTCTGAGGGCTCTGTTCTGTTCCATTGGTCTATATCTCTGTTTTGGTACCAGTACCATGCTGTTTTGGTTACTATAGCCTTGTAGTATAGTTTGAAGTCAGGTAGCGTGATGCCTCCAGCTTTGTTCTTTTGGCTTAGGATTGACTTGGCAATGCATGCTCTTTTTTGGTTCCATATGAACTTTAAAGTAGTTTTTTCCAATTCTGTGAAGAAAGTCATTGGTAGCTTGATGGGGATGGCATTGAATCTATAAATTACCTTGGGCAATATGGCCATTTTCACGATATAGATTCTTCCCACCCATGAGCATGGAATGTTCTTACATTTCTTTGTATCCTCTTTTATTTCATTGAGCAGTGGTTTGTAGTTCTCCTTGAAGAGGTCCTTCACATCCCTTGTAAGTTGGATTCCTAGGTATTTTACTCTCTTTGAAGCAATTGTGAATGGGAGTTCACTCATGATTTGACTCTCTGTTTGTCTGTTATTGGTGTATAAGAATGCTTGTGATTTTTGCACATTAATTTTGTATCCTGAGACTTTGCTGAAGTTGCCTATCAGCTTAAGGAGATTTTGGGCTGAGACAATGGGGTTTTCTAGATATACAATCATGTTATCTGGAAACAGGGACAATTTGACTTCCTCGTTTCCTAATTGGATACCCTTTATTTCCTTCTCCTGCCTGATTGCCCTGGTCAGAACTTCCAATACTATGTTGAATAGAATGGTGAGAGACGGCATCCCTGTCTTGTGCCAGTTTTCAAAGGGAATGCTTCCAGTTTTTGCCCATTCAGTATGATATTGGCTGTGGGTTTGTCATAAATAGCTCTTATTATTTTGAGATACATCCCATCAATACCTAATTTATTGAGAGTTTTTAGCATGAAGCGTTGTTGAATTTTGTCAAAGGCTTTTTCTGCATCTATTGAGCTAATCATGTGGTTTTGTATTTGGTTCTGTTTATATGCTGGATTACGCTTATTGATTTGCATATGTTGAACGAGGCTTACATCCCAGGGATGAAGCCCACTTGATCATGGTGGATAAGCTTTTTGATGTGCTGCTGGATTCGGTTTGCCAGTATTTTATCGAGGATTTTTGCATCGATATTCATCAGGGATATTGGTCTAAAATTCTCTTTTTTTGTTGTGTCTCTGCCAGGCTTTGGTATCAGGATGATGCTGGCTTCATAAAATGAGTTAGGGAGGATTCCCTCTTTTTCTATTGATTGGAATAGTTTCAGAAGGAATGGTACCAGTTCCTCCTTGTACCTCTGGTAGAATTCGGCTGTGAATCCATCTGGTCCTGGACTTTTTTTGGTTGGTAAGCTATTAATTATTGCCTCAATTTCAGAGCCTGTTATTGGTCTATTCAGACGTTCAGTTTCTTCCTGGTTTAGTCTTGGGAGGGTGTATGCATCAAGGAATTTATCAATTTCTTCTAGATTTTCTAGTTTATTTGCGTAGAGGTGTTTATAGTATTCTCTGATAGTAGTTTGTATTTCTGTGGGATTGGTGGTGATATCGCCTTTATAATTTTTTATTGCATCTATTTGATTCTTCTCTCTTTTCTTCTTTATTAGTCTTGCTAGCAGTCTATCAATTTTGTTGATCTTTTCAAAAACCAGCTCCTGGATTCATTAATTTTTTGAAGGGTTTTTTGTGTCTCTATTTCCTTCCGTTCTGTTCTGATCTTAGTTATTTCTTGCCTTCTGCTAGCTTTTGAATGTGTTTGCTCTTGCTTCTCTAGTTCTTTTAATTGTGATGTTAGGGTGTCAATTTTATATCTTTCCTGCTTTCTCTTGTGGGCATTTAGTGCTATAAATTTCCCTCTACACACTGCTTTGAATGTGTCCTAGAGATTCTGGTATGTTGTGTCCTTGTTCTCGTTGGTTTCAAAGAACATCTTTATTTCTGCTTTCATTTCATTATGTACCTAGTAGTCATTCAGGAGCAGGTTGTTCAGTTTCCATGTACTTGAGGAGTTTTGAGTGAGTTCCTTAATCCTGAGTTGTAGTTTGATTGCACTGTGGTCTGAGAGACAGTTTGTTATAGTTTCTGTTCTTTTACATTTGCTGAGGAGTGCTTTACTTCCAACTATGTGGTCAATTTTGGAATAAGTGCGGTGTGGTGCTGAGAAGAATGTATATTCTGTTGATTTGGGGTGGAGAGTTCTGTAGATGTCTATTAGGTCCGCTTGGTGCAGAGCTGAGTTCAATTCCTGGATATCCTTGTTAACTTTCTGTCTCGTTGATCTGTCTAATGTTGACAGTGGGGTGTTAAAGTCTCCCATTATTATTGTGTGGGAGTGTAAATCTCTTTGTAGGTCACTAAGGACTTGCTTTATGAATTTGGGTGCTCATGTATTGGGTGCATATATATTTACGATAGTTAGTTGTTCTTGTTGAATTGATCCCTTTACCATTATGTAATGGTCTTCTTTGTCTCTTTTGATCTTTGTTGGTTTAAAGTCTGTTTTATCAGAGACTAGGATTGCAACTCCTGTCTTTTTTTGTTTTCTATTTGCTCGGTAGATCTTCCTCCATCCCTTTATTTTGAGCCTATGTGTGTCTCTGCACATGAGACGGGTTTCCTGAATACAGCACACTAATGGGTCTTGACTCTTTATCCAATTTGCCAGTCTGTGTCTTTTAATTGGAGCATTTAGCCCATTTACATTTAAGTTTAATATTGTTATGTGTGAATTTGATCCTGTCATTTTGATGTTAGCTGGTTATTTTGCTCGTTAGTTGATGCAGTTTCTTCCTAGCCTTGATGGTCTTTACAATTTGGCATGTTTTTGCAGTGGCTGGTACCAGTTGTTCCTTTCCATGTTTAGTGCTTCCTTCAGGAGCTCTTTTAGGGCAGGCCTGGTGGTGACAAAATCTCTCAGCATTTGCTTGTCTGTAAAGGATTTTATTTCTCCTTCACTTATGAAGCTTACTTTGGCTGGATATGAAATTATGGATTGAAAATTCTTTTCTTTAAGAATGTTGAATATTGGCCCCCACTCTCTTCTGGCTTGTAGAGTTTCTGCTGAGAGATCAGCTGTTAGTCTGATGGGCTTCCCTTTGTGGGTAACCCGACCTTTCTCTCTGGCTGCCCTTAACATTTTTTCCTTCATTTCAACTTTGGTGAATGTGACAATTATGTGTCTTGGAGTTGCTCTTCTCGAGGAGTATCTCTGTGGTGTTCTCTGTATTTCCTGAATTTGAATGTTGGCCTGCCTTGCTAGTTTGGGAAAGTTCTCCTGGATAATATCCTGCAGAGTGTTTTCCAACTTGGTTCCATTCTCCCGGTCACATTCAGGTACACCAATCAGACGTAGATTTGGTCTTTTCATATAGTCCCATATTTCTTGGAGGCTTTGTTCATTTCTTTTTATTCTTTTTTCTCTAAACTTCTCTTCTCACTTCATTACATTCATTTGCTCTTCCATCACTGATACCCTTCCTTCCAGTTGATTGAATTGGCTACTGAGGCTTGTGCATTCGTCACGTAATTCTCGTGCCTTGGTTTTCAGCTCCATGAGGTCCTTTAAGGAGTTCTCTGCATTGGTTATTCTAGTTAGCCATTCATCTAATTTTTTTTCAAGGTTTTCAACTTCTTTGCTATGGGTTCGAACTTCCTCCTTTAGCTAAGAGTAGTTTGATTTTCTCAAGCCTTCTTCTCTGAACTCATCAAAGTCAGTCTTCGTCCAGTTTTGTTCCGTTGCTGGTGAGGAGCTGTGTTCCTTTGAAGGAGGAGAGGTGCTCTGATTTTTAGAGTTTCCAGTTTTTCTGCTCTGTTTTTTCCCCATCTTTGTGGTTTTATCTACCTTTTGTCTTTGATGATGGTGACGTACAGATGGGGTTTTGGTGTGGATGTCCTTTCTGTTTGTTAATTTTCCTTCTAACAGTCAGGACCCTCAGCTGCAGGTCTGTTGGAGTTTGCTGGAGGTCCACTCCAGACCCTATTTGCCTGGGTATCAGCAGTGGAGGCTGCAGAACCGCGGATATTGGTGAGCAGCAAATGTTGCTGCCTGATTGTTCCTCTGGAAGTTTTGTCTCAGAGGAGTACCCGGCCGTGTGAGTTGTCAGACTGCCCCTACTGGGGGGTGCCTCCCAGTTAGGCTACTCGGGTGTCAGGGACCCACTTGTGGAGGCAGTCTGTCTGTTCTCAGATCTCTAGCTGCGTGCTGGGAGAACCACTACTCTCTTCAAAGCTGTCAGACAGGAACATTTAAGTCTGCAGAGGATTCTGCTGCCTTTTGTATGGCTATGCCCTGCCCCCAGAGGTGGAGTCTACAGAGGCAGGCAGGCCTCCTTGAGCTGTGGTGGGTTACACCCAGTTAAAGCTTCCCGGCTGCTTTGTTTACCTACTCAAGCCTCGGCAATGGCGGGCGCCCCTACCCCAGCCTTGCTGCCACCTTGCAGATTGATCTCAGACTGCTGTGCTAGCAATGAGCGAGGCTCCGTGGGCGTAGGACCCTCCAAGCCAGGTGAGGGATATAATCTCCTGGTGTGCCATTTGCTAAGACCATTGGAAAAGCGCAGTATTAGGGTGGGAGTGACCTGATTTTCCAGGTGCCGTCTGTCACCCCTTTCTTTGACTAAGAAAGGGAATTTCCTGACCGCTTGGGCTTCCTGGGTGAGGCAATGCCTCGCCCTGCTTCGGCTGATGCTTGGTGTGCTGTACCCACTGTCCTGCACCCACTTTCTGACACTCCCCAGTGAGATGAACCCAGTACCTCAGTTGGAAATTCAGAAATCACCTGTCTTCTGTGTCGCTCATGCTGGGAGCTATAGACTGAAGCTGTTCCTATTTGGCCATCTTGGCTCTCCTCTACGGAATGCCCTTCTGTGTCTCTTTTGATCTTTGTTGGTTTAAAGTCTGTTTTATCAGAGACTAGGATTGCAACCCCTGCTTTTTTTTCCTTTCCATTTGCTTGGAAAATCTTCCTCCATCCCTTTATTTTGAACCTATGTGTTTCTTTGCACATGAGATTGGTCTCCTGAATACAGCACACCAATGGCTTTTGATACCTATCCAATTTGCCAGTCTGTGCCTTTTAATTGGGGCATTTAGCCCGTTTAGATTTCAGGTTAATATTGTTATGTGTGAATTTGATCCTGTCATTATGATGCTAGCTGGTTATTTTGCCCATTAGTTGATGCAGTTTCTTCATAGTGTCAATGGTCTTTACATTTTGGGATGTTTTTGCAGTGGCTGGTACTGATTTTTCCTTTCCATATTTAGTGCTTCCTTCAGGAGCTCCTTCAGGAGCTCTTGTAAGGTTGGCCTGGTGGTGACAAAATCCTTCAGCATTTGGTTGTCTGTAAAGGATTTTATTTCTCCTTCACTTATGAAGCTTAGTTTGGCTGGATATGAATTTCTGGGTTGAAAATTCTTTTCTTTAAGAATGTTGAATATTGGCCCAAACTCTCTTCAGGCTTGTAGAGTTTCTGCAGGGAGATCTGCTGTTAGTCTGATGGGCTTCCCTTTGTGGGTAACCCGACCTTTCTCTCTGGCTGCCCTTAACATTTTTTCCTTCATTTCAATCTTGGTGAATGTGACAATTATGTGTCTTGGGGTTGCTCTTCTTGAGGGGTATCTTTGTGGTGTTCTCTGCATTTTCCGAATTTGAATGTTGGCCTGTCTTGCTAGGTTGGGGAGGTTCTCTTGGATAATATCCTAAGCATCTTTTCCAACTTGGTTCCATTCTCCCCATCACTTTCAGGTACACCAATCAAACATAAGTTTTGTCTGTTCACATAGTCCCATATTTCTTGGAGGCTTTGTTTGTTCCTCTTCATTCTTTTTTCTCTAATCTTGTCTTCACACTTTATTTCGTTAAGTTGATCTTCAATTTCTGATATCCTTTCTTCCACTTGATCAATTTGGTTATTGATACTTGTGTGACCTTCACGAAGTTCTCGTGCTGTGTTTTTCAGCTCCATCAGGTCATTTATGTTCTTCTCTAAACTGGTTATTCTAGTTAGCAATTCCTCTACCCTTTTATCAAGGTTCTTAGCTTCCTTGCATTGGGTTAGAACATGCTCCTTTAGCTTGGAAGAGTTTGTTATTACCCAACTTCTGAAGCCCACTTCTGTTAATTTGTCAAACTCATTCTCTGTCCAGTTTTTTTCCCTTGCTGGCAAGGAGTTATCCTCTGGAGGAGAAGAAGCTTTCTGGTTTTTGGCATTTTCAGCCTTTTTGCACTGGTTTTTCCTCATCTTCGTGGATTTACCTTTGGTCTTTGCTGTTGGTGACCTTTGGACCAAGGTTTTGCTTGGTTGTCCTTTTTTTTTTCATGTTGATGCTATTGCTTTCTGTTTGTTAGTTTTTCTTCTAAGAGTCAGGCCCCTCTTCTGCAGGCTGCAGGTCTGCTGGAGTTTGCTGGGGGTCCACTCCAGACGCTGTTTGCCTGAGTATCACCAGCGGAGGCTGCAGAACAGTAAAGATTGCTGCCTGCTCCTTCCTCTGGAAGCTTTGTCCCAGACGGGCACCCGCCATATGCCAGGAGGAGCTTTCCTGTATGAGGTGTCTTTTGACCCCTGCTCGGAGGTGTCTCCCAGTCAGGAGGCTCGAGGGTCAGGGATGTACTTGAGGAGGCAGTCTGACCCTTAGCAGAGCTCAGGTGCTGTGCTGGGAGATCTGCTGCTCTCTTCAGAGCTGGCAGGCAGGAACATTTAAGTCTCTAAAGCTGCGCCCATAGCCACCCCTTCCCCAGGTGCTCTGTCCCAGGGAGATGGGAATTTTATCTACAAGTCCCTGACTGGGGCTGCTGCCTTTCTTTCAGAGATTTCAGGAGGAATCTAGACAGGCAGTCGGACTACAGTGGCTTTGTGGTGCTGTGGCAGGCTCCACCCAGTCTGAACTTCCTGGTGGCTTTGTTTACACCATGAGGGGAAAACCACCTACTCAAGCCTCAGTAATGGCGGATGCCCCTTCCACCACCAAGCTGGAGCCTCCCAGGTCGACTTCAGACTGCTGTGCTGGCAGGGAGAATTTCAAGCCAGTGGATCTTAGCTTGCTGGGCTCCGTGGGCAGAGCGGAATCTGCTGAGTAAGGCCACTTGGATCCCTGGCTTCAGCCCCCTTTCCAGGGAAGTGAATGGTTCTTTCTCGCTGGCATTCCAGGCGCCACTGGGGTACGAAGAAAACTCCTGCAGCTAGCTTGGTGTCTGCCCAAATAGCTGCCCAGTTTTGTGCTTGAAACCCAGGGCCCTTGTGGTGTAGGCAACCAAGAGAATCTCATGGTCTGTGGGTTGTGAAGACCGTGGGAAAAGCATAGTATATGGGCAGGATAGCACTGTTGCTCACTGCACAGTCCCTCCCGGCTTGCCTTGGCTAGGGGAGGGAGTTCCCCGACCCCTTGCACTTCCCAGGTGAGGCAACACTTCACCGTGCTTCTGCTTGCCCTCTGTGGGCTGCACCCACTGTCTAACCAGTCCCAATGAGATGAACAGGGTAGCTCAGTTGGAAATGGAGAAATCACCTGCCTTCTGCATTGGTCTTGCTGGGAGCTGCAGACTGGAGCTAGTCCTATTTGGCCATCTTGCTCGAGAATCCCTGGAGCAGGTTTTCTTGGATGAGAAAAGAAAATGCTTGGCGTGATATTGCAGGGGTGAAGAGAAGAATCAGACTCTCAGTTAATCTTGCCTAGATCTGGCCAATGTTTGTGGTAATACATTTTTATTTCCTTCAATATGATATTATGGACTATGGGAGCTTTCTTGCTGGACTAGTCTCCAGTGAAAGTGGGACAGTTTGTTCCAAAGTCTCCATGGCATCTGGGCCCTAACCCATCATTTAATTTAGTTTAGCAAAACTCTAAGGGTGTGGTTACTAAAAAGCATTGAAAAAAACCTAAGTAAACATATCATAAACTTTTCTTGTGGAGAGTTCATTTATAAACTTTTATCTCATTTACATCTATTTTATTCATTTAACAATTATGTTTAGGCAGTTTTAGGAGACATTAGAAAAACCTAGTCATCATCACAAGTGAAATTTTCTATTAGCCGTTTCTATATTAGTGTATGTTAGGCAAGTATCATGAAAGCAAGAACCTTAAAGTTAAGTACATGTATATTTTCTTGTTAGCTCAGAAGACATAGTTATTTTTGTTGAACCAACAATAACAATATAGTTTTATTTACCAAAAGATTTATTCAAGTCACATAAAGTTGAAAAAACATTTGGTCTTATTCATTTAACTTATGAGTACTCATTCAAGTTATTGTGGTACCATGTGTAGATAATATGTAAAGATATGTATGACCATATACATATATGTAGACACAACATATAACATTCACATGTGCACATGTATGTACCTAATAGCCAAAGAGATCAAGGAGTTTAGTGCAAAAGAGAGTAGAGCTTCAGACTTGAATCTGTCCACTTACAATTCTTGGGGTTCCATGAGGATAAACAAAGTTTCCTCCCCAAAAGAGAAGCCCATGTTGCCTTTTCTGTTTCCCTTAAGAGATCCCAGGCAGTTAGAATTGTTTTTAGGTTCCCTCCTATGGCATTGAAAGTGGCAAGGGGAAGGAGGGACACACAGAATAGATGGAGAGGCAGACAGAGGGAGCAAATATGGTTAGCAGAGGTTTAAGAAGACAGGAATTCAGTTGATTGATAAGTTTTACAGAGAGAAAATAGAGGCCTTAAACAATATGTATGTATAAATACATAGCCTAAATATCAGTTTTAATTAAGTTAACTTTTGACTATGGAGCTCTTAAAAAATCTTTTAAAATCTCTTGTTAACAGATCTTAGCTGGAATTTCTGAGTTCTGATTTTTTTTTTTTTTTGCAACAGGTGTACCCTCCCAAATGAAAGCAATAAGCCTTGACCAAGGTTGTGACTTAACCAAGGATTCACAAGACATCTCCAAACATGTAAGTGGGTACCTCCGAAATTAAGTCACACAAATAAATGAATAGGGACTGGTTCCCTGAGCAGAAATCACACCCAGGCCATGGCTATGAAAGTGTGAAATTGGAACTACCGGACAACAGGTGGAGCAACATTCATTTTAATCCTGCGGGGAATCTAAAGCAGGCAATTTGAGCTGACAAAGATTTTAAATTAGGTTAGATTTTTGCTCTTAATTATGTCAAGAGGATTTCTAGGGCTGGCCATGACACTATTGCATGTCTTTCTTTGAATTTGATCTTCCCATTAATTGTTTAGAATGAGAGATCTCAAAGGTCTTTTTTAAAAAAATGTAGGAATCTAATTTAAAAGATTCACCTTCTGGCCATTGAATTTCCAATGGCATACTTATTTCAATAGTGACTTAATCCAAAAGCCTCTTCATGGAAAGCCCAGGTTTAAAAAAAGATGTTTCCTGGAGACGGCACAAGAGAAGCAAACCCAAAGACTCCCACCCTGAAAAACTCTCCCAGTAATAGGTTCAGATAGCAAAGGACTCTTGTTACTACAGATTGTTGAGAATGGTGTATGCCTTTGGCAACCCAGAATTTGTGAGGGAGGATGCCACTCACAGACCTTTTAATCTGTGAAACCTCATAGGCCTGCCTAGACTTGCACTTTCTCAGCACTAACCAGGCAACAAGCATTGAGATGGCAAAAGTGGTGTAGAAATGGAACTTCTTAAGACAAACTCTCCTGAGAGCTTGACATATTTGGAACAAAACGTCTCAATTTTGCAGCCTTTTTGAGACTGGCTACCCAACGTGACTTGAAAATCACACTGCCCAGATGGCAGATACCAAAAGAGAGTCCTTCCACTTGGTCACAAGTTAAGCTTTCAAGGACATCAAACAAGATGAGAGAGAACCTAAAATGATACCCCTCTTTATGACAGAAGGACACACAAAGACAAAGACAAAGGAAAATACTCTTTCTGGGAGAAAAGGGATCAAACATTATGAATATTCAAACCACAAAGTACCAAAAAGTATATCAAAGTCATTGGACCAAGACTAGTCAAACAAATCCTTTCCTCCCATTAATCAAGATTTTGGAAAAGAAAAAGAAATAAACAACAATATTGACTGTCTGCTTAACCAGATTCCACAGAGAGACAGAGGCCTGGAGCCTGACTGGTAAGAAATCCTTACCCTTTTGATAGCTCATCGGGACCTGGATTCACTTGGCTGTGGGTTTCAGGAGAGCAGAGCCTGCTCACAGCGTCAAGCTGTAGGAGCCAAGGGAAAGTGTCCCCTTTGCCCTCGGAAGGTTCGCTAAAAAATCAGCTCACAATGGCAGATTGATTGCAGCAAAGGCATAGAAACTTTATTGATGTGTACACGGGGGCATCACAGAGGTTACAGAAAAAACGTGGGTTTAGGGAATGGCCACAAACAGGTTATAGTGGTAAAACAGGTTATAGTGGCAAGACAGGTTATGGGAGAGAGAGAAAAGGAGGCCTGGATAGCAGGGGTGGTCTGGTTATGTAGAAGAACCCTCACAGTTAGCAGCCCTCAGAGAAAATAGATGGTAAGTGTTGCTTTCCAATCTTTAAGGTGTCAGAATCTTAGTTCCTCTTTCTTAGGACCCAAGGAGGGAAGGCTTGGCTTAGTTTATGCAAATTGCTTACACATGCAAATTTTCCCCACAAAAGTCAGGTTTGCAGGGCTACCTCTTCTTGCTGGCTCTGTTTATATAATCTCCAATTATGTCAAGGAAATATATTTTGGGCTTTTTTTTTCCTTCCTTATGATATTCTAAATTATGGGAACTTTCCTGCTGAACTAGAGTTTCTGGGGAAGGTCCATGGGGCCAAGAATTTGCCATCCCACAGGGGGTGACAGAGCCGGCCATTTGGTTCATTGAGATGAGGCGCAATTTTAGTGTTGGATGTGTACTTGCCCTAAGTCCTGTAACAAAGCTTTGACATAATAATCACACCTCCTCACTGCATTTCAATATCCATAAATATTAATAAGTCTTCTGAACGATTATCTGTTTCCTGTACTAATTGTTCACTGTATAAAAAAGCTGTTTTGAATATTTATATAGATTGTCAGGATGTGGACTGGGACTTTTTGTCAATTAACTATACTGACTGATTATGTAAACATCAGTGTGTGAACCTGAAATATCTTGCAACTTGTCTGTGTACATGCACATATACATATATATATACACACACATATATACATACATACAGATAAGAATATAGCAAGGCAATAAGCTATCCATTTAATTATTATGAAATTTTAATGATAAATTTTGTTTCAATTAGGCTTTCACTTAGCATTGAGATTTCATTTTTCTCCACTAATTATCCTAAATATGGACTCTGTATTTAGCTACTATTTTCTTGATTTAGAAATTGAGGGTTATTCTCACAGATGATTTGCCAAATAACATTTTTTTTGTCTTTTGAAGAATGATGTTATGAAATTTGCATAATATGAAATTACATGACCTTTAAGGATTTAGCTGTACAAAATCTTAGAAAATGTGATAAGTGTGGGCTTTGGGTGAATGGGTTGAGAGAATGTGTATGCAATCCCCCAGACACCCTAGAGTCTGCTGTGTCCCCAAGAGAGCAGACTAGATGGCAGGCAACTGGGGTGGACCGGAAGGGAGAGGGCAGCAGGCAGGAGCACTCATTGTCTGGAGGCCATGGTCAGCACTGTGGTCCTTGTTCTAAGGCCAGTGGGAAACCATTGGCAAAGTTAAGTCAGGAGAGTGACATGACAAAATTTGTGTTTGTAAAGGAGTATTTAACCACTATCAGGTTGAAATCACCAGAGGTGGGTGGGTGGGTCTGTGCTGCTCCTGGTGGGCTACACTGAGGAGAAGCACAGCATCAGCCCGGGGTGTTCCTGTGGTGAATGATGGGTCTGCATCTGCCCAGGAGAAGACAGTGGGAAGCTCCAGCTTGGAGTCACCTCTGCTCTTTAGATCTGCCAAAGTTGTGAAATGACTGGACAGTCCCAAGAACAGCTCGAGAAAAAGCTGGATCTGAATAAAAAGGGACATTTGTCTCTCGGTCCAGGCAGTGACTGAAGTGGATCTGAAGATTGGATTATGTAACTGAGATAGGCCCCAAGAAGATTTTCATCTTACTGGGGAAAGGGCCTACAAGACAGCGAGAAAAATCTCTGCTAAATTGATTAAATCCATTCCAATGCTCCTTCCAGAAAAAAATTGACTGGAAGGCTATACAGTGATGCATTCAGAAAGAAAGTGAGTCTGTGTTGTGACTACTTTGACTGATTTTTAAAAACTTTCCAACAAGACTATGGTATCAAAGATCTAACTGATGATACCATAAATCATTTTAATTCACTTATCCTTTCAGGTCTCAATGAAGCCCTTAGTGCTTTAGCTAAACAACATAATCCCTGCTAAGCTTCAAAGAGACCCATGAAAAGCTTCCCTGGCTGAATGCCTCTCAAAAACCATGCAAAAAGAAAAAGAGGCTAAAGCAGAAATGAGGAAAAAGACTGCTAAACTTGTGGCCTTATATATTCAACAACTCAAAGCCTCAAATCAGCAAGCCCCACAAAATAGACAGAAAGCAGTAGCCTTGTCTACTTTAAAGGGCATGATTTGCTTTGCCTGTAAGGGTCCTGGCTATATAAAATTATATTGGGAAAAGTACAAACAATGGCTTCAGAAGTACTCAAGTAAGGCAAGGAATCCCTCTTACTCGCGAGAACTTGTAAGAGAAGTTTTTGTTGGGTAAAACTGAGGACTTTCTGGGGGAAATTAGGGGGATTTTTTTCCTTTCCTTTCAGTTAATTAAGTAGGAGAAGCTGGTCTTAAAATCAACAGCAAATTAATCTGAGCTCTAGTGGACACTGGAGCTCTGCTCTTGGTGCTTACCCTCAACTCCTTTTCAGACCCCCCCTCCTTAGAGTAATCAAACAATTGAAATAGTGAGGGTTGCTAACCAAACTATGACCGTCTTTAAGTCTGAGCCAGTTTCTTATCAATTAGGGCCCCTTGCCGGCCAACACAGTTTGTTGTTGTCCTCTCTGCCCCAATCCACTTGATAGTGAAAGATAATCTGAAAAACACCAAGCCCACATTTCTTTCACCCACAAGGGAGATATCATCTTAGAAGTCTCCCCAACCAAGGTTTCAGCCTCTAGTGTCACTCGCATCTTCTCCCTGCTAGTTTCTAGCTATGTAGTTGTCACTGAACACCCAGTTCTATAGCAACTGCCTGAAACCCTTTGGGTGAAAGCGGATACAGATGTTGGCCTGACCCATTCAGCATCACTTATTTCTATACAGATAGACACTAACAGCCCTCTTCCAATTTTAAAACAATGTCCCCTCAATTCTGAAGCTTGAGCTGATATAGAATCTATAGTCGGTTGTTTCATTTCCCAGGGACTCATAGTCCTCTACACCAGTCCCTGTAATACATCCGTTCTGCCAGTCTGTAAGCCTAATGTGAATGAATGAAGATGCATCCAGGATCTTAGAGCTATCCACAACATTGTCTGTCCCTGACACCCTGTTGTACTTGATCCACAACCACTCTTACCCAAGATTCCTCCTGACACTCACTGTTTCTCCACTGTTGATCTCTGCAGCGCCTTCTTCAGTCCTCCTGTCAGCCCCAAAAGTCAGTTTCTTTTTGCCTTTGCTTGGAAAGGCTAACAATTTACATAGATGATGCTTTCCCAAGGATACACCAAAAGCCCTTCCCACCTTTCCAAGATTCTGCAGGCTGACCTAAAAGAAATAACCTTCCCAGATAATTTGACTCCATTACAATATATTGATGTCTTGCTTTTATGCTCCCTCTCTCAAAAGGCTTGCCACACTGACACTCGCCTCTTACTTCACCAGCTAGCCCTTAAGGCACACAAGGCTCTAAGACAAATTATATTTTTGCTGGGACTCCATCAAGTTCCTTGGGCATCAGGAGTAAACATTGACTTCACCTGCTTTCAAGGCATATATTCTTTTCCCTTGCCCAATGCTAAAAGATAACTGAGGGGTTTCTGGGGACTTGTGGTCTGCCATAGAGCTTGGATCCCTAATTTCTCTTTGATGACACAACCTTGATATACTTCGCCTGAGGCTTCTCCCCAGACTCCTTCACTTGTACTACCAATGGCCAAAAGCCTTTAAGAATCTCAAGCATCAGCTGTCCTTGCCTCTCATGTTGGGACACCTTAATTATGACCTTCCTGTTTCCCTTCTCATTCTTGAATGAGGGGGGCCTGTGACTAATACCTGGTCCAGCTGACAGGCAGAATAACATGCACTTACCCCAGCTTGCCTGTTAGCCAGAGATAAAACTGCAGACATTTGCACAGACAGCAGATACGCTGTTGGGGTTATCCATGACTTTGGAAACAGAAAATTTCTGACCTCTTCTAGACAGCCTACCAAAAATAAGGATCATGTTTTGGCACTTCTTGATGCCATTCTGGCTCTTAGAGCCCTGTCTACTATTGAAATCCAAGGTCACTCCTCTGAGAATATAGTAGAAAGATAGTAGGGGCAACCACCTGCTGATGCTACAGGCAAGACTGCAGCCCTAAATGGTACCACTTCTGTTATCCCTGTTTCCATTCAAACCCTACCCTTACCCATTGCTCCTTCCAAAAAACTTTTCTCCAGACTCTCTTGGTCTCAAAAGATGTCCGCAGATGGCAAAAAAGGAAAAATGGGCAAAACAGGGTTATACTTACAAATCATAATCCCAGTTATGGAAAGGACTTAACTTTCATCCTGTCCTTCCAGAAAATTTACAAAATTTACAAAAAGCCACCCTTGCCTTTAAACATAACCTCACCCATTGGAGCCCTTACAAAATAATCCAGTGGGGAAAACAGTACAATTGGGGTCCTTTCCTGATGGTTGCTTCTCAAGTCTATAAATGATGCAGAATCTGTTATTTGTATAATGCTGGGAAGCCCCCAAAGGCTGCCTCCAGAGAATTCCCATTACCAAATGGCCCTTTTGCAAACTAGTACCCCTCCTCACTTGGATGCAAGTATGTACTTGAGATGATAGATATGTACTCCCATTCGGTAGAGGCCTTTCCTTGCAGACAAGCTATGGCCATGATATTAGCCAAAATTCTTTTTGAGAGAATTATCCCCACTTGGGGAGTTCCCACTGAACTCCACAGTGATTGTGGACCCCAGTTTACTAGCCAAGTATTAGAAAGAGTTTATGATGTCTGACCTTTTCTGCAACACTTCCATTGTGTCCACCACCTACAGTCTTCTGGGCTTGTAGAATGAATCATTGGGATAATAAAGAGCCCATTGCCTGAGATTACAAACACTCTTAATCTGCCCTGGCCTAGGGCTCTCCCTCTAGCTCTGTTGATCCTGCTACCTACCCTCTCTGGAAAACACCACCTCTCCCTTTTGAGATTGTCAGCAGGCCAGTCCATGCATTTACCTGAGGGAATGTTTTACCCTACTGTTACAAGGAGACCTCCTGACTTACTGCCAAGGACTTGTTAAGGCTTCAACGACTAACCATAAACTGGTTGTGGAATCCTTCTACAGTAGCCCATCAAAAGATGAAATCTGATACCATGACCTCTAGCTAGGAGACTTCATTTACTAGAAAAGATGCCAGCTAAAAGATTTCTTCGAGCCTTGCAGAAAAGGCCCATTCCTGGTACTCCTGACTAAACCATGTGTTGGTAAGCTACGGGTCATTGACTGCTGGATCCACATATCCCACCTACAAAAGGCACTTGCAGATGTCTGCAATTCAGCCCCAATACCTGATACCAAATGTAAGGTGGCTGGAGCCCCAACACCAGGATGAGAAGAAGCCCATCATTGAGGGAAACTGCTTCCCCCAAGACTCTGGACCAGACCTGAATCCAGATGAAAGCTTACACTCCCTTCACAGTGGTTATCACACTCATTGCTTTAGGAGTTTTCAGAGTTGTTACTAGCTTATGTAAAACAAGACACATAGCTTTGCTTTGCTTATTTAAACCTAATATGCCCAGTCATTTTGCATACTTCATAATTCTGTTAATGATAGAAATGTAGGAATCTTATGTATAGCAGACATTTTATGTCATATGAAAGGAATTCCATGTATTCGTATATTTAGATACCTGTAAACCTTCCTTGCCCAACCCCATTCACGGTCCCTAAATCTCTTTCCTCTAGAACACATGATCCCCACTCCAGAAGGCATTGCCCCTCGGCCTCTTGTCAGCCGGACACTTTACTACCCTTTTAGAAGGGCAATAATCCTACCAAATTAAGGCTCCACCCTTACAACCTCATTTAACCTTAATTACCTTCTTCTGGGCCCTACCTCCAAGTCACTTTGGGGGTTAGGGCTTCAACTTATAAATGCTGGGGAGACACAATTCAGTCCATAGCAAACAGTGATGGAACACCATGTGTGTTCCCCTCACACATGCAGCTCTTCACTACTTCTCACTACAGCATATTTGAGTGCCTACTTTAAACACAGAGTGAATTACCTGCCTCAGCCTGACTTATGTTTGCTGCTGGCCATAGCACGGGCACCAGTTGTACCACTGGCAATGGCCCTGGCCCCTGCACACTCCATGGCATTAGTTCCCCTATTCCCTGAAATCCTGGCTTGGACTTTGTCCTGATCTTCTCTCAGGACCTCTTTGCACACTGACCTGTAGGACCAGAAGTCAACGTGAATAATCTTGTCTGCAAACCCCAAAATGTACACGGTTTTGGGTTCAGTGTGGTCATGAGGGCCCCACAGGAATTTGTAGCATATAGGATCCCTGTTGGGCATCTGCCTCAAATTCAGATATTGTTGCGCAAAACATCTTCAATGAAAAGCTTTCTGGGCCTTTCAAAAATGATGTGCTTCCTCTCAGCATCTTCACCTCTCTCAGCATATTCCAGATGTCCTCTTCAGGAGCAAAGTTGCCCTCCATGAAAACTAGGTCTAGAATAACAGTTTGGAGCAAGCCCCAGTCTTTACTCACTCAGTCTCTCAGCAGAGGAAAGTTCCACTTTGTTGATGAGGATGTCACATTGCTTCCTGGCATCCATGTTCACTTCCTCAACTCAAGGCCAAAGAGTACTCCAGGCTCTCAGAGGCTTTGCTGAGGGCCTCACGGAAATGATCCATGTGCTGTTGGATGATGTGCTTCAGCATTTCTGCCTTTTGGGTGGGCTCCTTCTTCTGGTTCTCGAGCAGGAGGAACACCTCCAACTCAGCCACATTACTGCTCAAGAGGTCCCTGGGCCTGAAGTCAGCAAGTGGTGGGGCCTATGGGGCATGTGGCCCTTGCTTTTCCTTGTGGCTGCTTGCTCCCTCACCTGAGCTGTTCCCTGAGGGAAGTAAGGTGGCAGTGGAGGTGAAACGGGGATTCCAAGGACATGGAGGAGCAATGAGTGTCCCACCAGCAGGTTTCCCCTTAGCGGCCTGTGATCTGATAACAGGAGAATGGGGAGAAGGCCTCCTCCTCAGCCTCAAGAGCCTGGTTCTCACCTTAGGCCTGGCAGTGTGAGGGGCCTCAGCAAGAAATCTCTCCCATGGATTGGAGGAAGGCTGTCTCTGCCATTTGTACTTTAGAATACTGACCCAGACTTTGATCCTTCTCATCACTCTATTCCCTGAGACCCTAGGAGATACAGTGAACTAGCTCCTCAGTAGCAAGCAGTCATTCTCTGGGCTTCCCAGCTTTGACAGAGGAGCATCAGATGGTGGCACATTCAGCCTGTATTCAGGGGTCATCGCCTTGGCGGTTGGAAGGGCATGTCCTGCTCAATCTGAGGCTGCCCCCGTCAAACCACCACAGTCTCCACCCTCAATAGAGAAAACTCAATTTTACCCTTCAACCGAAAACCCCCAAATACCGGCAGTAGAATTAGGAGAGAACTTGAAACCATCTCTCTCTACTTCCTGTGGAGGTGTGGGAATATCTAGGAGGACTGAGGTGGATTTATCCTTCTGGGGTGCACCTCAATCTCATGGATCGAGGCTACCTAAAGCTCTCATACTCCTGGACACTGAGACTGTACTTGGTAGGATCTGTGGAACACCTGAGCTCTATTCCTGGGCTCTGAAGGTGCTCACAGTGAGAAATGCCCTGCATACATTGTTGGCCTATACCCTGAGACCTGAGACCCCAGGAGGAGTTGGGGGGATGCCTCAGGTTCAACGAAGCCATTCCCAGGAGCTGATGGGGATCAGCAGGGATGGGACTCCATGGGGTCCACTGTGTGATGGGGTGAACAATCCCCTTGGTTCTCACTCAGGGTCTTCACTTTGACTCCAGGCAGGGCCTGCACTCCCTGCCATCTGCTGACCTGAGGACTGTCCCCTCAGACTAAGGCTCTCACTTCCTGTATATCTCTGAGGAGACAGTGAAGGTAGAGGACTCCCAGAGTGAACAGCAGGGGCCAGATCATGCTGGTTCTCTTCTACTCTGGGGTGGTGGTCCCCTCAATCCTCAATAAGGGTTCTTACCTCAACTCAAGGCAGGGCCTAAGCTCCATCCAATCTGCTGACCTAAGAACAACTCCTTCAAACCAAGCCTTCAACTCCATGAGAGTCCAGAAAAGGAAGCGACAGGGGTCTCAGCTAAACAGCTCTGATCAGGGCCTCCTAGGGCTGAGGCCAGGGCTGGAGTTGTGCAGAGAACCCTCTGGTCAGGCATGTGTGGCCCCCTTAGTTCTTCTATTGTACCTTGTGGTAAAAGATTACATTGTCCACGGAAATGCCTAGAGAAAAATCCTTGCCCAGAGAGAGGTCTGGCTGTGGTTCCTGGGACGCAGTCTCTAAGCCCTTGGGATGTCTTGCCTGATCATGGTGTCCATGTTTATCTGGAAACCTTAGGCCGTGCTGGATAGGCTGTGCTGAAAATGACTTATGATGGCAGCCTTGGGTCACATGGTAGTAGCTCGACCTCCAGAGGGGCTAACGACTGAGGTTAGTCAAATGGGTTTTCAACCATATCGACCTAACTGAGCCTCAATAAAAACAATGGGCACAAAGGCTCAGGTGAGCTTCTGGAGTTAGCAATACTCCATGTGTACTGTCATACCTAGAAGTTAGTGCTGTCTGGGACTCAACACAGAGAGGAACGCTGGAAGCTCTGTGCCTGGAACTCCCTGGGCTCTGCCCTGTGTGCCTCTTCTCCTGGCTGATTTTAATCTGTATCCTTTCACTGTAATAATCCATAACCATGAGTATGCCAGCTTTCTGTGAGTTCTGTGAGTCCTTCTAGCACATTATCAAACCTGAGGTGGGGCTTGGGGACACCCGAATTTGCAGTTGGTGTCAGATGTGAGGGTGGTCTTGGGGGCTGCTGAACTTTGCAGGTCTCCACCTTGACTCCTGGTAGGATCTGAGATTCCTTCCTCTGTTGACCTGATGCCTTTGCTGTCAGGCCCCACCGCAGAGAAAACACCGAGGAGGAAGTGATCATGCCTGTCTTCCAGTAACCTCTACCCTGGGCCTCTGAGAGCAGATAGCACAGGTGAGGGTCTCTGCACCTTCTGGTTTGCTTGGTCTCCTCCATCCTCCCTCAGACTCCTCAGCTAGACTTCTAGGAGGACCTGGGTCTCCTCTTTCTGCTCACTTGAGGCCAACCCCTTAGATCCAGTCTGAGCCACACAGAGAGCCTCTTTAGGAGAAAGCCAGTGGAGGCCTCAGTGAGATAGCCCTACTGGGGGCCTTGCATGGCTGACCACAGAAGTCAGATTTTGTGGGACCCCCTCTGTTCTGGGGTGGGTTGTGTCTTTCATCTTCATCCAGGGTCTGTGCCTTGATACCTGGCAGGGAATGGGTGGCCTCCCTTCTGCTGAACTGAGTCCTCCACCACCACTTACCCAAGGCCTCACCATCCTGAGACACCTGCAGGGAAGCAAGGAAACATTTCATCTTGTTAGCCCTGCCCGGGCTTTCCAGAGCCAACAGCAGGGGTGGGACTCTAGCATCCTCTCTGCTCCAGAGCGACTGATCCCCTGAATACTCACTCGGGGTCCTCACCGTGATTCCTGGAATGGAATAGACTTTCTCTTTTCTACTAATCTGAGTCCTGACCCCTCAGACCATGGCTCTCACCTCCAGGAGACCTCTGTTGGGGAAGTTGAGGAATCTCATCCTGCTTGGGGTCTCCAGGGGATGACAGCAGGGGCCAGCCAGACTCCAGGGCCCACTCTATCTGGCTTTAGTACAACATGGGTCCTCATGCTGTGGTCAACCCCTTGGCTGCAATCAGGGCCTGGGATCCATTGCTGATCTGAGGCTTCTGCTCCGAAAACCAACACCCTTACCTCCCAGTCTCCTGAGGAGGAGTGAGGATGCACTGCCAGAGTCAGTTGGCCTCCCCTTCCTGGGATCTTCCAGGGCTGACAGCAGGGCTGGTGGTGACGGAGCTCTATAGAGCCTCATTTGTTCTGAAGGTAAGAAAGTTTTCTGCAGGAATGAGTTCTGCTGCTTCTCCAGAATGCAGTCAGACTTGTTCTATCTCTTTTCCTTTCCCTTCCTCTATAGCATGTGTGTGTGTGTGACATTTTCATGTATACGGGGATTGATTTCTGGACCTGCTATACTTTTCCATTAATCAGTTTATCAGTTCCTAATCCAGAACCACACTGCTTAACTGTTAACTGTTGCATTAACTTTGCTATCACTTAAGCCAATTCCCTGTTCATTATCTGCTTTTCTTCAGTCCGGTCTTGGCTTTTTTTTTTTTTTTTGAGGCAGAGTCTCACTCTGTCGCCCAGGCTGGAGTTCAGTGGCATGATCTCGGCTCAGTGCAACCTCCACCTCCTGGGTTCAAGCGATTCTTCTGCCTCAGCCTCCCGAGTAGCTGGGCCTACAGGTGTGCACCACCACACCCAGCTAATTTTTGTATTTTTAGTAGAGATGGGGTTTTACCATGTTTGTCAGGCTGGTCTCGAACTCCCGACCTCAGGTGATCTGCCCGCCTTGGCCTCCCAAAGTGCTGGGATTACAGGCATGAGCCACTGCGCCTGGCCGGTCTTGGTTTTATAGCTGTACATAGCTGTGTATTTATTTGTCCAGGTCACTTTTAAGTTCAATTATAATCCTAAACATGTTCTCATATCTCATGCAGGTTTTATTAGAATATGACATATTTATAAGTTCAGAATTTTCTTGGCCTTCGTTAAAGTTTTTCATTTTCATTTGTTTAACAATGGAACCATTTTACCTATGTTTATTTGTAGATATATTATTATTTAAAATTACTGTTTGGAATGCACTCATTTTTTTACTCTATTCTAATTTGTGATAGGTGGCATATAGAAAACCATAAACTTTTGTATAGTTATTTGATATAATTCCCACTCAATAAACTCTTGATATTTTTCCATTGATTCTCCTACATTTTATTTCTCTTGGTGGATGATGAAATTTTCTGAAAATGGTGATAAAATTTTGCTCTCCTATTCATTATTCGTATCTATTCTTTTTGTTCCTTTCTTAGTGAATTGTGTAGGATCTGCAGTAAAGTCTTGACCAAAGTGGTGATATCAGGCATCTAGGTTGCTTGCCTTTGTTGGAATTATCCTGGTGTTTCACTATCTAATACATTGTTGCCTTTTAATTCTTATGCCTATCAAGTTAAACATGCTTTGTTTTGTTCCTAATTTACATAAGATAGTCGTTTAAAAAGTCATTTTAAAAATTCAACATTCGATCTTAATGACATTTCTCATTCTTATTAATGAGAAATGTCATTAAGATCGAATGTTGAATTTTTAAAATGACTTTTTTTTTGTCATTGATCCAAGTGGCATTCCCCCCCGCCCCATCTTCACCCAAAGGCATGGGTCTGGTGTTTCTGCACATCTTCTGAACAAATGGCATTTACAGCTTTGTTTGAGGATATTTGCAAAGCTGTTCCAGGTCAGGAATTGTATTTGCTTACATTCCAGTGTAATAATGCTTGAGTCTCCTCCCCAACCCAGAGACATTTCAAGGAGATAATGTCACTCTCTCAGTCAAAGGGCAGATTTGTTTCCAAACCAGAATAATAATGATAATGGCTTCCTCCAGGGCAACATTGGGTCAGGTTTGCTAGCAGTGCCCTTATAAGATTGGGCGATTTCTAAGTTCAGAATTCCTCAGCAGTGACACAGACCACCAGGTAGGACTTGGGGAACCACAGCAATTGATGTAAACATGAAGCTCATGTGGCCTGCCATGTAATGCATAAAAAAGTGTCCAAATCCATTTGAACTCATTGTCTCCTTACTCTCCGTACTTACGGAAATGTGCTAAGCCAGCCTAATGGCTCCTTGAGTACTTGACTCAAATATTTATAGATGTTAGAATTTTGGGGTGAAGAACAATTTTGTGGAATCTGTCAGCGATAAACCACTTAAGAAAGATGAAGAAAGAGAGTTATATGAAAATCAGAGCTCGGTACTTTTCACTTTTTGGAAAATGAAATGAAATATTGAGGCAGGATGAACATATTTAGCAATAAAATAATTTTTTGTTGTTTTTCTTCCAACTTTTATTTTATATTTGGGGGTACTCATGCAGGTTTGTTACACAGGTATACTGTGGGCTGCTGAGGTTTTAGATGTGATTAAACTTGTCACTCAGATAGTGAGCATAGTTCCCAATGGGTAGTTTTCCACCCTTTCCCCTCTCCCACCCTCCCCATTCTTCCAGTCTTTAGTGTCTATCGTTTCCATTTATGTTCATGTGCACCCAATGTTAAGCTCCAACTTGTAAATGAAAACAAGTGATAATTGGTTTCTTGTTCCTGCGTTAGTTTGCTAAGGGGAATGGCCTCCAGCTGCATCCATGTTGCTGCAAAGGACATGATTTCATTCTTTTTTATGGCTGTGTTGTATTCCATGGTGTTTATGTACTACATTTTCTTTATCCAGTCCACCATTGATGAGCATTTAGGTTGATTTCATGTCTTTGCTGTTGTGAATAGTGCTGCGACATTTTCTTTATCCAGTCCACCACTGATGAGCATTTAGGTTGATTTCATGTCTTTGCTGTTGTGAATAGCGCTGTGATGAACAACATATGGGTGCATGTGTCTTTTTGGTAGAATGATTCGTTTTCCTTTGGGTATATCCTCAGTAATGGAACTGTTGGGTCAAAAGATAGTTCTATTTGTAGTTCTTTGAGAATGAAAGCAATTTTAGAAACTGCTGCAGGCAACTGGAAGGAATAAAACCAGTTCAACAGCCACTTGATATGCTGTGCAAAAGTGGTGGACATGTTGGGGATGTGAGGCAAAGAATGGAGGACTGCCTTCAGTGCAAGGAGCAGTTCAGGTTATGATATGACTCCTGGTTCACATATTTTCCATGTTTCAGGGCAAGAAACTTCCAATGTATATCTCCACCTCTGAGGCCACACTGTAAATCCTGTTCATAGCCTGGGAAACATAGCAAAACCTCTTCTCTACAAAAAGTACAAAAATCAGCCAGACGTGGTGCTGCACACCTGTAGTCCCAGGTACTCGTGACTACTGTGACTACAGGCATGCAGCACCACACCTGGCTGATTTTTGTACCTTTTGCAGAGAAGAGGTTTTGCTTCTCTAAAAACCTCTGAGAGATGGGAGGATTGCTTGAGCCTGGGAGGTTGAGGCTGCAGTAAGCCATGATCACGCCACTGCACCCCAGCCTGGGGAACAGAGAGAGACCCTGTCTCAAAAAAAAAAAAAGATAGCCCTGTTCAGTTCCCAGGTGGAGGAAGATTTCCAAATACTGGAGGATAACAACCTTCCAGGGGACAGTTGTCCTCACTCTCTCCTCCCTGGAATTTGTTCATATTCACACCCTTCATCCATTTTCAGAGAACAGCTGACATCAGCAAGGAAAGTTTGTTTCTGCCTTCTCTCAGTTCATAGTCCTCATAGAGTGGGTCTTGACCCATGCCACACATTGCCCACTCCCAAAAGCAGGATTTGCAAAACAACTTGGGTAGCGGGATATGGGTAGAAGGGTAGGAAAAGGATGAGGAGGAGGGATAAAGTCAGCAAGTGCCTTGAGGACTGCACTCCTGTCATGTTGTTATCACCTGGCACTTTTACAAGCTCAGGATCAGCTAGTTTCCTGAACCCACTCAGGGATGCTGAGGTAGCTCTCCTACCACTCCCTCAGAAGGACAGCGCTTCCTCACTTCCACAGATGGCCTAAGACATCACAGACAGTGAATGGCATTAAGCAGTGTGTGTGTCATGAGGGATTAACATCTCAGGGTTCAGCTGCAAACCTGACCTAGTGGAGTGCCCCAGGGAACACAGGAGTGCCCCAGGCAGCTCAAGGTTAACCTCAAGGTAATCTCAGACTCCCAGAATCCTTACAGCAAGTCATTCTGAACACTCAGGGCCCAACCTGCTTGAGCCATTCGCTCATGTGAAGGACAACAGGACAGATGGAGGTTCCTATGTGGATGAAGAACAGGAGCAGTTCTCTAGGCAGGCTGGTGGGAGACGAGGATGTGTTCAGAAAGAGGAATGTCTAATTAGAGACTTCTAGCCCACATCTTTTCAAGTGAGTGAACTTGAAACATCTGTAGATGATGGGAGAGGCACAAGGGATTACCTGAGTCCTGTGAGGAGAGCTCTGAAGGTCGGGTGCTTTGACACAAGACCATTGGATTGACTGAGCAGTGTGGCTTGGAAAGATCAAATGTTCAAATGGCCTTGCCTGGAGCCACAGACACTTCACTTCAGTAGAAATAATAAATATGGGGTTTATATGGCTTTTTCTCATTTAGTTTTTCTTTCAGCATTGTTTTAAAGCAATTCACATTTAATCTTGGAAAGTTGACAAAATATAGAAGAGTCTTAAGCAGGCAACTTGTTGAAAAGGAGAGCAGCACAAGCTGCTCAATGTAACTGTGAGGTGGTTTATTTATCCACTCCACTTTTGATGGACAATTGAGTTATTGCCAGCTTATGACCATTATGAATAATGCTGCTATGAATACCCCTTTACATGTCCTTTCCTGAACATACACCCTCATTGCTGTTGGGTATATACCCAGGAGTTGAATTGCTGAGTCATAGGATATGCATTTGCTCAGCTTTAAGAGTTACAGGGGAAAGGTTTTCTCACGTGGTTGTACCAGCTTCTACTTCACTAGCCATATGAGAAAGTCCTGAGTGCTCTACATTTTCTCCAAAATGAGCTGTTTTTCTTCAATGTTATTTTAGCCATTCTGGTGTTTGTGTAATGGTTTCACACTGTGAAAATTGTGTAATGTGGTTTGACATTGTGAATGTTTGTGTAATTGTTTCATATTGTGGTTTTATTTCACAGTTCCCTAATGATTAATGAATCAATGATTAGTACCTTTTCATATGATGAATTGATGACAGTGTCTTTTCATATCGCTAATGATTAATGATTAATGATTAGTGTTTTTATATGTTTACTGTCTATTTCATAATGTCAGAATTTAGTGTTAAATTCAGAATGCCACTGGATTCACCATCTTCACTATAAACCCTGGAACTGACACAAGACCAACATAGCCCCAGTAACAGCCACCCTGATATGCTCAGAGACAAACTATTGTCTAATGCCCTTCCCACATTAGTATTCAAGTTGCTACAAGTAAGGTAGTTAGGTTGCCCAAATACCAAATCAGCTCATTAGAGAGCCATACCTCTACTCATTTATTACTCACCCTTCTATAACTGTGGGGCACCCAATGTCCCAATTCTGGACCCTACTTTTACCCAAACAGCACTTTTTATCCCCTGTTTTGCCTCAACCCTATCCCACCATGCACACTGAAGTTTCGTGGCCTACATATCCTATTGTGTCTGCTGTATCCATTGATTGTCTGAAGACAAGTCCCCCTTCCTAGACCTCCACCTGGCCCCTTTTGTCCAAGGCTGAGAGTACCCATTTCCATTCCCTAAACTACTCCGTGGCTCTCTGCCATCACTCTTTAAGTATCTTAAAAGCTCTCACGCCACCTGCACTAGACAGCCCATGACTGAACTTGGTCCATGGTTCTTTGAGTCCAGTATCCACATAAAAACAGTAAGCTGTTGTTTCTAGATATTTTATTGGCATAATTCTTTTATCCACCTGAATAATTTCTTTAAAAAATGGTAGCAATCATTTTACTCTGCATAATCCCTAGTCTATGAAGACTAGGATGGCAGAGGAGCTGTAATTGAGCAGGGGGCTGTGAGCCTAGGCTCTGGCCCACTCAGCACCTCTTCTTCCTTCTCAGCATAGGGAGCTTGGACACTCACCCCCACAATCCTAGGGCTTCCTTATAAACTCCTTGCAAAGCCCTCTGTCAGGAGAGCCTTCCTCAGATGCAGGCCTCCCCATCGTGTTTCTACACAGGCATCTGTCTGCACAGACTGCAATTTTGTGCTTGGCTTTCAAGCACTGTCAAACACTTATGCCTTCCCCACCTCAACCCAACTATATCTCACAATCATTTTTCTTGTTTTGTCAACTTATCTATCCTTAACCATTGCTTCCTATATACACACAGGTACACACTCTGCACTAGACCACTCATCTCTCCTGCTCTCAACAGGCAGGTTGCGGACCCCCTGCCATTCCATGCATTTCCCCATTCTGCTCGGGATTGTTCACAGGCCCTGGCTTTCAACTCTTCCCAAAGCCATGTCTCCACCCTCCTTCCTGGCCCAGCTCCAGACTGTCCTCTAGGAAAGGGATCTTTGTTACTGCCCTTACCTGGAAGCTTCTCAGCATCTTACAACACAAGGAGTTCTCTGTCTCAACACATTTGCTTTCCTAGCTTCAAAACCTTTCTCAGGTTAGGGTCTTCCTGGTAGGTGGATTTTATTCCTTTATCAATCAGACTATCCACATGAGTAGGGGGCTTGGTGCCTCTTACTTCCATGTTTTTGCCTTCCTGATATCATATACAATCTCCAGTTGTTTTCAATGTTGTGTACTTTGGATTGAACCCAGAGGGAGAAAGGGCAGAGGGGCCTTAACAGTTTTTTCACAAATCAGCCTGAAGCCTGGTGATAGGACCCTCTAAAGATATACAGCTCAGTTATCACTCAGCATGCAAGCTGAAGTGGAAGCAATTAGTGTTCCTGCTTAAATGGCCAGAGAATAACGATGCATAACTGCTGTTCACAGCACTCTCTCTATTCCCACTGTGATGACCCTGTAAATGATGGGTGCATGCTGCATCCTCCAGTTACTCCCCAATCACTTATACTGTGCGCCAGGCACTGTGCAAGGACCTCAGGTACAAAGACGACTCAGGCCCCTTCCTAAGCAGCTGAAACACATGCACAACAGTTCTTTCCATCTAGGCTGGATAAGGGCCAGTGGGCAGTAGCAGCTGAAGTAGGTCACAAGGTGGCATCAACGAGAAAGAAACATGTGCATGAGATAAGGCATCCATTTTCTGCAGTTCTCATAAATGAGGATATGCAGGCTGTTATATCATGCAGAGGAAAGGCCCAGTGCTCAGGAACATCCGCAAGCTCCCCGCTGTCTAAATCACCTGGTCTGGAGTCTCTGGAGTCTATGATGACAACTAAGGCTGTGATATCCACTTCTCAAGGATGCTGAGGTTGGAGTGGTACTTCATGGAGGAGATTTTGTGTGATATCTTCCACTTGACTCTGAGTTGGCACTCAGAGGAGAGTGAGCACATGTTTCTGGGCAGGGAGGGCTGCAACATGTGAGTGGCTGAGATGAGGACTTTGTTCTGGGGAGTGTTTTAGTCCGTTTTCACACTGCTAATAAAGGCATACCTGAGACTTGGCAATTTACAAAAGAAAGAGGTTTCATAGACTCACAGTTCCCTGTGTCTGGGGAGGCCTCACAAGCATGGCGGAAGGTGAAAGACACCTCTCACATGGCAGCAGACAAGAGAAGAGTGCTTGTGCAGGGAAACCCCCTTCTATAAAACTGTAAGATCTCAGCAGGGTGCAGTGGCTCACGCCTGTAATCCTAGTACTTTGGGAGGCCGAGGCAGGTGGATCACGAGGTCAGGAGATTGAGACCATCCTGGCTAACACAGTGAAACCCCATCTCTACTAAAAATGCAAAAAAATTAGCCGGGCATGGTGGTGGGCACCTGTAGTCCCAGCTACTTGGGAAGCTGAGGCAGGAGAATGGTGTGAACCAAGGAGGCAGAGCTTGTAGTGAGCCGAGATTGCCCCACTGCACTCTAGCCTGGGCAACAAAGCGAGACTCCATCTAAATAAATAAATAAATAAATAAAACTGTAAGATCTCATGAGACTTATTCACTATGGCAAGGACAGCACAGGAAAGAACTAGCCCATGATTCAGTTACCTCCTACCAGGTCCCTCCCACAACATGTGGGAATTCAAGATGAGATTTGGGTGGGGACACAGCCAAACCATATCAGAGGGGCTTTCTAATGCTGTGTCAGATTGAAGGGTGGTCTGTGTTGGAGCAAGAAGTGATCCATAGGAGAGGATAACTACAATTTTTTTTTTTTTTTGCACAACCCCATGAGGCCCTTTCTCTTGGCATGGGTTTTTCCCTTCTTGAGCTGATTGCCAGACTATAGCCTTTCAGAGCAGGTTCCCACAGTAAGATTGTGTACTGAGCCTTCCAAAAACCCGGATGGCAAGGATGTGTTTTAAGTGTTTGAGGGTAATCCTCTCTCACCGGGACAATTTGAAATCCCCATCTTCTACTGTGCAATTTGTTATTCTGGGCTGGAATCAGACAGACTCTTCTCCACTACCCCATCTCCTCCTTCTAGATTGGAAAAGCTCAGTCACAGTTCACATATATACTCAGTTTTAGTAGATCCTGCACAACAGTTTTCATAAGTACTTTTACAAACTTTCCCTCCCACCAGCAATGTATGATTCTTCAGGTTGCTTCTCATTCTCCCCAACACGTGTTATGTGCCAGCATTCTGGTGGTGTCAGTGGCTACTTCAATTTCTATTGCCCTGGGGATTAATGAGGTTGTGTGCCTCTTTATACCAATACCATGCACTCTCAATCATGATATCCCTGGAAAGTTTATGACATCTGGTAGTGTGTGTTCTCTAGCTTTGTTCATCTTCTTAAATATTGCTTTGCCTACACTTTGTGCTTTGAATTTCTTTATCACTTTTAGAAGCTGTTGTCAAATTCCACAAAAATGTGTCAGTTTTGGATGAGATTATGTTACAATTGTAGATTAATATCAGGATAATTTGTATTTTAGCAATAATGACACTTGCAATCCATGAGTATACTATATGCTCCATTTGTTCAGAGTATTTGATAACCCCTTATGATTATGCTTACCTTAATTGATACAGAATATTCCTGCAATGCACAAGCTATAGCAATATCACTAACATGTAGGTAAATCAGAGTCTTTATTATATGTATTTTTCATTATCTTGGGATTTGGTGTTCATTCCTGAAAACGCTGGTTCTCACACTTGAGTGTGCATCAGAATACACTTTCTATGTAGAGGGCTTATTAAAAAACAGATGTCTGCTCTGCAAACCCCAGAATTTCTGATGCAGAAGGTCAGGGTGAGGCCCGATAATCTGCATCTCTAACAGGTCCTAGGTGATGTTAGTGCTGCTGGCCAGGGGACCACACTTGAGGAGCCCCTGCCTTAAAGACAGGCAGAGGAAATAGATACATTGGTCCAGAAACTGTCCTTGATGCTAAGAATACAGGAGGGTGTAATCATGGTCTATTACTCCAGAGTCTCTCTGGCTGATGTGGGAAGCAGGACCACAGCAGATGACTATAATGCATCTTGGGAATTGCTTTGCAATTTTTACTTTTCAACCTGGGAGCTCAGTGAAGGTTGTTTTTTTTTTCTTAGGGAAATAAAAATAAAAACAAAAACAAAAATGTAGTGCTGACTGGATGGGTGAGCCCCTGTTGAGTAAATTCCAAGAGATTTTGAATGTGTGGCTGTGTCCATACTGGCAAGAGATGAATACTTGGGTGTGAACATATGGTGAGAAATTGCTGTGAAATGTGGCTTTCTCATCCCTTTTTTTGTCTGCTCCTTCATGGAAATTTAAACAATTCAAAACCATAGAAAGGTGTCCATGGTTTTCCATGACTGTAATATTTCTATCAGCATGATAAGGCAATATCATGACTGTTTTAATACAAAATGCTCTTAGGAATTGGGTCTTTATTAAGATATAGGTAAGTGTCTAAATGTTGGGCGTATTATTTTAAGTGTGTGTTTCTAAGTGTGTATTTTGGAGAAATGGCCATTTTCACTTTGATGGGATAGTTGGGATATGATGGAACACCTGGTATAATGTTTCAGGTTCCATCTTTTATTAGGTAATCCTTCATATTATTACCCACAAACAGAAAACGTTTTCCTGACCCCTGTAACATTTCAGGATGAGAAATGGAATGATTTCTCACTCACTACTTATTGTGCCATCTTAGGTGCAGGAGTGGGAGGGTGGAAGATGAAGCTTTGCTGGATTCAGGATTGGCTGCAGACCAGCAGGGATGCTTTATCTTCCTGGTATTTACAAGCATGTGGAATCTCATTTCTCCTGGGAATTTCTTAGTTTTTTTCAAGAGAGGATCCTCCAGAAGAGAGAAAAACTGAGCGGCTGTGCAAAGCTGACAAAATGCCTAAGGAAGCTGTTCAATTCAAGTGAGAATGAAACTGCAATTAGGTCTGACTTTTTACAGAACAACTGAGTGTTTTTATTTTGGGGTTAACATGTTTAAAACCAATGGAAAGTTTAAATAAGAAAAAATGGTGAAAATATAGTATTATATGGAAATAATTTTAACAAGATTTATTCCCTTGTAAGAGATTTACTTAGTTGCTCTTGTTAATGTGTTATTTTTGTTGTTTGATATTATTATCATAGTAAAATTTCATGCACTTTGTGGGTATGGGCATCACAGAATGTAAAATTAGGCAGTTGGGCAAATGATGTTTTCTTCATTTGGTTGTGTGCATATAAGTTACAACAGTACTTTTTGAGGAATATCAACAGAATGGCTCTGGGTAATTTCTGGTGTTTCCTGTTTTTGCTTAAATTGGAAAAGAGGCTGACATACAGAAGATTTGATTGAGTATTCACTGGAATAGAGTCAGAGCAAGGTGATAGTGGACCACTGTGAGTTTTGCAACTATCTTGTTGGTCATTGTTCTGTGGAGGGAATGGAACTTTGAGTTCAGATGTTACATCACTGTTGTTGATCATTTTTATTGTGATGTTAATAGTAATTGTTTTCTTTAGGCAACTATAGGACAGAACGGAAGAAAGCCCAGAGCGAATCACATGAGAGTAAGAACCAGGATTAGAAGTCTGAAAAACCTGCAAAGAGACTTTTATGTCAAAGAATGCAGGCATATTTTAGGAAGAGAAAGCTTGATGACACAGAAGTAAACAAGCAGACAGAATCTCTCTACCCTCATGGAGCTTTCAGTTTAGCAGGCATTAAACTAGTCATAGTAAGTAAAATTGGGATTCACATACACAATGAAAGTCCAGGAGGCTATGGGAGAATATCACAAGGTCTTGACCTACTGTAGGGGAGATCAGATCAGGGGGATGCTTGTTTCAGTCAGTGGTGATTAAGTTGAAATTGGAAGGGTGAACATGAATTAGCCAGGCAAAGAACAGTAGGAGAAGTTGGGAGGTGTTCCTCAGACTGAGAGAATAACTCTTTGGAAGCCTTGAGTGAGGAAGGAGCTGGGCCTATTGGAATCAAAATAAAAAGCAATGCTTCTAGTGTGATTACAGCATAGTGAGCAGGAGGGAAACCAGTAAAAGGTGAAATGAGAGATAGATCAGTCATGACCATTCAAAACCATGTTTGATATGAGAAATGTTTTGGACTTTATCCTGAGATCAATGGGGAGGCAGGGAAGGGATTCAGCACTGGGATGCCACAATTAGATTTTTATTATTTGAAGGTCATTCTGGCTTCCTTAAAACCTAGGCTGTATGTACTGAAAGGAGCTGAGGGGTATATTGTAAGAATGCTTGATCAGGGAGTCATAACTTAAAACTCTATAAGCAAGAGTTTGTTGACTCGGGAGCACTCTCCTAAGATGTAGGATTTAATACACTGCTAATGACACCAGTAGATGGTATAAACTCATTAGTAAAATGGCTCATAGGAGCATTGAAAATGTTATGGCCCATGCTAAGTGAGATTGAAATGCAAGAATTGTTGTGGCATATTGTGGTGGAAGGGATTAAAGGACTCAGGGATATGTACGTGCTGCAGTTGATAAACTATGTGTGAACAGAAGCCCCTCCAGATGAGTACATTCCATTCAAAAGACCAGAGGACACACCATTTACTGAAGCCATAAAGAATGCACTGCTGAGGGAGATATTAAACTCTCTAAGACATTCAATAGTGACTCTCCTCTTCTGTACTAAATGTAGGAGCTGTGTATAGGAGATGCTGCTGAAGATCTTGGCTTGTTGCAGGATTTGGGAATATAAGACCCTGAAACAATAGTGAAGTGGCAGCTCTTAACTACCAGAAACCAAAGGTTCATACTGTCATAATGATATGCAAATTAACAGCCAAGGAGGTTGGAGGTGTAGAGAGTCATGGAGATGATTAATAGAACATGGTGCCCCTATGCAAAAAGTAGAGAGACAGATTACAAGGATACCACTTTGCTTGTACCAGAAAAAAAAAATTAAGTGTAAATAACCAGGGGTCTGAGGGAAGTTGCTCAAATAAGAAAAGCACAAACCCTTTCACAATTTCTAGACCTAAGGCAGTTTTTACACTCTTAAACCTTCTCCAACTTCCATGACACTACAGATCTCCAGGTGTCCATGTCAGCTGAGACCCTATGCCTAATAGGAGGTGAGAAGATACAAATAGTGGACATAATATTCTTAATAGTTGTATAGTAAGTATTGAAACACTGAACCTTTATTACTGGTAAAAAAATAATAAAATAGGAGTGTGTCCTTAACTATATAAAAACTATATGTATCAAAAAGCTGTAGGAATCACTATACTTAACATTTAAAGCAATTATAATAACAATCGCCACTAACATTCATTAGTACAATAAAGATCTTGTTGGTTAATGAGACTAGAAATAAAAGTTTGGATTACTTTCCTATGTAGGTAATCTGAAGAAATCAACCAGTAAGATTTCAGAACTAATAAGTTGTATTTAACTTATTAAACAATCTAGGCAGACTTCTGTATCATTCTACAAATAGCAATTGTTGTCCCATACACTGACAATAGCCCCAAATTCATCAATTTTCTTCCTAAGCATATACATGCAAGAACTATAGAAAAAAAGCATAAAACATCACTTAAAGCTGTAAAGAGACATGCCATTGTAAGTCAGTGGGGAAAATGTGGCATATTTTATTTTAATGGTGTTGGGAAAATAGGCTATCCATTTTGGAAAATATTTATTGACAAGCCCAGATAAATACCTAGATGTGAAATCAAAGCTATAAACATTTTATAAAATAAATAAGAGTGTAGTTTTATTACCTAAAGATAGAAAAGGATTGCTTAAAGAAGATAAAAGTATTTATAAAGAAAACTAATAAATTTGACAGCATAAGACTTGAAATATCTTACAAGTAAAGATAATAGTTGAGAAAAATTGGAAGAAAATATTTAAACTGTCAATAAAAGCCAAAGATAAATATATGGAATAGGTAAGGATTTTATGCAAACTCTTCAGTGAATTCAATGAAAGCAATACTAAAATGTCCAGGGATAAACACAGAATATGCTCAAAGGCATTAATTATAATGATAAATGTGTAAGATGAACACTAGGAATATCTTAAAACTAAAAACCAAGGCCGTGATGATTCCTAGGGCCACAGGTAAGTGAAAAATCATGAGCAGAAGTTAAAAGAAATGAGCTCTGTAACTGCAATGGTCTTCCCTCAAGCACTGTGCAGAAAAGTCTCTTGGACTCTTGGTTTCTATACTGGAAAAAGTGAGATTGAGGTAGATAGCCAGCTTCTCCACAAACTTGGGTTCCTACACAAGAAAACGATTCCTGCATCACAAGTGCCTGCCGGGTGGAAAATCCTGAGGACAATTAGAGAAAGGGTGGAGGTGTGGCTAGCACCACCCTGCACATGACAATTACGGCTGCTCTTCATCCCAGCAAAAAAGACATCAAATCAGAGAGGCTGTTTAACAGCACCACACAGTGGGTGGCACAATACAGAGATCCTTTGGGCACAGACTATAGGCAGCCTTCCCACAAACCCATGGTATATTCTTTGTGAACCCCTGTCCAGGACAGTCAGTGCTCCAAATTTTGCAACAACCCAAGCAATCCTGGACTTAGGGTGTCATCTAGTGTCGAAAAGGAGGCAGCAATCTCAAGCTAAGGGAACTCAGTGGTCAATTGACACAAAACCTCTAGACAGACATACCCTAGAAAAAGCAAACCAAGCCAGACACTGAAGGCTGGAATAAACAACTATTCCCTTGACACAAAGACATAGGCATACATCCATCAGAAACATGAGCAAACAGGGAGCCATGACCTTCCCAAATCGTCAAGAAAAGGAGACAGCTAATGACCCTAATGAGATGATGTTGTGTGAGCTCTAAGATCACAAATTTGATGCAGCAGTTTTAGGGAAACTCAGTGAACGCCAAGATAACACAGAAAAGCAACTAATGAATCTATCAGAGAAATTTAACAAAGATATTAAAATAATTTTAAAAACACACAGAAATTCTGGAACTGAGAAATACAATAACCAAATTGAAAAATACATGGAGAGTCTCCATAGCAGAACTGGTCAAGCAGAAGAACAAATTAGTGAGCTTGAAGACAGGCTAAGAGAATAGCCTCAAAAGAAACAATCAGAGAGTCATAGGCCTCTAAGGGGAAGTTGAGAAAGAGCAAGGGGTAGAAAGCTTATTCGAAGAGGTATAACAGAAAACTTCAAACAGAGAGAAATGTCAACGAAAAGAGTCAAACTCTGTAAAATATTTGAAGAGATTTATTCTGAGCCAAATATGAGTTACTATGGCTGGTGACACAGCCCTCAGGAGGTCCTGAGAACATGTGCCCAAGGTGGTTGGGGTGCAGCTTGGTTTTATACATTTTAGGAATGCATGAGACAGCAATCAAATACATTTAATAAATACACTGATTTTGTCTGGGGAATGTCTGGGTTGTGGTAAGAGGTTGCAGAGACCAAAGTTTTCCATGAAGATGAAGCTTTTAGCTAGCAGGCTTCAGAGGGAATAGGTTGTAAAATGTTTCTTACCTGACTTAAAGTCTGTGTTGACGTTAATGAGGGAGAGGTATAATGAGGCATGTTCGACTCCCACGTCCCATCATGAACTGAAACAGTCTCTCAGGTTAAATTTTAAGAGCTGTGGCTGAGGAGGAAGTCCAATCAGATGGTTGGGGGGGCTTAGAATTTCATTTTTGGTTTACAGAAATATGTAAATATCCAGGTACAGGAAGGTTAAGTGTCACCAAACAGATTCAGCCAAAGGAAGCCTACCCCAAGGCATATAATAAGCAAAATCTCAAAGGTCAAGGACAAAGAGAGGATCCTAAAGGCAGCAAGAGAAAACAAGCAAATAACATAAGAAGGAGCTCTGATTTATCTGACAGTGGACTTCTCAGCAGAAACCCTGCAGGCTAAGAGTGAGTGGAATTACATACTCAAAATGCTGAAGGAAAAACAACAACAACAACTAAAAATACTACACCCAACAAAGCTACCCTTCAAACATGAAAGAGATAAAGACCTTCCAGGACAAACAAGAGCTGAGGGAACTCGTCACCACCAGACCTGTCTTAAAAGAAATGCTAAAGGGAATCTTCAATTAGCAAGAGAAAGTTGCTAATGTGCAACAAGAAATCATCTGAAACTATAAAACTCAATGATAAAAGTAAGTACACAGGCAAATTTAGAATACTCTAATACTGTAATTGTGATGTGTAAACCACACTTATTTTAGTGTGAAGAGTAAAACACGAATCTTTCAAAACTGAAAGATTACTAAATCTACTACTAAATTTATTGCTTAATAGATAATATAAAAAGAATTGAGGCAACTGCAAATATGTGGGCTGATAAAGTGTAGAATTGTTTAGTTGTTGCTTTGTTTTTTTCCTTTTGATCAAAGTTATCACCAGTTGAAATAACTTGTAATAAATCTATAGAGATATTTTTGTAAGCCTCATGGTAACCACAAGCAAGAATCTATAACAGAGATGCTTAAAAGTAAAAAAAAAAAAAAAAAGGAATTAAAACATGCCACCAGTGAAAAATACCTAACCATACAGGAAGACAGTTAAAAAAAAGACAGAAAGGAAGAGAAGAGTTATAAAACAACCAGAAAATAAGTAATAAAATGGAGGTAGAAGGTCCTTACCTATCAATAATTATATTGAATGTAAATGGACTGAATTCTCCAATTAAAAGACAGAGCGAAAGAATAGGTAAAACCAGCACCTAATTATATACTCAATGTTACTTCACCTATAAAGACACACATAGAATTGAAGTGAAGAAACAGAAAAAAAAATACTCCATTAAAATAGAAACACAAAACAAGCAGTAGTAACTATGCTGCTATCAGATAAAATACACATGAAGTCAAAAGCAGTAAAATGTGACAAAGAAGGTTCATTATGTAATGGTGAAGTGGTCAGTTCAGCAATTAGATATAATGATTATAAATATATATGCACCCAATACCAGAGCCCCCAAATATATAAAGTAAATATTGATAGATTGAAATACAATAATAGTAGTGGAATTCAACACCCCATTTTCAGCATTGGACAGATCATCCAGACAGAAAATTGACAAAAAATCAGAGTTAAACTACATTCTAAACCAAATGGATCGAACTGACTTTTACAGAATGTTTCATCTAACTGCTACAGAATTCACATTCTTCTCATGAGCACATGAAACATTCTGCAAGATAGACCATATGTTATTCCAAAAAACAAGTCTTAACAAGTACAGAAACATTAAAATAACATCAAGTATTTTTTCTGACCACAACACTATGAAACTAGAAATCAAAAACAGAAGGAATTTGGAAAATTCACAAATACTTGAAAATTAAACAAGATGCTCCTAAACAACCAAAGGGTCAATGATGCAACTAAAAATAACATTTTTAAAATTTCTTGAAACAAATAAAATTGGAAACACAACATACCAAAACATATGGTAAGCAGCAGAGGCAGCACTAATAGGGATGTTTATAGCAATAAATGTTTTCATCAAAAAAGTAGAAAGACCTCAAATTAACAACCTAGTTATGAACCTCAAGGAATTAGAAAGCAAGGACCTGCCAAACCCAAAATTAGTAGAAGGAAAGGAATAATAAAGATTAGAGCAAAACATAAATAAAATTTAGACTAAAAAATACAAAATATCAATAAAGCAAAAAATTGCTTTTTTGAAAAGATAAACAAAATTGACAAACTTTTAGATAAAGAAAAAAATTGAGAGTGGTGAGAGCAACATCGCCGAATAGAACCCTCCAGTGATTGTCCCCATGCAGGAGCACCAATTACACAACCCTCTGTTTAATGTAGCACCTTATAAGAACCAAAAAAATCAAGTTAGTAATCACAGCACCTGCTTTTAACATAATATCAAGGAATGAGATTTTAAGAATTTAGGAAACATAGTTTTGCATTGAATACACCACCAGTCCTTAATGCCCCTGCAGTGTCGTGCAGAGATAATCTGTGCTTTGGAGAAAGAGAGTAAAGTGATTATGGGACTTCGCTTTGGAATTCAGTGCTGTTCTGTCACAGTGGAACACAAAACAGGACATAATTCTGCTGCTGCCCACAGTAAAAGCAATTAGATCAGCCCTAGCCAGAGGCAAATTCTTAGACTCAGTGGGCAGAACTCAAGTTCTGGCTGGCTCCATCACTGGCTAACTAAAGTTGCCAGTTATGGAATGAATACCTAGATCTTCAATGCCCAGACATCAACGAATATCCTCAAGCATCAAGAATATCTAGGAAAATACGACCTCACAGGACTAATTACATAAGGCTCCAGTGACCCATCCCAGAATGATGGACATATGTAAACTTTCAGACAGACAATTCAAAATTGATGTCTTGAGGAAGTTCAATGAATGTTAAAGACCACACAAAGAATGACTTCAGAATTCTAGCAAATAAAATTAACAAAGAGATTGAAATAATTTTAAAAAATCAAACAGAAATAATGCAGCTGAAAATTGACAAACTGAAAAATGAATTAGACTCTCAACAACAGAATTGATCAAGCGGAGGAAAGAATTAGTGAGCTTGAAGAAAGGTCATATAAAAAACACACTCAGAGGAGAAAATAATACAAAATAATAAAGCATGTCTCCAATATCTAAAGTAGTCACAAAACAGCCAATTTAAGAGTCATTGGCCTTAAAGAGGAGTTACAGAGGGAGATTGGGTTAAAAAAGTTTATTCAAAGAAATAATAACAGAGAAATTTTCTAACTCAGAGCCAGATATCTATATCCAGGTATGAGAAAATCATAGAACGTCAAGCAGATCCAACCCAAATAAGACTAGCTCAAGGTATTTAATAATCACACTCTCAAAAGTCAAAGATCAAGAAAGATTTTAAAAGCAGCAAGACAAAAGAAACAAACTATAAAGGAGCTCTGATGTCTGGCAGTAGACTTCTGAGCTGAAACATTACAGGCTAGCAGAGCAGGATGACATATGCAAAGTGACGAAGGAAAAAAAAACCTTCCACCCTAGAGTATTATATCCAGCAAAATATCCTTCAAACATAAAGGAGAAATAAAGACTTTTTCGGACAAACAAAAGCTGAGGGATTTTATCAACACCAGGCCTATCCTACCAGAAATGCTGAAGGGAGTTCTTTAGTGTGAAAGAAAAGGACATTAATGAACAACAAATCATCTGAAAGTATAAAACATACTGCTAATAGTAAGTACACAGACAAATCCAGAACACTCTAACACTATAATTGCAATGTGTATACCACTTTTATTTTGAATAGGAAGACTAAAAGACAAACCTAACAAAAATAATAGCTATGGCAACTTTTTGAAACTAGAGTCGAAAACTTTACAATTTTACCTGGTATTCTATTGTATTGCAGCTGAGCTGGCACTCAAACTGCAAGACAAAGGTTTTGCCACTCTTCACTCCCCTTTTCAAAGGCAGAGGAGCCTCACCCCGTAGCCACTGCCACCCATGGCCATGAGGAGTACTACTAGACTACCACTGATGTTCTCTTAAGGCCCAAGATCTCTTAAATCAGCTTGTGCTGAATGCGGCCTGGCCTGGGACTCACCCTTCAGGACAGTGGGCTCCTCTCTGGCCCAGGACATGTCCAGAAATGCCATACCAGGGTCAAGTCCTGGAATCGGGGACCCCAAGAACCCACTTGGTGCTCTATCCCCCTATGGCTGAGCTGGTACCTAAGGTGCAAGGCAAAGTCCCCTTTACTTTTCCCTCTGCTTGTCTCAAGAAGGAGGTTTGCTCCATAGCCGCCATAGCTGGTAATGTGCTGAGTCTCACCTGAAGCCAGCAAGTCTCAGAGGCTCACCTGCGGCCCTTGACGTAGTACTTGGGTGTCACTGCTGGTTATTAAGGGCCCAAGGACTCTTCCGTTAGCAGCTAATGAATGCTGACAGGACTGGAAGGCAGCAATTCCCTTCTGGCCCAGGGTGTGTCTAGAAATGTCATCTGGGAGCTAGGGCCTGGAAAGGGGGCCTCTTGACTGACCAGTGCACTATACTGCTGCAGCTGAGCTGGTATCCAAGATGCATGACGAAGTCCTCCCCACCTTCCCTCTCCTCTCCTCAAGCAGAAGGAAAGGGTCTCTTTTGGAGCCCCGAGCTGTGCAGGCTGGGTTTAGGGAAGAGGTGATTCCAGCACTTTCTTGGCTGCCACAGCTGTGGCATGCACCCCGCCCCGAGTCCACTGTCTCTGGGCCTAGTTCAGCCCTAGGACCCACCTATGAGTCTCAGTCCTTATGGCCTGGACTGCCTTTCAACTTCACTTAGAGACCGAGAGCACTTTTGGCCCTCAATGGTTAGATTTGCAGGCAGACCGCAATTCCCCTCTGGTTAGGACTGATTTAAATGCTCCCTCTGTGAGTAGGTGTCAGCTGAGCTTGGTCCAGTTTTTTTTTTTTTTTCTGCTCTAACAGAACAGCACTGAGTTCATTGCCTCACAATTGCTGTGTTCTCCCTCCCCCCACACCCAAAGATGCTGTCAACACCACGCTGCTGCTTCTAGGGGTTTGGGGAGGGGTCGCATCAGTGATTCAGGACTGTTTTTTCTATCTCTTCAGTGCCTCTTTCAGTGATATGAAGTTAAAGCTAGCGATGTGAAATTAAAATTGTGAGTGCTTACCTGATTTTTGGTTCTTGTAAGGTGTTTTTGCTTTGTAGATAGTTGTTAATTTTGTGTCTTTGTGGGGGGACAATCAGTGGAGCTTTCTATTCTGCCATATTGCTCCACCTCCTTAAGCCACAATGGAATATCATTAGCCATACAAAGATGAAATCCTGTCATGTGTAGCAACATGGATGAGCCTGGAAGACAGACAGTATGTTAAGTGAAATAAAACATGCACAGAAAGACAAATATCGCATGTCCTCACTCAAATGTAGGGGCTAACAAATTAATCTCATGGAAGGAGAGAGTAGAATGGTGATTATCAGAGTTTAGGCAGGGTAGGGGGAAGGGGAACGAAAAGAGGTTGTGTTCAGGCACAAAAATACAGTTAGAAAGAAGGAATAATTTCTAGTGATCAATAGCAAAGGAGGTTATAATTTATTGTATATTTCAAAATAGCTAGAAGAGAAAGTTCCCAGCAGAAAGAAATGATAAATGTTTGAGGTGATGGATATTTCCATTACCCTGATATGATTGTTGCACATTGCATGTATCAAATTGTCACATGTATCCCACAAATATGTACATTATGTCTCAATAAAACATGTGCACATAGGAGCATGTATAAGAATATTCACTGCAGCCTTGTTTGTAAAAAGTGGAAATTTCTAAACATCCTAGGTGTCTATCAATCGGAGAATAATATGTGGTTGTTTAAAGAATGTGCTATCTCTACACATTGTCTTGAATTATTCTCCAAGACACGTTCAGTGAAACAAAGCAAATTTTTCAATGATATGTTGTGTTGGTCTGTGTACTCTGAGAAGTGGATGACAAGATAAGATTAAAGGTCATTTATGCTCTCTGTAGGAGGCCTGTGACACACGTTCTCCTGGCCACCACACAGATCAACTTCTTTACTAAGGTCTGGGGAACATCCTCAGTTCAGGATGACTGTACATGTACATTCATAGTTACAAGGGGGAAGAGAGTACTAGGAGGCACCAAAGTGAATCACCCGGGCTTCACACATATTTCTCCCTGCCCTCATTGTGTTGCTGTAACCTTATCCCCTCCTCCTGATCAGGAGCCTACCAGTATGATGACTCCTCTTCGCACCTGCTAGCTTCTGAGTACCAGTCCCAAATGACGACAGAAGATGTAAGGAAGTTATAACGTGTAGTTCAATGGGGCATTTTCTGTGTTCCCCAAGAAGAGTGAATCAGAACGTCTCTTTGGAGCCAAGACCTCCAACAGTGCAGAACACAGAGTTGTGAGTACAAAATCCACAATGGGTGATCAGAAGTGATGGTAAGTGGGGCCACTCTTGCCTCTACCACTAGGTTCCTGGACCCATGTGTCCTCCTTACTGAGGTAAAGGCACCTTATAAGTTTTCTGATTTAATACATACACTGGTTCCTGAAAGATAGCAGCCCATCCTCCCAGAGTGTTTCCTCTGAGTTGTGCTTCAATTGTGCATTGAGATTATTCTAGCATTCTCTGAGAATGGCTATCTCTGGATTTTGTAGCATGTGATATGACCAGTGAATCCCATAGTCAATGCTGTACCTACTTTTTTATATAATGGGCCCCCTCATCAGATGCTATGCTATGAGAAATCCCATGCCTGTCTACGGGGTATTTCATAAGCTCCTGAGTATTTTTGCTGGGTGAAGTGCTGCAGGCAAGGAAGACAAATCTATAGCTGGGATAGGGATTAATCCCTGTGAACACGAACCACTGGCCCTTCCAGGATAGATGAGACCCAGTGTTTTCAACTGTCCACAACAATGAATAGTGTAATATTTGGGACTCAGAGTTGGTCCTAGTTGCTGGCAAGTTGAACGCCCAGAGGCATCAGACTATATATTGGTCTTGGTAAGTGGGAGTCCATACCGTTGGACCTGTATGAAGCTTCCATTTCTGCCACCATGTACACCTTATTCATGTGCCCATTGCTGGTTTGGCAGTGGCTGACAAGGGCTGACTAATGTCAACTGGTTGAATCATTTTATTTACTTGATTTTCAATTCCTTTCCCATGGTGTATACTTTGTGATGGATGTTAAGGTATGGTCCAAAAATCCTCATACGTTGTTTCCATTCCAGCATGGCAAACCACAAGCTTCTATTTCAGACCTCATTGTCTCTGATTTTTCAATCATTTTCTTTCTAGCCCCAAGCTAGACAGGTAGGGTATTGTCCACTCCCCAGAAATCTGTATAGATAATTAATTTTAGATGTCAATTTGACGGGACTAAGAAACACCTAGAAACATCATGAAAAATTCTTCTGGAGTGTGTCTGAAAGGGCATTTCAATAGAAGATTAGAATGTGTGTCTGAGTGGCCTAGCTGGAGAAGATCCATCATCCAATTTGCCAGGGGCCCAGAGGGGGAAAAAAACAAACATAGAAAAGACCAATGTGTCATTCTATCTTCTGGAACTGGTATACACACTTCCTCTTCTGTCCTTGACAACTCCAGACTCTGGGGTCCTTAAATGCTAGGATTGACACAAGTGGATCCCAAGGTTCTCAGGCCTTTGGCCTCGGACTGAGACTAAGAGTTACACCATCAATTTCCCTGGTCCTGAGGCCTTGGCACCTGGATTGAGGCACGCTACCAGCATCCCAGTGTTTCCAGTTTCCCTACAGCCTGTCTCTGGACTTCTCAGCCTACATGATAATATGATATAATATTCCTAATAAATTTGCTCTTATATATTGATTGGTAGGGTTGATTCTAGGGGCCAATTATTTGGATTCCAACTATGAACTCAGGAACTGAGCAAATGGTCAGGAAATTACTATTGGATAAATCTGGATTCACATTGGGTACATTGTGAGCCGACTTTAGCCAGGATTTCATTTACTACCTATTTCCCATGAACTCCTACTTTAAGAAGTAGGCATTATATACATTTTGGGTTTCTGAGTATCAGTGTCAACTTTGACCCTGTGTCTAAAATTCCTTGAACTATTTGGTCATTCCATCCAGTGTCCTATATGGCCATAGATCCCTCTATAGAAGAAAGAGAAGAATCATTGTAGCATATACTTACCATGGTTTGCAGTGTCCTTACTCCTACGAAGCTAATCACCTCTTCAGTCTGTGGGTTTCAGATCAGAAAGTTGGCTCAGAACTGGGAACTGAGGAAGGAATTATAACTTTTTCTTGGAGTGACTGTACTTCACCCTCTGCTTCTCCATTTTTGCTTTTTTCTGTTATACATGCTAAACATCACCCTTATTGGATCCGTGTTTATTTTGCCCCTAGGAATACCATTATCTATTAGCCATCTTTACAATTCCCTGCAGATTAAGCCATATTCACTGCCCTTCTGAACTTTTTCATCATTATAGTAATTGTGGTCTCTGGGCCTATAGCAGAGAAGTGCCACAACATAGCTCTGTTACTCCAGGTATCCAACAACAGAATCAATACTGAGCTGTGCTCATTAATATGTGACCATTTCTCCCATCATCATCCCTGCTACAGGAAAGAGCTACCCTCAAATTTCCTAGTGATTTAAGTGCTCCTCTCACTAGTGCATTCCTCATGGCTTTGGTGAATCAGGTGTTCTCTAGGCCCGGTGAAGAAACACAATCCTCTCATGTGTCTTCTAGCTTTAAACAATCTATCCATTCCAGCATTCTCACCTCCTTCACCTTCTTTATTCTTTCTTATATCTTCCTTCCGGGGGAACTCAGGCATTTCTATTTCACTGAGATTTGGCCATTTTCTTCAAGGTTTTTAGAACCATCCAGCTGTAAATTTTCACCATTTCCTGGGGCTCTTGCTGGTGTATTTACTCCCATACCCTGAGGAAGCACCCCCAAGTCAAAGAATTCTTGCATATTCAGCCTTATATTTTAATCTGCTTAATTAATCCCTCGCAAGACACACTTCCAAGGACACTCCTCTGCTTTCTGCCAGTATGTGCTAGCTAATCTTTGTAATTTGTGAGGTCTATAGTCTCTTTCTTTCCGTTTTAGGCCCAGAATGTCCCCATTTGCATTATGCTGAGATTCAACCTTATTTTTCATCCTGGCATCCAAGATCAGAGGTAAGGGTAGCTTGTGAGCCACCTGCTGCCTCATGGGGGTGAAAATCCTGCAGCATCTTCCACAAAGTGGAATTTCTAGTCCTTAAAAGGGGAGGATGGGCCACTTCTGCATGCTCAGAGGGCCCAAGGTGGTTACAGAGGCAGCATCCTCCAAGGTGACCATCTTGATGACCTCTTCAGAGTTTTTGGGATCTCAATCTTCCCTTGGATTGGCATTCAAACATTTCTGGAGCTCTATAATCTCATAATTGCATCTTCAGACTGCCTATTAACAGTATCTTCTCTTCCAATATAGGTGATAAAGACCTCTTTATATCCTACAATGAGGCTCTCTGGTTCTCACATTTACTATTAACTGATGGTTACCTGCTCTCAGTCTTTCATTTTTCTTTTGCAAGTATCAATACAACTGAGCAATTACCAGCCAATTCCACCTTCTTGGTAGACATATTCCTACCAATAGTTTCCAGATATTGGCATCACTGTACCTATTGCAGTGTTCCCCTGAATAGGAATATGTGCCCGAGTCACCACAGTCGAAATCTTTAGAACAATTTGTGCTTTGAGCCATCATCCTGTGTTATGTGCCCCACACATGAATAGAGATGCCATCCTCTTTGCCTGCAGAGAAGTAGATGAGCCAGTTCCAAATCCTGTCTTTGCACCTATTTTCCAAACCAGTCCTTGTACTATTTGAATCTTTCAAGAAGCAGACAAGAAAGCTGTATTAAACATGCAAGTATTTAAAAGGGGAAATGCTTGTATGAGGAAAATATGGAGGGGTTAATGTAAAGCTGAGGAAATCATCAATCATGAAGCAAGTCTGAGCCTGAGAGAAGGATACAGAGAAATTTGAGTGGAAGTGTATTAGACTGCCCTGTAGTCTGTGAAACGTTTGGAAAAGTCCTGAGGAAGTCTTCAGTCATTAGTTGGTTCTCAGAAAAGTTCTGTGTCTCAGGAATAATTATTCCTCAAGAACAAGTTCCAGGATAGGTCCAAGATGGCTGACTAGAAATGTTGGACAACAGTTATCCTCAGAAAGAAGAACCAAAGTCACATGTGAATAATCATAACTTGAATAGACTATCAAGGGGAAAGTATTGGAGCCTAGTGGAAAACTAATGGGAATAAGCTGGGGCACAGAAAAAGAAGGTAGCAAGAGGCTGGCAGGGATTGTCTAGGCATCCCAAGTGACTTAACATTTCTTTTTATTTTTTTATTTTTTTTGAGACGGAGTCTCGCTGTCGCCCAGGCTGGAGTGCAGTGGCGCAATCTCGGCTCACTGCAGGCTCCGCCCCCTGGGGTTCCCGCCATTCTCCTGACTCAGCCTCCCGAGTAGCTGGGACTACAGGCGCCCGCCACCTCGCCCGGCTAATTTTTTGTATTTTTAGTAGAGACGGGGTTTCACCGTGTTAGCCAGGATGGTCTCGATCTCCTGACCTCGTGATCCGCCCGCCTCGGCCTCCCAAAGTGCTGGAATTACAGGCGTGAGCCACCGCGCCCGGCCGTGACTTGACATTTCATCAAAGTGGCAGGTTGGAATGATCTGAGTCCTCTTGGCTCTGTGGCAGACCACTGGTATCCAAACTGTAAGAGAGTTTCTCTGCCCACATGGACCCAAACACTAATGTTGGTGGTGATTTGGGGATTTTTTGAGGTCTTTATACCACACTACCAACTCACTCCCCATTGCTCTCCCTCCCCAGGACCAGAACTGTGGCTGCGGGTGCCATACTACAGGAGCAGGCCTCAGGGGAGCATTTTCTGCCCAGGGAACCTCAGCCTCTGTCTGTCCACATTACAGGAACCACCCTCTTCCACAGACATTCCCCCGGGCCCACACGGATTGCCACAGTTGCACAGGGGTGGCCAGACCCAGGGGAGCTACAGAATTTTCAGTGGTCTAGCCTTTGGACTGGTGCTTATAAGGGAAGGGAGAGTGTAATGAAGCGAGGGAACAGTTTTTGGGACAAAGGAAAGCAGCTCATGCATTTTCCAGTGCACAAGAGCTCCTTGCTTGTGAGCTCTCAGGGATGGTGTCACTTCCAGCAGAGACACAGGGGCTGTGCTACACTCTGCAAAGGAGGAGTGTAGTTTCATTGCAGCAGCCAAGTGGCCTCAGTGCTCAAGTCAAGGCATGGAGAGGGGCACTTCCCCTCTCCTCCCTGCTACTGATACAGACAGAACCATGGCTGCTCCCATGGGAAATTGACCTGGGCATGCTGGGGGACAGACTTTCTGGGGCTGCTAGGGGCAAATGCTAGGTCCTGCTCCTCCTATGAAAGATACGTGCTCCCACTGGCAGTGTGGCCACCAAACTGCATGAAAGGTGCCTCCCAACCTCTTACATGTGGTGGCAGCATTCCTGCAGGGGAGAGCAGGAGAGCTGGTGTGTTTTGGTCTGATGGAATAAGTTCATCACAGCCATTTTGGCAGTGAGCTCTGGGACAGGCATTTTTCATGGCTCTCAGCTACACTGCAGCCTAGAGATAGATGGACTTTAAATTAGGAACAGTTACTAAGGAAAACAAAGTTCATTATGTAATGATAAAGGGATCAATTCAAGAAGAAGATGTAACAGTCCTAAATATATATGCACTCAATGCTGGAGTAACCAGATTCATAAAACAAATGCTACTAGACCTGGAAAAGGTATACAAATACGTCAAAACTAAACAACCTGCTTCTGAATGATCTTTGAGCCAATGATCAAATTAAGACAGAAATTTGAAATGTATTGTAATTAATGAAGATGGAGGCACAGTATACCAAAACCTCTAGGATAAAGCAAAAACAGTGCTGAACATCTACATTAAAATAATAGGAAGGTCACAACTCAACAATCTGATGTCACTCATCCAGAATAATGCTCATCAATAAAAAAGAAACAAACCAAACCTAAAGCTAGCAGAAGAAATAAAAAAGATCAGAGCAGAATTAATTGAAAATGAAAACAATAAAAATACCAAGTGATATGATTTGGATCTGCATCCCTGCCGAAATCTCATGTCAAATTGTAATCCCCAGTGTTGGAGGTGGGGCCTGGTGGGAGGTGATTGGATCATGGGAGAAGATTTCTCTTTTGGTGCTGTTCTCATGATAGTGATTGAGTTCTTGTGAAATCTGGTTGTTTAAAGTGTGTAGCACCTCCCCTCTCTCTCCTGGTCCTGCTCCTGCCATATAAGATGCCTGCTCCCACTTTTCCTTTCACCATGAGTAAAAGGCTCCTTGAGGCCTTCCCAGAAGCAGATGCAGCCGTGCTTCCTGTACAGCCTGCAGAACCATGAGCCAATTAAACTTCTTTTCTTTATAAATTGCTCAGTCTCAGGTATTTCTTTATAGCAATGTGAGAATGGACTAATACAGAAAATTGGCACTAAGCAGAAGGACATTGCTATAAAGATACCTGAAAATGTGGAAGCAGCTTTGTAATTGGGTAATGAGCAGAGATTGGAACAGCTTGGAGGGCTCAGAAGAAGATGATGGAAAGTTTGATACTTCCTAGAGACTTGTTGAATGGTTATGACGAAAATGCTGATAGTGATATGGACAGTGAAGTCCTGGCTGAGAAGGTCTCAGATGGAAATGAGGAACATATTGGAAACTGGAAAAAAAGTCACTTTTGTTATGTTTTAGCAAAGAATTTGGAGGCATTGTGCCCCTGCCCTAGGGATCTGTGGAACTTTGAACTTGAGAATGATGATTTAGGGTATCTGTTAGAATAAATCTGTAAGCAGCAAAACATTCAAGGTATGGCCTGGCTGCTACTAACAACCTATGTTCATATGTGTGAGCAAATAAACGATCTAAAACTTGAACTCACATTTAAAAGGGAAGCAGAGCATAAAAGTTAGAAAAATTGGCAGCCTGGCCATGTTGCAGAAAAGCCCACTTTCTGGACAGGAATTCAAGCAGGCTGTGGGAATTTGCGTAGGTAAAGAGGAGCCAAGTACTGATATCCAAGACAATGGGGAAAAGGCCTTGAAGGCAATTCAGAGACCTTCATGGCAGCCTCTCTCATCACAAACCTAAAAGCTCAAAAGTACTAAATGGTTTTGTGGGCCAGGCCCAGGGTCCCACCATCCTGTGCAGCCTTAGGACACTGCTCCCTGTGTCGCAGCTGCTCCAGCTCCAGCTGTGACTCAAAGGGGCCCAGGTACACCTCTAGCTGCTGCTTCATAGGGTGTACACCATAAGCCTTGACAGCTTCCATGTGGTGTTAAGCCTGTGGGTGCACAGAGTGCAAGAGATAAGGCTTGGGAGCCTCTGCCTAGATTTCAGAGAATGTATGGAAAAGCTTGGATGTCTAGGGAGAAGCTTGCTGCAGGGGCAGAGCCTTCATGGAGAACCTATGCTAGGGGAGTTTGGAGGAAAAATGTATGTGGGGTTGAAGCCGCCTCCCCACAAAGTCCCCAATGGGGCACTGCCTAGTGGGGTGTGAGACTCTTCTCACACCACTGTCCTCCACGCTCCAGAATGGTACGTCCACCAACAGCTTGCACCCTGTACCTGGTAATGCCGTAGGCACTCAAAACCAGCCTGTGAAAGCAGCTGTGGGGACTGAATCCTGGGAAGCTCCAAGGGTAGAACTGCCCAAGGCTTTGGGAGTCTACCCCTTGCACCAGGATGCCCTGGATGTGAGACATGGAGTCAAAGGAGATTATTTTGGAATTTTTAGATTTAATGACTTCCCTGCTGAGTTTCAAATGTGCATGGAGCCTGTAGCCCCTTTCTTTTGACCAATTTCTCCCTTTTGGATAGGGAATATTTACCCAATGACATTGCATCTTGGTAGTAACTAACATTTTTTTATTTTATTTTATAGGCTTATAAGTGGAAGGGACTAGCCTTGTCTCAGATGAGACTTTGAACTGTGGATTTTTGAGTCAATGCTGGAGTATGTTAAGACTTTGGGGGACTGTTGGGAAGGCATAATTATATTTCACAATGTAGAAGGACATGAGATTTGGGAAGGGCTAGAGGTGAGGTGATATGGTTTGGATCTGTGTCCCTGCCTGAATCTCATGTCAAATTGTAACCCCAATGTTGGAGATGGGGTCTGATGGGAAGTGATCAGATCATGGGGGCAGATTTCCCCTTTGGTGCTGTTCTCATAATAGTGGGCATATTCTCATGAGATCTGGTCATTAAAAAGTGCGTAGCACCTCCCTCCTCTCTCTCGGTCCTGTTCCTGCTATGCAAGATGCCAGTTCCTGCTTTGCCTAATGCTATGAGTAAAAGCTCCCTGAGGCCTCTCCAGAAGCAGATGCTGCCATGTTTCCTGTACAGCCTACAGAATTATGAGCCAATTAAAACTATTTTATTTGTAAATTACTCAGTCTTAGGTATTCCTTTAGAGCAATGAGATAACAGACTAATATACCAAGGGTCAACAAAATGAGAAATTGGTTGTTTGTAAAGGTAAACAAAATTGATAGGCTAACCAAGAAAAGAATAGAGAAGATTCAAATTGGCACAATCAGAAATGTAAAATGAGACATTGCCACTCATATCACAGAAATACAAAAGACGATCAAAGAACATCTCTATGCTCACAAACTAGAAAACCTAGAGGAAATGGATAAGTCCCGGAAACATACAACCTTACAAGATAAAGCTAGGAAGAAATATGAATCCTTAACAGACTAATAATATCTAGTGAGATTGAATCAGTTATAAAGAATCTTCCAGCAAAAAATGGTACAGGGCCATTTTTTGGAACCACAGCCAAATTCAACCTGACATATGAAGAATAACTGGTACCAATCCTATGGAAACTGTGCTAAAAATATGAGGAAGAGGAATATCCCTAATTCATTTTATGATTCCAGTATCACCCTGATACCAAAGTCAGACCAGGATGCAACAAAAACAACAAAACTACAGACCAATATCCCTCATGAAGCTAGACGCAAAAATCTTCAACAAAAGACTAGCAGACTGAATCCAACAGCACATTAAAAAGATAATACACAACAACCAAGTGGATTTTATTCCAGAGATGAACAATGCTCAACGTATGGAAATCAATAATTGTCATTCATGACTTAAATAGAATTCAAGACAAAGATCATATAAGCATCTCAATGGGTGCCAAAAAGCATTTGATAAAATTCAACATCCCTTCATAATATATATCCTCAACAAACTAGGCATAGGAGGAACATAGCTCAAAGTAATGAAAGCTGTATATGAAAACCCACAGCAAACACCACATATTACACTGAAGAGGGAAAGGTTGAAAGCATCCTTACTAAGAACTGGAACAAGGCAAAGATGCCTACTTTCAACCCCCTATTCAACATGGCACTGGAAGTCGTAGCCAACACAATCAGGCAAGAGAAAGAAATAGAAAGTATCCAAATTGGAAAAAATAATGGCAAATTTTCTCTGTTTGCTGATGATATAATCTTTTGTTTTCATATCTTATTTTTAATAGCTTATTGAATTACTTTAAGGTGAACATCCTTGTGACCAACATGAGTCAAGAAATTCAAGTTTACCAGCCACCCCAGAAGCCCTTACATATGCTCCATCCCAATTACAGCACTCTCTTTCCCTTAAAAAATGACAACTATCTTAAATTTTATAAAGTGATCACTTGTTTGCATTTTTAAAGCTTTTATCACCTAAGTGTGCATCATTAAATATTATAGTTTAATCAGGCCCATATTAAAATTTATATGTTTCAGTCACTTTTAATCTAAAGCTCCCTCTTTGTGCCTCCTTTTTTTCTTACAATTTATACCAGCCTATTTGAATTTTAGAATTTCCCAAAGTAGAATCTTATGCCTAGAAAACCCTAAGGGCTCCTTCAAAAAACTCCTTGATTTGATTAGTGAACTTAGTAAAGTTTTAGGATACAAAATCAACATACAAAAATCCGTAGCATTTCTAGACACCAATAAAAATCAAGCGGGTAACCAAATTAAGAAGTCAATTCCATTTACAATTGCTACAAAAAAATGAAATACCTAGGAATACATTTAACCAAAAGGGTGAAAGATCTCTACAAGGAAAACTATAAAACACTGATGAAAGAAATTGTAGATGACACAAACCAACAAGTGGAAAAATATTCCATGTTCCTGAATTGAAAGAATCAATATTGTTACAGTGATCATACTTCCTAAAGAAATCTACAGATTCAGTGCAATTCCTATCAAAATACCAATGTCATTTTTCACAGATTTGGAAAAAATTACTCTAAAATGCATATGGGACCAAAACATAGTCTGCATAGCCAGAGCAATCCTAAGCAACAAGAACAAAGCTGGAGGCATCATATTACATGACTTCAAATTATAATACAATGCTATAGTAACAAAAACAGTATGGTACTGATATAAAAATAGATACATTGATCAGTGGAACAGAATGGATAACTCAGAAATAAAACCACATACCCTCAGCCAACTCATCTTTGACAAAGCTGACAAAAACATACACTAGGGAAAGGACACCCTATTCAATAAATGGTGCTGGAAAAGTTAGATTGTCACAGGCAGAAGAATAAAACTGGACTCCTATCTCTCAACATATACAAAAATTAACCAAGATGGATTAAAGGCTTAAATGTACAACATGAAACTATGAAAACTCTAGAAGAAAATCTAGGAAAAACTCTTCTGGACATTGGCCTACGCAAATAATTCATGACTAAGACCCCAAAAGAAAATGAAACCATAAGAAAAATAGACAAGTGGGATTTAATTAAGCCAAATAGCTAAACCAAGCAAAAGAAATAATTATCAGAGTGAACAGACAACCTAAAGAATGGGAGAAAATATTTGCAAACCATGCATTTGACAAAGGACTAATATCCATTATCTACAAGGAACTTTGACAATTCAACAAGAAAAAAAACCATTAAAATGTGAGCAGACCTTTTACAAAAGAAGATACACAAGTGGCTAACATGTATATGAAAAAGCCCAGCATCACTAATTATCAGAGAAACGCAAATTAAAACTATGAGATACCATCTGACACTAGTCAGAATGGCTATTATTAAAAAGTCAACAAATAACAGATGTTGGTGATGATGGGGAGAAAAGGGAACATTTATGCACTGTTGGTGGGAATGTAAATTTGTACAGTCTCTAAGGAAAGCAGTATGGTGATTTCTCAAAGAGCTAAAAATAGAACTGCCATTCAATCTAGCAAGCCCACTACTGGATATCTACCCAAAGGAAGATAAGTTATTATATTTAAAAAGACATCTGCACACATATGTTTGTGACAGCACTATTTACAATAGCAAAGACATGAAATCAACCTAACTTGTCCATCAACGGATAATTGGATGAAGAAAATGTGATGGAATACCACTCAGCCATGGAAAAGAATAAAATTATGTCTTTTGTGTAAACATGGATGGAAATGGACGCTATTATCTTAACTGAAATAACTCAGAAAGTCAAATACCAAATGTCCATATATTAGTGAGAGCTAAAAAATGTGTACACATGGACATAGAGACTGGAATACTAGACACTGGAGACTCAGAAAGATTGGAGGGTGAAAGCAGGGTGTGGTATGATAAATTACCTACTGAGTACACGTACGTTATTTGAGTGATGTTTACACTAAAAGTCCGTACTTCATCACTATGCAACAACATATCCATGTAACAAAACTGCACTTGTACCCCCTAAATCTATAAAAGTAAATACATAAAAATTTAAAAAATAAGAAAGAAAGAACAAGTCCCTGCCACACTTGGTCATTGGCTAAGACAAGCCAATGTGAGATTTGCCTTCGACACCAACACAGAAATGCATTTACAAGGACAGCAGCTGACGTCTTTTGTCAATTACACTCTCTATAGGCAGAGTTTTGCAAGGAATATTATTGCGGCCATTACATATATACTCCCAAGGATGCTATTACTGTTACAAATACCCTTCAGAAAAATATGGCTATTTCTAATTATACATCTAAATGTATGTATATGCATGGGAAAAAAGGTGTGGAGGAGATATACTAAACTAACAAGAGTGGTTACATATGGTTGGAGGGGTGGGAGGTGGCATGTATAATGGATAGTCAAGAAGGATTAACAGATTTAAATGTTTTGTTTAAAATTTAAACATAAAATTATATTGACTCATGTATTAATTGTAGAAGGAAAAATATAAATTTTTTAAAGTAGAAAATCCAAACCTAGTCAACATTTTTGAAACAGTGGAGGAGAAAGATGTGATTATACAAGACCAATGCCTTACCACTTGGCCACAACACCTGATAAAAGATGTTCATATAATGGCATGATCTTGCTTATTGATCTTTGTCATTTATTTAAATGATGAGAGAGAATTGAGCTTCTTTAAGTGCTGATTAGAGGGAACAGGTATAGAAAAGAGATAGAGAATAGTGAAGGGCAAAGAGATGAATGATAGAAGACATTTCCTGATAAGGTAGAGAAAAATGGGATCTGGTACAGAGTTGTAGGGATTGGCCTTTGGTTAGAGTGGGAAAACCTCTTCCACTGCAACAGGAGAGAAGGATAAGGAGATGCTTCAGATGAAGTGGAATTCCTACATCCTAGAGGATGTTAAGAGATTTCCCATACAATGGCCTTTACTGATCCTTGTGATATGAGATAGAGTGATCTTTTAAGAGTGAACAGGCAAACAGGAGCCCATGGTCAAATGTTTGAGGAGAAAGGAACAGGCTCAGAAGAGTTCTTGAATAAATTGAAAAGATTTGCTGACATGTGATCCACATTGCATGAGTGTTTAGCATAGCGGAAAATCCACTTGCAATTGGTGATCACAAATCCGGACTGGAACCAGTATGACTGGCTGTGTAATTTTATCCAAGTGGGTGAGAAAGTCCCAACGAAGGTAAGAAAGGATAGATGTTTGGGTTCATTTAAGGTTCTGTGTTGCTGAGTAGGTGTGACAGTGAAGATATGGAGAATAAGGAAGTCTTATGTAATAACAAGAGAGCGAATGAAAAATAGAAGGGTGGAATTCTAGACAAGATTTTTTCAAGATGTTGAGGATAAAGCATCAAAAAATGGTAAAGTAGGCAGCTCCAAGCACCTGTCTCTCCACAGTAACACTGAAAATTAAGCAGAAGTTGTTAAAACAAAGTTTGTCAGACACTGGCAAACAGCCAAAGTCTTATAGCAACAAAAACAAAATGTGGTGAATCAAAAAGAAAGCAAACTTGAAATGGTAGGAAAGCTTTGTAGTGTTTACTTCACATTGCCCCACCCACTCCATGGCTCTGCAGCCATTTTAAAGATGGTAGCCTGTGTTTCCAATGTGAAGCCCCGATTCCAGATTCTAGAAGGAGCAGAACAGATCATACTCACAAATCATTCTATTTGTCTGTCCTAACCTTCTGGGAGCTGCCTTAAGGAGTGACACAGGCACCCATCTCTGTTTCACTAATGTGGAATCCACTAAGTGTGGGAAAGCAGCAGTCATTGCTGAAAAACATTGTGCAGATAACTAAAACCTGAAGCTTCTTTGGGCAAAATGCTATGGTTGAGACATACAGTAGACTGCCTAAAGACTCATAGGAAAAGTCAGGGAGAGCCTGTTTGAAAAGTTAGGGCATTGGATTGAAGGAAAAAAAGGGGGCTTATGTCCAAAATATATATGAAACTCAATCTACTCATTAAGAAGAAAACAAATCATTGAATTGAAAAATGGGCAAGGGACTCGAGTTGACATTTCTCAAAAGAAGACATACAAATGGCCAACAGATATATCAAATAATGTTCAACATCACAAATCATCAGAGAAATGCAATTAGAAGTGTAATAATATATGATCTCATACATGTTAGAATGCCTATTATCAAAAAATTGAAAGATAAGGGTTGATGAGGATGTGAAGAAAAGGGAAAAATTGTATGCTGCTGGTGGGAATGTAAATTAGTACAGCCATTTTGGGAATAGTATGGAGGTTCCCCCAAAAATGAAATATAGAATTATTGGATGATCTTGATATCCCCTTCTGGATATATAGCCAAAGGAAATGAAGTCAGTATGTCAAAGAGATGACTGCACTACCATGTTCATTGCATTATTATTCACAATAGCCAAGGAAAGGAAAACTTCAGTTCCCATCAGCACATGAATAAATTTTTAAAGTGTGGTATTTATATACCATGAAATAGTATTCAGCCATAAAAAAGAAGGAAATCTTGTCAGTTGTAAGAACATGAATGACTCTAGAAGATGGTATGCTAAGTGCAATATGTCAGGTGCAGAAAGACAAATATGGCACAATTTCTTTTATATGTGGAATCTCAAAAAGTCAAACTCATAGAAGTGGAGAGTAGAATGGTGATTACAAGAGGCTTGAAGTGGGTGTATGGGGAAAGGGAAATGTTGGTCAAAGGGTGCAAAATTTCAGTTAGACATGAGGATTAAGCTCTGGTGATCTATTGTATTGCACGGTAACTATTGTTAATAATAATGTATTGTATACTTGAAAATTATTTAAGGACTGGACTTAAATGATCTCATTACAAAGAAATAGTAAATATGTGAAGTGATGGATATTTAGTTAGCCATTGATAATTCCACAATATATACCTGCACGGATGGAAGCATCACATTGTACCCCATAAATGTATACAATTTTTATTTGAAAATTAAAAATATGAAAAAATGTATAAATGGATTAAGTTCTCTAACCAAAAGGGATTGCCAGAATAATTTTTTTAAAGCCATGATGAACTACATGCTTCCAACAAAAGACTCACTGTAGATCCCAAAACACAAATAAGTTGAAGGTGAAATGAAGCAAAAAGTGATTCCATGCAAACAGCAAAGAGAAGAGAGCTGGGGTAGCTATACTAATATCAAGCATTTTGGAACTGAGTAAAAAATTGTCACAAGAGACATGGAGGGACATTACACAGTGATCAAAGGGTAAATTTATCTGGAAAATATGCCAATGATAAATATAGGTGTACTTAACAACAGAGATCCATAATATATGAAGCAAAAATTGACCAATTTAAAAGAAAAAATATAGACAGTTCTAAAATAATAGTTGAAGGTTTCAAACCTTACGTTCAATTATTAAATGGAAGACACATAACAGCATAAACCAACTAGATATAACAGATATATACAAAATAATCCATCAAATATCAGCACAATGCACATTATTTTCAAGTACATATGCAATGTTCTCAACCATAGGACATATGTTAAGCCACAAGACCTGTGGCATAGGCCTATGGTAGGTCTCAATGAATTTAAAAAGAATGATCTCATACAAAATGTCTTATCTGAACACAATTGAAAGTAGAGATCAGTAACTGAAGGAAAACTGGAAAAATCACTAAAATTTGGAAAGTAAACAACACACGCTGAAACAACAAATGGATTAAATAAGAAATCACAAAGCATACTAGAAAATAGGAAGAAATGAAAATGAGAAAAAAACATGATAAAAAGCATAGGCTGCCATGAAGTCAATGCTGAGAGGGACATTTATGTGATATGTAATATAAATATCTACATTATAAAAAAAGAAATATTTCAAGTGAACAGCCTAACTTTATACATTGAGAAACTATAGAATGAAGAGAAAACTAAATCTAAAGCTAGTAGAAGGAAAGAAATAACAAAGAATAGAGTGGAGAGAAATGAAATAGAAAGTTAAAGAAACAACACAGTTGTAGCTCAACTTACAACTTAAAAAAAGAAAAGACACAAATAACCATAAGCTGAAATGAAAGTGAGAACATTACTACAGACATCACAGAAATAAAAATGATTATAAGAGAACACTATGAATAATTGTATGCCAACAAATTAGATAACCTGGATTAGAGAAATCCCTAGAAGCACATAAATTACTTAAACTGACTCACAGAGAATGAGAAAATCTCAAAAGACCTATAACAAGTATAGACACTGAATCAGTAATCAAAAACCTCCCAAGAAAGAAAACTCCAAGCCAAGATGGCTTCACTCATGAATTCTGCCAAATATTTAAAACATAGTTAACACCAATTCTTTTAAGATTTTTCAAAAAATTGGAAGATGAAATAACACTTCTTAACTCATTCTATGAGGCCAGCCTGCATTACCCTGACACCAAAAGCAGATACAGGGAGCATAAAAAAGAAAACTATAGACCAATATCCCGTATTAATATGGATGAAAAAAAGTCAACAAACGAGTAGCAAATTGAATCCAACAGAATATTAAAGGAATTGTATACCATGACTAAATTGAATGTGTTCCAGAAATTCAAGGGTATTTCAACATACAAAAATCAATCAATGTGATACACAACATTTGTATAATGAAGAAAAACCACATGATCATGTCAATGGATTCAGAAAATGCATTAAAAATCTATCGTGCTTTTATGATAAAAACATGCAGCAAACTAGGAAATCATGGAAGCTTCCTCAATATCATAAAGGCCATTTATGACAAATTCACAGCTAGGATCATACCCAATGGTGAAAGATTGTTTCCTCTAAGATTAGGAACAAGACAGGGATACCCACTTTAACCACTTCTATTCAACATACTACTGGAAGTTCCAGGAAGAGCAATCAGGTAAGATTAAGAGTAAGTAATCCAAATTCCAAAAGAACAAGTAAAATTATCTGTATTCATGGATGATAAGAACTTGTATAGTGAAATTCCTAAGAAAAGTCCACGAAATTGTACGGTTAATAAATTCAGGAAAGTTGAGGATATGAGAAAAACACACAAAAATCACTTTTGTGTTTGTACACTAGTACCAGAATCTGAAAAGGAAATTAGTAAACCAATTCCATTTAAAATAGCATCCAAAAGAATATAATACTTACAAATAAATTTAATCAAGGAAGTGAAAGACTTGTACAATGAAAACTACAAAAGATTGCTGAAAACAAAAGAAAACCTAAATAAATAGAAAGCTATCTCGTGTATGGACTGGAAGACTTAATATTGTAAAGATGACAATACAGGTCGGGTGGGGTTGCTCACGCCTGTAATCCCAGCACTTTGCGGGGCCGAGATGGGTGGATCACTTGGGGCCAGGAGTTCGAGACCAGCCTGGCTGACATGGTGAAACCCTGTCTCTACTAAAAATACAAAAAATTAGCCGGGCATGGTGGCAGGCACCTATAATCCCAGCTACTTGGGAGGCTGAGGCAGGAGAATCGCTGGAACCCGGAAGGCAGAGGTTGCAGCGAGCTGAGATCGCGCCATTACATTCCAGCCTAGGTAACCAGAGTGAAACTGCATCTCAGGGGGAAAAAAGAAAAGAAAAGAAAACAAAACAATACTACCCAAGGCAATCTACAGATTCAATGCAATAGCTATCAAATTAGCAATAGGATTTTTTATTTTTGCAGAAATGGAAAAGCCAATCCTAAAATTCCCATGGAATTGTAAGGGGCCCCCAATTCTCTCAAACATTCTTGAACAAAAAGAAAATAATTAGAAGACTCATATTTCCTGATTTGGAAACTTAATAGAAATCTGCAGTAATCAAAACAGTGTGATACTGGCATATGCATAGACATATAAATCAACAGAATAGAACTGAGATTCCAGAAATAAACACATACATCTACAGACAACTGATTTTTGATGAGTGTGTCAAGTTCATTCAATGGAAAAATAATGCTCTTTTTAACAAATGGTGCTGATACAACTGGATAGCCACATGTAAAAGAATGAAATTGGACCCCTACTCACACTATGTATAAAAGATAACTAAAAAGGGATCAACAACCTTAATATAAGAGCTAAAGCTATTAAAATTTTAGAAGAAAACATATGGGTAAATATTCATGGCCTAGGATTCAGCAATGGATTCTTAGACATGACACAAAAACCATGAGCAACAAAAGAAAAACAGATATATTGTACTTCATTAAAATTAAAACCTTTTGTACATCAAAGGTTATTATCAAGAAATTGAAAAGAAAAATCTGTAAAATGGGAGAAAATATATGCAAATCATACATTTCTTACAAGCATTTATTATCCAGAAGATGTAAAGAACTCCTGCAACTAAACAACAAACAAACAAGCAACCCGATTTTTAAAAATGATAGAGGACTTCAATAGACATTTTTCAAGGAAGATACAGAAATGACCCATATGCACATGATAAAACCTCAACATCATTAATCATTAGTGAAATGCAAGCTGAAACCAAAATGGGATATCACGGCACCTTCTAGGATGTCTATATTTAAAAAAAAAATGAAAATATCCAGTGTTGGTGAGGATTTGGAGAAACTGGAATGCTCATTCATTACTGGTGGGAGGGTAAAATGGTGCAGACACTGTGGAAAAAAATTGGGTGGTTCCTGAAATAGGTAAGCATAGAGCTATATGATCCAACAATTTCACTCCCAGGTAATTAGTGAAAAAAAAAAAAGGTAAACAGTAACTTGAACAGATACTTGCATGTCCGTGTTCATTATAACATTATTCCAAAAAGTCAAAAGGTAGAAACCCATGTTCATCAACAAATGAATGCATAACAAAATGTAGCATACACATACAATGGAATATAATTCAACCATAAAAAGGAATGCGTTTCTGATTGATACATGTTACAACATGGATGAAGCTTAAAAACAATTTCCCAAGTGAAATAAGCCAGACACAAAAGGACAAATATTTTATGATTCTGCTGTTATGAATTCTCTAGAATGGGCAGATTGATAGAGACAGAAAGTACATTTGTGGTTTTCAAGGGCTAGGGGGAGAAGGCAATGGGGTGTTACTAATTAATGGGTATGGAGTTTCTGCTTGGAATGATGGAAAAGTTTTGAAAATAGTAGTGATGGTTGTGCAGCATTGTGAATATTACTAATGCTGCAGAATGGTACACTTAAAAATTATAGCCCAAATGCCTTTCAAATGTTGTTGGATAAGCAAATTGTTGTACATCCATACAATGGAATACTACTCAACAGTAATAGTAAACTATTTGATATGCACAACACTTAGAACAATCTCAAAGGCATTATGCTGAGTGAGAGAAGTCCATCTCAAATGATCACACTCTGTGTTATTCCATTTTTGTAATTATTCTTGAAGTGACAAAATTATACTGATTAAAAAGATATTGCTAGGTTCCAAAGGTTAGTGTTGGAGGGAGAGTTTGGCTGTAAAAGAGGAGCAACCAGAACAGTCTTTGTTGTGATAAAACACTTCTATATCATGACTGTGATGATGGTTACACAAATATGTACAAATGACAACATCTCACACACACATATGCCATAAGAAAGTATATATAGGAATGTGAAATCAGAATAAGGTCTGTAAGTGAATTGATAGTATGGTGCCATTATAGATTTTCTGACTTTTATAATACACCAAGATTATGTGTCATGGTTATGTTATATTTTGGGGAAGCTGGGTGAAGGGTGAAAGGTACAGTGAATTCTCTGTATTATTTTTGCAATTTCTTGTGAGTCAAATTTTTTCACGATAAATAACATATAAACATAAGAAAGGAGGCAAGATTGCAAAATATTTGATAAACTATACTTGATGATGCTCTTCAGTAAAGAGGAGGTAATGTCTTTGTCAAGGAAAGCAGCAATAACTTCGACCTATAAATACCTATACAAGTTATTGCAACACTGTTTACTTCAGGAAATGAAGCTCTAATTCCATTGTGACTATATCGTACATGCAATAATTTTTGGAATGCGTAGTACTACCTGATAGGGAGAGTGATAAGAAAAATCTGGTCTAACATAACTAAATTTCATTTTGGGTTTAATATGAACAATTATTAGCCAAAATTCAGAGTCCATCTAGCTTCTACATTTTGTTTTCAGGAGATGACTATTAACAAAAAAAAAATACAGTAAGCAGCTTGGAAAATGACAACAACATCAGAAGCCCCTTTGAGACTAGATGGATGCCTTACCCATTGTGAAGGGCTTTAACACTTGGCCTGCCTCCCTTCCTGTCTCCCTTTCATCGGCGTTTATTCCTGAAAAAGAGCTGCCAACCAGAACCAGCTATTACTTGGCATATGGGAGGCAAAAGCCCTGTCTCAGAGACTCACACAACTGACATCTGAGCAAGGGTGTTGCATTCATTGTTTTCTCTATGGGGAGGCACCAGTAAATTACTAAGAGACTTCTAAAAAGATTTCCTCAGGTATTGTCTCCTGGTCAATGTTCACATAATATTTAGTTGAGTTTTATAATACAGAAACAACCAACAATGTAGGCAGTAGTCTGAAGCAGCTCTATGACTCAGATCCAGCCTCTTTTATCTGCAGACCAAAGCCAGTACTGTTTGCCCGGGGCCCACACAGTGACCCAGTGGGAGCCCTCCCACAGACCTGGAGGAAGCCACCCCTGTGTGTAACCAGGCTACAGACTTTTAGTGTATGGGCCCTGAAGTGGACCCTAATCCCAGCACCAGCCCTACTGACCAGATCCTGAAAGCAGTCAAGTTCACCTAGAGACCAAACTGGATTCAGGCCCTCTTGAATTAACAAGCCCACCAACCATAGACCCTGCTTGCAGAACCTGTAGCAACTACATGTCATTGCTCCCTCCCCACTCAACTGTGATCCTGGAGGCAATCTCATCAGACTGAGGACCCAACAGGAGATGGTCTTTATCAGTCAAAACCAGTCCATAAAGACTGGGGTTGGCTCCTTCAAATTACAGACACCAATAAATGTCTACAGGGATCACAAAGAATGAGGCAAATATAACAGCACCAAAGGAAACAAATGAAACTCCAGTAAACTACCAAACAATTTGAAGTCTATAAATTGCCTAAAAAAGAACTCAAAGTAATCATCTTAAACATAATTTTGATTCATGACTTAAACAGAATAAAGAACAAAAAACATATGATCATCTAAATAGATGCAAAAAAGCATTTGATAAAATTCAACATCCTTCATTATATATAATACATCATGCCATTCTCTTTTCCAATTTGAATACCTTTTATTTCTTTCTCTTGCCCGATTGTGCTGGCTAGGACTTCCAGTGCCATGTTGAATAGGAGAGGTGAAAGTAGGCATCCTTGGCTTCTTCCAGTACTTAGGAACTGCTTTGAACTTTTCCCTGTTTGGTGTGATGTTGGCTGTGGGTTTTCATAAATGGCTTTCATTATTTTGAAGTATGTTCCTCCTCCGTCTAGTTTGTTGAGGATGTACATCATTAGTTTCTTTCTATTACTAGATATTGGCAATGTTTTATTATAAATGCAGTTTGAGTTTTTTCATACACTTTGCTATGCTGTATAATTTGCTATACTTGAGTTTTATCAAACACTTTGCTATGTTGTATGATTAAATTTATTGAGATAATCATATGATTTCCATGCTTTATTCTAATAATATAGTGGATTATACAAATTTATTTCTTAATAGAGCTATCTTGGTCTTGATATATTCTTTTGTGTATAGATTGCTGAATTAATTTACCAACGTTTTCTTGAGGATTTTCCATTTATTTTCATCAGTGTGATTGATTTCTTATTGCCCTTTATTTATGCGTCCATTGTCATATTTACTATCAAAATTATCATTATCACATGATATAAACTGGGAAATGTTCTTTCTTTCATATGTTCCTTAGGAGACTTTGTATAAAATTGAGATTATTTTCTTCTGTAATATTTGGTGAGTCTAGCGTATTTTATTATTGCTTTTACTGTTTGGGGGAAGTATTTTAAATTACCCACTCATTTATTTTAATGGCTATAGGTCTAGTCACAATTTCTGTGTCTTCGTGAGTCAAGTTTGTTGAGTTATATTTTTCTAATGTTTGTTAATTCACTACATTAAAATGTTCAAATGTATTGTTATAAAATGTTACATGTTTTCTCATAATCCTCATTTATCCCTATGATATATCACTCATACACAAAAAGTGAATGAAATATAAATATGTGTGTAAAAATGAACACCTATAGATCATTACCAAGGTAAAGAACTAGAACATTGTTGGCATTCTCAAAGTCCCCATGTGCCTCTTCCTGGCATCTTCCACCCTCACTCCTTGAGGTGACCACTATTCTTTTTTAGTAATTACTTCTTTGCTATGCTGTATAATTTTCCAACTACATATGCATCTCTGGAAAAACAGAGTTTCATTTTCCGCATTTCTTAGATATATATGAAAGTTATCAGAAGGTGTGCATAATTCTGTGTCTGGCTTCACCTACTCATCATTATAGTTGTAAAAATCATTTTCATTATTGCTCCCTAGCATTCCATTATATTAATAGGCCAAAAATGCATCTATTTATCCTTCTGTTGGTGAACATTTAATATTCAAATTGGACAGTCAATTTCCCATGGTCTGCAATGCCGAATTATCATTAATGAAGTATTTCATATGCAAATGAGTCCGTGTCAGCACCATGCCAACTTCACACCTGGTTCTTTCTAAAATGAATCTTCTTTTTCATGAACATTTGAATATTATATAAATTTTAGAATCGGTTTACTAATTTCCACACACTAAAATACAGAGTTTTTTGGATTGCATTGAATACGTAGATCAATTTTGGGAGACTACGCATTTCAAAACTATAGAATTTTCCAGGCCATTTACATGGACTATCTCTCCATTTATTTGTTCTCTCTCACTAGAGCAAAATTCCATGGCAGCTATGGTGGCCACCCTAGGATGGCCTGCACTCTGGCAATCCTTCTGTATCAACAGGATCTGTGGACCTCCAAACACAATGTCCTGAATACCCAGCAATAAAAAAAGGATCGGCATGAAGCTCACTCTGACAGGATGAGGGAACCACCCATGGGAGCCAGAAAAACCTAGGAACCTGATTGGTACTGGATCTAAAGTTATGCTCATCTCCCAGGAACTTGATCTGCATAGTCACTGAGGTCATCAGTCACAGGGTTTTGCCCCTCTATTTACCCACCTCATGCAGCTTTGCACTTTCTCCCTTGCTCCTTGCTTCTCATGGCCTTCCTTAGCTGCCTGTCACTTCTCACCCCTCCACCCACCACATATCCCTAACCCCACAGGAGGGAGATACACTGTAGACAAGAGAGGAAAGACCTGGCCATTGCCAGCAATAAATAGCTCCCTGTACTGGTATGCCGGACCACCAGGGGATACAAAAGATGTTGTTTCCCAGAATCCTAGAGAGTGGCAGTCACTGGGTGATCTTAGCGTTTATAGACTGGATGTTTTTGTTCCTCGCAAACCCATATGTCGATACCTAGCCCCGTAGTGTGAGGATATTAGCAGGTGGGGCCTTTGAGAGCTAGTTAGGATTAAATAAGGTCATAATTGTGGAACCCTCATGGATGGGATTCGTGTCTTTATGGGAGTCAAGACAGAGCTTGCTTCCTCTCTCTGCTCTCTGCCATGTGGAGGTACAAGGAGAAGTCAGCTGTCTGCAGCCCAGAAGAGGGCCCTCACCAGAATCCGGCCACACTGGTATCCTGATCTCAGACTTCCAGCTTCCAGAACTGTGAGAAATACGTTTGTTGTTGATAAGCCACTCAGTCGATGGTGTTTTGTTATAGCAGCCCAAGCTGATAAAAACAAGGGTGTTCTAAGAATGGGCGAGGTGTCCGGCCTTCCTCTGGTCCTTTCAGCCAGCAGATCTCCCACTCACCTTGCAGCAACCAGCAGGTACTGATGAGTCTGAGATGCCGTGAGTCTGCTCAAGTAACTTTTCTAGACACTCATTGCAGATTCCTCAACTTCTCTCACTATGGTTTCTTGTTCACCTGATAGGGCCCACTAGATCCAGAATCCGGAATTTAATGAAATAGTTGCTAACAAAGTAACGTAAGTACAAAATTATGTGAAGGTTGAAAGTAATTAGTTTTAAATGCCTCATTATTTTATTATTTCAAACACATGGACATTATACAAAAATTGAAAATACAGATTAACACAAAACAATAAAAATCAGAGATTATGCATTATTTTAATTTAATGTTTGTTTTCTGTTCACTTTGTACAGTATGCATAGATTCTGTTTCTAGTCATAAAAACATTAAAAATGCTGAGTCTATTTGTGTTTTGGTTCATGTTGAGCACTGCAGTGGGTCTTTGCTTTTCTAGTTTTTGTAATCATGAATTCAAATTGCTGAAGTCATAGGGCCCACTGCTCCAGCATTAATTTGCTTTGTAGCTTTCTTGAGTTTTCCCAGGCTGTGACATTTGGAACTTGACAAGTCAATGTGCCGAGCAATGAAGATGACTTATTTGATGAGACTGGTGTTCTTTTCCAAGCAGCTGATATTATGCTAGAGTCAGCTTCATTTAAAAAGCAGGTGCAACAGGAACCGTCCCTTGAAAATGTAGATCCCATCCCAGTATTAGAGGCAGCAATTCCTGTGATAAAGGGATAGGGGGAGCAAAAGATGAGGCCACAGGGAAGGGTCTCTAAGGGACCCTAAAAGCTGCCTCATGAATCCAGAGTCCATTCAAAGCTCTCCCTCCTATTTCTTGAAAAGATTGGCCACTGGGGTGTTGAGTTTAGAGAAATAGGTATGAGCCTCATAATCTCAACCCCCAGCCACTCCCAACAGATCTGACCTTTACTGTCTGGGCTTGCCATGTGGGGATTGTGCTTACCATGCCTGGCACCCTCTCCACTCACCAGGTGGTGAAGTGCAGCTGAGGCTTGGGGTGGGTCATATGTATAAGGGGTGGGGGCAGGTACATTCTGAATAAGGGAACTGTGAGACAACATGCCTCCTCTCGAGCACCTCAATAGACATTTACATAACCTAAGGACACGTGAAGATGTTTTCTTTTGGAAGTTTTACTGGTGATCCACATTTTTAAAAGGAATATAATTGTCACCAGAAAATACTGTTGACCTTTTGTTCTCCAACAATGACCAAACAACAAGACCAAAATTAAACAAAACAAGCACCTTTCACTATTGTTATTGCACTCAACAGCAACTTCTCAAACTAGGTCCTCTCAGCCAAAACTGTACACTTGAATCTTACTTGGAACGATAGCTGTATTTTTGAAAAGTTATATACATCACATTTTTTCTTTGGTTATGCATTCATTAAACAAATATGTATTTATCTCCTACTATGTACCAGGTCAAATTCTAAACAAATGTAATTGTGCTAAAATGTTCTATTAGAAAGAATTCTTGTTTTAGAAAACAAAGTGAATAAAGTCCCTTTTACCTGTAATATTTTAGGATTCTAGTTAAAGTCACCCAAATGGATCCCTTTTATGAAATACAGTCCTTCAAATTTGTTTATTTGAAAAATTTACATTTTATATATTTTGCTTAATTACGGGATACCTATATCACCTTCTTTTAATAAAATTATAATGTCTGTCTAGGTGTTTGTGTACAGTTAGAATAAAATCTTAAGAGGTCCTCTATGTGATCCCACCCAGTGAGTGATTCCTTCCTACAACTTCCCTGGGAACGGGCATTTAACTTCTGCTGGAACATCGCTGGTGATGGGAAGCTCACTACCTCACAAAACATTTTGTTCTAGGATCATTCTCCTCCTTTAAAAAGGTCCTTGGTGAATTTCACCTACAATGAGGGTGAAATTACTAGTGTGCTGCCAGTCATCTGGGTTTATCTGGAAAAATAGTAAAAAGAGTAGTAGCTCATATGGCCTGAGACAAACATGGTATAGGAGAGCTTCAAGAAAGGATAGCGGGTATTGGGGAAGAAGACTCTGAAGGTCATAGAAAGATCTAGTCTGAGTCCATGGTGGAGCCTGCTAGAGACCAGAGGAGGTTCTCTTGGTTTTAGAAATCCAGCTGGCAAGCAGGGAAGCCTTTGTGACTGGAGCAGAATGAGAGAGGAAGCAGGAAGAGGCAGCTGAGGGCAGAGAGGGAGGCAGGGGCTGGATTTGGATTTTCTTCCCTAAGTTTGGAGGAAAACATTTGTGTATTTTTCAGCAGGCGGTGATGTTTTTGGCTTTTTGCTTTTAAAATACCATGATTCTATTTGGTCAAATCTCTCAGCATTCCCCCTGCCCTGTCACTTTATACCTCACTCCAGAAAACCTGGACTACTCATAGTCTCCTGAATGTACCAGGTGGAAGAAGCCTATCATGGTTCCTTACACTTACCTGCCCATCAGCTTCCCTGTTCCTGTCATTCCTTCCTTCCCCTCCTTGTCTACCTGGCAAAAATCTCACTTTGCTGCCAAGTTGGGCTCTACCATCACCTGCTCTGGTAGACTTCCTTTACTCTCTCAAGCCAGTCTGGGTGCTTTGTATCTCCATTACCTCAGGTAGTTACAATTGGTGATTTATGTGAAGCCCTCGAGGGCCAGGGCAGTATTTGCTTCACCTCTGAGTCCCCAGCATCTAACACTGTGTCTGGATTAACCAACTAATCCATTTACAAATTGTCGAACTCTTCTAAAACAATGAAATAAAAATTTGGGAGCAGATGTATTCTAAAATATAACCAGTTCATGTTTGGTGATACCATATGGTACATTTTCATTTCTTTTCTGGGTATCTTTTGTAACTATTTTTTCCTGGTAAGATCGTATGAAAATAGCATAGCTCATATTAGCTGTTTCCTGAGTGCATTATAGAGTCTTTTCAGGATCTGTGATAGATGACCCCTGACAACTTCTTTAAAAAGTTCCAAGTCAAAACCATCTACGCCATGCTGTAAGGAGTAGAATCTGGGGTCCTGGACAATTGTTTGCTCCAATAGCAATAGCTACAAAATGTAGGACTTACAAGAATAACTAAGGAAAGTTACCAGGGCAAGGAGCTGGAGGCCAATAGCAAAGTTTATCAATTCATCAGTCAATAGATATTTAGATTGTTTAGATTGTTTGCACATTTGGGCTATTATGAAAAATGACTTTTTTATGGTGCCCAAGAATTTCAATTTGAGAAGCAGAAGATAAAGGTAGGGTATGTGGGAAAGGCCTGTACTGGTTAACTAGATCCTTTTCCATAATCAGTATATCTATAGTAGGGAGTGTAAGCATTGAAAGACAAGCAATGTCATCATCAGTTGCTCCTAGAAGTATTCTAGTTCTCCAAGCTTGAAAAGTGAAGAGAAGCCTCTGTTAGAACAGCCTCTGGCACACAAGTGCACCCAGCATGTCCCAGTCTCATAGAAGGCCCCCAACAGGTGTTAGATGGATGCAAAAGAATCTACAGAAACAGCCAAAGGCCGGAAGTTGTTTGTTGTTGTTGTTGTTGTTGTTTTTCGTCTCCAATGCAAATCCAGAAATCCATAGCACAAGCCATTCTCAAGCCAGGAGGAAACAACAAAGGGGAAGTTTTCACAACCCCCTTGCATCACAGTTTCAAAATCAGGCTACATTTCAAGTAACTAGTGGTCTGAAGCCTAACCATATAAATTTAGGACTGCTCGAGGGGAAAGGATAACAGCAGCAGAGCCACTGATCACTGGATTGTTTCAATGAGCTCAGTCTCCTGCATGTCTCAGTTCTTCCTCAGCCACCATCATGTTGCTTCCCCAGTACAGAGGAGAAACTCCCAAGAGAAAGGGTATTCCAGAGACCTCATCTGTGCCTTCCGGGATGTTTGAGGAAATATTCTCTGCTCAAAAGATATGTATGAAGCATTATTTGAGACCTTTTCAGGAATCATCTTTGTGCCTGGGAGTCTCCAGCTGACTGCCAAGGAAATTTGCTAACAATTACACGTGTCTAAAGCCCAATGCTTTGGTGCGAGTGAGGCTATGTTCCCAGTCATGGTCTCTGCCATGTTTGACTGCCCTACCTTGAAGACCAAGCTCCTGGTGTCAGATAAGTGCTATGATGGGTGGTTGGATTTCAAGGAGCTGATTCAGTAAGTGGACATTGCAAATGAGAAACTTAAATCAAGAAAATGTCTGATTTTGGAAGATAGAATGTTGTATGAGAAGGTGGTGTGAGTGGTTGTAATGAGAAGCTTAATGGTAATTTCTAGTCCTGAAAAAAAAAACAAAACAGAGTAACTCCCCAACACCCTCAACAGAAGAATCCCTGATCTGGCCTACAAGTTCTCAGTCTGAGTGAACGTCTCATCTTCTGATTCATACTTGACCATTCATTCTGAGATGGTAAAAAAATAGGTGATAAAAATATAAACACATTACAAAACATAATAAAAAGCTTATATATATACAAAATTATATAATGGAATACCATTCAGTCATTAAAAGGAATGAAATTATGTCTTTTGCAGCAAGTTGGATGGAACTGGAGGCCATTATCTTAAATGAAATAATAGAAATACAAAGTCAAATACTGCATGTTCTCACTTATAAGTGGGAACTAAATAATGTGTACACACAGATATAGAGTGTAGAATAATAGACACTGGAGACTCGCAAAGGTGGGAGGTTTTGAGAGGGTGAAGAATGATAAATTACTTAATGGGTACAATGTACACTATTTTGGTGATGGTTACACTAAAAGCCCAGATTTCACCATTATGTAACAAAACTGCACTTGTATCCCTTAAATTTATACAAATAAAAAAAAACCCACTGGCCCTGGGATATGAGAAAATACATATTAAAACAACATGATGCCATGTTTATCCTCAGGTTAGCCAAATACAGTAGTCTCCCCTTATCTGTGGTTTTGTTTTCTGTGGTTTCAGTGACATGTGGTCAACCATGGTCCAAAATAGTTGAGTACAGTACGATAAGATATTTTGAGAAAGAGAGAGAGATCACATTCACACAACTTTTATTACAGTATATTGTTGTAATTTTTCTATTTTATTAATTATTGTTTTCAATTTCTTACTGTGCCTAATTTATAAATAAAACTTTATCATAAGTATGCATGTTTAGGAAAAAAGATAGTGTATATAGGGTTCAGTACCATTTGTGGTTTCAGGCACTCACTGGGGGTCTTGGAACATATCCCCCAGGGATAAGGTGGGACTACTGTATTAAGTTTGATAATTATAAATGCCATCTTTAGAGAGTAATATTTTAGTGTCCAGAGATGTAAAAAAAAAAACCATGAACAAGACAGACAAAGCCCCTATCCTCATGGATTTTATATTCTAGACAACAAAATGGACAACAAGAAAACACATAAATGATCAAGATAATACAGTTTCCAAAAGAAACTCCCAACAAAAACAGGCAAATTAAATAGAGTGATCTCATGTGGAGATGGGGGAATTATCTTAGATTTGGTGGCTTCTTAGGAGAGGATGAGCTGAGACTTGAATACTATAGAGCCAGCCTTTTGAATATCTGTAGGAATAATATCAGAGAGAATACTAAGGTACAGGACCTGAGGTGGGAAAGAGCTTGACTTGTTTGAGGAACAGAAAGAATACCAGGGTGCCTGAAGTGTGGTGAGTGGAAAAGAGAGTAGGAGGAGAGGAGGTTGAATAGCAAGGGAGAGCGAGATTACAGCGGGTCTTGTAGGTTATGTAGGAAATGTCTGTGGAATGTGGAGGAGAAGGACTTGATCTGAGTGACGTTTTAAAAACTCCTTCAACTGCTGTCTGAACAATGAGAGACAAGACAGGTAGTAAAGGACCTGGCAGAAGGCCAGTGCAGTCGTTTAAGTGAGAAGCCGTGTTGGTATGGACCATGATGGTGGCAGTGGACACAGGACTGGGAATTTGCAAGGCGAATAAGGAACTCGTCTCAGGCACAAAATGTAAAGGGGCACTGAAAAATCCAGTGATCAAGAGAAATAATATTTTAATTTTCAAATACATTTTAAAAATCAAATTATAAAATAATTTTCATAATTGAAGTTTAAAAATTTGTATATAATTTTACATATTTATTTTATATATTTATATCATCTGTTTATAATTTATAATTTCATAAATTTTATGCTTTTAATACAATAATTTAATTTTTTTAATTAATAAAATCATATTGGCAAACTTCTGCTGACAGATCACCTGCTTCTATTTTTATAAATACAATCTTATTGGAACCAGAGACAACATTAGGGTGACCAAGTAAGGTGAGTCATGCAACTGCCTGGTTGGATTACAGGCTGTGTGAGAACTATACTTTGAAGCTGGCTTGGCTGAATCCCATTCCTAAATCGTATTGGGTATACTTGGCCACTTTGGGAGCATTCATTGTCATGTACTTATTTTAAATTTTGTGGCTGGGCACGGTGGCTCACACCTGTAACCCCAGCACTTTGGGAGGTCGAGGCGGGCAGATCACTTGAGGTCAAGAGTTCAAGACCAGCCTGGCCAACATGGTGAAACCCCATCTCTACTAAAAATATATAAATTAGCTGGGTGTGTTGGCAGGTGCCTGTAGTCCCAGCTACTTGGGAGGTTGAGGCAGAAGAATTGCTTGAACTCGGGAGGCGGAGGTTGCAGTGAGCCGAGATCACACCATTGCACTCCAGCCTGGATGACAGAGCAAGACTCCAACACAAAAATAAATAAATTAATTAATTTAATTAAATTTGGATATTTTATTATTAATTTTTGACAGTTTTGATTATTTTAAAAATATTTCACTAAAATATTATTTATCTTGACTACTGAATTTGCTGGTATCCCCTTAAATATCATGTCTGTCACAAATGTTTCACTTGCTCCACCTTAGTCCCAGCCCTGAGTACAGATAATGAAGAGAGACAGACTTGTGACACGTTGTAGAGGTAAAGTTGTCAGGGCTTGCCAGTGGTTAGGATGTGGCATAGATAGCTGGGTAGATAAGTAGATACATAGGGAAAGACTGATAATAAGGATTACTACAGATTTTTGCCTTGAGCAATTGAGTAAATAGAGGGTATTTTACTGAGAAAAATAAGGCTGGAACATAAAGGCATCATATATTACTTATCCAACAGAAATTAATGCAAAAAAATTAAGGGAAAAAATGGCAGCTGCACCTCTAACAAATCATCACCCAATATACCAAGATACTAGCTGTTATTTTAAAAAATCAAAGATTACCAAACCAGGAGCCTAGGCTCTAAGTCAGAGAACCTAAATTTAGAACCTTGCTGTTGCATCTTTTGCAATTTACAGAGTTGTACCTCCAAAGCAGACCTTCATGGGGACCAAAAGTCAACATCCAATGGCTATATTCTTCACCAAAGGGACAATGGGAGTTTCCAAACTGGCCGAGTATTCCCAGTATGATTTGGGAATGGATTTCAGCCAGCCTTCCAGATATAGTCCTCACACACCCTATTCAGGCTTGAAAGCTCTTCTCTGGAGTGGTAAAGGGAGAGTTTCATGAGACTAAAGCTAAAAAAAAGAGTTCGTTACTCAAGATTGCAGAAAACATCAATATTGAGAGAAGGAACAGGGCTGAAAGCAGGGTGGGAGGGTGTACACCAAAGGATCGAAAGTAGATTACTATAGATCAAAAATCTAAGAGTACACGGTAAAAAGAGGAAGAGCAGTGAATCCATGCAGTTGAGGAGGGATCCAGGATGATTATCCCAAAGACGCACCGTTGGATGTTACTTGTTCTTCAGTGCTACCAGCACCGGGGTGAATAATTGTGTTGACCCCTATATGTAGTGATAAACACAGAGATAGAGTCACAATTTATGAGGGTTTGGGGTTCTAGAGTCAGATTCTAAGATGAGAATCACATGTCATCACACTACCCCTTAAAAAAATTATTTAAGTAGCTCACGAATACTTTTGGGCATGAGTCACTGGGCCAATGCTAATGCCTCTTTCTAGCATCAGTAAAATTGCCACAATTTTACTGGCAATATCCAGGCTTATTAATCAAAGCAACAATGATCAAAACAAGGCTTCTGGGGTTCAGAAGTAAACGTCTCTCTTGGCAAATTCAAGGGATGCTGAAACTGATTTCAATCTCTTTGGTTGAACACTCAATTAAGTAATTAATTGGGTTGCATTTGTTTTAGTTTGGTTTGTCTGTGGTTAAGTTTCTCAACCTTACATTCAATTCTGCCTAAGATAAATGGTTGTGTGTTGTGACTCCACACTCAAGTTCTCTTAACAAACTCTACTCAAAGCTTCCTTAGGGGAAACAGGTGTATGTGATGTTCATACTCACCTCAAAGGCTTTGACTCTCATAAGCTATAATGGCCAGTGGATATCAGGTAGAGAATTAGAACAGGAGAAACTATTCTAACTCATTTATTAAAATGGTTTAGGAGATCATTCATTTATTCAATTAATTAATTAATAAAAGTGCTTACTAGAACACTTCAGAGACCCCTGAAAGCCATGAATCCTGGAAGGCAATATCATACCAATTAAGTGATACTCACAGAATTTAAGGAGACTCCATTAGCCTCCTGGCCTCATAGCCTTTGTTTGTTTTCATTTGGGTGGTCCTTGTTTCTCTCCACAGATTAGTACTTGATAATAGCAAGTATTATTGTTGTTGCTAGTACCAACATGAGAAAATCCAAATGGCTTTCCTATTCCTCTTTAGATGGTGGATGGATCTCCAGCCAACAAATATTTTTTGGTGTAAGTGATGCCTTTGATGGATCTTTAAGTACTGCCTTGGGAGCTCAGCTCCAAGGAGCCTGTGTGTTTCTGTGTCACATGCCAATTTTCTGTCCCGAGACTGTTCTAAATGTAAGACCAGGTCCTTGTTGTGGGACATGTGGGGCAGAGGCCAGAAAGAGGCATTAGCAATGGCTCAGTGGCTCATGCCCCAAATGGGGCAAATCAAGAATTAAATTCGGAATGTGATCTTGACTTAAAGATGCTCTCCCTACTTCTGAGAGCAATGCCCCCTCACTTCTCTAGGGCCTTTGGAATTAGGAGGACTTGGCTACTTCAGTTGTAGCACTCAAAAGAAAGCTTTTTTTTTTTTTTTTTTTTTTGAGACAGAGTCTTGCTCTGTCACCCAGGCTGGAGTGCAATGGCGTGATCTCAGCTCACTGCAACCTCCCGCTTCCCGGGTTCAAGCGATTCTCCTGCCTCAGCCTCCCGAGTAGCTGGGATTGCAGGTGCCCGCCACCACGCCCAGCTAATTTTTGTATTTTTACTAGAGACAGACTTTCACCATGTTGACCAGGCTGGTCTTGAACTCCTGACCTCCGGTGATCCACCCACCTTGGCCTCCCAAAGTGCTGGGGTTACAGGTGTGAGCCACCGTGCCTGGCCTGAAAAGAAAACTTTTAAAGGACAATAATGACATTGAAGAAGACAATATTAATATCAGTTACTATTCATTGACTATCCACTGGTACTTCATATGCATTATTTCATTTCATCTCTCCAACAACCCTGTAAGGGAAAAACTGGGGAAACTGAGTCTCATAGAAGATAAGTACCTAGTCCAAGGAATCACAGAGGTGGAATTAGACATTAAGCAATCATGGTCTATTGGACTCCACAGCACAATCTCTAAACTGTTGTGCTAACCTCTTAAGTGCCTCCACAATCCACAATTTTACTGGCAATATCCAGGCTTATTATTCAAAGCAACAAAGATCAAAACAAGGCTTCTGGGATCCAGAAGTAAATGCCTCATTGTGTATCTATTCAGATATCAGTGAATAACATGATAGCTGCTAGGTTCACACAGCTAAAGCTAAATTATCTCCCAAGGTCTGGAGGGTGAGGAATCACTAAATCTCCAAGACAAATGGCATGACCCAGCCGAGTCTCAAAGTTAGTGGCCTTCCCTGGACCTTCCCCCGCCACGGTCTCAACTGTCTTTCCTACTTAACATATAGATTTGGTTTTTTCTTCCTTGGGGTCCCAGGCTCTGTCCAGGTCTTCCGTCACCACTCTATCTGCAAATCCACTGATGTACCAGGAACTGCTTCAGCACAAGTGTTTCGCCAGGTAAGAGAGGATCTTTCAGGAGAGAGTCCATTTCCACTCACGGTATCATAAATAAGATTAGGAATCCTCAGTTTGTTGAAGTAGATCCAATCCTATCTTTCATTAACACACCTATCTTGTTGCCATTTATGACAATAACTTCATTAGAGTGTGGGATTTTTTTATTCTCTTGTGACTTTTCAAAGCCGTATCTTCTGGCTCCACAGGAGTCCAGAATATAGAACTAAATTATAATCATAAGGTTGAGTTTGTTTAATCAATTTGTAATTACACCTCCCTTTAAAAAGATAAACATTAAAGACAAATACATTACCTATAAATAAGGTAAATATTAAAAACAAAGACCACCTTCCTTATTGGATATAAATCCTTTTAGGCCTTTTAAAAATAAATTTATATTTATCTACCCATCTTCATTGCAATATACTGAAATATTGGGATGGGATTATATAGATGGTATCATACTATGTATATCATAGTAAAACCTGCATTTTCACTCCACACTGTTCCTTAGAGCTCTATTTATGATAATATGTGTAATATATTTTAATCATTGCATAGTATTCCTTAGTATGAATGAATTATATGTTAATGAGCCCCAAGTACCTATCAAGGATACTCGAATCTTTTCCAAGCTGCTGAAATAAGAATCTTTGCACATATCCTAGAATTCTCTAGAGTAACCACTGAGAAGTGGAACTGCCAATGTTTTGTGGAGTCTGGGTGATGCCCAGATTAATCATCACTAAAGATTAATGAGAAAGCACAGGTTCCAAAGCATTGTATCATGCCTTAGAGTTTGCTAAATAATTATTTAACTCTAAATTTTACTTTAGCTGTGTGAGCAAGGACATATACTCTCTGAAGGGAGCATTTGTGGGAGGAAAGAATAGCAACGTATTAAATTATGATGACATAAATGCCTAGTTCATTGGCATTTTATGGAGCAATTAAAAATAATTAAGTTAAAATACAGTATATCTTTATTCATCAACATGCCATCCCATATAAAATGTTCAGATTCTTTCTTTCTTTTTTTTGAGACAGGGACCTGCTCTGTTGCCCAGGCTGCTGAGGTGCTCAAGGGATCCTCCCATCTCAGCCTCCCAAGTAACTGGGACTACAGGCACATGCCACCACACCTGGATGTTTTTTGTTTTCATTTTTTCTAGAGACCTGGCCTCACTATGTTGCCTGGTCTTGAACTCCTGGGCTCAAGCAAGTCTCCCACCTCTGCTTCCCAAAATGCTGGGATTACAGTCATGAACTACTGTGCCCAGACAGATTATTTCTTATACTCTTGATAGAAAAGGACTTAAAATTTTACAAATAGTCAACTCTCACTTGTACCCTTAAATTAATAATAAAAAGGCAATGATAAAATGGTGCCTTTGGAATTAACTCAGAAACAGTTCTCCAATTCTGATCTTTCTTAGTCTCAAGACCTAACTCGGTGGGCAGGTCAGGTATTATCTAATACAGATGAGCTACCACATAACAATTAATTGACACTCTTGTGTTCAAAATACATAGTCATTCTATCTCTATCTGAGACCATGAAGAGGTTTGCTCTAATCATCTTCCCACACTGGACCCTTCTACCATCACCAAAATAAAATACACATAAAATGAATTGTGGGTTTATAAAAAGTGTTCGCTACTATTTATCTATGTCTGGGGCCCTATGGAAACTTCTCATATATCCAGAGACTTTCAGCCCAGTTTGTAAAATTGGTGGCTGTCTCTCCATCCCCAGACTTCAGAAAATTAGTTCCTTCTTTACCTTACCATTGCTGACACATTCTTCATGCACAGGTAAGGTTTTTGGGGTGATAATAGAACTCAGAAGGGTTTCTACAGAAGGCTGGCTTCCTACCATCAGTTAATACTTACTTACTTTTAGCATTAATACTTCTTGTCCAGAAGAGTAAATGAATCTTCATAGAGACTGATGTAACTGAGATGTCTGAATAGATTATCTAAAAGACTAGTAATAAGAACATAAACTACCACTTAATGAGTACCTCCTATATGTTTGGCAATATCTGTATCATTTTTGCAAGTTTCTTTCTCACAACAGACCTGTTATTGGTAGAAATATTCACTAAGGCTAAGAACAACTTTTGATGCCTCTCCAGCTACAGATTCAAGAGTCTGAAGCTTTGTGTGTCTGTAGGAGGATCCATCAGCCCTGGGGTGATTGAGGACTGGAAACACATCACTAAATTGAACATCTATGAAGGCTATGGGAAGACAGCAACTGTAGGTTGATGCTGATTCACCATTCAGCCAGAAACCAAACTTGTCCATTCACTGTGTAAGCACATTGTCAAATCACTAGCACACACTAGAAATGCAGAACTGGATATGAAGCACGGGAAAAGGAATTGCTTTAATCTAAAGGGACCCCCCTTCCATTGCAAGACAAAGAATTACAAGTACAGATAACTTATAAACTTACAGATTTCACAGCAGGAAGTTGAGCTAGTTTCCACCTGACAATTCCTGTTTACTCTGTGAAGTATGAGGCAATGTCACCTGACGAGAATGTGAAAATGATGTGATAGAATTCTGAGTGGAGGATGTTTAAAATGATCATTGCTGAATATGGAAGAAAGAGCAGATTGCGAAAATAAAGGAGAAATGGGTAATTATAAGATCACATTTGAGGTTGCTGAGCATTCATTTTCAAAGTCACTAATCTATGTAGTTATGTGATTTTCTCCAATATCACTCTAAAATACAGATATAAGCATAGTGAAAGTAAACAGTTGGATTGAAGCAGGATTAAAGTTGTGCCAAGAAGATCCAATAAAAGGGCAGTGGGCAAGGGATCTAGTGATATTGGAAAGAAAATAGTTAAGATGAAAGACTAAGAAACTAAGCTGACTGGGGAAGGAAGAGAATTCAAGAAAAGGCAGATAAGTTGTGTGAAGGCAAAGCACTGGGGATGTCAATGGAGCTGGAATGACTGAAGGTAGTTGTTTTAGGCTGCTGTAACAAAATATCATAGATTGGGTGGCTTAAACAACCAAAATTTATTTTACTCACAGTTGTAGATGCTGGATGTCCAAGATCAGAGTGCCAGCATGGTCAGGTTCTGGGGAGGGCCCTCTTCTGAGTTGCAGACTATTAACCTCTGGTGGTATTCTCACATGACAGAGAAAGAGAGAGAGAGAGCAAAAAGTCTCTTTCTCTGTTTTGTTGTTGTTACTTTTTTTTTTTCTTAAGAGTTAGGGTCTTGCTCTATTGCCTAAACTGGAGTGCAGTGATGCAGTCATAGCTCCCTACAGCCTCAAACTCCTGGGCTCAAGTGATTCTCCAACCTCAGCCTCCCAAGCAGCTGGGACTACAGGTACACACCACCACACTTGGCTAATTATTTATATATTTTTTAGTAGAGACAGGGTCTTACTATGTTGCCCAGGCTGGTCTCAAACTCCTGGCCTCAAGTGATCCTCCTGCCTCAGCCTCCCAGAGTATTTAGGACAGGCACGAGTCACCGTGCCCAGTGTCTCTTCTTATGAGGGCAGGAATCCCATCATGAGGGCATCACTCACATGACCTCATCTAAACCCAATTACCTCCCAAAAGCCCCATCTCAAAATACCATTACAGTGAGGAGAAGGGCTTTAGCACATGGATTTGGGAGAGATACAATTTAGTCCATAGCAGCAGTGGTCAAACAGTGAGATACATAGACTTAAGATTTCAGAGGTAGAACATTTGCAGGTGATGCTAACACAAGAGTATAGCCACAGGTGGATTAAGTGTCATGACACTCCCTAGAGATCAGGGTCAATAAATGAAGAGACCAGAGGGTAGAACTTGTCATTCATATAGATGTAGGAGGCACTCAGGATGATGGTGGGACGTGGAGTAAAGGAAAGATCATGAACCTCGTGATGAAGGCTTTAATGGATAAGGAATGACTGGGAGATTGGTAAATTATAGCAACCAGGAGTAGTAGAGGGTGGTAAAGGTAAGTGGTGTGAGTCTTAGAAAGACAGGGGCATTGTACATAGGGTCAGAAAAGTAATGGTTAGGAGTAATCATCTCTTATGTTTTAAAATATTAGACAAAATGTGAGACTGGTGATATTTTGACTAGAAGTCACATGACCTAGATTCTAACACAACTCTGCTACAGAACAACTGAAGGAGTCGTAAGAGGGCCCTCTGTCTTTCTCTGTGCCTGGTTTCTGATTCATTCATTCACTCACCCATTCCATGAACACTTATGGAAAGCCCACATTCTCCTAAGCATGGGGACATCGTGATAAGCAAAGCCACAACAACCTTCACAGGGCTGTAGAGTAGCAGAGCAGATTTAATCAAAGAATTGTGTAGTAGAAGTATAGCCAATACCAGAAATAAGTGATCTGAAGTGAAGGACCAGAACTCATTGAAGGTATATTACAAAGAACCTAACTTCTTTTACGGAATTAAGAAAATCTTCCCTAAGAAATTCCTGTTCTGAGAGCTGAAGGATAAATAAGGGTTCACCAGGTAGGGGACGGGGCATCTTGGGTGGAAGAGATCAGGTTGCACTAGAGAAACCCTCTGAGGGTTCATGCACAGACTACAGAGGGTCAGGGGGCTGGGATGCAGGAGTCACTGGAGAGGTGGGGACCATCCAGACCTTCCAAGTCCTTTAGAGCCAATACAGCTCATGGTCACCCAATGTTCGTCCTGCCTTCTCTCTCATGATAAGACAATAAGCTGAATGTGCAATGAATCAGTCAAGGTAGAAAAGCTAAACAAGTTGCCAAGGTCACACAGCTACTTGCTTTAAAATATTTTAAGTGAGATATGATTCATATATTATAAAATTCACCATTTTAAGTATATACCTGAGTGGTTTTTAGTATATTTGTAAGGTTCCAAAACCATCAATAGAAGCCCTTGTTTTTAGGCACTACTTACTTTGGCCTCTTTTAACCTCCAGAAGAGATCATTTACATATATATATATATAATTTTACATTTTAAATATATATTGTTTAATATTTTATATCTATTAAGTATATTATATATTGTTTAATATTTTATATTTATTAAATATATATAATACATATAATATTTATGTGTTTAAGTGTGGCAAAACATTCACACAATAAAGCGCATGACTTTTTTTTTCTTCAACTTTTATTTTAAGTTCAGAAGTACATGTGCAGGATGTGCAGGTTCATTACATAGGTAAACTTGTGCCATGGTGATTTGCTGCACGGATCATCCCATCACCTAGGTATTAAGCCTGGCATCCATTAGCTATTCTTCCTGATGCTCTCTCGCCTGCCACACCTTCCTCTGACAGCCTCTACTGTGTGTTGTTCCCTCCCATGTGTCCATGTGTTCTCGTCACTCAGCTCCCACTTATAAGTGAGAATATGTAGTGTTTGGTTTTCTGTTCCTTCATTAGTTTGCTGAGGATAATGTCTTCCAACTCCATCCATGTCCCTGCAAAGGGCATGATCTCATTCCTTTTAATGGCTACATGGTGTATATGTACAACATTTTCTTTATCCAGTCTGTCATTGATGGTGCTTAGGTTGATTCCATGTCTTTGCTATTGTGAATAGTGCTGCAATGAACATACACATGCATGTATCTTTATAACAGAATGATTTAAATTCCTTTGGGTATACACCCAGTAGCGAGATTGCTGGATCAAATGGTATTTCTGTCTCTAGGTCTTTGAGGAATTGTCACACTGTCTTCCACAATGGTTGAACTAACTTACACTCCCACCAACAGTGTAAAAGTGGACCTAAACTATACCCTACAATAAATGGACTTAACAGATATTTACAGAACATTCTACCCAACAGCTGCAGAATATACATTCTATTCATCAGAACATGGAACATTCTCCAAGATAGACCATATGATAGGCCACAAAACAAGTCTCAGTAAATTTAAGAAAATCGAAATTATATAAAATACTCTCTCAGACCACAGTGGAATGAAATTAGAAATGAACTATAAAAGGAACCCTCAAAACCACAGAAATACATGGAAATTAAATAACCTGCTCCCGAATGATCATTGGGTCAAAAATGAAATCAAGATGGAAATTAAAAAATTCTTTGAACAATAATAGTGATACAACCTATCCCCTCACCTGGGCCTTTGCTCCCTGCTCTCTCTTTCTCTGCTTCTCTCTGCTTCCTCCTTTTCCCCTCCTTTCTCTCTCTCTGCCCTTCCCGCTACCCCCTTTCTCTTCCCCACCCCCATTCTCTCTCTGCCTGTTCCTTTCTCTTACAAACCTCACCCCCTACACTCTGTGTTCCTTTCCAGCCCTGTTCAGAGGGAGCCTCTCACGACTGACCTCTGCACATCCCACAATTTGAAAATTATAGAAAGATGGTGAGGGGGACACAAAACTTATTGAGAAATGTCTGCTCTCCGCTCAGCTTCTGTCAGACCTACCTGCATTTGGTGCTACTAGGGGCAGCTGGTTCAGTGGGGATAGGGCTCTGACAAACCCTGAGCTTCTGCAGGGTCTCATCACTGGCTCCACAGCCACTGCTGGTCCCTCTTCTATTCCCTATTAAGATAAATCAGCCACCTCATGGGGATACATTCCTGTCCATCTTATCACAAGGAACCCCTGTGACTGGCAGGCATCAGGTGCCCAATGACTATTTCTAAAATGAATGAGCACAATCTCCACTCATGGCTTGATGCGGGACATTTCCCCACCCCAGAAAGCCCCCTTGGGGCCCTCCCAGTCGACACTACCCAAAGGGCAACCCTGCTTCTGCAGCCAGCACTGCAATATCTGCCTGGGTTTGAACAGTGTATGAGGAATCATACCTGGTACACCGGGGGGTCATCTGGTCCTCCAGAAAACAGACGCCCAAACAGATAGGACTGCAAACCTTTATTAGGGGAAACACTACAGAAGATTAGAGACAGATGAGGCAGCACTGGGCAGGCAGCGTAAAATGTATTGGATACTTTTCCAAGTTATGTAGGAGCCACAGCATGGCTGTCACAGCTCAGGGGCCTCTTCAAATTTCAGCTTGTCCTTTAAAGCAAAAAAAAAAAAAAAATTATTTCCATGTGATCTTCTTTTGTCTTATATACACTTTGTCTTCTATAAAATATCTGTGCCCCTGATAAATACTTCTGTGTGTGGCTGCATCTGTGTCTATATGCCATGGAAAGCAATTATCTATGGGTCTCAGGTATAGGTCTTACAGTTTAACTGTGTACACATTCTTATAATTATCTTTTCTTTTATCTGGTAGAATCTGAATTTTAATCGTGGAGACAGGGGCTTTGCCTTATCTTTTGAAACAGGGATTGGAAATCTCTGGGCCTGAGCTATTACAGCCTATGGTTTATCTAATGAACTTCAATGAACATCTTTTGATGATCTTCTGAGTGGGAATATTTTCATTTAAACAGTGAGGGGGTGAGTGTCTAACATCTGTCAGCTATTTTGGAAAATGCTTCCTTTATGGGCTTGGTCTCTTTGTCCTCACAATGACCTCATAAACCACATCATCCCCAGCTCATTTATAAGAAAGCTGAGGCCCTGAGCTCCACTGAAAGTTGGTATCTGGGCTCAGACAGCAGGGACAGAGGGAAGGGTGACAATTTTGCATGACAATGTTGGAGATGCAAAGCTGGGAGTCAGAGGTGAGAAGCAGAGGGTGCCAGGAATGAGCTGAGACCCGACCTGCCAGGGCAGCTCAGGATTGGCCTTCAGTTCCCCAGCAGAGTCGGTTTCATTCTGAAGGCCAAGGCCGCAGCTCCACTGAACCACTGTTAGTCTCCTTGAGCCATAATAAACTCAGGCAGATAGGGTCCCCTTATAGAACCAAGTTAAATTTCCCAGACCTCTAGGCATTCATTCACCCTGATCCAGAGCCTTCACACATCCAGGGAAAGAATCATCCTTCCCGCAGATAATGGACTAAAGGCTTTAGGGCAACAAGCAACTTCTGGGAAAGATAATTCTCTTGTCTACACTGTGCCATCTGAGCTCTCCCATAGTGGCTCTGTTGTGGCCCTCACGCAGCCGCCACGCTCCTGCTCACACTGCTTGCGCCTGCCAGAAGTGGCCTTCCAGCTCCACCTAAGTGAGTTCAACAAACCCCCATGTGACATCTCCCAACTTTATCTCTCTTCCATGCCCTCCTCTTTATTCCCAGGAGAATCTGTCTTCCTCTTTTGCATTCTGGGGCCCTTCACTCGTGCTTCCATTATGGATGGTCACAAGATCCCTGCCCTTTGGTGTGTGTCTCTCTGCTGTAGGACATAGGAAGCGCTGCAGGTCAAGGGTGCGTCTCATCCCTCACAGAGCTGGCCACATGGTCCAGGTTCCATACATGCCTGCAAAATTGGTATTTATGGCTTCTATAAGCAATCTCTTTCCTCATCTACAAGAGATACCTGCTGCCTTGCTTGTGATGGGGAGATGATGCAACCCACTTTGTGCCCTCAGAAACTTGAGAAAAGTAACCACGTCACTGAGTGCGGTGGCTCACGTCTGTAATCCCAGCACTTTGGGAGGCTGAGGCCGGCAGATCATCTGAGGTCAGGAGTTTGAGACCAGCCTGACCAACATGGAGAAACCCCGTCTCTACTAAAAATACAAAAAAATTAGCCCAGCATGGTGGCACATGCCTGTAATCCCAGCTACTTGGGAGGCTGAGGCAGGAGAATCTCTTGAACCTGGGAGGTGGAGGTTTTGGTGAGCCAAGATTGCGCCATTGCACTCCAGCCTGGGCAACAAGAGTGAAACTCTGTCTCAAAAATAAATAAATAAATAAATAAAATAGCCATGTCCCCAGCCAGTGTTACCCTCGTATTGCAAAGTCCTGCAGTACCATCTGTGACATTTCTTTCTACTCATTCAATGAGGAGAAAAAAGATGAATCCGCTTTAAAAGTCAGTCCATACTTTTCAGATCAACATACCAAGTGGTGTGCATGGAGGCAGTGGTCGTGTTCCCAGAGGCCACCCAGGCAGAGGAGGTGTCTGGCAGCCCACAAATGGTCCTGAAGAGCCAGCCATGCAGTAGAGCAAGTAGGGCAATCCTGAAAAAGGGGCCCTCCCAAAGCCATATTGACCTGCAGAGCAGAAGGAAGAAAAGTTTCAAAATGCATTAATATGATGGACAAAAACACCAACACCAACACCAACCCCATGCAGCAGGTGACAGTCCCTGGCACCTTTCTTTCCTCCAGATTTCAAAATAGCAGTGTCAGTGCCAAAAAATCTCCCTTCTACTGAGTCCTGAGGACAGCTGGGGTGTGAAGGGAAGCCATGAGGATAACCTGCTGTCACCACATGCCACTGTGTCTGTCTGCAAATGCAGGCACTCTGGGTCCTGTTCCAGGGAAGACAGAGCCATTACACAGTAATAAAAAAGCATATTCCAGACACATGAGTGTCCAGCCCAGGTATACTCCCATCCCTCCCTCACCACCATCACTGAAGTTGGTTCCTTGCATATGATGAACAGAAAGAAAAGGAGGAATGAAAAGTCCATTATTCATACAAGAATCACAGCTACTCTTGGGAGAACTTTGTATAGGCCTTTTATGTCCTATCTCTGATTCTCAGAATGCTGCAAGGTCAGTGTGGCCACTCTGCACTAAATCGAAAGAAAGAGGATCCCAGAGGAAGGAGAGAATTTACCCAGGGTCACACAGCTTGCAAGAGGCAGAGTGGAAATTGATCCCATCTCTACCTGTAAGACCCTCTTGTCCCCCTCTGCCTCCCTTCCTGACAAAGGGTCTTCTCTACTCTGGAGGTACAACCTGTGGGCACAAAAAGCTCTGGGGAGATATGAATTACTGAGGTCCTGCAGGGGAACTGGGAAAGGATTTTCTGATAGAACAATCTAATCTATAGAAGTCAGTTAGGCACAGCTATAATATTTATTTTAACTCACAGGTATTACCAAATTTTAAATGCACTATGACATAAAGAACAATTTTGTCCATGGAAAAATGAGATGGGAGTTCTAAATAACAGAATTAAAACAACCGTGACTTAATTTCAAGTGCAGAAATCCTGTCATGTGTGATCGGAGGACTCACCAGCTGTGAAAGCTACAGGGACCACATGAGAAACAGCTTAGCTGACCATAATTTAAGGCCTTTGTTGGGAATTGTCCTTGTAGGTAATTAGTGACTTTCACTCTTCACTATCTCACATCCAGTGTACATTTTCTATTACAAATATAAAACCTCTGACAACTAGAATGTTCGATCAAGGGCACCACTGGATGGAGACGGGGCATTTTTGCATAGCAAAGTTGCCAAGAGAGATGGGACAGTGATGAATTATGGAATTTGCTTTGTCAAAGAGCATTCAGAATTGCACAAAACACATATTAATACTGGATGAATGAGTTTTCATATTTTTCACTTATGGGGGTTACAGCAGATATTCTAAAAGTTAGTCACCTACCCCATAGAATTAAATAACAGCAACAAAATATCCCCATATATTTGGGGAGGGGACCCAGCAACATCTTGAGTAAAAAGGATCAGTCAGGGTCTACTGGGCCATGAGACCGATAGCAGTGGAGTTAAGTGGCATCTTCTCATGTTATTTCTGGAAATAGAACAGTTAAAGCTCTTCAGCCTTTGGCCCTTAAGCATTTATGGTCTCTGGAAGTGCCACCAAAGATGACCAGCTGGGAATGGAGAAGACTGAAGCCTCGTGGAGAATATTTTGCTTTTTAAAAAGTAAAGAGACAGAAAAGTTACCACAGAACACACAAACCAGAGACAAGGCCAGGAGAGGGTGCTATATGAAAAGACAAAAGTGTCCTGAAATAGGCACAGTGAAAATGACCACAGCATTTACCTTTATCTCCTCTGTGCTCTCAGTTGGGATGCAGCTGCTGTTCCTCATGGGAACCAAATAAGGTCCTGAATCTGCTAAGGGCCAGAGAAGGGATCGGGGCTTATTCTGGCTTGCATGTTCTTTGCAGAATAAGAATCCCTCCATGTCCACCTCTGCCATGTCACTGTCTTTGTCACAGTCAGGTCCCTTACCAGAGTTACAGACTTTATTAACCAGATGCCACAGAGGACCCTGGAACTCTCTGGACCCTTGTCCTTGAGAAGGACACCACAGAGCCCTGGTCTTAACAAATCAACTAACTGCGAACAGGTAGGTCTCGAACTAGCTGGAAATCAACTGTAAATCAGAAGTTCCCAGTGCATATCAGAGGGAACTACTTATAAATTAAGCACAGACTAAAAATTAAAATAGGAGCATTCAAGGATAAAAAGAATATCAATAAACCCTGGACAGGAATAGCACTGCTCCTTTTTTTCAAGCCATAGAGACATTCACAATTCTTTGGATTCATATTTAATCTAACTTCCATATCAGACCAGGTATTATAAATATTAATGAACAGAAATAACTTAAAGAGACTAACAGTAATGAGAAAAGGTAAGAACTATGGGAATTAACTGTAAAGTTTTAGGGTTACACTTAAAATGTTAGAGGAGTAAAACTGCATAGAAATTTATTACTAATGGAATTGTATAGTTCACAATAAACAATTTAAACAAACAAAAATAATAAAGGATGCTCCAAAAATAGTAAATAAATGCCTCTTTTCCTAAAACATATCTCATTGTACAATATTGATTCATGAAGACATAGCAATAAAATTTCCTCTCTCATTAGGACATACAGTTCCAATTCTAAAATGTTATTGGTGTTGCTTTTATCAAATGAAAGAAAAATAAAGCCTTCACTCTGACGCAAGGTGAGAAGTGGAGCTGGCTCATTTCCCTTCTAGGCTCATCACCTCTGTTAAAAGTAACCAAAAGCTCAGGATGGGGTGGTGTCCACAGTCAGTGGAGGGGACTGAGCTCCACCATTCATGGGGGACTGGACGAGAGCCATTTGTCTGGGGCATTTGAGGAAAATTGTGTCCTGACACCCAGTGAGACAACTGCTCTCTTTAGTAAGTGCTTGAAACTCTTTCCAGGAAACATAACAATTACCCTCCACCCTGACCCCTCACCCCCAAAAGGAGAAGCAGAGTGTGTGGATTGTACAGCAGAAGTTACATGGCTGCCTTCACAGTGAGCTCCTACCTCTTTGGGGATGATTCTCTATGCCTGGTTGTCCACTAGCTGGCTCCTGACTAATGTGTCTCTCCAGCACTCTCTGTTTTTCAATCATTTCCTATCTTGGAGATAGAGAAAGAATGAACTTAAATAAGAATTAAAACACCAAGTTCTTTACTAGATACTCAAAGCTTTGTCTTAAAACAAAAACATCCTTAGAAATGTCCATCACAATTACCTACCTGTGCTGCTTGTAGGCAGCCTTCTTCTCTTGCATCTCCCTCTGCGAGGCTTAAACACAGAGCTGTGGGGGAGAAAAATACATCCACGTCCTGACCTGGCAGATTATGTCCAAAAGCAAGGAAAGAAAAAAAAAAAACTTACCCAGTTGTCGTAAGCCTTTCTTTCAGAAGTGGCGATCTGAAAAAGCCAACACATGAGAAACCATATGTTTAAGGAGTCTAAGGGCCATGAGATCATTTGCATCAGCGCTGAAGGATTCTGCAACTGCTGGGAAGAAGGCTCCTTACCTGGCATCTGTAGTAGTCTTCTACCCAATTCTGCTGCTCTTCTGTGTCTTCCATCATTTTCCTATGGTTTAGAATCACTTTTATCAGGTAAAGTGCCATTTTAAGTATGATTTTAAATAAACTGCCATGTTCCTGTTATCCTCACAACTGTACCCTTACACAATCTATCCATAGATAGAAAACGCATTCCACATGGTTATAAAAATACAGTACTATAAAAAACTGTTGCTATATTGATTCCTTATCTATTATTTAATGCCTGCTGGGTTCTGAGTTGGCAATTTCCTTACCTACTCTCAGTATGTCCTTAATTTATCCTTCATTGAGCATCACTTATCATAAATCTCTATTCTCCTTGTACTAATATCCTTACCATATTTCACAGGGAAGAACAACTGGGCTTATAAACAGGCACAGTCCTTTTTAAGGATGTGATTGATCCTACAACAATGCACTTTCCTAAGGATGATGACAATCATCCCTAGAAAAGTTTGCGTAAACTGAGTTTCAACACAGTCTGCCCAGCATTGGAGTCAGGAAACGTTTTATTACTTCACAGTTTTTGGTCACTGGTAAATCTCTTTTTTTTTTTTTTTTTTTTTTTTTGAGACGGAGTCTTGCTCTGTTGCCCAAGGCTAGAGTGCAGTGGTGCGATCTCGCCTCACTACAAGCTCTGCCTCCGGGATTCATGCCATTCTTCTGCCTCAGCCTCCTGAGTAGCTGGGACCACAGGCGCCCGCCACCACGCCCGGCTAATTTTTTGTATTTTTAGTAGAGACGGGGTTTCACCATGTTAGCCAGGATGGTCTCAATCTCCTGACCTCATGATCCGCCCGCCTCGGCCTCCCAAAGTGCTGGGAATACAGGCATGAGCCACTGCGCCTGGCCAGTCATTGGTAAATCTTAAAGTACTTTGTTTTCTCTTGTGTGAATTTTCTCTCTCTCTCAATATGTCTTCTGACCATTTGTTTATCTTTCTGTGTTAATTGGGTATAAACATTGTACAAAGGTTAAAAACAAAATACTCCAACAGGGGTTTCCCAAGAGGTTGGTATTGAGTCTCTGAAGTCACTTGTAGGTGTGTATTTCCTCAATTACTAATTTCAAGCTTCCCTGCGCCTCTGACAACTGCCTCTCCTTTGCTGCTCGCTCACGTTCTTTCATCTCAGCTTCCTGAGATGAGAAAGGAAAGAAATGTATGCACATGATCCAGTAGCCAGTGTGGGATTCTTTCTTCCCTTCCAGCATCTGAAGACTGTGATTAAAAGGTCCTTTGCCAATCTTCCCATATATATACCAACAGATCTTCATAATGAGAGGGAGAATGGAAGCCTCCCATTGAGGGACAAAAAAAAAAAAAAAAATTCACACTCTGGCCTGCTGGCAAGTCCTCTGTAATTTCCAGCTCCTCTTCATAGCTCTATACTCCTACTCACTAGTAAGTAAATCAAGGACTATAAAAAGCTTCTATGAGATGCACTATGTGTCCTTCTGGGGTCAGTCTTGTGCTTGACACAGTGAAAGCTCATTTTAGTTCAATGTGGAAAACCAGACCTGACCAACTCATCACAACTAAATCAATCAGGATGGAGCAGAGGATCATTCTTTGTCTGACTCCTCCCATGGGGAGACCTGATTCTCAGTCAGAGGCTGGTGCCAGAACCCAGACAATCAGCCTTAGAGAGATCCTTCCAGGATATGGTGTCATTAACCCTGTAGTTCACCACTGCACGTTTCCATGATTCAGAATTGGAACTCTTGTCATCGACTTCAAAGATTCTGGTTGACAGAAAAGGTAAATCTGAGTGCTGGGCACATCTACTGAATCAAAAATAATCTGAGTGGCTCCTTAGTCAGGGTGTTATGTCCTGGAAATAGGTGATAACTGCAAACCATCAACCCTGGTGTTGATCGAGTTTAACAAGGTTCAGTTCATCGATAGTGGAGGCAGAAAATGGCAATAGCCTAAAAAGATAGGTTTGCTGTGTTGCCCTCACACTACTTCATTCACGACTCTGATTCAAAGGATCTCATTTGAGAATTGATTTCATATGAAGGACACGTAAAATTCGCCAAACTTTAGGAAACAGGGACAAAGACACTTTAAAGAGAAAGTGAATGCACTTGTTTCTGAATACCTAAGCCATCCTTCAGCACATGCTGTCTGGAGTAGCCCAAAGCAAGGAGTTTGTTGTGAGGTACTGATGATGCAAGGGGAGCAGGGACTTGTTCCCACCCTAAAGGAGCTCACAGTTTAATGCAAATGAGAAGCCAGTGAGAACATCATTACCCCTGCTGTGCTCTTGAGAACTAGGAACACAAAACATGAATCTTAAGAAAAGCAAAGGAGAAGTTCTGCTTTTGAGTGGGGATGAGTGCATCTGAAGCTTCTGATCTCCCACGAGAACAATGGAGAACACCAGACAGAATATAAAACACATGATTGAATGCATCCAATTGCTAACATGGCATTAAAGGACATGAGGACAAGATGGATAAGAAAACCTAGGACAAAGGTCAGCCCAGCATTCGGGGCCCATTTCCCTGAGTTTCACTGCTTAATTCCAGAAGGGACTACTGAGATGTAAAGAAGCAGAGCACCCTTTGCACACTGCATGGGATTGGATGGAAAACAAGTGGAGTTGAGGGTCTTCCATTGAAGGTGACCCCTACTAAAGTCCAGTAGCTTTGGTTGGGACCCAGAAGAGTCACACGCTAGGAATAAAGGTGGACAGGAAATACATTTGCCTTTATAAGGACTGAGCCTTCACTGATGACCTCAATTGCTGACTGGATAAAGGGAGTCCAGGTCTGCTAGTACCCCTGACCATTCACCAGAAGTAGACTCCCATTTTTTCTGCAGGATAACATCCAACTAGGCCTCAGTTTGTTTCTGAATATTTTTTACAGTGTCTCACATTTAATAAAAAATGATTAGCCATATGGCAGGAAAAATGCAATGTAATATGACCAAAACCTAAAGGACTATGAAAATAGATCTAAAGGTGACCCAGGTATTCAATGTAAAGACGTCAGTACCAGTTCCTCCTCTTCTACCTAATCAATTACAAACAAGAATGTATGAAGGGAAAGGAAATATGCAGATTACAGAAATCATGGCAGGAAGGACAAGCACAATTTTCTAAAGACTTAATTTGCCACAAATATTGCATAAAATATTTTAAAGGAAATTATAATTGTCTCCTTTGGTTGACACATGGTTCATACAACAGCATTTGTGTCAATGAACACATTGACATCTTACTCTTCCTCAGTAGTCGTTCTTTGTCTGTAGATTTTGTAAACACTATCTACTTTCATCTTCATCTTTTTTATTTCAGGTTGCACTTCTGCTTCCATAGAACTTCGTGAAGCAAAGAGGACTTTCTGGTCATTTTTCATTCCTGGAAAGGATAAAACCATTTTCTTTGTGTGCATGCATGTGTACCTGAGACCTTGGTTAGGGTGGGGAGAGGAGAAGGTGAGAAATCTGAAGGCAGGAAGCTGTTCTTCACCATCCCAGGGCAAACTCATTTCCATGCTATCGGGACTCCATCAAATAGTAAACCTTCCAGCTTATGATTATTGGACCTCCAGGGTCTCAGCTGTAAATCTTTGAATCTGTCATTTACATTTTGTGACTTTAAGACAGATTTGAGAAAAGACATTTAAGAAATAATAATTGTACAACAACATGAATATACTTAACACAACTGAACTGTACACTAAAACATGGTTAAGATGGTAATTATTATGTTATGAATATTTTACCACAGGTAAAAATGTTTAACAATTTGAAAAGCAAGTAATTATACTTAGCTCTCTGAGTTCTATAATTTGTAACATTTCACCACCTGCTCCTTCTTGATCTTCAGCGGAGTACCTCCCTTCTGTCCCTGCCCTACTTCAGATTCCACTTTCCCTTCCCTGACACCACCTTCATTAAGGCCAGTTTGAACCTGATGCGAAATATTCTCACTAATGACTTAATTTCCACAAACAAAGAATTCCATGTGGATATCATATGATTTTAATCTTCTAAGACATGAAATATTTGTTCTCCTCATAGCTAAGATGCAATGAAAGTCTTGTGGCAGATGTGGGTCATTTACCTCTGAAATTCCTGAGGTATTCATTGAAATAACATCTTTCAAGTTCTTTGTAGAATTTTGTTTCCAACTTTTGCATATAGGATAGAAGCAAAACATGTACCAGGATTTCAGTAGATGCACCAAATGGTCTGCTAAAAAGATGAAACAGCAACCATGCCTATCCCACAGCTACTGCTATATTTCATGGGGAAGTAGCTGGCCCAGTATGAGGATAGGAGAAATGTTGAGCACATTTATAAATGAAGAGCAAAGAAACACCATGAGGCATGAACATTTTGTGGCACCCATGATATTCCTGCTTACAAGATAATGGGATAAGTGAGTAGATGACAAGGAGAAAGTAGAGACAATGCGAAATTGTTCAAGTCAAACAGCTCAACTGAACTTTTCTTAATGGAATATTTAAAAAGAGGCACGTAAAGAAAAACTTCCCCCAATTCACACTGAAACATTCTCTGTTCAGCACTAAGTGGGGTAGGGACTGTTCAATGTGCCTAGATATCTTCATCACTCATATATTTTCTGTTTTCTGTATATCTTGAAGGGCAGTGCCAAATAATGTGACAATTACCTATATTGTAAAAATAAAACACACTTCCTATTCCCTTTAATATAAAAAGTCATTGTGGTATTAGTACTTTTATTCCAGGTCATTGTTCAGAAGAAGGTTCAGCCCCCAGACACCCACACTTTTACTGTGGCGGGCAGCAAGATAAAATGTAGAGCTCAATTCACCCAATGGACAAAAAGGCTCAAAAGCCAAATTGAATCATGGTACAATTTAGCAGCCAAATTCTTATCAAGTTCAGACTTTTGACATGCTGATCCCTCTCAATTGCAACTGGGAACATGTACTTTGAATGACATCATTCAAAATGTTATTTTTCCTTCAAAGTTTTTGATGTTATCCTTCAATAAAACATATGAAATCATTAACAATTATTCATTACTCTTCTTTCTGTTTTTAGACTGTAATCCAGGCAAAAACAAGGGATTTTACCTTATACTTAAGCATTTCATCAGAGAGAATCTTGTGTTGTTTCTTAGTTTCTTGAGGATGTTTCTTTGATCCACTGATCTATATAAATATGTAATAAAAACCAGAATTTAAAAATATTATACTGCTAGAAAAACCTATCTTGAACTATGTAACTCCTAACACAAATGAAAACAACAGTACTTTACATATATGAAGCTTACTTTGAATGTGGACAGTTTATAGACCATATGAACTAGGACACTAAGTGAAAGGGGAAGGACCAAAATAACAGAATTGTGGGAGGTGGGAGCTATTTAAAGTGAAACCATGAAAAATTAAAAAATTGAAAAGACAATGATACTTTCTGTTCCCAAATGTATATTTCTTCTACAAGTTCTGACTTTTCCTTCTTGACATTAATCTTCTCAGAAACTGGTTGTAAATTAACTAAAAGAAGATAAAAACAATCTCTAAGATTAGGAAAACCTCATAAAATTGAATTACCCTAATGTATTAGCTGCAATCACACACTATCTGGCACTATGATCATAAAATAACTTTTTTTAGCTTTATTATTGCACTTGAAGATAGCAAGTTAGTTAATTGCTTTTTGAGCCTAAGAAAAGAAATATGAAAATAACAACCCTATTTCAATGAGAATCCTATTTGATAATTTTCCAAATATTGGGAAACATTTAGTCTTTGCCTAATTGCTCTCCATCAATAGCCACTATTCTTCTTGGAAAATTCCATCAGTTCAAACAGTTTTACCATCATCAGAGATGAAACACAGTGAAAATTAAATATCCTATCTATAACTCTTCTGTCCTCTAATTATCAAGGCAAATAAATAGGTCCCTTCAAAAAAGCCCCTCATTTTGGCAGGCTTGATTCACTTCCAGTCACTCTTTGCAATTCCATAGAAGGAACATTCAAAGTATCAACTGATTGGCTATTCAAAAGCCTCCAGTGTTCTCCTGCTGCCCAGCAGGCTGTCCTTCTTGAGAACCAGTGCAGGGGCTTCTGTGACGTGGTGTATGAAATCCAACAAGCTTAGGTACAATCTCAGGTTTACCACTTAGTCTCTCCAGGATCTGGATGATTCACAAGCCCTCTAAGACAAGCCTTTCATGCCCAGGATGAGAATGTCACCACCCACCATAGACATCAACAGCATGCAGGAAGCTCCCATCCTATAGGTGGAACATAAAACACTTGGCACACAGCCCACAATTCCAGACCCCACTGCCAGGCATTTAATCCTCTCATCTGACCCCAAAGTGCAATCTTCTTTTCTATTTGCCCATTGTAAGAGCTTTGCTGCCTTGAGGTCCCTCTTCTCAATACTACCAACGTTGTAATCACTGTAACCAACCCTAGCCTCTGAGGGCCTACTATGTGCCAGACAGTGCAGCTCTCAACAGACAGCAACAGGTAATCTTCACAGTCTATGAAGAATGTGCAGAATTCATTCTCCACATTGTACATCAAATTCATTTCCACATATTCTACATTGGCATTAATGGCCCTCTTCACTTAACACTCAAAACACATGTTATAAACCTCTAATATGATACACATTTTGTTCAGCAATATCTGGATTTTTCTCTAGGCTCAGGTAGTGTCTTAATCATCTTTCCATTTCTCCAAGAGCCAGGTCATGCAAAAGTATTCCTGCCACACTTCAAATTCATATCAGCACTTGCTTCTTAAATATTGCTGTGATAAGCTAAACTCATCCTATTCTCTCTACTCTTATGATCTCTTCCTCCTCCTACTCTCTTATCTCAATAAATGGTAACTCCATCTATGTTGTCATTTAGACTTTAACCCAGGAAGAGTAAAATTTTCAAGAAGTAAGAAGTCAACCGGATCAACCGGATATAAGGATTCATTGTATTTACTCCCAGTTGAATTTGAGCCCACATGAAATACTAGTGTGAGAAAATATTGAAAAGAAATAGACACGGCCAAGCACAGTGGCTCACACCTGTAATCCCAGCACTTTGGGAGGCCAAGGTGGGCAGGTCACGAGGTCAGGAGATTGAGACCATCCTGGCTAACACAGTGAAACGCCATCTCTACTAAAAATACGAAAAAAAAATTAGCTGGGCATGGTGGTGGGTGCCTGTAGTCCCAGCTACTTGGGAGGCTGAGGCAGGAGAATGATGTGAACCCCGGGAGGCAGAGCTTGCAGTGAGCCGAGATCATGCCACTGCATTCCAGCCTGGGCGACAGAGAGACTCCGTCTAAAAAAAAAAAAAAAAAAAAAAAGAAAAGAAATAGATACCTAAAAATCTTACCTTGATATACTGAAGGCCTTATCTGCAACAAGAAGAAAGAAAATCAAATTTTATATCAAATCATATTAAGAAATATTTATAGTTCTTGATAAAATAGCAAAACTTGTAATCCAATGAAATTATAATAATCATTTAGTTCAACATAATAACTTCATAGTGTTGACTCTCAGAAGACAATACTCCAGAAGATGATGCTTTGGCATACTCACGGCTTCGAATTAGTGGAGATTGTAAGGCCTCAGAAATAAGCCTCAGAACCCAAGGTCTCCTTCTGAACTTCTCCTACCCACTATATTGCTGATCCGTCCTGGAATCTCTAAGAGGGGCTTTTTCTGAAGTTTCTTTATCTAATTAATGGAAGTTCCTCCAGAAGAAATATAATTGTCTTAAAATTCCCTCCTAGGAATTTCATGAAGTAACCATGAAAGATTAATCACTGGAGAAGAGAAAAAATTAAAAGTCATTACCTTGCCTAGACATACTTTTCATTTATTCTTCAGAGAGCAGTTCCAAGAGATTACCTGGGACTTTATCTGCATCATAAGACAACCTTTGTTCAAAGTGCCATTCTGCCCCTCACCTTCTTGCAACTTGTCACCACCTCCCTCACATCTCAGAGGAACTTTGTCCCAGGCCAATTGTTTGTTGCTTGGGCTGTTTCATTTCCCCTAAAAATCATTTACTGCCCCTCTAAATTGCCTACGTCTCCATCTCCCTTTCCCCAGTGAAGAGGGTGCTGTTTAAGCTTTAACCTTCTGGCCCTTCTTGCAGTCTCACATTTTGTATATTTTGTATGGCTCTCATGTTTATGCCTGTTAATAAGTTTGTATGGTTTATCTTATCCTCTTAAGCTGTGTATTGTCAGTTCATGTCTGCAGTGAACCTTTGGAGAGGAGAGTGGAAGCTTTCCTTCCACCCATACAATAGAAATATAAATCAGAAAGGTTTAGAAAGGATTTCCTATTTAAGTGGTGACACTTCATAATCTATATCTGATAAAGAGCGCAAAGGTAAAAAACTTATTTTTGACCAAAAGATCTGTTTGCATTCTCTTAAACAAACACCTATCTATTTAATTTTTATAATGTAAATGGTTGTCATAATTATCATGCTAATAAATCATTTACCTGATTTTTGTGAAACTCAATATTCATAATGAAGTCCAAAACCATGAATTGTTTTAAATAATTTCTTTTTATTTATGATTAAGAGTATATCTCTACAGTAAGTTCATATACTCACACCAAGGATAGTTCTCCGAAAGAAAATGGCAAATGTAGAAATTCTCAGGAAGGCAGCAATAATTATTGGTTTCCCAGCTTAGATCCAGCTGGGAACAAGCTACATAAGCAAAAAACTCCATGGCTCAAACAGTTACACAATTTGCAGCTACCAAAGAAAAAAGTGATTATTCTCTCCTCAGTCAGTTGCTACGAGTAACACGTCTGCACAGCATATCAGAAGGATAGAAGAGAGCAAGAGCCCCCCCACACAGTCTCTCACACATGCATCCTCTGCAGATGTTAAAAAATCTCCATGGATTAGATGCTCATATTAGTAAGAATTTGAGAAACAGCAGAAATGAAGGACCATGGCAAAAAAAGGAAGATTAAAACAAGCAAGGAGATTTCTTCCTTCTAACCTTTCATCAACACATAAAATTTAACATACTATCTTACTTTGCACAATGAAAATGAGAACATAATCCCCAATTTCACAATTATCAGTTATAAAGAACTAGACATTAAATATTTCTGAAAGTAGCTGAATAAAATGTCAACTATTAGATCACATTTGCAAAGTAATCCACTAAAATTTATTTATTTACTTATTTATTTTTTTCTTTTTTTTCTTTTATTATACTTTAAGTTTTAGGGTACATGTGCACAACGTGGAGGTTAGTTACATATGTATACATGTGCCATGCTGGTGCGCTGCACCCATTAACTCGTCATTTAGCATTAGGTATATCACCCGATGCTATCCCTCCCCCCTCCCCCACCCCACAACAGTCCCCAGAGTGTGATATTCCCCTTCCTGTGTCCATGTGATCTCATTGTTCAATTCCCACCTATGAGTGAGAACATGCGGTGTTTGGTTTTTTGTTCTTGTGATAGTTTACTGAGAATGATGATTTCCAATTTCATCCATGTCCCTACAAAGGACATGAACTCATCATTTTTTATGGCTGCATAGTATTCCATGGTGTATATGTGCCACATTTTCTTAATCCAGTCTATCATTGTTGGACATTTGGGTTGGTTCCAAGTCTTCGCTATTGTGAATAATGCCGCAATAAACATACGTGTCCATGTGTCTTTATAGCAGCATGATTTATAGTCCTTTGGGTATATACCCAGTAACGGGATGGCTGGGTCAAATGGTATTTCTAGTTCTAGATCCCTGAGGAATCGCCACACTGACTTCCACAATGGTTGAGCTAGTTTACAGTCCCACCAACAGTGTAAAAGTGTTCCTATTTCTCCACATCCTCTCCAGCACCTGTTGTTTCCTGACTTTTTAATGATTGCCATTCTAACTGGTGTGAGATGGTATCTCATTGTGGTTTTGATTTGCATTTCTCTGATGGCCAGTGATGATGAGCATTTTTTCATGTGTTTTTTGGCTGCATAAATGTCTTCTTTTGAGAAGTGTCTGTTCATGTCCTTCACCCGCTTTTTGATGGGGTTGTTTGTTTTTTTCTTGTAAATTTGTTTGAGTTCATTGTAGATTCTGGATATTAGCCCTTTGTCAGATGAGTAGGTTGCAAAAATTTTCTCCCATTTTGTAGGTTGCCTGTTCACTCTGATGGTAGTTTCTTTTGCTGTGCAGAAGCTCTTTAGTTTAATTAGATCCCATTTGTCAATTTTGTCTTTTGTTGCCATTGCTTTTGGTGTTTTAGACATGAAGTCCTTGTCCATGCCTATGTCCTGAATGGTAATGCCTAGGTTTTCTTCTAGGGTTTTTATGGTTTTAGGTCTAACGTTTAAGTCTTTAATCCATCTTGAATTGATTTTTGTATAAGGTGTAAGGAAGGGATCCAGTTTCAGCTTTCTACATATGGCTAGCCAGTTTTCCCAGCACCATTTATTAAATAGGGAATCCTTTCCCCATTGCTTGTTTTTCTCAGGTTTGTCAAAGATCAGATAGTTGTAGATATGCGGCGTTACTTCTGAGGGCTCTGTTCTGTTCCATTGATCTATATCTCTGTTTTGGTACCAGTACCATGCTGTTTTGGTTACTGTAGCCTTGTAGTATAGTTTGAAGTCAGGTAGTGTGATGCCTCCAGCTTTGTTCTTTTGGTTAAGGATTGACTTGGCAATGCGGGCTCTTTTTTGATTCCATATGAACTTTAAAGTAGTTTTTTCCAATTCTGTGAAGAAAGTCATTGGTAGCTTGATGGGGACGGCATTGAGTCTATAAATTACCTTGGGCAGTATGGCCATTTTCACGATATTGACTCTTCCTACCCATGAGCACGGAATATTCTTCCATTTGTTTGTATCCTCTTTTATTTCCTTGAGCAGTGGTTTGTAGTTCTCCTTGAAGAGGTCCTTCATATCCCTTGTAAGTTGGATTCCTAGGTATTTTATTCTCTTTGAAGCAATTGTGAATGGGAGTTCACTCATGATTTGGCTCTCTGTTTGTCTGTTGTTGGTGTATAAGAATGCTTGTGATTTTTGTACATTGATTTTGTATCCTGAGACTTTGCTGAAGTTGCTTATCAGCTTAAGGAGATTTTGGGCTGAGACAATGGGGTTTTCTAGATATACAATCATGTCGTCTGCAAACAGGGACAATTTGACTTCCTCTTTTCCTAATTGAATACCCTTTATTTCCTTCTCCTGCCTAATTGCCCTGGCCAGAACTGCCAACACTATGTTGAATAGGAGTGGTGAGAGAGGGCATCCCTGTCTTGCGCCAGTTTTCAAAGGGAACGCTTCCAGTTTTTGCCCATTCAGTATGATATTGGCTGTGGGTTTGTCATAGATAGCTCTTATTATTTTGAAATACGTCCCATCAATACCTAATTTATTGAGAGTTTTTAGCATGAAGGGTTGTTGAATTTTGTCAAAGGTTTTTTCTGCATCTATTGAGATAATCATGTGGTTTTTGTCTCTGGCTCTGTTTATATGCTGGATTACATTTATTGATTTGCATATATTGAACCAGCCTTAGAATGAAATGAAGCAAGAAGGGAAGTTTAGAGAAAAAAGAATAAAAAGAAATGAGCAAAGCCTCCAAGAGATATGGGACTATGTGAAAAGACCAAATCTACGTCTGATTGGTGTACCTGAAAGTCATGGGGAGAATGGAACCAAGTTGGAAAACACTCTGCAGGATATTATCCAGGAGAACTTCCCCAATCTAGCAAGGCAGGCCAACGTTCAGATTCAGGAAATACAGAGAACGCCACAAAGATACTCCTCGAGAAGAGCAACTCCAAGACACATAATTGTCAGATTCACCAAAGTGGAAATGAAGGAAAAAATGTTAAGGGCAGCCAGAGAGAAAGGTCGGGCTACCCTCAAAGGGAAGCCCATCAGACTAACAGTGGATCTCTCGGCAGAAACCCTACAAGCCAGAAGAGAGTGGGGGCCAATATTCAACATTCTTAAAGAAAAGAATTTTCAACCAGAATTTCATATCCAGCCAAACTAAGCTTCATAAGTGAAGGAGAAATAAAATACTTTACAGACAAGCAAATGCTGAGAGATTTTGTCACCACCAGGTCTGCCCTAAAAGAGCTCCTGAAGGAAGCACTAAACGTGGAAAGGAACAACTGGTACCAGCCACTGCAAAATCATGACAAATTGTAAAGACCATTGAGGCTAGGAAGGAACTGCATCAACTAACGAGCAAAATAACCAGCTAACATCATAATGACAGGATCAAATTCACACATAACAATATTAACTTTAAATGTAAATGGACTAAATGCTCCAATTAAAAGACACAGACTGGCAAATTGGATAAAGAGTCAAGATCTATCAGTGTGCTGTATTCAGGAAACCCATCTCACGTGCAGAGACACACAGAGGCTCAAAATAAAAGGATGGAGGAAGGTCTACCAAGCAAATGGAAAACAAAAAAGGGCAGGGGTTGCAATCCTAGTCTCTGATAAAACAGACTTTCAACCAACAAAGATCAAAAGAGACAAAGAAGGCCATTACATAATGGTAAAGGAATCAATTCAACAGGAAGAGCTAACTATCCTAGATATATATGCACCCAACACAGGAGCACCCAGACTCATAAAGCAAGTCCTGAGTGACCTACAAAGAGACTTAGATTCCCACACAATAATAATCAGAGACTTGAACACCCCACTGTCAACATTAGACAGATCAACGAGACAGAAAGTTAACAAGGATACCCAGGAATTGAACTCAGCTCTGCACCAAGTGGACCTAATAGACATCTACAGAACTCTCCACCCCAAATCAACAGAATATACATTTTTTTCAGCACCACACCACACCTATTCCAAAATTGACCACATAGTTGGAAGTAAAGCTCTCCTCAGCAAATGTAAAAGAACACAAATTATAACAAACTGTCTCTCAGACCACAGTACAATCAAACTAGAACTCAGTATTAAGAAACTCACTCAAAACCGCTCAACTACGTGGAAACCGAAAAACCTGCTCCTGAGTGACTACTGGGTACATAACGAAATGAAGGCAGAAATAAAGATGTTCTTTGAAACCAACGAGAACAAAGACACAACATACCAGAATCTCTGGGAGGCATTCAAAGCAGTGTGTAGAGGGAAATTTATAGCACTAAATGCCCACAAGAGAAAGCAGGAAAGATCCAAAATTGACACCTTAAAATCAGAATTAAAAGAGCTAGAAAAGCAAGAGCAAACACATTCAAAAGCTAGCAGAAGGCAAGAAATAACTAAAATCAGAGCAGAACTGAAGGAAAGAGAGACACAAAAAACCCTTCAAAAAATTAATGAATCCAGGAGCTGGTTTTTTGAAAGGATCAACAAAATTGATAGACCGCTAGCAAGACTAATAAAGAAGAAAAGAAAGAAGAATCAAATAGACGCAATAAAAAATGATAAAGGGGATATCACCACTGATCCCACAGAAATACAAACTACCATCAGAGAATACTACAAACACCTCTACGCAAACAAACTAGAAAATCTAGAAGAAATGGATAAATTCCTCGACACATACACCCTCCCAAGACTAAACCAGGAAGAAGTTGAATCTCTGAATAGACCAATAACAGGAGCTGAAATTGTGGCAATAATCAATAGCTTACCAACCAAAAAGAGTCCAGGACCAGATGGATTCACAGCCGAATTGTACCAGAGGTACAAGGAGGAACTGGTACCATTCCTTCTGAAACTATTCCAATCAATAGAAAAAGAGGGAATCCTCCCTAACTCATTTTATGAGGCCAGCATCATCCTGATACCAAAGCCGGGCAGAGACACCACCAAAAAAGAGAATTTTAGACCAATAGCCTCAATGAACATTGATGCAAAAATCCTCAATATAATACTGGCAAACTGAATCCAGCAGCACATCAAAAAGCTTATCCACCATGATCAAGTGGGCTTCATCCCTGGGATGCAAGGCTGGTTCAATATACACAAAACAATAAATGTAATCCAGCATATAAACAGAACCAAAGACAAAAACCACATGATTATCTCAATAGATGCAGAAAAGGCCTTTGACAAAATTCAACAACTCTTCATGCTAAAAACTCTCAATAAATTAGGTATTGATGGGACGTATCTCAAAATAATAAGAGCTATCTATGACAAACCCACAGCCAATATCATACTGAATGGGCAAAAACTGGAAGCATTCCCTTTGAAAACTGGCACAAGACAGGGATGCCCTCTCTCACCACTCCTATTCAACATAGTGTTGGAAGTTCTGGCCAGGGCAATCAGGCAGGAGAAGGAAATAAAGGGTATTCAATTAGGAAAAGAGGAAGTCAAATTGTCCCTGTTTGCAGACGACATGATTGTATATCTAGAAAACCCCATCATCTCAGCCCAAAATCTCCTTAAGCTGATAAGCAACTTCAGCAAAGTCTCAGGATACAAAATCAATGTACAAAAATCACAAGCATTCTTATACACCAATAACAGACAAACAGAGAGCCAAATCATGAGTGAACTCCCATTCACAATTGCTTCAAAGAGAATAAAATACCTAGGAATCCAACTTACAAGGGATGTGAAGGATTTCTTCAAGGAGAACTACAAACCACTGCTCAATGAAATTAAAGAGGATACAAACAAATGGAAGAACATTCCATGCTCATGGGTAGGAAGAATCAATATCATGAAAATGGCCATACTGCCCAAGGTAACTTATAGATTCAATGCCATCCCCATCAAGCTACCAATGCCTTTCTTCACAGAATTGGAAAAAACTACTTTAAAGTTCATATGGAATCAAAAAAGAGCCCGCATAGCCAAGTCAATCCTAAGCCAAAAGAACAAAGCTGGAGCATCACGCTACCTGACTTCAAACTATACTACAAGGCTATAGTAAGCAAAACAGCATGGTACTGGTATCAAAACAGAGATATAGATCAACGGAACAGAACAGAGCCCTCAGAAATAACGCCACATATCTACAACTATCTGATCTTTGACAAACCTGAGAAAAACAAGCAATGGGGAAAGGATTCCCTATTTAATAAATGGTGCTGGGAAAACTTGCTAGTCATATGTAGAAAGCTGAAACTGGATCCCTTCCTTACACCTTATACAAAAATCAATTCAAGATGGATTAAAGACTTAAACGTTAGACCTAAAACCATAAAAACCCTAGAAGAAAACCTAGGCATTACCATTCAGGACATAGGCATGGACAAGGACTTCATGTCTAAAACACCAAAAGCAATGGCAACAAAAGACAAAATTGACAAATGGGATCTAATTAAACTAAAGAGCTTCTGCACAGCAAAAGAAACTACCATCAGAGTGAACAGGCAACCTACAAAATGGGAGAAAATTTTCACAACCTACTCATCTGATAAAGGGCTAACATCCAGAATCTACAATGAACTCAAACAAATTTACAAGAAAAAAACAAACAACCCCATCAAAAAGCGGGTGAAGGACATGAACAGACACTTCTCAAAAGAAGACATTTATGCAGCCAAAAAACACATGAAAAAATGCTCATCATCACTGGCCATCAGAGAAATGCAAATCAAAACCACAATGAGATACCATCTCACACCAGTTAGAATGGCAATCATTAAAAAGTCAGGAAACAACAGGTGCTGGAGAGGATGTGGAGAAATAGGAACACTTTTACACTGTTGGTGGGACTGTAAACTAGTTCAACCATTGTGGAAGTCAGTGTGGCGATTCCTCAGGGATCTAGAACTAGAAATACCATTTGACCCAGCCATCCCATTACTGAGTATATACCCAAAGGACTATAAATCATGCTGCTATAAAGACACATGCACACGTATGTTTATTGCGGCACTATTCACAATAGCAAAGACTTAGAACCAAGCGAAATGTCCAACAATGATAGACTGGATTAAGAAAATGTGGCACACATACACCATGGAATACTATGCAGCCATAAAAAATGATGAGTTCGTGTCCTTTGTAGGGACATGGATGAAATTGGAAATCATCATTCTCAGTAAACTATCGCAAGGACAAAAAACCAAACACTGCATGTTCTCACTCATAGGTGGGAATTGAACAATGAGAACACATGGAAACAGGAAGGGTAACATCACACTCTAGGGACTGTTGTGGGTTGGGGGGACGGGGGAGTTATAGCATTAGGAGATATACCTAATGCTAAATGACGAGTTAATGGGTGCAGCACACCAGCATGGCACATGTATACATATGTTACAAACCTGCACATTGTGCACATGTACCCTAAAACTTAAAGTATAATAATAATAAAATTAGATTAAAAAAAAAGAACATTCTTTTTCTTTTGAATGGACTTGACACCCTTCTCAAAAATCAGTTGTCCACAGATATATGTGTTTATTTCTGGAATCTCAACTCTAGTCTATTGATTTATATGTCTATGCATATGCCAGTACCACACTATTCTGATTACTGTAGCTTTGTCACAAGTTTTGAAATCAGGGAATGTTAAGTTTTCTAATTTTTTTTCTTCTTGTTCAAGATTGTTTTGGGGACTAGGGGCCACTTACAATTCCATGGGAATTTTAGGATTAGCTTTTCCATTTCGGCAAAAATTCCTGTTGATATTTTGATAGCTATTACATTTAATCTGTAGATTGCTTTGGTTATTATTGTCACCTGAACAATATTTAAGTCTTCCAAACCATGCGCATGAGATAGCTTTCCATTTATTTAGGTTTTCTTGTCTTACTTTCAACAATGTTTTGTTGTTTCCAGTGTACAAGTGTTTCACGTCCTTGATTAAATTTATTTGTAAATATTGTATTTTTTGGATGCTATTTTAAATGGAACTGGTTTACTGATTTCCTTTTCAGATTTTTATACTAGTGTACAGGCATAAAACTTTTTGTGTGTTTTTTTCTTGAACCCTGTAACTTTTCTGAATTTGGTTTACATTTTTTGTAGACTCTTTAGGAAAATCTCTATATAAGATCTTTTTTTTTTTTTGGATATGCTTTTTTTTTTCTTTTTAGTATTTATTGATCATTCTTGGGTGTTTCTCGGAGAGGGGATTTGGCAGGGTCATAGGACAATAGTGGAGGGAAGGTCAGCTGATAAACATGTGAACAAGGGTCTCTGGTTTTCCTAGGCAGAGGGCCCTGCAGCCTTCCACAGTGTTTGTGTCCCTGGGTACTTGAGATTAGGGATTGGTGATGACTCTTAACGAGCATGCTGCCTTCAAGCATCTGTTTAACAAAGCACATCTTGCACCTCCCTTAATCCATTTAACCCTGAGTGGACACAGCACATGTTTCAGAGAGCACGGGGTTGGGGGTAAGGTTATAGATTAATAGCATCCCAAGGGAGAAGAATTTTTCTTAGTACAGGACAAAATGGGAGTCTCCTATGTCTACTTTTTTCTACACAGACACAGTAACAATCTGATCTCTCTTTCTTTTCCCCACATTTCCCCCTTTTCTATTCGACAAAACCGCCATCGTCATCATGGCCCGTTCTCAATGAGCTGTTGGGTACACCTCCCAGACAGGGTGGCAGCCGGGCAGAGGGGCTCCTCACTTCCCAGACGGGGTGGCCGGGCAGATGCGCCCCCACCTCCCGGACAGGGCGGCGGCCGGGCAGAGGCGCCCCCCACCTCCCTGGTGGGGTTGCTGCTGGGCAGGGGCTGCCCCCCACCTCCCGAATGGGGCGGCTGGCTGGGCGGGGGTTGCCCCCCACCTCCCTCCCGGATGGGGCGGCTGGCCGGGCTGGCTGCCCCCCACCTCCCAGATGGGGTGGCTGGCTGGGCGGGGGCTGCCCCCCACCTCCCTCCCGGACGGAGCGGCTGGCTGGGCGGGGGCTGCCCCCCACTTCCCCGACGGGGCGGCTGGCCAGGTGGGGGCTGCCCCCCACCTCCCTCCCGGATGGGGTGGCTGGCTGGGCGGGGGCTGCCCCCACCTCCCTCCTGGACAGGGCGGCTGGCCAGGCGGGGGCTGCAACCCACCTCCCGGATGGGGCAGCTGGCCGGGCGGGGGCTGCCTCCCTCCTCCTGGACAGGGTGGCTGCCGGGCGGAGACGCTCCTCACTTCCCAGACGGGGCAGCTGCCAGGTGGAGGGGCTCCTCACTTCTCAGACGGGGCGGACGGGCAGACATGCTCCTCACCTCCCAGACAGGGTGGTGGTGGGGCAGAGACACTCCTCAGTTCCCAGACGGGGTCACGGTTGGGCAGAGGCGCTCCTCACATCCCAGACGGGGTGGCGGTTGGGCAGAGACACTCCTCAGATCCCAGACGGGGTCGCGGCCGGGCAGAGGTGCTCCTCACATCCCAGATGGGGCGGCGGGGCAGAGGCGCTCCCCACATCTCAGACGATGGGCGGCCGGGCAGAGACGCTCCTCACTTCCTAGACGGGATGGCGGCCGGGAAGAGGCGTTCCTCACTTCCCAGACTGGGCGGCCAGGCAAAGGGGCTCCTCACATCCCAGATGATGGGTGGCCAGGCAGAGACGCTCCTCGCTTCCCAGGCGGGGTGGCAGCCGGGAAGAGGCTGCAATCTCAGCACTTTGGGAGGCCAAGGCAGGCGGCTGGGAGGTGGAGGTTGTAGTGAGCCAAGATCATGCCACTGCACTCCAGCCTGGGCAAGATTGAGCACTGAGTGAGCGAGACTCCATCTGCAATCCCGGCACCTCGGGAGGCCCAGGCTGGCAGATCACTCGTGGTCAGGAGCTGGAGACCAGCCCGGCCAACATGGCAAAACCCTGTCTCCACCAAAAAATACAAAAACCAGTCAGGTGTGGTGGCGTGCGCCTGCAATCCCTCGGCAGGCTGAGGCAGGAGAATCAGGCAGGGAGGTTGCAGTGAGCCGAGATGGCGGCAGTACAGTCCAGCCTCCGCTCGGCATCGGAGGGAGACCGTGGAGAGGGAGAGGGAGAGGGGGAGGGGGAGGGGGAGAGGGAGCTATATAAGATCTTATCATCTGTGAATACACAGAATTTTACTTCCTGTTGCAATTTGGATGACTTACTTTTATATCTTACCTGATTGCTCTTCCTGGAACTTCCAGTACTATGTTGAATAGAAGTGGCAAAAGTGCGTATTCTTGTCTTGTTCCCAATCTTAAGGGGAAAGCAGTCAGTCTTTCACCATTGAGTATGATCCTAGCTGTGAGTCTGTCATAAATGTCCTTTATACTATTGAGGAAGCTTCCTTTATTTCCTAGTTTGTTGTACGTTTTTATCATAAAAGCATGATAGATTTTTAATGCATTCTCTGAATCCATTGGCATGACCTTGTGGTTTTTCTTCTTCATTATATAAATGTGCATTACATTGATTGATTTTTGTATATTGAAATGCCCTTGAATTTCTGGAACACATTCAGTTTAGTCATGGTATATACTCCCTTTAATATTCTGTTGGATTCAATTTACTACTAATTTGTTGACTTTTTTCACCCATATTATTAAGGGATATTGGTCTATAGTTTTCTTTTTTGAGATGTATCTGCTTTTGGTGTCAGGATAATTCAGGCTGACCTCTAGAGTGAGTTAAGAAGTGTTCTGTCATCTTCTAATTCTTGAAAGAGTTTTAAAAGGATTGGTTTTAATTCTGTTTTAAATATTTGGTAGAATTCATGAGTGAAGCTATCTTTGCCTGGACTTTTCCTTATTGGGAGGTTTTTAATTACTGATTCTATGTCTGTACTTGTTACAGGTCTTTTGAGATTTTCTAGTTCTCTGTGTCAGTTTAAGTAATCCATGTGCTTCTAGGCTCGCTTTCATTTCAGCTTATGGTTATTTGTGTGTTTTATTTTTCTTAAGTTGTAAGTTGAGCTACAACTCTGTTGTTTTTTTAACTTTCTATTTCATTTCTCTCCACTCTAATCTTTGTTATTTCCATCCTTCTACTAGCTTTAGATTTAGTTTTCTCTTCATTTTATAGTTTCTCAATGTATAAAGCTAGGTTGTTCATTTGAGATCTTTCTTTTATAATGTAGGCATTTACATTACATATCAGATAAACTTCCCTCTGAGCACTGACTTCATTGCATCCTATACTATTTATCATGTTGTTTTTTCTCATTTTCATTTCTTCTTCAGTGTTTTCTAATATGCTTTGTGATTTCTTAATTCATTGTTTCAGAGTATGTTGTTTACTTTCCAAATATTTGTGATTTGTACAGCTTTCCTTCAGTTATTGATTTCTACCTTCACTCAATTGTGGTCAGAGAAGATATTGTGTATGAAATCAGTCTTTTTAAATTAATTGAGACCTACCATACACCCCCTATGCCTATGCCATAGGTGTTGTGGCTTAACAGATGTCCTATACTTGAGAATATTCCACATGTACTTGAGAATAATGTGCATTGTGGTGCAACTGGGTGGATTGTTTTGTATATATCTGTTATATCTAGTTGGTTTATGCTGTTATTCATGTTCCATTTCATAATTGAACATAAGGTTTGAACCCTTCAACTATGGTTTTAGAACTATTTTTTCCTTTTAAATTAGTCAATTTTTGCTTCATTCATCATGGGACTCTGTTGTTAAATGCACCTATGTTTATCACTGACATATTTCCCAGGTAAATTTACCCTTTGATCACTATGTAATGTCCTTCCCTGTCTCTTGTAACAATTTTTTACTCAGTTCCAAAATGCCTAATATTAGTATAGCTACCCCCAGCTCTCTTTACTGTTTGCATGAAATAACTTTTTGCTTCCTTTCACTTTCAACTTATTTGTGTTTTGCGATCTATAGTGAGTCTTCTGTTGGAAGCATATAGTTCATCATGGCTTTTAAAAATCACTTATGGCAATCTTTGTCTTTTGGTTGGAGGGTTTAATCCATTTATACACTTTTTAGTATTTTTAATTTCAAAATAAAAATTGTATACATTCATGGGGTACAATGTGATATTTCTATGCAGAAATATATTGTTGAATGATCAAGTCAGGCTAATTAAATATCCATAATTTCACATACTTATTATTTCTTTGTAATGACAACATTAAAATCCAGTCCTTAAATAATTTTTAAGTATACAATACATTATTATTAACTACAGTTACCATTCAATGAAATAGATCACCAGAACTTAATCCTCATGTCTAACTGAAATTTTGCACCCTTTGACCAACATTTCCCCTTTCCCCATACACCCAACCCAAGTCCACCATTCTTCTCTCCACTTCTATGTGTTTGACTTTTTAAGATTCCACATAAGTGAGATCATGTCATATTTATCTTTTGTGCTTGGCTTATTTCACTTAACATACTATCTTCTAGGTTCATCCATGTTGTCACAATGGAAAAAACTTCCTTCTTTTTTATGGCTGAATACTGTTTCATTTGAGATACATATATATATAGTTAAAAATGTATTCACGTGTTGATAGGTGATGAACTTTTCTTTTCTCAGCTATTATGAGTAATAATGTGATGAACATGGCAATGTAGTCATGTCTTTGACATACTGACTTCATTTCTTTGGATATATATCCAGAAGGGGACTGCTGGATCATACGCTAATTGTATTTTTATTTTTGGGTGGATCCTCCATACTGTTTTCCAAAATGGCTATACTAATTCACATTCCCATCAACAGCATACAATTGTTCCCTTTTCTTCACATCCGCATCAGCACTTACCTTTCATCTTTTTGATCATAGGTATTCTAACATGTATGAGGTGACATCTCACTGCACTTTTGATCTGCATTTCTCTGATGATTAGTGATACTGAGTATTATTTGATATATCTGTTGGTCATTTGTATGTCTTCTTTTGAGAAATGTCTACTCTGGTCCTTTGCCCATTTTTTTTCAATTCAGATATTTGTTTTCTTGTTAATGAGTAGTTTGAGTTTCATATATATTTTTAATATAAGCTCCTTTTCTGATGTAGTAATCCATCTTGGCCAATGCCCTAACTTTTCAAACAGGCTCCCCATGACTTTCCTGTGAGGCATTAGGCAGTCTATTGTATGTCTCAATCATAGCATTTTGCCCAGGGAAGCTTCAGGTTTTAGTTATCCACACAATGTTTTTCAGCAATGACTGCTGCTTTCTCACACTGAGTGGACTCCACATTAGGTGAAACAGAGATGACTGCCTGTGTCACTCCTTCAGGCAGCTCCCAGATGGTTAGGAAAGACACATGGAAAAATCTGTGAGTATGGTCTGTTCTGCTTCCTCCAGAGTCTAGAATCAGGGTTTCACACTGGGAACACAGGTTGCCATCTTTAAGATGGCTACAGAGCCATGGAGGGGGCGGGGCAATGTGAAGTAAAACACCACAAAGCTTTCCCACCATTTCATATTTGCTTTCTTTTTGATTCACCACATTTTGTTTGTGTTGCTATAAAACTTCGACTGTTTGCCAGAGTTCTGACAACTTCGTTCTAACTTCTGCTTATTTCTCAGTGTTACTGTGAAGGAACAGCATCTGGAGCTGCCCACTTCACCATTTTGTTGATGTTTTATCCTCAACAGCTTGAGAAAATCTTCTCTAGAATTCCACCCTTCTATTTTTCACTCACTCTTTTGCTAATACACAAAACTTCCTTATTCCCCATGTCATACCCACTTCCTTATTCCTCACTGTCATACCCACTCAGCAACACAGAACCTTAAATGAACCCAAACATCTACCTCTTTCTTACCTTCATTGGGACTTTCTCATTCACATGGATAAAAATCACACAGCCAGGCATACTGGTTCCATTCCACATTTGTGATCACCAACTGCAGGTGGATTTTCCACTATGCTGAACAATTATACAATATGGATCATATGTCAGCAAATCTTTTCAATGTATGCAAGAACTCTTCTGAGCCTGTTCCTTTCTCCTCAAACATTTGACCATGGGTTCCTGTTTGCCCCTTCACTCTTAAAATATTACTTTATTTCCTACCTCAAGGATCAATAAAAGCCATTCTATGGGAAATCTCTCAACATCCTCTTGGATGTAGGAATTCAATTTCACTCGAAACATCTCCTTATCACTCCCTCCTGCTGCATAGAATAGGTTTTCCCACTCTGACCAAAGCCCAGTCCCTACAACTCTGCAGCAGATCCCATTTTTCTCTACCTTATCAGGAAATGTCTTCTATTATTCATCTCTTTGCTCTCCTCTATTTTCTATCTCTCCTCTATGCTTGTTCACTCTAATTAGCACTTAAACTCAGTCCTCTCTTGTCATTAAAATAAATGATAAAGATCAATAAGTGAGATCATGCCATTAAAGGAACATCAGGTGCAGGGGCCAAGTGGTAGGGCATTGCTCTCATATAATCACATCTTTCTCCTTCACTGTTTAAAAAATGTTGACTAGATTTGTTTTGTGTACTTTAAAAATATTTATAGATTCTCAGGCAAGATGGCTGAATAGGAACAGCTCCGGTCTGCAACTCCCAGCGAGACCAATGCAGAAGGTGGGTGATTTCTGCATTTCCAACTGAGGTACATGGTTCATTTCATTTGGACTGGTTAGACAGTGGGTGCAGCCCACGGAGGGCGAGCAGAAGCAGGGTGGGGTGTTGCCTCACCCAGGAAGTGCAAGGGGTTGGGGAACTCCCTCTCCTAGCCAAGGGAAGCCCTGAGGGACCCTGCCGTGAAGGATGGTGCTATCTGGCTTAGATACTATGCTTTTCCCACGGTCTTCGCAACCCACAGACCAGGAGATTCCCTCAGGTGCCTATACCACAAGGGCCCTGGGTTTCAAGCACAAAACTGGACAGCTGTTTGAGTAGACACCAAGCTAGCTACAGATTTTTTTCGTACCCCAGTGGCGCCTGGAATGCCAGTGAGACAGAACTGTTCACTCCCCTGGAAAGGGGGCTGAAACCAGGGAGCCAAGTGGTTCTGCTCAGTGGATCCCACCCCCACAGAGCCCAGCAAACTAAGATCCACTGGCTTGAAATTCTGGCTGCCAGCACAGCAGTCTGAAATCAACCTGGGGTGCTCGAGCTTGGTGGGGGGAGGGGCATCTACCATTACTGAGGCTTGTAGGCGGTTTTCCCCTCACAGTGTAAACAAAGCCACCGGAAAGTTCAGAATGGATGGAGCCCACCACAGCGCCGCAAAGCCACAGTAGCTAGACTGCCTCTCTAGATTCCTCCTCTCTGGGCAGGGCATCTCTGAAAGAAAGGCAGCAGCCCCAGTCAGGGGCTTATAGATAAAACTCCCATCTCCCTGGGACAGAGCACCTGGGGGAAAGGGTGGCTGTGGGCACAGCTTCAGCAGACTTAAATGTTCCTGCCTGCCAGCTCTGAAGAGAGCAGTGGATCTCCCAGCACAGTGCTCAAACTTTGCTAAGGAACAGACTGCCTCCTCAAGTGGGTCCCTGACCGCCATGCCTCCTGACGGGGAGACACCTCCCAGCAGGGGTTGACAGACGCCTCATACAGGAGAGCTCCGGCTGGCATCTGGTGGGTGCCCCTCTGGGATGAAGTTTCCAGAGGAAGGAGCAGGCAGTAATCTTTGCTGTTCTGCAGCCTCTGCTGGTGATATCCAGGTAAACAGGGTCTGGAATGGACACCCAGCAAACTCCAGCAGACCTGCAGACAAGGGGCCTGACTGTTAGAAGGAAAACAGAAAGCAATAGCATCAACATGGAAAAAAAGGACAACCATGCAAAAACTCCATCCGAAGGTCACCAATGGCAAAGACCAAAGGTAGATAAATTCACGAAGATGAGGAAAATCCAGCACAAAAAGGCTGAAAATGCCAAAAATCAGAATGCCTCTTCCCCTCCAAAGGATCACAACTCCTCACCAGCAAGAGAACAAAACTGGATGGAGAATGAGTTTGACGAATTGACAGAAGTAGGCTTCAGAAGGTGGATAATAACAAAGTCTTCCAAGCTAAAGAAGCATGTTCTAACCCAATGCAAGGAAGCTAAGAACCTTAATAAAATGTCAGAGGAATTGCTAACTAGAATAACCAGTTTAGAGAAAAACATCAATGACCTGATGGAGCTGAAAAACACAGCACGAGAACTTTGTGAAGCATACACAAGTATCCATAGCCAAATAGACCAAGCGGAAGAAAAGATATCAGAGATTGAAGATCAACTTAATGAAATAAAGTGTGAAGACAAGATTAGAGAAAAAAGAATGAAAAGGAACGAACAAAGCCTCCAAGAAATATGGGACTATGTGAAAAGACCAAACCTACATTTGATTGGTGTACCTGAAAGTGACGGGGAGAATGGAACCAAGTTGGAAAACACTCTTCAGGATATTATCCAGGAGAACTTCTTCAACCTAGCAAGATAGGCCAACATTCAAATTCAGAAAATACAGAGAACACCACAGAGATACTCTTCGAGAATAACAACCCCAAGACATATAATCATCAGATTCACCAAAGTTCAAATGAAGGAAAAAATGTTAAGGGCAGCCAGAGAGAAAGGTCAGGTTACCCACAAAGGGAAGCCCATCAGACTAACAGCGGCTCTGTCTGCAGAAACCCTACAAGGCAGAAGAGAGTAGGGGCCAATATTCAACATTCTTAAAGAAAAGAATTTTCAACCCAGAATTTCATATCCAGCCAAACTAAGCTTCATAAGTGAAAGAGAAATAAAATCTTTTACAGACAGGCAAATGCTGAGGGATTTTGTCACCACCAGGCCTGCCTTACAAGAGCTCCTGAAGGAAGCACTAAATATGGAAAGGAAAAACCGGTACCAGTCACTGCAAAAACAAACCAAAATGTAAAGACCATCAACACTATGAAGAAACTGCATTAACTAATAGGAAAAATAACCAGCTAGCATCATAATGACAGGATCAAATTCACACATAATAATATTAACCTTAAATGTAAACTGGCTTAATGCCCCAATTAAGAGGCACAGACTGGCAAATTGGAAAAAGAGTCAAGACCCATCAGTGTGCCGTATTCAGAAGACCCATCTCACATGCGAAAACACACACAGGCTCAAAATAAAGGGATGGAGGAAGATTTACCAAGCAAATGGTTATAAAAAAAAAGGAGTGGTTGCAATCCTAGTCTCTGATAAAACAGAGTTTAAACTAACAAAGATCAAAAAAGTCAAAGAAGGGCATTACATAATGATAAAGGGATCAATGCAACAAGAAGAGCTAACTATCCTAAATATATATGCACCTAATACAGGAGCACCCAGATTCATAAAGCAAGTTCTTAGAGACCTACAAAGAGACTTAGACTCCCACACAATAATAGTGTGAGACTTTAACATCCCACAGTGAATATTAGACAGATTAACGAGACAGAAAAGTAACAAGGATATTCAGGACCTGAACTCAGCTTCTTGATTTTGCCTTAATGTCATTACTTACCCAAAAGTCATTCAGGAGCAGGTTATTTAATTTCCATGTAAATTTATGGTTTTAAGTGAACTCCTTAGTCTTGATTTCTAATTTGATTGCCCTGTAGTCCAAGAGATTGTTTGTTACAATTGCAATTGTTTTTAATATGCTGAGGAGTTTTTTCCTTCCAATTATGTGATTGATTTTAGAGTGCCATGTGGTGATAAGAAGAACATACTTTCTGTTGTTTCTGGTTGGAGAGTTCTGTAGATGTCTATTATGTCCATTTGATCCAGTGCTGAGTTCAGGTCCCAAATATCCTTGTTAATTTTCAGTCTTGATGATCTCTCTGATATTGTCAGTGGGGTGTTAAAGTCTCCTACTATTATTTTGTGGGAGTTTAAGTCTCTTTGAATATCTCTAAGAACCGTGAATCTCCTCCTGTGTTGAGAGCATACATATTTAATGTGATTAGGTCTCGTTGTGTTGAACCCTTTACCATTAGATAATGCCATACTTTCTCTTTTTTGATCGTTGGCTTAAAGTCTGTTTTGTCTGAAATTAGGATTGAAACCATTGTTTTTTTTTCCTGTTTTCCATTTGCTTGATAGATTTTTCTCCATCCTTTTATTTTGAGCCTGTGTCATTGCATGTGAGATGGGTGTCTTGAAGACAGTATACCAATGTGTTCTTTATCCAGTTTGCCATTGTATGCCTTTTCATTGGGGCATTTAGCCCATTTACATCAAAGGTTAGTATTGATATGTGTGGATTTGATCCTGTCATCATGATGTTAGCTGGTTATTTTGCAGACTTCTTTATGTGGTTGCTTTATAGTGTCACTGGTCTGTGTACTTCAGTTTGTTTTTGTAGTGGCTGATAATGGTCTTTCCTTTCCATATTTAGTGCTTCCTTCAGGAGTTCTTGTAAGGCAGGTCTGGTGGTAAGAAATTCCCTCAGCATTTTCTTGTCTGAATATGATCTTATTTCTCCTTCATGTATGAAGCTTAGTTAGGCTGTGTATGAAATTCTGGGTTGGAATTTCTTTTCTTTAAGAATGTTGAATATAGGTCCCAATCTCTTCTGGCTTGTAGGGTTTCTGCTGAGAGGCCTGCTGTTAGTCTGAGGTGCTTCCCTTTGTAGGTGACCTGTAGCTTTCTCTCTAGCTGCCTGTAACGTTTTTACTTTCATTCGGACCTTGGAAAATCTGATGATTATGTGTCTTGGGGATGGTCTCCTTTTGAAGTATTTTATTGTGGTTCTCGGCATTTTCTGAATTTGAGTGATGGCCTCTCTAGCTATGTTGGGGAAGTTCTCATGGATGATATCATGAAATATGTTTTCCAGGTTGGTTCCATTCTCCCCATCTTTTTCAGGGATACCAGTGAGTTGTACTTTGGTTCTCTTTACATAATTCCACATTTCTTGGATGTTTTGTTCACTGTTTCTTTTTTCTCTATTCTGTCTGACTGACTTATTTCAGAAAGCCAGTCTTAAAGCTCTGAGACTTTTTCCTCTGTTTAGTCTATTGTGCTACTAATACTTGTGATTGCATTGTGAAATCCTTGTAGTGTATTTTTCAGCTCCATCAGGCCAGTTACATTCTTTTCTATACTGTTTATTTTGTCCGTCAGCTCCTGTATTTTTTATCGTGATTTTTAGCTTCCCTGCATTGGGTTTCAATGTACTCCTGTAGCTCAGTTATCTTCATACCAGTTAATATTCTGAATTCTCTTTCTGCCATTTCAGCCAACTTACCCTGGTTTAGAACCCTTGCTGGAGTGGTGATGAGATCATTTGGAGGAAAAACGGCTTTTTGAGTTATCAGGGTTCTTGTGCTGATTCTTTCTCATCTTTGTGGGCTTATCATCCTTCAATCTTTCAGGTTGCTGACCTTTGGATGGGTTTTTTTTTCTTTTATCCTATTTGATGACCTTGCGAGTTTGATTGTGACATAAGGTGGATTCAGCCAACTGGCTTTATTTCTGGAAGATTTTATGGGGCCAATGCTCAGCTCCCAACTTCTGGACTGTTGCCCTAACTCTGGGGGACTTGTATTGGGCCCTAACTTTCCTCTCTAGATCCTTGAGGTTAGGAATCCACTGTGCTGGGGAGGCTGAGGTGCTCCCAGGCTGCTGGTCACTCCACTCTGATGGGTGGTTTCAGCCAAAGCATTTCATAATGTGGTGAGAGCAGGATCTGTCCTCGTTTGCACATGCCAGTAGCAGTGGTAATGGCAGCTGAAGCAGAATGTTTGTGGATGCCAGGGTGCCTGCTTCCCTGCAAGCATTCACCACAGTGGTGGAGGCAATGCAGGTGTGTGGGGATGGGGTCCCTTGCTGGCAGCCATGTACGTGGTTATGCTGGAGGTGGTGTTTGTTCCGGGATGGGGTGCTGGCAGGCACAGGTCTAGATGCCTTCTTTGTGCCCCACAAGCAGGAGTGCATACTAAGGGGTAGGATCTGCTCTACAATTTCCTTCATCAATGTTTTGCAGTTTTCCTTGTAGAAATTTTTCACCCTTTTGGTTAAACGTATTCTTAGGTATTTTATTTTTTGTAGCTATTGCAAATGGGATTAGCTTATTGATTTGGTTTTCAGCTTGATTGTTATTGGTGTATAGAAATGCTACTTATTTTGTATGTTGATTTTGTATCCTGAAGCTTGAACAAATTTATTTATCAAATCCAGGAGTCTTTTGGAGGAATCCTTAGGGTTTTCTGGTCAGAAGATCATATGATCAGCAAACAGAAATATTTTGCAGTTCTCTTTTCCAATTTGAATACCTTTTATTTCTTTCTCTTGCCTGATTGTGCTGGCTAGGACTTTCAGTGCCATGTTGAATAGGAGGGGTGAAAGTGGGAACTCTTTTATTCTTCCAGTTCTTAGGCAGAATGCTTTCAACTTTTCCCTATTCAATGTGACAAGTTGAATTTGGCTGTGATTCAGGCTGGTCCTGGACTATTTTTTGCCTGGGAGATTCTTTATGACTGATCAATCTCACTGGATGTTATTCATTTTTAAAGGATTTCTACTTCTTCCTAGATCTATCTTGAGAGATTGCATGTTTCCAGGAATTTACCTATTTCCTGTGGGTTCTAGTTTTTAAGCATAGCGATGTCGCTTCATGATCTTTTGTATTTCTGCAATAGGAGGGTTGCATATGTGGGTTTTCACATATGGCTTTCATTATTTTGAGGTATATTTCTCCTATGCCTAATTTGTTGAGGGTATATATGATGAAGGGATGTTAAATTATATCAAGTCTTTTGTATGCATCTATTGAGATGATTAATTTTATTTAAGTCACGAATCACAATTATTGATTTGCATATGTTGAATCGCCCTTCATCTATAGAATAAAATTCATTTTTTTGCATTATATTTTTGATGTGCTGCTGGATTCTGTTTGGTAGTCTTTTGTTGAGGATTTTTGCATCTATCTTCATGAAGGATATTGGTCTGTAGTGTTGTTGTTGTTGTTGTTGTTACATCCTGGTCTGACTTTTGGATCAGGGTGATACTGGAATTGTAGAATGAGTTAGGGAGGATTCCTCCTCCTGTTTTTGGCACAGTTTCAGTAGGATTGGTATCTGTTATTCTTCATGTGACAAGTTAAATTTGGCTGTGATTCAGGCTGATCCTGGACTATTTTTAACTTCGGAGATTCTTTATGACTGATCAATCTCACTGGATGTTATTCATTTTTTAAGGATTTCTACTTCTTCCTAGATCTATCTTGGGAGATTGCATGTTTCCAGGAATTTACCTATTTCCTGTGGGTTCTAGTTTTTAAGCATAGTGATGTCGCTTCATGATCTTTTGTATTTCTGCAATAGGAGTTGTTATGATTCATTTTACATTTCTGGTTGTGCTTATTTGAATCTTCTCTCTTCTATTCTTGGTTAGTCTATCAATCTTGTTTACCTTTACAAAGAAACAATTTTTCATTTTGTTGACCCTTGGTATTTTTTTTCATTCTCATTTTCATTTAGATCTGCTCTGATCTTTCTTATTTATTTTCTTCTGCTAGCTATGGGTTTGGTTTTCTTGATAAGCATTGTTCTTGATAAGTGACATCAGATTGTTGAGTTGCAACTTTTTAATATTTTTAGTGTAGGCATTCAACACTATAAACTTCCCTCTCAGTACTACTTTTGATTTATCACAAGAGGTATTCATATACTGTCTCTCTAATTTCATTCATTTCCAAAAAAATTCAAATGTTTGTCTTTACTTTGTCTTTGACCCAAAGATCATTCAGGAGTTTGTTTAATTTTGATGTATTTTATAGTTTCAAGAGTTCATCATGGTATTGAGTGCTAGTTTTATTCCACTGTCATCCAAGAAGATATTTGATATGATTTTTAATTTTTTAAATTTATTGAGACTTGTTTTGTTATGTAACATATGGTCTATATTGGCAAATGTTCCATGTACTGCTGAAAAGAACGTACATTCTGTGGATACGTGTAGAGTGTTCTGTAAATGTCTGTTAGGTCCATTTGGTCTAAAGTCCCATATAAGTCCAGTGTTTCTTGATTTTCTGTTTCAATGATCTGTCTGCTGTCAGTAGGGTATTGAAGTCCCCCCAATTATTGTATTGTTGTCTATCTCTTTTTGTAGGTCAGGAGCATTTGTTTTATGAATCTGAGTGCTCCAGTGTTGAGTACATATATATTTAGGACTGTTACATCTTCTTCTTGAATTGATTGCTTTACCATTACCTAATGAACTTTATTTCCTAAAGTCTGTCGATCTCTAGGCTGCAAGGTAGCCAAGAGCCATGAACAACACCTGCCCCACAGCTCTCCACTAAAATGGCTGTGGTGAAGTACTTACTCCATCAAACCAAAACACACAGCCCAACAGCTCTCCTGCTCTCCCCTGCAGGAGTGCTGCCACTCCATGTAAGGCATGGAGGGCACCTTACATGCAACACAGTGGCCGCACTGCCAGTGGGGACACATTTGCCCCTAGCAGCCCCAGAAAGGCTGTCAGCATTCTTGGGCCAGTTTCCCATGGAAGCAGCCATGGTTCTCAGTGGGGGTAGGGGAGGAGAAGTGTCCTTCTCCATGCCTTGGCTTGAGCACTGAGGCCACTTGGCCACTGGGATGGAACTATATTCCTGCCTTACAGAGTGCAGCACAGCCCTTGGATCTCTGCTGGGAATGGTGCCATCACTCAGAGCTCACAAGCAGGGAGCTCCTGGGCACTATAAAGTGCATGATCTGGTTTCCTTTGTCCTAGGAAGAGTTCCCTCACTGTGCTGCTGCACTCTCCCTTCCCTTAGGAGAAACAGTCCCCTAGGGCTAGACTACTGAAAATCCTGCATTTATCCACCCTGTGCAACTGCTGCAATCCAAATGAGCACTGAGGAATGTCTGAGAGGGTTCCTGTAATGTGGACACAAAAGGGCTGAGGTTCCCTGGGCAGGAAACACTCCCCCGAGGACTGTGCCTGGAGTATAGCACCTGTAGTCACAGCTCGGGTCCTGGGGAGGGAGAGTGACCAGGAACAAGTTAGCATTTTGATATAATGCCCTCAAGAAGTCTGCAAATTATCACCCATGCCAGTGTTTGGATCTGTGTGAACAGAGGAGCTCTCTGACAGTGTGGATGTTTAAGCCCAGTCTTACTGTCTATTTCTTGAAAGATCCAACTAGTACAAGGACCGGATTGGAAAATACATGCAAAGATAGGATCTGGAACTGGTTCATCTACTTCTCTGCAGGCAAAGAGAATGGCATCCTGAATCATGGGTCAGGCACATAACATAAGATGGTGTGAATCAAAGCACAAATGGTTCTAAAGATTTCAACAGTGATGACTCAGGCACACATTCGTGTTGAGGGGAATACTGTGGTAGGTACAATGATGCTGATATCTGGAATAAATATGCCTACCAAGAAGGTGGAATTGGCTGATAATTGCTCAGTCATATTGACGCTTGCATAAGAAAAATGAAAGACTGAGAGTCAGTAACCGTCAGTTAACAGTAAATGTGAGAACCAGAGAGCCTCATTGTAGGATATAAAGAGGTCTTTATCACCTGTACTGGAAGAGAAGACACTGTTAATAGGCAGTCTGAAGATGTAATTTTGAGATTATAGAGCTCCAGAAATGTTCGAATGCTAATCCAAGGCAGATTTGGGATCCTGAAAACTGTGAAGAGGTCATTTAGATGGACACCCTGGAGGCTGTTGGCTCTGTAAATGCCCTGGACCCTCTGAGCATGCAGAAGTGGCTCATCCTTTCCTAGTAAGGACTAGAAATTCCACTTTGTGGAATATGCTATAGAATTTTCACCCCCACAGGGCAGCAGGTGACCACCCATGAGCTTCCCTTACCTCTTCTCCTGAATGCCAGGATGAAAAATAATGTGAATGGGAACATTCTAGGCCTAATAAGGAAAGAGACTATAGGCCTTACAAATTACAAGGATTAGCTGACATGTACTGGCAGAAAGCAGACAAGTGCCCCTGGAAGTGTGTTTGGAGAGGGATTGATTAAGCAAATTAGAATATAAGGCTGAATATGCAAGAATTCTTTGACTTGGGGGTGCCTCCTCAGGGTACAGGATTAAACACTCCAATAAGAACCACAGAGAATGATGAAAATCCACAGATGGATGGTTCTAGGAAGCCTGGAAAAATGGCCAAATCTCAGTGAAATATAAATGCCCAAGTTTCCATGGAAAGAAGATATAAGAAAGAATAAAGAAGCTGAAGGAAGTGAGAATGCTGGAATGGATAGATTACTTAAAGCTAGAAGACACATGAGAGAATTTTGTTTCTCTGAGGTGCCCAGAGGACACTCAATTCTCCAAAGCCATCAGGAATGCACTGGTGGGAGGAGTATTTAAATCACTAGGAAGTTTGGGGGCAGCTCTTTCCTGTAGGCCAGGGATGATGGTAGGAGAAATGGTCACATATCAGTAAGCACAGCTCATTATCAATGGTGTTGTTGGACACCTGGAGTAACAGAGCTATGTAGTGGTACTTTGCTACTATAGACCCAGAGACCACAATTACTATAATGATGAACAAAGTCAGAAGGGAAGTCAGTAGGGCTCCATCGCTCCATCTGCAGGGAATTGTAGAGATGGTTAATAGATAATCGTATTCCTAGGAGCAAAATAAACAGGTATCCCACAAGGGTGATGTTTAGCATGCATAACAGAAAAAAAGCAAAAATGGAAAAGCAGAGCACTGAGTACAGTCATTCTAAGCAACAGTTATGATTCCTTGCTCAGTTGCCAGTTCTGAGCCAACTTTCAGATCTGAAACCCACTGACTGATGAGGTGATTAGCTTTGTATTATAGAAGGAAGGGCCCTGCAAACCATGGCAAGTATATGCTATAATTATTCTTCTATTCCTTCTACAAGGGATCTATGGCCATATAGGCCTTTGGGGTGGAATGACCAAATATTTTAAGGAATTTTATACACAGGATCAAAGTTGACACTGATACCCAAAGACTCAAAATGTGAATATAACCTACCTCTTAAAGTAGGAATTCGTGGGACATAGGGAATAAATGGAATCCTGCCTAAAGTCCAGCTAAAAATGTATCCTGTGTGAATCCAGATTTACCCAATATTCATTTCCTGTCCATCCCTGAGTTCATAGCTTGAATCCAAATAATTGGCACCTGGAATCAACCCCACAGTGGGTTCCTGATTTGTGGAATAAGAGCTGTCATAATGAAGAAGGTTAAATGGAAACCTCTGAAACAACCCCAACCCCTGATGATGCCCAAGATAGTAAATCAAAATAAATTACGATGTCCTGCAGTGGAGACTAATGACAGATACTGCTGCCATTAAAGGCTTAAAATATGCATGGTGGTGATATGGTTTGGCTCTGTGTGCCCACCGAAATATCATGTCAAATTTTAATTCCCAGTGTTGTAGGAGGGAACTGGTGGGAGGTGATTGAATCATGGGGGTCAAGTTCCCCCTTGATGTTCTCATGATAGAGTTCTCATGAGATCTGGTTGTTGGAAAGTGTGTAGCACTTCCCCCTTCATGCTCTCTTCTTCCTGCTCCAGCCATGTAGGACGTGCCTCCTTCCTCTTCACCTTCACCATAATTGTAAGTTTTTTGAGACCTCCCTAGCCATGCTTCCTGTACATCCTGGAGAACTGTGAATCAATTAAACTCCTTTTCATCATAAATTACTGAGTCTTAGGTAGTTCTTTATAGCAGTGCAAGAATGGACTGATACAAAACATTTTTAATTAACTCACGGTTCCATAGGCTGTACAGGAAACCTGGCTGGAGAGGCCTCAGGAAACTTACAATCACGGCAAAAGGTGAACAGGAAGGAGACATGTCCTGCATGGCAGGAGCAGGAGGAAGAGAGAGCTACGGGGGAAGTGCTACACACTTTCAAACAACCAGATCTCATGAGAACTCTATCACAAGAACAGCAAGGGGGAAGTCTGCCCCATGATTCAATCACCTCCCATCAGGCCCTTCCTCCAACAATGGGAATTACAATTAAACACGAGATTTGGGTGGTGACACAGAGCCAAACCATATCAGGTGGTCCTCTTTATCGTGTCTCCATTTAATTCTCCAGTCTGTACCCTGTATAAAGTGGGTGGGTCCTAGAGAATGCTATAGACAACAACAGACTGACCCAAGTGATAGCTCTGGTTACAGCTGTTGTACCAATCATGGTGTAATTGCTAAGGTACATGGCATGGTACATGGTGTAAAGTCCCAGGTATATGGCATACAGCCACTGATTTGGCAAACATATTCTCCATTTCATTGAACAAAGAATACCAAAGCTAGTTCACATTCACACTAGATGGAAAACAATATCCTGCTATAGTTTTACAGCCTGGCAATGTTATTCTCCAGCCATCTATGCTAATATACTCTGGGAATATCTGAAATACTTGGCCAGCCCACAGAACATCACAACAATACGCTACATTAACATCATCATGCTGATTGAACAAGATGAGCAAGAGTTGACTGTTGGATGCCTTGGTAAAACACATGTGATCTGGAGAATGGGAGGTAAATCACATGAAGATTCCAAGACCAACCACTTCAGTAAAGTTTGTAATGGGTCCAGTGGTCAGGGGCCATATTAGTCAAAGTTTTACCAAGAGACAGGATGCATAGGATGCAAGTATATAAATATATAAGGAAATTTATTAGGAGGGTTATCTCATGTTATTATGGAGGCCGAGAAGTCCATAGACAGGCCATCTGCAGGCTGGAGACCCTGAAATGGATAATATGCCTCATTCCAGATGCCAAGGTCTCAGAACCAGGGAAACCGATGATGTAATTCTTAGTCTCAGTCCGAGACCAAAGGTCTGAGAACCTGGGGGTCCATGGGTGTCAATCCTAGCGTTTAAAGGCCCCAGAACCTGGAGTTGTCCAAGGACAGGAGAGGAAGAATGTATCCCAGTTCCAGCAGATAGAATCACACATTTGTCTTTTCTCTGTTCTTGTTCTCTGGGCCCCAGCTATTTGGATGGTGCCTGCTCACATTGAGGGCAGATCTCTGCGTAGTCCACTCAGACACAAATGCTAATCTTCTCTGGAAATGCCCTCTCAGACACACCCCAAAATAATCCTTCATGAAGTTTCTAGGTATTTCTTAATCCAGTCAAATTGACACCTAAAATTAACAATCACTGGGGCATGTCAGGATGTCACTTCCAAAGTATGAGAAAAATTGTCATGTCTTGGTTCCCCCACCACCAAAGGAGGAAGCACAGCAACTTGTAGGCCACAGTAGGTTCTGAAGGCAACATATTGGACAACTAGAAATATACCAGCCCTCACATCTATAGATGAGGAATAATGCTTAGTTTTGGTAGAACCTGGAGTAGGAAAAAGTACTGTAGCAGGTCCACACAATGGTGCAATTAGCCCTGCCTCTTCAGCCATAAGTGCCAACATAACAAAGAGTTTGTAGTAGTCAGTGGTGTGAAAATTGGCAGTATAATGCTTATGGCAAGCTCTAATGTAAGCCCCTGGGTTTCTGGGGTAGGGCCATGCCATCCACAGCAGAGAGTTCAGCAGATAGTTATTTACCCTTTAATAAACAGCTCTTGATATGTTTCTGGACCCAGATAGAGACAGAACATATACGAGATACCAAGTGACCATGCATTTGCATTATGAGCTGAGGTTTCTCAGACAAACAAAATCATAAAGTTAGATGAGTCAGGCAGCAGTTCATCAGAAGTTGGAAACTGAATATCAAGGATAGAGCCCAAGCAGAGATATATGCCATGAGTAAGTTACATAGCCGGTGGCCCAGACCTCTATGACACCCACCAAAGTTGCATAATTTCCACTGTTCCAGTTGACACCTGTAGCTGTGTGGAGAATCCTGAATGATCAACTGAAAATGGATAGAAAATGCCAAGCTTGGTTTACAGATATCCTAACCCAACATACAGGTGGTTACCAGAAATGGAAATTGGCTCCATTAGAGTCACATTCAGGAGTGGCCAAAAAAGGGAAAATCTTACCAATGTGCAGAGCTTTGAGTAAGGCATTTGGCCAGCCACCCAATGTAGAAGGAGAAATAACCTGAAGTAAAAATCTATACAGATTTATGGGGAGTGGCCAATATCTTAGCTGTCTAGTTTGGGGCCTAGAAAGAAAATGATTGGAAAATCAGAGACAAGGAGGTCTGAGGTAGAGGCATGTGTTTAGACATGTTGGAATGGACACAAAGTGTGATGATTTTTGTAATACACATTAACATTCATCACAAAGTCTACACCATGGAAGAGGAACTGAAAAGCAAGTAAATAAAACCATTCAACCAGTTGACATTAGTCAGCCCATGTTGTAGGCTATTGCAAAACTAGCAATGGGCACATGAATGAAGTCGCCACACTGGCAGAGATGGAGGCTTCATATGGATCCAATGGTATGGACTTCCATTTACCAAGGCCAATCTATTGTCTACTGCCTCTGGGTGTTCAACTTGTAAGCAACTGGAACCAACTCTGAGTATCCAATATTACACTATTCCTTGTCATGGCCAGTCCAGTTTACCTTCACAGGGATCAGTCCCTATCCCAGGTATGGATTTCCTTCCTTGCCTACAGCACTTCACTCAGCAGAACTACTTGGGAACTTATGGAATACCTGAATACACGAGCATGGGATTTCTCATGGCATAGCACCTGATTAAGGGGCCCATTATATGGAAAAATAGGTACAGAAGTGACCATGGGATTCACTGGACATATCACATGTTACAAAATCCAGAGACAGACATTCTCAGAGAATACTAGAATAATCTCAATGCACAACTGAAGCACAACTCAGAGGAAACACTCTGGGAAAATGGGTTGCCATCTTTCAGGAACCAGTGTATTTATTAAATCAGAAAACTTATAAGGCAACTTTTCCTCAGTGAGGACACACGGGTCCAGGAACCTAGTGGTAGAGGCAAGAGTGGTCCCACTTACCATCACTCCTGATCACCCATTATGGATTTTGTACTCACAACTCTGTTCTGCACTGTTGGAGGTCTTGGCTCCAAAGAGACTTTCTGGTTTCACTTTTCTTGGGGCAACTCAGAAAATGCCCCCATTGAACTACAAGTTATAACTCCCCTACACCTTCTGTTGTCATTTTGGACTGGTACTCAGAAGCTAGCAGGTGCACAGAGGAGTCACCATACTGGCAGGGTAATGGCTCCTGATCAGGAGGAGAGGATAAGGTTACCACAACACAATGAGGGCAGGGAGAAATATGTGTGAAGCCTGAGTGATTCATTTTGGTGCCTCCTAACACTTTCTTCCCATTGTAACTGTGAATGAACATGTACAATCATCCTGAACTGAGAAGCATATAATTATCAAGGGTTCACCTTCCTCAGGAATAAAAATTTTGATCATACCATCAGGTAAGCCAGCAAGGTCTTTCAAAATGATAGCTGTTGATGCAGGGAATTTAAATGAATAGTGAAGGAGGAAGAGGATGAATACCAGTTATGGCCCTGAGATCTACTGCAGTAACATCTCTTCTGATTTTCCCCTCAGGAAGAAAGGCCCACAGAAACAATTATGGAGCTGTCCCCCAAATCTCAGTAAAGAAGTTGATCTGTGTTGTATAAGTAGTGGACAGTGGTGGCCAGGAGTATGTGTGTCACAGAACTCCTACAGGGAGCGCAAATGACCTTTAATCCTATCTTGGCATCCACTTTTCAGAATGCACAGACCAACATAACATATCATTGAAAAATTTGCTTTGTTTCACTGAACAATGTGTCCTGGAGAATAATTTAAGACAATTTGTAGAAATATCACATTCTTTAAACAACCACATATTATTCTTCAATGGATAGACACCTAGAACATTTTGAAATTTCCACTTTTTACAAACAAGGCTGCAGTGAATATTCTTATACATGCCTCTTTGTGCATGTTTCATTGAGATATAATGTACATATTTGTGGGATACATGTGACAATTTGATACATGCAATGTGTAATAATCATATCAGGGTAATTGAAATATCAATCACCTCAAATATTTATCATTTCTTTCTGTTAGGAACATTCCAAATCTTCTCTTCTAGTGATTTTGAAATATACAGTACATTATTGCTAACTGTAGTCACCCTACTGGGCTATTAAACACTAGAAATTATTCTTTTTTTGTAGCTGTATTTTTGTGCCCAAACACAGCCTGTCTTCATCCCTTTTTCCCCTACCCTTCCAAACCTCTGGTAGTCATCATTCTACTTTCTGCCTTCATGAGATCAATTTTTAGCTCCCACATTTGAGTGAGAACACATGATATTTGTGTTTCTGTGCATGGCTTATTTCACTTAACATACTCTCTGACTTCCAGACTCATCCATGTTGCCACAAATGACAGGATTTCATTTGTTATATGGCTGAATATTATTCCATTGTGTCCATATGCTACATTTCCTTTACCCATTCATCCACTGATGGGCACTTAGGTTGATTGCCCATCTTGACTATTGTGAACAGTGATGCAATAAACAGAGAAGTGTAGCTATCTCTTTAACATAACAATTTCCCTGTGGACATATTCCCAGAAGTGGGATTGCTTGATCATGTGTTCTTTTTATTTTGTTGAGGAACCTCCATATTGTTTTCCATAAAGGCTGAACGAATTTACACTCCTACCAACAGTGTATGAAAATTCCCTTTCCTCCACATCCTCAACAACATTTGTTATTTCTATCTCTTTGTTAACAGTCATTTTAACTGGGTTGAGATGATATTTCATTGTGGGTTTGATGTGTAGTTCCCTGACAATTAGTAATGTGGAGCATTTTTAAATGTACCTCATGGCCATTTCTCTTTTTTTTTTTTTTTGAGAAATATCTATTAACATCATTTTCCCCTTTTAAAATCAGATTATTCGGCCCTTTACTGTTGAGTTATTTGAGTGCCTCATATATTGTTACTAATCCCTGTTGGATGGCCTGTTTGTAAATATTTTCTCCCACTCTTTAGATTTTTTCCTCACTCCATTGTTTATTTCCTTTGCCACGCAGAAGCTTTTAGCTTGATATAATCCCATGTGTCTATTTCTGCTTTGGTTGCCTGTCCTTTCGTGGTCTTATGAAAAAAAAAATTTGCCCAGGCCAGTGTCCTGAAGCATTTCCTCAATGATTTATTCTAGTAATTAGTCTCAGGTCTTAGATGTAATCCTTTCATCCATATTGATTTGATTTGTGAATATGGTGAGAGACAGAAATCTAGTTTCATTATTCTGCATATGGATGTCCAGTTTTTCCAGCAGCCCTTATTGAAGAGACTGTCCTTTCCTCAATGTCTGTTGGCACCTTTGTCAAAAATAAGTTGGCTGCAAATGTGTGGATTCACTTCTGGGTTCTCTATAATGTTCCATTGGTCTATGTTTCTGTTTTTATGCCAGGACCATGCTGTTTAGTTACCACAGTTTTGTGGCAGGTAGTGTGATGCCTCCGGTTTTCTTTTTTTGCTGAGAATTGTTTTTGCTACTCGCGGTTTTTCGTGGTTACATCCTCATTTTAGGACTGGTTTTTTTTTCTACTTCTGTGAAGAATGTCATTTGTATTTTCATAAGGATTGCATTGCATATCCATCCATATTGCTTGGGTTGTATGTCCAAAGTTTAACAATGCTTTCTTTCAGTTCATGAACATGGGATATCTTTCTATTTTTTGTGTCCTCTTCAATTTATTTCATCAGTGTTTTGTAGTTTTCATTGTAGAGCTCTTTCCTCTCTTTGGTTAAAGTTATTCCTATGTATTGTTTTGTTGCTATTATAAATGGGTATGCTTTCTTGACTTCTTTATCAGATAGTATGTTGTTGATATATTAAAATGCTATTGGTTTTTTAATTTTGATTTTGTATCCTGCAACTTTACTGAATTTATCAGTCCATCAGTTTTTTGGTTAGCTGTTTAGTCTTTTCTAAATACATTATGTTATGTGCAAACAAGGACAATTTGACTTCTTCCTTTTCAATGTAGATTTCCTTCATTTCTTTCTCTGGCCTAATTGTTCTTGAAAGGAAGGACTTCCAGTAGTATGTTGAATAAAAGTGGTGAATGTGGATATCTTTGTCTCGTCCCAGATCTTAGAGGAATGGCTTTCAGTTTTTCCCCATTCAGTTTGATGTTAGCTGTGGGTTTGTTACATACGGTCTTCATTGTTTTGGGGTATGTTCCTTCTACACCCAGTTTGTTGAGAGGTTTTACCATGAAGGACCATTGAATTTCATTGAACACATTTTTTTAGCATCAATCAAAATGATCATATGGTTTTTGTCTTTCATTCTGTTGTGATGATATATCAGTAAATGTTAACTGATAACATTTACTGATTTGTGTATGTTGAAACATCTTTGTGTTGCTGGGCTACACCCCACTTTATCATGATGAATCATCTTTTTAATACATTGTTGAATTCAGTTTGCTAGTACTTTGTTGAGGATTTTTGTATCTACATTTATCAGAGATATTGGCACATAGTTTTGTTTTTCTATTGTGTCTTCTTCTGGTTTTGTTTTCAGGGTAATATTGGCCTTGTACAATGAATTTGGTAGTATTTGATTCTCCTTGATTTTTTGGAATAGATTGTGGAGGATTGTTATTAGTTCTTTCTTAAATGTCTGGTAGAATTCAAAGGTGAAGCCATCAGGTCATGGGCTTTTCTTTGATGGGAGATGTTTTATTACAGCTTCTGTATCATTACTTGTTATTAGTCTATTCAGATTTTCAATTTCCTCCTGGTTCAATCTTGGGATTGAATTGTTTTGTTTGTTTCTAGGAATTTATCCATTTTTTCTAGGTTTTCCAAATTGTTGGCATATAGTTGTTCATAATACTCTCAAATGACTTGAATTTCCGTGGCATCAGCAGTAATGTCTCCTTTTCATCGCTGATTTTATTTGGGTAATCTCTGTTTTTTTTCTTAGTCTGTCTGGCTAAAGGTTTCTCAGTTTTGCTTGTCTTTTCAAAAAAAAACCAACTGTTTGTTTCATTGATCTTTTGTATCATATTTTTGGTGTCATATATTTTCTTTGGCTCTGATCTTCATTATTTTTCTACTAATTTGTGGTTTGGCTTTGTTGTTCTTTTTTCTTTCTTCCTTTCTGTCTTCAAAAGGGGAGAAATCATTTTCTCTGGTAGTATGTTTTAATTTTTTGCCTTCTATTTTTTGTGTATCTGTTGTGGGATTTTAATTTGTGGTTACCATGAGATTTGCAAATAACATCTTATAATCCATTATTTTAAACTGATGACTAATTCTCTCTGATTACAAAAAAGAACAAAACAGATAAAACTAAAAAACCCTACACTGTAACTCCATCTCCCAGGCCCACCTTTTAACTGTTTGTTGTCTCTATTTATATTTATTTATACTACCTATCTCTTAAAAAGTTGACATGGTAATTATTTTTGCTAGGTTTGCCTTTTAATCTTTCTACTCAAAATATAAGTAGTATATACATTGCAATTACAGTGTTAGATTTTTCTGTATTTGTCTTTGTACTTACTATTAGCAGCATGTTTTACACCTTCAGATGATTTCTTGTTCATTAATGTCCTTTTCTTGCAGGCTTAAGAACTCTCTTCAGCATTTCTTGTAGTACAGGCCTGGTGATGACACAATCTCTCAGCTTTTGTTTGTCTGAAAAAGTCATTTCTCTTTCATATTTGAAGGATTTTTTTGCTGGATATAATATCCTAGGGTGAAAGGATTTTTTCTTCAGCACTTTGAATATGTCATCCTGCTCCCTCCCGGCCTGTAATGTTTTAGCTCAGAATTCTGCTGCCAGACATATTGGAGCTCCTTTATAGGTTATTTGTTTCTTTTCTCTTACTGCTTTTAGGATCTTTCTTTGACTTTTGAGAGTTTGATTATTAAATACCTTGAGCGAGTCTTATTTTGGTTGGATCTGCTTGGTATGCTATGATTTTATCATACCTGGATATTTATGTCTTGCTCTAGGTTTGAAAAGTTCTCTGTTACTATTTCTTTGAGTAAACTTTTTACCCTGATTTTCCTCTTTATCTCCTCTTTAATGCCAATGACTCTTAGATTGGCTATTTTGTGACTATTCTAGATCTTGTAGACATGTTTTATTATTTTGTATATTTTCCTCCTCCGAGTGTGTTTTTCATATAACCTCTCTTCTCATTCACCCTTTCCTTTGCTTGATCAATTCTGTTGTTGAGAGATTCTAACGCATATTTCAGTTTGTCAGTTGAATTTTTCAGCTCTGTCATTTCTGCTTGATTGTCTTAATTATTTCAATCTCTTTGTTAATTTTCTTTTATAGAATTCTGAAATCATTCTCTGTGTGGTCTTTACATTTTATTGAACTTTCTGAAAACAGCTATTTTGAATTCTCTGCTTGAATGTTCACATATCTCCATCACTCTGGGATGGATCACCGAAGGCTTATTTAATTAGTCTGGTGAGGTCATATTTTCCTGAATGTTCTTGATGCTTTTGGATATTTGTTGATGTCTGGGCATTATGTAGTTAGGTATTCATTCCAATCTCAGCAGTCTGGGCTTATTTGCACCCATTTCTCTTGAGAAGGCATTCCAGGTATTCAAAGAGAATTGAATGTGGTAATCTAAGCCTGTAGTCATTGCAGTCATATTACCACTAGGGGGCTCCCCAAACCCGGTAACCCTGTGACTCTTGCAGACTCCTAGCAGCACCCTCTTGGTGGGCCTGGGTAAGATCAGAGAGAATTCCCTGGGCTATCAAACAAAATCTCTCCCTCTCTTCCCTCTCTTTCTCTCATCAAGAGTCTCTCTCCATGCTGGGCTCCCTGGAGTAGGGGGAAGAGTGATGAAAGCACTCCTGTGGCCACCGCTGCTGGCACTGCACTGAGTCACACCTGAAGCCAGTAAAGTGCTGGGTCTCACTCAAGGCCTGTGGCAACTACTACCCGGCTACCACTGATGTTTATTCAAGTCTCAAGGGCTCTTTAGTCAGCAGTTTGTGAATCCTACCAGGACTGGGTCTGTCCCAACAGGGCAGCAGATTCCCTTCTGGTCCAGAGTAGGTCTAGAAATGCTATTAATATATGATCTATGGCCTGGAATCAGGGGCTTCAGAAATCTTTTAAATTTCTTCAGGAATATTACAGTGGCTGAACTGGCACTGGACCTGCAAGACAACGTCCTCGGGACTCTTCCCTCTGCTTTCCCAAAGCAGAAGGAAACTCTTCTCAAGCTGCACTGCCTGGAGTTTGGGGAGGGCAGACAGGTACTCCCATGGCCACCACAACTGGTGTCTCACTGGGTGATGCGCAACCCAAGTCCACTGCCTCTGAGCCTAGTGCAGCAACAGGGCTTGCCCAAGGACTGCATCCTTGTGGCCTGACTGCCTCTCAAATTTATTCTGAGACCCAGGCCGCTTTAGTCAGCGAGTTGGGGAGCCAGCCAGAATTTGAGTTCCTTCCACTGGGGCTAAGAATTAGCCTCTGGCTGTGGCTGGTCTAGTTGCTTTTTCTGTGGGCACCAGCAGAATTCTGCCGTTTTGTGTTCCACTGTGACAGAGCAGAACTGAATTCCAAAGCAAAGTTCCACAATCACTTCACTCTTTTTCTTCCAAGTATAGATTATCTCTCTGCACGATGCTGCAGGGGCTTGGAGGATGGGTGGTGTATCCAATGCAAAACTATGTTTCTTACCTTCTTAAAACCACATTCCTTGATATTAGATTGGTGCAAAAGTAATTGTGGTTTTTACCATTAAAAGCAATGGCGAAAACCGTGATAATTTTTGCACCAACCAATATTATGTTAAACCAGGTGCTGTAATCACTAACCTGATTTTTTTTGGTTCTTATGATGGTGTTGTCTTGCATGAACAGTCATGTAATTGGTGTTCCTGTGGCAGGGGACAATCACTATAGGGTTCTATTTGGCCATCTTATTCTCGTCCTTCTCTCTTTCTTAGTCTAGCTAGAGGTTTGTCAATTTTGTTTATCTTTTCAAAAGACTAGCTTTTTGTTTTATTGATCTTCTGGGGGTTTTTTTCGTCTCAATTTTATTTATGTTTTGCTCTGATCTTTATATTATTCTTTTCCTTCTAGTAATTTGGAGTTTGGTTGGTTCTTGCTTTCCTAGTTCTTTGAAGTCCATTATTCATTTGTTAATTTGAAGTCTTTCTACTTTTTTGATGTAAGCATTTATTGCTATAAACTTTCCTATTAGTGTTGCTTCTGATGCTTATCATAGCTTTTGATATATTATGTTTCCAATTTTATTTGTTTCAAGAAATTTTTTTAATTTTCTTTTAATTTCTTCATTGACCTTTTGTTTGTTCCAGAGCATGTAATTTAATTTCCATGTATTTGTACATTTTTCAAATTCCTCCTGTTTTTGATTTCCATTTTCATAGTGTTTTGGTCAGAAAAGGTGCTTGATAGGATTTTAATGTTGTTGCACTTACTGAAACTTGTTTTTTGGACTATAATACAGTCTTTCTTTGAGAATGTTTCATGTGCTGATGAGAAGAATGTGAATTCTGTAACAGTTGGATGAAATGTTCTGTAAAAGACAGTTAGATACATTTGGTCTAGAGTGCAGTTTAACTCTGATGTTTCCTTGTCAATTTTCTGTCTGGATGATCTGTCCAACACTGAAAGTCGGGTGTTGAAGTCCCCAACTACTATTGGATTTCAATCTCTCTCTTCCTTTATATTTATTAATATTTACTTTATATATTTGAGTGCTCTGGCATTGAATGCATATATATTTATAATTGTTACATCTTCTTGCTGAACTGACCACTTCATCCTTATATAACAAACTTCTTTGTCACTTTTTACTGTTTTTTACTTGATGTGTATTTTATCTGAGAGCAGCATAGTTACTACTGCTCTTTTTGGGTTTCTATTTTAATGTAATATCTTTTTTCTGTCTCTACACTTCCAGTCTATGTATGTCTTTATAGGTGAAGTAACATTAAGCATATAATTAGGTGCTGGTTTTTATCTATTCAGTCACTCTATGTCTTTTAATTGGAGAATTCAGTCCATTTACATTCAATGTAATTATTGATAAGTAAGGACCTCCTAGTGCCATTTTATTACTTGTTTTCTGGTTGTTTTTTTTTTAACTCCTCTCATCCTTTCTTCTTTTTTAATGTCTTCCTTTATGGTTAGGTGTTTTTCACTGGTGGCATGTTTTAATTCCTTTCTTTTCATTTTAAGTGTTTCTATTATAGAATTTCTGCTTGTGGTTACCATGAGGCTTACAAAAAAAAACTCTATAGCAAGCTATTTTGAACTGATGATAACTTTTATCATAAGGAAAAGAAGCAAACAAACAAAGCAACAACTAAACAATTTTACACTTTAACTCCATCCACCCACAATTACGCTGTTGCCTCAATTATCATCTTTTTATATCATATACTTCTTAATAAAGTATAGTAGTCAACATCAGTTTTGATAAATTTGAGTTTTTAGTCTTTACACTAAAAGTAAGGTCCATTTACATGCCACAATTACAGCATTAGAGTATTCTGAATTTGCCTGTGTACTTACTTTTATCATTGAGTTTTATAGCCTCAGATGATTTTTTCTTGCACATTAGCATCTTTTTCTGGCTAATTGAAAACTCCCTTTAGTATTTCTTGTAACACAGGTCTGGTGGTGATGAATTCCCTCAATTCTTGTTTTTCCTGAACAGTCTTTATCTTTTCTTCATGTTCGAAGGATAGCTTTTCTGGGCACAATATTTTTTTTTTCCCTTTGGTACGTGGAATATGTCATCCCTCTCCCTCTTGGCCTAAAGGGTTTCTGATGAGAAGTCCATTGTCAGAGAAATCAGAACTCCTTCATATGTTATTTGCTTCTTTTGCTGCTTTTAGGATCCTCTCTTTGTCCTTGACCTTTGAGATTTTTCTTATCATATGCCTTGGTATAGGCTTCCTTTGGTTGAACCTGTTTGGTGATACTTGACCTTCCTGTACCTGGATATTTATATGTTTCTCTATGTTTGAAAAGTTTTCTATTATTGTCTCTTTGAATAAACTTTCTACCCCTTGCTCTTTCTCAACTCCCCCTTAAAGGCCTATGACTCTCAGATTTTCTTTTTTGAGGCTATTCTGAACTCATATGCATTCTTCACTTTTGACATTTTTTTCTTTCCTATAAATGTGTATTTTCCACATATCCTGTTTTCATGCTCACTAATTTGCTCTTCAGCTTGATCACTTCTGCTGTTGAGACCCTCCATGTGTTTTTCATTTTGGCTATTGTATTTCTGTTCCAGAATTTGGGTCTTTTAATTATTTAAATATCTTTGTTAAAATTCTCTGATAGATTCATTTATCGCTTTTCTGTGCTTTGAGTTTACTGAGTTTCCCCAAAACTGCTACATTGAATTCATGAGCCGAGAGCTCACACAGCATTATCTCATTAGGGTCATTAGCTGGCTCCTTGTCTTGACCATTTGAGGAGGTCATGGTTCCCTGTTTGCTCATGTTTCTGATGGACATATGCCTATGTCTTTGCATTGAAGGAATAGTTGTTTATTCCTGTCTTCACTGTCTGGCTTGGTTTGCTTTTGCTAGGGTATGTCTGTCTAGAGGTTTTGTGTCAATTGACTATTGAGTTTCCTTAGCTTGAGATTGCTGCCTCCTTTTTGGCACTAGATGTCTCCCTAAGCCTGGGGTTGCTAAGGCTGTTGGAAAATTTGGAGCACTGCCTGTCCTGGACGGGACTTCACGAAGAACATACCCTGGCTTTGTGAGAAGGCTGGCTACAAGTCTGTGGCCCAAAGGATCTCTGTAGAGTGCCACCTACTGTGTGGTGCTGCTAAACAGCCTCTCTGATTTGATGTCTCTTTTGGCTGCAATAAAGAAGAGGCACTAAGTTTCATGTGCAGGGTGGTGCTAGCCACATCTTCATCCTTTCTCTAGCTATCCTCAGGAGTTTTCACCCTACAGGCACTTGTGATTCTTCTCATGGAGTGAGGCAGGAATGGTTTTCTTGTGAAGGAACCCAAGTTTGTGGGCAAGCTGAATATCCACCTCAATGTCACTTTTCCAGTGTAGAAACCATGAGTTCTAGAGATTTTTTTGCACAGTGCTTCGGGGAGGACTATTGCAGTTAGAGAGCTCCATTTTTTTTTAACCTTCTGCTCATGATTTTTCACTTATCTTGGGCCCAGGAGTCATCACGACCTTGATTTTGAGTTTTAAGATATTACTGGTGTTAGTCTTGTACATTTACTTATAATTACAATTAATGTTTTTGCACATACTCTGTGCGTATCTCTAGACATTTTACTATTGCTTTCATTGACTTCACGAGTTTGCATAAAATCCTTACATATTCCATATGTTTATCTTTGCCTCTTTTCTACATTTCAAATATTTTCTTCCAATTTTTCTCATTATCTTTACTTGTAAGACATTTAAAATCTTATGCTGTCAAATTTATCAATCTTTTTTATAATTACTTTTATCTTCAAGAAATCCTTCTCTACCTTTAGGTAATAAAATTAGTGTCGTATTTATTTTCTAAAATGTTTATAGCTTTGATTTCTCATTTAGGTATTTATCTATCTTTTTTTTTTTGTAAGTGAATGCTCTCAGAAATAATAGTTATAGCCTCCTCCATAACTCTTTCCCCAAGTAGATAACCTATTTTCCCAACACCATTTAAAAAAAAATATTCCACCTTTTCCCCACTGGCTTACAATGGCTTGTTTCTTGAATACAAATTCCCATATTTGATGTGTCTGCTTCCAGAGTCTCTCTTCATTTCCATTCATCCAGTCATGAATTAGTATACCATTATCATTCCTTTTAAAAATTCACTAGATACCTTATTGTCAAACTACCCACATTGTTTAACATTTCTTCAAATTACCATGTCGTCTTGTCTATATTTTATGACAGATAAATTTTTAAATCATCTTGTTAGGCTTCTTTTTTTAAATCTATTTTCTTAAACTGTTGGGATATTATTTGGGATGGCCTTGAATTTACGGATTCATTTGCAATACCCATCTATCACATCAAGGAACATGGTGTATCTCTCACTTAATGTACCTTTTTTTTTTTTTTTTGATACAGAGTCTTGGTCTGTCGCCCAGGCTGGAGTGCAGTGACATGATCTCGGCTCACTGCAACCTCTGCCTCCCAGGTCCAAGCGATTCTCCTGCATCAGCCTCCCGAGTAGTAGTTGGGATTATAGGCGTGCACCACCACAACCATCTAATTTTTGTATTTTTAGTAGAGACAGGGTTTTGCCATGTTGGCCAGGCTGGTCTTGAACTCCTGGCCTCAAGAGATCCACTCGCCTCAGTCTCCCAAAGTGCTGGGATTACAGATGTGAACCACCACACCCAGCCCGTACCTTTTCTTTATAGCCTTCAGTGATGTTTTATGTTTTTTCCTGTAGTTCTTGCATGTATATGCCCATATGAAGATAATTTATGGATTTGGGACTATTGGCAGTGTATGGGACAACACTTGATATTTGTGGAATGATACAGACTTTTCTGTATCATTCCACAGAATTGTTCAATTAGTTAAACATAACTTATTAGTTCTGAAATTTTAATCGTTGATTCTTTCAGATTACTTAAATAGGAAAAAAAATCCAAACTTTTATTTCTAGTCTCATTAACTGACAAGATCTTTGTTGTACTAGTGAATGTTAGTGGCAACTGTAGTTATAATGGTTTCAAAATTTAAGTATAGTGATTCCTATAGCTTTTTCATACATATAGTATTTATATAGTTAAGAGCACTCCTATTTTAGTTTTTACCAGTTATAAAGGTTCAATGTGTCAATACTTGCTGCACAACTAGTAAGGATGTTATGTCTGCTATTTGTATTTTCTCACCTCCTATTGGGTATAGGGTCTCAGTTGATGTGGACACCTGGAGATCTGCAGTGTCATGGCAGCTGCACTGTTGGAGAGGGTTAAAGAGTGTAAAAACTGCCTTAGGTCTAGAAATTGTACAAGAATTTGTGCTTTTTTTATTTGAGCAACTTCCCTCAGACCCCTTGGTCATTTATACTTAATTTTTTTTTTTTTAGCTGGTACAAGCAAAGTAGTATCCTTATCATCTGTCTCTCTACTTTTGCATAGGGGCACCATGTTCTATTAATCATCTCCATGACTCTCAACACCTCCAACCTCCTTGGCTGTCTTTGTTAACTTGCGTATCATTATGACAACGTGAACCCTTGGCTTCTGGTGGTTAAGAGCTGCCACATCACTATTGTTTCAGAGTCTTATGTTCCCAAATCCTGCAACAAGCCAAGATCTTCAGCAGCATCTCCTATACTCAGTTCCTACATATAGTACAAAAGAGGAGAGTCACTGTTGAACTTCTTAGAGATTCTAGTATCTCCTTTAGCAGTGCATTCTTTATGGCTTCAGTAAATGGTGTGTCCTCTGGTCTTTGGCATGGAATGAATGTACTCGTCTGGAGGGGCTTCTGTTCACACATAGTTTATCAACTGCAGCATGTACATATCCCTGACTCATTTAATCCCTTCCAGCACAATATACCACAACAATTCTTGCATTTCAATCTCACTTAGCATGGGCTATTACATTTTCAATGCTCCTATGAGTCATCTTGCACTGGTCTCCCTCCTGCTTACTATGCTGTAATCACACTTAGAAGCATTGCTATTTGTTTTGACTCCAATAGTCCCAGCTCCTTCCTCACTCAAAGCCTTCCAAAGAGTTATTCTCTCAGTCTGAGGGACACCTCCCAACTTCTCCCACTGTTCCTTGCCTGGCTAATTCATGTTCACCCTTCCAATTTCAACTTAATCACCACTGACTCGAACAAGCTCCCCCCACCGCAACCCCCGATCTGATCTCCCCTACAGTAGGTCAAGACCTTGTGATATTCTCCCATAGCTTTCTGTACTTCATTGTGTATGTGAATCCCAATTTTACTTGCTGAGACTAACTTAATGCCTGCTTTGCCAGCTAAATTGAAAGCTTCATGAGGGTAGAGATCCCGTCTACTTGTTTACTTCTGTGTCTTCAAGCTTTCTCTTCCTAAAATATATTTTCCTGCATTCTTGACTAAAAGTCTCTGTAGTTTTTTTAGACTTCTAATCCTGGTTCTTACGCTCATGTGATTCGCTCTGGGCTTTCTTCCATTCTGTGCTATAGTTGCCTAAAGAAAACAGTAATTATTATTAACAACACAATAAAAATTATCACCAACAGTGATGTAACATCCAAACTAAAAATTCCATTCCCTCCGCAGAAAAATGACCAACAAGATAGTTGCTTGTTTCATCTTTGTATCATCCACAGAGCTTGGAAAAGAACATTGAAAAAATTGATTCTTAAATAAATATATGTTGCGTGATTGAGTCCTGAATCTGAGGATGGGGTAAAAAATGTCATTCTTTCTAAATAAAAATATTAATCAAAAAAAAAAAAAGATAGTTGCAAAACTCCCAATGGTCCAGTGTCACCTTGCTCTGAGTCTATTCCAATGAATACTCAATCAAATCTTCTGTATGTCAGCCTCTTTTCCAATTTAAGCAAAAACAGGAAACACCAGAAATTACCCAGAGCCATTCTGTTAATATTCCTCAAAAAGTAGTGTTGTAACTTATGTGCACACAACCAAATGGAGAAAACATCATTTGCCCAACTGCCCAATTTTACATTCTGTGATGCCCATACCCACAAAGTGCATGAAATTTTACTATGATAATAATATCAAACAACAAAAATAACACATTAACAAGAGCAAGTAAGTAAATCTCTTACAAGGGAATAAATCTTGTTAGAATTATTTCCATATAATACTATATTTTCACCATTTTTTCTTATTTAAACTTTCCATTGGTTTTAAACATGTTAACCCCAAAATACAAACACTCAGTTGTTCTGTGAAAAGTCACACCTAATTGCAGTTTCATTCTCACTTAAATTGAGCAGCTTCCTTACTGTGGCATTTTGGTAGCTCTGCCCAGCTGCTTAGTTTTTCTCTCTCCTGGAGGATCCTCTCTTGGAAACTGAGAAATTCCCAGGAGAAATGAGATCCCAGGTGCTTGTAAATACCAGGAGATAAGGTACCTCTGCTGGTCTGCAGCCATCCTGAATCCAGCACTGTTCCATCTTCCACCCTCCCACTCTTTCACCTAAGATGGCACAATTAGTGGTGAGTGACGAATCATTCCAACTCTCATCCTGAAATGTTACAGGGGTCAGGAGAACTTTTGCTCTTTGTGGGTAATAATAGAAAGGATTACTTAATAAAGCATGGAACCTAAAACAGTATGTCAAGTCCCATCATATGCTTATTATCTCACAAACTGAAAGTGGTCATTTCTGCAAAATACACACTCAGAAACACACACTTAAAATAATATGTCCAATATTTAGCCACTTACCTCTATCTTAATGAAGACCCAGTTTCTAAGAGCATTTTGTATTAAAACAGTCATGATGTTTCTTTATCATGCCAACAGACATACGACAATCATGAAAAACCATGGACGTACTTCTGTGGTTTTGAATTATTTAAAGTCCCATGAAGGAGCAGTCAAAGAAATGGATGACGAAGCCGTATTTCACAGCAATTTATCACTATATATTCACACTCAAATATTCATCTCTCCCCAGTATGGACACAGCTACACATTTAAAATCTCTTGTAATTTACTCAACAGGGGCTCACCCATCCAGTCAACACAATATTTTTGTTTTTGTTTTTGTTTTGAAAGCCAAGCACAAAATTGCAGTCTGTGCACAGATGCCTGTGTAGAAACACGATGGGGAGGCCTGCATCTGAGGAAGGCTCTCCTGACAGAGGACATTGCAAAGAGTTTATAAGGAAGCCCTAGGATTGTGGGGGTGAGTGTCCAAGCTCACTATGCTGAGAAGGAAGAAGAGGTGCTGAGTGGGCCAGAGCCTAGGCTCACAGCCCCCTGCTCAATTACAGCTCCTCTGCCATCCTAGTCTTCATGGACTGGGGATTATGCAGACCAAAATGATTGCTACCCTTTCTTAAAGAAATTATTCAGGTGGATAAAAGAATTATGCCAATAAAATATCTGGAAACAACAGCTTACTAGTTTTATGTAAGAGTACTGGACTCAAAGGACCATGGACCAAGTTCACCCATGGGCTGTCTCGTGCAGATGGCGTGAGAGCATTTAAGGTACTTAAAGAGTGATGGCAGAAAGCAGTGGAGTAGTTTAGGGAATGGAAGTGGATACTTTCGGCCTTGGGCAAAAGGGGCCAGGTGGGGGTCCAGGAAGGGGGACTTGTCTTCAGACAACCAATGATAGAGCAGACATAATAGGATATGTAGGACATGAAACTTCCGTGTGTATGGTGGGGATAAGGTTGAGGGAAAACAGGGGATAACAAGTGCTGTTTGGGTACAGATAGGGGGCAGCACGGGGACACTGGGTGGCCCACAGCTGTAGAAGGGTGAATATTAAAAGAGTAGAAGTATGACTCTCTAATTAGCTTTCTGATTTGGTATTTGGGCAATCTTACTACCTTAACTGTAGCAACTTGAATACTAATGTGGCTAGAGCATTAGACAATAAGTTGTCTCTGAGCATATCAGGGTGGCCAAGTTACTGGGGCTATGATGGTCTTGTGTCAATTCCAGGGTTCATATTGAAGATGGAGAATCCAGTGGCATTCTGAATTTAACCTTAAATTCTGACATCATGAAATAGACAGTAAACATATAAACACACTAATCATTAATCATTAGTGATATGGAAAGACATTATCATCAATTCATCATAAGAAAAGATACTAATCATTGATTCATTAATCATTATGGAACTGTGAAATAAAACTACAATGTGAAACCATTACACAAACACCAGAATGGCTAAAATGACATCAAAGAGAAACACCTTGCATTATAGAAAATGTAGAGCAGCCAGGACTTTCTCACAAAGCTAGTCAAAGTAGAAGTTGGTACAACCACGTGAGAAAACCTTTCCCCTGTAGCTATTAAAAACTGAGCAAGTGCATATCCTATGACTCAGTAGTTCAACTCCTAGTTATATACCCAACAGCAATGAGGGTGTATGTTCAGGAAAGGACATGTAAAGGGGTATTCATAGCAGCATTATTCATAATGGTCATAAACTGGCAATAACCCAATTGTCCAACAACAGTGGAGTGGATAAATAAACCACCTCACAATGACACTGAACAACATGTGCTGCTCTCCTTGTCAAACAAGTTGCCTAAGACTTTTCTATGTTTTGTCAACTTTCCATGATTAAATTTGTATTGCTTTAAAACAATGCTGAAAGAAAAACTAAAGGAAAAAAGCCATATAAACCCCATATTAATCATTTCTACTGAAACGAAGTGTCTGTGGCTCCAGGCAAGGCCGTTTGAACATTTGATCTTTCCAAGCCACACTGTTCAGTCAATCCGATTGTCTTATGTCAAAGCACCTGACCTTCAGAGCTCCCCTCACAGGGTTCAGGTAATCCCCTTGTGCCTCTTCCATCTTCCACAGATGTTTCAAGTTCGTTCACTAGACAAGATGTGGGCTAGAAGTCTCTAATTAGACATTCCTCTTTCTGAACACATCTTCCTCTCCCACCAGCCTGCCTAGAGAACTGCTCTTACAACATCACCTGTTCTTCATCCACACAGGAACTTCCATCTGTCCTGTTGTCCTTCACATGAGCGAATGGCACAAGCAGGTTGGGCTCTGAGTGTTCAGAATGACTTGCTGTAAGGATTCTGGTAGTCTGAGATTGCCTTGAGGTTAACCTTGGGCTGCCTGGGGCACTCCTGTGTTCTCTGTTCCTCCCACTAGGTCAGGCTTACAGCTGACCTCTAAGACGTTAATCCCTCACAACACACACACTGCTTAATGCTATTCACTGTCTTGTGATGTCTTGGGCCATCTGTGGAAGTGAGGAAGCTCTGTCCTTCTGAGGGAGTGGTAGGAGAGCTACCTCAGCATCCCTGAGTGGGTTCAGGAAACTAGCTGATCCTAAGCTTGTAAAAATGCCAGGTGATACCAACATGACAGGAATGCAGTCCTCAAGGCACTTGCTGACTTTATCCCTCCTGCTCATCCCTTCTTCACCCTTCTGCCCATATCCCACTGCCCAAGTTGTTTTGCAAATCCTGCTTTTGGGAGTAGGCAATGTGTGGCATGGGTCAAGACCCACTCTATGACGACTATGAACTGAGAGAAGGCAGAAACAAACTTTCCTTGCTGATGTCAGCTGTTCTCTGAAAATGGATGAAGGGTGTGAATATGAACAAATTCCAGGGAGGAGAGAGTGAGGACAACTGTCCCCTGGAAGGTTGTTATCCTCCAGTATCTGGAAATCTTCCTTTACCTGGGAACTGAACAGGGCTATCTTTTTTTTTTTTTGAGACAGGGTCTCTCTCTGTTCCCCAGGCTGGGGTGCAGTGGCGTGATCATGGCTCACTGCAGCCTCAACCTCCCAGGCTCAAGCAATCCTCCCACCTCTCAGCCTCCCAAGTACCTGGGACTACAGGCGTGCAGCACCACACCTGGCTAATTTTTGTACTTTTTGTGGAGAAGACATTCTGCTATGTCTCCCAGGCTATGAACAGGGCTTAGAGTGTGGCATCAGAGGTGGATATATACACTGGAAGTCCCTTGCCCTGAAACATGGAAAACATGCAAACCAGGAGTCATACCATAACCTGAATTGCTCCTTGCACTGAAGGCAGTCCTCCATTCTTTGCCCCACATCCCCAACATGACCACTACTTTTGCACAGCATATCGAGTGGCTGTTGAACTGGTTTTATTCCTTCCAGTTGCCTGCAGCAGTTTCTAAAATTGCTTTCATTTTCAAAGAAATACAAATACAACTATCTTTTGACCCAACAGTTCCATTACTGAGGATATACCCAAAGGAAAATGAATCATTCTACCAAAAAACAAAAAAACAAAAAAGCACACATGCACCCGTATGTTCATTGCAGTGCTATTCACAACAGCAAAGACATGAAATCAACCTAAATGCCCACCAATTGTGGACTGGATTAAGAAAATATGCTACATATACACCATAGAATAAGACACAGCCATAAAAAAGAATGAGATCGTGTCCTTTGCAGGAACATGGATGCAGCTGGAGGCCATTCCCCTGAACAAACCAGTGCAGGAACAGGAAACCAATTATCACATGTTTTCACTTACAAGTGGGAGCTTAACATTGGGTGCACATGAACATTAATGGAAACAGTAGACACTGGGGACTATAAGAATGGGGAGGGTGGGAGAGGGGCAAGGGTGAAAAAACTACCCTTTGGGAACTATCCTCACTACCTGGGTGACAAGTTCAATCATATCCAAAACCTTAGCAGCACACAATATAGCTGTGTAACAAACCTCCATGGGTACCCCCGAATATAAAATAAGTTGAAAGAAAAACAACAAAAAATGCTTTTATTGCTAAATGTGTTCACCCTGCCTCAAATTTCATTTCATTTTGCTCTGATTTTCATATAACTCTCTTTCTTCACTCTCTTTTTTTTTTTTTTGAGACTCGCTCAGCCTGGAGTGCAGTGGCTCGATCTCGGCTCACTGCAACCTCCGCCTCCTGGCTTCACGCCATTCTTCTGCCTCAGCCTCCCGAGTAGCTGGGACTACAGGCACCCACCACCATGCCTGGCTAAGTTTTTGTATTTTTAGTAGAGATGGGGTTTCACCGTGTTAGCCAGGATGGTCTCGATCTCCTGACCTCATGATCTGCCCGCCTTGGCCTCCCAAAGTGCTGGGATTACAGGTGTGAGCCACCGTGCCCAGCCCTCTTTCTTCACCTTTCTTAAGTGGTTTATCGCTGACGGACTCTACAAAATTGTTCTTTACCCCAGAATTCTGACATCTATAAATGTTTGAGTGAAGTACTCAAGAAGCTGTTAGGCTGGGTTACCACATTTCCATAGGTATGGCCAGTAAGGAGGCCTTGAGTCCAAATGGATTTGGACACTTTATTATGCATTACATGGCAGGCCACATGAGCTTCATGTTTACATCAGTTACTGTGGTTCCCCAAGTCCTACCTAGTGGTCTGTGACACAGCTGAGGAATTCTGAGCTTAGGAATTTCCCAGTCTTATAAGGGCACAGCTAACATACCTGATCCAATGTTGCCATGGAAGAAGCCATTATCATTATTATTCTAGTTAGAAAACAAATCTGCCCTCTGACCGAGAGAGAGACATTAGCTATAATCTCCTTGCAATGTCTCTGGGTTGGGCAGGAGACTCAAGCATTATTACACTGGAATGTAAGCAAATATGCTTCCTGACCTGGAACAACTTTGCAAATATCCTCAAACAGAGCTGTAAATGTCATTTGTTGAGAAGATGTGCAGAAACACCAGGCCCATGCCTTTGGGTGGAGAAGGGAATGCCACCTGGATCAATTAAAAAAAGGTCATTTTGAAAATTCAACATTCAATCTTAATGAAATTTCTCATTAATAATTATCAGGCAAGCAACCTAGATGCCTGATATCACCACTTCAGTCAAGACTTTACTGCACATTCTATCAAATTATCTAAGACAAAAACAAAAAGAATAGATATGAATAATGAATAGAAGAGCAAAATTTTATCACCATTTTCAGAAAATTTCATCATCCACCAAGAGGAGTAAAATGTAGGAGAATCAATGGAAAAATATCAAAAGTAAAATAGAAGAGTTTATTGAGTGGGAATTACATCAAATAAATATACAAAAGTTTACAGTTTTCTACATGCAGCCTATCACAAATTAGAATATAGTAAAAAAAAAGAGTGCATTCTAAACAGTAATTATAAATAATAATATATCTAGAAATAAACTTAGGAAAAATGGTTCCATTGTTAAACAAAAGAAAATGAAAAACTTTAATGAAGGTCATGAAAATTCTGAACACATGAATATGTCATATTCTAATAAAACCTGCATGAGATATGAGAAAATGTTTAGGATTATAATTGAACTTAAAGGTGAACTGGATAAATACACAGCAATGTAACAGCTGTAAAACCAAGATTGGATTGAAGAAAAGCAGATAATGAACAGGGAATTGGCTTAAGTGATAGCAAAGTTAATGCAACAGTTAAGCAGTATGGTTCTGGATTAGGAACTGATAAATTGATTAATGGAAAAGGATAGCAGGTCCAGAAATCAAACCCTGTATACATGAAAATGTCACACACACACACACACACACACACACATGCTATAGGGGAAGGGAAAGGAAAAGAGACAGAACAAGTCTGACTGCATTCTGAAGAAGCAGCAGAACTCATTCCTGCAGAAAACTTTCTTACCTTCAGAACAAATGAGGCTCTATAGAGCTCCGTCACCACCAGCCCTGCTGTCAGCCCTGGAAGATCCCAGGAAGGGGAGGCCAACTGACTCTGGCAGTGCATCCTCACTCCTCCTCAGGAGACTGGGAGGTAAGGGTGTTGGTTTTCGGAACAGAAGCCTCAGATCAGCAATGGATCCCAGGCCCTGATTGCAGCCAAGGGGTTGACCACAGCATGAGGACCCATGTTGTACTAAAGCCAGATAGAGTGGGCCCTGGAGTCTGGCTGGCCCCTGCTGTCATCCCCTGGAGACCCCAGGCAGGATGAGATTCCTCAACTTCCCCATCAGAGGTCTCCTGGAGGTGAGAGCCATGGTCTGAGGGGTCAGGACTCAGATTAGTAGAAAAGAGAAAGTCTATTCCATTCCAGGAATCACGGTGAGGACCCCGAGTGAGTATTCAGGGGATCAGTCGCTCTGGAGCAGAGAGGATGCCAGAGTCCCACCCCTGCTGTCGGCTCTGGAAGGCCTGGGAAGGGCTAACAAGATGAAATGTTTCCTTGCTTCCCTGCAGGTGTCTCAGGATGGTGAGGCCTTGGGTAAGTGGTGGTGGAGGACTCAGTTCAGCAGAAGGGAGGCCACCCATTCCCTGCCAGGTACCAAGGCACAGACCCTGGATGAAGATGAAAGGCACAACCCACCCCAGAACAGAGGGGGTCCCACAAAATCTGACTTCTGTGGTCAGCCATGCAAGGCCCCCAGTAGGGCTATCTCACTGAGGCCTCCACTGGCTTTCTCCTAAAGAGGCTCTCTGTGTGGCTCAGACTGGATCTAAGGGGTTGACCTCAAGTGAGCAGAAAGAGGAGACCCAGGTCCTCCTAGAAGTCTAGCTGAGGAGTCTGAGGGAGGATGGAGGAGACCAAGCAAACCAGAAGGTGCAGAGACCCTCACCTGTGCTATCTGCTCTCAGAGGCCCAGGGTAGAGGTTACTGGAAGACAGGCATGATCACTTCCTCCTCGGTGTTTTCTCTGCGGTGGGGCCTGACAGCAAAGGCATCAGGTCAACAGAGGAAGGAATCTCAGATCCTACCAGGAGTCAAGGTGGAGACCTGCAAAGTTCAGCAGCCCCCAAGACCACCCTCACATCTGACACCAACTGCAAATTCGGGTGTCCCCAAGCCCCACCTCAGGTTTGATAATGTGCTAGAAGGACTCACAGAACTCACAGAAAGCTGGCATACTCATGGTTATGGATTATTACAGTGAAAGGATACAGATTAAAATCAGCCAGGAGAAGAGGCACACAGGGCAGAGCCCAGGGAGTTCCAGGCACAGAGCTTCCAGCGTTCCTCTCTGTGTTGAGTCCCAGACAGCACTAACTTCTAGGTATGACAGTACACATGGAGTATTGCTAACTCCAGAAGCTCACCTGAGCCTTTGTGCCCATTGTTTTTATTGAGACTGAGTCGGGTTGACGTGGTTGACCACCCACACAACTAACTTCGAGCATTAGCACCTCTGGAGGCCAAGCGAATACCATGTGACCCAAGGCTGCCATCATAAGTCATTTTCAGCACAGCCTATCCAGTGCGGCCCAAGGTTTCCAGATAAACATGGACACGATGATCAGGCAAGACATCCCAAGGGCTTAGAGACTGCCTCCCAGGAGCCACGGCCAGACCTCTCTCTGGGCAAGGATTTTTCTCTAGGCATTTCCTTGGACAATGTAATCTTTTACCACAAGGTACAATAGAAGAACTAAGGGGGCCTCCCATGCCTGACCAAAGGGATCTCTGCACAACTCCAGCCCTGCCCTCAGTCTCAGAGACCCTGGCAGGGCTGTTTAGCTAAGAACCCTGTCGCTTCTTCTTCTAGACTCTCAAAGAGTTGAGGGCTTGATTTGAAGGGGTTGATCCTAGGTCAGCAGATTGGATGGAGCTAAGGCCCTCCCTTTAAGTTGAGGTAAGAACCCTTATTGAGAATTGAGGAGACCACCACCTCAGATTAGAAGAGAACCAGCACAGTCTGGCCCCTGCTGTTCACTCTGGGAGTCCCCCACCCTCACTCTCTTCTCAGAGATAATAGGAAGTGAGAGCCTTAGTCTGAGGGGACAGTCCTCAGGTTGGCAGATGGCAGGGAGTGCAGGCCCTGCCTGGAGTCAAAGTGAAGACCCTGAGCGAGAATGGAGGGCACCACTCACCCCATCACATGGTGGACTCCACAGAGTCCCATCCCTGCTGTAATCCCTGAGCCTTAGCAGCTCCTGGGAATGGCTTCATTGAGCCTGAGGCATCCCTCCACCTCCTTCTTGGGGTCTCGGGTCTCAGGGTATAGGCCAACAATGTATGCAGGGCATTTCTCACTGTGAGCACTTTCAGCACCCAGGAATAGAGCTCAGGTGTTTCATGGATCCTGCCAAGTACAGTCTCAGTGTCCAGGAGCATGAGGGATTTAGGTAGCCATGACTCATGAGACTGAGGTGCACCCCGGAAGGATAAATCCACCCCAGTCCTCCTGGATATTCCCACCCCTCCACAGGAAGTAGGGAGAGATGGTTTTAAATTCTCTCCTAATTCTACTGCTGGTATTTGGGAGTTTGTGGTTGGAGGATAAACTTGAGCTTTCTCTGTTGAGGGTGGAGAGTGTGGGGGTTTGACGGGGACAGCCTCAGATTGAGCAAGACAGGCCCTTCCAACTGCCAAGGCGATGACCCCTGAATACAGGCTGAATGTGCCACCATCTGATGCTCCTCTCTCAAGGCTGGGAAGCCCAGAGAATGACTGCTTGCTACTGAGGAGCTAGTTCACTCTATCCTCTAGGGTCTCAGGGAATAGAGTGAACAGAAGGACCAAAGCATGGGTCAGTATTCTAAAGCACAAATGGCAGAGACAGCCTTCCTTCAATCCATGGGAGAGATTGCTTGCTGAGGCCCCTCACGTGTCCCTCACTCCATCCTCCTCCTTCCTCCCTGCTCCTCCTCTGGGGCCCCATGTCCTGCCCTCCTGCCCACATTCTTATCAAGGCCCCTGAGCAGAGTCGAGCTTGGGGCTCAGAAGAGTTGAAGCAGAGCCCACAAGAAACACTGCCAGGCCTGAGGTGAGAACCAGGCTCTTGAGGCTGAGGAGGAGGCCTTCTCCCCACTCTCCTGTTATCAGATCACAGGCTGCTAAGGGGAAACCTGCTGGTGGGACACTCAATGCTCCTCCATGTCCTTGGAATCCCCGTTTCACCTCCACTGCCACCTTACCTCCCTCAGGGAACAGCTCAGGTGAGGGAGCAAGCAGCCACGAGGAAAAGCAAGGGCCCCACCCCTTTCTGAGTTCAGGCCCAGGGACCTCTTGAGCAGTAATGTGGCTGAGTTGGAGGTGTTCCTGCTGCTCGAGAACCAGAAGAAGGAACCCACACAAAAGGCAGAAATGCTGAAGCATATCATCCAACAGCAAATGGATCACTTCCCTGAGGTCCTCAGCAAAGCCTCTGAGAGCCTAGAGTACTCTTTGGCCTTGAGTTGAATGAGGCGAACACAGATGCCAGGAAGCAATGTGACATCCTCATCAACAAAGTAGAACTTTCCTCTGCTGAGGGACTGAGTGAGTAAAGACTGGGGCTTGCTCCAAACTGTTATTCTAGACCTAGTTTTCATGGAGGGCAACTTTGCTCCTGAAGAGGACATCTGGAATATGCTGAGAGAGTTGAAGATGCTGAGGGGAAGCACATCATTTCTGAAAGTCCCAGAAAGCTTTTCGTTGAAGATGTTTTGCAGCAACAATATCTGAATTTGAGGCAGATGCCCAACAGGGATCCTATATGCTACAAATTTCTGTGGGGCCCTCATGACCACACTGAACCCAAAACCGTGTACATTTTGGGGTTTGTGGACAAAATTATTCACGTTGACTTCTGGTCCTACAGTTCAGTGTGCAAAGAGGTCCTGAGAGAAAATCAGGACAAAGTCCAAGCCAGGATTTCAGGGAATAGGGGTACTAATGCCATGGAGTGTGCAGGGGTCAGGGCCATTGCCAGTTGTACAACTGGTGCCAGTGCTATGGCCAGCAGGAAACATAAGTCAGGCTGAGGCAGGTAATTCACTCTGTTTTTAAAGTAGGCACTCAAATATGCTGTAGTGAGAAGTAGTGAATAGCTGCATGTGTGAGGGGAACACAAATGGTGTTCCATTGCTGTTCGCTATGGACTGAATTGTGTATCCCCAGCATTTATATGTTGAAGCCCTAACCCCCAATGTGACTTGGAGGTAGAGCCCGGAAGAAGGTAATTAAGGTTAAATGAGGTTGTAAGGGTGGAGCCTTAATTCAATAGGATTATTGCCCTTCTAAAAGGGTAGTAAAATGTCCGGCTGACAAAAGGCCGAGTGGCAATGCCTTCTGGAGTGGGGATCATGTATTCTAGAGGAAAGAGTTTTAGGGACCCTGAATAGGGTTGGGCGAGGAAGGTCTACAGATATCTAAATATAGGAATACATGGAATTCCTTTCGTGTGACATAAAATGTCTGCTATACATAAGATTCTACACTTCTATCTTTAACAGAATTGTGAGGTATGCAAAAGGACTGGGTATATTAGATTTAAATAAGCAAAGCAAAGGTATGTGTCCTGCTTTCATAAGCTAATAACAACTCTGAAAACCTCTAAAGCAATGAGTGTAATGAGCACTATGTGGGGAGTGTAAGCTTTCATCTGGATATAGGCCTGGTCTGGAGTCTCAGGGGAAGCAGTTTCCTGTAGCCGTGGGCTTCTTCTCATCCTGGTGTTGGAGCTCCAGGCATCTTGCATTTGGTATCAGGTATTGGGGCTGAATTCCAGACGTCTGCATGTGCCTTTTGTAGGTGGGATATGTGGATCCAGCAGTCAATGACCTGTAACTTAGCAACACATAGTTGAGTCAGGAGTACCAGGAATGGACCTTTGCTGCGGGGCTTGAGGAAGTTTTTTAGCTGGCGTCTTTTCTAGTAAATGAAGTCTCCTAGCTAGAGTTCATGATATCAGAGTTCATCTTTTGATGGACGACCATAGAAGGATTCCACAACCAGTTTATGGCGAGTTGTTAGAGCCTGAATGAGTCCTTGGCAGTAGGTCAGGAGGTCTCCTTGTAACTGAGTAGGGTAAAACATTCCCTCAGTTAAATGCATGGGATGGCCTGCGACAATCTCAAAATGGGAGAGGTGGTGTTTTCCAGAGGGGGTAGACAGCAGGATCAGTAGAGCTAGACGGAAAGCCCTAGGCCACGACAGATTAAGAGTGTTTGTAATCTCAGGCAATGGGCTCTTTATTATTCCATTGATTCATTCTACAAGCCCAGAAGACTGTGGGCAGTAGGTGGATGGAAGTGTTACAGAATAGGCCAGACATCACAAACTCATTCTAATGCTTGGCTAGTAAACTATGTTCCTCAATCACTGTGGAGTTCAGTAGGAACTTCCCAAGTGGGGATAATTCTTTCAAAAAGAATTTTGGCTAATACGGCCATGATTTGTTTGTAAGCAAAGGCCTCTACCCAATGGGAATACATACCTATCATCTCAAGTACATACTTGCACCCAAGTGAGGAGGGGTACTTAGATAAAATCAAGTTGCCAGCTTGCAAAAGGGCCATTTGGCAAGGGGAATTCTTTGGGGGCAGCCTTTGGGAGCTTCCCAGCATTATACAAAGAACAGATTTTGCAACATTTATAGATTTGAGAAGCAACCACTGGGAGAAGACCCCAATTGTACTGTTTTCCCCACTGGATTATTTTGTAAAGGCTCCAATGGGTGAGGTTATGTTTAAAGGTATGAGTGGCCCTTTGTAAATTTTCTGGAAGGACAGGATGAATGTTAAGCCTCTTCCATAACTGAGATTATGATTTGTAGGTATAACCCTGTTTTGCCCATTTTTTCTTTTTTTCTTTTTTTTTTTTTTGCCATCTGTGGACATCTTTTGAGACCTTGAGAGTCTGGAGAAAAGTTTTTTGGAAGGTACAAAAAACTTCTGAGAAGAAGCCTCAGGCAGAGTATATCAAGGTTGTGTCATCAAGGAGAAATTAGGGATCCAAGCTCTATGGCAGACCACAAGTCCCCAGAAACCCCTAAGTTACCTTTTAGTATTGGGCAAGGGAAAAGAATATATGCCTTGAAAGCAGGTGAAGTCAGTGTTTACTCTTGATGCCCAAGGAGCTTGATGGAGTCCCAGCAAAAATGTCATTTGTCTTAGAGCCTTGTGTGCCTTAAGGGCTAGCTGGTGAAGTAAGAGGCGAGTGTCAGTGTGGCAAGCCTTTTGAGAGAGGGAGCATAAAAGCAAGTCATCAATGTATTGTAATGGAGTCAAATTATCTGGGAAGGTTATTTCTTTTAGGTCAGCCTGCAGAATCTGGGAAAGGTGGGAAGGGCTTTTGGTGTATCCTTGGGAAAGCACCATCCATGTAAATTGTTAGCCTTTCCAAGCAAAGGCAAAAAGAAACTGACTTTTGGGGCCGACAGGAGGACTGAAGAAGGTGCCGCAGAGATCAATAGTGGAGAAACAGTGAGTGTCAGGAAGAATCGTGGGTAAGAGTGGTTGTGGATTAAGTACAACAGGGTATCAGGGACAGACAATGTTGTGGATAGCTCTAAGATCCTGGATGCATCTCCGTCCCTTCATATTAGGCTTACAGACTGGCAGAACGGATGTGTTACAAGGAGTGGTGTAGAGGACTATGAGTCCGTGGAAAATGAAACCGCTGACTATAGATTCTATATCAGCCTAAGTTTCAGAATTGAGGGGACATTGTTTTAAATTTGGAAGAGGACTGTTAGTGTCTATCTGTATAGAAATAAGTGATGCTGAATGGAACAGGCCAACAACTGCATCCACTTTCACCTAAAGAGTTTCAGGCAGTTGTTTTAGAATTGGGTGTTCAGTGACAACTGCATAGCTAGAAACTAGCAGGGAGGAGATATGAGTGACACTGGAGGCTGAAACCTTGGCTGGGGAGACTTCTAAGACGATATCTCCCCTCTGGGTGAAAGAAATGTGGGCTTGGTGTCTTTGAGAACGTCTCTCACTATCAGGTGGATTGGGGCAGAGAGGACAACAGCAAACTGTGTTGGCCGGCAAGGGGCCCTAATTGATAAGAAACTGACTCAGACTTAAAGGCGGTCATAGTTTGGTTAGTGACCCTCACTATTTCAATTGTTTGATTACTCTGAGGGGGGTTTGAAAAGGAGTTGAGGGTAAGCACCAAGAGCAGAGCTCCAGTGTTGACTAGAGCTTGGATCAATTTGCTGTTGATTTTAAGACCACCTTCTCCTACTTAGTTAGGAAAGGAAAAAATCCCCCTCATTTCCCCCAGAGAGTCCTCAGTTTTATCCAACAAAAACTTCTTACAATTTCTCACGAGTAGGAGGGGTTCCTTGCCTTACTTGGGTATTTCTGAAGCCATTGTTTGTATTTTTCCCAATCTCATTTTATATATTCAGGACCCTTACAGGAAAAGCAAATCATGCCCTTTAAAGTAGACAAGGCTACTGCTTTCTGTCTATTTTGTGGGGCTTGCTGATTTGAGGCTTTGAGTTGTTGAATATGTAAGGCCACAAGTTTAGTAGTCTTTTCCTCATTTCTGCTTTAGCCTCTTTTTCTTTTTGCATGGTTTTTGAGAGGCATTCAGCCAGGGAAGCTATTTCCTGGGGTCTCTTGAAGCTTAGTAGGGATTATATTGTTTAGCTAAAGTACTAAGGGCTTCATTGAGACCTGAAAGGATAAGTGAATTTTAAAAATTTACTGTATCATCAGTTAGATCTTTGACACCACAGTTCTGTTGGCAAGTTTTTAAAAATCAGTCAAAATAGTCACAAACAGGTTTTCTTTCTGAACGCATCACAGAATAGCCTTCTGGTTACTTTTTTTCTGGAAGGAGCATTGGAATGGATTTAATCAATTTAGCGGGAATTTTTCCCACTGTCTTGAAGGCCCTTTCACCAGTAAGATGAAAATCTTCTTGGGGCCTATCTCAGTTACATAATCCAATCTTCAGACCCACTTCACTCACTGCCTGGACTGAGACAAATGTCTCTTTCTATTCAGATCCAGTTTTCTTTTTCTGAAACTGTTCTTCAGATCATCCCTTCATTTCACAACCTTGGCAGATCTAAAGAGCAGAGGTGACTCCAAGCTGGAGCTTCCCACCATCTTCTCCTGAGCAGATGCAGACCCATCATTCACCACAGGAACACCCCGGGCTGATGCTGTGCTTCTCCTCAGTGTAGCCCACCAGGAGCAGCACAGACCCACCCACCCACCTCTGGTGATTTCAACCTGATAGTGGTTAAATACTCCTTTACAAACACAAATTTTGTCATGTCACTCTCCTGACTTAACTTTGCCAATGGTTTCCCACTGGCCTTAGAACAAGGACCACAGTGCTGACCATAGCCCCCTGACACCGAGTGCTCCTGCCTGCTGCCCTCTCCCTTCCAGTCCACCCCAGTTGCCTGCCATCTAGTCTGCTCTCTTGGGGACACAGCAGACTCTAGGGTATCTGGGGGATTGCATACATATTCTTTCAACCCATTCACCCAAAGCCCACTCTTACCACATTTTCTAAGACTTTGTGCAGCTAAATCCTTAAAGGATCATGAAATTTCATATTATGAAAATTTCATAATGTCATTATTCAAAAGACAAAAAAAAAGTTACTTGGCAAATCATCTGTGAGAATAACCCTCAATTTATAAAGCAAGAAAATAGTAGCTGAATACCGAGTCCATATTTGGGATAATTAGTAGAGAAATGCTGAGTGAAAGCCAAATTGAAAGAAAATTGATCATTAAAATTTCATAAGAATTGAATGGAGAGTATATTACCTTGTTGTATTCTTACCCGTGTGTGTGTATATATGTGAGTGTGTGTGTGTATGTTTACGTGTATATATATATAGACCCGTTGCAAGATATTTTAGGTTTAGACACTGATGTGTACATGATCAGTCAATACAGTTAACTGATAAAATGTCACAGTCCACATCCTGACAATCTATATAAATATTTAAAACAACTTTGTTTATACAATTAACAATTAGTACAGGAAACAGATAATTGTTCAGATGACTTATTAATATTTATGGATATTGAAATGCAGTAAAAAGGTGTGATTATTATATCAAAGCTTTGTTATGGGACTTAGGGCAAGTACACATCCAACACTAAAATTGCAATGCATCTCAATGAACCAAATGGCTGCCTCTGTCGCCCCCTGATGGATGGCAAATTCTTGTCCCCATGGACCTTCACTGAAAAACATTAGTTCAGCAGGAAAGTTCCCATAATTCAGAATATCATAAGGAAGGAAAAAAATTTTGCCCCAAAATATATTTCTTTTTTTTTTGAGACAGAGTCTTGCTCTGTCACCCAGGCTGGAGTGCAGTGGCGCGATCTCAGCTCACTGCAACCTCCTCCTCCCAGGTTCAAGCAATTCTCCTGCCTCAGCCTCCTGAGTAGCTGGGACTACAGGCACATGCCACCACACTTGGCTAATTTTTTGTATTTTTAGTAGAGATGGGGTTTCACTGTGTTAGCCAGTATGGTCTTGATCTCCTGACCTCATGATTCACCTGCCTCGGCCTCCCAAAGTGCTGGGATTACAGGTATGAGCCACCGCGCCCAGCCCCCAAAATATATTTCTTTGATATAATTGGAGATTATATAAAGACAGCCAGCAAGAAGAAGTAGCCCTGCAAAGCTGTCTTTTGTGGGGGAAACTTGCATGTGTAGAAAATTTGCATGAACTCAGCCAAGCCTTCCCTTGTCTGGACCTAGGAGAAAGGAACTAAGATTCTGATGCCTTAATGACTGGAAAGCAACATTTACCATCTATTTACTCTGAGGGCTGCTACCTACCTGTGAGAGTTCTTCTACCTAACAAGACCACCCTTGCTAGCCAGCCTCCTCTTCCCTCCCTCCCATAACCTGTCTTGCCACTATAACCTGTTTTACCACTATCACCTGCTTGTGGCCATTCCCTAAGCCAACGTTTTTGCTGTAATCTCAGGATGGTATATAAGCTTCCTCAGGTCATTGGGTGGTTGGGTCATCATGCTGTGATGTTCCCTGTGTACACATCAGTAAAGTTTCTATGCCTTTGCTGCAATTAATCTGTCATTTGTGAGTTGATTTTTTAGCGAACCTTCCGAGGGCGAAGGGGACACTTTCCCTTGGTTCCTACAGTTTGAGGCTGTGAGCAGGCTCTGCTCTCCTGACCCACAGCCAAGTGAATCCAGGTCCTGATGAGCCATCAAAAGGGTAAGGATTTCTTACCAGTCAGGCTCCAGGTCTCTGTCTTTCTGTGGAATCTGGTCAAGTGGATGGTAAATATTGTTATTTGTTTTTCTTCTCCAAAGTCTTGATTAATAGGAGGAAAGGATTTGTTTAACTCATCTTGTTCTAGTGACTCTGGTATACTTTTTGGTACTTTGTGGTTTGAATATTCATAGTGTTTGGTCCCTTTTCTACCAGAAATAGTCTTTTCCTTTGTCTTTGGGTGTCCTTCTGTCATGAAGAGGAGTATCATTTTAGGTTCTCTCTCATCTTGTTTGATGTCCTTGAAAGCTTGACTTGTGACCAAGTGGAAGGACTCTCTTGGTCTGTGCCATCCAGGCAGCATAATTTTCGAGTCCCATTGGGTGGCCAGTCTCAAAAAGGCTGCAAAACCAAGACATTTTGCTTCGAATATGTCAAGCTGTCAGCTCTCAGGAGAGTTTGTCTTAAAAAGTTCCATTCCTACACGACTTTTGTCATCCTAACCCTTGTTGCCTAGTTAGTGCTGGGAAAGCCCAATCCCAGGCAGGCCTATGCAGTGTCACAGATTAAAAGGTCTGTGAGTGGCACCCTCCCCCACAAATTTTGGGTTGCCAAAGGCAAACACCATCCTCGACAATCTGTGGTAACAAGAGTCCTCTGCTATCTCCTTGATCTCTTTGGCTATTAAGTACACACATGTGTACATGTGAATATATGTTGTCTACATATATGTATGTGGTCATACATATATTTGCATATTACCTACACGTGGTACCACATTAACTCGAATGAGTACTCATAAAATTAAACCTATTCCAGGGAGAATTTTTTGGGGAGGGGGTCTTTGGGTTTGCTTCTCTCCAGGGAACATCTTTTTTTAAACCTGGAATATTACATGCTGGGCTTTCCATGAAGAAGCTATTGGATTGAGTCACTATTGGAATGAGTACAGCATTGGAAATTCAATGACCAGAAGGTGAATCTTTTAAATTAGATTCCTGAAATTTTTTCTTGACCCAGCAATCCCATTACTGGGTATATACCCAAAGGATTATAAATCATTCTACCTTAAAGACCCATGCACATGTATGTTTATTGCAACACTATTTACAATAGCAAAGGCTTGGAACCAACCCAAATGCCCGTCAATGATAGACTGGATAAAGAAAATGTGGCACATATACACCATGGAATACTATGCAGCCATAAAAAAGGATGAGTTCATGCCCTTTGCAGGGACATGGATGAAGCTGGAAACCATCATTCTCAGCAAACTAACACAGGAACAGAAAACCAAACACTGCATGTTCTCACTCATAAGTGGGAGTTGAACAATAAGAACACATGGACACAGGGAGGGGAACATCACAAAACAGGGCCAGTCAGGGGGTGGGGGGCAAGGGGAGGGATAGCATTACGAGAAATACCTTTGAAGATGACGGGTTGATGGGTTCAGCAAACCACCATGGCACATGTATACCTATGTAACGGACCTGCACGTTCTGCACACGTATCCTAGAACTTAAAGTATAATAAAATAAATAAATAAATAAATAAATAAAAAGTCTTTTGAGATCTCTCATTCTAAACAATTGATGGGAAGATCAAATTCAAAGAAAGACATGCAATAGTGTCATGGCCAGCCCTAGAAATTATCTTGACACAATTAAGAGCAAAAACCTAACCTAAACAAATTTAAAATCTTTGTGAGCTCAAACTGCCTGCTTTGGATTCCCTGCAGGATTAATAATGAACGCTGCTCAACCTTGTTGCACAGTAGTTCCAATTCCACACTTTCACAGCCTTCGCTTGGGTTTGATTTCTCCTCAGGAAACCAGTCCCTGTTCGTTTTATATTTGTGTGACTTTTAATTTTGCGGGTACCCACTTACATGTTTGGAGATGCCTTGTGAATCCTTGGTTAAGTCACAGCTTTGGTTAAGGCTTATTGCTTTCACTTGGGAAGGTATCTCTAGAAAAAAAAGTAAAAACAGAAATGTCAGCTGTTTATCCCAGCTAAAATCTTTTAACAAGAGATTTTAAAAGTTTTTTTTAAGAGCTCTATAGTCAAAAGCTGACTTAATTCAAACTGATATTTAGGTTATGTATGTACACATATATATATATATATATTGTTTAAGGCTTCTATTCGCTCTGTAAAACCTTCTCAGTCAACTGAATTCCTGTCTTTTTAAACCTCTGCTAACCATATTTGCTCCCTCTGTCTGCTTCTCCTTCTATTCCGTGTGTCCCTCCTTCCCCTTGCAACTTTCAATGCCACAGGAGGGGACCTAAAAACAATTCTAACTGCCTGGGATCCTTTAATTAAAACAGAAAAGGCAACATGAGTTTCTCTTTAGGGGAGGAAGCTTTGATTTTCCTCATGGAACCCCAAGAGTTTTAAGTGGACAGATTCAAGTCTGAAGCTCTACGACTCTCTTTTGCACTAAACTCCTTGATCTCTTTGGCTATTAGGTACATACATGTGTACATGTGAATGTTATATGTTGTGTCTACATATATGTATATGGTCATATGTATATTTGCATATTATTTACACGTGGTACCACATTAACCTGAATGAGTACTCAGAAATTAATTAAATAAGACCAAATATTTTTTCAAATTTATGTGACTTGAATAAATCTTTTGGTAAATAAAACTATGTTGTTATTGTTGGTTTAATAAAAATAACTGTCTTCTGAGCTAACAAAAAAATATACATGTGCTTAATGGCAAGGTTCTTGCTTTTACGATACTTGCCTAATGTACAGTAATATAAAAAACAGTTAATAAAAAATTTAACTTGTGATGATGACTAGGTTTTTCTAATGTCTCCTAAAATTGCCTAAACATAATTGTTAAAATTAAATGAATAAAACAGATGTAAATGAGATAAAGGTTTATAAATGAACTTTCCACAAGAATGTTTTATGATATGTTTACTTAGGTTTCTCAATGCTTTTTGGTAATCACATACTTAGAGTTTTCCCAAACTAAATTAAATGATGGGTTAGGGTTCAGATGCCATGGAGACTGTGGAACAAACTGTCTCACCTTCATCAGAGACTAGTCCAGCAAGAAAGTTCTCATAGTTCATAATATCATATTGAAGGAAATAAAAATGTTTTACCACAAACATTGGCCAGATCTAGGCAAGATTAACTGAGAGTCTGACTCTTCCCTTCACCCCTGATTAACTGAGAGTCTGACTCTTCCCTTCACCCCTGCAATATCAGGCCAGATATTTTCTTTTCTCATCCGAGAAAACCTCCAAAGTAGCATTGTTAAAATGGCTGTTCCTCAGGTAGGAGTGGAACTACAGAAAACAGGAATATCGGTACAACATGAAACTTTGTGAATATCATAAAAGATAAAATATGGAACACTTGGTAAACAAAACTTTATGTATTAAATATGCTAATTAATATCTAAATATATGTAAATATCAATTGAAATGCTGACCACACATTGGAACTTGAAATCAAGAGGGCCTAATAATATACTATGAAAATGATGAGAACTAATATGGTTTGGCTATTTGCCCCCACCAAATCTCATGTTGAAATGTGATCCCCAAAGTTGGAGGTGGCCCCTGGCAGGAGGGTTTGGGTCATGGGGGAGGATCCCTCCTGAATGGGTTGGTGCCCTCTGCGTGGTAATGAGTTCACAAGAGATCTAGTTGTTAAAAAGAGTCTGAGATCATCCCCTACTCTCTTGCTGTCTTTCTCCTCATGTGACACGCTGGCTCCCCTTGCCTTCCACAATGAGTAAAAGCTTCCGTAGGCCTCACCAGACAGAGATGCTGGCGCCATGCTTTTTGTGTAATCTGCAAAACCATGAGCTAAATGAACCTTTTTCCTTGATAAATTACCCAGCCCCAGGTATTCTTTTACAGCAACACAAAATGGACAAACACAAAAACTCAGCAATATTTTAGTTTGGAACCCAGCTAACTCCTGCAGTCACCCTATGATCCTGGGTCACAGACTTGGGTCATGGTCTCTCTTAGCATTACATTCTTTGTCTTTAACACCAGCATAGAAGAAAACTTTCCCAGGTTGTCCAGGATTCAGTGAGATGAATTATGCAAACCTGTCAGTTATATGGGCATACACTCCAAAGAACTAAAAGCAGGGATGGGTATATATGGGTATAGACTCAAAAGAACTAAAAGCACCCATATGCACAGCAGCAGTATTCACAATAGCCAAAAATTGGAGGCAACATGAGTGTCCACCAATGGACAAGTAGATAAACAAAATGTGGTATATAATATTATTCTGCCTTAAAAACAAAAGGAATTCTGATACATACTGCAACATGGATGAAACGTGAGTCATTATGCAAAGAGAAATAACCTAGGCACAGAAGGACGAATGCTGTACTCTTCCACTTATCTGAGCTACCTAGAGTAATCAATTCACTGGAACCTCAAGTAGAGAGGTAGTTTCCAGGGACTGGAGGAGAGAGGAATAGGAAGTAGTGTTTAGTGAATACAGAGTTCCTGTTGGGGATGATGAAAAAAGTTCTGGAGATGGATGGTGGTGATGGTTACACAACCACTGTAAATGTGGTTAATGCCATAGAACTGTATAATTAAGATGGTTTAAATGGTAAATATTAAGTGTATTCAATCAGAAGGAACACAGGAATGAAGTACTGATGTATGTTATAACATGGATGAACCTTGAAAACATCTAAAGTAAAAGGAACAAGACACTAAAGGCACATACTGTATAACCCCATTTATATGGAATGTCCAGAAGGGCAAATCCATAGAGTTCAGGAAGTAGATTAGTAGCTTCCAGGGACTGAAGAGGGGGAAATGGGAAGGGACATCCTAATGGGTACTGAGTTCCCTTTGGAGGTGATAAAAAAGCTCTGGAACTAGATAGGTGGCTGTACAACACTGTCAAGGTGTTAAATTTCACCAAATTGTATACTTAAAAATAGAAGTCATCATTCTCAGCAAACTAACACAGGAACAGAAAATCAAACAGTACATGTTTTCACTCATAAGTGGAAGCTGAACAATGAGAACACGTGGACACAGGGAGGGAAACAACACACACCGGAGCCTGCCAGGGGTGGGGGGCAAGGGGAGGGAGAGCATTAGGACAAATACCTAATGTATGTGGGGCTTAAAACCTAGAAGATGGGTTGATAGGTGCAGCAAACCACCATGGCACATGTATACCTATGTAACAAACCTGCACGTTCTGCACATATATCCCAGAACTTAAAGTAGAAAAAAATTGGTAAAAGTGGTAAAATTCATATCAAGTGAATTTGCCTCCAAAATACTCATCTGTTATATTTATTTCACTGTGCATAGGATTTGTTCCTCAAAGGACACGGTGCCAAGTTGTAGCCTTCCTGAGCCCTGGCTACCACACTAACTCTTGGGGCCCAAGCCCAAGGTCTTGAGAGATGCCTTTCATAGCTGGACAACAAAGCACAAAACAGTGCCTTGAGACTGACTTTTTGGCTGACAGGCAGGCATTCCTACCCCCTCTCCTCTGTCACCTGCTCTGACAGTTGCGTACACATTCCCAGGACCTATTTCCCCATCTGCAAGAGAAAATGATTCCCAAGGCCCTTCTGGTATAAACCCACCAGTGAGATCTCCTGGGGACACCCGCTCCTCGAGTATTCCCATAGGGCTTTTCTCTCTCCTACTCTGCTCCCCTCCACCTACACCCCAGCGCTGCACAGCCCCCGAGTCCTTGGCACTCAGTCAGGCAGAAGGCAACAGGCTCATGCCAGAAACGGCCAGTCAAGGCTGGTCACTGCTGGTCATGGCCAGGTCAGACTGGTCAAGCCTGGTCAAAGATGGTCAAAACCTGCCTTATACTACACACGCTCAACACAGAACAGTTCTGGTCACCAAATGAGGGGATTTTTCACACATTAACAAGTTTTCCTATTATCTGCAGACACCGGCTGGATGTCCTACAATTCAGTTCAATTCTATCACTAACTGGAGTTAGCATAGATCCCGCACTTTAAGGGTGCAGTCCCACAAGACTGCCTCCCACCCCAGAAGCCAATCTTAAGCCCCAGGTTTTCACCTGTACTTCTAACTGGCTATCATTCAGGGTTCCTATGACTCTTGGCTTTGATAATTTGCTAGGAGAACTCACAGAACTCAGGAAAGAACTCAGGAAAAACTTGTTACATTTACCAACTTATTATATAATGAAGGATATAGATGAACGGCCCTTGAAGGGATACATAGGGTGAGGTCTGGAAGGATCCTGAGTGAAGGAGCTTCTGTCCCCATAGAGTTGGGGTGTGCCACCCTCCTGGCTCATAGGTGTATTCACCAACCTGGAAGCATTCTGAACCCCGTAGTTCAGACATCATGGGCGATGTCAGGAGGACTAGCTCCCAGGCATCATGTGCCTGGTTAACAGGCTGGTAAACTTCCTCTCCTGGCCACTCTCAGGCCCAGCTAGAGGGAGAGAAGAACAAGCCTACTGGTCTGCAGGTTTTTCTGGGCTACAGGTTAGTGTTTCCTAGAATCCAGTCTTCCAGGTCAAAGGGATTCCTCCTTTCCCGTAAGAGATCGTTGTAAATCAGGCATGTGAGGGATGGCAGGAGTCCTCCACATCCTTTTCAGTGACCAGTGAAGTGACTGACTTGAATATACTTTGTGAAGGAAAGGGTAGTCTATATTCTATCAGGAGCTCCCTAGGGTTGACAGGGGGGAGTGTCCCTTGAAGTTCAGTTCTGTGCAGGGATGAGCAGAGCAGCCAGGGCTATGCCTGGCCACCATTGAGCAGGGGCCACACAGAGCAGAGGCCTCTGTTTGGGCGAGACTTTGCAGAGATACTGTCAATGTTCCTGATATGGAAGGAGCCTGCTACAGGACCGTCCTTACGTGTAGGGTAGAACATAAACTTATACAAGGAAAATGAAAAGCAAAATATGTTCTCGTGTGTCTATACTTCCTCATCTAAATATCTATCTCTACAGGGAGCATAGGCTGGAGTGTGCATAGCAGTCACAGCTCTTGCAGGGGTGTGTAGGGTCAGAAGAATATGAGGAGATATACATCATTCTACACCCATTTTGCCATCTGAATATTTTTCAGCAAGCGCTTATATTATGGCAGATAATGACCATGGCATGAATGTCAGGGCCTAGCATCCTATCTTTCAGTTTTGTCTCTTCCCTGGTCTCTGGCCATGACCACAGGCTTAGCAGTCTCCCAGCCTTTGGCCGTCCTCTCAGTCTTAGGCTCAGCAGCCTCTGCTGTTCTAAACATATTGTTTGCTGCACCCCAGAGGAAAGAGCAAAGGGCCATGAGGGGGTCATGAGGCTCCTCTCCACCTGACTTTGACCCTCAGCTGGATTCCATGGGAATGTGAGGCCACTGGGATTTTGAATTTGTAGGGTCCAGCCCTATGGGGCTTAGCAGGTGTTCTCCCCATGTGCGGAGACGAGAGATCATAAGAAATAAAGACACGAGACAAAAGAGATAAAGAGAAAACAGCTGGGCCTGGGGGACCACTACCACCAAGACATGGAGACCGGTAGTGGCCCCAAATGGCTGGGCACGCTGATATTTATTGCATACAAGACAAGAGGGCAGGGTAAGGAGGGTGAGTCGTCCAAGTGATTGATAAGGTCAAGCAAGTCACATGATCATGGGACAGGGGGCCCTTCCCTTTTAGGTAGCCAAAGCAGAGAGGGAAGGCAGCATACGTCAGCGTTTTCTTCTATGCACTTATCAGAAAGATCAAAGACTTTAAGACTTTCACTATTTCTTCTACCGCTATCTTCTAAGAACTTCAAAGAGGAACCAGGAGTATGGGAGGAACATGCAAGTGGACAAGGAGTGTGACCACTGAAGCACAGCACCACAGGGAGGGGTTTAAGGCCTCCAGACGACTGCGGGCAGGCCTGGATAATATCCAGCCTGCCACAAGAAGCTTGTGGAGCAGAGCATTCCCTGACTCCTCCAAGGAAAGGGAGACTCCCTTTCGCGGTCTGCTAAGTAACTGGTGCCTTCCTAGACACTGGCATTACAGCTTGACCAAGGAGCCCTCAAGAGGCCCTTATGCGGGCATGACAGAGGGCTCACCTCTTGCCTTCTTGGTCACTTCTCACAATGTCCCTTCAGCACCTGACCCTATACCCACCGGTTATTCCTTGATTATATTAGTAATACGACAAAGAATAATATTAAAAGCTAAGGATTAATAATGTCTATACTAATGATTGATAATGTCCATGTTCATCTCTATATCTAATTTGTATTATAACTATTCTTATTCTAACTATTTTCTTTATTATACTGAAACAGTTTGTGCCTTCAGTCTCTTGCCTCGGCACCTGGGTAATCCTTCACCCACATGAATTCACATAGAAGTCTTCTTCAAAATCCCTGGCTTCTTTTCCCCAGAGGATCTGGGAATGATGAGAAATGAGTGGAACCAGCCAAGCAGGTGAAAGGCATTTTCATTGTGAAATATGACACTGAAGGTGAGTGGGAAGGTCAGTGGAATAACACATATGACACTGAGGCTCTGGGTGGAAAGCATGAGGTTGCAATTGAGTGTGTGTTTCCTGGAGCCACAGTCCCTTAGTTTCTGCACTCTCCAGCTATTAAAACACTGTGTGTGTTCCTTCTCTGCTCCTAAGTTGACCCCACTGTCATAGCAGTCTTTTTCTTAAATCGATTTACTCATTGTGGCGTTGTCAAGACAACTATTCAGACGCAAGCAGAGCTCTATTGCATAAAGGATGCAGATTCATCTGGAAAATTAGATTCATGTCTCTTTCCACCCCCACATCCACACTCCCCACTCATTTCTGTATTAAACCATTCCAGTCAGAGCAGCCCACTATGTAAATTCATCCTGCATTCTAATCAGCACTGCCCAAAAAGCTAAGCGGAAGGAAAAAGTACAGCCCTAGGGCACAGGATCACAGAGTAACAGGGACAAGTATGTTCTTATGCTCATCCACCCACAACCTCTACACCTCCAGATCACCCAGGCCACATCTACCGCATCTCAAGCAAGCACATGTCCTTCTGGAAAGAAGCAATAAAATATGTGGAGCTAAAAGAATCATTTAAGTATTTACTTCCAATATTTAAAAGGGAAGCTGGAGCTGCCCCAGTCTCAAAATTTGAAGGATTCCAGAGGGCCATATCCCAAAGCTGAGGGTGAGCTGCGCCCTAGAGAAATGCAGTAGTCAGGGTTCTCCAGAGGGACAAAGACAGGACCAATAAGGTATATATGTATATATGTAGCAGGGAGTTTATTAGGGAGAATGGGCTCACACGATTACAGAGATGAAGTCCCAATCTGGGGAATAGGAAAAGCCGACAGCATAGCTCAGTCCAAGCCCAAACACTTCAAACCCAGGGAAGCTAATATGCAGTCCCCAGTCTGAGGCTAAAGGCTTGAGATCTCCTGGGAGGCTGCTAGTGCAAGTCCCAGAGTCCAAAGGCCAAGGATCCTGGAGATGGCTGTCCAAGGTAAGGAGGAGAAAATGGTATCCCATTCCCAAATGTGGGGGGGAGAGAGAGAGAGAGAGATTGAGAGATAGGAAGTCCCCTTCTTCTGCTTGATTTGTTCTAACTGCACCAGCAGCTGATTGGATGATAACCACCCACATTAAGGGGGCTCTTCCCCTCCCAGTCCACTGATTCACATCAATCGCCTCTGGCTACACCCTCACAGGCACACCCAGAGACAATGCATCACCAGGCACGGAGGCATCCCTCAACCCAGTCAAGGTGACACTAATATTAACCATTTCAGGAACCTTGGGTGTGCTCCCACCTTAGCAAGAAGGAGAGGTGGGTTGGCAGTGAGGCTGAGGCTTGGGGTAATACTCTCACCTCATGAAAGTGGCGAAACATGACAATAATCTCTAGAACAGCAGTCGTTCAAGACACACAAGGATGGTAGATGGGCAAAGGCTCATTCAACAAAACTCCCTGAAACAGTAAATTTTCCATGGAGCCCACCACACCAACCGAGAACCGAGTGATTAGGTGAGATTGCTTCATTCTACAAGCAAGAGAACACAGACTCCTCCCACTGATCCTTCTTTGGGAGTGTCTGGGCAATCAGGTTTACTATATGGGAAGCAGCAGCGACATCACCAGGTCATGTAGGTCATGCTTCCAGGAAGATGTGATGAGCTAGTAGTTCCAGAAAGGAATCCCTGGCAATCACCAGTTGAGCTTCTTGCCGTGCAGGCTGCAATGTAATGAGCAGTCCAGGCTTTTCTATAAGGTGCCTTTGCCACCCTTAGTCTGCATAAGGGACCTTGATCAAAAGGTGATGCATTGCTGGCATGTACCATGTCTGTGTTCATTTCTCTGACTTTATCCCCATCTTTCTAGCTCTAGTTTTTCCTTTTGCTGGTTCTCCCAGCCTTATCTGGAAGTTTCAGACTCAACACCATGTTTTAGTTTGCTGAGCAGAACAGGGACAACAACAAAAGCCCAAACTGAAGAAAGGATATTGAAAATTCTTCCAATTCATTTTGTTGTGCTAAAGCCTACATTGTTTTTCGAACATTTCACAGGCTCTCTCATGATTTGTAGAAGAAAACATACAAGAAACAAGCATATGGGTATCAGGAGATTTTTATCATGAAATATAAAGGAGTGTATTACACATGTGTATGTTAATATATATACACAAGGGTGTGTGTGTCAAGAAATAGAACATTACAGCCTCCCAGGTGCTTCCTGAGGTCTATTCACACTGGCTGCTCCTTCTAAGTCTGTCTTCATTTTTATTTTAAACATATTATTAAATATGTATCAGTAACATAACATATAAATTATATGCACACTTAAAACAGTAACTATGGGGCACACACCACTACCTAAAGAACAGAATACTTCCTGTAATTTACAAACTGCTAGTATGTCCCTTCCTGAACACATCCCATTCAATCAAATCTAAATGTACCCCTTTCCTGACTTTTGTAAAACTCTCTACTTTGCTTTCATTGATACTTTCTACAATCTTCATTTGCACCCCTAAACACTATCATTTTGCCTACTATTAAACTTTTTAACATGCAATTATACTGTTTACTTCTTTTGATTTGCAACTTTTGCTCACTCTAATGAGGGTCATTTATCTTGATGCTAGTAGCCATAATTTCTTTACTTTATTGCTGCATATATTTCGTTCTATGAACATTCCAAAATATCTTAACTAGTTCTAACAATGAGGAATATTTCTATTGTTTCCAGCTTCAGAGTATTTTGAAGTGATGCTATGAACATAGCAAAAAACCTTCATATTAAAGGATCTCCATAGATATTTGAGACTTTAATTCTCTGTCTGATGTTTTAAATGACACTTAGCTTTACAAATTTTTAAATTTTCTTATACGTGTATAACCGAAAGTAAGAGAGTTTTAACATTTTGACAAAAATATTTAAAGATCAAAGAACAAGCATAACTTTTCCTATGGTTATTGAGATCACATGGTATGGTTTCAATTTGCATGGTCATTTCATGGTCCTCCAGTAGGTGCAAAGCGAGGACTGCCTGTACTAGTAAAACTCCTCCTACCTTTTTCTTAATCTTTGGAATTCTTGACCTGCACATCACTGTATCATAGTTGGAATCACCTTGTCAAATGCCACACGAAAACGATTGCTTGGGATTTTGTTTGTGGTCACATCGAATCTTTAAAATGATTCAGAGAGAACTGACACTATTACAACATGAAGTTTCACAGTCAGTGAACAAAGTACATTTCTCTATTAATTGAAGTTATCATTTATTACTATCTGTATTAGTTTGCAACCCAACGTCATGTGCATATTTCTAGGTATTTGTTACAGCAGCACCCCACTTCTCAGTACCAGAATCCATTCATTTGCTATGGCTGCCGTAACAAAGTACCACAGTTGGTTGGCTTAAACAACACAAATATATTGTCTCACAGTTCTGGAGGCTAGAAGTCCAAAATCAAGGTGCCAGCAGACTTGGTTCCTTCTAAGGGCTATGAGGGAAGGATCTGTCTGAGACCTCTCTCTTTGGCTTGTAGTTGGCTATTTTCTTCGCATGTCTCTTCATGGGGCCTTTCCTCTATGTGTGTCTGTCTCTGTGACCAAATTTCACCTTTTAATGAGGACACTGGTCGTACTGGAGTAGGATCCATCTTAATGACTTCGTCTTGCTAATTATACCTTCAATGACTCCATCTCCAAATAAGGCCATATTCTGAGGTACTAGGTGTTACAACTTCAACGTATGAAAGGTGGTTGGGAGGGGCACAAGTCAAACTATAACAGGAGTATCTCTTTAAAAATGTTACAGGTTTCTTTTCCATGTAGGTCTTTACTGTGTAAGATTTATTCTATGTACTTTCATCCATTATCAATTTATTGCCTCTCTGCTTAGACTGAATCCTTCCATATATGCTGTTTGATAAACAACGTAATTCCATTAAGCATTTCTCCTTTCAAGTGAGCATGATGAAAGTGAGCTTTTTCAGTAGAGGATGGTGGAGGAACACTGAAGGGAAAAGAGGCATTCCTTCCATTTCCAGCAGAGGCAGGGTGAGTGAGTGGTGTGGGCAAGGCGATCAGTTGGAGCTATGCCACAACCACTGGCCCAGAACTCAAGGTCCCTCTGTGACCATGCAGCCTCCATCTGGCAATGATCTGTCCACAGTCGTCTTAATACAGAAACCAGGGCCCCGGAGGCTTCCTATCCACAGGAGCAACAGCGCAATTCCTCTCAACACTCCCACACTCCAAGGCCTCTCACCTGGGCCTGTGCACGTGAAGGCTTCTCTCCTGGCCCAGAGCTCTGATTCCCTGTGCAGGCCCTAGCACACGGCCCCCTTGTGGCCTGAAGGGTCCACACTGAGCTGCAAGCCCTCTGCAAACCTTCCACACATCTCGTGTGCAGTACAGGGCACCTGCTGCCTGGAGGGGTCCCACCCTATCTACCCACCCACATACACCCAAGCCACCCAGCTGCTGATCATCACCTCCCTGCCTGCACTCTGGAAGGTTGCCTTCTGCTTTTCCAGGGACTGTAAACCAGCACCAGCCTGGCTAACCAGACAACTTCTCTACCAAACCAGTGGACTGAACTACAACTTATGCCATGAGAGATCCTTCCAACTGTTTCCTTCCTTGCGTACTTTCCCCTAGCCCTATGGTGTCATATCAAGGTTCCATAAATCTCAGAGTTGATCATAGTTGAATTATTTGTATTAAACTTATCCTGTTTAACCTATGTAGTTCCTATCTTTTGATTAGACCCATGCTGATTTCTGATGGCATTATTATTAGTATATTTTAACTTACTCATTCTCTGTCACTCTTTTGCCAATATATTGGTTTGTAAATCTTATATGTGTGTGTTGATGTATGTATATGCATATACATATATCATCTAGTAGTGATACTTTTGTCTAACAATTTATGTATAAGTTATTTTGGGTTTTCTAGTCCATAATCAAATCACCTATCAATAATGACAGATTTGTTTCTTCATTTGTAATTCTTACACTTTTATTATTCTTGCCTTACTGAGTAAATTAAGATCTCCAATAGAATCAAGGGAAACTATTTCTCAATCTCAAAAAAGAAAGCTTTCAATATTTCAAAATTTAGTGGACATTTATTAAAGTTATTAAAGATGTCCTTCAGTTAAGAAACTTTCTTTCTCTTCATAGATATCTGAAAAGTTTTATTATGAATGCAGTTTGAGTTTATTGGACACTTTTTTACTACATGTACTGAAATAATGATATGATTTCCATGCTTTGGATTAATATGGTGGAGGACACTAATTTATTTCTTAATGATAGACCGTCTTGGTCTTGATATGTTACTTTGTTCATACATTGTTGAATTTACTTTGCTAATATTTTCTTGAGGATTTTCCATCTATTTCCATGAGTGTGATTGATCTCTTATTGTCGTTTATTTTTGTGTCCATCATCATATTCACTTTCAAAATTTTACTACATGATATAAATAGGAAAATGTTCTTTTTTTCTCATATATTCCTTAGAAGACTTTGTATAAGATTGGGATCATTTTCTTATTTAATATTTGATGAGCTTAGAGGATTTCATTTTTGGTTTTAATTCTTTGGGGAAACTTTTTTAAATGACCCATTTGTTTCTTTTAATAACTATAGGTCTATTCTTGATTTTCATATTGTCTTGAGCCAAGTTTGTTATATTTTTCAAGCATTTGCTAATTCATCTACACTTTCAAAAATATTACCACAACGTATCACATATTTTCTCATCATCTTTATCACTGAGACACATTATGCATATACAAAATGTGAATAATATATAAATATGCATATAAAATATGCATATACAGTCCTATATTTCAAACAGTGTATGCTTTCTCTTTCAAATTTAGGTCCATGCAGAAGGAGTGTTTTTATGATGGGACGGAAAGGCCCAGTTTTTCCAAGAATAATTATGAAAAAGACAATTTCCCATGGTCTGCAGTGCTACAATGATCATTAACCAAGTGTTTCACATACAAATGAGTCTGACTTCACACCTTGTCCTTTCTCAAATGAAGCTTCATTTGCTTGGACATTAAATTTTATGTAAATTTTAGAAGTGGCTTATCAATTTCCACACACCAAGAATACAGAATTTGTTATGGGATTGTTTTTACTATAAAAATTTCAGAATAGGCATCTTTAAAATATATAACATTTTAGCCTATTAACTTGAACTATCTCTTCACTTATTTGTCCCATTTTTACTCTCCATAACATTCTATTGTTTTCTAGTGAAAGATGATTTTATTTTTATTAGTTATGCAAATGTTTTATTATTTTAAGTGGCAGAAGAAAGGTCTGAGGTCCAGAACCTGGTGGACAGTGGGGTGAGTGGAGGTGGGATAGCTGTGTGAGGGAGAGATTACTGGATAAGGAAATACTGGATCTGAGAATGGAAAGATAAAACCTGTGCAGATGGAGTGATGTCACGCAGATGGCAGAATAGGTAGTCACCCCTTTGTATCCTCTCACAACACAAATTCTGCACCCATCCATGGACAAAAGTCTCTTTGTGGGAACCTTGGGATTCAGGTAGAAGGTGTAACTCCTCAGTGGTGTCCAAGACCTAGGAAGGTCATTTGGCCAGTGCAGACCTGCACCCAGGTGGAAGATCCCCATGACTGTGATCCCAACTTCAGACCCCAAAACAATCGTGTTTCCCAAGGAGCTTGGTTACAGCCCCATGTGGCCTTGAGCCTGGTACCAAAACCATCCAACAAGGGGTCCAGGAGAAATCATGCACACTAGTGCCCTGGCAGACAAACCCATCTTCCCCAAACACTGGTCTCGACAGTGGACCTGAAAGTTATCCTGTAGCTTAATTCTAGTCCTCCTCAGATGTGGTTCCAGCTTGGTATGCTATAACAAGGATCCAGAGGGACACTTTCCCATTGGTGCCACCAGTTTGGGCTTGCCAGCCTCTGTCCCACAGCAGATTCTGAAGGGGTCCTGTGGGACTCCAGCCCCTCTCTGCCACAGCCTCAGAGTTATCCTGCTCATGCTGAAAACTGCTGGGAGACTAGCCCATCTGTGCCACTATGAAAAGCTTGCAAGCCTTCACCTCACAGCAAAGCCTGAAAACCCTGAATCTCAGCTATAGCTCCTTTCAGCTGTGGTTTGTGAACAATCCTAGCTGGAGAGGGATCTGCTGGGAGTCTCATCCACTAGTGCCACTGGGTCAGGCTTGCCAATATTGGTCCCATGGAAGATTCTGAAGTAGCCCTGAAGCTTCTTTCCAGCCCCTCCCAGCTGTAGTTCAGAAGCAGTTCTGTCCAGCTATGGTACCCCCAGGAGACATACCTGTCTGATTCTCTGTGGCAGGATTGCCAACTTCTGTCTCACAGCAGATCCTCAAATTACCCTGGATCTCAGTCCCAGCATTTCTCATCTCTGGACTAAGAGCAGTTCTGCCCACCTGGGGACCCGAGGGGAGGCTTCTCCAACAGTGCCTCTGTAGGCAGATGGTCTGACCTTTGTCCCATTTTGTGGATCTTAAAATGGCCCAATAAATTGGGTCCAGGCTTTCTCATCTGCAGCTTGACAGCAAGTTTGCTTACCCAGGATATCACCAGGACACACACCTATCCATGACCCTGAAGACAGGCCTATAGATCTCAGTTTTGGCTGTGGATCCTGATCCAATCTGGGTCTCAGTTTCAGCCCATCTTAGCCACAGACCGGGGCAGTATGGTTAGTCCAGTGACCCATTCGGTGATCCAACAGAAACCTCTCAGAGACCTGGAGAAAGCCACACCAGTCAGCACATTTGGAAGTAGGCCCAACATTTGCCAACCCTGAAGCCAACATTTATCCCAGCACCAGCTTCATAGATCAAAGTCTTAGACACAGTTCAGTCCACTCAGGGGCCAGACAAAACCCACACCTGCTACAGCCCCTGGTAAGAGACCTACCAACTGTGGTGTTTACTGTGAACATAGCATTAGCCATGGGACTTGGATTCTACCCCCCTCAGTGCAATCCTGGAGGCTATCCCATCAGCCCAGAGACGTAACAGAAGATTTTACCTTGCCAAACCAGTCTGTAAAGACCGAAGGAGGGGTTTGGGCCTCCAAATGTGCAGATACTAACACAAAGCTATATGGTAACAAAGAATAAGGCAAACTTGACACCACCAAAGGAAACTTATGAAGTTCCAATAATCAACCCCAAATTAATAAATATATGCAAATTATCTGAAAAAGAATTCAAAATAATTATCCTAAAGAATCTCAATGAGATGTGTGAAAACCCAGATAGACAACTAAATGGAATCAGGAAAACAATTCATCAACAAAATGAGAAGTGTCATAAAGAAATAAAAAGCCATAAAAAGAATAAAACAGAAATCCTGGAGCTGAAGCATACAATGACAGGACTGAAAAGATGCAATAGTTTCAGCAGCAGACTCAATCATGCAGAAGAAAGAACTAGTGAACTTGAAGATACCTATCAATAATTACTTTAAATGTAAGTGGATTAAATTATCCAATGAAAAGACAAAGAGTAGCTGAATAATTTTTTAAAAAAAACAAGATGCTGCCTACAAGAGACTCACTTTAGCCTTGAGAATACACATAGACTGAAAGTGAAGGAATGAAAAAAGATATTTCAGGCAAATTTTAAGCAAAAGAGAGCAGGAGTGGTTATGTGCTTATATGATACAAAATAGGCTTTAAGTTGTCATTCACCATTATCAAGTGGGACTTAACATCTGTGATGCAAGGATGGTTCAACATATGCAAATCAATAATTGTGATACACCATATTAACAAGATAAAGGAAAAAATCTATATAATCATCTCAATAGATGCAGATAAAGCATTTGAACAAGATTCAACACGCTTTCATGAGAAATACTCTCAAGAAATTATGCATAGAAGGAACGTACCTTCACACAATAAAGGTCATATATATAAAAAGCCCACTGCTAATGTCATATTTAATCATGAAAAGTTGAAAGTTTTCCCTGTAAGACCAGAAAGAGGACAAAAGTGCCCACGCTCACCATTTCTACTTAACATAGTACTGGCAGTTCTAGCCAGAACAATTAAGAAAAAGAAATAAAAGGCATCCAAATAAGAAAGGAAGAAGTGAAACTGTCTCTGTTTGCTGATGACATAATCTTATGTAGAGAAAACTTTAAAGGCTCCACCAAAAAACTGTTAGAAGTGATCAGGAATTCAGTAAAACAGGCAGGATACAAAATCAATAGACAAACTCAGTAGTATTTCTTTACACTAACAATTAACTATGGGAAAAAACTAAGAAGTCAATCTCATTCACAATAGAATCAAAAAGTAAAAAATAAAGTAGTTAGGAGTAAATTTAACCAGGAAAGTTAAAGATTTCTGTACTGAAAACTATAAAACAATTACTAGTAAGAAAACATAGAAGAAAAGCTGCACAACATTGGTCTGGGAAAGATTTCTTAGATATGACTCCAAAAGCACAAGCAACAAAACCAAAAATAAACAAATGGGATGGCATCAATAAAAAGCTTCTGCACAGCAAAGAAAACAATTAATAGAGTAAAAAGACAACCCATGAGTTGGGAGAAAATATTTGCAAACCATACATCTAATAAAGGGCTAATACATACAACAGGTAAGAATCTCATACAAATCAATAGCATGAAAAGAACAAACCCAATTAAAAAAGGGCAAAAGACCATTTCTCAAAAAAGACATATAAATGGCCAAAAATATGTTGAAAAAATGCTCAACATCACTAATCATCAGAGAAATGCAAATCAAAACCACAATGAAATATCACCTCAGCCCAGTTAGAACGGCTATTTTTAAAATGGCCACTTTTAAAAAGACAAAAAAAAAAATGCTGGTGAAGATGCAGAGAAAAGGGAACTCTTACACATTGTTGGTGGAAATGTAAATTTGTACAGCCATTATGAAAAACAGTACGACGGTTCCTCAAAAAATTGAAAGTAGAACTACCATGTGATCCATCAATCTGATTTCTGGGTATATATCCAAAGGAAATGAAATTAGCATGTCAAAGAGATATGTGCACTCCCATGTTCATTGCAGGATTATTCACAATAGATAAGATATGGAAGCAATCTAGGTGTCTGTTATTGAATGAATAAAGAAAACATGGGAGATATATATATATACACACACAAACACAGTGGAATACTATTCAGCCATAAAACAGAATGAAATCCTGTCATTTGTGGCAAATGGGTCAATCTAGAGGACAACATGAATGGAATTGTAGAACATTATTCTAAGTAAAATAAGCCAGACACAGAAAAACAAACACCACATAATGTCACTCATCTGTGGAATCTAAACAAGTCGATTTTATAGGAATAGAGAATAGAATGTGGTTAAAAAGGCTAGGGGAGAGGGTGGAGAGGGAAAGGGGAGTTGTTGATCAAAGGGTACAAAATTTCAGTTAGAAAGGAGGAATAAGCTCTAGTAATCTAGCACAGAATGGTGACTATAATAAATAATAATGCATTGCATATTATAAAATTGCTAAAAGATCATATTTTAAATGTTTTTACCACAAAAATAATACGTGAGGTGATGGGTTTGTTAATTAGCTTAATTATTCAACAATGTAAACATATATCAAAACACCAAATTGTACCCCACAAATATGTAATATATACTGTTACTATTTGTTTATTAAAAATGTTTTTAAAATCTGCAAAGATGCTTCCAATAGAGAAAAAAGCACAGGTGAAGACATGGAGGTCTATGAAAGAGGAGTAGGGGAGCCACATTGTGGCATGCAGCTGCTCATCAATGTGTAGATTTTAAAGGAGAATGTGTGGATTTTAAGGTTCTAATTCTGGCTCCTCATATTCTCCATCTGGGATTTCATATTTAATACCAAGTGACTAAAAATTATTAAAAATTTGACAACCTGTGTCATCTTGAACATGGTGAGCAATGAGAACACTTTCAGTTGGAGGTAATGCACAATGGAACAGGCACATTGGAGATTAGGCAGTATTGAGTGGAACAAAACATGCAAATTAAATAAAATGTTCAAATATTCATTGATGTTGGGATGCTACTTCTGTATACTGCCCTTTTTAATGCTCCCTAGACCCTCATTCTTTTTCCTCATAACTGACTTTGAAACAAACTACCTACAAACACATTGTTTCATGGTCTGTTTTTAGTGGTAACATAGGCTAAGACAAGCTAAAAATCTCATCAGTAGAAATACAGATAAAAATTATTCTATGGATATTTTAAATGAAAACTTATTCAGCGATTAAACAGAATTGAGCATATTTACAAGTATCTTCATAGTTAAATCTCAAAACTATGATGTTAATTGAAAGAGAATATTTTTGAATGAGAGTCTATTGTTTCAGGGAAAATGGGAAGGGAAGAGAAAATTCAGAAATCACTCTACAGCTGACAAGGTGTTATTAATATGAGAGGGCTAGATGGATATATTACTAAGAGAAAGGAAAACGTGCAGAATTGTGTGTAAGTATGTTATCATCTCTGTCTAATAAAAGCAGAAAAATGGAGAATTTGTGTTTGCAAATCCTTGCAAATGCTGGTAATTTCAAGAGAAGGATGTGTAAAAATGGATGAGCCATAGATGCCTACAAGAAGGAAGAAGTTGGGGGACAAGATAGTAAAAGAAGTCTTGTATTCACTCACTATTCTTTTTACATTTTGATTTTTTGCCATGTGCATGTTGCAAACATTTAACGTGAATAATATTTCAAAAATAACATTTATACTTTGCTCCTAATATTATAACTTTTCTCTCCCTCTTCTTTTCTGCTCCATTCCTCTGTAGGTATATATGTAGACAGAGATTTGGGAAATAAAAATGGAAATTACAAGGTGTTATTACTGGTTACTTCCAGGTGAGAGGGGGCTTTGGAATAATCGCTGCATTCCTTCATTTTTTTTTTTTTTTTTTACTTTCTATACTGCTGGAATTTTGTGTAATGAATATCTCAAATTTGCAAAACACCAAACAATATAATCTGTAAGTGAAATAATTCCGAGGATTCTTGGATCACCACCATTATTCGTACCCCTGTGGAATAGGCCCAGATCCTTATGGACTCAAAATACACTTTAATAATAAAATCCTTTAGCATATAAAAAATTTAAAGTATATTTGTTAAAATGCAAAATACACACAGAACAATACAACACACATAACACTTTTGGATAAATATTTAAATATTTCCTCTTGAGGTCAGGAACAACACAAGGATTCTGTCATTGTTCATATTTAGCATTGTATTGGAGATCCAAGGAAAAGAAATAATACATTAAAAATAAATACAAGGGGAAAGTGTTGAAAAGACAAAACTAACATCAGTATTTGCAAATGATACGATTGTGTACATAAAAAATAGAAAAGCATCTGCAAATTGTTAGATTTTTTTCAGCTGTATTGAGGTATAATTGACAAAATTATATATATTTAAGGTATGTAATGTGATGATTCGATATATGTATATATTGTGAAATGATTATCACAATTGTGTTAGTCTGTTTTGTGTTGCTCTAAAGGAATACCTGAGACTGGGTAATTTATAAAGAAAATGGTTTATTTGGGCTGATGGTTCTGCAGGCTGTACAGGAAGTGTGGTGGCAGTATCTGCTGCTTGTGAGGACCTTAGGAAGCTTCCAATCATAGTAGAAAATGAAGGAGTAGGCATGGCCCAGGGTGAGAGCAGGAGTGGGGGCTGGGGGAGGCGCCACACTCTTTTAAACAACCAGATGTCACACGAACTGCAATAATGAGAACTCACTCATCACCAAGGGGATGGCACTAAACCATTCATGAGGGATCTATCCCCATGATCCAAACACCTTCCACCAGGCCCCACCTCCAACACGGGATGATATTTCAACATGAGATTTGAAGGGGACAAACAACCAAACCATATTATTACATTCCTAGACCCCCAAATTTTAAGTCTTTCTCACATTGCAAAATACAATCATGCCTTCATAATAGTCCCCCAAAGACTTAACCCATTCCAGCATTACTTCAAAAGTCCCAAGTCCCAAGTTCCACGTCCAAAGTCTCATCTGGAGATGAGTTCCTTTCACGTATGAGCCTGTGAGATAAAAAACAAGTTATTTACTCGCAAGATACAATAGTAATATAGGCATTGGGTATACATTCCCATTTCAAAAGGGAGAAATTGGCCAAAAGAAAGAGGCAATAGGCATCACATAAGTCTGAAACCCAGCAGGACAGTCACTAAATCTTACAGCTCCAAAACAATCTCCCTTGACTCCATGTCCCATAACTAAGGCACACTGGTGTAAGGAGTAGACTCCTGAGGCCTTGGGCAGCTCTGCTCCTGTGGCTTTGAAGGGTGTAGCCCTCATGGCTGCTCTCACTAGTAGGAGATGAGTGTCTTCAGCTTTTCCATGCTGAGGTTGCAAGCTGCTGATAGTTCTACCATTCTTGGGTCTGGAGGGCAGCAGCCCTCTTCCCACAGCTCCACTAGGCAGTGCCCTGGTGGGGAGTCTGTGTGAGGGCTCCAAACCCACATTTCCCCTTGGCACTACCCTCTGTAGGGGGCCATCTCTTGCAGCAGGCTTCTGCCTGGGCACCCAGGCTTCCTCATAATCCTCTCTAATCTAGGTGGGAGCTGCCAAGCCTCCTTCACTCTGGCACTCTGTGCACCTGAAGACTTAACACAACATGGAAGCCACCAAAGCTTATGGCTTATGCCCTCTGGAGCAGTAGCCTGAGCTGTACCTACAGCCCTTTGAACCACAAGTCAAGCCAGAGAGGCTGGGATGTGGGAAACAGTGTCCTAAGGCTAAGCAATTCAGCGGTTCCCTGTGCCTGGCTCCTGAAACCATTCCTTCTCCTAGGTCTCTGGGCCTGTGATGGGAGGGGCTGCATCAAAGATTTCTGAAGTGCCTTTGAGGCCTTTTTCCCATTATCTTGGATATTAGCACTTGGCTCCCTTTTAGTCATGCTAATCTCTTTAGCAAGTGGTTGCACCACAGCCTGATGGATTCTTTCTCTACCACTGGGCCAGACTGCAAATTTTCCAAACTTTTACATTCTGCTTACCTTTTAAATATGAGTTCCAACTTTAAGTCCTTTCTTTGTTCCCACATCTGAGCATAGGCTGCTCAAAGCAGCCAGGTCACATTTTGAATTCTTTGCTACTTAGAAATTTCTTCCACCAGATATGCTTCATCATCAAGTTCAAACTTCCACAAATTCCTACAGCATGGACACAATGCAGCCAAGTCCTTTGCTATGATATAACAGGGTGACCTTTGCTCCAGTTGCCAATACCTTCCTCTTTTCCATCTGAGAGCTCATCAGCCTGGCCTTAACTGTCCATATTTCTATCAGCATTTTGGTCACAACCACTTAAGTCTCTAAGAAGTTCCAAACTTTCCCTCTTCTTCTTGCCTTCTTCTGAGACCTTCAAACTCTTCCAGCCTCTGCCTGTTATGCAACTGCAAAGCCACTTCCACATTTTCAGGTATCTTTATAGCCATACCCCACTCCTATTGGTAACACAGTACCAATTTTCTGTGTTAGTCCTTTTTGCGTTGCTATAAAAAAATACCTGAGACTAGTAAATTTATCAAGAAAAGTGGTTTTTCTTGGCTCATGGTTCTGCAGGTGATACAGGAAACATGTTGCTGGCATCTGCTTCTGGTGAGGGTTTCAAGAAGCTTCCAATCATGGTGGAAGGTGAAGAAGGACATGTGTCACATGGCAATAGCAGGAGTGGGAGGTGTAAGTGCCACACTCTTTTAAACAATCAGATCTCATGTGAACCACAAGAGTAAGAACTCAATCATCACCAGGGGAATGGTGCTATGCCATTTGTGAGGAATCTGCACCCATGATCAAAACACCTTCCACCAGGCCCCACCTCCAACACTGGGGGTGACATTTCAACATGAGATTTGATGGGAACAAACATCCAAACCATATCAACAGTCAAGCGAGTTAACACATCCACCACCTCACGTAGTCACCTTTGTGTGTGTGTATGTGTGTGTGTCTAGTGAGAACACTTAAGATCTACCCTTTCAGCAAATTTCAAGTATACAATACATTGTTATCAACTATAGTCACCATTCTGTACATTAGAACTCTAAAACTTATTAATCTTATAACCTAAAGTTTGTACTTGTTGACCAATATCTCTCCATTTTCTCTACCCCTCCAACCCCTGGCAACTACCATTCTACTCTCTGTTTGCATGAGTTTGACTATTTTAGATTCCATATATATGTGAGATCATACTGTACTTCTCTTTCTCTGTGTGACTCATTTCACTCAGCATAATGCCTGCAAGGTTCATTCATGTCTTCTCAGGTGAAGGGATTTCCTTATTTTAATGGCTGAATAATATTCCAGTATGTGTGTGAGTGTGCATGTGTGTGTTCTTGTGTGTGTACTGTTGGCCACCCATATCCATATGCTTCACTTTCATTTATTCAACTGAGTAGGGATTTAAAATATATGAAAAAATTATATGTGTACTTAATGTGTACACTATTTTTCTTGTCATTCCCTAAACAATATAGTATAACAGCCATTTACACAGCATTTGCATTGTGTTAGGTATTACAAGTTTTATAAATAATTTAGAGATGATTTAAACTATTGATATATAGGTAGATGTGGATAGGTTATATGCAAATATTATGCTGTTTTATATGAGAGACTTGAGCATCCATGGATTTGGGTATCCATAGGTGGTCCTGGAACCAATCCCTTACGGATACCAAGGGACTACTATATATACATGTTTTCATGTCCTAGCTACTGTGAATAATGCTGCAATGAACATAAGGGTGCAGAAATCACTTCAAGATAGTGATTTCATTTCCTCATATATCCAGAAGTAGGATTGCTGGGTCAACTGGTAGTTCTATTTTTAATTTTTTTGAAACTTTCATACTGTTTTCCATAATAGCTGTATCAATTTACATTTCCACCAATATTGCACAAAGTTTCACTTTTTTCCACATCCTCACCAGCATTTGTTATGTATTGTCTTTTCAATAATCATCTTAAGAAGTGAGAGGTGATATCTCATTGTGGTTTTGATTTGCATTTCCCTGATGATTAGTGATGTTGAGCATTTTTCATGTACCTATTAGCCATGTCCCTGTTTGTATGTCTTCTTTGGGAAAATGATTATTCCCAAATTATTATTATGGACTACTTTATTAGTCCATTTTCATGCTGCTGATAAAGACATCCCCAAGACTGGGCAATATACAAAAGAAAGAGGTTTAATTAACTTACAGTTCCACTTGGCTGGGGAGGCCACACAACTGCAGCAGAAGGTGAAAGGCATGTCTCACATGGTGGCAGGTAAGAGAAGAGGGCTTGTGCAAAGAAACTCCCCTTTGTAAAAACCATCAGCTCTCATGAGACTTATTGACTATCATGAGAACAACACAGGAAGGAGCTGCTCCAATGATTCAATTACCTCCCACTGGGTCCCTCCCATAACACATGGGAATTCAAGATGAGGGTTGAGTGGGGACACAGCCACACCATATCACTCCACCCCGGCCCCTCCCAAATCTCATGTCCTCACATTTCAAAACCAATCATGCCTTCCCAACCGTCCCCCAAAGTCTTAATTTATTTCAGCATTAACTCAAAAATCCACAGCCCGAAGTCTCATCTGAGACAAGGCAAGTCCCTTCTGCCTATGAGCCTGTAAAATCAAAAGCAAGTTAGTTACTTCCTAGATACATTGGGGGTACAGGCATTGGATAAATACAGCCATTCCAAATGTGAGACACTGGCCAAACAAAGGGACTACAGGCCCCATGCAAGTCCAAAATCCAGCAGGGCAGTCAAATCTTAAAGCTCCTGAATGATTTCCTTTGACTTCATGTCTTGCATCCAGGTCACGCTGATGGAAGATGTGGGATCCCATGGTCTTGGGCAGCTCTGCCCCTGTGGCTCTGCAGGGTACAGCCTCCCTCCCAGCTGCTTTCATGTGCTAGTGTTGAGTGTCTGCGGCTTTTCTAGGTACACATTGCAAGTTGTCAGTGGATCTACCATTCTGGGGACTGGAGAATGGTGGCCCTCTTCTCACAGCTCCACTAGGCAGTGCCCCAGTAGGGACTCTGTGTGGGGGCTCCAACCCCACATATCTCTTCCCCACTGCCATAGCAGATGTTCTCCATGAGGGCCCTGCCCCTGCAGCAAACTTCTGCCTGGACATCCAGGAGTTTCCATACATCTTCTGAAATCTAGGTGGAGGTTCCCAAATACTAATTCTTGACTTCTGTTAACTCGCAGGCTTAACACCACATGGAAGCGGCCAAGGCTTTGGGCTTGCACCCTCTGAAGCCATGGCCCAAGCTCTATGTTGGCCCCTTTCATCCACGGCTGGAGCAGCTGGGACGCAGGGCACCAAGTTCCCAGGCTGCACACAGCATGGGGACCCTGGCCCCAGCCCACTAAACCACTTTTTTCTTCTAGGCCTCCAAGCCTGTGATGGGAGGGGCTGCCATGAAGACCTCTGACATGTCTTGGAGACATTTTCCCCATTGTCTTGGGAATTAATATTCAGCTCATTACTTATGCAAATTTCTGCAGAGGGCTTGAATTTCTCCCTAGAAAATGGGATTTTCTTTTCTATTACATTGTCTGGGTACAAATTTTTCAAACTTTTATGCACTGCTTCCTTTATAAAACTGAATGCCTTCAACAGCACCCAAGTCACCTCTTGAATGCTTTGCTGCTTAGAAATTTCTTCCACCTCTCTCAAGTTCATCTCTCTCAAGTTAATCTCTCTCAAGTTCAAAGTTCCACTAATCTGTAGGGCTCTTTGCTAAGACATAACAAGAGTCACCTTTGCTCCCATTCCCAACAAGTTCCTCATCTCCATCTGAGACCACCTCAGCTTGGATTTCATTGTCCATATCATTAAAAGCATTTTGGTCAAAGCCATTCTACAAGTCTCTAGGGAGTTCCAACCGTTCCCACATTTTCCTGTCTTCTTCTGAGCCCTTCAAACGGTTCCAACCTCTGCCTGTTACCCAATTCCAAAGTTGCTTCCACATTTGGGGCATTTTTTCAGCAGTGCTCCACTCTACTGGTACCAATTTACTGTATTAGTCCATTTTCATGCTGCTGATAAAGACATACCCGAGACTGGGCAATTTACACAAGAAAGAAGTTTAATAGACTTACAATCTCAAGATGAGATTTGGGTGGGGACACAGCCAAACCATATCAGGTACTTTGCCCATTTTTATTTGGATTATTTGTTCCTTTTTGGTATTGAGTTGTATGGATTCCTTATGTATTTTGGAAATTAACTTATTATACATGTGATTGACAAATATTTTCTCACATTCTGTAGACTTTTCATTTTGTTACTTGGTTTCTTTGCTATGTAGTTTAGTTTTGCTTTTGTTGCCTGTGCTTTTGGTGTCATATTCAAAAAATCATTGTCAAGACCAATGTCAAGGAGCTTTACCACTATGTTATCTTTCAAAAGTTTTATGGTTTCAGGTCCTACGTTAAGGTCTTTAATTCATTTCAAGTTAATTTTTGTAATAGGAGACCAATTTCATTCTTTTACATGTGGATATGCAGTTTTCCCAACACCATTTATTGAAGAGACTGTCCTTTCCCCAATGTGTATTTTTGGCATGCTTGTCAAATATTAGTTGATCACATATATGTGGGTTTATTTCCAGGCTCTCAGTTCTGTTCCAATTATCTATGTGTCTGTTTTTATGCCAGGACCATACATTTTGAATGCTATGGATTTGAAATAAAGTTTGAAATCAGTGTCATGCCTCCAGTTTATTCTTCTTGAATCTGTATATTGCTTTGGGTAGTATGAATTTTTATCTTAATGTTTTTATCACATCACTCTTACAAGAGTAAGAGTTTTTATATGTTGATTTTGTATCTTGCAACTTTACTAAATTATTTTATTATCACTAAAGGTTTGCCATTCTAAAAAATCTTTGGCTGGGCATGGTGGCTCACACCCATAATCCTAGCACTTTGGAAGGCCTAGGCAGGAGGACAACTTGAAGCCAGGAGTTCAAGGTCAGCTTGGGAAACATGATGAGGCCCTGTCTCAGAAAAGGAAAAAAGAAAAGCAGAAATCATTACAAAATAAAAATATTTTCCAAAAACCAACTCTTAATTTCATTCATCTTGTCTATTGTTTTTTAGTGCCTACTCTATTTATTTTTGCTCTAATTGACATTATTTTATTCACTTTGTAGATGTTGAGGTTAGTTTATTCTTTTTTTATAGTTCTTTGAGGTATAACATTAATTTGTTCACTGGGGATCTTTTTTCTTATTGTAATGGTTTATAGCTACAGATTTTCCTCTTAGAATTGCTATTGTTGTATCCCATAAGTTTTTGTATGTTGTGTTTCTATTTTCAATTGTCTTAAGATATTGTTTGATTTTCTCTTTGAATTCTTATTTGGCCCACTGGCTGTTCAAAGGTGTTTAATTTTCATGTATTTGGGATTTTTCCAAATTCCTCCTGTTATTGATTTATAGTTTTATAGCATTGCGGTCAGAAAATATACCTGATATGATTTTAATCTTCTTGAATTTAATATGAGTTGCTTTGTGGCCTGTTGTATGATGTATCCTGAGAACATTTCATGTTTGCTTTAGAAAAATGTATATTTTGCTGCTGTTAGATGAAATGTTTTGTGTATATCTCTGGTTCATTCGATCTATAGCATTATTTCCTTCTTGATTTTTTGTCTGAACTGCCTAGTCATTGTGGAGAGTGCAGTATTAAAGTCCCCTGCTATTATTATATTTCTATTTACTTCTCATTTCAATTATGCCAATATTTGCTTTATAAATGTAGATGCTCTAATGTTAGGTGCATAAGTATTTTAAATTTTTATATCATTTGATGAATTTTCCCTTTATTATTATATAACTATCTTGTCTCTTGTGACACTTTTTGAATAAAAAGGCTATTTTTTTCTGGCATAATTATACCCACCTCTGATCTCTTTTAGGTACCAATTGCATGGAGTATGTTTTTCTATCCCTTCTCTTTCAGCCTATGTGTGTCTCTAAAGCTAAATTGAGTATCTTGTACATAGTATATTTTTGTATCCTGTTTTTTATCCATTCATCATTCAGTGTCTTTTGATTGAATAACTTAATCCATTGACATTTAAATAGCTATTAGACGTAAACAACTTACTATTGACATTTTATTCATTGTTTTCTGACTGTTTTGTAGTTCCTTTGTTACTTTCTTTCTTTCTTCCTTTGTGATTTGATGACTTTGTGGTAGTATGGTTTGATTCCTTTCTCTTTATCTTTTTCGGTATCCACTACAGGTTTTTTTATGTGATTGCTATCAGGTTTATATTAAATATCTTACAGCTATAACATCCCATTTTAAGTGGTTAACAACTTAATTTATATCACATACAAAATCTCTATATTTTTACTTCTTCTTTATCACATTTTAGGTTATTGATGTTACAATTTATGTCTTTTCTATATTATATACCCAATAACAAATTATCATAGTTATTATTTTTAACGTTCATGTTTGGGTGTTTTTTTTTTTTTGAGACAGAGTCTCACTCTATCACCCAGGCTGGAGTACAGTGGTGGAACTCAGCTCACTACAACTTCTGCCTCCCAGGTTCAAACAATTCTCATGTCTCAGCCTCCTGAGTAACTGGGAATACAGGCGTGTGCCACCACCCCTGGCTAATTTTTGTATTTTTGGTAAAGATGGGGTTTCACCTTGTTGGCCAGGCTGGTCTCGAACTCCTGGCATCAAGTGATCCATCCACTTGTGCCTCTCGAAGTGCTGGTATTACAGATATGAGCCACTGCGCCTGGACTTAATGTTTGTTTATTAACTATTATACTAGAACTGAAAGTGATTTACTCATCATCATTAAAATAATAGAGAATTCTGACTTTGACTATATATTTACCTATATAAGTGAGTTTTATGCATTTACATGTTTGTATGTTGTTAATTAGCATCCATTCATTTCAGTAAAGAACTACTTTAGCATTTCTTCTAAGGCAGGACTAGTGGTGACGAGCTCCCTTACCTTTTGTTTGTTTGGGAAAGTCTTTATATCTTCTTCATTTCTGAAGGACAGTGTTGCCAGGTAAAGTATTCTTCATTGGCAGTTTTTTTCTTTAGATATTTTAAAAATATCATTCCATTCCCTCCTCCTGGCCTGCAAGGTTTGTGCTGCCATAGAATTTTTCTAAGTATTGCCTTTAGAAAGGTTATCAGATACAAGGTCAATATACAGAAATAATTGGTTAATAATTGTATTCTCAAAATCAACACACACACTCCATGGCATTTATATACACCAACAGGAAACATCTGAAAAAGAATTAAGAAAGGAAACTCACATACAGTAGCCACAAAGAATACAAAATACCTAGTTATCAATTTAACCAAAGAAGTGGAAGATTTATACAAGTAAAGGTATAAAACACTGATGAAAAAATTGGAGAGCACACTACAAACTGGAAAGATATTCCATACTCATGGCTTGGAAGAATTAAGGTTATTAAAATGACTATAGCACTAAAAGCAATTTACATACTCAGTGCAATCACTATAAAAATACCAATGACATTCTTCATAAATAGAAAAAGATACTAAAATACACATGGAATTGCAAGAGACCTCGAATAGCCAAAGCAATCCTGAACAAAAAGAACAAAGCTGGAGGCATCACACTACCTGACTTCATAATATACTACAAAGCTGTAATAACCAAATTAGCATGGTACTGGCAAAAAACAAACAAAAAACACAAAACAACAACAACAAAAACAGAGACACAGACCAATGGAACAGAATAGAGAATCCAGAAATAAATCCACACATTTACAGCCAACTCATTTTCAACAAAGGCACCAAGTGCATACATTGAGAGATAGGACAGTCTCTTCAATAAGTGATGTGAGGAAAACTAGATGACCATAGGCAGAAGAATGAAACTAGACCTCCTGTCTCTTATTACGTAAAAAATCAACTCAAAATAAATTAAATATTTAAATCTAAGACCTGAAAATATGAAACTAATAAAAAAAACTTTGGAAAAATCCTTCAGAACATTGGTCTGGGCAATGATATTTTGTGTAAGACCTCAAAAGCACAGGCAACTGAAGTAAAAATAGACAAATGGAATATTATCAAGCTAAAAAGCTTCTGCACAGCAAAGGAAACAAAGAGATAAATCATGGAATTGAAAATATTTTCAAGCTTTCCATCTTACATGGATTTATAACCAGAATAGATAAGGATTTCAAAGAACTCTGTAGCAAAAAAAAAAAAAAAGTTTTAAAATGCGTAAAAGATCTCAATAGACATTTCTCAAAAGCATATACACAAATGGACAATATGTATATGAAAAAATGCTCTTGGGATCTTTGTCATGAAATCTTTGCCCATTCCTATGTTCAGAATGGTTGCCTAGGTTGTCTCGCAGGGTTTTTATAGTTATTGGTTTTAATTGACAAATGGGATCTAATTAAACTTAAGAGCTACTACATAGCAAAAGAAACTATCAACAGAGTAAACAGACAACCTACAGAATGGAAGAAAATTTTTGCAAACTATGCATCTGACAAAGGTCTAATATCCAGAATCTATAAGGAACTTAAAGAAATTTACAAGGGAAAAACAAAAAAAAAATTTAAAAATGGGCAAAGGACATGAATAGACACTTCTCAAAAGAAGACCTACATGCAGCCAACAAGCATATGAAAAAAAGCTCAATGTCATTGATCATTAGAGAAATGCAAATCAAAACCACAGTGAGATACCATCTCACACCAGTCAGAATGGCTATTATTAAAAAGTCAAAAAGTAGGTCGGGTGTGGTGACTCACGCCTATAATCCCAGCACTTTGGGAGGCTGAGGTGGGCAGATCACAAGGTCAGGAGATCGAGACCATCCTGGTGAACACTGTGAAACCCCATCTCTATTAAAAATACAAAAAAATTAGCCAGGCGTGGTGGCAGGCACCTGTAGTCCCAGCTACTCAGGAGACTGAGGCAGAAGAATGGCATGAATCAGGGGGGCAGAGCTTGCAGTGAGTGGAGATCGCGCCACTGCACTCCAGACTGGGCAACAGAGCGAGACTCTGTCTCAAAAAAAAAAAAAAAAGAGTCAAAAAGTAATGGTAGCAAGGTTGTGGAGAAAAAGGGACACTTATACACTGTTGATGGGAGTGTAAATTTCAACTATTATGGAAAGCAGTATGGCAATTCCTCAAAGAGCTAAAAACAGAACTATCATTCGACCCAGCAATCCCATTACTAGGTATATACCCAGAGAAATACAAATCATTCCACCATAAAGATACAGGCACGTGTATGTCCACTGCAGCATTATTCACAATAGCAAAGACATGGAATCAACATAAGTGCCCATCAGTGACAGATAAGATAAAGAAAATGTGGTACATATACACCATGGAATACTATGCAGCCATAAAAAAATGAGATCAGGTCCTTTGCAGGAACATGGATGGAGTTGGAGGCTATTATTCTTAGCAAACTAACACAGGAACAGAAAACCAAGTACTGCATATTCTCACTTATAAGTGTGAGCTAAATGATGAGAACTCATGATCACAAAGAAGGGAACAACAGACACTGGGGTCTACTTGAGGGTGGGAGGAGATAGAGGAGCAGAAAAGTAACTATTAGGTACTAAGCCTTGTACCTGGGTGATGAAATAATCTGTACAACACACCCCCAGACATGAGTTTACCTATGTAACAAACTTGCACATGTACCACCAAACCTAAAATAGGAGTTTTTTAAAAAAGAAAACTAAAGAAATTGAGTGTATAAGGTGTAAGGAAGGGATCCAGTTTCAGCTTTCTACATATGGCTAGCCAGTTTTCCCAGCACCATTTATTAAATAGGGAATCCTTTCCCCATTGCTTGTTTTTCTCAGGTTTGTCAAAGATCAGATAGTTGTAGATATGCGGCGTTATTTCTGAGGGCTCTGTTCTGTTCCATTGATCTATATCTCTGTTTTGGTACCAGTACCATGCTGTTTTGGTTACTGTAGCCTTGTAGTATAGTTTGAAGTCAGGTAGCATGATGCCTCCAGCTTTGTTCTTTTGGCTTAGGATTGACTTGGCAATGCGGGCTCTTTTTTGGTTCCATATGAACTTTAAAGTAGTTTTTTCCAATTTTGTGAAGAAAGTTATTGGTAGCTTGATGGGGATGGCATTAAATCTGTAAATTACCTTGGGCAGTATGGCCATTTTCACGATATTGATTCTTCCTACCCATGAGCATGGAATGTTCTTCCATTTGTTTGTATCCTCTTTTATTTCATTGAGCAGTGGTTTGTAGTTCTCCTTGAAGAGGTCCTTCACGTCCCTTGTAAGGTGGATTCCTAGGTATTTGATTCTCTTTGAAGCAATTGTGAATGGGAGTTCACTCATGATTTGGCTCTCTGTTTGTCTGTTGTTGGTGTATAAGAATGCTTGTGATTTTTGTACATTGATTTTGTATCCTGACACTTTGCTGAAGTTGCTTATCCGCTTAAGGAGATTTTGCGCTGAGACAATGGGGTTTTCTAGATATACAATCATGTCGTCTGCAAACAGGGACAATTTGACTTCCTCTTTTCCTAATTGAATACCCTTTATTTCCTTCTCCTGCCTGATTGCCCTGGCCAGAACTTCCAACACTATGTTGAATAGGAGTGGTGAGAGAGGGCATCCCTGTCTTGTGCCAGTTTTCAAAGGGAATGCTTCCAGTTTTTGCCCATTCAGTATGGTATTGGCTGTGGGTTTATCAAGATGGATTAAAGACTTAAACGTTAGACCTAATACCATAAAAACCCTAGAAGAAAACCTAGGCATTACCATTCAGGACATAGGCATGGGCAAGGACTTCATGTCTAAAACACCAAAAGCAATGGCAACAAAAGTCAAAATTGACAAATGGGATCTAATTCAACTAAAGAGCTTCTGCACAGCAAAAGAAACTACCATCAGAGTGAACAGGCAACCTACAAAATGGGAGAAAATTTTCGCAACCTACTCATCTGACAAACGGCTAATATCCAGAATCTACAATGAACTCAAACAAATTTACAAGAAAAAAACAAACAACCCCATCAAAAAGTGGGCGAAGGACATGAACAGACACTTCTCAAAAGAAGACATTTATGCAGCTAAAAAACACATGAAAAAATGCTCACCATCACTGGCCATCAGAGAAATGCAAATCAAAACCACAATGAGATACCATCTCACACCAGTTAGAATGGCAATCATTAAAAAGTCAGGAAACAACAGGTGCTGCAGAGGATGTGGAGAAATAGGAACACTTTTACACTGTTGGTGGGACTGTAAACTAGTTCAACCCTTGTGGAAGTCAGTGTGGCGATTCCTCAGGGATCTAGAACTAGAAATACCATTTGACCCAGCCATCCCATTACTGGGTATATACCCAAAGGACTATAAATCATGCTGCTATAAAGACACACGTACACGTATGTTTATTGCGGCATTATTCACAATAGCAAAGACTTGGAACCAAGCCAAATGTCCAACAATGATAGACTGGATTAAGAAAATGTGGCACATATACACCATGGAATACTATGCAGCCATAAAAAATGATGAGTTCATGTCCTTTGTAGGGACATGGATGAAATTGGAAATCATCATTCTCAGTAAACTCTCCCAAGAACAAAAAACCAAACACCACGTATTCTCACTCATAGGTGGGAATTGAACAATGAGAACACATGGACACAGGAAGGGGAACATCACACTCTGGGGACTGTTGTGGGGTGGGGGGAGGGGGGAGGGATAGCATTGGGAGATATACCTAATGCTAGATGACGAGTTAGTGGGTGCAGTGCACCAGCATGGCACATGTATACATATGTAACTAACCTGCACGTTGCGCACATGTACCCTAAAACTTAAAGTATAATAATAATAAATAAATAAATAAAAGAAATTGAGTGAAACCCAAATAAGCTAAACTCAGAGAAAGTCACACCATGATGCATCTTAATTAACCTTCTGAAAGCTAAGACAAAATAATTAAAAACAGCTAGAGATAAATGGCATTACCTATAAAGGAACAATAATTCAAAAGACAATGGGTTTCTTATATGAAATTATGGCAGCCAGAATGAAGGAGAATAACATTTTTAAGTATTGAAAGAAAAGAATAGTCTACCCAGTGACTATCCTTCAGGAATAACTAGAAAAGAAAGAAACTCTCAAAGGCAAACTAACAGACTCTAGTTACTTATAAGAACTATCCTTTAAGAGTAGCTAAAGCAGCCATTCCAAATTGAAATATATATATATAAATAAAAGGATGATGGTGGAATTGGTAAAAACAGAAGTAAAAATAATAGACTATACTTCCTCTAATCAATTTCTTTAATAATATTTTATGGTTGAAGCAAAAATTATAACATCATCTAATGTGGTGCTCAGTGTATGTACTGCAAATACTTATCACAATTGTATTTGGAAAGTGGGGAGGTTAATGTGACATAAAAGATGTAAGGTTTCTATACTTTACCAGAAGTGGTAAAATATCAATACTAGTAGGCTGTGATATGATGCACATGTAACTCAAGTGCATATGGCAATACATAAGGTAAATAGTAAGAAAATAGGAATCAATATACTCAAATATTATAAATAAAAATAGAGGTCTATAAACTGTTCATGTAGTCTAGAGGAAGACAGCACAAAGGAACCAAAAAATTAGAAACAAAGGAATTAAATAGAAAAAAATAATAACATGGAACACTTAAGCCTTAACGTATTAATAACTATATTAAACATAAATAGTCAAGTACAGCGGCCGGGCACGGTGGCTCACGCCTGTAATCCCAGCACTTTGGGAGGCCGAGGCGGGCAGATCACGAGGTCAGGAGATCGAGACCATCCTGGCTAACACGGTGAAACCCCGTCTCTACTAAAAATATAAAAAATTAGCCAGGCATTGTGGCAGGCGCCTGTAGCCCCAACTACTCGGGAGGCTGAGGCAGGAGAATGGCGTGAACCCAGGAGGCGGGGTTGCAGTGAGCTGAGATTGCGCCACTGCACTCCAGCCTGGGCGACAGAGTGAGATTCCATCTCAAAAAATAAAAAATAAAAAAAGGTCAAGTACAACAAATACAATACAAAGATTGGTAGAGTAGATTTTTAAAAATACACCTCTATGTTGTCTACAACACACTGATTTCAAGTGTAATGAATTAGGTAGATTAAAAGGAGAAGGAAGAAAATATATCTCATGCAAACATTAATCAAAAAAGTTAAGTGTGGCTTTATCAAAATCAGACAAAGTAAATCTTAGGGTAAAGAAATGACTACAATTGGAGGTACAATTGGAGATACTATATGATATGGTTTGGCTCTATGTTCCCACCCAGATCTCACCTGGAATTGTAGAATTGTAATAATCCCTATGTGTCATGGGACAGACCTGGTGGGAGGTAACTGAATCATGGAGGCAGGATTTTCCCATGCTATTCTCGTGATATTGAATAAGTCTCATGAGATCTTATGGTTTTATAAAGGGAAGTTCCCCTGCAAACACTTGCTCTTGCCTGCCACCATGTAAGATGTGACTTTGCTCCTCATTCACCTTCTGCCATGATTGTGAGGCCTCCCCAGCTATGTGGAACTGTGAGTCAATGATACCTCTTTCCTCTATAAATTACCCAGTTTTGGGTATGTCTTTATTACCAGAGTGAGAACAGACTGATACAGTAAATTGGTACTGGAAAGTGGGATGCTGCTGTAAAGATACCCAAAAATGTGGAAGCGACTTTGGAACTGGGTAATAGGCTGAGGTTGGAACAGTTTGGAGGACTCAGAAGATAGGAAAATGTGGGAAAGTTTGGAACTTCCTAGAGACTTGGAGGGCTCAGAAGACAGGAAGATGTGAGAAAGTTTGGAACTTCCTAGAGACTTGTTGAATGACTTTGACCAAAATGCTGGTAGTGATATGGACAATAAGGTCCAGGCTGAGGTGGTCTCAGGTGGAGATGGGGAACTTGTTGGGAACTGGAGTAAAGGTCAGTCTTGCTATGCAAAGAGACTGGCGGCATTTTGCCCCTGCCCTAGAGATCTGTGGAACTTTGAACTTGAGAGAGATGATTTAGGGTATCTGGGGAAAGAAATTTCTAAGCAGCAAAGCATTCAAGAGGAAGCAGAGCATTTGGAAAATGTGCAGCCTAACAATGCAATGGAAAAGAAAAACCCATTTTCTGGGGAGAAATTCAAACCACCTGCAGAAATTTGCATATGTAACAAGGAGCCAAATGCTAGTCACCAAGACAATGGGGAAAATGCCTCCAGGGCATGTCGGAGACCTTTGTGGCAGCCCCTCTCATCACAGGCCTGAGGTCTAGGAGGGAAAAACGGTTTCATGAGCCAGGCCTAGGGCTCCCCTGCGCTATGCAGCCTCTGAACATGGTGCCCTGCATCCCAGCTGTTTCAGTTCCAGCCATGGCTAAAAGGGGCCAATGCTTCAGAGAATGCAAGCCCCAAGCCTTGGCAGTTTACACATGGTGGTGGGACTGTGAGTGCACAGAAGTCAAGAATTGAGGTTTGGGAACCTCCACCTACATTTCAGAGGATGTATGAAAACACCTGAATGTCCAGGCAGAAGCATGCTGTAGGGGCAGGGTCCTCATGGAGAACCTCTGCTAGGGCAGTGTGGAAGGGAAATGTGGGGTCATAGCCCCCACACAGAGTCCCTACTGGGCCACTGCCTAGTGGAGCTGTGAAAAGAGAGTTGCCATCATCCAGACCCCAGAATGGTAGATTCACTGACAGCTTGTACCATGCAACTGGAAAAGCCACAGACACTCAACACCAGCCTGTGAAAGCAGCCAAGAGGGAAGCTATACCCTGCAATGCCACAGGAGTGGAGCTGCCCAAGGCTGTGGCAGCCCACCTCTTGCATCAGCATGACCTGGGTGTGAGATATGGAATCAAAGGAGATCCTTTTGGAACTTTAAGGTTGAATGACTGTCCTATTGGATTTCGGACTTGCATGGGGCCTGTAGCCACTTCATTCTGGCCAATTTCTCCCATTTGGAACAGGTGAATTTACCTAAAGTCTGTACCCCATTTTATTTAAGAAGTATCTAACTTGCTTTTGATTTTACAGGCTCATAGGTGGAAGGGACTTGCCTTGTCTCAGATGAGACTTTGGACGGTGGACTTTTAATGCTGAAATGAGTTAAGACTTTGGGGAAATGTTGGGAAGGCATGATTGGTTTTGAAATGTGAGGACATGAGATTTGGGAGGGGCCAGGGATGAAATGATACAGTTTGGCTCTCTGTCCCCAATCAAATCTCACCTGGAATTGTAATAATCCCCACATGTCATGGGAGGGACCCAGTGGGAGGTAACTGAATCATGGGCATGAGTTTTTTTCCCTGCTGTTCTCATGATAGTAAGTCTCATGAGATCTGATGGTTTTATAAAGGGGAGTTCCCCTGCAAACACTTGCTCTTGCCTGCCACCCTATAAGGTGTGACTTTCCACCTCATTCAGCTTCTGCCATGATTGTGAGGCCTCCCCAGCCATGCAGAACTGTGAGTCAATTAAACCTCTTTCCTTTATAAATTACTCAATCTCAGGTATGTCTTTATTAGCAATGTAAGAAAAGACTTGTCTTCTGCCATAAGATGAGCCTCACTAGATGCTGGTGCCATAGCTTCCGGAACTGTGAGCCAAACAGAGTTCTTTTTTTTTTTTTTTTTAACTACCTAGTCTGTGGTATTCTGTTATATCAGCAGAAAACCGACTAAGACAATAATTAACTAAGAGTGTCTAACTGATATTTTTAGAATATTGATATGAAATTCTTAATGTAACTACTGATTATATGAAAAGTATAATTCCTCATGACCAACTGAGATTTATCCAAGAGACACAGAGATAGAATTACAGTAATTGCTATCCATGGGGTATATTAAAAATAATTTTCTTAACAGATGCTGATATAGTTTGATAAAACTCTTTAGCAAAGGATTCTTCTTAAAATAATAAAATGTATGAATAGGGGAAAACAATCTTCTCAACAAAGCTTCTGATGTTACACTTAATTGTGAAACAAATAACCAAAAAATGTACTTAATTATAAAGTACTGGGGGCAGTTTCAGAAAAATAAGAGAGTTAACAAAGTCATTGGAATGTAATAGTGTGAAAGTTCTGGTCATTATAATGCAGCATGAAGCAGAAATAAGAGTTATAACCCCTAGAAAAATGGACATATAATTATTATTTACATATGATATGATTATATTCCTAGAAAAAGCAGTTTAAACACTATTAAAATAAGTAGATTGGCTAGATAAAAGATAAGCTAATAAAAATTAATTACTTTGCTATGTTATCAGTTGGAAAGTACAAAAGGAATTCTTTCAAAGTTTGGATGCAACATTCCACCTTAAGCCAAATATAGTTAATTCCTTTTCCCTTTGAACTAGCCCCTGAAATTATCAAAGAAATGTAAAAATCCACTTCAGCTCTGGAAACAAGTGCAGGGTGTTACCCACTGGCCAGAGCAAATTTCTTCAGGTTAATGAGCAGCTGAGACCTAAGGGTGGATCTAGCCAGCTGGGGAAAGACCAATCCACTTAGGAAAACAAGTGTAAGGAACCTACACCAGCGTGGAAGGCTGCAGGGTAGAACTGAGGAAAGGCATGAGAGAATGGGTGAAGCTAAACCTCGAGTCTCTTGTCAGCTTTGGGATGTACATTAGGGTAAGAAATTGCCACCTCAGGAGTCAGTGCAGCTTCTCATTGGCTTGAAAAGCTGGAGCATGAACCCTAATGATTAAAGGAGAGGGCAGGCTCTAAGTATCTCTAGGCTGCCCCCTCTACAGTGAGTAAGCAGCTGGGAAGAGTAAAAACACAGCAAACCCATATTTACTCCTTCTCTCATTATCTGGTATTGAAATATTTGAATAGGGACTCCAATAAATCAAAGTCCATCTTAATTCCCCATACTGAACCATATTTTGTAAGGATGCGCAAAAAGAGAAAATGATTGGTAATTTGGCAGGACCAACATGGGAACCAATGGGAATAAAAGTAAACATTTCTTTGTGAAAGATGTTAATTCAAGAAACAGGCGGAAATTTAAAATAATCTCTTACTTGTTTTTAACACAAGCTTTGAGAGGCTGTTGCATCTATGAAGAAGGCAGGAAATACTGATTTCAAATAAAAACATAATTATAAAATTTAAAATGCAATGGAAGCAATGAAGAGCCGATAATCTCTTAATCTTAAAATTTCATCTGAAATGCTTCAGAATTCACTTAGAAATCAGAAAACAAAAATGAAAGAAATGAGATTAGAAAAACAGTAAGGGACACAGAGAGTACACTGGAGGGAAACAATTATGCATAGCACTAACTCTGAAAAGGAAAGCAGAACAGAGGGTAGGCAACTAAAAAAAAAAAAATTAAAGGAAAATTTCCCTGAACCAGACAGAGGACTGTCTTTAGATTGGAAGCTTTCAGCAATTATGGAAAAAATCTCTAAATATACAAGTATTCTGATATGGGTATTTTTTCTTTTGAGACAGAGTATCACTCTGTCATCCAGGCTGGAGTGCAGTGGCAGGATCACAGCTCATTGCAGCTTCAACCTCCTGGGCTCAGGTGATCCTCCCACTTCAACCTCTCAAGTAGCTGGGACTACAAGGCACGTGTCAGCACCACACGTGGCTAAGTTTTAAACTTTTTGTAGAGATGAGGTTTCATTATGTTGCCCATGCTGGTCTTGAACTCCTGGGCTCAAGCTGTCCACCTGCCTCAGCCTCCCAAACTATTGGGATTACAGGCGTGGTGGGATTATGCCACCATGCCCGGCCTGATATGGGTTTTTTTTTTAACATATAAAGAATAAAGAAAAATTTTAAATGCACGCAAGCAGAAGTTACAATATATCTAAAATGAAAAAAAAAATCAGATGGCAGCAGATGTCTTGGTCAAACTGAATGCCAGAAGACCATGGAACAATGTCTAAAGAATTTAGAGAGAAAATGATTGTTATCCAATAGCTCTACAGTTAGCCAAACTACTTTTAAGGAGCTAAAATATTCATTTCATTTTATCTTTTTATTCCTTAGTGTTTCTTGCAAGTCATAATATATTTATTTTATTTTATTGTGGTAATAACACTTATCATGAGATCTATACCCTTAACAAGTTTTAAGTGTACAATATATTATTGTTGACTATAGGCACAATGATGTAAAGCAGATCTCTAAAGTTTATTCATTTTATTTAACTGAAACTCTATGCCTATTGGTCAACAACTCCCCATTACCTCCTCCCTCTAGCTTTGTATATATACTTCATGTTAGTGAAATCCTGCAGTACTAGTCTGTTTGTAACTGGCTTATTTCACTTAGCATAAGTCCTCAAGGTTAGCCCATGTTGTTGCATATTGCAGAATTTCCTTTTTGCATAAGGTTGAATAGTGTGTGTATATATATATATATAAAACATGTTCTCTATCCATTCTTCTGTCATTGGACATTTAAGTTCTTTCCACATCTTAGCTATTATAAATGAATAGTGCTCCAATGAATATGTAAATAGTAGCTCTTTGAGATCCTAATTTCAATTTTTTATATATACTCAGAAATGTGATTGCTGGGTCACATGGTAGCACTATTTTTAATTTTTGAGAAGCATCCATACTGTTTTTTATAGTGGCTGTATTGGTAAAAACAAAACAAAACAAAAATAAACAAGTGGGATTACATCAAACTAAAAAGCTTCTGCACAGTAAAATAAACAATCAACAGATTGAAAAAGCAGCCTATAGAATGGGAGAAAATATCTGCAAACCATATATCTGAAAAGGTGTTAATCTCCAAAATATATATGAAATTCATATAACTCAATAACAAAAAATGAATTACATAATTTGAAAAATGAGTTAAGTACTTGAATGGACATTTCTCCTAAGAAGACATACAAATGGCCAGTAAGTATAAAAAAAATTGCTCTATATCACTAATCAGCAAGGAAGTGCAATCAAGACCACAATGAGATATCATCTCATACCTGTAAGGATGGCTATTATCAAGAAAATGAAAGACAAGTAATTGAGATTTATAGAAGACTCTGATCAACAACAGCAGTATTAACATTTTTACAAGTGCTCAATGGAACTTTCACCAAGATGAGTCATGAAACATGCTGGTTATTTTGTTGTTCTCCTGTCTTAGGTCCATCAGATTGTATGCCATTAATTTCTCCTTTTACTCACACAGATACCTGTGTGTTTCTGTGGCTGTTGGTGCTTTGTCTTCATCTACTTGGATTTTAAGATCTGCGAGAATAATTCATCATGATGTTTTGTTATAAACATTGTTGATGGATTTTTGGTTTTGTTATGTAGTTGCTCTGCCTGTTTTTATGTAGAGATTAATAGAGACTAGCCAACTATGTTCCTGCCACCACCATTTTCTCGTAATCCCTATCTATTACCTAGATTTCAGTCTTGTTAACTTTACCATATTTGCTACATCTATTTTAAGTATTTAAAAGCAAATAACCATAGACATTCTTTCGATTTCCTCTGAAATATTTTAGCATGTATGTCTTAAATAAAAAGACATTTTTCTCAAAAAAAATCATCATACCACTACCATACCTGAAAAACTAACAATAATTCTCCAATTTCATCATCTCGCATTCAGCCCATACCTAGATTCCTCTTTTGTCCTCACAATAGCTTTTAGAAGTGGAACTTTTTTCAAACAGTTTCCTTATGTTGCAAGGGTCCTTTAAGTATCTCTTAATCAAGCCTGACATTCTTGATAAACCTTTTTTCTTTTATTTTTAGATTATGATATTTTCTCTATGGAATTAAAGAGTAGTGCATTTTGTTTTAGAGAGTAGTGCATTTTTTTAAGAAAATTAATGTCCAGAAAAGATAAGACCATCAAAAAGATTAGGCCTGCTGCCTGGGCAAAAATTAGGTAGAGAGACCACAGGACAGCAACCACAGGAACCACCCTAACCATCTCAGGGAAACAAAACGCCTCGGGGTAGTAGTGTTCAAAGTTACTATTAGCACCTTAGAGAGTCCTCTCTGGCTCAAAGGTAATATAATCTAGTTAGTGACTTCAAAACTCCAAAGCCTAAGCTTGTAACTCAGGCTGTTTGTGGGTTCTGTGAGCTTGGCCTTTGGCAGATGTAGGGATGAAGATGCCTAGTTCCTCCCTTAGAGGTAACTGTGGATCCTGCCTAAGAAATAAGCATTTTGGTACTGGTACCAAAACAGAGATATAGACCAATGGAACAGAACAGAGTCCTCAGAAAGAACGCCACATATCTACAACTATCTGATCTTTGACAAACCTGAGAAAAACAAGCAATGGGGAAAGGATTCCCTATTTAATAAATGGTGCTGGGAAAACTGGCTAGCCATATGTAGAAAGCTGAAACTGGATCCCTTCCTTACACCTTATACAAAAATTAATTCAAGATGGATTAAAGACTTAAACGTTAGACCTAAAACCATAAGAACCCTAGAAGAAAACCTAGGCAATACCATTCAGGACATAGGCATGGACAAGGACTTCATGTCTAAAACACCGAAAGCAATGGCAACAAACGTCAAAATTGACAAATGGGATCTAATTCAACTAAAGAGCTTCTGCACAGCAAAAGAAACCACCATCAGAGTGAACAGGCAACCTACAAAATGGGAGAAAATTTTTGCAACCTACTCATCTGACAAAGGGGTAATATCCAGAATCTACAATGAACTCAAACAAATTTACAAGAAAAAAACAAACAACCCCATCAAAAAGTGGGCAAAGGATATGGACAGACACTTCTCAAAAGAAGACATTTATGCAGTCAAAAAACACATGAAAAAATGCTCATCATCACTGGCCATCAGAGAAATGCAAATCAAAACCACAATGAGATACCATCTCACACCAGTTAGAATGGCAATCATTAAAAAGTCAGGAAACAACAGGTGCTGGAGAGGATGTGGAGAAATAGGAACACTTTTACACTGTTGGTGGGACTGTAAACTAGTTCAAACACTGTGGAAGACAGTGTGGCGATTCCTCAGGGATCTAGAACTAGAAATACCATTTGACCCAGCCATCCCATTACTGGGTATATACCCAAAGGATTAGAAATCATGCTGCTATAAAGACACATGCACACGTATGTTTATTGCGGCACTATTCACAATAGCAAAGACCTGGAACCAACCCAAATGTCCAACAATGATAGACTGGATTAAGAAAATGTGGCACATATACACCATGGAATACTATGCAGCCAGAAAAAACGATGAGTTCATGTCCTTTGTAGGGACATGGATGAAGCTGGAAACCATCATTCTCAGCAAACTATTGCAAGGACAAAAAACCAAACACCACATGTTCTCACTCATAGGTGGGAACTGAACAATGAGAACACATGGACACAGGAAGGGGAACATCACACACTGGGGACTGTTGTGGGGTGGGGGGAGGTGGGAGGGATAGCATTAGGAGATATACCTAATGCTAAATGATGAGTTAATGGGTGCAGCACACCAACATGGCACATGTATACATATGTAACAAACCTGCACGTTGTGCACATGTACCCTAAAACTTATAGTATAATAATAATAAGATTAAAAAAAAGAATTCCTTTGAAACCCCAGGAGAAGTAATATTAGAAAATGAGAGTAATATTAGAAAAAGAAAGATTATTAGCCCTTTCCTTACATATCAGTGTATAGTTTCACTTGTTACAGCAAGTATGTTTTACTTCTAATTCAAAGGTCATCAAATAAGATAAAATGTTCTGCTGGCACTTTGCAAAAGAAGGGTATCCTGATGGTCAAAGTCATATGAAAAGATTCTCAGCTCTATGAGACATAAGGAAAATGCAAATTATAACCACAATGTGATATCACTGTACATGCCAAAATGACTAAAATAAAAAAGAGAAAAAAGCCAGGCATGGTGGCTCATGCCTGTAATCCCAGCACTTTGGGAGGCCGAGGCGGGCGGATCACCAGGTCAGGAGATCGAGACCATCCTGCCTAACACGGTGAAACTCTGTCTCTACCAAAAATACAAAAAATTAGCTGGACATGGTGGCACATGCCTGTAGTACCAGATACTCCGGTGGCTGAGGCAGGAGAATCACTTGAACCCAGGAGGTGGAGGTTGCAGTGAGCTGAGATCACACTGCACTCCAGTCTGGGCAACAGAGGAAGACTCCATCTCAACAAAAAAAAAAAAAAAAAAAAGAGAGAGAGAGAGAAATGATAACAATTTTGGTGACAACAAATGGAAACTACTGGATATGAAATAATTGGTATTCTTATAGGCTACTTGCTGGAGTATAAATTGATATAACCACTTTAGAAAACTATTTGGCAGTATCTATTAAAGCAGACAGATGCATACACCAATACTCAGCAATTCTACTCCTAGATATGTACCTAACAAATATGTACACATATGAATGTTCAATAAATGTGTTTAAGAATAAAAAAAAAAGAAAAAAGCATTTTAAGGCCTCAGTATTTTTTATAGATGGAAAGTAGAATTTTCCTTATATTTCCATGCTTTAAATTTTTTTTTCTCCAAGTTATTGGTAGAGAGTTTCCATACTTAAAAATATCCCATCCTAGAAGCAAATCATAAGGTCTGTATTCCACAGGCAGAACCCTGGCTTACAGAAATACCTGGGTGCTTGACAACAGGAGGTCATTGGAGGAGTTGGCAGCAGGGTGCAGGAATAGTTGGGATAATTTTCCTCAAGTTTGTGTTTCCCGGCTTTGTGCCGATGATCATGGAGTCAGAGAGGCAGCATGAGAAATGCTTCTCAGTCCAAGTAATTGAAACTAGGAAACCTGTGAGAAAACTGAGAGAAGACTGGAGCAAAATCCTCTAAAGGGCAGTGTGCTTTCCTTCACTGGAGGGCTTGCAAACTGCCATTTGACATGCAGGTGGCAGCATTTTTTTTCCTTTTGTCTAATGAAGCCAATCCCGTAGTCACAGATTGGTCATGTTTTCCCCAGGATCCACTAGGGGATTTTAATATGGTGGGGCTACAGAAAGATGTCCATTGGTTTCTAACAACACCCACAGAAAATTTCAGAAACCCTCTCTCGGTTCACAAGGCCCTGTATGATCTCCTTTCACTCTACCTTACATATTGCTACTCTCCTCTAGCTCACTGTATATCCTCCTTGTTCCCTGAAACATGTACTTCCCACATCCCTAGCTCAGGGGTGCTTGCGTTAGCTGTTCCCTCCACCTGGAAAGGTCCCAACACCCTCCCTCCTTGAAAGCCATAGAGTTTGCTCATCTCCCTTATTTGTGGCTTAGGAAACTCTTTCTGTACTTAAAGAAACACCTTCCACTTCTGTCTCCCTATGCCTTGTGTTGTTTCATTTATTTTTTTACCACATAGTTACCACCTCCCAACATGATGTCAAATATTGCAATCTGTTTCTCTGTTTACTGTTTTTATTCTGTCACCCATAACAGAAGCCCACAAGGGTTCTGCACATGTTTTGTGACACAGCAGACGCTCAATAATGCATGTTGAATGAAAGCAGGATAGACCCCGTGCCAGCACTCACTCCATCTCCACCTGCTTTAGAGATCTGGCTCAATCTCTCTTTTCCTTACAGCAGAAAATCTGGATATGAAGATTGAGGATCTGCTTAACTGAGTTATAGTAACAGGTTTTTTCAATGTGAGCTTAGGGACTAAGCTGGCTGGCTTAGCTCAGAGAGAAAGGCCTGGGCTTTGATGACTTTTCATCTTCATCTGTGGAATCTGGAGGTGCCTGTTACATTTTGAGAGGGAGTGGAGAGTTGAGTGCTTTGCTAACTCAATAGCTGCCTTTCCCTTCTCTGGCCCAGCGAAACAAAAAGCCAGTGAAGAGGTGAGAGAGACTTGTGCCCTCTGGGAGTCCAAACAGAAGGAAGTAGATTCATGTAAGTGATGCAAGAAGAACACAGTGAAGTCCCATTATATGTCTGAACCCTAAATCCCCCTGCCCTCCCTAAGCTCTGGATTCCAGATAATTAGATTTTTCAATATGGCCCCCAAAGCCCACTTGGGTACCCTGCCATATATTTAACTTCAACTTCTACCTCTCACCCTCCTCCCACTTTGATGACAACAAAACACTGACAGAGCACACTCCCACCTCAAGGGCTTTTAAAAAAACTTTTAGGTTCGGTTGTTACACGTGCAAGTTTATTACATAGGTAAACTCATGTCAAAGGGGTTGGTTATATGAATTATTTCATCAACCAGGTACTAAGCTCAGAACCGAATAGTTATCTTTTCTGCTCCTCTCCCTCCTCCCACCCTCCACTCTCAAGTAGACTCCAGTGTCTGTTGTTCCCTTCTTTGCGTTCATGAGTTCTCATCACTTAGCTCACACTTATAAGTGAGAACGTGTGTATTTGGTTTTCTGTTCCTGTGTTAGTTTGCTAAAAATAATGGCCTCTAGCTCCATTCATGTTTCTGCAAAAGACATGATCTTGTTATTTTCTATGGCTGCATAGTATTCCATAGTGTATATGTAACACATTTTCTTTATCCTATCTGTCACTGATGGGCATTTAGGCTGATTCCACATCTTTGCTATTGTGAATAATGCTGCAATGAACATACACCATGTCTTTATGGTAGAATGATATATATTCCTCTGGGTATATACCCAATAATGGTATTGCTGGGTCGAATGATAGTTCTGTTTTCAGCTCATTGAGGAATTGCCATACTGCTTTCTACGATGGTTGAAATTTACACTCCCACTGATAGTGTATAAGTGTTCCCTTTTCTCCACAACCATGGCAGCATCTGTTTTTTTTTTATTAATAGCCATTCTGACTGGTGTGAGATGGTATCTCATTGTGGTTTTGATTTGCATTTCTCGAATGATCAGTGATATTGAGCTTTTTTTCCATATGTTTGTCTTCTTTTGGAAGTGTCTGTTCATGTCCTTTGCCCACTTTTTAATGAGGTTGTCTTTCTCTTGTAAATTTAAGTTTCTTATAGGCACTGGATATTAGACCTTTGTCAGAAGCAGTTTGCAAAATTTTTCTACTATTCTGTAGGTTGTCTGTTTACTCTGTTGATAAGAGATTTTGCACAGCAAAATAAACTAAGATTAATTAGACCCCACTTATCAATTTTTGCTTTTGTTGCATTTGTTTTTGGTTTCTCATGAAACTTTTGCCCATTCTTATGTCCGGTATGGTATTGCCCTGGTTGCCTTCCAGGGTTTTTATAGTTTTGGGGTTTACATTTAAGTCTTTAATCCATCTTGAAGTGATTGTTTAATGTGGTGTAAGGAAGGTGTCCAGCTTCAATTTTCTACATATGGCTAGCCAGTTATCACGGCACTATTTATTGAATAGTGAAACTTTTCTGCATTGCTTGTTTGTGTCAGTTTTGTTGAAGATCAGATGGACGTAGGTGTGCAGCCTTATTTCTGGGCTCTCTATTCTGTTTCATTGGTCTATGTGCCTGTTTTTTTTTTTTTTTTTTTTTTTTTTTCCCCCACCAGCACCATCCTGTTTTGGTCACTGTAGCCCTGTAGTATAGTTTGTTTGTTGTTTTGTTTTGTTTTTTAGAGATGGAGTCTGGCTCTGTCACCCAGGCTGGAGTGCAGTGGCATGACCTTGGTTCACTGCAACTTCCACCTCCCAGGTTCAAGCAATTCTCATGTCTCAGCCTCCTCAGTAGCTGGGATTACAGGCAAGCACTGCTGCTTCCGGCTAATTTTGTACTTTTAGTAGAAATGGGGTTTCACCATGTTGGCCAGGCTGTTCTCGAACTCCTGACCTCAGGTGATCCGCCCTCCTCAGCCTCCCAAAGTGCTGGGATTACAGGCATGAGCCACAGTGCCTGGCCCCCTGTAGTATAGTTTGACGTTGGGTAACATGATGCCTACAGCTTTGTTCTTTTTGCTTAGGATTGCCTTGGCTATTCGGGCTTTGTTTTGGTTCTATACGAATTTTAAAACAGTTTTTTTCTAGTTCTGTGAAGAATGTCATTGGTAGTTTGATAGGAATTGCATTTAATCTATAAATTGCTTTAGGCAGTAAGGCCATTTTAATGATATTGATTCTTCCTACCTATGAGCATGGGATGCTTTTCCATTTGTTTGTCTTCTCTGATTTATTTGAGAAGTGTTTTGTAGTTCTCACTGCAGAGATCTTTCACCTCCCTTGTTAGCTATATTCCTAGTTATTTTATTCTTTGTATGACAATTGTGAATGTGATGGCCTTCCTTATTTGGCTCTCAGCTTGGTTGCTGCTGGTGTATAGTAATGCTAGTGATTTTTGTACATTGATTTTGTATCCTGAAACTTTGCTGAAGTTGAAGGAGCTTATCAGCTGAAGGAGCTTTTGGGCTGAGACTATAATGTTTTCTAGATATAGGGTCATGTAGCCTGCAAACAAGGATAATTTGACTTCCTCTCTTCCTTTTTGGATGCCCTTTATTTCTTTCTCTTGCCTGATCACTCTGTCTAGGACTTCCAATACTATGCTGCATAGGAGTGGTGAGAGAGTCCATCCTTCTCTTATGCCAGTTTTCAAGGGGAATGCTTTCAGCATTTGCCCATTCAGTATGATATTGCCTGTTGATTTGTCTTAGATGGCTCTTATTATTTTGAGGTATGTTCCTTCAATACCTAGTCTATTGAGAGTTTTTAACATGAAGAGGTGTTGAATTTTATCAAGAGCCTTTTCTGCACCTATTTAGTAATCATGTGGTTTTTGGCTTTAGTTTTGTTTATGTGATGAATCACATGTATTGATTCGCATATGTTGGACAACCTTGCATCCCAGGGATGAAGCCTACTTGATCGTAGTGGATGAGTTTTTTGATGTGCTGCTGCATTCTGTTTGCAAGTAATTTGTTGAGGATTTTTTCATAGATGTTAGTCAGGATAATGGCCTGAAGTTTTTGTTGTTGTTGTTGTGTCTTTGCCAGGTTTTGATATTCAGGATGACGCTGGCCTCATAGAATGAGTTCAGGAGGAGTCTCTCCTCCTCAATTTTTGGAAGCGTTTCAGTAGAAATGGTACCAGCTTTTCTTTCGGCATCTGATAGAATTTGGCTGTGAATCTATCATGTCCTGGGCTTTATTTGTTGGTAGTCTATTTATTACTGATTCAATTTCAGAGCTCATTATTTGTCTGTTCAGGGAATCCATTTCTTTCTTGTTCAGTCTTGAAAGGAATTTATCTATCTCTTCTAGGTTTTCTAGTTTGTATGCACAGTGGTGTTTGTAGTAGTTTCTGATGGCTATTTTAATTTCTGTGGGGTCAGTAGTAATATTCCCTTCATCATTTCTGATTGTGTTTATTTTATTCTTCTCTGTTTTCTTCTTTATTGGTCTTCAAGGACTTTTTATTATGTTTCCCCTGCCTGTAGTGCTCTTTGCCCATGATAATCTAGATATCTTCTCATTGCCTCTAGTAATCTGGCTCTCAGCTGAAACTTCGCTTGCTTATAGAGATCTTAACTTATCTTCCCAACTACAAAATAGTACCTGCCCCTCCACATCTGGTCACGTCCCATTCCCTTTTCCTTGCTTGTTATTTTTTTCTTTATAGCCCTTATCCTCACCTGACTTGATATATTTACATCTTTGTTATCATATCTCTCCTACATAATTTAAGGTTTGTATAAAACCAGGTTTATTCTGCACCATATTCACACTACCATTTGTAAATGCCAGAGCCTTTGAGCACTTGTAGGGACATGGGCACACAAAAGTGAAAGGTCTGGTTTCAGAGTGACCTTCACTAGGTGAAGAAGATGAGATAAAAGGAAGAAATTTAGGCCACTCCTGGGTCTGCACAAGACCTTTCATGTGACATCAGAGAAGTCCCTTCCCCAAAATTGGAGTTGTGGAGGCAGGATAGGGTGTGGTCCCTAAGGTTTGGAAGGGTCACTGGTTTTTTTTTTTGTTCCAGTGAATGCAAAACAGCTGAGCCTAGAGGTGGTCTTGAGGAAAAAGCAAGGCATCTAATAGCCATGCTCTCCCTTTCTCTGTGCTTCTGCCCTAACCATACAATGAAAGCTAAAGATTAAGAAAATGTGGCACATATACACCATGAAATACTATGCAGCCATAAAAAAGGATGAGTTCATGCCCTTTGCAGGGACATGGATGAAGCTGGAAACTATCATTCTCAGCAAACTAACACAGGAAAAGAAAACCAAACACCGCATGTTCTCACTCATAAGTGGGAGTTGAACAATGAGAACACATGGACACAGGGAGGGGAACATCACACACCCGGGCCTGTTGGGGTGGGGGGCTAGGGGAGGGATAACATTAGGAGAAATACCTAATGTAGGTGATGGGTTGATGGGTGCAGCAAACCACCAAGGCATGTGTATACCTATGTGACAAAACTGCACGTTCTGCACATGTAACCCAGAACTTAAAGTATAATAATAATAAAAAAAAAGCTAAGTTCTCTGTAGTAGACAGATGAATCTTGTTGAAACGTAAATTAAGTCACATCTCTTTTACAGTAAAAACCTCTCCCTACCTCCCACCTTACTCATAGTAAACACAGATGTCCTGTCAATGAGCTGCAACCAGGATGTTTATCTAGCCCCTCTCCATTTATTTCCTTTTTTACCACTTTTCTTGGCTGAGACCACCCAGTCATGCTGCTAGTTTCCTCAATATTCCCAGACATTTGCTAGACACATTTCAAAGCCTTTGAATTTGCCATTAACTGGAACACTTCACTCACTGATAGATATAATTTTCATAAATAACGACATAGTTACTTGTATGGTAATGAACTTAGTATCTCCCCTCACCAGTCTGTTGATTCCCTAATGGAAAATAACACTCCCCAGGGTTTTTTTCGATTGAGTTTTTAACCAACCCAAGCCCAAAGTCTGACATGTAGTATAGGAACTGAATAAGTGTTTATGGAATAAATGAACTGAATCAATTTCTAGCAAAATGAACAATTATTATTTTTTAATCCCTACTCTCTGAGAAAAATAGCAAGACAAAACCAGGGTAAGAAATAGAGAAAAGACATAGAGATCCAGCCAGGCCAAAACCAGGTAGGAACTTAAGAGTAGCAGTATTTAGTTCAATTAACTATCTCTTTATCCATTCAACCCTCCAGTCATCCTAGCAGCCATATGTTGACCCAGTATTCCATCCCTTCTTCTCTCTGCCCATCCAATCCCTCCAGTCTTCCATTCCTCCACTCTTTGCAACTAACCATTCATCCATACAACTATCTACCCACTTATCCATTCATCCAACCAACAATTAACCCAACCACCTATCCATTCATTCATCCATGCATTCATTTCATCATCCATCCTTTGTCTACCCACTATCAATACAGTCATCTATAAAACTCTTTATCTGTCCATTTATCCATCCAAAAATTAATGCCATCATCCATCCATAAATGTATGGATTTATTTATTCATCCATACATCCTTTGACTCATTCATTTCTTCATCTATCCAACTGTATGACCACTCATCCATTCATTCAAGCATGTGTTTATCATCTCTCCATGTAGTCATCCAGCCATTTACTCATCCAACTATATATCCATAAATACATCTAACATCCCTTCACCATTGATGAGAGCAAAGAAAAATCATCCAAAGATAGAGACAAAAAAATGAGCACCCTAGACTTTTCTTAGAAGACCACCTTTGTTGTATATTTGTATGTATGTGTTGTGTTGTGTGTAAAATAAATAATCACAGAACAAATTACTCATTTCTGATAGACACTTAAAGAGTTCCTCTTTTTTGTCAGTTTGTGGAAGACAGAAACAGCAGCAGGTACAGACAGATTGCTCTGGCACCTGCAGATTCTGTTCAGTTCCTACAAATATGTGGCAATTATGCCAGGCCCCTTGCTATGTGCCAAGGCCAACAGGATGAATAGATGCAGGTTTGTCTTAATAGGGGCCCAATCTGTGTGATAGGAACTCTGGAGGTTGGAAATGGAGACAAAGAACCACAATCCCAATTATTCCTGTGAGCTCTCACAGGGCCTCCTTGGTTCCTCTCCCCATAGAGACACAGAGGATCTTTCTGATGCAATGCAAGGGATAGGAAAGTGAGGTCAGAGGTAAGAGGCCCCCACCCTGCCTTGCTTACTTCCAAAGAGAAGCTGATGATAAACCGACAGGTAAAGTAGGAGGACTTGCGGAGTCAAATGAGCCAGCTGTTCTATGGAAACATCCACTCTGCATTCAGCGAAGAGCTCTTCTTCCACAGCACAATGAAGGGAAGCTGAAGGGAGGAGTTGAGGGATGGAATGATGATTCCAAAATCCTTCTGGCTGGCCCTCCAGAAAGTGGTTTGAGGAGAACAGAAAGGTGAAGGACGTCCTGGAGGCAGCTTCCAAGCAACACCAGTAACTGCAGCATAAGCAGCAGAGGTGGGCAGGAGCCACCCCCATAAGAGGCTGCCTATGGGGGAAACACAGAATAGTTGAACCCAGCTCTCACCTGGGAAAGCTGTCCCTGGGATCCTCAGACATACGAATTCCTTTTTTCTCTTTATCCCCCTCTACATGAAATCCTTCCTCTGCTCTTATTCCTCTTCCATCACCTGCTGTTTCTGCTCCTTCTCCTCTGCTTCCCAATGTTCTCCTTCTCCACCTCTAATCCTTCCCCATGCTTCTTTCCGCCTTCTCCTTTTCTTTTCTCCCTCCACTGTCCTTCAACTCTTCCCTTCCCTTTTCCTTTCTTTCCCTTCTTCATATTCTTTTCCTTCCCTCCTCTTTCTTCCCTCCTTTCCTCCTTCTCCTCTCTTCCTTTTCTCTCTTCTTCTCATCCACTTCTTCTCTCTTCTCTCTCCCTTTTTTCCATCTCTTCTTTATCTAACCCTTCATCTCCCCACTCCTTCTCTTCAATCTTACTTTACATCCAGAATTATGGCAGAGATAAAGAAGCTGGACATTGAGTTCCTTTCAGAAACTTATAACATCTTAGAAGAAGGGTCCAGAAATGAAAAAATAGGGAGGATGAGGAAAGAAGAGGGAGGAAGATACAGGAAAATGGAGAGAGGAGCGGTTTTTAACCCTAAATGGAGGGATTCCTGTGAAGGAGGAGGCAAACAAGCATGGGGCTGCTATACAGGAGTAGAGGAGCCCATGAAAACCTTTCCAAACATTTTGTCTAGAAGGGACATTTCCTCGGGGGACATACACAGCCAGTGCACAGGCAATGATGTGGAGCCACTGAGGCAGTGAAATTGCAGTGAGGTACTGGCTGACGGGTGTGTGTGTTAGAGCAGTGGTCACCGACCTTTCTGGCACCAGGAACCAGTGAAACTGTTCTACCTCAGATCATTAGGCATTAGTTAGATTCTCATAACGAGCATGCAACTTAGATACCTCGCATGCACAGTTCACAATAGGGTTCACGCTCCTTTGAGAATCTACTGCCACCACTGATCTGACAGGAGGCAAAGCTCAGGTGGTAATGCTGGCTCACCCGCTGCTCACCTCCTGCTGTGCAGCCCCATTTCTGACAGGCCACTGACTGGTACTGGTCTGTGGTCCGGGCATTAGGGACCCCTGTGTTAGAGTTTAGGGAGACCCACACACCCTAGAACCCAAGGTCCCTGTTCCACAACCCTCTCACCTCTAGGTAGAACACCTTCCACAGACCATCCAGGAGTCCCCTTCAGGACCCTAGGAGACCAACTTAGAACACACCTCAGGAAGGGCCACATACCTTCCTGGGAAGAAAGGAAAATAGCTTTATTTAAATGTAGTCAGAAAATGCATCCCAGAGAAAGTTAATGAACTTTAAGATAAGATTTAATGTACACTTAAGATTTTTTTCATGCCAATGAAGATTCATGAGTGAATAATCTTTTACTTGCATGTTTGTACACATGTCCATTTATGTCCTCTGGAATAAATTGTTGAAGGTACATGATTGATTTGGTGGTCGTGCATATTTAATCTTTGATACAACTTGATTTTCGTGAAGATTGAATCACTCCACAGTACTACCAGCAGTTTATGAGAGTGACCCTTTCAACACATCTACACTAGTTAAACATTTTTGCATAGGTGCCACCATCAGCTTTTGTCTACAGATGAATAAAGGCTCCCAGAGGTTTAGCAACAATCACTAGACTACTCAGCTGGTTAATGGCAGAGCCATACTTTTTACCATAGAAATGTTTGTCCCCAGAGCCAGTGACCTTAATTGAAATTCTGAGTATTATCATTCCTTACTACCCTGAATACCTGGATCTACTCTTTATTTAAATACTTCATCTCTTTTTCCATGATCTACCAACTAGGTTTGGGATTAACAGAGCAAAAACAAAACAAAACTAAAAGGTTACATAGTTTTTAGCCTCTGTGCAAGAGTTTTTCTGTACTGATGGTAATTTTTCCCTTGTTAAAATAACAAAAACAAGAAAACCAAGCCATCTTCCTGATCAATGAGATGGGTTGTCCTTTTTATAATTTGGCTTGATGAATCAGGTTTTATAGAAGTGGTTCTGCTGCTGTTTTTCCTGTGATGTGGAAAAGTTCCTCAGGGTCCTTCTGTCTAGTCTGGACTTTTTGTCCTGCTGCCACATCACTCGATCTTTGCCACTGAACCCTCCACTGTCCCTCATGATATTCCTCCTCAGGGAACTTTGGTTCTAGGCTGGGGACTGCCTCAGCCATTAGCACTCAGACTTCAGTGGAGGGAATCCTGCTGTCTTACCTCTACCTCTTTACTCCAGGCATGGACTTGGGGCTTTCCCTAATTTCCCAGTGTATTAGTCCACTTTGAACACTTCTGATAAAGATATACCCAAGACTGGGTAATTTCTAAAGAAGAAGAGGTTTAATGGACTCACAGTTCCACATGGCTGGGGAGGCCTCACAATCATGGCAGAAGGCAAAAGGCATGTCTTACATGGTGGCAGGCAAAAGAGAAAATGAGAGCCAAGTCAAAAGGGAAACCCCTTATAAAACCATCAGATCTTGTGAGACTTACTCACTGCCATGAGAACAGTATAGGGGAAACTGCCCCCATAATTCAATTATCTCCCACCAGGTCCCTCCCACAACATGTGGGAATTATGAGAGCTACAATTCAAGACGAGATTTGGGTGGAGACACAGCCAAACCATATCACACAGCAAAAACCAAGCTGTAATATTTACTGAGATTTTACTGAAACTTCTTAAACTGTGGGAGAGAAGTGTAACACAAACACTAGGACTTAGAACCAAGCATAGACTTCAGATGCATTCTGAAATCCCTTACTATGCTAATTTCCTGCCTGGCTCCTGGCCTGCCTCCAAATGGCCAGCAGCAGTTTACCACCCCCACCACCAGAATTTTCTATAAGCATTTCCAGCTCAGAATCATAACCAAACTTACTACCAGCCCAAAAGAGAGTGTTGGAAAACTTTTCCCTTATCTCAGTCTAAGAAGGGGGGAGTTCTACAGTGCCTTCATTTTAGGCCTCAAAACCCATCTTCATCAAGAATATTTTATAGGGAACCATTCTTCTTTTTCAGAGGAAACCCTATCCAGATACCCAGATACATAGGAGGTGATCTGATAAGACAGTTGCGAAATACTCTGAACGTTTATCTTCCTATGCTTTGGTTATTACTACTCTTACATAACATGAAAAAAAGTTGTGTCACTTTTTTCTTTTGGGCTTCTACATAAATGCCAGGTGCTAAGCATATTTTCTTTCATTCATCTTCAGAGAAAATCAGAAGGCACATTTGTATTTACATTTTCTATGCCCTTTGCACTGGGTCACAGTAACTTCCCCAAAATAAGAAAAGAATTGGAGCATCTCCCCTGTCTTAGCCATTGGAGTGAAAGCAGTGTCACAGTAGTTACATGTCTGGGCTCTGGAGGGAGACTGCCTGGATAAAAACCCTGCTTCCACTACTTGTGTGCTGAGTGACTGTCAGCATGTCACGGAACCTCTCTATCACTGTCTTAATCCATAAAATTGAATATAATACCTATACCTAAACTAATAGGTACCATGTATTGTTGATTAAAAGGAATAACGTGATTAAAACATTTGAGAAAGTGTTTGTATCATGGTAAATGTTCAGTAACATTAGCTATCTGTGAGTCACTGATCAGCATGTCTCAAATCTGTCCTATTTCAGATAAGTAAGGATTACAGCAGCATCTCCATGTCTCTTAGGATTTATATGACAAGTGGACACTAGTTTATTTGGTCCTTACACTTGTGATCTGAAGCCACGATTATCTCATAGGTAAGCTTCTTATATGAACATGTCCAAATGTTGAAGCCTAGGAGAAATCTCCAGTATGTAAAAGGTATCCAATGGGTGTTCATGGTGGACAGGAGTACAAGATTAAGATCCCCAGTAAATACATTTGTCCTCTAAGTTTGAACTATAAAACCAAGGAGGATATTTGCAAAGAGTCTTTAAAACTTCAGAATAAAAAAACTTATCATAGTTACAGAAAAAAAAATCAGTCAGAAGATAAATATTTGGCCAGCCATGGAAACAATCATAGTCAATGCCCATTCCATTCCCATTTGCAAGGCTTTAACTATTACTAAATATTGGACTATTTTATACTGATGCCATTAAACAGGTAAATGGCAGGCAAATTTCATGCTGGCTTTCCCTCATTCTTGAAATCTGTGAACTCACCATTGGACTGTTTTTACTCTGCATTATCTTGCTGGACCCAGTAATCAGCCACTCATTAAGCACTTGCATAATCACACTCCCCACCTCACACAATATGCCTCCTTTCTCGAAGAACTTTCCTTGACTGAGAAGTGTCTGTTCATGTCCTTCACCCACTTTTGGATGGGGTTGTTTGTTTTTTTCTTGTAAATTTGTTTGAGTTCATTGTAGATTCTGGATATTACCCCTTTGTCAGATGAGTAGGCTGCAAAAATTTTCTCCCATTTTGTAGGTTGCCTGTTCACTCTGATGGTAGTTTCTTTTGCTGTGCAGAAGCTCTTTAGTTTAATTAGATCCCATTTGTCAATTTTGTCTTTTGTTGCCATTGCTTTTGGTGTTTTAGACATGAAGTCCTTGCGCATGCCTATGTCCTGAATGGTAATGCCTAGGTTTTCTTCTAGGGTTTTTATGGTTTTAGGTATAACGTTTAAGTCTTTAATCAATCTTGAACTGATTTTTGTATAAGGTGTAAGGAAGGGATCCAGTTTCAGCTTTCTACATATGGCTAGCCAGTTTTCCCAGCACCATTTATTAAATAGGGAATCCTTTCCCCATTGCTTGTTTTTCAGAAGACATTTATGCAGCCAAAAAACACATGAAAAAATGCTCACCATCACTGGCCATCAGAGAAATGCAAATCAAAACCACAATGAGATACCATCTCACACCAGTTAGAATGGCAATCATTAAAAAGTCAGGAAACAACAGGTGCTGGAGAGGATGTGGAGAAACAGGAACACTTTTACACTGTTGGTGGGACTGTAAACTAGTTCAACCACTGTGGAAGACAGTGTGGCGATTCCTCAGGGATCTAGAACTAGAAATACCATTTGACCCAGCCATCCCATTACTGGGTATATACCCAAAGGATTAGAAATCATGCTGCTATAAAGACACATGCACACGTATGTTTATTGCGGCACTATTCACAATAGCAAAGACCTGGAACCAACCCAAATGTCCAACAATGATAGACTGGATTAAGAAAATGTGGCACATATACACCATGGAATACTATGCAGCCAGAAAAAACGATGAGTTCATGTCCTTTGTAGGGACATGGATGAAGCTGGAAACCATCATTCTCAGCAAACTATCGCAAGGACAAAAAACCAAACACCACATGTTCTCACTCATAGGTGGGAACTGAACAATGAGAACACATGGACACAGGAAGGGGAACATCACACACTGGGGACTGTTGTGGGGTGGGGGGAGGTGGGAGGGATAGCATTAGGAGATATACCTAATGCTAAATGACGAGTTAATGGGTGCAGCACACCAACATGGCACATGTATACATATGTAACAAACCTGCACGTTGTGCACATGTACCCTAAAACTTAAAGTATAATAATAAAAAAATAAATAAATAAATAAATAAAAAGAAAAAAAAAAAGAACTTTCCTTGACTGATTTATGATTGGAAGTGTAGCCCAGTGCTGAGCAATGCACCCTGAGGCGATATTTGCTGTAGTTCTCCTTGGATCTATTTCTCTGCTCTTAAAAAAAAAGAGGTAAAAGACAAATCTTTTTTTAATGAGTCAATTTAATGTTATATAGATAATATATAAACATAGACATGCAAGCATGTATACATAAAATTACAGAAAGACACAAATATGTTATAGCATTGATTTTAAAATTTTAGCTGTGAGGCTGTGAAACTCACTAGTTTAAAAGGACAGTTGAATTCAAACTGTGCCTTTGTAAATGGAAAAGGGTAAAGTTTACCAGTCCCACATGACCAGAGGCATGAGTTTCAGAGAAAACCGGGTAGCAAATTTATATCTCAAAGCACACACAGAGAGATAATTGAAGTTTTTAAAAGGAGTTCCTGTGTGTTAAAGGGAGACCAAAAATGGATGTCAAGGTAACACAAAATCTTAGGAATTTACCATAGGATTTTTCCCTACTTTTATTTTAGGTCCAGGGGGTAAATGTGCCTGTTTGTTACATGGGTAGATTGCACGAAGAGACCAAATAATTCAGCTTCTGTGTATTGCCCCATCTGGATCTAGTACTGGAAGTGCTGCAGTCATGTCCTAGTGCCATATAGCCCAACAGCACAGAAGAAAAGCATCATGGCAAGAATCACAACTCAGCGACATTTTAATTTATGTATGACATATATCAATATCTACATTGGGCATATGAACAGTTTTCACAGAACTGTAAAACATCAGAGTTGAAATGCTCATTTGTTTTTCATACTAAAATTCTGAGGCCTGGTCAACTGTGCTCCATAAGAATTCATTGACACTGTGTTTTAAATGTTGTGCTAGGGGTTTGAAGAACACAGAGATGATTCACACAAGGTCCATGCCATGAGGAGCTTAACAATATAGAGGAATCACATAAACATACCAATTCGATGCTGACCTACATTGCCTATCAGCTGTGTGCCTGACTACCTTTGTTATTTCCCAAAGACCTGAGAGATATATATTACAATTCCTCTTATACAGTTGAAGAAATAAGCTGTGATGAGTTAAGTAATGTAGGTAGTTAAATGGAATTTGGATTCACATCCAGACCTGTTGGACTCCAAAGGTAGGTCTTTTTCCATTCCCCTTGGAAATATTGCTTATGTTACAGTTGTTGAAATGTGGATGTCATTTCTGATGACAGAACCACCTTCCCCCAACATAGAAGGATACTTGGGAAATCCAGGAATTCTCAAAGTGGTACTATCCCTCAAAAGACTAACTTAAGAGTTCTGAAGATCTATACTGAAACCAACCAGCGTGAAGTACAACTATCTGACATTTTTATACATCAGAAAGGATTAGGTAGCTTAGACTGTGACAGCAGCATTAGAGGCCCCCTCTGAAGATAATGGAGGATTTACATAATTTGAAGAGCTTGGGGGCTGGTATTGTCCCTTCTATCATTGCCCTTTAAATGGAGTCAATGACTTAAGAGACAGCAGTTCTTTTGGAACAACTGTTAGCTAGGAAAGGGAGGTGAAAACCCTGCCTTAGAGCCCTGCCCCACTCAACAGATGAGGAGAGCTTCACTTCCAGAGTTATTCTCTGGGGAAGCATCAGGAAAATACAGGGAGGCTCCCAGCAATCTTTCCTGGAAGTTGTTTCCTGGTCCAAGTCTATTAACTTATTGTGCATATTTTAATAATTTATGGGCAAAGAGAGCCAAGGGAAGGGAAGTAAGTTAAATTGGAGAATGGTATAAGAGAAAGTTTGGCTTAAAACAATTGCATGGGACTACAGACTGGGCAAACTAGAGTGGACAACTTATTACTACCACTACTAGTTCTGTGGCCTTTAATAAGTAACTTATCCTCTAAGACCCATATGCTCGTATGATTGTTTCTTTCACTAAGATATTTGATCTTTGAGAGGGCCTTGAGTGATTGGTCTTTGCATATCAAGCTTTCAGGATACTTCCTGAAATCTAATAGACATCAATGGATGCTAAATTAAATAATTAAATTTTATAATAACACTGATTGTAATAGCCCTCTTTCCAATTTTCTAATTGGAGTAGTACAGTAGATCCTATCTATGTAGGTAACAATATATGACATCTTTGTGTATCAGGCACTGTACAACATCTTGTAGACACCTGTTTTGTGTTGGAGGGTTAGAGTTCTCACTCATTTTTCTTCATCAACCTACACAGACACCAGCAAAATTATCTATATACCTCATGACTTAAGCAGCATTTTTTTATACTTCAGTCCTTTTTGTATTAACTCAAGGGTTTTTGTCATAGGAAGACAGTCATTTCATTGTATGCATATTTTTATGTATATAAGAGGATTACTTTCCATAAAAATAATTACAATGAAAACAAAAATAGCAAAATTTGGAAAGCTGATATTAACAAGAAATACAGGCGATCTTACATATTATTGTGTCTTATGTGTGTTATTTCATCTTCACATTGTTTCCTCAATGTATGCATTGTTATTCTCTTGCATAGATATGGGAGAGCCATAATTTGATCCTAGGACTTATTTTATTCTAAAGCTCCAGAGTCCTACAATATGGGAACTCCCCAACTTATACTCTAGCAATTCCCACTCTTTACTCTTCCTTTTCTCTCTGTTACAGCTTCTTACAATTTTCATCCTACCTTTTAACAATTGCAGGCCGGGTGTGGTGGCTCACGCCTGTAATCCCAGCACTTTGGGAGGCTGAGGCAGGCGGATCACCTGAGGTCAGGAGTTTGAGGCCAGCCTCAACATGGAGAAACCCCGTCTCTACTAAAAATACAAAATTAGCCGGGCGTGGTGGTGCATGCCTGTAATCTCAGCTACTCGGGAGGTTGAGGCAGGAGAATTGCTTGAACCTGGGAGGTGGAGGTTGCACTCCAGCCTGGGTGACAAGAGCGAAACTCTGTCTCAAAAAAAAAAAAAAAATTGCAGGTGCTCCCAATTCCTGAGACTTCTCTCCATATCAAGTGACCAAATTCTGTGCATGCTTCTCTCCATATTAAGTGACCAAATTCTGTGCAAGAGTCAGTAAAAACTGACTCTTGTTTTTACCCCTTGTGTACAATTCTGTACATGGATTTTCTAACTGTTGGAAAAGGCAGTCCACTGTAAGCCCCAAGTGTCTCTGCATGTCCAAACTACAATGCTCAACTGTCCCTCAATACAGAGCAGTTTCTGTAGCTAGTCACATAGGCAATTAAATAGGCAGAGGTGACCTTAGCTTAACTATTTGTGTGACTGCTCATTCCCTGGGAAAGGGAACTAACTTGTTTGTTACAAAAGGGGCAGAGCCCTTGCTCTTTGGTTTGTCAGCTGTGCCATAACACACTATGTGTGAAGCCACCATCTGGGACTTATGGGACTTGAGGGAAGGGAAATTAGTCCTCTCATACTTATGCTCCTGCTGTCTGCTGTACTGTGAGTAATAAACTGTCTTGCTCTATATTGTTAAGTCTCATCATCTACTTCAGAACTCATCTGCTTTTGGCAAAGCCAACTTGCTTACATGCTTAGTTGTCTTCTTTGGCATTTTGTTATTCCCTGCCATTCTCTATAGGGTTAATTTTCTTCGCTGAAACTAACCCTTGTAACAAACAACTTTGGTTTTTAAGTATTTTTGAGATGAAGAGATAACTGTTATTTACAACTTCCTGCCATTTAACAAGAATTGTGGTTTTTTGAGGAAGGTTTTTGGTGCAAAGTTGGTAATTTATGGGAAGAATGTAATAAATCTGAGAAAGAAGCCAGATTGTCCTATTTATGAAACAATATGAGGATTGATGGCTAGTGGTGGGAGGTTGGAGGGACAACTGGAGTTACAGCAGATGGCTGGCAGGTGATGAAGGCTTTAAACCCAGACATGGGGTGGTAGACACCCAAAAGAAGATATTTATGAAAGAGATTTATTTGTCTATTGAAGATTTTTAAAAAATATACTTCTATGGTGTTTCCCATATCTCAAGCACTGTTCTATGAGCTTTAACTCATTTAGTCATAATCACAATACATGTGGTAGTTCCTATCATTATATTCAATGTATAGATGAGGAAACTGAGGCACAGAGACATTAGTAAAATGAGGAAAACACATTTAGTAAGTGGTGGGGAGAGAGGAGAGACTTGGAGCTGCTTTGTGGGGGCATGGAATGTCAAGGCATGGAGGATTCTGATAGGTAGCTGTTGCTTACTGAGAAACATCAGAAAAAAAAGAGTAATGTTTAGAGGGGAATTTATGGCATTTTCCCCTTGGGATATGCTCGGAAATGCTCTTGTTTATTTCCCCAAAAAGGCCTACATGTAGATGAAATCTTGCTTTAAAAATAATAAACAAATATATTACAATTAAAAAATAACAGCAACAAAAACGTCTGTATGCCACAACAATTCCTTAGGCTCCATCCATGGTTTGCATACCACATTTTGGGAAGCACTAACTGTGAAAAGACCATGGTCTTTGATGTTAAGCAGAGCTGGGCTGGAATTTCAAGTCTGCTACCTAACACCATCCAATTTTATAATTCTATAAAAATGTTCACTCAGGTTAATGGTGAAGATTTAGTGAAGAAAATGTATATAAATCAACTAGCATATTGCCCAATATGTATTACATATTTGACATTCTTCCTGTCTTTCTCTCCATTCCAGTTAGACCAGTGGATGCTATCCCCTTATTTTCCATCTCATTCCAACCTATCTTACTTTTTCTCCCTTCAGCCATACTGAAATAGTTTGTAGGATTCCTGAATCAGCCACACTCTTTCATCTCTGCATCTCTTCACATGCTGTTCCCTCTTCCCAGAATTTATTTCCTCTCTCTGCCCCTTCTTTACCTCAATATTTCATTCCTCTTGTAGCCTGTAATCTTTGTCTCCATTAAAGAGTTCCTTAATTCTCTCAGTGTAGGGTGACTATCATCTGTGCTCTCATCCCTATGCTTCTCAGAAATGTTTGCTTTCTTAGGAAGGGATCCCCAGCCTAATTATTTTACCTACCACCAACCCTCTTCAAACTCCCTTTCTAGACAATACCCACAGGCTAGGGTATTGGAAGCCACAGCTGAGTCTGGGAAGAATTCAGTGGATTTTGCAGATTATACTATTTGCTGCAGAGCATTAATATTAGGAGAATCTGAGGTGCAATGTTCAACAGCAATACTATATTGGTCCCAAATAGTTCTGCTAATGATCAGTTTGAAGACTCAGGACATAAAAGTGGGAGAATGTAATTGAGGACCTCCAGTAGGCTGAATGATTAACCCTCAAAGATATCCATGTCCTAATCCCCAAAATCTGTGAACATATTTCCTGAAATGGCAGCAGGGACTTTACATTGTGATTAAGTTAAAGATCTTGAGATTGGGAGGTTATTCTGGGTTATCCAGGTAGTCCCAGTGTAATCACAAGAGGAAGGCAAGGGGATTAATATTTGGAGTCAGAGAAGAAGACCATGGTAGCAGAAGTCAAAGAAGAGATAAATTTGAAGATACTACTCTGTTGGCTTTGAATATAGAGGAAGGGCCTATGAGCTAAAAATAATATAGGCTACCTCTCAAAGATGGAAAAGTCAAGGGATTACATCTTTCCCTAGAGCCTCCAGAAGGAATGCAGCCTTACCTACACCTTGATTTTTGCCTAGTAAGACCATCTGTGACTCCTGACTTTCAGAAATATAATAAGTGTTTTGTTTTAATCCCTAAATTTGTGATTATTTGTTACAGCACAATAGGAAACTAATACTGATTTTAGTAACAGAAGTGGGGTGTTGCTGTAATAAATACAACAAATGTGGAAGTGGCTTTCAAATTAGCCAATAGATAGAGGATGGAAGAATTTTGAGCACCATAATAGAAAAAGCCTAGATTGCCATAAGATTTTGAGTTGATGCAATTATGGGTTCAGACTTTTAGAGAACTTGGTATGGAATGAATATATTTTACATGTAGGACAAATGTGAATCTTTGTGGTAGGCTGAATGATGTCCCTCCCCCAAAAGTGCCCACATCCTAATCCCTGCAATCTGTGAATATGTACTTTACATGGCAAAAGAGACTTTGGAGGTATGACTAAGTTGAGGCTCTTGAGATGGATTATCCAGGTAGGCCCAATGTAATCACGTGGGTTCTTGTAAGAGGGAAGAAGCAGGGTCAGAGAGGGAGACCACAGAAGCAGAGGTCAGAGAAGAGGTAGACTTGAAGATGACATGCTGCTGCCTTTACATATAGAGAATGGGCCATGAGCCAAAGAATGCAGGATGACTCTAGAAAATGAAAAAGGGAGTGAGTTCTCCCCTAGAACCTCCATAAAGAACACATCTTTGCTGATGCATTAATTTTTGTCCAGTAAGATCACTTCTGACTCATGACCTCCAGAAATGTAAAGTTACAGTAGCAATAAGAAAGTAATTCAGAAACAATTGGGGGTAGAATGCAGGGTCTAAGAGTTGGAGGTGGAGTCTGAAATGGGTCTCTGAAATACTGTAGGTAGTGAAGAAGCTATATCAGTTCATCTCCTAGAACATGGACAATTGCCTAAGTTCATCTAGAGTCTCTTGAATGGGGGGGTAGGGGCACACATACAGACACACAGAACATATGACAACTATGGGAAAAACCATAATGTAACTATTGTCCCTATAAGAAGAATATATATTCCAAATCCAAATATAAGTTCCAGCACTACACATAGGGAAGACTGCATTATATAGGTATCTATGGAACTCCTGTCTATGAAAGAGGAGTGGCTTAATAGAACTTAATTTAAAAAAATTAAATATGTGACAGATTAATGATGGAGTTGAACCATGAGACTACATCTGGTGGCATTGAGGAGTTAGTTGTGGGCAAGGGTGGCTAGAACCGTGCCTGTATGAAGGAATACCTTCATGGTAGGAGCAAGAATGTGTAGCACGGTACCCATATGTGGAAGATGGCTGAGTAAAAGGTGCCCAGCACTCTCATCCTCCATAAAGGACCAAAACAGCTAGTAGATAATCACGTGTCAAATAGGACATCTAAGAGAGAACACTGTAATTAAGCAGGGAAGTGACAGGAACTTTCCAAGGCATGGAAGGAGAAAGAAGTGAAGCAGCCAGCCAAGAGAGGATTGGCTCAGAGACAGGAGAGATTCCCCATTGCAAAGAAAAGGTAAGTGAGAGATCCCCAGTATTTATTTTCCTACTGTAGACATCAGCAATTTTAGCCACAGAAGAGTCCCTCTGCCCTCACAGGCCCTGAGCATAGTAGAGGGAGCTGCTTGGAGTCCATGTTCCAGAGTGCATTGTTCCAGAAAGGGAAATCACACTGGGTCTTATACATCCCCTGAGACCCAAGCAACTGCAGCAAAGTGCAATTTTGAGAGCCCAGCCCCCACCAGACTAATCAATGGATTGCCTTGCCTGCTGTCACTTCTGCATCCTCCATGAGCCAAACAGGGGTTTGAAGACAGGCCCACCCTGCTTGCCACCACCGTTGCCTGTGCACCTAACACCGTTGCTGCTGCTGGTATGTACATGGGACTCCTAGGAGTCCATGAACAAGCCCACCCAGATTACTGTCACGACCACCACCCACATGCACCATTCAGGAAACTGGGGACCAGCTCACGTGGCCCACCACAGCTACCACTGGTGCCTGTATGCATTGACTTGGGGCCCAAGGACTGGCCTACTCACACTACTATCACAGGTGGCACCACACATGTGGCCCAGAAACCAGAAGACCCACCTGCTTGACCTGCAACTGCTATTGTCAGTGCCCAAGCATAGAGCTTGATCTGGGGGCCAGCCCACCTGGGCTTCCCACAACCACTACTAGTGCCCGCATGCACTGATTAGGGCCCTGACTACTAGCACACCCAGCCCACCACCACCACCACTTATGCTTGAGGACCAGCCCAGTGGTGTTAACATACACAGAAAAGCCTTACTACATCCTCCACTAACAACTGCAGCCTAAGCCATTAATGAATCCACAGACACCACTGATATTGATTACAGCTGAAGAATCACATGGATACTACAGTACTGTGTGTACCAAGAATCAAATTCAAATCACTGTACCAAATCAACACTATAGATATATGTAAAGAAAATATTTTCCCTAAAAAAGCCAATTCATAAAGTTGAATAAAGTGACTCTTACACCAGACATGCAGCTATTAATGTAAGGATGCAAGAAACATAAAATTCAATGAAATATGACATCTCCAAAGGAACACAATAATTCTCCAGTATCAGGTCCAAAGAAAAGGAATCTATAAAATGCCTGAAAGCGAAATCAAAATAAATGATCTTAAACTTAGTCAGATGCAAGAGAACACAAATAATACAAAGAAATCAGGAAAGCAATTCATGATTTCAATGAGAAATCAACAAAGAGATGGATATCATAAAAAATACCAAACAGAAATCTTGGAACTGAAGAATTTAATGAAACAAATTAAAAATATAATCAAGTGCTTCAACAATAGACCACATCAGGCAGAAGACTTTCTGAACATGAAAACTTATCTTTTGAAATATCCACATCTGACCAAAAAAGCAAAGAAGAATAAAAAAGGATGAAGAAAGCCTATGGGACTTTTATGGGACACCATAAGAGAAATAAATATTCAAATTTTTAGAGTTCCAGAAGGAGAAGGGATAAGAAAAGGCATAGAAAACCAATTTAATAAAATAATAACTGAAAATATCCCCCAAATCTTACAAGAGATATAGACATCCAGATATGGGAAATTCAAAGATCCTAAATAGATTCAACCCAAAAAGTTCTTCAAGACACATTAGAGTCATCAACCCAATAAGATCTTCAAGGCACAGCACAGTCAAACTGTCAAAGGTTAAAAACAAAGAGAGAATTCGAAAAACAGCAAGAGAAAAGTGTCAAGTCATAGATAAGGGAATCCTCATCAGGCTAACAGAAGATACCTAAGTTGAAACCTCACAGGACAGGAGAGAGTGGGTTGATATATTCAAAGTGCTGAAGAAAACTAACAAACAAACAACGACAACAACAAAAAACTCGGCCAAGAAATGAGGAGGAAATAAAGTGTTTCCCAGACAAGAAAAAACCAAGGGAATTCATCACCAGCAGACTGAACCTATAAAAAAATGCTTAAAGGAGTCCTACATCTGGAAGCGAAAAAATGATCTCCACCATCATGAAAACATACAAAAGTATACAACTCAGTGGTACAGCAGATACATAAAGGAGACAGAGAAAGGAATTAAACATTATCACCACAAAAAAAAAAAAAACCCACCAACCTGGGTGCAGTGGCTCATGCCTGTATTCCCAGCATTTTGAAAGGCAGAGGCAGGAGGATTGCTTTAGCCCAGGAGTTTGAGACCAGTCTGGGCAACATAGTGAGACCTAATCTCTACCAAAAATAAATAAATAAATAAAATTAAAAAATTAGCCAAGCATGGTTGTGCATGCCTGTAGTCTTAGCTACTTGGGAGGCTGAGGTAGGAAGATTACTTGAGCCCGAGAAGATGAGGCTGCAGTGAACAATGATCACATCACTGCACTCCAGCCTGGGTGATAAAGTGAGATCCTATCTGAATAAAAAAGAAGAACAAAGAAACAAATGACACACAAAATAATCATAAAATAATTCAAAAAATGACTGGAGCATTTGAATGCAAATGGCTTAAATTCCCCACCTAAAAGACATAGAGTAATTGAATGGAAAAAAAAACCAACACAAGTCCCAACTACATGCTGTCTACAAGTAACTCACTTCACCTGTAAAGGCACACACAAACTGAAAGTGAATAAATGACAAAAATACACCACATGAATGAAAACCAAAACTTGCATAAGTAGCTATAGTTATATAAGACAAAATAGATACTAAGTCAAAAAAAAAAAAAAAGAGAGAGAGACAAGGAAGGTCATTACATAATGAAAAAGGGAATGATTCAACAAGAGGATATAACAATTCTAAATATATGTGCACCCAACACCGGAGCACCCAGATATATAAAGCAAATATTAATAGAGCTAAAGAGACAGAGAGACTCCAATACAATAATAGTTGGAGATTTCAACACCTGAATTTCAGCATTGGAGAGATCATTTAGGCAGAAAATCAACACAGAAACATTGGACTTAATCTGCACCATATACCAAATGAACATCTACAAAACATTTCATCCAAAAGATGCAGAATACACATTCTTCTCATAAGCATATGGAACACTCTGGGATAGATCATATGTTAGGACACAAAACAAGTCTCAACAAATTTTTAAAATTTGAAATTATATCAAGTGTCTTCTTGGACCATAATGAAATAAAACTAGAAATCAGTAATAAGAGGAACTTTGGAAACTGGAGAAATATATGAAAATTAAACATGCTCCAGAATGACCTGGGTCAATTAAGAAATTAAGAAGGAAATCAAGAAACTTTTTAAAAAAACAAATTAAAATAGAAACAAAACATACCAAAACCTATGGCATACAGAAAAATCAGTGCTAAGAGGGATGTTTATAGCAATAAATGCCTACATCAAAAATAGAATGATTTCAAATAAACAACCTAATAAGATATCTCAAGAAACCAAAAAAGCAAGAACAAACCAGTCTAAAAATTAGTAGGATGCAAAAAAATAAGGATCAGAGCAGAACTAAACAAAATAGTAACTAAAGAAAAACTATAAAAGATCAGCAAAGTGAAAAGTTGGCTTTTTGGAAAGATAAAATTGATAAAGTGTGAGTGACACAAACCAAGGAAAAGAGAGAAGACCCAAATAAATAAAATACAAAATAAAAACAAGAAATTACAGTTGATACCACAGACATTCAAAGGATAATTAGACTATTATGAACAACTATATGCTAAAAATATTGGAAAACCTGAAGGAAATGAATAAATTCCTGGACACATATAAACTACGAAGATTGAACCAGAAAGAGACAGAAAACCTGAACAGGGCAATAATGAGTAACACAATGAAATCAGTAATAAGAGACTGCCAATATAGAAAAGTCCAGGACCGAATGACTTCACTGCTAAATTCTACCAAACTTTTAAAGAGAAAATAACACCAATTCTTCTCAAACTCTTCCGAAAATTTAAAGAGGAGGAAATTCTTCCTAACGCACTCTGTGAGGCCAGCATTACCATAATACCAAACTACACAAGGACACAACAAAAAAAGAAAACTATAGGTCAGTGTTCATGATGAACATATATACAAAAATTCTCAACACAATACTAGCAAAACAAAATGATAACATTATGATAAAGTGGGATTTATTCCAAGAATGCAAGGATGACTCAATGTACTCAAATCAATAAACATGATACATCATATCAACAGAACAAAGGACGAAACTCAAATGATAGTCTCAATAGATGCAAGTAAAAGCATATGATAAAATCCAACATTGCATCATAATAAAAACTCTCAATAGGCATAGAAGAAACACTTCAGCATAATAAAGACCAATATGACAAACCCACAAGTAACATCACACTTATGGGGAAAAGCTTGCAGAATTAAGAACTAGAACAAGACAATGATGAACATGTTCACCACTCTTATTCAACATAGTACTGGAAGTCCTAGAAATTAGGCAGGAGGATGAAATAAAAGGCATCCAAGTTGGAAATGCAGAAGTCCCATGGTCCCTGGTTACAGATGATATGATCTTATATATAGGGAAACCTAGAGATTTCACCAAAACGTTCTTGGAAATGATAAATGAATTCAGTAAAATTGCAGGATACAAAACCAATATACAAAAATCAGTAGTGTTTTTTATTTATTTTTTTAAGAGACCGAGTCTCACTTATGTTGCCCATGCTGATCTTGAACTCCTGGGCTCAAGTGATCCGCCTTGGCCTCCCAAAGTGCTAGAACTATAGGCATAAGCCACCATGCCCAGCCCTAGTAGCATTTCTACACACCAATAACAAACTGATTGAAAAAGAAATCAAGAAACCAATTTGATTACAATAGGTACAAAAAAAGTACCTAGGAAGAAAACTAATCAAGGAAGTCAAAGAGCTCTACAATGAAAACTACAAAACATGAGACAAATTAAAGAGGACACAAACAAATGGAAGGACATTCCATGCTCATGAATCACAATAATTAATATAGTTAAAATGACCACACTGCCCAAAGAAATCTACACACTCAGTGCAATCTTTATCAAAATACCAATGACATTCCTCACAGAAATAAAAAAAATCATAAAATTGATATGGAACCACAAAATAACCTAAATAGCCAAAACAATCTGAAATGAAAAGAACAAATCTGGAGGCATCACACTACCTGAATTCAAAACATACTACAAAGCTATAGTTACCAAAACAGCATGGTATTGGTATAAAAACAGACACATAGAGCAGTGGAACAGAATAGAGAAACCAGAAATGATGCTGGGTGTAGTGGCTCATGCCTATAATCTCAGCACTTTGGGAGGCTGAGCCAGGTGGATCACCTAAGGTCAGGAATTTGAGAAACCAGAAATGAATTTATGTATTTACAGATAACTGACTTTTGATGAAAGTGTCAAGAACACACATTGGGGAAAGGGCATACTCCTCAATAAATGGAAAGAATGAAACTAGGCTTCTTTCTTGCACCATGTACAAATATCAACTCAACTTGAATTAAAACTTAAGTGCAATACTCAAAACTATAAAACTACTAGGAGAAAACATGTGGGAAACACTTAAAGACATTGGTTAGGTAAAAATTTTATGGCTAAGACTTAAAAAGCACAGTCTACTAAAATAAAAATAGACAAATGGGGTTATATTAAATGAAAAAAAAAGCTTCTGCACAGGAAAGGGAAAAAAATAAACACAGTGAGGAGACAAGTTATGCAATGGGAGAAAGTATTTACAAATGATTCCTCTGATAAGGGACTAATAGTCAAGATATAGAAGGAACTCTAAAAACTAAACAACAAACAAACAAATAATCCACTTAAAAAGTGGGCAAAGAAACTGGACAGCCATTTCTCAAAAGACCAGAAATGGCTAATAAATATGTGAAAAATGCTCCACATCAGGAAAATGCAAATCACAACCATAATGAGATATCATCTCACCCCAGTTAGAAGGGCTATATCAAAATGACAAAAAATAAATGCTGGCAAGAATGCAGAGAAAAGGGACTTATTATACACTGTTGGTGGGAACGTAAATTAGTACAACCATTATGGAAAACGGTGTAGGATTTTCTCAAAAAAAAAAAATAGAACTACCACATGATCAAGTAATCCCACTACTGGGTGTTTATCAAACAAAAAAAAAGGAAATTAGTATATTACAGGGATATCTGCACCACCATGTTTATTGCAGCTATATTCATAATAGCCAAGCTATGGAATCATATTAAGTGTCCATCAACAGATAAATGAATACATAAAATATTGTATATATACACAATGGAATATTATTGATACAGTTTGGATGTTTGTCTGCTCCAAATCTCATATTGAAATGTGATCCTCAAAGTGGAGGTGGGGCCTAGTGAAAGGTGTTTGGGTCCTGGAAGTGGATCCCTCATTAATGTCTTGGTGCCATCCGTATGGTACTGAGTGAGTTCTCACTCTATTATTTCATGCAAGAGCTAGTTGTTTAAAAGAACATGGCACCCCTCCATCTCTATCTTGCTCCTTCTCTCGCTGTGTAACATGCCGGCTCCCCTTCCCTTCCTGAGGCCTCACAACAAGCCTTAGGAATACCTAAGCCTGGCCAATTTAAAATGTAAAAAGAGATTTATTTGACTCATGATTCTGCAGGCTGTACAAGCATGGCACCAGCATCTGCTCAACGTCTGGAGAAGCCTCAGGAAGCTTTTACTCATGGTGGAAGGTGAAGAGGAGCTAGTATACCACATGGTGAGAGAGGAAGCAAGAGAGATGTCAGGTTATTTTAATCAATCAGATCTCATGATTACTAATATAGTGAGAACTCACTACCACAGGGAAGGCACCAAGCCTCCCTATGACCCAAACTCCTCCCACTGGGCCCCACCTCCACCATTGGAGATCACATTTTAACATGAGAATTGGAAGAAACAAACATGCAAACTACATCAGTGGTCGTGAATTTCTTTTTGATTGGGATCTGTTTTTGAAGAATCATTGTGTTCCTCTGGAGATGCCATATTTCCTTGCATTTTGTGTTTCATGTGTCCTTATGTTGATATCTGCACATATGGTGTAACAGTCACTTTTTCCCATTTTATGAATTTGCTTTCATAGGGAGAACATTTTCTTAAATATGTATTTGTGATGTCAGTTAGGTAGGGCACATTGGCTTTGATTCTGAGTGCATGCAGTAGTGTAGTCTCTGTATGATTTCTTCAGCTGTCAACAGCATTAATGGTATCTGTGATTTTTTTTTTGGTGGCTTAGGGTGAAGTTATTAGTGGAGGCTCTGGGACTGGGATGCCATGTAGGTCAGTCTTCAGGCCATAGTGGTGGTAGCAGTGAGCTGAGCATGCCTGTCTTTGGGCCCCAGGGCAGTGTACCCTGGCAGTGGTGTCAGTGGGTCCAGGCAGGGCCATTCTTGGGCTTCCAGGTGGCTTACTTGGATCGAGATAGTGCCAGTTGTAGGCAGGGTGAGTTGGTGGGTTCTTGAGTCCCTGGGCAGCTGGTATGGTATAGGTGATGGCAGTGACAGTGGCAAGACAACCCTCTATGAGCTAGTTTGTGCATGTTGGTGTTGGTTGTGTTTGTGATTGGCTGGATGGGCAAGTCTTCAGACCCACAGGTGGCATAAGCAGGTATGTGTCAGCTTAGTTGTAGTAGCTCAGTGGATAGGCCCAACTGGGAAGTGTTCAGGTGCTGATGATGGTGGATGGGGCTGGGTAATCCCCTGGCCCTGGACTGTGTGCTCTGGGTTGTGAGGGCTTGTCCTCTTTGCTAAGTACAGGTGCCAGCCATAGTAGATAGGGGCTGGGCTATACCTAGGCCACCAGCAGAATGCTGAGGGGGTAGCAGTGGCCAGGCTGGGGTAGGGCCACCAGCAGGTAGGGAATGTGCATGACTGTCATGCCTCAGCACCTGCTATGGCATCTGTACCACTCATGCCTCAGCTCCAGTAGCAGCAACCTGCTCTTCTCTTGCATCTCATCCCCAACACTATTGGACCTCAGTATGGTGTGCAGTCTGTTGGGGACAGGAATCTAAAAATGGCACTTTTCTGTAGCTGTTTAGGTCTCAGGAAGTGTGTGGGATCCAGCGGGTGCTCCCTCCATAGAGCAGTGCCATTACACAATCTCCTGGCAACTCCTTATGTTAGTTTCAGGGCCTGCAAGAATCTAGTGGCTCTTTCGTGGCTAGGATTACAGAAGTTCATGGTGGAAATCCATTTACGTTCAAAATTGTTATTGATAGGTGAGGACTGGGGATTTTCTCTTGGCTCCCAGCTTATCCCAGCCAAGCAGGCTGCCTTGCTTCCTTCTCCTTCCTTATTTTAGATATTTCCTGTTACTTTTTTTTATTGAATTACAGTGTTCTCCTTTTGATGATCTATTTGAAGTGTGATTATCTAGTGTTATGGTTTGGCTTTGTCCCCAGCAAAATCTCACCTTGAATTGTAATAATCCCCACGTGTGAAGGACAGGGCCAGGTGGAGATAATATAATCATGGGTGGGGGCGCAGTTTCCCCCATACTGTTCTCCTGGTAGTGAATAAGTCTCATGAGTTCTGATAGTTTTATAAATGGGAGTATCCCTGCACATGCTCTCTTGCCTACCACCATGTAAGACATGGCTTTGCTTCTTATTCGCCTACAGCCATGATCGTGAGGCCTCCCTAGCCATGTGGAACTGTGAGTCTATTAAACTTCTTTCCTTTATAAATTACCCAGTCTCAAGTATGTCTGTATTAGCAGTGTGAGAACACACTAATATTGTTTTGATACTTCTTAGTGGAGCAGGTGAGTACAAAATGCCTCTAGTCAGCTATCTTGAAGTCCCTCTTATCTCAAAAATTACTTTAAAAATAAATGAATTATCCAATCAAAAGACACAGGTTGGCTGAACAAATACAAAACACGAGATCCGGCAATATGCTGCCCACGAGAGACTCACTTTAGCCTTTAGGATACACATAGTCCAAAAGTTAAAGTATGGAAAAAGATATTTCATATAAATGGTAACCAAAAGAAAGCAGGGATGATTATCTTATAAGAGATAAAATAGACATTCAGTCAAAATCTGTCATAAGAGAGAAAAAGGTCAGCATATAAAGTGGCCAATGAATTAAAAGAATATAATGATTGTAAATATACATGCACCCAATATTGGAGCTCCTAAATATACAGGCAAATATTGACAGAACTAAAGGGAGAAGTAGATAGCAGTAAAATAGTAGTAGGGTACTTTAATACCCATTATCAACAATGGATAGACTATCGGTACAGAAAAGCCAATAAGGAAACAGTGTATTTGAATGATGATACAGACCAAATGGACTGAGCAGACATAAATAGACATTCCATCAAACAACAGAGGAATATACATTCTTCTGAAGTGCACATGGTCAGTTCTTCAGGATAGACCATATGGTCATCCATAAAACAAGTCTTAACAAATTTGAGAAGATTTAAATCCTCTCAAATACCTTTTCTGACCACAGCTATAAAACCAGAGATCAGTAACAGAAGTAATTTTGGAAATTCACAAATACATGGAAATTAAACAAAATACTCTGGAACAACCAATGGGCCAAAGAAGAAATCAAAAAGGATTTTTGAACAAAGAAAATTTATTGCAACATAGTAACATGTATGGGACATATCAAAAGCAGTTCTAAGAGGGAATGCCTAAATTAAGAAGAATATTTCAAATAAAAAAAAACCTAACCATATACCTCAAGGAACTATAAAAAGAAGAACAAACTGAGACCAAACTCAAGAGAAGGAAGGAAATAAAGATTAGAGCAAAGATAAATGAAAAAGAGACTAGAAACCCAACAGAAAAGATAAACAAGACTGAGCTGGGTTTTTTGAAAAGATAAACAAACTTGACAAAACTTTTAGCTAGACTTGAGGAAAAAAGAGGGAGGACTCAAATCAAGTTATAAATGAAAGAGAAGACATATATAACTAATACCACAGCAATACAAAGGATCACAAGGTAATACTGTAAAAAAATATATGCTAACAAATTGGTAAACCTAGAAGAAATGAATAAATTCCTAGAAACATACAATCAACCAAGACTGAATCATGAAGAAAACAAAGATTTAAGAGACCAATAATGAGTAAAGATATTTGACCAATAATTGAAAATCTTCCAACAAAGAAAAGCCCAGTATCAGATGGCTTTAAAGGTGACTTCTACCAAGCATCTAAAGAAGAATTAATGGCCAATCTTTTTCAAACTCATCGAAAAAATTGAAGAGGGGGAAACACTTCCACTCATTTTACAAGGCCAACATTACTCCATACCAAAGGCAGATAGGAGATTATAGGAAAATTATAGGATAATATCCCTGATCAATATATGTGTAAAAGTTCTCAGCAAAATACCAGCAAAGTGAATTCAACAGCACATTTAAAGGATTACACATCATGACCAAGCAGGATTTATGCCTGGGATGCAAGCGTGTTTCAACTTATGCAAATCAGTAAATGGGATACACTACATTAACAGAATGAAGGATAAAAATTATATAATCATGAGTAGATGCAGGAAAAGCATCTGACGAGATTCAACATCTTTTCATAATAAAAATTCCCAACAAATTAGGTATAAATGGAAATTTACTCAACATAATAAAGACCATCTATGACAAGCTCACAGCTAACATAAACTACCATCAGAGAATATTACAAACACCTCTACACAAATAAACTAGAAAATCTAGAAGAAATGGATAAATTCCTCGACACATACACCCTCCCAAGACTAAACCAGGAAGAAGTTGAATTTCTGAATAGACCAATAACAGGCTCTTAAATTGTGGCAATAATCAATAGCTTACCAACCAAAAAGAGTCCAGGACCAGATGGATTCACAGCCGAATTGTACCAGAGGTACAAGGAGGAACTGGTACCATTCCTTCTGAAACTATTCCAATCAATAGAAAAAGAGGGAATCCTCCCTAACTCATTTTATGAGGCTAGCATCATCCTGATACCAAAGCCGGGCAGAGACACCACCAAAAAAGAGAATTTTAGACCAATAGCCTCAATGAACATTGATGCAAAAATCCTCAATATAATACTGGCAAACTGAATCCAGCAGCACATCAAAAAGCTTATCCACAATGATCAAGTGGGCTTCATCCCTGGGATGCAAGGCTGGTTCAATATACACAAAACAATAAATGTAATCCAGCATATAAACAGAACCAAAGACAAAAACCACATGATTATCTCAATAGATGCAGAAAAGGCCTTTGACAAAATTCAACAACTCTTCATGCTAAAAACTCTCAATAAATTAGGTATTGATGGGACGTATCTCAAAATAATAAGAGCTATCTATGACAAACCCACAGCCAATATCATACTGAATGGGCAAAAACTGGAAGCATTCCCTTTGAAAACTGGCACAAGACAGGGATGCCCTCTCTCACCACTCCTATTCAACATAGTGTTGGAAGTTCTGGCCAGGGCAATCAGGCAGGAGAAGGAAATAAAGGGTATTCAATTAGGAAAAGAGGAAGTCAAATTGTGCCTTTTTGCAGATGACATGATTGTATATCTAGAAAACCCCATAGTCTCAGCCCAAAATCTCCTTAAGCTGATAAGCAACTTCAGCAAAGTCTCAGGATACAAAATCAATATACAAAAATCACAAGCATTCTTATACACCAATAACAGACAAACAGAGAGCCAAATCATGAGGGAACTCCCATTCACAATTGCTTAAAAGAGAATAAAATACCTAGGAATCCAACTTACAAGGGATGTGAAGGACCTCTTCAAGGAGAACTACAAACCACTGCTCAATGAAATAAAAGAGGATACAAACAAATGGAAGAACATTCCATGCTCATGGGTAGGAAGAATCAATATCGGGAAAATGGCCATACTGCCCAAGATAATTTACAGATTCAATGCCATCCCCATCAAGCTACCAATGACTTTCTTCACAGAATTGGAAAAAACTACTTTAAAGTTCATATGGAACCAAAAAAGAGCCCGCATCGCCAAGTCAATCCTAAACCAAAAGAACAAAGCTGGAGGCATCATGCTACCTGACTTCAAACTATACTACAAGGCTACAGTAACCAAAACAGCATGGTACTGGTACCAAAACAGAGATATAGATCAATGGAACAGAACAGAGCCCTCAGAAATAACGCCGCATATCTACAACTATCTGATCTTTGACAAACCTGAGAAAAACAAGCAATGGGGAAAGGATTCCCTATTTAATAAATGGTGCTGGGAAAACTGGCTAGCCATATGTAGAAAGCTGAAACTGGATCCCTTCCTTACACCTTATACAAAAATCAATTCAAGATGGATTAAAGACTTAAACGTTAGACCTAAAACCATAAAAACCCTAGAAGAAAACCTAGGCAATACCATTCAGGACATAGGCATGGGCAAGGACTTCATGTCTAAAACACCAAAAGCAATGGCAACAAAAGACAAAATTGACAAATGGGATCTAATTAAACTCAAGAGCTTCTGTACAGCAAAAGAAACTACCATCAGAGTGAACAGGCAACCTACAAAATGGGAGAAAATTTTTGCAACCTACTCATCTGACAAAGGGGTAATATCCAGAATCTACAATGAACTCAAACAAATTTACAAGAAAAAAAACAAACAACCCCATCAAAAAATGGACAAAGGACATGAACAGACACTTCTCAAAAGAAGACATTTATGCAGCCAAAACACACACGAAAAAATGCTCATCATCACTGGCCATCAGAGAAATGCAAATCAAAACAACAATGAGATACCATCTCACACCAGTTAGAATGGCAATCATTAAAAAGTCAGAAAACAACAGGTGCTGGAGAGGATGTGGAGAAATAGGAACGCTTTTACACTGTTGGTGGGACTGTAAACTAGTTCAACCTTTGTGGAAGTCAGTGTGGCGATTCCTCAGGGATCTAGAACTAGAAATACCATTTGACCAAGCCATCCCATTGCTGGGTATATACCCAAAGGACTATAAATCATGCTGCTATAAAGACACATGCACACGTATGTTTATTGCGGCACTATTCACAATAGCAAAGACTTGGAACCAACCCAAATGTCCAACAATGATAGACTGGATTAAGAAAATGTGGCACATATACACCATGGAATACTATGCAGCCATAAAAAACAATGAGCTCATGTCCTTTGTAGGGACATGGATGAAATTGGAAATCATCATTCTCAGTAAACTCTCTTAAGAACAAAAAACCAAACACCGCATATTCTCACTTATAGGTGGGAATTGAACAATGAGATCACATGGACACAGGAAGGGGAATATCACACTCTGGGGACTGTTGTGGTGTGGGGGGAGGGGGGAGGGATAGCATTGGGAGATATACCTAATGCTAGATGACGAGTTAGTGGGTGAAGCGCACCAGCATGGCACATGTATACATATGTAACTAACCTGCAGAATGTGCACATGCACCCTAAAACTTAAAGTATAATAATAAAAGAAAAAAAAAGCTGAAAGCTCTTTCTCTAAGATCAGGAAGAAGAAAAGGGTCCCCACTTTTCTCACTTCTATTCAACATAGTACTGGAAGTCCTAACCAGAGAAATTAGGCAGGAAAAGGAAATATAAGGGATCTAAATCATGAAGGAAACAGTAAAATAATCTCTATTTATACCTTTAAATATTTCACCAAAAAATCTGTTAGAACTAATAAATTCAGTAAAGTTTCAGGATACAATGTAAACATACAAAAATTAGTAGCATTTTAAAAAATAAACATCTGAAAAGGAAATTTAAAAAACAATATCATTTACAAAAGCATCAAAAAGAATAAAATACTTAGCGAATAATTTAATCAAGGAGGTGAAATATCTATACACTGAAAAGTGTGACATTGATGAAAGAAATTGAAGAATACACAGTTAATAAAAAGATATCCCATGTTCCTGGATTGAAGAAATTAATATTGTTAAAATGTCCATAGCAACCAAAGCGATCTACAAATTCAATGCAATCCCTATCAAAACTCCAATGGCATTTTCACAACAGTATAAAAATATCCTAAAATTTGTATGAAGTCATTGAACCACAAAATACCTCAAATAGCCAAAGCAATCTTGAGAAAGAAGAACAAAGCTGGGCATATTACATGCCCTAATTTCAAACTGTGTTACAGAGCTATAGTAATCAAAACAGTATAGTACTGGCATAAAAACATATATAGAGACTAATGAAACAGGATTTAGATCCCAGAAATAAACTCGCAGGTATATGGTCAACTAATCTCTGGCAAGAGCACCAAGAATACACAATGGGGAAAGGATATTCTTTTCAAAATGTGATTTTAGAGAAATTACATATCTATATGCAAAAGAATGAAATTGGATCCTTGTCCTACACCATAAACAAAAATTAACTCAAAATTGATTAAAGACTTAAATGTAATATTTGAAGCCATAAAACTCCTAGAAAAAAAATGTAGGGAAAAAACTTCTTTACATTGGTGTTGACAATTATTTTTGGATATGATACCAAAGCACAGGCAATGAAAGAAAAAATAAATAAATTAGACTACATTAAATGAAAAGCTTCTGCACAGAAAAGGAAACAATCAACAAAATGGAAAGGCAACCTATGAATTGGGAGAAAATATTTATAATCTATATATTAGATAAGGGGTTAATCTCCAAAATACATAAGAAACTCATACAACTCAATAGCAAAACAATTCCCAAATAACCATATTTTAAAATGGGCAAAAATTCCAGATAGCTATTTTTTTCAAAGAAGACATACAAATGCCCAACGGGTACAGGAAAAGGTTCTCAAAATCACTGCTCACCAGGGAAGTACAAATGCAAACTGCAATTGGAGATCACCTCACACTTGTTAGAACTGGCTATTAAAAAAAATACAAGAGACAAGAAGTATTAACATGGATGTGGAGAATAGGGAACCCTTGTACATTGTCAGTGGGAATGTAAGTTGATACAGTCATTGTGGAAAACAGTAAGGAGCTTCCTCAAAAAATTAAAAATAAAACCATATAATCTAGCAATCCCAGTTCTAAGTATATATCCCAAGGGAATAAAATCACTATCACAAAGATATATATGCACTTGTGTTCACTGCAGCATTATTCACAGTTACCAAGATATGGAAACAACCAAACCGTCCACCAACAGATGAATGAATAAAGGAATTGTAGTATATATGTATATATAAGGGAATATTATCCAGCCTTAAAAAAAAGAAAATCCTGCCATTTATGACATTATGAATGAACCTGGAGAACCTTTTCCTAAATGAAATAAGCCAGACACAGAGAGATAAACACTGCATGGTCTAACTTGTATGTGGAATCTAAAAAGTCAGACCAATAGAATCTGAGGTAGAAGGGTGGTTAGTACAGGTAAGGATGTGTGGGAAATAGGGAGATGTTGGCCAAAGGGCACAAAATTGCAATTATAAAGTGGCTAAGTTCTGGAGACCTAATGTACAGCATGGTGACTATATTTAATAATAAGGTATTGTATATTTGAAATTTGCTAAAACAGTAGATCTCAAGTTTCCTCACCCTCCCCCGACCCCCAACACACACAAAATGGTAACTGCTTAAGGTGATGGATGTTAGCTTGATTCTGTTAATCATTTCACAATGTATACTTATATCAAAACATCACATTATACACCTCATATATACACAATTTTTATTTTTCAATAATACTTCAATAAAACTGGAAAAAAATTAGTAAGAATTAACAGCTCAGAAACACTGAGTCTTCTCATTCATGAACACCACGGCTCTCCACCATTTATTTACATCTTTAATATCTCTCTACAATCTTTTATAGGTTTCAGTGTATAGGTCTTGCACATCTTTTGTCAGATTCAACTGAAATTATTTTATATTTTTGATGCTATTATACATTTTTAACATTCGATTTTCAGTTTACCATTATCTAGAATTGTACTTCATTTTTATATTGATCTTATATCCTATAGCCTTGCTAAACTCACTTATTATTCATAGCAGTGTTTGCACAGATTCTATCAGTTTCTTTTATTGCTTCTGATCTTATAGGAAAAGCATTCAGTCTTTCATCATTACAAATGATCTTAGCTGTGCGTTTTTCACAGACGATCTTTTTCAGTTTGGAGAAGTTTCGTTTTATCACTAGTTTGCTGAGAGTTTTTAATATGATGGATAATGGATTTTGTCAAATGCTTTTTCTGAATCTATTGAGATGATTATATGGTTTTCCTTTTGTAGTTTGTTAGTATTGTGAATTACATTGATTTTCTTATTGTCAAACTGTGTTTGCATTTCCAGGATAAACTCCACATAGACATGATATATTATCCATTTTATATATAATTGTATTTGTTTTCTCAAAAGTTTGGTTAGAACATTTGCACCAATATCCATGAAAGATACTGGTTTGTAGTTTTGTTTTGTCTTTGTACTGTCTTTGCTTTGTTTTGGTATAAGAGTATGCTGATCTCATAGACATAGTTGAGAAGTATTCGCTCCTCAATTTTCCGGAGTAATTTGTATATACTTGGCATTATTTCTTTGTAAAATGTTTTTCAAATTTCACCAGTTAAGTCACCTGGGCTTAGAGTTTTCTTTTATTATTATTATTATTATTATACTTTAAGTTTTAGGGTACATGTGCACATTGTGCAGGTTAGTTACGTATGTATACATGTGCCATGCTGGTGTGCTGCACCCACTAACTCGTCATTTAGCATTAGGTATATCTCCCAATGCTATCCCTCCCGCCTCCCTCCACCCCACAACAGTCCCCAGAGTGTGATGTTCCCCTTCCTGTGTCCATGTGTTCTCATTGTTCAATTCCCACCTATGAGTGAGAATATGTGGTGTTTGGTTTTTTGTTCTTGAGAGAGTTTACTGAGAATGATGATTTCCAATTTCATCCATGTCCCTACAAAGGACATGAACTCATCATTTTTTTGTGGCTGCATAGTATTCCATGGTGTATATGTGCCACATTTTCTTAATCCAGTCTATCATTGTTGGATATTTGGGTTGGTTCCAAGTCTTTGCTATTGTGAATAGTGCCGCAATGAACATACGTGTGCATGTGTCTTTATAGCAGCATGATTTATAGTCCTTTGGGTATATACCGAGTAATGGGATGGCTGGGTCAATTGGTATTTCTAGTTCTAGATCCCTGAGGAATCCCCACACTGACTTCCAGAAGGGTTGAACTAGTTTACAGTCCCACCAACAGTGTAAAAGTGTTCCTATTTCTCCACATCCTCTCCAGCACCTGTTGTTTCTTGACTTTTTAATGATTGCCATTCTAACTGGTGTGAGATGGTATCTCATTGTGGTTTTGATTTGCATTTCTCTGATGGCCAGTGATCATGAGCATTTTTTCATGTGTTTTTTGGCTGCTATAAGAAGGTTTTTATTTTCAAATAGAATTTGTTAAACAAATATAATCCTAATCAGGCGATCTACTTACTCTTGAGTGTGTTTTGGTAGTCTGTATCTTTCAAGTAACATGTACATTTTATGTGAGTTGCCATATATATTAACACAAAGTTGTTTATAATATTGCCTTATTTTTCTTTTAATATCTGTAAGATGATATCTGTGATGTCATCTCTCTTAGTCCCGGTATTGGTAATTTGTGTCTTCTCTGTCCTATTTTCCTGATCTGTCTGGTGAGAAAATTTATCAATATTGCCAATCTTCTCAAACAACCAGCATTTGGTTTCACTGATCCTATCTTTAGCATTTTCTGTTTTCTATTTCATTGATTTCTGCTATCTTTATTATTTCTTATTTTGAATTTTATTTGCTTTTATTTTTCTTGCTTCTTAAGGTAGAAGTTAAAGTAATTGGTTTTAGTCCTTTTTCTTTTAAAATATAGGCAGCTAGTTATATATATATATATATATATATATATTTGTTTGTTTGTTTGTTTGTTTGTTTGAGATGGAGTCTCTCTCTGTCACCAGGCTGGAGTGCAGTGGCACGATCTGGGCTCAATGCAACCTCTGCCTCCCAGGTTCAAGCGATTCTCCTGCCTCAGCCTCCTGAGTAGCTGGGATTACAGGCGAGCACCACCATGCCCAGCTAGTTTTTGTATTTTTTAGTAGAGACGGGTTTTCACCATGTTGGCCAGGATGGTCTCAATCTCTTGACCTCGTGATCCGCCTGCCTCGGCCTCCCAAAGTGCTGGGATTACAGGCGTGAGCCAACATGCCCAGCCTGATATGATATATTTTTAAGTACTGATTTAGCAGCATCTTAAAAATTTTGTGCTTTTTATTTACTTTAAAATACTCCTTAATTTCCTGTTTATTTTTTCTTTGATCTGTAGTTTTTCAGATGCTGTTACATAGTTTCTAACATTTTGAGATTTTCCAGATAAATTCTGTTATTTATTTCCAGTTTAATTTTATTAGGGTAAGAAAACATATTTTTGTATGACTTAAATCTATTTTAAAATTAATGATACTTGTTTAAGGCCCAGAATGTATTCAATCACGGTAAATGTTCCATAAGTATTTCATGAGAATGTATGCGAATGTACGCTTTACTACTATTAGGCGCAGTGCTTTATGCTATGTCAAGTTTGTTAAGTTGTCTAAGTCTTCAACTTCTAAATCCTTACCAATGTTTTGTCTACTTGTTAATGAGAGAAAAGTATTGAAATATCTTACTATATCTGTGGATTTGTTTTTCCTTCATGTATTTTGAACCTCTGTTCTTCTAGTAAGGATTTTTAGCATTTCTAAGTGCTTGTGATGAATTATTTCACATTTTATGTGACTTAAAAGTCATTAATTTGCCTCCATTTATGGAATATGTTTTAGATGAATATAGAATTTTAAATTGATTCATTTTCTTTCAATACTAAATAATTATTGCTTTACTGTCTTCTTGCTTGCCTTTTTCCTGAAGCAAAATCTGTCATTCTAATTTTTGTTCCTATACACATAATAATTTTTGCCCTCTGGCTACTTTCAAGGTTTTCTCTTTGGCATTGGCTTTAAGAATTTAATTGTGCTACTGTCTGGTATAGTTTTCTTCACATTTCATGTTCTTGGGATTTGCTGGGCTTTTTGGATGTGCAGGTTTGTATTTTTCATAATATATAGAAAAATTTAAGCCATTATCTCTTCAAGTAGTTTACTCTGTACCATCCCTCTACTTTCTTGTGGGGAACTTCAATTTTATATACATTTGGCTTCTTAGTTCTTTTTTCTGCGTTTCATTTTCAATGCTTTATAGTTGCACGACTTCAGGTTCAGTAATTTTTCTCCACAATGTCTAATTTGTCATTAATTTCTCCCAGTGTATTTTTTATCTCTGACATTGTGATTTACATCTCCATAAGTTTGTGTTTTTTATATATTTCACATTTCTAATTAACTTTTTGAACCTTTAGAATACATTTATAATAATTTTAAATGTCTCTTTTGATAATTCTAACATCTGTGTCAGGTGTATGTTGATTTTAATTAATAATTAATTATGTTATAACTAATTAAGTTATCACTTCCTACTTCTTTGTATGCCTAGTAAACTTTGATTGAATGCCAGGCATTGTAAATTTTACCTTATTGGGTACCAGATGCTAATATTTTTATGCATTTTCTTCAGTTTCATTCTGGAATGAAGTTAAAATGCTTGGAAATCTTTTTATCCTTTTGGGTCTTTGAGTTTTTTAAGGAGAGATCAGACCTGCGTTTAGTGCAGAACTAATTATTCTCCACTACTATTGCTAGTCTTTTCTGAATATTTTATCCATTGCTTTGTGAAATATTAGGTTTTGCTATGTTAGTGGTACAAAGAGGCACAATTCATGGTCATGTGTGAGAGTCAGGCAGTGTTCCCTCTAATCTCTGATGATTCTTTCCTTAGCCCTGGTTATTTTCCACACACACGTGACAATAAGTACTGCTGCATACTAAAAGGAGACTCCTCACAGATCTCCAGAGTTCTTTCTCTGTGCAGCAGTCTCTTCTCTGGTACTCTGTTCTGTGAACTTTTGCTAATTTTGTCTTCCATATCAGTCCTATCTCCTCAAGTGAGGGCATCTGCTGTACTCCACCTGAGTTTTCCCTCCCTGCCATGGCCTGGAAAAGCTCTAAAAGCCATACGTTGGGCCAATAGTAGAGTTCACCTCATTTGTTTTCTATTCCTCAGAGTTCACTTTCATTTGTTGCCTGATCTTGTTTATCATATTTTTATTTGTGTACCTGTGTTTCCTTGTATCCTTATAATAAAATATCAGCTCCATGAAGTTCAGGCCTTTGGTTCAGTGTTGAGTACAATAGCAGCTACCATCTTTCTACTATGTTCTAGCACTTATGCTCACTATCACCCTGGGAGGTAAGTTTTATTAGTTTTATTTGCACTTGAGCAAGCATGCGCTGAATGCTAGACAGACTTGCCCTCCAGTGATACAAAGCATGTAAGAAGTGACAAAGTTTTTGTTTGACCTGAAGTCACTTAGGGAAGCCAAGTGGGATTTTGTTTTGCCATATATAGTATCGTTAGGCAGATTCATATCAACATGACTGAAGGCTCACTAAGGACAGTCACCACAATTTTGCTCCATTTTTACCTCTGACTCCTAGTCCAGTGATCAGAACCCAATAAGAAATCAAGAATTACTCGATACATCTTTCTTTTTGGGGGGAGTAGGTCCATTTTTAATAAAATTGTATTTATATGAAATGATATGACACTCTTTTATTGGGTTGAGAATTATCCAGTAGGGAAGAAAGTTAGGATCTAGAAGTCTAATAGTTGGAACAAGAGCCACCAGGAGTCGATGATGTATGTTATAACTTGGTAGTTGGTACAAGGGATTTTCTTGTATTATTCTATCTAATTATTTGTATTTTTGACATATGCCATTGAAATAAATAAAACTGATGTTATGTAATGGGATTCATTCTATAATGATATTCTTCAGTAACTCTCCCACACATCATTTTGGATTTATTTTTCTCTAAGTGTCAAAACAAAAGTTTAATTAATTCAACAATTAAAGATAGGTGGATTTGCTGTCATTTTGTGAGTGAAGAATTTATCTATGTTGCAATAAAGTCATTTCAATTACCAAAGTTATCTGCCTGCCACATTTTTTGGAAGCACTTATTTTGAAGGAAAAGGCTTTGAAATTTTAGGACTTTTGTTTGAATCACACATGTGCACCTATTGCTATGTGACTTTCTACATTCTAAAAATCATAACTCACACATTCTTGAGAAAATTAAAGGAGATAAAGCATTAAAGCACCAAGCATAGTACTAAAATATCAAAAGGACTCAATTAGTATTATGATGGCGTTGTTTTTAGAGCCAAAATTCAAATGTAGCCATTGTCATGACTGGACACAACTCTAGTGTTTAGAAAGCCATTTCACATATACACATCTAACTCAGCATATTATCTCCACTTCATTAGTGGAAAAGTATGTTTCAGACAGTTCTGATAGCAAGGATATTAGGTAGAACAGAGTGCAAGGTGAAAAAGAACACAAGTGTCTGGTTTCTAGTCCACTGTACTTTTCTTCTTTGGTCAGGAAATATCTGCCATTTTATCCCCTTTGCCCCCAGGCCTGTTATGGTACCCAATGACAAAAGCTAATACCTTAGGAATCATCCAGACTAATACCTCTTTCTTCCACTTCCTAATTTATGCTTCAATTTCTTTATTCCAGCCTATTTTATTTCCATATTTCCTACCACAGCCCACACCACCTCATTATCCATTGTCTTTCTAGACATACTCTGTTCATTTTATGCATGCCATGTACCAGGCACTGTACTCAGAGCTGGGGACACAATGGTGAAGGAAACATATTCCTTGACCTTTGGCAGGTCTGGGACTAATGGGTGATTCAGACAAAGAACTGCTTGTTTACAACACAGGAAGACTAGGGTTGTGGTAGAGGAAGTACAGAGTGCCATGAGAGCTTTGAATCTCATGTAATTAATAATCCTATCTGGGTCTGTTTCCTTGAGCAGGAATACAGGGGTTGTCCCTTCCTATATGTGTGTCTTTTGCAACAAGAGAACCCTTCCCAGAAATGCTCTGTTCCCAAATTCCATTTACAGATAATATTTTATTTTCTGAGCCTGAATGAAATCTTGGTTATATTTGGGACATTAAAACAGAGCCTTCACCACATGCAATCCAGTGACATTCCAAGTAAAAAAAAAAAAATTGTGCATTTTCATTCAGCTTTACTTGTGGTAGATGAAAAGAAAATTGATGTTGACAAAGTTTTTCCATCTGCTATTACTGCTATTACCTTCATCCTAACAGCTGAGTTGTGCAACTGTGATGGTGTCTCTCTTTACACCAATATATAAGAGGCTCTATGGAAACTGGACTGAGTGAAACAGACATAGACCCAGCCATCATGGGGCTTACAAGATATTATAACAAACTGTGATGAGTGCTTTCTGATATGGGGAGTACAGGATGCTATGACCATTAGTGCAGGAATCTATTCGAGTTTATGAGAATTTATGCCTTTTCTGTGTTTTCCATATTGGAAACACAACCAAGATTTTGAACTCATTTATTAGGTGTTTTATGCTAATAAAAATTATAATATTAGGGTGTAAATCATTGAATACATTATTCACAGATATGCTGTGGCAAGTGGCACTAGCAGTGGAGAAATGGATATTTTAGGAAGTGGAATATTCATAGACAGTTTTATTGAATCTGTTGGAAAATCCAAATGGTATGGCTTAGGCTTCTTCAGAATTTCTAGAAGAATTCCTGCAGTTAGCTGGCAGCAGATTTCTGTCTCAAAAGTGTCCAGAACGTGAGCCTCTTGCATCAGGAATATAGCTCATTTAGGATGCTGTCCTTTGCAATAAGAGTTCCATTTAGCACTTTCAGGCGAAATAGTATCAAGTACCAAAAAAGAGGCTGCCTCTGCTTGTGAGCCTCTTTATAAATATGAACGAAAATTTTCTTTTTTTTTGATAAAGCAAAAAGCAATATGGACATTGTTTATTTCACAGTAAAATACAGTATAACTGGCAAAGTGTTGAAGCTGATAACTATTCATCGTTAGGTAACTGATTTATACATTACAGACCAACACAAGTTTCTGCTCTCCTGTCATTAATTACATTTTACTATAATTATATCATGATGCATATAAACTTAGAAATTATCATACTACAAAAATGATTTAACAGCACATTTTATGCATCTTAATAAGCACAGACTCAGACTCTTAATCTTTTCGAAAACAAGGATGTTAAATTCTATCCTTGTTCTGAACTTCATAATGCTTTTCATAGAAGACTACCATCTCTTTGTCTCCAACATTCCACATGCCTCAAAAATCTATTTATGGAATGGAAGGTGGACATTTAGGGGTACTGTAGAACACAAAATGTGCTTCAATTCTTCTTAATCCTAAATAAGCCTTATTTTCCCAGTCTGTCTTTTTTTTTCAAATTCATTGTTTTTTTTTAAATTTAATTTTATTATTATTATACTTTAAGTTTTAGGGTACATGTACACAATGTGCAGGTTAGTTACATATGTATATACGTATATGTGCCATGCTGGTGTGCTGCACCCATTAACTCATCATTTAGCATTAGGTATACCTCCTAAAGCTATCCCTCCCCCCTCCCCCCACCCCCCACCCCAAAACAGTCCCCAGAGTGTGATGTTCCCCTTCCTGTGTCCATGTGTTCTCATTGTTCAATTCCCACCCATGAGTGAGAATACGTGGTATTTGGTTTTTTGTTCTTGGGAGAGTTTACTGAGAATGATGATTTCCAATTTCATCCATGTCCCTACAAAGGACATGAACTCATCATTTTTTATGGCTGCATAGTATTCCACGGTGTATATGTGCCACATTTTCTTAATCCAGTCTATCATTGTGGGAAATTTGGGTTGGTTCCAGGTCTTTGCTATTGTGAATAGTGCCACAGTAAACATACGTGTGCATGTGTCTTTATAGCGGCATGATTTATAGTCCTTTGGGTATATACCCAGTAATGGGATGGCTGGGTCAAATGGTATTTCTACTTCTAGATCCCTGAGGAATCCCCACACTGACTTCCAGAAGGGTTGAACTAGTTTAGAGTCCCACCAACAGTGTAAAAGTGTTCCTATTTCTCCACATCCTCTCCAGCATCTGTTGTTTCCTGACTTTTTAATGATTGCCATTCTAACTGGTGTGAGATGGTATCTCATTGTGGTTTTGATGTGCATTTCTCTGATGGCCAGTGATGGTGAGCATTTTTTCATGTGTTTTTTGGCTGCATAAATGTCTTCTTTTGAGAAGTGTCTGTTCATGTCCTTCACCCACTTTTTGATGGGGTTGTTTGTTTTTTAATTGTAAATTTGTTTGAGTTCATTGTAGATTCTGGATATTAGCCCTTTGTCAGATGAGTAGGTTGCAAAAATTTTCTCCCATTTTGTAGGTTGCCTGTTCACTCTGATGGTAGTTTCTTTTGCTGTGCAGAAGTTCTTGAGTTTATTTAGATCCCATTTGTCAATTTTGTCTTTTGTTGCCATTGCTTTTGGTGTTTTAGACATGAAGTCCTTGCCCATGCCTATGTCCTGAATGGTATTGCCTAGGTTTTCTTCTAGGGTTCTTATGGTTTTAGGTCTAACGTTTAAGTCTTTAATCCATCTTGAATTGATTTTTGTATAAGGTGTAAGGAAGGGATCCAGTTTCAGCTTTCTACATATGGCTAGCCAGTTTTCCCAGCACCATTTATTAAATAGGGAATCCTTTCCCCATTGCTTGTTTTTCTCAGGTTTGTCAAAGATCAGATAGTTGTAGATATGCGGCGTTATTTCTGAGGGCTCTGTTCTGTTCCATTGATCTATATCTCTGTTTTGGTACCAGTACCATGCTGTTTTGGTTACTGTAGCCTTGTAGTATAGTTTGAAGTCAGGTAGTGTGATGCCTCCAGCTTTGTTCTTTTGGCTTAGGATTGACTTGGCGATGCGGGCTCTTTTTTGGTTCCATATGAACTTTAAAGTAGTTTTTTCCAATTCTGTGAAGAAAGGCATTGGTAGCTTGATGGGGATGGCATGGAATCTATAAGTTACCTTGGGCAGTATGGCCATTTTCACGATATTGATTCTTCCTACCCATGAGCATGGAATGTTCTTCCATTTGTTTGTATCCTCTTTAATTTCATTGAGCAGTGGTTTGTAGTTCTCCTTGAAGAGGTCCTTCACATCCCTTGTAAGTTGGATTCCCAGGTATTTTATTCTCTTTTAAGCAATTGTGAATGGGAGTTCACTCATGATTTGGCTCTCTGTTTGTCTGTTATTGGTGTATAAGAATGCTTGTGATTTTTGTACATTGATTTTGTATCCTGAGACTTTGCTGAAGTTGCTTATCAGCTTAAGGAGATTTTGGGCTGAGACAATGGGGTTTTCTAGATATACAATCATGTCATCTGCAAACAGGGACAATTTGACTTCCTCTTTTCCTAATTGAATACCCTTTATTTCCTTCTCCTGCCTAATTGCCCTGGCCAGAACTTCCAACACTATGTTGAATAGGAGCGGTGAGAGAGGGCATCCCTGTCTTGTGCCAGTTTTCAAAGGACGTTTTCTAAAAACTCATTAACCCCAAATTCCATTTTTCAGTTACCATTTCTGAGCCTGTATAATACTTTGGTCAACTTGGGATGTTAGAAATTATCCTCCATCACGTTTCACCTAGGAAAAACATCCGATTCCAAAAATGTCACTGAAATTGGCAGAGTAAAGACCTCTGAAAAAATTTATCCTTTATAAAAGCAATGAGAACACCAACAAAAAGTATCATAATTAGCATTTTCAGAATGTTGGAATAAACCAAAAGCTTGCAGCAATCTGGAGAGTATTTATTCAGGAAAAATAACAGAATCTCAATAATAGTACATTTTATGGTGTTTTAATATGCCCTATTCCCAATATTTCCACATTATATAATTTTAAAGGTGCAGTTTTGAACAAAAAATTATAAGACATGCAAAGAAACATAAAAGTCTCAGCCATACACAGGAAAAAAGGCAGCCAATAGTGACTATCCCTGAAACCCAGATGTTGGTCTCATTAGACAGAGACTCCAAATAAGCTATTATAAATATATTCAAATAAGTAAAGGAAACCATGTCTGTAAAAACCAAAGGAAAGTATAGGAATGATTTATTACCAAATAATCATTATCAATAAAGATATGGAAATTATATTTTAAAATAACAAATATAAATTCTGAAGTTGAAAATTACAGTAACTAAAATTTAAAAATTTACTAGAGAAGGTGATTTCTGCATTTCCATCTGAGGTACTGGGTTCATCTCACTAGGGAGTGCCAGACAGTGGGCGCAGGTCAGTGGGTGCAGCGCACTGTGCGTGAGCCAAAGCAGGGCAAGGCATTGCCTCACTCGGGAAGCGCAAGGGGTCAGGGAGTTCCCTTTCCTAGTCAAAGAACGGGGTGACAGATGGCACCTGGAAAATCGGGTCACTCCCACCCCAATACTGCGCTTTTCCGACGGGCTTAAAAAACGGCGCACCAGGAGATTATATCCTGCAACTGGCTCAGAGGGTCCTATGCCCACGGAGTCTCGCTGATTGCTAGCACAGCAGTCTGAGATCAAACTGCAAGGTGACAGCGAGGCTGGGGGAGGGGCGCTTTGGTAAACAAAGCAGCTGGAAAGCTCTAACGGGGTGGAGCCCACCACAGCTCAAGGAGGCCTGCCTGCCTCCGTAGGCTCCACCTCTGGGGGCAGGGCACAGACAAACAAAAAGACAGCAGTAACCTCTGCAGACTTAAATGTCCCTGTCTGACAGCTTTGAAGGGAGCAGTGGTTCTCCCAGCGCACAGCTGGAGATCTGAGAACAGGCAGACTGCCTCCTCGAGTGGGTTCCTGACCCCTGACCCCTGAGCAGCCTAACTGGGAGGCACCCCCCAGTAGGGGCAGACTGACACCTCATACTGCCGGGTACTCCTCTGAGACAAAAATTCCAGAGGAACGATCAGACAGCAGCATTCGTGGTTCACGAAAAACCACTGTTCTGCAGCCACTGAAGCTGGTATCCAGGCAACCAGGGTCTGGAGTGGACCTGTGGACCTCTAGCAAACTCCAACAGACCTGCAGCTGAGGGTCCTGTCTGTTAGAAGGAAAACTAACAAACAGAAGGACAGCCACACCAAAAACCCATCTGTACATCACTATCATCAAAGACCAAAAGTAGATAAAACCACAAAGATGGGGAAAAAACAGAGCAGAAAAATTGGAAACTCTAAAAAGCAGAGCACGTCTCCTCCTCCAAAGGATCGCAGTTCCTCACCAGCAATGGAACAAAGCTGGACGGAGAATGACTTTGACAAGTTGAGAGAAGAAGGCTTCAGATGATCAAACTACGAGCTACAGGAGGAAATTCAAACCAAAGGCAAAGAAGTTAAAAACTTTGAAAAAAACTTAGACGAATGTATAACTAGAATAACCAACACAGAGAAGTGCTTAAAGGATCTGACGGAGCTGAAAGCCAAGGCACGAGAACTAAGTGAAGAATGCAGAAGCCTCAGGAGCCGATGTGATAAACTGGAAGAAAGGGTATCAGTGATGGAAGTTGAAATGAATGAAATGAAGCAAGAAGGGAAGTTTAGAGAAAAAAAGATAAAAAGAAATGAACAAAGCCTCCAAGAAATATGGGAGATTGTGAAAAGACCAAATCTATGTCTGATTGGTGTACCTGAAAGTGATGGGGAGAATAGAACCAAGTTGGAAAACACTCTGCAGGATATTATCCAGGAGAACTTCCCCAATCTAGCAAGGCAGGCCAACGTTCAGATTCAGGAAATACAGAGAACACCACAAAGATACTCCTCGAGAAGAGCAACTCCAAGACACATAATTGTCAGATTCACCGAAGTGGAAATGAAGGAAAAAATGTTAAGGGCAGCCAGAGAGAAAGGTCGGGTTACCCACAAAGGGAAGCCCATCAGACTAACAGTGGATCTCTCAGCAGAAACTCTACAAGCCAGAAGAGAGTGGGGGCCAATATTCAACATTCTTAAAGAAAAGAATTTTCAACCCAGAATTTCATATCCAGCCAAAGTAAGCTTCATAAGTGAAGGAGAAATAAAATCCTTTACAGACAAGCAAATGCTGAGAGATTTTGTCACCACCAGGCCTGCCCTAAAAGAGCTCCTGAAGGAAGCACTAAACATGGAAAGGAACAACCGGTACCAGCCACTGCAAAATCATGCCAAAATGTAAAGGCCATCGAGACTAGGAAGAAACTGCATCAACTAACGAGCAAAATAACCAGCTAACTTCATAATGACAGGTTCAAATTCACACATAACAATATTAACTTTAAATGTAAATGGACTAAATGCTCCAATTAAAAGACACAGACTGGCAAATTGGATAAAGAGTCAAGACCCATCAGTGTGTTGTATTCAGGAAACCGATCTCACATGCAGAGACACACACAGGCTCAAAATAAAAGGATGGAGGAAGATCTACCAAGCAAATGGAAAACAAAAAAAGGCAGGGGTTGCAATCCTAGTCTCTGATAAAACAGACTTTCAACCAACAAAGATCAAAAGAGACAAAGAAGGCCATTACATAATGGTAAAGGGATCAATTCAACAAGAAGAGCTAACTATCCTAAATATATATGCACCCAATACAGGAGCACCCAGATTCATAAAGCAAGTCCTGAGTGACCTACAAAGAGACTTAGACTCCCACACATTAATAATGGGAGACTTTAACACCCCACTGTCAACATTAGACAGATCAACGAGACAGAAAGTTAACAAGGATACCCAGGAATTGAACTCAGCTGTGCACCAAGCGGACCTAATAGACATCTACAGAACTCTCCACCCCAAATCAACAGAATATACATTTTTTTCAGCACCACACCACATCTATTCCAAAATTACTTCCACATAGTTGGAAGTAAAGCTCTCCTCAGCAAATGTAAAAGAACAGAAATTATAACTAACTATCTCTCAGACCACGGTGCAATCAAACTAGAACTCAGGATTAAGAAACTCACTCAAAACTGCTCAACTACGTGGAAACTGAACAATCTGCTCCTGAATGACTACTGGGTACATAACGAAATGAAGGCAGAAATAAAGATGTTCTTTGAAACCAATGAGAACACAGACACAACATACCAGAATCTCTGGGATACATTCAAAGCAGTGTGTAGAGGGAAATTCATAGCAGTAAATGCCCACAAGAGAAAGCAGGAAAGATCCAAGATTCACACCCTAACATCACAATTAAAAGAACTAGAAAAGCAAGAGCAAACACATTCAAAAGCTAGCAGAAGGCAAGAAATAACTAAAATCAGAGCAGAACTGAAGGAAATACAGACACAAAAAACCCTTCAAAAAATTTATGAATCCAGGAGCTGGTTTTTTGAAAGGATCAACAAAATTCATAGACCGCTAGCAAGACTAATAAAGAAAAAAAGAGATAAGAATCAAATAGATGCAATAAAAAATGATAAAGGGGATATCACCACCAATCCCACAGAAATACAAACTACCATCAGAGAATACTATAAACACCTCTATGCAAATAAACTAGAAAATCTAGAGGAAATGGATAAATTCCTTGACACATACACTCTCCCAAGACTAAACCAGGAAGAAGTTGAATCTCTGAATAGACCACTAACAGGAGCTGAAATTGTGGCAATAATGAATAGCTTACCAACCAAAAAGAGTCCAGGACCAGATGGATTCACAGCCAAATTCTACCAGAGGTACAAGGAGGAACTGGTACCATTCCTTCTGAAACTATTCCAATCAATAGAAAAAGAGGGAATCCTCCCTAACTCATTTTATGAGGCCAGCATCATTCTGATACCAAAGCCGGGCAGAGACACAACTAAAAAAGAGAATTTTAGACCAATATCCTTGATGAACACTGATGCAAAAATCTTCAATAAAATACTGGCAAACCAAATCCAGCAGCACATCAAAAAGCTTATCCACCATGATCAAATGGGCTTCATCCCTGGGATGCAAGGCTGGTTCAATATACACAAATCAATAAATGTAATCCAGCATATAAACAGAACCAAAGACAAAAACCACATGATTATCTCAATAGATGCAGAAAAGGCCTTTGACAAAATTCAACAACGCTTCATGCTAAAAACTCTCAATAAATTAGGTATTGATGGGACGTATCTCAAAATAATAAGAGCTATCTATGACAAACCCACAGCCAATATCATACTGAATGGGCAAAAACTGGAAGCATTCCCTTTGAAAACTGGCACAAGACAGGGATGCCCTCTCTCACCACTCCTATTCAACATAGTGTTGGAAGTTCTGGCCAGGGCAATTAGGCAGGAGAAGGAAATAAAGGGTATTCAATTAGGAAAAGAGGAAGTCAAATTGTCCCTGTTTGCAGATGACATGATTGTATATCTAGAAAACCCCATTGTCTCAGCCCAAAATCTCCTTAAGCTGATAAGCAACTTCAGCAAAGTCTCAGGATACAAAATCAATGTACAAAAATCACAAGCATTCTTATACACCAATAACAGACAAACAGAGAGCCAAATCATGAGTGAACTCCCATTCACAATTGCTTCAAAGAGAATCAAATACCTAGGAATCCAACTTACAAGGGACGTGAAGGACCTCTTCAAGGAGAACTACAAACCACTGCTCAATGAAATTAAAGAGGATACAAACAAATGGAAGAACATTCCATGCTCATGGGTAGGAAGAATCAATATCGTGAAAATGGCCATACTGCCCAAGGTAACTTATAGATTCAATGCCATCCCCATCAAGCTACCAATGCCTTTCTTCACAGAATTGGAAAAAACTACTTTAAAGTTCATATGGAACCAAAAAAGAGCCCGCATAGCCAAGTCAATCCTAAGCCAAAAGAACAAAGCTGGAGGCATCATGCTACCTGACTTCAAACTATACTACAAGGCTACAGTAACCAAAACAGCATGGTACTGGTACCAAAACAGAGATATAGATCAATGGAACAGAACAGAGCCCTCAGAAATAATGCCGCATATCTACAACTATCTGATCTTTGACAAACCTGAGAAAAACAAGCAATGGGGAAAGGATTCCCTATTTAATAAATGGTGCTGGGAAAACTGGCTAGCCATATGTAGAAAGCTGAAACTGGATCCCTTCCTTACACCTTATACAAAAATCAATTCAAGATGGATTAAAGACTTAAATGTTAGACCTAAAACCATAAAAACCCTAGAAGAAAACCTAGGCATTACCATTCAGGACATAGGCACGGGCAAGGGCTTCATGTCTAAAACACCAAAAGCAATGGCAACAAAAGACAAAATTGACAAATGGGATCTAATTAAACTAAAGAACTTCTGCACAGCAAAAGAAACTACCATCAGAGTGAACAGGCAACCTACAAAATGGGAGAAAATTTTCGCAACCTACTCATCTGACAAAGGGCTAATATCCAGAATCTACAATGAACTCAAACAAATTTACAAGAAAAAAACAACCTCATCAAAAAGTGGGTGAAGGACATGAACAGACACTCCTCAAAAGAAGACATTTATGCAGCCAAAAAACACATGAAAAAATGCTCACCATCACTGGCCATCAGAGAAATGCAAATCAAAACCACAATGAGATACCATCTCACACCAGTTAGAATGGCAATCATTAAAAAGTCAGGAAACAACAGATGCTGGAGAGGATGTGGAGAAATAGGAACACTTTTACACTGTTGGTGGGACTCTAAACTAGTTCAACCATGTGGAAGTCAGTGTGGCGATTCCTCAGGGATCTAGAACTTGAAATGCCATTTGACCCAGCCATCCCATTACTGGGTATATACCCAAAGGATTATAAATCATGCTGCTATAAAGACACATGCACAAGTATGTTTATTGCGGCACTATTCACAATAGCAAAGACTTGGAACCAACCCACATGTCCAACAATGATAGACTGGATTAAGAAAATGTGGCACATATACACCATGGAATACTATGCAGCCACAAAAAATGATAAGTTCATGTCCTTTGTAGGGACATGGATGAAATTGGAAATCATCATTCTCAGTAAACTATCGCAAGAACAAAAAACCAAACACCGCATATTCTCACTCATAGGTGGGAATTGAACAATGAGAACACATGGACACAGGAAGGGGAACATCACACTCTGGGTACTGTTGTGGGGTGGGGGGAGGGGGGAGGGATACCATTGGGAGATATACCTAATGCTAGATGATGAGTTAGTGGGTGCAGCGCACCAGCATGTCACATGTATACATATGTAACTAACCTGCACATTGTGCACATGTACCCTAAAACTTAAAGTATAATAATAATAAAAAAAATTTACTAGAGAAGTACAACAGCAGATTTGGGCAGGCAGAAGAATCAGCAAACTTGAAATTATCCAGTCCAAGAACCAGAAAGAAAAAAAACCAGAATGAGAAAAAAATGACCAGAACCGTCTACACTATCCAGCACATCAACATAAGCTTAATGGAAAAATCATAGCAGAGAAACACAGGGACAGAAACAACATTTGAAGAAAAAATTGCCAAAACTTCCCAAATTTGATGAAAGAAATCAACCTACACATCTATGAAGCTCAAAAACCTCCAAGTAGGATCAATCAAAGGTATCAGTTAGTCACATCATAATGAAACTGTTGAAAGTCAAAGACAAAAACAGACTCTTGAAAGCAGCAGGAGAGTAGCAACGCATCATGTACAAGGAATCCTCAATAAAAATACTAGCTGATTTCTTACCACAAACCATGGAGAATAGACTTTTAATATATCATAACATATGTCACTTTTAATGACATATTAAAAGTTCTGAAAGAAAAATAATATCAAATAAGAATCCTATAGCCAGCAAAACTATCCTTGAAAAATAAAGGAGAAATTAAGACACTCTCATATAAAGAAAAATGGGAAGAAATGTTGCTAGCAAACTTAACCTACAAGAATAATAAAAGAAATATATGTAGTATAATGTAAAACACAGTATAAATATATTTTTATTATAATTCTCTTTTCTCCTATCTAATTTGAAAGACAACTGCACAGAGCAATAATTATAAATCTGTGTTGATCCGCATACAGTTTGTTAAGATGTAATTTGAATGATAATAACAGACCAAAGGAGGGTGAAGAGAATGGAGCAATATAGAAACAATGTCCTTGTAAACCATTGTAATTTTATTGATATTAACAAACTACAATGCCATAAATTTTTAATTTGTTAATTTTAATTACCAGAGCAATTACTAAGAAATTAAGTTTTAAAATATAGTAAAACAAATGACAAGTGAATTTAAATGGTAAGTTAGAAAATAACACTAAAGAAGGCAGTAATGGAGCAATAAAGGGAAATAAAAACATAAGATATTAAAAAATGGCAAAAGAAGCAGACATAAATTTTACCTTATCGGAAATTACATGCAATATAAATGAATTAAGCACTCCAGTTTACAGGCAGAGCTGGCAGAATGACTTAAAAAATATTTTCCAATTACATTCCATCTACAAGAGACACACTTTATTCTGCCAAATTCATATCAAATTTCAGCTGGGATTTTGCAGAGACTGACAAGGTGATTCTAAAATCCCTACGGATATTTAAGGGACCTTGAATACCAAAAAGGATCTTAAACCTAAAGAACAAACTTGATATTAAAGGTATTAAAGAAAGCCTAAAGAGGTTTGTCTCTTCAAGTTCTTCAAAGACAAAAAGAAGTGGATACTATAAGGATAGAAAAAGATATACCATTCCAATAGTAGCCAAAGGGAACTGGAGTGCCTATGCTAATAAAAGATAAAACCGACTTTAAAACAAAAATGTTACTAACAGCAATGAAAAACATTTTATAAAGATAAAATTATCAATTTATCAAGAACCTATAACAATTATAAGCATATAAGCATCATATAGCAGAGCCCCGGAATACATGAAGAAAAACTGACAGAATTTAAGAGATAAATAGACAGTTTAAAAATAATAGTGAATACTTCAATACTCTACTTTCAATAATGAATAGAACAACTAGATGGAAGATCAACAAGGAAATAGAAGATATGAATAACACTAAAAAACAAACTAGATGTAACAGACATCTAGGAAATACTCTACTCAAAAACAGAAGAATACACATTGTTCTCAAGTGCACAGGGAACATTCTCCAGGATAGATCATATGTTAGACAACAAAACAAGTCCCAATAATATAAAAAATACTGCACTCATATAAAGTATGTTCTCTGGTCACCTGTGAAAAACCCACAGAAAACAACATGTTTTTGCAAAAAGACTGAAAATCTTCCCCTAAGATGAGGAACGTGACAAGGATGTCTGCCTTTGTGACCCCTATTCTGTTATACTGGAGGTTCTAACTGGAGAAATTAGGCATGGGAGAAAAAGGTATCTACATATATAAATTATATAATTATAATTATACATGTATGCAGATGACATGACATTTTATAGAAATAATACTAAAAAATTCACACAAAAACTATTAGAGCCAATAAAAGAGTTCAGCAAGATTGCAGGACAGGAGGTCAATACACACACAAAAAATGGTTGTTTTTCCATCCAGTAGGAATGAAAAGTTTGAAAATAATAATAAAAGACAATTCCATATATAATAGACTCACAAAGAATAAAATACTTAAGAATAAATGTAGCATGGGAAGTGTAAGGTTTACACACTGAAAACCACAAAACTTAATTGAAAGATATTAAATAAAACCTAAATAAATGAAATGACGTTCCATGTTTGTGGATTTTGAGACAGTATTTTTAGATGCCAATACTCCCCAAATTTATCTACAGATTTGACACAATACATACCAAATTCCAGCTGAGATTTTGCAGAGACTGAGAAGCTGATTCTGAAGTCCCTATGGAATTGAATATCCAAGTACTTGGTATTCAATATTAATGAAACTTGAATACCCAAAAGGATCTTAAATATGAAGAACAAACTTGAAGGACACACACTTCTCAATTTCAAATCTTACCCCAAAGGTACTGTAATCAAGACTATGAAGTTCTGGACTACAGATATACATATAGATCAGTGGAATAAAATTAAAGTCCAACAAGAAACCCTCACATTTCTGGTCAATTGATTTTTGACAAGGGTGCTAATGTTAATGTTGTCTTTTCAACAAATACTTCTGGAACACCCACATGCAAAGGAATAAAATTAGACTTCTACTCCACACTATATTTTAAAAACTCAAATGGATCAAAGACTTAAATATAAGAGGTAAAACTGTAAAACTCTTAGAAGAAAACAGGTTGAAATCTTCATGACCTTGAATTAAACCATAATTTCTTAGATATGACACCAAAAGCACAAGTAACAAAAGAAAAAGATAATTAAATTGAAAGTCATCAAAATTGAAAATGTTTTGGCTTTAAAGGACACTATTAAGAAAGTGAAAAGATAACTTACAAAATATGAAAATATTTGCAAGTTATATATCCAATAATGATCTAGTATCCAGAATAAAGATCCCTTACAACTAAATAATAAAAATACAAATAACCCAATTAAAAATGGGCAAAACATCTGAATAGGCAGGTTTCCAACAAAGTTATACAAATGTCAAATAAGCACATGGAGAGATGCTATTTTTAATAATTATGCAAATGAAAATCAAAATAACAAAAAGTACTATTTCACATCCAGTAAGAGGGCTATAATTTAAAAGTCAGACAGTAACAAACGTTGGTAAGGAGGTCAAGAAATTAGAACCCTCATACATTCCTGGTGGGAATGAAAACTGCTGCAGGCACTTCGGAAAAACAGCTTAGCTGTTCCTCAAAAGTTAAACATAGAGTTGCCATATGACCCAGCAATTCCACTCCTAGATTTATACTCAAGAAAACTGAAGGCGTATGTCCACATGAAAACTTGTACATGAATGTTTATAGCAGCCTTATTCATGATAGTCAACTGGTGAAACAACCTAAATGTCCATTAGCTGATGAAAGGATAAACAAAATGTGTTATCTCTGTACTCTTGTGGATGCTCTGAAGCACCAGATGGATCTTCACTCAAAATTTGGTTTAGATGTTGTGAGTGGTGACACCACACATGCATCAGGAGAATATAGAATGATTTATTATTCACATAATTTAACTTTCTTGGGGAAAGCAGAGTGACTATCAAGAAGGTTTGAAAATGACATGAGAGAGCAGGGATAAAAGACTGGCTTGGGGTTTCTATGCTGGTTAGAGGGTAGGGACTGGGTGAGGATTCCAGGGCATGGTTTGAACTTCTTGCCATCACCAAAGAGAAGAAGGCACAGACTCTTGTCAGCAAGCCCAGATGTGTGTGGAGCAGGAGGGGAAAAAGAAGTGTGGTTAAAGCTGTCGGCAGTCAAACATCCAAAAATGGAGTCAGAATTAAAAAGTAAACTTAATAGGTAGTAATTATTAAGAGCCAGTAATTAAGCTATTCTCCTTCAGCTCCAAATCTACCCTTCTGTTCTCTGCTTTGAGATGCTGGGCCTCAGATTCAGAAAACCGTTTTTCTGTTGATGCCAATGGTTCCTTGTTAAGCTTTGTCAATAGGGAGTGTTGGAGAGAGACTGGAAGCTGAAGGAAGACAGGACCTGCTCCTTCTTGACTGCTTCCTGTTGCTGTCAGTAAAACCCAGAGTTGTCAGGCCACTCATTTCGGGGACAGCAACTGATTTCAGTTTGCAGTTTTTCTAACACTCATTGAATCAGCTTATTGCACCATCAGAGACACTAGCACCAGCCAGTCAGTACCCCCTTCTCAGAGGTCTCAGTTGCAAATCTGTGGGGCTCCTCCTGTAAGCCTCTAAGTTTTATTTATTCTAACCTCCCCATTTTGTTCTTCCAGTCCCAGAGGTAATAGCAGATTCTTGTAATTGTTACCTCCATGATACTTTAGTATTCTCTTTATGCATTCTTAATTCATCCATATCAATTTAACAATTCTTTATATTAAATGCTCTCTTTTTACAAAAATGACGTCAGACTTTTATTAAATTTTATTTTGTTTCCCCTTCTAACTTGACTTGTGACTGAAATGTGCCATTTTGTATTGAATTGAACTTGAATTTAAATAAGCCATTATGACACTCTATGAGGACTGCAGTCTGAGGCTGGTAAGGGAGGTGAACGTTTCATTGAATTCCATGCTCAACAGGCCAGCACTGTGTGTTTTGAAAAGTAATTTTAATGCCTTGGTTACTACCAGTGATTTCTGTACCTCTGAAGGGGATAATAAGTGTCTTGGTGAAACTTTGCATTGTGGCTTTCTTGTGGACAGAAATATATGTAACAATTATTTGTATTTTGGGTATCTTGAGATAAACAATTATTGGGAATTGCTGTTGCTGTCATTAGCCAGACCAGCTGTCGAGACTACTGGCAATGACTCAAGCATCTGTAGAAATGTACAGATAGGGTTCAGCCAATTTTGTTGACCACTAGGTCTCATCTTTTATCAGGGGTGCCACAGTAAAGGGATAAAAAGCAGCAACACTCCACTGACCTCCGTCACTTGCAATGGTGTTAATGCAATCCATAAAATGTATGAAATCTTCTTGCTATATGCTCGGTTAATGGCAACCAGGTATCCAAATGGGCCAGAAAAAGGGTGACCTCCTCAAGCACCATGGCATCTGGCAAAGGACTAAGGACAGGGAAGGCTATCACTGCCTGCAGGTAGGACATGCCAGAGATTTCAGGTTTGACTCCATTCTGTAATAAGGAAATCTTGGTGGAATAATGAGTTTTCAGGATATTGCTTTCACAATCCAACAAATAATAGGCAGCTAAGTACAGGAAGTCACTGGTTCAGCACCCGAGAGAGCCTCTATTTTCAGGAGACACTTGTATGCTGCCAGCAACTGCCACTCTGGGATATAGCATGGGGCTTAGGAGGGTAGTTTCTTGCGTTAGTCACCCATGGGCAACTTATGGCCATCATGGGTGGTCCTGAGACTCCAAGACACATGAGAGGAGGTTGCTTAAAGTCTCTACAGTGAAGGAGTTCCTGGGGGGCACTAACAACAGTGCCTATAGTATTGTGATTTTTGCAGATTCTAGAGCCTTTTGTTATAGGGCGCTCTGATGGTTAATTTTATGTGGCAGTTTGACTAGGCTATAGTGCTCAGTTATTTGGTCAAACACTAGTCTAGAAGCTGCTGTGAATTTATTTGTAGATGTAATTAGCATTTACAATCAGCTGACTTTATGTGAACCAGATTATCCTTCATAATGTGAATGGGCTTCATCCAATCAGTAGAAGCCCTTAAGAGCAACACCTGAGGGTTTCCAAAAAATAAGCAGTTCTACCTCAAAATTGCAACATGAAAACTTGCCTGAGTTTCCAGCCCGCTGCCCTGCCCTGCAGATTTGGGGTTTGCCAGCCTCGTATTCATGTGAGCCAATTTCTTAAAACAGATTTACCTCTCTCTTCCTCATTCTCACACTGTGTGTATATGTATATGTGTGTGTGTATGTGTATGAAGATGCATGTATATATATGCATATATGTATATTTGTGTATGTATACGTAAACATGTATATATATGTGTGTATATACATCTATTTTTCTATTTTGTATTTATAGCTATAAAATTTTATTTTAATTATAATTATATATTTTCTATTTCATGTTACACACACACACACACACACACACACACACACACACACACACGCAAATTGTTTTCGATGGCAAAGCTGTTTGGATATCCCATGGATAGGGTAGGATATCCATTGTGTGTTTTTGGAGGTGAAGGCAAATGGGCTGAGACGCTGTTGAAATAGGCACTGAACAGAACATATTAGTCAAATCTACAACAACAAAATATTAACCAGTTGCTGATTGGATGGAGTCAATAATCTTAAACATATTAGTTACGGGGGCCTTAATCAGTGGGACTACAGCATTAAAGAGTGATGATAATTCAGGGTGAAGTGCCATTCATTCTTTCCAAGTTTAATAACAGGCCAGATCGGATTGTTAAGTGAAGAAACAGTGGAGATAATCACCTATTCTATAAATAGGTCTTGCAGTTGTTTATGCAGCAATAGATAACCAGGACGATGCAGAAGTAAAACAAATTAGTGTGTAGACTTAACCATATACCAAAACATAATATATTTATGAATGTGTTAGTAGAATTACAAGATGTTTATCAATCGTAAACTTAACTTTCACTTAAAATTAAGTCTTGGCTACAGTTTTTTCTCATTAAATGTACAGCTACCTCATTTAAAAAAATAGATCTTGTACAACAGGTCTCAATCCTTGAAGGCCCTATTTTAACATACATTGGGATGAATTGACTAGAGGGAAGGTTCATGGGAACCAATATTTTAAGCTGAATTGTAAGTGCCAAAGACTTGACTTAATTTTAATTTATTACTCTTTAGGTCAGAGCATCCATGCCCACTGTGAAGTATTTTAGGTAATGGGTGCTATTACACATGGTGTATTAGGGTACTCTAGAGAGACAAAACTAATATATATATATTATATAGGTAATGGGTGCTATTACACATGGTGTATTAGGGTACTCTAGAGAGACAAATTACCCATTACCTAAAATACTTCATAGTGGGCATGGGCGCTCTGACCTAAAACATATATATCTTATATATAGGATATATATTATTAATATATATTAATTAATATAATTAATAATACATATTAATAATATATATCCTATTAGTTCTGTTCCTCTAGAACCCATATATAAATATATATAAATAAATATATATATAAAATATATATAAATAAATATATATATAAAATATATATAAATAAATATATATATAAAATATATATAAATAAATATATATATAAAATATATATAAATATATATATAAAATATATATAAATATATATATAAAATATATATAAATATATATATAAAATATATATAAATATATATATAAAATATATATAAATAAATATATATAAAATATATATAAATAAATACTATATATAAAATATATATATAAAGGGGAGTTTATTAAGTAGAAATCACATGATCACAAGGTCCCACAATAGGTGGTCTGCAAGCTGAGGAGCAAGGAAGCCAGTCTGAATCCCAAAGCTGAATAACTTAGAGTCTGATGTTTGAGGGCAGGAAGCATCCAGCACAGGAGAAAGATGTAGGCTGGGAGGCTAAGCCAGTCTAGTCTTTTCACATTTTTCTGCCTGCTTTATATTTTAGTCAAGCTGGCAGCTGATTAGATGGTGCCCACCCAGATTAAGGGTGGGTTTGCCTTTCCCAGTCCACTGACTCAAATGTTAATCTCCTTTGGCAACACCCTCACAGACACACCCAGGATCAATACTTTGCATCCTTCAATCCAGTCAAGTTGTCACTCAGTATTAACCATTACATATGGGTAATTAAGCAAGGTAACAGTTACAATGGGTAAGATGAGGCATTGCTATCTGTCTTTTATTTTATGTTCAGTCACTTCCCTAAGGCTATGAGATATACCTTGTTTAAATTTCGAGAGATCCCCAAGCATAGTAGCAGCCATTTGGGCCACAGTATTGATGACACAAAGATTTGCTAATTGGTGCAAATAAGCAGTTGTTAAATTTATTCAGAACCTATGTTGTAAAGTGTATAAGTCAAATCAGCCCCCTTTTATCTTTTTGTTTTATAAATTAGGTAAATGTATTCCCAATTGTGTCAAATTATGGCCATTTCAGGTTTTTTTTTCTTTTGCCTCCCCCTATGTCCAGTTTTCTTTTACTTTTCTCTTTCTCTCTCTCTCTCTCTCTTCCCTGCCCCCGACCCCCCGCCCCCCGTGGGTGATTATCGGATATCCTTTGGAAGAAGGAGAGTTCTCTCTACCCTATTTATCTTTATGAATTACTTCCTCTAGAGAACCTCAAATCAGTATTATTAGGGTTAGCCTCCCCCACAGCAATGGTGGTTTTATAGGGTTTAAGGACCCTGGACTTCAGTCAGATTTGAATTAACCCCTTGGTATGCCATACAGTTGCCATGGGTGTTTCTCCCTATAACCCTCAAGATCAGTATCATTCTTATGACAGAGGCATAGGCAGTAGAAGCAAAGGCATTTTGAAGGATCCTAGTGAGCCACCTGCTTTTAGGAGTGTGGACCTCCACATGTCACATATGACTGGTTTTTCCCCTCTATTGGCTGCTTTTTCACTTTCTAATGATTTCTCATTCATAAGCCATCATTCAATAGCTCAATATATCACAGAGGATATAAGTCTTTCCCCTGAGCACTCTATACAATGGGGGGTAATGCTGGTTGAGACATACAATTAATCTGTCACAGGGCCCAGGTGGTTCCCTCAGCCTAGAGTCATTAAGAGCTTATGCTGAAATTAAAACACGTTATTCATTCTAAGACACAGTTAACCTGAGCCAAGGCACATGACACAGGGCCACATTAAGGAAGATACCAGTCCCATACTCCTGTGAATTATCTAAACTCAGACTTAGGTATATTAAATCTATAAAGGAGGCTTCAGTACAACTCAGCAAATGTAGCACAAAGAAGCTCAGCTCAAAGATTGTGCTAGCCTGCAAGTAGTGGCTCTTAAGTGCCTGCTGGTTTTCAGGCAGAAGACCCAGTTAGCAAGTCAAAGAAAGACAATAAAGATCCCCAAGATGGTGGTCATAATCTAGACATCCTCCTTACTGCATCACTTGTGGACCCTTGCAGAGGTAGATAGATCTTCACCCAAAATTTGGTCTGCAGAAACTACATACCAACCAAGAGGATATTTCATACCAACAGGGTATGAAAAAGTTTACTATGCATATGAGGCTTGCTTGAGACAGCAGTGTGGCTCCCAAGCAGGTCTGAAAATGGCTTGAGAATGCAGGGAAGGAAACTGGTGTTTAGAGGATAGGGTCAAGGTGAGGGTTCCTATGTATAGTTTGAACTTCCCTCCAGTATCACAGAAGGGAGCACCCAGGCTTTCCTATCAACTTTCCCAGATTTGAGGCAGAAGGGAAAAGAGGAGGGTTTATGCTTTAAAGCTGAAACATCAAAAATGGGCAGTCTTTATTACCATACAATGGAACATGATTGTGCCATAAAAAGGAATGAAGTACTCCCCTTAATGCATGCTACACTATAGATGGCCCTTTTAAACAATATGCTAAATAAAAGAAGTCAAACTCAAAGGGACATATAATGTACAATTCCATTTATATAAAATGTCTAGAATAAGCAAATTCATAGAGGCAGAAAGTAGAACAATAGTTGTCAAGGTCTGGGGATTGGAATGGGGAGTGACTCCTAACGGGCATAGAGTATCTTTCCAGGGTGATAAAAATGTTTTGGAATTAAACAATGGTGATGTTTGAACAACATTGTGAAAATACTGAAATGCACTGAATTGTACCCTTTAGCAGAGTCAATATTTTGGTGTGTGAATTATATCTCAATAAAACAATCATATTAGATTTCTATACAACTATAGGTTAAATTTGCATAAAAACATAGCAAAAGAAGTTGAATTTTTGTATACAGTAATCTTCTTGAGAGCAAGGACTCTAATTTATTTCTGAAACCAGAGTGTATGACACATAGTGGGCATTTGATATATTCTTTGAATGTGTGAGTGAGGCATAAACTCATTAATTTAGCCAGTCTTTATTGAAAACACAGTATATTCTACCACTATGATAAAACATTGTTAGCTTACAAATTCAATCTCATTTAAAAATAAGAGAAATAAAAAATAAGCATTTCCTGCCCATGGCAATAAATTCAGAACATAATAAAATATATTAGGAAGAGAAAAAACCTAAAGTGCCACTGATCAGAGATGACCACTGCCAACATTTTGTAGCGTACCCTTCATACTTTTCTCTATGTATGACACACATATATATAAACACAATCATAAATATCTTTTTTAAATGTGTAGAAATGCCATATACTTTGTAAACTGTTATTTTAGCTTGATAATAGGAAGTACATATAATTTTACTTCAAATAATATACCTACATCATCATCATTAAAACTTTTCATTGAAAAACGGCATCTATGTTTAAAAGTGTATAAATCATAAGAATGAAGTTAAATAAACTCTCATAAATTGAACAAACCTGTATAATCATTGCCCATATCAAGAAACAGTACTTTACCATCACTCCTGAACCACCTCCTCATGCCCCTTACCAGTTACTATTCCCTCAAGAGTAGTCACTATCCTGACTTTCAAAACTACAAATTACATTTGTTTTAGAAAGTTAAATAGGAGCCGGGGCAGGATGGCCCGGCATCTGCTCCATGGAGCTCACAGCCCAGCCTAGGCTGGCAACTCCAGTCTGCCCCAGTTTCCAGTTCTGTCCATTCCCCTTGCAGCTCAGCATGGATGAAGCTTTGAAATCCAGCTCTCCCTCTCCCTCTCCCGTCTCCCCACGGTCTCCCCCGTCTCCCCACAGTCTCCCTCTCCCTCTCCCGTCTCCCCACGGTCTCCCTCTCCCTCTGTTTCCACGGTCTCCCTCTCATGCCGAGCCGAAGCTGGACTGTACTGCTGCCATCTCGGCTCACTGCAACCTCCCTGCCTGATTCTCCTGCCTCAGCCTGCCTAGTGCCTGCGATTGCAGGCACGCGCTGACACGCCTGACTGGTTTTCGTATTTTTTTTGGTGGAGACGGGGTTTCGCTGTGTTGGCCTGGCCGGTCTCCAGCTCCTGACCGCGAGTGATCCGCCAGCCTTGGCCTCCCGAGGTGCTGGGATTGCAGACGGAGTCTCCTTCACTCAGTGCTCAATGGTGCCCTGGCTGGAGTGCAGTGGCATGATCTCGGCTCGCTACAACCTCCACCTCCCAGCCGCCTTCCTTGGCCTCCCAAAGTGCCGAGATTGCATCCTCTGCCCGGCCGCCACCCTGTCTGGAAAGTGAGGAGCGTCTCTGCCTGGCCGCCCATCGTCTGGGATGTGAGGAGCCCCTCTGACTGGCTGCCCAGTCTGGGAAGTGAGGAGCGTCTCCGTCCGGCCGCCATCCCATCTAGGAAGTGAGGAGCGCCTCTTCCCGGCCGCCATCCCATCTAGGAAGTGAAGAGTCGGGCTGCCCATCGTCTGAGATGTGGGGAGTGCCTCTGCCCTGCCGCCCCGTCTGGGATGTGAGGAGCGCCTCTGCCCGGCCGCGACCCCGTCTGGGAGGTGAGGAGCGTCTCTGCCTGGCCACCCCGTCTGAGAAGTGAGGAGACCCTCTGCCTGGCAACCGCCCCGTCTGAGAAGTGAGGAGCCCCTCTGCCCAGCAGCCGCCCCGTCTGAGAAGTGAGGAGCCTCTCCGCCCGACAGCCACCCCGTCTGGGAAGTGAGGAGCGTCTCCGCCCGGCAGCCACCCCGTCCGGGAGGGAGGTGGGGGGGTCAGCCCCCGCCCAGCCAGCCGCCCCATCCGGGAGGGAGGTGGGGGGGTCACCCCCCTGCCCGGCCAGCCGCCCCGTCTGGGAGGGAGGTGGGGGGGTCAGCCCCCCGCCCGGCCAGCCACCCCGTCCGGGAGGTGAGGGGCGCCTCTGCCCAGCAGCCCCTACTGGGAAGTGAGGAGCCCCTCTGCCCGGCCAGCCGCCCCGTCCGGGAGGGAGGTAGGGGGGTCAGCCCCCCGCCCGGCCAGCCACCCCGTCTGGGAGGTGTGCCCAACAGCTCATTGAGAACGGGCCAGGATGACAATCGCGGCTTTGTGGAATAGAAACGGGGGAAAGGTGGGGAAAAGATTGAGAAATCGGATGGTTGCCGTGTCTGTGTAGAAAGAAGTAGACATGGGAGACTTTTCATTTTGTTCTATACTAAGAAAAATTCTTCTGCCTTGGGATCCTGTTGATCTGTGACCTTACCCCCAACCCTGTGCTCTCTGAAACATGTGCTGTGTCCACTCAGGGTTAAATGGATTAAGGGCGGTGCAAGATGTGCTTTGTTAAACAGATGCTTGAAGGCAGCATGCTCGTTAAGAGTCGTCACCACTCCCTAATCTCAAGTACCCAGGGACACAAACACTGCGGAAGGCCGCAGGGTCCTCTGCCTAGGAAAACCAGAGACCTTTGTTCACTTGTTTATCTGCTCACCTTCCCTCCACTATTGTCCTATGACCCTGCCAAATCCCCCTCTGTGAGAAACACCCAAGAATGATCAATAAAAAGTAAATAAATAAATAAATAAATAAATAAAAAAGTTAAATACACTGAATTTGGCTAAGACAGAGGAACCCCTTTCTCTTATAACTAAAAGACCCTGGACATAACAAAAAAAAACAAGTCTGGAAGACTCAGAATAGTGGAAAGATGATAAACAGCACAGGGAGTTTAGAACTCAAAGAACAACACAGAAATGAATTCCCTGGGTTTCCTTATTTCCTTACATATGTCCAGTACAGAGTGCTGCAGAAGCCTGCAACCTAGAACTGCCAACAGATACAAATAAAGCTCCAAGAAAAGACTGTTTTCCCTAGGCAAAGGACCAGAAACGATGGCCTAATAATATCAAACTTTCTGGCAATTCCCACTCTACTCCAGGTAAACGCCAATGGAAAAACCATACCCCACCAAACCACCACCTCTGCCTGTGGTTTCAGTGAGACTGAGAAATAAGTTGATCTTCTATTTCATCCCACCTCCATCCCCACAGAATCAGATGTCAGTGTTCTAATTCCCCACTCAGCTGTGTTAACAGGGCCAAAAAGGGGCTTATCTTTTATTATCTGCCCAGTGGAAGCAGTTAGTGATGATCTGATTTCCCTACTTGGACAGTGTTAGTGCGACACAGTGAAAACCTTATTTTGTATGTCCCGCTGGGAAGAAGCAGATGATGCTCCTATCTTCCTGCCCATGTAGTGTAGTGAGGTAGAGTGGGTAGCTGATCTTCTGTTCCCTATCCGGTAGAAAAAAAGTGGTACTCTAATTCTCCTGTCAGGGAGGAGTCAGCAGGGTCCAGTAGCAAGCTGAACCTCCACCTTCACCCAACAGCAATGTGACTTAACAAGGTAGTGAAAAGTGGAGCTAGTCATCGCTAGGTTTCACAATTTCTCCCTTACAGTGTCAGTGGGTAGAAATTCCTCAGCAGACAGAGGAGTTTCTACCCCTACGTGCATCAATGAGACTTAATAAGACAGTACAAGTCAGAGCTGGTAAGCATTCCCTTTCACTCCATCCCTGATATCAGTGAGGCCCAGGAAGTAGGTGAATCACCAAACTCACAACTCATTTGTACCCTCATTTAGTCTCATAATGAGACTCATAATGAGACTCATTATGAGACTAAATTAGGTGGCACAAATCACAGCTAGTTGTCACCTCTGTCCACCCTCCCACGTATAGAAGGTCATCCAGTGACAGAAGATAGCACAGGTGTGTGCCTCCTACTCATGCAGAAGTCACCAGCATGGATTGGTTAGGAGCCTTGGCAGCAGCAGAAGCCGGAATCACACCAGAATATCATTTCGAGGACTCATAAAACTTTTCATTACAATGAAAGCCCGGAAAAGTAGGCCAGAACTTACATGCTAAACCAAAACAAGGTGACTCCATTACAATAGAAGATTTAGGTAAGATCATTAGTCCCCTAACATAGTAATAAAAATGTCCATGATTCAATTTTTAAAAATCACTTGTCACATTAAGAACCAGTAAATTCACAATATGAATGAGAAAAGACAATAAACAGAAGCCAATACCAACATAAATCATAAGTTGGAATTATCTGAAAAAGATTTTAAGGCAGACATTGTATAGATTCTCTTTTAAAATGAAAAAAAAAAATCCCAGCAAATGAAAGTCATAAAAAAGAACCAGAAGAAATTGTAGAATTGAAAATTATAACAATTGAAGCTAAAGAAAAACTTTCTAGATGGACTTAATAGTAAAGTAGAGATGAGAGCAAATAGAATCAATAAACTTGAGGACAAATCAATAGAATTTACTCAATTTGAACAATGAAAATAAAATGGACTGAGAAAAATGAAGAGTTTCATGGGCCTGTGGGACAATAACACAAGAGAGAACTTTTGTATCATACAAGTTCTGGAAAGAGAGTAGAGAGATTGTGGGAGGGAATATTAAAGAAAGTAATGAATGAAAACATCTCAAATTTTGTGAAAGATACAAACCTATGAATTCAAGAAACTGAGTGAACAACCAATAGATAAATGAAAGGAAATCTATGCCAGAGAACATTATAATTAAACTTCTGAAATTTAAACACAAAGAAAAAAATCTTCAAAGCTGCCAGAGAGAAAATGACATATTACCTACATGTCATTGCCCATGATGCATAACTGTGGGGTAATATACCAATTTGAATAACAGATGAATTTTCATTGGAAAACATGGAGGCTAGAAGGAAGTGCTACGTTTTTCAAGTGCTAAAAGAAATGAGCTCTTAATCATGAATTCTGTATCTGGTGAAACAATCCCAACACAAAGGAAAGATAAATGGTTTAGATGATGTATATCCCAATTACCCTGACTTGATCATTACACATTGTAAACAGGCATCAAAGTATCACATGTACCTCAAAATATGTACAACTAATATATATAAATTTTTTAAAAGGTAAAACAAAAAGAATAAAAGAGAAATGAAGACAACCTCAGATGACAGAAAACCATAAGCATTTGTTGGTAGCAGACCTATCCTTAAAAACTGGCTAAAGGAAATTATTCAAAAAGATAGGAAATGATAAAAAAAAAAAAAGAATAGTGGAGGATGAGGAAGAAAGAAGGAATGATAAAAAGAGCACAAATATGAGTATATACAACAGTATATCCTTTACTTATTACTTTAGCTGATAATATGATTGAAACAAAAATTATAACACCATCTGGTGCTCAAGACAATGGTATTTTAAAGTGAGTAAAGCATAAATGGAAGTGAGGCTTACACATCCCACCCAAAGTGGTCAAACTTTGATACTACTTGGCTGGGATAAGTCACATGTACATTTTTTTTTAAGACAGAGTCTCACTCTGTTGCCCAGGCTGCAGTGCAGTGGCGGGATCTCAGCTTACTGCAACCTCTGCCTCCCGAGTTCAAGCGATTCTCCTGCCTCAGCCTCCCAAGTAGCTGGGATTATAGGCATGTGCCACCAAACCCGGCTAATTTTTGTATCTTTAGTAGAGATTGGGTTTCACCATGTTGGCCAGGCTGCTGTCGAACTCCTGACCTTAAGTGATCCATCCACCTAGGCCTCTCAAAGTGCTGGGATTAGAGGCATGAGCCACTGCGCCTGGCCAAGTCACATGTACATTTTAATGCCAACGGCGACCACTAGGAAAACTATACCATGGGATATGCTCAAAACACTAAGAATAAATCAAGAAGAAATTCTAAAAACTGTTCAAATTACCCACACAAAGGTAAAAAGGAAATTTCAAAGAACAAAGAACAAGAACTAGAATAAACAAATGGAAAATAAATAATGTGACAGACTTGGCTATACTTGCTTATAAGTTTTTTGAGATCTTTAGGAATTCCATCTACTACATCTAAGGTATCAAATTTGTTGGCACAGAGTTATTTACAGTATCTTTTTAATATCATTTTAGTGACCATGGACTCAGTAGTTATAACCCCTCTTTCATTTCTGGTATTGGCAATTTGTTTTTCTACTTTCTTGGTTAGATAGAGGCTTATCACTTTTATTTGCATTTTTAAAAAAACAGGTTTTGGTGTCTTTTTTTCTTATTATCTTTCTGTTTTCAATTTCATTGATTTCTGCTCCATTTTTAATTATTTCTTCAATTCTACTTGCTTTAGGCTCAAATTATTCATTTTATTTTATTTTATTAACTTTTCTAAGGTAAAAGCCTAGATTTTGAATGTAGATATTTATTCTTTCCTGAAACACAGATTTCATGTTATAATTTCCCTCTACTACTTTCACAGCACCCCACAAACTATAAAAAAGTTGTATTTTTATTATACTGTATATTTTAGAAGGGCTCTAGGTTTACAGAAAAATTGAGAAGATAGCGGAATTTCCATGCACCTTACACACACTTTCCCTTATCTTTAAAATCCTTTATTGGCATGTTTCATTTGTCACAGTTAATGAACCAATATAAATACATTATGATTAATTAAGTCCATAGTTTATTTATATTTCCTTATTTTTTAACCTAATGTTCTTTTTTTGTTCTAGAATACCACATTATTTTTGGTTGTCATGTCTTTTTAGGTTCCTCTTGTCTGTGGTAATTTCTCAGACTTTGCTTGTTTTGATAGCCTTCACAGTTTCGAGGAGTAATGGTCAGTTATTTTGTAAGATTCCTTATGATTAGAGTTTGATGATGATCTCATGATAATACCAGGTTGTGGGTAACTGAGAGAAAGCCATAAAGGTAAAGTGGCATGTTAATCACATCATATCGATGATACATACTATTCATATGATTTATGATTATTGATGTTGGCCTTGATGACCTTGCTGAGATAGTATTTGTCAGGTTTCTCCACTGTAAAACTCCCCCATTTCTATATCGTACTCTTTGAAGGAAGTGACAATGTGCATCCCATACTTCACACTTAAGAACTGGGGAGTTATGTTCCTTCTCTTTATCTACATAAATTATTTGGAAATCTTCTACATGGGAGATTTTTCCCTTCTCTTCATTCATTCAATCATTTATTTATATCAGTATAGACTCCTGGGTATTTACTTTACACATTGCATTATAATCTAATGTTACTTTATTTTGTTGTTCAAATTGTTATAGCTTTTGTCATTGGGAGCTCTTTCAGTTGGTTCCTATGCTTCTTTAACAAACCCCCATCTATGTGGTAGACTTTTTTGTTTGTTGTTTTGCTTGTATAATAGCATTCCCTTATTTTCTGGTTCCACAAAATGTTCCATGCTCATCATATATATATACCGCACCAGTCCTAGAATCATCCATTTCTCAAAGGAGCCCTGATTCCTTTTATTGGAAAATAGTATTAGAAAACAAGAGCTGGGTGCTAGGTGTGCTCTTTTCTACTTTAGTGTCATTTCTTTAAGGCCTCAGCAAACAGAAAAAAATATATGTGTGGCTACTAACCCACGTATATACCAATATCTATAAATATTTTATATAAAATTATCTGTATCTATATTAGGCTAAACATAAGTTCATATTGATATCTCCAACTCTAACCCATTGTTACACGAATGACTCTAGCCTCCTCCCCTTTCTTATCTATAAATTTACATTCCTACGGTCAGGAAACCTGGTTTCTACCTCCATACATGTATAACAGTATTAGCATGATTAACCCATACCTCATAGGAGATACAACTTTATCAAATACAGTGGTTATGAGTAGTTACTTTTGCCTTTATTCTTATAGACTTCACTTATTTCCAGAGTTATTTAAGTAAGCATCTTCCCCCTCCACTTCCATGGATTTTTTTTTCAAGCACTTGTAATACATTTACATTATCTTGTCACAGTCTGCATTCCTTTGCGGAACTTTCTGACCTAAGAAATTTTGTTTTAAATTTACATACCTTAAGGTTTATTCTTTGTGAAGTAAAGTTATATGAGTTTTTATAAATACATAATGTTATATACCCACCATTGTAGTATTATACAGAATAAATTCACTGCCCTAAAAATCCTCTTTGCTCCATCTACTCATTACTCCCTCTCATCTCCAAACCCCTGGCACCCACTGATCATTTTACTGTCTCTATAGTTTTGCCTCTATCTTATGTCATATAATTGGAATCATTCAATATGTAGCCTTTTTAGACTGACTTCTTTCACTTAGCAGCATGCATATAAGGTACTTCTATGTCTTTTAATGATTTGATATCTCATTCTTATCACTCAACAACATTCTGTTGTATGGATGTACCACAGTTTCTTTAACCATTCACCGATTGAAGAACATCCTGGTTGCTTCCAGTTGTTGGCATTTATAAGCAAAGCTACAATAAACATTTGTTTGTAGATTTTTATTTGAACATGAGTTTTCAAGTTAATAGGTTAAAATACCTAAAAGAGTGGTTTCTGGGACTTATAGTAAGACTATGTCTAGCTGTGTAAGAAACTGTCAAACTCTCTTTCAAAGTGTCTGTACCATTTTGCATTCCCACTGCAATGAATGAGACTGTTTTTTCTCCACATCCCTGCCAGCATATTATATTGTCAGGTTTTTTTGTGTACGTGTTTTAGCCATTCTAATAAGCATGTAACAGTATTTCATTATGGTTTTAATTTGCAATTATCTGATGACAAATTATATTGAGCATATTTTCATATGCTTATTTACTGACTGCATATCTTCTAGCCTCTGATTTAACTTCATAAGTGAACTTCATTTGGCAAGTCTCTGAAAACTTAACAAATAAAAAATGATTGATTTTTTTAACATAGGTCCTCAAACAGTTTTCTTTTTTGGTTGGAAGAACTTCTGAATAAATGTCTGAGAATTAAGTTATATTAATTTACAGGGGAAAGACATGCTATTCTGGCTTACATTGACATAATCATGGATATAAACTCAAAGATGCAAGTAATTGTCACAGGCAAGCACTCTCACATTAACAGGAGAGCTCTCCTGTTCTTATCCTACATCTCAGGCCATGACTTCTCTGTCCATTTCTCTAGTCTACTTCCCCTGTGTCTCTCCTTTGGACTCCCACTGTAGTCTGTACAGATTTATATTTAAGAATCTGCAGTTCCTATTTTGTTCTTTTTCACTTATGTATCTGCCTCTGACACAGTATTGTGAAATTCACAACTGTAATAGATCATGCTTCATTGATCTTTTTATATCCAGCATACAGAACACTTCTGGAAATAAGGTGGGCATAACTGAGCCTTTGCTACCATAAAAATTAATATTTTATAGAGACCACAGATAGGAAAAACATACACTTCCAATAGGAACTTCATATAATGCATGCTATTTTTGTAGGCACCATTTGTGTAGCTTTTGAGCATCAACTTCTGAGCAAACTATTAAGCAACTGTGAAGTTTTCTGGGAAAATCTCACTGATGAAAGTTTTGTATAATAGCCCACATGGTAACTGGCAAACTTCTCATCAAAAAGCCTGACTTAGGCAGAATTTTCAAAAGCATCTCAATCATTAATGTAATATTTTAGAATTTTCATGATACACATAAATCCATTTTGATGTTTCTTAACAATTTATATTTTATCATCCCCCCACCCCCAGAGAACTATTTCATTTTATTCTAATTTCATTATATTATCTCATCTTTAACTCAAACTCACTTAAAAGGAAATGTTATAACACTATTTAAAAGGTGAAAAAACCCCATTATGTGTCATGGCAAATAGTTCATAAACTTAATATAATAAAATATAAAAAGTATAAAATTCTAAAAATTAAAAACTGAAATAGAAATGATCAGTATAATTTATTTCCTTTTACTAAGCACTCTGTAAGTGCTGTGTCATTTAATCTTCATAATTGCCTTTTTGAACTTTGTGTACCACTCAATTCATCTTGGTGACTGACTACCACTTGCCTGAGTGAAACTCTGGAAAGCACAAACAAACAAGCAAACAAAAAAACAGCCTCTTTTGAAATGATACAGAGTTGAGCTTTAATACTAGTATCTACAATCTACCACTATCCAACCTTATAAAATATAAAAATCTTCACTACTCTTCATTGCATGGATGAAATAAACATATAAAGCAACAAGCACAGTGCCTAACAAAAAGCAAACACTCAAAAATACCAGTTATTATTATTGGCATTATTGTTCAATAGATGTACATAACATTAATGTTCTTAGATTTGAGCGTTAGACAACATTTCCCACATATTTTCTTGATGTTTGAATACGTATTTTCCTGGAAATAAGTCTTAGTCTCAAAAATGTTAAGTGGCTCAATTTCTTACGGCTTCTACATTCTAATTTCCCACTTCAATCCCCAGCCTATATCCCATTCGGCCACCAGCCAGTTTCCCTGACTGAACAAGCTCTCTCACACCTCTGTATCCATTCTCTCCTTCATACACACACATGCTAGAGAAGTCTCTGGTTGTTAATAAAGCTTTACATTCTTCACCATCTTACGTTTTCTGTGTTCTTTTATTTTCTGTTGCTATACACTAGAATAAAATATTGATGAGAGTAAGCTATCTGTCTGTTGTGCTCCCTGCTATATTCCCAGAGGCTGAAATTGATCAATAAATATTTGTTGAATTAATTACCTGACCTTTGTACTAGTCTTGGATACACAGTTGGATGCATATGGGGCTTCCACTTAAACTCTTGGAAACATGGAAATTGGACAAGTTAATCTTTTGGGGAAGGCCCATCATCCAGAGAGAAGAGTACAACCAACACTTCAGGCCAGGATGGAATTCTACCTCTCTTTCTCTCTACTTTTTTTTATTTTTTTGATTTTTTAAATTTTATTATTATTATTATATTTTAAGTTTTAGGGTACATGTGCACAATGTGAAGGTTAGTTACATATGTATACATGTCCATGCTTATGGGTAGGAAGAATCAATATCGTGAAAATGGCCATACTGCCCAAGGTAGTTTATAGATTCAATGCCATCCCCATCAAGCTACCAATGACTTTCTTCACAGAATTGGAAAAAACTACTTTAAAGTTCATATGGAACCAAAAAAGAGCCCGCATAGCCAAGTCAATCCTAAGCCAAAAGAACGAAGCTGGAGGCATCATGCTACCTGACTTCAAACTATACTACAAGGCTACAGTAACCAAAACAGCATGGTACTGGTACCTAAACAGAGATATAGATCAATGGAAGAGAACAGAGCCCTCAGAAATAACGCCGCATATCTACAACTATCTGATCTTTGACAAACCTGAGAAAAACAAGCAATGGGGAAAGGATTCCCTATTTAATAAATGGTGCTGGAAAAACTGGCTAGCCATATGTAGAAAGCTGAAACTGGATCCCTTCCTTACACCTTATACAAAAATCAATTCAAGATGGATTAAAGACTTAAACGTTAGACCTAAAACCATAAAAACCCTAGAAGAAAACCTAGGCATTACCATTCAGGACATAGGCACGGGCAAGGACTTCATGTCTAAAACACTAAAAGCAATGGCAACAAAAGCCAACATTGACAAATGGGATCTAATTCAACTAAAGAGCTTCTGCACAGCAAAAGAAACTACCATCAGAGTGAATAGGCAACCTACAAAATGGGAGAAAATTTTTGCAACCTACTCATCTGACAAAGGGCTAATATCCAGAATCTACAATGAACTCAAACAAATTTACAAGAAAAAAACAAACAACCCCATCAAAAAGTGGGTGAAGGACATGAACAGACACTTCTCAAAAGAAGACATTTATGCAGCCAAAAAACACATGAAAAAATGCTCACCATCACTGACCATCAGAGAAATGCAAATCAAAACCACAATGAGATACCATCTCACACCAGTTAGAATGGCAATCATTAAAAAGTCAGGAAACAACAGGTGCTGGAGAGGATGTGGAGAAATAGGAACACTTTTACACTGTTTGTGGGACTCTAAACTAGTTCAACCCTTGTGGAAGTCAGTGTGGTGATTCCTCAGGGATCTAGAACTTGAAATACCATTTGACCCAGCCATCCCATTACTGGGTATATACCCAAAGGATTATAAATCATGCTGCTATAAAGACACATGCACACGTATGTTTACTGCGGCACTATTCACAATAGCAAAGACCTGGAACCAACCCAAATGTCCAACAGTGATAGACTGGATTAAGAAAATGTGGCACATATACACCATGGAATACTATGCAGCCATAAACAAGGAGGAGTTCATGTCCTTTGCAGGGACATGGATGAAGCTGGAAACCATCATTCTCAGCAAACTAACACAAGAACAGAAAACCAAACACCGCTTGTTCTCACTCATAAGTGGGAGTTGAACAATGAGAACACATGGACACAGGGAGGAGAACATCACACAACGGGGCCTGTCAGGGGGTGGGGGACTAGGGGAGGGATAGCATTAGGAGAAATACCTAATGTAGATGACAGGTTGATGGGTGCAGCAAACTACCATGGCACATGTATACCTATATAACAAACCTCCACATTGTGTACATGTACCCCAGAATTTAAAGTATAATAATAAAAAAGAAATTCCCCTACACTTTACAAGTAAAAACTGATTGATTTAAAAATGAATTAACTGGAGAGATTAATGAATGAATATAAGACTGTTAATCCAATTATTTAAGTGTTTGGGTGAAAAGCATAAACATGCAGGAATATGAAATCAAGCCTCTGGACCCACAAACAGCGGCATTTTCAAGCACAGACATGCAAGTTCATAATCACAAGGATTCAGTCCTCCAGATGTGAATCCTGCTCCTAATTCCTCTACTCTTTCTCCCTCAAATTTTTTTGTCTCCTCTCCTTCTTTTCTCTCTTTCTACTGCAAATATGCCCTGTAAAGCCTACGAATGAGAATTTACATTCTTCTGTTTGTTTGTTTTCCTAGGAGACGGTTAAGAACAAGAACCAGTTTTTACTTGGTCTTTACATATGCTCTATCAGTCAGTTACACTGCATGAAACATACAGGCATTGCAGAGGGTTTACTAAATGAATGCATTTCATAATGAAACAGTGATAGCGAAAACACCCACTTTCAAACTGGAGGCAGTACACTAGTTGCTTTCCACATAGGTATCCTATGTGTGGCTTTTGTGTATCAGGAGCCATGCAAAGTCTTCTAGAAGCTGGTAGATGTCACAGGGATAGAAAGCAGATTCATTTGTCCATGGGCCTCTACACAGTGCATAGCATGGTTTTCAGCACACAAAAAGGGGTAAATCAACATTACTTAACTTAGTCATATATATATACCTTTTCAAATCTGCCACCCCCAAATATAATGTAAACTAAATATTTCACAGGAAAGGAAAAATACCATTTGTCACGAGTCAAACTCTAAAATAGACGGATGATGTAACAGCAGTATGGAATTTTAAAATGTACATTAGTGGCTTTCAGAGACACAGGGATTTCTTTACAAGACTGTGTAAAATGTGGGGACAATGACCAATGTAGGCAATGGCCTGTGATGCATGCCTCTTAAATCCCAGCTCTGCACTTCCCAGCTGTGTGAACAGGGGCAAGTAGTCTATCCTTCTGAACTTAAATTTCCTCATCTGTGAAACTGGAAGAAAGAAACTTATGTAACAGGGAATTTATGAAAACTATCAGTAAGATATGTCAAGCACCTGATACATGGTGGGCCCTGAAACAGCAATTATTATGTATTCTGATATTTTAGTTAAGAGAAACCGCCTTCAGCCAATATAATTTCTTTATTAGAATTTTAGTAATTCCACACAATAAGAAGTTCATCGGATGCAAAAATCACCCTTCTGAGATGTAGGCTGGTAGTAAAAGCCATTTGATCAAAGCTAAAGTGAAAGAATCTCAGAGTGTCATGGGTGTTCCCTCAGAGCATATCTATTGTAGTTTAGGAAAACTACTAACACAACCACTGATTTTCAAACTTGCCTCAAAATAAATAACATGGAAAAAGATGGAAAAAGGGAAAGGGAAACCTCATATTTTTCCCATCTTGTACTCCCAGAGAATGGCTGGCCCAGAGCCCACAGTCAGAAACACTCGTTGATGGTGGAAATCTCTCCAGAACTGGCTGAGTTCATTGGCAGTATGAGATGTTTTAGTGTGGAACAGGGAATGCAGCCATTTCCTGATAACAATTTTGATACATGTATATGCCTTGCTATCTTCATCTCATGAATTTGTGGAGTTTTAGAACAGCTTGGTGACCCTGGAAAGCCTGTTCTAGCCTGTGGGTACACAGTGTCATTGATAAGTAAACTATCTTCCTCGTGGGCTGGCCGGATGTCTTTGTGGAGGGGAAGGCATCCTTCCAAGACTGGAATTCTCTCATGCAGGGACTAGCTTGCATAAAAGACCCTCCTCCAGATCCAGCCTCATCAAGACCTTGAAGCAGCTGTAAGCACCAATCATTTTATCCCTTCACAAGGACTTGAAACAAACTCCATTCCTCTGCCTCTGCAGAAATTAGTGTTGAATTTTCCAGCATTTGGCCAAAGGAGCAGGAGAACAACCTTTAAGATGAGGAGCTTCTGAAAGTGTTAGGAGATGGGAGGAAAATGTTGCAGAGATGTGTGCATGAGAAACGGGGAGGGGAGCAGAGAGAACTCCAGGGGCAAGTTAAGCAGTGGGGGTCTGCCTATACTGCCGTCTTTGTGGGGTGTTCTCATCAATAAGCCTGGAAGATTCCACTCATTCAGCTACTTCCTAGTGGTCAGATACTGGGCAAGTTACATAATGCCTTAGATCTCAATCTTCTCCCTTGTGAAAATGGGAATGACAACGTTGCATTTGAAGGGTTTTCATTAGGGTTAAATGAAAAAGGTACATGAAGTGCCTAGTGTAGCCCATCCATAATTATGTGTCCTATTACACAACAATAGCGTCCACTTTATTTTCAACTCTTTCATAACATCATTCTGCTTGCATTGTGTTTAATTATATAATCGTGTTTCTTTCTGAAAGCCACTATCATATGAAAATAAAATACAATATGTAAATCACAGTACATGTCTACCCAGATAAAACCAGAGAGCTGAAAACACCACCTCAAGTCATGCTGTGTAGTAGGAACTGTGCTACTCTGTAAAGAGGTCATGGAAAATGAATGAGACTTCTGCCCTTAGGTATCTCACGGCTGCCCAGCTGTGTTTCTGTGGCATCTGGTACCTATGTGGTGCCGACACAAATGGCAACTACTGGAATAGCTGCAGACTACAAAGAGAATGTTTTCCCTATAAGTGTCATTTTCAAAAGATTAATTAATTCAATGACTATTCAGTAGTGCCCTTCTGGTTGTATCAGAGAGTGTGGATGGTGGGTTCACAAAGACCAACAAAACATGGCCCTTTCCCTCACAAGTCTCCCATCTAGCACAGGACACAAACACATTCATTACATCCACAGGTATTTTCTGAGTGACTCCAGTGTATGCTCAGCAGAGATCTGGGCTGCTTGGGATATACCAGTGAGCAAGAGACAAAGATCCCTACCATCAGGAGCTAATACTCTAGCAGGAGCCATCATTGGCTAGGAAAGAGAACAGCAATAATCATCACTAAGTAATTACATAGTCTGTTAGATGCAAAATACTATAACAGAAAGGAAACTTGGGCCAAGGAAAAGAGGATCTGGGGTATCAGCAACAGGGTGGCAAGGAAGCGTGGGTTTAGCAGTCCATCATAAGGTGGCCTGGGTAGGCCTCATCTAGAAGGTGAGAAGTGATCAAGGCCTCAAGGTGAGTGAGCAAGTTATCATTGTAGATATGGGAAAGGAGCATTCCAAGCAGAGGGAATGGCTAGAGCAAAGGCCTTGAGGAGGGAAGGAGCCTGCCTGACATAACCCAGAAGCTGCAGAGTCCAGGTCTGCTAGAGATGTGTGGCTCATGGGGACTGGTAGGGACAAAGTCAAAGAGGAAATGGGCCAGATGTTGTAGGGCCTTGTAGGTTTTGGAAGCATTTAACATTTTACTCTGATGCATAAACACAGGGCCACTAGAAAGGGTTTGGTTTCTGAATTAGAAGTCTCTGCAAGGTAGGGTAAAGGGAAAAGGAAGGTGACATCAGTGAGACAGGATCAGGCAGTGAGCAAAGAAGTGGGAGAAATCAAGGCATGCTCCATCATTATGAGAGAGGCAGCACTCGCCTGGACTTGACAATTCCACGGATCACTGGGGCCACATCCATGACCTGTGCACATCTATACCATTACTCACAAAATCACAAAAGTAGCAGTTCTGTGTGCATTCTGTCATTTGTCCAGGAAACAAACAAACAAAACAATGAGGGAGGTTATTTTGTATTCCATTCATTTTGTATTTAAGACCTTTCTAGGGAACTAGCTAGTATAGACCCAAAATGAAACCGCCTTTGTGTTTGAACAAGAGTGTCCTAGGTCCATGAAGGAAGAAAACATTAGGGAACGTACGAAGGTTGATGTGAAAGACACAACTTACCCTGCCTTCCCCGGTCCTAGTTTCATTTGTATTTTATTTAATATCGCTATTAAATAGTTAACAGGTAAAATAACAACTATCCTTTGTGATCCATGTAGATCCTGTCATCATTTCTCATTCAATCAATATGTTTTAAATCCCTGCTGGACACCAGATCCCAGGCACTGTGTTGACTCAGAGGGCAACAGACATGTTTCAGGCTGGTTCCCAGTCCTCAAATTTCTCACAAGCTTGCGGAAAAATCATTTCAAAGCTCCTTAATTAGAGCTAAAACAGAATTAAAGTCAAGGAAGCCTGGAAAAACAGAGGGTGGTACCTCAATCCCAATATAAAGGAAGGGCCAGCACATGGTCAGGAAAGCTTTCTTGGGAGAGGTGAGGTTCTGAGTAGGTAGTGTTATTATCCTTCTTTACATCTGAGAAATATTAAGGTCAAAGATATTAACTTGCCTAAGGCTGCATAGCTACTGAGAGAGCAGGATTTAAATTTTAGTTCATGTGCATTTCAAAACATCATTTCTTTTCTCATGGACTACTACCAAAATCACTTCCCCTGGCTCTGCTTCCCTTAAGTATTCTGAAGGTTTCTCAGGTACGTTGCAGTCCCTCTCCTGATAGCTGGGTTTTACCCAGCTGTGATTACCATCAAGCTCTTAGAAGGTCTTTAACATTCCCAACCCCAGGTAACAGCTGTTTCTGCAGAGCTCCTCTCTTAGGACTGTACCCCAATTAAAACACAGTTAGAAATGTCACCTTCCATGGCTTTCTCACTAAGTAAAGCACCCAACTTCCCTGAGGATAATTCTACTGTTCCTGTAAATTTTCCATCTGCCTGCCCCTTCCTACCTCTGAAAAAAAAGGCAGAAATATGTATCCTAGACTTGTTGGTTTCAGGGTAGATCCTCTAAGCTTTTATGCTAGGGATTCTGGAAATGTACATGGAAGCTCCATTCTCTTGAGTGCCTGGATCTTCCAGGTAGAAAAAAACTAGAAAGGAGGAAGACCATACCAAAAGGAATGACATGCACTGTCTATGTCAGCAACTCTTAACATAAGGGAAACATGCCATAGTAAACACAAGATGATTACATCTGGACTCAGACAGACCAGGGTGTGGATCCCAGCTCCACCACTTCCTGGCTTGCTCACTGTAACCCATCTCAGCCTGTTAATCTGTTAAAAGGGGATTTTGATACTTTTCATGTTTTTTGGTACAAAAATATTAAGTGCACAAAGAAAGCAGACCATCCATAAATCACCATCATGGCCTAGTATGATGACAGCATAGAATGTCTTCTTTTCTGTATCACTTCATTGCATTTTATCTTGCAGGGGAAATGAAAGCTTCAAATCATGAAGTAACATTTGGAGGTGACACAACTATTATTTGCTGGGAGTGAGAGAGGTACTCACATGTTCTTTTCACATTTTGTTCAGAAGAAAAACATGATGGAAAGTACCTTTCTCTGGAGTCAGTGAATCTTAGCTACTGAATACCTTATCCAAAAGGTCAATGCTGAATGTCATCAACGAAGGCCATAACAAACAACAGCTGTGGATAAGAAGAATCCTTCTGACAAGATATGGTGATGTTCACTGGCCATCAGAGAAATGCAAATCAAAACCACAATGAGATACCATCTCACACCAGTTATAATGGCGATCATTAAAAAGTCAGGAAACAACAGGTGCTAGAGAGGATGTGGAGAAATAGGAACACTTTTACACTGTTGGTGGGACTGTAAACTAGTTCAACCATTGTGGAAGACAGTGTGGTGATTCCTCAAGGATCTAGAAATAGAAATACCATTTGACCCAGCGATTCCATTACTGGGTATATACCCAAAGGATTATAAATCATGCTGCTATAAAGACACATGCATACGTATGTTTATTGCGGCACTATTCACAATAGCAAAGACTTGGAACCAACCCAAATGTCCATCAGTGATAGACTGGATTAAGAAAATGTGGCACATATACACCATGGAATACTATGCAGCCATAAAAAAGGATGAGTTCATGTTCTTTGTAGGGACATGGATGAAGCTGGAACCATCATTCTGAGTAAACTATCACAAGGACAGTAAACCAAACACCGCATGTTCTCACTCATAGGTGGGAATTGAACAATGAGAACATTTGGACACAGGGTGGGGAAGATCACACACCGGGGCCTGTCATGGGGTGGGGGGAGGAGGGGGGGGAGGGATAGCATTAGGAGAAATACCTAATGTAAATGATGAGTTAATGGGTGCAGCCCACCAACATGACACATGTATACATATGTAACAAAACTGCACATTGTGCACATGTACCCTAGAACTTAAAGTATAATAAAAAAAATAGATGAATGGATAAAGAAAATGTGGTACCTATACACAATGGAGTACTATTTGGCTATAAAAAAGCATGAGATCCTGTCATTTGTAACTGCATGGATGGGACTGGAGGTCATTATGTTAAGTGAAATAAGCCAGGCACAGAAAGACAAACATCACATATTCTCACTTACGTGTGGGACCTAAAAATAAAAATAACTGAACTCATGGAGTTAGAGAATACAAGAATGGTTACCAGAGGGTGAGAAGGGTAGTGAGGTGTGGTGGGGAGGTGGGTATGGTTAATGGGCACAAAAAATATAGTTAGAAAGAATGAATAAGATCTAATATTTGATAGAACAACATAGGGACTATAATCAAAACAATTTAATTGTACATTTAAAAATAACTAAAAGAGTATTATTGGATTGTTTGAAACATAAAGGATAAATGCTTGAGGGATTGCATGCCTGTATCAAAACATCTCATGTAGCACATAAATATATACACCTACTATGTACCCACAAAAATTTAAAAAAATAAAAAATTTTAAAAAGAAAAAAAAAAGATACAGTGATGTTGTGGGCATGCAGGCTATGGAGACAGGAAGCCTTGAACTCAAATACAAACTCCACTCTGAGTCCTCATTTTCTCTTCTATAAAATGGACTTATTAACTGCCTCCCTCTCTAAGAGTTAATGGGATAACAGTTAAATAGGACACAGGGCATAACACAGAGCCTCTCACAGGGACTGTACTCAACAAATGTTAGATGTCTTAACCTCATCCCTTTCTTTCTGACTCCAGGAAAAGTTAAATGTCAACATCTTTAAGTAGACGTTACGTTTCCACAAGGAAGAATCTTTTCTCTCTCTCTCTTTGGTTGGATTTTGATGGATGGCTGTTAATAGTTGGAGCAGCCATTTTTTAATGCATATCAAAACACCCCGAAGTTTTGTACTTTAAGCAACAATGAATTATTTTGTTCACCATTGTTCAAGTCAATTCCAGCTTAGGAGGAGGCAGCGCACGATGATCAAATGATGCCTCAACCAGTTGTCCTCCAAATAGGAACAGCAAATTGACCAACTATCCACACAAATGGGCACCTTTATGAGAGCCAAAAATCAGGTGAGTGATCACAGGACCTGGTTTTAACTTCATATCACCAAAAGGGGCAACGAGGTGGGTAGGAAGACAATCTTGAATTGCCGATGCCACCCCCTCCCACACCCTGGCAGCAGCCACCTGATGCGGAGAGAGAATCTGTGCATGTGGGGGAGGGAGAGCACAGTGATTGTGAGACTTTGCATTGGAACTCCATGCTGTCCTGTCACAGTGCAACACACACCATGAAGAACTCAGCTGACACCCAGGGAGGGAACATTTAGACCAGTCCTAGCTAGAGGGGTATCACCCATCCCAGTGGTCAGAACCCGAGTTCTGGCATGCCCTGCCACTATGGGCTAAAGGGCTCTGTGGTGCTAAATAAACCTGAAAGGCAGGCTAGACCACCAGGACTGCAATTCCTGGACAAGTCCTTGTGCTAGGCTGGACTAGTAGACTTGGGGGGCACACAGCCTACTGAGATACCAGCTGCGGCTGCCAATAGAGTACATGTCCCACCATCTCCCCAGCCTCAGGCAGTACAGCTCACAGCACTAGGAGAGTCTCCTTCCGTCCTCTTAAGGAGAAGAGAGGAAAAAGTAAAGAGAATCTTGTCTTGCAACTTGGTTACCAAGTCAGCCACAGTAGAAGAAGGCACCAGGGAGAGTCCTGAGGCCTTAGCTCTGGGACGACATTTATAGACACACCCCGGGCTAGAAGGAACCAGTCCTGGCAGGAGTCATCACCTGCTGAAGAGCCCTCAGGCCCTAAATCAGCAGCAGCAGCACCCAGGAAGTACTTAGCCTTGGGTGACATTCAGGGACATGCTAGCTTCAGGTGTGACCCAGCACATTCCTATCTGTTGTGGCTAGGGAGAGAGACTCCTTCCGTTTGAGAAAGTAGAGTGAAGTTTGAAGAAGATTTTGGCTTACACCTTAGGTACCAGCTCAGCCACAGTGGGGTAGAGTACCAAGTGAGCTCTTGGGATCGCCACTTCCAGGCTTGGCTCTTGGATGGCATTTCTGGACCTGCCCTGGGCCAGAGGGCAGTCCACTGCCCTGAAGGGAGAGTCCCAGGCCTGGCAGCATTTACTTCAAGCTGACTGAAGAGCTCTTGGGCCTTGAATGAATATTGGCAGTAGCTAAGCAGTACTCGCTGTGGGCCTGGGACAGTGGTGGCCACAGGAAGAGACTCAACTGCATGTAGAAAGGGGAGGGAAGAGTGGGAAGGACTATGACTTGTGCCATGCATGCCACTTCAGCCACAGTAGGATAGAGCACCAGGTAGATTCTTAAGGTGTCCAACTCTAGTCCCTGGCTCCCAGATGGCACTTCTGGACTGGCCCAGGCACTGAGGGAACTTGCCACACTGAAGAAAAAGATACAAGCCAGGCTTGCTCCACCACCTACTGACTGTAGAGCCATAGGGCCTTAACTGAACATAGGAGGCAACAGGTAAAGATTAACGTGAGCCTTGGGCAAGACCCGTTGCTGTGCTGCCTTCAGGTCTGACCCACCTCAGTCCCAATTGTGGTGGCCACAGGGGTGCAGCTCAGCATAGAGAGAGAGACTTTGTTTGGGGGAAAGTAGAGAGAGAGAGAGCGAGCAAGAGTCTCTGCCTGGTATTCCAGAGTATTTTTCTGGGTCTTATCCAAGACAACCAAGGAGGGAACGCTATGACTCTGAAAAAGCAGTGCTCCCAAGTTTGTGGTGTCCCTAATGAAAATATGGCTGCAATGACCCAAACTTAGATTACAACACCCGAGTCCCTTAGAATGCCTGGGAAGGCTTCCCAAAAGAAGGATGGGTACAAAGAAGCCCAGACTATGAACACTACAGTAAATACCTAACTCCTCAAGGCCCAGACACTGATGAACATCCACAAGCATAAAACTATCCAAGAAAAGAGGATCTAACCAAGGGAACTAAGCCACCAGAAACAAATCCTGGAGAGATGTGGGAGCTTTCAGAGAATTCAAAATAGCTGTTTTGAGGAAACTCAAAGAAATTCAAGATAACACAGAGAAGGTTCTCAGAATCCTATCAGATAAATTTAACAAAGAGATGGAAATAATTTTTAAAAATCAAGCAAAAATTCTGAAGTTGAAATAGGCCATAAACTTGAAAGGCAGTCTAGGCCACAAGGACTGCAATTCCTGGACAAGTCCTTGTACTGTGTTGGACCAGCAGACTTGGATGGAACACAACCTACTGAGATACCAGCCGGGGCTGCCAATGGAGTGTGTGTCCCACATTGAAACATATGGAAGAATGCATCAGAGCCTCTTAACAGCAGAACTGATTAAGCAGAAGAAATAACTCATGATCTTAAAAACAGGCTATTTGAAAATACACAGTAAGGCCGGGCACAGTGGCTCATACCTGTAATCACAGCACTTTGGGAGGCTGAGGCAGGCAGATCATGAGGTCAGGAGATCGAGACCATCCTGGTCAACATGGTGAAACCCCATCTCTACTAAAAATGCAAAAATTAGCTGGGTGTGGTGGCATATGCCTGTAATCCCAGCCACTTGGGAGGGTGAGGCATGAGAATTGCTTGAACCCAGGAGGCAGAGGTTGCAGTGAGCCAAGATCGTGCCAGTACACTCCAGCCTGGTGACAGAGCGAGACTCCATCTAAAAACAAACAAACAAACAAACAAAAACACAGTGAGAGGAGACAAACAAAGAAAAGAATTAAAAATGAATGCAGTAGCTAGAAAGCCTCAGAAGGGCAAATTTAAGAGAGTTATTTGCCTTAAAGAGGAGGTAGACAGAGAGATACGGGTAGAAAGATTATTCAAAGAGATAATATAAGAGAACTTCCTAAACTAGAGAAAGATACCAATATTCAAGTACGAGAACGTTGTAGAACACCAAACAGATTCAACCAAAATAAGACTACCTAAAGACATTTAATAATCAAACTCCCAAAGATCAAGGATAAAGAAAGAATACTAAAAACACTAAGAAAAAAGAAGCAAATAACATAAAATGGAGCTCCAATAGGTCTGGCAGCAGACTATTCAGTGGAAACCTTACAGGCCAAGACAGCATGATATAAAGTGCTAAAGGAAAAAAATTTAACCTAGAATAGTATGTCCAGTGAAAATATCCTTCAACATGAAAGAGAAATAAAGACTTTCCCAGACTAACAAAAGCTGAGGGATTTTATCAACACTATACGTGTCCTACAGGAAATGCTAGACAGAGTTCTTCAATCTGAAAGAAAAGGAAGTTAATGAGCAAAAAGAAATCATCTGAAAGTACAAAACTCACTGTTAATAGTAAGTTCACATAAAAACACAGAATCTTATAGCACTGTAATTGTGGCATGTCAACTACTCTTATCTTGAGTAAAATGACTAAAAGATGAACATCAAAAATAACCACAACAACTTTTCAAGACATACACAGTACAATATGATATAAATAGAAACAACGAAAAGTTAAAAAGCAAGGGGATGAAGTTAAAGTGTAGAGTTGTATTAGTTTTCTCTTTTTTAGTTAGTTTATGCAATGAGTGTTAAGTTGTCATCAGTTTAAAATGATGGGTTATATTATTTGCAAGCCTCATGGTAACCTGAAATCAGAATGCATACCACAGATCCAGAAAACATGAAAAGCAAAAAATTAAACCATATCACTAAAGAAAATCACCTTCATTAAAAGAAAGATAGGTAGGAAGGAAGGAAAGGAGGAAGAGAAGACCACGAAACAATCAGAAAACAATAAAATGGTGGAAGAAAGTCCTTACAAATCAATAATAACACTGAATATAAATGGACTAAACTCTCCAATAGAAAGACATAGAGAGGCTGAATGGATTTTAAAAAACTATACCCAGTGACCACTTGCCTATATGAAACATACTTTACCTATAAATATACACATAAACAGCAGTTAATGGAATGGAAAAAGATATTCCATGCCAATGGATACCAAAAAAACAAGCAAGAGTAGCTATACTTATATCAGAGAAAATAGTTTCAATATAGAAACTATAAAAAAGACAAAGAAGACAATTGTATAATAATCATAAGTTGCTCAATTCAGCAAGAGGGAATAAAAATTGTAAATATATATGCACCTAGCACTGGAGCACCCAGATATATAAAGTTAATATTATTAGAGCTAAAGAGAGAGAGATACCCCATCATGATAATAGGTAGATACTTCAACATCCCACTTTGAGCATTGAACAGACCATCTAGACCGAAAACCAAAGAAACATCAGCATTAATCTGCACTACAGACCTAATAAATGTACCTAATAGATATTTACAGAACATTTCAAACAATGGCTACAGAATACACATTCTTCTCCTCAGTGAATGGATCATTCTCAAGGATAAACCATATGCTAGGTCACAAAACAAGACTTAAAAATTGAAAAAAAAAATGAAATGATATCAAGTATCTTCTCTGACCATAATGGAATAAAACTAGAAACAAATAACAGAAGGAATTTTGAAAACTATACAGACATTTGGACATTAAGCAATATGTTCCTGAATGACCAGTGGGTCAATGAAAAAATTAAGAAGAAAATTGAGTCAGGCGCAGCAGCTTATGCCTCTAATCCCAGCATTTTGGGAGGCCAAGGTGGGTGTATCACCAGAGGTCAGGAGTTGGAGACCAGCCTGACCAACATAATGAAACCCCGTCTCTTACCCTAAAAATAAAAAATTAGCTGGGTATGGTAGTGCATGCCTGTAATCCCAGCTACTTGGGAGGCTGAGGCAGGAGAATCACTTGAACCTGGGAGGTGGAGGTTGCAGTGGGCCAAGATCGCACCATTGCACTCCAGCCTTAACAAAAAGAGCAAAACTCCACCTCGAAAAAAAAAATAGTGATTGAAACAAATGATAATGGAAACACAATATACCAAAACCTATGGGATACAGGAAAATAAATATTAAGATGAAAGTTTATAGTTAAAAGTGCCTACTTAAGATAAAACAACTTCAAATAAACAACCTAACAATGCACCTTAAAGAGCTAGAGCAGCAAGAACCAATCAAATCCAAAGTTACTAGAAGAAAAGAAATAATAAAGACCAGAGCAGAAATAAATGAATTGAAATGAAGAAAAGAATACAAAAGATCAATGAAGCAAAAAGTTGCCTCTTTGAGAAGATAAAATTAACACAAATTTATTCAAAGTAACTAATAAAAAAGAGAGAAGACTTAAATCAATAAAATCAGAGATGAAAAATGAAATATTACAACTGATACCATGGAAATTCAAAGGATCATTGAAGAGAAAAGACATTCTCTTCAATAAATGGTACTGGGAAAACTGGATATCCATATGCAGAAGAATGAAACTAGACCTCTATCTCTCACCATATACAAAAATCAAATCAAAATAAAGTCCTAAATCTAAGAACTCAAACTATGAAACTACTACAAGAGAACATTGGGAAACTCTCCAGGACATCAGTCTGGGCAAACATTTCTTGAGTAATAACCCACAAGCACAGGCAACCAAAGCCAAAATGGACACATGGGATCACATCAAGTTAAAATTATTCTGCACAGCAAAAGAAACTACAAAAAAATTAAGGAGACAATCCACAGAATGGGAGAAAATATTTTCAAACTATCCATATGACAACAGATTAATAACCAGAATATATTAAGAGCTCAAACAACACAATAACAAACCTCATACACTGTTGCTGGGAATTTAAAGTCATACAACCATTATGGAGAACAGTTTGGAGATTCCTCAAAAGACTAAAGACAGAGTTACCATATGTTCTAGCAATACCACTGCTAGGTATCCAAAGGAAGCAAATCAGTATATGGAAGAGATATCTGCACCTGCATGTTTATTGCAGCACTATTAACGATAGCCAAGATTTAGAAGCAATCTAAGTGTCCATCAACAGGTGAATGGATACAGAAAATGTGGTGCATATACACAGTGGAGTACTATTCAGCCATTAAAAAATGAGATCCTATGATTTACAACAACATGGATGAAAATGGAGATCATTCTATGAAGCGAAATAAGCCAGGCACAGAAAGACAAACTTGGCATGTTTTCACTTATCTGTGAGAGCTAAAAATTAAAACAATCAAACTCATGGAGATAGGAGGTAGAATGATGGTTACCAGAGACTGAGATGGGTAGTTGGTAGGGGTGAAGTTGTGGGGGTGGTTAATGGGCACAAAAACATACTTAGAATGAATAAGATCTACTATTTTATACCAAAATAGAATGACTAAAGTCAACAATTTATTGTACATTTAAAAATAACTAAAAGAGTATAATTGGATTGTTTGTAACACAAAGAATGGATAAATGCTTGAGGTGAAGGACGCCCCATTTACCCTGATATGATTACTATGAGCTGTATATACCATGTACTCTATAAATATAAAAACCACAATTTTTTTTCTTTCTTTTTTTTTTTTTAAGACAGAGTCTCATCTGTCGCCCAGGCTGGAGTGCAGTTGTATGATCTCGGCACACTGCAACCCTCTGCCTCCTGGGTTCAACAATTCTCTTGCCTCAGCCTCCCAAGTAGCTGGGACTACAGGTGTGTGCCACCACACCCAACTAATTTTTGTATTTTTTAGTACAGACAGGGTTTCGCCACGTTGGCTAGACTGGTCTCAAGCTCCTGAACTCCTGACCTCAGGTGATCCACCCACCTAGGCTTCCCAAAGTGCTGGGATTACAGGCATGGCCCACCACACCTGGCCCCTAACAAAAATTTAAAATTAAAAAAAATTCCAGCTGGGCTCATCTCAGTTGTTCTGCTGTTCTTGGCTAAGCTTACTTACGCATCTAAGGATAGTTCCCTCTTATGACCTATTTAGTTCTTCTGGGGCCCTAATAGTCTAGGATGGCCTCACCCATATGTTGCACAATGGGATCACTGTCACTTGGGGTGAAGGGGATGAATGGCCCATGGATCTTAGATGTGACACAAAAGTACAATCTGCAACACAATGCCCAACATAAAAAATTGTTAAATTTGATTTCAACGATGTTAAAAATTGTTCCTCAAAAACAGTAATAGAAGGAAAAGTCACAGACTGCAAAAAAATCTTTTCAAAGCATATATCTGATAAAGAACTTATATCTATAATATATAAAGAGTTATCAAAACTCAACAATAATAAACAACCAAATTAAAAATGGGCAAAGGATTTGAAAACATGTCAAGTAAGCACAGGAAAATATGCTCAATATCATTTGGGAAAATGCAAATTAAAACCCAAATAAGAAACCACTACATACCTATTACAAGGTCTACAATTTTAAAAAGCTGACCATACCAAGTTTTATGAGAATGTGGAGGAACTGGAACTCTCATACACTGCCAGTTGAAATGTAAAATTGTACAACCACTTTGCAAAACAGTGTTTTAGTTACTTAAAAAGCTAAACATATACCTATCATATGGTCCAGCCATTCTACTACTATGTATTTACCAAAGAATAAAAAATATATATGTCCATGTGCTATGGTTTGGATAAGGTTTGTATGTCCCCACCAAAACTCATGTTGCAATTTGATCCTCAGTGTGGCAGTGTTGAGAGGTAGGGACTGGTGGGAGGTGTTTGGGTTGTGGGGACAGATTTTTCTTGTTTTTTTCTTGTAAATTTGTTTAAATTCCTTATAGATTCTAGATATTAGACTTTTGTCAGATGCATACTTTGCAAAAATTTTCTCTCAATCTGTAGGTTGTTCACTCTATTGTCAGTTTCCTTTGCTGTGCGAAAGCTCTTTAATTTAATTAGATACCATTTGTCAATCTTTGCTCTTGTTGCAATTGCTTTTGGCATCTTCCTCAATAAATTTCTGCCTGTTCCTGTGTCTAGAATGGTATTGCCTAGGTCGTCTTCCAGGGTTTTTATAGGTTTGTGTTTTACATTTAAGTCTTTAATCAATCTTCAATTAAATTTTGTATGTTGTATAAGAAAGGAGTCCAGTTTCAATCCTCTGCATATGGCTAGCCAGCTATCCCAGCACCATTTATTAAATAGGGAATCCTTTCCCCATTGCTTATTTTTGTCAGCTTTGTTGAAGATCAGATAGTTGTACCTATGAGGCCTTATTTCTGGGTTCTCTATTCTGTTCCGTTTGTCTATGAATCTGTTTTTATACCTATACCCTGCTGTTTTGGTTACTGTAGCCCTGTAGGATAGTTTGAATTCAGGTAGCATGACACCTCCAACTTCGTTCTTTTTGCTTAGGATTGCCTTGGCTATTCAGGATCCTTTTAGTTCCGTATGAATGTTAAAATAGTTTTTTCTACTTCTGTGAAAACTGTCCATGCTTGTTTAATAGGAATAGCATTGAATCTATAAATTACTTTGGACAGTATGGCCATTTTAAAAAGGAGCATGGAATGTTTTTCCATTTGTGTCATCTGTGATTTATTTGAGGAGTGTTTTGTAGTTCTCCTTGTACAGATCTTTTACCTCCCTGGTTAGCTATATTTCCAGTTATTTTATTATTTCTGTGACAATTGTGAATGGAACTGCATTCCTGAGCTGCACTCCTCAGCTTGACTGTTGTTTGTGTATAGTAATGTTAGTGATGTTTGCACATTGATTTGGTATCCTGAGACTTTGCTGAAGTTGTTTATCAGCTTATGAAGCTTTGGGCTGAAACTGTGGAGTTTTCTAGATATAGGATCATGTCATCTGCAAACTGGGATAGTTTGACTTCCTCTCTTCCTATTTGGATGTGCTTTATTTTTTCTCTGGTTGCCCTTGCCAGGATTTCCAATACTATGTTGAATAGAAGTGGTGAGTGAGGGCATCTTTGCCTTGTGTCAGTTTTCAAGGGGAATGCTTACAGCTTAGGCCCATTCAGTATATAATGCTGGCTGTGGGTTTGTCATAGATGTCTCTTATTATTTTGAGGTATATTCCTTCAATACCTAGTCTATTGAGAGCTTTTAACATTAAGGGGTGAATTTTATCAAAAGACTTTTCTGCATCTATTTAGTAATCATGTGATTTTTTTATCTTTAGTTCTGTTTATGTGATGAATCACATTCATTGATTTGCATATGGTGAACCAACCTTGCATCCCAGGATAAAACCTACTTGATTATAGTGGATAAGCTTTTTGATGTGCTGCTGGATTCGATTTGCCAGTTTTTCTTGAGAATATTTGCATAAATGTTCACCAAGGATATTGGCCTGAAGTTTTCTTTTTTTGTTGTGTCTCTGCCAGGTTTTGGTATCAGGATGATGCTGGCTTCATAGAATGAGTTGAGGAGAAGTCTCTCCTTCTCATATTTTTTTTTCCTGAATACTTACAGTAGGAATGGTATCAGCTCTTCTTTGTACATCTGGTAGAATTTGGCTGTTAATCTATCTGGTCCTGGGCTTTTTTTTGGTTGGTAGGCAATTTATTACTGCTTCAATTTTAGAGCTCATTTTTGGTCTATTCAGAAATTCAATTTCTTCCAGGTTCAGTCTTGGGAGGGTGTATGTGTCCAGGAATTTACCCATTTCTTCTAGATTTTTTACTTTATGTGCATAGAGGTGTTCATAATATACTCTAGTGGTTCACTGTTTTTCTGTGGGGTCAATGGAAATATCCCTGTTGTCATTTCTGATTGTGTTTATTTGAATCTTCTCTCTTATTAGTCTAGCTAGTGGTCTATTTTATTAATTTTTTCAAAAAAAAACAGCTCCTGGATTTGATCTTTTGAATGGTTTTTCATGTCTTAATATCTGTCAATTCAGCTCTCATTTTGGTTATTTCTTGTCATCTCCTAGCTTTGGGATTTGTTTGATCTTGGTTCTGTAGTTCTTTTAGTTGTGATGTTAACTTCAGATCTAACTTTTTGATGTGGGCACTTAGTGCTATAAATTCCTCTCTTAACACTGCCTTAGTTGTGTCCCAAAGATTCTGGTATGTTGTATCTTTGTTCTCATTAGTTTCAAAGAACATCTTTATTGCTGCCTTACTTTCATTATTACCCAAAAGTCATTCAGAAGCAAGTTATTCAATTTCCATGTAATTGTATGGTTTTCAGTGAATTTCTTAGTCTTCATTTCTAATTTAACTGCATTGTGGTCCAAGAGATTGTTATGATTTCAGTTTTTTTTTAATTTGCTGAAGAGTATTTTATTTCCAATTATGTGATTGGGATTTTAGAGTATGCACCATGCGGTGATGAAAGGAATATATATTCTGTTGTTTTCATGTGCAGAATTCTTTAGATATCTATCAGGTCCATTTGACCTAGGGCTGAATTCAGGGTTCTGAATATCTTTAATTTTCAGTCTTGATGATCTGTGTAATATTGTCAGTGGGGTGTTAAAGTCTCCGAGTATTACTGTGTGGGAGTTTGTCTCTTTGAAGGTCTGTAGTAAATTGCTTTACAAATCTAGGTGCTCCTGTGTTGGGTGCATATATATTTAGGATAGTTAGATATTCTTGTTGAACTGAACCCTTTACCATTAGGTAATGCCTTTCTCTGTTTCTGATTTTGTTGTTTTAAACTCTGTTTTGACTGAAACTAGGACTGAAACTAATCCTCACTTTTTTTCTGTTTTCCATTGCTTGGTAGATTTTTTTCTCCATGCCTTTATTTTGAGCCTATGTGTGTCATTGCATGTGAGATGGGTGTCTTGAAGACAGTATACCAATGGGTCTTGGTTCTTTATCTACCTTGCCACTCTGGAGCATCTTAATTGGAGCAGTTAGCCCATTTAAATTTAAGGTTAGTATTGATATGTGTAAATTTGATCCTATCATGATGTTAGCTGGTTACTTTGCAGACTTGTTTATGTGGTTGCTTTACAGTGTCACTGGTCTGTGTACCTCAGTTTTTTGTAGTGGCTAGTAATGGTCTTTCCTTTCCATATTTAATGCTTCCTTCAGGAGCTCTTGTAAGGCAGGTCTGGTGGTAACAAATGCCCTCAGCATTTGTCTAAACATGATCTTATTTTTTCTTCACTTATAAAGCATAGTCTGGCTGGCTATGAAATTCTGGGTTGGAATATATTTTCTTTAAGATTGTTGAATATTGGCCTGAATCTCTTCTGGCTTGTACATTTTTTATTTTGACCTTTGAGAATCTGATGATTATGTGTCATGGGGATAGTCTTCTTTTGAAATATTTTACTGGGCTTCTCTGCATTTCCTGAGTTTGAATGTCAATCTCTTTAGCTAAGGGAGGTTCTCACGGATGATATCATGAAATATGTTTTCGAAGTTGATTCCATTTTTTCAGGGACACAGATCAGTATAGATTTAGTCTGTTTACATAATCCCATGTATCGCAGAGATTTTGTTCATTCCTTTTCATTCTTTCTTCTCTATTCTTGTCTTATTTCATTTTTTAAATTTTATTATTTATTTTTTCAAACAGAGTCTCACTCTCAGTCAGGCTGGAGTGCAGTGGCTCACTGCAACCTCTTCCTCCCAGGTTCAAGCAATTCTCATGCCTCAGCCTCCCAAGCAGCTGGGATTATAGGCATGTACCACCATGCCCAGCTACTTTTTGTATTTTTGGTAGAGACAGGGTTTCACCATGTTGGCAAGGCTCGTCTCAAACTCCTGGCCTCAAGTGATCTACCCACCTCGGCCTCCCAAAGTCCTGGGATTAGAGGCATGAGCCACCACACCTGGCCCTGACTATCTTATTTCATAAAGCCAGTCATCAAGCTCTGAGATTCTTTTCTTTGCTTGGTCTATTCTGCTATTAATACTTGTGATTGCTTTATGAAATTCTTGTAGTGTGCCTTTCAGCTCTATCAGGTTGGATATGTTCTTTTCTATACTGTCTATTTTGTCTGTCGGCTCCTGTTTTATCATAATTTTTAGCTTCCTTGGATTGGGTTTCAATGTACCCCTATTGCTCAATGGCCTTCATTTCTATTCGTATTTTGAATTCTATTTCTGCGATTTCAGCTATCTCAGCCCAGTTCAAAGCTTTTGCTGGAGAGGTGATGTGGTCATTTGGAGGAAAGAAGGCATTCTGGCTTTTTAAGTTTCCAGGGTTCTTGCACTGATTCTTTCTCATCTTTGTGGGCTTATCTACCTTCAATCTTTAAGGTTGCTGGCCTTTGGTGGGTTTTTTTTTTTCTTCTTTTATCCTACTTGATGACTCTGAGGGTTTGATTGTAGTATGAGGTGGATTCAGCTGACTGGCTTGGTTTCTGAAAGATTTGATGGGACCAATGCACAGTTCTCAAATCCTGGACTGCGTACTCTAATTCTGGGGGACTTGGATTGGGTCCTGACTTTGTTCTCTGGCTCCTTGAGATTAGGAATACACTGCACTGGGACGCAAGGTGCAGTAGCTGTGGCAGAGTTCTAGCAGGTGCCAGGGTACCTGCCTCCCTGCAGGCATTCAATACAGTGGCAGAAGCAAGGCAGCTAGGGAGGGGACAGGGAGCTACTGCTGGCAACTGCGTGAGCAGTGTGCTGAAGGTGGTGTTGGCTCAGCAGTGGGGCGCTGGCAGGCACCGGTCTGGATGCTTTCTTTGTACCCTGCAAGCAGGAGTGATCACTCAGGGTGGGAGATGATCTGCTCTTCTCTGTGCAGTGTTAGCACAAGGGTGGGGTGCTGGTGGGGGAAGGGCTAGCTGGCTCTTTGGCCAGGGGTGGGGGGCTGGACTGTACTCCTGCACATTAGCCAGACAAGAAAAGCAAAACTCACCCATGCAAACAGGTGCCAGCAAAGTGATGTGGGGAGTTGCTGTGGTCATGGGGGAAGCTGCTGTATGGGGAGGGAGTAGGTGGGCTGTTGTGTGTCTGTAGGGGCTGCCCTGCTGGAGTTGGAGCTCTCCACCAGTCAGTCATGGTCCACCAGCACAGAAGCTATTGTGTGGGCCCCCATAGCACCTGAGACTGCACGCAAGCAGGAATGACCAGGCTGGGGTCCCAGGAGAGGCCAGCAAACCAAGGGGTGCTCAGGTCGGACCAGCCTTGACTGATGGGCAAGACCACCCTGCAGAGTTCAGGTCTGACAGCTCCCCTAGGTCTAGAGTCTCCTATAGGAAGCAATTCAAGCTTAGGGTAATGGCCATCTCTGGCCATGCTCTGCTACAGACACTTTTGCACCAAACCGTGTGAGCTCCACGTCATCTAGTTTGCTGCCCCTACCACTTCTCTATTAGCTTTCCCTGCTAACTCTAGTTTCTCTGGTGGTTGAAGGGTCTCCTCCTGCTGGGTTCCAGAGGCCCGTGGTGAAAGTGGGTTGCTCTTTGCCAGTTCAACTCACCCAATTCCCCTCAAGCCATTGTGGGCCAGGAATGAGTCCCAGTGAGGGGTAGCCCCACGTAGGGTTCCCAGCTTTCTCCCTCTTCAGCCCAGCTTCGGTGTCTTCCCTCCATCCACTCTCAGTGCCTTCCCTCTGAAGATCTGTTAGGAGCACACCAATCATCTGGGTCCCTAAGTGGGAGCCATTCCACCTGGCTGCATCCAGTCGGCCATCTTGCCCTCCTCCCCTCTTTTCTTTATAAATTACTCAGTCTCAGGTATTCTTTCATAGCAACATGAAACAGATTAAGACACCAAGTAAAAAGTTTCACCTGAAAGTCTATTGAAGCTTTATTTGTGATACCCCTAAACTGGAAATAACATAACTGCCCATTAACTGATGAATGGTTAGTTGTGGCATAGTCATACGATGGAATATTAGTAATAAGAAGGAAGGAGGTATTGACACATGCGATATGGATAAATCTCAGAATAATTATCTGAGTGAAAGAAGCAAGAAATAAATACATAGTGTATCTGATTCCATTTCCATAAAACTCTAGGAAGTGCAAATTAATAAGAAAATAACAGAAGTCAGTTCAATGGTTGCATGGGTTTAAGGAGTGGTGGGCAGAGTGTTAAGTATGAATTACAAAGGGTCAAAAGAAAAACTTTTAGGGGTAATGAATACATTAATTGTCTTGAATATAGGGATGGTTTTACAAATCTATACATATGTCAAAACTTCAAATTGTACAATTTTAACACACAAGACTTATTATATGACAATTATATCACAAAAAAACTGTTAAAAATGGCCATGAGGGAAAATTTATGGATAACAAAAGCATTCTTGAACTGGATTGTTGTGATGTTTATGCAACTGTAAACATTTCCTAATAAGTTATCTCAATTTAGGGTTACAATGGATGATCCTTTTGGTATATTAACTATAATGTAGTAAAACAATTTAAAAATTACTAGATATTTTCCCTTTCCTTGGTGATTTGGTAGGCAGGATTTTATGCTGTGAACGGGTATGGTGAGAGATAAAAGGTGAGAGGATTGGTCTGATGAGAGATTTTGAAAAGGCTGTGTGCAGAATGAGAGAGAGTACTTACTGAAGAAACATGGAAAGCTTTTCAGGCAGCACACATGGCCCAGGTAAAGCACATATTAAGTACTCCAAAATACCAATTAAAGGAGAAAATAATGCATAAAGTTACTTATACAACTAATATTTATTGAGCACCCACCATGTAACAGGCACTCTGTTAGAGACAATGTTTAATTTCAATCACTAATTTTTGCTTCATTCACTTACTATACTACAATGTTCACCTTGTAAGACCCCAATGGCTTTTGTAGTATTAATTACTGCTAAAGTGAATATCTCTTTTTATTTAAGTATCTGCCTACAAACAAATGGAAGAACATTCCATGCTCATGGGTAGGAAGAATCAATATCATGAAAATGGCCATACTGCCCAAGGTAATTTATAGATTCAATGCCATCCCCATCAAACTACCAATGACTCTCTTCACAGAATTGGAAAAATCTACTTTAAAGTTCATATGGAACCAAAAAAGAGCCCACATAGCCAAGTCAATCCTAAGCCAAAAGAACAAAGCTGGGGGCATCATGCTACCTGACTTCAAACTATACTACAAGGCTACAGTAACCAAAACAGCATGGTACTGGTACCAAAACAGAGATATAGACCAATGGAACAGAACAGAGCCCTCAGAAATAATGCCGCATATCTACAACTATCTGATCTTTGACAAACCTGACAAAAACAAGAAATGGGGAGACAATTCCCTATTTAATAAATGGTGCTGGGAAAACTGGCTAGCCATATGTAGAAAGCTAAAACTGGATCCCTTCCTTACACCTTATACAAAAATTAATTCAAGATGGATTAAAGACTTAAATGTTAGACGTAAAACCATAAAAACCCTAGAAGAAAACCTAGGCATTACCATTCAGGACATAGGCATGGACAAGGACTTCATGTCTAAAACACCAAAAGCAATGGCAACAAAAGCCAAAATTGACAAATGGGATCTAATTAAACTAAAGAGCTCCTGCACAGCAAAAGAAACTACCATCAGAGTGAACAGGCAACCTACAGAATGGGAGAAAATTTTTGCAACCTACTCATCTGACAAAGGGCTAATATCCAGAATCTACAATGAACTCAAACAAATTTACAAGAAAAAAACAAACAGCCCCATCAAAAAGTGGGTGAAGGATATGAACAGACGCTTCTCAAAAGAAGACATTTATGCAGCCAAAAGACATGAAAAAATGCTCATCATCACTGGCCATCAGAGAAATGCAAATCAAAACCATAATGAGATACCATCTCACACCAGTTAGAATGGCGATCATTAAAAAGTCAGGAAACAACAGGTGCTGGAGAGGATGTGGAGAAATAGGAACACTTTTACACTGTTGGTGGGACTGGAAACTAGTTCAACCCTTGTGGAAGTCAGTGTGGTGATTCCTCAGGGATCTAGAACTAGAAATACCATTTGACCAAGCCATCCCATTACTGGGTATATACCCAAAGGATTATAAATCATGCTGCTATAAAGACACATGCACATGTATGTTTATTGCGGCACTATTCACAATAGCAAAGACTTGGAACCAAGCCAAATGTCCAACAATGATAGACTGGATTAAGAAAATGTCGCACATATACACCATGAAATACTATGCAGCCATAAATAATGATGAGTTCATGTCCTTTGTAGGGACATGAATGAAGCTGGAAACCATCATTCTCAGCAAACTATCGCAAGGACAAAAAACCAAACACCACATGTTCTCACTCATAGGTGGGAATTGAACAATGAGAACACATGGACACAGGAAGGGCAACATCACACACTGGGGACTGTTGTGGGGTGGGGGGAGGGGGGAGGGATAGCATTAGGAGATATACCTAATGCTAAATGACGAGTTAATGGGTGCAGCACACCAACGTGGCACATGTATACATATGTAACAAACCTGCACGTTGTGCCCATGTACCCTAAAACTTAAAGTATAATAATAATTTTTGTTTTAAAAAGTGCACCTCAAAAAAAAAGAATTCTATAAATGCTATGCAAAGTAATTTTTATAACTGCCTTGTAAATGTTGACCACTCAACTCATCTTGGTCACTACCAGTTGCCTGTTTACAATTCTGGAAGCACAAAGTTGTGAAAAAGAACAAGGGTTTTGAAATTTGACAGACTGGACATGGGCTTCAATCCTAATACCTGGAATCTACTGCTATCCAACCGTATAAAATATAAAAACCCTAACTACTTTTCATTGCAGCGGATGAAATTAACATGGAAAGCAACTAGCATATGGCCTAACAAACAGCAAGCATTCAAAAGTACCAGCTGCTATTATTGTTCAAGAAATGAGCTGAATAACATTAATGTTTTCAGATTTGAGCTTTACACTACATTTTTACACATGATCTCAGATGTCTGAATCCTTGTTTTCCGAGTAAAAACACTAAGTCTCAAAGTTAAGTGGCTCATTTTCTTGTGGATTCTACTTTCTAATTTCTCACTTCAACTCCCAGCCTATATCCCATTCTAACTCCAGACACAGCAAACTCCTCCAGGTCCTCTGAACTTAGCAACCCTCCTCTCACCTCCATATCAACTCTCTCCTCCAAACACACACATGCTGTATAATTTTCTATTTGTTAATCAAGCTTTACTTTCTTTACCATCTTAAGTTTTCTGTATCCCCTTATTTTCTGTCTTTGTGCACCAGAATGGAATATCAATGAGAGGAGGTTATCCATCTGTTGTACTCACTGATATATCTCCGGAACCTATAAGGCCTATAGTAAGTGATCAATAAATAGTTGTTGAATTAATTACTGAACCCTTGAAACAGTCTTGCATACATAGTTTGGCACATATGGGACTCCCATTTGAACTCTGGGAAACATGGAAATTGGACAAGTTAATCTTACTGGGAAGGCTCAGCATCCAGAGAGACCAATACACCCAAAGCTACTAGAGTCAGATCAGGATGGAATTCTACCTCACTCTCTCTTACTATAATAGTTGTATAACCTTGGGCATGCTTCCTTACTTCTCTGGGTCTCAGTTTCCTTCTCTCATTAATTATCCTCATGAGATATTTGAAATTATTCAATACTTTCGTTCATCCCTTCAGCAAACATTTATTGAATGTCTCTTATCTGACAGGCACCATTTCAGGCATTGGGGTAAGTTGGTAAATAAGTCACATCTATCAGCTCTCAGTCTAATGGAGGACACAAATAATTGTTTATAGAACAGTGGATGTGCTGCTATGATAGGGGAAATACATGGTTCTGGTGGCAGGGGTTGTAGGAGTAGTTGCTGCTCTTCGCTTAATCTTTTTTGTTTCCTCATGAATACTGGTGAAGTCTCACCAGTCATCAAGGCCTAAGGCCTGCCTGCTTCTGGAATCATTCCTCCATATTTGTACTTTCACAAGCTCTGTGATTCTGTGGATCTTACTTTGGCTTGACAAGGCTATAAGTGTCAACTTGAAATTTTTCACAGGGCAAAACTTATTCACTGACAAGAGTATTTGATAGTAACAAAATGATGATAAAATAGCTAACACTTATTTTCAAATGGCCTTATGGATTCTGGTTTTATTCACTGGGTCACAACCTATTATTATTATTATTATTATTATTATTACTCATTCTAATGTTCAAATGGTCAAATTACAAAAATTACTTTTGTGCCACATTCTTTGCTAAATGTTTTCAATAACTTATTTTAAACCTCACAACATACCTAAACAAAAATCCTATTTTTATGTGCATTTACATATTGGGTAAATAGAATTAAGGAAAGTTTGGAGGGTTTCAAAGTCATATTGTCAGTAGAGACAGGTGATTCAGAGTGCAGACTTGCTTGTAAAAATCATTCCACACTAAAACAAACAGAGGCGCTTTAGAGAAATGTCTGACTCAAAGGCTGGAACAGGGAAAGTACAAACAGCCAGGAACATCTTGTTGCACTAGAAAGTAAAGAAAGTGTTCCAGCTAAGATAAAGATAGGACAATAACATGCAGGAAGTTTCAAGGAGCTTCAACTAGCCCAATCTGGGCCAATTTGAATATCAAAATAAATTTTGATGATAATCTGTTATTACCCAGTGATTAAATATATACCCATGAGCCCATAATGATGTAAGTAAATACATAAATAAGCTAATAAATGAGGAAGATGTGTGTGATGGTTAATATTGAGTGTGAACTTGATTGGATTGAAGGATGCAAAGTATTGTTCCTGAGTGTGTCTGTGAGGGTGTTGCCAAAGGAGATTAACATTTGAGTCAGTGGGCTGGGAAACGCAGACCCACCCTCAATCTGGGTGGGCACCATCTAGTCAGCTGCCAGTATGGCTATAATAAAGCAGGCAGAAGAAGATGGAAGAGCAGACTTGGTGAGTCTTCCGGCCTTCATCTTTCTCTCGTGTTGGAAGCTTCCTGCCCTGGAACATCAAACTCCAAGTTCTTCAGCTTTTGGACTCTTGGACTTACACCTATCATCTTACACCAGTCGTCTGCCAGGGGCTCTCCTGCCTTTGGCCACAGACTGAAGGCTGCATTGTCGGCTTCCCTACCTTTGAGGTTTTGGGACTCAGACTGATCCACCAGTGGCCTCCTTGCTCCTCAACTTGCAGACGGCCCATCATGGGACTTTACATTGTGATCGTGTGAGTCAATTCTCCTTATAAACTCCCTTTCATATAGGCATATATCCTATTAGTTCCGTCCCTCTAGAGAACTGTGACTAATACAATGGGAAAGCTCTTCATGACAGTACAATGCCAACTTATTAAGTGTTGAAAGGCTCTTGTCACTCCCGTGTTCATCGCAGTACTATTGAAAACAGTTAAGATATGGAATCAAACTAAGTGTCCAACAATAGATGAATGAATCAAGAAAATGTAGGAGATAATGGAATTCTATTGAGCCTTAAAAAAGAAGGAAATCCTGCCTGAGCATGATGATGCATGCCAGTACTCCCAGCACTTTGGGAGGCTGAGGCGGGAGGATTGCTTGAGCCCAGGAATTTGAGACCAGCCTGGGCCACATAGTGAGATCCTGTCTCTACAAAAAAATAAAAATTCATATGGCATGGTGGCACATGCCTGTGGTCCCAGCTACTCAGGAGGTTGAGTTGGGACAATCTCTTGGGTCCCAGAGGTCAAGGATGCAGTGAGCCATGATCACATCACTGCGCTGCAGCCTGGGTGACAGAGAGAGACCCTGTCTCTAAAAAACAAAAACAAAAGACATCCTGTCATTTGCGACAACCTGGATGACATTTTGTTAATGGAAGTAACCCAGGCAGGGAAATACAAAGACTGCAGGATCTTATTTATGTGTGGAATCTAAAAAGGTTGAACTCGTGGAAGGAGAGAGTAGAATCCTAGCTACAAGGAAATTGAGAGGAGGTGGTTGGTGAGCGGTTCATCAAGGATCCAAATTTTCAGTTAGATAGGAGGAATAAGTTCAAGAGACCCACTGTACGTTATGGTGACTATGGTTAATAACACTGTATTGTATTCTCGAAAATCACTGAGAGTAGATTTTGTGTTTTCCCCACAAGAAATGTTAAGTATGAGAGGTAATAATGTACATGTTAATGAGCTTGATTTAGCCATTCCACAATAAATACATATTTCTGAATTCAAAGTTTTTGACCTGTAAGAAAGGATAATCATTGAGCTTACCTACCTCCTAGGGCCATGGTAAGGATTAAACGAGATGATGCACATATGTTTTCAGCAATATCTCGGACAGGGCGAGTACACAATAAAAGTTAACTCACATTGTTTTTTTATTCCTTTTGGTTTTTAGAGGACAACATTTGATTAGACAGTTCTGGTTCCAAGGACTCAGATCTAACCATGTCTCTGAGGTGCCTACCAGAGATAAGATCCTAAGTTTTGAGACTCATATAATTAATTACTCAACAAAGGATACCTTTCATCCTTATTAAAATTATTGGCCCAAACATTTCTGATCTTAATATCTAGTCTCTTACCATTCCACTTAGCTGCCTATGTGTTTTCCTGGAGCCAAATATCCTCACTTTAACATTTAGTGTGTACTAAGGTCCCTAGGCTTCTATATGTGCTACCTGTATGTTCAGTGGGAATGTAACTATTTTCAGCCATCCTTCTGACTAGCCCAATGTACCATAGTAAAAATATCTGCCATTCATTTGGAGCCTAAATATACCATGCACAAAAATTCTGGGGAGCAGATTTTATATCTATCTCCTTTTTCAAAGTGAATACACAGGCTCAGAGGGGTGGAGAGACTTTCTCAGAGTCACAGAGCCAATAAGAGGTGGTACATGAAATGCCTCACTGCAATACCCAGGGCCTTGCTGCATAACTGAGCTGTATTCAGTTCTAACACTGTACACTATTATTAGGCACTATCTTCTCAACTAGATTCTAATCTCAGTGAAGGTAGACAGCAAAATTTAGTGCTCATGGATACGCCGGTACCTTCTTCACGCCTAAGCACACAGTAGGTATCCAAGGAATATCTGTTGTCTCTTTAATGTGGAAAAGAGGGCTTGCTTTTAAATATTTCTAAAAGCCTCTATAACCAAGTTAAATAAGGTTACTCTTTAAGTGTACTCTAAAAACTCTGAGCAGAAATATGATTCTGTAAAAATTGCTACAAACTAAACAAGATAGTTTAGAGTTGTTTACACAGGTGGGAAAGCTATAATAAGCAGCAAAGTAGAGATTCTAAACAATGAGCAGGATGGTAGGAACGTCCATTGAGGAAACAGACAGTTGTGGCAGGGAAAGGGACATAAGGGGTTCTAGCGTTTTATCAATATTTCATTTCACTGTTTTGGGTTGTGGTTACACAGGCTTTCGCTTTATAACTATTCATTATTTATCTTTGTATATCCGTTTTATGCACTTTAAGCTGAAACCAAGAAAAAAGAATAAGATTGATTCCAGGTCAAAGAAACACCAAGATTTGAATAAAGGTATTAATATGGCCACATGAAGAATGTATCAGTCAGGAGGGGGTTTGTCAGTCATCCATGAAAGGAAATACTGGAAACACCCATATAGGCATTGTGTGGGAAAAACAAGTCTCTACATGATTTCTGGTCCCACTGTCAAAGCATTACCTAGTATGAGATGGAAATATTGAATGATGCTAGCCTCATACCATTAACAGACAAAATGTATCTATGCAAGATGTCAGCTCTTTCCCCATCTTAATTACCTTAATTAAACCGATTAATAACCTTAATGCATTTCTTTTCATTTTGTAACACTTGTGTACCAGAAATTACCTCTTTTTCAGGCTCATAGACACACACACACACACACACACACACACACACACATCCAATCACACCAGGGCACTGATGTATTTCAGTGGACATTGTCATTGACTCCCCAACATCCATTCTGTCTTCTGTTTATCTAAGCCAGTCATGGCAATTCCAATATTCTTGACATTCACTGGTTTTGAAACAGGCATGTGACCTAATTCAGTCCCATATGTTGGAGTTGATTGTGGGGATATCTTCTGGAAAATACTATGTCACAGGTCTTGCCTCTTTGAAAGGGCACATTGGAAGATATATTCCTTTCTGTCTGTAAACATTACCATGTCAAAATCAGAGACCTAAAAGTGCTTCAGCCACATTGAGACCAGTACGTTAAGGGCATTGAGAGTGGCACAGAAGAGAGGAAAAAAATCTGAACCCTTCAAGGCATCCTTGAGCTGGAGTTCTCCTTGCATGGAATCCACCTACTTTTGATTTCAGGTCTATTTTGGAAATAGACCAAATATTTAATGAAGAATAACTAACTGCCAGGTACCATGTGGGCTCTAAAGATACTACAGCAAACAAAGCAGACAACTGTGTCTGGTCTCATGGAACTCATATTTTCATGTAATTATACAAACAGTAAATAAAACAATTACATCCAATTGTATGTCATAAGATTATAATGGTATGGAAAAAGTTAGAGGAAGTTAAAGATCTGGAAGGCAGAGAAGTTGGATAGGGCTGAGAAGTTGGAGAGGATAGGGCTCTCTCTCAATGTGACATTTGAGCAAAATCTAATGAAGTTGATGAAATGAACCATTAAATATGTGGAGGAAGAATATTTCAGGCAGAGAGAACAGCCAGTAAAAAGCCTTTAGTTGAAAGTATGACTATCATAGGTACGGATGATGTAGTGGGATCTAGTGGGGGAGTTGTTGGATTTTAGAGAAGTAACAGAATATCAAATCACATAGGAACTTGCAGCCCATGCCAATGCTTTGATATTTTTTTTCTCTCAATTAGACCGAGAACAATGACAGAGGAGTGGCATAATCTGACCCAGGTTTCAAAAGGATACCTCTGGCTGCTGGGATGAGACTAATCATTAGAAACAAAGGTATAGGGAAATGAACCAGTAAAAATGTTATTGCCATAATCCAGGCAAGAAATTGTAGTGGCTTACAATGAAGTGGTACAGTGGAGGGGGACAGAATTGCTCACATTCTCAATATATTTAGAATGCAGGCCCAACAGTATTTCCGGATAAATTTAATGCCAAGATTGACACCACTGTTTCTAAGTGAGCATCTAAAAAGATAAGGTTAACTTTAACTGAAATGAGGAAGAATGAAAGTAGATGAAATCAGGGGAATGAAATAAGATATCCAATTTTTACACAGTTAAAATCAAAATGTTTGTTTAACATGCATGTGGACTTGCCAAGTGGGCAATTGGAAACAGACTGTGGAGTTTAGGTCAGCTATCTAAACTGGACAGAGATGAGAGTGTAGATCACATAGGACACCACACTACTGGATAAGATCACCAAGGTAATGAGTGTAGGCAGAGAAGAGAAGGAGACCAAGGATTGACTTCTGAGGCACTTCAATGTCAAGAGATCACGAGGAAAGGAGGAGAATCAGCCAAGGAGACTCAGGAGTTACAGCTAATGAGGTCACAGAAAAACCAAGAGAGTATTGTACTAGAATTCAGGAAAGAAAGGACTTCCGGGTAGAGGGATTGATCAACTCTATCCAATATATGTCTCATATATATATATACATATTTGAGACAGGGTTTCGCTCTTATTGCCCAGGCTAGAGTGCAATGGCGCAGTCTCCACTCACTGCAACCTCCACCTCCTGGGTTCAAGTGATTTTCCTGCCTCAGCCTCCTGAGTAGCTGGGATTACAGGCCTGTGCCACCACACCCAGCTAATTTTTGTATTTTTAGTAGAGACAGGGTTTTCCCATGTTGGCCAGGCTGGTCTTGAACTCCTGACCTCAGGTGATCCCTCTCCTTGGCCTCCTAAAGTGCTGAGATTACAGGAGCAAGCCACCGCCCACACTAACTCTATCCAAAAGTATAAATAGGTAAATTAAGGAGAAGACTGCGAAATAGCCATTCGATTTAGAAATATTGGTGTCATGGTTACCTTGACAAGAACAGTTTGTTTAGTGGAAGGTGCGTAGGCCTGGCTGAAGTATGATTAAGACAGAATAGGAGGAGAGAAATGGGACACAGTGACCATAGACAACGCTCTGTGGGAAGCTTGCAATTGGGGAACAGATAAATGGCACTAAGCAAGTAAAAGGAGTGAGGTAAACAGGTTTTTGGTGTTTGCATTTTTTTTAACATGGCAAAAATAACACCAGTATGTATGTTGACAGGAACAACATAGTAGAGGAAGAAAAAGTCATGTCATGAGGATGTTACAAATGCTGTGAGATTATGAACTTGCTTTTTGATTTAGCCAGTCTAAGTAAGATTTTTCTGTTAGGTGTAAGCAAAAAAAAAACAAAACAAAAAAAAACAAAACTGTCATGTAGTGAGCAATTGGCTTGATATGTCTGACTTTTTGTCTTATGCCAATTGTGGAGGCATAATTTTAATATTTCTCTCTTTGACGTGTTTGAATGATAAATTATATGGTCACAATAATTGGATAGGAAGACTGGTTCTACAGTCATAGATTCCAATCCTGGGCCTGCCACTTAAAAGATGTCATTTAGGATAAATTACTTAGCTTCTGTGTGTTATACAAAATGTCTTCCTATGAACATAGGGATAATAAAGGTACTTAGGAATCAAATGAGGTAAAGCATTTAAAGAGCTTGTAGAAGAACTTGCTATGTGGTAAAAATTTCATAACTATTAAAAGTCTGCATGCCACATGGTAAAAGTTCCCTTTTGCAGTAAAGAACATCAACTGCCTGATTAACTGTTTTGCCTATTCACACATATAACCTTAAAATTAATAAACATGAAACTAACAAAGTAAAATTATTCACAGCTCCATTTTATAGGTATGAAAACAGGGAAATAGATCATTTAAGATAAAAAGGGAATTAAAATATAATGGTTAATTTACAAGCTGTGTCAAGACGCTTGGTGTTATGGTTAATTTTATGTGTCAACATGACTGAGCCACGGGGTGCCCAGACATTTGAGCAAACATAATCCTGGGTGTGTCTGTGAGAGTGACAAGTTGATTTCAGCCTTGCAAGGTCCTAAACGGAGAACACAGTTGATCCATGGCAGACTTATGGAAACTGTGAAATGATAAATGTATGCTGCTTTAAGCCACTAAGTGGGTGGTAATTTTTAATGAAGCAATAGGAAACTAATATACAGGTATTTAAGTTATTACTATATGGAATCTGTTGTGGTTAAAGTGATGCACTGCGTTGTCTAAACCACTGCGGAGGATGAAGACTAATATCTGGCTCAGCCATAACCTATATAGCTCTAAGGTGCAAATTAAAGTAGGTATAGCTAAACGCCAAGGGCCAAGAATGCTAAATGTTATGTAGTGAAGACTGATTGCAATATAGCTGTGAGAACAGGCAGCTTCAAGTGTGACAGCAACAATGGAGGACACTTCCAGGTAAGATGGTGTCATTCTCAGTGTGAAGGGCTCAGATGCTGGGGCTGCCCCTTCTGTCCCTGCCTTTTAAATGAGGCAGAGACTTCAATTTCAGGGTTCTCTTGCGGGGCCAAAACAGACAAGCAAAGCCAGAGGAATGGCAGGCAGTGGCTCTGAATTAAACTAAATAACTTATTATGGAAAACACGTATGATAGACATTCCTTGAGGCTTTAGAGTCTCTAACACCAGCTAGCTCTGTGATTCAATCAGTGTTCCAGGATTCTAATTTATAAGAGGTGTGTGTGTGTGTGTGTGCATGCATGTGTGGGTGTGTGAGTGTAAAACACCTCCTGGATAAATAACTGTGACAAATCTTTACAGACCACTGGCAGTGGGGTTAGGATATGCCCGCATGATTTTCTGCATGAGACACCTGCAAAGTTCCTGAATGTCCCTGACAAACCCACAGCCTACCACAGTGCATGAAACATGGGGACTTTCTTTTAACCTAGCTCCCATTTGTCAATAGCTTCTAGTACCCGTGTATTGCTGAATTCCTGGCTTCATAATTGATGTTGGCCTTTCTAATAATCTCTCAGTTTCTGAAATGTCCTCACAGTGGGATTAATTTAGAAATTCCCCTAGGTTTTACAAGTGATTGTTTAAAAATAAATTAACTGGAGAGATTAATGAATGAATATAAGATTGCTAATCCAATTATTTAAGTGTTTAGGTGAAAGGCACAAACATGCAGGAATATGAAATCAAGCCTCTGAACCCACAAATAACAGCATTTTCAAGCACAGACATGCATATTCATAGTCACAAGGATTCAGTCTGCCAGATGTGAGTCCTGCTCCTATTTCCTCTACTCTTTCTCCGTCAAATTTCTTGTATCCTCTCCCTCTTTTCCCCTCTTTCACAGCAAATACACCCTGTGCAGACTATAATTGAGAATTTACATTCTTTTATTGCTTTGTTTTCCTAGGAGATGGTTATGAATAAGGGCCAGTTTTTACTTGGTCTTTACATATGCTCTATCAGTCAGGTACACTGCATGAGACACACAGGCATTGCAGAGGGTTTGCTGAACGAATACATTTCATACTGAAACACTGATAGCAAAAACACCCACTTCCAAACTGGAGGCTGTACACTGGTTACTTTCCACATAGGTACGCTATGTGTGGCTTTTGTGTATCAGGAGCCATGCAAAGTATTCTAGAAGCTGGTAGGTGTCACAGGGAGAGAAAGCAAATTCATTAGTTCATGGGCCTCTACACAGTACATAGCAGTTTTCAGCACACAAAAAGGGGTAAATCAACATTATTTAACTTATTCATATATACACATTTTCAAAGCTGCCAACCCTAAATATATTGTTGTAAACTAAACTAAATATTTCACAGGAAAGGAAAAATACCGTTTGTCATAAGTCAAACTCTAAAATAGAAGGATGACATAACAGCAGTATGGAATTTTAAAATTTACATTAGTGACTTTCAGAGACACAGGGATTTCTTTCCAAGACTATGTAAAATGTAGGAATACCGCTGACCAATGTAGGCAATGGATTGTGATGCATGCCTCTTAAATCCCAGCTCTGCACCTCCGAGCTGTGTGAACAGGGACAAGTAATCTATCCTTCTGAGCCTAAATTTCCTCATCTGTGAAACTGGAAGAAAGATTCGTACGTCACAGGGATTTTAAGAAAACTATCAGTAAGATATATAAAACACCTGATACATAGTGGGCCCTGAAAAAGCAATTATTATATATTCTGATATTGCAGTAAAGCAATACCATTTTCCCACAATATAATTTCTTTATTAGAATTTTGTGAATTCTACACAATGAGAAGTTCATCTGACACAAAAATCAAGGATGCTTCCTTCTGCGATGTAGCTTGGTAGTAAAAGCTATTTGATCAAAGCTAAAGGGAAAGAATCTAAGATTGTGATGGCTATTCACTCATAGGATATACTATTGTAGTGTAGGAAAACTCCTAACAGAACTACTGATTTTCAAACTTGCCGCGAAATAAATAACCTGGAAAAAGATTGAAAAGAGGAAAGGGAAGCCTCATATTTTTCCATCTTGCACTCCCAGAGAATGGCTGGCCCTGAGCCCACAGTCAGAAACGTTCTATCATGGTGGAAATCTCTCTAGAACTGGCTGAGTTCATTGGTGGTATGAGATGTTTTACCATGGAACAGGGAATGCAGCCATCTTCCTGATCACAATTTTGATACCAAACATGCCTCTGTCTTGTTGCCTTTCTCTAATGAATCGGTGAAGTTTAGAACAGCTTGGTGACCTTGGAAAGCCTGTTCTGCTTCTGACGAAACTGGCCTGAGCCTGTGGGTACACAGTGTCATTGATAAGTAAACTATCTTCCTTGTGGGCTGGCCAGATGTCTTTGTGGAGGGGAAGGCATCCTTCCAAGACCGGAATCCTCTCATGCAGGGACTAGCTTGCATAAAAGACCCTCCTCCAGATCCAGCCTCATCAAGACCTTGAAGCAGCTGTAAGTACCAATCATTCTATCCCTTCACAAGGACTTGAAACAAACTCCATTCCTCTACCTCTGCAGAAATTAGTGTTGAATTTTCCAGCACTTGACCAAAGGAGCAGGAGAACAACCTCTAAGACGAGGAGCTTCTGAAAGTATTAGGAGATGGGAGGAAAATGTTGCAGAGATGTGTGCATGAGAAACGGGGAGGGGAGCAGAGAGAACTCCAGGGGCAAGTTAAGCGGTGGGGGTCTGCCTATACGGCCATCTTTGTGGAGTGTTCTCATCAATGAGCCTGGAAGATTCCACCTCATTCAGATACCTCCTAGCTGTCAGATACTGGCCAAGTTACATAAGGCCTTAGATCTCAATCTTCTCTCTTTTGAAAATGGGAATGACAACATTGTGATTGAAGGGTTTTCATTAGGGTTAAATAAAAAAGGTACATGAAGTGCCTACTATAGCCCATCCATTGTTATGTATCCTATTACAAAACAATAGCTTCCACTTTGTTTTCAACTTTTTTGTAAATCGTTCTGCTTTGTGTTTAATTATATAATTGTGTTTCTTTCTGAAAGCCACTGTCTTGTGAAAATAAAATGCAATATGTAAATCATAGTATATGTCCTGTCCAGATAAAACCAAAACAATTTAGGCAATGAATGACCAAGATCTGAAAACACCACCACAAGTCATGCTGTGTGGTAGGAACTGTGCTACCCTGTGAAGATGCCACGGAAAATGAATCAGACTTCTGGCCTTCAGGTATCCCATGGCTGCCTTTCTATGGCATTTGGTACCTATATGGTGCCAGATTCTGCCTATGGCATCTGGTACCTATATGGTGCCGAAACAAATGGCAACCACTGGAAAAGCTGCAGAATGCAAAGAGAATGTTTTCCCTATAAGTGTCATTTTCAAAAGATTAATTAATTCAACGACTATTCAGTACTGCCCTTCTGGTTGTATCAGAGAGTGTGGATGGTAGGTTTACAAAGACCAACAACACATGGCCCTTTCTCTCACAAGTCTCCCATCTAGCACAGGACACAAACACATTCATTACATCCACAGGTATTTTCTGAGTGACTCCAATGTATGCTCACCAGAGATGAGATCTGGGCTGCTTGAGATATACCAGTGAGCAAGAGACAAAGATCCCTACCATCAGGAGCTAATACTCTAGCAGGAGCCATTATAGCTGGAGAGAGAACAGCAATAATCATCAATAAGTAATTAAATAGTCTGTTAGATGCAAAATACTATAATAGAAAGGACACTTGGGCCAAGGAAAAGAGGATCTGGGGTATCAGCGACAGGGTGGCAAGGAAGAGTGGGTTTAGCAGTCCATCATAAGGTGGCCTGGGTAGGCCTCATCTAGAAGGTGAGAAGTGATCAAGGCCTCAAGGTGAGTGAGGAAGTTATCCTTGTAGACAAGGGACAGGAACAATCCAAGCAGAGGGAATGGCTAGAGCAAAGGCCCTGAGGAGGGAAGGAGCCTGCCTGACACAACCCAGAAGCTGCAGAGTCCAGGTCCACTAGAGATGTGTGGCCCATGGGGAGTAGTAGGGGCAACTTTGAGGAGGAAATTGGCCAGATGTTGTAGGGCCTCGTATGTTTTGGAAGCATTTAACATTTTACTCTGATACATAAACACAGGGACACTAGAAAGGGTTTGGTGTCTGAATTAGAAGTCTCCGCAGTGTAGAGAAAAGGGAAAAGGAGGGTGACAGCAGTGAGGCAGGATCAGGTACTGAGCAAAGAAGTGGGAGAAATCAAGGTGTGCTGCATCTTTATGAGAGAGGCGGTGCTCACCTGGACTTCACATTTCCATGGATCACTGGGACCACATCCATGATTTGTGCACATCTATACCATTACTTGCAACATCACAAAAGTAGCAGTTCTGTATGCATCCTGTCATTTGTCCGGGAAAAAAAACAATGAGGGAGGTTATTTTGTATTCCATTCATTTTGTATTTAAGACCTTTCTAGGGAACTAGCTAGTATAGACCCAAAATAAAACCACCTTTGTGTTTGAACAAGAGTGTCCTAGGTACATGAAGGAAGAAAAAATTGGGGAACATATGAAGGTTGATGTGAAAGACACAACTTACCCCACCTTCCCTGGTCCTAGGTTAATTCATATTTCATTTAATTTCGCTATTAAATAGTTAACAGGTAAAATAACAACTATCCTTTGTGATCCATGTAGATCCTGTCATCATTTCTCATTCAATCAATATGCTTTAAATCCCTACTGGACACCAGATCCCAGGCACTGTGTTGACTCAGAGGGGAACAGACATGTTTCAGGCTGGTTCCCAGTCCTCAAATTTCTCACAAGCTTGCAGACAGATCATTACAGAGGTTCTTAATTAGAGCTATGACAGAATTAAAGTCAAGAAAGCCTGGAAAAACGGGGGGGGGTACTTTAATCCCAATGTAAAGGAAGGGCCAGCACATGGTCAGGAAAGCTTTCTTGGGAGAGGTGAAGTTCTGAGTAGGTAATTATCCCTCTTTACACCTGAGAAATACTAAGGTCAAAGATATTAACTCGCCTAAGGCTGCATAGCTACTGAGAGAGCAGGATTTAAATTTTAGTTCATTTGCATTTTAAAACACCGTATTTTTTTCTCATGGACTACTATCAAAATCACTTCCCCTGACTCTGCTTCCGTTAAGTATTCTGAAAGTTTCTCAGGTATGTTGCAGTCCCTCTTCTGATAGCTAGGTCCAGCTGTGAGTACAGTCAGGCTCTGAGAAGGTCTTTAACATTCCCAATCTCAGGTAACAGCTGTTTTTCAGAGCTCCTCTCTTAGGACTGTACTTCACTTAAAACTCAGTTACAAATGTCACTTTCCATTGCTTTCTCACTAAGTAAAGTAGCCAACTTCCCCGAGGATGCTTCTACTATTCCTGTCAATTGCCCATCTGCCTGCCCCTTCCTAATTCTGAAAAAAAGGCAGAGATGTGCATCCTAGACTTGTTGGTTTCAGGGTAGATCCTCTCCGCTTTCATCCTAGGGATTCTGCAAATTTACATGGAAGCTCCATTCTCTTGGGTGCCTGGATCTTCCAGGCAGAAAAAAGCTAGAAAGGAGGAAGACCATACCAAAAGGAATGACATGCACTGTCTATGTCAGCAACCCTTAACATAAGGGAAACATGCCATAGTGAATGCAAGATGATTACATCTGGACTCAGACAGACCAGGGTGTGGATCCCAGCTCCACCACTTCCCGGCTTGCTCACTTTAACCCATCTCAGCCTGTTAATCTGTTAAAGGGGATTTTGACACTTTTCAGGTTTGCTTGTACAAAAATATTAAGTGCATATAAGAAAGCAGACCATCCATAAATCAACATCATGGTCTAGTGTGATGACAGCATAGAATTTCTTTTTTTCTGTATCACTTCATTGCATTTTGTCTTGCAGGGGAAATCAAAGCCTCGAATCGTGAAGAAACATGTGGAGGTGACACAACAATTATTTGCTGGGAGTGAGAGAGGTACTCACATGCTCTTTTCACTTATTGTCCAGAAGAAGAACATCACGATGGAAACATACCTTTCACTGGAGTCATTGAATCTTAACTACTGAATACCTTACCCAAGAAGTCAATGCTGAATGTCATCAACAAAGGCCGCAACAACCATAGCTGTGGATAAGAAGAATCCTTCTCTTAAGACATGTTGATTTTTTGAGTGTGCAGGGTATGGAGACATGAAGCCTTAAACTCGAATACAAAATCCACTCTAAGTCCTCATTTTCTCTTCTGTAAAATGGACTTATGAACTGCCTCCCTCCCTATGAGTTAATGAGATAACAGTTAAATAGAATGCAGGGCGTAACACAGGACCTCTCACAGGGACTGTACTCAACACGTTAGATGTCTTAACTTCATCCCTTTCTGACTCCAGGGAAAGTGAAATGCCAGCATTTTTAAGTAGATGTTACATTTCTACAGCGAACAATCTTGTCTTTCTCTGATTGTTTTTGGTTGATTTTTATGTATCATGTCAATGGTTGGAGCAGCTAGTTTTTAATGCATAACAAAGCGCTGCCAAATTTTATGCTTTAAACAGTAAACTATTTTACTCACAATTCTGCAGGTCAATAATTTCAGCTGGTCCCATCTGAGTGGGTTTTCTTGTTTGTTTGTTTGCTTTTTTTTTTTTTTTTTTGCTGTTCATGGCTAGGCTTAGTTATGCATCTTCAGCTAGTGCTCTCTTATGACCTAAGTAGTTCTGCTTGTGGGCGAATGGTCTAGGATGGCCTCACCCATATGTTGGGCAACGGTTTCACTGTCAGCTGGGGTGAAAGGGAAGAATCTGCCACAGGTATCTCATCATCCAGCTAGCCTGGCCAGCCTTCCTCACATTGCTGTCACAATGTTTCAAGAGCGAAAAGAGAGAGGATACCCCAGTGTGCAAGCACCTTTCAGTTCTCTGCTGACTTCTGTTCACATTTGTTATTGTCCCACTGGACACAACAAATTACATGGCCAAGACCAGAAACAATGACAGTGTGGAAGGAGATACAGGCTTCCACGAACAAATTGCAGTTTCACTGTAACAATCTACTACTACAGTGATTCCTGAATTACACTGCTCATCATTGGAGAAATACTTAAATATGCAAAACCAGACAGAGGAATGCTGTTCTCTTAAAAAGGATTTTTACTATCGTTACAAAAGTCTTAGCTTTTCTTGCCTTGTTACTATATTATAGATGAATAATAAAGTTATTAGGCCATTCTCACATTGCTATAAAGAAATACCTGAGACTGGGTAATTTACAAAGAAAAGAGGTTTAATTGGCTCATGGTTCTGCAGGTTTTACAGGAAGCATGGTGCCAACAGTTGCTCAGCTTCTGGGGTCGCCTCAGGAAGCTTACAATGGTGGCAGAAGGCAGAGGGGGAGTAGATGCATCACATAGCGAAAGCATGAGCAAGACAGGGGAAGGTGCCACTTGCTTTTAAGTCACCAGATCTTGTGAGCACTCACTATCACACAGACAGCACCAAGCCATGAGGGATCCGCCCTCATGATCCAAACATCTCCCACCAGGCCCCACTTCCACCATTGGGGATTACAATTTAACATGAGATTTGGGCAAGGACAAGTATCCAAACTATGTCAGCTGTGAAAGTTTGGGGAAAAGGTAATTAAAAAATTCCCTTGCTATTGTATTAAGCCTGTTTTAAGTTGTGGGTCTCCATATCCAGACTTTTCCAGTAGGGTTTCAGTCTGTGCCTCTTTCCATGTTATAATGTCCTATTCCTCTTCCCTGCCACAAGTATGCCCCCGGAAGGGACCTATTGCAGAGGCACGGTGTGATGTAGAACTGATACTGATGGAATAGACTAGAAAATGGCACCTCTTTCTTGTGAGACAAAGGAGACAGTACCTGGCAATTGTGAAGCAGCCCTGCCCTGTGGCCGGAGCCTGGATTGGCCCCTCTCGAACCCAGACACCCCACTAGTCTGCTAGTTTTGCTAGAGTGTCTCGTGATTCATTCAAATCATGTTTCAAAGCTCTGAGTAGAAGTTCAACCATTTTGTACTACTAAGTCCTAACCACATTTTTAGGACCCCTTAGTATTTTATTTGTTTTGTGGTGGTTAATAGTACACTTTGGGAGGCCGAGGTGGGCGGATCGCGAGGTTAGGAGTTCAAGAGCAGCCTGACCAACATGGTGAAACCCGTCTCTTCTAAAGCTACAAAAATTAGCCAGGCGTGATGGCACCCGCCTGTAATCCCAGCTACTCAGGAGGCTGAGGCAGGAGGATCGCTTGAACCCAGGAGGCGAAGGTTGCAGTGAGCTAAGATCGTGCCACGGCACTCCAGCCTGGGCGACAGAGCGACAGAGTGAGACTCCATCTCAAAAAATAAAATAAAATAAAATTGTGAAATAGGACGGGATCTCCATGTGCATGGTTTCCCAAACACCAAGTGGTGCTTATCAAAGAGAAAGATAGAGAAGGGTGGAGTGTGTGGAGAATAGGAGAACGTCTCTGGGCTTTAACGCAGGACTACTAGATGGGTGGTGCTCTGGTCTTTAAGGTGTACTGCATCGAAGTGCAAATGGCTGCAACACGGAGGCGAGGAGTGTACCCATGAGGAAACTGAGGTGCAGGGAGGTCAGGCAGGTTGTGAACAGGGGTTTAAGAAAAGCGTTAAATTACTGGCTGCGCCAAGATGCTCTGCAAGGTGGGAACCTGTTGAAGAAATAAAACTGCATCATGTGACTCAGCAAAGATGCCCGGCTACTGTGCCAAGAATCCCGTGGGTTGTGCAGACAACACTAGGGCCCAGGTCCCATGAGTAAGCCAGAATGGTTGATAGTGGGGGAGGATGATGACGACGCTGCCTTTGCCCCTGTCTTGTGTGAAACAACTGCCTGTGGGTTTCCTGCAGCGCAGTGGGGAGTGAGAGGAGAAACGTCCTGCCGTGCCACAGTGAGTTTGGGTCAAAGGCACACATGGAGGCAGTCTTGGCCAAAGTCACAATGCGGTGAATTTCGCTGTGCGCCAAGGAGGTTCCTGGCCCCAGGAGTGCGAAGCGCCTGCGCAGTGGGCCCCAGGCGTTGCGCGCTGCGGGAGCCAGGAGACCCCCGCCCCTGGCCCCTCGCCCCGGTTCCTCGCCCCTCAGCCCACGCCCTCCCCTGCGAACGCGCACGTGAACGGGAGCGCGGACGCGCCCGAGAATGCGCTTCACCTCGCAGAAGCGGGTGGGCTCTGTGGAGAGTCGCGGGCTCGCGGGCAGCAGCGCCTCCTCCACTCCGGCGGGCCCGGGTTCGGCCGGCCGCCCATCGGACTGGCGGACTGGCTGACTGACACGCCTCGCTTGCCCCCGCCTCCGCCCGTGCCCCGCCCAGCTTCATCTCTCCCTCCGCTCCCCGGGCTCGGGGGCAGACGGCAGACGGAGGCGCCTCTCTCTCCCCGCCCCTCTCCTCGGCCCTTTCTCTTCCCAGCACCTCGGCTGCTGCCCGGCAGCGGCAGCAGCTGCGTCGGCGGCCCACACAGCAGCGAGAGGCGAGAGGAGGCTGCCTCGAGGATGAAGTGCAAACCCAACCAGACACGGACCTACGACCCCGAGGGGTTCAAGAAGCGGGCGGCGTGCCTGTGCTTCCGGAGCGAGCGCGAGGACGAGGTCCTGTTAGTGAGTAGCAGCCGGTACCCGGACCGCTGGATCGTGCCGGGCGGGGGCATGGAGCCCGAGGAGGAGCCGGGCGGTGCGGCGGTCCGAGAGGTGTACGAAGAGGCGGGAGTCAAGGGGAAGTTAGGCCGGCTCCTGGGCGTCTTCGAACAGAACCAGGACCCCAAGCACAGAACGTACGTGTATGTACTGACTGTCACGGAGCTGCTGGAGGATTGGGAAGATTCGGTTAGCATTGGGAGGAAGCGAGAGTGGTTCAAAGTCGAAGATGCCATCAAGGTTCTCCAGTGCCACAAGCCCGTGCACGCCGAATATCTGGAGAAACTAAAGCTGGGCGGTTCCCCAACCAATGGAAACTCCATGGCCCCATCCTCGCCAGATAGCGATCCCTAGTATGTACCGCTTGCGCCCGCACAGACTTCTGTTTGTCTGCCTTGCTTAAAATGCATCCCGCCTGGAGCACCTCTCGTACCATGTGCGGTCTCATGGGCAGGAGGGAGGCTTTTGTTTCCTTGGCAGACCCTCTGAATCACGCTTGCAAACTGTTGCCAGGCCCTGTTTTCAGTTGGCACGTTTTTCAGTTGCTTTCAAAATCGCTTCTTGGTTACCCTGTAAAATGTTTCGGAGAAGCCTATGCCGCTTGGGGTTTTAGGTGCTGTAACTGTTCACCCTGCTTTTGGGCGGGGGGGGGGGGGGTGGGGGGCGAGGGGTGGGCGGGGAGTGTGTGTGTCTGCCTGTGCGCCCTGTGATGTTTTTGGTTCTTTTATATTTCACACATATTCGTGGGTGCGTGCACATTTTTGATACCAGCCTTGTGGTTTGTTTGGTAGTGGAGGCCTTTAAAGTCTGACCAGCTTGGTTGTGTGGCATCTTTTAGTATTTTTTTCCCTTGAGTTGTTTTCTCCTTCACAGCGTTCGCCCTTGTTGTCAGGGAGGCCTTCTGTGGTGGGAGTTGGTTTAAAAAATCAGTTTTGAATTCGTAAAAACATTAGGAAATCCTACATCTTGTGCTCTTTCTGCACTCGACAGTCGCTCTAGCCTCTGAAGTGGTATCTCATTTGCCCCTTTCAGAAATTTCTTTTTCTATTTCTATGTAGGTCATTTGGTTTTCAAAAAATTTTCACAAGTAATTTTTCACTGCTGACTTTAAATCGCTATTTCCCATGTAGATTAACCTTACTGAATAGATGCTGCTGGGGATCTGCTAGCCAAACGCATCTGATCAGAAAAACTGTATTCACAGAATTTGATTTCCCATACTCAACTTCCAACTCCCATTGCCCCTTACTGGATACCATAGAAGAACCATGGTTCTCTGGATTTAAGTTTGTTTTTGAAAGAAAGTGGTTTCCATTCCATATTTGAATGTAGTGACATTCCGCTTAACCTCCCTGACTCCCAGTAACCACAGGAATGGAATCTTTTGTGGTGATTACATCCCAACAGAGTTAGCTCTAGCGATGTTCAGCTGGTACAGAATTGTCAAACTATTAGGATTCCTGAACAATCTCTCAATGATAGAGAGTAATTGTTTTGTCTCACAGTACCACCTTTTCTGGGTGCCAAATTAAAAGCTCTCACGTTTGCCTCAGTACTTGCTTGAAGTCAGGAATCCCATCTAGAATAGCTAAATCTCTCTTCTGGACCTTCCGCTGTTCCCCCAGCCATGTCTGACATTAGGTAGAAGGAAAACCTATTTTGTGAAGAGGGTATTCGAATGAAAAGATCATTCCTAATTTCTAGAGCAACCTAGACTATGTCATATCTCTTAAACATTATTGACAGGTATTGGGGTCCCTTAACTTTTTTTTTTGAGATGGAGTCTTGTTCTATGGGTCACTGTTACGCACTTTCTATTAAGAAATTTTGGGTTTCGCTATGTAAATTCTAGGTTCCTCTTCTGGATTTCATCTCCCATGACAGTTGAGGAAATGTCTAGTTTTTGAAGAGAGTATGGGTGGGGGCTGGGGGACCGGGCGCGGTGGCTCACGCCTGTAATCCCAGCACTTTGGAAGGCCGAGGCGGGCAGATAACGAGGTTAGGAGATCAAGATCAGCCTGGCCAGCATGGTGAAACCCCGTCTCTACTAAAAATACAAAAACTAGCTGGGCATCGTGGTGTGCGCCTGTAATCCCAGCTACTCGGGAGGCTGAGGTAGGAGAATCGCTTGATCCCGGGAGGCGGAGGTTGCAGCGAGCCGAGATCGTGCCACTGCACTCCAGCCTGGGCGACCGTCTCAAAAAAAAAAAAAAAAAAAAAAGACTGATTTTCCCCCTCGTCCCTGTCCCCCAATGGACAAGTGCCTACTTTTTCTTATTCTAAAAAAAATTTGAAGACGACATGTTGGAGTAAAGGTAAGTTTGGTTGCTTGATACAGAATTTGCTCTGGATGGTTAACATATTTTCTAAGAAACCTATGTTCTGTTGATCAGGTCACCTTTGAAAGAAGTAACCCTGAAAGGGGTGAAAGGTGGCCATAAATATTTTTAAGTCCTGTAGAAAATTGATAAAAATTGAAGTGTGTATGTGTAAGAGCTTGTAAAGAAACAGCAACATTAGAGGGCCCTTGTGGGATAGATGGTTTAAAGGGCTCTGATGCTGGAGCTGCTCCTTGTCTCACTTGCCTTTAAGTGGAGTTCAATTGTAAGAAAAAGCATGTCCTCCCTCCATAGTTGTTGACTGGGAAAAGGGAGATTAGAGCTTACAGCACTAACAGCTGGCCAGAGTTTTATTTTTCAGAGTTCCTTTTGTGGAAGCATCAGTCAAAACAAATATTCTCAGCATCATTCTTGTATTGCAATCATCTTTCTGAATGACTGTTGGCCTATTAGAATATGGACTTTTTGAGGACTAGGACCCAGACTGAATCCTCCCCCATATCCTCAGAGCCTAGAACAGTGCCTGAAATTTGGAGACATTTGTCTTTGATCCACAGATTAGAAATGTCTACAAGTGTATTCCCGATTTCTGAGCTTCATAATGTACCTGGGACAATCTGTTATTCCCTCAGGCTCTCATCTGGCCTCACAGTGAAACTGCATTCGATAATTCACTGAAGGCTTTTCCAATTCAAAATGGTTGATGAGCCATAGTAGGTGCTCAATAAGTATTTGTTGATTAGAGGAATGGATGAACCAATAAAACCCTATTAATAAGAATTTTTCTTTTTAGGTGAATGGCATAGATGTTGTTCAGATTTACTTTGAAAGAATCAAGTATGTGAATGGATGGATGAATGGAATTGTGAAGCACAGATGAGCTCTTTCACACTCCAAGGACACAGCTCATCCTATGCTTTTGGACACTTCTTCCCTGTTTATTACAATGACTATTCTCCAGGTTGTTGCACTACCGCTGTATCTGTACATAATTCTAACTTGGCACCTGTGGCCTTTTTTGTGCTCTTATGTGTCTGTATTTCCCGGCAGAGTATACGCCCTTGAATGCCAGGAACTTGTTTCCTTAGTCTTTTTTATATATCTAGCATATAAGATATTGCTTAGAATATGGTAGACATCACTGAAGATTTGTTTCAGTAGTTCATATTTTGTAATGATACTGAATGGTTAAACAATCCCTTTCTAATCTGTCTAGCATATATGTGACTTTTGTTTATCAAGTGTCACACAACTGCTTCAAGGCAGCTGTGAGATACTAGAAAGCAAAAATTCTTACTCCTATGTCTGTGTCATCCCAGATGTGTGCCTCCAGATGGCAGTATACTACACTATCTGTAAAATATATTTGCAAAGCCAGGCACAGTGTTACGCGTCTGCCTCAGGAGGCTGAGGCAGAAGAATAGCTTGAGCCCAGGAGCTTTAGTCTAGCCTGAGCAATATAATGAGACTCCGTCTCTTAAAATATTTGCCCAAACATTGAACCTAAATTTGACCATGCCCCTAGAAATAATTCCTAATCTTTAGAAAATAGGGCAGAGAAACATTATTTTACACCATGGAGATGAGATCAGCAGAATCCAGACTATAAGAAACTACAGGACACATGACCTAGTTTCTTCTGTAAATAACTTGCAAGGATGAAAGATGGAGGATGAACCTATAGATTTAAAGAGACTTAAGAGACATATTAACCAATTGTTAATTGGATCTTATTTGAATTGTGATTTGACCGAACTGTAAAACGAATACATTTATGAGACAATCGGGGTAATTTGAACATTGGTGGGGTATTTGGTATTAGAATAATGGTTTTATCATTATGTTAGAAAGAAGGGTCCTCATCTACATTCTCAAACATCTGTGGCTGATATGATATGATTCTTGGAATTTGCTTCAAAATAATAAGTCTGGATGTTAAGTGCATTGGAAATATTGATGAAACGAAATTGGCCTTGATAATTGTTGAAGCTGGGTGATGGCTAAAATGATGGTTCATTATATATGTTCATCTCTATTTTTGTATGTTTGGCATTTTCCGTAATAAAGTTTATAAAAATAATTACTGGAGTTATTCTTATTAAGCCTAATATATAAGGTAGAAAAAAAGGAAAATATTTAGATTGTTTAAAAAAGGTTGGCTGTGGCATACCGCTTCTGGCCCAAGGGGTCAAATGCCCAAAAAGAGAAGGGAGAAATACCCTGGAGTGGCTAGCAGTTCCCTTGCTGTAGACCAATGTTAGCAGTTTTTTCTTTTAATTTGGCCCATTGAAATAGGAAAAGCTAGATTCTTATTTATTCATACTAGAAAATAAGAATGGATTCTTATATGCTGTTGAGCAGGGGTTTTGATAACACCTACATACCAGTTCATACAAATGTGAAAAATCAAAGAGGTGGAGTCTCCAAGGAGAAAGTTTATGGAATTTTATAAAAATCTACATAAGCCACTTTTTGAATAGTTTTTAAGGGAACAATAGCTGTAAACTTGTTAGCTGCACATAATTAAGTTTAAAGTTATATTTGAAGGTAGGTAAAAAAGGAAATTAAGCAGTTAACATTCCTGACTTCAGTGGACCATTTTGCATTTCACAGATTGCAGATACTCCTTCAGTTCTGGACTGTGCTTAAATTTCTGCAAAGGCTAAAATTCTGTAAAGGCTGTGCTTACATCAACAAACATGGTGTCTGTCCTGATGTTTTTGTGAGTCAAGAAGGAACAGGCAGAAAGTGAGAAGAGTATTAAAGGTCCCTCCTAGGGAAGATGAATTCCTTCCTAAGTGTGAAGTACTGAAGCTGAAGCTGCCCCTTCTACTTCTGTTCTTTAAGTGTGTTCCAATCCCAAGAGCAAGCAACTCCCCAGAACCAACTGTTACTGGGAAAAGGGGAGGTGAAAAGTTTACCTTAGAGCCCTTTACCAGTCATAGCTGGACAGAGCTTTCAGTTCCAAGATTCCCCTGTGAGAAGGCACCATGATATACCAGAAAAACTTTCATCAAGTTTTCCCTGGAAATTGTTTTCTAATTTGAGTCTACTCTGATTGTAGCAGATTTTTTTTTTTTTTGAGATGGAGTCTTGCTCTGTCACCCAGGCTAGAGTGCAGTGGCACGATCTTGGCTCACTGCAAGCTCCGCCTCCCGGGTTCACACCATTCTCCTGCCTCAGCCTCCCAAGTAGCTGGGACTACAGGCGCCCACCACCACGCCCGGCTAATTTTTTGTATTTTTAGTAGAGACGGGGTTTCACGGTGTTAGCCAGGATGGTCTCAATCTCCTGACCTCGTGATCTGCCCGTCTCGGCCTCCCAAAGTGCTGGGATTACAGGCGTGAGACACCGCGCCCGGCCAGCAGATTTTTTTTTAAGTTTAGAGGCAAGCAGAGCCAGGGAAGCTGTAGTTTGGTGGATGTAAATTAAAACAATTTAGTGATTCGGAATCCAACAAGCTATAGCTCAAAACTGTCTTGACCAGAGGCTGTATGGCCTCTGCCAGATTAGTTTACCTCTCTAATTTTCAATTTTCTCATCTGTAAATTTGCGGTAATTACAGTCCCTACTTTTGTAAATCACTGCTTCTGAGAAGCCCTTCTTGATATTTTTTGAAATAGTTCTTTTTTCATACAGATGGGCTCTTGCTCTGTTGCCCTAACAGGAGTGCAGTGGCATGATCATAGCTCATTGCAGCCTCAAATTCCTGGGCTCGAGAGATCCCCCTGCCTTAGCCTCTAGAGTAACTGGGACTACAGATGTGTACCACCACACTTGGCTATTTTTTCAGTTTTTGTAGAGATGGAGTCTCGCCATGTTGCCCAGGCTGGTCTCAAACTCTGGGGCTCTAGCCATCTACTTGGCTTGGCCTCCCAAAGTGCTGGGATTACAGGTGTGAGCTACCATGCCCAGCCCTGTTTTGTCATAGTTCTTATCAAAAGTATACTTATTAGCCTGAATGTCTCTGTCTTCTTAATTCTGAGGTCCACTAGCTTTGAGAGCCAGACTGGGTTGTCTCTGTGTCCTGAGTCGGGCACAGAGCCTGGAATATGGCATCCCACAGATGTTCCTAACATGTTTATTATATAAATGGTTGCCACACCTCCTACTTGTGAAAAACACATAGCTATTATTTTGCCAGGTATTTGTTTACCTGAAAATATGAAAAATGAGATACCGTAAGACTGTGATCTCTGATCAAGTTTCTCTTTTAAGTTTCCCTTTATTGGGAAGAATATTTCATCTATAAACCATGCCTTTATTTTTCAGGATTTTCCAGTACCAATATATTCCTGACTTCTTAGCTTCATAAAGGACTGTGTGATATTCCCTTAGGTGCTAAATTGGCCCACAGCTGCATTTGATAATTCACTGAAGGCTTAAAGCTTCCCAAATACAAATGATTTAAGAACATGGTAATCCTTCAGTATTTATTTAATGTAAGAACCTTTGAATGAACACAAGTATCCTAATTATTTTAATTTACAGGTAAAAAACATAGACAGCAATTAGGATTATTAGGATTATATGGTAACAAGCTCATATAGACAAGGCTAAAGCCTGACTGATTTGACTGGTAAAAATACAAGGAACCACTTTTAGATTGAGACAGTTTAGTACTTACATAAACAGTACAAAGAATGAACCAAAGAGGCCAACTCCCCAGGTCCTTGTCTCATATACCCTAAAAGACAACAAAGAAACAAAAGGGGCTAGATGACTATAATGCAAGTTGAGGGATACTCCCTGGCTGAGGAGCCAAATCTATACTGCGGCTGAGTGGCTATATATTCCGCAGCTCTATTCTAAAAGGCACAGGAAGGAAAGCTCCATACCTCATCAGAATCTGGTAAGTGATGAGAAATTCATTCAAGACAGCCTCTCAGGAGAGAGAGGGAAGTGACTGGGAGAAGGCCTTATAGCAGCTCCTTACAGCCTCTGATCTTCTTGTGTTCTGGGAGGATCACAAAACAATTAACCAAAACTCAGATTAGCTGCAGTTCAAGCCTACATGGATATATGCAAGGGTGCCAGGCCATCATGGAGGAGCCATTCCCCTACAACTCCACTCTCCTTTCATATATCCACCTAAGGATTCTTTTTACAAACATAAGCCACCTGTTGTGGCCACTCTAAAGATACAGAATGGACCCCATGCAAAATTTGGTTTAGATATCAAGAGCGATAATGCTGTATATACATCAACAGGGTATTCAAAGGTTTATTACTCGCATAATGAGGCTCTTTTGGGAGAGCAAGGCAGGCTTCCAAAGCTGATCTGAAAATGTCTTGATAGAGCTAGGAAAGGAGACTAGCTTACAGTTTTTATGGTGGTTAGGGGTGCTGGGGTGAGGGTTCCAATGTGCAGCTGGGGACTTGCATGGTTTGAAACTCCTTTCAACAACAAAGGAGAGAGCACCCAGGAATTTCATTAGCTTGTCCAAATGCAGGGCTTAAGGAGAACTGAGGTGAGGCTTAGATGCTGTCAGCAAACATCCAAAAAAAAAAAAAAGACAGCTTCCTTATTACAATTTACTCCTGATGTTCGAGAAATAAAATGTACTACGTTTTTGTAGTTGAATTCAAACAGATTTAAATAATCCATTATGGTGCTCTATGAGGTCTGTAGCCTGATACCTGTAAGAAAGATGAAAGTTCCATCAACTGTCTCATTCTAGAGCTCAGCATTGTGTATTCTGGGAAGTGAAATGAATGTCTTGGTGGCAATAAATGGCATCTGGAACTCTAACGGCAGTAACGAGTGTCTTAATGAGGCCTTGTATTATAGTTTTATTATATGTAAAGGCATGTATGGTATTGACTTATATTTTGGTATCTGTGAGGCAAGAGATTCCCAGAGTTCCATACCCCAAAAAAGACACTGGATAAGGAATTTCTGTTGCTGCCATTGTCCAAACCAGACAACCATATAATTGGCAATAACCTAAGGGTCTAAATACTTACAGAGGGGGTCAATTAGTGACCCAGGCATCCACTGCTAAGATAATAGCCTGAAGTTTGGCCAATTGTACTGATCCTTGGGTCCAGTTCTTTATCAGAGACATCCTAACTAAGGGATAAAAAAAAAAACAGCAACAATCCACTGAGCTCCATTATGTGTGATTATGACAGTGTATCCATAAAGTGGACAAACTCCCATTATTCTTCATTCAGTTGATTCTACAGGGGTCCCCAAGTAGCCAAAGGGTCTGGTAGAGGGGTAGCCTCATCCAGCACCATGGCATCTGGCAAAGGACTGAGGACAGGGGAGGCCATCTCCACCTGTAAGTGTGATATGCCAGAGGGCCCAGGTTTGGTTCCTTCCTGCAACAAAGAGACTTTGGTGGCTGTGATTAGTTTGTAGGGTGCTGCTTCCAAGACCCAGGGCATAATTAGCTGGAAATGGAAGGTCATGAGCTGAGTGCCTATGAAAGCCTCTATTTCCACAAGACCCCAGTATGTATCCAGCAGTTGCCACTCTAACAATATACAGCATAAGACCTACGAAGGCAGTTTCTTGCATCAGAAGGTCATGGACAACTCATGGCCATCATGGATGGTACAAGGACTCCGAGAGGCATTAGAGGAGGATGCTAAAGCCTCTACAGTGAAGAAGTCTCAGGGTGGGCATGGCACTAATATGGTTGAAAAAATTCTAGAATATTTTGCTGGGAGGGGGTCCCACTCAAGGTGGGCCTATTTTGCAAGTAATGGCATAAATGGGCCAAAGTAAAATTTGTAAGTGAGGAAAATGTTGCCTCCAGAACCCACAAAGGCCTAAATATGTTGGGCAAGCTTTAATGTTGACAGGCATGGAATGCCCTCAGTTTACCAATATTCAGGAATTTAAACAAGGTGGCAAGGCTTTGTGCCCTGTGTGGGGCAATGGTCCATCCCCTTTTTGTGAGCTCCTTCTTAGAATATTTGTATGTCCTGAATGAGTTTTCTAAAGAATTCTCTTAGAAAAGGATGCCATCAATGTGGTGTCATATCTGTGCTCCTGGAGCAAGTTAGATGCAGTTAAGGTCTTGCCTGCAAAGACTGTGTGAGATAGCAGAGCTGTTGAGGTACCCTCTAAGTAGCCAGGTAAAGGTGTACCATTTCACTTTGGAAGGGAAGGAAAACGGGCTGAGAGGCTATTGAAATACACACTAAACAGAATGTATTAGCCAAATATACAATAGCAAAACATTTATCAGTTGCTGATTGGAGTCAATAATTTCCATTGTAATCATAATTAGGGGGTCTAATTACTGGGACCACAGCATAAAGGCTGTGGTAATTCATCAAGAAGTCTCATTCATTCTTTCCAAGTTTAGGAACGGGCCAAATTAAGCTGTTAAATGGAGAAGCATTGGATATAATCACCCTCCCTCTTCTCTAAATAGGCCTTGTAAAATGGGTTGCAATCCTTTGAAGGCTCTGCCTTGAGCTAAGAGCCATTGTCTTGTCAATGTCTAATTGACACTGGGCTCTCTTAGCTCTGTACATTGTGGGGGAGTTTTTCATGGAGGCCCATTTCTTCAAGTCAGTTTGTAAATGCCAAAGACTCAATCTAATTTTGATTTATTATTTAATGAGTCTGAGAGTCCATGCCCACTATACAATATTTTAGGGCAATGGATGCTATAACTATGGGGAATTTAGTCAAGACAACAATTATGATGGTTAAATGGAGGCATACATTTTGTCCTCTATTTTATATTCAGTAACTACCCTAAGATTACAGGGCTACCACGTGTATTAGGGTTCTCCAGGGAAACAGAACCAATAGGATGTGTATACATATATAGAAGCAGATTATAAGGACTTGGTTCATGAAATTATGGAGGCTGGGGTGAGTCCCAAATTTGCTATGTGGACTAGCAGCCTTGAGACCCAGGAGAGTTCATGGTACAGATGAAGTCCAAAGGCAGTCTGTTAGAGTATTCCCCCTTGCTCAGGGAGGTCAGCCATTTTATTCTATTCGGGCCTTCAGTTGATTGGCTGAGGCCCATTCATATTGTGGAGAGCCATCTGCTTAGTCAAAGTTCACTGATTTAAATATTAATCTCACCCCAAAACACCCTCCAAGTTGACATATAACATTAACCATCACAAGTCCACCCCTCGTCAAATTGGCAACCATACACATCTTAAACCATACTTTATCCCCTCAAAAAGACAATAACAAGGCCATACTTTCTACTTAACATGATACAACTCTCCTGCATGCAATGGAAAGTGAATAACCTTTTCCCCAGGAGAAGATGCAAAGTCTTTGCATTTAATCTCTTTGATAGCTCATAAGTTAAATACTATGATAACAAGTTCATGCATCTTGTGTTACATGAAAAGGAGATAAGATAAAGAAGAAAAAGATATTTGCTACACACACACACACACATGCACACACGCATGCAAACACAAACATATAACAAAATAAGGTGGAAATACTCATAGTGATTGCCGTCTTCATTTCTGTAACTGGTCACATAGTAGTAGCTGGTATTTATAATTACCTTCTTCCACTACTGATTATGTATTTCCTTTGCCTTCAGCAAACACCTCACCTGGTCATAGTTCTTTATTTGGTAGGGTGACCCAAACCTTCATTCCTAAGGACATTAGTAGTCTTACTTCAATTAGGTTGTTGAAGTTTACCATTGATTTTAATTACAAGACATGGTAATACTAAGAGATGCCCTGGCGGATCCTCCTATATTGCAGACATACTCTTCCTTATCTCCTTTGAGGAATAGCAATCTGATTTCCTTAGTAGTCAGAATTACTCCAGCTATCAGAGTAAGTCCTTTCTTTACTTGTTGATTCAAAGTCATGAGGATCCCAAAGTGGCCAGGTGGCAATCTTAACTTCCAGATCAATGGAATAATTGTATCTTCTGGTGGAAGCATTCCTCCCTTTGGGCATAAGACCTCTAGGCCAGCAGAGTATAAGGTTGTGGGGAAAGGAAGCAAAAATTTTGCTAGTAGGTCACAAGGCTTGTTTACTGAGTGGTGTCACTCCCATTTCCCTTCCTTGATTACTGGACCTGTGAATCCTGGCTATTGGAGAAACAGCACCATATATTGGACACTGATTCAGTGCATATATATCCTCCTGGAGAACATTCCTCTAGCCCTGCAAGGTATTGTCACTTAGCATGCAATCTTCAAAAGGTCACTCCACTGTTCTGTCAAGCCAGGTACTTCAAGATGATGGGGAACTTGGTAAGAGCAGTGAATTTCATGAGCGTGAGCTCATTTCAGCACTGCATTTGCTGTGAACTTAGTTTCTTGATTAGAAGCAATACTGTATGGAATGCCATGACAGTGAATAAGGCATCCTTTAAGTCCACGGATGGTAGTTTTGCAGAAGGACTGTAGGTAGTGAAGACAAACCAGTTTCCAGAGTAAATGTCTATTCCAGTAAGAATAAAATTCTGCCTTTTCATAATGGAAGTTGCTATGGTTTCAATGTCTCTCCAAAATTAATGTTGAAACTTAATCCCCAATGTGGCAGTACTGAGAGATGGGGCCTTTAAAAGACAGAGCCCTCATGAATGGATTAATTATTCATTCATGGATTAATGGATTAATAGGTTATCATGAGAGTGAAACTGGCAGCTTTATAAGAAGGGGAAGAGAGACCTGAGCTCCATGTGAGCACACTCCTCAGCTGCCTCAACATGTGTTGCCCTGCACCACCTTAGGCATGTAAAAATAACCTCTACAAGAGTCCTCACCAGCAAGAAGGCTTGCACCATATGCAACCCCTTGACCTTGAACTTCTCAGCCTCCATAACTGTAAGAAATAAATTTCTTTATATATTACCAAGTTTCAGGTATTCTGTTGTAAACAACAACAAAAAATAGTCTAACACAGAAGTAGTCCAATGTAACCGACCTGCCATCAGGTAGACAGCTGATCACCCTAGGAAATAGTGCCATATTGGCAACTTGGTGTTGGTCTCTGATGCTGGTAGTTTGGGCACTCAGCAGCAGCTGTAGCCAGGTCAGCCTTGGTGAGTGGAAATCCATGTTGCTGAGCCTGTGCATAACCTCTATCCCTGCTGCCATGGCCACTTTGTTCACAAGCCCATTGCATGATGATGGAGTTACTGGGAAAAAAGGCTGACTGGTATCCACAGAACAGGTCATCCTATCCACTTGATTATGAAGATCCTTCTATACTAAGGTCACCCTTTGTGAGCATTCACGTGAGATGAAATATCTTAACATTTTTCACTCAGAGAAATCTATCCACATAGCTGTTTCCCAACTTTGCTTATCACCAGTTTTCCAATCACATTCCCTCCAAGTCCCTGACCATCTGATGAAAGCACTGGCTACGGCCTGTGCATCAGGATGTAATCCCATGTCTGGACATTTCTCCTTCCAAGAAAAGTGAGCAAAAAGTTGTATTCCTTGTAGTTCTGCCCGCCGGGTAATTTTCCTTCACTAATGTCCTTCAGGGATGTTCCAGGACGGGGACGTAGCACTACAGCTGTCCATTTTTGGGTGATGCCTGCATATCACGCATAATCATCTGTAAACCAGGTCTGAGCCTTCTCTTCCTCTGCCAACTAATCATAGGGTATTTGTGTCTCCAGGGCCTGCTTGGGCATAATGTTATTTACACACACACACACACACACACACAAACAAACAAACCACTTCCACTTCATGGAGTGCTGCTGTGCACACCCAACTTGATGACCTAGTGGATCAAATAACACTCATTTTATGAATAGCAGTTCAGGTCCCATGGTAACTTGGGGGCCCATGGTTAATTGTTCAGTCTCTACTAAGGCCCGGTAGCAGGCCAAGAGCTATTTCTCAAAAGGAGAGCAGTTATATGCAGAGCATGGCAGGGATCCTCTCCAAAATCCTAAGGGCCTGCACTGTGATTCACCTATAGGGGCCTGCCAAGGGCTCTGTAGTAGTCCATTTTCATGCTGCTGATAAAGACATACCCAAGACTGGGCAATTTACAAAAGACAGAGGTTTATTGGACTTACAATTCCATGTGACTGGGGAGGCCTCAAAATCGTGGTGGAAGGTGAAAGGCACATCTCACATGGTGGCAGACAAGAGAAGAGAGCTTGTGAAGGGAGACTTCCATTTTAAAAACCATCAGATCTCGTGAGACTTACTCACTATCATGGGAACAGCATGGGAAAGACCTGTCCCCATGATTCAGTTACCTCCTACTGGGTCCTTTCCACAACACATGGGAATACAAGATGATATTTGGGTGGGGACACAGCCAAACCATATCAGGCTCCAAACAGCATCTCTATCTGCCACTGTCACTTCAAGCACCATTGGATCTGCTGGATCACATGGCCCAAGTGGCAGAGTAGCTTGCAGAGCAGCCTCGACTTGTTGTAGAACCCTGAGTTCCACAGTCAAGCAAATTAACATGCCCATCATCTCAATTTTGTTGTTGTTGTAATAAAGGTACCTAAAATCTACTTTCTTCACAAATTACCAGTATATGATACAATATTATTAACTATAGTCCTCATGTTGTACACTAGATGTGTAGACATTCATCCTACATACCATAACTTTCTATTATTTGACCTACATCTTCTCTATGTTCCTCTTTTTTCATTGCTGGAGGGGCCAGATGCAACAACTTATCCTTCACCTTAGAAGGGATATCTTGACATGTTCCACACCACTGGACCCCTAGAAATTTCACTAAAGAAGGCCCCTGAATTTTTGTCAGATTTATTTCACAGCCCCTGGCATATTAATGTGTTACCAATAAGTCTAGAGTGGTTGCTACTTCTCATGCACTAGGTCCAATCAGCATAATATAGTCAATGTAATGTACCAGTGTGATTTCTTGTAGAAGAGAAAGATGATCAAGTTCCCCACAAACTAAATTATGACATAGGGTAGGACAGTTGATATACCCCTGATGTAGGACAGTGAAGGTATATTCCTGGCCTTGACAGCTGAAAGAAAACTGCTTCTGGTGGGCCTTACAGACAGGTATGAAGAAAAAGGCATGTGCCAGATCAATAGCTGCATATCAGATGAGATGTGTTAATTTGCTCAAACAATGAAACCACACTGAAACAGCAGCTGCAATTGGAGTCACCACCTGATTAAGCTTATGATAATCCACTGCCATTCTCCAAATTCCATCTGTCTTCTGCACAGGTAAGATATTTGAGTTGAATTGGGATGTGGTGAGAATCACCACCCCTGCATTTTTTCAAGTCCTTAATGGTGGCACTAATCTCTGCAATCCTTCCAGGAACATGATATTGCTTTTGGTTTACTATTTTCCTAGTGTATTAGTCCATTCTCATGCTGCCCAAGCGTGAACTGCCCAAGGCTGGGTAATTTATAAAGGAAAGAAGTTTAATTGTTCAGTTCCACATGGCTGGGGAGGCCTCAGGAAACTTACAATCATGGCAGAAGGGGAAGCAAACACGCCCTTCCTCACATGGTGGCAGGAGACAGAAGTGCCAGCAGGGGATATGCCAGATGCTTATAAAACCATCAGATCTTGTGAGAACTATCACGAGAACAGCATGGGGGAACCACCCCCATGATCCAATCACTTCCCACCAGGTCCCTCCCATGATATGTGGGGATTATGGGAACTACAATTCAAGATGAGATTTGGGTGGGGGCATAGCCAAACCATATCACCTAGGTAGAGGAAGATCTAGCAGCTTCCACTTGTCCTTTTCAACCATAATAGCCCTTACTGCAAAAGTCATTCTTTGGGATTCTGCCAGTTGCTGAGTATATCTACACTAATTATTCATTCTTAAAATGGGAAAATAATCATAGGATGGACTCAGGGACCCACTGGGCCCACTGTGAGGTGGACCTGAGCTAAAACTCCATTGTTCACCTGACCTCCATACAACCTTACTCTGACAATGATGTTTTAGGCCTCCTGAAATTAGTGTCAGAGCCAATAGTAGTCCCTGAAAGGTCTGATTATTTTCTTTTCTCCTATGCAGAGTTACCCTGGCATAAGGCTGTAGGTTCCTTTGGGAAAGGTTGGGAGACAGATTAATAATATTCATTTTTGGCAGTGTTTCAGGGTCCTTCCTCAAGGGGATCTGGCCTCCTTTTCAATTCAAGAGTTTCTGTGTCTGTGAACTGGCTCATATCTGAGAATTGATTGAGGAGCTATGACACTCTTTTTATGATTCAGGTTACACGTTTATTAATTTGACCTAAAGTTTTCTGCTTATACAGATCAAACATAACTTTAGTAGACTTCTGTCTTTGTCCACTCAGACTGCTCTGATAAAATACCATAGACTGGGTTGTTTTAACAACAGACATTTATTTTTCATAATTCTGGAGTCAGACTCTTTATTATATGACCCTATCAGATGTCCCAATTACTTGTACTGATTATACCAAATCTGTTCTGTTTGTCTTAGGCAACATTGAAGTAGAGTGATCATGACTATAACTCATAGTAGGATGACTGAACCCATCTGCAGGATAGATTTCAGTCACTTGTAGTCAAGGCAGTTAAATATATAAAAGCACAGAAAAGAGCCCAACAATAACAAGATGAGGCTAAAGGGAATCATATCAGTGTACAAAATATTAATCTTATTATTGTTTCAAGTGGAGGCTATTTCTGGAGTCAGTGGATGTTAGGAGGTTTCTGAGAATTCTTAGATTGGGATTTCTTCTTGGCCAGAAATTAAGTTGAGAATGGTGGGAACATGAAATTGGCCAGATGCCCTGTGAACAAGAGCTGAGAGAGAGATTAATGGTCTCCCTTCCAACTCGTGACCATTCAGGGTCAACGGTGTTTTCTCCCCACCATTCATGGTTGTTCTCTTTCCACAGCCACAAGACTGATGTGACTTGTTTCTGCAGCAGTCACTTCACTGTTTTTCCAGTCTTCTCAATGTCTTACCCACTCCATATCTCTGACCTCATCCCTATGTGGTTTGGAAGTTTCTTCTTTGTATTTCTTGTACCATCTAGATTATCTCACACTCCCTGACATGTGGGTCATGCCAAGATCACCTTAGGAGTGGTCATTTCATATTTATGATCAGTACCATCAATGTCCATAATTGCCCAAATATAGCCAGATGGCAAAAGAAGCATTAGGTTAGTCTCCCACCCCCACAGCTTACAAGTTCTAGTAGCTTGATTTCCCAGGAGTAGGTGTAGGAGTGAAAAAGTAGAGTGAGAGGAGAAAATTATGGTTTGTATTTTCTTACTGCCAGCCTGGACTTCCTTTCCTACTCTTCAGCCTCATAATTAAACATTTTATTTAAATAGGAGTTACCTTTCTGAAGAATTACCACATTTAGAGCCCAAACTGCCTGTCTTAAGTGTGTGCTCCATTGGGATCTGAGCCTTGGTTAACCAGTTGTCTTTTTCATTTTCTCCCTTAAGAGTCCACTTTATCTTTCAGTGGCACCTGCTGCCTGGAAATGATATGGGGCATAAAATATCCAGAGAATATCTATATGGCTGCCCACTGTTTGTTACTTTTTGCTATAAAGGCAGTACCAGTGTCTGACCAGATGTGTTCAGGGAATCCAAATATGTAACATAGTCCATCTTAGAGTCACTGAATAGTATGGCCCCCATTTGCTAAGTTGATAAGAATAGCAATGCCATGCCTGAAAAGTTGTCTATGAAAGTCAATGTCCAGTGGTATCCTCAAGAGGAGGATAGGATGTACATATTTTCCAGGATTGGCCAGGTCTGGTACCTCTGGCTATGTGTCCCAAAGCTCCCTTTGCCACTTGGTTGTATAGCTTTCAGTCTGAACACATCTGCCAGGCTTCAAGTCTCATGTTCTGGAATCACTAGGTCTTGTTTTTATTTTGGCCCAGTCCTGAATTGTAAATAGATTACTGTACCCCATGTGATGTTATATTCAGGTGGATGCCCTACCCAGGTGTCCTTTTATGGGCAGTACAGATTTGATCATCTTGCTGTTGCCATTGATGTTCATCTTCAATGGGTCCTTTGTCGTGGGCATCCCTGTTAGTCATTAACAGAGGTTGTGGTCCTGTGCAATTTGCTGCTATGTTGTTTGTCTCTGCCGGGACTGAGACTTGATCATCCAGTCATCCTACTGCCAGTTACTACACTGCCAGACTCTTGACTCCTGCTCATAAGTCAATGAAAAATATAACAGGGTGCATTTTGGGGGATGTTTTCCAGGGAAAACACCATGAAAATATATCACTAAACAGACATCCCTTTTCCATGAGCAGTTACAGTACACAGTTTTATTTGGAGATGCAATGCAGCAGTGGCCCAGCACATCTCACTGGTTTTGAACTTAGCTGATCCATCTGTAAACCAGGCCCAGGTGTCCTCAGGAACCTCAGTGTACTAAAGCACTCAAGAAGTTGAAGGTGCTGGCAGAGACCCCACATCTAAGACAGCCTCATCTAAAACACGACCAGCCAATATTTCATGTAACTGTGAGGCTCCATAATGCCAAGCTTACTTTTTCCCGGATATACAACTTCCACTTAATAATGGAGGCTTGTTGGGTGCTATAGTTTGAATATTTTTGTCCCCTTCAAATTTCATATTAAAACTTAATCTGCAATGCAACAGTATTGGGAGATGTGGCCTTTGGGTGGTGATTGAGTCATGAGGGTAGAGCTGTTATAGGATTAGGTGCCATTATAAAAGAGCTAGATGGAGGGAGCCCATCCCTTTTTTGCACTTCCACCTTTTGCCACATGAAGACATAGGGTTCCTCCCCTTCAGAGGATGCAACACTTACCAGACAACCAAATATGCTACCACCTTGATGTTGGACTTTCCAGCCTCCAGAACTGTGAGAGAATAAATTTCTATTCCTTATGAATTACCCAGTCTATGGTATTTTGTTGTAACAGCACAAACGAAGACATTGGGCAACATCTACTTTGTTGATGTTCTCCTTTCTGACCCACCTCACAGTACAAATGTCGGGGTGTCACAACACCTGCTGCTGCTTTGTTAGTCTCTCAGAGTCCACCAGCAACCAATAACAACCAGTAATAGGCTGACAAATGGACTATGCCAGGTGGTCATGCCAGCCAAGTGCTGTGTCCAAAACCCCAGGAAGCACCATTGCCTAGTGTATTAGTCTGTTCTCATGCTGCTGGTAAACACATACCTGAGATTGGGCAATTTATGAAAGAAAGAGGTTTCAATGGACTCACAGTTCCACATGACTGGGGAGGCCTCATAATCATGGCAGAAGTCAAGGAGGAGCAAGTCACATCTTGCATGGATGGCAGCAGGCAAAAAGAGAACTTGTTCAGGGGAACTCCTCTTTATAAAACTGTCATGTCTTGTGAAATTTATTCACTATCATGGAACAGCATGGGAAAGACTTGCCCCCATGATTCAGTTACCTCCCGTCCCTCCCACAACACGTGGAAATTCAAGATGAGATTTGGGTAGGGACACAGCGAAACCATATCACCTAGTGACCACATTGTTTTGTCATAAGCTCCAGTCTGTGTAATTGTCAATTACTGACACTTGTAGCTCAAAGGGCTTTTCAGAACTGACTGGCCTGAGTGGTAAGTCTGTACAGATTCACAGGACGGGTATAAAATTACGTAGTTTCTTTAGTCACTTCTGCCTCCATTAGTCCTTGGTTAGTATAGTGACATCCATTTCCCACCCCAATATCTTTATTGCTTTGAAGTTACTACATGACTAGACTGGGGAAGTCTGGAAGTCTAGCAGGCTTCTGGTTGTACACTCACACTACTAGCACTGTTCTAATTGTGTCATTTCCCCACAGGGAATATCCATTGCAACCATGAAATGTTACAACCACTTGAGTGTATATTGGTCTGAAAGGACCCATATGTAAGATTTTATAAGTTCATTGTCCAATCTGAGATTTCCAAATCTAGTTAAAGTAATTTTGAGGCTATGTTAATTTCCTATTGCTGCTACAACAAATTAGTACAAACTCAGTGGCTCAAAAAATATATACATTTGTTTTATTACAATTCTGGAGATCAGAAGCCTAAAATTAAGGTGTTTGTAGGGCTGCATTTCTTCTGGAGGCTTCTGGGGATAATCTATGTCCTTGCCTTTTCAATCTTCTAGAGGCCACCTGCATTCCTTGGCTTGTGGCCCCTAACTCCATCTTCAAAGCCAGCAGCATAGTATTTTCTCTCCTCTCTGACTTTCTGACTCCCTCTTATAAGAATTATAATGCCTCTTGTGATTACACTGGGCCAGCGTGGATAATCCAGCATTATTTTCCCACCTCAAAATTTGTAACATAATCACATCTACTAAGTTCCTTTTCCCATGTAACATATTCATAGTTTCTGGGGATTAGGATGTGAACATTTTGAGGGGGACAGCATCATTCCACCTGCCACACTAGCCATGACTATGGATGCTAGCTAGCCAGCATCACAATGGCTTGTATCCCAGTGTTCAGAAGAGTTGAAAAGGTTTGGCAACCTTGGTTGCTGTCAAGTCAGTAACACACCTTGACCAGTGTATAAGGCCTCCAGTCCCACTTAGAGAAGCAGGGACCTTGGCCTCTGCCCTAGTTGTTCTTTTCTTGAAGCGGGGCAGGACCTGGGTTAAGAGGTAGTGTTGAAGGTGTTGGGTCAACACTAGCTTGAACAGCACAAATTTCATCAAGGATTCTAGGTCCTTTTGGTGCTCCTCCTGTTTGTCCACAGTAAACACCAAAGCTAGCTAAGGATTATTCCCTCCTACAGCCAGGATCTTTAAATTTTGTGGTCCTCTTGTGGCCTGATAGTAAGAGAGAACTTCTCTCATGGGAATATTATCAATCTCTTGGGGGACCCTGGTATAATAGCCAGGTCTACAAGGTACTATTGTCTGGATCTTCAGTTGGTTTCTTTTTCTCCTCCTTAGCCTGAAGGACATTTTCCTAGTCCTGTGTTCTGTAGCATTTTGTTTCCCAGGAGCTGAGGAGTTTTCTGGAGGCTATGTCTGGGACACAAGAGAAGATTTTTATTGCCGCTGATAGCCTGGTGGTGCCAACTGAACAAACCAGTGAATCTGACCCTGTATGACTATCTCATCACCTAAGAACTCTTGTTCTCCACTATAAATCCAGGCTCAGGTTACTTTAGCTCTAAGGGAAGTTATAGCTGCCCCTGCTCTCACCCACAGGTGTTTATCAAATACAGAAACTCATCTCAGGTTGGTCACTGTTTCATTATGAATGTAAAGACCTACTGCAACAATTCCTCACTGGTCTTGACATACTCTTCTATGTCAATGTTATTAGCTGAAGTGTATGTGGCCAGGCTGGCTTGGAGCATGGGGCCAGTCTTTATATGACTGAGTGATTTCCATTCCTTCTCATTTATAAAAACTGGAATGGCTATCTCATCTGCTAGTCGGATAAGCCAAGCCCCTGTACTCTTATTGGAATCTGTTCAAAGCTTTCTCCAATTTACCTAATTTCTAGCTCATTGTAAGAGTGGACCACGGCACATGTATGAGTAACTGACTGCGCTTGATTATCAGGGCACGTTATCTGCGGTTATGGCCAGGGATTAGAGGGAAACAGTTTTGCTTTCCCAATGGGACAGAAGGGTGGATAATAACCATGGAATACTTCTTTTTGGCTTTATGGAGTCCCTATCTCTTATCTATAACTATCAATGCAAGTCATCAGGGGTCTCAGGGATGATGGTCAAGGACCACTTGTCCCCCTTTATTGCCAAACGCTTCAGTAACCAGGTCTGCGCTACCACTCACCAATGTTCCATACCTGGCTACCCAGCTTGTGGGGTCACAGCTGTCTTTTTTTCCAAAAAGGCACTGTGACTTTATAGGCCTCCAGGAAGAGAGGATTAAAAATTGGAATGGAGTCAATCTGTCAGGGTAAGGCCAAAGTCCCCTATAGTGTGGCCTCTTTTATTATATACAAATGGCCAAATTTTGTAGGAGTTATAGTTTTTCTATCAGGAACATACTGTTATTTAGCTTGCAAAACACAGCAGTTTTTCTATGATGCCAGAGGGATTCAGTGTTGTGAAGCTACCTACATTGTTTCAAGAAATTTTATTTGAAAAGCAGGCCTTGAATTTTGGGGGAGCTTATCAGTTTTTCCCGTAGCTGGGCAGCCAAGCCTGCTGATAATGAAACCTTTGTCAACCAACAAGACATCATTTATACAGTGAAAACTTTGGACATCAGAGGAATTTCCTAACACCGTATAAACATTCAAGATTCAAGTATGTAACCTATTTTAAACCAATTACACATTTTTACAACTATATACACAATGGATCTTCTCAAGCCTCACTCAAGTTACTTTTTTTCTGTCTCCATAGCAAGTTTTGCCCAAACTCTACTAGGCATCTTTTTTTTCACAGAAACATAGAACAAGAGGCACCTCCAGAGTTACAGGGTAGCTGGAAGCTCAGAGAATAGGGGAATAGGGTGGCACAGGGTGAGCAACTTACACCAGTAAGTGCATCTTTGCACTTACTTTTTTGTGGTTGTAAATGGCCATTCACTGGGCTTCAACAAATGTACTCTTAATAACATCAAAGCATCAATTGAACAGCTGGTTTCAATCTTACTTCTAGCCACTTGACTTCCAAATGTTTATCAGCAGGTAACATGGTAACACTATGGGATCCCTGGGAGTCCTGTCCCTTAACAGGGCTCATACAGACCCTGTGCGAGGACCCTTACTTCTCCTCCCTCACCTACCTCTTAGGCAAGGGCTATGTTACCAGATCCTGGGAGTCTTATCCTTCCTAATATGGCCTATGTAATCCCTTAATAGGAGGACCCTCCTTCACCTTTTGCCCACCACATAGGCAAAAGCATGTGCAACCAGATGCCAAGGAATTTATCTTTTCACTTAACCAGGACTGTGCAGCTCCATGTTTTCTAAAAGGACACTATAAATTTACTGGCTTCACATTGACACAAAATTTGTCAGGCTCACAAGTAATAATAAGGCAAAGCCAAGGCCTGACTGATTTGACTAGTAAAAATTCAACAAGCTGCTTTTAGATTTAGGCAGTTTAGTACTTACATAGACAGTGAAAGAAAGATTAGCCAAAGGTGCCAGATCCCTGTGATCCTTGTCTCACACACCAAAAAGGATGACACCAAAAGGGACTAGGAGACTACAACACAACTTGTACAGTACTTTGTTACTGAGGAGCTAAATCTAGATAGCAGTTAAGTGATTCTATATCTTGCAGCCCTATTTTGAAGAGGATGGGACAGAAAGCCTATTACCTCCTCAGAACCAGGAAGTAGATGGGAAACTGTCTCATGACAGCCTCCCGGGGAACTAGGAAGGTAAGAGATCGCCTTACAGCAGCTTCTTATAGGCTTCCCATTCTCTTGTGTTCCAGGAGGATCATAAGGCACTCTTCTAAAACCCAGGTTAGGTGTGGTTCAAGCCTTTGCCAATGTGGATACAAACAAGGCACAAGGGCACCATGACAGAACCATTCCCTTTGGGTGAAAACCATAGATGTGAACCCAGTGATCCATAGAATTACTAAGTCTGTTTAGGCCTTTCACATTTATAATGAGGGATATCTCATTTTCCTCCTCCTCATTTAGCCATTCATTCTCAATCTACTTTGCTGTCTCTTCTATTTTTCCCCTCCCTGCTCAACATTTTACTCTACACAAACTTCAAATTGAGAACCTATACTCCTTTAGTGTACTTTTGTTTGTGTTTGCTCCCTGTCTAGATTCTGAAATGTTTGTGGGGAAATATTCCATTTCATTGCCTTTTCTATATCCAGTAGATATCACACTGAATGAAATATGGTAGGCTATTTGTTGAATTAAAATTAATTTTAGCATTGACACTAATTGGAAAAAGATCCCATCCAATCTGGAATTAGTAGATGATTTTTCTGTATGTGCTGTATGTGTCTTGTTTGTGATTTTAGTGCATCAAGTGCTATATAAATTCTGTTAGGCAAGTGAGGGATTTGAGGACTAGAAATTGGACTCAATTTTCTGTGTCTGTCCTCACAGTGACTAGCTCAGTTCTCAATACAAAATATGTTAAGCATCATTTCTATCACTTTAGTAACTCATGTCTTCCCTACGGTTTTTGTCTCATCTACACATGGCCTGTACTTAATATTTTTAAAATTAAATTAACTCCAAAAATGAATCCTCTGGGTACTGAACAATATTATTAAATAAAAATAAATTTAAATGTTAATATATCCAAAGATACTCCCATCCTCAGAATCCCCTCCCAGAATATACCCTCCATCCCTATCGATGCTTCAAGGGTTCACCCACCAGTTCCAGGGGTTGGTATTTCCAGTCACAGAACCTCCTTAGGAGATGCGATGACTCTGAGTTAGGGCCACCATAGAAACCAGAGAAAGAACTGTTCCTGAAGCTAGAGAAAAGGAAAGTACTTACAATCTGAACCCAAAGGAATCTTGTACTTCCCATATCATGATCTCAGAACTTGTTTGAGCCAGTGAGGCAGAGCAGATGGCAGACCAGAAAGAAAAAAAAATGAGCTCACCTTGGCTTATTCTCCTTGAAGGGGAAGATATTCTAGCTTCATGCCTCTGAGGTTCTAGGAGAGATCACAGCCCCACAGCCACTCCTAGAAAAAGAGGCACCTGCATATCAAACAACTCTGAAGAAAATCTGCCAAATTCCAAACTTCCCCTCTCCCACACATTCCCCAGAGAAACTCCCCAACAAGGCCCTCAATAATAAAGTGGTAACACCAAGAGGATATATGTCAAAAGAAATATAGATCCAAGATTATTTTCTAGGTTTTAAGAAAGGCAATAGCAACAAAATCCAAAATAGACAAATGGGATCTAATTAAACTAAAGAGCTTCTGCACAGCAAAAGAAACTATCATCAGAGTGAACAGGCAACCTACAGAATGGGAGAAAATTTTTGCAATCTACCCATCTGACAAAGGGCTAATATTCAGAATCTACAAAGAACTTAAACAAATTTACAAGAAAAAAACAACCCCATCAAAAAGTGGGTGAAGGATATGAACAGACACTTCTCAAAAGAAGACATTTATGCAGCCAGCAGACATATGAAAAAATGCTCATCTTCACTGGTCATCAGAAAAATGCAAATCAAAACCACAGTAAGATACCATCTCACACCAGTTACAATGGCGATCATCAAAAAGTCAGGAAACAACAGATGCTGGAGAGGATGTGGAGAAATAGGAATGCTTTTACACTGTTGGTGGGAGTGTAAATTAGTTCAACCATTGTGGAAGACAGTGTGGCGATTCCTCAAGGATCTAGAACTTGAAATACCATTTGACCCAGCAATCCCATTACTGGGTATATACCCAAAGGATTATAAATCATGCTACTATAAAGACACATGTACACATATGTTTTTTGTGGCACTATTCACAATAGCAAAGACTTGGAACCAACCCGAATGTCCATCAATGAAAGACTGGATTAAGAAAATGTGGCACATATACACCATGGAATATTATGCAGCCATAAAAAAGGATGATTTCATGTCCTTTGCAGGGACATGGATGAAGCTGTAAACCATCATTCTAAGCAAACTATCAGAAGGACAGAAAACCAAACACTGCATGTTCTCACTCATAAGTGGGAGTTGAACAATGAGAACACATGGACACAGGGCAGGGAACATCACACACCAGGGCCTGTCGGGGGGTGGGGGGCTAGGGGAGGGATAGCAGTAGGAGAAATATCTAATGTAAATAATGAGTTGATGGGTGCAGCAAACCAACATGGCACATGTATACCTATGTAAAAAACCTGCACGTTGTGCACATGTACCCTAGAACTTAAAGTATAATAATAATAATAATAAATGGTCTCTAAAAACATTAACAGGAGGAGGACTGGAGACCATGAGAAAGAAGAAAACTTAGGGGTAGAACATGAATCAGATAATAGAGACCTTTTCTTTATTTGTCTTTTATAAATATGAAAATAGGGCTCATCAATCTAAAATAATCAAAAACATGAGAATCTAGTTTAAAGAGAGTTTTATTCATGAGCAAAAGTTGAGGACAGGCTGCCCAGGAAAGCACAAGCTCCAAAGAATGGAAGTCAGTATTCCAAAGTGTAGAAGTTTGGGATCGTTTATATAAACAAAGTTCAGGAAAGTTTCACAGAATTTCAGTATCTTTCTATGTAAAGCTTAAGGCACAGTTACAATGATCTGATTAGTTAAGGAGGTCCTTTTATTTCATGAAAGGTATATTTAACATTCCACAGTGAAGATGAAACTGTCATGGGGTTCCTATTCAGGTGCCATCTTGTCTGAGTTAGGTACAGGACAATAAAGGAAGCAGTTAATCTGTAATAAAGTTCAGTGATTGGAGGGGGAGGTCTTGTCTCTGGTCTTTCCTAGTCATTTACAGAACAATAACAATGAGGACAAGAGTTAAGCTATAATCTGTGAAGTAGAGTTATAATCATGCTATGTGACTCAGATTACAGTCACATCTCGCTCAAGGCTTAAAATGTTTTGAGGGTTCCAATGGCTTTTTTAAAATTCCAATGGCTTTTAAATCTGATTCATTTTTCACATTTCCCCCTTTTTAATCAATATCTTTCAAAGATTAGAAGGAGCAAGATTATGTGAAAAAAAAAGATATTTCAAAGAAAGCATCATAGATGAGCAAAACAATAGCTTTGCCTCCTTTTATGTTCAGGAGTATAGTCCCATGTCACTAGGAAGGTTCTTTCCTAGAATGTCATGTGCCATGGCAAAGGGAAATTGGACAAGCCATAAAGTTGATGGAGTATAGGCCAAATTTAAAGAAACATGAAAAAAGTGATTTTGTGACCTGTGTTAGGCTAAACAGATATATCTTCAATTAATGCAGTTCTTTGGGCAATCATTATTCTAATCTTTTTAGTCATGCATTGACTCCATTGCAAACAAATGCCATAACAGCAGTGTAGACAAAAACAGGACAAAACACAACATATGATTATAATTCCCAGGATAAATAACAGATTTTGCCACCAAATTCCCCAAAATCCAAACAAGCTGCTTAGCCAATTGCTTGGAGAGGGTTTTGGATCTGAAAGGTTGGTTAGTTGGGTTTTCATGCCATCGTTTAATTTAGTGATGTTATTTGATTCATCTGGGATATAGATACAACGTTCAGTTTTTATGATAGTGCAGGTTCCCCCTTGGGCAGCACTGAATATGCTTAAAGCCATAGAGTTCTATAATATACCATTTCTCACAAGAGTAATTTCATTATTTAATAACAAAATACCCATGCAGCTATCATTTAGTGCTTTTTGTGTATAATTGGTTAGGGTCTCTACATGGCAAAATGACATGCTCAATACCTAGTTGTGGTGTGAAGATGGAAGCTAAATGGTCATACCAATAGGACACAACAAATCCAACAAGATTGTAAATGAGGAAAATTTGAAGGTTTTGACAAGGTATGAACTACTTAACCTTGCACCCAACCATAACCAAGGGAACATTGTCCTAACCTTCCTGGGGGTAACCATGGCCATAGGTTAGTGCCACATAGCCAAGACATTCTATTTGGAGCTAACTAATAAATACATGGTCATTGTGCCTATTCAGTGTTACGTCAATCAGTACTTTTTAACATAATGTTGTCGATACAATATTCTTTGGGTATCCATTCCATATCTCTAGTGCTACTGGGCCAGGTGTCTTTAGTATGATTTCTCTGTTCCCAACATAAAGGGTCAGGCTGGCTGAGCTGACCAAAGGAGGGGTTAAACCAGATAAAACCATCCCAAATTTGTTATACCATCCTGAAATAGTATTGTCTTAGGTTTTAAGTGGGGCAGTGTTACTGTTTCATACATCAGTTGGGGTAGTGGCAGCGTTAAAGCTAATGAACTAAATTTTTTACTGAGAAGCTTTTCCCATGCCCTTTTTCTGCAAAGTACTAACAGGCCAATGATGAACATTGTTCTTAATTACACTAGTGTCAAGCACCAATGACTGGTTTTGAGAAAGATGGATATATTTCTGACGTTTTATCCACTCTTGTCCGAAGGGAGGAGATACTCACCACAGAAGGCTAGAAATACTGGAAAGGGGCATGAGACTACACACCCGTCAAGCACCTTTTTGTTATCTATTACATAATCCTGGGCTCATTGCAGAAAGAGATTTGCTTCATAAGCAACAGCTGGTGATAGTAGTGCCAACATGGGAGAAACAAGGACAAAAGGAAAGAAGTTTAGTGGGAGTTTGTAAAGGAAGATGTTCCCCATCTATTAATAATTGTATATTAAGTATTCATTTAGATAGAGGCCTAACCCAGAGTCTTGTGTTTTAGCTGTCTAAATCAGATGTCATCTCTTCTTGAACTGGCATCAACTTATTTTAAGTTGGAGGTCACTTTCTGGGAAAACAGTCTACTCAGGAGATGGAACATTCTTTAGAAGAGAAATGTGGATCTTTGTGTCTATTCCTTCTAATTTAACAGCACAAGGGTTACTAAGAAGCACTTGGTAAGGGGCCCTCCATTTTGGTTGGAAAGAGTCTTTTCAAAGATGCTGGGGAGGGGGCGGGGCCAAGATTGCCTACTAGAAGCAGTGTGTTCTGAGGCTCCCATGGAAAACAACAACAACAACAAAAACAAACAAACAAACAAAACACATAATAAGCATGTGAATCCTTTACCGGCAACCAAGGTATCCAGGTTCTATCATCAAAACTGACTAGAAGGCTGGTGTGACCCACGGAGAAGGAAGATCAATGTGGTGCAGCGGCCCACCTGAGAGCCACAAGAGCCACACAGGGAAGGGGATCCCCCTCCCCGCAGCCAAGAGAGGTGGTAGGTGAGCGTGCTACCCAGCCGGGGAAACCGTACTTTTCCCAAGTAACTGTGCAACCCATGGATCGGAATATCCCACTCATGAATCCATGCCACCAGGGCCTAGCATCCCAACCCCAGAACACACACATTCTTACAGCCTCTCAGCTAGAATCTGCTTAAGCCTACGGAACTCCTGGGGGGAGGGGCGACGAGCACTGGCTGCTGCTGCCTGCTATCTAAGCCCTTTGAGCTCTTTGGGGGTGGGGCAGCAGCCATCAGTGGGACTCGCAACTGCCTAACATACTAAGCTCCCTGGGCAGGGGAAGGGCAGCACCCATCTCTGTAGCCCCAGGCTGAGCTTTTCCCCTGCTGGAGCCAGGGAGGCTGGATGGCTTAGTCCCAAGACTTGTCCCCCACAGCCCAACACACAGGCTGTGGTAGTCTGAGGCCAGAGGACCTCTTCAGGCCTGAATCTGACCCATCCTTCCTCATTGGGTGTGGCTTCCCTGCAGGAACTCCAATAACTCTAGTCAGAGGCTCAGGGACAGAACCCAGATCTCCCTGGGCCTAAGTCCCTAGGGGGAGAGGTAGGCCCAGTCTCTGTGGACCAACAGACTTAGCCTTTCCTCCTGGTAGTTCTGAGGAATATGGGCAGCCCAGATGAGTGGATTTTCCCCCAGTGAGGCACACCCCCCTCCACCAAAGGACAAAGTGCTTCATTACATGGGTCCTGTCCCCCATGCCACCCAACTGGGTGAGACCCTCCAACGAGGTTGTCAGACACCCTATACAGGAGTGATCCTACCGGCATCAGGTTGGTGCCCCTTGAGGTCAGAGGTCCCAGAAAAAGAAGCAGGCACCCATGCCATCTGTGCTGTTCTCCAGCCTCCTTGAGTGACATCTCCAGGTGTGGGAGTGAATCAGATGAATAGGGCCTGAACTGAACCCCCAGCAAACGGCAGCAGCCCTACAGAAGAGGGACCTGACCATTGACCGAAAAACAAACAAGTGGAAAGCAACAACAACAGCATCGACAACAGCAACAAAAAGCCCCCATAAAAACCCCATCCAAGGGTCAGAGCAAAGAGCAAAGCTAGACAAACTCATGAACATGAGAAAGAATCAGTGAAAAACTGCTGAAAGCCCAAAAGGCCAGAGTGCCTTTTCTCTTCCAAGTGGTCTCAATATCTGTCCATCAAGGGCACAGAACTGGACAGAGGATCAGATGGACGAATTGACAGAAGTAGGCTTTAGAAGATGGGTAACAAAAAACAAAGATGAGCTAAAGGAACATGTTCTAACCCAATGCAGAGAAGCTAAGAACATTGGTAAAAGGTTAGAGGAATAGGCTGGGCACGGTGGCTCACGCTTGTAAGCCCAGCACTCTGGGAGGTCGAGGCGGGCGGATCACGAGGTCAGGAGATCAAGACCATCCTGGCTAACACAGTGAAACCCCGTCTCCACTAAAAATACAAAAAAAAAAAAAAACTAGCTGGGCATGGTGACAGGCACCTGTAGTCCCAGCTACTCAGGAGGCTGAGGCAGGAGAATGGCGTGAACCTGGGAGGCGGAGCTTGCAGTGAGCCGAGATCGCGCCACCCCACTCCAGCCTGGGTGAGAGCGAGACTCCATCTAAAAAAAAATAAAAGGTTAGAGGAATTGCTAACTATAATAACCAGTTTAGAGAGGAAGATAAACGACCTGATGGAGCTGAAAAACACAGCATGAGAACTTCGGGAAGCATACACAAGTATTAACAGCTGAATCAACAGAGTGGAAGAAAGGATATAAGAGTGTGAAGACCACCTTACTGAAATAAGCCATGCAGACAAGACTTGAGAAAAAAAAAATGAAAAGGAATGAACAAAGCCTCCAGGAAATATAGGACTTCATAAAACACCAAACCTACAATTGATTGGAGTACCAGAAACAGACAGGGAGAATGTAAACAAGCTGGAAAATACACTTCAAGATACTATCCAGAACTTCCCCAACCTAGCAAGACAGGCCAACATGCAAATTCAGGAAATACAGAGAACACCATTAAGATACTCAACAAGAAGATCAACCCAAGACAAATAATCATCAGATTCTCCAAGGTTGAAATGAAGAAAAAAATGTTAAGGGCAGCGAGAGAGAAAGACCAGGTCACCTACAAAGGAAAGCCCATCAGACTAACAGCAGAACTCTCACCAGAAACTCTACAAGCCAGAAGAGACTGGGGGCCAATATTCAACACTCTTAAAGAAAAGAATTTCCGACCCAGAATCTCATATCCAGCCAAGCTAAGCTTTGTAAGCAAAGGAGAAGTAAAATCCTTTCCAGACAAGCAAATGCTGATGGATATTGTTACTACCAGGCCTGCCCTGCAAAAGCTCCTGAAAGGAGCACTAAATATTGAAAGGAAACACCTGTACCAGCCACTGCAAAAACATACCAAAATATAAAGACCAATGACACTACAAAGAAACTGCATCAACTAGGTGTGCAAAATAACCATACAGCATCATGATGACAGGATCAAATTCACACATAAGAATACTAACTTTAAATGTAAATGGGTTAAATGCCACAATTAAAATACACAGACTGAAAAATTGGATATGCAGTCAAGACCCATGGGTGTGCTATATTCAGGAGACCCATCTTACATGCAAAGACACACACAGGCTCAAAATAAAGGGATGGAGGAAAATTTACCAAGTAAATGGAAAGCAAAAAAAGAAAAAGCAGGGGTTGCAGTCCTAGTCTCTGACAAAACAGACTTTAAACCAGCAAAGATCAAAAAAGACAAAGAACAGCATTACATAATGGTAAAGGGAACAATTCAACAAGAAGAGCTAACTATTCTCAATATATATGCACCCAACACAGGAGCACCCAGATTCATAAAACAAGTTCTTGGAGACCAACAAAGAGACTAGGAATCCCACACAATAATAGTGGGAGACTTTGACACCCCACTGTCAGTATTAGACAGATCAACAAGACAGAAAATTAACAAGGATATTCAGGACTTGAACTCAGCTCTGGATCAAGTGGACCTAGTAGATGTCTACAGAAATCTCCACCCCAAATCAGTAGATTGTACATTATTCTCAGTGCCACATGGCACTTATTCTAAAATCACCCACATAATTGGAAGAAAAACACTCCTCAGCAAATGCAAAAGAACGGAAATCATAACAAACAGTCTCTCAGACCACAGTGCAATCAAATTAGAACTCAGGATTAAGAAACTCACTCAAAATCACACAATTTCATGGAGATTGAACAACCTGCTCCTGAATGACTCCTGGGTAAATAATAAAATTAAGGCAAAAATCAAGAAGTTCTTTGAAACCAATGAGAACAAAGAGACAATGTACCAGAATCTCTGGGGCACAGCTAAAGCAGTGTTAAGAGGGAAATTTATAGCACTAAATGCCCATATCAGAAAGCTAGAAAGATCTCAAATCAGCACCCTAACATCACAATTAAAAGAGCTAGAGAGGCAAGAGCAAACTAATCCAAAAGCTAGCAGAAGACAAGAAATAACTAAGAGCAGAGAAGAATTGAAGGAAACAGACACACAAAAAACCCTCCAAAAAAAAATTCAATGAATCCAGGAGCTGGTTTTCTGAAAAAATTAACAAAATAGATAGACCACTAGCTAGACTAATAAGAAGAGAGAGAAGAATCAAATAGATACATTAAAAAATGATTAAGGGGATATCACCACTGACCCCACAGAAATATAAACTACCATCAGAGAATACTATAAACACTTCTACACAAATAAACTAGAAAATCTAGAAGAAATGGATAAATTCCTGGATGCATACACCCTACTGAGACTAAACCAAGAAGAAGCTGAATCCCTGTATAGACCAATAACAAGCTCTGAAACTGAGGCAGTAATTAATAACCTACCAACCTGAAAAAAAAAAAAGCCCAGGACTAGATAGACGGATTCACAGCTGAATTCTACCAGAAATACATAAAGGTGCTGGTACCATTCCTTCTGAAATTATTCCAAACAATTGAAAAGGAGGGACTCCTCCCTAACTCATTTTATGAAGCCAGCTTCATCCTGATACAAAAACTGGGAAGAGACAACAAAAAATGAAAACTTCAGGTCAATATCCCTGATGAACATTGATGTGAAAATACTCAATAAAACACTGGCAAACTGAATCCAGCAGCACATCAAAAAGCTTATCCACCACGATCAAGTCAGCTTTACCCCTGGGATGCAAGGCTGGTTCAACATATGCAAATCAATAAACATAATCCATCACACAAATAGAACCAAAGAGAAAAACTACATGATTATCTCAATAGATGTAGAAAAGGCCTTTGATAAAAGTCGACATTCCTTCATGTTAAAAACTCTCAGTAAACTAGGTACTGATGGAACATATCTCAAAATAATAAGAGCCATTTATGACAAGTCACAGCCAATATCATATTGAATGGGCAAAAGCTGGAAGCATTCCCTTTGAAAACTGGTACAAGACAAGGATGCCATCTCTCACCACTCCTATTCCACACTATATTGCAAGTTCTGGCAAGGGCAATCAGGCAAGAGAAAGAAATAAAGGGTATTCAAATAGGAAGAGAGGAAGTCAAGATGTTTCTGTTTCCAGATGAATTTATATTATATATATATATAATATAAAATCCAAATGATTTTATATTAATAAAACCCAATCATCTTGGCCCAAAAACTTCTTGAACTGATAAGCAACTTGAGCAAAGTCACAGGATACAAAATCAATGTGGAAAAATCACAAGCCTTCCTTTATACCAACAATAGGCAAGCAGAGCGCCAAATCATGAATGAACTCTGATTCACAATCACTACAAAGAGAATAAAATACCTAAGAATACAGCTAACAAGGGATGTGAAGGACCTCTTCAAGGAGAACTACAAACCACTGCTCAAGGAAATAAGAGAGAACACAAACAAATGGGAAAACATTCCATCCTCATGGACAGGAAGAATCAATATCGTGAAAATGGCCATACAGCCCAAAGTAATTTACAGATTCAGTGTTATTCCCAAACTACCATTGACATTCTTCACAGGATTAGAAAAAACTATTTTAAATTTCATATCAAATCAAAGAAGACCCTGTATAGACAAGACAATCCTAAGCAAAAAGAACAAAGCTGGAGACATCACGCTGCCTGACTTCAAACTATACTACAAGGCTATGGAAACCAAAATGGCATGGTACTGGTATCAAAACAGACATATAGACCAATGGAGCAGAACAGAGACCTCAGAAATAATACCACACATCTACAACCATCTGATCTTCAACAAACCTGACAAAAACAAGCAATGGGGAAAGGATGTCCTATTCAGTAAATGGTGCTGGGAAAACTGGCTAGCCATATGCAGAAAACTGAACCTGGACCCCTTCCTTACACCTTATTCAAAAATTAACTCAAGATGGATTTAGACTTAAATGTAAAACCCAAAACCATAAAAACCCTAGAAGAAAACCTAGGCAATGTCATTCAGGACATAGGCGTGTGCAAAGACTTCATGACAAAAACACCAAAAGCAATGGCAACAAAAGCCAAATTTGAAAATGGGATTTAATTAAACTAAAGAGCTGCTGCACAGCAAAAGAAATTATCATCAGAGTGAACAGGCAACCTACAGAATGAGAAAATTTTGGCAGTCTACCGATCTGACAAAGTTCTAATAGCCAGAATTTACAAGGAACTTAAACATATTAGCAAGAAAAAAACAACCCCATCAAAAAGTGAGCAAATGATATGAACAGACACTTCTCAAAAGAAGACATTTACGTGGCCAAGAAACATATGAAAAAAAGCTCAACTTCACTGATCATCAGAGAAATGCAAATCAAAACCACAATGACATACCATCTCACGCCAGTCAGAATGGCAATTATTAAAAAGTCAAGAAACAATAGATGCTGCAAGGCTGTGGAGAAATTGGAACGCTTTTACACTGTTGGTGGGAATGTAAATTAGTTCAACCATTGTGGAAGACAGTATGGCAATTCCTCAAGGGTCTAGAACCGGAAATACCATTTGACCCAACAATCCCATTAATGGGTATATATCCAAAGGAATAAAAATCATTCTACTATAAAGTCACATGCACACGTATGTTTATTGCAGCACTATTTACAATAGCAAAGACATGGAACCAACCCAAATGCCCATCAATGATAGACTAAAGAAAATGTGGTACACATACACCATGGAATACTCTGCAGCCATAAAAAGGAATGAGATCATATCTTTTGCAGGGACATGGATGAAGCTGGAAGCCATCATCCTCAGCAAACTAACTCAGTAACAGAAAACGAAACAGCATATGTTCTCGCTTATAAGTGGGACTTGAACATTGAGAACATACGGACACAGACAGGGGACACACGAGGGCCTGCTGGGGGGCAGGGGGCAAAGGGAGGGAATTTAGAGGACGGGTCAACTGGTGCAGCAAACCACCATGGCACACATATACCTTTGTAACAAATCTGCATGTTCTGCACATGTATCCCTTTTTTTTTTTAGAAGTAATTAAAAAAAATGCTGGGGAGAAGGTGGAGCAAGATGGCTGGATAGAAAGCTGCCTGATTGCTCCCCCACCTTACCCACCACCACCAGCAAGGACACAAGGCTAACAACTATTTACACAGGAAAAAAAAAAAAAAACCACCTTCATAAGAATCGAAAATCAGGTGAGTACATATAGTACCTTGTTTTAACTTCGTATCACTGAAAGAGGCACTGAAGAGATAGAAAAAGCAGTCCTGAATCGCCAACACTACCCCTCCCCTACCCCAGCAATGACAGAGTGGTGCAGAGCTTCTCTGGGTGCTGGAAGAGAAACAACACAACAGTTTTGAGGCATTGAATTCAGTACTGTCCTGTTACAGCAGAATGGAAAATTAGACCAAATAGAGCTGATGCTTCTCCACGGAGGGAGCATTTAAGCCAGCCCTAGCCAGAGGGGAATCACCCATTCCAGAAGTCTGAACTTGAATGCCTACAGACCTCACCACCAAGGGCTACACCACTCTGTGTCTCCAAGTAAATGTGACAAGCACTCTAGGCCATAAGGAGTGAAACTCTTAGGGGAGAGGCCAGTCCTAGGGCTGAACTAGGGTCAAAAACAGTGGACTAGTCAGTAGGGGTGGGGGGACTCGACCTACTGAGACACGAGGAGTTAGGGCAGCCAAGAAGTGCTGATATCATCCCTCCCCTACCCCCAAGATGCACAGTCATGGCTACAAAACAGACTCCTTTCTTCATTCGAGAAGAGGAGAGGGAAGCGTGGGTAGGACTTTGTCTTACATCTGGGATACCAGCTCAGCCACAGCAGTAAAGGGCACCAGTCAGAGCTGTGAGGCCCCCATTGCAGACCCTAGCTCCTGGAGAACATTTATAGACATAACCTGGGCCAGTAAAGAACCCACTGCCTTGAAGAAAAGGACCCAGTCCTGGCAGCATTCATCACCTACTAACTGAAGAGACCTTGGGCCATGAATAACCAGTAGTGATACCCAGGTACCACATCAAAGGCCTTGGGTGAGCCTCTGACATCTGCTGGCTCCAGGTACCAGCACAGCCACAGTGGGGTAGAGCACCAAGTCGGCTCTTGATGTCCCTGATTCCAGGACTTGATGCTTAAATGGCATTTCTGGACCTGCCCTGAGCCAGAATGTAGCTCACTTCCCTGAAGGGTGAGTTCCAGGCCAGGCAGCATTCACAACATGCTGACTTACAAGACCACGGGCCTTAGGGGGACATCAGTGGTAGTCTGGCAGTACTCCTCATGGCCGGGGGTGGTGGTGGCTACAGGGTAAGGCTCCTCTGAGGGAAGAAAGGGAAGAATTGCGTCTTGCGGTTGAAGTGCCAGCTCAGCTGCAATATAATAGAATACCAGGTAGATGTCTAAGGTTTTTGACTCTAGTCTCTGACTCCCTGACATCACTTATGGACCCTCCCAAAGCCTGGGGGACTTTTATGTCCTGAAGGGAAGGACACACCACACGCCTGGCTGGCTTTGCTACCTGCTGATTGTAGAGCCCCAGGGCCTTGAATGAACAGAGGCAGTAGTCAGGGAGTGGTTACAGCAGGCCTTGAGCAAGACCCAGAACTTTGCTGGCTTCAGGTCTCACCCAGTACAGTCCTAGTGGTAGTAGTGGCCACAGGGTGCCTGGGTCACTCCACCCCCAGCTTTAAGTGGCACAGAACAGACAGAGAGAGACTCTGTATGTTTGGGAGAAATTAACAGAAGAGAATAGGAGTCTCTGCCTGGTAATCCAGAGAATTCACTTGGATCTTGTGCAAAACCATCAAAGTGATACTTCTATGAGTCTGTAAGAACCACAGTGTTATTGGGCTTGGCATGCCCCACTAAAGCAGATACAGGTTAGATCACAATCCCAAGTCCTTTCAAATATCTAGAAAGCCTTCCCAAGAAGGATGGCTACAAATAAGCCCAGACGGTGAAGACTATGATAAATACCTACTCTTCAATGCCCAGACACTGAAGAACCTTTATTTTACTAGCATCAACACCATCCAGGAAAACATGATCTCACCAAACGAACTAAATAAGGCACCAGGGACCAGTCCTAGAGAAAAAGAGATATGTGACGTTTCAGGAAGATAATTCAAAATGGCTGTTTGGAGGAAACTTCGAGAAATTCAGATAACACAAAGAATTAATTCAGAATTCTATCTGATACATTTGACAAAGACATTGAAATAATTAAAAAGAAGCAGAAATTCTGGAGCTGAAAAAAATGCCATTGTCATACTGAAAAATGCATTATAATCCTTTAACAGAATGGATCAAGCAGAAGAAAGAATTAATGAGCTTGAAGATAGGCTGTTTGAAAATACATAGAGGAGACAAAAGAAAAAAGAATAAAAAACAATGAAGCATGCCTACAAAATCTAGAAAATAGCATCAAAAGGGAAAATCTAAGAGATATTGGCCCTACAGAAGAGGTAGAGAAATAGGGGTAGAAAGTTTATTCAAAGAGATTAAACTTCCCAAACCTAGGGAAACATATCAATATCCAAGTACAAGAAGGTTATAGAACACCAAGCAGATGTAACCCAAAGAAGACTACCTTAAGGCATTTAACAATCAAAATCCCAAAGGTCAAGGAAAAAAGAAAGAATCGTAAAAGAAGCAAGAGAAAGGAAACAAGTAACATACAACAGAGCTCAAATACATCTGACAGCAGACTTTTCAGTGGAAACCTTATAGGCCAGGAGAGAGTGACATGCCATATTTAAAGCGCTGAAGAAAAAAATATTTTACCCTAGAATAGTATATCTGACAAAAATATCTTTGAAACATGAAGGAGAAATAAAGAATTTCCTGGACAAACAAAAGCTGAGGGATTTCATGAACATCAGACATGTCCTATAAGAAATGCTAAAGCAAGGACTTGAATCAGAAAGAAAAGAATATTAATGAGCAATAATCACCTGAAGCTACAAAACTCATTGGTAACAGTAAGTACACAGAAAAACACAGAATATTATAACATTGTAACTATGGTGTGTAAACTACTCTTATCCCAAGTAGAAAGACTAAACAATAAACCAATTAAAATAACTACAACAAAGTTTTTCAAGACATAGGAAGTACAATAAGATATAAATAGAAACAGCAAAAAGTTAAACAGCAGAGGAACAAAGTTAAGGTGTAAAGTTTTATTAGTTTATGTTTGATTGTTTATGCAAATAGTGTTAAGTTTTTATCAGGTTAAAATAATGGGTTATAAGATAGTATTTGCAAGCCTCATGGTAATCTCAAACCAAAAAACATACAATGGATACACCAAAAATAAAAAGCAAGAAACTAAATCGTATCACCAGAGAAAATCACCTTCACTAGAGGAAGACAGGAAGGAAAGAAGGAAGAAAAGGCCAGAAAACAAATATCAAAATGGCAGACGTCTTTACTTATCAATAATAACATTGAATATAAATGGACTAAACTCTCACATCAAAAGACATAGACTGGTTGAATGGATGAAAAACAAGACCCATTGATCTGTTATCCTCAAAAAACATACTTCACCTATAAAAACACATATAGACTGAAAATAAAGGGAGAGAAAAAGATATTCCATGCCAATGGAAAACAAGAGCAGGAATAGCTATATTTATATCAGGCAAAATAGATTTCAAGACAAAAACTATTAGAAAAGACAAAGAAGGTCAGCGTGTAATGATAAAGGGGTCAGTTCAGCTAGAGAATATGACAGTCTTAAATATATATGCCCCCAACACTGGAGCATCCAGATATATAAAGGAAAATCTATTAGAGCTAAAGAGAGAGTTCAGCCCCAATGTAATCATAGCTGGAGTCTTCAGCACCCCACTTTCAGCATTAAACAGATCTTCCAGACAGAAAATCAACAAAGAAACATCAGACTTAATCTGCACTATAGACCAAATGTATACAATATATATTTACAAGACATTTTATCCAAGAGCTGCAGATCTAATATATATTTATAGAACATTTCATCCAAGAGCTGGGGAATACACCTTCTTTTCCTCAGAACATGGAATATTCTCAAGAATGAGCCATATGATAGGTCACAAAACAAGTCTTAAAACATTCAAAAAATTGAAAAATATCAAGCATCTTACCACAATTGAATAAAACTAGAAATTAATAATAGAGAAATTTTGGAAACTATACAAATACATGGAAATTAAACAATATGCTCCTCAATGACTAATGGGTCAATAAAGAAATTAAGAAGGAAATTGAAAAATATCTGGAAACAAATGTTAATGGAAATACAACATACCAAAACCTATGGGATACAGCAAAAGCAGTAGAAAAGGGAAGTTCATAGCTATAAGGGCCACATCAAAAAAGAAGAAAACCTTCAAATGAGAAAACGATACATCTTAGAAAATCTAGAAAGCCAGAGCAAACCAAGCCCAAAATTAATGGAAGAAAATAAATCAAAAGGTCTGAGCAGCAATAAATGAAATTGAAATGAAGAAAACAAGACAAAAGATCAATGAAACAAAAGTTGGTTTTCTGGAAAGTTAAACAAAATTAGCAAATCTTTAGCCAGACAAAGAAAGAAAGAATATACTAATAAATAAAATGAAAAATGAAAAAGAAGACATTATAACTGATACTACAGAAATTAAAGGATCATTAGTGGCTACTATGAACAACTATATACCAATAAATTGGAAAATCTAGAAGAAATGGACAAATTCCTAGATACATACAACCTACCAAGATTGAACCAGGAAAAAATCCAAAACCTGAACAGACAAATAACAAGTAATGAGATCAAAGCTGTAATAAAAAGTCTCCCAGAAAAGAAAAATCCAGGAGCTGCTGGCTTGACTGCTGAATCCAACATTAATACAAATCCTACTTAAACTTTTCTGGAAAATAGAAGATGAAGGAACACTTCCAAACTCATTCCACGAAGCCAGTATTACCCTGATACCAAAACCAGACAAAGACACATCAAAAAAAGAAAACTACAGGACATCATCTCTGAGGAATATTGATGCAAAAATCTCAACAAAATACTAGCAAACTGAATTCAACAAACATTAGAAAGATCATTCATCATGATCAAGTGGGATTTATTCCTGGGACGCAAGGATGGTTCAACATATGCAAATCAATCAGTGCGATCCATCATATCAACAGAATGAAGGACAAAAACCATATGATCATTTCAATTGATGCTGAAAAAGCATTTGATAAAATCCAGCATCCCTTCATGATAAAAACCCTTAAAAAACTGGTTATAGAAGGAACATATATCAACATAGTAAAAGCCATATATGAAAGACCCACAGCTAGTATCATACTGAATGAGGAAAAACTGAAAGCCTTTCCTCTAAGATCTGGAACACAACAAGGATGCTCAGTGTCACTGCTGTTATTCAGCATAGTACTGGAAGTCCTACCTAGAGCAATCAGACAAGAGAAATAAAGGGCACATGGTTGAAAAGAAAAAAAAAATCAAATTATCTTTGTTTACAGATTATATGAGCTTATATTTGGAAATACCTAAATACTCCACAAGAAAACTATTAGAACTGATAAACAAATTCAGTAAAGTTGTAGGATACAATATCAACATGCAAAATCAGTAGCATTTCCATATGCCCATAGCCACAATAGCCACACATAAAATTAAAAAGCTAGGAATTAAACAGAGAAAAGAAAGATCTCTTTAAAGAAAAGTATAAAACACTGATGAAAGAAATTGAAGAAATCACCAGAAAATGGAAAAATATTTCATGTTCATAGATTGGAAAAATCAATATTGTTATTGGAAGAATTAATATTGTCCATGCCACTAAAGCAATCTACAGACTCAATGCAATCCCTACCAAACTACCCATGACATTCTTCACAGGAATAGAAAGAGCATTCCTAAAATTTATGTGGAACCATAAAAGACCCAGAATAGCCAAAGCTATCCTAAGCAAAAAGAACAAAACTGGAGGAAGCACATTACCTTACTTCAAATTATACTACAGAGATACAGTAACCAAAAAAGCATGGTACTAGCATAAAGACAGACACATAGACCAATGGAACAGAATAGAGAACCCAGAAACAAGTCCACACACCTACAATGAACTCAGTTTTGATAAAGGTGTCAAGAACATACACTGGGGAAAACACAGTCTCTTCAATAAATGGTTCTGGGAAAACTGGATATCCATATGCACAAGAATGAAACTAGACCCTATCTCTCTCTCTCTCCATATACAAAAATCAAGTTAAGATGGATTGAAGACTTAAATCTAAGACCTGAAACTGTGAAACTACTACAAGAAAACATTGGGAAAAATCTCCAAGATATTGGTCTGGGCAAAAATTTCTTGAACAATACCCCACAAGCACAGGCAACTAAAGCAAAAATGGACAAATAGGATCACATCAAGTTAAAAAGCTTCTGCACATCAAATGATACAATCAACAATGTTAAAAGACAACCTGCCGAGTGGGAGAAAATATTTGCAAACTACCCATCTCACAAGGGATTACTAACCAGAACATATAATGAGCTCAAACAACTCTAATGGAAAAAAAAAACTAATAATCCTATCATAAAATGGGGAAAAGATTTGAATAGACACTTCTCAAAAGACATACAAATGGCAAACAGGCATATGAAAAGGTGCCCAACATCACTGATCATCAGAGAACTGCGAATCAAAACGACAATCAGATATCATCTCACCACAGTTACAATGACTTATATACAAAAGACAGGCAATAACAAAAGCTGGCAAGGATGTGGAGAAAAGGGAACCTTTGTACACTGTTGGTGGGAATGTAAATTAGTACAACCACTATGGACAATGGTTTGGAGGTACCTCAAAAACAAAAATTGAGGTACCATATGATCCAGCAATCCCACTGCTGGTATATACCCAAAAGAAAGGAAATCAGTATATGGAAGAGATACCTGCACTCCTATATTTGTTGCAGCACTTTACAATTGCTAAGATTTGGAAGCAACCCAAGTGTTCGTCAACAGATGAATGGATAAAGATGTGGTACATATACTCAATGGAGTAATATTCAGCCATAAAAAAGAATGAGATCCAGTGATTTGCAATAACCTGGATAGAACTGGAGATCATTGTGATAAATTAAATAAGCCAGACCCAGAAAGACCAACATCACATGTTCTCACTTATTTGTGGGATCTAAAAATCAAAACAATTGAACTCATGGAGATAGACAGTAGAAGGATGGTTACTGGAGGCCGGGAAGGGTAGTGAGGGTATGGGGGTGGGGATGGTTTATGGGTACAAAAAATAGAAAGAAAGTAGAAGACCTACTATTTGATAGCACAATAGGGTGACTATAGTCAATATTAATTGTACATTTTAAAATCTTAAAGAGTATACTTGGATAGTTTGTTACTCAAAGGATAAATGCTTGAGGGGATGGATACCCCATTCTCCATGATGTGCTTATTGTATATTGCATGTCTGGATCAAAACATCTCAGGTACCCCATAAGTATGTATATCTACTATGTACCCACAAAATTTTTTTAAAAAGATGCCATTTCCAGTAGACAAAATCTCCTGGTTAAAAATTGTGGGTCTTGAATTCTTTATTTCCTAGGAGCCCACTATAAAAATAATCTTTCACTAGATTATAATTTTTTAGTTAATTAATAAGGTTAGAACAATAAATATGTCTCCCCTTGCAATTATGGAGTTACAATGTCCTGGGGTAGACTCATAGGTCTTCCAGTTGTTATTTCAAATAGGGATAACTGTTGTTTTCCAAAAGGGGCTGATCTTAGGTTAAGCAAAACCAAGGAAAGTGCATTCAGCCATGGAATCTTAAGAACTTCTGTTATTTTTGCCAATTGAGTCTTAATTATTCCATTTGTACATTCCACCAGTCCAGATGGTTGGAAATGATATGCACAATAAAAGTGCTTGAGGATGGGTCAAATTTTACATATTGATTGAATTATCTGTCCAGTGAAGTGAGTGCCTCTGTTGCTCTGAAATTCCATAGGAACTCCCCACGTTGGAATAATTTTTTCTAAGAGAATTTTACTTGCTACTAAGTCCATTTCTTTTCTGAATGGAAAATGCTTCTATTCAACAAGAAAACATGCAAATCATCAGTAGAACAGAATTGTATCCTTGTGATAGTGGCAGCTAAATAAAATTTCATTGCCATACTTCAAAGGGGCCTACAAATAAAGGAAAATGTCCTTGGGAACTGTGTAAAAGTTTTCCTGGATTCTATTTTGGGCAGATATGGCAGCGATTGTATGCCTCATGACCTATAGTCAGAGAAAGTTTCCAAAAATATTATTTTCCACAAGCAACCACTTTATCAGGGCTCCAATGAGTGAAATCACGTACATAGGTAAAAATGATGACCACAATTCAGCAGGAAGTATAGGCAAGTTTTTTGACCCCTACCGTATCTAATCTTTGGGAGAGTATGTTCCTCCTTTTGTTTTCCAACTTTCCTGTTTGGATTTTGGAGCTCTAGATTTAGTTCATTTTATGTCAAATTCAGGTGCTTTTAAAAAAAGTTATTCTCTTTTTTGGGGTGCTTATTTTAAAGTTAATATAAATTGCTTTTCTTGTTTAGATGCATTTAGAGCATCTCTTAGTGTTACCTTATCAGCTAGCTGATTTCCTTTGCTTTCTGGAGTATCTGATTTGGAATGACCTAGAATTTTAATAATGGCCAGTGATTTGGGTAATAATATGGCTTCTAATCATTGTGAAATAAGATATCAATTTTTTATGGGCTGACTAGAAGTTAAAAATCCTCTTTGCTTCCATAGCATTCCAAAATTATTAGCTACTCTAAAAGAATATCTGCTGTTTGTATGAATATTAGCATTTTTTTTCACCAATTGACAGGCCCTGATTAATGCTATCAATTCTACTTGTTGAGCTGAGGTGGCTTCTGGAAGGGAAGCACTTTCCATTTCTTCAGTTAAATATACTCCTGTATAGCCTGCACAGTAAGTCCCAGATTCATCTTTTAACTAAGGTCCATCTATAAACCAAACAACATCAGTGTTAGTAAGGGTAGTCTCCTGCAGGAGTGTTCTAGAAGAGATAAGCTTGTCAGTTAAGATTACGCAATCATGCAGCATCTCATCTGAAGGTAGAGGCAGAAGGGTGGCAGGGTTTATATTATTGCACCTAGAGCTTGTAAGGTGAGGTACAAAAAGAAGAACTACATAAAAAGCTAGTCTGCTGACAGAATAATGTTGAGTGTGGTTTGAATTTAGAAGTGCTTCCACAGAATATGGAATGAAGACAGTGAGGGGAATCCCATCGCCATTTTTTCAGGGTTTTTTTTGTTTTTTTACTAAAAGAGCAGTGGCAGTTACTCTCTTCAGGCAGTGTGGCAATCTTTTAGCCATGGCATCCACTTGCTGACTACAGTATCCTGTAAGTCTATTTTGGTCTCAGTGTTTTTGTGACATAACACCTAAAGCATTTCCCTTATTTTTATGGACAAACAATGAAATGGAATATAGATGCTGGGGTATTTATAAGGCTCTTTGTAATCTCTTCCAAAGTTAACGAATTTTCCTCAGTCCATTCCAGGGGATCTGGCTTGTGTTTCTTTAAAAGAGTATATAGATGTTGAGTTGTTTTTTTTTAAGCTTGGAATCCAATTTCTACAGTATACTGCCAGTCCCCCAAATCCTCTTGGTTGTTTCTTAGTTTGGGGGATAGGAAGGCCAATATTTCTTTTATTCTATCCTGGTAGATAAAAAGACCTTCCCTTGATATTAGATGACCCAAATATCTTACCTGTTTTTGACAAAACTGAAGTTTTTCCTTTGACACCTTGCATTCCTTTAAGGCTAATTGTTGTAATAAGTGAATCCCATCTTCTATAGAGGCTTCTTTATCCTCTGAACTGAGAAGCAAATCATCTATGTATTGTATTAAAATGGATTTCTTAAGGAAGTCAATATCTGAGAGATCTGCTTCTAATATTTTTTAAAAGTAAGTTGGGCATTCAGTGTATCCCTAAGGCATGAGTTTCCAAATGTGTTGTTTGTCTTCCCAAGTGAAGGCAAAGAGAAATTGAATGTCTTTATCCATAGGAATACTAAATAATGCACTATATAACTTAATCACAGTAATGATTCACATTAGGTAAGGATAGCAGTCAAAAATGTATGGGGCTTTAGAACTACCAGATGGTGAGGAATGATTATATTGTTAATTGCTCTCACACCCTGTACAAACCTCCATGCTCTATCATTTGCATTTCTTACAGGAAGAATTGGAGTATTACATGGGTATGTACAGAGAATAATCAGACCCCTTTTTATATAGTCTAGAACTATGAGTCTTATTCCTTCCAAAGCTTCTGGTTTTAAAGGGTATTTTTTAAAGTTTAGATGAGGTTTTTGTGGGTCTATTTGAATTTTTATTGGAGAAGCTAAATCCCTCCATCTTCTAACCCCTATTACTACCAAAAACCTAGAATCTGCATTTTCAAATTATAGACACTGATTCCCATACCCGTGGAGGGGGGAAAGCTGCTCTCTCAACCAAATCTCCAAATAGCACTTGTGGTCTCTCAAATTTATATTCCCAGAATTAAGGCTACAAACTTGAAATCAATTAAAATAATCAAAGAGCTAGAATGGGGTGGGTTGGGTATGGAAATTCAGTTTTATCTTAGTAGTGCTAAGAGGGAAAATATACCTGTAAATGCTAACATTAAAAAAGAAAAAAGATATCTCATCTATAACCTAACCTTACACCTTAAAGAACTAGAAAAATAACAAGCTTAACCAAAGCTAGCAGAAATAAATAAAAATAAATATTAGAGCAGAAATCATTAACATAGAGAATATAAAAAGTAGGGAAAAACAATGACGCCAATAGTTGGTTCTTTGAAAAGATCTATGTGACTGACGTATATTTAGCTAGATTAAGAAGAAAAGAGACAAATAACTAAATAACTAATAACTCAAATAACTAAAAGCAGAAATGAAAGGACATTACAAATGATTTTGCAGAATTAAAAAGCATTATTAAGACATAGTATAATTGCACACCACTATGATGACCTAAATGAAATGGATAAATTCCTAGAAACAGACAAATTGCCAGAACTGAATCCAGAAGAAGTAGAAAATTTGAACAGACTTATAACTAGTAAGGGGATTACATCAGTAATAAATAACCAAAACCCCTGGACCGGAATGCTTCACTGCTGAATTCTACCAAACAGCTAAAAGAAGAATTAGTACCATTCCTTCTGAAACTCTTCCATAAAAATTAAAGGAGGAACACTTCTACAGTCATTCTGAGACCAGCATTATCCTGATACTAAAGCCAGACAAAGGCACTACCATCAGAAAGAACTACTGCACAATATCTCGGATGAACATTAATGCAAAAATTCTCAACAAAATACTAGAAAAGAGATTTCATCAGTACATTAAAAAGATTATACACCATGACCCAGAGGGATATTTTTCTTGGAATGCAAAAATAGTTCAACATGCAAAAATCAAAGTAATATATCACATTAACAGACTGAAGGAAAAAAACCCCACATGATCATCTCAGTTGATGTAGAAAAAGCATTTGACAAAATTCAGTAACTTTTCATGGAAAAAACTCTCAACAAACTAGAAATAGAAGGAAATTTCCTAACATAATAAAGACCATATATGCAAAGCCCACAGCTAACATCATACTAAATGGTGGAAGATTGAAATCTTTTCTTCTAATATCAGAAACAAAACAAGGTTTCTTAGTTTCACCATTTCTATTCAATATAATTCTTGAGGTCCTGGCCATAAGAATTAAGCAAAAAAGAAATAAAGGGCATACAAATTGGAAAAAGAGAAGTAAAATTACTTCTATTCACAGATAGCATGATTTCATATGTAGAAAACCCTATAGAGTCCACACCAAAAAAAGCTGTTATAATAAACGAATTCAGCAAAGTTGCAGGATACAAAATCCACACACAATCAACACACAAAATCCAGTTGCATTTCTACATACTAACAATGAATAATCTGAAAAGGAAATTGAGAAAACAATTTTATTTGTTTCAAAAATAAATATTTGTTTATTATTTCAAAAATAATGAAATACTTAATAACTTTCTCTCTTCAACAAATAGCGTCTGGACAACTTCATATCCACATGCAAAAGAATGAAGTTGAACCCTTGCCTTAACTCACATACAAAAATTAGTTGAAAATATATCAAAAAACTAAACAAGAAAAACAACTAAAACTCACAGAAGAAGACATAGGGGAAAATTTTATGACATTGAATTTGTCAATGACTTCTTACATATGACATCAAAAGCACAGGCAACAAAAGTAAAAAACAGATAAACTGGCCAGGCACGGTGGCTCACGCCTGTAATCCCAGCACTTTGGGAGGCCGAGGCAGGTGGATCACGAGGTCAGGAGATCGAGACCATCCTGGCTAACACAGTGAAACCCCGTCTCTACTAAAAATACAAAAAATTAGCTGGGCGTGGTGGCTGGTACCTGTAGTCCCAGCTACTCCAGAGGCTGAGGCAGGAGAATGGCGTGAACCTGGGAGACTCCGTCTCAAAAAAAAAAAAAAAATTAAAAAATTAAAAAAAAAACAGAGAAATCGGACTACATTAAAATTTAAAACTTCTGTGCATGAAAAAATATAATAAATTAAAAGACAATCCATAGAATGGGCGAATATATTTGCAAATCATATATCTGATAAGGGGTTTAAAAAGAACTTCTACAACTCAACAACAAAAAGCAATCCAAGTGAAAAATAGGCAAAGGACTTCAATAGACATTTCCCTAAAGATGATATACAAATGGGCAATAAACACATGAAATATGCTCAACATCTTTTTGTATCAGAAAAATGTAAATCAAAACCATGATGAGACAGCACCTTACATACATTAGAATGGCTAATACAAAACAAAAAACAAACAGAAAACAATATGTGTTGACAAGATTATTTTTAAAAATCTGAAATCTTGTACACTTTTGGTGGGAATGTAAAATGGTGAAGCTGCTGTGGAAAACAACATGGCAGTTCATTTTAAGAACGGAATTACCATATGATCCTGCAATTTTACTTCTGGGTATGTATCCCAAAGGATGTAAAGCAGAATAATCTCTCTTTCATCTTAAAAAAAACTTGTTTAAAGACTGAATACATAGAAACAGAGTAGAAAAGTGGTTACCAGAGGCAGGGGTAGGGGTGGAGGGAGGAACTGGGAGATGTAGTTTAAAGGGCACAAAGTTGCAGTTACTTAGGATGAATAAGTCTAGAGATCTAACATACAGCATAATGATTATAGTTAATAATACTGTAGTGCATACTGGCAATTTGCTAAGAGAGTAGATTTTAGGTGTTCTTACCCCAATACACAAAAGGTAACTTTGAGAGACTAGGATAGATATGTTAAACAACTTGAACACAGTAATAACTTAACAATATATTTATATCAAAACATGTTGTATGCCTTAAATATATATAAGTTTTGAAAAAAAGAATTTCAAGCATGGTCTTAGAGATTTGCACACCCATGTTTATAGCAGCATTATTCACAATAGTCAGGAGGTAGAAGCAACCCAAGTTTCTTTCAGTGAATTAATGGATAAACAAAATGTGGTATATACATTCAAGGAAATATTATCAGCCATTAAAAGGACAGAAATTCTGACATGTTATAACATGGATGAAATTTGAAGATATTATGCTAAATGAAACAAGCCAATCACAAAAAGTGAAATACTGTATGATTCCACTTATATGAGGCAACCAGAATAGTCAAACTCATAGAAACAAAAAGTAGAAAGGTGTTTGTCGGGGCTGAGGGAGAAATGAGAAATGAGGTGTTGTTTAATGGGTATAGAGTTTACGTTTTGCAAGATGAAAAATTCCTGGAAACTGATTGCATAACAATGGAAATATACGTAAAACTATTGAACTGTACACTTTAAAATGTTTAAGATGGTAGATGTCATGTGTATCTCACCACTATTAAAAATTTTTAAACAGCAGTTTCTTATTGCATGTCTGCCATGTGTCAGCCACTATACTCTGTTCTTTTTCATGATTTTTAAAGAGATATCTCTCTCAAGCTCCTCACTTCCTCCTTAACTCATTCTACAAAGCCAGCATACCATGATACCAAAACCTGGCAAAAAAAAAAAAAACAATGAAAAAAGAAAACTACAAACCAAAATATCCCTGATAAACACAAATGCAAAAATCCTTAACAAAATACTAGCAAACCAAATTCAGCAGCATATCAAAAATCCAATTCACCATGATCAACTAGGCTTCATTCCTGGGATGCAAGGTTGGATCAACATATGCAAATCAATAAATGTGATTCACCACATAAACAGAATTAAAAACAAAAATCATATGATCATCTCAACAGATGGAGAAAAAGCTTTTGATAAAATCCAACATCCCTTCATGATAAAAACCCAAAACAACATATTAGACATCAAAGCAACATACTGCAAAATAATAAGAGCCATCTATGCCATACCCACACCAAATATCATACTGAATGGGCTAAAGCTGGAAGCATTCCCCTTAGTAACTTGAACAAGACAAGGATGCCCACTCTTACCACTCCTATTCAGTATAGTACTGGAAGTCCTAGCCACAGCAAACAAGCAAGAGAAAGAAATAAAAGCCATCCAAATAAGAAAAGAAGAATTCAAACTATCTCTCTTCACTGATAACATGATTCTATACCTAGAAAACCCTAAAGACTCCACCAAAAGGCTCCTAGAACTGATAAGTGACTTCAGTAATGTTTCCAGATACAAAATCAGTGCACAAAAATCAGTAGCATTTCTATACATCAAGACCATTCAAGCTGTGAGCCAAATCAAGAATACAATTGAATTTACAATAGCCACAAAAAATAAAATACCAAGGAATACAGCTCACCAAGAAAGCAAAAGATCTCTACAAGGATAACTACAAAATGCTGCTGAAAGAAATCATAGGTGACACAAACAAATAGAAAAACACTGATGCTCATGGAGTGGAAGAATCATTATCATTAAAATAACCATAATACTGCTCAAAGCAATCTACAGATTCAACGCTATTCCTGTCAAGTTATGAAAGCCATTTTTTTTCACAGAATTAGAAAACACCATTCTAAAATTCATACGGAACCAAAAAAAAGAGCCCAAATAGCCAAAGCTAAGAAAAAAGAGCAAAGCTGTGGGCATCACATTATCTGACTTCAAACTGTTATAGGGCTAGAGTAACCAAAAGAGCATGGCACTGGTACAAGAACAGCACATAAACCAATGAAACAGAATAAAGAACCCAGAAATAAAGCCACACACCAATAGCCATTTGATTTTCAGCAAAGTTGGCAAAAATAAGCAATGAGGAAAAGACTCCTGATTCAATAAATGGTGCTTGGATACTGTATAGCTATATGCAGAAAAATGAAAGTGGACTCCTACCTTTCACCATATACAAAAATTAACTCAAGATGCATTAAAGATTTAAATGTAAGACCTCAAAACTATTATAATCATAGAAGAAAACCTAGGAAACATCATTCTGGATATTAGCCTTGGGAAAGAATTTATGACTAAATCCTCAAAAGCCATGGGAACAAAAACAAAAATTGACAAGTGGGACCTAATTAAACTAAAGAGTTTCTGCACAGCAAAAGAAACTATCAACAGAGTAAAGAGACAGCCTACAGAAGGTATGAAAATATTTGCAAACTGTGCATCCAACAAGGGTCTAATCTCCAGAATCTATAAGGAACTTAAACAATTTAATAAACAAAACATAAATAACTCCATTGCTCCATATCACTAATCATCAGGGAAATGCAAATCAAAACCACAATCAGCCAGAATGGCTATTACTAAAAAGTCAAAAACAACAGATGCTAGCAATGCTGTGGAGAAAAGGGAATGCTTACACACTGTTAGTGGGAATGTAAATTAGTTCAGCCACTGTGTAAGGCAGTTTAGAGATTTCTCAAAGAACTTAGAACTACCATTCAACCCATCAATCACATTGCTGAGTATATATCCAAAATAAATCATTCTACCAGAAAGACACATGCACTGGTATGTTCATTGCAGCGCTATTCACACTAGCAAAGACATGGAATCAGCTTAGGTGCCCATCAGCAGTGGACTGGATAAAGAAAATGTGGTACACATACACCTGGAATACTAGGGAGCCATACAAAAGAACACTATCATGTATTTTGCAGCAGCATGGATGCAGCTGGTGGCCATTATCCTAAGTGAATTAACACAGGAACAGAAAACCAAATACCACATTTTCTCACTTATAAGTGGAAGCTAAACACTGAATACACACGGACATAAAGATGGCAACAATAGACACTGGCAAGCACTCAGGGAGAAGTAGTCGGGGGGAAGGAGGCGAAGGGATGAAAGACTATTACATACTATGCTCAATATCTGGGTGATGGGATCAGTCATACCCCAAACCTCAGCATCACACAATACATCCATGTAAGAAACCAGTACATGTACCCTCTGAATCTAAAATAAAAGTTGAAATTATTTTTTAATTTAAAAAAGTGTACACAAGTTTTAAAAATTAAAATAAATGGAATTGATATACAATAGTTGTACATATTACATATTTTAGGGGTACATGTGATATTTTGATATATGTATATGATGCATAATTAAATCAGGGTAACTGGGATATCCATCATCTCTAACATTTATCTTTTCCTTGTGTTAGGGACATTACAGTTCTCTTCTAGCTATTTTGAAATGTATAACAAATCATCATTAACTATAATCTCTCTGCTATACTATCAAATAATAGAATGTATTCCTTCTATATAACAATATGTTTGTATCTATTAACCCACTTCTCTTCATCCCCCTCTCTTCTACCCTTCCCAGCCTGTAGTATACACTATTCTACTCTCTATGTCTATGACATCTACTTTTTAAGGTCCCATATATAAGTGAGAACATGTAATATTTGCTTTTCTGCACATGGCTTATTTCACTTAACATAATGACCTCAAGTTTCACTTATGTTGCTACAAATGACAGAATTTCTTTCTGTTTCCTAGCTAAGTAATATTACATTATATGGAGATTCCATATTTTTTATTCATTCATTTGTTGAGGGGCACTTAGGTTGCTTCCAAATCTTGACTATTGTGAATAGTGCTGCATTAAATGTGGGAATCCAGATATCTCTTTGATATACTGATTTCTCTACTTTGGGATATATACCCAGCGGAGAGATTGCTGGATAAAATGATAGTTCTATTTTCATCTTTTTGAGGAACTACCAAATTGTTCATCCCAGTGGTTGTACAAATTTACATTCCCACTAACAGTATTTGAGTGTTTTAGTCCGTTCTCATGCTGCTATAAAGAACTGCCCAAGACTGGGTAATTTATAAAGAAAAGAGGTTTAACTGACTCACAGTTCTGCATTGCTGGGGAGGTTTCAGGAAACTTACAATCATGGCAGAAGGCAAAGGAGAAGTGGGCACTTTCTTCACGGGGGGGCAGAACAGAGTGAGTGCAAGCAGAGGAAATGCCAGACACTTATAAAACGATCAGATCTCATGAGACTCACTCACTATCATAACAACAGCATGGGGAAACTGCCTCCATGATCCGATTATCTCTGTGTGATCACACCCTTGACATGTGGGGATTATGATAATTACAATTCAAGGTGAGATTTGGGTGGGGACATAGAGCCAAACCATATCATTCCACCGCCCCCTCTGACACCTCCCAAATATCATGTCTTTTCATATTTCAAAACCAATCATGCCTTCCCAACACTCCCCAAAAATCTTATTTCAGCATTAACACAGAAGTCCACAGTCCAAAGTCTCATCTAAGACAAGGCAAATCTCTTCTGCCTATGAATCTGTAAAATCAAAAGCATGTTAGTTACTTCCTAGATACAATGGAGGTACAGGCATTGAGTAAATACACCTGTTCCAAATGGGAGACATAGGTCAAAACAAAGGGGCAACAGGCCCCATGCAAGTCCAAAATCTAACAGGGCAGTCATTAAACCTTAAAGTTCCAAAATGATCTCCTTTGACTCCATGTCTCACATGCAGGTCAAGCTGATGTAAGGTGGCTCCTGTGGTCTTGGGCAGTTCTGCCCGTGGCTCTGCAGGGTACAGCCCCACTCCCAGCTGCTTTTGTGGGCTGATGTTGAGTGTCTGCCACTTTTCTAACTGCACAGTACAAGCTGTTGGTGGATCTACCATTCAGGGGTCTGGAGGACAGTGACCCTCTTCTCACAGATCCACTAGGCAGTGCCCCAGTGGGGACTCTGTGGGGGGGGTTCTGACCCCACATTTGCCTTCTGCACTGCCCTACCAGAGGTTCGCCATGAGGGATTCACTCCTCCAGCAAACTTCTGCCTAGACATCCAGGTGTTTCCATATATCCTCTGAAGTCTAGGCAGAGGTTCCCAAACCTTAATTCTTGACTTTTGTGCACCCATGGGCTCAACACCATGTGGAACCTGCCAAGGCTTGGGGCTTGCACCCTCTGAAGCAATGACCTGAGCTTTACCTTGGCTGCTTTTAGCCATGGTTGGAGCTGAAGCAGCTGGGACACAGGACACCATGTCATGAAGCTGCATAGGGCAGGGGGGCAGTGGGACCGGCCCAGGAAACCATTTTCCCTCCTAGGCCTCTGGGCCTGTGATGGGAGGGGCTGCCCTGAAGTTCTCTGATATGCCCTGGAGACATTTTCCCCATTGTCTTGGTGATTAACCTTTGGCTCCTGGTTACTTATGCAAATTTCTGCAGTGAGCTTGAATTTCTCCCCAGAAAATGGGTTTTTCTTTTCTATTGCATAGTTAGGCTACAAATTTTCCAAACTTTTATGCTCTGCTTCCTCTTGAATGCTTTGCAACTTAGAAATTTGTTCTGCCAGATACCCTAAATCATCCATCTCAAAGTTCCACAGATCTCTAGGGCAGGTGCAAAATGCCACCGCCCTCTTTGCTAAAGCATAGGAAGAGTCATCTTTGCTCCAGTTCCCAACAAGTTCCTCATCTCCATCTGAGACCACCTCAGCTTGGACTTTGTTGTCCTTTCCTACATCTTCCTGTCTTCTGAACCCTACAAGTCTCTAGGAAGTTCTAAACTTTCCCACATTTTCCTGTCTTCTTTTGAGCCCTCCAAACTGTTTCAACCTCTGCCTGTTACCCAGTTCCAAAGTCACTTCCACATTTTTGGGTATCCTTATAGCAGTGCCCCACTACCTTGGTACCAATTTACTGTATTAGTCCATTCCCATGATGCTATAAGGAACTGCCAGAGACTGGGTAATTTATAAAGGAAAGAGGTTTAATTGACTCACAGTTCTGAATTGCTGGGGAGGCTCAGGAAACTTACAATCATGGCAGAAGGCAAAGGAGCAGCAGGCACCTTCTTCACAGGGCAGCAGGATGGAGTGAGTGCAAGCAGGGAAAATGCTAGACGCTTACAGAAACCATCAGATCTTGTGAGCCTCACTCACTATCATGAGAACAGCATGGCAGAAACAGCCCCATGATCCGATTACCTCCACCTGGTCACGCCCTTAACACATGGGGATTATGGGGATTACAATTCGAGGTGAGATTTGGGTGGGGACACAGAGCCAAACCATATCAATGGGTATTTCCTTTTATCTGCATCCTTGCCAGCATTCATTATCTTTCATCTTTTTCATAATAGCAACTTTAGGCCATACTGTCCAAAGAAATTTATAGATTCAATGCTATTCCTATCAAACTATCAACAACATTCTTAACAGAACTAGAATAAACTATTTTAAAATTCATATGGAACCCAAAACAGAGCCTGAATAGCCAAGGCAATCCTAACCAAAAAGAACAAAGCTGGAGGCATCACATTATCCAACTTCAAACTATACTACAGGGCTACAGTAATCAAAACGGCATGGTACTGGTACAAAAACAGACAGACACATAGACCAATGGAACAGAACAGAGATTCCAGAAATAATGCTGCACACCTACAACCATCTAATCTTCAGTAAAACTGACAAAAACAAGCAATGGGGAAAGGACTTCCTATTCAACACATGGTGCTGGGATAACTGGCTAGCTATATGCAGAAGATTGAAACTGGACCCCTTCCTTACACCATATATAAAAATCAATTCAAGATGGACTAAACACTTAAATGTAAAACCCCAAACTATAAAAACCCTGGAAAATAGCTAGGAATACCATCCTGGATAGGAACTGGCAAAGATTTCATGACTAAGACACCAAAAGCAATTGCAACAAAAGAAAAATTGACAAATGAGTTCTAATTAAGCTGATGACCTTATGTACAGCAAAAGAAACTATCAACAGAGTGAACAAATAACCTACAGAATAGGACAAGATGTTTGCAAACTATGCATCTGACAAAGGTCTAATATCCAGAATCTATAAGGAACGTAAATTTATAAGAAAAAAACCTCATTAAAAAGTGGGCAAAGGACATGAACAGACAGTTCTCAAAAGAAGACTTTCATGCAGCCAACAAGCATAAATAAAAACACTCAGTATCACTGATTGTTAGAGAAATGCAAATCAAAACCACATGAGATATCATCTCACACCAGTCAGAATGGCCATTATTGAAAAGTCAAAAAATAACAGATGCTGGTAAGTTGCAGAGAAAAAGGGACACTTCTACACTGCTGGTGGGAGTCCAAATTAGTGAAACCACTGTGAAAGACAGTGTGGCAATTCCTCAAAGAACTAAAACAGAACTATCATTTGATTCAACAATCCAATTACTGAGTATATACCCAAAGGAATATAAATTTTTCTACCATGAAGACACATGTATGTGTATGTTCACTGCAGCACTATTCACAATAGCAAAGACATCAAATCAACCTAAATACCCATCAACAGTAGACTGGATAAAGAAAGCGTGGTACACATATACCATGGAATACTATGCAGCCATCAAAAAGAATGATATCATGCCCTTTGCAGGAACAATTGATGGATCTGGAGGCCATTATCCTTAGCAAACTAACGCAAGAACAGAAAACCAAATACCATATGTTCTTGCTTATAAGTGAGAGCTAAATAATGAGAACAAATTGACATAAAAGGGAACAACAGACACTGGGCCCTACTTGAGGGAGGAAGGTGGGAGGAAAGAGGATCAGAAAAAATAATTATTAGGTACTGTGCTTAGTACCTGGGTGATGAAATAATCTGTACACAAAACCCCCATGACATGAGTTCACCTATATAACAAACCTGCACAGGTACCAATGAACCTAAAATAAAAGTTAAAAATAAAAGACAATAGCCATTTCAACTGGGATGAGATCATATCTCACAGCAAAACCTGTGATATACAGTGAAAGAAGTACTAAGAAGAAAGTTTGTAGCTATAAGTGCCTACATCAAAAAACTAGAAAAATTTCAAATCACCAACGTAATGATGCATCTTAAAGAACTAAAAAAGAGCAAGCAAAACCCAAAATTAGAAGAAATAAAAATCAGAGCAGAAATAAATGAAATTGAAATAAAAAACATATGAAAGATCAACAAAAAGTTGCCTTCTTGAAAAGACAAGCAAAATCAAAAAACTTTCAGCCAGACTAAGAATAAAAGAGAGAGGACCCAAATAAATAAAATTAGAGATGAAAAAGGAGACATTATAACCAATACCTCAGAAATTCAGAGGATCATTATAGGCTACTATGATAAATTATATGCCAAAAAATTAGTAAATGTAGCAGAAATGGATAAATTCCTAGACACATACAACCTTTCAAGATTGAACCATGAAGAAATCTAAAATCGGAACAGACCAATAACAAGTAATGAGATAAAGCATTTAAAGAAGAATAGAATACCAATTCTACTCAACCTATCCTGAAAATAGAGGAGCAGGGAATATTTCCAAACTCATTCTATGAAGTCAGTATTACCCTGATACCAAAACCAGACAATGACTCATCAAAAGAAAGAAAACTATAAGCCAGTATCTCTGATGAATATTTATATAAAAATCCTCAACAAAATGCTAGCAAACCAAATTCAACAACACATTAAAAATATCATTTATCATGACTAAATGATATTTATCCCAGGGATGCAAGGATGACTCAACACACACAAATCAAATCAATGGGATACATCATATCAACAGAATGAAGGACAAAATCTATATGATCATTTCATTTGATGCTGAAAACGCATTTGGTATAATTCTACATTCCTTCATGATATAAACCCTCAAAAAATTGAGGATAGAAGGAACATACCCCAACACAATAAAAGCCATATACAACAGACCCACAGCTAGTATCACACTGAATAAAGAAAAAGCAAAAGCCTTTCTTCTAAGAACTGGAACATGATAAAGGATGCCCACTTTCAACACTGTGCCAGAAGTCCTATCTAATGCAATCAGACAAGAGAAAGAAATAAAGGGCATCCAAATTGGAAAGGAAGAAATCAAATTATCCTTGTTTACAGATGATATGATCTTATATTTGGACACACCTAAAGACTCCACCTAAAGACTTCCAAGACCTGTTAAAACTGACAAATTCAGTAAACTTGTAAGAAACAGTATCAATATACAAAAATCTGTAGCACTCATATATGCCAACAGCAAACAATCAGAAAAAGAAATTTTAAAAGTAATCGCATTTACAATAACTGCAAATAAAATTAAATACATAGGAATTAACTTGACCAAAGAAGTGAAAGAGCTCTACAATAAAAACAATAAAACATTGATGAAAGAAATAGAACACAAAAAAATGGAAATATCTTCCATGTCCATAAAATGGACAATGTCCATTAAAAAATCAATGAGGTTAAAATGTTCACAGTACCCAAAGCAATCTATAGAGTCAATGCAATCCCTATCAAAATACCAATGACATTCTTCACAGAAACAGAAAAAAAATCCTAAAATTTATGTGGAATCACTAAAGACCCCAATTAGCCAAAGCTATCCTGAGAAAAAAAGAACAAAACTCGAAGAATTATATTACCTGACTTCAAATTATACTACAGAGATATAGTAGCCAAAAGAGCATGGTACTGACATAAAAACAGACAGACAAATGGAACAAAAGGGAGAACCCAGATATAACTCCATCCATCTACAGTGAACTCATTTTCAACAAAGGTGTCATAGTATACATTGAAGAAAGGACAGTCTCTTCAATAAGTGATGCCAGGAAAACTGACTATCCATATGGAGAAGAATAAAACTAGACCCCTATCTTTCACCATATACAATAATCAAATCAACGTGAATCACAGACTTAAAACTGAGACCTTGGACTATGAAACTACTGAAAGAAAACATTGGGGAAACTGCCCAGGACATTGGACTGGCAAAGATTTCTGGAATAATACCCCACGAGCACAGGCAACCAAAGCAAAAATGGACACATGGGATCACATCAAGTTCAAAAGCTTCTGCAAAGCAAAGGAAACAATCAACAAAGTGAAGAGACAACCCACAGAATGGGAGAAAATATTTGCAAACCATCCATCTGCCAAGAGCTTAATAACCAGAATATATAAGGAGCTCAAACCCTTCAATGGCAAAAAGTCTAATAATCCAATGAAAAATGGGCAAAAGATCTGAATAGACATTTCTCAAAAGAACACATACAAATGGCAAACAGGCATAGGAAAAGTTGCCCAACATCACTGATTATCAGATATATGCAAATCAAAACTACAATGAGATATCATCTCATCTCAGTTAAAATGGCTTTTTTTCCCCAAAAGATAGCCAATAACAAATGCTGGCGAGGATCTGGAGAAAAAAGAACCACCATACACTGTTAGTGGGAATGTAAATTAGTACAACCACTATAATGAACAGTGTGGAAGTTCCTCAATAAACTAAAAATAGAACTATCATATGATCCAGCAATCCCACTGCTAGATATATACCCCAAAGAAAGGAAATTAGTATATCAAGGAGATATCTGTACTCCCATATTTATTGCTACACTATTCACAGTAACCAAGATCTGGAAGCAACCTAAGTGTCCATGAACAGATGAATGGATAAAGAAAATGTGGTACATATACACAATGGAGTACTATTCAGCCATAAAAAAGAATGAGATCCTGTCATTTGCACCATGGATAGAACTGGAGGTCATTATGTGAAGTAAAATAAGCCAGGCACAGAAAGACAAACTTTGCATGTTCTTGCTTATTTATGGGAGCTAAAAACTTAAACAATTGTGAAATAGAGAGTAGAATGATGGTTACCAGAGGCTGAGATGGGTAGTGGGTGGGAATGAGTGAGTGCTGATGGTAAATAGGGACAAAATCATAGACAGAATGAATAATATCTAGATTTGATAGTACAGGATGACTATAGTCAACTATTATACATTTTTAAATAACTAAAAGAGTATAATAGGATTGGAACACAAATAAAGGGTAAATGCCTAAGGTGAGGGATACCCTATTTTCCCTGATTTGAATACAATGCATTGTATTCCTGTATCAAAATACCTCATGTACCCCATAAATATATATACCTAATATGTACCCACAAAAATTAAAAAAAGAAAAAAAGAAAAACCATCAGCTTGTACACTTATGATTTGCATAAATTTATGTATCTTTACTTGAAAAAATTAAGACTGGCTTCCAGATCAGAGCACAACCAAGACTTACTATATCTACTAAAAGAATGCATAAGTCAAAAGATGGTTGGTTGGTCAGGGATGGAAACAAATACTGACAATTCCCTTCTGAACACTGGACTTATCTTTAGTCTCATGCTCTTAATGAGAAAACTATAGATATAGATATGTTAAATGTAAGTTAGCTCTCCCCCACCCCATCGTCTGGTTCCTATGCCACTATAGCCAATTATTCTTCACTCTACACCAATCTAGATCTAGAAATCAGACTTAGCTTCAGGTTCATTCTATCTTACATATGTACACACACATACTCCTTTCATACTCACCAGATGTGAGGCCTAGAATTTCTCCAGGCATCGTAGGATCTTCAGAATAAGGATGAAGCCAGCAATGAGGATTTCAGTAAATCACCAATCTCTTTCTTGAATCTTCTTTCTCTGACACACTGATATAAACCCTTCCATTATGTAGTCCCTACCTGTACCCTCTCCTGTCTGCTGGCTCACTCCTTCTGGATGCCTTCCTCACCCTACCCCCTAGGAACCAAAAATATAATTCTCTTATATTCTGTTCTATCAAGCCTCTGGAAGTTCTGAGATGCCAAGAATAGGAATTGGGAAGGAAGGTTACAACAGAGGTGACATGATATATGTCTTTGAGTCCTTAGCATGGCATTCAAGGTTCCTCATAATCTTACTCTTGCTAATCTCATTAAAATCATCTCCCTACACCATTTCCATTCACATTTAACACGTGTGTTTGCAGCTCCACTTCACCCATACACCATTCTATTTCTAACCTCTGAGCCATTGCTCACACAATTCTTTTTTGTCTGAATTACCCCCGTATCTCTTAAACCATCTGCTTATCCATTTACACATAACTGAAGTGCCATCTCTTCCAAAAAGTCTTCCTTTACCATAACATTTACAACACTCTAATAAAATTACCTATGTGTTTGTCTCTCCCACCAGATTGTGAGAGCTTTCAGGGCAGAACTATTTCTCTGATTTTCCTCTCTAAGCCTCACTGTACTGTAGGTGTTTAACAAACACCTTCTCACTGTACAGTGTCAATGAAATAGAATAGAAGGGGCAATCATTTTGAGGGAAAGGAACAAGGGGAGTAGATTATGTGTGATTTAGAATCACACATACCTGGATTTGAATCTCTGCTGCCAATTTCATAGCAGAGGGGCCTGGCCAAGCTCCTATGTCCTCCTCCATGTAGTGAATTGACTCATAGTGCACGTATGAGTCAGTAAATGGGAGAGAGAAACACAAGACTTCAGGGTCAGGTTGCCTGGGTTCATATCAGCTTCATTACTAACTTCTAGTGTGACCATAAGAAATTTTCTGACCCTCTCTATGCCTCAGTTCTCTCATTTGAAAAATAAGCTTTGTAATAATTCATTTCTCTTAGAGCTTCTGGAAGGATTAAATTGTGATGAAACCTGATAGAATAGCACTATGCAAATGTTAAATCGTTATTAAAGTTAGCAATTATTATCACATAAAATGGGGATCATAATACTACTTATTTCAAAGGTACTATAAGCATATACAGTGGATGAGTAAATGATAGTTGTTACCATTAATTTATATATGTCAAATAAAGAACATTTATATATTTTTACAAAGAAACTAGAGTGTAGCTGAGGTAGGAAAAATAAATTCTGAGAACTAAAATATCATTCTAAAACTCTACTTAAAACAAAAATCTTAGGCCAGGCATGGTGGCTCACACCTGTAATCCCTCCTTTGGGAGGCCAAGGCCGGCAGATTACCTGAGGTCAGGAGTTTGAGACCAGCCTGGCCAACATGGCGAAACCCCGTCTCTACTAAAAATACAAAAATTAGCCCGGCATGCTGGTGGATTCCTGTAATCCCAGCAAGTTGGGAGGCTGAGGTACAAGGATCGATTGCTTGAATCCGGAAGGTGGAGGTTGCAATGAGCCAAGATCGTGCCACTGCACTCCAGCCTGGGCAACAAAGTGAGACTCCGCCTCAAAAAAAAAAATCTTGCCCAATCCTAGTCAATTTTCAGCATCACTACAGAGAAGAAAAAACAAAAGAGGATTTAATATTATGTACTAACACATGCAGTGAAAATGACATAGGCTTCGGAGTCAGATACGACACACCTGCATTCTAATCCTGGTCCTATCACTTAAGTCATTGTTTCCAATAAAGCATCAGTATTTAGGGTTTTTCCTTGGAAGATGTCTTCCAATACGTTTCTTCACTGTATTCAGCAATTTTTTTAAAACAATCCCGAGGCAAGCAATGCCTGGAAGATGCGGTTGAGAATAAAAATGAATGACATTGTCACTAAGGGTGAGCTCAAGGTAATGAAAACTGCATGAGACACTGGGGCCAGACAGACCTGGAGTTGAAAACGGTTTCCACCTCTGCCTTGCTATGAGACCTTGGGTAAGTTACATAAACTCTCTGGCTCTCAGACGACTCTTCTGTAAATTGAGATAATAATAGTATCTGCTTCACAATCACGTCCTCTGAGAGGAGCCTATGCTGATCCTGCCCACCTACCTATGGCTGTGGTTAAGGAGTCTTAGTCTGTGTTCCCAGAGCCCACTGTTGTTGTTATTTTACAGATGAAAGGCATAGATGTCATTCTGGGTTACCCTGAAAGAACCAAGAATGTGAACCCAAAGATTAGTGGAATTGTCAAAAACAGATGAGCCTCACACTTACAAGGAGACAGCTCTCTCAAGTTTCCTGTTTCTTCTTTAACCATTCATCCCCAGTCCATCTCAGTCTGCAGCTTTTCTCTTTGTGTCTCTCTATGCATTCTCATCATACTCCTAAACGACTTACAATTCTTCACTTGAAGCCCTTTCATGTAATTTTTCTGTGTGTCTGGCTACCACACAAGACTGTGAGATGCTTGAGGAAAAGGATCGAGTTATGTTGGCTTTTACCCACCCAGCAACCAGAACACTTCCTGAATCTTGGCACAAAAACTAAAAATACATCCAACGAAAACTGAAAACTTATTGAAAAAAAAGTTTAGAAATAATATGTATATATATACATATATATAATATATCCAGTTCCTCTCTGCTGTATTAAATATTTCAAATAAATAAACTCCCCATTGCATCTGGGATATATTATTCCCTTTTTTAAAATATGAGATTACTGGGAACCAGAGAACTTCGGAGTCATTTCCATGGTTACAGGGCAGGTATGTAACAGCATGAGCACGGAAACCCTGGTATGTAATGCCAACGCACACAAGGACGGCAGCATAGGCAATCTCCATACCTATGTGTGGACAATGTAAAAATACCTCTTGGGAGAAGGGGCTGCAAATACAGTTTACCAACATGTTACACCAGTAAAGCTGTCATTTTGAGATAAAGGGAAGGGTCTCCCGGACCCATTTTCAACAAGTGGCCAATCTTGGTAGTGCAGACTAAGAAGCAGCCCAGTAAGTTCTTAGAACCGGAAACTCCCCTCCCCCCAAACACCCAACCGCGCAGCCCACGCTGCGGGGCCACGACTTGGCCGGATTTATGTTCATGGCTGAGGATGCCATGGGCCGAGTAAGAAGGAGAACCGCCACCCAACCACGCAGCCAAGAGCAACCCAGGGATCCCTCCTCTGCTTGCTCCCCTCCCCCACCCCTGCTGTACCTTCTGCGCAGCCATCTCGGTAACGGGCGTCAGGGGCGCTCGGCGGCCTGCTGTCCAAGCTGGGGTCAGGAGCCTGGCGGTAGCAAAGAGCATCACCGAAAGGAAGCTGGTAGGCTAGCGAGGCCAGCCCCAAAGACCCACAGATACACGCGCTGCTCCGAACTCGCGGGCCCGCGGCGTCCACTAATGAGATGAACCTGGGCGCGCAGCGGCTGGACCTCAGCTGCTAGGGCGCCGCCAAGGCCCTGCTGGACACCTTCTGGTACCTGGGCCTCGTGTATTACACCTGTGGCTGCCGCCGAGGCGCGGTTCAATTTGAAGTCTGAGCCCCTACAGGCCCGTGAATCCTGGATTACAACTGCAGTTTGTGCAAGAAGCAGCAGCACCTGCACTTCCACTTAGCAACCTCCGGCTTCACGCTCCTCCAGGGCGCAGAGAGCATCAAAGCATTATCACCGACCCAACACACACCGGCGCTGCGTAGTTTCTGCAGCAGGTGTGGGGTGAAGAGTTGCCACACAGCTGTCTGACACCGGGTGTACGGCGTCACCCCTCACTTCCTGGACAAGGCAACATTTTCCTAAAGGTAAAGACCATGAACATGTAGAGGCCCCCTTACTCTCATGCTAGTCCGCATTCAGCCGGAAGCAATTCAGCAAATTTGCCATTTAAGTGACGCCCTGGATCTGTCTTTCAGAGTAGTGGCTTACCCTGCAGCCTCATTTCTCTGATAAGTATTTTTTTAAAGCCATTGATTCAGTTTGTTCATCTTTTTCTTGTTGGAAGAAGGGGGTGGGGTGACAATTTCCAGCTTCTTTACATGAAAGAGCTGAAACCAGAAGTCTCGCTTGTGACCATTTTTGCAATATACTACAATCACTATAAGCCTATGATTTAGAAATATCATGGTAAATGCCTGAGAAGCAGAAAAAATAGTTGAAAGAAGTTTTCTCAGGGAGCCAGAGCAGGAGTGGGGGCGAGTATGGATTTAGATTCAAATGATTTCTGGTTTCATTAAAGGCTAGTGTTATTCTTTAAGAACTTTTAAGATCATGTATGTATATTATTTTGAGAAAATTAAAGAATAAGTGATGCATTTTATGTAGAAATAATCTATATAAATTCTACATAGAAAAATACGTAGAAATACCAAGTTTAATTTCAAGATTAAATAAATGCTCAAAAATACATACAATTCCTAAAACAGTTATTACCACTTACTTGTTAATGTTAGTTGTGACTGTTTATAAATTAACGTGCACATTTTACTCTTGATCCAAATGCTACTGTTTGAACATTAATTGGCTTAAGTAATAATTTTTAAATTGTACTTCACAAAATTTAGAGGAAACAATGCAAGGGAAGGGACTATATTCCCATTTCCCTGATGAAGACACTAAAGCTTAAAAGATTAGGTAACTTGCTGAAAGTCATGCACTAAGTAAGTGGTTGACTGGCACAGTCTCACAAATCCATCTGCTGTTATGTATACCTCTCTCCCTCTACACATTTTTGAATAGCCATGCCTTTATCAGAAAAAATGGTGTTACTCTTCCACTAGGATTGGGAACCAAAATTACTGATAAAAGTACAAGGAGAGTTGAATACGATCTTTCAGTTCTTTTCAAGAATCACAAATCCCTAAGCCAATAAAAAAGTTTAGAAGCTAGAAGCAAAGACAGAGATCTTCCAAATTTGTTTAATGAAGGAAGTCTAAACTCTGATTCCAAAACCTGGCAAAGATAGTTCACTACACACAAAGAAAGATGTGGATCTCTCTCACTTATTAACTTATATTTAATTTTTTATTAATAAAATTTGGGTCCATAAAATTAAACTGTATATAAAAATCTATCATATCCTGGTAGTTTCCTAGTCATGAGAGCATGATGTAATATTAGGAAATATTTTAATTAACCCTCCACAGTATATAAAAATCCATCATATCCTGGTAGTTTTCTAGTCATGAGAGCATGGTGTAATATTAAGAAATATTTTAATTAACCCATTATATCAATAGGTCAAAGGAGAAAAATCCTATCATCTGAGGTGCTGAACAAAGAATTCAATAAATTCAATCAATCTGATGCACTCTGCAGTCGTTCTAAGTTCTTGTCTACTAAAATCCTCGACTACTACACATCCACAATCGCTTCTGTGAAACTCTTGGGACCAAATGGTTCAGAATTTGTCTCCCATACATACATAATATCTATGTCAAGGCCTGTAGTAATACTGTGGAATCTAATACAATGATATTTCTGTAGTGAAACATACAAATGTTCACTCCAAGATCTAAAGATTACAAATAGCATCATGTCAGTTCAAATCAGGTTTTATGGATAAATGAGTCAGGAAAAGTATGTTTTTCAAAGCATTTTGAATGTTAGACTTGTGCACAAGGGATTGTGAGTCTGAATCATATTTCCGTCAACTCTTCTTGCCTTTCATACAATTTTTTTCTTTCTGTTATCTTTTTTATCATTGAAATACAACATTTAGATAGAAGATTGTGCAAATCATAAGGGACAACAAGTTGATGACTTTTTACAAAGTGAACACATGCATGTAACAACCAGTAAGACCAAAATATAGAACATTACTGGCACCCCAGAAACTTATGTTATACCCCTACCTAGTCATTACCCCTGAAATTTAAGCACTATTCTAACCTATGTTACTATAGAATTGTTTTGCCGGCTTTTTATACTTTATACAAATGGAATTATAAATTATGTATATTTTTATGCCTGGTTTCTTTTGCTCAATATGAATGCTTTTAAGATCTGTACACTTTGTTGCATGTAGGGATATTTGCTTGTTTCGTTCCTGAACAGTATTCCATTGTATTAATATACCACAATTTATTCATTCAACTGTTGATATATATTTAGGTTGTTTCTAGTTTGTGACTATTTCCAATAATGCCACTGTGAACATCCTTATGTCTTTTGAAAAACAGGTTTATGTATCTCTGTTGGATATATACTTGTGTGGTAAGCAGAATTCTAAGGTGATCTCCAATGACTCTTGTCTTGGTATAATCTCTTCCCATTGGGTGTAGGTGGAACCTGTAAATATGATGAGATCTTACTTTTATGATTATATTACTTCATATGGCAAAAAGGATCTTGCAGATATAATTAAGGTCACAAATCAGTTGCCCTTAAAGTAGGTGAGGCAGACCTAATCAGGTGAGCACTTACAAGGGCCCAGGTTTTTGCTGAGAGATTCGAAGCATGAGAGAGCATTTGGAGGGGGCCACGTGACAAGGAACTGCAGGAGTCCTCTAGGTGATGAGTTGCTGCCCCTTGTTGACAGCCAGCAAAAGAATGGAGGGACCTCAGTACTACAGCTACAGGGCACTGGACTCAGCTGGCAACATAGATGAGTCTGCAAGGGCTTCTTCCCCAGAGATCCAGAAAGGAACACAGGAAGTCCAAGAGCATCTCACCCTGTGAGACCTTGAGCAGGGAAACCAGTCACATGGTGCACAGACCTCTGACCTACACAACTGTGAGCTAATAAATGAGTGTTGGTGTAAGCTGCTAAGACTGTAGCAATGTGTTTAACACCAACAGAAACCACTATAGATTTTGATACCTGGATGTGAGGTGTAGTCACTGTAAACACCTTAAAATGTAGATGTGGCTTTGGAACTGGATAGTAAGCAAAGGCTGGAAGAATTTTGAGATGCATGACAGGGAAAGCCTAAATTCCCTTGGACAGACTGGTAGTAGACGTCAGCTGGATATCCAAACTGCTTTGGAACTCCTCTTTTCTGCCTTCTGTTTTCTCCTGTATAAAATAGAATGTTTATAGATGTTATCCTATGCCCGTCCCATCATTGTATGTGGTGGTGTTGGGGGAAGATAGCTTGTCACTTTAGTGCTGATGGTCCACAGTTGGAGAGGGATTTTGCCCTAGGAGTTTTACTGGATAGGATCATACCCAGGAATCTCATCCGTTCATGATTCAGATGATGAAATTCAGATGAGCTTTTGGAATTGAGCTGATGCCATAATACAAAGAAATTTGGAGACTGTGGGATGGATTGAATGTATTTTATACGTGGGAAATACTGGATCACTGAGGGCCAGAGGGCAGGCTGAGGCAGGCAGAATTCTAAGATGACCTCTAATGACCTCTGGTCTTATATGAACTTCTCTTGAGTATAAGAGCAGCCTGTGAATATGATGAGATACCACTCCTATGATAATGTTACACAATATGGGGAAAGAGATTTTGCAGATGAATTATGCTCCCAGATCAGTGAACCTCGAAATAAGGAGGTTGACCTGTGTGGGCCAGACCTAAGTAAGTGAGCCCTTAAGATGGCCTGAGCCCTTCCTGGGAGACTGGAAGTGTGCGAAGGAATATGTAGAGCTCTATGTGGCAAAGAACTGCATGAGGCCTCTAGGAGCTAAAAATTGAACTGAATTCTGCCAATTACCTGAATGAGTTTGGAAATATATTCCTCCTCAGTCTCCAGAAAGAAACACAGACTCACTGACCAATAGAACAGGCTGACTTCACCCTGTGAGACTTGAACAGAGTACTTGTAAACCTATAGAACTGGGAGCTTAAATAAATGGCCATTGTTTAAAGCCATTAAATTTGTGGTGATTTGTTACTCAGGGATAGAAAAGTAACATAGATGGAATTTCTGGGTTATAGAAAATGCATAAATTCAGCTTTAATAGGTACTCCCAAATAGTTTTCCAAGGGTACTAATTTACACTCCTACCGGCAGTTAGAGTTTCAGTTCCTCTATAGCCTCCCCTGCTCTTTATATTGGTAGTCATTCTAGCTATTCTGGTAGATGTTTGCTGATGTCTTCTTGTGATTTTAATTTGCATATCTCTGATGACTTATTTTGGGAAGTCTTTGTTATTTGTCAGTTTAATATCCTATTTTGTGAAGTACCTGTTGAAATATTGTGCCAGTGTTTAACTGCATTTACTTTTATTCTTTATTTTATTCTGTACATAAAACATTTTCTGAATGTGTGCGTGCATGCGTGTTTATTTGTAGTTAATGTTTTCCTTTATCGTTAGTGGTTTTTGTGTTGTGTTTTAGATATAATTTACCCCAAGGTCATCAAGATATGATTGTATCTTATTTTCTAGAAGCTTTATCTTTTTGAATTCATTTTGTGTATGGCATAAGTTAGGAGCCAAAGTTATTTTTTTCTATATGGCTGGATATCCAATTTGTCCAGTTCCACTTACTTAAATGATTATCTTTCTCCCTGAGTACTGCATTGGTATCTTTGTTGTAAATAAGGTGATCATATGTGTGTGTCTGTTTGTGGACTCTCTTCTTGTCCTATTGGTCTATTTATCTATCTTTATCTAAACATATATATCTTTATTTATCTATTCCTGCGTAACAAAATGTTACTGTACACAAATCATACTATCTTAATTATGGCTTTTCTGACTGTGAAAGTTCTTCAAATTCTTCTAGATGGCTTTGGCTGTTCTTAGATCTTTGATATCCATTCATATTTTAGAATCAGTTTGCTGGTTTACATTTTCAAATTATCTGTTGAGATTTTGATTTGTATTGCATTGAATACATAGACTGTTTGGATGAGAATTTTCTCTGATTTAATTTTCATAATATTCTAATCTACAAACATGACATATCTCTGATTAACGTAGGGCTTCTTTATTTAAGAAATGTCATGTTGATTTCTGGACAAAGGTCTTATGAATTTTTTTATTAGATTTGTTCCTAGCTATTTGATATTTTCTGATGCTATAGGAAATGGCAATTTTAAAATTTCCTCTTTATACTTTTTACTGCTAATATGTGGAAATACAATTCCATTGTGTAATATTGACCTTATGTCCACTGATTACACCAAATTCATTTATTCTAATATTTGATATATATTCTTTAATTTTTAAGTGTAAAAAACATGTTGTGTCTTTTATTTTTTCAAGAGCTGAGAAACCTTTCCCCCCAAAACCTTAAAACACAAGCATCCATATCTTATTGACTGCAACTGGGAAATGACTATTCCCAAACCAGTCACTGGAGTGGTAGTGAGATTACTATGACCTGGTTAGTCAATCACACTACTATATATATATCCGCTACACTGTGTTATAAATCAAATTTTCTTTATTTTAACCACATACGTAAATATTTAGACATTAATTTTATTAGAAGTTTGAACATCTCTGTTGGATTGATAATTGTGGAATATTCCTCCATCTAAATGAGCTGAAATTACAGATCTTAAATTTTATAAATTCTTAGCAATCAGGCCAGGCCTGGTGGCTCATGCCTGTAATCCCAGCACTTTGGGAGGCCAAGGCAGACAGATCACTTGAGCTCAGGCATTCAAGATCAGCCTGGCCAACATGGTGAAACCCCATCTTTACCAAAAATACACAAATTTAGCTGGGCATGGTCGCACACGCCTGTAATCCCAACTACTCGGGTGGCTGAGGCAGGAGAGTCACTTGAGAGGGGGAGGCTACAGTAAGCTGAGATCACACCACTGTACTCCAGCCTAGGCTACGGAGTGAGACTTGGTCTCATTTTAAAAAAAAAATCACACCTGTAATCTCAGCACTGGCAGAGGCAGGTGATCACTTGAGGTCAGGAGTTCCAGATAAGCCTGGCCAACATAGTGAAACCATGTCTCTACTAAAATTACAAAAATTAGCTGGGTATGGTGGTACACACCTGTAATCCCAGCTACTTGGGAGGCTGAGGCAGGAGAATCACTTGAACCCAGGAGGCGGAGGTTGCAGTGAGCCGAGATCACATCACTGCACTCCAGCCTGGGCCATAGAACGAGACTGTCTCAAAAAACAAACAAACAATAAATTATTAAGCAATGAGTAGTATGCTTAATATGTGAAAAATATTTGTGGCTTATTCAGGAATAATGAATTTTTTAAATGGCTTAGTTTATTTCAAAAATATACTGTTGATTATAAAATACAAAAATATCAGAATATTTAATATGTACATATATCAGACTTTTAAACATAGTTATCAGTCACTGGTAAAATTGCTTGTGATTTAAATTATCTTAAACTTTTCTAAATTATCTAAATTCCATACTGCAAGGTTTGCCAAACTTCACACAACTGGCATTTTGGACCAGATAATTCTGTGTTGTTGGAGGCTCTCCTGTGCATTGAAGGGGTTGAGCAGCATCCTTGATGGCTATATACTAAATGCTGGTAGAACTCCTCCTCCCCAATTATGGCACTCTTCAGACATTTTAAAATTTCCCCTGCAGGGCAAAATTCCCCTAGCTGAGAACAACTGTACTATGGTGAACAAAATTTTAATAACTAGGTAGATGTAAAAATAAACAGATGTAAATATAGATCAGTAGATACAGTACATCATGGTTTTTTTTTTAATCTCGTAGCCATTTTCCTATGGCATTAAAAATTTTTCAAAAACATCCTGTAACATCCTATATAAGTTTATTCTCTAGGCATCTAGCATTCTACTGGAAATTGGGTTGTTTCAGATTTTTAAAAATAATTGACACTATAATAATCACCTTTGAGCATATAACACTGTAAAGATATGAGTATATTTTTTAGAATTAATGCCTGGAGAGGAATTATGCATTTCATATAAGACTTTTTATAGGTATCATCATATCATCAAATTTTCATCTTGGAAGGTGCTATGAATTTATAATTCTATCCAGTAGTATATATGAGAGCTTGTTTTGTTATAATAGCTTAAAACCTGTTTAAACATAATTCTTTTCAGAAATACAGTAGCTATATTTGCTTAGTACAAGAGTGATATATGCTCATTGAAACCATTCAGAAGATGAAGTATGAAAAGAACGAAAAACCACACTTTCAGATTTTTTTAATGAGTACATAGATACATATATACTTTTAAATGGAACAGAGGCAAAGAGAAAGGTGAGGATATTGAAGACAACAATGGAGTTAAAAAGAGGGGCTTCTTTAAAGTTTGAGATCTTGGAGGATAGCAAAACAATAAGTAGAAGACATATATATTCCTTTAAAGAGAGCAAGGGTAGATAGCATTTTAATTATTACTAAGTCAGGGACCACGACTAAGGCCCACGGAGATTCAAGAAAGGAGGAAAACTCTCAGGGAATAGATTGAAATGACTCCCAAGTGGAAAAGTGGATCCATAAAACTGGTGAAAGTTGGCCTACAGAACAAAGAGAATAGCTATAAGTGGGGTTCATACCCCAAAATTTCAACTATACAGGGAACAGTGGTTAACATGGTCATAACAGAATCACTGATTCCCACCATCTTCCTGATCTTTTCAACTGAGCAAGTTTTCCCTGTTTCGGTAAGTGGCACCATCATCCATAAAAATATAGGATTCATCATTTACTGCTGTCCTTCCCTCATGATCTCACAGCCGTTCAAGTTTCCAGCAGAAGTCCCAGACATCGAGGAACACAGACAATCCATCCCCACTATGTACCGTCTGAATTCTAGCTCTACAAAATCCATGGGAATGTTAAAATGGATGTTGTTTCATGACACTAAATTGTGGAATAATGATGAGCAGACATATTCTGTTCATTTTTCTTCTTCACTTATGTCTATCCTGTATTTTATCAATATTTTGTTTTCCATATTCCATTCTTATTGAATTCCTATTCTATCCTTCATAAACTGTATTCTATATTTCATTCTAAATTTCATTCTATTCCGGTATTTAAAAATCTATACTGTTTATTTCATAGTCCATTTATTTCAGGCCATTGCACATTTTGTTCCGTTCTATATTCCTTCCAATTTTGATTTCCTTTTATTTTCTTTAATATTTTATTTCATACTGTATTGCACTCATTCCTTTTCTCATATATTTTTATTTTATTCCATATGACATTAGATATTTCTTTCCATTTTCTGTTCCATTCCATTTTCCAATTAAATTCCATTAAATTTCCAATATTCCATTCCACATCCTGTTCAAACCCGTATTCTACTCCCCATTTTATTCCAGTTTCCATTGCAGTCTCCATTTCATCCCATCCTGCATACCATTTCAAATCCATTTTCCATACTATATTATTTAACACTCCAAATACCATTCCATTCTATTTTTGTGTTGCATTTCAGCCCAATTGTTCACCAATTCCATTAAATATCCGATTTTATTGTGCTCAAAATGTTATAACAGTGACATTCAGGAGACTAGTTTGCCAATATTTTTAATCAAAGAATTACAAATGTGGCTGGGCGCAGTGGCTCACGCCTGTAATCCCAGCACTTTGGGAGGCCGAGGCGGGCAGATCGCCTGAGGTCAGGAGTTTGAGACCAGCCTGGCCGACATGGTGAAACCCTGCCTCTACTAAAAATACAAAAAATTAGCCGGCCATGGGTGGCACGCGCCTGTAGTCCCAGCTATTCGGGAGGCTGAGGCAGGAGAATTGCTTGAACCCGGGAGGCAGAAGTTGCAGTGGGCCGAGATCATGCCACTGCACTCGAGCCTGGGTGACAGAGCCAGACCCCACCTCAAAAATAAATAAATAAATTAATTAAGTAATTAAAATAATTACAAATGTTCATAGACTTGTACCAAGAATTTTCTCTTCTGGGAATTTATCCACAATGACACATTTAAGGATATGAACAATTTTTAATGAGAAGGATGTGTCTCACAATGATGTAAAATGTTGGAAACAGCATAAACGGTGGCCAATATGGGAATGTTTGAAAATGTAAACTTCTTTTATAAATGGAGTATTTTGTAATTTAAAGTGGCCTCGTAGAAATTTGTTTACTGACATAGAAAATGTGCTTTCTGGAACCCAAAGCAGGTTACAATGCAGTATCTATGGAGAAACTATTCCATTTCATAAAATAAAAAATTTAAAAAACTATGAAATATGTATGAATAGGGCCTTTCTACCAAAGTCTAAGTAAAAATTTCCAGCACTTTCCCATGGGTGCCTGAGGACTTAGGTGTAGTTTTCTTACATTTGCTTTTCTGTTTTGAGTACTGAACATGACACCTTTTGTAATAAATAATGACTAAAAATGAGTGGCCAAATATTAAACTTCAAGTCTATACATTACAGCATATTTATATTAATTAGGAGCTAGAGACCACACTAAATAAATTAATATATGTTCATCAGCGGATTACTACGCAGCCCATAAAATATTTAAGGACGGTGTCACCCTTAACCTTAGGCAATCCCTAACTGTGCCTTGGGGGAAAAGGCACAGTTCTAAATCCCCCTCTGGTGTGTGGGACCTGAGGTGTGTGGGACCTGGGGGAAGCAGCAGTGCTGAACATCCGGAGGCAAGACGGTGTGGGCCCCTTCCCTTTTCTCGCCTTCAGGCCTCTGTATAACCCTAAAACCCACCAGACCCCACATGGGGTCATCTAGATGCCTGGAGGAGTTCCAGGGTGGTCCCTTCGGGCGTCATGCCTGGTTTCATTGTCCTGACCGGGTGCGAGGAGGGACACCTGGCCAGGAGATATAACCTGCCGGCCAGTGTGGCATTTCTTTCAAATGACCACTTAAGCCTCAGCCACGATTTGGGGTGACTCAAATCGTTCATGTGGAACACACACACACACACACATATACACACACACGTGTCTTAGGGACGGACACACACAAACACGTGTCTTAGGGGCCCCGTGTGAGGAGAGGAGATTCACACTACTGACCCAGCAACCAGGGTCGACCCCAGAGGGCTGGAGCACACACTCCGGGTTGACGATAGGCGCCTGGCTCTGGGTTGCACGGCTCCGGATTGGACGGCTCCCGGGAAGAGAGAGGAGTCATCTGACGTCCAGCTCGCCAATCAGAGTCGAGGACTGGCTGGGCTCCACCCACCTTCTTGCTCTACCAGTTCGCGCTCTCCTCCGGCAGAAGTAGCAGCTGCGCTCTTGCTCTCTGGGGGAGAACCTGGCGTTATGGCCACTCAGTCAGACATGGAGAAGGAGCAGAAGCACCAGCAGGACGAGGGGCAGGGAGGGCTGAACAACGAAACCGCCCTTGCCTCCGGGGATGCCTGCGGGACCGGGAATCAAGATCCTGCTGCTTCCGTCACCACAGTCTCCAGCCAAGCATCTCCCTCGGGCGGCGCCGCCCTAAGCAGCAGCACAGCCGGTTCTTCCGCTGCAGCCGCCACCTCCGCCGCCATTTTCATCACCGATGAGGCCTCGGGGCTGCCAATCATAGCTGCTGTGCTGACGGAGAGGCATTCTGACCGCCAGGACTGCCGCAGTCCTCACGAAGTTTTTGGGTGTGTGGTGCCCGAGGGGGGCAGCCAGGCCGCTGTGGGGCCCCAGAAGGCCACTGGCCACGCCGACGAGCACCTGGCCCAGACCAAGAGCCCCGGGAACAGCCGTCGTAGGAAGCAGCCCTGCCGCAACCAGGCTGCCCCGGCTCAGAAGCCTCCAGGGCGGCGTCTGTTTCCTGAGCCTTTGCCGCCATCTTCTCCAGGGTTCCGGCCCAGCAGCTATCCCTGTTCCGGGGCTTCTACGTCGAGTCAGGCAACCCAGCCAGGCCCTGCACTCCTAAGCCACGCATCTGAGGCAAGGCCTGCTACCCGAAGCCGCATCACCCTGGTAGCTTCTGCTCTCCGCAGACGTGCATCTGGTCCAGGCCCTGTCATCCGAGGCTGCACCGCCCAGCCAGGCCCTGCTTTTCCACACCGCGCCACTCATCTAGACCCTGCTCGTCTAAGCCCTGAATCTGCGCCAGGCCCTGCCCGCCGAGGCCGTGCATCTGTGCCAGGCCCTGCCCGCCGAGGCTGCGATTCTGCGCCAGGCCCTGCCCGCCGAGGCCGCGATTCTGCGCCAGTCTCTGCCCCCCGAGGCCGCGATTCTGCGCCAGGCTCTGCCCGCCGAGGCCGCGATTCTGCGCCAGGCCCTGCCCTTCGCGTCCGCACAGCAAGGTCAGACGCCGGTCATCGCAGCACCAGCACGACGCCAGGCACTGGCCTCCGGAGCCGTTCCACCCAGCAAAGATCAGCCCTTCTCAGCCGCCGCTCTCTGTCTGGGTCAGCTGATGAGAATCCTTCCTGTGGGACTGGCTCAGAAAGGCTTGCCTTTCAGAGCAGATCAGGCTCTCCTGATCCTGAGGTCCCAAGCCGTGCTTCCCCGCCTGTTTGGCATGCAGTCCGTATGCGTGCCTCCTCACCCTCACCCCCTGGGAGGTTCTTCCTTCCCATCCCTCAGCAGTGGGATGAGAGCTCCTCCTCCTCCTATGCTTCCAACTCCTCCTCCCCGAGTAGGTCTCCTGGCCTAAGCCCCTCATCCCCTTCCCCTGAGTTTTTGGGCCTGAGATCTATCTCCACTCCTAGCCCTGAAAGCCTTAGGTATGCTTTGATGCCTGAGTTTTATGCTCTGAGCCCTGTCCCTCCAGAAGAGCAGGCAGAAATAGAGAGCACAGCTCACCCCGCAACACCGCCTGAGCCGTGACCCTCTATAAGCATCCTCTAAGACCCACAGAAGGAATCAACATTTACCCACTTTGTGAATGGGCTGCCTGCCCTGTAGTTAGCTGCGAGGTCTCCCAAAGTTCCAGCCGTTAACCAACATCCTGAGTAGTTTAGAAGCCTCTCCTCCCCATGACTCCACCACCTAGCACTTAACCTGCTGTTGGCCTTTGATTCTGGGCCACCTTCTTCCTCAAGAGTTTGCCTTTGCCCTTGAGCTGAGATTTCTGTTTTCCAAGTTGCTTTTCTGTTATGAAATGTTTTAATTAGTAAAATAAATTGTTTTGTTTAAACAAAATGTAGAGGTGTGTTTTTTTATTGCGGTTCGAAAAATCGTTAATCCTATATCATATTTGGAGGGTTAAAGAAAGTTGTTAACATACTAGCTGACTCTTTGGACGAGAGAAGAAATAAAATACTGTCCTAGCAATAATTTATTCCCACTGGCTGAAATGGAGTTCTGTGCAGGAAGTTCCCACTTAGGTCTATATACCCTCTTAGCAGAGGTGATTTGCAACTTGGGCAAGAAAAGGGGCCAGGGTCTAACCCAGGTGGCTGGAGAAAAGGAGGGGTGATGGAGACATCCAGGGTCAGGAAAGGAGCAGGGAATGATGAAGTTTGGGATGAGAGGTAGGGAGACGATAACCCAGATGGGAGTAGGGAAGCTGGGAGGAAGATCCAGAGTCAGGAAATGGGGAACAGCAGGAGTCAGAAGCTTGAGAGGGGAATATCTTAGATTCTAAAGGATAAAAAAATGTTTATGTGTGGGGAACGGGCTCCTGAGGTCTTTGGGGGTGGGGAGAATGTGGGAGGGTGATTTGGGGCTAATAATTGATGGGAAAATGGTCAGACATTCAGTGGAAATACGTGTTAATCGATAATGTTACTGTAACAAAAATAATTGTAACTGAGTTTGAGCAGATATGTGAGGGTGTGTGTGTGTGTGTAGACATTTGGAGAGAACTACATGGGCATACACCATGCTGTGAACAAGGTGTATATCTTTTTTTTAATAACTGGTGATATGGTCTTCTATAATCTACAAGTTCCACATTGACCATATAACTATTTTTTTAAATTAAACTCCGCTGTTTTTTGAAAATTTAAGTTGTAGAAACATAATAGGAGAGACTACATTAAAAGAACAGAGTGAAAAAATATAAAGCAAACCAGCAAAAGAAACTCCCTTTCCCTCCTTTCTCATATTTCTCCTCTCCTTTGCTATTCTGGTATGTGAACAGTACAAGCATAGTCCTGACCAAAAAGGGCCCTGGTCACAATTTGGAGGGTCCTGTTCAGGCCCTGCTCATGCTTTATTCACACCACAAAGCTAAGAGTCCATGGGGGATAAGTGGGACCTGTGTGCCCACCAGGTCCCAACATCCTGCCACTTTTATAGAAAGTGTTTCAGGTACCCTCATTCTTCAAGGCTGTTTCTAGGGCTTGCAAGGCCGTATTCTCAGGGTCCTTCCTAAGGAAAGAACACATATTTTAAAAGCTCTCACTTTGTTATATTTCTTTTTCTTGAGTAATTCTAGATATCCAAAGACTAAGACAAAAAGTAGACAGTTCCAATGCAGCAAGTCACAACCTCCCAGTATTGGAGGGCCTACATTTATTCCCATTTCACAGATGTGGAAATTGAGGCTCAGAGCAATTTTGTGATTTTCAAAATCTCATAGCTAATAGAGCTTGGCTCCAGAGTCAGAATTCCTGGGTTTGAATTCTGGTGTTCCTATTGAATCACTGTGTGACCCAGTGCAAGTTAGTTAACCTGGGATCCAAAGCTTCTGCATTTGTCAATTGGGCACAGTAAGAGTGTACGTCTCCAAGATTATTGTAAGGATTAAAATGGATGGTGCATATTAAGTGCTTCCAACAGTGTCTTGCACATCGTGAGTGCCCAGTACAGATGGTTCTTACTCTGATTAGGATTATGATCATGTGTCCAGATATTTCTGACAGCCCCTTAACAGGTTACTGGTCTTTCCTAAACAACAATACTTTCAAAATCAAACTGGCTGTTTCAAAAATGGAGAGGGACATTCTTTATTGTACTTAGTACTTTAAAATATGAAGGCATTTCCACAAGCTATTGAGCAACATTTTTACCAATACCAGAGGCCACTGCGCAAAAATGTAAAAAAAAACAAAGGATTGAGCCTCAGAGGTACAAACTCTAGGAATTTAACAAATTTATACTCGCAGTCGTTACATGAATGCTTCTGAGAACAGTAGTTTTTCTCCCAGCGTTATTTGTATCTTAACTTGTTTAAAATATTCATTTTAATGAATGAATGGAATACATCAAGGATTAACATTATTGACTGCAAGTTGCCTTTATATAATACCTGGCATGCAGATATAACAGGTAAAAATCATAGTATGCTTGTATGTGTTAAGTACTGTTTTAACGTTTATACATACACTAACTCGTTTAATTCACAGAACAACCTTAGGAAGTAGATGTTCATATTGAGCCCATTTTATAGATGAAGACGTTGAGGAACAGAGGTTACATAAAATATGAAGGAAAGACACATTGAACTGTGGACTCTGTCATGGCCCCCTTGCGAGGTTATTAACTTCTTTTGTGAAGTAAATTGCATGATATGCCCCTGCACAGAGTACTACTGTTTTGCCAAGTGTGAAGGTAATGGTTTGGGCATGTTCATCTGCAATTTATTATGAGAAATGGTGTTGGTTTTGTATTGTGTAAAGTTACTCTATCAACCTAAACTTCATATGGAAGGTGAACAATTCTAGCCCAACCACATTAACTCATTTCACTCGTGAAAATATTCATAGCTGGAGATTATAATTGATTGTGTAGGAAAGACTTATCTACCTAGAAGCAGAAGCAGGTTTAGAAAGTAACAGCAACATTACAGGCCTTTCCTGGGAATTTGTGTGCCCTGTGTGTAGCTTCCCTTTGTGTCTCCATGTCTAAGTGGTGTCCAATCCCCAGAAACAGCTGTGAACTGGGAAAGAGGTGGGGGTGAAAGGCCCATTTCAGAGCCCTGCACTCCTCACAGCTGAGCACAGCTTTCACCCCAGGGTTCCTCTGTGGGGAACATGAAAACACCCGAAAATCCTTCAGCTGCCTTTCCCTGGAAGTTGCCACAATCAGCTACTATACTGAACAGTGCTGGTTTTATGGGCACGTGACCTGTGCAGTTGCACAGGCCCCTGCTTGCTTTAATGATGTGTTGTTGCCATCTTAAATGCTTAATGATTTTTGAACCAGTTGTCCCTCATTTTCATTTTTCACTGTACTTCACAAATTATATGGCTGATCCTAAAACTGTTTTTAGTACTTAAAAAAAAAATTTCTAGCAAGCAGAGTGCCAGGAAGTGTAGCTGGTGGCTGGTAATAAAAACAGATGACATTGCCATAAGAGTGAGCTTAGGGTAATGCAAACTGCATGAGACACTGGGGTTGGACAAGCCTAGGCTTGAAATTTGCCCCACCTCTGCCTTGCTGTGTGACCTTAAGTAAGGTTCATAGTCTCTCCGATCCTCAGTTTCCACACCTGCAAATTGGGGATAATAGTATCTACTTTATACTCACAACTTCCGAGAGGAGCCTAGGATAATCCTGTCTACCCACCCTTCTGGCTGTGGTTTAGGGTCCTTCCTCCGTGTTCCCAGAGCCTCTTGTTCTTACCCTTGCCAAAGCCCTCATTACACAATTTTGGAAATTATATTTCTGTATAACCATCTTCCCACTAGACTATGAGAACTTTGAGGACTTGGACAGAGCCTGGATTTTCCGTCTGTCCCCAGAACCTAGGGGCCCTAGGCCTTGGTAGGCAGAAAGAAGTATTTCTTGGCTTAATGGTAATAGTATAAGCTACATGCTTAATAAAGAATAACAACTAATATACAAAATATGTGTTGGAAATAATATGTAAGAAGTGTGTAAACCCAAGATATTTCCCTACTTAAATTTTCTTCACTCAGAGAGGGCGTGGCCTTTTACCCTTTTTTCAGAACCATCAAGAGCCAGTGTTTTCCCAATATCTTACTTCATAGTGTAACTGGCAACTTCTGTTACTCCCTCAGTCTCAGATTTGGCCTCACAGTGGACCTGCACTGGACATGGCACTGAAGGCTTCCCAAACACAGTGTTATTGATGCTAAATAGGCCGTCAAGAAATATTTGTTGAATAAATGCCTTGTTAGATTAATAGAAGCCAGCTAATTACATTATTTTATTTTATAGGTAAAAGGATTCTATATCATTTGGTCTTATACTGGCAAAATCGAGGACATGAGCTAAGAAGTCAGTGGAATTGTCAAGTTCAAGGAGCATGTTCACACACACACAAAGAGCCCACTCTCCCGGTGTTCTGTTTTTTCTATGACCACTCATTTCCAGTCAATTTCACTTTCTTCTCCTCTCCTGTGTTCCATTTTCACATCAATACACTATATTGCAAATGCCATCAAATTCATCAGATACAGACTTTTATTGAGCTTCTCAGGTTGTGTGACTGCCTTCCCAAACAGAATGTGAGCTTCTTGAGGGCAGGGAACATGCTATCTTGGTCATTACAAAAAACAGAATCTAAAATAATGCCTAAAATATGGTAGGAGTCACTGAATAGTTGTTGAATTAATTAATCTGTTGTGACACATATGAAAAAATATCTGCCTTTCAATTTGAGGATCGTTGTATAGGCACCATTATTCTATAGACACTACCTGTATAGGCAATATGTGTGTGGCTTTTTTTATCAGTTACCAGATGCATTCTGATATTCAGCTGTAAGGAATTGAGAGAGGATTATTCCAATTCCTCTTTCTACAGCATTTTTGTATAGTAAGTAGTACAGTTTTCAGTACACACCTTAAATAAGGATAGTGTTCCCCAAACCACAGGCATTCATAAGAAACCTTTAGGATTTCTTAAAATTTTCTTTCTTTGTGTCTTTCCCTTTCTTTCCTTTTTACTTGCTTTCTCATTATCTTTGCCTCTTCTCTCTCTCCCTCCATCTTTCCCTCTTCTCTTTCTCCCTCCATCTTTCCCTCCCTCTCTTCCCGCTTCCCCTTCTTCTTTCCTTCCTTCCATTGTATGGATAGTCCACAATTTTTATTTATCCAAACACATTAATGGATATTTGATTTGTTTTCATGTTTGGGCTATTACAAATAAAGCTTCCATGAACATTCATGTACAGATACTTGTATAGACAAGTTTTCTTTCCTCTTGAGTAAATACCTAATAGTGAAATAGCTGGGTCATGGTAAGTATTTGTTTAACTTTTTAAGAAACGGCCAAGTTGTTTTTCAAACTGTATGTAGAGTTTTATATTCCCACTGGCAGTGTATGAGTCCAATTCCTCCACAGCCTTGCCAACAATTGATGGGGGCAGACATTAAAATTTTAGACACTCTACCATCAATGATAGACTAGATTAAGAAAATGTGGCACATATACACCATGGAATACTATGCAGCCATAAAAAAGGATGAGTTCATGTCCTTTGTAGGGACACAGATGAAGCTGGAAACCATCATTCTCAGCAAACTATCACAAGGACAGAAAACCAAACACCGCATGTTCTCACTCATAGGTGGGAATTGAACAATGAGAACACTTGGACACAGGGTGGGGAACATCACACACTGGGGCCTGTTGTGGGATGGGGGGATGGGGGAGGGATAGCATTAGGAGAAATACCTAATGTGAATGACGAGTTATGGGTGCAGCAAACCAACATGGCACATGTATACATACGTAACAAACCTGCATGTTGAGCACATGTACCCTAGAACTTAAAGTATAATTTTAAAAAAAATTTTTTAGACATTCTAATAGGTGTGTAGCAGTATCTCATGGTGGTTTTGTTGTTGTGGTGGTGGTGTGGGTGTGTGTGTGTGTGTGTGTGTGTGTGTGTGTTTGAGATGGAGTCTCACTCTGTTGACCAAGCTGCAGTGGCATGATCTCAGCTCACTGCAACCTCCGCCTCCTGGATTCAAGCAATTCTCCTGCCTCAGCCACCCAAGTAGCTCGGATTACAGGCGCCCACCACCATGCCTAGCTAATTTTTGTTTTTTTTAGTAGAGAGAGGGTTTCGCCATGTTGGCCAGGCTGGTCTCAAACTCCTGACCTCAAGTGATCCGCCACCTTGGCCTCCCAAAGTGCTGGGATTACAGGGGTGAGCCACCACACCTGGCCTCTCATGTTTTTTATATGAATTTTCCCAATGGCTAATGATGTTGAATATCTTTTCACATGCTACTTTGTAAATACTCTGGCAATTATTTATTGGGTTGTTCGTTTTCTTACTTTGAGTTCTGAGAGTTCTTTATATATTCTGGATACAAGTCTTCTGTTAGATATGTGACTTGCAAATATCTTTTCTCACTCTATTGCTTATCTTCTTATTTTTATAGTGCCTTTTGAAGAACAGAAATTTTTAATTTTAATGAAGTCCTGTTTTATAAATCAGGCTTTTGGTGTCGTATCTAAGAAATATTTTTCTAATTCAAGGTCACAAAGCTTTTGTTCTACATTTTTCTCAAATTTTTATATATTTAGCTCTCATATTTAGTTTTATGATCTAGGTTGAGTTAATTTTTAGATATCACTCAAGGTATAGATCAACATTCATATTTTATTTTTGGATGTGGATAACCACTGGTTCCAGGACCATTTATTGAAAAGATTAACTTTTTCCCACTGAATTGTCTTTGTACTTTTGTTGAAAATCAATTGACCATATATGTGCTGACATTTCTGGACTCTATTATATTACATTGAATTTCAAAGAGTCAGTAGCACACTATTTTGATAACTGTTACTTTACAATAAGTCAAAAAAACAGTTTCTTCCTTTTCAAGGTTGTTCTGGCAATTTCAGCTCTTTTATAATTCAATAAAAATTTTAGAGCCAGCTTATCCATTTCTACTAAAAAATCTTGAGATTTATTAAGTATAATTTGAGATATAATATGCCACATATATTTAAAGTACACAAATTTGATATGTTTTGATATATGTATATATATGAAAACCATGAACCATCACCACAATCAAGATAATCAATATATTCATCAAACTCCAAAAGTTTTCTCCTGCTTAACTGTAATCCCTTCCTCTTTTCCTATACCCTTACCCTGTTCGTAGGCAATCAATTATCAGCAGTCTGTCACTACAGATTAATTTGCATTTTCTAAAGTTTTATATAAATGGAATCATACAGTATGTATACTTTTATGCTCTGGCTTCTTTCACTCAGGATACTTACTTTGAGATACATCCATGTTGTTGCATATGTCAATACATTATACCGTTTTAATCAATGAGTGGCATTATATGTATATACCAAGATTTATTTAATCATTTACCTGTTGAAGGACATTTGGGTTCTGTTTAATTTTTGACTATTACAAACTACTATGAATATTTCTGTATGTATTTGTAAGGACATATGCTTTTCCTTTTCATGAGTGAATACCTAGGTGATGAATGACCTAGGAGATAAACATAATAGGAATATGTTTAATTTTCTAAGAAACCTCCAAATATTTTTCAAAGTGGTGGTATCATTTTACACTCCCACCACCACTATGTGAGGGTTCCTGTTCCCTTACATCCTTGTCAAGCCTTAATATCGTTTGTGTTTATAAATTTTCACATTCTAACTGTGTAATGGTAGCACATTGGGGTTTTAGTTTGCATTTCCTTAATAACAAATGAGGTTTGTCTTTTTTATGTGCTTGTCAGTAACATATTTTCATTTGTGAAGTGTGCAAACAAACGTGAACCTAAAACAGCCAGTCCTTCAAGATGGATTTTGAGTGGCTAACAGGACCTAAATTTAAAATACAGCCAAGCGGCCATTTGCTGACTAGAGATCACACAGGTACTCTTGAGTTTCCTGGAAAACTCACGCCTTTGTTTACCTTTGGGGCTTTCAGAGCTCACCTGAACTAACCAATCAGAGCCCACCTGCCTTAGCCAATGAGCGCTCAGTTGTATCAACCAGTCAGAGCTCAGCTGTGTTCACCAATCAAAACCAAGCAAGTCTGAATCCTTCATTTGTATAAAAGGTCCTGACTGGGAACCTGAGTAGGAACTTTCTCTATGAAAGCCAAACCATCTCTTTGTTCTCTGGAATACACTTTCGTTTTACACAGAAGGCTGTGTCTGTTTGCAAACTGTTAAGTCTTTCCTCCACATTCCTTTTCAGAGAACTTTTGTTTACATTCTTAGTGTCAGAAACAGGATTTGAAGCCATCCCCAACTACTCCCAGTGCCATCTGAGACAAGGTATAAGTGCCTGCAAGAGCCTCCTGAGGTCAGTTGTCTTCTTACTGGTGCCAGGGCTTCAGGGATAGGCTAGGGTAATTTCTCTCAAATTCGGACCTCCTACCCCTTGTTTAAGGTCTCAGAGACTTTATTCCTTTCCTGTAGGTTCCCTCCATCCAGACCCCAGAGGAGACCTTCCTTTTGTCTCCTGGCTGGGATGGGGCATGGGAGGCTTGGGAGAGTGGCCTTCCCAGCCAGTTCCCCCTATCTGGACTCTGGAGGGGGCATTCCCTGTTGGCCCCAGGCTTAGTGGGGGGCCTTCCAAGTCTCAGCCAGTTCCCTCCATGTGGATCCCAGAGGTGGTCCTCCCAGTCACCCCAGGTTTAGAGTGTTGTGGGACTCGGGAGGACAAGAGAGACCTCGGGTTGAAACAGCAGAATCTTTATTGAGTGCACTCAGGCCCAGCTGACTCACATCCAAAAGACTGGGCCCAGAACAAAGACAGTACCTGACTTTTATACACACTTTACAAAAGGGGGTGGGCTAGCTGGAAGCAAGCTCACAGTGGCATGAAAGCAGGGATACAGAGGCAGAACAAAGGCAGGATTGCACATGACCATTGCCAAGCAACCCAGATGTTCGTTATCTAGGTTTGCCTGGGCATGGGCTTATCCCATAACCTTCACTATGGTGCCCAAGCAGCTGTAGTTCAGGCCTGCTCAGGCTTCTCATGATCTTCATTGTACCTCTTAGATAAAACAGAGTACTTGAAGTCACTAGTTACAGAGAACAAGAATCTATAAACTCATTTCATAAAACAAAGGAAAATTTGTTTTTCTTCTCCTTACGTTGAGGGAGTGCTGGGAGAGTCTCCAGAGCACATTAGATAATACTATCAAGACTTTTCCTGGGTCTGGGCTGTGCCTGTTGCTGCCTCTGGGACAAGTCGCCTAATACAGGACAACTTATTTCTCTTTCTTTTTAATTTTCTTTTTCTTTAATTTCCCGCCTCAATAGGGGGTCCTTCCCAGCCCAACTCAGCTGGTCTATAAGGTTTTCTGGGGATGCTCATGCTACAGGCAATGACAGGGAGGCATTCGTCATGTCAGTGCAATGGGTAACCCATATTTTAAGTTTTTCCTTGATCAGCTGCCTTCTGGCACTCCAGCTTGATTTACGAGCAAAAATTATGGTCCAGGGAACTGTAATTGGCTAGGTCTCTGGACAAAAATTATGCAGGACAATCTTTAACTTTATTGGCCAAATGGGGCTTCTTTGAAATTCCAAAACCTGACTATGTGCAGGCACAATTAGAAGAAAGAAAACATGGAACATTCCAGAGACAATGGGAAACCTTTTTTTCAACTGGTACTTTGAAAGTTCTAAATGGAATCAAGGGGCTACCATTGCCTCTTAGGGAAAATAATTCCCAATTGAGTGAGTGCCTTAATGAAACAGAGAGAAGTGCTTGTCAGATTGAAACTAAAGCTGGAAAAAAGAAGCCCGCTCTGGAAGAACCTTCTTCCACTAGCTTCCCCTTGCCTGCCACTCGGCCTGTCTTCTGCACCTTTTTTCCCACCTCTGCTTTATCTTTCACTCCCTCCTTCCTCTTCTACTCTTTGATTTTGAAGGGATTACATTTTCTCTAGACTCATCTGTATGTTTTCTTGTAAAATTCTGTGATAAATTCCCATGATTTTATGTTACCTTGGTATCCATTTCAGTCTTCCTCTAAAACACCCAAACTACTTGAAAAAGCCTAAATTTTCTGTGCTTTGAAATGTAAATTTGTTGCCCTGTTCTCTAAAATTCGGTAAAGGCATCAGCCATGTGGGACAGACAAATGTCAGTTTATTCCATTTACAGAGAAATAGTTTGAATCTAACTGTTCTTTAAACTATGAGTTTTACCTGACTCATAGCTACAGGCTTAGGATTAAAGCTACAAGATCTTTTTTGTCTGTCTGTATTTTCTTTGTGTGTGTGTGTATATGTATATATCTGTATATTGTCTACAGAACCAAATTGGCTTATAAATAAATGAATACTCGTAAATTAAGCAAATAAACGCAAATGCTTTTCAAGTTCATGTGACAGCCATCTTTTGGTGGATGGGACTGGTCTAATATTGTTGGTTTGGTGGCAATGGCTATGTCTTCTGAGTCATTAGAAAAATACGTATATATTTAAATTTAGGGTTCTTTTATACTTATCTGGCATACAGTAATGTAAAATTGTTGACAGAAAATTTTGTTTACGCTAGTGGCTAGATTTTTCTAGTGTCTCATGAAGTCTTCTAGATGTAATTGTTAAGAGTGAATGAATTGAATGGATGTAAATGGGATAAAAGTTTGTAAATGAACTTTTGAAAATGGTTATGTTTCATAATATGTTTACTTGGGAGGACGTTCATTCAATTGAATTAGATCATTTCCAGATAAGATGTAATTCTGAGACATTGGTTACTGAATACGAGTTCAGGCTCATATGCTTTTGGCTTCTTATTTGAAAGAAACAAAAGTCATTTGAGTCTGTTGGTAAATATGTCCTGTTCCATATTAAAAGGATATTCTGTTAGCCTATGTTTCTGGAAATTGTAAAATGTGTATTCATGGATTGTTGGTACATGATTGGCAGTTAAAAATTGCTTAAGTCCCAGGTTTTCACTGAAGATTAGGGTTACTAAGAGTTAACATTTTAATTAATGTGTGTGATTAAACAGACGAGAAATACAGTCTGTATGCAAGTATATGAGGAGAGTAGGATGTATATTTTGGTAAGATAGATTGAAGAGAAAAGAGAATAATTTTGTATAAGAAATAATCTCTTGTGGTAAATTTTTGTCCTAAAGTGACTGATTATTTAAGAAAGAGGAAGTATAGGAGAAAGCAGAAAATCTAAACATGTTATAAATTGTCTAAGCACATTATAATAGGCTTATGAAAAGAAAGTTTATAAAAGGAATTTTCTGTGTGATCAGGTTGGCTATGATTGAAAGGAAAATTTTTATTGGTCTTTCTAAGGATTGAGCTTTGATGTTTAGAAATGCACTGATGCAGAATTTTAAAATCTAATCCCCTGTGTTAGAACAAGATTTTCTTAAAATATTGATTTGCTCTTAGTAAAGTTGCAGGATGTTTTTATTTTTAATTCCAAAATCTCTTCCCTTAACAGCCATCCTTCAAATTATAAACAGTTTTTATTTATGCCACATTTCTTTCTTAGATCTACCTAATTTTCCTAGTTTCAGGTTAGAAATGCAGCTGTCCTTTTTACCCTTGAAAAGCTATATCGTTTTGCTTGGCTGGGGTAATAATCCTCTCCTTCAACCTTTTCATCACCTCCTGTAATTTTTTCTCCAGTTCTAACACGGATGTTATGGCCTGATGCTAAAATGTTTATCTTGAAAGTCTAGAAAGACAATGTTTCCTTCAGTACAACTTGATTCTGTACTTTTGACTTCTGTTGATGTTTCTGAATTGTTCCATGTAATCAGGAAATTTCCCATGCTGTTACTAAAAACCATGTATTCCCCTCTGCTCAAGGTACTAGTTTTCTTGTTTCCATCCCTCTTTAATATAGTGTACACCCATAATCCTGGACACACTTTTCCTGTGTCTGATTAAATTCAGGTACCCTCATTTAGGTCCGTGGGCACAGGCCTGAGGGTGGAGCCCTCACCAGGGACTCCGCCCTTCTCTATCCAGCAGTTCCTTGCCCTACTCCCGCATCACCATCACTGCTTTTTCCAGCATTGTTTCAGTGAAGTTCTGGGAGAAAAGTTTTTAAGTTGTCTGTATTGCTTATATGAATATATGTGAGAAAAGTTTTTAAGTTGTCTGTATTGCTTATATGAATATATGTGCTGCTCTCCTTTTGAATGTTGCTTCTGTACTAGTCATAATTATACTAACCACATGGGTTGCTGTCAACATTCAATATTTGCGTTATTTTGCTGCTTAGTTTTACATCTTTCAGGCCACATTTCAAACTCAGCTCGTTTGTTGTCCCTCCAGCAGTACTTGAGACTGCCACCTAGTGGACGTTTATTTGCTGATCGAGTTTTCTGTTTACAAAATTTTCTCCATTTTCAGGAGCACATTAACAGTACCCCATTCCTCCAGGCTTTATGCATTTTCAGACTCCTTCAGATTGTCCTTCAATAGACTTTCTTTGCTGAACAAAAGATGCTCAGTCATGTGGACGCCCAGTTGCGGGGATTTCACCGGTGAATTCCAGGTATTATAACTGGCAAACCAGTGAGGTACAGAAAGGCTTGTTGGGGAGACATTCCAGCTCCCCAGCTGGCAGCAGGGGCCATCTTGGTCGTGCCTGGAGATGTCCAGTGTCGGTGAGACTTAGGATGGTGCATGGCAAATGCTCATTACCTCCTAGGGCTTCAGTTTTATGGGGATTCAAGGGGACTCCCTGGACCCCACCATGGTCCAGCTTTGCTCTTAGGGACACCCATGGCCTCCTGGATTTCAATATATGTTTCAAGCAGAACCCCTTATTCCCTTAGGTTTAGTCCTATCCTCTCTGTTGGGATTAGCAGGGTCAGCTATGGGAGTTGGAGCCTTGGGAAGCCAGCATAAACTGTCTCAGGAGACTGCAGCGGCCCTCCAACAAACAGCAAAGGACCTAACTAGGCTTCAACAACAGCTAGACTCCCTGGTGCTATAGTCCTACAGAATCAAAGAGCCTTAGATCTCCTCACAGCTAAATAAGGAAGAATATTTTTGTATCTAAGAGAAAAATGCCATTTTTATATCAACCTGTCTGGTCTGGTCCAAGAAAATATTAAAAATATTATTTTCCAGGCAGACAAAATTGAATCTTTAGGAACTTCTGTGGAAACTTAGAAGCAATGGCTATTATCTGCCCTGCTTCCCTTAATATAAGTGGCAATTATTACCATACTTTTAGCCTTAACTTTTGGGCTAACTTTGTTTAAAATTCTAACTGATTTCTTGCTCTCTAGCTTACAGCAATTCCAGGACCACATGATGGTTTTGCAAAGCTTCCAACCTTTAGCTGCTAATGAGCTATCTCATTTCTTGTCCACTGGTCCCATGAATGACATGGCTTACACTCCATTAGATCAGGCAAGAAGAGACTTTAGGGCCCAGCTAGGCAGGGACAATGTTGCACTGAGCAGGAAGCAGTTTCAGAAAAAATTACCTAGCCCCTCAACCTCCCATATGATTATGGGCCCTAAAATCTCTTAGGTGGGGAATTGAGGCAGGATAGGTGGTCAAGGAAGTGACCATGTCCTCGGGATGCAGCAACCATGGCGACCATACAGTCAACACAATAAGCCCCAGCATTCGCATTGTAGTTAAGTTCATTCAAGCAAAGCTATCTCCAGTAGGGACTTTCCCGTCTAGAGAGGATGTGCATTTTGATTTTGCCTGTCCTCAAACTGACCCTTTGTTCATTATAATAGTAAATAAATACACCCCTGGGTGGAGATTTAAGATGCTAATGAGACATGTGACCTATGAACAAGCATGTACAGCTACTGTGCATATACATTCAGAGGACCACCCAGAACATGCTTACTAGTAACATGTCTTCCCACTTCCTTATGAATAATCATGTAAGACTCCCAGAAAGGGAGTTTCCCCAGTAGTAATCAGCACTGTCTCATCCTTATGAGCAGCCCACCCTGAATTCTCTCTGTCTCAGGGTGTACTCTCTATTCTGCACTTAACTTTCAAAATATTATTTTTCCTTTGCAATAAATTTCTCTATCTTGTGTCTCCTCTTCTGTGTGTCTCTTGTTTAAATTATTTTAAACTAAGAAGACAAGAACCAAGGTCTCACAACAGCCATCAACAGTACCAAATCCATAAACCCCAAGGATTTTTTTCTGACAACTGTGATTTTAGCTTCTCTCTGGACTACAGCTAATTTGTAGTATAACTATGGGCTATATATTTTGAAGATATGGCATAATGCTATTTCCCATTAATGGAAGCTTCCAAGTCAAGGGAAACTTCAAATCTGGTCACACAGATTACAGTAATTTCACTATTGCAATTCTATTTATAATCAACATAATTGTATTTACTATAGTAGTAAAGGTAGAGTTGTTTTTATGACTTAATTTTCCTTTTTATATTTTCTGTCCAAGATCATGAGTCATTTGAAACTGTATTAGAGCCTCAATTCACCATGTAAAGTAATGCAAATGGTGTATTCTTTCCAGCTGTAGTTCACATGTCAGCAAAGGACACAAATGGAAAGTATCTTAACTCCTTCCTTCAACACTTGCTGCACCAGGTGTTACAGGAACAGTGATAAAACAGACAAAAAGCTCACAGGAATAGAGAGAGAAAAAGACAGGTACACAATGACAACACAGTTTGATCAATGTTATACAGAGATAGATACTGGGATGAAGAATCACAGAAAGTGGGTATTTTCCCTTGTCTGGTGGATCAGTAAAGACAGCCTAAAGGAAGATATATGTCCCTAAATTTTGTAATATGAGAAAGGCTTAACTAGAGATGCAGCAGAAGATATTTCTAACAAAGAGAATAGCCGTTGCTGGAAAATTCAGAGTGGTTTGTTTAAATTAGTGATTCCCAATCAGGGAAAATTTTGCCCTCCCCCTTCAGGGACATTTGGTAACAGCTGGAAATATTTTTGATTGTCACAACTGGGATTTTCCTACTAGTATCTAGTAGGTAGAGGAGCCAGGGGTGCTGCTAAATCCCACAATAAAGAATTATCTGGCCCAAAACGTCTATAGTACCCAAATTGAGAAATCCTGGTTTAAATAGATCATGAATCAGTGACAGAAATGTTTCCATTACTACCCACACAAGATTGAGTGATATGGAGTCATTCTGCAGATACTGGATTCAATATAATAATATGATTTTCCATAATAAATAGGAATTACTCATTTATTGAGGCCTTAATTGTGTCAAAATAAAAAACTGTACTTGACAGAATATTATATACTCAATATTATATGCTCTGCAGGGACATATCATGCAGTTTTACTTTGAAAAGTAGTTCATCAAACACTTTGCCAGGTAAGATATAGAGACAACAGATGACCACAAGAAAAGATGATTCAACATCTTTAAGTCATTAGGGAAATTCTAATTAAAATCACAATGAGATAGCGCTACACACCCACTAGGATGACTAAAATTAACAAGTGGCCATACTAAGTGTGACAAGGATATGGGATAATTGGAACTCTCATATACTGCTAGTGGGAATGTAGAATTATACAACCACTTTGGAAAATAATTTGGTCATTTTGTAAAAATTATTTACATAGGTGATTATCCAGAAATATAAAAGCATCTGCCCATGCAAAGATTTGTTCATGATTATTCTAATAGCAGCTTTATTTGAAATAGCCAAAAGTTAAAAGCAATCCAAATGTTTATCAATGGCAAATGGATAAACAAACTCGTATATTCTTAAAATGAAATACTACTCAGTAATTAAATGTATTGAACTACTGATACATGCAAAAACATAAAAGAATCTCAAAATGATTCTGCTGAGTGAAAGAAACAAGACAGAGTACATACTATATGATTCTATTTACATAAAATTTTAGAAAATGCAAACTATAGTGTCATAAAGCATATTAATTGTTACCTGCAAATGAAGGGGCAGGGAAGGTGGGAGGAAAAGACTATAAAAGGGCATGAAGAACATATTGGGTATGATGGATATGTTTATTATCTTGATGATGGTGATGGCTTCATATATCAAAATTCATCAAATTGTATACTCAAAATGTGTATCATTTATTATATGTAAATTGCAACTCAACAGAATTGTTAAAAATGTGGTTCATAATATTACCAAGCAGTTTGAACAGCTTATAAGTTAACATTTTTCTCTAATCACTATTAACTTCTTTTTCAATGGATACATAAAGATGTACAATTTTAGGGTACATGTGATATTTTGATACATTCATATTATGTATAAAGATTAAATCAGGGTAATTGAGATATCCATCACCTTAAATATTCACCTTTTCTTTATGCTAGGATTGTTCAAATTATTTTCTTCTAGCAATTTTGAAATGTATACTAGATTATTGACTATAGTCACCCTACTGATCTGTCGAACACTAGGCTTTATTTCTTCTGTCAATCACTGTATATTTGTACCCATTAATCATCTCTCTTTATCCCCCATTCCTTTCTACCCTTCCTGGCCACTGGTAACCACCAATTTGCTCTCCATCTTCGTGAAATCCACCTTTTAACTTCCACATATGAATAAGAACATATAATACTAGTCCTTCTATGCTTATTTCACTTAACATAATGACCTCCAGTTCCACCCATGGTGCTGCAAATGATAAGATTTCATTCTGTCTATGGCTGAATAATATTCCATTTTGTATATATACCACATTTTCTTTAACCATTCATCCACTGATGGGCACTTAGGTTGATTCTGTATTTTGGCTATTGTGAATAGTGCTGCAATAAACATGGGAGTGCAGATACCTCTTTGACATACTAATTTCATTTCCTTTGGAGATATAACCAGTAGTGGAATTGTTGGATCATATGATAGCTCTATTTTACGTTTTCTGAGGAACCTCCATACTGTTTTCCATAGTGGCTATACTAATTTACATCCCCATCAACAGTCTATGAGGGTTCCTCTTTCTCCACATCCTCACCAGCATCCATTATTGCCTGTCTTTCAGAAAAAGGGCATTTTAACTGAGGTGAGATGATATCTCATTGTGGTTATGATTTGCATTTCACTGAGGATTAGTGATGTTGAGCAATTTTTCATATACCTGTTGGCCATTTGTATGTCTTCTTTTAAGAAATGTCTATCCAGATCTTTTGCCCATTTTGAAATCAAATTATTTGATTTTTGGTTTTGGTATCAGGGTAATGCTGACCTTATAGAATGAGTTTAAGAGTACTCCCTTCTCTTCGGTTTTTTCAAAGAGTTTGAGTAGAATTGGTATTAGTTCTTCTTTAAATGTCTGGTAGAATTCACCAGTGAAGGCATCAAGTCTTGGGCTTTTCTTTGATGGGAGATATTTACTTCTTACTTAACATCTCTACTCTTCAGTTTTCTCATAAGTAAACTGCTTTCTTGTTTTAGCTATTCTCAAATCTAAGTATAAATTTAATTAATTGGCCACTAAGAAATGAAGTACTGATGACCTCTTAGAACTATTCACATAGTGATTATGTAGAATTATATTAAATTACACGAATTTATGCCCTATAGACCGCATCCTTTATATGCACTGTCTTATTTTACAATAACACCAGTAAAAATATATTCCTTAAATTTAAACAATTTTATTCTTAACATCCTATCATCTGGGACTTTAGCAAGGGGTCACCTTGCCACTCCGGGCTGTTTGTTTTCTGTCTTTTTGGTCATCCTCATTTCTTTTCCCAGAAGTGATATCTGAGAGTCAAAAATGTTTGAAACAACCTAAACCATTTTCTCTTTTTTTTCCTTATTACCTGCTCTGAACATAAGCCTTATTGCAAAAACTACTAATGAACAATTTTTTTATTCTACCTTCCTCTTATTGATTATTTCTCTCTTGCTACCACACTGGGTGGCTCTAGCCAAGGAGGTTTACTATACTTTTTTTTCTTCTATAAAAAGGATTTTTGAATCCCAAATGGAATTTGAGCAGAGGTCCAAAAATGAATCTGGTGGCTCTTCGTATAATCCAATTTATAACAATTTAGTTAAATTTTGCCTAAACTTGTAAGCCAAGGAACCAATGGTCTTGGAATATTATATTGAAAATTTATGGTTCCACCATATACCAAAATAGGAAATACAGAACACTTATAAAAACATATCTAGTCATATATATAAACTGGCCCCAGGCACTCACACAAACTCACATACACATTCCAGAGACAGAATGTCTTCTAATTTTATCAATGGACATGAATGTTTATAATTTTGTAGCTCAATTATTATCTTTTGGGAGGATTCATCACAAACAATTACTGTCCGTGACTTTTCCTTGATTTCAATTCAATTAACTTCCAACTGATTTACACACATTACAGAATTTCAAAGGCAGATTTCTTCATTTAGAAAACAAATCCCCACTTGATCAACGAGAAATATTATTAACATATTTTATACAGAAGTACTAACATTTAGAAAGACAAAATCATAGGCTAGTTATTTTACCATTTTTATATCTCTTGATCACTTTAGTTAAATATAATATATAGTCTTAACCCTAAATATGACTGAAGATCCTCAAGCCATTTTGGTCCTTCTTGCTAATCAAAGTTTGGTTCATGAACCAGCAGCATAGGTATCATTTAGGAACTTCTTAAAAATGTAAAACCTCAGGCCCTACCATATTCTTACTTGAATTAAAATCTATATTTTAACAAAGACTTCCATGAGATGTATATGTACATAAAAGTTTGAGAAGTACCTATGGTAATATCTTTAGTCAAGTCTATTTCTTGTTTTCATCCAGGAGCCCATCTTATCTTTAAATGTGATTTTCATACATCTGCTCTGATTTTGTAGTTATTCCTTTGATTACAATATTATTTTTCTTATATCCAAGTTCTCCTAGTTGCCTCACTTTTTCCACCATGTGTGTCTGAATGGAAATGGCTTATTTCCTGCTGATTTTTTTTATTATTATTATACTTTAAGTTTTCGGGTACATGTGCACAATATGCAGGTTAGTTACATATGTATACATGTGCCATGCTGGTGTGTTGCACCCATTAACTCGTCATTTAGCATTAGGTATATCTCCTAAAGCTATCCCTCCCCCATCCCCCCACCCCACAACAGTCCCCAGAGTGTGATGTTGCCCTTCCTGTGTCCATGTGTTCTCATTGTTCAATTCCCACCTATGAGTGAGAATATAGGTGTTTGGTTTTTTGTTCTTGCAAAAGTTTACTGAGAATGATGATTTCCAATTTCATCCATGTCCCTACAAAGGACATGAACTCATCATTTTTTATGGCTGCATAGTATTCCATGGTGTATATGTGCCACATTTTCTTAATCCAGTCTATCATTGTTGGACATTTGGGTTGGTTCCAGGTCTTTGCTATTGTGAATAGTGCCGCAATAAACATACGTGTGCATGTGTCTTTATAGCAGCATGATTTATAGTCCTTTGGGTATATACCCAGCAATGGGATGGCTGGGTCAAATGGTATTTCTAGTTCTAGATCCCTGAGGAATCGCCACACTGACTTCCACAAAGGTTGAACTAGTTTACAGTCGCACCAACAGTGTAAAAGTGTTCCTATTTCTCCACATCCTCTCCAGCACCTGTTGTTTCCTGACTTTTTAATGATTGCCATTCTAACTGGTGTGAGATGGTATCTCATTGTGGTTTTGATTTGCATTTCTCTGATGGCCAGTGATGGTGAGCATTTTTTCATATGTTTTTTGGCTGCATAAATGTCTTCTTTTGAGAAGTGTCTGTTCATGTCCTTTGCCCACTTTTTGATGGGGTTGTTTGTTTTTTTCTTGTAAATTTGTTTGAGTTCATTGTAGATTCTGGATATTAGCCGTTTGTCAGATGAGTAGGCTGTGAAAATTTTCTCCCATTTTGTAGGTTGCCTGTTCACTCTGATGGTAGTTTCTTTTGCTGCGAAGAAGCTCTTTAGTTTAATTAGATCCCATTTGTCAATTTTGGCTTTTGTTGCCATTGCTTTTGGTGTTTTAGACATGAAGTCCTTGTGCATGCCTATGTCCTGAATGGTAATGCCTAGGTTTTCTTCTAGGGTTCTTATGGTTTTAGGTCTAACGTTTAAGTCTTTAATCCATCTTGAATTGATTTTTGTATAAGGTGTAAGGAAGGGATCCAGTTTCAGCTTTCTACATATGGCTAGCCAGTTTTCCCAGCACCATTTATTAAATAGGGAATCCTTTCCCCATTGCTTGTTTTTCTCAGGTTTGTCAAAGATCAGATAGTTGTAGATATGTGGCGTTCTTTCTGAGGGCTCTGTTCTGTTCCATTGATCTATATCTCTGTTTTGGTACCAGTACCATGCTGTTTTGCTTACTGTAGCCTTGTAGTATAGTTTGAAGTCAGGTAGCGTGATGCCTCTAGCTTTGTTCTTTTGGCTTAGGATTGACTTGGCGATGCGGGCTCTTTTTTGGTTCCATATGAACTTTAAAGTAGTTTTTTCCAATTCTGTGAAGAAAGTCATTGGTAGCTTGATGGGGATGGCATTGAATCTATAAATTACCTTGGGCAGTATGGCCATTTTCATGATATTGATTCTTCCTACCCATGAGCATGGAATGTTCTTCCATTTGTTTGTATCCTCTTTTATTTCATTGAGCAGTGATTTGTAGTTCTCCTTGAAGAAGTCCTTCACATCCCTTGTAAGTTGGATTCCTAGGTATTTTATTCCCTTTGAAGCAATTGTGAATGGGAGTTCCCTCATGATTTGGCTCTCTGTTTGTCTGTTATTGGTGTATAAGAATGCTTGTGATTTTTGTATATTGATTTTGTATCCTGAGACTTTGCTGAAGTTGCTTATCAGCTTAAGGAGATTTTGGGCTGAGACGATGGGGTTTTCTAGATATACAATCATGTCATCTGCAAAAAGGCACAATTTGACTTCCTCTTTTCCTAATTGAATACCCTTTATTTCCTTCTCCTGCCTGATTGCCCTGGCCAGAACTTCCAACACTATGTTGAATAGGAGTGGTGAGAGAGGGCATCCCTGTCTTGTGCCAGTTTTCAAAGGGAATGCTTCCAGTTTTTGCCCATTCAGTATGATATTGGCTGTGGGTTTGTCATAGATAGCTCTTATTATTTTGAGATACGTCCCATCAATACCTAATTTATTGAGAGTTTTTAGCATGAAGAGTTGTTGAATTTTGTCAAAGGCCTTTTCTGCATCTATTGAGATAATCATGTGGTTTTTGTCTTTGGTTCTGTTTATATGCTGGATTACATTTATTGTTTTGTGTATATTGAACCAGCCTTGCATCCCAGGGATGAAGCCCACTTGATCATGGTGGATAAGCTTTTTGATGTGCTGCTGGATTCAGTTTGCCAGTATTATATTGAGGATTTTTGCATCAATGTTCATTGAGGCTATTGGTCTAAAATTCTCTTTTTTGGTGGTGTCTCTGCCCGGCTTTGGTATCAGGATGATGCTGGCCTCATAAAATGAGTTAGGGAGGATTCCCTCTTTTTCTATTGATTGGAATAGTTTCAGAAGGAATGGTACCAGTTCCTCCTTGTACCTCTGGTACAATTCGGCTGTGAATCCATCTGGTCCTGGACTCTTTTTGGTTGGTAAGCTATTGATTATTGCCACAATTTAAGAGCCTGTTATTGGTCTATTCAGAAATTCAACTTCTTCCTGGTTTAGTCTTGGGAGGGTGTATGTGTCGAGGAATTTATCCATTTCTTCTAGATTTTCTAGTTTATTTGCATAGAGGTGTTTGTAGTATTCTCTGATGGTAGTGTGTATTTCTGTGGGATCAGTGGTGATATCCCCTTTATCATTTTTTATTGCATCTATTTGATTCTTCCCTCTTTTCTTCTTTATTAGTCTTGCTAGCAGTCTATCAATTTTGTTGATCCTTTCAAAAAACCAGCTCCAGTATTCATTAATTTTTTGAAGGGTTTTTTGTGTCTCCATTTCCTTCAGTTCTGCTCTGATTTTAGTTATTTCTTGCCTTCTGCTAGCTTTTGAATGTGTTTGCTCTTGCTTTTCTAGTTCTTTTAATTGTGATGTTAGGGTGTCAATTTTGGATCTTTCCTGCTTTCTCTTGTGGGCATTTACTGCTATAAATTTCCCTCTACACACTGCTTTGAATGTGTCCCAGAGATTCTGGTATGTTGTGTCTTTGTTCTCTTTGGTTTCAAAGAACATCTTTATTTCTGCCTTCATTTCGTTATGTGCCCAGTAGTCATTCAGGAGCAGGTTGTTCAGTTTCCACATAGTTGAGCGATTTTGAGTGAGTTTCTTAATCCTGAGTTCTAGTTTGATTGCACTGTGGTCTGAGAGACAGTTTGTTATAATTTCTGATCTTTTACATTTGCTGAGGAGAGCTTTACTTCCAACTATGTGGTCAATTTTGGAATAGGTGTGGTGTGGTGCTGAAAAAAATGTATATTCTGTTGATTTGGGGGAGAGTTCTGTAGATGTCTATTAGGTCCACTTGGTGCACAGCTGAGTTCAAGTCCTGGGTATTGTTGACTTTCTGTCTCGTTGATCTGTCTAATGTTGACAGTGGGGTGTTAAAGTCTCCTATTATTAATGTGTGGGAGTCTAAGTCTCTTTGTAGGTCACTCAGGACTTGCTTTATGAATCTGGGTGCTCCTGTATTGGGTGCATATATATTTAGGATAGTTAGCTCTTCTTGTTGAATTGATCCCTTTACCATTATGTAATGGCCTTCTTTGTCTCTTTTGATCTTTGCTGGTTGAAAGTCTGTTTTATCAGAGACTAGGATTGCAACCCCTGCCTTTTTTTGTTTTCCATTTGCTTGGTAGATCTTCCTCCATCCTTTTATTTTGAGCCTCTGTGTGTCTCTGCACGTGAGATGGGTTTCCTGAATATAACACACTGATGGGTCTTGACTCTTTATCCAATTTGCCAGTCTGTCTTTTAATTGGAGCATTTAGTCCATTTACATTTAAAGTTAATATTGTTATGTGTGAATTTGATCCTGTCATTATGATGTTAGCTGGTTATTTTGCTCGTTAGTTGATGCAGTTTCTTCCTAGCCTCGATGGTCTTTACAATTTGGCATGATTTTGCAGTGGCTGGTACCAGTTGTTCCTTTCCATGTTTAGTGCTTCCTTCAGGAGCTCTTGTAAGGCAGGCCTGGTGGTGACAAAATCTCTCAGCATTTGCTTGTCTGTAAAGTATTTTATTTCTCCTTCACTTATGAAGCTTACTTTGGCTGGATATGAAATTCTGGGTTGAAAATTCTTTTCTTTAAGAATGTTGAATATTGGCCCCCACTCTCTTCTGGCTTGTAGAGTTTCTGCCAAGAGATCCGCTGTTAGTCTGATGGGCTTCCCTTTGTGGGTAACCCGACCTTTCTCTCTGGCTTACCTTAATATTTTTTCCTTCATTTCAACTTTGGTGAATCTGACAATTATGTGTCTTGGAGTTGCTCTTCTCGAGGAGTATCTTTGTGGCATTCTCTGTATTTCCTGAATCTGAATGTTGGCCTGCCTTGCTAGATTGGGGAAGTTCTCCTGGATAATATCCTGCAGAGTGTTTTCCAACTTGGTTCCATTCTCCCCATCACTTTCAGGTACACCAGTCAGACATAGATTTGGTCTTTTCACATAGTCCCATATTTCTTGGAGGCTTTGTTCGTTTCTTTTTATTCTTTTTTCTCTAAACTTCCCTTCTCGCTTCATTTCATTCATTTCATCTTCCATCGCTGATACCCTTTCTTCCAGTTGATCGCATCAGCTCCTGAGGCTTCTGCATTCTTCACGTAGTTCTCAAGCCTTGGCTTTCAGCTCCATCAGCTCCTTTAAGCACTTCTCTGTATTGGTTATTCTAGTTATACATTCGTCTAAATTTTTTTCAAAGTTTTCAACTTCTTTGCCTTTGGTTTGAATGTCCTCCTATAGCTCGGAGTAGTTTGATCGTCTGAAGCCTTCTTCTCTCAACTCGTCAAAGTCATTCTCCGTCTAGCTTTCTTCCGATGCTGGTGAGGAACTGCGTTCCTTTGGAGGAGAAGAGGCGCTCTGCTTTTTACAGTTTCCAGTTTTTCTGCTCTGTTTTTTCCCCATCTTTGTGGTTTTATCTACTTTGGTCTTTGATGATAGTGATGTACAGATGGGTTTTTGGTGTGGATGTCCTTTCTGTTTGTTAGTTTTCCTTCTAACAGACAGGACCCTCAGCTGCAGGTCTGTTGGAGTTTGCTAGAGGTCCACTCCAGACCCTGGTTGCCTGGGTACCAGCTTCAGTGGCTGCAGAACAGCGGATTTTCCTGAACCGCGAATGCTGCTGTCTGATCGTTCCTCTGGAAGTTTTGTCTCAGAGGAGTACCCGGCCGTGTGAGGTGTCAGTCTGCCCCTACTGGGGGTGGCTCCCAGTTAGGCTGCTCAGGGGTCAGGGGTCAGGGACACACTTGAGGAGGCAGTCTGCGCATTCTCAGATCTCCAGCTGCGTGCTGGGAGAACCACTGCTCTCTTCAAAGCTGTCAGACAGGGACATTTAAGTCTGCAGAGGTTACTGCTGTCTTTTTGTTTGTCTGTGCCCTGCCCCCAGAAGTGGAGCCTACAGAGGCAGGCAGGCCTCCTTGAGCTCTGGTGGGCTCCACCCAGTTGGAGTTTCCTGGCCGCCCTGTTTACCTAAGCAAGCCTGGGCAATGGCGGGCGCCCCTTCCCCAGCCTCGCTGCCGCCTTGCAGTTTGATCTCAGACTGCTGTGCTAGCAATCAGCGAGACTCTGTGGGCGTAGGACCCTCCGAGCCAGGTGTGGGATATAATCTCCTGGTGCGCCGTTTTTTAAGCCCGTCGGAAAAGCGCAGTATTGGGGTGGGAGTGACCTGATTTTCCAGGTGCCGTCTGTCACCCCTTTCTTTGACTAGGAAAGGGAACTCCCTGACCCCTTGCGCTTCCTGAGTGAGGCAATGCCTCGCCCTGCTTCGGCTCGCACATGGTGCGCTGCACCCACTGACCTGCGCCCACTGTCTGGCACTCCCTAGTGAGATGAACCCGGTGCCTCAGATGGAAATGCAGAAATCACCCATCCTCTGCGTCGCTCACACTGGGAGCTGTAGACTGGAGCTGTTCCTATTCGGCCATCTTGGCTCCCCCCCTCCTGCTGATTTTTCTCTCACTTCAAAATGTGTAAAGGCCGGAATATTATATACTTTCACCAGAAGTCATGGTATAGTCACAACTCAAATATTTGGGGAGATTGAAGTGATGGGCATTTGGAGGATACATTGTAGTTGTACTAGAGATGCTGTTGCCATACTGAGTGTTTTGAAAATGAAAGAGTTATTGAGACATGCTGACCTACAAAAACAGATTAATGTAGATTGAGTACTTTCCATGTGTCATGAACAATTCTAAGACAATTGCACACATTAATCCATGAATCTTAAAATGTATAATGCTGAGTTGTCAATGTTTCATAGAGGCATAGAGAGCTGAAAACAACTATCCTAACGCTGCATAACTAGTAAGTGGCAGGGACAATCCAAGTTGCCCAAGAACAGAGATCTATTTTTAAATACTGTGCTTTTCCTCTTACAACAGACAGATTTCCTATATCTAGTTTGTTCAGAAGTATGAAATAGCTTAACAATTACCAAGGCTATTAGTTTTCTCCCATTTCTCACCCTGTGTCAGGGAGAGGCTCTGTTAAGGAATCTTATGGTCACAAAATCTCATTACAAATTCAGTCATGTCATATAAAATCAATTTTTTTAAACATTTTATTTTGAAATCATTGTAGATACACATTCAGTTGTAAGAATAATCCAGAGAAATCCAGTGTACCTTTTATCCAGTTTCTTCACAATGGTATCAACGTGAAGAACTATGGTATAATATCACAACCAGTATATTGACATTGATATACTGCACTTATTTTATTACAGGTTTACTTACATTCTTATGTGTGTGTGTGTGTGTGTGTGTGTTTAGTTCCATGAAATTTTATCACGTGTAGGTTCATGTACCCACCACAGTCAAGATATAGAACAGTTCCATCAGCACAAGGATCCTTTGTGTTGCCCTTTATTTATTATTTATTTATTTATTTATTGAGATGGAGTCTCGCTCTGTCACCAGGCTGGAGTGCAGTGGCACGATCTCAGCTCACTGCAAGATGAGCCGAGCGGCTCACTGCACCTCCGCCTCCCAGGTTCAAGTGATTCTCCTGCCTCAGCCTCCCAAGTAGCTGGGACCACAGGCGCGCACCACCACGCCTGGCTAATGTTTGTATTTTTAGTAGAGACAGGGTTTCACTATGTTGGCCAGGATGGTCTCGATCTCTTGACCTCATGATTCACCCACCTCGGCCTCCCAAGGTGCTGGGATTACAGGTGTGAGCCACCGTGCCCGGCCTGTGTTGCCCTTTTAAAACAATACCCACTTCCTTTCACAACACCTTTGTCCTTAACCCTAGGAATATTATATAAATGGAGTCATACCTGTGATGAACATCTGTCTACAGGCTTTTATGTGAACATGAAGGTTTCATTTCTTTGGGATGAATGCCTAAGTGTTCAACTGCTGGGTTGTATGATAATTGCATATTTAGTTTTGTAAGAAATTTCCAAACTGTTTTCATGATCATTTTTGAATACAAATTAATCAATCAAGTGCAGAAGAAATTGATTAGGGAAATGCCTGTAAGAAAAAATATAAAAGAAGCTGGGTAAGGCAAAAACAGATTCTTGCCCATTTAATCTTGTCTTAGCTTCCACTTATCTGAGGACTTGAATGAGTACATGAGTCATGCTTGCAGACACTGCCTCCACTGAGCCTATAGTTCAGCTGGGAAGTCAGCCTGAATGACACTGTACATTACTGAAACTGAAGGCAGTTTGAGCAGAAAGGCTTTGGAGTCAGATATATCCTGTGCTATATCTTTTTGGTTTTGTGATCAGTGAGATAATCTATGCTTCTAAACCGGTTTGAATCAGATGAGGAAAACAAAACCTACCTCAAAGGGTTATCATTAGACATTAGTGTTGGTATACTAGTCTCTCCATAAATGTTTACTGCTAGTACTATAGTGCACTACTCAGAATGTAGGATGAAAAATAATCAAGTACTGTCCATGCCATCCAGACAGCGCATACAAAAGACCAGTGTATTTAGTGCAAATTGGATGTTGACCTGAGGATGTGACAGTCTGACAACAGGGAAAACGTGGTGTCTGATAGCCTATGAGAGTATTAACTGGTAGCTAATTCTGTGAGAAATAACTGAGTTATTAACAATAATGACACTAAGAATCTTGAGAGCTAAATTTTATACAGTGCTCAATATGTGCCCAATACTCTTGAAAGCAATTTATGTGCAATCCCATACGTAATCCTTACAACAATTTTATGATGTACAATTATCCTCATTATATAGGTGAAGAATATGAGGATCAGAGATTAAGTGACTTGCTCATGATCACAGAGATCCTAGCATGTAGCTTGACTCCAGTGCCTGACTTTGAAATGCCAAATTCAACAAACACTCTGTGAGATATTGACCTCCCTTAACAATTCTGACCCTCATATTCTCCATCTCTGTAATGAGGAAGAAATAAGACATACCTCACCAGGAAGTTGTGAGGCTTAAATAAGGAAATATATGTAAAGTACTGGCACTGTGTAGATATTCAATAAATGAAAAATATTACAATTATCAGTTGTGTTACATGACACTCCCATCTTGTGTCACATAGACACTCAGCAAATCCAGAGAAATCTTAGTGAAAGCTCAGGTAGGTTCCATTGGCTGTAAAACCACTGGGACTTCTTAGACAAGGCTTACAGTTCCCAAAGGAATTTTCCCCTCCTCCACATGCTAAAGGCACCACCATGCTCTCAGTCAGCCTGAGTTCAGGCACACCACAAGCCAAAACAACCACAAGTTAAGTCTTTCCGTTTACAGGTAGATGGGAATGAGGTGTGTGGGAAGCTTACCCTAGAACAGCAGACAGGCTACCCAGAGAGGGAAGGTATAGAGGCCATACTGAGATTTGTGGGGCATTTTACCACCTCTATGAAACTCTGCCACTACTAGGGACTTTAGTTGTTCAAGGAGCTGGGGAACAAGATCCAAGGAGAGTCCTATCCCCATGATAAGAAGGGAATCTTGCTGCCTCATCTCTTCCGAGTTACCCCTTCACATGGCCATTTCTTATTGATCTTTTAGTGCCCAGCTTAGCCATTAATTCCTCTTCATAAATATCTCAAGTACAACCGTCTCACAGAAGTCATATTATATTTACAAATCACTGATAACCACATGGCAAAGATAATCTTATTGGAAGTCTAAGAGTTCAAAAAGGCTAGGTTATACTCATAAATCTTTCACTTTTTACTTCTGTGAACTTTAGGAGGTTCCTTTTCCTTATTCTTTTTAGTTGAAAAGAATTGTATTTTAGTAGCCTTTTCTGATAATTGCAGGTATTCTTTTTGGATACTGCATCGAAACTTGAGAAGTGGTAGTTTCTTAAAAGTTAGTTACAATGTGTAATCAAACCATATCAATGAAATTTTTATACCCTTAAATTCATTAGGCTATCTTGTACTTTGAATGTATTCTTTACCCATGCATGATCTTGTAACCTCATGATTGATTATTTGGAAAAGGTTAGTTCACTGAATTATACAAATCTAACTTAGGAAGATTTCTAAACCTCTCTGAGCTTCATTTTCTGCAAAATAGGAAAATAATGACTTGTAACAAATTAGATAAGCAATAAGTAATTACAAATATAAACAAAACCTGCAAAGGATTAGTAGTCCTATGAACAGAATTAAGCCAGAATAAGCAGATAAGTGAGTGTCCCCAGTGAGAGGAGAGGCAGTGAAGGTGAGAAGGAGCAGTGTGGGTTTCAGGGAACCTGACATGATTTAGTATGGCTACAGAAAGAATGAGATATGGAGTATGGTGTCATGGTGAGAAATAAGGAAATATAATCCACTGGTCTGACCACCTGGAATGGATAGAGAGGTAGGAGATGGGAGCTAGATAGAGAGGTGAAGGAAGAGTTGGGAGATATATAGAGAGGTGAAGGAAGGGGGTCCATTTAGGGAGACTTCCAAGTTGCTAGCTTGACTAGGGAAAGGAAAAGATTAATGGAGAAGAAACAATGGGTATTGTCTGATGAGTCAATCAAAAGAGGAAAGAGGATCAAACTAGGAGTCAGCACACCTGTCATCCTTTTTATTGTATTTTATTTTATTTATTTATTTATTTATTTATTTATTTATTTATTTATTTTGCTATCTTCTCCTGAATGTGTGACTTGAATTACGAGAGAGCTGAGATTTCCATTATATTGCAGGAAAATGGGACAAAAACACCTCAGGTGAGGAACAGAAATTTGTTGTTCAAACCACAGAACTATGTATAGTCATGAGGATAGCTCCATTTAATGATCTCCCACTCTAATAACAGAACAAAAATATAGTAAATACTTACTGAGTGCTTTTTCTGTGATAGGCACTATATTGGGTACTTTCTGTGCTTGGCATCATTTAATCCCTACAAGAAGGTGTCCCTCTCATTGAGGTTAGCTTTTATGTTTCAAAAGGACTTAAAAACCTAAGGGCCAGATAGAAACCAAGTTTCTATGTTGGTTATACAAGGCAATGTGCCATGGGATCATAAGAAGATTACTGGACTTAGGATCTAGATGGAACCATCAGGAGATATGTTCAAAACAGCAGATAGGGTAACACTAACCGAAGGAAAAGAACTCAGGGAAAGTTGCTAAGGCATTATTACAGCAGGGACCACTACCATGCAGCCCCATGGTCTTCAGTATCAACTAGCCCTGGGTTTGCATCTTTGATCTGAGTAGTAGCCATATGATGACAGGAAAGTTCATCAATTTTTCTGAGACTCAGTTTTCCCAATTTTAAAAATAAGAATTGTAGCACTTACGTTGAAAGCTTGTTGAGATTAATAAATAAATGAGAAAACATGAAGTACTAATTACCTTATAAGTGGATTGTGAGTGTATATATGTGTATATATATATATATATATATATATATGTATAATTTGCAAAGTAAAAACCATAATTTTAAAGAAATTTATTTCTACAAACATCCATAATTCTGGTCCTGCGTTTTCAGGTGTGATATCATTTTCTTACAAAATAAATTTAGTTAAAAAGCAAAAGGTGTAAAAAATGGCAGACTAGGAAGCTCTAAGCCCTCATACTCCCACAAAAACACCCAAAAAAACCCCTAAATTTGTAGGAGCTCTTGAAAACAGTGAAAGATTTACAGCTACCAAGCTAACATCAAATTAAGAAAAAAACATTTTTGAAAGGATAGAAATGTCTTTTGGTACTTTTCACCCCTGCTCCATCCCCTCTTCAGTATGGCAGTGGTCTTACCTTAAGCAGGCAGCACCCTGGTTCCCAGTTACACCCCCACTTAAAAGGAGGGAATAGGGCATGTCTTATTTGCAAATTGTATGTGTGTGTGTTCACATCTGTCTGGGAGATATCTGAAGCACTGATGCAAGGCACTCATGTGTTTTGACCCTCTTGGAATTAACATCAGTCCTTCTCAAGCTCTTCCATAAAGCTGAAGAGAAAGAAACACTTCCTAACTCATTCTATGAGGCTGATACAAATAGAGACAAAGACACAACAAGGAAAGAAAACTACAAACTAATATCTCTTATAAATTGTCTTAGTCCATTTAGTATTGCTATAAGGGAACACCTGAGGCTTGGTAATTTATAAAGAAAAGAAGTTTATTTGGCTCACAGTTCTGCAGGCTATACAAGAAGCATGGAACCAGCATCTAGTTTTGGTGAGGGCTGCAGATTGCTTCCACTCATGGTGGAAGGCCAAGGGGAACCAGCATATACAGAGATCACATGGCAAGAGAGGGAAAAAGAGAGAAGGGAGGAAGGTGCCAGCCTCTTTTAACAACCAGCTCTCATGAGAAATACAAGAGTGAGAACTCACTCACCCCGACCCCAACCAAGAGCATTAATCTGTTCATGAGGGATCCGCCTTCATGACCCAAGCACCTCCTATTAGGTCCCACCTCCAAAATTGGGGATCAAATTTCAACATGAGGTTTGGAGGGATAAACATACAGAAATTCTCAAAAAAAACACTAGTAAACCAATTTCAGCAGCTTGTTAAAAGGATTATACACTGTGACCATGTGGGATTTGTTCCCAGAATAAAAGGATGGTTGAACATACAAAAATATATTAATGTAATATACCACATTAATAGCATGAAGAAATGGAACCACATGATCATCTGAATTAATACAGAAAAAAAGCATTTGAAAAACATTCAACACTCTTTCATGATAAAAACACTCAACACCCTTTCATGATAAAAACACTCAATAAACTGGAAATAGAAGGAGACCTCCTCAACAAGGTAAAGACTATTTGTGAAAAGCCCACAGCTAACATCACATTCAATGGTGAAAGACTGAAAGCTCTTCCTTTAAGATAGGAACAAGATAAGAACGCCTGGTTAATCCACCTCTATTCAACATAGTACTGGAAATTCTAGCTACAGCAATTAGGTAAGACAAACAAAAACAATTCAAATTTGAAAGGAAGAAGTAAAATTATCTCCCTGCATAGAAAACACAATATTATGTGTTAAAAACCCTGAAGATTCCACAAAATAAGATTCCAACTAATAAACCAATACAACAAAGTTGGAGCATACAAAAATCATTTACATTTCCATAGACTAACAATGGGAAAAAATAAAGAAATCAAGAAAACACTTCAATTTACAATAACATCAAAAAGAGTAAAATGCTTAAGAACAAATTTAACTGAGGAGTCAAAAGACATACACAGGAGCAGAGTAAGAATAGAAGCCTCCACTGATCATTCCTCCCTTCCACAGGAACACCAAATTTTAACAAGCAACTATACACACAAAAAAAGCACCATTATAAGAACCAAAAATAAGGTGAGCAATCACAGTACCTGATTTTAACTTCACATCACTGAAAGAGGCACTGAAGAGGGTAAGGAAGACAATCTTGAATTGCTTATGCCACCCCTCCCCCATCCCCCAGCAGGAGCCATTTCACATGGAGAGAGAATCTGTGCACTTGGAGGAGGGACAGCACAGCAACTGGGGGACTTGATATTGAACTCAGTGCTGCCCTGTCACAGTGGAGAGCAAAGCTGTGCTGAGCTCAGCTGGCATCCACCCATGAAGGGAGCATTTGGACCACCCTAGCCAGAGAGGGGAATCGCCCATCCCAGTGGTGGGAACTTGAGTTTCTCAGCAAGCCTTGCCACTGCAGGCTAAAGTCAGAGTCCTCATGAATGGGATTAGTGCCCTTATAAAAGAGGCCCCAGAGAGATGTGTTTCCTCTTCCACCATGTGAAGACACAGTGAGAAGGCTGTATTTATGAACCAGTAAATGGGCCCTCACCAGACACTAAATCTGGCAGCATCTTAATCTTGGAATTTCCAGCTTCCAGAACTGTGAGACGTTGATATCTATTGTTTATAAGCTTCCTGGTTTATGGCATTTTGTTATAGCAGAATTAAAATATGGACTAAGACAAAAAATGGTACCAAGAAATGGAGGTGCTGCTCTAACAAGTACTTAAAATATGGAAGCACCTTCAGAACTGGGTAACAGGTAGAGACTGGAAAATTTTTGAGGTAGATGCTAGGAAAAGCCTACATTGCCATAAAAGGGCCTTAAATGGTGACGCTGGTGAGGTCTCTGAAGAATAGGAGAGCTGTAGAGAAAGCCTCAGTCTTCTTAGAGAATATCTAAGTGGTCGTGAACAAAATGTTGGTCGAAATATGGATGGTAAAGGCCATTCTGATGAGACTCAGATGGAAATGAGTAACATACTGTTGGAAACTGAAGGAAAGGTGATCCTTGTTATAAAGGGGGGAAGGATGTGGCTAAATTTTATTCCTGTCCTAGTGTTTGTTAGAAAGTAGACCTTACAAGCAATGAAATAGAATATTTGGCTGATGAAATTTCTGAGTTAAGTATTGGTGGTTTGGTATGTCTTCTCTTGAATGCTTGAACATCATGAGAACATCAATGTGTGTGGCCAACCAACTATTTGATAAGGAGATTAGTATGGATCAGCCTGGTGCTATTCATCAAGATAATGGAAGAATGACCCCAAAGGCATTTCAGAGATGTGCTGGCCCTCCCTTCACAGGCCCATAGTTCTAGGGCCTTGCAGGCAGTAAGATTTTGAAGAAGGAGCTGAGGCATCCATGGGCCTTAGTGCTTGCTGCCCAACACTGCCTCAAGGATCTGCTCTCTGCATTCTGGCTCAGTGCACCTTGGTCATCCCAGGTGTGGCTCCAGTGGATCCAGGTACAGTATGGGCTACAGTGGCCACTCCTCCAGAGGGCATAGGCAGTAACTCCTGGTGGCACCCACTTGGTGCCATCTTTGCTGGCATACAGTATAATTGAGCTGTGGGGGTATGATTGCCTGCAAATGGATTTCAAAGGATGGAGCCACCTGGAAGTTAGAGCATACAACCCAGGCAGAAGGCTGCTGTGAGGTCAGGGCCACTGCAGACAGTCCCCACCAGGACAATGCCTAGTGGAGTTGAGGAGGTGAGGCCCCCACTCTGATCTCAGACTAGTAGAGCTACCAGCTTGTGATTACAGCCTGGGAGAGCTGCAGGCACCCTACTCTAACCTGTGAGAGCTGCAGTGTAGGCTACACATTGCAAAGCTGTGGGGGTGGGGCTGCTCAAACTCCTGGGGGCAGGGATGCCCTGAACATTGAAGGCCCAATTCATGCCAGCAAGTCTGTGGAGGTGGGACCCCCAACCCAGTGGGCCTGGAGGACAGACCCTCAAGTCAAAGATAGAGTACTAAGGTTTTAGACTTACTTGGGGTTCATTAGCTCTTTGTTTTTCCTATTTCTCCCTTTTACAATAGGAATATCTATCCCATGCCTATCCTACGATTGTATTTTGGAAGCACATAACTTGTTTGATTTTATAGGCTGACAGCTGGAGAGCAATTTGCCTTGGGATTAATTGAACCTTTAATCTCACCCATATCTGATTTAGACAATATTTAGGAAAGATTTTGGATATTTTGAGTTGTTACTGGAATGAGTTAAGACTTTGGGAGCTATTGAGGTGTAATGAATGTATTTTACATGTGAGAATGACATGAATTTGGCAGGGACAGGGATTGAATGCTATGATCTCAATGTTTGTATTTTCCCAAAATTCATATGTTCAAAACCTAATCACCAATGTGATATTAGAAGATGGGGCTGTTGGGAGGTGATTAGCCCTCATTAGTGGGATTTGTAACCTAATAAAAGAGCTCCCAGAAGGTTGTCTTGCCCCTTTGCCATGTGAGAGCATAGCAAGATGGTTGTGTCCACCAGGTAGCAGGCCCTCACTAGACACTGAATCTGTCTGTGCCTTGCTCTTGAACTTTGCAGCCTCCAGAACTGTGAGAAATAATTTTTTGTTGTTTATAATATGCCTGTTATTGCATCCTGAGCATACTAAGACAATTACTAAAATATATGCCAATGTTTTATACTTTGATAAGACAAAAAGTAATATACCAACAAAACCACAACTTGGTAAGAAGAGAGAAAGAAGAAAGCATAAGTATGCTACTTAACTTATTTTTCACAAAGAATACATGGACACCATCAAAAGTTGAAATGCACCTTTAAGAATGAAAAACATCAGCCTTTTATTGTTTTTCTACTTTAAAGGGACTTTTTTAGAAACTAAAATATAATATTTTGAGGAAAAGAAAGAAGCCATACCTTTATGTCCAAACAATAAAAATCTTTCTGTATAAAGAATCACATAAATTTGGATAATATTTTATCTTTCTGCATAATTTAGAATATGAAAGTACATAATTGCTTTCAAAAAGTTACCCATTTTATACTCTTCTTATTCCTTTGACAGCATCAATTTAATTTTTGTTAAGTATCACATGCACTTTAGTTATATTTATATGTGGCAAAATTATTATTTTAAAAATAAGAGCACCAAAGCTATGGCATTCAATTTTGCCAGTGATTGTATTTTTTTATAAAAGCTTAATTTGTGGAATAACAATGTTTAAATCACATTAAATATCCACTTTAAACTTATTACTGGCCTGTAGAATATTTTTACACAGTTTAAGAGCTGTATGTAGAATGATATCTCTGTGCTTACTTTCTTCACATATTAGGCTTTTCCTCAAACTTTTTGGAGAACAAGAAGTTCCAGAAGAGGATGCTAGACTTTACACAGCAAAACTCCAAATTTCTTAACACAGAATACATTACAGTGATCCAAAAAATTAGCTGTTATGATATTTATGATTATCAATGATATTTAGAAAATATTATATTGTCTAGGTATTCCTAACAATTAGGAATTATATTTTGATTCCAATACTCTGTTCAAAAAGTGGCTTTCCCTTTACCTAATTTCTGACATGGCTGGGCGAAGATGGAGTTCCAGAAAAAGAGACCTATATATTTTAGATGAGATTTCTGATTTCAAGCAAGTATCAAGACAAATGTTAATGGTTCTTAATTTGATGAGATTGGGCATGTTCAGGGTGGTACAGCCCTTGACGAGGGTTCTTAATTTGATAACCAAAAAACTACTGTGTGAAACAAAACACATATCCACAATATTTTGAGGAGATTGTTCAGGTGTCCTTATAGCTTGAGAAGTCTGTAATAGCTGGTTATCAAAAAAGCTAACTCACCCATTGGAATGTAGTATTTGAAATCGATATCTAGACAGTCCTGTGACTAATAATAATATTAAATTTGTAGTTTAAAATCTTCATAAAAATAAATCTCTAAACAGAGATGGCTTCACTGACAAATTCTACAAAATATATAAAGAAATAACATTTTTACATAATCAATTCAAGAAAATAGAAGTGGAGTGAACATTTTCAACCTCATTTTAACAACACAGAATTACCCTGATACAAAACTAGACAAAGATATTACAAAGTAAGAAAACTATGAGCCGTTTTCCTTCAGGAACATAGATGCAAATTTCCTCAAAAATATTATAAAATAGAATCCATCAATATCTAAAAATAGTGATGCACTGTAATCAACTAGGATTCAGATATTCAAGGCTGCTTCAATATCAGAAACTCAATCAATGTAATCCATATTAACAGAATAAAGAAGAAAAATTACATGATTAGATCAATTGATGCAGACAAAACTTTCGACAAAATGAAACACCTATTCATCATGAATAATGGTCATCAGTAAACAATAAATGGAAGGGAATTTCCTCAGCCTGATAAATAGCATATACAAAAACCTATAGGTGACTTCATACTTAATAATGGAATGCTTATACTTTTCCTCTAAAATCAGTAACAAAGAAATGATGTCCTCATTCACTACTCCTATTTAACATAGTACTGGAAGTCCTAGGCAGAGCAATATGGTAAAAAAAAAAAGAAAGAAAGAAAAAAAAGAAAATTAAAGACATACATAACAAAAAAAAAAACTTCCGATAGTGAAAGATTACAAGGTTTTCTACTGAAAACTATCAAAGAATCTTATTTAAGTCTTTAATTTTTATCGATTCAAGGAGTACAGGTGCAGGTTTGTTACATAGACATATATGTATTAGGCTGTTCTTCAACTGCTATACAGAAATACCCGATACTGGGTAATTTAAAAGAAAAGAGGTTTAATTGGCCCATGGTTCTGCAGGTTGTACAGGAAGCATAGTAGCATCTGCTTCTGAGGAGGCCTCAGGAAGCTTTCAATCATGGCAGAAGGAAAACAGGAAGCAGGCACATCACATGGCAAGAACAAGAGAAAGAGAGAGACAGTTGGCAGGGGAGGTTCCACACACTTTTAAATGACCAGATCCTGTGTGAACTAACAGCAAGAGCTCATTTATTACCAAGGGAATGGCTCAAGCCATTCATGAGGGATTTGCCTCATGATCCAAAGACTTCCCACCAGGCCCCACCTCCAACACTGGGGATTACATTTCAACGTGAGATTTGGATGGGGACATCCGAACTATATCAGTGAACACTGTACCCAACAGATAATTTTTCAACCCTCCTCCCCACTTCCCCGTTTCGGAGTCCCCAGCGTCTATTATTTCCCTCTGTATGTTTGTGTGTACCTGTTGATTAGCTCCCACTTATAAGTGAGAATATACAGTAACTGATTTTTGTTTCTGAGTTATTTCACTTAGGATAATGCCTCCAGCTCCATCCATGTTGCTGCAAAAGACAATATTTTATTCTTTTTTATGGATGCATAGTATTCCATGGTGTATATATACCACATTTTCTGTATGCAATCAACTGTTGATGGACACTTAGGTTGATTCTATGACTTTGCTATGGTGGACAGTGCTGCAGTATGAGTGCAGGTGTCTCTTTGAGGCATTTATTTTCTTTTGGATATATGCCCAGTAGTGGGATTGCTAGGTCAATAATAGTTCTATTTTTAGTCCAAAGGATCCTTTTTTAAAAAGCTGCTACAATTAATAAGTGAGGTTACCAGGGTGATACAAGTAGCCCTGTGGCCGCCACCACTAGGACTGTGCTGGGTCAGACCTGAAGCCAGCACAGCACTGGGTCTTGCCCAAGGCCTGCTGTAACCACTCCCTGGCTACTGCCTTTGTTTGCTCAAGGCTCTGGGGCTCTACAGTCAGCAGGTAGCAAAGCCAGCCAGACCTGTGTTCTTCCCTTTAGGGCAGTGAATTCCCCCAGGCCTCAGGCAGGTCCAGAGGTGCCATCTGGGAGCCAGGGACAAGAGCCAAAATCCTTAGAAATCTATCTGGTGATCTATTGTGCTGCAGCTGAGCTGGCACTCAAACCACAAGATGCAGTTCTTCCCACTCTTCCTCCCTTTTCCAAAGGCAGAACAGCCTCACTCTGTGGCCACCACCACCACAGGCCCACAGAGAGTAGTGCCAGACTATCGCTGGTGTTCCCTTAAGGCCCAAGGGCTCTCCATTCAGCTTGTGGTGAATGTTGCCTGGCCTGGAACTCACCGTTCAGACCAGTGGGTTCCCCTCTGGCCAAGGGCAGGTCCAGAAATGCTGCCCAAGAGCCAAGTCCTGCAATCAGGGATGTCAAGAGCTTGCTTAGTGCTCTATCCCACTGTGGCCAAGCTGGTACCTAAGGCGTAAGACAAAGTTCCCTTTACTTTTCTCTCCACTTTTCTCAAGCAGGAGTTTTGCCCCATAGCTACCACAGCTAAGAATGTGTTGAGTCTCACCTGAAGCCAGAAAGTCTCAGAGTCTCACTCAAGGCCCATGGCATACTATCTGGGCATCACTGCTGCTTATTCAGGGCCCAAGGGCTCTTCAGTTAGCAGGTGATGCGTTCTGCCAGGACTAGATTCTTCCCTTCAAGGCAGTGGGTTCCCTTCTGGCCCAGGGTGTGCCTAGAAATGTTGTCTTGGAGCTAGGGCCTGGAATGGGGGCCTCACAACTCTGACTGGTGCCCTATCATGCTGTGGCCGAGCTGGTATCCAAGGTGCAAGACAACGTCCTCCCCACTCTTCTCTCTCCTCTCCTCAGGTGGAAGGAAGGGGTCTCTTTTGGATCTGGGAGCTATGCAGCCTGCCTTTAGGAGAGGGGTGGTGCCAGAACTCCCTTAGCCACCCTGGCTGGTGTCTCAGTAGGTCACATGCCCAGCCCCAGAATACTGGCTCTGGGCCCAGTACAAAACTAGGACTTGACTAGGAGTTGCAGTCCTTGTGGCCTAGACTCTTTCAAGTTTACTTAGGACCCTGCTGTAGGGGTTGGGGGGTCCTTTAATCCGTTTTGGTGAGGCTTGTGGGAATTCAAGTTCTGACTGCCGGGTTCATTGATTCCCCTCTAGCTAGGGCTGGTTTAAATGCTCCCTCCGTGAGTGGACATCAGCAAGTTTGGTCCCGTTTTGCTTTCTGCTATAACAGGGCAGCATTGAGTTCATTGCCTCACAACTGTTGCACACCCCCTCTCCTCAGTGCACAGAAATACTCTCCACACGACACTGCCACTGCTGGGGGACAGGAGTGGGTGGCACTGGTGTTTCAAGACTGTTTTTCTACCTCTTCAGTGTCTCTTTTAGCAATATGAAGTTGAAACCAGGTACTGTGAGTGATCACCTGATTTTTGGTTTTGCTGAAGGTGTTTCTTTGTGTAGATAATTGTTAAATTAGTGTCCTTGTAGCGGGGGATGATCATTGGGGCCTTCTATTCTGTCATCTTGCTCCACTTCCCATGATCACTTTTGTCAGCAGGCAGTGAATCCTGCCAGGACTGAGTCTGTCTCACCAGGGTAATGGATTCCCTTCTGGCCCAGGGTGGATCTAGAAATGCCACCTAGGAGTAAAGACCTATAACCAGGGGCTTCAGGAATCTGCCTTGCACTTTATTGTACTATGACTAAGTTAACACCCAAGTTGCAAGACAAAGTTTTCTTTACTATTCCCTCTCTTCCCCCAAGCAGAAAGAGTCTCTCCTGCAGCTGCATTACCTGGAGATGGGGAAGTACCCAAGTACTCCCTTGCCTGTCACAGGCGATGTCACTCTGAGTTACACCCCAAGTCTACTGCCTCAGTGAAGCACCAGGGCTTGCTCAAGGACTATAGTACTTGTGGCCTGACAGCCACTCAAATTTGTTCCTGGCCCCAGGCTACTTCAGTCATCCAGCAGTACAGCCAATGAGACTTTTCTCCCACTGGGGCAGGGAATTTCCCTCTGTCTTAGGACTGGTCTAAATGCTCCCTCTTTGGGCACCAACAGCACTCTGCCCTATATTGTGTTCCACTGTGCCAGGGTAGCACTGAGTTTCAATGCAAAGTCCCGAACTCACTTTAACTTTCCCTCCTCCAAGCACACAGATTCTTACTCCATGCTGTGCTGCCTAGGGTTGGGGGAGGGGTGATATGGGCAATGCAAGACTGTCTTTCCTACCCAATTCAATGCCTCTTTCCTTGATATTATACTTAAAACAGGTACTGTGATTGCTCACCTGATTTCTTGGTTCTTGTGAAGGTGCCTTCTTGCATGGATAGTTGTTCAATGTGGTGTTTCTTTGGGATGATGAGCACTGAAGGGTTCAATTTGGCCATCTTGTTCTGCCCAAGTTCCTAAAATTTGATGTCTTTTTAGCAAAAGGAAGAAGCTTCTCATCCCCAGTGGTAGCAGCGTTCCTACCCTCATCCACAGTGGTAGTGGCCTTTCTATCTCTGTCTCAAGAGTTTAATTCTGCATTGCCTGAGGAAACAGTAATGGCCTCCCCTGAAGGAGTTGACAGGCTGATTCTTCTGAGGATCCACCTTTACCACCCCTTTTTGCTTCTAGATCTATAACTAGATTCAAGTCTCATCAGGCCCCTAAAGGTGAGACACAAAGTGTGACCCATGAGGAGGTGTGCTACACTCCACAATAACTACTTCAGTTTTCTGATTTATACAGGCAGAAATCTGGGGAACATATGCAGGAATGGACATTAAGGGTGTAGCATAATGGTGGAAAAAACATGAAGTTGGATCAGGTCAAATTTGTTAATATGGGCCCACTAACCAGAGATTATGCATTTAATGTTGCAGCTTGAGACATTAAAAAAGAGTGCTAATACTTTGGCTTGTTGGCTAAAATGCAGCTGAAAAGATGGCCTATTATGAGTGAGCTGGAAATGCCAGATCTCCCTTGATTTATGGTAGAGGAAGGGATTCAAAGGCTTGGAGATTGGAATGCTAGAATGGATTTGTCACATAAGACCTACTCACCCAAACTTGGAGGGTCCAGATGATATACTTTTCACTAAAGTGAAAATAGATTTGTAAGGGGAGCACCAGCATCTTTGAAGAACTCTGTGATTGCTCTTCTCTGTATACCAGACATCACAGTATGAACTGCTGTAACTCAATTGGAAACCTAAATGCAATGAGAATAACTGGACCCCTGCCAACTGACAGCACTCAACCACCAAAGGCAAGGTGGACATGGTTATCGTAATGGACAGCAGAGGCAAAGCAATAATCAGAATAGTCTGACTCATGTAGATCTATGGTGTTGGCTAGTTAATCATGATGTTCCTAGAAGTGAAATAGATAGAAAGCCTACTACATTCTTATGTGATCTGTAGAAGCAGAAACTTCCAGGTCAAGTGAACAAAAGTCTAACTTGAATCATAAAGCAGAGAATCATGACCCCAAATCAATTTCCAGACTTGAGCCAATTTACAAACCAAGAACTTGAACAAAGGGGAGGTCAGCTCCCCTTGTGGAAGGACCCCAGTATATTATCAAAAATTTATATTTTGTTCATCTTTGTTCCATTTTTGCCCAAAGACCTTTTACCAAGGTAACTATGCATTGGGGAAAGGGAAATAATCAGACCTTTGGGAACTGCCAGACACTGGTTCTGAACTGAAATTGATTCCAGGAGACCTGAAACATCATTGTTGCCCTCTAGTTAGAGTAGGAGCTTATGGAGATCAGGTGATTAATGGAGTTTTAGCTCAGGTCTGACTTGCAATGTGTCCAGTGGGTCCCCAAACCCATTTTGTGGTTATTTCCGTAGTTCCAGAATGCATAATTAAATAGACATGCTTAGTATCTGGCAGAATCCCCACATTGGTCCCCTAACCTGTGGGGTGAGAGTTAATATGGTGGGAAAAGCTAAATGGAAGCCATTAGAGTTGCTTCTACCTAGAAAAATAGTAAATCAAAAACACTACTGCATCTCTGGAGGGACTGCAGAGATTAATGCCACCATCGAGGACTTGAACGATGGAGGGGTGGTAATTCCCACCACATCCCTATTCAACTCTCCTATTTGGCTTGTGCAGAAGACAGATGGATGTTGGAGAATGACAGTTAATTATCATAATACTTCATCAAGTGGTGATTCCAATTGCAGCCGCTGTACCAGATGTTTCATTACTTGAGCAAATTAACACACCTTCTGCTACCTGGTATACAGCTATTGATCGGGCTTTGAGTCCTGCTACCAGCCTGTCTGGTTCTTCAGCTTGCAGACTACCTATCGTGGGACTTCACCACTTCTGTGATTGTGGTAGCAGATTCCCCCTAATAAATTTCCTTCCATACATTCTACTGGTTCTGTCTCTCTGGAGAACTCTGAGTAATACAATATCCATTCTTTTGCATGTGAATATCCAGTTGTCCCTGCATCATTTTTGAAAACACTATCTTTTCCCCCACAAAATTATCTTGGCCCCTTTGACAAATTTACTTCTTCCTTTACTTTATCAAAGAGTTTGTGAAGGATTGATATTAATTCATATTTAAATGTTAATTAGGATTCACCAGTAAATCCATCTAGACCTGGGTGTTTTTGTGTGGCGGCGGGGGGGGGGGGGGTTTGAAATTACTAATTTAATCTTTTTATTTGTTATAGGTTTATTCAGATTTTCTATTTCTTCTTGTGCTAGTATTGGTAATTTGTGTCTTGGTAGGAATTTATCTATTTAAGTTATATAATTTGTTGGCATATACTTGTTTATAGGTTTCCTTATGATACTATTAATTTATATAAGTTTGTTTGTGTTATCTTCTCTTTCAGTCCTAATGTTACTAATTTATGTCTTCCTTTTTTGTTGGTCATTCTAGCCAAAGGCTTGTCAATTTGTTGATCAGATTTAAGAAATAACTTTTGGTTTTGTTATTTTCTATTTAGTTTATTTGAAGTCTAATGTTCATTTTTTCTTTCCTTCTGTTTGCTTTTGGTTTAGTTTGCTCTTCTTTTCCTACTTTATTAAGGTTAAAGGTTGGGTTACTGATTTGAGAACTTTTTTAGCATTTTATAGAAATTATTTTCCTTCCAAACACGCTTAAGGTGCATCACATAAGTTTGGTATGTTTTTTTATTTTCATTCATCTCAACATCTTTTCTAATTTCCCTTTTGATTTATTCTAAAACCCACTGGTTGTTTAGGAGCACATTAATTTCCACATATTTTTGAATTTACAAATTTTCCTTTTACTACTGATTTCTAATCTCACTCTACTGTGGTTGAAGGACATATGTATATAATTTCAATAATTCTAAGTTTATTGTGGGTTATTTTAAGGCCTTGCTTATATACTCTCCTAGAGAATGTTTCATACATGCACTTAGGAAGAGTGTATATTCTTCTATTGTGCTGTAAATTGATTTACAGATATGTGTTAAGTTTAGTTGGTTTATATTATTATTATTCAAGTTTTCTATACCTCCGTTCTTTTGCCTAGATATTTTATTCATTATTCAATGTGTGATATTGGAATTCTCAACTATTTTTTTAAATCATATATTTATTTCTTCAATTATGTCATTTCTTTTGCCTCATGTATTTTGGGATTCTTCTGTTATATGCATGCACATTTATAATTGTTATATTTTCCCAATGGATTGATATTTTATCATTATAAAATATCTCTTTTTATCGCTATCAACATTTTTGACCAAAAAACTATTTTGTCTGATATTAGCATAGCCCCTCCAGATCTCTTATGGCTGTTTTCGCACAACATCGGTTTCCGCCTTTTTAGTTTCAACCTATTTGTATCTTTGAAAGCAAAGTATGTCTTTTGTAGACACCATAAGTAGGATTGGATCTTGTTTTTCTATCAGACAATCTCTGCCTTTTGATTGGATAGTTTAATTGATTCACATTTAATATTATTATTGATATGCTTTGATTTATGTTTACAATTGTGCTTTTGGTTTCTATATATTTTGTGTCTTTTGTGTTCCTCTAGTCCTTTTTTCTGTCTTATATTAAGTAGTTATTTTCTAGAGTAACTTTTTCATTTCTTTAATGGTTTTCACTACATTTTTTAGCAATTTTCCTGGTTGTTGCTTTGACTTATGGATTATATGTCAAGTTAAACTACTTCAAATAATTCCAATAAGATAGAAAATCTTAGTTCCTTTATAGCTTCTGTACCTCCCACCCCCTTTGCGATATTGTATATACTACATCTATTCATATTACAAAAAACAATATAGTATTACAATTATTGCTTTACATAATTGTGTGTCTTTTAAAGAAGGTAAGAGAATAAAGGAGAAAAAAATATATTTATACCATTTTTATATTAACCTTATTTACCATTTCTGTCTTTGTGTATTTCTCCTGATGAAGTCAGGTTATTGTGTGGTGATATCTCTTTACTCCAATATATTTCATGTCTGACCTCCTTTTTTGTTCTGTTATTGTCAAATATATTGTATTTCTATATGTAATATGTCAAGTATATAATTTTATAGATTTTTATGCAATATGTTCTTTTTTTTTTTTTTTTGACGGAGTCTCACTCTGTCACCAGGCTGGAGTGCAGTGGTGCAATCTCGGCTTACTGCAACCTCCACTTCCCAGGTTCAAGCAATTCTCCTGCCTCAGCCTCCCGAATAGCTGGGACTACAGGCAAGCGTCACCACGCCCAGCTAATTTTTGTATTTTAAGTAGAGACAGGGTTTCACCATGTTGGCCAGGATGGTCTTGATCTCCTGACCTCGTGATCTGCCTGCCTCGGCCTCCCAAAGTGCTGAGATTACAGGCATGAACCACCACGCCTGGCCGCGATATGTTCTTAACTCAGTTTACAAACAAGGAATGATACAATCTTTTATACTTATCTACATAATTATTTTTAATAGGATTCTTTGTTTTGATGTTTAGATTTAAATTATTCTATAGTGTCCCTTTCTTTCAGCCTGAAGAACTTTCTCTAGTATTTCCTGTGAATAGGAAATACTAGCAGCACAGCTCTGCTAGTATGTTAGTTTCCTATGGCTTCTGTAACAAATTATCACAAACTTAGTGGCTTAAAACAACACAAATGTATTATCTTATTGTTCTGGAAGTCAGAAGTCCATTCATCTTACTATGCCAAAATCAAAATGTTAGTAGGGCTGTACTGTCTTTGGAGGCTCTACAGGAAAACTTGCTTTGTTGCCTTTCCAGCTTCGAAACATCACCTGCATTCCTTGGCTCATGACCCCTTCTAACCTTCCTCAAGTCCATCACTCCAACCTCTGTAATCATAGGTTACTGGGATTAGGACATGGACATCTTTGGTGGACCATATTCTGTCTACCACAGATGGCAATGAAATTATCTCAGCTTTTTTGTTGTTGTTTTTCAGGGTATGTATTTTGCCTTCACTTTTGAAAAATAATTTTGTTGTATATAAGACTATTAGTTGCTTTTTTTCCTTAAACACTTTGAATATGTCATTCCACTGCCTTCTGTCTTCCATGATTTGTGATGAAAAGTCACCTATTATTCTTATTGCAGGATACCTTATATATGATCTTCTTCTCTTGCAAATATCAAGAGTTTATCATGTGTCCCATATTTCTCTGATGCTCTTTTATCTTTATTCTTGTTTCTGTCTGTTCTTCAGATTGCAAAATCTATTGTTATATCTTTAAGTTTACTGATTCTTTCTTCTGCCAGCTCTGATCTGCTGTTGAGCACCTCTTGTGAGTTTTTATTTAAGTGTACTTTTTTAGTTTAAAAAAAAAAAAAGGATGCTGGTGAGGTGGTGGAGAAAAAGGAATGCTTATACACTGTTGGTGGGAGTGTAAATCAGTTCAACCATTGTGGAAATTCCTCAGAGACCTAAAGACAGAAATACCATTTGACCCAGCAATCCCATTACTGGGTATATACCCAAAGGAATATAAATTATTCTATTATAAAGACACATGCACATGTATGTTCATTGCAGCATTGTTCACAATAGCAAAGACATGGAATCAACCTAAATGCCCATCAATGATAGACTGGATAAAGAAAATGTGGTACATATATACCATGGAATACTATGCATCCAGTATAAAGAACGAGATCATGTCCCTTGCAGGGACATGGATGGAACTGGAGACCATTATTCTTGGCAATCCAAAACAGGAACAGAAGACCAAATACCACGTGTTCTCACTTATAAGTGGGAGCTAAATGATGAAAACACATGGACACATAGAGGGGAACAACACACAGAGGGGCCTATTGGAGGGTAGACGATGGAGGGTGGAAGAAGGGAGAGGATCAGGAAAAATAACAAATGGGTACTAGGCTTAATAGCTGGGTGATAAAATAATCTGTAAAACAAACCCCCAGGACACAAGTTTACCTATGTAACAAACCTGCACATGTACCCCTAAACTTTAAATAAAAGTTTAAAGAAATTCTCACTCCTTCAGGGATTATGTAAAGAGTTTTTGGCATTCATTTAAGAAATCAACAGTTGATCTAGTTATAAACCAATTGAAAGAAGTTGTAAAATAAGTTGATGATGGAATTCCATTGTATCAGGAGAATATCACCAATGCTTTTTACAAATGCCTTTATGCAGCCATGATGCAAAATGAAATCAATAAAATATCAATTATTGCAAAGTTAAAAATAGTGTACTTTTTGACTAATTTTTGACCAAAAAGAAAACTCTGTTAAATATTTCAATAAGTTTATTCTGAGCCAATGTGTCACCATGGCCCAGGGAACAGTCTCAGGAGGTCCTGAGAAAGTACACCTGAGGCAGTCAGGTTATGGTTTGGTTTTATACATTTTAGAGAGACAGAAGTTACAGGCAAAGACATAAGGTATACATTGGTTTAGCCCAGAAAAGCAGGACATCTCAAACTGAGGGGGACAGCTTACAGGTCATAAATGGATTCAAAGATTTTCTGATCGGCAGTTGGTTGAAAGAGTTAAGCTGAAGACTTGACATCAGTAAAAAAAAAAAAAAAAGAAAAGAAAGAAATGATTGAGTTAAGATAAGGGGAGTTGTGGAAACCAAGGTTCTTATTATGTATATGAAGTCCCCAGGTAGCAGGCTTCAGAGGGAATAGATGGTAAATGTCTCTTTTCAAACCTTAAAATAGGTGTCAGACTCTTAATCTTTCCTAGATTCAGGAAAGGCCTAGCTGTATTAATGGGGATTCTCTACACATGCAAAATTTCCTCCACCAAAGATGGCTTTGCAGGGCCATTTCAAAACATGTCAAAAAAAAACATTTTAGGGTAAAATATTTTTATTTTCTTCAGGGTCTACTATCTTTCATGTGACGCTATACCAGAGTCAGGTTGATATTTGGTATCTTATTGCCAAAGAGTCTGTTCTGTCAGTCTTAATATCTCTATTTTATTAATTCTGGCCGGTTTTGCCTAAACTCCAAAAGGGAGGGGTTATAATGAGGCATGTCTGACCTCCCTTCCCATCATGGCCTGTAATTTAGTTTTTCAGGTTGCTCTGGGGTCCCCTTGGCCAAGAGGTTTATTTCTGGTTTAAACTTCAGATTGCAAAATCTGTTACATCTAAGTTTGCTGATTCTTCTGCCAGCTCAGATCTACTATTCAGCACCACTCGTGAGTTCATTTTAATACAGGAGTTATTGGCCGAGCATGGTGGCTCATGCCTGTAATCCCAGCACTTTGGGAGGCCAAGGCGGGCGGTTCACTTGAGGTCAGGAGTTCAAGACCAGCCTGGCCAACATGGTGAAACCCCATCTCTACTAAAAACACAAAAATTAGCTGGGTGTGGTGGCATGCATCTGTAATCCCAGCTACTAGGGAGACTGAGGCAGGAGAATTGACTGAACCTGGGAGGTGAAGGTTGCAGTGAGCCGAGATTGCACCACTGCACTCCAGTCTGGGCGACAGAGCAAAGCTCTGTCTCAAAAAAAAAAAAAAATACGGGTGTTATTAAGAAATAGTTTTAGGCAGATAGAGAGGGTTAAAGGAGTTCTCGGTAAGGCTTTTTCTTTTAATAGAAACAGCTCCTGAAACACTTCTTTTCTAACAGAAAGGCGACTTGCAAAAACCAGGCCAGCAAGCACTGACATGCGAATGCTGGTGATTAGAAACTAGGTCCAACCAATATGGCCATTCCCGCCCTCTTCTCCTTGTCACCACATGTGCCAAGTGTCATGGCCACCTCCAGATAACTCTGCATGTACAGGCTATCATGGCCGCCCACATTTGCATATTAAAAGACTATGGTGGGAGGGCCAGGTTTTTCACGGGCTACATAAATGACACACCTGGTCAAACCAATCCCCTGGGCCCTATGCAAATCAAACACCACCTCCTCTAGTCTCCCAATATAACCAAGTACTTTTCCGCCACACATGGGGTTTTCTCTTTCCGTTTGGAGCCCCCCTCCCTCTGTCTCTGTATGGTGGAGCTTCTTCCTTCTTTCCTGCCTATTAAACTCTCTACTCTTTAAAACCACTCCACGTGTGTCCATTTATCTACATCAGCGTGAGACCAAGGACCCTGGCGTTCCTACATTCATTGAGGTAGTATCATTTTGGTGTATTGGGCAAGAATTCATTTATCGGAGTGGTGAGTATGGAGTGAACCTCAACCTCAAATCTGTCCTTTAATCTCAAGGCTCTTTTCCTGCTATCCCGTCACCAAACTTTCCTTCTTTCTCTATCCAGGGTCTCTTACTGTCTCTGTGTGTCAAATGTGCAGGAATTTTTACAGTTCAGGGAAACAGGTCTGTTAGGAAAGATCAGCAGCTCTGGTGAGCTCATGGTATTTCTAAGCCAACATCACCACCTAGTGAAAATAGAAATCCTCTTCATGAGGCACATTTTTTACAGTAACACTGAGCTTCCTTTTGCACCACTAGAAATCAGGCTCTCAGCTACTTCTGTGAACAGGAAAGTTCTGCCTTTAGCAGCTAAGAAGTAAAATGTCTTCTATAGTCAAATTTTAGTCTTGATATTGTCCCATAAGCAGGAAAATGGCCATTCGTTTCCTATATTCCTTTAAGGGACCTATTCTGTCTCTGATTCAGACCGTACTTAATTAGTAAGGGGATTTTAAGTTTGGAAGTAAACCAGAACTATTTTTCTGAAGGTAAATGCTTTAGCATGGACCATAATAGCAGGCAATCTAGCACGTTGCCTCCGTTAAAGGAGACTTGCCCAAAGATGACACAGTCTCTCCAGAGATCCATTTTTCAGGGAGCCAGGCAGATCACACAGGTTTAGGAAGTCAAAGGGGATCACACAAGGTGGATAAGCTAAGGTTGCATGGGTAAAGCGTGGTTAGTCCCATCACTTAGTTCATCTGGTCTCATGGCTTGGAGGACCACACCTACAACCATGGGTGGCACGTTTAACAGGGTGCCAGGACCCAGGAACCATGGAGGGAAAATAGGAGGATGCTCCACGTCTTCTCCACCCTGGGTCATACAGAAAGGAAGGAAACTAAAAGGACACTTTTATTCTCGCCTCTCTTTCTAGATGGGTAACAGATTATCTTCAGCTTGCACCCCTCTGGAATGCACTCTGAAGCACTGGAACTTCCTTAACCTCGGGACTTTGAAGAGAAAAGCGACTCATTTTCTTTTGCACAAAGGCATGGCATTTTTACTAAACCTTTGCAAGGGTTTTAAGGTCAACCAAGCCCTTTTAGCAATCATATCAGGCAGGCCCAAAGAGAATAGTTCCCCAAAGTTAGAGAAGCAATTTCCAGGGGAACTACCTGAGGATCCCCCTTATTTGGGGCCCCTTCAAGTTCCCTTCTCATTATAGGACCTTAGGCAAATAAAGGGAAACTTAGGCTGATTTTCTGACGACGCTGATAGGTATATAGAAGCTTTCCAAAATTTAATTCAGGTGTTTGACCTCACATGGAGGGATGTTATGTTGCTCCTAAACCAGACCCTCATGGCAGCTGAAAAGCAAGCACCTCTGCAAGAAGCAGAGAATTTCGGAAATGAGCAAAATATCGCCTATAATACACCAAAAAGGAAGAAGGCAGATAGATAGGGAAAGTGAAGAAATAACAGAAACACTATTCCCAATCGGGAGGGAAGCAGTTCCCAGTACACAACCCTGATTGGGACCCCAATAACTCAGGAGATGAATGGAAAAAGAAGCACTTTTTAAGGTGTATATTAGAGGGCCTACAGAAAACCAGGGCCAAACCTCTCAATTACTCTAAACTGTCTATGATAGACCAAAAGCCAGATGAGAATCCTGTAGCCTTTATGGAAAGGCTGAGAGAGGCACTAATAAAACACACCTCCTATCCCCTGATTCAGTCGAGGGACACCTCATTCTAAAGGACAAGTTTATTACACAGGCAGCTCCCGATATCAGAAGGGAGCTACAGAAGCAATTTATAGGACCAAATAGCACCTTAGAAAACCTCCTGAGAATAGCCACTTCAGTCTTTTACAACAGGGACCAAGAGGAGGCCCAAAAGCAAGAGAAAAAGCTCAGGAGAAGGACAGAGGCTCTGGTAGCAGATTTGCAGGCTTGCAAAGTCCAGCATCCCCAAGGTGCATCCGCTAGTTGCTATCGGTGTGGCAGGCTAGAGCATTTTAGGAAGGAATGCCCAGGCAGCAAGATGAAGCCATCTCAACCCTGTCCAGCCTGTGGCGGAAACCACTGGAGATGGAACTGCCCCCAGAGATGGAAGTCACTGGGTTCAGGACCAGTCTCACAGATGATCCAGCAGGACTGATGGGTCCTGGGGCTCAAATCTCAGCTCCAGCGGTTCAAACTGCCATTATAGCACAAGAGCCCTGGGTGATTCTGGAAAATAAAGGAAGGAAAGTAGACCTCCTTTAAACACTAGATCCTCTTTTCTCTCTCTTTTATCCTCTCTAATCTAGGCCTCCCCTCTTCCCATAACATGACCGTAAGGGGCATCTCAGGAAAAACTCTAATCCAATGTTTTTCTCAACCTTAGTTGTAGTTAGGAGGACCTATTTACACAGGCTTCCAAACCATTGTTATGACAGCTCTACTAAATTAATCCTAGGAAATAATTTAAGTGTTTACACTCCACATGTGGCAGGATCACTGTCCTCTAGGGGGAGCTCTTAGCTAGTAAACAGCCAGTAAAGCAAGAAGTACATAAGGCAGGATAAGTAGTAGTAGCTCTAAATAACGTCTCTCCCCAGACACAAGCACTCAATTAGCTGAGCTAATAGCTCTTACAAGAGCACTTGAATTAAGCAAGGGAAAGACAGCTAACATTTACACTGATTCCAAGTATGCTTTCCTGGTTCTCCATGCTCATGCTGCCATTTAAAAGGACAGACATTTTCTTACCACTCATGGATCTACTATAAAAATATCACCAGGAAATTAGGTTATTATCCTCAGTTTTTCTTCCACGAGAAATAGCAGGGATGCATTGTAAGGAACATCAAAAGGAAACAAATAAGGTAGTCAAAGGAGATAGATTAGCTGACCAAGCAGCTAAATCAGAGGCAAGGAAGCCTCAAGGCATCAACACACTTCAAGCCCCTCCTAATCTAGGAAGGCTCCATAAGAAAAACTAAACCTCAGTATTCCCCTGCAGAGATAGAATAGGCCACTTGTCGAGTGCATGCTTTTCATCCCTCAGGATGGCTAGAGTCAGAGGATGGCAAACTCCATTTGCCAGCTTCCAGCCAATGAAAAGTCCTTAAAATCCTTCACCACGCTTTTCACTTAGGAAAGTATTAAGACTTATTAATGTATTCAAAGATTATTTTCAGGCAGGAAAACCTCTAAATTGGTTAAGCACGTAACCTCTCGAGCTCACTTCCAACAAGAATTAACACAACTAGCAGAAGCCCAACCCCAGGAAATAGAACCACCTTTATTTAACCCAGGAAATTTGGTATTAATGAAAACTCTCATCTCTGTCTCCTTCCCTAAGCCAAGCTGGGAAAGGCCCTACACTCTTCTTTCAACTCAACCCCCTCGGCAGTAAAGGTTACAGGAATCAACTCTTGGATACATCACAGTCAAGTCAAAGCCTAAAGAGCTGAGGGAGCAACCCCTGACAGTCCAGAGGAACGTCCTGAATATCAATGTGGAGAAATAGACTATCTTAAGCTGAAAATCACAAAAGATAAGTAACTGAGTGAGGGCTACTCATCTTACTCAGTCCCCCTCCTACCTCACCAGATACTGTTTATTATTTCTCCCCTTTCCTCTCAAAATTTGCCACCAAATATTAGAACTTCTTTTTAATGCATATTTGCAAGGAAATTTTAATTATACATGGGATTGCATTTGTAACTTTGTAGATCCCCAAAGGAAAATGTTATATCTTGGCAAGTAAAATTTTAAACAGAAATTATTTACTATGCCACTCCTGTGGGAATTGTTATAGTCACGCTACTATTTGCAGTAGAACTGTACACTGTGGCACCCACAATGTGGAATTCTGGTTGTAAAATTCTAATTGCTGTAATATTTTGCCTGATTCTCATCCTTATAACAGGATTAATAATTGCAGGAAAGATCTAGTCAAGGTTGCTTTGCTTATAGCAGGAGTAGTAGTTATGGATAAGAAGCAAGCATGGAAGTTTTACTATCATTAAGTTTAATAGGACTTTTTACTGAAGGTTGGTGATAGGATGCACTCTAAGCTATGAAAAGGATATGAAAAACAGAGATTTTACATAAGGAAGGATCTTGTATGGTAAATTCTTGTCCTAAAAGGAAGTGACTGGTTGTTTAAAGAAAGCATGTTTAGAACAAGTCAGAAAGTTTAAGTATGTTGTAAGAGAGTATGTGAAAGTCATGAAAAAATTTTAATAATTAAAGGAAAGGATTGTCAAGATTAACACTAAAATTATTTTAGCCACCCAGTAATATATTTCTCCAAATTTTATTGCAAGTTATAAAAATGGTCTAAGCCTAAAGTTATTCTCTAATGGCAAGTTAAGGGGGAAAATGTATGCTCTTCTCAAGGAAAACGTTAGCTTTATATGAACGTTTCTGGTAATGTACGGCGACATCTAGTGGAGACAAATGGGTATTGCAATCCATTCACTTATCAAACTCAGTAATGGTCTATAGGACCCCCACTAACGGTGGTAATCCTAATACTCATATTCTAACACTATATTTTAAACCATCTTGTAAAATTTATCTCTTTTCACCTAGAAGCAATCAAACTCCAAATGGTGCTAGCAGAACCACACATGGACAGGCCATTCTTCTGAGAACCCGTAGCTCAACCTCATGAGAAGGTCCAATTGCTTTTCCCCCACATGATGCCCCTTTTCAGCAGGAAGTAGCCAGGAAGAATCATCGTCTAACACCCCTTAACAACAGTTAGGTTTACTTCTCTTGAGGGGGGAATAATAAAGTTATTAAGGAATAATTTTAGGCAGATAGAGAAGGTAAAAGGAGTTATCAGTGAGGCTTTTTTTTTTTAAAAATAGAAACAGCTCCTGAAACATTTCTTAACAGAAAGGCGGCTTGAAAAAACCAGGCAGACAAGTATTGATATGCAAATGCAGGCGATTATAAACTAGGTCCATCCAATATGGCAATTCCCACCCTCATCCCCATGTCACCAAGTGTCATGGCCGCCTCCAGATAACTCCGCGTGTGCAGGACATCTTGGCGGCCCACATTTGCATATTAAAAGGCTAGGGTGGGAAGGCCAGGTTTTTCTTGGGCTATGTAAATGACACATCTGGTCAAACCAATCCCCTGGGCCTTATGCAAATCAGACACCGCCTCCTCCAGCCTCCCAATATAACCGGCTACTTTTCTGCTGCACAAGGGGTTTTCTCTCTCTGCTTGGAGTCCCCCTCCATCTGTCTTTGTATGGGGGAGCTTCTTCCTTCTTTCTTGCCTATTAAACTCTCCGCTCCTTAAAACCACTCCACGTGTGCCCCTGTCATTTATTTACATCAGCACAAGACCAAGGACCCTGCTGTTCCTCCATTTCTTGGAGCCATGTCAATTTAAGATATTGTACTTTTTAACTTTAGGTTTTGTATTTGATTCTTTTTATAGAATTCCTATTTATTGATTGATACTTTCTATTCAGTGATTCACTGTCATTATACTTTCCTATGATTTTTAAAACATAGTTTCCTTCAGTTCTCTGAACATATTCATAATAGATATAGTATTTACCTGCTAACATCTGTCCCACTCAAAGACATCTTCTATTGTCTGTTTTCTTCCCTGTATATGAGTCATACTTTTCCTGTTTCTTTGCATATCTCTTAACTTTTTGTTTAAAAATTGACATTTTACAGGAAACAACAGGTGCTGGAGAGGATGTGGAGAAATAAGAACAGTTTTTACACTGTTGGTGGGACTGTAAACTAGTTCAACCATTGTGGAAGTCAGTGTGGCAATTCCTCAGGGATCTAGAACTAGAAATACCATTTGACCCAGCCATCCCATTACTGGGTATATACCCAAAGGATTATAAAACATGCTGCTATAAAGACACATGCACACGTATGTTTATTGCAGTACTATTCACAATAGCAAAGACTTGGAACCAACCCAAATGTCCAACAATGATAGACTGGATTAAGAAAATGTGGTACATATACACCATGGAATACTATGCAGCCATAAAAAATGATGAGTTCATGTCCTTTGTAGGGACATGGATGAAGCTGGAAACCATCATTCTCAGCAAACTATCGCAAGGACAAAAAACCAAACACCACATGTTCTCACTCGTAGGCGGGAATTGAACAATGAGAACACATGGACACAGGAAGGGGAACATCATACACCGGGGCCTGTCGTGGGGTGGGGGGAGGGGGGAGGTATAGCATTAGGAGATATACCTAATGTTAAATGACGAGTTAATGGGTGCAGCACACCAACGTGGCATATGTATACATATGTAACAAACCTGCACGTTGTGCACATGTACCCTAAAAGTATAATAAAAAAAATTGACATTTTAGATAATATAATAACTTGATATTGAACTCCTTCTGGGGCTGGTTGTTATTGTTTATTTGTCTAGTAACTTGGGTGGACTAATTCTGTGCAGTCTATTTCTTCTGCACAGTACAGCTCTAGTGTCTCCTGTTCAGATTTTTCTTTTATTTATTTTTTTAATTGTAAGCCTTGCTGACTAGCAGTTGTCCCTGGGTCAGCATAGCTTAGTAGTCAGCCGCTGATTGGCCAGAAGTTATGCTTAAGGTCTCTGAGCCAGTGTGTGGTTTGGAGACCGCCTTCACAGCTTATGAATTAGCCCCTCAATCAGCCAGGAGGTTGTAGCTCCTAGCTCGTAAGTTCTCATTCTAGTCATTTCCAAGAATGTGCTGACTCAGGCAGGTGCCCTGTCTGGTATGAGTGTGATTTGGCAGGGTCCTCTTTGGCTATTTCTATCACCGAACTCCCTTTTAGATTTCAGGCTGATCTGCCTCTATTGGTATCACATTCTGATTGTTAGCTGATTGCTCTATTGTATTAGGCCATTCATGTTTTGCTTTAAATACCTGAGACTGGGTAACTTAAAAAGAAAAGAGGTTTAACTGGCTTATGGTTCTGCAGGCTACACAAGCATGGTGCCGGCATCTGCTTGGCTTCTGGGAACGCCTCAGGAAGCTTTTATTCATGGTAGAAGGTGAAGCAGGAGCGGTTAAGCAATATGGCCAGAGTAGTAGCAAGAAAGAGAGAGTGGAAGGTGCCACACACTTTTAAACAACCAGATCTCACATGAACTCACTCATCACCAGGGGGATGTTGCTAAGCCATTCCTGAAGGATACATCGCCATGATCTAAACACCATCCACCAGGCCCCACCTCCAACATTGTGGATGACACTTCAACATGAGATTTGGTGGGGACGTATATCCAAACTATATTATCTATTGTGTTCAAAAGTGCCCTGGACCCTCCAAGCTCTGATTCAAATAACGTTAACCCCCTCAGGAAGGACCAGCAATACTTCTTGGCGTACCCCCCTCTCCCTGGGCAAAACCTTTTCATTATGGAGTGGAAGGTGGGGGTGAGTGTGTAGGCTAGTGTGGCTACTTGGCTCCCACCACTTGCCCAGTGTAGATTTTCCACAAGTATGAAAGTAAATGCAAATCCAAAAAGTGGAGAAAATTAAACTTTTCATGGCACAAAAAGGGAAAGAGACCCCCTCCATCCCTTTCCTTAGAGCATATACTTTAGACGACGTTTAGTTATGAATCCTTTTTCTGCTCCTTCAAGAGATATGTAAATATTTTTTAAGCTGTTAAAAATTACAGGAAGCCATTGTTTTGGACTGAGCTCCTGCACTAGGTTCCAACATTCAAGAAAAAAACAAAATAGAGTCTCTCGTGTTAAATGCCACATCATCAAACTAAAACTTTAACGAAGCAAACAGATTCTAAAACAGACCAGTTTTTCCTGAAAACAGGAGATTCTAGTCTACCTGTGTCAGCATAATAATAAGGAAGTATCCTCTGCTTTAACCCTTTTAAAAAATTAACCCAAAGTAACCTGTTGTTAACCCATCCAGTTTTTTTCTATTGTTCTACTTCCTTGTTCCCACCCTTCAATACCTACTGTTCTGCCATCGCCCAGTGGGAGATCTCATTATTTGTAGAATGGATGCTTCCCAAATTCATGAATCGCAGATAAAAGCAAATTAGACCTATAACTAAATTTGTCGTAATTTTGTCTTTTAATAAAGCTAGATAAGCCTTTTGCCAGCTTTAAAACACAGAAATGTCTTTCTCAAGAACCTGGGTGACATCTCTTTGAAATGTAAATATCAAAGAATATAGCATCCCTATCTCCTTGGGAGTTTAATGTAGGTGTCTGGCTTCAAATTACAGCCACCTATGTGTCATGGAATTATGAGAAGTTTTACAATTTCTTTGGGTAAAGGCAATTAGCAAAGGCAAATGGCCACCCCCAATTACCAGGTGAATTTAAAATGAACTATGTGTAACAAACGGTGCTATTAAGTCCTCTCATATGAAGACTAGTCTATCTTGGGAACATGTATGTAATAGGTTGTATCTGCCTGGGCTATATAAAAAGATGATATTTCTTTCTATCTTTCCAATCTCTTTAGCAGATTGCTTGTGATGCACATCACATTCTGGTTTAATGCCTATTCAATAATAAAACTGTTTTCCTTCTTTTCTACTTTTGTGGGCAGGTTTTCTGGGTTGGCAGATTTTGTCTGTAATTATGTTTTCCCAACACAGGCACCTGGAGACATTGAGTACTGCCAATGGACTGCTGAACCAAACGAAGAGCTTTTCTGCAACATTCATGTTGCAGAGGAGATGGGAACTGCCACTCAGCTGCTGCCACTCAGCTACTAAATCTGAAATAGTTATTCAGCAATACAAAAATGGTATTGCGGGGTTCTGGGGCAGCCCCTTTGGCTCAAATGCCAGAGCTTTCTGCTATACCTACTGAGTTTCAGTAGATTTTATTGAATAAAAGTTTCTCAATTCATTACAAGCCCTTCGATCAATCTCCAAAGACTTTGTCTAGTTTCAAATATGTTTTTCTAGGGGAAAGGATTTGCCAAGCTCCTCACACTACCATTCCAGAAGTCCTAACCCTGAACTATGTTTGCAACTTCTTGTGAATCCTAAATTATTTTAAAATAAAGAGTATAAGAAATAAAAATTTAGTGGTGCCTAGCATGATCCAGGCAGTGTCCTTGATGCTGGATTTACAAAGACCAATGAAACCTGGTTCTTTTCCTTCAGGATCTTATAGTCAGGTGTGGGAGACAGACGTGTATTGGAAAAGCACAGAAAAGTGCTATAGGTGCTAAATTAGCAATCTGTGCAAATAGCATGGAGGAAGGGACGAAGAAAACAAAAGTAGTTAGTAAAATAGAAACAGGAATGACCAACAAATTAAAAAGAAAATTCAGGAAAACTATGTCCTTGTGAGTATGAAATCACTCACCTATACTTGACAATGCAACTGGTCATTGGGTTCACATCCTTGGCTCTTCCCAGGTAATAGTGAATGATATCCCTTCTCAAAATAAAATAATTCAGACAGGCTTCTATTCATTCAACTACGCATCCAAACAAATACCATTTTTATGGGACTTATCCATACATCAATCACTGTTTATCAGAGAAACCCTCAGTGAATTATCTAATGCAGTTTTTTTTTTTTTTTTTTTTTTGAGAAGGAGTCTCTCTCTGTCACCAGGCTGGAGTGCAGTGGCGCGATCTCAGCTCACTGCAACCTCTGCCTCCCGGGTTCAAGCGATTCTCCTGCCTCAGCCTCCTGAGTAGCTGGGACTACAGGCGCCTGCCACCACGCCCGGCTAATTTTTGTATTTTTAGTAGAGACGGGGTTTCACCATGTTGGCCAGGCTGGTCTTGATCTCTTGACCTCATGATCCACCCGCCTCAGCCTCCCAAAGTGCTAATGCAGTTTTACTGTAAGATCAGATCTGAAGGAAAAGGAGTAACAGATTGACCAAAGTTCTTTATGAAGCCAAGAAGTCAGGAATAGAAACTTCCAAAAATGGGAACATGGAGTAAAGAATATAAAAATCTCAAGTGAAGAGAATTTCTAATACAGATGTGTCCTATGTCAATTCATTGTTCACATATATTTTCCAATAAGGGCAAAACTGACACAATGATAGCAATACTTTATTGAGCAAGTAGCAAATGTAATAATTCATTCAATAAATACTGGGCACTGTGTTAGGTTCTGGGGATACAGAGATGACTCAAGCTGGGCTTCAGGCCTCAAAGACTTCGTGTTCTAGTGGACGGACAGACAGACCTGTAGATAGAAAGATTCTGCCTACATGTAGAATTGCGCCTACATGAAATTGTGAGGAGAGCTATGACAGAAATAAGCATGGAGGACCTTGGGAAATAGATGAGGGCCCCTTAATCTAGGTAGCCATGAAAGAATTCTCAGAGGAGATAATGCTTATGAACTAGGTACTATTATGATCCTCAACATTAGATTAGAAAACTGCAGATCAGGGAGGTAAGGTAACTTGGCTGAGATCACATGGATAGTAAATGGTTGAGCCAGTTTTCATTCATGGTAATGTGGACTCCCAAACCTCATTCGTTTTACTTGACTGCCACCACTTAGATTTTCAATGGCTCTGTTTGCTTCATATACGTTTTTGAAATCTGGTACATTTTATGATCTATGGGAAAGTCAGAAAGATACTCCATATCTATTGGTTTAAGTACAGCTCCTCTGAGTTCTAACTACTGGGCCCTGATGCTGTATAGAATTCTGAGCACAGCCTAGACACTAAATGTTTTTCTTTTCTGCAGACTTGTCAGATGCCAACTGATTCACTTCAACCTTGAGTATTAATTAATTTTTATTTTGTTACACCCACTTCTAAAGGTAATTTTAACTTAAAGCCCTTTCAAAATCCAATCAAATTAACAGTATAATATGGATTTTCATAAAGATCCCAGAATGTCCTGCTCTGAAACACCATCCAATTGACTATTCATATCAATGTAAACTGGACTTGGAGTGTTACAAAAATCCTGCTCAAAAGCATATACTAAACCATTACCATTTTCTTGTAAGTACAAATCAGTTTTTATGAGACACAGTCTTGCTTTGTCACCAAGGCTGGAGCGCAGTGGTGTGACCACAGCTCACTGCAGCCTCGACCTACAGAGCTCAAGTGATCCTTCCACCTCAGCCTCCCAGGTAGCTGGGACTATAGGCATGCACCAACACTCCAGGCTAATTTTTTATTTTTGTAGGGATAAGAGTCTCACTATGTTGCCCAGGCTGGTCTCGAACTCCTGGGTTCAAGCAATCCTCCTGCCCCAGCTTCCCAAAGTGCTGGGATTACAAGTGTAAGCCACCACACCCAGCCAAGGTTTTTGTGGAAGACAGTGTGGCGATTCCTCAAGGATCTAGAACTAGAAATACCATTTGACCCAGCTATCCCATTACTGGGTATATACCCAAAGGATTATAAATCATGCTGCTATAAAGACACATGCACACACGTTTATTGCGGCACTACTCACAATAGCAAAGACTTGGAACCAACCCAAATGTCCATCAGTGATAGACTGAATTAAGAAAATGTGGCACCTATACACCTTGGAATACTATGCAGCCATAAAAAAGGATGAGTTCATGTCCTTTGTAGGGACATGGATGAAGCTGGAAACCATCATTCTCAGCAAACTATCACAAGGACGAAAAGCCAAACACTGCATGTTCTCACTCATAGGTGGGAATTGAACAATGAGAACACTTGGACATAGGAAGGGGAACATCACACACTGGGGCCTGTCATGGGGTGGGGGGAGGGGGGAGGGATAGCATTAGGAGATATACCTAATGTAAATGACGAGTTAATGGGTGCAGCACACCAACATGGCACATGTGTACATATGTAACAAACCTGCACGTTGTGTACATGTACCCTAGAACTTAAAGTATAATAATAAAAAAATAAAAATAATAAAAAGACCAATTATAAACATGCCCCACATAAGACTCCAAAAAGTTCTGGACTTCATGGCCCAGAAATAGTAGTATCCTGAATGAAAACAAACAAACGAATAAGCCAAAAACCAAAAAAACTAAAACTAAAACCTTTCCTCCTCCTCTTTTTGTTGCCTCTACACTAGTACTGACCATAGTGAGACACACTGTGTGCGTGTGTGCGTGTGTGTGTGTGTGTGTATATCACCGAATGGTATATTTTCAACCATTTTTGACCTTTGTTTGTGGAAAAGCTGCTTAACCTCTCTGATTCTTGGTTTCCCCATTTTACAGAATAGGACAACTACTTCTCAGAGTCAGCGTGAGGATTAGATGTCATAATACATGTAGACATGTTTTTGAGAACTACAAAGGGCTGTATATGTGTTATATACTCCCCTGGGAACATTTGGAGCACACAGAAATTTTGGTGAGTCACAGAAAAAGCAATTTTTATAAAAGCAGCTTCTCCAGCCCAATCCCTTGTATACAACAGTGAGTGTTTAATATATTTTATTATACCAATGAGTTTATGCAAACTTAACCCATTCGGAAGTCATAATAAATGATGCTTGACACCACACTAGGAACTTGAGATTCAAATGGATAAAACAGGGTTCTTTCCTTCAAAGAACTCATGGTCTAGTAGGGGAACCCTGGAAACAAATAACTACAAGGATTGTGGCAGGCTACACAGTAGAAGTATATACCAGGTACAGTGTGGTACACAGGTAGGATAGGCACTCCCAAGTCTTTTTACCCTTTCAGGCTCTTGTTCCATTGATCACCACATCTTCCTATGTCTCCATCCTCTTCCTGTCTACTGGCTCCTCCCCATAATCAAATAAGCCATGTCACCCTCTTGGTCACAATCACAGTTTAGTGAGTGAGTCAGATAAGTACTTTAGGCAACTGCAGGATTCACAGTGGATTTTCATCTTAAAGTTAAACAGGAAGGTATGGCAATAGAGTATTGATATAGTGAGATGTGTCTTTAGTTACTGCCATGTTCTGAGTAACTTGGTGAATGACAATTCACCAAGGACCCCAGGAGGAGGGAAAGTATTAGGAGTGGGAGGCTTTGCAAGGTCACAGGTTCAGATTTAGATGAATAAATAATTACAATGTTTAATGCTTCATACTTGGCATGAAATGGGACAAGATAATTGTGGAATAAGAAAACTAAGTTAAAATCCTGGCTCTGTTGTACATGAGCTCTATGACCTTGGGAAATTTTCTATGTGTTGAAGAGTCCATTCACCCAACATTATTGATAAGATTAAAAAACAACAGTAAAATTTATAACATAGCACAATGGTTGAGAACACAGCCTCTGGAGTTGGATTGCTTGGATTTGAAACAGTGCTACCCTTTATTTGCTGTAGGAGAGTGAGGAAATTTTAGCTTCTTAGTTTTCTTATCTATAAAATGGCATATTAAATAGTAGTTCTGACCTCACGGGGCTTTTATGACAATTCAGTTGCTTAATATATTAAATAGTAGAGTAGAGTACCTGGTATATAGCAACTGCTAAATGTTTGCTAAATATATTAGGAATACCTATTTCAGAGTTCACTGCAAATTTCACAAGATATGAAAATTGTTAATTAGTTGTAACTATGCCACTATAGTCTCTTCCAAAATCCTGATTTTGGAAGCCATGGCATGTCGTCTAGCTTCGAATTATCTTTAAAGTGAAACTGCACTGTTGAATCCTACAGCTCCTTGAAGTACTTGTCTGACTCTCCAACTAAACAGTGACAGTAGCAGAGATGGTAGCACGGCCTAATTGGAACAGCTAATCTTTAGGTATCTGATCATTCAATGTAGTCCTCAACAAGGGTCAGTCAGTTTCCTGCAGCCAGGGGAGTGCAGCAGAAGCTTCAGAGCACTGGAACCACAGATTGTCCTGTTGAGGATGTGGCCCCGACACTGAAAGTCATGATAAGACCTAATAGCTCCAAGTTTGTTCTCCTTTCCTTCAGGACTTCTCCCTATATACCCCCATCGACATTGCTCTCCATCTCATTGCCCATTGGCATCAGACACATACACATACCATTCACTGGCAATTAGGACTAATCATGAGACAAACTTTGAATATGTGGATTGTGAGCTTCTTTAAGTAAGAAGAGTATAAAATCCAAATAAACATATTCAAAGAGAGGTGTGCTTTTGGAATGGAAGCAGTCAAGTTTTGTTTAGTTTGGCATTGAGCTGTAAGAAACAGGGTCATGTTAAATAGAGCTTCTATGGGTCTGTAGCCATTTATCACCACACAGATGTTTTCCAGCCCCACTCCTCACCTGCTGTCCTCTTGCTGTTTCCTCAGTCAGCAATTTCCTATTCTCCACAGAGCTACGTCAATACTGCCCTCACTTTCTCTTAACCTCTTATATTACTCACACTTTCTCACCTCATACTCACTAGATAACTCTATTACCTCTCCAAGGGAAATGAATATCTCAGGTGTAACATACCTTAGTTTCATAATACAAATCTACCAACCTTCCTTATACCTATCCAGTTTTTTCTCCTTCCCTCCTGGTACAGTGGAAGGGGTAATTTTCTACCATCTAAGATAAATTGCTTCACTGTGCTTCACATCCCAAGTCCTTCCACCCTCTCAGGCTCTTTTTCCACTGATTACTACATCTTCCTATACCTTCAAGGCTTTCCCTCTGTAAGGGTTCCTCCCCATTAACAAATAAAGGTGCCCAAGTCTCTGACACCTAGAAAACCTTAAAACTCTCCTTCAATGTGACCTTTCTCTTTAGCTACCATCCTATTTCTTGCCTCTCCTTCAATAGTTAATTAAATTATTTGAAAGAATTATTTACTCATTAAATCCAGATCCTTATGTCCCACTTATTCCTCAGCCCACTGCCATCTGCTTTACCACTCTGCCACTCTATTGAGACAGTTTTCATCAATGATATTTTCTGCCACCACCACTATAATACTCCATATTCTTCACAACTCCCTCCTTAAAATATTGTATATCCTCAATTCTCTTTATTTTGAGGACTGCTTTTGATAACTCCTTTGTATGCAATTCTCCCTCTGCTCATCACAGAAATGTTTTTTGTTAACAGCTTTATTAAGGTATAATTACATCTGAACTTGCTTCTAGACACAGGTAAATTAAAAAAAAATATATATATATATATAGTTACATACCATAAACTTCACCAGTTTAATGTGTACAATTCAATGGCTGTTAGAGTATTTACAAAGTTGTGCAAACATCATCATAATCTAATTTTGAACATGTTCATCATCACCAAAAGAAATCTTGTACCCATTAGAAGTCAATCCTCATTCCCCTTTCCCCTAGCCATAGGCAAGCATTACTCTACTTTCTGATGCTCTAGATCTGCCTATATTAGGTATTACATATAAAACAAGTATTACACAGTATGTAATGTACTGTGTCTGGCTTCTTTCACTTAGCATAATGTTTTCAATGTTCACCCATGTTATAGCATCTATCAGTATTTCATTCCTTTTTATTGCTAAATAATATCCCATTGTATGGGTATACTACATTTTCTTTATATAGTCATAGTCTATGGACATTTGAATTGTTTCCACTTTTGGCTATAGTGAATAACGCTGCTATGATTATTCATATACATGCCTTTTTGTGAAACATTTTCATTTCTCTTGGGTGGATACCTCACAGTAGAATTGTTGGGTCATATGGTAAGCTTGCTTAACATTCTAAAGGACTGCCAAACTATTTTCCAAAGTGGTAGCGATATCTTATATTCTCCCCAGTAATGTATGAGGACTCAGGCTTCTCCACATCCTTACTAAGTCTTACTTTTAGTCTTTTTGATTATAGGCATTCTAGTGGGTGATAAGTGGTTTCTCGTTGTGGTTTTAATTTGTATTTCCCCAGTAACTAATCTTTTATTATTAGTTAAGCATCTTTTCAAGCGCCTATTGTCCACTTACATATTTCCTTGGAGGAATCTATTCAAATCCCTTACGTAGCTTTTAATCACATTATTTGCCTTATTATTGATTTTTAAGCATTTTTTAATATTCTGGATACAATCCAAGTTGCTGATCATTTTAAAGGGCGAACTTTTAATGTTGTTAATTTTCTCTATTGTTCTTCTATTCTCTATTTATTTTCATTTGAATATTTAGTATTCCTATCCTGCTTATCTTGTTTTGTTTGCTCTTTTTTTGTGGAGATTTAAATGAATTACCCAGTAAGTACTGCTTTAGCTGCTTCTTGCTTTGGTGTTTTGATTACATCCATCTCGAAATATTCTTTAATTTCCACTGTGACTTCTTATTTGACCCACAGGAATGTGTTGTTTAATTTCTACATATTTGTGAGTTTCACATGTTTCTTTCTGTCATTGATTTCTAAATTCCACTTTGGTTAGAGAATATAATTTGTATGATTTCAGTATTTTTAAATCTATTGATGCATGTTTATGGCCTAGCATATGATCTATTTTGCAGAAAGTTACATGTACTTGAAGGGGATATATATTTTATTGCTGTTGGGTGGAGTGGTCTTTAGATGTCTCTTAGTTTAAACTGTTTTATAGTGTTGTTCCCTTGTTGCTACTAGTAGCATGGAACCACCAAGCCCCTCTTAATTGCTCACCATTAAGATACTCACTGTTTTCAACAATGCTTTCAGGCATTAACTTCTCCAGATTTTGTTCCCCATAAATTCAGTCCCTTCAGGCAGAGATGCTATGCTTTATGCCCTGCCTTTCTACATATATAGAAACTCTGGACAAGTGTACCTGAGCTGGGTGTGGGTATAGTAGACCACTTCTCCAGTAACACCTTACTCTATTAGTGGACACTGAGGAGAGATGGTAGCCTCTGGTCATTTCAGCTTGCCAGTCTCCATGTAGAAACTTTACCTTACAAATACACTGGCACATAGGAGATTGGGAACCCACTAGTCTTAGCCTATCACAGCTGAGGCAGAGGCCTCACCCTACAAGTAGGAGCTAGTCCTCTAGCCCAGACTTGCCTGCCTCGACTAGGACTTCTGCAAAATGGCGCTGTGGAGGGATAAGACACTGGTGGCTTTCTCCTCCTGGGTCAAACTATGGACTAGGAACTTGGGGGATAGAGGCCCCCATCTTCTTGGTCATATCCACATGTAGCACATGTAGTAGAGGTCTAGAGTAGAGCTTGTCACATGGGGCTGGGGGAGATAGAACAGCTTGTAGCTCAAATGTCACAGATTCTAACCATTTTTGCCAAGATTTAGTAATTTTCTTAAATACTTCTTCATTTGTTATATGCCCTTATGACAATTTCTAAAGACTTTGTGTGTGTGCATGTGCATGCATGTGTGCGTATATACATAGCTGTCACGAAATAATGGTGTTTCTCTGGGAAATGGGTTCACCAAGATCCTCATATAACTATAACAAAAATGCAGGTTCAGACACTGCCATTTGCAGAGTCCAATTAACAAGAGCAAGGTCTGGTATAAAGAAAGTGACTTTTTATTCCAAAGCTAGCTTAGGGGAAGAAATACAGGCTTCCTGCCATAGAGGTACAAATTCACTTTTGGAGCAGAAAATTGACACTTTTAAAAAGGGACCCAGCATGAATGGCACGCAGGGGAGGAAGCAAACAGGTAGGGGTCTGCATGCTCACTTTGGTGCCTTATCTACCAGGCAGTGAACTGGTGCCTTTGTGAGCAGAACGAGATTGTAAAGGTGGCCGAAACTTTCCAGGTGGGAGAGAGTGTCATAGCAGGCATACTAAGGGTTGTAAATTGACTGTTGTCCCTCAAGGCAGTCTCCTGGTGGGAGAGAATTCTGCTCTGGAGCTTCTAAGAACATGGTTAGATGAACTTGCCCTGTAGGGAGCGTCTGATGTAGGGGAGATAAAAGGTTATAACTGCATTTCTAAAGGGCTACGTAAGAAGTGGGGAATGGGGAAATTGATAAAATAAGAGAAAATAATAATAATAACTCATTTTCTTTTTCTTAGAAATATGAGTATACTCAATTATAATTTCCCACTGTCAGGTTCCGTTTTACTTCTATGGGATTTGGGTGCCACATTCACTCTGGCTACTTCCTGCTGAGAAAGGGCATAGTCATTGTTTGTCAAAATGAAACTGATCTACTTGGAGTTGGAAATATTCACAAGTACCCAGACTTACAGATGATGTTTGTTGGAACATTACGGTGTGAAGTTTGAAGAGTCTTTGGGAAAGCCTGTCTTGCATTTCCATACAGAGTGTGCAACTGCAGTAAACTCCACAACAGAGGAATATGCCTATCCCTGCAATCAAGGCCAATGTTACAAGCAGCTTTTTCTACCAAGATGGTCTTGACCTGAACCAGAATACTGACCACTGGTCTATTGACAATATTATGTCAGACATAGGTTTGAGTTGTTGGTGCATGTCTTGCAAAGCTAGAGACATTTTTCCCAAATTATCAGGGATGTATATACAGCAGCTACTCTTAATTATCATTCAGGTTCCCCACTGCCAATTGTAACTGGATATAATGACAGGATGGCTAAATATGTATTTAAAAGGTTACAGGAAGAGTTATGAACACTCATGAAGGTGGCCATAAGCCCTGTCTAGTCCATGAGAATGGATTAGTTTAGTTAAATAGCTGTGTTCTATCCAGGAGGTAGCACTGCAGATGGGCTAGGCCTCTGTATGTGATGAAGGCAAACAGATTTTTGATAAGAGGCATGTCTATGGAAACAGAAGAAAAATAAAGGTTAATGTTGGGCACAATTTTCCAGATGTTAGACTCACAGCATCTTTAGTTACAGAGGAGGAAAGTTGTGGCAGCCTGACATGTTTTTCTTGCCTGTGTTACAAGGAACAATGTAGTAGCGATTTCATTGAGTTCGGATCAGGAAAATGGAAGAAAAAATTCAAAGTGTTTGTTTAGGGACTTGTAGCCCAGAAAGAATTCAGAATTTAGTCCAAATTGCAGAAAATAATAAAAACTCAAAAACAATGGACAAGACTAGAATCTAACACAGGTGTACTATAGTTTTTTCTGAAACATAATTTTTCTCTCTCCAGTCCCCATTTTTACTAAAGACAAATCATAGTAGGATAAATTTATTTGGAAAATAAGGTTTAGTCTTATTTTGCTTGTCCTAATTATTTGCATCAAGTACAGCAAGAATAATTATTTGCCATATAAGTTCCTTTGCAACTTGGCTTTGCTGGAATTTTTATTTATACGGAATCTTGGATTAAACCTTTTAAAGCTTCGAGCCCAGCCACAGATTTATTGGTGCCTGCAAATAACTGCATGGATTGAGTGAATCCCTTTCCTTTTGAAGTCCCAAGGTAACCTGGGGCTCCTGAGCCTGTCAAAAAGTGACCTTCTTTACTTAGCACAAGTCAGGAAACCCTGTACAGGGACTGCATGGACAAGGTATCAGGCCAGTTTTTCCCAAGGGGCTTTAATTGGCTCTATAAGTCAACTTTGATTTGTTGAAGCCATCTGTTCATATCTGAAAGTATGGCAATCCAGTTAAAGCCTTGCTAAAATAACCAGTGTCTCCAGTGGTGTCCTGTTACAAAAGAGAACAGAATCTTATTGAGTTTATGTAAAAATAACTATACTGCTATAAACTAAGTATACTTACAAATAGTTTTCAAGTTCTGGAGAAATCAGGTAGAGAGAAATATGCTCCATATTTTTCTCACACGAGTGTACTTTACCCAATTGTTAAAAGCTGTAAATAGCTCAAAAGAAAAAAAGGTTTCTGGACTCTGAGAAACAAAAGAATTAGCAATGCTTCAAACAAAAAGTCATAAAAAGATTAGTCTTCCATTAGTTCAGTCTATGCAATTAACTCCCGTTCTGCTCAATATTCCAGAACATATTAGCTCCCTATGGGAGTCTTGGAAGTTTTTTTTGTCCATTCGAGTGTCACAATCCCCAAAGTTAATAGAAACCTGCATTCAAGAATACCTGTCAGAATCCTACAGCTGATTATAAAATGGCCTTTGAAGAGAATCAAAATAAAATAACAATTATGGATGATAGAAGTCTCAGAACACTCACAGATAAAGACACAATTGACAAGGAAATCTGGTCATCTCTGTGGCATGCAATAATTTAACATAGCAATCTTAATTATTACTGATAACATATATTGAGATATATCAGAATTATGGGGATCTTATACAATTCTGGAAAACATACCAATAACATATTTACATGAATATAACCCAAAGAAAGAAAGTTAAACACCATTTTATATGTAACAGTGCTTCCTGTATGGCTTTAATATACCAAGTAAGCCAAATATATCTCTTTTGGACTTCAGGGGACCTAATAAAAGAGTTAACCAGGTCAAAAAAAAGCTTAATTTAGAACTTGACTTTGGAAAGTTTATCTAATATCAAAGCTTTAAACACCTGATATTACAAAATAGATTCCCAGGTCACTATAAGCTATTTATTTAACCAAGATAACTCAAAAGTTTTTTAAAGGCTAAAATCTTTACTCATTGATAGAGGGCAGACTCAGCTTTCCAAACAAAACCCAAAAAGACAGCATGAGGACAACTGAATCTCTTTTCTCTCCCTTCTTTTTTCTATCATTATTCAAAAGGCAAATAAAAATCTTTCATTATCTTTTAATATCACACGAAAATCCTGTTCAAAAGAGAAAGCCAAATTTCACCTTTGCATTTAGTGTGCTATTAATGTTAAACCCAATTCTTAATAAAACCTTATAAACAAATCTGTCCAATCTTAATTAGTTTGACCATAATGTAAAATTTCCATAAGCCTTTCATAACACTTTACAATTTTCTGTTAAAGAGCAGATCAATACTCTAAGAAGACCTTGTAATTCCAACACATGGGCCCAGATTCTGGCCCTGCATCAGTGTGCTTTTTTTTTAATGTTTAATTTTTGGAAAAACTAAATAGCCTCCTTCAAATTTTAGCCAACTTGCTCATACCCACGGAACTTCCTTTACAAGATCAATCTCTCACAAATCTTTTACAACTTGCTTAAGCTCTCAGTTTTGTCCTATTATTCTTTTAGCTTAGGACAATCCTTAAAAACCTCTGAACTAGACAAAATTGCATTTCCTTTAACAAAAACCATAATTACATGCCTTCTTATAACCTTTTACTAAAAATACATTCTACCTTCCTTATACACCTTGCACATAAAGCTGTTTCTTCAGTAGTCTCAGTTACTTGTTACAATGTTAACTCTCAGCAACTTTTATTTTTGGTGAAAAACGCGGTAAGTAAGCAATTTTAACCATGTATCAATCAGATTATGGAGCCAAGGACAAAGACAGAGCTGCAGACAATGTCTGACTCTTCCCAGCCTAGCCAGGGAAACTGGCTAACTCTATGTCCCCAGGCCTTAACTAGAGAATCTAATTGGCTGTAAACAGACAAGTTAAGTAATTATTAAAAGTCATAGAAGCAGCTTATGACCTTAAGGCATCTAGAAAACAGTATCTGACCTGCCTAATTTAGACCAAACGTCTAAACGTTGAAGACAGTTTTCTTTTATCAATAACCTTTAAAACTAGGCTTATTTACCAAAGATTACTACAGTCTTGTGAACTAAAAGGCATTACAGTTTTTATTTTTCTAGAAAAGTATTTGATTTAAGCACTTATTTTTAAGCCAATTAATTAGAGCTCTTTTATATAAGCATTACACATACAACACATATACATACACAGACAGAAGCAGATCTGGTAGGGAGATAAAATATTAGATACAAGAGGAAGAAGGATTAGACAGGAGTAAATGAAGAATCAGACAGAATTCCATTGACTGAGAAGATTTTAGAGGGCAAGCAAGGGTTTTAAAACAATATAGGTACACATATAACCCAAATATCACCTTTAAGTTAATTTCTAACTACAAAGCTCTCAAAACATATGTATATATATTTAAATCTTTTATTACCAGATTTCAGCTAGGACAAAGGGCCAATATTTCTGACTTTTAATTTTTTTTAAATAAAGGTAACCTCCTACATGAAATCAATAAGCCTTAACCAAGGGTATGACTTAACTAACCTTAGGTGCATGGGGCATTTTCGAAAAGATGGCAAGTGATTTTCAAAAGCTCAGGGAAAGGGAAATTTCAAGACAGGAAATCAGAAGCTGTCCATAAAGGGAAAAAGAATCAATAAATGGCCAAAAGTCACACAAATAACAAACCAGAATGGACCTATTCCCTAAGCACCTAGGCTGTCACTGTGAAAGGCAAAGCCTACTGAGCTATGGGATGGGCCACATGCCACTGACCTTTCCAGAAGGACCTAGAGCAATCATTTATGAGCTTGCAAAGGATTTTAGCTTCTCACAAGAATTAAGGCTAGACATGACATTATCATGTACCCTTTTTAGACCCAAGAGTCAAAGCTCTGTCTTAACAGCACAAGGACTTAAAAAGCAATACAGAAAGTTACATGTATAATCTCTTCAACTCCATAATTTGAATTAACTTTTAGATAACTTTTGAATTAGTCAAAATTATTTTTCTCAGTAATGAGAGGTGAAGCCAGCTGGACTTCCTGGGTCAAGTGGGGACTTGGAGAACTTTTCTGTCTAGCTAAAGGTTTGTGAATGCACCAATCAGCACTCTGTAAAAACACACCAATCAGCACTCTGTATCTAGCTAAAGGTTTGTAAATGCACCAATCAGCACTCTGTAGAAACACACCAATCAGCGCTCTGTGTCTAGCTAAAGGTTTGTAAACACACCAGTCAGCACTCTGTAAAAATGCACCAATCAGTGCTCTGTGTCTAAAGGTTTGTAAATGCACCAATCAGTACCTGTAAAAATGCACCAATCAGTGCTCTGTGTCTAGCTAAAGGTTTGTAAACGCACCAATCAGCACTCTGTAAAAACGGACCAATCAGCGCTCTGTAAAATGGACCAATCAGCAGGTCGTGGACGGGGCCAAATAAGAGAATAAAAGCTGGCCACCCGAGCCAGCAGCGGCAACCTGCTTGGGTTCCCTTCCATGCTGTGGAAGCTTTGTTCTTTCGCTCTTCACAACAAATCTTGCTGCTGCTCACTCTTTGGGTCCGCACTTCCTTTATGAGCTGTAACACTCACCACAAAGGTCTGCAGCTACACTCCTGAAGCCAGCAAGACCACGAATCCACCGGGAGGAACAAACAACTCCGGACGCACCACTTTTAAGAGCTGTTAACACTCACTGCGAAGGTCTGCGGCCTCACTCCTGAAGTCAGCAAGACTACGAACCCACCAGAAGGAAGAAACTCCAGACACATCTGAACACCAGAAGGAACAAACTCCAGGCACACCATCTTTAAGAACTGTAACACTCACCGCGAGGGTCCGCGGCTTCATTCTTGGAAGTCAGCGAGACCAAGAACCCACCGGAAGGAACCAATTCCAGACACATTTTGGCGACCCAGATGGGACTATCAACTATCACCAAGCAGTGAGTACCATCGGACCCCTTTCACTTGCTATTCTGTCCTATTTTACCTTAGAATTCGAGGGCTAAAGACCAGGCACCTGTCGGCCAGTTAAAAGCGACTAGCATGGCCACCGGACTAAAGACACAGGTGTCAGGGTTTCTGGGAAAGGGTTCTCTAACAATCCCTGACTCTTTGGAGTTGGGAGCATTGGTTTGCCTGGAACCAGCTTCCACTTTTCCTGTACTGCTGGGCTGAGCCAAGGGTCGACAGAAGAGGAAAGCCATTCAGCTCCGGGGTCCCAACAACAAGTTGGTTCACCCTGTGGCCATGAGCAGAACTCTCAAAGTCATGTCGCCCAAGTGAGACTCGCCCATCTATCCTATCTATCCTGACCCTTGCCTCCTGGGTCCTAATGCTTGTCAGACAAACTTCATCTCACCTCTCTTCTCCGAGGCTAGTCCCGCTTCTAAAAACCACTCCCTGTGTCTGGTGCTTTTCTAGTTTCTCCTGTAAGAATGATTTCTAGTATAAACTCCAGGACTCTGTTACCTTCTTTAGGCACCCAGGCTCACCAATTAGAAAGACATAATTTTTGCCCAAAGCCCCGTCGGAGCGGGGGACTATCTTATCTGGAATTTTAGGATCCCTCCTCAGACTAGCAGGCCTAACAAAAGCTATTCCTGAAGCTAAGATATGGGGAGCCTCAGAAATTGTATCCTTCCTATTCATATAAATGAGGACAAGGGCTGATGCAAGCCTTTGTCCTCTTCCAACTCTGGAGATCCCTCCCATCCCTCAGGATATGGCCCTCCACTTCATTTTTGGGACATAACATCTTTATAGGATGGGGTAAAGTCCCAATACTAACAGGAGAATGCTTAGGACTCTAACAGGTTTTCGAGAATGCGTCGATAAGGGCCACTAAATCTGATATTTCTCGGTCCTCTTTGTGGTCTAGCAGGACAGGCAAGGGTGCAGGTTTTCGAGAATGCATCGGTAAGGGCCACTAAATCCGACCTTCCTTGGTCCTCCTTGTGGTCTAAGAGGAAAACTAGTGTTTCTGCTGCTGCGTCAGTGAGCACAACTATTCTGATCAGCAGAGTCCAGGGACCACTGTGGGTTCTTGGGAAAGAGGTGTTTCTGCTGCTGCATCGGTGAGCGCAACTATTCCCATCAGTAGGGTCCAGGGACTGTTGCGGGTTCTTGGGCAGGGGGAGAAACAAACAAACCAAAACCGGGGGTGGTTTTGTCTTTCAGATGGGAAACACTCAGGCATCAACAGGCTCACCCTTGAAATGCATCCTAAGCCATTGGGACCAATTTGACCCGCAAACCCTGAAAAAGAGGCAGCTAATTTTTTTCTGCACTATGGCCTGGTCCCAATATTCTCTCTCTGATGGGGAAAAATGGCCACCTGAGGGAAGTACAAATTACAATACTATCCTGCAGCTTGACCTTTTCTGTAAGAGGGAAGGCAAATGGAGTGAACTTATGTCCAAGCTTTCTTTTCATTGAAGGAGAATGCACAACTATGCAAAGCTTGCAATTTACATCCCACAGGAGGACCTCTCAGCTTACCCCCATATCCTAGCCTCCCTGTAGCTCCCCTTCCTATTAATGAGCCTCCTCTAATCTCCCCTGCCCAGAAGGAAAGAAGCAAAGAAATCTCCAAAGGACCACAAACACCCCCAGGCTATCGGTTATGTCCCCTTCAAGCTATAGGGGGAGGGGAATTTGGCCCAACCCAGGTACATGTCCCCTTGTCCCTCTCTGATTTAAAGCAGATCAAGGCAGACCTGGGGAAGCTTTCAGATGATCCTGATAGGTATACAGATGTCCTACAGGGTCTAGGGCAAACCTTTGATCTCACTTGGAGAGATGTCATGCTATTGTTAGATCAAACCCTGGCCTTTAATGAAAAGAATGTGGCTTTAGCTGCAGCCTGGGAGTTTGGAGATACCTGGTATCTTAGTCAAGTAAATGATAGAATGACAGCCGAAGAAAGGGACAAATTGCCTACCAGTCAGCAAGCCGTCCCCAGTATGGATCCCCACTGGGACCTCGACTCAGATCATGGGGACTGGGGTAATAAACATCTGCTGACTTGTGTTCTAGAAGGACTAAGGAGAATTAGGAAAAAGCCCAAGAATTATTCAATGATGTCCACCATAACTCAGGGAAAGGAAGAAAATCCTCTGCCTTCCTCAAGTGGCTACTGGAGGCCTTAAGAAAATATACTCCTCTGTCACCCAACTCACTTGAGGGTCAATTGTTCCTAAAGGATAAGTTTATTACCCAATCAGCCGTGGATATCAGGAGAAAGCTCCAAAAGTGAGCCCTGGGCCCTGAACAAAATCTGGAGGCATTATTAAACCTGGCAACCTTGGTGTTCTATAATAGGGACCAACAGGAACAGGCCCAAAAGGAAAAGCGAGATCAGAGAAAGGCCGCAGCCTTAGTCACGGCCCTCAGACAAACAAACCTTGGTGGTTCAGAGAGGACAGAAAATGGAGCAGGCCAATTGCCCGGTAGGGCTTGTTATCAGTGTGGTTTACAAGGACACTTTAAAAAAGATTGTCCTATGAGAAACAAGTTTCCCCCTCACCCATGTCCACTATGCTGAGGCAATCACTGGACGGCACACTGCCCCAGAGGACAAAGGTTCTCTGAGACAGAAGCCCCCAACCAGATGATCCAACAACAGGACTGAGGGTGCCCGGGGTAGGCACCAGCTCAGCTCATATCATCGCTCTCACTGAGCCCCGGGTATGTATAACCGTTGAGGGCCAGGAAATTGACTTCCTCCTGGACACTGGTGTGGCTTTCTCAGTGTTAATCTCCTGTCCTGGACAACTGTCCTTAAGGTCCGTTACCACTGAGGAATCCCGGGACAGCCTGTAACCAAGTATTTCTCCCACCTCCTCAGTTGTAATTGGGAGACTTTGCTCTTTTCACATGCCTTTCTTGTTATGCCTGGATGTCCCACACCCTTATTAGGGAGGGATATATTAGCCAAAGCTGGAGCTATTATCTACATGAATATGGGGAACAAGTTACCCATTTGTTGTCCCCTGCTTGAGGAGGGAATCAACCCTGAAGTCTGGGCATTGGAAGGAACAAACTCCGGACACACCATCTTTAAGAACTGTAACACTCACCGCGAGGGTCCACAGCTTCATTCTTGAAGTTAGCGAGACCAAGAACCCACCGGAAGGAAACAATTCTGGACACAATAAGAGCCCATGTTCTTTGGTACATTTTATATAAACCTAGGAAGCAAGAAGTCCTGAACTGTGTATCGATATTAGCAGTTTATAGATGAGAACATTCCACAATTTTTGGAACATGTTTCCCACACAGCAACCCCTTTTTAATTGGAAATGACCCAGACATCCAATAAGCATCCAAAACAATTCTAAGATTTTAAAGTATACATAAGTCTACTTACAAGCATTTATGTCATTTATATGTACCCAATTTTCCCATTTCTAACAGTTTATTTAGATTACTTCTGAAAATTGAGATATTACACAAAGGTGGTCATTATTTAAAGTTATTTCCCTGTTAACCATTTTAAAGCCTGTAAACATTAGGTGTTTAAGTAAGAACCTTAAACATATGGGCATTTTGTCAATAACTCAGATTTAGAAGTTACCACTGAACTAAAATTAGTCTCTGTCAAAAAAAATATACAAACTCACCACTTTATGGTGAAATTCACACTGCTAAGCTATTCTTTCATGAGATTGGAACTTGTTTACATGGCTAAATTTTGTTTGCCCCAATACATAATCCAGTAAAAGCTGTGAACTTAAATTTTGGTAAAGCACTCCCTGTGGTGGCTTTTTTTTAAAAAGAAACATTTTACCCTTTTCCCCTTCAGTTTCAAGTGAGTTTCCAATGTTTACGTTCTAGTTAGTCCACAAATAATGAGTCCTATCTCAGTACCAGCAGCTTAGTAACAGCAGATTTAAAGCAGGCAGAAAAGAAGAGAAAGATATAGCCTGGCAGGCCTCCACACAGAAGCCAGGTTTTACAAGTGGGGCATGAGAAAGAAAGGAGGGGAAGAAGGTTTTACGAGTGGGGAATGAGAAAGAAAGGAGGTAAAGTGACTGAAAGGAAACTTGGGAGCCTTCCAGCCATCACACAGTGCAGGGTCACTACCCCCACCATTCTCATTTATCTTCCATTAAAGAGAGCCTCAGTACCCCAAGTGGGAGGCTCTCCCAGATAGTCAGAAGGGTGAAACTGGAGGTAGAGAGTAAAGTGATCAGGGCCCATACACAAAGTCATACATTTACACATGGAAACAAACAGCATGCTTCCGAATGAATCACCAATCAAGGGATTGGGTGAGGTCCTGAATCCCCCGCCCCAGTTCCAAATGGCTCCACAGGCAGCTGAGTCCAAGCCCAGCAAATGGTCCTTTGGTGTTGCACATACAAACAAATGTAAATGTATAAAATGATGAAATGGTGTCACTATCAGCCAAGTCTAAATAAAGCAGGGCCCCGCAGCACCCCAAGAGAGGCAGAAGGTGGTCAGGTGCACTCTAACTCACTCACTCAATTCCAGAGTTTGCTGGCTTCTTCAGAGGTCACTTTCTTTGTACCCGTGAAGGATTGAAAGCAGCAGACATCATGCTGGGAGGTGAAAGGGAGGTTCACCAAGAACAAAAGCCTTTCTGGCAGCTGCTGTGAAGTTCCCTAATGGTCCTGTCACGGGTCTGCTAGCCAAGAGCAGCTGGCACTCACAGGCGACCCCACGCCTGACCCAGTGATGAAACCAGGCTGACAGGCTTGGATCGCCTAGGGCACACAGAACTTCCCCATATGGGCCACCAAAACTGTAACCAAAATGCAGGTTCAGTTGCTTGCCACTTGCATAGTCCAATTAACAAGAGCGAGGTCTGGTATAAAGAAAGTGACCTTTTATTCAAAACCTAGCTTAGGGGAAGAAGTACAGACTTCCTTCCTTAAAAGCACCGCTTCACTTTTGGAGCAGAAAGTGCATGCTTTTAAAAGGGGGCCTAGAATAAATGGCATGCAGGGGAGGAAGCAAACAGGTGGGTGTCTGCGTGCTCACTTTGTTGCTTCATCTACCAGGCAGTCGAGTTGGCTTCTTCATGGACAGAACTAGGTTGTAAAGGTGGTTGAAGCTCTCCAGGCGGGAGAGTTTTGTAGCAGGCATACTTTGGGCTGTAAATTGACTGTTGTCCTTTTGGCAGTCTCCTTGTGGGAGAGAGTTCCACACTGGAGCTTCTAAGCACATAGTTAGATGAAATTGCCTTGTAGGAAGTGTCTAGTGAAGTGGAGGTAAAAGGTTATAATTGAATTTCTAAAGGGCTAAGCAGGAAGTGGGGAACAGGGAGAAAAGGAAAAAACAGAAAAGGAGTAACCAAAATAAAAAATAATAACTCATTCTCTTTTTCTTAGAAATATGAAATACTCAGTTACATAACCATCTGGAAGTCCTTAAATGTTGATACTACTCAAAGAGATCTTCACTGTCCTCTCTCTACACTCTCTACTGGATGATCTCATTTATATCCTCTTCACCTACTGCCCATGCACTGATGACTCCAAAATCTACATCTCCGGCTCATTCTTCTTTCCTAGGCTGCACATCAGGGTATCTCCGGCCTTTTGAACATCTCCAAGTTAATGCCCCTTGGGTACCAGAAATTCACATTTATAAAATTAACCTCACATTCTTCTCAGGCCTGCATAGGGGGAAGAAGTACAGGATTCCTGACTTAAAAGTACCGCTTCACTTTTGGAGCAGAAAGTAGGTGCTTTTATATTTTTCCTCTATTAGGTTCCATCTAAGGGAATGGCACACCATCAACTCAGTTGCTCCAGCCAAATATTCTAAAAATATATCCATGATATCCACACCTCTCTCTCAACTCCAACATCCAATTAATCAACTTATACTCCTTTAAATGCCACATATTTACATCTTTTTTTTTTGAGACAAAGCCTTGCTTGGTCACCAAAACTAGAGTGCAGTGACACAATCATAGCTCACTGCAGCCTCAAACTCCTGGGCTTAAGCAATCCTCCTGCCTCAGCCTCCCAAATTGTTGGGATTACAGGCATGAGCCACTGTGCCTGGCTCACATATTTCTTGAATGTATCTACTTCTTTCAACATAGTCAATACCCTAGTTCAGGTCACCATCATTTCTCACCCGGACTATTACCACAGCCTCTTCTTAGCCCTTTAGCAAACAATTTTCTACTCTTCGGATTGAGGTCATGTCTCCTTTCCTCAAATCCCTGAACAAGTCACATCAGACTCTCTATAATCTAGATTTTTCTTACCCCATCAGTTTCATCTCCAGAAGATCCTTTCTTTTCTTTTATACCCTTACACTACATTCTAGACATAATGAACAAGTTCTTGTTCCCCGAAGCACCATATTTTATCTGTCTTCCAGAACCTCACATTTATTCTTCCTTCTCTGTGGAATACCCTTTCACTACTTTTACTGGCTAAATCCTATTTATCCTTTAGATGTCAAATTACATGGCATTTCCTCCAAGAAACTTTTTCTCTTCTTCCTAGCCTCATATAGATTAGTTCCCTGTACTATGAGCTAGCAGAGCCGACTGAATCCCCACTATCATAAAAAATACTTAGTACATTTTGTTGGAATGTATAATGTCTCCTCAATACACTGAGAGTTCCATAAAGACAGGAGCTATTTCTGATTTGCTCAACCCACATACCCTGAGGTAGCAGAATTCTTGGCCTAAAGTTCTGAATAGCTTTATCACAGCTAAAGCACAGTTGTAAGGATGGAGGCACTAGATCAGTGCAAATACTTGACTATTTATCTACCAGGTTAAACCTAGATGGAAAAATACAGCTTAAATAACTCAAAATTTTACTGATTGAAACATGATGAAGGCCCCTTCTTCATATATTAAGTACTAAGATTTAATTCAGAATTAGAAAAAGGTCAATGTAAATAGTCTTGGACAGCAAGTGTTTCTGGGAAAGGTTTCCTTGCTCTAAATCAAATGTAATAGTAAACTTTTAAAAATAGATTTTGTGTATATTTAAGGTATACATGTTATGGGATACATATAGATAGTGAAACAGCTACTATAATGAAGCAAATCAACATATACATCATCTCACAGAGTTGCGCTTTCTTTTCTGTTTTTGTGGCAAGAGCAGCATTTTTTTTTTTTTTTTTTGAGACAGAGTCTTCATCTGTCGCCCAGGCTGGAGTGCCTTGGCTCACTGCAAGCTCCGCCTCCCGGGTTCACGCCATTCTCCTGCCTCAGCCTCCAGAGTAGCTGGGACTACAGGCGCCTGCCACCACGCCCGGCTAATTTTTTCTATTTTTAGTAGAGACGGGGTTTCACCGTGTTAGCCAGGATGGTCTCGATCTCGTGACCTCGTGATCCGTCCTCCTCGGCCTCCCAAAGTGCTGGGATTACAGGCGTGAGTGACCGCGTTCGCCCAAGAGCAGCCATTTTTAATGGCAGAATGGCAACAGCATTCTGCATACCTGGTTATCTAATCCCAACTTTGTTCTGTATTGGAAGCGTGACCTGTATCATTTTACCTAACCTTGCTGAGACTCAATTTTCTCATCTGAAATGGAGCTAACAGAACCTCCCCTGCCCCCATGTGACTTTGAGCTCAAATAATTTATGTGAAAATAGTGTAATAAATTTTTCTTTAAAAATACATTAGGACTGAGCTAACTCCTTAAATGTCCACTAGGGTGCATCATGCCACCACTGGAACCATCTGCTAAGAATGACTTTGCAGTCTACCTACATAGTCTTCTTTTAACACCCAAGAAATGAGGTCTAAGTTTGAGTGAGTAGATAAAAGAAAAATAATTGTTACCAACTCTGCCCTGAGCCCTCTATCCCCTCAGCACTAGCCCCAAAGTCTAAACTCCCAGAGGTCTTGGCCTGCTTCTTCACATTGCTGTGAAGACTTACACAGGTCACAGTGTTAATGGATCTTCTTGGACCGTGGATGGGCTTTTTGGTTCTCCATGTTTACCATCCGGTATAAAGGAGGACCACTGAATTCATTATAAGCTGTTGTCATCATCTTCATCTAAAGAACATGAGCTTTTGAGTAAGATAAAACTGAATTTCCATTCCCAACCCACCACATTCCAGTCTTTTGATTCATTTCACTGATTTCAGGTTTATAGCCTTAATTCTGGGAATAGAAATTTGAGACATCTCAAGTGCTATTTGGAGACTGAGTTGAGGGAACAACTTTCCCCTCTCCTCAGGTATGGGAATATCAGTGTCCATAATTTGAAATTGCAGACTCTCAGTTTTTGGTAGTGGTAGGGGTTGGAGGATGGAGGGATTTCTCTAGGCCATTTGGAGTCAGCGTGGGTCAGAGGACTAGTCTAGCAACAAAACCTACAAAGTGTCTGACCCTTCAAGTATACACTGTGCAGTAGTTGTAAATTGTATTTTTTGTATTACATTTCCCTCACATTATCTGGTAATCTTCAGTAAAATCTCATTAAAAGTCACGGCCTAGTCTCTGATGGTGCTGTAAGAAATTAGGGAAGGGTGTGGGCACATTATGGGGTAAGAAGGTAGAAGAGGGAGAGCAGGATTCCCTTTTGAGTCCAGAGTTATTTACCACTTGGATACCACTGTGCCCAGAGGAGCAGCAACTTCATGAGGGTCAGAGCCTGCAGAGAGGCAGTGATATGGTGGCTTGCTGAGAAGCCAGAGAAGACAAAGACAACTTTCTGGAAAACAGGTAAACTAATAAAAGGCCTACTTTTAGCCAATACACTGCAATTGTATGATTTATTACAAGAGCACCCCCTCTGAATTGATGGCTTGTCCCCAGCCTCAGTGCTTGGTAAGTAAAAAGTCTGTGTGGGAATTAGGAAACAAAAGCAAACACAAAACAGGCCTATTCCACCCTGCACTAAGTCTTGGTGACTAGAGCTTGGTCTAAATTTCAGACCCAAGTTTTCTGCTATGCTTTTTATACTTATGCAAGGCAGAAGCAGTACAAATTCCATTATGGCCCTGCGCATTAGCCTAAAAAATTCTAAGGAATAGCGAGATGCCTGTATGGCATATACTTAACAATAAAAAGATCATGGATTATTTGGAAATATTCTGGATGAGGCACACCTGTGCTATCCTTGTTTGAATTATATATATTTGTAAATAGAAAGACTGGAAATTATATATATTTAAACTTGGTTATCTGTGTAGAGGAATCGTGTGATTTTTTTACATGTAATTATTTAAATTTTTATTTTTAATTTTTTTGAGTACATAGTAGGTATATATATGTATGGGGTATATGGGATATTGATAAAGGCATACAATGTGTAATAATCACATCAGGATAAAAGGTGCATCCATCACCACAAGCATTTATCCTGTGTTACATGCAATCCAATTATACTTTTAGTCATTTTTTAACGTACAATGAAATTATTGACCATAGTCACCCTGTTGTGCTATCAAATACTAGATCTTATTCATTTTTTATTTATTATTTTGGAATTTTAAAAATTTTCTGAAATTGAGATGAATTAATTTTGTAGTCAGAAAAAACAAATTCAGTGCCCTTTTTTAAAAAGGTAAATAGTAGAATGAGTGTCCCAACTGGAACCTAAACTTATGTCCACCACTAGGGTTTAAAGTTTTCCGGTAATGTGTGACATACTGAAGGGGATAAAGTCCTTTGGCATGTAGAACTGGGGGCTTTGCAAGGAAAAATTCACACTAACGGAAGAGCAGTCTGCAAACAAGTTTAGCTCAAGAACAAAAGCTAGGTTTTCGGAGAGGAGGAATCAATCTTTCTGGGCTGTGGATCTGTCTTCTGATCAGCCTTCTGCACTTAAGTCTAGGAGAGAGGGGGCCTACAAGTAAACTCTGAAGAATACTTTTTTCAATTTTTATTATGGAAAATTTCAAACATATACAAAAGTATAGAGAATAGTATAATGAACTCTCAAACATCCATCACACAGCTTCAGCAATTACCAATTTATGGCCAATCTTGTTTCATCTATGTACTCAATTACCCCACACTCAGATGATTTTGAAGCGAATACCAGTAACATATCATTTCACCTGTACATTTTTCAGTATACTTCTCTAAAAGATAATCATTTTTTAAAACAACATAACCACAGTACCATATCACATCTTAAAAAACAATAAATCAAGAAGTTATATTTTTATTTCAAATTATGTAACAACTGGGGACACAATCAATACATTTCACTGGTATCATGAGGAAGAGTGTCACACTAAAATGGAGTCCAAGCTTTTATCGATGCAATTGCTTTATAATATAAAAGAAAAAATCAAACAAACTAGCATATTAGAACCACTTTTGGTAATTTGTAAGGAGCTGAAGACTGCTGATATCACACATCCCATGGCAAACTCCGTAAGATTTCTTCTAAACATCTTTGTTATTTTCTTAAAATTGTTCTGGAGGCAGCTGATGCAAGTCCTCTTTTTTAAAAAAACCTTCACTTTGTGTTCCCCTCTAATAGCAGCCTCTTTCCTAAATGCCTTTTCTAAATGACAACAATTTTGCCCTCTCTCAGCCCTCTGCATTCTCATATGCAGAAACCAGGTAGGATGAGGAGCTAGCTGTGTGTACTGGAAAAGGGATGAAAACTACAGCCAAATGGATCAGTGAGAGAGGCAAAAGAAATCTAGACAAACTAAATGGCATAATTAAGTTTGGAAACTGCCTATGATATAGCCTGTTGGCTCTGGCATCAAATAATACAGTATGTTAAATCTGTAAAATGAGGAAACAGTGTTTCCTCAAAGAGATGTTAAGATGACATGTAAGAAGTGGTTAGGGCAGGCATTGCAAAAAAATGTCTTATATATCATTTTAAAATTTATTTTTATAAAAACTCACAACATTATTTTGCGTCCACTGTATTTATTTTTACAATTACCTTTATAGCAAGTGATAGTTTTTGAATAAAATTTAAGCAAATCATCAACAGTACAAAAACACTAGAGTTGTTACACGAAGGACTGATTCTACAAAACATTACCCTAGGTGATGGCATAATCTTAAAACTGTGCAGCTACTGTGTGGTATGACATAGAAATAGGAGTAATAATTCTTGTCCTCAAACATCTTACAACTGTCTTGAAATATTTCTGAAACACCTGATACACAAAAGCCACACACATGGTGCCTAGATAGCATATACTCTACTAGCACCAGATTGGAAGGGGAATGTTTTGCCACACGGTGATTACAAAATATTAATTGAATCAAAGAACCTTCAGTGATGCCAACCATATTTCAAGTAGTGTCTCAGATGCAGAATATGCAAAGAGTAAGGAAAAATAGTCTTTGCTCTCAAAGACATCATAGTCTAATGAAGGCAGACACATCAAAAAAGCACAACAAAAGGCTATAGGTGCTGAATTAAGAGTCTATTCACGTATAAGAGTACAACAACCAGAGCAAGAGTCAGTGGTATAGACAGGGAAGGAGTGTCCCAAGATGCAGGAAGAAACCAGATGAGCTGTCTTCTTGGGAACACAGAAGTGCTCACCTGTACTTGACAATTCCACTGATCACTGGGTTCACATCAATGTTTCTTTCAGCACAATACTGAACATCTTTGCTGTTCATCTGGAAAAACAAACCAACACACAATTAGCAGGCTTATGTTAATAATTCCTCCAACTGACAAATGTACCAAGAGCTTATTATGTACATCAATCACTTTGCATCAAGCACTTCACTTCCACAGAATTATCTAATGCAGATGCAATCAATGAGTCTGGATCAGCAACTGAGGGGTTATAAGCCAATGTATACCATGATGTAAAAAAGTCAGGAAAGCAGCGATATCAGAAGTTTTGTAAAAGAGGAGTGACCATTTAAGACATAAAATATCCTAAATTCCATGTTACAGACTCTAGACTCATGGAAATAATTCAGGCTGATTCCCACCCACGAAAGAGTTTTCAGTCCAGTGACCACATGGCCAAGAAAACAGATTAAGTACAATAAACTCTGCGAACCATGACACAGAAGAGGGTTTCTTAACCCAGGTGGTCAGGAAAGGCTTCTCATTGGAGATGTTTGTAAAGTGTCTATTTTTACTATCTCCAACAACAGATTTTTTTTTTAAACTGAGCGTCAGATAGTTAGATAACTTGGCTTAAGTTTCAGTGAGGAAGAACTGGAACTAGATCTGTCTGACTTCAAACCCCCAATGTAGTTTCTATCACATCATGCGCTCACTCTTTTTTTTTTTTTTTGAGACGTAGTCTCACTCTGTCGCCCAGGCTGGAGTGATCTTGGCTCACTGCAACCTCTGCCTCCTGGTTTCACGAGATTGTCCTGCTTCAACCTCCCAAATAGAAGGTATTACAGGCACGTGCCACCATGCCTGGCTGATTTTTGTAGTTTTACTTCATTAATAATTAGAAGTAGAGTTGGGGTTTCGCCATATTGGCCAGGCTGGTCTCCAACTCCTGACCTCAAGTGATCTGCCCACCTCGACCTCCCAAAGTACTGGGATTACAGGTGTGAGCCACCATGCCCAGCCCATGCTCTCTTATTCTTATAAAAGTGTTATGTTTTAGCACAGTCAGCATAGTAACTTCCACTTCTTATAGTGCTGTTTGCCCAAACATATTTAAAATCTGCTAAATACCATTAGTATTAATAGCTATCTTATCAAGAGACCACTACCAGGAAAATATTGTTTAAAGTCTTTCAGAGAGTACCTGGTGGCTCCCCCACAAGGGAATTCTAGAGGTGAAAGCTCTGCCAGGCAAATACACATTTTCTAACTGTAAACAAATTGGCATTCTTATACTAACCTTCTGAAATGAAATCACAGAAAGAATTTAAAACCTTTACATCAATTGTTGCAAATGAATCTATGCAAATAAAGCAACAAAATTATTTTCGAGTTTCTTCCCTTTAGTTTGTTTCTTTAAAGTGTAGTCAACAGATTTTGTATCTAAACACACACATACTTCTTGAGAAAAACTGTATATATTATAGACACAGCACCAATTGTTTCCAGTATATGCATCTATATTAATGTTTCCTCTTTATATATTCACAAGAATAAAACACTTGACCAGCTGAAAATGTAAGCTATTTATAAAACATGCAGAAAATAAATCTGATTCATGTCTGCAAACCTCAATTGTCTGTGTACTCTTTTTCCTTTCTTTATCAAGACAGGGCTGTAAAATTTAGGTGTACATTTTTCTGCTATCACAAAAGAAATAATGTACAAGTGAACTCTACTACTCTTAGAAGGAAAAAAATCTCAACTATACATCAAATTTTGGAGCACTGAAGTGGCAGAAATTTTCTATATACTACCTCTGTTCTAAAGAAATGTGGTGCCACTGTTCCGAAAACAAATCTTATAACACATTTAAGTATAGGTAAACAAAGTACAAATCTCAGTTTTTCAAAACATTTTCTGTACTAATGCTTTTAACTTGAAACTCTTGACTTAGTTTTGAAGAGAAAAAAAGAATCTCCTTGGCGCTCTTAACTATTCTGATGAGACTAAGTTCCAGAGAATATTTTACAAAAACTACTTAATTTAACAGTACGCCTTGAAAAGTAACACTACATATTCTAAGTGTTTCTGGAAAAAAAAAAAGAAAAGGAAAAACCACGACATATTTATAAGCTAACAATTCTTAAGAGAGGGTTACTATGAATGCTGTACATTAATTTTTACTTTGTCAGATACATAACTTAAGAACCAAATAAGATGATGCATAATTACTTCTAATGATAGAAAGTACGAGTTAAGTCTCCAAAGTAATCGTGACAGTGTTTCATGTGGAACACATTTCATCTACAAAAATATCCATAAAATACAATCTAGTATACCTCCTAGGTCAATATTAATGTAGAAACAAGAACCTTCTGTAATAATTAGGTTATTGAGGAAAATCTTAAGATCCATTTTAGACTGAATAATTAAGTCAAATTGTTTGGAATTTAAAATATGTGCTTCATGATGATGAAATAATCTGTACAACAAATAACCATGACATAAGTTTACCTGCGGAACAAATCTGCACTTGTACCCCTGGAATTAAAAGTTACAAAATATTTTTTAAAATATGTGGTTCAAATATATATATTCAACATGTATCACTTTGTTAAGAGAAAAATAGAAAAATACTCCGTATTTGATCAGACCATGTAATTCAGATAATAAAACTGTTGTAAGTTTTAAAAAGCCACAATTTCTAGTTTACTCTTTCCTTTGATAGCATTAGTGCAGAAAATATTTTGAGAAACAGATTTGTACTTTGTTTACCTATACTTAAATGTGTTGTTGTAATATTTCTTTTCAAAACAGTGGCACCATATTTCTTTAGAAAGTGCAACGGCACTCACTGTTTAGCAGCATAAAAAATATTATTTGTGAAATTACAATGTACTCCAAATAGAGAAAAATATTTCAGTGTTTTGAAGGGTAAAATACAAAAAGCACACAAGGGGGCAGCAAAAAAAAAAAACAGCAGAGACGGTTTCAAAAGGAACTTTTCTATGGTATTAAAAGACAGGAGAGCAAAATAATGAGTAGGAGGTTTTTGGATTACAGGCAACGTTAAGTTCTTGATGTAGATGCTGGTCACCTGCACCTAGAATAGGGTGTCCTGTGAGACAAAACAATTATTCTCTATCGTTAAGAGAGATTGTTCAGGAATCCTAATAGTTTGACAATTCTGTACCAGCTGAACATCACTAGAGCTAACTCAGTTGGGATGTAATCACCATAAAAGATTCCATTCCTGTGGTTACTGGGAGTCAGGGAGGTTTAAGCGGAATGTCACTACATTCAAATATGGGAGGGAGACCACTTTCAAAAACGAACTTAAATCCAGAGAACCATGGTTCTTCTATGGTATCCAGTAAGGGGCAATGGGAGTTGGAAGTTGAGTATGGGAAATCAAATTCTGTGAATACGGTTTTTCTGATAAGATGTGTTTGGCTAGCAGATCCTCCGCAGCATCTATTCAATAAGGTTAATCTACATGGGAAATAGCCATTTGAAGTCAGCAGTGAAAAATTACCACTTGTGAAAATTTTTTGAAAACCAAATGATCTACATATAGAAACAGAAAAAGAAATTTCTGAAAGGGGCAAATGAGATCCCATTTCAGAAGCTAAAGTGACTGTAGAGTGCAGAAAGAGCACAACATGTAGGATTTCCCAATTTTTAAAAAAATTCAAAACTGATCTTTTAAACCAACTCCCACCACAGAAGGCCTCCCTGACAACAAGGGCGAACGCTGTGAAGGAGAAAACTAAAGGGGAAAAAGAATACTAAAAGATGCCACACAACCAAGCTGGTCAGACTTTAAAGGCCTCCACTACCAAACAAACCACAAGGCTGGTATCAAAAATGCGCACGCACGCTCACCCACGAATATGTGTGAAATATAAAAGAACCAAAAACATCACAGGGCGCACAGGCAGACACACACTCCACACACAATCCCCACCCACCCCTCGCCCCCCACACACACCTCCCAAAAGCAGGGTGAACAGTTAAGGCACCTAAAACCCCAAGCCGCATAGGCTTCCCCGAAACATTTTACAGTGTAACCAAGAAGCGATTTTGAAAGCATCTGAAAAACGTGCAAACTGTCTTGAAAACAGGGCCTGGCAACTGAGACAGTTTGCAAGCGTGATTCAGAGGGTCTGCCAAGGAAACAAAAGAAGCCTCCCTCCTCCCCGTGAGACCGCACATGGCACGAGAGGTGCTCCAGGCGGGACGCATTTTAAGCGAGGCAGACAAATAGAAGTCTGCGCGAGCGCAAGCGGTACATACTAGGGATCGCTATCTGGCGAGGATGGGGCCATGGAGTTTCCATTGGTTGGGGAACCGCCCAGCTTTAGTTTCTCCAGATATTCGGCGTGCACGGGCTTGTGGCACTGGAGAACCTTGATGGCATCTTCGACTTTGAACCACTCTCGCTTCCTCCCAATGCTAACCGAATCTTCCCAATCCTCCAGCAGCTCCGTGACAGTCAGTACATACACGTACGTTCTGTGCTTGCGATCCTGGTTCTGTTCGAAGACGCCCAGGAGCCGGCCTAACTTCCCCTTGACTCCCGCTTCTTCGTACACCTCTCGGACCGCCGCACCGCCCGGCTCCTCCTCGGGCTCCATGCCCCCGCCCGGCACGATCCAGCGGTCCGGGTACCGGCTGCTACTCACTAACAGGACCTCGTCCTCGCGTTCGCTCCGGAAGCACAGGCACGCCGCCCGCTTCTTGAACCCCTCGGGGTCGTAGGTCCGCGTCTGGTTGGGTTTGCACTTCATCCTCGAGGCAGCCTCCTCGAGGCAGCCTCCTCTCGCCTCTCGCTGCTGTGTGGGCCGCCGCTGCCGCTGCCGCCGCCGGGGAACAGCCGAGGTGCTGGGAAGAGAAAGGGCCGAGGCGAGGGGCGGGGAAAGAGAGGCGCCTCCGTCTGCCCGCGAGCCCGGGGAGCGGAGGGAGAGATGAAGCTGGGCGGGGCGCAGGCGGAGGCGGGGGCAGCGAGGCGCGTCAGCCAGTCGGCCAGTCCGATGGGCGGCCGGCCGAACCCGGGCCCGCCGGAGTGGAGGAGGTGCCGCCGCCCGCGAGCCCGCGACTGTCCACAGACCCCACTCGCTTGTCGGGGGCGCGTCTCCCTCCCTCCGCCGCCGGGTAGGGTTTGAGCGAGGTGAGGCGCATTAACGGACGCGTCCGCGCTCCCGTTCACGTGCGCGTTCGCGGCGGAGGGCGAGGGGCGGGGGCGGGGGTCTCCTGGCTCCCGCAGCGCGCGACGCCTCGGGCCCACTGCGCAGGCGCCCCGCACCCCTGGGGGCCGAGAACGTCGTTCGCGCACTGTGAAATACACCGCATTGTGACTTTGGCCGACTGCCTCCACGTGTGCCTTTGACCCAAACGCGACTGTAGCGCGGCAGGACGTTTCTCCTCTCCCTCCCCACCGCGCTGCACGAAACCCACACGCAGCCGTTTTACACACGACAGAGGCAAGGGCATCGTCGTCATCATCCTCCCCCACGATGAACCATTCTGGCTTACTCATGGGACCTGGGCCCCGGTGTTGTCAAAACGACCCACGGGATTCTTGGCAGAATAGCCGCGCATCCTTGCTGAGTCACATGATGCAGTTTTATTTCTTCAACAGGTTCCCACCTTGCCGAGCATCCTGGCGCAGCTAGTAATTTAACGCTTTTCTTAAACCCCTGTTCACAACCTGCCTGACCCCTTTGTGTCTCAGTTTCCTCATGGGTACACTTCTCGCCTCCTTGTTGCAGCCATTTGCACTTCGATGCAGTACACCTTAAAGACCAGAGCACCACCCATCTAGTATTCCTGCGTTAAAGCCCAAGACATTCTCTCATTCTCCACACACTCCACCCTTGTCTTTCTCTTTGATAAGCACCACTTGGGGGTTGGGAAACCATTCACGTGGAGATCCCCTCCTATTCCACACTTTGATTTTTATTTATTTTTATTTATTTTATTTTTTATTTTTTTATGGCAAGAAACATTTATTATTATTATTATACTTTAAGTTTTAGGGTACATGTGCACAATGTGCAGGTTAGTTACATATGTATACATGTGCCATGCTGGTGCGCTGCACCCACTAACTCGTCATCTAGCATTAGGTATATCTCCCAATGCTATCCCTCATTAAAGACTCAAACGTTAGACCTAAAACCATAAAAACCCTAGAAGAAAACCTAGGCATTACCATTCAGGACATAGGCATGGGCAAGGACTTCATGTCTAAAACACCAAAAGCAATGGCAACAAAAGCCAAAATTGACAAATGGAATCTAATTCAACTAAAGAGCTTCTGCACAGCAAAAGAAACTACCATCAGAGTGAACAGGCAACCTACAAAATGGGAGAAAATTTTTGCAACCTACTCATCTGACAAAGGGCTAATATCCAGAATCTACAATGAACTCAAACAAACTTACAAGAAAAAAACAAACAACCCCATCAAAAAGTGGGCGAAGGACATGAACAGACACTTCTCAAAAGAAGACATTTATGCAGCCAAAAAACACATGAAAACGTGCTCACCATCACTGGCCATCAGAGAAATGCAAATCAAAACCACAATGAGGTACCATCTCACACCAGTTAGAATGGCAATCATTAAAAAGTCAGGAAACAACAGGTGCTGGAGAGGATGTGGAGAAATAGGAACACTTTTACACTGTTGGTGGGACTGGAAACTAGTTCAACCATTGTGGAAGTCAGTGTGGCGATTCCTCAGGGATCTAGAACTAGAAATACCATTTGACCCAGCCATCCCATTACTGGGTATATACCCAAAGGGCTATAAATCATGCTGCTATAAAGACACATGCACACGTATGTTTATTGCGGCACTATTCACAATAGCAAAGACTTGGAACCAACCCAAATGTCCAACAATGATAGACTGGATTAAGAAAATGTGGCCCATATACACCATGGAATACTATGCAGCCATAAAAAATGATGAATTCATGTCCTTTGTAGGGACATGGATGAAATTGGAAATCATCATTCTCAGTAAACTATCGCAAGAACAAAAAACCAAACACCGCATGTTCTCACTCGTAGGTGGGAATTGAATAATGAGAACACATGGACACAGGAAGGGGAACATCACACTCTGGGTACACTTTGATTTTTAAAAGACTCCCGCCGTGAGACTCCCGCAAGGTCACTTGCTGCTCTCTCACCTCTCTCTCTGGTCCTCCTGTCCTCTTGGCCAGGAAATGGCATCCCATCGCCAAAAATTTAACAACCTGGAGCCTTCTTTCTTCTTATTTATTCTTGGTGTTTCCTCATCTCATAGTAGCCGTAGAGAGAAGAACCCTGAGGTCCCCTGATTTTGGTTGCACCTTTGTCTCTCTCTTACTGGCACTCTGTTGGCATCAGCCAAGGGGGGATCATGAAAGCCTCCTTCGTTTGTTGATGAAATATTTCCTTTATCTAGGGGAAATGGACTCATATGGAAATGGAGAGTAGTCGTGAGACATACAGTCCAATTTTCAAATAACAGTTTAGTTCACTTTCCCAGGATCTGCTCAACTCCACTTATACCCAGAATCACAAATAAAAATGATCCTGTTCCCAAGCACAAGCAATATCTGCACTAACCTAGACCGTAATATGACAAAACGCTGCGGGTCATATATTAACAAAATTATAAAATACAGACATAAAAAGAGTGACCTCGATAGAGACACTACCGCTCCTGACCATATTTTAAAGATGGATGGACAATGGAAGAGCATTTGAAGGAATTCAACACTTGGGATTAAAAACAAACTAAGAGGCTGGGCGCCGTGGCTCACGCCTGTAATCCCAACACTTTCGGAGGCCAAGGCGGGCAGATCACCTGAGGTCGGGAGTTCCGGACCAGCCTGACCAACGTGGAGAAACCCAGTCTCTACTAAAAATACAAAGTTAGCCAGGCGTGGTGGCACATGCCTGTAATCCCAGCTACTCGGGAGGCTGAGGCAGGAGAATCGCTTGAACCCGGGAGGCGGAGGTTGCAGTGAGCCGAGATCGCGCCATTGCCCTCCAGCCTGGGTAACAGGAGCGAAACTCCATCTCAAAAAACAAACAAACAAACAAAAAACTAAGAAAGTATACTTAACAGGCAATATTTCTCAGGGTTCTCAAATTCACAAACACACAAATGATGTTAAACAACTAGGGAAAACTGCATTACAATCAGGAGCAAGACAAGTCTGCCTACTATCAAAAATGTTATTAAGTATTGTCTTACAATTTCTTTCTAGTGGAATGAGTTGTAAAGAGAAAAAAATCTGATATATGTTGGTAAAAACACAAAGTTGTCATTATTTGTAGATGATGTGGATATCTTCTTGGGAAACAGCTAAGAAAAAATGTAAAAATAAATCCCTGTAAATAAAAAAATAAAATATTATGATTTAAAATATCAGAAGCTTTCATGCATACCAGCAATAATCATGTAGGAATTTAAATGGGAAATGATGACATCCAACTTGGCACTATCAACCACCACAAAACAAATAAAATACCAAGGGATCCTAAAAAATATTTAGGACTTGGTAGTACAAAATGTTTGAACTTCTCAGAGCTTTGAAACATGATTTGAATAAATCACGAGTCACTCTAGCAAAGCTAGCAGACTGGTGTGGTGTCTGGGGGTGGGAGGGGCCAATCCAGGCTCCGGCCACAGGGCAGGGCTGCTTCACAATTGCCAGGTACTATCTCCTTTGTCTCACAAGAATGAGGTGCCATTTTCTAGTCTATTCCATCAGTATCAGTTCTACATCACACCGTGCCTCTGCAATAGGTCCCTTCTGGGGGCATACTTGTGGCAGGGAAGAGGAATAGGACATTATAACATGGAAAGAGGCACAGACCGAAACCCTACTGGGAAAGTCTGGATATGGAGACCCACAACTTAAAACAGGCTTAATACAATAGCAAGGCAATGTTTTAATTACCTTTTCCCCAAACTTTCACAGCTGACATAGTTTGGATACTTGTCCTCGCCCAAATCTCATGTTAAATTGTAATCCCCAATGGTGGAAGTGGGACCTGGTGGGAGATGTTTGGATCATGAGGGCGGATCCCTCATGGCTTGGTGCTGTCTGTGTGATAGTGAGTGCTCATAAGATCTGGTCACTTAAAAGTGCGTGGCATCTTCCCCTGTCTTGCTCATGCTTTCACCATGTGACGCACCTTCTCCCTCTCTGCCTTCTGCCACCATTGTAAGCTTCCTGAGGCCACTCCAGAAGCTGAGCAGCTGTTGGCACCATGCTTCCCGTAAAGCCTGCAGAACCATGAGCCAATTAAACCTCTTTTCTTTATAAATTACCCAGTCTCAGGTATTTCTTTATAACAATGCAAGAACAGCCTAATAACTTTATTATTCATCTATAATATTATAGTAATAGGTCAAGAAAAGCTAAGACTTGTAACAAGAGTAAAAATCCTTTTTAAGAGAACAGCATTCCACTGTCTGGTTTTGCATATTTAAGTATTTCTCCAATGATGAAGAGTGTAATTTAGGAATCACTGTAGTAGTAGACTGTTAAAGTGAAACTGCAATTTGTTCGTGGAAGCCTATATCTCCTTCCACATTGTTGTTGTATCTGGTCTTGGCCATGTAATTTGTGGTGTCCAGTGGGACAATAACAAATGTGAACAGAAGCCAGCAGAGAATTGAAAAGTGCTTTCACACTGGGGTGTCCCCTCTCATTTTGCGCTTAAAACATTGTGACAGCAATGTGAAGAAGGTGGGGCTAGCTGGATGATGAGATACCTGTGGCAGATTCTTCCCTTTCACCCCAGCTGACAGTGAACCCATTGCCCAACATATGGGTGAGGCCATCCTAGACCATTCGGCCCCTAGCAGAACTACTTAGGTCATAACAGGGCGCTAGCTGAAGATGCATAACTAAGCCTAGCCATGAACAGCAAAAAAAAAAAAAAAAAAAAAAAAACCACTCAGATGAGATCAGCTGAAATTACTGACCTGAAGAATTGTTAACAGAATAATTTACTGTTGTGTAAAGCATAAAATTTGGGGGTGCTTTGTTATGCATTAAAAACTAGCAGCTCCAACCATTGACACCATCCATCAAAATCAACCAAAAGCAATCAGAGAAAAAAAAGGTTGTTCGTTGTAGAAATGTAACGTCTACTTAAAGATGCTGGCATTTCACTTTCTCTGGAGTCAGAAAGAAAGGGATGAGGTTAAGATATCTAACATGTGTTGAGTACAGTGCCTGTGACAGTCCCTGTGTTATTCCCTGCATCCTATTTAACTGTTATCCCATTAACTCTTAGGGAGGGAGGCAGTTCATATGTCCATTTTATAGATGAGAAAATGAGGATTTAGAGTGGAGTTTGTATTTGAGCTCAAGGCTTCGTGTCTCCATACCCTGCACACTCACAACATCAACATGTCTTATAAGAAGGATTATTATTATCCACAGCTATGGTTTGTTATGGACTTCATTGATAACATTCAGCATTGACCTATTGGGTAAGGTATTCAGTAGCTAAGAGTCACTGACTCCAGTGAAAGGTATCTTCCATCATGATGTTCTTCTTCTGGACAATAAGTGAAAAGAGCATGTGAGTACCTCTCTCACTCCCAGCAAATAATATTTGTGTCGCCTCCACATGTTACTTTACGATTTGAAGCTTTGATTTCCCCTGCAAGATAAAATGCAATGAAGTGATACAGAAAAGAAGACATTCTATGCTGTCATCACACTAGGCCATGATGTTGATTTATGGATGGTCTGCTTTCTTACATGCACTTAATATTTTTGTATAAACAAACCTGAAAGGTATCAAAATCCCCTTTAACAGATTAACAGGCTGAGATGGGTTAAAGTGAGCAAGCCGGGAAGTGGTGGAGCTGGGATCCACACCCTGGTCTGTCTTGAGTCCAAGGGTAATCGTCTTGCATTCACTATGGCATGTTTCCCTTACGTTAAGAGTTGCTGACATAGACAGTGCATGTCATTCCTTTTGGTGTGGCCTTCCTCCTTTCTAGCTTTTTTCTGCCTGGAAAATCCAGGCACGCAAGATAATGGAGCTTCCATGTAAATTTCCAGAATCCCTAGAATAAAAGCGGAGAGGATCTACCCTGAAACCAACAAGTCTAGGATACACATTTCTGCCTTTTTTTCAGAATTAGGAAGGGGCAGGCAGATGGGCAATTGACAGGAATAGTAGAAGCATCCTCAGGGAAGTTGGGTGCTTTACTTAGTGAGAAAGCCATGCCGGCTGACATTTCTAACTGAGTCTTAAGTGGAGTACAGTCCTAAGAGAGGAGCTCTCCAGAAACAGCTATTACCTGGGGTCAGGAATGTTAAAGACCTTCTCAGAGGTTGACTCTACTCACAGCTGGACCCAGCTATCAGGAAAGGGACTGCAACATACCTGAGAAGCTTTCAGAATACTTAAAGGATGCAGAGCCAGAGGAAGTGATTTTGGTAGTAGTCCATGAGAAAAAAATATGGTGTTTTAAAATGCAAATGAACTAAAATTTAAATCCTGCTCTCTCAGTAGCTATGCAGCCTTAGGCGAGTTAATATCTTTGACCTTAATATTTCTCAGGCGTAAAGGGGGATAATAGGACTACCTACTCAGAACCTCACCTCTCCCAAGAAAGGTTTCCTGACCATGTGCTGGCCCAACCTTTACACTGGGATTAAGGTACTCCCCTCTGTTTTTCCAGGCTTCCTTGACTTTAATTCTGTCATAGCTCTAATTTAGGAGTTCTGTAATGATCTGTCTGCAAGCTCGTGAGGAACTGTAGGACTAGGAACCAGCCTGAAACATGTCTGTTCCCCTCTGAGTCAACACAGTGCCTGGGATCTGTTGTCCAATAGGGATTTAAAACATATTGATTGAATGAGAAATGATGACAGGATCTACATGGATCACAAAGGATAGTTGTTATTTTACCTGTTAACTATTTAATAGTGATATTAAATGAAATATGAATGAACCTAGGACCAGGGAAGGTGGGGTAAGTTGTGTCTTTCACATCAACCTTCGTATGTTCCCTAATGTTTTCTTCCTTCATGTACCTAGGACACTCTTGTTTAAATACAAAGGTGGTTTTATTTTGGGTCTATACTAGCTAGTTCCCTAGAAAGGTCTTAAATACAAAATGAATGGAATACAAAATAACCTCCCTTATTGTTTTGTTTGTTTCCTGGACAAATGACGGGATGCATACAGAACTGCTACTTTTATGATTTTGTGAGTAATGGTATAGATGTGCACAGGTCATGGATGTGGCCCCAGTGATCCATGGAATTGTGAAGTCCAGGCGAGTCCTGCCTCTCTCGTAATGATGCAGCATGCCTTGATTTCTCCCACTTCTTTGCTCACTACCTGATCCTGTCTCACTGATGTCACCTTCCTTTTCCCTTTACCCTACCTTGCAGAGACTTCTAATTCAGAAACCAAACCCTTTCTAGTGGCCCTGTGTTTATGCATCAGAGTAAAATGTTAAATGCTTCCAAAACCTATGAGGCCCTACAACATCTGGCCCATTTCCTCTTTGACTTTGTCCCTACCAGTCCCCATGAGCCACACATCTCTAGCAGACCTGGACTCTGCAGCTTCTGGGTTGTGTCAGGCAGGCTCCTTCCCTCCTCAGGGCCTTTGCTCTAGCCATTCCCTCTGTTTGGAATGCTCCTCTGCCATGTCTACAGAGATAACCTCCTCACCCACCTTGAGGCCTTGATCACTTCTCACCTTCTGGATGAGGCCTACCAAGGCCACCTTATGATAGATTGTTAAACCCACTCTTCCTTGCCACCCTGTTGCTGATACTTCTGATCCCCTTTTCCTTGGCCGAAGTTTCCTTTCTGTTATAGCATTTTGCATCTAACAGACTATGTAATTACTTAGTGATGTTTATTGCGGTTCTCTCTCTTAGCCGATGATGGCTTCTGCTAGAGTATTAGCTCCTGATGGTAGGGATCTTTGTATCTTGCAAGCAGCCCAGATCTCTGCTGAGCATACACTGGAGTCACTCAGAAAATATCTATGGATGTAATGAATGTGTTTGTGTCCTGTGCTAGATGGGAGACTTGTGAGGGAAAGGGCCATGTTTTGTTGGTCTTTGTGAACCCACCATCCACACTCTCTGATACAACCAAAAGGGCTATAGTGAATAGTGTTTGAATTAATTAATCTTTTGAAAATGACACTGATAGGGAAAACATTCTCTTTGCAATCTCCAGCTATTCCAGTAGCTGCCATTTGTTTCTGCACCATGTAGGTACCAGATGCCATAGAAACACAGCTGGGCAGCCGTGAGATACCTGAGGGCCAGAAGTCTGATTCATTTTCCATGGCCTCTTCACAGGGTAGCACAGTTCCTACTACAGAGCATGACTTGAGGTGCTGTTTTCAGATCTCAGTCATTCATCACCTAAATGGTTTTGGTTTTATCTGGGCAGGACTTGTACTATGATTTACATATTGTATTTTATTTTCATAAGACAGTGGCTTTCAGAAAGAAACATGATTATATAATTAAATGCTATGAAAGCAGAACGATGTTATGAAAAAGTTGAAAATAAAGTGGAAGCTATTGTTGTGTAGTAGGACACGTAACTATGGATGGGCTGCACTAGGCACTGCATGTACCTTTTTCATTTAACCCTAATAAAAGCCCTTCAAAGGCAATGTTGTCATTCCCATTTTCACAAGGGAGAAGATTGAGATTTAAGGCCTTATGTAACTTGGCCAGTATCTGACAGCTAGGAGGTATCTGAATGAGGTGGAATCTTCCAGGCTCATTGATGAGAACACCCCACAAAGATGGCAGTATAGGCAGAGCCCCACCACTTAACTTGCCCCTGGAGTTCTCTCTGCTCCCCTCCCCGTTTCTCATGCACACATCTCTGCAACATTTTCCTCCCACCTCCTAACACTTTCAGAAGCTCCTCATCCTAGAAGTTGTTCTCCTGCTCCTTCGGTCAAGTGCTGGAAATTTCAACACTAATTTCTGCAGAGGCAGAAGAATGGAGTTTGTTTCAAGTCCTTGTGAAGGGATAAAATGATTGGTACTTACAGCTGCTTCAAGGTCCTGTTGAAGCTGGATCTGGAGGAGGATCTTTTATGCACAGCTAGTCCCTGCGTGAGAGAATTCCGGTCTTGGAAGGATGCCTTCCCCTCCACAAAGACATCAGGCTAGCCCACAAGGGAAGATAGTTTACTTACCAATAACACTGTGTACCCACAGGCTCAGGCCACTTTTGTCAGAAGCAGAACAGGCTTTCCAAGGTCACCACGCTGTACTAAAACTTCACCTAATCATTAGAGAAAGACAACATGGCACATACACGTGATGTTTGGTATCAAAATTGTGATCAGGAAGATGGCTGCATTCCCTGTTCCATAGTAAAACATAATATACCACCAATGAAATCAGCCAGTTCTGGAGAGATTACCACATGATAGAGTGTTTCTGACCATGGGCTCTGGGCCAGACATTCTCTGGGAGTGCAAGATGGGAAAAAATATTTCCTTTTTTCAATCTTTTCCAGGTTATCTATTTCAAGGCAAGTTTGAAAATCAATAGTTCTGTTAGCAGTTTTCCTACACTACAATAGTATATCCTACAAGTGAAAGCTATCACATTCTTAGATTCTTTCGCTTTAGCTTTGATCAATTAGCTTTTACTACCAGCCTACATCTCAGAAGGAAGCATCTTTGATTTTTGTGTCAGATGAACTTCTCTTTGTGTAGGATTCACAAAATTCTAATTAAGAAATTATATTGGGGGAATGCGGTTTCTCTTAACTACAATATCAGAATATATAATAATTGCTGTTTCAGGGCCCACCATGTATGAGGTGCTTGACATATCTTACTGATAGTTTTCTTAAAATCCCTGTGACATAAGTTTCTTTCTTCCAGTTTCACAGATGAGGAAATTTAGGCTCAGAGGGGTAGATTACTTGTCCCTGTTCACATGGCTAGGAAGTGCAGAGCTGGGATTTAAGAGGCATGCATCACAATCCATTGCCTACACTGGTCAGCAGTATCCCCACATTTTACACAGTCTTGGAAAGAAATCCCTGTGTCTCTGAAAGCCACTAATATAAATTTTAAAATTTCATACTGCTGTTACGTCATCCCTCTATTTTAGAGGTTGACTCATGACAAATGCTATTTTTCTTTTCCTGTGAAATATTTAGTTTACAACATTATATTTGAGGGTGGCAGATTTGAAAAGGTATATATATGAATAAGTTAAGTAATGTTGATTTACCCCTTTTTGTGTGCTGAAAAGTATGCTATTCACTGTGTAGAGGCCCATGGACAAATGAATCTGCTTTCTAGTCCTGCGACACCTACCAGCTTCTAGAAGACTTTGCATGGCTCTTGATACACAAAAGCCACTTTCCTATGTGGAAAGCAACCAGTGTACTGCCTCCAATTTGGAAGTGGGTGTTTTTGCTATCAGTGTTTCAGTATGAAATGTATTCATTCAGTAAACCTTCTGCAATGCCTATATGTTTATGTAGTGTAACTGATTGATAGAGCATATGTAAAGACCAAGTAAAAACTGGTTCTTAGCCAGGCGCCGTGGCTCATGCCTGTAATCCCAGCACTTTGGGAGGCCGAGGTGGGCAGATCACAATGTCAGAAGTTCGAGACCAGCCTGGCCAACATGGTGAAACCCCGTCTCTACCAAAAATACAAAATACAAAAATTGGCCAGCTGTGGTGGCGAGTGCCTATAGTCCCAGCTACTGGGGAGGCTGAGGCAGGAGAATTGCTTGAAACTGGAAAGTGGAGGTTGCAGGAGCCGAGATCATGCTACTGCACTCCAGCCTGGGCAACAAGAGCTAAACTCCATCTCAAAAAAAAAAATTGGTTCTTATTCATAACCAACTCCTAGGAAAACAAAACAAACAAAAAGAATGTAAATTCTTAGCTATACTCTGCACAGGGCGTATTTCCAGTGAAAGAGGGGAAAAGAGGGAGAGGAGATAAAAAATTTGATGGAGCAAGAGTAGAGGAAATAGGAGCAGGACTCACATCTGGAGGAATGAATCCTTGTGACTATGAACATGCATGTCTGTGCTTGAAAATGCTGTTATTTGTGAGTTCAGAGGCGTGATTTCATATTCCGGCATGTTTATGCCTTTCACCCAAACATTTAAATAATTGGATTAGCAATCTTATATTCATTCATTAATCTCCCCAGTTAATTTATTTTTAATCAATCACTTTTTACTTGTAAAGCCTAGGGGAATTTCTAAATTAATCCCACTGTGAGGACATTTCAGAAACTGAGAGATTATTAGAAAGGCATCAATTATGAAGCCAGGAATTCAGCAATACACTGGTACTAAAAGCTATTGACCAATGGGAGCTAGGTTAAAACAAAGTCCCCATGTTTCATGCATTGTGGTAGGCTCTGGGTTTGATAGGAACATTTAGGAACTTTGCAGGTGTCTCATGCAGAAAATCATGCAGGCATATCTTAACCCCACTGCCAGTGGTCTGTAAAGATTTGTCACAGTTATTTATCCGGGAGGTGTTTTACACTCACACACCCACACATGCACGTACACACACACACACACACACACATCTCTTATAAATTAGAATCCTGGAATGCTGATTGAGTCACAGAGCTAGCTGGTGTTGGAGACTCTAAAGCCTCAAAGAATGTCTATCATACGAGTTTTCTATAATAAGTTATTTAGTTTAATTCAAAGCCACTGCCTGCCACTCCCCTGGCTTTGCTTGTCTGTTGTGGCCCCACAGGAGAATCCTGGAACTGAAATCTCTGCCTCATTTAAAGGGCAGGGACAGAAGGGGCAGCCCCAGCATCTGAGCCCTTCACACTGAGAATGACACCGTCTTACCTGGAAGTGTCCTCCATTGTTGCTGTCACACTTGAAGCTGCCTGTTCTCACAGCTACATTGTAATCAGTCTTCCCTACACAATATTTAGCATTCTCACCACTGTGCGTTTAGCTATACCTACTTTAATTTGCACCTTAGAGCTACGTAGGTTATGGCTGAGCCAAAAATGATTCTTCATCTTCTGCAGTGGTTTAGATAACGCAGTGCATCATTTTAGCCACAATAGATTTCATATAGTAATAACTTAAATACCTGTATATTCGTTTTCTATTGCTGCATAAAAAATTACCACACACTTAGTGGCTTAAAACAGCACACATTTATCACTTCCCAGTTTCCATAAGTCTGCCGTGGATCAACTGTGTTCTCTGCCTAGGGCTTTACAAGGCTGAAATCAAGTTGTCGTTCTCACAGACACACCCAGGATCATGTTTGCTCAAATGTCTGGGCACCCCATGGCCCAGTCATGCTGACACATAAAATTAACCATAACACCAAGCGTCTTGACACACTTTGTAAATTAACCATTATATTTTAATTCCCTTTGTATCTTAGTTAAATGATCTATTTCCCTGGTTTCATACCTATAAAATGGAGCTGTGAATAATTTTACTTTGTTAGTTGCATGTTTATTAATTAATTTTAAGGTTATATGTGTTAGTAGGCAAAAACGGTTAATCAGGAAGTTTATGTTTTTTACTACAAAAGGGAATTTTTATCAGGTGGCATGCAGACTTTTAATATTTATGAAATTTTACCACATAGCAAGTTCTTCTATAAGCTCTTTAAACGCTTTACCTCATTTGATTCAGCAACACACCATAAGTACCTTTGTTATCCCTATGTTCATAGGAAGACATTTCATATGAGACACAGAGGCTAAGTAATTTATCCTAGATGACATCTTATAAGTGGCAGGCCCAGGATTGGAATCTATGGTTGTAGAACCAGTCTTCCTATCCAATTATTGTGACCACATAATTTATTATTCAAAATATATGAAAGAGAGCAATATTAAAATTATGCCTCCACAATTGGCATACAACAGAAAAGTTAGACATATCAAGCCAATTGCTCACTCCGTGACAGTTTTTTTGCTTACACATGACAGAAAAATCTTACTTAGACTGGCTAATTCAAAAAGCAAGTTCATAATCTCACAGCATTTGTAACACCCTCATGACATGACTTTTTCTCGCTCTACTATGTTATTCCTGTCAGCATACACACTGGTGTTATTTTTCCCTTGTTAAAAAAATGCAAGCACCAAAAACCTGTTTACTTCACTCCTTTTACTTGCTTAGTGCTATTTATCTGTTCCCCTATTGCAAGCTTCCCACAGAGTGTCATCTACGGTCCAATACTGTGTCCAATATCTCTCTTTCTATTCTCTCTTAATGATACTTCAGCCAGGCCTACGCAGCTTCCACTAAACAGAAACTGTTCTTCTCAAGGTAACCATGACAGAGAGATTTTGTCACCACCAGGCCTCCCTTACAAGAGCTCCTGAAGGAAGCACTAAACATGGAAAGGAACAACCAGTACCAGCCACTGCAAAAACATGCCAAATTGTAAAGACCATCTATGCTAGGGAGAAACTGCATCAACTAACAAACAAAATAACCAGCTAACATCATAATGATAGGATCAAATTCACACATAACAATATTAACCTTAAACGTAAATGGGTTAAATGCTCCAATTAAAAGACACAGACTGGCAAATTGGATAAACAGTCAAGACCTATCTGTGTGCTATATACAGGAGACCCATCTCACGTGCAGAGACACATAGAGGCTCAAAATAAAGGGATGGAGGAAGATCTACCAAGCAAATGGAAAATGAAAAAAAAGCAGGGGTTGCAATCCTAGTCTCTGATAAAACAGACTTTAAACCAACAAAGATCAGAAGAGACAAGGCCATTACATAATGGCAAAAGGATCAATTCAACAAGAAGAGCTAACTATCCTAAATATATATGCACCCAATACAGGAGCACCCAGATTCATAAAGCAAGTCCTTAGAGATCTACAAAGAGACTTAGACTCCCACACAATAATGATGGGAGACTTTAACACCCCACTGTCAATATTAGACAGATCAATGAGACAGAAAGTTAACAAGGATACCCAGGAATTGAACTCAGCTCTGCACCAAGCGGACCTAATAGGCATCTACAGAACTCTCCATCCCAGATCAACAGAATGTACATTCTTCTCAGCACCACACCGCACTTATTCCAAAATTGACCACATAGTTGGAAGTAAAGCACTCCTCAGCAAATGTAAAAGAACAGAAATTATGACACCAATATTTCTAAATCGAGTGGCTATTTCACAGTCTTCTCCTTAACTGACCTATTTATACTTTTGGATAGAGTTAGGCCAGGCGCAGTGGCTCATACCTGTAATCCCAGCACTTTGGGAGGCCGAGGCAGGTGGATCACCTGAGGTCAGGATTTCGAGGCCAGCCTGGGCAACATGACGAAACCCTGTCTCTACTAAAAATACAAAAATTAGCTGGGCGTGTTGGCGGACGCCTGTAATCCCAGCTACTCTGGAGGCTGAGGTAGGAGAATCACTTGAACCCGGGAGGTGGAGGTTGCTGTGAGCTGAGACTATGCCATTGCATTCCAGCCTGGGCAGCAAGAGCGAAACTCTGTTTCAAAAAAAAAAAAAATTTGATAGAGTTGATAACTCCCTCTACTCGGAAGTCCTTTCTTTGCTGAGTTCCAGTAAAATACTCTCTTGGTTTTTCTGTGACCTCATTAGCTGTAACTCCTGAGTCCCCTTGGCTGATTCTCTTCCTTTCCTCATGACCTCTTGACATTGAAGTGCCTCAGAAGTCAATCCTTGGTCTCTCTCTCTTCTCTGCCTACACTCATTACCTTGGTGATCTTTTCCAGTATTGTGGTGTCTTATGTGATCTACACTCTCATCACTGTCCAGTTTAGATAGCTGACCTAGATTCCACAGTCTATTTCCAATTACCCACCTGGCAAGTACACATGCATGTTAAATAAACATTTTGATTTTAACTGTGTAAAAATTGGATTTATTTCATTCCCCTGATTTCATCTACTTTCATTCTTTCTCATCTCAGTTAAAGTTAACATTATCTTTTCAGATGCTCGCTTAGAAACAGTGGTGTCAATCTTGGCATTAAATTCATCCAGAAATACTGTTGGGCCTGCATTCTAAATATATTGAGAATGTGAGCAATTTTGCCCCCCTACCACTTCATTGTAAGCCACTACAATTTCTTGCCTGGATGGCAATAACATTTTTACTGGTTCATCTCCCTGTACCTTTGTTTCTAATGATTAGTCTCATCCCAGCAGCCAGAGGTATCCTTTTGAAACCTATGTTGGATCATGCCACTCCTCTGTCATTGTTCTCCATCTCATTGAGAGAGAAAAAAATATCAAACCATTTGCATGGGCTTCAAGTTCCTATGTGATCTGATACTCTGTTACTTCTCTAAAATCCAACAACTCCCCCACTAGATCCCACTACATCAACCCTACCTATAAAAATCATACTTTCAACTAAAGACTTTTTACTGGCTGTACTCTCTGCCTGTTATTCTTCCTCCACATACTTAATAGCTCGTTCCATCAACTTCATTAGATTTTGCTGAAATATCACATTGTGAGGGAGCCCTATCCTCTGCAACGTCCAGCCCTATCCAACTTCTCAACCTTCCAGATCTTTCTTTTTTTTTTAATTTTTTATTGTTTTTTTTTTTTTAAGTTTTAGCTGTATCTTATTTATTTATGTATTATTATTATACTTTAAGTTTTAGGGTACATGTGCACAATGTGCAGGTTAGTTACATATGTATACATGTGCCATGCTGGTGCGCTGCACCCACTAACTCGTCATCTAGCATTAGGTATATCTCCCAATGCTATCCCTCCCCCCTTCCCCCCACCCCACAACAGTCTCCAGAGTGTGATGTTCCCCTTCCTGTGTCCATGTGTTCTCATTGTTCAATTCCCACCTATGAGTGAGAATATGCGGTGTTTGGTTGTTAGTTCTTGCGATAGTTTACTGAGAATGATGATTTCCAGTTTCATCCATGTCCCTACAAAGGACATGAACTCATCATTTTTTATGGCTGCATAGTATTCCATGGTGTGTATGTGCTACATTTTCTTAATCCAGTCTATCATTGTTGGACATTTGGGTTGGTTCCAAGTCTTTGCTATTGTGAATAATGCCGCAATAAACATACGCGTGCATGTGTCTTTATAGCAGCATGATTTATAGTCCTTTGGGTATATATCCAGTAATGGGATGGCTGGGTCAAATGGTATTTCTAGTTCTAGATCCCTGAGGAATCGCCACACTGACTTCCACAATGGTTGAACTAGTTTCCAGTCCCACCAACAGTGTAAAAGTGTTCCTATTTCTCCACATCCTCTCCAGCACCTATTGTTTCCTGACTTTTTAATGATTGCCCTTCTAACTGATGTGAGATGGTATGTCATTGTGGTTTTGATTTGCATTTCTCTGATGGCCAGTGATGGTGAGCATGTTTTCATGTGTTTTTTTGGCTGCATAAATGTCTTCTTTTGAGAAGTATCTGTTCATGTCCTTCGCCCACTTTTTGATGGGGTTGTTTGGTTTTTTCGTGTAAATTTGTTTGAGTTCATTGTAGATTCTGGATATTAGCCCTTTGTCAGATGAGTAGGTTGCAAAAATTTTTTCCCATTCTGTAGGTTGCCTGTTCACTCTGATGGTGGTTTCTTTTGCTGTGCAGAAGCTCTTTAGTTTATTTAGATCCCATTTGTCAATTTGGGCTTTTGTTGCCATTGCTTTTGGTGTTTTAGACATGAAGTTCTTGCCCATGCCTATGTCCTGAATGGTAATGCCTAGGTATTCTTCTAGGGTTTTTAGGGTTTTAGGTCTAACGTTTAAGTCTTTAATCCATCTTGAATTGATTTTTGTATAAGGCGTAAGGAAGGGATCCATTTTCAGCTTTCTACATATGGCTAGCCAGTTTTCCCAGCACCATTTTTTAAATAGGGAATCGTTTTCCCATTTCTTGTTTTTCTCAGGTTTGTCAAAGATCAGATAGGTGTAGATATGCAGCGTTCTTTCTGAGGACTCTGTTCTGTTCCATTGATCTATATCTCTGTTTTGGTACCAGTACCATGCTGTATTGGTTACTGTAGCTTTGTAGTATAGTTTGAAGTCAGGTAGTGTCATGCCTCCAGCTTTGTTCTTTTGGCTCAGGATTGACTTGGCAATGCGGACTCTTCTTTGGTTCCATATGAATTTTAAAGTAGTTTTTTCCAATTCTGTGAAGAAAGTCATTGGTAGCTTGATGGGGATGGCATGGAATCTGTAAATTACCTTGGCCAGTATGGCCATTTTCACGATATTGATTCTTCCTACCCATGAGCATGGAATGTTCTTCCATTTGTTTGTGTCCTCTTTTATTTCATTGAGCAGTGGTTTGTAGTTCTCCTTGAAGAGGTCCTTCACGTCCCTTGTAAGTTGGATCCCTAGGTATTTCATTCTCTTTGAAGCAATTGTGAATGGGAGTTCACTCATGATTTGACTCTCTGTTTGTCTGTTGTTGGTGTATAAGAATGATTGTGATTTTTGTACATTGATTTTGTATCCTGAGACTTTGCTGAAGTTGCTTATCAGCTTAAGGAGATTTTGGGCTGAGACAATGGGGTTTTCTAGATATACAATCATGTCGTCTGCAAACAGGGACAATTTGACTTCCTCTTTTCCTAATTAAATACACTTTATTTCCTTCTCCTGCCTAATTGCTGTGGCCAGAACTTCCAACTCTATGTTGAATAGGAGTGGTGAGAGAGGGCATCTCTGTCTTGTGCCAGTTTTCAAAGCGAATGCTTCTAGTTTTTGCCCATTCAGTATGATAATGGCTGTGGGTTTGTCATAGATAGCTCCTATTGTTTTGAAATACGTCCCATCAATACCTAATTTATTGAGAGTTTTTAGCATGAAGAGTTGTTGAATTTTGTCAAAGGCCTTTTCTGCATCTATTGAGATAACCATGTGGTTTTCGTCTTTGGTTCTGTTTATATGCTGGATTACATTTATTGATTTGCATATATTGAACCAGCCTTGCATCCCAGGGATGAAGCCCACTTGATCATGGTGGATAAGCTTATTGATGTGCTGCTGGATTCGGTTTGCAGTATTTTATTGAGGATTTTTGCATCAATGTTCATCAAGGATATTGGCCTAAAATTCTCTTATGTGGTTGTGTCTCTGCCCAGCTTTGGTATCAGGATGATGCTGGCCTCATAAAATGAGTTAGGGAGGATTCCCTCTTTTTCTATTGATTGGAATAGTTTCAGAAGGAATGGTACCAGTTCCTCCTTGTACCTCTGGTAGAATTCGGCTGTAAATCCATCTGGTCCTGGACTCTTCTTGGTTGGTAAGCTGCTGATTATTGCCACAATTTCAGATCCTGTTATTGGTCTATTCAGAGATTCAACTTCTTCCTGGTTTAGTCTTGGGAGGGTGTATGTGTCGAGGAATTTATCAATTTCTTCTAGATTTTCTAGTTTATTTGCATAGAGGTGTTTGTAGTATTCTCTGATGGTAGTTTGTATTTCTGTGGGATTGGTGGTGATATCCCCTTTATCATTTTTTATTGCGTCTATTTGATTCTTCTCTCTTTTTTTCTTTATTAGTCTTGCTAGTGGTTTATCAATTTTGTTGATCCTTTCAAAAAACCAGCTCCTGGATTCATTAATTTTTTGAAGGGTTTTTTGTGTCTGTATTTCCTTCAGTTCTGCTCTGATTTTAGTTATTTCTTGCCTTCTGCTAGCGTTTGAATGTGTTTGCTCTTGCTTTTCAAGTTCTTTTAATTGTGATGTTAGGGTGTCAATTCTGGATCTTTCCTACTTTCTCTTGTGGGCATTTAGTGCTATAAATTTCCCTCTACACACTGCTTTGAATGCCTCCCAGAGATTCTGGTATGTTGTGTCTTTGTTCTCATTGCTTTCAAAGAACATCTATATTTCTGCCTTCATTTTTTCATGTACCCAGTAGTCATTCAGGAGCAGGTTGTTCAGTTTCCATGTAGTTGAGCGGTTTTGGGTGAGATTCTTAATCCTGAGTTCTAGTTTGATTGCACTGTGGTCTGAGAGATAGTTTGTTATAATTTCTGTTCTTTTACATTTGCTGAGGAGAGCTTTACTTCCAACTATGTGGTCAATTTTGGAATAGGTGTGGTGTGGTGCTGAAAAAAATGCATATTCTGTTGATTTGGGGTGAAGAGTTCTGTAGATGTCTATTAGGTCCACTTGGTGCAGAGCTGAGTTCAATTCCTGGGTATCCTTGTTGACTTTCTGTCTCGTTGATCTGTCTAATGTTGACAGTGGGGTGTTAAAGTCTCCCATTATTAATATGTGGGAGTCTAAGTCTCTTTGTAGGTCACTCAGGACTTGCTTTATGAATCTGGGTGCTCCTGTATTGGGTGCATATATATTTAGGATAGTTAGCTCCTCTTGTTGAATTGATCCCTTTACCATTATGTAATGGCCTTCTTTGTCTCTTTTCATCTTTGTTGGTTTAAAGTCTGTTTTATCAGAGACTAGGATTGCAACCCCTGCCTTTTTTTGTTTTCCATTTGCTTGGTAGATCTTCCTCCATCCTTTTATTTTGAGCCTATGTGTCTCTCTGCACATGAGATGGGTTTCCTGAATACAGCACACTGATGGGTCTTGACTCTTTATCTAATTTGGCAGTCTGTGTCTTTTAATTGGAGCATTTAGTCCATTTACATTTAAAGTTAATATTCTTATGTGTGAATTTGATCCTGTCATTATGATGTTAGCTGGTTATTTTGCTCATTATTTGATGCAGTTTCTTCCTAGTCTCGATGGTCTTTACATTTTGGCATGATTTTGCAGTGGCTGGTACTGGTTGTTCCTTTCCATGTTTAGTGCTTCCTTCAGGAGCTCTTTTAGGGCAGACCTGGTGGTGACAAAATCTGTCAGCATTTGCTTGTCTGTAAAGGATTTTATTTCTCCTTCACTTATGAAGCTTAGTTTGGCTGGATATGAAATTCTGGGTTGAAAATTCTTTTCTTTAAGAATGTTGAAAATTGGCCCCCACTCTCTTCTGGCTTGTAGAGTTTCTGCCAAGAGATCCGCTCTTAGTCTGATGGGCTTCCCTTTGAGGGTAACCCGACCTTTCTCTCTGGTTGCCCTTAACATTTTTTCCTTCATTTCAAGTTTGGTGAATCTGACAATTATGTGTCTTGGAGTTGCTCTTCTCGAGGAGTATCTTTGTGGCGTTCTCCGTATTTCCTGAATCTGAATGTTGGCCTGCCTTGCTAGATTGGGGAAGTTCTCCTGGATAATATCCTGCAGAGTGTTTTCCAACTTGGTTCCATTCTCCCCGTCACTTTCAGGTACACCAATCAGACATAGATTTGGTCTTTTCACATAGTCCCATATTTCTTGGAGGGTTTGTTCTTTTCTTTTTATTCTTTTTTCTCTAAACTTCCCTTCTCGCTTCATTTCATTCATTTCATCTTCCATCGTTGATACTCTTTCTTCCAATTGGTCACATCGGCTCCTGAGGCTTCTGCATTCTTCACGTAGTTCTCGAGCCTTGGTTTTCAGCTCCATCAGCTCCTTTAAGCACTTCTCTGCATTGGTTATTCTAGTTATACATTCTTCTAAATTTTTTTCGAAGTTTTCAACTTCGTTGCCTTTGGTTTGAATGTCCTCCCGTAGCTTGGAGTAATTTGATCGTCTGAAGCCTTCTTCTCTCAGCTCATCAAAGTCATTCTCCGTCCAGCTTTGTTCCGTTGCTAGTGAGGAACTGCGTTCCTTTGGAGGAGGAGTGGCGCTCTGCTTTTTAGGGTTTCCAGTTTTTCTGCTCTGTTTTTTCCCCATCTTTGTGGTTTTATGTACTTTTGGTCTTTGATGATAGTGATGTACAGATGGGTATTTGATGTGGATGTCCTTTCTGTTTGTTAGTTTTCCTTCTAACAGACAGGACCCTCAGCTGCAGGTCTGTTTTAGTACCCGGCCATGTGAGGGGTCAGTCTGCCCCTGCTGGGGGGTGCCTCCCAGTTAGGCTGCTGAGGGGTCAGGGGTCAGGGACCCACTTGAGGAGGCAATCTGCCCGTTCTCAGATCTCCAGCTGCATGCTGGGAGAACCACTGCTCTCTTCAAAGCTGTCAGACAGGGACATTTAAGTCTGCGGAGGTTACTGCTGTCTTTTTGTTTGTCTGTGCCCTGCCCCCAGAGGTGGAGCCTACAGAGGCTGGCAGGCCTCCTTGAGCTGTGGTGGGCTCCACCCAGTTCGAGCTTCCCCACTGCTTTGTTTACCTAAGCAAGCCTGGGCAATGGCAGCCGCCCCTCTCCCAGCCTCGCTGCCACCTTGCAGTTTGATCTCAGACTGCTGTGCTAGCAATCGGCGAGACTCCGTGGGCATAGGACCCTCCAAGCCATGTGCGGGATATAATCTCCTGGTGCGCCATTTTTTAAGCCCATTGGAAAAGCGCAGTATTGGGGTGGGAGTGACCCGATTTTCCAGGTGCCATCTGTCAACCCGTTCTTTGACTAGGAAAGAGAACTCCGTGACCCCTTGCACTTCCCATGTGAGGCAATACCTCGCCCTCTTCGGCTCGCTCACAGTGCGCGCACTGACCTGCGCCCATTGTTTGGCACTCCCTTGTGAGATGAACCTGGGACCTCAGATGGAAATGCAGAAATCACCTGTCTTCTGCGTCGCTCACGCTGGGAGCTGTAGACCAGAGCTGTTCCTATTCGGCCATCTTGGCTCCTCCCCCTAGCTGTTGTTTCCTACAGATCTTTCTTAACTTCCTCTAATTTTTTCCATGCTGTTATAATCTTCTGACATACAGTAGGATGTAATTATTCATTTTATTTACTGTTTGTATAATTACATGGAAATATGAGTTCCATGAGGGTAGACACAGTTCTCTGCTTTATTTGCTGTAGTATCTTTAGGGCCCTCAATCGTGCCCGTAGTTAGTTATTCTTCATTAAATATTTGGTCTATTTCCAAACCAGACTGGAAGTCAAAAGTAGGTGGATTCCATACATGGGGAACTCTGGCTCTAGGATGCCATGAAGAGTTCAGATTTTTTTCCTCTCTTCTTCGCCACTCTCAGTGTCCTTAACATGCTGGTCTCAAGACGGCTGAAGCACTTTTAGGTCTCTGATCTGGGCATGGTAATGTTTACAGACAGAAAGGAATATATCTTCCAATGTGCCTTTTCAAAGAGACAAGACCCATGACATAGTACTTCCCAGAAGATATCCCCACAGTCAACTCCAACGTATGGGACTGAATTAGGTCACGTGCCCATTTCAAAACCAGTGAATTTCAAGAATATTGACTGGCTTAGATAAACAGGAGACAGAATGGATGTTGGGGAGTCAATCACAATGTCCACTGAAACACATCAGTGCCCTGGTGTGATTGGATGTGTGTGCTTGTGTGTGTGTGTGTGTGTGTGTGTGTGTGTGTGTGTGTGTGTATGAACCTGAAAATGAGCTGATTTCTGGAACATAAATGTTACAAAATGAAAAGAAATAGATTAGGGTAATTAATCAGTTTGATTAAGGTTATTAATTGGTTTAAGGTAATTAAGATGGGAAAGAGCTGACATCTTGCATGGATACATTTTTGTCTGTTAATGGTATGAGACTAGCATCATTCAATATTTCCATCTCATACTAGGTAATGCTTTGACAGTGGGACCAGAAATCATGTAGAGACTTGTTTTTCCCACACAATGCCTATGTGGGTATTTCCAGAATTTCCTTTCACGGATGACTGACAAACCCCCTCCTGACTGATACATTCTTCATGTAGCCATATTAATACCTTTATTCAAATCTTAGTGTTTCTTTGACCTGGAATCAATCTTATTCTTTTTTCTTGGTTTCAGCTTAAAGTGCATAAAACGGATATACAAAGATAAATAATGAATAATTATAAAGTGAAAACCTGTGTAACCACAACCCAAAACAGTGAAATCAAATATTGATAAAACCCTGGAACCCATTATGTCCGCATCCCTAACCACCACTGTCTATCTCCTCAATAGAGGTTCCCACCATCCTGCTCATTGTTTAGAATCTCTACTTTGCTGCTCATTAGAGGTTTGATACTCATTATAGCTTTGCCACCTATGTAAACAACTAAAGTACCTTGTTCAGTTTGTCACAGTTTTATAAAATCACATCTCTGCTCAGAGTTTTTACAGTACATTTAAATAATAACCTTATTTAACTTGGTTATGGAGGCTTTCAGAAATGTTTAAAAGCAAACTCTCTTTCCACATTAAAGGGACAACAGATATTCCTTGGGTACCTACTGTGTGCTTAGGAGTGAAGAAAGTACTGGAGTATCCATGAGAGCTAAATTGTGCTGTCTACCTTCACTGAGATTAGAGTCTAGTTGAAAAGATAGTGCCTAATAATAGTGTACAGTGTTAGAACTGAATATAGTTCAGTTATGCAGCAAGGCCATGGGTATTGCAATGAGGCATTCCATGTACCACCTCTTATTGGCTCTGTAACTCTGGGAAAGTCTCTGCACCTTTCTGAGCCTGTGTATTCACTTTGAAAAGAGAGAGAGATTTAAAAGCTGCTCCCTAGGATTGTTGTGCATGGTATATTGTAGCCTCTAAATGAATGGCAGATATTTTACTATGGTACATTGGGCTAGTCAGAAGGAAGGCTGAAAATAATTAAATTCCCACTGAACATATATATTTAGCTCATATAGAAGCCTAGGCACCTTAGTACACTCTAGATGTTAGAGTGAGGATATTTGGCTCCAGGAACACACATAGGCAGCTAAGTGGAATGGTAAGAGACTAGATATTAAGATCAGAAATGTTTGGGCCAATAATTTTAATAAGGATGAAAGGTATCCTTTGTTGAGTAATTAATTATATGACTCTCAAAACTTAGAATCTTACCTCTGGTAGGCACCTCAGAGACATGGTTAGACCTGAGTCCTTGGAACCAGAACTGTCTAATCAAATGTTGTCCTCTATAAACAAGAAAGAATTTAAAAATCAATGAGAGTTAACTTTTAATGTGTATTCGCCCTGTCCAAATATTGCTGAAAACATGTGCATCATCTCGTTTAATCCTTACCATGGCCCTAGGACATAGGCAAGCTCAATGATTATCCTTTCTTACAGATCAAAAACTTTGAATTCAGAAATTATTCATAATGTTTCTGCTATCACACAGCTGATAAATGAAGTAGCCACAAATTTATTCTAGTTGTTATTCAGAGCTCACATTACTTTCCTTGGGGGAGGTACTTTTTTTCTGAGATAATTTCAAACTTGCTTACAAAAAAAGTTGCAAGAATGAGACAAAGAACCTCCTTTTGTACTTCTCCCTAATACCTCCACAGTTAACATTTGACATATTTTTACACTTGCTCTCTGTCTCTGTCTCTCTCAATACACAGATGCATAAGCACAGACACATTTTCATATATGTATTCTAAACCATTTGAGAGTGAGCTAGAGACATGTTCTTTTACTCCTAAATGCTTCAGTGTTATTTCCTGAGAATAAGGACATTGTCTTACATAAACAGTATAATTATCAAAATGTTATCTTTATTAACATTGAAACAATACTATTATCTATCTCATGTACAAATTTTATTCAAAAGTGACCAGTTATCCCAATAATGTCATTTACAGAGTTTTCTAATTTTCTGATCTATGATCCCTCTAGTGTCATGTGTTTTATGTAGTTGTTACTTCACTTTAGTCTTTTTTATTTTTATTTTTTATAATTTTAACTCACTATAGTCTTCTTTAGTTTTGAACAAGTCCTCAGATTTTCTTTGTCTTTCATGACCAAAACAGTTCTTTAATGTGTGGGCTATTTACTAGAGTGTCCTTTAATTTCGGTTTGCCTGGTTTTCTATCCTCATGATTAGATTCAATTTATACATTTTTGTCTGGAATAGCACAAAATGATAGTATTTTCTTCTCAATGCATTACATCTGTTGGCAAAGTACTTATTTATTCCATAACTGGTAATGTCAAATTTAATCACTTAATTAATGTTGTATTCAGCAGGTTATGTCAAGTAAAGTTACTATATTTTCTTTGAAATTGAAGTATTCTGTGGTGAGATACTTGGATACTGTGGACATATCCTGTCTTGTCATCCACTAATACTTCTGCCTGAGTCCACTAATGCATAACTGTTGGAAAATGATGTCTTTCTATAATAACACTTTCTTTTCCTACTTAAAAATATATTTATTTATTTAATCAACAAATAAAAATCATATATATGAATCATGTATAACATGATGTTTTGAAATATGTATACATTGTGGAATGGCTAAAATGAGCTCCTTAACATATATATTACCTCTCATACTTATTATTTCTTGTGGGGAGAACACAAAATCTACTCTCAGTGATTTTCAAGAATACAATACAGTGTTATTAACCATAGTCACCATAACGTACAGTGGGTCTCTTGAACTTATTCCTCCTATCTAACTGAAAATTTGGATCCTTGATGAACTGCTCACCAACCACCTCCTCTCAATTTCCTGGTAGCTAGGATTCTACTCTCTCCTTCCACGAGTTCAACCTTTTTAGATTCCTCACATAAATAAGATCATGCGGTCTTTGTATTTCCCTGCCTGGGTTACTTCCGTTTACACAATGTCATCCAGGTTGTCGCAAATGACAGGATGTCTTTTGTTTTTGTTTTTTAGAGACAGGGTTTCACTTTGTCACCCAGGCTGCAGTGCAGTGATGCGATCATGGCTCACCGTATCCTTGACCTCTGGGACCCAAGGGATTGTCCCAACTCAACCTCCTGAGTAGCTGGGACCAAAGGCATGTGCCACTATGCCACATTAATTTTTATTTTTTTGTGGAGACAGGGTTTCACTATGTCACCCAGGCTGTTCTCGAATTCCTGGGCTCAAGCCATCCTCCCACCTCAGCCTCCCAAAGTGCTGGGAGTACTGGCATGCATCATCATGCTCAGGCAGGATTTCCTTCTTTTTTAAGGCTCAATAGAATTCCGTTATCTCCTACCTTTTCTTGATTCATTCACCTGCTGAGGGACATTTAGTTTTATTCCATATCTTAACTGTTTTGAATAGTGCTGCAATGAACACAGGAGTCATGAGAGCCTTTCAACATTTAATAAGTTGGCATTGTACTGTCATGAAGAGTTTTCCCATTGTATTTGTCAGAGTTCTCTAGAGGGATGGAAGTAATAGGATATATGCCTATATGAAAGGGAGTTTATTAAGGAGAATTGATTCACACGATCACAATGTAAAGTCCCATGATAGGCGGTCTGCAAGTTGAGGAAGCCAGTGGTGGATCAGTCTGAATCCCAAAACCTCAAAAGTAGGGAAGCCAACAGTGCAGCCTTCAGTCTGTGGCCAAAGACGGGAGAGAACCTGGCAAACCAGTGGTGTAAGTCCAAGAGTCCAAAAGCTGAAGAACTTGGAGTTTGATGTTCCAGGGCAGGAAGCACCAACAGGGGAGAAAGATGAAGGCCAGAAGACTCAGGAAGTCTGCTCTTCCATCTTCTCCTGCCTGTTTTATTATAGTCATACTGGCAGTTGATTATACGGTGCCCACCCAGATTGAGAGTGGGTCTGCCTTTCCCAGCCCACTGACTCAAATGTTAATCTCCTTTGGCAACACCCTCACAGACAGACCCAGGAACAATACTTAGCATCATTCAATCCAATCAAGTTCACAGTCAATATTAACCATCACACCCAACTTCTTCATTTATTTACTTATTTATGTATTTACTTATATCATTATAGGTTCATGGGTATATACTTAATCACTGGGTAATGATAGATTACCATCAAAATTTATTTTGATACTCAAATTGGCCAGCATTTGGCTAGTTGAAGTGCCTTGAAACTTCCTGTACCTTTTTGTCATATATCCATCTTAGCTGGAACACTTTCTTTACTTTCTAGTGCAACAAGATGTTCCTGCCTGTTTGTACTTTCCCTGTTCCAGCCCTTGAGTCAGACATTTCTCTAAAAAGCCTCAGTTTATTTTAGTGTACAATGCTTTTTACAAGCAAGTCTGCACTCTGAATCACCTGTCTCTACTGACAATATGACTTTGAAACCCTCCAAACTTTCCTTAATTCTATTTACCCAGTGTGTAAATGCACATAAAAATAGGATTTTTGTCTAGGTATGTTGCGAGGTTTAAAATAAGGTATTGGGCCAGGCGTGGTGTCTCATGCCTGTAATCCCAGCACTTTGGGAGGCCAAGGTGAGCGGATCACCTGAGGTCAGGAGTTTGAGACCAGCCTGGCCAACATGGTGAAACCCTCTCTCTACTAAAAATACAAAATTAGCCTGGCATGGTGGAGCATGCCTGTAATCCCAGCTACGTGGGCGGCTAAGGCAGGAAAATCGCTTGAACCCGGGAACCGGAGGTTGCAGTGAGCCAAGATCATGCCACTGCACTCCAGCCTGGGCAACATGAGTGAAACTCCGTCTCAAAAAAATAAATAAATAAAATTTAAAAATAAAAACATAAAATAAGGTATTGAAAGCATTTAGCACTGTTCATGGCACAAAAGTAATTTTGGTAATTTGACCATTTGAACATGAGAATGAGTAATAATCATAATAATAACGGGTTGTGACCCAATTAATAAAATCAGAATCCATAAGACCAATTGAAAATAAGTGGGAGCTATTTTATCACCATTTTTGTTATTATCAAATACCCTTGACAGTGAATAAGTTTTACCTCTAGGAAAAATTTCAAGTTTACACTTATAGCCTTGTCAAGCAAAAGTAAGATCTGCAGAATCACAGAGCTTGAGAAAGTACCAATATGGGGGAATGATTCCAGAAGCAGGCAGGCCTTAGGCCTTGATGACTGGCAGGACTTCACTGTTTGAAACAAAAAAGATTAAGTGAAGAACAGCAACTACTCCTACAACCCCTGCTACCAGAACCCCATATTTCCCCTATCATAGCCGCAAATCCACTGTTCCATAAATAGTTACTTGTCTGTGTACTTCATTAGACTGAGAGCTGATAGTTGTGACTTATTTGCCAACTTATCCCCAATGCCTGAAATGGTGTCTGTAGATAGGAGACATTCAATAAATGTTTGCTGAATGAATGAATGAAAGTATTAATAATTTCAAATATGTCGTGAGGATAATTAATGAGAGAAGGAAACTGAGACTCAGAGAAGTAGGGAAGCGTGCCCAAGGTCATACAACTTTTTTTTTCTTTTTTTGAGACAGAGTCTTGTTCTTGTTGCCCAGGCGCTGGAGTGCAATGGTGCAATCTCAGCTCACTTCAACCTCTGTCTCCTGAGTTCAAGTGATTCTGCTGCCTCAGCCTCCCGAGTAGCTGGGATTACAGGCACCCACCACCACACCAGGCTAACTTTTTTGTATTTTTAGTAGAGACGGCCTTTCACCATGTTGGCCAGGCTGGTCTCGAACTCCTGACCTCAGGTGATCTGCCTGCCTTAGCCTCCCAAAGTGCTGGGATTACAGGCCTGAGACACCATGCCTGGCCCAAGGTCATACTACTATTTTAGTAAGAGAGAGAGGGAGGCAGAATTCCATTCTGCCCTGACTCTAGTAGCTTTGGGTGTATTGGCCTCTCTAGATACTGAGCCTTCCCAGTAAGATTAACTTGTCTGATTTCCATGTTTACCAGAGTTCAAATGGGAGTCCCATATGTGCCAAACTATGTATGCAAGACTGGTTCAAGGGTTTGGTAATTAATTCAACAACTATTTATTGATTGCTCAATATAGGCCTTACAGGTTCTGGAGATACAGCAGTGAGTACAACAGATGGATAACCTCCTCTTATCAACATTCCATTCTGGTGCACAGAGACAGAAAATAAGGGGATACAGAAAACTTAAGATGGTAAAGAAAGTAAAGCTTGATTAACAAATAGAAAATTACCCAGCATGTGTGTGTTTGAAGGAGGGAGTGGCTATGGAGGTGAGAGGAGGCTTGTTAAGTTCAGAGGACCTGGAGGAATTTTCTGTGTCTGGAATTAGAAAGGGATGCAGGCTGGGAGTTGAGGTGAGAAATTAGAAAGTCGAAACCTCAAGAAAATAAGCCACTTAATGTCTATGAGACTAAGTGTTCTCACCTGCAAAACAGGGATTCAAACATTTGAGGTACCGTGTAAAAAATGTAGTGTAAAGCTCAAATCTGAAAACATTAATGTTATTCAGCTGATTTATTGAACAATAATAGCAGCTGGTACTTTTGAATGCTTGCTGTTTGTTAGGCAGTATGCTAGTTGCTTTCCATGTTAATTTCATCCTCTGCAATGAAAAGTAGTTAGGGTTTTTATATTTTATAAGGTTGGATAGCAACTGATTGCAGGTATTAGGATTAAAGCCCAGGCTCAGTCTGTCAAACTTGAAAAGCTTGTTCTTTTTCACAAGTTTGTGCTTCCAGAATCGCAAACAGGCAACTGATAGTGACCAAGATGAATTGAGTGGTACAACATTTAAAAGACAGTTATAAAACTTACTTAGCATAGCATTTATATAATTATTAATGAAAGGAAAAATAATGATTTATTATTTATATTTCAATCTTAGTATCTAAACTTATATTTTTATATTTTATTAAATTAATTTCTAAAATTCTTACACTAGCACATAATACTAAGTGTTTGTATTTTTAGAAGTGACATAAGATTTTCTTTTTAAAGTTTTATTTTATTTTTAGTTGGCATTTAATAATTGTACACACTTATGGGGTGCAATGTGATGTCTTGATATATGTATACATTGTGTAATGATTAAATCAGGATAATTAGCAAATACATCATACCAAATATTGATTATTTTTTGTATTGAGAACATTCAAAATACTCTCCTCTAGCTATTTTACAATATAGAATATATTATCGTTAACTATCGTCACCCTACTGGACACTAGAACATCAGAACCTCTTTCTCCTCCAGATGGAAGATCAACAAGGAAATATAGAACTGAACAATGTTATAGACAAAATAGACCCAACACACATATAAGGAACATTCCACCCAACAGCAGCAAAAATAATCATTCTTCTCAAATGCACATGGAACATTCTCCAAGATATCTCATAGTAGAATCTCATATCAAGTCTTAACAAATTTAAGAAGGTTGAGATCAATCTAAGTATCTTTTCTGATCACAACTGAATGAAACTAGAAATCAGTAATAAAAAGAAAATGAGGAAGCTCACAAGTGCATGGAAATTAAATAACACGCTTTGAAACAATTATTATGTCAAAGAAGAAATTGAAGATGAAATTAGAAAATATATTGAGACAAAGGAAAACCAAAACACAACACAGTGAAACATAACATGCAGCCAAATCAGCACTAAGAAGGAAGTTTATAACAATAAATGGTTTATTAAAAGAAGAAAAAAAAGGAAAGAGCTCCAGTAAACTAACTTTCTCCCTCAAGGAACTAGATAAAGAAGAACAAGCAAGTCAAAGTTAGCAGAAGGAAGTAATAATGAAGGTTATAGCAGAAGTAAATGAAATAGAGAATAGAAAAACAATTTAATAAAATTTTAAAAACCGAAGAGTTTTTTGAAAAGATAAATAAAATGGACAAACCCTTAGCTAGACTAATAACAAAAAAGAAAATATTCAAATAATACAATCAGAGATGAAAGAAGAGACATCCCATGGCTGGGGGTAGGGAGAGCTATAGGAACTATTATGAACATTTAAATGTTAATAAATTGGATAACTCAGAAGAAATTGAAAAATTCCTAGAAACATAGGACCCACTGAGACTGCATCAATAAAAAATATAAAGCCCAGACATACCAAAAAACAAATAATGACATTAAAAGAATAATCAAAAATGTCCCAACAAAGAAAAATACAGGACCAGGTGGCTTCATAGATAAATTCTGTGAAACATTAAAAAAATTAATACCAATCTTACTGAAAGTCTTCTAAACAACAGAATAGGGAATACTTACAAACTAATTCTATGAGGCCAGCATCACCCTGATACAAAAGCCAGAGTAAGACACCAGAAGAAAAGAAAACTACAGACTAATATCCCTGATGAATATAGATGCAAAAAGCCTCAAAATATTATTAGCAAGCCAAATACAAAAATGCATTTAAAGACTCATACACCATGACCACATAGGAGTTATGCCTGTGATACAAGAATCGTTCCACATATGCGAATTAATCAGTGTGATAAACCACATGAATAGAATGAAGGATGAAAATTACATGGTCATCTCAACAGATTCACAAAAAACATTTGACAAAATTAGACACCTCTTTATGCTAAATATTTTCAACAAATTAGGTTTAGAAAGAACTTACCTCAATATAATAAAGGCCATAGAGGAAAATCCCACAATTAACATGATGCTCAATGATGAAAAGCTGAAAGATTTACTCCTAAGATGAGAAGCAAGACAAAGATGCCCACTCTTGGCTCTCCTATTTAACATAATACAGTCATTCCTCAGTATTCATGGGGAATTGGTTTTGGGACCCTCACAGATACCAAAATCCGTGGTTACATTTGTATAAACCAACAATGACCTATCTGTAAAGCTGATTTCAGGAAACAATTTGACTCACAATTGCACAACAAATAAAATACTTAGAAATAAATGCAGGTGGCTGGGCATGGTGGCTCATGCCTGTAATCCCAGCACTTTGGGGGACTGAGACGGGCAGATCACCTGAGGTTGGGAGTTCGAGACCAGCCTGACCAACATGGAGAAACCCCGTTTCTACTAAAAACACAAAGTTAGCTGGGCATGGTGGCCCATGCCTGTAATCCCAGCTACTCAGGGAAGCTGAGGCAGGAGAATTGCTTGAACCTGGGAGGCAGAGGTTGTGGTGAGCCAAGATTGTGCCATTGCACTCCAGCCTGGGCAACAAGAGTGAAACTCCATCTCAAAAATAAATAAATAAATAAAAACAAATAAATGTAGGTAAAGGAGGTAAAAGGGTTGTACACTGAAAACTACAAAACATTGACAAATAATTTTTAAAAAGCAGAAATAAATGGAAACATCTCATGATCATGTATTGAGAAGAATTGATATTATTAAATGTCCATACTTCCCAAAATATCTGAAGATTCAATGCAATCTCTATCAAAATCTCTATGGCATTTTTGTACAGAATAAACAATCCTAAAATTCAGAAGACCCTGAATAGCCAAACAATTTTGAACAAGTACAGAGCTGGAGTTATCACACTCCCTGATTCCATAATGTGTCACAAAGCTGCAGTAATCAAAACAGTATGGTACTGTTATAAAAGTAGTCATATAGAACAATGGAACAGAATAGAGAGCTCAAAAATAAATCTACTGGGTGCCAAGACTACACTATGTGGAAGGATGGTCTCTTTGATACATGGTGTTAAGAAAATTGCATAGGAATCGAAATCACAGGAATCGAAATCTGGATCTCCAAGAGATGAGTGTATTCCCATGTTTGTTGCAACATTATTCACAGTAGCCAAGATATGGAAACAACCTCAGTGTCTGTTGATGATGAAATACTATTCAGCCTTATAAAAGAAGGAAATCCTGCTGTTTGTGTACCTGGAGGACATTAGGCTAAGTGAAATAAGTCAGATCACAGAAAGACAAATACTGCATGATCTCAGTTTTACTGTATGTGAAATCTAAAATTGTTAACCATATAGAAGCAGATAGTAGAATGGTAGTGGCCAGGGGCTGAGGGAAGGGAGAAATGCAGGTGGGGTGTTGGTTAAGCGATACAAAGTTTCAGTTATGTGTAATAAATAACATCTGTAGGTCTAGTGTATAATACAGAACCTATGATTTTATACTCAAGTTTGCTGAGAGGGTAAATCTTCATTAAGTGCTCTCACCACAAAAAGGAAAATAAAAAAACAAAGAGGGCAGGAGGAAACTTTCAGAGGTGAAAGATAAGATTATGGCATTGAGAGTGATGATGTTGTGATCATTTCATGGGTGTATACTCGTCTCTTAACACATGATGTTGTGTACATTAAATATGTACAGCTTTTTGTAAAAAAAAAAAAGCCATATAAACGTTGCGATAAAAGTAGCATCCATTGCTTTTCCTGTCTGCAGTCTATAATATATTAATTTATTAAAACATCAAACACTCGATTATGCACACCGTATTTCCAGAAGTAATCTGTACCCTGAACATACCATGATCAATGAAACATGGCCTTTCATCATCAGGGATTTCATGATCTCCTCTTGGAGGCATAACACATCAATGAAAAGGGACTTTAAAAAGGAACTGTAGGCCGGGCGCGGTGGCTCACGCCTGTAATACCAGCACTTTGGGAGGCCAAGGCAGGCAGAACACCTGAGGTCGGGAGTTTGAGACCAGCCTGACCAACATGGAGAAACCCCATTTCTACTAAAAATACAAAATTAGCCGGGCGTGGTGGCACATGCCTATAATCCCAGGTACTCGGGGAGGCTGAGGCAGGAGAATCGCATGAACCCAGGAGGCAGAGGTTGTGGTGAACCGAGATCGTGCCATTGCACTCCAGCCTGGGCAACAAGAGCAAAACTCCATCTGGAAAAAAAAAAAAGTCCAGGAAGTCCAGAATGTACTGGTACTAGAAGTTCCTGAAAACAGCAATGATCAACTACAAAAACATTCTCCAAGTAAAGATAATCTGAGGACAGCAGTAGCCTGTATTCATTAATTTATCATGAATTTTTCCAACTAATAAATAGCTCATAAAATAATAGCTATGTTTTATTGGGCAATGATCAGAATAGGAATCATCCACATTCATACAATAAGTATTTATTGAGCACCTGCTAGACACCAGGTTCTAGGCTGTATGCCAAATTTTAAAGTCACATGTGACACAGGCTCTATCACATATATCAATGACTTCTCAGATTAATGAAAATACACAGATGAACAGATAATTACTGGGTTATCAGGAGAACCATAACAGAAGTAAACACAGTGAACACTAAGAACAGAGAAGGGAATGCTAACTCAAATGGTCTAAAGTGCTTCTCATCACTTATGAGATGGTTGCTATTATTGTCCCCATTTTTTATATGAAAAAACCTAGGAACAGAGAGAATGGTGCAGGAATATAGCAGGCACTCATAATTTGTGGAATGCATGAAAGTTTACTTCACCAACACCAAATATCTCAAAAATAGATATTGTAGTAAAGCCAATTAATTTTTAATTTCAAAATTAATAGAGGATTTTTAGAAGGGTTTTAGGCTTACAGAAAAATGAGTGGAAAGTACAGTGAATTTCCAAATACCCCCCCACACTCTCCTCCTCCATTATTAACACTTGCATTAGTGTGGTACACTTATCACAATTGATAAGCCAATATTGACACATCATTATTAACTAAATTTCACAGATTATATTACGGTTTGCTCTTTGTATTCTACACTTCTATGGATTTTGACAAATATATTACAGGTATTCATTATTACAGTATCATACAGCATAGTTTCACTGCCCTAAAATCCCCTATACTCCACCTATTCACCCCTCCCTCTTTCCCTACAAACTTCAGACAACTACTGAACGTTTTGCTCTTTCCATATCATGTCCTATAGTTGGAATCACGCCATATATAAATCTTTTCAGACTGGCTGCTTCTTCTTTTTTTTTTTTTTTTTTTTGTCAGATGGAGTCTCGCTCTGTCGCCCAGGCTGGAGTGCAGTGGTGCGGTCTCGTCTCACTGCAACTTCCACTTCCCCAGTTCAAGCGATTTTCCTGCCTCAGCCTCCTGAGTACCTGGGACTACAAGCATGTGCCACCAAGCCCGGCTAATTTTTTGTATTTTTAGTAGAGACGGGGTTTCACCATGTTAGCCAGAATGGTCTTGATCTCCTAACCTTGTGTTCCACCCACCATGGCCTCCCAAAGTGCTGGGATTGCAGGCATGAGCCACCGCACCGAGCCCAGAATGGCTTCTTTTATTTATTTATTTATTTATTTATTTATTCATTTATTTTTTATTATTATACTTTAAGTTTTAGGGTACATGTGCAGAATGTGCAGGTTAGTTACATATGTATACATGTGCCATGCTGGTGCGCTGCACCCACTAACTCGTCATCTAGCATTAGGTATATCTCCCAATGCTATCCCTCTCCCCTCCCCCCACCCCACAACAGTCCCCAGAATGTGATGTTCCCCTTCCTGTGTCCATGTGTTCTCATTGTTCAATTCCCACCTATGAGAGAGAATATGCGGTGTTTGGTTTTTTGTTCTTGCGATAGTTTACTGAGAATGATGATTTCCAGTTTCATCCATGTCCCTACAAAGGACATGAACTCATCATTTTTATGGCTGCATAGTATTCCATGGTGTATATGTGCCACATTTTCTTAATCCAGTCTATCATTGTTGGACATTTGGGTTGGTTCCAAGTCTTTGCTATTGTGAATAATGCCGCAATAAACATACGCGTGCATGTGTCTTTATAGCAGCATGATTTATAATCCTTTGGGTATATACCCAGTAATGGGATGGCTGGGTCAAATGGTATTTCTAGTTCTAGATCCCTGAGGAATCGCCACACTGACTTCCACAATGGTTGAACTAGTTTCCAGTGCCACCAACAGTGTAAAAGTGTTCCTATTTCTCCACATCCTCTCCAGCACCTGTTGTTTCCTGACTTTTTCATGATCACCATTCTAACTGGCGTGAGATGGTATGTCATTGTGGTTTTGATTTGCATTTCTCTGATGGCCAGTGATGGTGAGCATTTTTTCATGTGTTTTTTGGTTGCATAAATGTCTTCTTTTGAGAAGTGTCTGTTCATGTCCTTCGCCCACTTTTTGATGGGGTTGTTTGTTTTTTTCTTGTAAATTCGATGGAGTTCATTGTAGATTCTGGATATTAGCCCTTTGTCAGATGAGTAGGTTGCGAAAATTTTCTCCCATTTTGTAGGTTGCCTGTTCACTCTGATGGTAGTTTCTTTTGCTGTGCAGAAGCTCTTTAGTTGAATTAGATTCCATTTGTCAATTTGGGCTTTTGTTGCCATTGCTTTTGGTGTTTTAGACATGAAGTCCTTGCCCATGCCTATGTCCTGAATGGTAATGCCTAAATTTTCTTCTAGGGTTTTTATGGTTTTAGGTCTAACGTTTAAGTCTTTAATCCATCTTGAATTGATTTTTGTATAAGGTGTAAGGAAGAGATCCCGTTTCAGCTTTCTACATATGGCTAGCCAGTTTTCCCAGCACCATTTATTAAGTAGGGAATCCTTTCCCCATTGCTTGTTTTTCTCAGGGTTGTCAAAGATCAGATAGTTGTAGATATGCGGCATTATTTCTGAGGGCTCTGTTCTGTTCCATTGATCTATATCTCTGTTTTGGTACCAGTACTGTGCTGTTTTGCTTACTGTAGCCTTGTAGTATAGCTTGAAGTCAGGTAGTGTGATGCCTCCAGCTTTGTTCTTTTGGCTCAGGATTGACTTGGCAATGCGGACTCTTTTTTGGTTCCATATGAACTTTACAGTAGTTTTTTCCAATTCTGTGAAGAAAGTCATTGGTAGCTTGATGGGGATGGCATTGAATCTATAAATTACCTTGGGCAGTATGGCCATTTTCACGATATTGATTCTTCCTACCCATGAGCATGGAATGTTCTTCCATTTGTTTCTATCCTCTTTTATTTCGTTGAGCAGTGGTTTGTAGTTCTCCTTGAAGAGGTCCTTCACATCCCTTGTAAGTTGGATTCCTAGGTATTTTATTCTCTTTGAAGCAATTGTGAATGGGAGTTCACTCATGATTTGGCTGTTTGTCTGTTGTTGGTGTATAAGAATGCTTGTGATTTTTGTACACTGACTTTGTATCCTGAGACTTTGCTGAAGTTGCTTATCAGCTTAAGGAGATTTTGGGCTGAGACAATGGGGTTTTCTAGATATACAATCATATCGTCTGCAAACAGGGACAATTTGACTTCCTCTTTTCCTAATTGAATGCCCTTTATTTCCTTCTCCTGCCTGATTGCCCTGGCCAGAACTTCCAACACTATGTTGAATAGGAGTGGTGAGAGAGGTCATCCTTGTCTTGTGCCAGTTTTCAAAGGGAATGCTTCCAGTTTTTGCCCATTCAGTATGATATTGGCTGTGGGTTTGTCATAGATAGCTCTTATTATTTTGAGATACGTCCCATCAATATCTAATTTATTGAGAGTTTTTAGCACGAAGGATTGTTGAATTTTGTCAAAGGCCTTTTCTACATCTATTGAGATAATCCTGTGGTTTTTGTCTTTGGTTCTGTTTATATGCTGGATTACATTTATTGATTTGCATATATTGAACCAGCCTTGCATCCCAGGGATGAAGCCCACTTGATCATGGTGGATAAGCTTTTTGATGTGCTGCTGGATTCGGTTTGCCCGTATTTTATTGAGGATTTTTGCATCAATGTTCATCAAGGATATTGGTCTAAAATTCTCTTTTTTGGTTGTGTCTCTGCCAGGCTTTGGTATCAGGATGATGCTGGCCTCATAAAATGAGTTAGGGAGGATTCCCTCTTTTTCTATTGATTGGAATAGTTTCAGACGGAATGGTACCAGTTCCTCCTTGTACCTCTGATAGAATTCGGCTGTGAATCCATCTGGTCCTGGACTCTTTCGTTGGTAAGCTATTGATTATTGCCACAATTTCAGATCCTGTTATTGGTCTATTCAGAGATTCAACTTCTTCCTGGTTTAGTCTTGGGAGAGTGTATGTGTCGAGGAATTTATCCATTTCTTCTAGATTTTCTAGTTTATTTGTGTAGAGGTGTTTGTAGTATTCTCTGATGGTAGTTTGTATTTCTGTGGGATCGGTGGTGATATCCCCTTTATCATTTTTTATTGCGCCTATTTGATTCTTCTCTCTTTTTTTCTTTATTAGTCTTGCTAGCAGTCTATCAATTTTGTTGATGCTTTCAAAAAACCAGCTCCTGGATTCATTAATTTTTTGAAGGGTTTTTTGTGTCTCTATTTCCTTTGGTTCTGCTCTGATTTTAGTTATTTCTTGCCTTCTGCTAGCTTTTGAATGTGTTTGCTCTTGCTTTTCTAGTTCTTTTAATGGTGATGTTAGGATGTCAATTTTGGATCTTTCCTACTTTCTCTTGTGGGCATTTGGTGCTATATGTTTCCCTCTACACACTGCTTTGAATACGTCCCAAAGATTCTGGTATGTTGTGTGTTTGTTCTCATTGGTTTCAAAGAACATCTTTATTTCTGCCTTCATTTTTTCATGTACCCAGTAGTCATTCAGGAGCAGGTTGTTCAGTTTCCATGTAGTTGAGTGGTTTTGAGTGAGATTCTTAATCCTGAGTTCTAGTTTGATTGCACTGTGGTCTGAGAGATAGTTTGTTATAATTTCTGTTCTTTTACATTTGCTGGGGAGAGCATTACTTCCACGTATGTGGTCAATTTTGGAATAGGTGTGGTGTGGTACTGAAAAAAATGTATATTCTATTGATTTGGGGTGGAGAGTTCTGTAGATGTCTATTAGGTCTGCTTGGTGCAGAGGTGAGTTCAATTCCTGGGTATTCTTGTTGACTTTCTGTCTCATTGGTCTGTCTAATGTTGACAGTGGGGTGTTAAAGTCTCCCATTATTAATGTGTGGGAGTCTAACTCTCTTTGTACGTCACTCAGGACTTGCTTTATGAATCTGGGTGCTCCTGTATTGGGTGCATATATATTTAGGATAGTTAGCTCTTCTTGTTGAATTGATCCTTTTACCATTATGTAATGGCCTTCTTTGTCTCTTTTGATCTTTGTTGGTTGAAAGTCTGTTTTATCAGAGACTAGGATTGCCACCCCTGCCTTTTTTTGTTTTCCATTTGCTTGGTAGATCTTCCTCCATCCTTTTATTTTGAGCCTCTGTGTGTCTCTGCACGTGAGATGGGTTTCCTGAATACAGCACACTGATGGGTCTTGACTCTTTATCCAATTTGCCAGTCTGTGTCTTTTAATTGGAGCATTTAGTCCATTTACATTTAAAGTTAATATTGTTATGTGTGAATTTGATCCTGTCATTATCATATTAGCTGGTTATTTTGCTCGTTAGTTGATGCAGTTTCTTCCTAGTCTTGATAGTCTTTACATTTTGGCATGATTTTGCAGTGGCTGATACCGGTTGTTCCTTTCCATGTTTAGCGCTTCCTTCAGGAGCTCTTTTAGGGCAGGCCTGGTGGTGACAAATTCTCTCAGCATTTGCTTGTCTGTAAAGGATTTTATTTCTCCTTCACTTATGAAGCTCAGTTTGGCTGGATATGAAATTCTGGGTTGAAAATTCTTTTCTTTAAGAATGTTGAAAATTGGCCCCCACTCTCTTCTGGCTTGTAGAGTTTCTGCCAAGAGATCCGCTCTTAGTCTGATGGGCTTCCCTTTGAGGGTATCCCGACCTTTCTCTCTGGCTGCCCTTAACATTTTTTCCTTCATTTCAACTTTGGTGAATCTGACAATTATGTGTCTTGGAGTTGCTCTTCTCGAGGAGTATCTTTGTGGCGTTCTCTGTATTTCCTCAATCTGAATGTTGGCCTGCCTTGCTAGATTGGGGAAGTTCTCCTGGATAATATCCTGCAGAGTGTTTTCCAACTTGGTTCCATTCTCCCCATCACTTTCAGGTACACCAGTCAGACATAGATTTGGTCTTTTCACATAGTCCCATATTTCTTGGAGGCTTTGTTCGTTTCTTTTTATTCTTTTTTCTCTAAACTTCCCTTCTCGCTTCATTTCATTCATTTCATCTTCCATCACTGATACCCTTTCTTCCAGTGATCGCATCAGCTCCTGAGTCTTCTGCATTCTTCACGTAGTTCTCGAGCCTTGGTTTTCAGCTCCAGCATCTCCTTTAGGCACTTCTCTGTGTTGGTTATTCTAGTTATACATTCTTTTAAATTTTTTCAACGTTTTCAACTTCGTTGCCTTTGGTTTGAATGTCCTCCCGTACGTAGCTTGGAGTAATTTGATCATCTGAAGCCTTCTTCTCTCAGCTCGTCAAAGTCATTCTCTGTCCAGCTTTGTTCTGTTGCTGGTGAGGAACTGCGTTCCTTTGGAGGAGGAGAGGCGCTCTGCTTTTTAGAGTTTCCAGTTTTTCTGCTCTGTTTTTTCCCCATCTTTGTGGTTTTATCTACTTTTTGTCTTTGATGATGGTGATGTACAGGTGGGTTTTTGATGTGGATGTCTGTTTGTTAGCTTTCCTTCTAACAGACAGGGCCCTCATCTGCAGGTCTGTTGGAGTACCCGGCCATGTGAGGTATCAGTCTGCCCCTGCTGGGGGTTGCCTCCCAGTTAGGCTGCTGAGGGGTCAGGGGTCAGGGACCCACTTGAGGAGGCAGTCTGCCCGTTCTCAGATCTCCAGCTGTGTGCTGGGAGAACCACTGCTCTCTTCAAAGCTGTCAGACAGGGACATTTAAGTCTGCGGAGGTTACTGCTGTCTTTTTGTTTGTCTGTGCCCTGCCCCCAGAGGTGGAGCCTACAGAGGCAGGCAGGCCTCCTTGAGCTGTGGTGGGCTCCACCCAGTTCGAGCTTCCCCACTGCTTTGTTTACCTAAGCAAGCGTGGGCAATGGCGGCCACCCCTCCCCCAGCCGCGCTGCCGCCTTGCAGTTTGATCTCAGACTGCTGTGCTAGCAATCAGTGAGACTCCGTGCACATAGGACCCTCTGAGCCATGTGCGGGATATAATCTCCTGGTGCGCTGTTTTTTAAACCCGTCGGAAAAGCACAGTATTGGGGTGGGAGTGACCCGATTTTCCAGGTGCCATCTGTCACCACTTTCTTTGATTAGGAAAGGGAACTCCCTGACCCCTTGTGCTTCCCGAGTGAGGCAATGTCTCACCCTTCTTTGGCTCGTGCACGGTGTGCGCACCCACTGACCTGCGCCTACTGTCTGGCACTCCCTAGTGAGATGAACCCGGTACCTCAGATGTAAATGCAGAAATCACCCGTCTTCTGCGTCGCTCACACTGGGAGCTGTAGACCGGAGCTGTTCCTATTCGGCCATCTTAGCTCCTCCCCAGAATGGCTTCTTTAACTTCGCAATATATATTTAAGTTTCCTCAATGTTTTTGTGGCCAGATAGCTCATTTCTTATCCTTGAATAAAATGTCATTGCATAGAGGTACCACAGTTTGTTTCTTCATTGACTTATTGAAGTATATTTTGGCTGTACTATGGTTTGAATATTTGTCACTTCCCAAACTTAAATGTTGAAATTTAATCCTCCGTTTGGCAGTACTAGTACTAGTGGGGAGGCTTTAAGAAGTGATTGGGGCCAGGCGTGGTGGCTCACACCTATATTCCCAGCACTTTGTGAGGCCAAAATGGGCAGATCATGACGTCAGGAGCTCAAGACCAGTATGGTCAACATAGTGAAACCCCGTCTCTACTAAAAATACAAAGAATTAGCCGAGTGTGGTGGTATGCACTTGTAGTCTCAGCTACGTGGGGGGCTGAGGCAGGAGAATTGCATGAACCTAGGAGACAAAGGTTGCAATGAGCCAAAATTGTGCCATTGCACTCCAGCCCAGGCGACAGTGCAGGACTCTGCCTAAAAAAAAAAAAAAAAAAAAAGTGATTGGGTCATGAAGACTTTGCCATCATGAATGACTTAATTCATTCATGGCTTAATGCATTGATGGGTTATCATGGGATTGGGACTGGTGGCTTTATAAGAAGAGGAAGAGAGATCATAGTTAGCCTGCTCAGCTTTCTCACCATATGATACTCTGCCTTGCCTCAGGACTCTGCAGAGTACCCACCAGTAAGAAGGCCCTCACCAGATGTGACCCCTTGACCTTGGACTTCTCAGCCTCCATAACTGTAAGAAATAAATTAGTTTTCACATAAATTACCCAGGTCCAGGTATTATGTATAAACAGCAGAAAATAGACTAAGACAGGCCACTTCCAAGTTTTGGCAATTATGAATAAAACTGGTACAAATATTTGTGTACAAGTTTTTGTGTAAATATAATTTTCATCTCATTTGGGGGTTCAATTGCTGATCATATGGTATGAATATGTGTAATTTTCTAAGAAATTGCCAAATTGAATTCTAAAGTAGCTGTACCATTTTTCCTTCCCACCAGCAATGAATGAGAGTTTCCATCACTCCACATCAAGCATTTGACAGTGTTTTGAATTTTAGTCATTCTGATAAGTTTATGAAAGCTTTTTATCATCGTTTCAGTTTGCAATTCCCTAAAGACGTATGTCATTGAGCATCTTTTTATATGCTTATGTGCTATCTGTACATTTTGTTTGGTGAGGTATCTGTTCCTATATTTTGCCCGTTTTTAAGTTGGTTGTTTAGTTTTTTATTGTTGAGTTTTAGGAGCTGTTTGTATATTTTGGATACTAGTCCTTTATTGGTTATGTGTTTTGCAAAGATTTTCTCCCAGCCTGGTCATTAAGAGTGTGTTTTGTAGTGCAGCTTTTATTTTCAATAAAGCCTGAAATCAATTTTTTCTTTCAGAGATTGTAATTTTGGTATTATATCCAAAATATAATAGTCAAACCGAAGATCACCAAGATTTTCTCCCCTGCCAGCTTCTAGAAGTTTTATAATTTTGTGTTTTACATATTAACAATTACATGGGTAATTGATAAAAGATGTAAGATCTTTTGATAAAAGATCTTTTGATAAAAGATATAAGATCTATATCTAGATTCTTTTTTTGTGCATGTAGAACTGCATGCAAGCAGTTCATTTGTTGAGAAGTCTGTCCTTTCTCCATTGAATTGCCTTTCTTCTTTTGTAAAAGATGGGTTATCTGTATTTGTATGAGTCTATTTCTGGGCTCTCTATTCTATTCTCTTGATCTATTTACTTATTCTTTTGCCAATACTAAACTATCTTGGCTCCTGTAGCTTTATAGTGAGTTTTGAGGTTGGGTAATGTGAGTCCTCCAATTTTGTTCTTCTTCAATACTTTCATAGCTATTCTGATTTTTTGTCTTTCTATGTAAACTTTAGAATCAGTTTGTTAATATTGACAAAGTAACTAACTGCGATTTTGATTGGAAATGCATTGAATCTATAGATCAAGTTGGGAAGAACTTGATTGCTCGACAATATTGTGTCTTCCTATTTATTTACATGGAATATTTCCCCATCTGTTTAGTTCTTCTTTGAATTATTTCACCAGTGTTTTAAGCAGTTTGACTTATGTATATTATACTTGTATCCCATGACCTCGTTATAATTGCTTATTAGTTCCAAGACTTATTTTATTGCTTCTTTCGAATTTTCAACATACACAATTATGTCATCTGCAAGCAGACAGTTTGATTTCTTACTTCCCAGTTTGTATAACTTTTATTTCCTTTTCTTGTCTTATTGCATTGGCAAAATTTTCCAATCAAAATTCAAAAAAGAGTAGTGATAGTGAACATCCTTCTTTTTTTTCTTGATCTTAGGGGGAAAACATCTAGTTTCTTGTGATTAACTATAATGCTAACTGTAGATTTTTTGTGTGTAGATATTCTTTTCCACAGTGAGGAAGTTCACCTTTATGCTTAGTTTGCTGTGTGTTTCTATTGCTAGTTGGTCTTAGATTTTGTCAAATGCTTATTCTCCGTCTACTTATATGATCACATCCCTTTTTTCTTTAGCCTCTCAATGTGATGAATCACATCAATTGATTTGCAAATGTTGTCCCAGCCTTGCATACCTGGAATAAATCCCACTTGGTTATAGGTGTATAATTATTTCTAAATATTATTGGAGTCAATTCACTAATATTTTATTGAGGATTTTTGCATCTATGTTCAGAGTGGATATTGGCCTGTATTTCCATTTCTTGTAACATCCTTCATTTTAGTATTAGGGTAATGTTGGACTCTAGAATGAGTGAGGAAGTATTCACTTTGCTTCTATTTTATAAAGAAGATTATAGAAAATTGGCATAATTTTTTCCCTTTAATGTTAGGTTAAATTCACCAGTGAACCCATCTGGGCTTGCTGAACTTTGATTTGGGAAGATTATTTGAAACTTCATTCCAGATGATTATTAATTATTGATTTCATTGCTTTAATAGGTGTAGGACTATTTATGTTTTCTATTTCTTCTTAAGTGGGTTTTGGTAGATTGTGCCTTTAGAAAAATTGGTGCATTTGCTCTTCAAGGAGAACTACAAACCACTGCTCAACAAAATGAAAGAGGACACAAACAAATGGAAGAACATTCCATGCTCATGGATAGGAAGAATCAATATCGTGAAAATGGCCATACTGCCCAAGGTAATTTACAGATTCAATGCCACCCTCATCCATCTACCAATGGCTTTCTTCACAGAATTGGAAAAAACTACTTTAAAGTTCATATGGAATCAAAAAAGAGCCTGCATTGCCAGGACAATCCTAAGCCAAAAAAACAAAGCTGGAGGCATCATGCTACCTGACTTCAAACTATTTTACAAGGCTACAGTAACCAAAACAGCATGGTACTGGTACCAAAACAGAGATATAGATCAATGGAATGGAACAGAGCCATCAGAAAGAATACCACACATCTACAACCATCTGATCTTTGACAAACCTGACAAAAACGAGAAATGGGGAAAGGATTCCCTATTTAATAAATGGTGCTGGGAAAACTGGCTAGCCATATGTAGAAAGCTGAAACTGGATCCCTTCCTTACACCTTATACAAAAATTAATTCAAGATGGATGAAAGACTTACATGTTAGACCTAAAACCATAAAAACCCTAGAAGAAAACCTAGGCAGTACCATTCAGGGCATAGGCATGGGGAAGGACTTCATGTCTAAAACAACATAAGCCAAAATTGACAAATGGGATCTAATTAAACTAAAGAGCTTCTGCACAGCAAAAGAAACCACCATCAGAGTGAACAGGCAACCTATAGAGTAGGAAATAATTTTTGCAATCTACTCATCTGACAATGGGCTAACATCCAGAATCTACAAAGAACTCAGACAAACTTACAAGAAAAAAACAAACAACCCCATCAACAAGTGGGTAAGGATATGAACAGACACTTCTCAAAAGAAGACATTTATGCAGCCAACAGACACATGAAAAAATGCTCATCATCACTGGCCATCAGAGAAATGCAAATCAAAACCACAATGAGATACCATCTCACACCAGTTAGAATGGTGATCATGAAAAAGTCAGGAAACAACAGGTGCTGGAGAGGATGTGGAGAAATAGGAACACTTTTACACTGTTGGTGGCACTGTAAACTAGTTCAACCATTGTGGAAGTCAGTGTGGCGATTCCTCAGGGATCTAGAACTAGAAATACCATTTGACCCAGCCATCCCATTACTGGGTATATACCCAAAGGATTATAAAGCTTGCTGGTATAAAGACACATGCACACGTATGCTTATTGCGGCACTATTCACAACAGCAAAGACTTGGAACCAACCCAAATGTCCATCAATGATAGACTGGATTAAGAAAATGTGGCCCATATACACCATGGAATACTATGCAGCCATAAAAAATGATGAGTTCATGTCCTTTGTAGGGACATGGATGAAGCTGGAAACCATCATTCTCAGCAAACTATCGCAACGACAAAAAATCAATCACCGCATGTTCTCATAGGTGGGAACTGAACAGTGAGAACACTTGGACACAGGAAGGGGAACATCACACACCGGGGTCTGTCGTGGGGTGGGGGGAGGAGGGAGGGATAGCATTAGGAGATATACCTAATGTAAATGACGAGTTAATGGTTGCAGCACACCAACATGGCACATGTATACCTATGTAACAAACCTGCACATTGTGCACATGTACCCTAGGAATTAAAGTATAATTTTCAAAAAAAGTAAGAAAAATTGGTCTCTTTGATCTACATTATCAAATTTGTGGACTAGACTTGTTCATAATATTCCTAATTTTCCCTTTGGTGTTACTGAGATCAGTAATAAGGCCCCTATTTCATTTCTGGCATTAGTAATTTGTGTCTTCTCTTTTATTCTTGTTATCCTTACTAGGGGTTTATCAATTTCATTAACCTTTCAACAAAAAAACAGGTTTTGGTTTTGTTGATTATTTCTATTGATTTACTGTTTTCAGTTATATTGATTTCTACTCTTAAGTTTTTATTATTTTTCTTTTTAGTTTAGATTTAATTTGCTCTTATTTTTCTAATTTCTTACGGTAGAAACTTAGATCATTGATTTTAGATCTCTCTTATTTTCTAATATATGTATTCAATGCTGTGAATTTTCCCATAAGCACTGCTTTCACTGCATTATACAAATTTTGTTGGGCTTTCATTTTATTTAGTTCAAAATATTTTAAAATTTATCTTGATATGTCTTCCTTGACCCGTGTATTATTTAGAAGTGTGTTGTTTAACCTTCAGGTATTTGGGGATTTTCCAGATATCTTTCTGTTATTGATTTTTATTTTGATACCATTGTGGTCTTTGCGTGATTTCTTTTCATTTAAATATGCTAAGTTGTGATTTATGGCAAATAAGTTGATCTGACTTGGTGAATATTCCATGTGTGCTTGAGAAGAATGTGTAAATTGCCATTTTTTGATGTTTTCTATAAATGTCTGTCAGATCCAGTTGATTGTTCTGTTCAGTTCAACTATGTCCTTACCAATTTTTTTGCCTGCTGAAATTGTCAATTACATTCTCTCCAAATCTAAAAGTCTCCAACTACAATAGTGGACTCATCTATTTCTCCTTGTACTTCTATCGGTTTTTGTCTCACATATTTTGATGCTCTGTTGTTAGGTATATACACATTAAGAATTGTTGTCTTCTGGAGAATTGACCCCTTTATCAATATGGAATGCATTTTCTTTATCTTTGATAATTTTCCTTGCTCTGAATTCTGTTTTGTTTGCAATTTATGTAGTAAGCTTGGCTTTTTATTAATTAGTGTTAGCATAGTACATTGTTATCCATCATTTTGCTTTTATTCTATTCATGTCTTTATATTTAAAGTGGATTTCTTATAGATAACATATTGTTGTGTCCTAATTTTGATCCACTCTCTCTTTTTCTTTTTTGAGATGGAGTGTCGCTTTGTCATCCAGGCTGGAGTGCAGTGGCATTATCTTGGCTCAGTGCAACCTCTGCCTTCTGGGTTCAAGTGATTCTCCTGCCTCAGCCTCCTGAGTAGCTGGGATTACAGGCACACACCATCACACCTGGCTAATTTTTGTATTTTTAGTAGAGATGGGGTTTCACCATGTTGATCAGGCTGGTCTAGAACTCCTGACCTCAGGTGATCCATCCACCTTGGCCTCCCAAAGTGCTGGGATTATAGGTGTGAGCCACCATGCCTGGCCCACTCTGTCTTTTAACTGATGAGTTTAGACCACTGACATTTAAAGTGGTTATCGATATAGTTGGATTAATATCTATATTGGGTTAATATTTGCTACTGTTTTCTTTTTGTTGTTGTTGTTGTTGTATTTTTTGTAGAGATGGAGTTTTGTAGAGATTGGCCAGGCTGGTCTCAAACTCCTGGCCTCAAGTGATCTGCCTGCCTCAGCCTCCCAAAGTGCTGGAATTACAGGTGTGAGCCACCATGCCCAGCCATTATTTGTTACTGTTTTCTATTCAAGCCAATTTTCAAAACTACATCTTTATCCTTTCTTTACACAAATACTCTCTTTTAATAATAATGTCATTCTCTTTAATACAGCGGTACTGGCTACATTTCCTGGGCTTTGCTTGCCCATATATTTAAAGCTTAAATCGGCTAAGGAGAGTATATAATTGATCAGGAGACAACTTGTAGAGAAAAACTGCTTGAAGGTCTCTGTTTTTGCCTGACACCTAACTTAATCCTCACAGGACAATTATGAGGTATCCTCTGACAAGAGAGAGTTGACATCATTTTCCTAATTCCACAACAGAAGAAGCAGAAACACTTGCTGAGGCATCTCAGGTCATGCACTGAAAGTCATATTGCCAGCAAGGGGTGCGGTGGGATTTGAATCCAGGTAGTCTGATCCTGTGCCCATGCTCTTTAACTTAGTCACACTAAGCAGATGGTGCCCTCATAGTTTTGAAGGGGGTGAGCCAGGTAAGCCAATATCCTCTGTGATCTGCTACTGGGGCCAGGGAAGAAGTATGTTCCTTGAATGCTCCATGCTCTCTCAGGCCCACAGGACCTCATGCATACATGCTGTTCCTCTGCCTGGACAATTCATCACCCACCTTCCACTCAGCTTCCAGTCAGCTGCCAACCACCTTCTACTCAGCTAACTGCCACTCAGCCTTCACACCTGAAATTACTGGCCACTCACTTGGGGAGAATGTCCCCCCTAAACAAGGTTATAGTTTCCTGCCACATGCCATTAGAGCCCACTGAATTCTATCACACTGCACATTCATCAGGGTTGAAGATTCTTTACTTGTTGTATGCCTCCCCCAGAAGATGATGAAACCCCTGAAATCAGGGTCCTTGTCTGCCCTTCCCAACCCTGAGGCCCCAAATCCCCACTGCACAGAAGTGTGAGGTCCAGAGATCTTAAAGGAATCGTGTTTTTGCTGGGAACAAATGGTTAGTGGTGACAGGAAGTGGGGGTGCTAACATATACAATTATTCAACACCTCTTTCCTGTTCATCCTGGAAAAGTTAGGGGTGGATGAAAAGTTACAGCTAAAGGATTGACATTTTTGTGGAATCAAAACCAATGGATTTCTAGGAGAGAGACTGGTTAGGTTATTGGATTATAATACATACCTGTGGGATTATATATTTGAACAAACTAATACATTAAGATAAAATGCTCAAAGGCAGATACCTAAATAGAGATGTTCACTTTACACAGTAATTAATACTAGAACAGCCATTGAGGTTTTAAAAAGTGAACATTGTAGTATACTATATTAGTCTGCTCTCACACTGCTAATAAAGATGTACCTGAGACTGGGTAATTTATAAAGGAAAGAGGTTTAATGGACTTGCAGCTCCATTTGGCTGGGGAGGCCTCACAATTATGGCAGAAGGCAAAGGAGAAACAAAGGAATGTCTTACATGGCAGCAGGCAGGAGAGCATGTGTAGGGAAACTCCCCTTTATAAAACCATCGGATCTCGTGAGATTTATTCACTATCACAAGAACAGCACAGGAAAATCCTGTCCCCATGATTCACTTACCTCCCACTTGGTCCATCCCACAATGTGTGGGAATTCTGGGAGCTACAAGTCAAGATGAGATTTGGGTGGGGATGCAGCCAAACCATATCATATACTAAGTGAATGAAACAGAAATTAATTGAAATTAAACAATGTCTGTAACAGAGCGCCTGTTACATGGTGGGTGCTCAATAAGTATTAGTTATATAAGTAAGTTTATGCATCATTTTCTCCTTTAGTTGGTATTTGTGGAGTACTTACTATGTGCTTCACCTGGGCCCTATGTGCTCTCTGAAAAGCTTTCTGTGTTTCCTCAGTAAGTACTCTCTCCTGTTCTACATACAGCTTTTTCAAATTATCTTACCTTTCATAAGACCAGTTCTCTGACTTATCACCACCCCCCATACCCAGTCATAGCATAAAATCTGGCCTACTAAATCACCAAGGAAAGGGAAAATATATCTAGTAATTTTTTAACTTTTTTGCTACATTATAGTTAATACACCAAAAAGATCACCCATTGTAACTCTAAATTGAGACAACTTATAGGAAATGTTTACAGTTGTACAAACATCATTACTATGCAGTTCAAGAACACTTTTGTTATCAATAAAAGTTCCCTTGTGACCATTTTTAACAGCTTTATTGTGGTATAATTGTCATATAATAAACCATGTGTGTTTAAAAAAGTGTACAATTTGATGTTTTGACATATGTATAGACTTGTAAAACCATCCCTACATTCAAGATAATGAATATATTTATCACCCCTAAAAGTTTTGTTTTGACCCTTTATCATTCATTCTTCATACCCTGCTCACTTCTTCTTATGCTCATGCAATCATTGAACTGGCTTCTATTCTTTTTTATTAATTTGCATTTCCTAGAGTTTTATATCAATGCCATCAGCTATACTATGTATTTTTCTGGCTTCTTTCACTCAGATAATTATTCTGAGATTCATTCGTATTGTGTGTATCAATAGTTCCTTTGTTTTTATTACTGAGTAATATTCCATTGTATGACTATGCCACAACTAACCATTCATCAGTTAATGGGCAGTTACGCTGTTTCCAGTTTAGGGGTATTACAAATAAAGTGTCAATAGACATTCAGGTAAAACTGTTCACATGGTGTCTTAATCTGTTTTGTGTTGCTGTAAAAGAATATCTGAGACTGAGTAATTTATAAAGAAAATATGTTTATTTGGCTTACAATTCTGCAGGCTCTGAAGTACAAGAAGCATGATGCCAGCATCTGTTTGGCTTCTGGTGAGGGTCATGTGTCGGTCAAAACATGGTGGAGAAGGCCAAAGGAGAAGCAGACACATGTGAAAACAGAGGACCTGAGGGACATCCTGGCTTTATAACAACACACTCTCATGGGAACTAATCCATTCTCAGAGAAGAAATCCAGCCTTTCAAGAACTCAGTACCATGAGAATGGCACCAAGCCATTCATGAAGGATCTGTCCCCATGACCCAAACACCTCTCACCAGGCCTCACCTCTCAACACTGCCACATTGAGAATCAAATTGCCACATGAGTTTTGTTGGGGACAAACAAACCTCATCCAAACCACAGCACATAGATATATATTTTCTTTACTCTTTGTTAAATACATAGTAGTGGACTGGCTGGACCATATGATACTTATATGCTTTTTAAGTAACTAAAAAACTGTTTTCCAAAGTGGCTGTGCAATTTTACATTTCAACTGGGAGCATATGAGAGTTCTAGTTCTTCCACATTCTTATAACACTTGGTATGGTCAGACTTTTTAAATTGTAGACATTGTAATAGGTATGTAGTGGTGTCTCATTGGGGTTTTAGTTTGCATTCCCCCAATTACTGAAGATGTTGAGCATATTTTGATGTGCTTACTTGACATCTGTTCAAATCATTTGCCCATTTTTAATTTGGTTGTTTGTTTTATTGTTGTATTTTGAGAGCTCTTTATATATTATAGATATATGTACTTTATCAGATACATGCTTTGAAAAGAGTTTTTACCCAGTATGTGGCTTTTTTTCCATTCTTTTATCATTGTTTTTCTAGGAGCACTTTTTACTATCGGTGAAATAAATTTAACAATTTGTTATGTTGTGGATTGTGCTTTTTATGTCATATCTAAGATATCTTCACATAAACCAACATCATGAAGATTTTCTCCCATCATTTCTTCTAGAAATTTTATAAATTTAGATTTTACAGTTAGAGCTTTGGTCTATTCTGAGTTGCGTTTTATGGTATGATATATGGCTCCAACTTTAATTTTTGCATATGGATATCCAATTATTTTGTTTAAGAAAGTCTATCCATTTCTGCACTGTCTTTTGCACCTTTGCAAAAACAAAAAATAAGTTGTCCATTTCTGTTTGGGTTTGTCTGCACTTTCTATTTTGTTCCACTGATCTATTTATCAATCTTTACATCAATACTGTGGTGTTTTGATTACTGTTGCTTTGTAAAAAAACATTTGAAATAAAGTGGTAGTAGTCCTTCAATTTCGTTCTTTTTCAGAGTTGTTTTGAATAATTTAGGTACTTTTCATTTTCGTATTTCATATTTCATATAGCATTTTCTTGTCAATTTTTGCAAGAAAAGCCAGCTGTGATATTGACTGGTATTACATTGAATGTATACATCAATTTGGGAATAAATGATGCCTTAATAACATCAAGTCTTTGAACCAGTTAAGATATATCTCTTCATTTACTTAGGTCTTCATTAATTTTTCCCCACCATATTTTGTTGTTCTCAGTGTACTGGTCTGATATGGTTTGGCTCTGTGTTCCTACCCAAATCTCATGTCAAATTGTAATACCCATGGGTCAGGGGAGGGACCTGGTGGGAGGTGATTGGATCATGAAGGCCGATTTCTCCCTTGTTGTTCTTCTGATAGCAGGTGAGTTCTCTTGAGATCTGGTTGTTTAAAAGTGTGTGGCACTTCTTCCTTCACTCTCTCTCTCCTGCCTCCATGTGAAGAAGGTCCTTGCTTCCTCTTCGACTTCTACCATGATTGTAAGTTTCCTGAGGCCTCCCCGTCATGCTTCTTGTTAAGCCTGCAGAACTGTGAGTCAGTTAAACCTCTTTTATTCATAAATTACCCAGTCTCAGATAATTCTTTATAGCAGTATGAAAAAGGACTAATACAAGATCTTTCATGTGTTTTGTAAGATTTATCCTTAAGTACTTCATATTTTACGCTCTTGTAAATGATTATGTAGTTTCAATGTTCAATTTTTTTATTGCTTATATATGGAAACACAATTTTTGTATCTTGACTTTGTAGTTCCCTACCTTGATAAATGTGCTTATAGTTCCAATAGGTTTTTGAAGATTTCATCTAATTTTCTAAATGAGCGATTACATCATTTATGAATAAAGAGAGTTCTACTTCTTCTTTTCCAAACTCTGTTACTTTTCGTTTTCTTACTGACTTCACTGCCTAGAACCACCAGTCTAATGCGGAATGGATGTGGTGAGTGTAGACATTTCTGTATTCCTCATGGTGTGTGTGTGTGTGTGTGTGTGTGTGTAAGGGGAGACCTTCCTTCCTCCCTTCCTTCCTTCTTTCCTCTTTTTCTCTTTCTTTCTTTTTTCTTTCTTCCTTCCTTTGTCTTTCTTTCTTTCTTTCTTTCTCTTTCTTTCTTTCTTTCTCTTTCTCTCTCTCTCCCCTTCCTTCCTTCCTTCTTCCCTCCCTCCCTCACTCCCTCCCTTTCTTCCTTCCTTCCTGCATTCCTTCCTTCTTTCTTGCTTCTTAGAGACGGAGTCTTGCTCTGTCACATAGCTCACTGCAACCTCCACCTCCTGGGTTCAAGCAAGCCTCCCACCTCAGCCTCCCAAGTAGCTAGGACTACAGGCATGCAACACCATGCCCGGCTAATTTTTTAATTTTTTGTAGAGACAGGGGTCTTCCCCTGTTGCCCAGGCTGGCCTCAAACTCCTGGCCTCAAGTGATCCTCCTGCCTCAGCCCGCAAAGTACTTGGATTACATGTGTGAGCAACTGCATTCAGAAAGTTTTTTGTTGTTAAATATGTTAGCTGTAACATCATATTTATACACATCCTTTATAAGGTTGAGAAAATTTTCTTTCATTTCTAGTTTTCTCCCAGTGCTTATCAGGAATGGATGTTGGGGTTTCTCAAATGCTTTCTCTGCTTCAATGGAAATGATCAAATGATTTTTCATTAAAGTTTGCTAATATGGTAAATTACATTGATGGTTTTTGATTGTTAAATGGCTGGGCATGGTGGCTCATGCTGCCTGTAATCCTAACATTTTGGGAAGTTGAAATGGGAGGATTGCTTGAGGACAGGAGTTCAAGACAAGCCTGGGTGAAATAGTGAGACCCCCATCTCTACAAAAAATACAAAAAAAAAAGTAAAAAAAATAAGCAGCCCTGAATTCCAGGGATAAAACCTAGCTGACTATGATCATCATATATTCCTTTAATCATTTTGATATAGTTTTATTTAATTCCTTTAACATATTTATAATACTCGCTTTAAATGCTTTGTCTGCTCAATATAACATGTGAGCCCATTCAGAGTAACTTTCTATTGCCAGGGTTTTTTTCCCATTTTGTTGCGTCATAAGTTTTGTTTGTAAACTAGATATTTTAGATAGTGTTTTATAGCAATTCTAGATTTTGTTTTATTTTTTACTTATTTTTTTTGCAAGCTTCAAACATTTTATTTTATTTTATTATTATTATACTTTAAGTTTTAGGGTACATGTGCACAAGGCGCAGGTTTGTTACATATGTATACATGTGTCATGTTGGTGTGCTGCACCCATTAACTAGTCATTTAGCATTAGGTATATCTCCTAATGCTATCCCTCCCCCCTCCCGCCACCCCACAATCATCCCCGGTGTGTGATGTTCCCCTTCATGTGTTCATGTGTTCTCATTGTTCAATTCCCACCTATGAGTGAGAACATGCAGTGTTTGGTTTTTTGTCCTTGCGATAGTTTGCTGAGAACGATGGTTTCCAACTTCATCCATGTCCCTACAAAGGACATGAACTCATCATTTTTTATGGCTACATAGTATTCCATGGTATATATGTGCCACATTTTCTTAATCCAGTCTATCATTGTTGGACATTTGGGTTGGTTCCAAGTCTTTGCTGTTGCGAATAGTGCTGCAATAAACATACGTGTGCATGTGTCTTTATAGCAGGATGATTTATAATCCTTTGGGTATATACCCAGTAATGGGATGGCTGGGTCAAATGGTATTTCTAGTTCTAGATCCCTGAGGAATCACCACACTGACTTCCACAATGGTTGAACTAGTTTCCAGTCCCACCAACAGTGTAAAAGTGTTCCTATTTCTCCACATCCTCTCCAGCACCTGTTGTTTCCTGACTTTTTAATGATTGCCATTCTAAATGGTGTGAGATGGTATCTCATTGTGGTTTTGATTTGCATTTCTCTGATGGCCAGTGATGATGAGCATTTTTTCATGTGTCTGTTGGCTGCATAAATGTCTTCTTTTGAGAAGTGTCTGTTCATATCCTTTGCCCACTTTTTCATGGGGTTGTTTGTTTTTTTCTGGTAAATTTGTTTGAGTTCATTGTAGATTCTGGATATTAGCCCTTTGTCAGATGACTAGGTTGCAAAAATTTTTTCCCATTCTGTAGGTTGCCTGTTCACTCTGATGGTGGTTTCTTTTGCTGTGCAGAAGCTCTTTAGTTTAATTAGATCCCATTTGTCAATTTTGGCTTTTGTTGCCATTGCTTTTGGTGTTTTAAACATGAAGTCCTTGCCCATGCCTATGTCCTGAATGGTAATGCCTAGGTTTTCTTTTAGGGTTTTTATGGTTTTAGGTGGAACATGTAAGTCTTTAATCCATCTTGAATTAATTTTTGTATAAGGTGTAAGGAAGGGATCCAGTTTCAGCTTTCTACATATGGCTAGCCAGTTTTCCCGGCACCATTTATTAAATAGGGAATCTTTTCCCCATTGCTTGTTTTTCTCGGGTTTGTCAAAGATCAGATAGTTGTAGATATGCGGCATTACTTCTGAGAGCTCTGTTCTGTTCTACTGGTCTATAACTCTGTTTTGGTACCAGTACCATGCTGTTTTGGTTACTGTAGCCTTGTAGAATAGTTTGAAATCAGGTAGCATGATGCCTCCAGCTTTGTTCTTTTGGCTTAGGATTGACTTGGCAATGCAGGCTCTTTTTTGGTTCCATATGAACTTTAAAATAGTTTTTTTCAGTTCTGTGAAGAAAGTCATTGGTAGCTTGATGGGGATGGCATTGAATCTATAAATTACCTTGGGCAGTATGGCCATTTTCACATTATTGATTCTTCCGATCCATGAGCATGGAATGTTCTTCCATTTGTTTGTATCCTCTTTTATTTCTTTGAGCAGTGATTTGTAGTTCTCCTTGAAGAAGTCCTTCACATCCATTGTAAGTTGGATTCTTAGGTATTTTATTCTCTTTGAAGCAATTTTGAATGGGAGTTCACTCATGATTTGGCCTCTGTTTGTCTGTTATTGTTATATAAGAATGCTTGTGATTTTTGCACATTGATTTTGTATCCTGAGACTTTGCTGAAGTTGCTTATCAGCTTAAGAAGATTTTGGGCTGAGATGATGGGGTTTTCTAGATATACAATCATATCATCTGCAAACAGGGACAATTTAACTTCCTGTTTTCCTAATTGAATGCCCTTTATTTCCTTCTCCTGCCTGATTGCCCTGGCCAGAACTTCCAACACTATGTTGAATAGGAGTGGTGAGAGAGGTCATCCCTGTCTTGTGCCAGTTTTCAAAGGGAATGCTTCCAGTTTTTGTCTATTCAGTATGATATTGACTGTGGGTTTGTCATAGATAGCTCTTATTATTTTGAGATACGTCCCATCAATACCTAATTTATTGAGAGTTTTTAGCATGAAACGTTGTTGAATTTTGTCAAAGGCCTTTTCTGCATCTATTGAGATAATCATGTGGTTTTTGTCTTTGGTTCTGTTTATATGCTTGATTACATTATTGATTTGCGTATGTTGAACCAGCCTTGCATCCCAGGGATGAAGCCCACTTGATCATGGTGGATAAGCTTTTTGATGTGTTGCTGGATTCGATTTGCCAGTATTTTATTGAGGATTTTTGCATCAATGTTCATCAAGGATATTTGTCTAAAATTCTCTTTTTTTGTTGTGTCTCTGCCCGGCTTTGGTATCAGGATGATGCTGACTTCATAAAATGAGTTAGGGAGGATTCCCTCTTTTTCTATTGATTGGAATAGTTTCAGAAGGAATGGTACCAGCTCCAGCTTGTACCTTTGGTAGAATTTGGTTGTGAATCCATCCAGTCCTGGCCTTTTTTTGGTTGGTAAGCTGCTGATTATTGCCTCAATTTCAGAGCCTGTTATTGGTCTATTCAGAGATTCAACTTCTTCCTGGTTTAGTCTTGGGAGGGTGTATGTGTTGAGGAATTTATCCATTTCTTCTAGATTTTCTAGTTTATTTGGGTAGAGGTGTTTCTAGTATTCTCTGATGGTAGTTTGTATTTCTGTGGGATCGGTGGTGATATCCCCTTTGTCATTTTTTATTGCATCTATTTGATTCTTCTCTCTTTTCTTCTTTATTAGTCTTGCTAGCAGTCTATCAATTTTGTTGATCTTTTCAAAAAACCAGCTCCTGGATTCATTGATTTTTTGAAGGGTTTTTTGTGTCTCTATTTCCTTCAGTTCTGCTCTGATCTTAGTTATTTCTTGCCTTCTGCTAGCTTTTGAATGTGTTTGCTCTTGCTTTTCTAGTTCTTTTAATTGTGATGTTAGGGAGTCAATTTTAGATCTTTCCTGCTTTCTCTTGTGGGCATTTAGTGCTATAAATTTCCCTCTTCACACTGCTTTGAATGTGTCCCAGAGATTCTGGTATGTTGTGTCTTTGTTCTCGTTGGTTTCAAAGAACATTTTTATTTCTGCCTTCATTCCGTTATGTACCTAGTAGTCATTCAGGAGCAGGTTGTTCAGTTTCCATGTAGTTGAGCAGTTTTGAGTGAGTCTCTTAATCCTGAGTTCTAGTTTGATTGCACTGTGTTCTGAGAGACAGTTTGTTATAATTTCTGTTCTTTTACATTTGCTGAGGAGTGTTTTACTTCCAACTATGTGGTCAATTTTGGGATAGGTGTGGTGTGGTGCTGAAAAGAATGTATATTCTGTTGATTAGGGGTGGAGAATTCTGTAGATGTCTATTAGGTCTGATTGGTGCAGAGCTGAGTTCAATTCCTGGATATCCTTGTTAACTTTCTGTCTCATTGATCTGTCTAATCTTGACAGTGGGGAGTTAAAGTCTCTGATTATTATTGTGTGGGAGTCTAAGTCTCTTTGTAGGTCACTAAGGACTTGCTTTATGAATCTGGGTGCTCCTGTATTGGGTGCATATATATTTAGGATAGTTAGTTCTTCTTGTTGAATTTATCCCTTTACCATTATATAATGGCCTTCTTTGTCTCTTTTGATCTTTGTTGGTTGAAAGTCTGTTTTATCCGAGACTAGGATTGCAACCCCTGCCTTTTTTTCTTTTCCATTTGCTTGGTAGATCTTCCTCCATCCCTTTATTTTGAGCCTATGTGTGTCTCTGCACATGAGATGGGTTTCCTGAATACAGCACACTGATGTGTCTGGACTCTTTATCCAAATTGCCAGTCTGTGCCTTTTCTTTGGAGCATTTAGCCAATTTACATTTAAGGTTAGTATTGTTATGTGTGAATTTGATCTTGTCACTATGATATTAGCTGGTTATTTTGCTCGTTAGTTGATGCAGTTTCTTCCTAGCCTTTATGGTCTTTACAATTTGGCATGTTTTTGCAGTGGCTGGTACTGGTTGTTCCTTTCCATGTTTAGTGCTTCCTTCAGGAGCTCTTTTAGGGCAGGCCTGGTGGTCACAATATCTCTCAGCATTTGCTTGTCTGTAAAGGATTTTATTTCTCCTCCACTTATGGAGCTTAGTTTGGCTGGATATGAAATTCTGGGTTGAGAATTCTTTTCTTTAAGAATGTTGAATATTGGCCCCCACTCTATTCTGGCTTGTAGACTTTCTGCCAAGAGATCAGCTGTTAGTCTGATGGGCTTCCCTTTGAGGGTAACCCGACCTTTCTCTCTGGCTGCCCTTAACATTTTTTCCTTCATTTCAAGTTTGGTGAATCTGACAATTACGTGTCTTGGAGTTGCTCTTCTCGAGGAGTATCTTTGTGACGTTCTCTGTATTTCCTGAATTTGAATGTTGGCCTGCCTTGCTATATTGGGGAAGTTCTCCTGGATAATATCCTGCAGAGTGTTCTCCAACTTCGTTCCATTTTCCCCGTCACTTTCAGGTACACTAATCAGATGTAGATTTGGTCTTTTCACATAGTCCCATATTTCTTGGAGGCTTTGTTTCTTTTTATTCTTTTTTCTCTAAACTTCTCTTCTCGCTTCATTTCATTCATTTCATCTTCCATCACTGATACCCTTTCTTCCAGTTGATCACATCGGTTACTGAGGCTTGTGCAGTCGTCACGTAGTTCTCGTGCCTTGGTTTTCAGCTCCATCAAGTTCTTTAAGGACTTCTCTGCATTGGTTATTCTAGTTATACATTCTTCCAATTTGTTTTCAAAATTTTTAACTTCTTTCTCATTGGTTCGAACTTCCTCCTTTAGCTCAGAGTAGTTTGATCTTCTGAAGCCTTCTTCTCTCAACTCGACAAAGTCATTTTCCATCCAGCTTTGTTCCATTGCTATTGAGGAGCTGCGTTCCTTTGGAGGAGGAGAGGCACTCTGATTTTTAGAGTTTCCGGTTTTTCTGCTCTGTTTTTTCCCCGTCTTTGTGGTTTTATCTACCTTTGGTCTTTGTTGGTGACGTACAGATGGGTTTTTGGTGTGGATGTCCTTTTTGTTTGTTAGTTTTCCTTCTAACAGTAAGGACCCTCAGCCACAGGTCTGTTGGAGTTTGCCGGAGGTCCACTCCAGACGCTGTTTGCCTGGGTATCAGCAGTGGTGGCTGCAGAACAGTGGATATTGGTGAACTGCAAATGTTGCTGTCTGATCGTTCCTCTGGAAGTTTTGTCTCAGAGGAGTACCTGGTCGTGTGAGGTGTCAGTCCGCCCCTACTGGGGGGTGCCTCCCAGTTTGGCTACTCAGGGGTCAGGGACCCACTTGAGGAGGCAGTCTGTCCATTCTCAGATCTCTAGCTGCATGCTGGGAGACACACTACTCTCTTCAAAGCTGTCAGACAGGGACATTTAAGTCTGCAGAAGTTATTGCTGTCTTTTGTTTGTCTGTGCCCTGCCCCCAGAGGTGGAGCCTACAGAGGCAGGCTGGCCTCCTTGAGGTGTGGTGGGCTCCACCCATTTCGAGCTTCCTGGCTGCTTTGTTTACCTACTCAAGCCTGGGCAATGGCAGGCTCCCCTCCCCCAGCCTCGCTGCCACCTTGCAGCTTGATCTCAGACTGCTGTGCTAGCAATGAGCGAGGCTCTGTGGGTGTAGGACCCTCTGAGCCAGTCACAGGATATAATCTCCTGGTGTGCCATTTGTTAAGCCTGTTGGAAAAGCACAGTATTAGGGTGGGAGTGACCCGATTTTCCAGGTGCCATCTGTCTCCCCTTTCTTTGACTAGGAAAGGGAATTCCCTGACCCCTTGTGCTTCCTGGGTGATCATGCACGGTGTGCTGCACCCACTGTCCTACACCGTCTGGCACTCCCCAGTGAGATGAACCCAGTACCTCAGTTGGAAATGCAGAAATCACCCGTCTTCTGCATCTCTCACGCTGGGAGCTGTAGACTGGAGCTGTTCCTATTCAGCCATCTTGGCTCCACTCCCTAGATTTTGTTTTAATTATATGAATTTTTTCTGGAGAGTTGCCTGGCTTTAGCATTGTAATTTGTCATCTCATGGCAAGAAGCCACTGAGGTCTCTGTTTAATTTTTTTATCCTTGTTTTTATTTTTTATTCTGGATTCCTATTAGTCACCCCTGTATCTGCATATCTTAGTGATCAGGCAATGGTTTGGCCAGAGATTGTTTTAAAAAACCTGAAGCCTGTAAAGCTTCTACACTCAGCTGACCAATCAATCCATCAATCAATCTGTGTGTGGATTGGGGAGCACAATAAACATTTCAGTCAATTCTCAAGCCTGCCTTCACTTTTACTTTTCTCTGAGCTCTCCTGGGTCTCTCCCATACATGTGCATATTTTCCCAGTCACACAGGATATATGAAGACCTACTGTTGTGCATTCATTTTCAAAATCTCTTTATTAAATTCCTCTCTGATCCTCTGCTTGCCCCACTGTAACCTCAAACTTAGGCAACCAAATGGACAGATTTTACCATTTGATTCCTAATGAGTATACAACTCTTAACTAATAATAACCCAGCTTTTCACCATCTGACCCAAATGGAATTCACCCACTGGGAGAAAAGCTGCTAAATTGTTTTGGTCGGCACATACTGTAAACCTATCCTTCTCACCTTGGGATCTAAGGAGATTGAGGGGTGGGCTGGATGGAAGAAGCCCCATGCAAGGACACAGATTCTTTTACACACAGATCTAGCAGTTTTTCAAGGTTAAACACTTATTAATAATTTGTTTACCTTGAGTATATTTTCAGAGCCCCAAAACACTTGTTTTTGACAATTTTGTCCAGCCTTATTCTTGTATTTGGCAAAAAGGATTAACCAAACTCTTCAAGCCACCATAACCAGAATTTCACATCAGGTGTAATTTTCCTCATTTTCTTTCAACTAAACCTAAAAACTTTTTTGTAGTCATTCTCTTATTAGTTAGTTATTGCTGCAAAACAAATGACACCAACACTTAGTGCTTAAAATTATATTGATTTATTTAACTCTTCTTACTCTGGTGAGCAATTTAGTCTTAGCTCACCTAGCCAGTTCTGATCTCTGCTGGATTCATTTACATTTGTGTGATCAACTGGTAGATTGACTGGGAGCTGGATTTTTTTAAGATGGCCCCAGATAAGATGTCTCATCTCTTCTGTATGTGGTCTGTCATCCTCCAGCCAATTGACCCAGGATTTCAAATGTCAGCTGAGTAAGATTCCAAGAGGGAAAGCAGAAGTGTGCAAGGATTCTTTAGGCCTATACTCAGAATTAGCAAAATATCATTTATTCCACATTTTATTAGTCAAAAGGTTGTAGGAAAATCTGGGTTCTTTTCACATGACCAGGAAAGATTAGGCTTGCAGACACTTTGAAAGGTGAGGGGAAACAGAATTTATTGGTCAAGAAAGGAAAAAGAGAGAAAAACTTTCAGTAGAGTGAGAGGGAAGCCTGTTAACTGGATCTCATCCCACCACACAGGAACTCAAGAGACTGGGCTCCTCTGCGAATGGCGTGACATTCCATGACACCATACTCTTCTCCCAGTGTGCAGGCCAGTTGGAGTTTCTTTGGGACCAGCAGTCCGGTTTTTCAGCCTTTAGGCTGTTTTAGTCTTGAAGGCAGGGTTTTGCTGGGCAGCCCTTGGCTGCCTCCTGTCTCTACCATTCCCCCTTCTAAAGAAGTACATCTAACTGTCCCTAGAGTAAGAATAAAGATAAGGATGAAGACTGATCTCAACTGCTTCCTGCTGAGAGGGGGTGCTGTTTTGGGAAAATGGCAGTCAGATCTCCCTCAGAGAGAGGTCTGAGGCTCCTGTTGCATGACCATTTGGACTTTGATGGCCTGAAGGTGAGATAAGACAAACCAGGTTATTAGAAAACATATCAAAATGAAACAAGGGTGAGTAAGGACAGCTTAGGAATTCTGAGGCCTGTTACCAGTTTGCATGGGGAGAGGGAAGCCAATAACTGGACTGGCAAAAACACTTTTACCCTTTTGATGGCATGTCAGACTTCTGGGTTCCCTTCCCTTGAGCCCAACCCTAAGCCAACCAGTTTAAAGTTTGGGAAATTAACTTTCCCCATTTTGGAAGATGCATCCAAGGGGAGTGTCCCATAGTATGGAGACACAATTACCTATTGGTGAAGAGAGGACAGAGGAGGAGAAAAGAAAGAAGAAAGCGTTTTTTTTCAAAGGAGTCCCAGGGTTTTGGGATGCATTTGAAAGGGGTACAGACTGAAGATGGATGGCTACTCTTCTAGTAAGAGGGGAGCAGGTATCCCTGGTTCCCTTCTCTTCCCAGCAAATACACAGGGTACATGAGGGGGAGAAAGTGAGGCACTCCTCTTTCTTTCCTCCATCTTTGTATCCCCGAGTCCCAGTGACCACAACAGGTTGCCACCCATGAGTGCCAAAGCAGCTTGCACCTATGAAGCAGGGATGGCCTAGAGAATAGGAATTATCCACTCTCACCTGTGCCTCTATCCCCGCTACTGTCAGTAGCCTTGGAGTTCACTAGACCTCACTTATGCTATACATACCAGCTTGACATTTATCCATGAAACTGGAGGCTTGGCTTAATCAACAGGAATTAGCCAAGCTCACCTGCACTGTACCTTTAACCTCTGTTATCAACTGCCTCTGGATCCCTCAGATCCAATTTTCTTTCCTAGGGCTTTGACCCAAAGCTTGGAATAAGGTTGGGACCAAAATGTGTCTTGGGGAGATTGCATGGATTCCTTATTATCAGCTGCATGCTAAGGTGAAGCTGTGGAATTGAGTCCTCCTCAAACAAGGTAGAGAAGAGGATGTCTCGTGACATGCCCAGACAACTTGTGGCTATACTTATGCTTGTTAAGATTTGGGCACATGATGCTTGGCTTTGGTTAGCAACCTTGGTCTCACTTTCCCAAAAAGGAAACCTCTGGCTGATGGGCACCCTATTTATTCCCATACCTGGCAGGATTTGCAAGATAATTGCTCAGAACAAGAATATTGATCCAGATTTCTACAGTACCCATCTCTTTTGTTCTTTCTGAGCTGCAGCCAGAGATTGCTAGTTGGTTCACAGGAACAAGCAGCGTTAGTCTAAAATGTAGGCAAAAACTTAAAAACAACTAATAAGTCTAGAATTTAATGACAAGTGTATGATAAGTTTTGAAACAAAATTTCTGTCTCTCTAATCCTAATTTTTGTTAAAAGAAATCATGATAGGACTGAGTCGTTTGCAAAATAGACTTTAGTTTTAGACTTAGCCTGATTATTTGCATAAAATGCAGCAAGAATAACTATTTCTACATAGGCCTTTTAGATTGGCTTTGCTGGAACTCTGTTCCATAAGGAATCTCAGATAAGACCTTTTAAAGCTGAGCCCAGCCATGGGTTTTTATCCTCAAATACATGTGAGTTGGGTGATCCTCTCCTCTTAAGGTCCCAAGATAAACTTGGAGCTCCTGGGCCTGTTAGAAAGTGACATTCTTTACTGACCACAAGTAAGGAACGCTGTACAGGGACTGCGTAGATGAGGGTATGAGGCCAGTTTCCCCGAGGGGCTTTTATCAGCTCTGCAAATCAAGCTTGACTCCTTAAAGGGGAGCATACCCTTCCAGTCAAAGCCTTGGTAAAGCAACCAGTTTCTTCAACTGCATCCTGTTGCAAAAGAAAATGGATTCTTATTGCACTGATGCAAACAGCTAGATTAACACGAGTTAAGAATACTCACAGATAGCTTCTAAATTCTAGAGGAACCAGGCCAAAAGAAACAAACATGCTTTAAATTTTGTTCACAGGAGTATACCTTACTCAATTATTAAGGGCCATAAATAGTTCAAAATAAGTTTCCTTGACTCTGAAAAACAAAACAAGGATCAGCAGTATTCCAAGCAAAAATAAAAAAGGTTGCGTCAGTTTCCTGAGTTCATTCTGTTGGCTCTTGTTTTGCTTGATATTCACGAACATTTCAGCTCTTCATGAGCCCTGTATGTTTTTCCTTTATTCCAATGTCACAATCTCCAAAGTTATCAGAAACTTGTATTTGAGAGCACTTGTCAAAGTTCTATAGCTTATTATAAACCATTTTTTGAAAAGGATTAAAACAAGACAACAATTGTCTGTGAATAACAAAATGTCTAGGGTAGTTACAGTTAGAAACACAATTGACAAAGAAGTTTGGTTATCTCTGTCATTTACAATAACTTAACATAACAAACTTAATTATGATTGATAGCATTATACTTTAGACATTAGAATTTTGGGCTGGGAACAGTGGCTCACACCTGTAATCCCAGCACTTTGGGAGGCTGAAGCAGGCAGATCACTTGAGGTTAGGAGTTTGAGACCAGCCCGCCCAACATGGTGAAACCCCATCTCTACTAAAAATACAAAATTTAGCCAGGCATGGTGGCATGTGCCTGTAATCCCAGCTACTTGGGAGGCTGAGGCAGGAGAATCACTTGATCCCAGGAAGTGGAGGCTGTGCTGAGCCAAGATCATGCCAATACACTCCAGCCTGGATGACAGAATGAGACTCTGTCTCAAAAAATAAAATAAAAAATAAATAGATATTAGAATTTTTGGAATCCCATACAATTTTGGAACATATATTGGTATTATTCTCCAAAATATAACTTAAAGAAGATTGAACATTATTTTGCAATTTCATGCAACTAAAATTGTCAAATAATCCTGTTTACCTCTCATCTCTGAACATTCCAGGGGCCCTTCTGAAGTATCTGAAAAGCTAGGTGTCAAGAAAGACAATTTTGAAACTGAAGTTTGATTTTGGGAAGCCTATTACATGTGTTAGAGGTTTGAAACACTTGGTGTTATGAAATAGAATTCCAGATTACCATAAATTATTTAGTTTCCCAAAATAATGACTCAGAAATGTTTAAAAAGCAAAACAACCTTTTATAAACCTTTACAAATTTTGCTAAAGAGCAGATTAGTGCCTTGGGAGTACCTTGTTTTGCTTTTATTTTAATCCTCAATTTACAGAAAAACCATATAATACCCTTTTGAATTTAATCAATATGTTCACACAGAGAATTTCTTTTACAAGATTGATTTTTACAATCCTTCCTCCACTTGTTTGAACCTTTAGCTTTATCATATCTAATTTAAAACAATTCTTTAACCCAAGGCAAGAATTTACATTTTTATGCCTTCTTATAACCTTTTATTACAAACACATTTTATGTTCTTATACACCTCGCATGTAAATCTATTTTCAGTAGTTTCAATTACATTTCATAATGGTAACTCCTAGCAATTTTTAACTTTAATGTAAAACCTGGTAAGTTGTTTTAATTTTCTAAGTACAGCCAAGATTTGACTCCTTCCAGTAGAATTAGGGGCATGGTTAGTTCCATATGTCCCCAGGCCTTACCAAGTTGAACAGGCATTACCAAGTTGAACAAAAACCAAAAAGCAGTGTATAACCTTAAAACACTCAGCAAACCTTTCATCTTACCTGCATAATTTAGTCCACTTATTTATATTTTAATGACATCTGCATTTTACCAATAATCTTTATAGCTGTTTTTATTTCTCAAAGATTAAAGTCACATGAACTAAAAGGTACCACTTTTATCTTACCTTTAAAAAATATTTGATCCAAGTGCTTATCTTCCTTTAGGCCAAATTAATTAGAGTTCTTTTTACAGATATCACATATACAACACATATATAACTATACAGACAGGCAGAAGAAAATCCAGTTGCCATAAAATCTTCCATCAGAGGAGAAGGATCTATCCACTTTTAATTCCTGGGGTTCTTATGAGAAAAATAGAGGTCTCTTGCCTCATACATGCATCGAGAGTGGCAAGACAAAATCAAGAAAAATAATTCAGCTGACTGAGAACAAAAAACCTTTTTCCAGCAAAGGAGATCCAAGGAAAGAAAACATAAAGGCCTTTTAAATATAACCATAATTTGGATATGCACTTTTAATGAAGCTGAGCACTCCTTAAGAAAACCATTTTAGGCCAGGCACGGTGGCTCATGCCTGCAATCCCAGCACTTTGGGAGACAGAGATGGGTGGAACATGAGATCAGGAGTTCAAGACCAGCCTGACCAACATGGTGAAATCCCATCTCTACTAAAATTACAAAAATTAGCCAGGTGTGGTGGCACACACCTGTAATCTCAACTACTCAGGAGGCTGAGGCAGGAGAATAGCTTGAGCCCAGGAGGTGGAGATTGCAGTGAGCCAAGATCATGCCATCGCACTGCAGCCTGGGTGGCAGAGTGAGACTGTGTCTCGAAAAAAAAAAATTGCTGGGCATGGTGGCTCACGCCTGTAATCCCAGCACTTTGGGATGCCAAGGCAGGTGGCTTACCTGAGGTCAGGAGTTTGAGAGCAGCCTGATCAACATGGAGAAACCCCATCTCTACTAAAAATACAAAAATTAGCCAGGCATGGTGGCACATGCCTGTAATCCCAGCTACTCTGGAGACTGAGGTAGGAGAATTGCTTGAACCCGGGTTGCAGTGAGCTGAGATCGCACCAATGCACTCCAGCCTGGGCAACAAGAGCAAAACTCTGTCTCAAAAAAAAAAAAAAAAGAAAGAAAGAAAATCATTTTAACTCCCTTATTATCTGACTTTAGCCATGCCAATCAGCCAATATTTCTGGCTTTCAAACTTTGCTAAAGGCTCAGAGAAAGGACAATCCAAGGTGGTTCGTGGAGGGGAGGGGAATCAACAAATAGCAAAAGGTCATGCAGATATAAAACCAGAAAGGACTCATACCCTAAGCCAGGATTGAATCCGCACCACAACAGTGAGAATGCCAAATCCTAACCACCGGAACACCAGGGAGAGAAGCTTAATTGCTGTTGGATGAAGCTGGACTCCCTAGCTGGAAAAGAAGGAGAATCCACTAGATGCATGGTGGGGAACACAGGCCAGCCTGCTGTTGGGCACCCTTGGGCCATGCATTCCAGCCCTGGCTGTGAAGGGAGTTGGGGGGCCACCATTCCCCACTCCATCCTGCACATGCCTGCAGCCACTGGGATGTGCCATTTCCTCTACCCTCAGAAGAGATCCGAGGAGAAAAAAGGCTTAGAAGCAAAAGGAAAAAAGGTTTTTTGTTTTGCATGATACTCACCCTTCCTCAAGCCCCATGTTGGGTGCCAAAAAATGTAGGAAAATCCGGGTTCTTGTCACAACCAGGAAATATTGGGCTTGCAGACACTTTGAAGGCTGAGGGAAATGGAATTTATTGGGTGAAAAAGGAAAAAAAGAAAAACTTTCAGCAGAGTGAGAAGGAAGCTTGTTAACTGACTCCTGCCCCACCACACAGGAACTCAAGAGGCCAGGCTCCTCCCCTCTGCAAATGGTGTGAACTTCTGTGGCTCCACCCCATTCTCCCAGTTCACAGGCCAGTTGGAGATTCTTGGGGACTGGCAGTCTGGTTTTTCAGACTTCGGGCTGTTTTAGGTTTGAAGACAAGGTTTTGCCAAGGCTGGGCACGAGGATGCCTTGGCTGCCTCCTGTCTCTATCAAAACCAAGTCACAAGACCAGTATAAAATGGACAAATCAGGCAAAAAAAAAAAAAAAAAGATACTGACTTTGTTTATAGGTAGTTCCACGAAAAATCGTCATAATGGATGGATTTGTCCCTTATGTGTTTTCATTTCCAGACACCCCTTATTTATTTGTAAGTAGAAAAATTATTTCCTTTCCAAATATGGATGTTTAATGTTACTCGATATTTTCCTTCTACTCAATAATGATCAAGAGTCATAATGATAAACATGAATAATTTGTAGGTCCTGATTACATTGCAGGTCCTGATTACATTGCTGCTACAATAATTATTTTTGGTCCAATTTTATGGATGAAGAAAATATGATTTACTGAGTAATTGCCCCAAGGTTAAGAAATAGGTAAGCATAGATTTGAATCCATGTGTGTCTTTCCAGATCTTGTGTTCTTTCCATATTTCAAGTTAATATATTGAGAGTTCTAAGAAAACTATCACAGTTGCAGCCCATTTCAGGCAGTGGGTGGGCTAGAGGTAACATATAGAAATGAAAACTGTCATATTTTGGTTCCTGATACAGAGTTTTCATTTGCTGTTCATCACACACAGCCTTATCTGGGTGAAAAGCACAAGTAAAAGCTTGAAATTTCACTTGATGGTACTTGATGAAGGTTTATTATAACCAACTGGAATGGACTAAGGTCTAATTATGGTTCAAAGGTCAAAGTAAAGTCTGATAGCATGATTGATATATGCAGCCGAAAAGATTACAGATTAAGCTTTTTCTTTCTCAGTCTACCAGATTATTGGGTTGGAAAAGATATTTTTTCTTTGTTTGACTAATTTTCAGTGTTGCAGTCATCCCTTGGTATATGCAGGGGATTGGTTCCAGGACCACCACCCACCCCACTCCACACATACTCAAGTCCCCCAGTCAGCCTTATGGAACCTGCTTATATATTAACAGTTGGCCCTCCTTATATACAGGTTTCTTGCATCTCCCAGATGCTGTATTTTTTATCTGCTTTTGGTTGAAAGAAATATGCATATAAGTGAACCCATGCAGTTCAAGCCCATGTTGTTCAAGTCTCAACTGTATCTAGTAGTATTTTTTAGTTGTGAAACTGTAAAGCCATAAATGTATTAAGGAAATTACCCAAAGTCAAGCAACCACTCATAACATCTGTTCAGTCATTTTTCCATCTATAGTAGGTGAATGTTTGTATATTTTATATTAGCAAGTATACACTCTTTCATTTTCACCTTAGATATTTTAGTTCATTTTTCTGACTAAAAGCATAATAATTTTAAAAGTTAAAAAGCAGGCCAGGCATGGTGGCTCATGCCTATAATCTCAGCACTTTGGGAGGCCAATGTGGGAAGATCACTTGAGGCCAGGAGTTCAAGACCAGCCTGAGCAACATAATGAGACCCCATCTCTACAAAAAATTTTAAAATTAACCAGGCATGATGGCATGCACCTGTAGTCCCAGCTACTGAGGAGGCTGAGGTGGGAGGATTGCTTTTGCCCAGGGGGACAAGGCTGCAGTGAACCTTGATTACACCACTGCACTCCATCCTGGGCAACAGAGAAAGACCTTGTCTCAAAAAAAAAAAAAGTAAACACTAAAGAAGATTTAGGGGGAAAAGAAGAGTAACTCATCTGTATAGGGTCCCCCCAAATTAAAATACACACTAACCATCATGATACTGGTTAAACAAATATTTATTATTTATAAGCAAGCCGATTGTATGTCTAGAAAAAGGAAGACAGTTGACAGTGAAAATAACTGTCTTAGAAAAAGTGCCTAATAAATTGTCTATGTACACAACAAATATTCACAAATTGATATTTCTCAATATACCATAAATAATTAGCTGTTGACACTAGCCATAAAAACATAATGTTTAGAAATTATATGAAAGAAATGTGGGTCCTGTATGAAAAGAATTATTAAATGGAGTGAGACTAAGTGGTGATTTGAATAAATTGAAATATTTGCTTTAATTGGATTTGAAGACTGAATTGTAAAGATATTAGTATTTGATACACTCAATAGATGTTCCAAAGGTATTCAGTAATAATTAAACACCTATTCTCATTTTTTAAAATATATATACTTAAAGTAAATTCTAGTAGGCTATATTGAGGTGATTTTTTTCCCTGTAAAAAAAGCACAGAATGGTTTTATACAACCAGAGGAAATTTCATTAAAATCAAGACCAAGACAAATATGTTCATTATCCCTAGTATTATTTAATATTGCTTTAGAAATTATCTTTACTGTTAAGAGATGTTAAAAAGAAATAAGTTCTGTAACTTTTGAAAAGGAGAAGACAAAGTTATCATTGCTTGCAGAAGATAGGGATATAGTCCTGGAAAACATTAGAAACAACATAAAATGTCTTGGTATAAATGAATTTTACAAAAGGATAGAATAAATGGTAACTATTTAAAATATCAATAGCTTTTATGCATATCAGAAAGCCTTACATATAAAACATAATGGGAGAAATGATGACATTCACAATAGGATCTAGTTTTAAAAATGATAAAAATTGCGAATTCTGAAAGAAGATTTGAATAACAAATGGAGAGACAGTTTTGCAGAGCTAGGATGATGGTAGTGGTGACTGGAATGATGAGGAAGTCATCACAAAGCCCCTGTTGAATTACAGTTTTCCTAGGTTCCAGCCATATCACAAGGATCCCTCACAATCATCAGGAACAGTTATGTCTCATCTATGTGTCATTTTGTGGAATAATTCAATTCCACAACCGATTATGCCCCTCTAATTCAGTGTCTTTGCAAGTACCTGTATCAGAGGGAAGGGGAAAGAGGAGAAAGACATGCTAAAATGGGAAAAAAGTTATGAGGTAAGCCAGCCTTTTAATGATAATAGCAGGCAAAACCTTATTTCTAGAACACGAGGGCCATAACTTACTGATTGAATAAAATCCCAATCAAAATGCCAATGGAATTTTATTTGTAGAGCTTTACATAACCATGTTAATATTCACGTATTAGAATAACTAGGAAAGAATGCTTAATTTTTAAGGAAGAGTACAATCATTTTCAAGGGGATGGCATTCTGATGCCTGGATTTGCAATAATTATTAAATATTTCACTAATGTTGCATAAGTATTATTTGCTAACTGCTTTGAACTTTAACCCCCATCTTTTAGCTTCACCAAAAAGCAGAGAAACAAAAACAACCACAAAACTTGGTTTTGTAATGGAAATTTAATCTATGGTCAAATGAGTTAATGCTTAACATTGCCTAGAGTCAAAAGGAAAGGGAAGGGCTGAAGTAATCCAGCATTGGTTGAGCATGATCTATTTGCCAGGCCCTGTGTTAAACACTTCATCTCCTTTAATTCTGATAACATATTGGTATTAATGTCAATTATATAAGAGTAAACCAAAGATTAGATAGTATTTGGGATTGGAATTCAAGTTTTTCTGGCTCCCGAGCCTATGCTCGCACACTACCACTGTGCCTTGTCTAACCAATTACTTCACTGAGTGCTGTTGTTTGTTATGGCATTTTTCAGTGGTAGACAGCATTTACAACTTAGATCAGGTACTCACCTGCTGAAAAACACTATGTTCTCTGGAAAGCGTTTGATGGTTTTGTTTGTTTGTTTGTTTGTTTTTAAGACTGAGTCTCACTCTGTTGCCAGGCTGGAGTACAGTGGTGTAATTGCGGCTCACAGCAACCTCTGCCTCCTGGGCCCAAGCGATTCTCCTGCTTCAGCGTCTCGAATAGCTGGGACTACAGGCGCATGCCACCATGCTCAGCTAATTTTTGTATTTTTTAGTAGAGACAAGGTTTCACCATATTGGCCAGGATGGTCTCGATCTCTTGACCTTGTGATCCACCTACCTCAGCCTCCCAAAGTGCTGGGATTACAGGCATGAGCCACTGCACCCAGTCTGCTGTGTTTTTTATTCTTCTTCTGCATGATATAGTAATCTCGAGCTTTATCCTAATACATATCTGCATTCCAGTCACATTCCCACCAGTTAATAGCTGTGTAACCTTGGACAAGCTACTTAAACATTTGGAGCCTCAATTCCAGCAGCATACATACAATTTCATAAAGCAACCCAGAAAAGAGGATAGTCCATTTTGTCATTACTCCATGCAACTATTTTGATAAAATCTGCACCTTCACAATGAATTCAATGACGTTTATTTGGGGTAATGATATTGTTGCATTGCCTCTCTTGTGCATTAAATATTGGGTGTTTTTTATCACCCAGCCTAGGGTGAAAAGTAAAGAAACAAATGTGGCTCACACTTAGCCACTTTTAAATCAAAAGTTCAAATAAATAACCAAGTCAAAAGTCTGAATACAGAAAATTTTTACTTTTCTATATAACAAGAGAGTCACGTATATAGAACTGTTGGATATAAGCTATCCTGCCAAATGGAATAGCATCATTTTTCAGAGGGAGAGATTGACAAAAATGTATTTGATATACTGACACCAAGTATATGTTAAGGGCAGTGCTAGTTGTGGAGGGCACATAGACAAATTATATAGAGTTTCTACCCTCAAGGTTTTTACAGTCTAGTTGCGGTTGGGGAAGAAAAACAGACAAATCATGATCTTTCTTGATGATCTCTTCTGTGCTATAAAGAATTTTTTTCTCTCAGTAAGGCTTCAGTTAGACATCAGTGATGCTGAGAGGTTAAATGACTAAGATTGTAAGTGGTGGAGCTGGGACTTAACGCTTAGGTATGTTTACATTAAAGCTGATCTGCTTCCATTCATTATGGCAACAGTTTACTTATGTTATATGTAGTGCCGTTTATAATTCCCAGTGAGAGAGTCATCCTGTTTCCCAAATGATTCACATCTGAAAAATCCAGGCACACAACATGCCCATAAAGGCCAGATCACCCAGTCAAAGCTCAAATAAAGTGTGTTGAAACCAACAGGCCAGTTGTCCTTATTCTTGACTATTTTTTGTGTTAGGAAGGAGCAGATAGGTTAGAAAGTGAGAGTCACAATATTGAGCCCTTCTACGAAAAGCATATGTTTTTGGCTGTGAAGGTGGCAGTTACCTCTATGCTTTTGCTATCTTAGTGGGGACCAATCCTAAGAGAGCAGTTTCTCAAAAACAGCTGTTATCTGGGAAAGGGGAGGTGAAAGGCCTAACTCAGAAACTGAGCTACTCACAGCTAGGCAGAGCTTCTCACCTCAGTTTCTCTTGTTGGCAGGCCCCAGAAACAGTTTCTTTAAAGACTTCAGCAGATCTTTTCAAGTAGATTTATTGATAGAAGAGCCATGAGAAATATTTTGGTGGCTATAAATAAAAACATATTTGCAGGTTCAAGTCAACAGACCCAGAATTGAAAACTGACTTGGCCACTAGTTAGTTGTTTTGTATTCATTCTAGAGCAATTCAAGCCACATTGTATTCACTCAATAAATATTCATTGATTGAATGAATGTGTTTATTCCCCCCATTAGGCTGTGAGACCCTTGAGGGTAAGAGCCATATTTCATTGGTCTTTGTAAATCACATCCAGTTCACTGCCTAAATTCTGTTAAGTATCACTGAATTTTAAATTAATTATTCTTTGGTAAGAAACACTGATAGGGAAAGCATTCGCCCAATGTGAACATAATACAGAAGATACTATTGATGTAGGCACCATGTATTTTGTTGGTTGTATACCAAGCAAACTCTTCTAATCAGCTGAGAGTCTGTGAGGGCAAAGATGTCTGACTCATTATCTTTGGTAATGCACAGTAGCTGACATATTACAGTACATGTAATGATTTACTGCAGCATTTCCTAGAGCTTTTTCATTTGAGTGTCACTCAGGGTTTTTGCTTTATCTGTGCACAGTCTGTATGTTTATTTACTTAACATGTTTCTGTGGTATCTTTGAAATAAAAGGTATCACTTGAAATGAAACGTAACTCTACGATTAAAAACTAAGAACAAAAAATAATGTTACTAAATATTTTTAAATGAAATTAAGATTCAGTACAAGTAGTAGTAAGCTACTAATGTGTGTTGCACTAACATTTTATATACCTTCTCTCTTTTAATCCTCATGATAGCTCTTCTAAAAAATATTTTCCCATTACCACAGATGAGATTAAGATCTAGGTAAGTTACGTAACAGCCCAGTGTCACACAGCTAGTGTAAGGGAGGGCCAGGACTCTAAAGGGAGCTTGTTTTTTAATGCTAAAGCCAACGTGGGATGCAGTATAGGCAATCCTTAACTTTATTATTCCCAAGTGATTCCACCTGGCCCCTTCCCCTTTTTCTTATTGATCCAGCTCTCCTTGGTTCTCAGACCACCTCCTGGTTACACTTTAAGCAGCTCTTCATCCCACAGGTCATTCCCAGACCCTCTGGCCCACTGCCAATACACCCAACACCAAGTTCTGTTAGAGCAGAGGAAAGATGGATATCTTTTCATCTTTCTGAGAACAAAAAACAATTGCTATCTATACTTTATTGAGAACTATTAAGGAGTGAGCATCCTGAGGAAGGCTCTTTGAGATCTGGTTTCTGGGCATAAGAATGCAGATAGGGACTTCAGGGAGAGATTGAAATTGTCCTCCCTGCGCAAAAGTCTGGGGGAGGAGATGGAGTTTGGAGCCTGCTGTGGGGTAAGGGAGGAAGGGAGGGAGGGAAAAAGCTAAGACTGAGTTTTGGTCTGCAGGAAATGTGGGAGACAAGGGAGAGCACAGGGCCAGGCTCATGGTGGGTACCCAGTAAATGCCCTTAAGATTTAACTAGAGTGAGGGGTGGTAAGTTGTGGGGATTCACATAAAGAGAAAATTGCTTTCCGAGTTGAAACTGTGACCAGGACCTTTCCGTTTTGGTTCACAAAAATCTTTTCTCTGTTTTTGTAAGCTGGGTAGCTGAATCAAGGAAGTTTGAGGCAGGTAATGATTTAGGGCAAGGTTTGGCCCAAGGAATAATGGATCTGGGACTGGTAACTGAAGCCAAGGGATAGAATACACAGTAAAAGAAAGAGGAAAGGAACTATATGATTTATTGAAACCAGAACCCCTTTTCTTCAAAGCCAGCTATAAAGCCTAAAAATATAACTCTAACTTTCCCTCTGCCTTTCTATGTAAAAACTGGACATAAAGAAGTGATCTGGCCTCCTTTATTTGACTGTAGGTCATAAGACCCCCCCATTCTAGAGAGGGAACTGCCACATACCCAGAAGGAAGGAATGCTGCTCAGAGAGGCCAAGAAGAATCTAGACAGACAGGCCTTGCTGAGTTTCCCCTCTTAGTCTATTCGCATTAGCTCATACCCTTTTTGTTCAATCATATTTCTACATGGCTGTTCATACTTTGTTGAACTTAAACATAGACAAAATGGACAATTTCCTTTGTGTCTTTGGGTCTTCATTCTGAAAGCTCCTGTGCATACATGCTGAATCCATTTGTATGCCTTTTCTCCAATTAATCTGCCTTCTGTGAGTTGATTTTTCAGCAAACCCTCAGAGAGCCAAAGGGGAAGCTCTCCCTTAGGCCCTACAGCACCCACTCTCCACTGTGTCAGGTAATTTATTTATATTATTCATTGAAATCTTCAGAGTAACTCTGTAAGGCAGATGTTGTCTCTACATGACAGATGAGGAAATAGGTTCAGAATGATGTGAAGGAATTCAGCCCACCAAAGTGATATAAAGATTATTTTAAACTGAAAATATCTGAACAGACAGCAGAAGCAGAAATGAATATTACCTAAATTTAAGCAGAACCTCCTGAAAATACAACCACAATTGAACAATTGATTCTGAGGGAGTTTCCTATTTGTATTAAGACTGACCCCTTAGCATTGAGAAGTGCAAATGCAGCTGCCATAAACCCCCCCAGAGGGAAATTTCCAGCCTAGGAAAGAGATAAACTGTTCATTTTCATTAGCATCAAAAAAACCAATAGAACCTTCCATACTTTCACATTGAAGCCCTAACTTCTCCTTTGTTAAATCGGGTATATAAATCTCTCTCTCTCTCTGGCTTATTGAGCAAGTTACTCATTATTCAATGGTCCCATGTGCATATGGAAATAAACATTGTCTTTACTCCTGTTAATGTGTCTATTGTCAGTTAATTTGAAAGCCCCTGTCATTTGACTATTGAAACCTTAGATGATAGATGATAGATAAAGCAGTGTGGTTCCCTAGAACAGCAGTCCTCAACCTTTTTGGCACCAGAGCCTGGTTTCCCAGAAAACAATTTTTCCACGGGGCAGGGAGTTGGGGGAGGGAGAGGTGGTGGGGTGGCAGGGTAGGGGGATGGCTTCGGGATGAAACTGTTCCACCTCAGATGGCCAGGCATTAGATTCTCATAAGGAGCACACAACCTTAATCCCTCACATATGCAGTTCACAATAGGGTTCATGCTTCTATGAGAATCTAATGCCCTGCTGATCTGACAGGAGGTGAAGCTCAGGCCATAATGCTCTGCAGGCCCACTGCGCACCTCCTGCTGTGTGGCCTGATTCCTAACAGGCTGTGGACCCATACCCATCTGTGGCCCAAGGGTTGGGGACCCCTGCCCTAGAATAAGACCCAAGAGCAACCATAGAACTGTCCCAGTACATATCCAGGGTTCTTAAACCTCATATAATCATGATCCAGGCCATAGCTCCCAAACTTGTTGAAGCTGAAGCAAACTTTGTACGTGGGTGGACACAGAAGGAACCTGTGTCCCTTCAAGGAGTGGAGTAACAGTTAAGACCAGTAAGTGGTCACTTTACAGAATTATCTTCTGTCCTAGAATCTTCTGGGCAGTCACAGATCCTGGGGAAAAGGTGACCTGAGTCAGGACTATTCATCAGAGCAGTCAGGGCAGCCTTTGGATTCAGGGAGACCACACTGATTGAGGACAAGTCACTTAACATCCCTAAGGCTCAGTTCTGTAAAATGTGGATACTCTTATCTATTGCCGGAGATCTTGTAGGGAATGGGGATGATATTAGACAAGTGTTTGCCACAGCAAGTTCAGCTTATAATATTAGCAGCTCCTCTGCAACACTTTTTAAAATTCCAACATACTTTGTAGATAACTGTATCTGCACATATAAAACATATCCAACACACACACATACATGCATGTAGAAAATAAGAAAAATATTTTTAAAAATTAATTCTTCCATTATTTGCTGTTTTAAGCAAGCTGCAACATATAATATTGCACTTAGAATTTACACAACAGTTATATTTCTAGAATTTTGGCAAACCATGGTGCTCAGATCAACTCTTCACGTGTAAAGCAACTCAAAACATTATGGTAAATAACACTGGGATCTAGACTTTTGAGGATATTTTGTCTTTAATCATTAATTGTTCCTATAAGAAACTAAGAATTGATTTTTTTGTTTTGTTCTAATTCAAAAGCCATCAGAAAGCCCTGGAGTCATTCTAATATTTCATGAAAAAGGATACTTACTTGGCCTTTTCTAGACCAACTCAAAAAGGAGGAGATTAGCAAGTGGCACACTGCTGATATGCATTATAAAGTGTTTCTAACAAATATTTGGCAAATGAATGCTTCAAGTGTTCTTATTCTACAAAGTCTCTTCCTGAGGGTTTTAGCATACCATACCAACTAATGCACAATGTCTTTCTCAAACTCTTGTTTATGATAGATTTTTCTTAAGAATATTAAAATATATAATAGCTATGATTTATACAGTGTTACCTATATTTGAGGAACTGACTACCCAACAACCAAGGCAGTACAAACTGTTAAATCCACAAAACAACAGTGGCAATATATGCAATTAATTACTGATTTTGTATATTACGAAAGTGAGGCTCACAGAGAATAAGCAACTGACCCAAGGTCACAGAGTCAGTAGACAGAAAATACTAGAGCTGGAACATGTGTAGTGGTGGGCTAGTACAGGTTTAAAAACCATTAAGGGTGGAAGATGGGGCCTGGAAGCACATGCTTTGTAGAGTTTGCTGATTTCTATGGTGTAAATGCTCCACTATAGACAATTTTAAGGAGTAAATGCACACAATTACAAGAGCCAGTTCCAGAATGTTACTACAATAGGATCCTATAGTCTGAATGTTTGTGTCCCTCTCCAATTTATATGTTGAAATCTCAACTCTTAATGTGATGGTATTAAGAGGTGGAGCCTTTAAGAGGTGATTAGGTCACAACAGCAGAGCCCTCATGAATGGGATTAGTGCTGTTATAACAGAGGCCCCAGAAAGACTCCTCACTCCTTCCATCATATGAGGACATAAGCAGAAGGTGCCATCTATGAACCAGGAAGTGGTTGCTCACCAGACACTGAATCTGCTAGTACCTTGATCATGGGCTTCCCGTCCTCCAGAACTATGAGAAATAAATTTCTACTGTTTATACGCTACCTGGTTTGTGGTATTTTATTTTAGCATCCCAAACAAACTAAGACATAGGGGAAGCCATTAACCACTGAGCATCAAAATTTCTTCACTGTGAAGTGAGAATAAGAATAACTTCACTGAAAAAAATTGCTCTTAAGGCTTATGGGAATAACACAATGTGAGAGTGCCTAATACTGTGCCTAGCTCATAGGTGCTCAAAGAATGTTTGTTTAGAGTCACAATAGTAACAAAATAGCTGCTTTCAACAATAAAACAAGATCATTACTATTCTCCTTAACTAACTCTTGAATGGAATCTACTCTGTATGAGCAACAAGTACCATTTTTACCAACATATTTCTGTGTGGATCATTCCCTAAAGATATGTTTAAAAACTAAATTTGCGCAGAAAACCACAGGCTGACAAGGTTCTCAGTGGCACAACTTAACTCATAGTTATCCAACCTTTCTAAGTCACAGCTCCTACTAAACAGGTATCATGAAAGCTACACTTCAAGTTTGGTAGGATAGAAGCAAAATCTGATGGCACATTTAGCAGAGTCTAGTACATGGTGCAAGTACAATATATGGTACTTACAGACTGGTATAATTCACACCCTGAAGCTTTCTTCAAAGCACTGGAAGATGGGGCTGATGCCCTTTTTCCCCCAAGGACACCAAACAAGATCGAGAGAGATTATTTACTTACTAGTGGGATACAGTGTACTGAAAGAGACTCCACAGACCAGTTGCCCTGAGGGTACACATGTAGTTCCAGGAATTTCATGGGTGCTTGAGATTTAAAAAGAAAAAAAAAAAGCTCATACGAGTATATTTTTGCCTCAGAATATATGATCAGTAAAATAGATGCATTCTCTGTTCATTTGTAAAAGCTTCAAGTCCATCCTGTACAATCAGCCTATTCTAGAGGGATGCTTCATTAGCAGGCACCAAGGTAGAGTGGTTATGACCACAGGTTCTGTTTCAGGCCTTACTCTTTTATAATCTATTTGGAAGGAAAATATCTTTTGCTTTTTGTTTTATTCAGACTATGTATTTCACGGCCATCTTTTCCAATAAATGGAGACCTGTGTTTAGAGTTCAAATTATAAGAATGTACTCTAGAAAAGGACACCAAATAGATGTTTAGTTTATGAGCTCTCTTTAGCTTTACTTGTTTCCAATAACAACCTATGCCTCAGAAGGAATCATCCTTGGCTTTTTTTTTAATTTACTTGCCTGTTTTGTGCAATTGCCAAGTTGCCTGTAAAGAAATTCCAATTGTGTGTGACACACTTTATGTATCTGCAGTATAAGACCTAAAGTTAAGGCTCAATATTATGTGCTGCCTTGACATCTGGTGAAATTTAGAGGGCTTCAAATGACCTAACCATGAATCTCCCTCCCTACTCTGCTCCTATGAATGAAGTCCATAGCCAAATAATGGTTCTTATCAGGTGGACCAGGCATAGCTCCTGCTTATCCCTGAGTAGCCGGTTTCAATTCCCTGACCGTCCATGGAATTCTTTAAACAAACCAATCAAATCCTCCCAGGGGAAACAGGGAGCACTCCACCTTCTTAATACCAAATGGCCTGCTTCCAACAGCTCCTGGTTGTCCAAATGCAACCACATTTGGCCCTGCTTGGCATGAGATGTCTTCTTTCCCAGGTTGTGAATATAGGTGAAAATAAACTGTTGTCAATGTTATTTGTTCCGTATTAAGTGTTATGTGCTTGGTCAACCCCATAACGCAAGACTGGGAATACTGCCCTCACTGATGGAATAAATGGGACACGATCTTACTGCTGATTATTAAGATCCTGTGAGATAGGTATCTTTATTCCCATTTCAATAATGAGAAAATTAAGGTTCTGAAAATAGTAGATAACTGCCCCCCAATCACACAGCTGAGAAGCTTCCAACCTGGGATTTGAACTCAATCCTTTTATACTTCAAAATCTGTGTTCATGTTAGCCAACATATCTCAAATATTGTTTAAACACTGAGAAAATTCTGTTTATCCTAAATATGCAACCTAATAAACTTATTTTTAAAAGATCATTATTTTTGAGACTGAGTCTTGCTGTCATCCAAGCTGGAGTGCAGTGGTGAGATCTTGGCTCACTGCAACCTCTGCCTCCTGGGTTCAAGTGATTCTCCTGCCTCAGCCTCCCAAGTAGCTGGGACTATAGGTACCTGCTACCACACCTGGCTAATTTTTGTATTTTTAGTAGAGATGGTGTTTCACCATGTTGGGCAGGCTGGTCTCAAACTCCTGACCTCAAGTGATCCGCCTGCCTCAGCCTCCCAAAGTGCTGGGATTACAGGTATGAGCCACCCCGCCCGGCCAAAGACATCATTTAATTAATTAATTTATTTATTTATTTGAGACGGAGTTTCACTCTTGTTGCCCAGGCTGGAGTGCAATGGCACGATCTCGGCTCACTGCAACCTTTGCCTCCCGGGTTCAAGCGATTCTCCTGCCTCAGCCTACCAAGTAGCTAGGATTACAGGTGCCTGCCACCACGCCCAGCTAATTTTTGTATTTTTAATAGAGATGGGGTTTCACCATGTTGGCCAATCTGGTCTTGAACTCCTGACCTCAGGTGGTCCACACACGAGAACTTCATGAAGCATACACAAGTATCAATAGCTGAATGGTCCAAGCATAAGAAAGGATATCAGAGTTTGAAGACCACCTTACTGAAATAAGACATGCAGACAAGACTAGAGAAAAAAGAATGAAAAGGAATGAACAAAGCCTCCAAGAAATATGGGACTTCATAAAAAGACCAAACCTATGATTGACTGGAGTAACAGAAGGAGACGGAGAGAATGGAAGCAAGCTGGAAAACACACTTCAGGATATTATCCAGGAGAACTTCCCCAACCTAGCAAGATAGACCAACATGCAAATTCAGGAAATACAGAAAACACCATTAAGATACTTCATGAGAAGATCAATCCCCAAGACACATAATTATCAGATTCTCCAAGGTCGAAATGAAGGAAAAACTCTTAAGGGCAGCCAGAGAGAAAGGCCAGGTCATCTAAAAAAGGGAAGTCCATCAGACTAACAGTGAACCTCTCAGCAGTAACTCTACAAGCCAGAAAAGATTGAGGGTCAATATTTAACATTCTTAAAAAAAAATTTCAACCCAGAATTTCACATCCAGCCAAACTAAGCTCCATAAGCAAAGAAGAAATAAAATCCTTTCCAGACAAGCAAATGCTGAGGGATTTCATTACCACCAGGTTTGCCCTGCAAGAGCTCCTGAAAGAAGCACTAAATATGGAAAGGAATAGTTGATACCAGCCACTGCAAAAACACACCAAAATATAAAGACCAATGACACTATGAAGAAACTGCATCAACTAGTGTGCAAAATAACCAAATAACAGCATGATGACAGGATCAAATTCACACATAACAATACTAACCTTAAATGTAAATGGGCTAAATGCCCCAATTAAAAGACACAGACTGGCAAATTGCATAGTCAAGATACATCAGTGTACTATATTCAGGAGACCCATTTCACTTGCAAAGACACACATATGCTCAAAATAAAGGGATGGAGGAAAATTTACCAACCAAATGGAAAGCAAAACAAAACAAAAAACAAAAAACAAAAAAAAACCTAGGGTTTCAATCCTAGTTTCTGGCAGAACAGACTGTAAACCAGCATAGATCAAAAAAGACAAAGAATGGCATTACATAATGGTAAAGGGAACAATTCAACAAGAAGAGTTAACTATTCTAAGTATATATTCACCTGATACAAGAGCACCCAGATTCATAAAACAAGTTCATAGAGACCAACAAAGACACTTAGATTCCCACCGAATAATAGTGGGAGACTTTAACACCCCACTGTCATATTAGACAGATCTATGAGACAGAAAATTAACAAGGATATTCAGGACTTGAACTCAGCTCTGGATAAGTGGACCTGGTAGATGCCTACAAAACTCTCTACACCAAATCAACAGAATATACATTCTTCTCAGTGCCACATGGCACTTATTCTAAAATTGACCACATAATTGGAAGTAAAACACTTTTCAGCAAATGCAAAAGAACTGAAATCAGTCTCTCAGACCACAGTGCAATTAAATTAGAACTCAGGATTAAGAAACTCACTCGAAACCACACAATTTCATGGAAATTGAACAATCTGCTCCTAAGTGACTCCTGGGTAACTAATGAAATTAGGACAGAAATCAAGAAGTTCTTTGAAACCAATGAGAACAAAGAGACAACGTACCAGAATCTCTGGGACACAGCTAAAGCGGTGTTAAGAGAGAAATTTACAGCACTAAATGCCCACATCAGAAAGCTAGAAAGATCTCAAATCGACACCCTAACATCACGATTAGAAGAGCTAGAGAGGCAAGAGCAAACTAATCCAAAAGCTAGCAGAAGACAAGAAATAACTAAGATCAAAGAATAATTGAAGGAGGTAGATATACGAAAAACTCTCTAAAAAATCAACGAATCCAGGAGCTGAGTTTTTGAAAAAAATAACAAAATAGATAGACCACTAGCTAGACTAATAAGAAGAGAGAAAAGAATCAAATAGACACAAAAAAAAATGATAAAGAGGATATCACCACTAACTCCACAGAAATACAAACTACCATCGGAGAATACTATAAACAACTCTACACAAATAAGTTAGAAAATCTAGAAGAAACAGATAAATTCCTGGACACATACACCCTACCAAGACTAAACCAGGAAGAAGTTGAATCCCTGTATAGACCAATAACAAGCTCTGAAATTGAGGCAGCATTTAATAGCCTACCAACCAAAAAAGCCCGGGGCCAGATGGATTCACAGCTGAATTCTACCAGAAGTACAAAGAGGAATTGGTACCATTGCTTCTGAAACTATTCCAAACAACTGAAAAGGAGAGACTCCTCCCTAACTCATTTTATGAAGCCAGCATAATCTGATACCAAAACCAGGAAAAGACACAACAAAAAAAGAAAACTTCAGGCCAATATCCCTGATGAACATTGATGTGAAAATCCTTAATAAGATACTGGCAAACTGAATCCAGCAGCACATAAAAAAACTTATCCACCACAAACAAGTTGGCTTCATTCCTGGGATGCAAGGCTCCTTCAGCATATGCAAATCAATAAATGTAATTCATCACATAAACAGAACCAAAGACAAAAACCACATGATTATCTCAATAGATGCAGAAAAGGCCTTTGATAAAATTCAACATTTCTTCATGTTAAAAACTCTCAATAAACTAAGTATTGATGGACTATATCTCAAAATAATAAGAGCTATTTATGACAAACCCACAGCCAATATCATATTGAATGAGCAAAAGCTGGAAGCATTCCCTTTGAAAACCAGTACAAGACAAGGATGCCGTCTCTCACCACTCCTATTCAACATTGTATTGGAAGTTCTGGCAAGGGCAATCAGGCAAGAGAAAGAAATAAAGAATATTAAAATAAGAAGAGAGGAAATCAAGTTGTCTCTGGTTGCAGATGACATGGTTTTATATATATAAAACCCCATCATCTCAGCCCCAAAACTTTTTGAACTGATAAGCAACTTCAGCAAACTCTCAGGATACAAAATCAATGTGCAAAAATCACAAACATTCATTTACACCAGTAATAGGTGAGCAGAGAGCCAAATCCTGAATGAACTCCTGTTCACAACTGCTACAAAGAGAATAAAATACCTAAGAATACAGCTAACAAGGGACGTGAAGGACCTCTTCAAGGAGAACTACAAACCACTGCTCAAGGAAATAAGAGAGGACACAAACAAATGGAAAATCATTCCATCTTCATTGATAGGAAGAATCAATATCATGAAAATGGCCATATTGCCCAAAGTAATTTATAGATTCAATGCTATTCCCATCAAGCTACCATTGACATTCTTCACAGAATTAGAAAAAACTATTTTAAATTTCATATGGAATCAACAAGGTCCCATATAGCCAAGATGATCCTAAGCAAAAAGAATAAAGCTGGAGGCATCACGCTGCCTGACGTCAAACTATACTACAAGCCTACAGTAACCAAAACAACATAGTGCTGGTACCAAAATAGACATATAGACGAATGGAGCAGAACAGAGATCTCAGAAATAACACCACACATCTACCACCATCTGATCTTCGACAAACCTGACCAAAAATAGCAATGGGGAAATGATCTCCTATTCAGTAAATAGTGCTGGGAAAACTGGCTAGCCATATGCAGAAAACTGAATCTGGATCCCTTCCTTACACATTACACAAAAATTAATTCAAGATGTATTAAAGACTTAAATTTAAAACCTAAAACCATAAAAACCCTAGAAGAAAACCTAGGCAATACCATTCAGGACATAGGCATGGGCAAAGACTTCATGACAAAAATGACAAAAGCAATTGCAATAAAAGCCAGAATTGACAAATGGGATCTAATTAAACTAAAGAGCTTCTGCACAGCAAAAGAAACTATCACCAGAGTGAACAGGCAACCTACAGAATGGGAAAAACATTTTGCAGTCTACCGATCTGACAAAGAGTTAATATCCAGAATTTACAAGGAACTTAAACAAATTTACAAGAAAAAAAACAACCCCATCAAAAAGTGGGCAAAGGATATGAATAGACACTTCTCCAAAGAAGAAATTTATGCAGCCTACAAACATGAAAAAAAGCTCAACATCACTGATCATCAGAGAAATGCAAATCAAAACCACAACGAGATACCATCTCAGGCCAACATGACATTTAAGTCATCCCTGAATTAACATGTCAGGAAACAATAGATGCTGGTGATGCTGTGGAGAAATGGGAATGTTTTTACACTGTTGGTGGGAATGTAAATTAGTTCAATCATTGTGGAAGACAGTATGGCAATTCCTCAAGGATTTAGAACCAGAAATACCATTTGACCCAGCAATTTCATTACTGAGTATATACTTAAAGGAATATAAATCATTTTACTATAAAGACACATGCACATGTATGTTTATGGAAGCACTATTTACAATAGCAAAGACATGGGACCAACCCAAATGCCCATCAGTGATAGACCAGATAAAGAAAATGTGGTAAATATACACCATGGAGTACTATGCAGCCATAAAAAGGAATGAGCTCATGTCCTTTACAGGGACATGGATGAAGCTGTAAGCCATCATCCTCAGCAAAGTAACACAGGAGCAGAAAACCAACCACTGCATGTTCTCACTCATAGTGGCAGTTGAACATTAAGAATACATGGACACAGAGAGGGGACAACACACACCAGGGCCTGTTAGGAGGTGGAGGGCGAGGGGAGGGAACTTAAAGGATGTGTCAATAGGTGCAGCAAACCACCATGGCACACATATACCTATGTAACAAACCTGCACGTTCTGCATATGTATCCAGTTTTTTTAAGAAATTTTAAAAATCAAAAAAAACTAAAAAATAATTTTAAGAAAAGACAGCTGAAAACATAATTCTTTCTCCGTCTCACAAAGGTTGAAAACAAATTTCCCTGTCAAAACGTAACTAAAACGTGGAAATGGTTCAAGTTAAAAGCTATTCTAAATTAACCAGATAGTCGGCTGGAGAATCTGGAGAAAAGTCCTAGAGTAAGGAGCTAGTGGAAAGTCTTAAAAGGAAATTAGATTATAAACTTTGCAGAGCCTATTAGTGAGAAAAGAAAAGGTAATAAATTGTAACTATTGGGATAATAATCCAAGTGGGGGGCTGGCTATGCAAGTCTTATGCACACTTAAAATAATCATGGGATTGAATCTTTGATCTGGGAATAGAGTTTATCATAATATTTGTTTATTATCCTTATAATCCCTATAGGGTCTGTAGTAACATCACACCTTTCATTCCTGATATTGGCATTTGGTGTCTTCTCTATTTTGTTATTGGTCAGTGTGGCTAGAGGTTTATCCATTTTATTTATCAAAGACCCAGCTTTTAGCCAGGCATGGTGGTTCCCCTGTATTCCCACCTACTTGGGTGGCTGAGGCAGGAGGATCACTTGAGCCCAAGAGTTCAGTGCTGTAGTGCTCTAAGATCTCATCTGTGAATAGCCTTTGCATTCCAGCCTGGGCAACATAGCAGGAAAAAAAAAAAAGAACTAGTTTTTGGTTGTATTGATTATCAATCAATTATAATAATTTCTGCTCTTTATTATTTCCTTCCTTCTGCCTTCTTTGGGTTAATTTTGTTTCTTTTTTAATAGTTTCTAGGTATGATTTACTTATCATAACACTCACCAATTTTAAGTGTCCAATCAATGATTTTTAGTAAATTTACAAAGTTATGCAAGTGTCATCAAAATCCAATTTTAGAACATTTCCAACCCTCCCCCATCATTGCAGTCAATCTCCATTTCTACCTCCAGCCCCAGATAATCACTGAAATTTACAAATTTTCATTTATCAATTTGCCCTTTAAGGCCCCTGCATACAAATTAAATAATACACTATGTAATCTTCTGTGTCTGGCTTCTTTCATTAACATAATGTTTATGAGGTTCACCTATGTCATAGCATGTATTGGTCCTTAGTTTGTTTTATTGCTCAATAGCATTTTGTATGACTATGCTCTGTGATGTTTAGATGTTTAGATTTACAGACATTAGGGCAATTTTCAGGTTTTAGCTATTAAGAATAATGCTGTTACATACCTTCATGAATGGGTCTTTAGGGAACATATGTTTTCATTTATCTTGACTAAATTTCTGGGAGTACAGTTATATGGTAAATTTATGTTTAGCCATTTAAGAAATTGCCAAACTGTTTTTCCAAAGTGGCTCCATCATTTTACATTCCCACTCGCAATGCCTAAGGGTTCCAGTTTCTCCACATGCTCATAAACACTCCTTATTGTTTGTCACTTTGATTACAGTCATTCTAATGGTGTGAAATGGTTTAGATTTGCATTTCCCTAATAAATAAAGATGAGCTTCTTTTATATGCTTTTTGGATGTAGTATTTGTACATCTTCATTGTTAAAATTTTATTACAGTGTTTTGATCATTTTTAATTGGTTTATTTGACCTTTTGCTATTTAGTTGTAAGAATTGTTCATATGTTTGGGATACAAACCCTTATTAGATATGGTTTGCATGTATTTTCACTAGTATGGGACTTGTCTCTTCTTTTTTCTTCATGGTCTTTTGATGTTTGGAAGTATGGGGTAGATGAAGCACAACATATCATTTTTCTCTTTTGTAGATTGTGTTTTTAGTGTTGTATGCAAGATATCTTTATCTAACCTTAGGTCATGAAGATTTGATTCTACCTTTTCTTCTAAAAGCATTATAGTTTTAGCTATTACATTTAGAGATACAATCTGTTGAGAGTTAATTTTTTGTGTAGTGTGAGGTGAATGTCTAAAGTGGTCTTTTTCCAAGTGCATGTTCAACTGTCCAGCACTGTTTGTTGAGAAGGCTACTCTTTATCCCAGTGAATTGCTTTGGCTTCTTTGTTTAAAAAATCAATTAATCATAAATATAAGGGGTTATTTCTGAACTTTCAAATATATTCCATTGAACTATATGTCTGTCCTTATGCCAGTTAATACAGTGTTTTGATTACTGTAGATGTATAAAAGTTTTAAAACTGTGTAGTAGAAACCCTCCAACAATTTTTTCTTTTTAAAGATTGATTTGCCAATTCTAGATCTTTTGCTTTCCATATTTTTAATTGGATAGTCACTTTCTACAAAAAGTCCTGCTGGAACTTTGATGGGGATTGTGTTGAATCCATAGACCAATTTGGGGAAAATTGCCAAACAGCATCGTGTCTTGGAATCCATGAATATAGAAAGTCTTTCTAATAATTTAGATCTTCTTTAATTCATTGCAATGTTTTACAATGTTCAATGTGCAAGTCTTGCACTTCTTTTGGTAAATTTAGTCCTAAATATTTTTCTCTTATGCTGTTGTGAATGGCCTTCTTTTCCAAAAACTCATTTTTGCTTGTTCATTCGTAATATATAGAAATACAACTGATCTTTTATCCTGCAACTTTGCTAAATGTAGCTATTAGTTCTAATATTTCTGTGTGTGTGTCTTAACATTTTCTTCATCAAGATTATGTTGTCAACAAATAAAGTCAGTTTAACATCTTCCTTTGTAATCCAGATACCCTTTATTTGCTTTTCCTGCCTTCTTTCACTGGATAGCACCTCTAATACAATGTGGAATAGAATTGGTGAGAGCTGCTATTCTTGTCTTGTTCCTGATCATTGAGGGAAACCATTCAGATTTTTACCATTAATTATGATGTTAACAGTAGGTTTCTCATAGATGCTCTTTATCAGGTTGAAAAACATCCCTTTTGTTACTATTTTATTCAGAGTATTTCTTATGAATGAATGTTGGATTTTTGTCAAATGCTTTTTATGTATCTACCAAGATATTCAGGTAGATTTTGTTCTTTATTAATATAATGCATTATGTTAATTAATTTTTTAATGATAAACCAACCTTACATCCCTGGTACAAATCTCAGTTGTTCATGGCACATAATCCCTTTTAAATATTGCTGGATTTCACTTACTAATTTTTTTATTTACTTTTAAATCTATATTCATAAGAAGTATTTGTTGTTTTCTTGTAATGTATTTCTCTGGTTTTGGTGTCAGGGTAATTTTGACATCATAGAATCAGTTGAGAAGTGTTTCCTCTTCTATTCTCTGAAAGATTATGTAAAAAAATCTTTACTTATTTAAATGTTTGGTAGAATTAAGCAGTGAAACTACCTGGTCCTGTACTTTTCTTTGTGGGAAGGTATTTTAATTACTACTTTCTTTGATTTCTTCACTTGTTTATTCTGATTTTCTATTTCTATTTTCTCTTTCTTTCTTTTTTTTTTTTTTGATGCAGTCTCCCTCTGTCACACAGGGTGGAGTGCAGTGGCACAATCTCAGCTCACTGCAACCTCCGCCTCCTGGGTTCAAGTGATTCTTCTGCCTCAGCCTCCTGAGTAGCTGGGACTACAGGCACGCACCAACATGCCCAGCTAATTTTTGTACTTTTAGTAGAGGCAGGGTTTCACCATATTGGCCAGGCTGGTCTCGAACTCCTGACCTTGTGAACTGCCCACCTTGGCCTCCCAAAGTGCTGGGATTACAGGCGTGAGCCACCGTGCCCAGCCTATTTTCTATTTCTTTCTAAGTCACTTTCAGCAATTTGTGTCTTCCTAGGAATGTGTCCATTTCATACATTTTAAAATTTGTTGCCATAAAGATTATCATAGTAGCCTCTATAATCCTTTAATTTCTCTAAGGTCAATATTGATGTACCCACTTCCATTTCTGATTCTGGTCCTTTGCATCTCTTCCCTTTATTTCTTGGTCAATCCAGCTAAAATATTGTTAATTTTTTTTTTTTTTTGAGACGGAGTCTCGCTCTGTTGCCCAGGCTGGAGTGCAGTGGCGCGATCTTGGCTCACTGCAAGCTCCGCCTCCCGGGTTCATGCCATTCTCCTGCCTCAGCCTCCAGAGTAGCTGGGACTACAGGCGCCTGCCACCACGCCCAGCTAAATTTTTTTGTATTTTTAGTAGAGACGGGGTTTCACCGTGTTAGCCAGGATAGTCTCGATCTCCTGACCTCATGATCCGCCCACCTCGACCTCCCAAAGTGCTGGGATTACAGGCGTGAACCACCGCACCCGGCCTAAAAGATTGTTAATTTTTAAAAAATACTTTCAAAGAAGAAACATACAGTTTCACTGATTTTTGTTATGGCTTTTTTTTTTCTAATTCATTGATTTCCAGTTTAATCTTTGTTATTTCCTTTTTTCACTTGCTTTGCATTAAATTTGCTCTGACTCTTTCTAGTTTACTCAGTTGAAAGCTTCAATTACTGATTTCAAAACTTTTTCCTTTTCTAATACGAGCATTTATTGCCTTCATCGTTCCTCTAATCCTTACTTTAATGGCACTGCAAAGTTTTATTTTAATGGTAACATCTTGCAAAACTATAATAAAAGTTCAAAATAACAATATTGATATTGACATTGATGCAATCCATGCATCTTATTCATATTTCCCCAGCTTGTTTGTACTCATTTGTTTGTGTATGTTTGTGCATTGGCTTCTTTTTTTGTTTTGTTTTTTTCTCTGTCCCCCAGGCTGGAGTGCAGTGGTGCCATCTCAGCTCACTGCAACCTCTGGCTCCCAGGTTCAAGTGATTCTCCTGCCTCAGCCTCCTGAGTAGCTGGGATTACAGGCACTCGCCACCACGCCTGGCTAATTTTTGTATTAAAATTTAATACAAATTTTTAATAGTGGAGATAGGGTTTTACCATGTTGGCCAGGCTGGTCTCGAACTCCTGACCTCAAGGGATTCGCCTGCCTCCGCCTCCCAAAGTGCTGGGATTACAGGTGTGAGCCACTGCACCTGGCCTGTGCATTTGGTTCTATATATTTTTATGACATGTGTAGATTCATAAGTTCATATATTTACTATCAGAGTCAAGATACAGAACAGATCCCAGCAGTGCCCTTTCATAACCACACTAACCTCCTCCCCATCCCTGCATCAGCCCTAAGCACTAGCAACTACACATCTGTCCTCCACATCTGTAATCTTTCATTTCATGAATGTTATATACATTGAAAACTACACTATGTAATCTTTTTTTTATTATACTTTAAGTTCTAGGGTACATGTGCACAACCTGCAGGTTTGTTACATATGTATACATGTGCCATGCTGGTGTGCTGCACCCATTAACTCGTCATTTACATTAGGTATATCTCCTAATGCTATCCCTCCCCCCTTCCCCCACTCCACGACAGGCCCTGGTGTGTGATATTCCCCTTCCTGTGTCCAAGTGTTCCCATTGTTCAATTCCCACCTATGAGTGAGAAAATGCAGTGTTTGGTTTTTTGTCCTTGCGATACTTTGCTCAGAATGATGGTTTCCAGCTTCATCCATGTCCCTACAAAGGACATGAACTCATCATTTTTTATGGCTGCATAGTATTCCATGGTGTATATATGCCATATTTTCTTAATCCAGTCTATCACTGATGGACATTTGGGTTGGTTCCAAGTCTTTGCTATTGTGAATAGTGCTGCAATAAACATACGTGTGCATATGTCTTTATAGCAGCATGACTTATAATCGTTTAGGTATATACCCAGTAATGGGATGGCTGGGTCAAATGGTATTTCTAGTTCTAGATCCGTGAGGAATCACCACACTGTCTTCCACGTGGTTGAACTAGTTTCCAGTCCCACCAACAGTGTAAAAGTGTTCCTATTTCTCCACATCCTTTCCAGCACCTGTTGTTTCCTGACTTTTTAATGATCACCGTTCTAACTGGTGTGAGATTGTATCTCATTATGGTTTTGATTTGCATTTCCCTGATGGCCAGTGATGATGAGCATTTTTTCATGTGTCTGTTGGCTGCATAAATGTCTTCTTTTGAGAAGTGTCTGTTCATATCCTTTGCCCACTTTTTGATGGGGTTGTTTGTTTTTTTCTTGCAAGTTTGTTTGAGTTCTTTGTAGATTCTGGATATTAGCCCTTTGTCAGATGAGTAGATTGCAAAAATTTTCTCCCATTCTGTAGGTTGCCTGTTCACTCTGATGGTGGTTTCTTTTGCTGTGCAGAAGCTCTGTAATTTAATTAGATCCCATTTGTCAATTTTGTCTTTTGTTGCCATTGCTTTTGGTGTTTTAGACATGAAGTCCTTGCCCATGCCTGTCCTGAATGGTGTTGCCTAGGTTTTCTTGTAGGGTTTTTATGGTTTTAGGTCTAACATGTAAGTCTTTCATCCATCTTGAATTAATTTTTGTGTAAGGTGTAAGGAAGGGATCCAGTTTCAGCTTTCTACATATGGCTAGCCAGTTTTTCCAGCACCATTTATTAAATAGGGAATCATTTCCCCATTGCTTGTTTTTGTCAGGTTTGTCAAAGATCAGATGGTTGTAGATGTGTGGTATTATTTCTGAGGGCTCTGTTCTGTTTCATTGGTCTATATCTCTGTTTTGGTACCAGTACCATGCTGTTTTGGTTACTGTAGCCTTGTAAAATAGTTTGAAGTCAGGTAGCATGATGCCTCCAGCTTTGTTCTTTTAGCTTAGGACCGACTTGGCAATGCGTGCTCTTTTTTGGTTCCATATGAACTTGAAAGTAGTTTTTTCCAATTTGGTGAAGAAAGTCATTGGTAGCTTGATGGGGATGGCATTGAATCTATAAATTACCTTGGGCAGTATGGCCATTTTCACGATATTGAGTCTTCCTATCCATGAGCATGGAATGTTCTTCCGTTTGTTTGTGTCCTCTTTTATTTCTTTGAGCAGTGGTTTGTAGTTCTCCTTGAAGAGCAAATGCACCAATTTTGCTAAAGACACAATCTACCAAAACTCACTTAAGAAGAAATAGAAAACATAAATAATCCTACACCTATTAAAGCAATGAAATCAATAATTAATAACCATCTGGAATGAAGTTTCTAATCATCTTCCCAAATCAAAGTGCAGCAAGCCCAGAGGGGTTCACTGGTGAATTTAACCTAACATTAAAGGGAAAAAATTATGCCAATTTTCTATAATCTTCTCTTTAAAATAGAAGCAAAGTGAATACTTCCTCACTCATTCTAGAGTCCAACATTACCCTAATACTAAAATGAAGGATGTTACAAGAAATGGAAATACAGGCCAATATCCAGTCTGAACATAGATGCAAAAATCCTCAATAAAATATTAGTGAATCGACTCCAATAATATTTAAAAATAATTATACACCCATAACCAAGTGGGATTTATTCCAGGTATGCAAGGCTGGGCCAACATTCGCAAATCAATTGATGTGATCCATCACATTGAGAGGCTAAAGAAAAAAAGGATTTGATCATATAAATAGATGGAGAATAAGCATTGGACAAAATCTAAGACCAACTAGCAATAGAAACACCCAGCAAACTAAGCATAGAGGTGAACTTCCTCACCGTGGAAAAGAATATCTACACACAAAAAATCTACAGTTAGCATTATAGTTAATCACAAGGAACTAGATGTTTTCCCCCTAAGATCAAGAACAAAACAAGGATATCCACTATCACTACTTTTTCAAATTTTTATTGGAAAATTTTGCCAATGCAATAAGACAAGAAAAGGAAATAAAAGTTATACAAATTGGGAAGGAAGAAATCAAACTGTTTGCAGATGACATAATTGTGTATGTTGAAAATTCTCAAGAAGCAATAAAATAAGTCTTGGAACTAATAAGCAATTATAGCAAGGTCACGGGATACAATTATAATATACATAAGTCCATTGCTTTCTTATATACCCACAATGAAATATTTGAATTTGAAATTTAAAATACAATACCATTTACATTTTCAGTAAAAAATAAGTATAAATCTACCAAAATATGTAGAGGATATATATAAAGAAAATGACAAAACACTGGTGAAATAATTCAAAGAAGAACTAAACAGATGGGGAAATACTCCATGTAAATAAATAGGAAGACACAATATTGTTGAGCAATCAAGTTCTTCCCAACTTGATCTATAGATTCAGTGCAATTCCAATCAAAATCACAGTTAGTTATTTTGTCAATATTAACAAACTGATTCTAAAGTTTACATAGAAAGACAAAAAATCAGAATAGCTATGAAAGTATTGAAGGAGAACAAAATTGGAGGACTCACCTTACCCGACTTCAAAACTTACTATAAAGCTACAGGAGCCAAGATAGTTTAGTATTGGCAAAATAATAAGCAAATAGTTCAAGAGAATAGAATAAAGAGCCTAGAAATAGACTCATACAAATATAGATAACCCATCTTTTACAAAAGAAGAAAGGCAATTCAATGGAGAAAGGACAGACTTCTCAACAAATGAACTGCTTGCATGCAGTTCTACATGCACAAAAAAAGAATCTGGATATAGATCTTACATCTTTTATCAAAAGTAACCCATGTAATTGTTAATATGTAAAACACAAAATTATAAAACTTCTAGAAGCTGGCAGGGGAGAAAATCTTGGTGACATTGGGTTTGACTATTATATTTTGGGTATAATACCAAAATTACAATCTCTGAAAGAAAAAATTGATTTCAGGCTTTACTGAAAATAAAGGCTGCTCTACAAAACACACTCTTAATGACTAGGCTGGGAGAAAGTCTTTGCAAAACACATAACCAATAAAGAACTAGTATCCAAAATATACAAACAGCTCCTAAAACTCAACAATAAAAAACTAAACAACCAACTTAAAAATGGGCAAAATATAGGAACAGATACCTCACCAAACAAAATGTGCAGATAGCACATAAGCATATAAAAAGATGCTCAATGACATATGTCTTTAGGGAATTGCAAATTGAAACGATGATAAAAAGCCATTATAAACTTATCAGAATAACTAAAATTCAAAACACTGTCAAATGCTTGATGTGGAGTGATGGAAACTCTCATTCATTGCTGGTGGGAAGGAAAAATGGTACAGCTACTTTAGAATTCAATTTGGCAATTTCTTAGAAAATCACACGTATTCATACCATATGATCCAGCAATTGAACTTCCAAATGAGATGAAAATTATATTTACACAAAAACTTGTACACAAATATTTGTATCAGTTTTATTCATAATTGCCAAAACTTGGAAGTGGCCTGTCTTAGTCTATTTTCTGCTGTTTATACATAGTACCTGGACCTGGGTAATTTATATGAAAAGTAATTTATTTCTTACAGTTATGGAGGCTGAGAAGTCCAGGGTCAAGGGGTCACATCTGGTGAGGGCCTTCTTACTGGTGGGTACTCTGCAGAGTCCTGAGGAAAGGCAGAGCATCATATGGTGAGAAGCTAAGCAGGCTAGCTGTGATCTCTCTTCCTCTTCTTATAAAGCCACCAGTCCCATTCCCATGTCAAAGGCCTTTTCTACATCTATTGAGATAATCATGTGTTTTTTGTCTTTGGTTCTGTTTATATGCTGGATTAAGTTTATTGATTTGCGTGTGTTGAACCAGCCTTGCATCCCAGGGGTGAAGCCCACTTGATCATGGTGGAAAAGCTTTTTGATGTGCTGCTGGATTTGGTTTGTCAGTATTTTATTGAGGATTTTTGCATTGATGTTCATCAGAGATATTGGTCTAAAATTCTCTTTTTTTGTTGTGCCTCTGCCTAGCTTTGGTATCAGGATGATGCTGACCTCATAAAATGAGTTAGGGAGGATTCCCTCTTTTTCTATTGATTGGAATAGTTTCAGAAGGAATGGTACCAGTTCCTCCTTGTACCTCTGGTAGAATTCGGCTGTGAATCTGTCTGGTCCTGGACTTTTTTTGGTTGGTAAGCTATTAATTATTGCCTCAATTTCAGAGCCTGTTATTGGTCTATTCAGAGATTCAACTTCTTCCTGGTTTAGTCTTGGGAGGGTGTATGTGTCCAGGAATGTATCCATTTCTTCTAGATTTTCTAGTTTATTTGCGTAGAGGTGTTTATAGTATTCTCTGATGGTAGTTTGTATTTCTGTGGGATCGGTGGTGATATCTCCTTTATCATTTTTTATTGCATCTATTGGATTCTTCTCTCTTTTCTTCTTTATTAGTCTTGCTAGTGGTCTGTCAATTTTGTTGATCTTTTCAAAAAACCAGCTCCTGGATTCATTGATTTTTTGAAGGGTTTTTTTGTGTCTGTATCTCCTTCAGCTCTGCTCTGATCTTAGTTATTTCTTGCCTTCTGCTAGCTTTTGAATGTGTTTGCTCTTGCTTCTCTAGTTCTTTTAATTGTGATGTTAGGGTGTCAATTTTGGATCTTTCCTGCTTTCTCTTGTGGGCATTTAGTGCTATAAATTTCCCTCTACACACTGCTTTGAATGTGTCCCAGAGATTCTGGTATGTTGTGTCTTTGTTCTCGTTGGTTTCAAAGAACATCTTTATTTCTGCCTTCATTTCGTTAGGTACCTAGTAGTCATTCAGGAGCAGGTTCTTCAGTTTCCATGTAGTTGGGCAGTTTTGAGTGAGTTTCTTAATCCTGAGTTGTAGTTTGATTGCACTGTGGTCTGAGAGACAGTTTGTTATAATTTCTGTTCTTTTACATTTGCTGAGGAGTGCTTTACTTCCAACTATGTGGTCAGTTTTGGAATAAGTGTGACGTAGTGCTGAGAAGAATGTATATTCTGTTGATTTGGGGTGGAGAGTTCTGTAGATGTCTATTAGGTCCACTTGGTGCAGAACACTATGTGATCTTTTGGGATTAACTTCTTACATTCAGCATAATTCTCAAGTAATTGTGTCTATCAATAGTATACTCATTTTTATTGTTCCATTTTATTTCGTGGTTTGGCTAACTTAGAAGTATGACTGGTTTATATTCAGTTGAGAGCTATTATGAGTAAAATTTCTATGAACAGTCATGTAGAGGCTTTTATGTGAACATTCTTCCATTTCTCTGGCATATGCCTAATAGTGAAATTGCTGAATTATTTAGTAATTGGCTGTCTAGTTTTATAAGAAACTGAGTTTTCCAGAATGGTTGTATGATTTAACAACCCTACAAGTCATCTATCTTTGATTCAGTTTCTCTGCATCTTTGCCAATATGCTGTATGTCCTCTTCTGTGAAATATCTGTTCATGTTTTTAACATTTTCAAATTTGACTGTTTAATACTGCTGAGTTTTGAGAGTTCTTAATATTTTCTGAATTTTAGTCATTTGTCTGATTTGTTGTTTACATATATTTTCTACTATGTTTTAATGTTCCTTATATGTCTGATAATTGTTCTTGTTCCAGAATTTGCTTTGTCTGATATTATTGTAGCCACTCTAGCTCTCTTTCTTTTGATTAGATTTTGCATAGTATATGTTCTTTATCCTTTATTTTTAACCTATCTGCACCATGATATTTAAAGAGGATTTCTTGTAAATAGAGTACAGTTGAGTGTTCTTTTCTTTACCTAAACTATTTTTTAATTGGTGTACTTTGACCACTTACATTTATTATAGTTACTGATATGTTGGATTTGGCTCCACTGCTTTATTGTATGCTTCTTGTTGCTGTTTTCCCCCTCCATTTATTTGTTTTTCTGTTCAACTTTTTCTTTCTTATTTTAGATTATTTGAATATTTTAATATGTTATTCTATTTATCTCTTTGCTTTGTAATTATCTCTCTGTATTACATTTTAAGTGGTTATTCTAGGGGTTTTATATATATATACTTTACTTTTCAGAATCTACTTTAGTTAATGCTATAAGTAAAATCATCCCTTTTATAGTGTAGTTGTCATATGCATTATATCTACATACTTTAATAATCCCATCAGTCAATGTTATAAGTTTTACTTTCTACAGTCAAACATATTTTTAAACTTAAGAGAAATAAATAGTCTATTTATCCAGACATTTACCATTTCTTTTTATTTTTCTTTATGCTGAAGTTCAGTTTCCCTCTCTTACCATGCTCCTTCAGTCTAAAAATCTTCCTTTAACATTTACTTTAGCCTAGAGTTTTCAGCAACAAACTCTATTAGTGTTCCTTTCATCTGAGAATGTTACTGTTTCGTTGTCATTACTTAAGCATATATACATATTGCTGCACGTAGAATTCCAGATTGACAGTTATTATCTTTTTCTTCAACTTTTCTTCAATTTTTTCTTCAACTTTTATTCTGAGTTCCAGGGTACATGTGCAGGATGTGCAGGTTTGTTACATAGGTAAACAAGTGCTATGATGGTTTGCTGCACCTATCAAGCCATCACCTAGGTATTAAGCCCAGCATCCATTAGCTATTCTTCCTGATGCTGTCCCTCCCCCCAAGCCCCGACTGGCCCCAGTGTGTGTTGTTCTCCTCCGTGTGTCCATGTGTCCTCATCATTCAGCTCTCACTTATAGATGAGAACATGCGGTGTTTGGTTTTCTGTTCTTATGTTAGTTTGCTGAGGATAACGGCTTCCAGCTCCATCTATGTCCCTGCAAAGGACATGATACAGTTCATTTTATGGCTACATGGTATTCCATGGTGTCTATGTACCACATTTTCTTTATCCAGTCGATCATTGATGGACATTTGGGTTGATTCCATGTTTTGCTATTGTGAATAGTGCTGCGATGAACATACACGTACATGAATCTTTATCATAGAATGATTTATATACCTTTGGGTATATACCATAGGGATTGCTGGTCAAATGGACTTCTGCTTCTAGATCTTTGAGGAATTACCACACTTTGAGGAATTATCACACTGTAGTGTGAGGAATTACCACACTACAATGGTTGAACTAATTTACACTCCCAATAACAGTGTGAAAGGGTTCCTTTTTCTCTGCAACCTCACCAGCATCTGTTGTTTGTTGACTTTTTAATAATCACCATTCTGACTGACGTAAGATGGTATCTCATTGCGATTTTGATTTGCATTTCTCTAGTGATCAGTGATGTTGAGCTTTTTTTCTTATGTTTGTTGGCCGCATGAATGTCTTCTTTTGAGAAGTGTCTTTTCATGTCTTTTGCCCACTTTTTAATGGAATTGTTTGGTTTTTCTTTTTGTAAATTTGTTGAAATTCCTTGCAGTCTCTGAATATTAGACCTGTGTCAGATGTATAGTTTGCAAAAATTTTCTCCCTTTCTGTAGGTTGTCTGTTCATGCTGTTGATAGATTCTTTTGCTGTGCAGAAACTCTAGTTAAATTAGATCCCATTTGTCAATTTTTGCTTTTGTTGCAATTACTTTGGGCATTTTCGTCAAGAAATCTTTGCCTTTGCCTATGTCCTGAATGATGTTGTCTAGGTTTTCTTCTAGGGTTTTTATAGCTTTGGGTTTCACATTTAAGTCTTTCATCCATCTTGATTTTTGTATAAGGTGTAAGGAAGGGGTTCAGTTTCAACTTTCTGCATATGGTTAGCCAGTTCTCTCAGGACTATTTATTAAACAGAGAATCCTTTCCCCATTGCTTGTTTTTCACATTGACAGTTATTTTCTTTCAGCACTTTAAAAATGCTGCTCCACCACCTTCTGGCCTACATGGTTTCTAAAGTGTAGCACACAGCTATTTGAATCGTTTTCCCTTTGTATGCATTGTATTACTTTTTACTGGCCATTTTCAAGGTTTTACTCTATCTTTGGTTTTTAGAAGTTTGATTATGATTTTTCTGGGCACAATTTGCTTTGAGTTTATAATTTTTGAGATTAGATGAGCCTCTTGAATCTGTAATTTTGTCTTTCCCCTAATTCAAGAAGTTTCAGCAATTATTTCTTCAAATATATTTTCTACACCAATATCTTTTTTCTCTCCTTTTGGGAGTGCAATGAATATGACAATTTCTGAGTTGCTGCTTATTTTATATCAATATTTTTACTCTGTGTTCATGAGATTGCATAATTTCTATTTATCTAATTTTAAGTCACTGACCCTATATTTATCATTGCCCATTCTTCCATTGAGCTCATCCAGTGAATTTTAAAATTTCACATGCTGTGTGTTTCATTTATAAAATTTCTATTTGGCTTTGTTAAAAATTATATTTCTCTGCTCAGAATTTCTATATTTCATGTCAGCAGCATTTATCCTTACTATACCTTCACCCCATGGAACATGGCCATAATGATTTTACAGCTTTTAAAAAATATTTGGCACTTCCCAGATGACAAATCTGGGTCATCTTAGGGTTGGCATATGTTGTCTTTTTTTATATTGGTTTTTCAAATTTTTCTTGATATTTAGTATATTCTTGATATTTAGTATAAGTTTAGGTTATATTCTTGGCATTTTGCATAATATCTTGTTAGAATCTGAGTCCTATTAATATCCTCTGGAGAGTGCTGAATTTTTTTGGGTTGGACTTAGCTAGACCAACATGGCTAGATTCAGACTAAATGTTCTGTCTCGCTTTCTTTGAATTATTATTCCATTTTCAGTTCAGTTTGCAAAGAAATTGCTATTCTGCTTTGGCTGTCCCATAGACACACCTCTCAGTATTTAGTTTGAGACTTGAGTGGCGCTTTATGAAATAGAAACTTCAAAATACTTTACTATGCTGCTTTGGGTAAATTCTGTGAATGCACGACTTAACAGAAAGCCTGAAATTTATGCATATTCCTTCACAGCATTAGGAGATTCCCCTCTCAAGCTCTTTCCTCTTTAAGATTCTCCCTCTCCGGCCAGGCGTGGTGGCTCACGCCTGTAATCCCAGTACGTTGGGAGGCTGAGGTGGGTGGATCATGAGGTCAGGAGTTCGAGACCAGACTGACCAACATGGTGATACCCCGTCTCTACTAAAAATACAAAAATTAGCCAGGCATGGTGGTGCACGCCTGTAATCCCAGCTACTCAGGAAGCTGAGGCAGGAGAATCGCTTGAACCCAGGAGGCGGAGGTTGCAGTGAGCTGAGATTACACTACTGCACTCAAGCCTGGGTGACAGAGCAAGACTCCGTCTCAAAAAAAAAAAATTCATCTTCATATTCTCTGGTTTCCAGGAGCCCCTTTTACCAATCCTCTGTCCAGAAAGATAAGATTTCTTTTGGATTTTTAATCACTCATGACACTAGAGGTGAACTCTGTGGTTCTAAGTTCTCTCTAGCTGTGAATGGCACAGAACTTTCAGGTAAAACATCCACCTCCTCTTTCCCAGGTAACAGCTGTTTCTGAGGAGCTCTCTTTCTGAGGGATATACCCCATTCGATGAGTAGGACACATGGAACAGCTCTGCTTCCCAAGTGTTTTAACTCTGTCAGGTACTCAATTCTCTCTTATAGTGTCTCTCATTTATTGATCAGGCTGCATACTCCATCCTTACCAACGGAAATTTGGAAAGATAAAACCCAATTTTGTTGGTTTCAGAGATCTTCTTAGCTTTAATGAAGAATACTTTGCAGAGATGCTATGCCCTGTGAGGTGCTTGTATTTTTCAGCAAAAATTGTATTGGAGGTAGATGATTATCTCAGGAATAAATATATCTATTAATATATATCAGCAACTCTAACATGATTAAATTATTGTCGTCACTCAAACCTGAATCTTTATATACATAAAGTGGAATGGAAAATGGTCCACTGCACTGAAATTAACTACATGACAAAAAATGGTGCTTAGCAGCATAATGAAATATTTTCTCACTTTTAAATAATTTTAAAAAATACATATTTAACTTTCTCAATATAAAAAGCTAATTTGAAAAATAATCTCCTTATACAAGTCTATAGCAGATAGCTCCTCCTCCTTCCTGTGATTCTCTTGGGGGTAACATGACTTCTTTCCCAGTATCTAAGTCCTTGAGCTAGAATTTTAAAACAATTTTAAGCATTGTGACATCTCCTCACCCTCCATTCTTCACAATAGCTTCCTTGAGAATAATGCTGATGACCACTACTTTTTGATACATTGCATTTAAAATCTTTATCTGTTTCTCTTTTACTGGAACAAAGTCATGAAAGCTTGCTTTCTAAACAAAATAATCTCTTGTATCCAAAGGGAAAAATGCAAACCGAAATCAGTAGTTAGGCATAAAATGTACTTTTAAAGAACAATGTTGGCTGGGGGCGGTGGCTCATGCCTGTAATCCCAGCACTTTGGGAGGCCAAGATGGGTGAATCACCTGAAGTCAGTTCAAGACCAGCCTGGCCAACATTGGGAAACGTTGTCCCTACTAAAACTACAAAAATTGGCCGGGAGTGGTTGTAGGCACCTGTAATCCCAGCTACTCGGGAGGCTGAGACAGGAGAATCACTTGAACTCGAGAGGCAGAGGCTGCAGTGAGCCAAGATTGTGCCACTGCACTCCAGCCTGGGTGACAGAGCAAGACTCCATCTCAAAAAAAAAAAAAAATGCTGTCCTGTTTCCCAGTACCTACCCCCACTTCACTGAACTTGGAATCCAAGGTTCACTACTTTTCCAAGTATTAGACTGGAGTGTGGAAATGTTATTGAAAAAATGTGTAACTACCAGACAGATCCAGGCCAGAAACCCAGAAATATTTTTTTTTAATTTAACCGTGTGCATTCATTTTAGGCAGACTAGGTGGACACACATAGGTATGCACACAGACATACACATGGTACAGTAAGAGGGTCTCATAAAACTTCAAGGTACAGTAAGAGGGTCTCATAAAAATTCAACGCTGGAAATAGTTGTTTCCAATCCGGAAGGCACTGTGCCAAGCAAACAGGGATGTCTGAAACCTTTGAACACTGATTTTAAACCAATTGACTCTGAATTGATTTACACAGAAATATTGACACAAACACTTATTGAATACTTAAGATATGCCAGCACTATTTTAAGTGTTATGCACTGACTTAATTCTGACAGCAATCTTTTTTTTTTTTTTCTGGGACGGAGTCTCACTCTCGCCCAGGCTGGAGTGCAACGGCCTGATCTCGGCTCACTGCAACCTCTGCCTCCCGGGTTCAAGCGATTCTCCCGCCTTAGCCTCCAAGTAGCTGGGATTACAGGCATGCACCACCACGCCTGGCTAATTTTTGTATTTTTAGTGGAGACGGGGTTTCGCCATGTTGGCCAGGCTGGTCTCTAACACCTGACCTCAAGTGATCCGCCCGCCTCGGCCTCCCAAAGTGCTGGTATTACAGGCGTCAGCCACCGTGCCCAGCCTCTCACAGCAACCTTATGTTAAAAGAAAGACTTCAGCTGAATTCAATTTAAAGGAGTTTAATTGAGCAATGAATGATTCGCAAATCAGGCAGTCCCCAGAATCACAGCAGATTCAGAGAGACTCCAGCGCAGCCACATGGTGGAAGAAGATTTATAGCAAAAAAAAGGGAAGTGTCATACAGAAATCGGAAGTGAAGTACAGAAACAACTGGATTGGTTACAGCTCCGCGTTTGCCTTAATTGAACACAATTTGAACACTTAGCAGTCTATAAGCAGTTGAAGTATGGCTGCTGGGATTTGCCAAGACTCAGCTATTGTTACAGGGCATACTCCTAACTTAGGTTTTCAATCTTGTCTACCTATTAAGTTAGGTTACAGTTTGTCCACAAGGACTCAAATTTAGAAGTATGGAGTCCTTCTCAGGCCATATTTAGTTCGTTTCAACACTTATAATGCAGGTACTATTATTTTCTAAATATCACGCTTGAGGAAACCAAGGGACCTCGGTCAACTTAAACAGCTAGTAAATGGTGGTGCTGAGATTTGAATCCAGGCATAGGTATGGCCCTAGTACCCATTATTTTAACCCAGTACAGTACACTATTGCCTCTCCATTTGTGAAAAGAAAAAAAAAAAGACGGAAAGTCCTTTTTATATGGAAATACAGATAGGATTTTAAAAACAGGCCCCAGAAAACCTTACACAACACTTTCTGCTATTAAACCATTCTCTTTCCTTCTTCCCCTTCTCTCTCCTTCCCTTTTCCCTCTCCAGTCCATCAAATCCTTGCTATGGAATATCACGCACTCCTAAATCCAACTGCTCCTTTGACATTCTTTGGCCACAACCTTAAAATAAATGGCCACCCTAGGATAGATGGGGTTAAAACCACAAAAAAAGAGTCTTCTTGGCATGCTAGAGTGGCTGCAGTCTAGGAGGCTTTCTGGAAAATGGAGGTGATTCTCCAGAAAATGGAGGTTTGTTTTTCTGGAAACAAAATGTCATGGTTGTCAGGTTACTGATAAGGGGACTATTAGGAAAATTGGGTCCCAAATTTATTCGTAAGGCAAGTAGGGGTGCAGGACGTGAAAAGAAGGTGGGTTTCCCTGTATGCTGGGTGTAATGGCCTAATTATTTCTACTACATGCAAAATACAACACTGCTTCTTGGGTTCCTCAAAATACTCAGGCCCTGGGCACTGAATAGTGTGTGCACGGATGAGGGCTGTCCCCCTTAGAGTGATGATTGGTAATGATAGGTGATTCATGAAAAAAAAAAAGTACAGAAGGTTACAGGGCAGAGGATGGCAAAGGGACAGGTTGGAGAATCTGTTTTTTTTAAAAAGTTATCTGGTTGGTGGTCAAGGACTGGAGGTGGAGAAGAGTGGAGGGGTTGAAGAGGATTGTCTTCTCTGTGAAAAGGGTTTTATAGGTTATTTCTAGTATAGCACACTCTTGTGGGAATAAATGTTCATTTGAATTTTTGTGAAATTCTAAAAATAGTTTCTAACATTCACTTGGTAAAGAATTCAGTAACTTTCCAAGTGAATATGTATATTGATCAATAGGTTCCCAATCCATTTTTACCTAAATGGTAGCACACTGTACAAACTACTCTGTACCTTGCTCTTTTGAATTAGCACTGTAACCATAGACAACCAGAAAAAAACCTAAGTATTTATCAAAGTGGGCAATGGTTAAAAGAATTATTCTATATCCATGAAATTGAGTATCATGGAGATATTAGAAATGGTGATGCAATCATATATTGACATTAAAATTATATTCATCTTCTAAGGTCAAATGAGAAAAGCAGCTTTTGAAACAGAGATGTGTGTGTACACATGCAAATGCATAGTTAGAAGTTTAGAGAGATATAAACACACAAAAATTGTTGACTGAACATCTCTGAATGATGGCATTACAGATGATATGTTTCCCTATTTTATGTGCATTTTGTAATGTTTGGGATTTGCTACCATTTGGTTCATTACATATTTAATTTTTAATTATGTAATACTTTCACAGAATTTTTTAAAATCAGCAAATAACAAAAGGTATAGATTAAAAAGTCCCCATCCTGTCCCAGGATCCTGCATCCCTAGCTCCCTAGTTCCCATTCCTAGATTAGGAAATTCAACATTCAAATGAATAAAACAAGTTTCTCATGATATAGTGTATATATGGAGAGGCAGGGATGCTGTATTAGCAAATAAGCTCAATATATTATTGCCACGGCTAGGAGAGAAATCTGTTCTTCGTGTGAACCAAGCTCTCTCTGACTTGTTCAGGTCCTCAGATATACTGTTCCAACTAACTGGAAAACTTGCCCTTCCCTTTACACCTGGCTGTCTTTTTACTGTTCCAACTAACTGGAAAACTTGCCCTTCCCTTTACACCTGGCTGTCTTTTTACTGTTCCTTCAAGTCTCAGCTGATAAATCTCTTCCTCCAAGAGGCCAGCGTAAACTAGCAGGGATTTCCATCCTGTGCTGTCTCAAAGCACTCTGTATTTCTTGTATCTCAGAAAGCACATATACCCTTTGCTGTAGCTTCTTTTTTCTTTTCTGTCTCTTAGCAAACAGCACAAACCCAGCATGAAGCTTGTTCATTTTTGCATCTTAGAATCTAACATGATACCCAGCCAGCAGGTTTGGGAAAATCTATCTCATTTGGGTCACAAAGACCAATACAAAAACTTTGTTCCCATCATTTCCTCATCATCCAACATATGTTAGAGCTGTTTGAAAGGCATAAATAAAGGAGTTGACTTTTTGGTGGATGGAAAATGGTAAAAGTTTATTACTAATATCTGAAGTGGACCAAGATGTTACTCAGGCTTAAAAAATGTAATTAGAAATAGAATTTGAGGGCAGGAGACTTCTGGAAATGGTTTCCTTACTCTTAAAAAGAGACATACAGGGCTGGGAGCAGTGGCTCACACCTGTAATACCAGCACTTTGGGAGGCTGAGGCGGGTAGATCACGAGGTCAGTAGTTCGAGACCAGCCTGGCCAAGATGGTGAAACCCGTCTCTACTAAAAATACAAAAATTAGCTGGGCATGGTGGCAGGCGCCTGTAATCCCAGCTACTCGGGAGGCTGAGGCAGGAGAATTGCTTGAACCCAGGAGGTGGAGGTTGCAGTGAGCCAAGATCGTGCCACTGCACTCCAGCCTAGGCAACAGAGCAAGACTCCATCTCAAAAAAAAAAAAAAAAAAAGACATACAGGTGAAAACGACCTTTTTCTTTTCTTTTCTTTTTCTAATTAAGAAAACACATTGGTTTTTCTATTACTCAAGGTTTAATCAAATAAACAAAACCAGCAGGAGATATACATATACACACACATACACATTCAAGTGACTGGCTTACATAATTGTGGGGGCTGGCTATATAAGTCCAAAGTCCATAGAATAGTCAGTCAGGAAGTAAAGATCACGAGTAGGCTAGAGTCTCCTCAGGTATGGGATGAAGCGGTTTCTACAAGTACAAGCGTCTCTTTTCCCAAGGAAGGCCTAAGCCCCTTTTTAGGGCCTTCTAACCGATTAAGTCAGGCCCACCCAGGACAATTCCTCTAACTCAAAGTCAACTGATTAGGGTATTCTAGTACATCTGGAAAATCCCTTTGCAGCAGAAGCTATATTTGTGTTTAAATAACTGGGAGTAGTGTGTATGCCATAGAATGGCTGCTACTTCCCTTCCATCTTCTAATTCACACAAGAGATTATCTCTAGTAGCCCACTTATCAAGAAACATAATAGAAAGTTAATTCTGGGGAATGTAATTTTGCCTACCCAAGTTGACACACCACAGAGTTATTATATCCTCTATAGAATGCACCATCCAGGACTTTTCCCAGAACTTGATGAGAGGTAGACTTGTTTTGGGAGATGAGCAAAGGAATTATGAAAGTTTATTTCTTCTTTGTTTCAGGCAGTCTTCTTTTTATACTGGAAGCAGTTGTGCCTAGAATTGATGCCTGGAAGTCTTATTGCAGAGAAAGCATTCTAACCGAAGTGTTTTTTGATGTCAGAGGGCTCATTTCCTGGAATTCCTAGAGACAGAAATCTTCTGACTTCAAGAAACCCAGACACCCTGAAGAGAAGTCAGCCAAGACGCGGGCTTCCCAAATAACCTACCCAGAATGGTACAGTTGCCTCCAATACCCACTGGAGGTCACAACTTCACTGCTGATATCATCAGCTGTTGTCCAGTGGGAATAGAAGTGAATCCTTTACAACCTATTTTAAGTCCTCATAGCACAAAGTATATCAATATAAAATAGGTCCAGGACTTAGTTGTGTGGTCAAAAGGGATAAGATAGAAAGGACAATGATCCTTCCCGCATGATCTATACTGGACTGAAACCCCAGTGGCTACCGGCATACTGATGTGAATAGCTCTTCTTGAAGCATGGCAGGTATGCTTGGGTGCCCAAGATTCCTGTCCAGGCAGAGCAGTAAGAGTAGTGTTAAACCTTAGGGCCTCGTTGCAATTGGATTGATTGAACCCAAGCTGTAGCAGCAATAGTTTATTTATGTCCACTTATGAACTCTTGTCCTTCAGAGAAAATGCAGGATTTCATTGCTCCCGGAGGGTGAGTTTGGAAATCTGCAATTGCACTATTTTTAGGCAGAACAGAGGAGTTTCTGTTTATTTTTGGTTAATTACTAATACTTCATATTGCCTCTACAGCCCCTCCCCCATCCATTTCCTCAGACATGGAAATTTTGCTCTCTCTGAACCCTTTCTGTGAGCGCTGTAATACCAAAAGCCAGCACTAAAATATAGGGATCCTCCTTAGAATACAGCAGGAAAAGAAAACAATTTCTTTCTCATTTCTCAAAAGGAGACATATATTAGTTTTATCATATAGTGGTAATCAGCTATAGCACCTCTGCTATTTTGTAGTTTTTAAAGAATTTTACAACTATTTGTTTTTCATTGTATTTATTTTTAGTTATAATCTATGATATGAAACATTAGTTTTCCATTCTTGATCATGATGTGGGGCTTCTTTTAAACTGTATTTAAATTTAAAGTTTATATGGTTTCAATGGAAATATTAATCGAATGATTATTCAGGTGGTATTTGGATATGTTAAAAATCCTAAAGATGGTACGTGAATGACCAAGATCTGGGAAAAGCAACTTTGATTCACTGTGACAGATACCATATGCAATGTCTCAGTAAAAGGAGTCAAAGTTCTTCTTCCTCAGTACCTCATAACTCACCACAAGAGTTAATCTGGTACCTGATACACAAAGCTACACATTGGTACTAATAGTGGTGGCACTTGTTTTTCTCATTCCAGATTGGGTTAGGGAGCTTGTTTTCCTATCAGTGTCACTACTAAGGTTAATTAATTAATTCAACAAATAGTCAGTATGCCTATTAGGTTTCAACCAGTGACCTGTATGCCGGATCTGTAAATACCAAGGAAATATGGCCTTTGTCCTATCTACAGAAACAGGGGAGCACAAAGAAGGGACATAGAGAAACAGGAGAGAAGCGAAATAGACAGAGAAGATGTGGCTACAGAAGTTGGAGGAAAACTATCAGAACTATCTCTTGTGAATACAAGAGTGCTTACCTGTACTTGACAATTCCACTGATACCTGGGTTCACACCATCAAATATATCTATGTAAGCCTGAATGATGCTTATACCTTTTACTTATAAAATAAAATATTCTAATTAGCATGCCTATATACATCCATTACCCTGCATGTGGGAAGCAATCAGTGAATTATTCAGTTCAATCTCGTCAGGAGGAAAATCACACTAACAGATACACTCAGATACATTAAGAAATCAAGAATTCAAGAATATACTGGCTCTGGAAATTATGAGAAGTATGGGGTTGAAAGACATAGACCCTTCTCTTAGTGAAGAAAATTGGAGTTGAAAGATGTCCTGTAGTCACTTGTTTAAAAGATATTATTACCAACTAACATATAATCAGTACAATAACATCTAAACTTTATTGTAAACTCTGTGTAGAATGTTCCATATTCTTCACAGAATAAATGTTTACTGAAGACCTTCAGGGCACTAGTTTCCAGGTACTGTGAGTACACATGATGATTCAAGTTTGGTCCCAGGCTCAAAGAACCCACAGTCTAATGGACACAGATAATTACAGTACTGATGTGTGGGAAGCAGGAAAGCTACAAGAGCAGGGGATGTTGGGAAAACAGAGGTGGGCCCCTTTAATCCATGTGGTCTCAGTAGGGGGCTTCTTTAGTAGGTAGGTACTATTATTATCTCCATTTGTCTGATGAGAAATTAACAGAGAGAATAGTACCTGGTATATGGCAAGCACTCAATACACATTCCTTTAAGGAATAAGTGGATGTTAAGCAACTTGCTCAAGAAAACACAGCTAGTTAGCGCTGGAGTTTTTCAGCCCCAAATCTGACTGCCTCAAAGCCCTGTGCTGCTTCCAGTATGCTGATCTCTCTCTTTGCCAGTAATGTCACTCATACTGTGGAGAGCTACTCTCCCTCTGAGGATTCAACCTGCCATAGAGAGCAGTGAGAGAAGGGGCAGGTACAGTTTCCAAGCCTTTCACATTGGATGAGGCACCGAACTTCCAGAGAAGATGCTTCTGATGTCACTGTCATTTTCTGAGCTGTCTGGTCTTTCTACACTCATTAAAAAGTTAGGAAGGTGTACTGCATGCGTCTTGGCTTCAGGAAAACTCCTTTTAGTGCTGACTTAGAGGCTCCTGTCACATTATAAGGGTGCTGGGTCCTGCTGAATTTTTAGATTGTCCGGGAGAAAATGGTTTTCCCAGGAAGATGGCTATCTTATCAGGAATGCCATGTCCTGCTCTGCAGCACTGTGGAAAGGATGCCATAATCGAAAACTAAGGTATTATCTCAGGCTGTGAAATGTAACATGTGTAATTATAAACAAGATTGTTAACTGTTTGCTTACCTGTTCTGCCCTCCTTGAAATGAAATTGTCCAGTCCAGGTCTAACTTCAAAGCCTTTTCTCTTTTCTGAAAGTAAGAGCTTCCAAAAGTGTGGAACACAGAAAACTGGTGATGTTCATAATAATTTTAGTGCTACTTGGACATTAAAATTTTAATAGTTGTATATGTGTTTTACTTTTCAGTAAACATGTAGTATATCACAGCCACATCAAGATCTTTGTGTGGTGATTGGGGAAGAGCATTGATATTACACACTCCATGGAAAATCACCATAACATTTCCTTTCAAGATCTCTGATCTTTCCCTCAGATTTCCTACCCTGTTGGCAATTGCGCAGTTTTTTCTCACTGTTTAAATCTTTCATCCATTATCAGACTTCTTGTTTCCCCAAGAATAGAAGCCATCCTTCTGTCCTCCCCTTCTGTCATCTGTTTTTACAGAAGCAGAATCTAAGGTTGTGATTTGCATTCTTTCAACCAGGAACCATTTCTGCAATAAAGGACCCTCCTCAGAACACAATCTTTGGCTGACAGCAAGATATTGTAAACGATGAATTTTTTCTCTCTCAGAAAGCATACAAACAAATTTCCCCACCCCTAAAAGACAGAAATTATAACTGCATTTCAGGAAGAAAAAAACACCATACCTCATCTCATTGGGTGTCCTGAGCATTTTGCCACAGGATCTAGGGAGAGGTCTCAGGGATGAGAAGTTGGCTGATAGTGTTGAGATCATAAATTCCATAAAGTGTGTCGGAGAGAATGTTGGTGGATAATTAAGCTGACAACGGCCTACACTGCTTACTCAGCAGTCTGTGGGCTTTGGCATCATATGACTGTGGGTGTCCATCCTAAATCTGTGGCATAGCAGATTTGGGCATCTTTTCTAACTTCTCTGGTCTCAGTTTTCTCATCTTGAAAAATGGAAATGGTATTATGCATTCTGAGTTGCTTTATGAGGATTGGATGAGATAATACATATGAAGTGTTTAGTAGTATAGAAATCTATTATTTATTTCATTTTTATTTCATTTTAATAAAAAGGGTGAAGAATAAAATATTTAATTGAAATAAATTGATTTAAGTAATTTAAGGAAATTTTTCAATAAAAAATTAAAAAAAAAACCTTTTAAACATTTTATTGTATTTCTTTTTGAAGTTATCTTTCCTACCCTGATTGTCCACTTTTATAGTTACATATGTTACTTTAAGTTACTTTCAATTTTAAGTAATTCTGTTTCACTGAAAATATTAGAAAAAAATCAGCACAATGGTATCTATACTAGTAAAAAATCTTAAAAGTGGTGAATGCATGACTGAGTTCTGAGAAATGTTAACCTGAGTTATGTCCTGTGGTGTGCACTGTGCTAGCTATGATGAGGGATGACACTGAGAACATGAATCAGAATTCCCTGCTCCCTCAATACCTCATATGCAATGGAAAACTTTACTTGACATCTAATACACAATAGCCAAATTATGGTACCTATTGTACTAATCCCAGATTGGAAGATAGTTTTCTGTTGCTATGAGTAGCACAGTAAAATATCAATTCAATAAATACTCGATAATGCTTATTGTATTTCAGTCTAGATTTCCTGAGGTCTAGTGGGTAAAGGCCAATGCATACACAGAACATAAAAATGGGACTGTAAGTGATGAATTAAAAGCCTTTGCCTGGCACATCAAAAAGACAACTACCAGGAAGAAGAAAATTCAAATAGATTAAAAAGGAGTTACCACAGGAGTATGAGGAAAACCAGGAAAGTCATCTCCTTGTGAGTGTGAAAATGTTCACTTATGTTGACAGTTTCACCAGTCATTGGATTCACATATTTAATTCTGTCAGAATGATGTCTATGAATTTAAACTCTGACATAAAATAATACAATTAGCAGGCTTGTATTAACTCAACAAGTTTTTTTCTTCCAATAAGTATTTATTAAAGACTCATTGTGTATCACAGTTTGTATTTGAGAAAGTTTTAGTAAATCATCAATGGCCACCCTAAGGCCAGATCAGTGAATACGATAATAATGAGTTGACCAAGATTCATCAAGAGGCAAATACGTTAGGTGTGGAAGGTCTGGAGGGTTCTAAACCCAGGGTGTGGATGAAAAGCCCAAATCCCCCTTGAAATGAAGTTTGAATGCGGTGGTAGAACACTAGCTATCCTTTACTGAGGGGTGGGTCACACAATAAACATTTACAGAACATGACTGGGCTTTTTGGACATGGAGAAGAACCAAGCCAAGGCTACAAAGTGCTTTTAGTCTAGTGGGCAGACAGTTATACAGAAATGTAATTGCCAAACATTTTGATGAAAATACTGACAGGGCTGAGAAGATGAGTCACTGGAAACACAGAGGAAGGCCTCTAAAAACCAGGCTGAGGGTGTGTGGGTGTGATCAAGCTGTACAAAAGTTTAACTTGGTCAGGGACACAGAGCTAAATAGCAGTGTGGTCAGTTTTCATCACTGGATCAGCCTGATTCCAATGCTCTGTGCAGTTTATTCCAAGTTCACGCCTACAACAAGGCCATCTGTTTTCATTTGGAACTTAAAGGTGCACTTCCCCTGGCTCTGCTTTCACTTTCCATCATGCTTCCTTCTCCTTTCAGACTCACCATAAAGTGAAATAGTTGATCCCAGCCTGTTGGCTTCAGAGCAGCAATTTTGAGCTCTTTCCTAGCACTTTACAGCGATGCTCTTTTCTGCTGAGTGCTGAGATTTTTTAGGCATGAACTCTATTGGAAACATCACACGTGTCTCATCAGGAAGGGCAGGTATATTTCAGCAAGTACAGTATACATGAACTGTTGTCATAGTGAGTGGACAGAGGTCTGGCTTTGGAGACAGACAAATATGGATGCAAACCCCTGCTCCATTACCTACTACCCAAGTTACTGAACAGGGTAGTTACTGAAACTACCCTGTTTGCTCATCTGTAGAAAGCAGAGAAGGTAGGAATTGATAAAAATCTCTCAGGGTAGGCTGGGAAAGAAAAATATGCACTCCTTGAGATTATCTGTTTATGTTTCTGACTGTTAAGAGTGTGAACTCCCAGAGGACAGGGATGCCATCTGAGTCATCTCTGTGCCTTAAAAACTCCATAACCACATCCAACCAGAGCAGTCTCAGCACATTTTTCTTGTGCAGAGCTGAATCAGGCCTCAGCTGCTTCTGCTCCAAAGCGATGGTGCTTATTTTGAAGATCCTTTCTTGCATCCTAGAGGTCTATGAATACTACTCATATGCCAACGTTGATGAGAATCTCCACAGAGGAAGATATATTTTGCTCCATTGTGACTTTTGCCGTGTCTGTTTCCATTTGCATTTTTGAGCCACACTTGGATACAGCTGAACCAGAAATAATTTCTCGTTCTCTCTGCCATATTAAATTTTATACACAGACAATTCAAGAGGCAGGTCTCAGGCCTTTTAAAGGTATAAGGCTTTATTGGCAGAAAGACTGGAATGTGAACAACAAAAGCTTTCCTTACTATATCTGCCAGTAGCAAGCCATAATATGTCGATTTTAGCCCTAATCCCATTGTGCTGTAAACAGTGGTAACGTGTATGTCTTATTAACTGAACTGTGAGCTTCCAGAGGCCACGAAATGTATTTATTCTTGTTTATTCCTCTTTTTATTCCCAGCACCCATGACAGTGCCAGGCACATAGAGGACATTCAATAAATGGTTCTTAAGTAAATGAATGAGAGCATTTGTGAGTTTTATATAAGAACCATACAGAGGAGGTGGCAGGCTAAGAGTGGTTCTAAAGCAATGCTGATGTTACACAACTTGCAAGTGAGAGAGACAGAAGCCTCTAGATCTGCTTGAATCCAGAAGCCTGCAGTCTTAGTTGTATTGGCTTTACTAGACTCTGGGACTCCCTGAAGCTTACCTTGGCCACTTTCCATGGTACTCAGAATTCAGAAAGGAGCCCTGTTTAGGATGGACTTTGTGTCCAAGGCTGGTTCATAGATTAGATTACTCATGCAATAAGTAGTTATTATTCACTTAATATGATTAGCTATCCCTCCAGGTGCTGGGAATTTAGCAGTGAAGAAAACTGAGACTGTTCCTTGAGTAAATGTCCCTGCTCTATGAAAGCTGGTATTCTAGTTCAAAGAGAAAGAAAACAAACAAACAAATGCGCAACAAGGCTCACTAAACAGTATTTGAGGATTAATTATTGTGAGATAGGAGTTTAGCAAATTGCAGATGAATTTAATACATGAAAGCAAACAACATAATATCCTCTTATTTATCTTATGGAAGTAATTAATAGCAAGTGATATTTTTGAATTAAATATACGATTATATAAGTAAAACAGTATAAAGATTCTTGAATTTTGGGAACAAATATCTGATTAAATAGCTATTGCTTCAAGTCTCTTTCACCAACTCACACAGCTTCTGGGAGCAGAAAAACACTTTGATGGAGAGAACGTCTGAGTAATACATTCTTTCTCTAGCTGTGATATCATTACAGATTCAGCCTTGTCAAATTATGTTGAATTTTAAATACAAACTGAGTCCTCATGAACTAGTCACCAGGTATTTTATGCATACTTATTATGGGGTTAACATTAAATTGGGTACCAGAGGTACAAGGGAATGCTAAATCATTCTCTGCCTTCAATGATCATATAGCCTTGTTGGGAAGACAATGCGATTTGACCTTTTACACTGGTAGAACTCAAGACAGTTTGAGCTACAGTGCAGGGAATGGAATCTAGATTCATAAATACCCTTGATCATCACTTACTGGTTTTGTGACTCTGGACATGATCTTGCACTCCTCTGAGCTTATTTGCCTTTGTGTAAGTTAGAGATAATAAAATCCACCTTTCAGGGTTACCAGGAAGATGAGAAATGACTCCTGTACACAGTAGAATCAGAGTATTATTAGTCTGGTACATTATGTGAACATCAAAGATTAGCACAGAGCTATTGGTATAGATTAGGCATTATTACTCATCTATAGTTTTATGGTCAGAAAATGGGAGTGGAAAATAATTAAATACAACCTGATCCATACAAACAGGACAAACAGAAATCCTTAGAGTAGATTAAATATTGATCTAACAATGTGATGGTCTAGCTAGCACCAGGAAACATGCAGTCTAGCAACACAGTAGATTGGTAAGGTGCTAGCCACTAGAGTCAGAAATAATCAGTTTTAGGATGACAGGTGATAGGTGCTCATAGCAGTAGGGGAATTCAAGATATCCTGAGATGAGAGATGACTATGTTTCAACATCCATTTTAATGCATACAGCAACAATATAAGGTAGATACTGTTTTATACCCCATTTACGTATAAAGAAACCTGAGACTCAGAGGCTAATGAACTTGCCTAGAAATACCTAGCCAGTAAAGGAACAGGTTATGATTCAGACCTAGGCACTCTGATTCCAGTACTTAAGACATACCTGGGGCTACTTTTCTAAACGTTTCACATGTACTATCTAATGTAATCCTTACAGTTGCAGAATTTTTATTAAAAAGCACAGTTCTCACTCAGAAAGAAAGAAGGATTTGCATAAAAAAGAATTTCAAGCCCAGAAATACTAAGATTACAGGTGTCAGGAATAGTAACATCCAGCCTACTTCCAGCCTTTCTCTCTCTCTCTCTCTCTCCTTCCCTCCTTTCTTTTCTCCCTACTTCCTTCTCTCTCTCTCCCTCTCCCACCCTCCCTCCTTCTTTCTCTTTCCTCTCCATTCCTCCCTCATTCAAATCCAAGCAATAGAATATTACCAAGGGCTCCTTTAACATTCTTTTGCCATGAAGTCAAAGAACTGCTCCTGCAGAGAAAAGGGTTAATTGAGACCACAGAGAAGAACAGTTCACCAAGCATACTAGAGTTTCTGCCCTGGTAAAACATACCCAAAGATGATGGTGACTGATTGGAGCCAGGGATTCCTGGAAACTAAGAACTTTACATTTAGGGCAAGGGACTTGAGATTTAAAGGAAAGGTAATGTTAGGGAAACTGGGTTGTAATTTTAGTCCTGGGAGTCAGTTGGAGGGGGAGCGTAGAAGGTAGGGTCATCTTTGTGATGGACTGGTTCGGTTTTGTCTCAGGGTTACATGAATCTGTGGAGAGAAGCCAGCAGTCTGCTGTAGGCAGCTCATACCAACTCACTAGAGCTGATGATTAAAAATTAAATTATATGAACTTACAATAAAATAAATTATATTAACAACAAAGAGGCCAGGCGCGGTGGCTCACAGCTGTAATCCCAGCACTTTGGGAGGCTCAGGAGGGCGGATCACGAGGTCAGGAGATCGAGACCATCCCGGCTAACACAGTGAAACCCCGTCTCTACTAAAAATACAAAAAAATTAGCTGGCCGTGGTGGCAGGCGCCTGTAGTCCCAGCTACTCAGGAGGCTGAGACAGGAGAATGGCATGAACCCAGGAGGCGGAGCTTGCAGTGAGCCGAGATCCTGCCACTGCACTCCAGCCTAGGCGACAGAGCGAGACTCCGTCTCAAAAAAAAAGAAAAAAACAAACAAAGATAAAATACTCAAAATGAATGGGGCTCCTATTTCTCTTATTACGTTTTACTATTCTCTGTGTTCTTGAAGGGATTTGTGTTTTTCATCTGTACCGTGGAAGTGTTGTGGAATAGTATGCCGCTGCTCATCTGGTCTCAGGTGTGTATTCAGTGACTTCACATTGGTAGCTTGAAGTAAACCATGGTGGGGGAATTTACAGCACCCAGAAATCAGGCCTTCATTTGTTGTTATGTTGATAGACTAGAATTAATGAAATGATGTAGAAAATGTTAATAATGCTGATTAAACTTTAATGCGTTTTGTGTCTGTAGCCACTACATTGTGAATAGAATAGCATAGAAAATTGAGGAGCTATTATTTTTGTATTTAAAGACTATTGTTCAGTTTGCCAAAGAAGTCACTAGAGTCATTGATGAATAAGTGAAGTTCTTGATGAATAAATGAAGTTCTGATATGGTTCTTTGTTATATGACTCTTACTTGTTAACATAAACAAGTTAAAACCCCAAATTTATGCTAGAACTACACTTGGAGAGATGCTTGCTAGGTATTTACCAGTATATATCTGGCCAATACCTTCAACTCCTGCCGCATCCCATGCACACCAAATGACCTGGTCTCCCAGCACTGACTAGTGGTTCCAGAGCAGTGGGCATTGCAAGTGACATCAGAAGGGATGGTTAGAGAAAATGGGATATAAGGCCTTGAAGGGAACAGGAAAGGGCAAACTGAGGAGGGGATGAAGGGGTGGAGGAGCTAGCCCATTTCTACGAGTACATATGTGTGAGAATATATAGCTAATGTTTACTTAGAATGTGTTTCTTTACAAACTTCAATGCATATTCCATGCATATTCAAGGATATATATTTGTACATGCATGTACGTAAATAGGCATTCAAGCACATAACTACAATAGAGTTAATCAATTTTATTTATTCATTTTTAAACAGGTTAATGCATGGACATATTAATGTGTATGTGCAATGAATGCTTCAAAATTTTCAAAAACACTGGCTAATTGTTTCCCCCACTTCTTTTTACTCAAACCGTAAATACATTTTTTCAGAATTTCCCACCATTGGCAGGAAATAGCTATATTTTAAGTTATGTGCTTTCTAAATAAGTATAATTCTGGAAGTTGTAAAACCCCAATAGAAGCTCTACTTCAGTAACTGGTGCACAGTGAGTATTCTTAGCTTATGCATACACAGATATTTATTGGATAATGATATGTCAAATGATGTACGGGGCACTTGGGATTCACAAAGAATTGGGCAGTGTCCTTGCCTTCAAATATCTCACAGAAAACAGAAATTAAACAAATGTAATTTATGATCTGGTACTGGGACCAGGATAGAAGTCTGATCTTCATGTATGTCACACTCTCTCCAGCTTCTAAGACCTCATATATATTATTCCACTCTCTGGAAAATTCTAGTTCTGCTTTTCACCTAACTCCTATTTATTTGCTATATCTCAGATAGCGTGTCTCTTCTTTTGAAAGGCTATATCTTGCCTCCATCTTGATATATACTGTCAGAACATCTTGAATTCCCCTACTGCTATGAGCACCTATCACTGTTTGTTGTAGTTTCTTGTTTTGTTGTCTTCCTCAACAGACCATGAGCTCCACAAGGACTGAGATCAAGGATGCCTTACTCATTTCTATATCCAGGAGCCTACTTCAGTACCTGCCATACCAGTGTGAGGAAAGACACTATGACAGCTGGAGGGCTCAGTTCATAGGATGGGGATAAAAAACAGTTAGAAAAAAATGAATCCATGCCAATTTCCTATTCATATATCACAGTCAAAGTTGCATGATCGGACATGACTAGATGCTGGAAATTCACTGATGTAGGTTGTATTCTTAATATTCAAATAGTCGAGGATTTTATTTAGCAAGGAAATAAAATTTGGGAGCAATGATTTTATGAAAGATGTCCTATTTCACGGAAAGGACACAGAAAAAAACAGTGCCTCTTTCTCTTCTTGATTCTATTCTTCCTGGTTGTAATTCCTAGAATGCTTATTATAGAGGAAAGCATCCTAACTACTGGGCTTCTTTCCCAGAGATTCTGAGGAAGCAAGCGTCATCCCATTCCCTATGAATTTCTCAAGTGTTAAAGTAAAATCATCCAACAATGTGCCATCACTTATAACGTCCACTGGAGGGCGATATACTACTGCTGGTACCACCTTCTATAGCATAGCCCGCGAGGACTAACTTTAGTTTCCTAACAATGTAATTATAAGTCCTCATAGTGCAGAACACCTAATAAATAAAAGAAGCCTTTTCAGTAGATGTGAAGATACAGATGAGAAGATGGAAATGGCACCAGCCCTGCGCCCACCTCCCATTTCCTTACCTATGACCCCAGGGTAGACCAGGTTCCCAGGGGTCCTGTAATACTTCCCCTCCATGCTGACTTGTGACTAACACAGAACACAGAGCTAATGGTTTCACCTAGAACATGGCCGGTCTCTTTAGGTTCCTGGGTATCTCATCCTGGAGAGAGGACAAGATTAGGAGATGAGTGTTATTATCATAACAATTTTAGAGATGAGGACACTAAAACTGAGGTCCAAATAAGTTTATTAACTGGCCCAAGAATAAACTTATTAACTGGCCTCTTTTCTGTGCTCCCACAGCACCCCACTTTTTCCTAGTCACACTGTATTTGGAGGCTTTCTCATTCGCTAAATGGAAGTGATAAGGACCTAGAGACTGTGTTTTTTGTTCACTGTTCTATCTTAGCATGGAAAACAGTGCTGGGCAGCCAGGAGGCATAAAGTGGAGGAAGGCTAGGCAGAGAATAGGGTATGAGGTGGGAGAGGATGAGGTTCCATCTATGGTGATTCCCCTGTCACAGCTTGGATGAATGTGGATGGGGAAGAAACAGTGGATGTTGTCTGATAAATCCATTAAGAGGAGAAAGATCATGCAGCACCCTACGGATTTACTTCCTATTACTCCTTCTACCCTGTCACTGGATTGATGTAACTCTCACTTTAAGTGTCCAAAAACATCGCACCTGAGAGGGTATCCATGAAAGTATCTAAATCTTAGGATAGAGTGCAATCATGACCCTTGGTTCTATTTATCAGTGTCGTCACCTAATAAGAGCAACCATCATAGCAAATTCTTGAGTGCCTGCTGGGCGTTAGCCACTGTACCAGCAGATTATACACACGCCCTCATTTCATCCTCACAATGAAGATGAGGGTGGGCTTTTATAGATTTTTTTCTTTTTTGAGACAGAGTCCTGCTCTCTCACCCAGGCTGGAGTGCAATGGCGCAATCTCGGCTCACTGCAACCTCCGCCTCCCGGGTTCAAGCAATTCTCCTGCCTCAGCCTCCTGAGTAGCTGGGATTACAGGCGTCCGCCACCACACCTGGCTAATTTTTTGTATTTTGACAGATTTTACAAAGCTGGACAGTAGTGCATAGAAGAGTTGGGTTTTCAGCCCTTGCTCTTTCCTTGAAGTAAGAGATGCCTGAAGCATGGCACAGTGGCCACTGTCAGGGTCCATGATCACTAATGGCTCACAAACATTCATTCACAATTTTGAAGTGTAAGATATACTTCTGTGCAATAGAAAAAAAGACAGCTAACACATAAAGTAACATTAACTTTAAAGCCTCCTTTGGAAATAAAGGGGAAAACACTGACTTCCTGGAACCTGTGGTAAAATCCCCCAAAGACTCCCTTAAACACCTCTTGCTTTCCCCTATATTCCTTGCTGGATATAAGCTGCTCGTTGCTTCTCTTTCTCTCCAGTTCTTACTCAGTCATCCCCTTCCCCAACAGCTTGTTCTTTCTCAGGTTTTAGCCCCCCTCCCATTCCTTCTCACCAGCACAACAGTCCTCTGCTTGCATTCTCACACACAGAAACCAGCCTAGCATGCTTAAACTGTATGCCAAGTTAAAAGGGTGCTTGGCACTCTTGAACATGAGTCTTTAACCAAACTGATGAATGATTTGCACATGGCTTAGAGAAGCAAAAATTATCAGAACACGCTTTAAAAGTCATTCTCAGAAAAAGAGAGAAATTATATATACACATTTCTTTGGACAGAAACACTGACATGGCAGAAGCATGACATCTTGAGTCATTTTTTTCCATCCCTCTGGATCTATTCTATGCAATGGAGTGTAATATAGGTGTAACTCAGTGCAATTTGGTATTTTCTGACCACCAATATGACTGAACCACCTAAGGCATATATGCATGTTCATGTTCTCCCTTCCTCTCTCCCTCCCTACCTCAACTCAATCCCTAGGTGGAGAAGGACTGGGGCAAGCTATTCCAAAGAACAAAGGAGGAATCTTGGGGAGTAGAGCAACATGTTGGAGAAACCAGGTCACAAAAACCTTCCCTTTAGGTAGGGGTAGGGGAAGATGGAAAAGAAGAGGTATGAATTGAAAGGTGGTAGCATCTCTTATGTGAGGCATAGCCATGTCATCTCTCATATACATGGAAACACAAACTTACTTAATTGATCTCTTTTCCCTTCGTTGAAAAGGTAAGTCAAGTTAAACAATTCAACATCCAATGAAACATGTACAGAGGAGAGACAGACAGCAAGTAAAAGACATATGGAAAGAGTATCCAGGCCCTTTTACCGAAGTAGTAGAACAATGCAGACATTTATTAGAAGTTTGCTCCTTTGAAATATTATTATTACACTGAAAGTTGGAAAAAAGCTAAACATCCATCAGAGGAGGTTGATTACATAAATTATGAAAGATCCATATTTTTTAATTCTATGAAGCCATAAAATGATAATACTGATATGTATCATTGAACCCACCACTGATTGTTTGATAAAAATTTCAGATACCAAGAATTACATATAAATTAGAGTTGGTTTTGTAATATACAGCATAGAAATACATACTTTTCTATTATTAAATATTTACTGATTTCTGAATACTTACACATGTATAAGATAGGTATTTAGAAAGATTAAAGAGGGCATACAGCACACAGACGTTTCTCATTCCTATCTCCCATCTCCTTTCCCAGAGACAGTTTCTAAAACAAAACTGAGGAAAATACTAACATCATTCGTCTAATAAGAGCAATGAGGTATGTAATACTAATGAATCTTAAAACATATCATATAAAAAACACTAGATAACTGGACTAAGTAGTGCAAACGTGAATGTCTATCTAAAACACACACGTCGCACACACACGATAATGAATGGAAGACGTCCTAGCACATGTTTACAAACTGTTTGTGTGTTGCCGTCCTACACACCAGACGCAAAGCGCTGAAAACAACAAGCCTGTTCACAATAGCACCAGGAACGTACAGTACACAGGAATCATCTGCAGGTGATTTGTGACAACTGTAGGCAGAACAGTAAAAGCGAGAGATACAATGGATGGTTTGAAAAATCAGAGACACTCTTCTTCCTTATCGAATTGCAAGATTAACGTTGTACTACGCAGACAAAGGTGTGTTCAAGATTTGGATCGTAAGCGAGTTCACTGAAAACTAGCGGAGGGGAAGGGCAAATACTGGAAGGGAATCCCCGGTGTGACCAGGCCAGAAACACCTCTTTTACAGCATGGGATCTGTGCAGGTACTCGGACGCTCCCCGCAGGGCCGCCCGGGCCGGTTTCAGGCGGGCTTGCGGCCCCAATCACTGCTCCTGTTCGCGGGGACAGGCAGGGGCTGACTGGGAGGACGTCTTGTGGATGGCCTTGTGCTCCTCGGCGGCCTCCTCCCCCGGGTCGCCACCGCCGACCTCCTCGATGACCACGCTGCGCACGGTGCCCTCGTCCAGGCAGTGCGGGGCGACGCCGTACACGCGGGGGTCAGAGACAGCTGCGTGGAAACTCTGCACCCCGCACCTGCTGCAGAAGCTGTGCAGCGCCGGGTGCGTGTTGGACCGATAGGTGACGATGCTTTCTGCGCCCTGGAGCAGCGTGAAGCGCGAGGCCGGGACGAGGAAGTGGCGGTGCTGCTTCTTCCTGCACAGCCTGCAGCTGCAATCCACGACGCGCAGATCTGCAGGGGCCCAGACCGCAAAGCGGACCGCGCCGCAGTGGCAGCCCCCGGTGTGATGCACGAGGCCCGGGTACTCGAAGGTGTCCAGCAGGACCTTGGCGGCGCCCTCGCAGCTGAGGCCCCACAGTTTCCTGAACGTCTCCCAGCGCTCCCGCTGTGCGCCCAGGTCCAGCTCCTTAGGGGACTCGGCGGGCGCCGGCGGGTCCGGGAGTGGCGCGGAGGGCAGCGGATCTCTGGAGCCCGCCTCCCGGGCCCGCCGCCACCGGCGCTTCCGCCGCAACTTTCCCAGCCACCTCTTGGCCGCCGCGTGGCTCCCGACCCCGACTTGGACCCGGGGGCACTGCGCGCGGCTGGCGCCCATGACCGCGATGGCCGCGCAGGCGGCGGGAGGATCCCCGGGCCGCTTTCGCCTCCGCCGCTGAGCAGTGGCGCGGTTCCTCACTCTGCCCATGGCGCCTGCAGCCTCCGGAGCGCGTGCCCAGCCCGCTACCCCCATTTTCCCGTCAGTTGCTGAGCAGCCTCCTTGTCTGCGCCAGCAGGATTGGCCACTTGTTGAATGTGATGTAAAGGGACCCTTCCCTTGACCCTATCACAACAGCCTTTGCTGGCCCGAAATTCTGACTGAGCCTATCAGTTGCCCCTTCTCCTAAATGTTAATTTCTATTGTTGATTCAAATCATCAGCCTAACCTTAACATATTGAACCACTGAAAATACTGTAGATCTTTTAGTTAGCATGCAACAGCAGGTAGATCAGCTTAAGAAAAAAGAATTATTCATCTACTATAGAAGAGACAGAGTCATGCATAAAGCCTTGGGGGGAGAAAATGTGTGGTGTGTAAGTAGTTGTACCAAAGTTAAGTGTAGTAAAGATGATGATCCACAGTACTATGTTACATCGGTGGACCCAACCAGAGAAAATACAGGCAAAAAAAAATTTACTCATTTAAATCCATCTTCTAAGGACAAGAGATAAAAGAAGAAACAGTACATTTATTTTTGTGTCTGTGCCAAGAACAAATTAACAGCTCTGGCAGGCATGAATATGAAGTGGATATTTTGTTCTTTTAAGATTGATTTGGTTGATCGTTGGGCATAGTCAGAGGAGAGACCCCACAAAATGAGCACAGATCTTCTTTTCTGGGGTGCAATAAGTACCTGGGAAAACAGTGAGCAGTCTTAGGAAAGCTGCTTCTTGTGAGTTAAGTAGTAACATCCACACACATGGGTTTTAAGCAGAGATGCATCCATCTACCCACAACCTAGATTCAATGATTCTTAACATTTTGTTGTATGTACCTATATGCGACAACTGTAGACAGAACAGTAATTCGATAGGAATTACATGTATCTATATGCATGCATATGTGCATACATTTTTTCAAAAACATTTAAAGTAAGATACATACATTAATGCCATGTTGTCTCAATATTTCAGCACTCACATCCTAAGAATAAACATATAATTTCTCTTTTTTTGAAGCTCAAGATTATGTATTTACTTATTTTTGTAAGTTCGGTGCTACATGTGCAGGTTTGTTACTTGGATATGTTGTGTAGTGGTAAGGTTTGGGGTTCTAGTGTACCCATCTCCCAAACGGTAAACACCGTAGTCAGTTGGTACTTTTTCAACTCTCATTTCCCTCCCACCCTCCCTGCTTTTGCAGTCCCCGTGTCTATTATTTCCCTCTGTGTGTGCATGTGTACCCATTGTTTAGCTTCCACTTATGAATGAGAATTTGATTTTCTGTTTTTGGGTTATTTTATTTAGGATAATAGCCTCAAGCTCCATCTATGTTGCTGCAAAATACATGATGTTATTCTTTTTTATGGCAGTGTAGTATTCCATGGTGTATATATAGCATATTTTTCTTTATTCAATCATCTGTTAATGGACACAAAGTCCATGACTTCGCTATTGTGAATAGCACTGCAATAAACATACCAGTGCAGGTGTCTTTTTGATGTAACGATTTATTTTCCTTTGAGTAGATACCCAGTAGTGGGATTGCTAGGTCAAATGGTAGTTCTATTTTTAACTCTTTAAGGATCTCCATACTGCTTTCCACAGGAGTCGTACTAATTCCCACCAACACGATATAAACGTTTTCTTTTCTCTGCATCCTTGCCAACATCTGTTAGTTTTTGGCTTTTTAATAATAGCCATTCTGACTGCTGTGAGATGGTATCTCTCTCCTTGTGATTTTAATTTACATTTCTCTGATAATTAGCAATGCTGAGCATTTTTTCAAGTGTTTGTTGGACATTCGTATGTCTTCTTTTGAGAAATGTCTGTTCATGTCCTTTGCCCACTTTTTAATGGGGTTATGTTTTTTTTCTTGTTGATTTGTTTCGTTCCTTATAGATTCTGGATATTAGTCCTTTGTCAGATGCATTGTTTGTGAATATTTTCTCCCATTCTGTAGGTTGTCTGTTTACTCTGTTGATTGCTTCTTTTGCTGTGCAGAAGCTGTGCAGTTTAATTAAGTCCAATTTGTCTATTTTTCTTTTTCCTGCATTGTTTTTCAGGTCTCAGTCATAAATTCTTTCCCTAGGCCAATCTCCTGAAAAGTTTTTCCTAGGCTTCCTTCTATGATTTTTATAGTTTCAGGTATTACGTTTAGGTCTTTAATCCATCTTGACTTAATTTTTGTGTATGGTGAGAGATAGGGGTCCATATTCTTCTGCGTATGGTGCTAATTTTCCCAGCACCATTTATTGAATAGGGTGTCCTTTCCCCGTTGTTTATTTTTGTCAACTTTGTTGGAGATCAGTTGGTTATGGCTGTGTAGCTTCACTTCTGAGTTATCTGTTCTGTTCCATTGATGTGTCTATTTTTGTATCAGTATCATGCTGTTTTAGTTACTATAGCCTTGTAGTTATAGTTTGAAGTTAAGTAATGTGATGCCTTTGGCTTTTGTCTTTTTGCTTGTGATTGCTTTGACTATTTACTCTTTTTTTGGTTCCATATGAATTTTAGAATTTATTTCTAATTCTGTGAAAAATGATATTGGTAATTTGATAGAAATTACATTGAATCTGTACATTAATTTGGGCAGTATGGTCATTTTCATATTATTAATTCTTCTTCTTCTTCTTCTTCTTCTTCTTCTTCTTGTTCTTCTTCTTCTTCTTCTTCTTCTTCTTCTTCTTCTTCTTCTTCTTCTTCTTCTTCTTCTTCTTCTTCTTCTTCTTCTTCTTCTTCTTCTTCTTCTTCTTCTTCTTCTTCTTCTTCTTCTTCTTCTTCTTCTTCTTCTTCTTCTTCTTCTTTCTTCTTCTTCTTTTTTGAGACAGAATTTTGCTCTTGTTGCCCAGGCTGGAGTGCAATGGCGCAATCTTGGCTCACTGCAACCTCCGCCTCCCAGGTTCAAATGATTCTTCTGCCTCAGCCTCCTGAATAGCTGGGATTACAGGCATGTGCCACCACGCCCAGCTAATTTTGTATTTCTTGTAGAGATGGGGTTTCTCCATGTTGGTTAGGCTGGTCTCAAACTCCCAACCTTAGGTGATCTGCCTGCCTCGGCCTCCCAAAATGCTGGGATTACAGGCGTGAACCACCGCACCTTGCTGATATTAATTCTTCTAATCCATGAGCATGGGATGTTTTTTCATTTGCTTGTGTCATCTACAATTTCTTTCAGCAGTGTCTTGTAGTTTTCCTTGCAGAGCTCTTTTATTTCCTTGCTTAAATGTATTTCTAGGTGTTTTATTTGTTTGTGTGTGAATATTGTAGATGGGATTGAGTTCTTGTTTTTATTTTTAGCTTGAACACTGTTGGTGTATAGAAGTGCAACTGATTTTTGTATGTTAATTTTGTGACCTGAAACTTTACTGAAGTCCTTTATCAAGTCTAGGAGTCTTTTGGAAGAATCTTCAGGGTTTTCTAGGTACAAGATCAAGATATAATTTGTTATACAGCCACAATATCATTTTCACATCTACAAATCATTAATGATTTCCTAATATCTTCTAACTCCCAGTAGATGTTTAAATTTCTCCAATTGTTTCCTAAATGTGTTTTATAAAAAGATTCTTCCCTAAACACACTCTAATTAATATTTACACATCAGATTCAGTTGATATGTCTTTTTAGTCTCTTCACCAACATTTATTTTAATAGGCCAGGACAGTTATCTGCTGATTTTGTCTGATTGTTTCCTGTGCCATTAGATTGCTCACTTATCTATTTCCTATATAACTAAAAGTCACATCTAAAGGCTTAATTAAATTCAAGTTACATGTTTTGGCAACTATGTCTCATAGGTGGTATTGCATACTTCATATTTCACCACATCAGAGGTTTGTGATACCAAATTATTCCAGTAGTAATAAAACTAAATGTTATCTCTTCACTAAAGTGGTAATTGCTATATTTTTCTATTATGAAAGCATGGTCTTTCTTTGCAATAAGCAAGTAATCTTGTTGCAGGACAAGCAAACCCCAAATCAAGACTTAACCAAAAAGGGTTCTTGGCTTCACCCAGAAAGGATTTCAAGGGTTAGCCGGTAGTATTAGCTAGCAATCTTCTATTGAACACACTGCTCCCCTTAGAGCATAGCTAACTCATAGGCAGTGCACCCAGAGTCAGCAAAGTATGATGCTCTTGGCAACTGTATTTATACTTACATGGACCCTCTTTCAATTACCTGCAAATTAAGGGGCAGGTCAATGCAAATTGAGGGGTGAGGTATTTAAAACTTTCTAGGGGGAGAGGCGGTTCCAAGATGGCTGAATAGGAACAGCTCCAGTGTACAGCTCCCAGTGTGAGTGATGCAGAAGACAGGGTATTTCTGCATTTCCAACTGAGGTACCGGGTTCGTCTCACTGGGGCTTGTCAGACAGTGGGTGCAGGACAGTGGGTGCAGTCCACCTAGTGTGAGCCAAAGCAGGGCCAGGCATCACCTCACCTGGGAAATGCAAGGGGTCAGGGAATTCCCTTTTCTAGCCAAGGGAAGCTGTGACAAATGGCACCTGGAAAATCGGGTCACTCCCACCCTAATACTGCACTTTTCCAATGGTCTTAGCAAATGGCACACCAGGAGATTATATCCTGCGCTTGGCTCGGAGGGTCCCATACCCACGGAGCCTGGCTCATTGCTAGCACAGCAGTCTGAGATCGAACTGCAAGGCTGCAGCAAGGCTGGAGGAGGGGTGCCCACCATTGCTGAGGCTTGAGTAGGTAAACAAAGTGGCCAGGAAGCTCGAACTGGGTGGAGCCCACTGAAGCTCAAGGAGGCCTGCCTGCCTCTGTAGACTCCACCTCTGGGAGCAGGGCATAGCTGAACAAAAGGCAGAAGAAACTTCTGCAGACTTAAATGTCCCTGTCTGACAGCTTTGAAGAGAGTAGTGGTTCTCCCAGCAGGGAGTTTGAGATCTGAGAATGGACAGACTGCCTTCTCAAGTGGGTCCCTGACCCCCGAGTAGCCTACCTGGGAGGTACCACCCAGTAGGGGCAGGCTGACACCTCACACAGCCAGGAACCCCTCTGAGATGAAGCTTCCAGAGGAACAATCAGGCAGCAACATTTGCTGTTCAGCAATATTCACTGTTCTGCAGCCTCCACTGCTGACACCCAGGCAAACAGGGTCTGGAGTGGACCTCCAGCAAACTCCAGCAGACCTGCAGCTGAGGGTCCTGACTGTTAGAAAGAAAACTAACAAACAGAAAGGACATCCACACCAAAACCCCATCTGTATGTCACCATCATCAAAGACCAAAGGTAGATAAACCCACAAAGATGGGGAAAAAACAGAGCAGAAAAGCTGAAAATTCTAAAAATCCGAGTGCCTCTCCCCCTCGAAAGGAATGCAGCTCCTCACCAGCAATGGAACAAAGCTGGACAGAGAATGACTTTGACGAATTGAGACAAGAAGGCTTCAGACGATCAAACCTCTCTGAGCTAAAGGAGGAAGTTAGAACCCATTGCAAAGAAGCTAAAAACCTTGAAAAAAGATTAGTCGAATGGCTAACTAGAATAACCAGTGTAGAGAAGTCCTTAAATGACCTGATGGAGTTGAAAACCATGACACGAGAACTATGTGACAAATGCACAAGCTTCAGTGGCCTATTTGATCAACTGGAAGAAAGGGTATCAGTGATTGAAGATCAAATGAATGACATGAAGTGAGAAAAGAAGTTTAGAGAAAAAAGAGTAAAAAAAAAAAAAAACGAACAAAGCCTCCAAGAAATATGGGACTATGTGAAAAGACCAAATCTACGTCTGATTGGTGTACCTGAAAGTGACGGGGAGAATGGAACCAAGTTGGAAAACACTCTGCAGGATATTATCCAGGAGAACTTCCCCAACCTAGCAAGGCAGACCAACATTCAAATTCAGGAAATACAGAGAACACCACAAAGATACTCCTCGAGAAGAGCAACTCCAAGACACATAATTGCCAGATTCACCAAAGTAGAAATGAGGAAAAAATGTTAAGGGCAGCCAGAGAGAAAGGTCGGGATACCCTCAAAGGGAAGCCCATCAGACTAACAGCAGATCTCTCAGCAGAAACTCCACAAGCCAGAAGAGAGTGGGGGCAAATAGTCAACATTCTTAAAGAAAATAATTTTCAACCCAGAATTTCATATCCAGCCAAAGTAAGCTTCATAAGTGAAGGAGAAATAAAATACTTTACAGACAAGCAAATGCTGAGAGATTTTATCACCACCAGGCCTTCCCTACAAGAGCTCCTGAAGGAAGCACTAAACATGGAAAGGAACAACTGGTACCAGCCACTGCAAAAACATGCCAAATTGTAAAGACCATCAAGGCTAGGAAGAAACTGCACCAACTAACGAGCAAAATAACCAGCTAAAATCAAAATGACAGGATCAAATTCACACATAACAATATAAACCTTAAATGTAAATGGACTAAATGCTCCAATTAAAAGACACAGACTGGCAAATTGGATAAAGAGTCAGGACCCATCAGGGTACAGTATTCAGGAGACCAATCTCACATGCAGAGACACACATAGGCTCAAAATAAAGGGATGGAGGAAGATCTACCAAGCAAATGGAAAACAAAAAAAGGCAGGGGTTGCAATCCTAGTCTCTGATAAAACAGACTTTCAACCAACAAAGATCAAAAGAGACAAAGAAGGCCATCAATTCAACAAGAGGAGCTAACTATCCTAAATATATATGCACCCAATACAGGAGCACCCAGATTCATAAAGCAAGTCCTTAGAGACCTACAAAGAGACTTAGACGCCCACACAATAATAATGGGAGACTTTAACACCCCACTGTCAAAATTAGACAGATCAATGAGACAGAAAGTTAACAAGGATATCCAGAAATTGAACTCGGCTCTGCACCAAGCGGACCTAATAGACATCTACAGAACTCTCCACCCCAAATCAACAGAATATACATTCTTCCCAGCACCACATTGCACTTATTCCAAAACTGACCACATAGTTGGAAGTAAAGCACTCCTCAGCAAATGTAAAAGAACAGAAATTATAACAAACTGTCTCTCAGTCTACAGTGCAATGAAACTAGAACTCAGAAGTAAGAAACTCACTCAAAACCGCTCAACTACATGGAAACTGAAGAACCTGCTCCTGAATGACTACTAGGTACATAACGAAATGAAGGCAGAAATAAAGATGTTCCTTGAAACCAATGAGAACAAAGACACAACATACCAGAATCTCTGGGACACATTTAAAGCAGTGTGTAGAGGGAAATTTATAGCACTAAATGCCCACAAGAGAAAGCAGGAAAGATCTAAAATTGACACCCTAGCATCACAATTAAAAGAACTAGAGAAGCAAGAGCAAACACATTCAAATGCTAGCAGAAGGCAAGAAATAACTAAGATCAGAGCAGAACTGAAGGAGATACAGACACAAAAAAACTTTCAAAAAATCAATGAATCCAGCAGCTGGTTTTTTGAAAGGATCAACAAAACTGATAGACCGTTAGCAAGACTGATAAAGAAGAAAAGAGAGAAGAACCAAATAGATGCAATAAAAAATGATAAAGGGGATATCACCACCGATCCAACAGAAATACAAACTACCATCAGAGAATACTATAAACACCTCTATGCAAATAAACTAGACAATCTAGAAGAAATGGATAAATTCCATGACACATACATCCTCCCAAGACTAAACCAGGAAGAAGTTGAATCTCTGAATAGACCAATAACAGGAGCTGAAATTGAGGCAATAATTAATAGCTTACCAACCAAAAAAAGTCCAGGACCAGATTGATTCACAGCCAAATTCTACCAGAGGTACAAAGAGGAGCTCTTACCATTCCTTCTGAAACTATTCCAGTCAATAGAAAAAGAGGGAATCCTCCCTAACTCATTTTATGAGGCCAGCATCATCCTGATACCAAAGCCTGGCAGAGAAACAACCAAAAAAGAGAATTTTAGACCAATATCCTTGATTAACATCGATGCAAAAATCCTCAATAAAATACTGGCAAACCGAATCCAGCAGCACATCAAAAAGCTAATCCACCATGATCAAATGGGCTTCATCCCTGGGATGCAAGTCTGGTTCAACATACGCAAATCAATAAATGTAATCCAACATATATACAGAACCAAAGACAAAAACCACATGATTATCTCAATAGATGCAGAAAAGGCCTTTGACAAAATTCAACAACCCTTCATGCTAAAAACTCTCAATAAATTAGGTATTGATGGGACGTATCTCAAAATAATAAGAGCTATCTATGACAAACCCACAGCCAATATCATACCGAATGGGCAAAAACTGGAAGCATTCCCTTTGAAAACCGGCACAAGACAAAGATGCCCTCTCTCACCACTCCTATTCAACATAGTGTTGGAAGTTCTGGCCAGGGCAATCTGGCAGGAGAAAGAAATAAAGGGTATTCAATTAGGAAAAGAGGAAGTCAAATTGTCCCTGTTTGCAGATGGCAAGATTGTATATTTACAAAACCCCATCATCTCAGCCCAAAATCTCTTTAAGCTGATAAGCAACTTTAGCAAAGTCTCAGGATACAAAATCAATGTACAAAAATCACGAGCATTCTTATACAACATAACAGTCAAACAGAGAGCCAAATCATGAGTGAACTCCCATTCACAATTGCTTCAAAGAGAATAAAATACCTAGGAATCCCACTTACAATGGATCTGAAGGACCTCTTCAAGGAGAACTACAAACCACAGCTCAACGAAATAAAAGCGGACACAAACAAATGGAAGACCATTCCATGCTCATGGGTAGGAAGAATCAGTATTGTGAAAATGGCTGTACTTCCCAAGGTAATTTATAGATTCAATGCCATCCCCATCAAGCTACCAATGACTTTCTTCACAGAATTGGAAAAAACTACTTTCAAGTTCATATGGAACCAAAAAAGAGCACGCATTGCCAAGTCGATCCTAAGCTAAAAGAACAAAACTGGAGGCATCACGCTACCTGACTTCAAACTATACTACAAGGCTACAGTAACCAAAACAGCATGGTACTGGTACCAAAACAGAGATATAGATCAATGGAACAGAACAGAGCCCTCAGAAATAATACCACACATCTACAACCATCTGATCTTTGACAAACCTGACAAAAACAAGCAATGGGGAAATGATTCCCTATTTAATAAATGGTGCTGGGAAAACTGGCTAGCCATATGTAGAAAGCTGAAACTGGATCCCTTCCTTACACCTTATACAAAAGTTAATTCAAGATGGATTAAAGACTTAAATGTTAGACCTAAAACCATAAAAACCCTAGAAGAAAACTTAGGCAATACCATTCAGGACATAGGCATGGGCAAGGACTTCATGTCTAAAACACCAAGAGCAATGGCAACAAAAGCCCAAATTGACAAATGGGATCTAATTAAACTAAAGAGCTTCTGCACAGCAAAAGAAACCATCATCAGAGTGAACAGGCACCCTACAGAATGGGAGAAAATTTTTGCAATCTACTCATCTGACAAAGGGCTAATATCCAGAATCTACAATGAACTCCATCGAATTTACAAGAAAAAAACAAACAACCCCATCAAAAAGTGGGCAAAGGATATGAACAGACACTTCTCAAAAGAAGATGTTTATGCAGCCAAAAGACACATGAAAAAATGCTCATCATCACTGGCCATCAGAGAAATGCAAATCAAAACCACAATGAGGTACCATCTCACACCAGTTAGAATGGTGATCATTAGAAATTCAGGAAACAACAAGTGCTGGAGAGGATGTGGAGAAATAGGAAAAATTTTACATGGTTGGTGGGACTGGAAACTAGTTCAACCATTGTGGAAGACAGTGTGGTGATTCCTCAAGGATCTAGAACTAGAAATACCATTTGACCCAGCCATGCCATTACTGGGTATATACCCAAAGGACTATAAATCATGCTGCTATAAAGACACATGCACACGTATATTTATTGCAGCACTATTCACAATAGCAAAGACCTGGAACCAACCCAAATATCCATCAATGATGGACTGGATTAAGAAAATGTGGCATATATACACCATGGAATACTATGCAGCCATAAAAAATGATGAGTTCATGTCCTTTGTAGGGACATGGATGAAGTTGGAAACCATCATTCTCAGCAAACTATCGCAAGGACAAAAAACCAATCACCGCATGTTCTCATAGGTGGGAACTGAACAATGAGAGCACTTGGACACAGGAAAGGGAACATCACACACCGGGACCTCTCGTAGGGTGGGGGGAGGGGGGAGGGATAGCATTAGGAGATATACCTAATGTAAATGACGAGTTAATGGGTGCAGCACACCAACATGGCACATGCATACATATGTAACAAACCTGCATGTTGTGCACATGTACCCTAGAACTTAAAGTATAACTAAAAAAAACCTCACTATTATTAATAAAACACTCTAGAATACTTATTTTAAAAAAAACTTTCTAGGGAAGAGGTGATAACTTCTTGATTGTTGTCATGGCAAGCGTAAACTGTGATGGCACTGGTGGGAGGGTCTTATGCTAATGAGTAGTGACGGCGGCTAGGGATTGCGCTCATCACCATCTACTGGTTCCTGCTAGTTTCTTTGCTTCATCCCGTCTGGAGCAGATCCTGTTTTGGTCCGCAGGGTTGTGACCAGAAAACAAGTCCTGTTGGTCTCCCACCTCAATCTGACGGATATTATTTTGACACAGTGTAAGTATCTTGTTCCTTTACAGCTTTTTTCCTTGTGGTTTTAGAATCTGTCAGTAATCTTTGACTGAACCAATTATTTCACTGTTGTTACGTTACAAAATGATACTTTTCTAATTCTAAATTCCCTTCTATTTTTATTAGCTGGTATTCACCCATAAAGACGAGCTTTTTCTCATCAACTGTGGATGGACTATTTTTTCTCCCTTAAAGGCAGGATACATGCTTTATTCTTTTACTTTAATTATCATTTTGCGGAATAAAGAGTTGGAGTAATAGAAATCTCCAATTATGAAACATTATTCTCCCTTTTTCTATCTTTCTCTCTCTTTCTCTGGGTATAACTTTGGATTCACGGATTTTTATTCATTTAATAATTTACAATCATCAAGTAAGTAATCGAATTATCCCAATTTTGGCCCATGGGATTTCTTTCAAACTGGTTCCTGTATCCTTTTGCATTTCTCCATTAATCTTTGAGCACTTCCTTGTTTCCTGGAACAACTAGATGCCCCAGTATCTCTTTGTAATTTTTACTTTTGCCATCTGATCCCTGGAATCACATATTTCTCCAAAGACCTCCGGTTCCTTTTAGCAGAGTATGATATTTAGAACCATACCTGGGCACATCATGACACATTATTTATTATCAAAATTTTTATTGAATAGTTGTAGACATGCATACTGTTGTAATATATAATACAGAGAGATCTCTTGTACCCTTTATCCAGTTTCCTCCAATAGAACCATTTTGCCAAACTATAGTAAGACAACTTGTATATTTGTATATTTTTATTGATAAAATCGACCAATTTTGTTCGAATTTCCCCAGTTTTAAATGTATTCATCTGTATGTGTGTATTTGTTCTGTGAAACATATATATGTGATATATATGTGATATAGAACAAATACACACATACAGATATAGAGATAAGTGTATTGCATGTATGTGTGCATATATATATATATATTTTATATATATATAATATATATATATTATATATATATTTTATATATATATATATATATATATGTAGGTTTTATAGGTTCATGTCCCATCATTACAATCAGTAACACCGGTACCACAAATCTGTCCAACATTTCCAATATTTTGTCATTTCCAAAATTTTATATAAATGAAATCAAACAGTAAGTAACTGTTTTGAATTGGCTTTTTTCTCTCAGAATTATACTCTGAGTATCATCCAAGTTGTTGAGTGTATTGATAGTTCATTCTTTTTTATTGTTGAGTGGTGTGTGTGTACTATAATTTGCTTAAACATTTACCTGTTTAAGGATATCTCCCAGATTTTTAGCTATGACAAATAAATATTCCACAGACATTTGTGTACAGGTTTCTGTGTGAACATAAGTCTTCATTTTGCTAAGATGAAGAACGCGATTGCTAGAGCATATAATAATTGCATATCTTGTTTTATAAGAAACTGCCAAACTATTTTTCAGAGTGACTGTACAATTATACATTCTCACCAGCAATGCACGAGTGATCCAATGTCTCCATATCCTCCCCAGCATTTTGTGTTGTCACTGATTTTTATTTTAGCAATTCTGATACGTATGTAGTGATATCTCATTATGATTTTAATTTGCATCTCTCTCATTGCTAATGGTGTTGGGCATCTTTTCAAGTATTTATATGCCATCTGTGCAGCCGTATGTCTTTGCCCATTTTCTAATTGGGTTTTTGTTGGCTTTTATTTGTTTATTTCACATTTTTACTGTTGAGTTTAAGAGTTATTTGTATTCTGAATAGTATTTCTTTGTTAGATATATGGCTTGTAAATATTTTCTTTTAGTCTGTATTTATTTTTTCATCCTCTTCACAATGGTCTGAGAACTTTTTGGTTCTGAATCACACAGATTTTCTCATGTTTTTTTTTTCTCAAAGTTTTAATGTGATTCACTTTCAGTTAATTATCATTATTATTACTTTTTTGAGACAGGGTCTGGCTCTGTCACCCAGACTGGAGGGCAGTCGCCCAATCTCTGCTCACTGCAACCTCGGCCTTCTGGGGCTCAAATGATTCTCCCACCTCAGCCACCCGAGTAGCTGGGATTACAGATGCGCCCTACCATGCCCTGCTAATTTTTGTATTTTTTATAGAGATGGGGTTTCACCGTATCGCCTAGGCTGGTCTCAAACTCCTGAGCTCAAGTGATCCACCCGCCTCAGCCTCTCAAATTGCTGGGATTACAGGCATGAGCCACTGCACCCAGCCCACTTTCAACTAATTTTTATATAAGGTGTTAGGTTTAGATCAAGCCTTTATTTTCTTACTTTCTGGTTTTTTTCCCCATAGGAATGTCCAATTTCCTTAGCACCATTTTATTGAAAAAGCTATCCTTTCTCCACTGAATTGCTCTTCCACCATTGTCAAAAATCAGTTGAGCATATTTGTGTCTGTCTATTTCTGGATTCTCTATTGTGTTTCATTGATCTGTGCAGCCATACCTGCCCCAATACCACACTGTCTTGACTACAGCCTTATTATCAGATAGGTAATTCCTCAAATTTTTGTTGTTTTTCAAGATTATTTAAGCTATTCTAGGACCTGTGTCTTTCCATACAAATTTTAGAATAAGCTTGTCTATGTCTGCAAGAACTTTGCTGGGATTTAGATAGGAACTACATTAAACCTATAGATCAGTTTGTGGAGAATTGACGCCTTTACTGTACTGAGCCTTCCAATCAACTAACACAGTGTACTTCACCATTTATTTACTTCTTCTTTGATTGTTTTCATCACTATATTGTAATAGTGTTCAGCACACAAATACTGTTCATGTTTTGTTAAATTCATACCTATGTTTCTTAGTCTACTTGGGCTGCCATAACAAAATCCCATAGCCTGGGTGGCTTAAACAATATAAATTTGTTTTCTCACAGTTCTAGAGACTGGAAATCAGAGATCATGGTGTCAGCATGGTCAGGTTCTGGTGAGGGCTCTCTTTCTGTGCTCAGATGACCTTTCTCAGAGAAAAGCAGGGAAAGAGAGTGAGAGAAAGAGAAAGAGAGAGAGATTCCTTCCTATTCCTATAAATCCACTAATCCTATCAAATTAGAAACCCATCATTATGACTCAGTTAACCTTAATTATCCCCTAAAGTCCTCATCTCTAAATATATTTACATTGGGGGTTAAGGCCTCAACAGATAAATTTGGTGGGGAGAGGACACAATTCAGTCCATAGCACTAAGTAGCTTGTTTTCTTTGCAGTAATTGTGAATGGTACTGTTTTTAATTTGCTTTCCTCATGTTCACTATTACTATAAAGAAATAGGATTAATTTTAATGTGTCGATCTTTTATCCTGTGACATGGCTAAACTCACTTACACTAAGTACTAGAATTTTTCTCTTGTATTAATACTAAGACTTTTTGGTAGACTCCTTGGAAATTTATACATAGACAATCATGTCATCTGCAAATAGAGATAATTTAATTTTTCCCCCAATTTGTATAACTTTTTAAAAATCTTGCTTTATTGCACCAACTGGACCTGGTATTATGTTGAGTAAAAGTGGTGAGATCATAAATCCTTGCCCTGTTCCCAATCTTAGGGGAAAACATTTAGTCTTTATCATTAAGTATATTAGCAGTTTTCTTGTAGATATTCTTTATAAAGTTTTGGAATTTGGGGCTTTTGACAAACTCTCTGTAACTATTGATAGGATTTTCCTTTTTCCGCTCTTTGATGTGTTGAATTACACTGACTGACTTTTGAATGTTGATCCAGGAGCCTCGAAACCCTGGAATAAATCCCACTTTATCATAGGCATAATTTTTTTATATTTTTGGGTTCATTTGGTTAGTGTTTGTTGAGGACCTTTGCATCTCAATTCATGAGAGATATTACTCTACAGTTTTCTCTTCGCATTGACTTTGTATGGTTTTAGTATCAGGGTAATACTGGCTTCATAAAATGTGTTGGGAGCTTTTCTTCCTTTTCTGTTTTCTCCAGGAAATTGTGTAAAATTGGTATTAGTTCTTCCTTTAAAGATTCATAATGTTCCAGTGAATATTTATTATAAGAAATTGAAGCAATCTGGCTTTGGAGATTTTTTTTTTATCAGGAGCTTTTATAGTAAAAGTTACTTCTTTTTTATTGTTAGGGCCCTTCAGATGATCAATTGCATACTGGTGAGTGTTGGTAATTTGTGTTTTTCAAGGAATTTGTCATAAATTATTTAATTATCATAATATCCATTAATTATACTCTTTGTATAGTTTTCAAAGTGGTTACTCTAGTCATTTTTTTTTATTATTTATTTATTTATTTATTTATTTATTTATTTATTTATTGAGACGGAGTTTCACTCTTGTTGCCCAGACTGGAGTGCAACGACGCGATCTCAGCTCAACGCAACCCCCGCCTCCCGGGTTCAAGCGATTCTGCTGTCTCAGCCTTCCCAGTAGCTGGGATTACAGGCATGCGCCACCACGCCTGGCTAATTTTGTATTTTTAGTAGAGACGGGGTTTCTCCATGTTGGTCAGGCTGGTCTCGAACTCCCGACCTCAGGTGATCTGCCCTCCTCGGCCTCCCAAAGTGCTGGGATTACAGGCATGAGCCACTGTGCCTGGCCTACTCTGATTATTTTAATATTTTCATGATCTGTAGTGATATTCCTATTTAATTACTGATACTGTTGATTTGTGTATTTTTTTCTTCTTTCGTTCAGTCTGCTAAAGGTTTATCAATGTTGGTGATTTTTTTTTTTGAAGAACCAACTTTTTGTTTCATTGATTTTCTCTATTATTGTCATGTTTTCAATTTCATTAATTTGTGTTCTTGTCTTCTTTTTTAATTATTATTTTTTTTTTTTGAGACAGAATCTCCCTCTGTCACCCAGGTTGGAGTGCAGTGGGTGTAATCTCGGCTCACTGCAACCTCTGCCTCCCAGGTTCAAGTGATTCTCCCGCCTCAGTTTCCCAAGTAGCTGGGATTACAGGCGCTCACCACCATGCCCAGCTAATTTTTGTATTTTTGGTAGAGACGGCGTTTCACCATGTTTGCAAGGCTGGTCTTGAATTCCTGACCTCAGGTGATCTACCCGCCTTGGCTTCCCAAAGTGCTGGGATTACAGGTGTGAGTCATCACCCCTGGCCGGTGTTCTTGTCTTTATTATTCCTTTCCTTCTGTCCATATTTTAAATTTTAGTTTTCTCTTGTTTTTCTACTTTCTTGATGTGAGACCTTAGGTTATTTTTAAAAACATTTTCTCATTCACTGCTGTAAATTTTCTCAGCATTTCTTTAGTTGCATCCTACATATATTGATATGTTGTCTTTTATTCTCATCAGTTGTATGTATTTTAATTTTAATTTTGAGACTTCTCTTTGACCCATTTATTACTTAGTAGTGTGTTAATTTCTACATATGTAGAGATATACCTGTTTTAAAAAATTGATTTGATGATTGATTCCTTTATGGTTGCCTTTTCACTCTGTTGATTGTTTCCTGGGTTTTTTTTTTTTTTTTGGCTATGATTTCTACTTCTTCTAGAAGTCTTAAAGTTTGGGGTCTTACGTTTAAGTCTTTAATTCATTTTGAGTTTATTTTTGTACATATTGTGAGATAAGATCCAATTTCATTCTTTTGCATGTGGATAGCTAGTTTTCCTAATACTGTTTTTTGATGAGACCGTCATTTTCCCATTGTGTATTCCTGGCACCGTTGTTGAAGATCACTTGACCATATAAGTCTGGTATTATTTTCGGGGTCTCTATTGTGTCCCTTTGGCTAATTTGTCTGTTTTTTATATGTCTGGTTTTGGGTTTCATTTTGTTTTGTTTTATTTTTGAGACAGGGTCTCACTCTGATGCCCAGACTAAAGTGCAGTGGCACAGTCACAGCTCACTACAGTCTCCACCTCCCAAGCTCAAGCTATCCTCCCACCTCAGCCTCCAGGGTAGCTGGGACCAAAGGTGCATGCCACCACACCTGGCTAATTTTTTTACTTTTTGTAAAGATGGGGTCTCCCTATGTTGCCTAGGCTGGTCTCGAACTCGTGGGCTCAAGTGATCGCCCCACCTTAGCCTCCCAAAGTGCTGGGATTACAGGCATGAGCGTCCACATCTGACCTATATGTCTGTTTTTATGCCAGTACCATACTATTTTGATTACTGTAGCTTTATAGTACACTATGAAATCAATTTTGTTTTTCCTTCTCCAGATTGATTTGGGTATTTATGGTCTTCTGTGGTTCCAGACGAAGTTTAGAATTATTTTTTCTATTCCCGTAAACAAACATGCCATTAGGATTTTGATAGGTTTACAATGAATCTGTAGATCACTCTGGGTATTAGGGATATTTTAACACTATTAAGTCTTCAGATCCATGAACACTTCCATTTGCTTGTTTCTTGTTTAATTTTCTTCATCAATATTTTGTAATTTTCTGTATACAAGTCTTTCACCTCCTTCAGTAAGTTTTTATCTATGTATTTTATTCTTTTTGGTGTTCTTGTAAATGAGTTTGTTTTCCTAGTTTCCTTTTTAGATAATTCGTTATTAGTGTATAGAAATGCAATTGATTTTTATATGTTGATTTGTATCCTGCAATTTTATTGAATACATTTATTCTAACAATTTTTAGAGGAATCTTTAGGGTTTTCTAAATATAAGATCATATTACCTGCAAAAGGGACAATTTTACTTTTTACTTTCTGATTTAGCTCCCTTGAATTATTATTATTATTTTTTGATTAATTGTTCTGAATAGGACTGCTGGTACTATGATGAATAGAAGTGGTGAAAGGGGCATCCTTGTCTTGTCCCTGATCTTAGAGGAAAAGCCTTCACTTTTTCACCATTAAGTATGATGTTAGCTCTGAGCTTTTCATATACAGCCTTTATTTGTTGAGATAATTTTCTTCTGGAACTCCCATAAGTCATATATTGGATTGCTTGATGGTGCTCTATGTTGGGAAAAAGTCTTATGGGGTGCCTGTATAAACTGGCCATAAAAACATGGAACAATAAGTTGTGGAAAGCCACAAGAGGCCTCTGAGGAGGAAAGCCTTCTTATCGCCATTATGTTCCCATGCTCTGAGCGAGACTTGGTCTCTTATCCATAAACATTGTGTTCAAGGAGAAAGACACTCCTTTGAAGCATTGGAATGTGGCCAGATGTGCAGGCTCCTAGTTAAGGCCGCTCCCACTAGCCACTCTCTGATAAGTTAAAGATATGCTGTTTGAGCACAAAGGAGATTCATTTAAACCGCTATTGCTATAGATTACGCCTATGACGCACTGCCTCCCTTTCACTGTTTCGCCCTGAACATCTGCTTCTTAGATTTAAGTGATCATACTCAATAAATAGTGTGGAGACTAGAACTCTGGGCCTTTTGCAGCCTCCATTTTGCAACTGGCCCCCTGGCTCCCACCTTTATGAACTCTTAACCTGTCTCTTATCATTCCTTTGTCGCCACCAGACTTTGGGTACCCTACTGGTGGTGTTGAGGCTGGTACCCAATAGCTCTATGTATCTCTTAAGCTTTCTTCACTTTTTCATTACTCTTCTGTCTCTGCTTAAGTTCCTGCTGGTACCACCTGGAAAAAAGAAGGTGCTTCCTTTTGCCTTCCAAGTATCATAAAGTGAGTTATGGGGAATCCAAAGCAATGGTGCAGAAAGTGTTTCCCCTGATTTTTTTTCCAGCCCCCCATAGCCAGCGAACTTTCCACTTTATCTCTGCCAGTGCAGACAGGAGTGGGCTGCCTTCCGCCATTGTGTGGAGGAGCAGGAGCCATGAGTCTGGGTGGAAGGTTAGGAGACCCCAGCCCAATTCACCTTCTGCCACTGGGTAAAGAGCCAGGAGACAACAGGCCTGGATTGTCTTAAGCCATTCGGTATAGGGCCAGGACCCACTGGATGTAGGTAGCGGTCTACCAATGGGTAGAAGATCAGGAGACACTGGACTTAGGCTGCCCTCTGCAGTTGGGTGGAGTGCTGGAAGACACCGGGCCAGCTGGCATTAGCATTTCAGGTAGAAAGGCTCATCTCTGGCCTCCTGGTATGGGGCAGAGAGTATGTTAACCTACCTGGGTCCCCCTGTTACTGCTGTGGGTAGGTCTGATCCTGTCATTGCTGCTGGCTGGTGTAGGTGTGGGGGATGGATTGGTCTTCTCTCCTGCAGCTTTGCTGGTGCAGCTACTCCCGGCAGATCAGCCAGCTGCTGCCACTGGATATGAATCTCCCTGCTAAGTTCCTGCTAAGCTTTCCCTTTCCTGAACCTTTGTTCAGAGAAAGCAGGCTTTTCTTTTGCATTTCTTTATTTGTTTATCTATTTTTGGTCTACCCTATTGGCAGTTTCTGGGTTGCACACCTCCCAGACACCCAGTTTGGGATACACGAGTGATATAAAGAAAACCTGGGGAGCTCATTATGGTGTCTTCTTCAAGTCCTGAGGCTCCTTTCCAGTCTACCTTCTTCCTATATTTGAGAATCTGTTAAATTATTTTCAAGATATTTAGTTGTATTTAGAGGGAAGGAACAGGGAAAAGTAAGCCTATGCCATTGTCCCAGAGCCAGACTAAAACCACTAAGTTTTGACATACTACAATCTAAATATCTTTATTTTTTTTCTCTCTAGGTTACATTTCTGGTTCCAGCTAAGAAAGGTGATGAAAAGTTGCTTTTTAGACAAAATAAGCCCTTACCCTCAAAGGAAAGTTGCTCCTGAAATACAAGCAGAAATCAGTGGTAAGTCATACAGCAAATATCTAAAGCATTTTAGGTATTTGTTTTTAGACCGTTGTCCAGGATCTGCTCTACTCACCTACAAGAAAGAAGGTGCTTCTTTTTGCCTTCCATTTTAGCCAATTGTCCAGGATCTGCTCTACTCACTCCAGAAAAATTGGAAACCAAGCTTCTACTAGTTCTCTAAGTATTATACTGGAGCTAGTAGATTTTTATTCAAACACTTAAAGTTTCAGGACATAGTAAGGCAAGAAACAGAGAACATAATAAAAATGTGTTGTTTATCTCAGTTGCAATGAGAATATCTAACACCCAGATAATTGTTTCTAAGTATCATTTCTTAATGAAAGGAGCCAGGGGTCCTTGGACAAACCATTGATTCCAGGGATAAAGTATGGAAAGCATAGGTTAATGTGGAACATCTTAACGGGACAGAAAGTAAGGCAGCACTCAAAAAATTACATAGACTTGTCAAAAGGATATAGAACCAGCTTGAATGGGGCTCACATTGCTTAAACCTAGGAAATTTGAGCTTTAGAATAAATAATTATAACAATGAGTTATAAAAAAATTGAATAAAATAAGAATCCATTAATCTGTACTAAAAGTAAATAAAGGAAAAGCTCTTCGTTACAGTAGAATCCCATCCAATAAATGTAGAAGAAATGATGCTGTTAGAAAAACACCATTTTATAACTATCATGTAATAATTGTCTAGGACAAGAGTCATTAATGAATACTAAAATTAGTGTATGGAAGCTTTGTGATTAATGGGATAGTTACACGTTCTCAACACCTCTCCCACAAAACAGGTAATAATTACAAAGGAAAAATAATTTGCATTGGAGTAAGCTGGCAGACACCACTTTAACCACGTGATCAGGTTGCCAGAATCAATATTGGGACAATCCATATCATATGCTGGCCTTTATGATGTAACGAGAAAGACGTGTGGCGCTCCTGCCATATATGTCTAACTTACATAGAATCATGAGAAAACAATCAGCTAAGCCCCAAATGAAGGACACCCTACAATATCATTAGCCCGAACTAGCAGGCGTGATGTAGCCCAAACTACAAGGCATGATGCTGAAATGGACCTTTCATTAGGAGAAAAATCCTATAAAAGGCATTATTAGAAAAATTGGTGAAGTTCATTTAAACTCTGTAACCTAGATATTGTCATCAATGCAAATTTTCTTATTTTGATAACTATATTTATTCTTAGGAACCATAATGAATTATTTAGGAGTAAGACATAAAGTCTGCAACTTATTCTCAAATGGTTCAGAAAAAAAAGTTACATGTGTGCTTATTTGTGTGTATATATGTGTGTATAGAGAGAGAGGGAGCAAGAAAGGGAGAGATAACATGATAAATCAGATGGTAAAATGTTAACAACTAAGGAATTTGAGTGAAGGAGTAAAGGGTAAATGTGAATTTCTTGTACTATCCTTGTAACATTTCTTTTTTCTTTTTCTTTTTCTATTTTGAGATGGAGTCTCACTCTATCACCCAGCCTGGAGTGCAGTGGCGCGATCTCAGCTCAACACAACCTCTGCCTCCTGGGTTCAAGCCATTCTCCTGCCTCAGCCTCTGGAGTAGCTGGGATTACAGGTGTGTGACACCATGCCCGGCTAACTTTTGTATTTTGAGTAGAGATGGGGTTTCACCATGTTGGCCAGGCTGGTTTTGAACTCCTGACCTTGTGATCCACTCGCCTCGGCCTCCCAAAGTGCTGGGATTGCAGGTGTGAGCCACCGCGCCCGGCCCCTTGTAACATTTCTATGTTTGAAGTCACGTCAACATAGAAAGTTCAGAATTTTTTTTCTAATCATACATCACAGACTGCCTGGATGGGAGCATATGTGTATACACACACACACACACACACACAGAGAGAGAGAGAGAGAGAGAGAGAGGAGTTTCAGGTAATTTTCATGCTGGAACAATGAATTCCAACTTGGTGATGCTATGCCAAGTAAACAGTAATGTCTGAAACTTTTGAACACAGATTTCAAACCAATTAGCTCCAAACCTATGTACACATAAATTCAAATAATAACATCACCATCTTTGAGTACTTATAATATACTTGGCACTGTTTTAAATGCCTAAAATGAATTATCTTAGTCCTTACAAGACCATTATGAGGTATCCTCTGACATGAGATAGTTGATATTATTTTCCTAATTCCACAATAGAAGAAGCAGAAGCACTTGCTGAGGCATCTCAGATAATGTGTTGAAGGTCATGTTGCCAGAAAGGGGTGTGGTGGGATTTGAACCCAGGTGGCCTGACACTGTGCCTGTGATCTTTAACTTAAACTAAGCACATGGTGCCCTAATAGTTTTGAAGTGGGGTGAGACACGTAAACCCATATCCTTTGCGATCTGCTACAGGGGCCAGGTAAGAAACCTGTTCCTTGAATGCCCCAGGCTGTATCTGGCCCACAGGACCTCATCATGCATGCTGTTCCTCTGTCTGGACAACTCTTCACACACCTTCAACTCAGTTAACTGCCACTCACTTTTCACATCTGAACTTACTGGTCAGTCACTTGGGGAGACTGTACCCCCTAAACAAGATTATAGTTTCCTGCCACATGCCGTCAGAGCCCACTGAATTCTGCCTGTCACACAACATATTCATCACAGTCGAAGATTATTTACTTGTCTGCCTCCCCCAGCAGACTGTGAATTCTCTGAAATCAGGGTTCATGCTTGCCTTGCTCAGCCCTGAAGCCCCAGATCCCCACTGCACAGAAGTGTGAGGCCCACAGATCTGAGAGGTGAAATCAGGGAGTTAGTATGGGAATACTGGGGTATATAGGAGTAATTCATCAACATCCTTTTTCTATTAATTCAAGTCAGGCTAAAACGGATGAAAAGGATTTACGTTTTCCTGGAATGGAAAATGATAGAGGATAAGATTAATTAGCCTGAATGAATCAAGATCGCATTCACTATTAGGGAAGGGTAAGCGAGAACAGACTGTGAGGGCAAGATGTTTATGGGAAATGTTTTCTTATTCTTAAAAACAAAAACAAAAACAAAAAAACTGCACTAAAGGGAAAACCAGCGACTCTTATTCTGTTGGACCCTATTGTGCCTGGATATGGTATCTGAAACTGTTACTATAGATGAAAGTATCATAAGTGAGATATCAACCAGATGCCAAGGACTTTCTTCCTGTGCCATATGGAGAAAAGAATCCGCTGCCTGCTGACTTCTGATCCTCCTCCCAGATTCTCATCCGTGCCTTTTGGTGTCCGCAAAAGATTCAAAACTACACAGAGCTATGTTTGTTCCTACGAAGTTCCACTGGAGGGCGCAATATCATTACTGTTACCAGCTAATAGAACGTAACCTGTTAGGGCTAACATGAATAATTTACAGCGCATTTTTATAAGCTCTCTTAGTATAGGCCACCCAAGAGAGAAAACAGTTTTGTGCCTTAGATGAAAGGACAACACAGGAAATTATAACAATGGTAACAATCCTTTTCTTCATCATCCCCCAGGAGTCCTGGTTGCTTCCTCTGCAAATCGGTGATGGCTTATACAAAGAACAGTATTAAAGACTCCGCGGCTGGACGCGGTGGGTCGCGCCTGTAATCCCAGCACTTTGGGAGACCGAGGTGAGTGGATCGCCTGAGGTCAGGAGTTCAAGACCAGCCTGGCCAACATGGTGAAACCCCGACTCTGCTAAAAATACAAAAAATTACCCCGGGGCGTGGTGGCAGACAACTGTAATCCCAGCTACTCGAGAGGCTGAGGCAGGAGAATAGCTTGAACCCAGGAGGCGGAGGTTGCACTGAGCCGAGATCACGCCACTGCACTCCAGCCTGGGCAACAAGAACAAAACTCCATCTCAATAAATAAATAAATAAATAAAGATTCTGCTAACCTGTGGCGGGTCTGTTTGGGTCCCTGTGTATTCTTTCCTAGGAAAAGCATGAGGATTAGGGTTGGGCCATAGGGTCTCATTCCTCCAAGAGTAATGGAACACCAGCTGCAGCAGCTCCAGTCTGTAGCAAGGGTTCAGAACTTGTCCATGACAAGGTCTCAAAACCCATCTTTCAAGAAAAGCCAGGCTTGGCCCGTGGCTCTGCCTGCCCATACATTATTATCATCTGCCAAATACAATATAGTAGTTGATCAGGGGACAACTTCCAGGAAAACACAGCTGCAAGTCTCTCTGATATTTCATGGTTCTTCACCACTAGAGAGTCCCAGAGGTGAAAGCTCTGAGGCAGGCTTCCCCACTTTCCAGGTAACTGCTATTTCTGGGAACTTTTAGTATACCCCACCTAGTGTACAGGAACACAAAGGGAAGCTGCTACTTTGAGCAAAGCATCCCTGTGTGTGGGCCTCTGATGTAGCTGTCGCTTTCTAATATGTCTGGTGTGATTACGTGTATTCATTATTCTACTTTACAATAACCAGTATAAAACAGTATGCTTTCTTTTGCTTCACTCTGACCTTGGACAAGTCACTCACCCTCTTTGAGTCAGCTTTCTTATTTTATAGTGCGTGGAAATGTCACCTATCTCACAGTCTACTGGAATTTGCCACAGTACCTACACATTTGTAATAGTCATATTTTTTTCTTTCAACAATATATTTCAGGTATCAACTGTATGCAAGACATTATTCTATGCACTTGAGATACAGCAGCAAACAAGAAAGACAAGATCCCCATGCCCATGTAGCATACATTCTAAGGGGCAGAAAGACAGACACAGTTTAAATATATATATATATTTCAGACATTGATAAATGTTATGCAGAAAGTGAAGTCAGATAGCGGGATAGAATGTGAGAAGGCATGAAAGGAGCTGCTTGAGATAGAATGTCCTTTAAAGACCTGTCCAAAGATGTGACACTGAATGATAAGGATCCAGTATGTGAAAACTTGGGAGATCCATGTTTCAGCAAGCATAATGGTCCTGAAGTGATTTGATTGGCATGTTTTAGGGACTAAAAGAATTTCAGGCTGGCTGGAGAATGTTGGATGAGAGGAAGACTTGTAGGAGATGAAGTTGGAAAGGTAATGAGTGGCCAGTTCACATAGTAGTGTGAAGACATTTGAATTGTATTTCATTTTCAGTGCATTGAGGAATCACTGGAAGAGTTTGAAACAACAGAAGGATGTGATTTGACTTTCATTCTAAGAATCTCATGAATGGATGAAAATGAAGGATCAAAACTATTTTCTGAAAATACTAAAACAGGATTGGCCATTTCCATTGTTGTTATTTGCACTAATGGTACAAAAGCAATGATGGGTAAAACCGCTAGGGTCAGCACAAATCAAGGCAGTGGCATCAAACTACACCACACTACTGTACTAGTTGTCGAATTCCTCATTGCCACATGAAAAGAAACATACACACACACCCCATACATGCATATATATGTAGTCAAATCTCAACCCTTGAGTACACATCTTTTTAATATTCTTGAGGATGAACAAAAAAGTGAAAATGTACTGGTAAAGACCTTCTGTTCAGTACCAAAGCCAGATGATTGTCTCAAGGAAAAGAAATTGTGTGATTATTTGAGTTGCTAGCTTAACCAGGGGTCCCCAGCTCCCAGGTGGGGGACTGGTACTGGTATGTGGCTTATTAGGAACTGGGCCACACAGCAGGAGGTGAGTGGAGGGCAAGCAAGTATTATGGCTGAGCTCAGCCTCCTGTCAGGTCAGCAGCTATGTTACATTCTCATAGGAGCAAGAATCTTATTGCTAACTGAGCATGTGAGGGACTTAGGTTGCGTGCTCCTTATGAGAATCTAATGCCTGATGATAGGAAGTGGAAGAGTTTCATCCAGACACCATCCTCCCCTCACAACCCCATCCATGGAAAAATTGTGTTCCATGAAACCAGTCCCTGGTGCCAAAAAGGTTAGGGACCGCTGAGCCTAACTAGCTGGGATTTTCTCCTGTGAATTACATTTTTCTTGAAAGGACCACTGACAGACAAGCTGTGGTTATTCAGACGTGGGTATGTGAAAGATGTCTTGAAGATAAACAAAGGGAGCTTTGTTTCAACAAAAACGACTTACAGCATTTACTGCCAATGATAAAACTGGACTCGAACAAAAATTAGAATTTTTGGAAAACATGAATCTGCCATCATAAGCTTGATATCTGCACAATACTTAGAGACTATTCGGATAATATCAGGGCTATTGTCAATGAATGTGACTTTAAATTAGTTTGTATAATTCTTTTTAATTGATTTTTTATTGTGGAAAAATATACATAACATACAGTTTCCCATTTTAACCATGTTAAGTGTAGAATTCAGTGGCATTACCTACACTTCTCTTGTTGTACACCATCATCTCTATCCATACCCAGAATATTTTATCAAACCACACTGAAGCTCTGTTCCCATTAACCTATAACTCCCCATTACCCCAGCTCCTGGTAGAACAGAATCATAAAGATAGACTATATCATAGAGATGGGGGGAGGAGCCAAGATGGCCAAATAGGAAGAGCTCTGGTCTACAGCTCCCAGTGTGAGCCATGCAGAAGACGGGTGATTTCTGCATTTCCATCTGAGGTACCGGGTTCATCTCACTAGGGAGTGCCAGACAGTGGGCGCAGGTCAGTGGGTGCGTGCACCCTACGCGAGCCGAAGCAGGGCGAGGCAGTGTCTCACTCGGGAAGCGCAAGGGGTCAGGGAGTTCCCTTTCCTAGTCAAAGAAAGGGGTGAGAGATGGCACCTGGAAAATCGGGTCACTCCCACCCCAATACTGCGCTTTTCCAACGGGCTTAAAAAACGCGCACCAGGAGATTATATCCCGCACCTGGCTTGGAGGGTCCTACGCCCACGGAGTCTCGCTGATTGCTAGCACAGCAGTCTGAGATCAAACTGCAAGGCGGCAGCGAGGCTGGGGGAGGGGTGCCCGCAATTGCCCAGGCTTGCTTAGGTAAACAAAGCAGCCAGAAGCTCGAACTGGGTGGAGCCCACCACAACTCAAGGAGGTCTGCCTGCCTCTGTAGGCTCCACCTCTGGGGGCAGGGCACAGACAAAAAAAAAGACAGCAGTAACCTCTGCAGACTTAAATGTCCCTGTCTGACAGCTTTGAAGAGAGCAGTGGTTCTCCCAGCACGCAGCTGGAGATCTGAGAACGGACAGACTGCCTCCTCAAGTGGGTCCCTGACCCCTGACCCCCGAGCAGCCTAACTGGGAGGCAACCCCCAGCAGGGGCAGACTGACACCTCACACGGCCGGGTACTCCAACAGACCTGCAGCTGAGGGTCCTGTCTGTTAGAAGGAAAACTAACAAACAGAAAGGACATCCACACCAAAAACCCATCTGTACATCACCATCATCAAAGACCAAAAGTAGATGAAACCACAAAGATGGGGAAAAAACAGAGCAGAAAAACTGGAAACTCTAAAAAGCAGAGTGCCTCTCCTCCTCCAAAGGAACGCAGTTCCTCACCAGCAACGGAACAAAGCTGGATGGAGAATGACTTTGACGAGCTGAGAGAAGAAGGCTTCAGACGATCAGATTACTCCAAGCTACCAGAGGACATTCAAAACAAAGGCAAAGAAGTTGAAAACTTTGAAAAAAATTTAGAAGAATGTATAACTAGAATAACCAATACAGAGAAGTGCTTAAAGGAGCTGATGGAGCTGAAAACCAAGGCCCGAGAACTACGTGAAGAACGCAGAAGCCTCAGGAGCCGATGTGATCAACTGGAAGAAAGGGTATCAGCGATGGAAGATGAAGTGAATGAAATGAAGCGAGAAGGGAAGTTTAGAGAAAAAAGAATAAAAAACGAACAAAGCCTCCAAGAAATATGGGACTATGTGAAAAGACCAAATCTATGTCTGATTGGAGTACCTGAAAGTGACGGGGAGAATGGAACCAAGTTGGAAAACACTCTGCAGGATATTATCCAGGAGAACTTCCCCAATCTAGCAAGGCAGGCCAACATTCAAATTCAGGAAATACAGAGAACACCACAAAGATACTCCTCGAGAAGAGCAACTCCAAGACACATAATTGTCAGATTCACCAAAGTTGAAATGAAGGAAAAAATGTTAAGGGCAGCCAGAGAGAAAGGTCGGGTTACCCACAAAGGGAAGCCCATCAGACTAACAGCTGATCTCTCAGCAGAAACTCTACAAGCCAGAAGAGAGTGGGGGCCAATATTCAACATTCTTAAAGAAAAGAATTCTCAACCCAGAATTTCATATCCAGCCAAAGTAAGCTTCATAAGTGAAGGAGAAATAAAATCCTTTACAGACAAGCAAATGCTGAGAGATTTTGTCACCACCAGGCCTGCCCTAAAAGAGCTCCTGAAGGAAGCACTAAACATGGAAAGGAACAACTGGTACCAGCTGCTGCAAAATCATGCCAAAATGTAAAGACCATCGAGACTAGGAAGAAACTGCATGAAATAATGAGCAAAATAACCAGCTAACATCAAAATGACAGGACCAAATTCACACATAACAATATTAACTTTAAATGTAAATGGACTAAATGCTCCAATTAAAACACACAGACTGGAAAATTGGATAAAGAGTCAAGACCCATCAGTGTGCTGTATTCAGGAGGCCCATCTCACGTGCAGAGACACACAGAGGCTCAAAATAAAAGGATGGAGGAAGATCTACCAAGCAAATGGAAAACAAAAAAAGGCAGGGGTTGCAATCCTAGTCTCTGATAAAACAGACTTTCAACCAACAAAGATCAAAAGAGACAAAGAAGGCCATTACATAATGGTAAAGGGATTAATTCAACAAGAAGACCTAACTATCCTAAATATATATGCACCCAATACAGAAGCACCCAGATTCATAAAGCAAGTCCTGAGTGACCTACAAAGAGACTTAGACTCCCACACATTAATAATGGGAGACTTTAACACCCCACTGTCAAAATTAGACAGATCAATGAGACAGAAAGTCAACAAGGATACCCAGGAATTGATCTCAGCTGTGCACCAAGCGGACCTAATAGACATCTACAGAACTCTCCACCCCAAATCAACAGAATACACATTTTTTTCAGCACTACACCACGCCTATTCCAAAATTGACCACATAGTTGGAAGTAAAACACACCTCAGCAAATGTAAAAGAACAGAAATTATAACAAACTGTCTCTCAGACCACAGTGCAATCAAACTAGAACTCAGGATTAAGAATCTCACTCAAAACCACTCAACTACATGGAAACTGAACAACCTGCTCCTGAATGACTACTAGGCACATAACGAAATGAAGGCAGAAATAAAGATGTTCTTTGAAACCAATGAGAACAAAGACACAACATACCAGAATCTCTGGGACGTATTCAAAGCAGTGTGTAGAGGGAAACATATAGCACCAAATGCCCACAAGAGAAAGCAGGAAAGATCCAAAATTGACACCCTAACATCACAATTAAAAGAACTAGAAAAGCAAGAGCAAACACATTCAAAAGCTAGCAGAAGGCAAGAAATAACTAAAATCAGAGCAGAACTGAAGGAAATAGAGACACAAAAAAACTTTCAAAAAATTAATGAATCCTGGAGCTGGTTTTTTGAAAGAATCAACAAAATTGATAGACCACTAGCAAGACTAATAAAGAAAAAAAGAGAGAAGAATCAAATAGACACATTAAAAAATGATAAAGGGGATATCACCACCGATCCCACAGAAATACAAACTACCATCAGAGAATACTACAAACACCCCTATGCAAATAAACTAGAAAATCTCGAAGAAATGGAGAAATTCCTCGACACATACACTCTCCCAAGACTAAACCAGGAAGAAGTTGAATCTCTGAATAGACCAATAACAGGAGCTGAAATTGAGGCAATAATCAATAGCTTACCAAACAAAAAGAGTCCAGGACCAGATGGATTCACAGCCGAATTCTACCAGAGGTACAAGGAGGAACTGGTACCATTCCTTCTGAAACTATTCCAATCAATAGAAAAAGAGGGAATCCTCCCTAACTCATTTTATGAGGCCGGCATCATCCTGATACCAAAGCTAGGCAGAGACACGACCAAAAAAGAGAATTTTAGACCAATATCCTTGATGAACATTGATGCAAAAATCCTCAATAAAATACTGGCAAACCAGCAACACATCAAAGAGCTTATCCACCATGATCAAGTGGGTTTCATCCCTGGGATGCAAGGCTGGTTCAATATACACAAATCAATAAATGTAATCCAGCATATAAACAGAACCAAAGACAAAAATCACATGACTATCTCAATAGATGCAGAAAAGGCCTTTGACAAAATTCAACAACGCTTCATGCTAAAAACTCTCAATAAATTAGGTATTGATGGGACGTATCTCAAAATAATAAGAGCTATCTATGACAAACCCACAGCCAATATCATACTGAATGGGCAAAAACTGGAAGCATTCCCTTTGAAAACTGGCACAAGACAGGGATGCCCTCTCTCACCACTCCTATTCAACATAGTGTTGGAAGTTCTGGCCAGGGCAATCAGGCAGGAGAAGGAAATAAAGGGTATTCAATTAGGAAAAGAGGAAGTCAAATTGTCCCTGTTTGCAGACAACATGATTGTATATCTAGAAAACCCCATTGTCTCAGCCCAAAATCTCCTTAAGCTGATAAGCAACTACAGCAAAGTCTCAGGATACAAAATCAATGTACAAAAATCACAAGCATTCTTATACACCAACAACAGACAAACAGAGAGCCAAATCATGAGTGAACTCCATTCACAATTTCATCAAAGAGAATAAAATACCTAGGAATCCAACTTACAAGGGATGTGAAGGACCTCTTCAAGGAGAACTACTAACCACTGCTCGAGGAAATAAAAGAGGATACAAACAAATGGAAGAACATTCCATGCTCATGGGTAGGAGGAATCAATATCGTGAAAGTGGCCATACTGCCCAAGGTAACTTACAGATTCAATGCCATCCCCATCAAGCTACCAATGACTTTCTTCACAGAATTGGAAAAAACTAAAATTCATATGGAACCAAAAAAGAGCCCACATCGCCAAGTCAATCCTAAGCCAAAAGAACAAAGCTGGAGGCATCACACTACCTGACTTCAAACTATACTACAAGGCTACAGTAACCAAAACAGCATGGTACTGGTACCAAAACAGAGATATAGATCAATGGAACAGAACAGAGCCCTCAGAAATAACGCCGCATATCTACAACTATCTGATCTTTGACAAATCTGAGAAAAACAAGCAATGGGGAAAGGATTCCCTATTTAATAAATGGTGCTGGGAAAACTGGCTAGCCATATGTAGAAAGCTGAAACTGGATCCCTTCCTTACACCTTATACAAAAATCAATTCAAGATGGATTAAAGCCTTAAACGTTAGACCTGAAACCATAAAAACCCTAGAAGAAAACCTAGGCATTACCATTCAGGACATAGGCATGGGCAAGGACTTCATGTCTAAAACACCAAGAGCAATGGCAACAAAAGCCAAAATTGACAAATGGGATCTAATTCAACTAAAGAGCTTCTGCACAGCAAAAGAAACTACCATCAGAGTGAACAGGCAACCTACAAAATGGGAGAAAATTTTCCCAACCTACTCATCTGACAAACGGCTAATATCCAGAATCTACAATGAACTCCAACAAATTTACAAGAAAAAAACAAACAACCCCATCAAAAAGTGGGTGAAGGACATGAACAGACACTTCTCAAAAGAAGACATTTATGCAGCCAAAAAACACATGAAAAAATGCTCACCATCACTGGCCATCAGAGAAATGCAAATCAAAACCATAATGAGATACCATCTCACACCAGTTAGAATGGCAATCATTAAAAAGTCAGGAAACAGGTGCTGGAGAGGATGTGGAGAAATAGGAACACTTTTACACTGTTGGTGGGACTGGAAACTAGTTCAACCATTGTGGAAGTCAGTGTGGCGATTCCTCAGGGATCTAGAACTAGAAATACCATTTGACCCAGCCATCCCATTACTGGGTATATACCCAAAGGACTATAAATCATGCTGCTATAAAGACACATGCAAGTGTATGTTTATTGCGGCATTATTCACAATAGCAAAGACTTGGAACCAACCCAAATGTCCAACAATGATAGACTGGATTAAGAAAATGTGGCACATATACACCATGGAATACTATGCAGCCATAAAAAATGATGAGTTCATGTCCTTTGTAGGGACATGGATGAAATTGGAAATCATCATTCTCAGTAAACTATCGCAAGAACAGAAAACCAAACACCGCATATTCTCACTCATAGGTGGGAATTGAACAATGAGAACATATGGACACAGGAAGGGGAACATCACACTCTGGGGCCTGTTGTGGGGTGGGGGAGGGGGGAGGGATAGCATTGGGAGATATATCTAATGCTAAATGACGAGTTAGTGGGTGCAGCGCACCAGCATGGCACATGTATACATATGTAACTAACCTTCACATTGTGCACATGTACCCTAAAACTTAAAGTATAATAATAATAAATAAAAAAAGAATATATCATAGAGATATATTCTATCTCTATGAATTTGATTGTTCTAGGTGCCTCATATAAGGTAAATCATTCTATTTTTTTGTGACTACTTTATTTTATTATGTTTTCAAGGTTCATTCATGTTGTAGTATGCATCAGAATTTCGTTCCTTCCTAAGGCAGAATAATATTCTATTGTATGTATAAACTACATTTGATTTGATTTTTATTCTAAGAATCTCATGGGTGGATAAAAATAAAGAGATCTATCTGGTCAAATGTATTTTCTTAAAATACTAAAACATTATTGCGCATTTCCATTGTGTTGTCATTTGCGTTGATGCAAAAGCAGTGGTGAGTAAAATCATTTTGTTTATTCATTCATCCATCCACAGACATTAGGATTGTTTCTACCTTTTGGCTATTGTGAAAAATGCTGCTATGAACATTGGTATACAAAGATTTTTACAAGTCTGTGTTTTCAATTCTTTGCGGTATATGCCCAGAGCTGCAACATGGTAATTCTATGTTTAAATGTTTGAGGAACCACCATAATATTTTCCATAGCAACTGCACCATTTTATATTCCCAACAGCAATGAGGCACTGTTACAAAGTAGCCACTTCCTTACCAACACTCCGTATTTTCCCTTTTTGTTTTTGATAATAGCCATCCTAATGAGTATGAAGTGATATCTCATTGTGATTTTGATTTGCACTTCCCTAATGACTAGTGATGTTGAGTATCTTTTCATGTATTTTTTTTTTGGTGTAGCTTCTTTGGAGAAGTGTCTATTCAAGCACTTCGCTTATTTTTGACTGAGTTATTTGTTGTTGTTGACTATAAGAGTATTTTATGTAGTCTGGATATTAATCTCTTATCTGATATATGATTTACAAATATTCTCCCCTATTTTATGGGTTTTGTTTTCATTCTCTTGATAGTATTCGTTTTTTGTTTTTTTTGTTGTTGTTGTTGTTGTTGTTGTTGTTGTTTTAGACAGAGTCTTGCTCTGGTGCCCAGGCTGGAGCACAGTGGCACGATCTTGGCTCACTGCAACTTCCACCTCCCAGGTTCAAGCGATTCTCCTGCCTCAGCCTCCCGAGTAGCTGGGATTACAGGCATGTACCACAATGCCTGGCTAATTTTTGTATTTTTAGTAGAGATGGGGTTTCACCATGTTGGCTAGGCTGGTCTCAAACTCCTGACCTGAAGTGATCCACCCGCCTCAGCCTCCCAAAGTGCTGGAATTACAGGCATGAGCCACTGTGCCTGGCTTCTTGATAGTATTTGTGATGTGCAAAAGTTTATAATTTTGATGAAGTCCAATATATCTATTTTTTCCTTTGTTGCCTGTGCTCTTAGTATCATATCTAAGACATCACTGCCAAATTTATTGTCATGAAGTTTTTCTCCTATGTTTTCTTCTACAAGTTTTATAGTTTTAGCACTTAACATTTAGATCTTTGATCCATTTTGAATTTTGTCTAATGTTAGGTTTTGTCTGATTAATGTAATTTTGTCCAATATCAATATTACCTCTCCTACTCTCTTTTGCTTATTATTCTTGCTTATTATTTTTATGGAATATCTTTTGTGATCATTTCACTTCTAAACTATGCATGCCCTAGGTTTAAAGTGAGTTTCTGGTAGACAGTATATAGTTAGATCCTGGTTTTTTTTTCCTTTGTATTCAATTTTTAAGTTTTTGTTTTATGGTGTTTGGTTTGTTTGTTTTTTGAGACAGGGTCCCGTTGGCTCTGTCACCCAGGCCAGATGGCGCAATCGCGGCTCACTGCAACCTCCACCCACCTCGCCCCCTCCCCGGAGTCAAGTAATCCTCCCACCTAAGCCTCCTGAGTAGCTGGGACTACAGGTGCGTGCCACCATGCCTGGCTAATTTTTTTTTCTTTTTTTAGAGATGGGGATTTGCCATGTTGCCCCAGATGGTCTCGAACTCCTAGACTCAAGCGATCCCCTGTCCTTAGCCTCCCAAAGTGCTGGGATTACAGGCGTGAGCCACTGGGTCCGGCTGTTTTACGGGTTTTTTAATTTCAGTTTTTCTTTTAGATACAGAGAGTACATGCACAAGTTTGTTATATGGGTATATTGCACCTAGCTAGTGAGTATAGTACCCAAATAAGTAGTTTTTCAACTCACAGTCTTCCTCTAGCCTTCTCCCTCTAGTAGTCTGTGGTGTCTGCTTTTCTCACATTTATGTCCATGTGTGCTCAATGTTTAGCTCTTACTTATGAGAACATGCAGTATTTGGGTTTCTGTTCCTGCATTAAGGTGCTTAGGATTACGGCCTCCAGCTCCATTCATGTTGCTGCAAAGTACATGAAACATGATTTCACTCTTTTTATGGCTGTGTAGTATTTCATGGTGTATATGCACCATATTTTCTTTGTTTGGTCCAACATTGATGGGCCCCAGAGTTGATTCTGCGTCTTTGCTATTGTGAACAGCACAGCGATGAACACATGAGGGCATGTGACTTTTTTCTATAATGATCTATTTTCCTTTGGATATTATATTAGTCTGTTCTTGCATTGCTATAAAGAAATACCCAAGACTGGGTAATTTATAACGAAAGGAGTTTTATTTTATTTTTCTGTAGGCTGTACAAGAAGCATAACACTGGCATCTGCTTCTGGGGAGGCCTCCAGATCTTACAAGAAGTCACTCACTATCTTGAGTACAGTACCAAGAGGGATGGTACCAAACCATTCATAAGAGATCCACCCCCATGATCCAATTACCTCCCATCAGGCTCCACCTCCAACACTGTGGATTACATTTCAATATGAGACTTTGATAGGGACACATCCAAACTATATCAGGTATATTCCCAGTAATGGGATTGATGAGTTGAACCGTAACTCTTTTTAAAGTTCTTTGAGAATAGATCCTGTTTTTTAATACATCCTGCCAATCTAAGTCTTTTCCTTGACAAGTTTGATCCACTTACATTTTAGGTAATTACTGATAGGGAAAGATTTAGTAATTCCATGTTTACCTGTTTTTGTATGTCTTACAGCTTTCCGGTTTCTCATTTCTGTCCTTACTGCCTTTTTGTGTGTTTGATTAATTTTTTTTGTAGTGATGCATTTTGATTCCCTTCTGATTTCCATTTGTGTATATTTTGTAGATATTTTCTTTGTGGTTACTAGGGGAATTACATACAACATCCTAAAACTAGAGCAGTCTATTTTAAATTTATAACAATTATTTGAAGTAGAAATGTGTTAAATCCCAAGAATTTGCCCCCTGGAGATGCAGCCTTGTGATTTTTCACATTTATTTGCGCTGGCTTTGGCTGTTAATGGAAATGTTTCTCAATAGTTTATCAATTCACATTTTCTACCCAATATAAGAAAGACTTTATCTTACTATTTTTAAAGTGGTCAATTAGATTTTGAAATCACTGCCTTACAGGACAGTTCACTGAAATGGTAAGAGTGTAGCTACTGTGGTTGAAAATTCTCTGGATGAATTATTAAAATCCTAACCAGGATAGGATTCATTTGTACTGAGTGCTCATTGTGTGCCAATCGTGGAAGCATAGAAAATATGTTGATGGTGGCCATCTCAGTATTGATTCAATTATTTCTGAAGAGATACATGTTTAAAAAAAATTTTTTTTGAGATGGAGTCTTGCTCTGTCACCCAGGCTGGAGTACAATTGTGTGATCTCTGCTCACTGCAACCTCCACCTCCTGGGCTCAAGTGATTCTCCTGCCTCAGCCTCCCAAGTATCTGGGATTACAGGCACGCGCTACCACACCCAGCTAATTTTTTTGTATTTTTAGTAGAAATGGGATTTCACCGTGTTGGCCAGGCTGGTCTCGAACTCCTGACCTCAGGTAATCCATGCGTCTTGGCCTCCCAAAGTCCTGGGATTACAGGTGTAAGCCACTGTCCCCGGCTATGGTTAAACTTTATGTTAACAGGATTTCCATTAAACTGTCTGACACATACATATTGTTCAAATATAGTTATTGAACAGATAATTTTATGCAGGATTTGCTTATTCAGTCAGCATTTATGAAACATATAATATGTGTCTGAAACTGTCCTGGGCACACAGGATTCACAAATACATTAGACAGGTTTATTGCTTTTCATAGGCTTGTAGTCCAAAGGCAAGTTCAGCCATCTAAACACATATAATGTATAATCTTCTATTAAGGTCTGAATAGAAATCTTTCCTTCATGTTCGCTCTAGCTTCCAGGATATCATACATGTTGTTCCTATTCCTTCTTCTAGGACAATTCTTACCCTTTCTCTTAAACAGATAACTCTTTCTGAGTCCTTCTGAGGATACAACTTACAAATCACTACCTCCATGAAGCTTCAGAATCTTCCCCACTACCAAACCATCATCCTGTCAACTGTCAGGAGATCCCAAATTCCCCTATCATAATAAACATTTATATCACAGCTTGTTGCAGTTTCTTGTGTTACTTTATGTTGCTTCCAATAGACAGTGAGCTCCAGAACATTCTCACTATCTACCTTACTCATTGTCTTACTACTTATCTCAGACCTTAGTACAGTACCTGACATAACAGGTGTGAGGAAAGATACTACCATAGCTAGATGTTTCAGGCCATAGAATGGGAAATAAAATAGAGCCAAAATAATCTGCCAACATCATCTAATCTTAGATGAGAAGGCACAGCTAAAGATTTTGCACTTTTACTGAATGGAATATATTTTAATACCTTTATTGAGATATAATTCACATACTGTAAACTTCACATGTTTAAGTTGTCAATTTGAGAAGTTTTGAAGCTTGCATGCATCTGTGAAAACACCAAAATAAAGGTAATAAAGACATCTATCATCACCAAGAGTTTCCTTATGGTTCTTTGTAGTCTATACCCCTCACCTCTATTTCTAGCCTGCTCTGATCCCAGCCCCAGATAATCACTTATGGGCTCTTTGTTTGTATAAATTGGTTGGCATTTTCTAGAATTTCATATAAATGGAATCAAACAGTGTGTCCTCTTTTATCTGGCATCTTTTCCTCACCATAATTATTGTAATGATGTTGTTCCACATAACAAAAATTCACTCATTTTATTTTTGAGTAGTATTTAATTGTGCAGATGTACTACATTTCCCTCATCTGTTGATGTTTCTAGTTTGCAGCTACTAAAATAAAGCTGGTATGAGTATTTAAATGTACATGTTCGTTCACATGGTAAATAGGTACTTTCATTACTCTTGGCTAAATACCCAGAGTTGTAAAGTCTGGATTATATGATAGGTATTGGTATAACTTTTTTAAAAACTGCCAAACCTTTTACCAAAGTGGTTGTAACATTTTATAATTCACAAACAATGTTTGAGAGCTCCTGTTTCTTCACATCCTCAGGAACACTTGATGTGGTCAGGATTTGTAGTTTGAGATACTCTAATAAATGTAGAATGGTATGTCTTTGTGTTGGAATTTCCATTTTCCTAATGACTAATGATGTTGAGCATTTTATGTGCTCATTTGCCATTCATATATCTTCTTAAGTAAAGCATCTGTTCATTTTTTCCCATTTAAAAAATTGGATTGCTTGTTCTCTTATTATTGAGTTTTGATAGTTTCTTATGTATACTAGATACAAGTCCTTTATTAGGTATGTGATTTTCTAATACTTCCTCTAGTTCTGTGGCTTACCCTTTCTTTCATTTAATGATGTCTTTTGAAGGACAGAAGTTCTTAGTTTTAATGAATTCCAATTTGTCACTTTTCTTTTATCAAGTTTTTTGAGTTTCATATAAGAAATTGTTGCCTACTGTATGGTCACAAAGATTTTTCCATATTTTCTTCTAGAAGTGTACAGCTTTGCATTTTACATTTACATGTGTGATCCAATTAATTTTTATATAGCATGTGCTGCATGGGTATAGACAGCAGGTTCTTCCAGCACTAGTTATTGAAGAGATATCCTTTTTGCACTGAATTACCTTTGCACCTTTGTTGAAATACAATTGGACATACATGTGTGGTCTATTGCTGATGTCTATTCTATTCATTTTTTGCCTATATTTTTGCCCATATTGGTACCATTACTATACTATCTTTATTAGTGTAGCTTTCTACTGTAAATTGTCCAAATTTGTTCTTTTTAAAAGTCATTTTGGCTATTTTGCATCCTTTGTAATTTCATTTGAAATTTAGAATTAGCTACAAAATAGTCTGTTGGAGTATTTATTTAATCTGTGTTTCAGATCAGTTCAGGGATTAACAAAATCGAGTCTTCCACATAAATATGACGTAACTATCCATTTATTTAGATCATCCTCAAAAATATCTCAGTACAATTTTCAGTGTATAGATTTTGCCACCTTTTGTGAGATTTATCCCTAAGTATTTCATGTTTTTAATGTTATCATGCTGGTATTTTTATTTAAATATCAAATTGTTTGTTAGTAATATATAGAACGGCAAGTGATTTTTATAGATATAGCAAGGGGGTTTTTTGCAGATTCTATAGGATTATTTTATAGAGATGATCACATCTTCATAGACAAAAGAGACAGTTTTACTTACCGCTTTCCAAGTTTTTCTTCTGACCCTTTTATTAACATTTTTTCTTGTATTATTGCACTAGTTAGATTAAGCGGTGGACAACATATTTGCCCACTTTTTTTTCATTTTAAGAGGTAAGTACTCAGTCTTCATCACTACATTTCAAGTTACCTGTAGGTTTTTCATAGATGCCATTTCCTTATCAAGTTGAGGAAGATTGCTTCTGTTTCTAGTTTGGTAAGAGTTTTACCAGGAATGAATGCTGGATTTGCCAAATGATGTTTCTGCGTCTATTAAAATGACTATTTTACAAATCTGTTAATATTGTGAATTACATTGATTTGTTTTTCTAAGGTTAAACTACCTTTGCATTCTTTGGTCATGATGCATTATCCTTTTCCCCAGGTAATACTGGCTTCGTACAATGAGTCAGGAAATATTCCATTTCTTTAATTTTCTGGAAAAAAAATTCTGTGGGTGGCATTATTTCTTCCTTATATGATTAGTAGAATCCACAAGTAAATCCATCTGGGCCTTTAATTTTCTTTGTGGAAGGTTTTAAAGTAGAAGCTTAATGTATTGAAGAGTGTTTTAATCACCTCCTATTTATCCCATTAGTGAGGGAGGGATTCCTGCCTAGGTTTAGGCAAATGGCTGGCGTATGACACGACACCGGACACATGAGACTGTTAGCAATTTATTAGTAATGTATACTCACAACCTGAGAGAGGAGGATACCATGCACCATACAGTGACATATGAAGTGTTGCACTCAGAAATAAAGTGGAAAACCAGGGCCTGTGAAAGGCAGAGTTTGTAGTATTGTTAAAGTGCCCCAGGTTCACATGGGAGGATGTGATTGGCTTGTTTCAGTAATTCTATAGCCTGACAGAGAACTAAGACCTGCTACTCAGAGACGAGCAGGAACTGCATCTGTTCTGCTCAATAAGGAGGATTGCTTGCCTAGGGAACCTTATCCATGGGAGCAGAGAGGGAAGGGAACTTGTGGATTTACCATTCAAGATCCTTCCAATTTCACCACGTATCAAGGTAATACACAATATTGGACCTTAATTTTAGGCCTCACACCACAAATGGATACAGAGCTAGTCAGATTATCTATTTCTTCTCAACTAGCTGTTGTCTTTCAATGAATTTCTCTACTTTATTCAAGTTATTAAATGTGTTGACATATAGTTTTTTTAAATAATGTTTCCCTATTTTTTTTTTTTTTTTTTGAGACAGAGTCTCACACTGTCGCCTGGGCTGGAGTGCAATGGCGTAATCTCAGCTCGCTGCAACCTCTGCCTCCTGGGTTCAAGTGATTCTCCTGCCTCAGCCTCCCAAGTAGCTGGGATTACAGGCGCCCGCCACCATGCCCAGATAATTTTTTGTATTTTTAGTAGAGACGGGGTTTCACCATGTTGGTCAGGCTGGTCTCAAACTCCTGACCTCGTGATCCTCCCGCCTCGGCCTCCCAAAGTGCTGGGATTACAGGCGTGAACCACCGTGCCCGGCCTCTATTTTTTAATATCTGTAGAATCTATGGTGATATCACACTTCTCATTCCTGATCTTGATAATTTTTGTCTTCTCTCTTACTTTCCTGATCAATCTGGCTAAAGATGAATCAATATTTTTATCTTCTCAAAAACCTAGCTTTTGGTTAAATGGTTTTCTCTATTGTTTTTCTATTATTTCATTGATTTCTTATCTGACTTTTGCTATTTTTTATTCTCCTTAAGCTGAGTTTTATTTGATTTTTTTTTTTTTTTTGATATGAAGTCTCACTCTGTTGCCCAGGCTGGAGTGCAGTGGTGTGCTCTCGGCTCATTGCAACCTCCACCTCCTGGGTTCAAGCACTTCTCCTGCCTCAGCCTCCCGAGTAGCTGGGATTACAGGCGCCTGCCACCATGCCTGGCTAATTTTTGTATTTTTAGTAGAGACGGGATTTCACCATGTTGGCCAGGCTAGTCTCGAACTCCTGACCTCAAGTGATCTGCCTGCCTCAGCCTCCCAAAGTGCTGGGATTACAGGCATCAGCCACCGCACCCAGCCTTTATTTGACCTTTATATTGCTTCTTAAGATGGAACTTGATGTTATTAGTTTGAGATTTTGTTTAAATAACATCGAGTGCTGTAAATTCTAATCTAAGTACTGCTCTAGCTGCATCCCAGAAATGTAAACATGTTTTGGATAAATTGTTATTCATTTCAAGATAATTTATGATTATCCTTTTGATTTGTTCTTGTGGCTCATGGGTTACTTAGAAGTATGATGTTTAGTTTTCAATGTAAATTTTCAGAATATCTTTTTGTTATTGATTTCTAATTCAATTCCATTTCAGTCAGAGAATATACTTTCTGCTATTTCAAAACTTTTTAATTTATTGAGACTTGTTTATGGCCTATTATTTAAACATTCCATATATGCTTGAGAATAACGTGTATTCTGTAGTTGTTTGGTTCAGCATTGTAAAAATGTCAATAGGTTAGTTTGGTTGAACCTGTTGTTCAAGTCTTCTATATCCTTACTGAATTTCTTTGCACTTGTTCTATCAGTTTTTTTGAGAGGAGGTGTTGACATCTCTATTATTATTGTGGACGTGTCTATGATTACGGTATAATCAATTAGTCAGTTCTTTATGTATTTTGAGTTCTGTTAATAAGTACATATTTAGAATTATTATATCCCCTTGAAGAATTGAGCTCTTTATCATGATGAAATGACTCTCCTTATCCCAGATAATATTCATTGCTCTGACATCTACTTTGTTTGAAATTAATATAGTCACTCCAGCATTATTTTGATGACTGATTGCATGATATACATTTTCCATCCTATTACTTTTAACCTTTTATATCATTTATAAATTAAGTGGATTTATGTAGGCATCATATTGTATTTCCTTTTTTTTAATCTTATGACAATCCCAGTCTTTTAATTGGGATATTTATATCATTTAATATGTAATGCTATTGATACGCTTTGGTTTAAGTCACCCATCTTGCTACTGGTTTTCTGTTGTTCGCATCTACTCTTTGTATTATACTCCTTTCTTATTTTTTAATTTGTACAAATATGTACAAAATAGTCTTATATATTTATGGGATACATGAGATATTTTGATATGGGCATGCAATGCATGATCATCACATAGTGGGAAATGGGGTGTCCAACCCCTCAAGCATTTACCCTTTGTGTTACAAACAATCCTTTTATACTCTTTTAACTATTTTTAAATGTACAATTAAATTATTATTGACTATAGTCACCCTCTTGTGCTATCAAATACTAGGTCTTATTCATTCTTCCTAACTACTTTTTTGTACCCACTAACAATTGCCACCTCCCCATGCCACCCTACTACCATTCACAGTCTCTGGTAGCCATCCTTCTACTCTCTGTCTCCATGAGGTCAATTGTTTTGATTTTCAGATCCCACAAATAAGTGAGGACATATGTTGTTTGTCTTTCTATGCCTGATTTATTTCATTTAATAAAATGACCTCTAGTTCCATTCATGTTGTTTCAAATGACAGAATCTCATTCTCTTTTATGGCTGAATAGTAGTTCATTGTGTATACGTACTCCATTTTCTTTATCTTTTCGTCTGTTGATGGACACTAAGGTTGCTTCCAAATCCTGGCTATTGTGAACAGTGCTTCAACAAAGTAGGAGTGCAGATAATCACTTTGATATATTGATATCTTATCTTTTGGGTATATATCCAGCAGTGGGATTGCTGGTTCATAAGGTAGCTCTATTTTTAGTTTTTTGAGGAACCTCCAAACTATTCTCCATAGTGGCTGTACTAATGTATATTCCAACCAACAGTGTACAAGGGTTCCCTTTGCTCTACATCCTTGCCAGCATCCATTATTTCCTGTGTTTTGAATAAAAGCCACTTTAACTAGGGTGAGATGATATCTCATTGTGGTTTTGATTTGCATTTCTCTGATGATCAGTGATGTTGAGCACCTTTTCCTATGCCTGTTTGCCATTTGCATGTCTTCTTTTGAGAAATGTCTATTCAGATCATTTGTCCATTTTTAGATTAGATTTTTTTCCTACAGATCTGTTTGAGCTCATTATATATTCTGGTTATTAATCCATTGTCAGATGGGTAATTTGCAAATATTATCTCCTATTCCATTCTGTGGGTTGGCTCTTCACTTTGTTGATTGTTTTCATTGCTGTACAGAAGCTTTCTAACTTGATGTCATCCCATTTGTTCATTTTTGCTTTGGTTGTCTGTGCTTATTGGGTATTATTCAAGAAATTTTTGCCCAGAGAAATGTCCTGGAGAGTTTCCCCAATGTTTTCTTGTAGTACTTTCATAGTTTGAGGTTTTAGATTTAAGCGTTTAATCCATTTTGATTATATTTTTGTATATGGCAAGAGATAGTGGTCTGGTGTCACTCTTCTGCATGTGAATATCCAGTTTTCCCTGCACCACTTATGGAAGAGACTGTCTTTTCCCCAGTGTATGTTCTTGGCATGTTTTTTGAAAATGAGTGCCCTGTAGCTGTGTGGATTGATTCTGGGTTCTCTGTACCAAAGAAGAACAAAGTTGGAGAACTAACACTATCCTACTTCAAGACTTATATAAAGATACAATAACCAAGACAGTGTGTTACTGGCAAAAGAATAGAAAAATAGATCAATGGAACAGAGTAGAGAGCCCACAAATAGACCCACCCTAATATAGTCAACTCGTCTTTCACAAAGGAGGAAAGGCAATTCAATGGGGAAATTATGATCTTTTCAACAAATGGTGCTCAAAACTGCACATCCACCTGGGGAAAAAATGAACCTATACACAGACATTATGCCTTTCACAAAAATTAGCTCCAAATGGATAGTAGACATAAATATAAAATGCAAACCTATAAAACTCTTAGAAGATAGCATAGAAGAAAATTTAGGTGACCTTGGCTTGGTGATGACTTAGATACAACACAAAAACACAGTTCATAAAAGGGAAAATTGCTAAGCTGGACTTCATTAAAATTAAAATGCTCTGTTCTGTAAAAAAAGATGCTGTTAAGATAATGAAAACACAAGTCAAAGACTGGGAATATATTTTTGCAATATAGTATCAAAGGGCTAGCATAAAAAATATACAAAGAATTCTTAAAACTCAACAATAAGAAAATAACAACATGATTGGAAAATTGTCAAAAGATCTGGAAAGGCTACATACTGTATGATTCCAACTATATGACATTCTGGAAAGAGCAAAACTGTAGAGACAGTGAAAAGACCAGTGCTTTCAAAGGATTCCCAGGGTGGGAAGAAGGGATGAATTGGTGGAATGTAGGTAATTTTTAGGGCAGTGAAATTGTTATTTCATGCGATAGTGTAAAGGTGAACAAATATCCTACTTTTGTCAAAAGCCATAGAAGATACAACACAAAGAGTCAACTCTAATGTAAACTATAGACTTTAGTTAACAATAATGTGTTAATATTGATTCATCAAGTGTACCATATTAATGTAAGTTATTAAAAATAAGGGAAATTGGGTGAGGGTAGAGATATATAGGAATTCTGTGTACTTTTTCTCATTTTTCTCTGTACACCTAAAACTTCTCCAAAAAATTAAATCTATTACTTTTAAAAAATATATGAAGTCATGGACTGGGAATATAAAACAATAATTTCCAAGATATTGGACATGAAGCAATGAAAGAGAGTAATCTGAGGAGATGAGAAACAAATTGAGTGACATGTATTTAAAAATTCTATTAAACATGCTCAATCTCTCCCTCAAGCTTCCCGAACATATGGAATAGTGATAATAACCATTTTAATATCCTTGTCTAGTAATTCTACCATTTGTGTCATTCTCAATTTGTTTCCATTGAATGCATTTTCTCTGCATTAACAGTTGTATTTTCCTGCTTGCTTTTATAGATAAGAACCATTTTATAGATAAGAAAACCGAGATCCCAAATGGTTTATTGACTTGTTTGACATTGGGCTCCCCATCTGTGTGCTCCTGCGGGATCCTGTACTTTGCCTACCTGTGCCCCTGTCACGTAGTGTTGAATGGAAAAAGCTATCTCTGTTTCTCACACAATACATTGAGAGATGTTAAGATCTAGAGAAAATAGGAACTTAATAGAACCAAGAGGCCTATATTCTTCTCTCCTCCTACCTTTTTGTAGCTATGAGACCTTATCTTCTCATATTGACCAGATATTGTTAATTCTGATTAGTTGAATAATAACTATTTTTATATGTCTGTAGTTTTCCTTTTTGTTCTCAGATGTGATTAAGAAATTTAGAAACTATTAATATTTTATAATTTCAGGTTTTATTTTTATGCTGGATTAGATATGAGCAGAGTGATGTTCACTCTGGGAATAATTTTCTTCCATTCCCAAAGCAAAGCCTTTTGAGTACATTGCTTGATGCTCTGTGAATTGTGAGCTTTTCCACTGTAGCTGGTGGGAGTCACATTCCCCACCCTGTGTGAGCTTAATTCTATTTAACCCTTTCAGATGGCTTTTTCCCTAACCTCTAGTAGTCTTATATGCAAACCTCTGTACCACTTACTTAAATACTCAAAGGGAAATCTCTACAAAGGTCCAAAGTTCTCGCTCTGTGCAGCTCTCTCCTCTCTAACACTCTGCCTTGAAAACTAGAGCCACCTTGACTCCCCTACAATGTACTCCGCACAGGGAGACCACCAAGCTCTGCCTGGGTTACCCTTTCCTACAGTAAACTGAGGCAGTCATGTTACTCAATTTGTTTTTGTTTCTCACCTCTTCAGATTACTCTTTCACTGCTTTATGTTCAATATCTTAGAAGTTTTCGTTTCATGTATGCTGCCTAGTTTATTTCATTGCTTCAGGGGGAAAGGTAAATCTGGTAGCCTTTTCTGCATCTTTACCAGAAATAGAATCTCATGAAACATAATTTTTAATATCCCATATTTAGCACGATCCTATTCAGACTAAGAAAAAGAAAATGGGAAAGAGAATCTTCATCAAAGATTTTCTAGAAAAGATTTTTGAATACCCAAGAAGTTATACTAAGTTAAGACGGTCACTCTTTTTCTATTGGACACTGTTGTACTTGCATGTGATCCTGAAACACTTTTTGTAGACATGCCAATCCTAACTGGGATATCTCTCTGATGCTGACAGCAAGCTCTCAGGGCCTTCTACAGGCAGGAATCTGCCACCTTGTAATGATGAGGGTTTATCTCAGAGACCATGTTGTCATAATTTGGCTTTCCCCAGTGGGTACCTTCAACTCCTTCGGGCTGTTGACAGTTCCTCCAATGTCCACTCGTGGGTGTGAAGTCAATGTTGGTTACATCTTTTACAGCCTGACCCATGAGAATAGATTTCATTCACTTCAAATCTATTATTATAAGTGAGAGACAGGAATGACATCAACCCCCCACCCCAACCTCACACCTCATGCTTGTTCCCCGTGCTTCCTACATTTGGAAGAGCATGAAGACTGCGATAGTGTCTCAGAGCCAAGTCTGAGAAACTGTGAAGGAATCTCGAAACTTGTGCCATTCAGAGAAAAACCTTGATCTCCTGGTCACGATGGGGGAGGGGAAAGATATTGGGGTAACTCACTGACAGATTTACTGCTGAGACCCAAGCAGAACCAATAAGGTCTAGATTTTTTTTGGTCCAAATATCTGGGTATAATAACATAAGTTACATTAGTAACAATATGTGACATTTGATGACAATTTGACACATCAGGGCATGGAGCTCTGTATTCTTCCAGCACTTCACTTAAAATACTCAATAAATTAAAAGATATGTAGTTCTATAACCATTTTATAGATAAGGAAACCGAGACCCCAAATGGTTTATTGACTTGTTTGACAATGGACTCCCCATCTGTGTGCTCCTGCTGGATCCTGTACTTTGCCTACCTGTGCCCCGTCACGTAGTGTTGAATGGAAAAAGCTATCTCTGTTTCTCACACAGTATATTGGGAGATGTTAGGATCTAGAGAAAATAGGAACTTAATAGAACCAAGAGGCCTATATTCTTCTCTCCTCCTACCTTTTTGTAGCTATGAGACCTTATCTTCTGAATTGCTTTTTTACTTAGTTTTAATGTCAAGGAAACGTGGGGGACGGCTCCTGAGATAGTGGTTCTCAAAGTACTGCCTACACCTCAAGCTGTGTACAGTTGAGACAAAAGCTGCCTTTGAATTTTTGCTCTAACAGCAACAGTAAAAATAAAAAGAGCTCACATGCAGTATTATTTTTTAAAGGTGCATTGCCTCATTTAAGCCTCACAGAGACAATGAGTGCACGTTTTTAAACACGTTACAAATTCAGATAACAATAAGTGACAGATTTGAGGCACAAATCAAAGTAAATGAATGTCAGTTCAAAGCCTCTTTCTTCAAAATAAGTGTTTCCCAAACTGAAATGTGAGGATCATAGTAATTCTGTAAATTTAAACCCGGGATAAAGTATAAAGTTTATTTTTAAAAAGCATGTTGGTACCCTGTTGTAGTAGTTTCAGTCATCTTGAGGCTCTCTAGATAGCTATGCCTTCAGATATAAAATGTAATTTGCTTTAAAAACTATTTTTTAAAATGGCTGACTTCTCCCTAGATTTGGCAAAACAAAACAAAACAAAACATATAAGTATAGATTCAAGGAAATAAGTGAACCCCAAATTTGGTAATCCAAAGTAATCCATGCTAAAGCACATGATATTTAAACTTCTGAAACCTCAAGACAAAAAAAAATCAAGAAACAAAGCACACAAATATGATACATTACTTATAGGGGAACATAAATTCTAGTGACGGCAGATTTCTCTTTCAAAGCATGGAGGAAAGAAGGAAGTGACATGACATTTGTTCGTGTTCTTGAAGAATAAGTTGACAAGTGCAAATTTCGTATCTGGAGATATTATCTTTCAGAAATGAAAGGAGAATAACGACATACTCAGAACAAGAAAAACTAAGATACCGTGTCACTGGCAGACCTACACTTAAAGAATGGCTAAAAGAAGCTCTTAAAAAAGAAAGAAAGGCATAACTGAAAAAAGCTGGAAACATAAGAAAGGAAAAAAGAAAAAAATGAATAAATGGAAATAGGATTAAATAATATAAGCTACACTTCTCTTCATGAGCTTCTTTGATCATGCTTGACGGTTCAAGCAAAAATTATAACATTTGTTTTAGTGTTCAATCCGTGTCAGAAAGTACTTGAGACAATTATATTTTTAAAGCTAGGAAAGTGTACAGACCTAAATGGAACTTTCTATACTTCATGCAAAAGCATAAAATATCAATACCTATAGATGGTGGTTAAATATATATATCTAGAGTAGTTACTTAAAAAAAAAGATTCAAAGTGATATACCTAAACGTATTATAAAGAAATGGAAGGGGAATTCTTTTTTTTTTTTTTTTTTTTTTTTTGAGATGGAGTCTGGCTCTGTTGCCCAGGCTGGAGTGCAGTGGCGCGATCTCGGCTCACTACTACAACCTCCACCTCCCGGGTTCAAGCGATTCCGGAAGGGGAATTCTAAAACGTTTCCAAGTAACTGCATCTCCAAAAAAAAAAAAAGGTCTGTAAAACTCATAAACCTTGGGTGAGACTTATGAAGATAAAAGGAGTAAGACACAAATTGGTAATATCAAGAATCAATACTGGGAGGCACATCGCTAGAGACCTTCATGCCAATAAATTGAAAATTTAGAAGTGGACAAACCAGGCAAGCTGGCTCATGCCTGTACTCCCACCACTTTGGGAGGCCGAGGCTGGTGGATCATGAGGTCAGGAGTTCAAGACCAGCCTGGCCAAGATGGTGAAACTCCGTTTCTACTAAAAATACAAAAATTAGCTGATTAGCTGAGTGTGGTGGCGGGCACCTGTAATCCCATCTACTATGGAGGCTGAGGCAGGAGAATCACTTGAACCCTGGAGGCGGAGGATGCAGTGAGCTGACATCATGCCACTGCACTCCAGCCTGAGCCACAGAGCAAGATTCGTCTGAAAAAAAAAGAAAAGAAAAGAAAAAAAAAAAGAAGTGGACAAACAGTAAAATACTTAAAATACTGAAAACTTAAAATACTGAAACCTGAGAGAATACGTTAAAACATGATTTCATCTGTAAATGCGAAATAAATGCAATCAGTAATTAAATACTTTTGACAAAAAAATCTCTAGTTCCAGATGGTTCATAAATGAGTTCTGTCAATGCTTAATGTGAGAGATCACTCCAATACTGCACAACTTTTTCAGAGAATAGAGCTAGCGAGTACACTACCCCTTGTGTTTTACCAAGTGAACCTTGACACAGAAACTAGATAAGGATAATTTAAGAATGGCAAATTTCAAAGCAATCTGTCTCAGAAACATACGTGAAAATATCACATGCAAGGTACTTGTTTAAAAAGCTAGCAATATCTTTTTATTTTTAGTTTTAGTTTTTTTTTTTTTTTTTGAGATGGAGTTTCCCTCATGTTACCTAGGCTGAAGTGCAATGGCACGAACTTGGCTCACTGCAACCTCTGCCTCTCAGGTTCAAGCAATTCTCTTGCCTCAGCCTCGCAAGTAGCTGGGATTACAGGCGTGCGCCACCATGCTGGGTTAATTTTTGTATTTTTAGTAGAGAAGGGGTTTCACCATGATGGTCAGGCTAGTCTCAAACTCCTGACCTCAGGTGATTTGCCCTCCTTGGCCTCCCAAAGTGCTGGGATCACAGGCGAGAGGCGCCTGGCCTCTAGCAATTTTATTTTAAAAGATACTATAAAAGTATAAAAATTTTTGAAAAAAAAGATAGTACATGACGTGATTTGGATGTCTGTGCCCACTGAAGTCTCATGTTCAATTCTAATCCATTGTGTGAAGATGGGGCCTGGTGGGAGGTGACTGGATTGTGGGGACCGAGTTCTCATAAATGGTGTAGCACCATCCCCTTGGTGCTTTTCTCCTGATAGTGAGTTATCAGGAGACCTGGTCCTTTAAGTGTGTAGCACCACCTCCTAATCTGTCTTCCTCCTGCTCCAGCCTTGTATAGAGGTGCCTGCTTCCTCTTGGCCTTGGGACATGATTGTAAGTTTTCTGAGGCGTCCCCAGAAACAGAAGCCCCTATGCTTCTTGTGCAGCCTGTAAAACCATGAGCCAGTTAAACCTCTTTCTTTTATAAATTACCCAGTCTCAGGTATTTCTTTATAGCAGTGTGAGAACAGACTAATACGCTATATTATGACCAAGTTATATTTATTCTAGCAAAGCAAGGTTGGTTTAACATTAGAAAAGAAATGAATGTAATTCACCACTTGAACAGATTAAAGGGAAGAACTAAACTAAATGTGACCACCTCAATAGATACAAGAAAATAATTTGGTAAAAGTCATCATTCATTCATGATGAAACAACCTGTGGAAAAGACGGAATCTATGAGCCTCTCCGAGAGAGTTTCAGATGCAGTGTTGCAGTTGACAGTCTTTGGAGGTATGTCACAACACCGGAATTCCTACTAGGAAGAGGTAATAAGTTTAAGTGCATGAAGACTAGAAGAAGATACTGCAAGCTAAATCCACCTAAAGTAAAGATAAAATTCAAGAAGCAAAGTTGAAAAGTGCTTGCCAATCATATCGCAGACAAAGGGTGGATTTCCCTAATAAGTAAATACCATCAGTGGATTCATTTTTTGAAAAAAGGAACTAAGCCTACTCTATTGTCATTGATAACGCTAGCTGCTGTAACAGATGAACTCCAACCTCTTAGTGGCCTAACACTATGAACATTTTTCTTGCCTACATTTTTCCAAAAGGAAACAGGACTGGGGAGGGTTGGCTCTTCTTTTTGAAAACAATCTAGGACCAGGCTGACAGAAGCTCTGCCATCTTCAACACCTGGCTCTATAAGTCGCTCTGGGTGTCAACATCTTTCCAGCAGATGGGGAAGAAAGAGTAGGAGGATCTCATAGGAGGTTTTTATGAATCATGCTTGGGAGAATTGCCACTCGGGCCCACCATCCATTGCCCAGGCCTCAGTCCACCAGCCACAGTTACCTGCCAGGAGGCTGGGAAACCCCAGGAGGAAAAGAAAACAGGTCTGGAGGACAGCTAGTCAGTCTCTGTATATGTATGCCTGAACAGTTCACAGAAAGAAAAACACAAAAAGCTCCCAAATGTATATAAAACTTCCCAGCCTCACTCCTAATAAGAGAAATGGGTTTCTGAAGCACAATAAAATACTGTCCAGGATCTATCCTATGGACAGATATGCAAATGTTTGAAACAGACTGATTTGGTGAGGATATGGGAAGAGTCACATTCCTGCATTGTTAGTATGGGTGTAACTTGATGTAACACCTAGAGAAGGCAATTTAGCAGTATCTGTCCACATTGTGTGTGCTTTACCCCCCTCCTCCAGAAATCCTGCTGCTATGAATTTGTCCTTTGGATGTACTTGCACTTGTATGGAATGATATAACATGTTAGTTTACTCGATGCGGTATTGTCTGTAATAGCCTAAGCCTGGGCAAACCCCTGTGTCAACAGGGCACCGGCTAAATAAAGAAAAGGATATATCCGTATCAAAGGATACCATGCAGGCATGGCATAGAGCAGAATGCTTTTACCTCTGTGGAGCTACACTGCATGGGTGCAAATCCTGGTTCTTCCCTCGTTTAGAAGTATTACCTACGGCAAGTAATGTCAATTGCATGTGCTCTTCACTCCTCATGCACAAAATGAGGAAAGCACCTACTTCCCTAGGTTTTGGTGAGGATGAGTTTAATTGATTTGAAGCATTTACAGCAATGGCATAGCAAGCACGCTATAACTTTTGCCTGTATTAAGCACAGAAAGTACTCCAGGATACATTCTTTTTCTTTTCTTTCTTTTTTTTTTTTTTTGACGGAGTTTTGCTCTTGTTGCCCAGGATGGAGTGCAATGGCACGATCTCAGGTCACCACAACCTCTGCCTCCCGGGTTCAAGTGATTCTCCTGCCTCAGCCTCCCGAGTAGCTGGGATTGCAGGCGTGTGCCACCATGCAAGGCTAATTTTGTATTTTTAGTAGAGACGGGGTTTTTCCATGTTGGTCAGGTTGGTCTCGAACTCCCGACCTCAGATGATCCACCCACCTCGGACTCCCAAAGTGCTGGGATTACAGGCATGAGCCACCGCACTCAGCTCCAGGAGACATTCTGAGATGGAAAAAATGCCAGGTCAACACAGCGTTTGGTACACGCCTTAATACAGAAAGAGGAGTTTGGATGATGTATATGCCTGAATACCAGTGATGTTCCTCCAGAAGGGTATCTAAAAGCCTGGTGGGAAAGAGGAGTGGCCTTTGGGAATGAGTTCTGGATGGTTCAGCAATGGAGGTGAGAAGAATCCGTTGCCTGCACATAGTTTAGAAACTTTGGAATTTTACACCAAGTGTGCATGTATCACCTATTCCATTTCTTAATCTTTGCTAAAGGAAAGAACAGAAAAGAAAAAAAAAAATAACAGGCTTTGGAGCTATGCAAGCCTGAATTTGTGACCCTTCTCTACTAAGCAGGTCAAACGATATAAGGAGGGACCTCATATAACAGGAGCATGTGGGGTCCACTGTTCAGAAGCAGCAAAATCTCACTTTCTTTTCTGACTCAATCTCTGTTTTGACCTCTCAGGATTTTTGTAGTTGTAATTTAATGTGGTGCTGCCTCAGTTAAGGGGACACGCATAGGGTGAGTGGAGATCCTCCCAGGTGTCCAGAGCCCTGCCCTGTGGCTTGGCATTCCCACCCTGCCCCTCCCTGCACCCACACCCAGGCCTTCTCCTGAGGGTGAAGTGCAGCAGCAGTCGCTGGGTTGGCAGAGGGAAGGGGAGTCTGAGAGGGTGGGTGGGTGATTGGGCAGCAGAGAACCTGTCCCAGTGAGGCCTGGAGGTGGTGGAAGCTGGACCACATGATAGCTGAGGCTCCAGGACCCCAGCACACACTGCACCGTTTCATCACACCTCACCTACCAAGCACAAATTCAAGGAAAGAAATAGTTAAGAATTTCAAGACAGCCACACTAAACCGCAAGCCCAGGGACCCATTCTGAGCATGGAGCCGTGTGGGACCACTTTAGTTGCAGTTTCGTGAAACTGGCCGTGCTACCACATGTTACTTGTGTGCAATGACCTAACTTCTCTGTGGCCTCAGTTTCCTCATCAGTGATATAGATATTGAAAAAACCATATAGGGTTTTTGTAAGACTCAAATAACATACTACGTGCTAAGTACTTAGCAAAGCATGTGGCATGGTATAAGTCTCGACATGTCAAGTAAAATTATTGTAAGCCGGAAATAAAATTCTAAGGCTCCCAACCATCTGAGTGTTTCATAGGTAAACGTTGTAGCATTTTCATTTGCCCTTGTTCCACCTTCTCCCTGACCTGGTGGCGGCATTGCACCCAGCAGCCTGCATCCCACGTGTGGAACCCTGGTACCTGGTTCCGGAAGGAGAGAGCAGAGCTTATGCAAAAATCATGGTTTTCATTGGTTCTAACCCGTCCAGGGGCTTCCTGAAGGACAGAAGCAAAATGCTCCTCTCTGTTTGACCTAACAGGGAAGTCAGGGCAGAAAAAGCTTGGGCAGCTCCTGAAAACCTTATAAGGCAAATCAAAAAACGGCAACTGCGTGAGGCAGAAACTACAGTTGAAACCTATAGCAGATAACCCAAAACCTGGGGGATACGCTGGCGGACAGGCCATTTGGGAAATTAGATCATTCGGAAGCAGTCATGTACCCTGGGGATTGTCAAAAGCCAGGTGCGTGCCCAGGATTGGATGCATGCTCAGGAAAGACCCGAGAAGACCCTAAGCTTTCACCGGCTGATCTCTGGACTCAGTCTAAACAGGAAGTGACAGCCAAGACAGAGTTGTAAGTGGCCTGGCTGAGGTTTGAAGGAGTGCTGCAGCCCAGAGCGAATCCACAAAGGCTGACAGAGGAACTTTTTGCTTTTTTTTTTTTTATTAAGCTCTGGGCTGTCAAGGAAATTGCTGTCAAAATACAAGCAGAAAACAAACTAAAGGAACAGAGAGTTCAGTGGCCACATGTGACAACGAATGCAGGCTCTCCCAAAAGAGTTTGGAAAACCCTCTAGACAAATCAATGACTGCAGCTTTCAGAAATCAGCAACTGCAAATCCTGGAGAAGGTAGAGGATCTAATATTCAGTGTTACCACATTACCACAATCAAAGACCTAGTTTTCAGCAGCAACAAAAGAATCCAAAAGCCTACAAGGGAACTTGAAAGTATGGCCCATTCAAAGGAAAATTGCAAACTGACAACTCAATGGTAGTTTCTCAAAAAGAAGAGTGTTTCCTCCTGTTCATAGAGTTGGAGCTATAAAATGATATGAGGACAGAACATTCCATTGTGCTCAACATTATGAACACCATGGTGACCTTTGAGAGAGCCATTTCATTGGGATTTGGGGGAAAAGAATGAGTTGTAGGATGAATAGGTGATGAAGTAATGACAAGTGTGGAGAGCTCCAAGTTTCATTGTGAATGGAAGGAGATGAGGTAGTGGGTGCAGGGTAAAATGGAGAAGACGGAGGGTGCTTTGAGCGTTTGATTGTTGATTTTTACCATTATAAGGTTTTCATGACCAGTGCGTGATTTAGTGCTATTGGAAAGATATATTTGGAAGGGCAGGTTGAAGTTGACAGGGGCAATCAGGGGAGTAAATGGATGATGGATGCTATAAGATTCCTGGGAAGATAGGAGCAGTGAGATTCAAAGCACACATTGAAGGATCACCCGGAAAGAGCAGGAGGGATGTTCTGTCATAAATGGAGGAAAGGCAACAACTTGTACCTGTACATGCAGGTAGGTGTTTACAATTGCTGGTAGGAAATGGAGAGAGTCCTTCCTGAGGTCTTGGATTTTCTCAGGAAAATAGGAGGTGCGGCCAGCTTCTGAGAATGAGGGAAAGGAGATCAGGGGTTTCCAGAGTCGTACAGTTGTGTAATAAATGGTCATTACAGGTAGTTGGAGAGAGAGCTGGTTGGGAAAATACAGTAGACTAACTGACCCCCATATAGGGCTTGGTTGAGGTTGATGTCTACGATTGTCCGTGGTACTGGTCTCCGGACTCATCTGACTTTTCCCCAGTCTTCTGCTGTTTCTTGACTTCAGGCCTAAGTTCATCCGGTCTTTGGTAAGGGAACGTTTCTGGGTTGGATGACTGAGCAATGCTAGAGTACTCAGTTGAAGCATTAAATACAGGGGCGTGCACACATTTGCAGGTGAGGGGAGTGCACTGAGAGATAGATCTGCGTTTGAGGTGCTTGTGAAAACATCCAGGATGTACAGAAGGCAACTGGATGTTTCAGTGTGGTGCTCAGCAATTACTTTCAGACCAGGAATACACGTTTGTGAATCCTCTCAACAATCAGTCAGGCGAAGCCAGGAGCGTGAGTTAATTCACCCCAGGATGTAGGCAAGATAGCCTGTAAAGAGCTGGCCGAGGACCAAACCTAGGGAATAGTAACACTGAAGAACACAGGGAAACAGAAGTCCAGGAAGGAGATGGAGAGAGAAATCTCCGAGGAATAGGATAGTAACTAGGAGAAAAAGTAGTACCACAGACGTGAAGGAAGGAGGGAGGGTTATGCTGTGGAGATGTAAGGCCAGATCATAAGGGAGAGAGGAGTCCATTGGGATTCATTAGTTAGGACATCCTTGTTACCTTATGGACAGCTCGGGGTTGGGACAGCTCGGGGGCCCACGTGAATGAAGACAGACTACATGAAATTGAAGAGTGAGGAAGAGAAGTCCAGGGTACTTCATTTAAAAGGAAATGAGGAAGAGTTTGGTAGGTAGAGCGGAAGACAAAGGAAGGTTATTTAGGTTGAAGGATACTTGAATACATTTTTAGAATCAGGAGAAGGAGACCTTAGAAAGGGAGAAAGTGAAAATGCAGGAGTGACAAACTCCATTTTTATCATTCTAATCTCTTATTCTCAGAGCAACCCTCCAGGGAAGGTAGTAGTATCGCTGTGGCAGCGATGCAGAGTTGGCAGAGGTGAGACAACTGCAAGGGAGAATTTCAGTCACTCGCCTGTGGTCACACAGCTAGTAAGTGGGATCCGGGACTTGAACACAGTTATAACTCCAAAATGGTTGCACTCACCAGGGTAACTTGTCACAGATACCTTGAACCTTGTTCTTTCTTGGAAAAAAAAAAAAAAAAGAAATTGACATACTAGACTCAGTACATTGTTTAAACATTTACCTTCTTAAAGAATCCTCCCCGTACTCTAGTAAGTAATATGAGTTTCACCCTTCCTGGAGTGGCTGTTAATCCCAGGCACTCAGTTGAATGTTTCATATTCATTGTTATTTAATTCCCACAATGTCATGTCAAAGTAGAAGTAATTACCTCAAAGATGAGGAAATGAAGTTTCACAGCGGTCACAGCTCTTGCCAAACTACACGTTAACCATTGATTTCTGCTTCTCATCTCCCAAAAATACATCAGGTTATCAGTGCTTTTCAAAAGTCTCAACCAATTAGTGGACATGAATGTTACTCATGTACATTTGGAAATAAATAGAGGTAAGTGTACATAAAGTGGACGATAAATGGTAGTTTTGAAAAAAGACTTTGTTGGCATATAATCCACAGGCCATAATCTTCACCCATTTCAAGTGTACAATTCAGGTGTTTTTCTTTTCATTCTGCATATTCACAAGGTTCTGCAACCATCACCACAATCTCATTTTAGAACCTTATAATCACCTTGGAAAGAAGCCCCATACACATTAACAGTCACTTCCCACCCTGTTCTCCTTCTCCAAGCAAATGGAAATCAAATTTCTTAGTCCATAAGTTTACATATACTGGACGTTTTTCCAAATGGAATCACATAATATGTGGTCTTTTGTGATTTTCTTTCATGCAGCATCACGTGTTCTAGGCTCACGCATGTTATGGCATGTATCAGTATTTCATCCCTTTTTGTTGCCAAGCCACACTCCCCTGAATGGAGAAACTAAATTCCATCCGTCAGTTCATCAACTGATGGACGCCTGCGCCACTCGCAATCTTTGACCACTAGGAATAATGATACCGTGTATGTTTGTGTACAGGTTTTTGTTTGGACATAGAGTTTCATTTCTCTTTTGTAGAAAGCTAAGAGTGGACCTCCTGGGCCATATGGAAATTGTGTTTCTGGTACTGAGGAGCAGCCAAATTCTTTCAAACCAGGCTGCCCTATATGTTATAGTCCCACTAGCAGTGTATGAGGACTCCAATCTCTCCACATCCTTGTCAGCAGTTGTTATCGCCTGTCTTTTTTATTCTTGTCATCCTACTGAGTGTGAAGTGGTAGCTCATTGTGGTTTTGATTTGCATTTCCCTACTGGCTAATGATGATTGTGGGTGGCTTTTCGTGTGCCTATTGGCCATTTGTGTACTTTCTTTGGCAAAATGTCTATTCAGATTCTTTGCTCCTTTTTGAATTAGGTCATCATTTGACTGTTGATTCATCAGAGTCCTTTGTATATCCTGGATACATCTATGATCAGATGCATTTTCTACGGGTTGTCTAAAACTCCACGTTATCTACTTTTTTGTTTTGTTGCTTGTGCTTTGGTGTTGAATGCAGACACACACAAAAGCCTTTGCCTAAGGGAAGGTCACAACGTAAGACTTACGGAAGAGAAATGTAAGATTTAGTCTTATATTTCCTTATAAGAGTTTTATCACTGTAGCTCTTATATTTAGGTCTCTGATCTGCTTTGAGTTAATTTTTGTATGTAGTGTGAGGTAAGGTCCAATCCATTCTTTTGCGTCTGGCGGTCCCTCGTCATTTTGTGAAATTACTTTCTTTCTTTATTTTTCAATTGACAAGTAAACATTGTATATATTTATGGTGTACCTCAGGATGCTTGATATCTGTATATGTTGTGGAATGGCCAAATCAAACTAATTAACATATTCCACCCTTCACATATTTATCAGTTTTTTGTTTGTTTGTTTGTTTTTTGTGGGTAGAAACACCTAAAAGCTACTGTCTTACGAATTTTCAAATAACCAATCTATTGCTATTGAGTATAACCACTATGACTTACAATAGCTCCCTTGAACTTATTCCCCCTGTCTAACAGAAATTTTCTATCCATTGCCAACACTCCCTATGCCCCCCAACCCTTAACCTCCAGTAGCCACCATTTGTACTCTCTGCTTCTATGAGTTCCAATTTTGAGACTCCACATATAAGTGAGATCACTTGCTATTTGTCTCTCTGTGCCTGGCTTATTTCACTTGACCTCACATGCTCCAGGTTCATTCATGTTGCCACAAATGGCAGGATTTCTTTCCTTTTTAAGGAGGACTCATGTTCCTACCACGTACCCCACAACTCGGGGAGACAACGTGGCTCCGCCTGAGTTCCTCCTCCCGCCAGTAGGCTGAGACAGGCGTGCGGCTCGACATGTCTCTTTCTTCTGTCTTGCAGATAGCTCTCTTCCATTGCATTAGGTCCAATATCTTGGAAACCATTGTCATCTCGGTTATTTCGTTGCTTTGCGGGGGAAGGATCAATGTGGTGTTTTTTTCCTCCAATGTAGCCAGAAATGCAATCTCCTGAAACATAGTTTTTAATATCCCATACTTAGCAAGATCTTATTCAGGTTGGCAGAAAGAAAATGGGAAAGAGAATGTTCGTCAAAGTGTCTCTAGGCAAGATTTTCCAGTGTGCAAGAAGATATACTCAGGCAAGACGGTTTTTCCGGTGGACACCCTTGTGCCTGCATGTGATACTGGAAATACTTATTTTAGAGATGCGAGTCCTAAACAACTATCTCTGGGATGCCGGGAGCAAACTCCCTGGGTCTTCTAGAGGCAGGAATTTGCCACCTTGTGATGATGAGAGTTTATCTCAGAGACCATGCGGCTATAATTTGGTTTTCCCCAGCTGGTATCTGCAGCTCCCCCCGGCTGTTAACAATTTCTCCAATGTCCACTCCTGGGTCCGAAGTCACTGTTGCTTACATCTTTTACATCCTGACCCATGAGAACAGCCTTCGCTCACTTCAAGTCTACTATTTAAGTGAGAGACAGTGATGGCATCAACCCCACCAACCGCACACCTCACATTGGGAAGAGCATGCAGACTGTGATAGTGGCTCAGAGTCAAGTCTCAGGAATTGTGGTGGAGTCACAGAAACTGTGGTGCCATTCCCAGAAAAACCTTGATCCTGGTCATAATAGAGGAGGGGAAAGGTATTAGGGTAACTCATTGAGGCACTTACTGCGGAGTCCCAGGCAAAAGCGATAGGGTCTAGGTCCCTTTGGTCCAAATATCGGGGTATAATGACATAAGTTATATTAGGAACAGTGGATGACATTTCTTGACAATTTGACGCATCAGGGCATGGAGCTCTATATTCTCCTTCCAGCACTTCACTTAAAATGCTCAGCAAATTAAGATATATGTAATTCTGTCGCCGTTGTACAGATGAGGAAACCAAGGCCCAGAACGGTGTACTGACTTGTCTGACAGAGGGTGCCCTATCGCTGTGCTCCTGCAGGACCCTGTACTTTGCTGACCCGTGCCCCCGTCACACAGTTTTGAATGGAAAAGGCTATCTCTGTTCCTCACGCCATACATTGGGAGACGACAGTGTCTAGGGAAAGTTGGAACTTAATAAGGAACTGGAAGGCCTATGTTCTTCCCTCCTCCTACTTTTTTTGTAGCTGAATTGCTTTACGCTCAGTTTTTACATCAAAGAAATGTGGATGACGGCTCCTGAGATAGTGGTCCTGGAAGTACTGCCTACACCTCAGGCTGTGTGCAGTTAAGACAAAAGCTGCATTTGGATTTTTGCTCAAACAACAAGAAGACGAATAAAAAGGGCTCATATGCAGTAAGTGCTTATATAGGCTAGGCTCCATCATTCCTTCATGGGCATGCTCTCACTGAAGCCTCACAGAGAAGGTGAATGCAACTTTTAAAACTTGTTGCCATTTCAGGCAGGAACAAGTAGCAGAGTTGGGACACAAGCCCAGGTGGATATCCGTTCAAAGCCTCTGTCCTCAAAATAAGTGTTTTCCAAACTGTGATATGCAGGTTGTTTGTGGCCATAGACACAAGTATATTGGCACATGAAGAAACAACGTGGGGGCTCATGAAATAGCAGAACATCCAATCTACGGTCATTTCAGATTTTTATAGGAGGCCCGCGTCATGGTGGCGTGCACTGGGCAGCTGGCCACAGGATCTCGGCCAGGGATGAAGAGCTGCTTTTGATGTGAGGAGGAGATAGGGTGAAATGCGTAGAGAGTTGGATCCATGAAAACAGAGAGGGGCCAGGATGAATGGGGCAGAAGTGCCTGAGAGCTACTTTTTTCCCCAGTCCTTACTGACCATGGTATCCAATCACCCTGGCTTTCCAACTTCTTCCTGCCACCTGCCCTCTTGGCATCCATGGGCTTGGTCCTTCCATTATCAGCGTCTCAGTTTCTTTCTCCACCAATTGAGATTAACAATAGGTGTTCTGAAAGACTTTAGTGAGAAGTAAATAAAGGAACACACGTGAAGTATTTGTGAGAGAGAGAGAGTCCTTAGGTCTATTTCATATTTTTCATTTTCAAAGGCACATGTACAAATTATGTATCACACCTGTAATCTCAGCACTCTGGGAGGCCGAGGCAGTCGGGAAGCTTGAGCTAAGGAGTTCGAGACCAGCCTGGTTCACATGGCGAAACCCCGTCTCTACAAATAATACAAGAGATTAGCGGGCTGTGGTGGCACGTGCCTGTAATCCCAGCTACTTGGGAGGCTGAGGTGAAAGGATCACTTGAGCAGGGGAGGTGGGGGCTGTAGTGAGCCGAGATCGAGCCACTGCACTCCAGCCTGGGCACCAGAGCGAATATCTGTCTCAAAAAATAAAACAAAATAATAGAAATTATGTATAATAATAAACATTTTCATTACATCTATTTCTAGTTATATTTTATGACCAGTGATCTTGTCTTCCATTTGGTTTCATGCTGGGAATTTTCCTTTTTAAACACATTTCTAAGTCTTTCCTTGACGCTTGTCAGAAAGGAAATTCACCTTCTAGTCTGGAGTTCATCCTAAGATGTCATCTGAAGAGCCAGCATACAAACAAGCGGCCTTTGTGGATCGGTGCCAGATGCGCTCTTCCATTCTACTGAGAGGGGGGTGTTTCCATTCCCTTCCCTATGGTATTCTATGGAAGAGCTGAGCTACATTCTAAGAACCTCGCTTGAGCATCTTTACCCAACTCCACTTTTTGTCCATAGCCTTAAGTCCTTCTCACATTCTGTTTGACACATTCCAAACCCACTGTAAATGCTTGTGGAATGGATGAACAAGTGAACAACGGGCTTAAAAAGGAGAGGGGAAGGGACAGTCAGTGGCGTGGGGCTGAGGCAGTCCAGCATATGCAACTAGCAGGAAGTTAAAGATTTCTGGGGGGGGTCAGAAATACCGATGGTCCCGAAGTTAATAAGACTTCTACCCTGGGCTGTGTTTGCGTGGGCATGGCCAAGGTCGGCTCCAGGACTAACCAGCCAGCCCCCTTCTGACTGTCGTCTTCCCTCCGTACCTCCAGTCATTCATTTAGTCTGCTCTTGGTCTTGCTCAGAGATAGGAGTCAGTCACCTATTTTGTTTCCTTATTATGTCTTCAATCATACACAGCTGTACACAAAAAAATATGTGACCCGTTAAACACATCTGAGTGGCCACCATGTGGGAGAACCGAATGAAACATAACCAGCTCCCTAGGAGCCCACTGTGCCAGACTGTATGGCCACAAAAATATCTCCCATCTCTCGTGCTGTGATAAAAGTTGCCCCGTTCACACCGAGACCTGCGATTTAATCTCCCTCCCACGCTTGAATCTGAAAAGGCTGTGACTCACCTCTAATCAATAGAGTATGACACAGTTGACTCAACATGACTTCTGAGTCTTGCCTATGAGAGGTGATGCAACATTCACCTTGGATATGGAAAAGTGCCGCTTGGAGCCTGAGTCATGAGGTCGGAAGCCTGACTACTGGGAGGCCCACCCTGCTGTGAGGAAGCCAAAGGCCACGGAGTGGTAATACGGAGGCCCTCCACTCGCCAGGCCTAGTCTTCCAGTCCTCTCCATGCAGGCACCAGGGATGTCAGTGAATGAGCCTTCAGATGGTTCCAGTCCCCAGCCAGTCAGGTTTCTGCAGCTGAGGTCCCAGACTCATGTGAAGCAAGCCATATCCACTGTGCCCTTTCTGAATTCCTGCCTCTGAAATTCCATGCATATGATACAACGCTCGTCATTGTATGGACTCACTGTGGGGCTGTTTGTTACACAGCAAGAGGAACAGGAATGCAGGACACCCTCCCCTCCCCCCACCCCCACTCAAAGCCATTCCTCCTCCATAGAGTTAAACCCTAATCTGATGCTGGCTTAAATTATTTCACTGCCTAATTCATGGTTTTCCCATGTGTATGGACGCCCCTAAACAATGCGGTTTCATATTGTCTGGGTGCCTTGATAGGAGGAGTTTTGGGGGCCTGAAATTGAGAAAACAAGCATTCATGGATCAGGTAGTCAAGGCAAGGCACTGTGTTTACCCCAAGAACAAACACTCTGTTAGCTGTTAACATTCTTGAGGAAAGAGCAAGTTGAGGAATGGGGTTTAATCTACTCGATACCGGTTATACAGCGAGCAGGCGGCAGGTCCAGGATTCAAACACAGGTAGTGTGTCCCCAGAGGCCAAATGTGTAAACCCTCTGCTAATTCCCCTCATCAAAAGGTAGGGGACCCTGGGGAAGCTTTCTCTACTACAAAAGCCAGAGTCACCACCACCTTCTGAAATAATCTGAGACCAAGTACCTTCAAAAACCAAGCCTTGCCATACATAGCCAAGCCGGACTTTATAGACACACCAACACACATAGTTTCCTAGAAGGTATTTACTGATTTCTATATACTTAACACATGTACAAGACAGGTATTTCAAAAGATTAAAGAGGGCAGACAGTGCGCAGATGTCTTTCTCATTCCTGTGTGCACAGATGTCTTTCTCATTCCTGTATCCCCATCTCCTTACCCAGAGACACTTCCCAAACAACAAGCGAAATAGTAACAGCTTTCGCTGTTACAGGAAATAAAGAGTAATGAGGTATGTAACACGACCAAATCTTGAAATATATCATTTAAAAACCAGTAAATAGCATAACTCGAATCTAAGCAGTGAAAATATGAACGTCTACCTGAAACTCACAGGTGCGGGAGCCCACGCACACCATAATCAATGGAAGACGTCCTAGCACATGTTTACAAACTGGTTGTGTGTTGCCGTCCTACACACCAGAGGCAAAGCGCTGAAAACAACAAGCCTGTTCACAATAGCACCAGGAACGTACAGTACACAGGAATCATCTGCAGGTGATTTGTGACAACTGTAGGCAGAACAGTAAAAGCGAGAGATACAATGGATGGTTTGAAAAATCAGAGACACTCTTCTTCCTTACCGAATTGCAAGATTAACGTTGTACTACGCAGACAAAGGTGTGTTCAAGATTTGGATCGTAAGCGAGTTCACTGAAAACTAGCGGAGGGGAAGGGCAAATACTGGAAGGGAATCCCCGGTGTGACCAGGCCAGAAACACCTCTTTCACAGCATGGGATCTGTGCAGGTACTCGGACGCTCCCCGCAGGGCCGCCCGGGCCGGTTTCAGGCGGGCTTGCGGCCCCAATCACTGCTCCTGTTCGCGGGGACAGGCAGGGGCTGACTGGGAGGACGTCTTGTGGATGGCCTTGTGCTCCTCGGCGGCCTCCTCCCCCGGGTCGCCACCGCCGACCTCCTCGATGACCACGCTGCGCACGGTGCCCTCGTCCAGGCAGTGCGGGGCGACGCCGTACACGCGGGGGTCAGAGACAGCTGCGTGGAAACTCTGCACCCCGCACCTGCTGCAGAAGCTGTGCAGCGCCGGGTGCGTGTTGGACCGATAGGTGACGATGCTTTCTGCGCCCTGGAGCAGCGTGAAGCGCGAGGCCGGGACGAGGAAGTGGCGGTGCTGCTTCTTCCTGCACAGCCTGCAGCTGCAATCCACGACGCGCAGATCTGCAGGGGCCCAGACCGCAAAGCGGACCGCGCCGCAGTGGCAGCCCCCGGTGTGATGCACGAGGCCCGGGTACTCGAAGGTGTCCAGCAGGACCTTGGCGGCGCCCTCGCAGCTGAGGCCCCGCAGCTTCCTGAACGTCTCCCAGCGCTCCCGCTGTGCGCCCAGGTCCAGATCCTTGGGGGACGGGGCGGGCCCCGGCGGGTCCGGGGTTGGCGCGGAGGGCAGCAGGTCTCTGGGGCCCGCCTTCCGGACCCGCCGCCAGCGGCGCTTCCGTCGCCACCTACCCAGCCACCTCTTGGCCGCCGCGTGGCTCCCGACCCCGACTTGGACCCGGGGGCACTGCGCGCGGCTGGCGCCCGTGACCGCGATGGCCGCGCAGGCGGCGGGAGGATCCCCGGGCCGCTTTCGCCTCCGCCGCTGAGCAGTGGCGCGGTTCCTCACTCTGCCCATGGCGCCTGCAGCCTCCGGAGCGCGTGCCCACACCCCACCCTCATTTCCCCGTCAGTCGCTGAGCAGCCTCCTTGCCTGCGCCAGCAGGATTGGCCCCTTGTTGAATGCGATGTAAAGAGACCCTTCCCTTGACCCTATCACAACAGCCTTCGCTGGCCTGAAAGGCAGTCATGAGGCGTTCAGCAAACACCTGCCGGGCACCAGATACCCTCACCTGGGCGCTGGGATGTGGAGATGCATCAGGCTTTCCAAAGCACTCACATTCATTTAGGATCAGGTGTATGCAAATACAGTCCCCAACACCTTGGGACACTTTGCTCTGACAGAAATAAGAACCAGGGGCTCTGGGAACAGAGAGGAACGCCCACACACTGTAATTGGAGGGGCGTGTGGGAGGGGCACGGAAAGACTCTTCTAAAGTCTTCTTGGGGGCTTGATTCTTTTATTCGGCTGTAGCGTTTTATTTTTCTTGTAATTTTCGTTGCGATGAAGTCCTCTTTACCTAATGTTGACATACCTACTTCTGCTGTTTTAATTAATGTTTACCTGATGTGACTTTTCCCACCCGTTGTATCCTTTTCATTTACCCAGGGCGACCGAAGTGGAACTGAGTTTCATATAAACATGGGATAATCAGACCGTGTTTCTCACTGACTCTGCCAGTATCTACCTTTTCATACATGTTTCTAGTTCATTTCCATGATCTCTGGGCTAGTGTTTAGGTCCACAGATTTATTGTTTGTTTTCTTTTGTTTCCTCCGTGTCTCGGCTAACCGAGACCTCCTTTTTTTGCCCTTCTGTGGCTTACGTGTACACCTTGCAGGATTTATCCTGATTTCCGAAAGTGTTTTCGAGTGTTTGGCTTTGTAAAATTGTCTCAGTGGTTGCTCTGGGATTTTCAGTGTGCATATGTGACTTACCACAGGCTCCTGGTATCCAGTTCTCATCACTTCCATTGAAGTGTAGAAGCATCAGCCCCTTTTAGCCCCTCTGCCTTCCTGCTTGTAGACAACGTTGTCTGGAGTATCGGATGGTTTCATAGTTTTTGCTTTAATCGTCAAACATGACTTCCACAATTCACAAGGAAAACGGTGGCTTAGTGTTTGTCCCCTAAGGGTGTTTTTTCTACTGGTCTTGACTCCTTTCTGATAGATACTTCCAGAGGCCATCTTTTATTCTTTCCTCTTTTGTTTCAAGCACCTACTCTAGCCATTCTTTCACCGTGGGTCTGCTCGTGACAAAATGCTTTCCTTTACCTGAGAATGTCTTGATTTCCCCTTCGTCCATGAAGGATGGTATCACTGGATACAAAATTCACAGCTGACAGGACTTTTGTTCAACATCTGAAACTTTTCGGGACACTTCCTGATGACCGCCACTGGTCAGAGGAGACATTTGCCCTCATTAAAACTGGTGTTCTCCTATAATCAATGAACCACTTCGGTCTTGCTGCTTTCAGTGATTTTATCAGCTTCAAAAACTGACTATGATGTGTGTGTTGGTGTGAATCGCTTTGTGGTTGTCTTATCTGAAGTTTGCTCGTTTTCCAGAATCTATGGGTTTATGGTTTTCACTAAAATTTGGATATTTTCAGCCTTCTTTTCTTATACTCCTCTTTCAGTCCACTCTCTACTTTTGGTACTCCAGTCGTAGGGATATTGGAACTTTGTTATTGTCCTAACTTCGCTGAGGATCCATTCAGCTTTTAATCAGTCCACGATCTCTCTCTCTCGCTCAGGCACAGTCAGTCCTATTTTCTGTTTGTTTGTTTTGTTTCTTGAGGAAGAGTCTCGCTCTGTCACCTAGGTTGGAGTGCAATGGCGCAATCTCCGTTCACTGCAACCTCTGCCTCCCGGGTTCAAACGATTCTCCTGCCTCAGCCTCCCAAGTAGCTGGGATTACAGGCGCCCACCACCACGCCAAGCTAATTTTTGTATTTTTAGTAGAGACAGGGTTTCCCCACGTTGGCCCGCGGTGATCTGCCCGCCTTGGCCTCCCAAAGTGCTGGGATTACAGGTGTAAGCCACCATGCCCGGCCGTCAATCTTATTGATTGGGCCTCCATTACGATGATGGTATCTTTTGTCATCACAGGTCTCTTACCGAGTGCATCCAGCAATGTTTCCAAATTCTGTTATTGTTTTCGTTTTCTGTTCCATCATTTCTTTTTTATACATCTTCTACTCATTGCTGAGATTTTCCATTTTCTAGTCTGGTTCCAGACTATTTGCAATTACATAATGAAGCATTTTTATGATGGTTGCTGTAAAATGTTTGTCAGATAATGGCAACATCTGCGTCGTCTCTATGTTGGTACCACTGGATTCTATTTCCTCATTCAAGCTGTGTTATTCCTGGTTCTTCACATGGTGGGCTATGCTCTATGGCATACAATGTATTTTGCTTGTTACTTTAGGAGTCTCTGGACAGGAGACAAATATTTGATGTTAGAAGTCAGCTACTTTCTTTAGGTTTAGCATGTAGATTCTGGTGTCCATTTTTAGGTTCTGGGATTTTTAAAAAGTTTATTTTCAGAGCATTTGCGGTGCTATTTTTGTGTGTTTGGCTTACCTGCCGACACAGCAGCCCCAACTGCTCCCTACTGGTGGTATTTGAGAGGCAGAAAAAAACTAAAGTCCACACTTTATTCCAGGTTTCCTACTTACTTCCTACCTAATATCATTTTTTTTTTCTGTTCCAAGATACCATGCAGCCTACCACACTACATTTAATCATCATACTGCCTTAGGTTCCTCTTGGCTGGGACAACTTCTCAGACTTTGCTTGTTTCCATGACCTTGAGAGTTTTCAGGGTCACTAGTGAGGTATTTTCTAGAATATCTTTTTTTTTTTCTTTTTCTTTTTCTTTTCTTTTTTTTTTTTTTTTTGAGACAGGGTTCCTTGCTTCCCAAAGTACATGGGACTACAGGCATGCGCCACTATGCCCGGCTAATTTGTGACTTGTGTGTGTGTGTGTGTGTGTGTGTGTGTGTGTGTGTGTGTGTGTGTGTGTTTTGTAGAGACAAGGTTTTGCCATGTTGCCCAGGCTGGTCTTGAACTCCTGGACTCAAGTGATCTGCCTGCACCGGCCTCCCTAGAATATTTTTCAACTCAAGTTTTTCTAATGCTTGTCTCATGATTAGACTGATGTTGTGAGCTACCGGAGAATCACCACAAAGGTAAAGAGCTGTTTTCGTCTGATCGCATCAAGGGTACATAATATCAACATCAGTTTTGATTGTGTAAGTTGACCTTGGTCACCTGGCAGAAGCAGTGTTGGACAGGGTGCTCCCATGAAAAGTTGCTCTTTTAACCCCTGTCCACATGCTACTCTTTGGAAGGAAGTCATTAAGCGAAGTTCACACCTAACTGGTGCTAAGTTTTAAATCCTTTCTTTGAGGCAGAGTATCTACATACATTCTTTGGAATTCTCCTTCATGGCACAGCTATCTATGCTCCTGCATTTATTTCCTTATTCAATCGTTTATGTATATCATGATACTTTCACGGATATTTACTTGATACTTTAGATTATAATCCAATACTTTGCTATTTCTTTTTCATTATTATCATTCTTGCAGTTGTGGCCACTGGGTGCACGTTCAGTTCACCCCTAGGTCCCGTTGGTATGCTCCCATTATTTGGGGCTCCATTTTGTGTAATTCCTTGCTTTGTGGCTCATCCTGCACATTTCTGTCTTGCATATGTTCTAGGCTGGTCTGGCCTATTTACTAGCTCCTAGGATCAGCCAATTCTCCAAGGATTTCTGTTTCCTTTTATTAGAAAATGGTATCAGAGACCAACGTCTGGCAACTAGGTGTGCTCGTAGCTGCCAGAGTCTAGTGGTTCCTAGGCCCTCTCTGCTGAAGCAGAAAGGAAATACGTATGTATGTATACTAACCCACGTATGTACACATTTCTATAAATATTTTGATACATGACCATGAGGATCTATAATAAGCTGAATATGAGTTCCTACCCATGTCTGCAACTCTATTCCATTGCAGCACGAATCATTCTTGCCCCTGCCACATTACGATCTGCACCTCCCTCTCCAGCAGTGAAAAACCTGCCTCTCACCCTCCACCATCCATTTACTCATTGCAGTTCCAGTACACATGGAGAACGGTGTCAGATTTTTCAACCTGTGTCCATACCGGCAACAGGTTTGTCTAGTCGAGTATGCTGCATATGTACAATTGCCTTTGTCTTTAGCCTTACACACTTCTTTCATTTCCAAAGTTGCTTAGATCAGCACTTTGTACTTCACAGCCTTCAGTGAAGCTTTTCATTCATTGGTAAGGTTAGAACCTTTTGTCACATTCTGCATTTCAACCTGATAGTTCCCTACCTCCCTAATGATGTCTTAAAAGATTAAACACGTTAAGTTTCATTCTGTGTCCTGTCAGTTTCCACGGATTCTGACAAATGCTTTGTCTCATACAACCATCATTAGGGTATCTCACCCTGTCCTCACACAGAGACAGCTATTTTTATTTCCTCTTCTTCGGAGGACACGAACCCTATCATAAAGACTCCACCCTCATGACCTCATAACCTCAAACCCCATTACCTCCCAGAGGCCTCACTTGCAAATACCATCACACTGGGAGTCGGGACTTCAACACGTGAATTTGGGCGGGAAGCAAACATTCTGTCTATAACGCACATGATGGTTTCACTGCCCTAAAGCATTACCTGTGCTTTACCTACTCATGTCCTCCTGTAAAAGTCCCCTCCACATAGCTTGCCTCCTTCTACTCATCCTTTTGAATAAAGTTTCTCTTTACTAATCCTGGATTTGTATTTTGTTTGACAACACGTACGTTTTGAAGCAAACTGGGCAAACACTTAATAGCGAGAATGCTGGACCACCAGTGTGGCAAGACTATTGAGCCTTGTTAAGGACCAAGCAGACTCTCTTCCAAATTTGCTGGAAGATAGAGACTTCCCACTTTACATGAATGGACGTTCCTGTTCTGCATCCTTGGCAGCAGTTGGTTTGTCAGTTTGGGGGTCTTGGCCGTTCTGTTAGATGTGTAGTGTCATGTAATTATTATTTGAGTTTGCATTTATCTATCAATGCCAAATAACAGTAAACATTCTTTCACATGCTCATTTATCACTTCCAAATCTTTGGTGAGGTGTCTGCTCAGACCTTTAGCTCATTTTTAAATTGGGTTATTTGTGGTTGTTTGGTTTTTGAATGTCCACAGTTTTTTGAATATTTGGAATCAAGTCTTTTCTCAGATATCTCTTTGAAAATATTTTCTTTCAGTCCTTAGGTTATCTTTCTTCCTTAACAGTAATGTCTTCCACACAGCAGAAGTTTTAAGTTTTAACAAACTCCAAATAATTGCTTTTTGTTCACAGACTCTGTGGTAGGGTTTGTGACTAAAACCCCATCAGGAAACACAAAGACATGTTGATGTTTTTCCTGTGTTTTCTTCCCTGTGTTTTATATTTCTATATTTCTTTTTTTATTTTATATATATTGTTTGTTTGCTTGTTTTGTTTTGTTTTGAGACAGAGTCTCGTCCTATCGTCCAGGCTGGAGTGCAGTGGCGCGATCTCGGCTCACTGCAACCTCTGACTCCCAGGTTCAAGCGATTCTCCTGCCTCAGCCTCCCGAGAAGCTGGGATTACAGGCGTCTGCCACCATGCCCGGCTAATTTCTTTTTGTAGTTTTAGTAGAGACGGGGTTTCACTATGTTGGCCAGGTTGTTCTCGAATGATTGACCTCGTGATCCACCTGCCTCAGCCTCCCAAAGTGCTGGGATTACAGGCGTGAGCCACCGCGCCTGGCCTATAATTTATATTTTTATATTTCATGTGCTTTATAATTTGAATTTTACATACGGGACTTTGGTCCTTTTTGAGTTAATTTTTGTTAAAGTGTAAGTTCTTGGTCTAGGTTAATGTTTTTTCCATATGGGCCCGAAATCTCCCACCACCATTTACTGAAAAGGCTATCCTTTTCCCATTGTATTGTGCACGTGCCTTTGTCAAGGATCAGTTGAGAAATATTTCTGCAGTTCGATTATTGGGCTTGCTAGTCTGTTGCATTGAACTGTGTGTGTATTCTTAGTAAATGCCACCCTGTCTTGATTACTGTAGTTTTATAGTAGGTCTTAGAATCGCATCTTATGACTTTTGCAACTCCATTCTCCTTTTTTTAGAATGGCTTTTCTATTCTAGCACATTTGTGCTTCAGTACGAAATTTCGAGTCAATATGTTGATATCTACAAAGTGAATGCTGTAATTTTGATTGGGATTCTGATGTTACAATAGATCAGTCTCAGAGGATTTGAAATCTTCTAACAATTACAAATCTTCCAGTCCGTATATATGACATCTCTCTCCACTTATTCAGATCTTCTTTGTTTTTTCTTTCCTCATCAATATTTGTAGTCTCTGCAAGCAGATCCTATGCCTGACATTTAGATTTAGACCTAAGTACTTAATAGGTACTTAAGTTGCCCTTTAAAAAAATCAAATTCTCATTGTTCACTAGTCATATACAGCTAAACAGTCATCATCAATATATCGATTGTGTCCTGTGACCTTGAGAACCTCATTTATTAATTCAGCAGTTTGTTGCAATTCTTTGGAGTTTTCTACATAGATAACCATATCCCCTGTAAGCAAAAAGTCCCTCTTTCTTTATGTTGTTGTCTCTTCAGGTTTTACCTGGGCATTGGTAGCCTCTCTTAGCATATGGATCATATGGCTTTTAGAACTGCTTTTTGCCCTAGGCTTTACAATATACATATTTACCTATCCCAGTCCACCGTCCAGTAACAGTACATCACTTAATGTGCAGTGCAGCTACCTAACCCGACAGAATTCCCAATTAACCCCTCATGAACTTATCCGTATGCTATATAGTCACCAAATACATTGTCAGTATTATTTTAAACAAACCGTGTTCCTTTAGACCTTGCAAGAATAAGCAACAGAAAAGGTGCGATTTTACCTCCACTTGTTCCTTCACTGATTCTGGCCCTGCCTTTATGTAGATTCAAGTGTCTCATCTATCTTATTTTCCTTCTGCCTTTTAACATTTCTCCCAGAGCAGAGTTTCTGAAGGTTAATTTGCTTGATTTTAATTTGTCTGAGAAAGTCTTTGTTTCCTGTTCACTTGCTAATGATAATTTTGCAGGACATACAATTCTAGCTAGGTGATATTTTTCTTCACTCAACACTTTAGTATTTCAGTCTACGCTCTTCTTTTTTCGTGGGTTCTGACGAGAAGTTGGCCATAATTTTCTTCCATGTTCCTCTACCAGTAAGGTGTTTTTATTGAGGTTTTCAGACTTTCTCTTCCTCTTTAGTTTTCTGCAGTTTCACTATGTCTAGACGTGAGTTTGTGTTGTGTGTGTGTGTGTGTGTGTGTGTGTGTGTGTGTGTATTTGGTATATATGCTGCTTGATATATGCTGAGAGATTCCTGACTCTGTGCTTTGGTGTCTGTTATTAATTTTGACAGCGCTAGGCCCTTATTGCTTCCAACGTTTATTCTGCTCTGTTCTCTCTGTCTTCTTTCTCTGTCTGGGATTCAGATTAATAGGTCGAACCTTTTGCAATTTTCACACAGTAAGATGTTCAATTCCATTTCTTCCCCTCTTTTTCCTCTTTGCATTCCGTTTTGGAAAGTGTCTGTTGTCCTCTGACCTTTCAGCATGCTTTCCAATTCTTACCTTTGTTGTGCTGACTCTACTGATGAGCTTCTGGAAGACATTCGTCATTTCTGTTAGTGTTTTTGATTTCTAGTATTTCCTTTTAATTCTTTCTGAGAATTCCCATCTCTCTCTCCCTTTGTCCTCCCACTTGAATCTGAGGCTAACAGAGTGCTCCTGCTCAGGGAGAGCCTGTGTCTTGCAGCACGTTCAGTTGTAACCCGCCGTTATTTCCCTGGAGCCTGGTTGTAGTGGTGGTAAGGTGTAGGGGCAGGAAAGCATTCCACAGCTTTATGACTGGATCTCTGCCTTTCAATGGGACTGTGTCTCTGGGCTGTGACCTTGACAAGTGTTTCTCCAGTGGTATTACCCTCTCCCCATGTCCGTGGTCCTTTCCCTGGCTTCAGCATTCCCAAATAATACCTTTACACACTTGAGCCCTCTTGATTTGTTTTTCCCCCACAGGTGACACTGGAAGCCTGGAGGGGCAGACGATGGAGGAATACCCTTCCTGCACCTAAGATAAGGCTTTGGTCAAGTCTTTTGCTCTGAAGACTGGGCCTTTGTCTTGGAGAAGGCACTGGGAGTATTTGACAACGATTACTCTTCCTCTCTCCCAGCCAGAAAAACCACGGCGTCTTTTTCAGATCTTCACCATGAAAACCCATGTGTTGAGCCAAAGGCCATGAACATGTGGATGCCCCTGAGACTGCGGGCCCCCAGCGTATTCTCACACTAATGCCAGTCCACACACAGCCTCAAGCACTTCATCGTATTTACTACTGAAGCACTCCTACAGGCTTCTGTCTGCAGAAGCTGCTGATTCAGGTAAGCAGATCTCAGCTGTGACACTGGATTTGACAGTCTCTCAAGATTCCAGGGTGGTGTCTTGCTGTCCCCTCTTGGTTCTCTGATGAGTCCAAAAGATACCTGAATCCATTTTCCAGCATTTTCTTGTTGTAAGGATGGGATTGGTCATTTGTCTATTTACACATAGAGCTGAAAGTGGAAGTCTCATTTGTGGCCATTTTTGAAACATGTCACAATCAGAATAAGTCTATGGCTTGCAAATATCTTGCCAAGTCCTAGGAGAAGCCGATGACAGTTGAAAGTAGTTGTCGCAGGGAGCCAGCAGGAGAAGTAGGTGTGTGTGGTGGGGGTGGGAGGTTTTCAGAACCAAATGACTTCTGTTCTCATTGAATGCAAATTACTATTACATTGTTTAGTAATGTAATTACTAAAAGGTATGACTGTTTAACTCTTAAAATCCTATATATATATAATATATATATTATATTATATATTATATATTATATATATTATATATAATATATATTATATATTATATATATATAATATATATATTATATTATATATTATATATTATATATATTATATATAATATATATTATATATTATATATAATATATTATATATATAATATATAATATAATATATATATTATATATATATACGATTTGAGAAAATTAAATAATGGACAGTGCATTTTATGTAGAAATTGTCTAGAAATTTTGCATGAAGGAATGCACAGAAATTGTAAACATAATTTGAAGGTTAAATAAATGCCCTCAAATGCATACAATTTCTAAAACTGTTATTACCTCTTGCTTGCTGGTTGATGTCAGCTGTCAGTATTACCTCCTCACTAGGCATGCATTGCCTAGGATCACAGCAGCTTTACACACCAATTGGCCAGGGCGATGATGTTAAAATCGGCCTCTGCCAAATCATGAGGAGGCAATGACGTAGAAGGGGACCTTATCCCCATTTCACAAATGGAGAAACCAAGGCTAAAAGAGACTAAGTAACTTGCTGAAAGTCATACACTATGTAAGTGGTGGATCTGGGACAGTCTCCCAAGCTGTGTCTGACATCAGCACCCATGTCCTTTCTGGTATACTTCTCTGCCTATCCAAGGGTGGGCAGCATTTTGAATTGTCACACCTTTTTCGGATAATGGTGTTCTTTTTTTGTTTTCTTTTCATCTGAGCTTGGAAAAAAAGTACTCACAAATACACAAGTAGAGATGAATACAATCATCTGATACTTTTTAGAAAATAAAAACCCATAAGCCTCATTAAATTGACTTAGAAGCTGGAAACAAAGATAAAAATCTTCCAAATTTATTTACTGAAAGTAGCCTGATACCAAAATCTGGAAAAGACAGTACATGCACAAGGGACCCCAGGTGCGCACGGGCACACAGGCACGCACACACACACACACACACACACACACAAACACACACACTCACAGGCATGCACACGCAGAGAGAAATATGGATCTATATCACTTATGAAATCTATCACTAATAAATTTCATTTTGTGCCCCTAAAGTTTCAGTGGATAAATAGCAATGATATGTAGAAAACCTACCACACATCTGGTAGGTTTTTTACTCATGAGAAGATGATGTCATATTTAGAAATATATTGTTAGTCCATTATATTGATAGGTCCAAGGAGAAAAAACATATCATCTGAAATGTTGCTGGAAAAAAAAGAAAAAAACAGGCTAAAATTCAATCTGTCTTCGATAAGCTCTGTTCAGTCTTTCTTAGCTCTTGTCTACTAAATCTGTGTTGGGTTGGCAGAATTATGTTAAAATCCTCTAATACCACCTATCCACAATCCCTTACCTGAAAGTCTTGGGACCAAATGTTTTAGAATTCATAAACCATACTTTACATAAGAACCATGGCAGGGTCTGGACTAGTGAGCTGAACCCGATAAAACAATATTTCCACTGAGAAATGTAAATATTTTTACCCAGAAAGATAAGACCCCAAAAGACTACAAACAACATCATATCAGCTCAGGTCATGTTTTATGGACAAACGAGTCAGGAAAAATAATTGGTTTACACAACATTCGGGATTTTAGATGTGTAGTAGTATATAGAACATTGGTGGCACCCCAGAAACCTGTATTATGTCCCTATCTAGTCATCACCCCTGAAAGTATCCAGGTTTCTGATCTCTGTCAGTGTGGTTATTTTTTTGTCTGTTTTAAAACCCTACACAAACAGAATTATAAATCATGGACATTTTTATGCCTGGCTTGTTTTGCTGCTTAATACTCTTATTTTGAGGTCTACCCATGCTGGTGCATGTAGAGATGTTTGCTTGTGTTATTGTTGTATAATGGTCTGTTGTATGAATATACCACAATCTATTGATCGATTCAACTGTGATGAGTCCTTCAGATTGTTTTCTGGTTCTGACTCACATCAGTGATGATGCTGAGAATGTCTTCATTCATGACTTATGGAGAAGATGCTTATGCATTTCTGTTGCATATATTCTTGGATTGTGTGGTAGTCAGCATTCTATGATGACTCCCATTGACCCTTGAATTTTCGAGTCCCCTTCCATTGAGTTGGGGTGGAAACTGTGCATATGACAGGATATTACTCCCATGCTTATATTACTTTTTTTTTTGAGGCGGAGTCTCGCTCTGTCGCCCAGGCTGGAGTGCAGTGGCACGATCTCAGCTCACTGCAAGCTAAGCCTCCCAGGCTCACGCCATTCTCCTACCTCAGCCTCCCGAGTAGCTGGGACTACAGGGTGCCTGCTTTTAGTAGACTTATATTACTTTTAGGGCAAGAAGATTTTGCAGATGGAATGAGGGTCACAATCAGTTGCCCTTTAAGATAAGGAGATTATGTGGGGTGGGCCAGACCTAATCGGATGTGCATTTACAAGGGTCTAGGTTTTTGCTGAGAGATTTGAAGCAGAGAAAGCGTTTGGAGGGGGCACATGACAAGGAACTGCAGGTGTCCTCTAGGAGATGAGTGCTGTCCCCCCGCTGACAGCCAGCAAGAGAAGGGGACCTCAGTCCTCTAGCTGCAGGGCACTGAATTCAGCTGCAACATGGATGGGTCAGCAAGGGCATCGTCCCCAGATACTCCAGAAAAGAACACAGCAAGTCTAACAGCATCCCACCCTGTGAGACCCTGAGCTGAGAGGCCAGTGACGCAATGCACAGACTTCTGACCTACGTGACTGTGAGCTAATGAGTGTTGGTTTAAGCTGCTAAGAGTGCAGTAATGTGTTCTGCACCAACAGAAAACCAGTATAGGTTTTGGTACCTGAATGTGCGGTGCTACACTGTGTATTATTCAGGGTTCTCCAAAGACACAGAACCAATAGGATAGATATAAATGTACAAGAGGTGATTTATTAGGGGGATTGACTCACGTGATGATGGAGGCTGGCTCAGTCCAAGTCCCGCAGCCTCAAAAGCAGGGAAGCTGGTGTTTTAATTCTCAGGCCGAAGCTGAAGGCTTGAGAACCCATTGGGCCACTGGTGTAAGTCCTGGAGTCCCAGTGCCAGAGAGTCTGAAGTCGTGATGTTCAAGATCAGGAGAGGGAGAGTGTCTTAGCTCTGTGAGACAGAGAGAGAGAGAGAGGGGAAGGGGAAGGGGAAGGAGAAAGGGAAAAGGATGGGGAAGGGGAAGGAGAAGGGGAAGGGGAAGGGAAGAAATCCTTTCTTTTCCTTTTTTTGTTCTCTCCAGGCCCCTGGCTGACTGGATGATGCCTGCCTTTGTCAAGGGCGAATGTTGGCCACTCAGTCCACTGACTCACATGACAATCTCCTCTGAAAATACCCTCACAGACACAGCCAGAAGTAATGCCTTACCAGTTCTCTAGGTATTCCTTGGTCCAGTCAGGTTGACACGTAAAATTAACCATCACACACTGCAAACACCTAAAAGTGTGACTGTGGCTTTGGAACTGGGTAGTTGGCGAAGGCTGGAAGAATTCTTAAGTGCACAAGATAGAATGCCTAAATCGCCTTGGGAAAGGTTTCATTGCCATGGACAGACAGTTAGTAGAAGTCTGACTTTTCAGGACACTGCTGATGAGGGTTCAGAAGGAGGGAGGAACGCGTCATTGTAAACTGGAGAAAGGGAGATCCCTGCTAGGTAGTGGCCGAAAGTTTAACAAGATTATTGCCCACAGTTTTGTGGAAAGAAGAAAAATATAAACGACAAACTTGGATATATGGCCGAGGCAGTGGGTGGAGGTTGGCAGGATTTGGGGAGCCTAAGAGAGAAACCAAGGTTGCCTTGAGCAGACAGTCAGTACAAATCTGGAATTTAAAATATCTGCTGCTGGGAGCTCTCCAACAATAAGGAGGACTTTCGGGAGACCCTACATTGCCTCTGAGAAGGCCAAAATCACGGTGTACAGACTTCTAGTACAAATGTGAACTTGAAAGTTTCCCACTGTAAGGGCTGCAGAAGGAGTGAGGAGCATGTTGCTGGAAACTATGGGAAGGGGGAATGTCACTAGAGAGTGGCAGAGAGCTTGGCAGGATTGTATTCCACGGTAATGGGGAAAGGGGGAAAGCTGAACTTTAAAATTATGAAGTTATATTTATTATATTGCTGAGGACCCTTCCAAGCAAATTGCGGAAGGAGTGGCCTGCTTACTTCTTGATGCCAATATAGAAAGTGAAAGGTGAAAGAGAAATTGTGGGAAGAGATGTTAAACAAAAGGAACAGGGATGGGATGATTTGGGAAATTTTCAGGCTATGTAGATGTTGGGGGGGGGGGAGGGGCGGGACTTCAGGACTTATTCCAGTGGCCCAGTGGGTTTTCAGACCTTCAGCTCTGGACTGAGAATTACGACATCGGCTTCCCTGGTTCAGAGGCTTTGGGACTTGGACTGAGCCATGCTAGAGGAATCCCTGTGGGGGTGGGGTTGGGGGCGCTAAATGAAGAGAATGCTTCTGAGTGTGTGGCCTAGGGAGAACTCAGAGAGTGTGGCTGTTCAAGGTTCAACGTTTGCTGAGAGCTCAGTAAGGCCAACAGTCCAGAGTATTCAGTCCCACAAAAAACCCCTTTCAGGAAGCTAAAGATGTGCCTCAGAGATTGTCTCAACTATATCAGCAGGCCTCTGGGAAGCTTAAGGGTGCTGTCTCTCCATCATCTCCGCAATAACCGCAAATGAAGAAGGCAGTATCTTGAACAAATGGGCGACGCGGCTTGTGTGTAATACAGTGAATGCCAGTAAAATCCACATGAATCACACAAGGTTCTTGAGAAACTTCAGGTAGCAGAAATACTGTCAGCCTGGACCATCTGCATTATTGACTATTGACATTTGGGGTCAGATAATTCTTGTGGGAGGCTGTCTTGTTCTTTCAGGGGGTTAAGTCTCATCCCTATCCTGGATCCACTGGATGCCAGACCCACTGGCCTCAAAGGAAAAGAGAGACGGGCTGTGGGACCCCTAAGATGCTAAGGGCAGGGAGCAGGCTGATACGACTACTCAGCTGCACACACCTGCTACCATTCATGAAGAAGGAAACATGACCCAGGAGGAAGAACCAAGGGCCCACAGGCAGGACCGAGAGGTGCCGAGGATGTTCCAGGCTTTGAAACTTTATCAGAGAATTCTGGTGTTTTCCCAGTTGGATTTCCAGTCTGCTTTAGAATGCTAACACCTTCCTACCTTTCCTCTTCCCCTCCCCAGGCATCAAACCAGAATGTTTACAGCTGTTACCCTATGCCTCTCCCATCACTGTATTTTGGGAGTGTTAGAGGAAGATAGCTTGTCACTTTAGTGTCACCGACCCAAAGTTGGAGAGGGACTCTGTTCCCGGAGTTGTACTGAGTGGATCACACCCAGGAACATCATCCGTGCCTGATTTAGATGGTGGAGATGAGGAGAGTCAAGACTTTGAACTGATAAGATTTAGATGAACTTCAGGAATTGAGGTGATGCTGGAATATCATGAGAAATCTGGGATGGGGTGAAAGTATCTTGTATGTGAGACAGATGGATCCCTGGGGGCCAGAGGGCAAACTGTGGTGGGGAGAATTCCAAGGTTGACCCTAACTAACCTTGGCCTTGTATAACCCCCTCACTCTGAGTGTGAGAAGAGCCTGTGAATATGATGAGATATCCCTCCTGTGATTACGTCACATTATTTGTGGAAATAGATGTTGCAGATGTATCACGGTCCCGATCAGGAGACTTTCCCATAAGGAGGTTATCCTGGGTGGGCCAGACCTAATCAGGTGAGCTCTTAAAATGGCCTGGGCTCTTCCTGAGACATTCAAGTGTGAGAGGGTGTACGGGGTGGTCTACATGGCAAGGAACTGCAGGCGGTGCCTAGGAGCTGAGAGCGTGACTGAATTCTGCCCATAACCTGAATGAGCTGGGAATCGGATTCCTCCTCAGAGCCTCCGCAGAGAAACACTGCCTGGCTGAGCTTGATTTCACCCTGTGATACATGGAGCAGAGAACAAAGCCTCTGACCTACAGAACTGTAAGCTGGAAGATACACACTGTTTTCAAGCCACTAAGGCTTGGCAGCTTGTTTTGCAGGAATAGGCAACTAACACAGACAGAATTGCTGGCTTATAGAAAATGCACATGTTCAGCTTTCATAGCTATGGCCAAACAGTTTTCCAAAGTGCAAGTACCTGTTTACACTCTTGCCGGCCGTAGAGGGCTCTTCCACATCCTCACCAAGGCTTCATGTTGTTGCTTGTGTTGGCTCTTCTGTCAGGTGTTTGGGGAGATCTCATTGGGACTTTAGCTGACTTCTCCCTGGTGACTGAGGTTGAGCAGCTGTTTGTCTGTTTGTCTATTAGTCCGCTGGATGTCCTGTTTTGTGAAGGTGCTGTTCAAATATTTTGCCAATGTTTTGTTGCATTATTCTTTTCCCCTCTTGATTTTAGGGGGTATTACATTCTGTACATCAGACATTTGTGGTATATACATATGTATATTGCAAATATCTTTCTTCTATCATGAGATTTATCTTTTGATTCTCTAAATTCATCTTTTGATGAACAGAGGTCCTTCCTTTTGATAACGTAAAGATGAACAATGTTTTCCTTTATCGTTAGTGACTCTGTGTCCTATTTCAGATATCTTTGCTCACCCCCAAGGTCATGCAGATATGCTTATGCATTATTTTGTACAAGCCATAACCTCTGGAGTTAATCTTTGTGTATGGTGTAACTTAGGGGCCAATGTTAATCTTTTTCCATATGGATATCCAAATTAGTCCAGCTCCACTTATTTAATAGACCATCTTGCCTCCAGAGCATTGAGGTGGCACATTTTTTGTAAATGAGCGTGACCATATACGTATGTATGTGCACCTGTGTTTGTGGGACCCTCTCTTTGCTCTATTGGTCTATTTGTCTATTACTGTGCACGTACCACACTTCCTTAATTATGATACCTTTATGGTTGGTATTGCTATCTGGCTGTGAGGGTTCTAAAAAGTGTTCTTGCTTTAGAAGGCCTTGGCTTTTCTTGGATCTTGGACATCCTTATAGAACTTAGAAGTGGCGTGCCCATTTATTTCCCTTTTCAGAAAAAGAGCCGGGAATTTCACTGGGGTCACATTGAATCTATAAATCATTTTCATTAGAATTCTCTCTTCGGTTTACTTTCATGACATTGTCTTCCAGTCCATAAGTGCGATATAGCTCTGATTTACCTAGGTCTTCTTTAATTTCTCTCGAAAATGTTGTGTAGACTTCCGGGCAGAGGTCTTGGGAATCTTTGCTAGATTTGTTCCTAGGCATTTGATGTGTTCTGATACTATGAGAAATGACATTTAAAAGTTGTCTCTTTACATGTTTAATGCCAGGATATACAAATTCAATTGAATTTTGTGATATTGACCTTATACCCAGCAATATCACACTAAATTCATTTGTTAATTATAATCCTAGATATTCTTTTAGACTGTGTGTGTGCAACCATATGTGTGTGCGTGCGTGTGTACCATCTTTTGTGTCTCTTCTATATCTCTAAGAGCTGAGAAAATATTCTTCGAAGACTGTAAGCCAACAAACACCCATATCTCATGGATGGCAACTGGGAAAGGCCCATTTCAAAGCCAGTCACTGGTGGGGTAATGGGATTGCTTTGATGCAGTTAGTCAAACACGCAGCCCTTTGTATATCACATGCATTGTGGTATGAGGCACTGCTTTTCTTTATTTTCACCAAATATATGGAAATGATACCTCTGTTCAGAAAGGTGAAAATCAGGAGACAGGTGATGGTGGATTGATACTAGTAGAATACCCCTCCATGTAAGTCAGCTGAAATTACAAATCTTAAGGGACATGTGTTCTTAAGCACAGACTAATATGTGGAATATTTGAAAAACACTTGTAGAATGTGGTGGAAGAATTAACCTTTGAAATAAAATAGTTTCCTCCAACCATAGTCTTTTGGTGATTATGAGGTAAAAAACTGTAGCAGAAAATTTAACACACACACATATCAAATGTTTAGCAATTGTTATGGATCACTGGCAGGACTGCACATGAGTTAAATTTTGTTTCTGGCTTTTCTGAGTTATGTAAATACCCTACGACAGAGCTTGTCAACGTTGATGCTATTGACATTTTGGACGAGATAATTATAGCGCGTGGCCGTCTTGTGCTTTCAGGGAGTTAAGTAGCATCACTAGCCTGGATCCACTGGATGCCAGAAGCACCTCCTCTTTTCCCCAGTAACGATAAACAAAAATGTCTCCAAACATTGCCAGATGTTCCCTGGGAGGCAAAATGCCCCTGGATGAGAAGTGTTCCTCTACAGCAAATGAGATTTCTCCCAGGTTTACTGAGGTATGACTGAAAAATAAAACTGCGTATATTTAGGAAGTACAATGTGATGTTTCGATATGTGTATACACTGTGAAATGATTACCAAGATCAAGCTAATTAACATATCCATCATCTCACACAGTTACCCTTTTGTGTATGGTGTGAACACTGGAGATCTACTCTCTTAGCAAATTTCAAGTATGCAATGCATTGCTATTCACAGTAGTCACCATGTTGTACATATATATTTCTAAATATGACATCATCTTCTCATGAGTAAAAAACCTACCAGATGTGTGGTAGGTTTTCTACATATCATTGCTATTTATCCACTGAAACTTTAGGGGCACAAAATGAAATTTATTAGTGATAGATTTCATAAGTGATATAGATCCATATTTCTCTCTGCGTGTGCATGCCTGTGAGTGTGTGTGTTTGTGTGTGTGTGTGTGTGTGTGTGTGTGCGTGCCTGTGTGCCCGTGCGCACCTGGGGTCCCTTGTGCATGTACTGTCTTTTCCAGATTTTGGTATCAGGCTACTTTCAGTAAATAAATTTGGAAGATTTTTATCTTTGTTTCCAGCTTCTAAGTCAATTTAATGAGGCTTATGGGTTTTTATTTTCTAAAAAGTATCAGATGATTGTATTCATCTCTACTTGTGTATTTGTGAGTACTTTTTTTCCAAGCCCAGATGAAAAGAAAACAAAAAAAGAACACCATTATCCGAAAAAGGTGTGACAATTCAAAATGCTGCCCACCCTTGGATAGGCAGAGAAGTATACCAGAAAGGACATGGGTGCTGATGTCAGACACAGCTTGGGAGACTGTCCCAGATCCACCACTTACATAGTGTATGACTTTCAGCAAGTTACTTAGTCTCTTTTAGCCTTGGTTTCTCCATTTGTGAAATGGGGATAAGGTCCCCTTCTACGTCATTGCCTCCTCATGATTTGGCAGAGGCCGATTTTAACATCATCGCCCTGGCCAATTGGTGTGTAAAGCTGCTGTGATCCTAGGCAATGCATGCCTAGTGAGGAGGTAATACTGACAGCTGACATCAACCAGCAAGCAAGAGGTAATAACAGTTTTAGAAATTGTATGCATTTGAGGGCATTTATTTAACCTTCAAATTATGTTTACAATTTCTGTGCATTCCTTCATGCAAAATTTCTAGACAATTTCTACATAAAATGCACTGTCCATTATTTAATTTTCTCAAATCGTATATATATATAATATATTATATATAATATATAATATATATAATATATTATATATAATATATTATATATAATATATAATATATTACATATAATATATTATATATAATATATAATATATTATATATATTTAATATATAATATATATAATATATTATATATTATATATATATATTATATATTATATATAATATAATATATATATTATATATATATAGGATTTTAAGAGTTAAACAGTCATACCTTTTAGTAATTACATTACTAAACAATGTAATAGTAATTTGCATTCAATGAGAACAGAAGTCATTTGGTTCTGAAAACCTCCCACCCCCACCACACACACCTACTTCTCCTGCTGGCTCCCTGCGACAACTACTTTCAACTGTCATCGGCTTCTCCTAGGACTTGGCAAGATATTTGCAAGCCATAGACTTATTCTGATTGTGACATGTTTCAAAAATGGCCACAAATGAGACTTCCACTTTCAGCTCTATGTGTAAATAGACAAATGACCAATCCCATCCTTACAACAAGAAAATGCTGGAAAATGGATTCAGGTATCTTTTGGACTCATCAGAGAACCAAGAGGGGACAGCAAGACACCACCCTGGAATCTTGAGAGACTGTCAAATCCAGTGTCACAGCTGAGATCTGCTTACCTGAATCAGCAGCTTCTGCAGACAGAAGCCTGTAGGAGTGCTTCAGTAGTAAATACGATGAAGTGCTTGAGGCTGTGTGTGGACTGGCATTAGTGTGAGAATACGCTGGGGGCCCGCAGTCTCAGGGGCATCCACATGTTCATGGCCTTTGGCTCAACACATGGGTTTTCATGGTGAAGATCTGAAAAAGACGCCGTGGTTTTTCTGGCTGGGAGAGAGGAAGAGTAATCGTTGTCAAATACTCCCAGTGCCTTCTCCAAGACAAAGGCCCAGTCTTCAGAGCAAAAGACTTGACCAAAGCCTTATCTTAGGTGCAGGAAGGGTATTCCTCCATCGTCTGCCCCTCCAGGCTTCCAGTGTCACCTGTGGGGGAAAAACAAATCAAGAGGGCTCAAGTGTGTAAAGGTATTATTTGGGAATGCTGAAGCCAGGGAAAGGACCACGGACATGGGGAGAGGGTAATACCACTGGAGAAACACTTGTCAAGGTCACAGCCCAGAGACACAGTCCCATTGAAAGGCAGAGATCCAGTCATAAAGCTGTGGAATGCTTTCCTGCCCCTACACCTTACCACCACTACAACCAGGCTCCAGGGAAATAACGGCGGGTTACAACTGAACGTGCTGCAAGACACAGGCTCTCCCTGAGCAGGAGCACTCTGTTAGCCTCAGATTCAAGTGGGAGGACAAAGGGAGAGAGAGATGGGAATTCTCAGAAAGAATTAAAAGGAAATACTAGAAATCAAAAACACTAACAGAAATGACGAATGTCTTCCAGAAGCTCATCAGTAGAGTCAGCACAACAAAGGTAAGAATTGGAAAGCATGCTGAAAGGTCAGAGGACAACAGACACTTTCCAAAACGGAATGCAAAGAGGAAAAAGAGGGGAAGAAATGGAATTGAACATCTTACTGTGTGAAAATTGCAAAAGGTTCGACCTATTAATCTGAATCCCAGACAGAGAAAGAAGACAGAGAGAACAGAGCAGAATAAACGTTGGAAGCAATAAGGGCCTAGCGCTGTCAAAATTAATAACAGACACCAAAGCACAGAGTCAGGAATCTCTCAGCATATATCAAGCAGCATATATACCAAATACACACACACACACACACACACACACACACACACACACAACACAAACTCACGTCTAGACATAGTGAAACTGCAGAAAACTAAAGAGGAAGAGAAAGTCTGAAAACCTCAATAAAAACACCTTACTGGTAGAGGAACATGGAAGAAAATTATGGCCAACTTCTCGTCAGAACCCACGAAAAAAGAAGAGCGTAGACTGAAATACTAAAGTGTTGAGTGAAGAAAAATATCACCTAGCTAGAATTGTATGTCCTGCAAAATTATCATTAGCAAGTGAACAGGAAACAAAGACTTTCTCAGACAAATTAAAATCAAGCAAATTAACCTTCAGAAACTCTGCTCTGGGAGAAATGTTAAAAGGCAGAAGGAAAATAAGATAGATGAGACACTTGAATCTACATAAAGGCAGGGCCAGAATCAGTGAAGGAACAAGTGGAGGTAAAATCGCACCTTTTCTGTTGCTTATTCTTGCAAGGTCTAAAGGAACACGGTTTGTTTAAAATAATACTGACAATGTATTTGGTGACTATATAGCATACGGATAAGTTCATGAGGGGTTAATTGGGAATTCTGTCGGGTTAGGTAGCTGCACTGCACATTAAGTGATGTACTGTTACTGGACGGTGGACTGGGATAGGTAAATATGTATATTGTAAAGCCTAGGGCAAAAAGCAGTTCTAAAAGCCATATGATCCATATGCTAAGAGAGGCTACCAATGCCCAGGTAAAACCTGAAGAGACAACAACATAAAGAAAGAGGGACTTTTTGCTTACAGGGGATATGGTTATCTATGTAGAAAACTCCAAAGAATTGCAACAAACTGCTGAATTAATAAATGAGGTTCTCAAGGTCACAGGACACAATCGATATATTGATGATGACTGTTTAGCTGTATATGACTAGTGAACAATGAGAATTTGATTTTTTTAAAGGGCAACTTAAGTACCTATTAAGTACTTAGGTCTAAATCTAAATGTCAGGCATAGGATCTGCTTGCAGAGACTACAAATATTGATGAGGAAAGAAAAAACAAAGAAGATCTGAATAAGTGGAGAGAGATGTCATATATACGGACTGGAAGATTTGTAATTGTTAGAAGATTTCAAATCCTCTGAGACTGATCTATTGTAACATCAGAATCCCAATCAAAATTACAGCATTCACTTTGTAGATATCAACATATTGACTCGAAATTTCGTACTGAAGCACAAATGTGCTAGAATAGAAAAGCCATTCTAAAAAAAGGAGAATGGAGTTGCAAAAGTCATAAGATGCGATTCTAAGACCTACTATAAAACTACAGTAATCAAGACAGGGTGGCATTTACTAAGAATACACACACAGTTCAATGCAACAGACTAGCAAGCCCAATAATCGAACTGCAGAAATATTTCTCAACTGATCCTTGACAAAGGCACGTGCACAATACAATGGGAAAAGGATAGCCTTTTCAGTAAATGGTGGTGGGAGATTTCGGGCCCATATGGAAAAAACATTAACCTAGACCAAGAACTTACACTTTAACAAAAATTAACTCAAAAAGGACCAAAGTCCCGTATGTAAAATTCAAATTATAAAGCACATGAAATATAAAAATATAAATTATAGGCCAGGCGCGGTGGCTCACGCCTGTAATCCCAGCACTTTGGGAGGCTGAGGCAGGTGGATCACGAGGTCAATCATTCGAGAACAACCTGGCCAACATAGTGAAACCCCGTCTCTACTAAAACTACAAAAAGAAATTAGCCGGGCATGGTGGCAGACGCCTGTAATCCCAGCTTCTCGGGAGGCTGAGGCAGGAGAATCGCTTGAACCTGGGAGTCAGAGGTTGCAGTGAGCCGAGATCGCGCCACTGCACTCCAGCCTGGACGATAGGACGAGACTCTGTCTCAAAACAAAACAAAACAAGCAAACAAACAATATATATAAAATAAAAAAAGAAATATAGAAATATAAAACACAGGGAAGAAAACACAGGAAAAACATCAACATGTCTTTGTGTTTCCTGATGGGGTTTTAGTCACAAACCCTACCACAGAGTCTGTGAACAAAAAGCAATTATTTGGAGTTTGTTAAAACTTAAAACTTCTGCTGTGTGGAAGACATTACTGTTAAGGAAGAAAGATAACCTAAGGACTGAAAGAAAATATTTTCAAAGAGATATCTGAGAAAAGACTTGATTCCAAATATTCAAAAAACTGTGGACATTCAAAAACCAAACAACCACAAATAACCCAATTTAAAAATGAGCTAAAGGTCTGAGCAGACACCTCACCAAAGATTTGGAAGTGATAAATGAGCATGTGAAAGAATGTTTACTGTTATTTGGCATTGATAGATAAATGCAAACTCAAATAATAATTACATGACACTACACATCTAACAGAACGGCCAAGACCCCCAAACTGACAAACCAACTGCTGCCAAGGATGCAGAACAGGAACGTCCATTCATGTAAAGTGGGAAGTCTCTATCTTCCAGCAAATTTGGAAGAGAGTCTGCTTGGTCCTTAACAAGGCTCAATAGTCTTGCCACACTGGTGGTCCAGCATTCTCGCTATTAAGTGTTTGCCCAGTTTGCTTCAAAACGTACGTGTTGTCAAACAAAATACAAATCCAGGATTAGTAAAGAGAAACTTTATTCAAAAGGATGAGTAGAAGGAGGCAAGCTATGTGGAGGGGACTTTTACAGGAGGACATGAGTAGGTAAAGCACAGGTAATGCTTTAGGGCAGTGAAACCATCATGTGCGTTATAGACAGAATGTTTGCTTCCCGCCCAAATTCACGTGTTGAAGTCCCGACTCCCAGTGTGATGGTATTTGCAAGTGAGGCCTCTGGGAGGTAATGGGGTTTGAGGTTATGAGGTCATGAGGGTGGAGTCTTTATGATAGGGTTCGTGTCCTCCGAAGAAGAGGAAATAAAAATAGCTGTCTCTGTGTGAGGACAGGGTGAGATACCCTAATGATGGTTGTATGAGACAAAGCATTTGTCAGAATCCGTGGAAACTGACAGGACACAGAATGAAACTTAACGTGTTTAATCTTTTAAGACATCATTAGGGAGGTAGGGAACTATCAGGTTGAAATGCAGAATGTGACAAAAGGTTCTAACCTTACCAATGAATGAAAAGCTTCACTGAAGGCTGTGAAGTACAAAGTGCTGATCTAAGCAACTTTGGAAATGAAAGAAGTGTGTAAGGCTAAAGACAAAGGCAATTGTACATATGCAGCATACTCGACTAGACAAACCTGTTGCCGGTATGGACACAGGTTGAAAAATCTGACACCGTTCTCCATGTGTACTGGAACTGCAATGAGTAAATGGATGGTGGAGGGTGAGAGGCAGGTTTTTCACTGCTGGAGAGGGAGGTGCAGATCGTAATGTGGCAGGGGCAAGAATGATTCGTGCTGCAATGGAATAGAGTTGCAGACATGGGTAGGAACTCATATTCAGCTTATTATAGATCCTCATGGTCATGTATCAAAATATTTATAGAAATGTGTACATACGTGGGTTAGTATACATACATACGTATTTCCTTTCTGCTTCAGCAGAGAGGGCCTAGGAACCACTAGACTCTGGCAGCTACGAGCACACCTAGTTGCCAGACGTTGGTCTCTGATACCATTTTCTAATAAAAGGAAACAGAAATCCTTGGAGAATTGGCTGATCCTAGGAGCTAGTAAATAGGCCAGACCAGCCTAGAACATATGCAAGACAGAAATGTGCAGGATGAGCCACAAAGCAAGGAATTACACAAAATGGAGCCCCAAATAATGGGAGCATACCAACGGGACCTAGGGGTGAACTGAACGTGCACCCAGTGGCCACAACTGCAAGAATGATAATAATGAAAAAGAAATAGCAAAGTATTGGATTATAATCTAAAGTATCAAGTAAATATCCGTGAAAGTATCATGATATACATAAACGATTGAATAAGGAAATAAATGCAGGAGCATAGATAGCTGTGCCATGAAGGAGAATTCCAAAGAATGTATGTAGATACTCTGCCTCAAAGAAAGGATTTAAAACTTAGCACCAGTTAGGTGTGAACTTCGCTTAATGACTTCCTTCCAAAGAGTAGCATGTGGACAGGGGTTAAAAGAGCAACTTTTCATGGGAGCACCCTGTCCAACACTGCTTCTGCCAGGTGACCAAGGTCAACTTACACAATCAAAACTGATGTTGATATTATGTACCCTTGATGCGATCAGACGAAAACAGCTCTTTACCTTTGTGGTGATTCTCCGGTAGCTCACAACATCAGTCTAATCATGAGACAAGCATTAGAAAAACTTGAGTTGAAAAATATTCTAGGGAGGCCGGTGCAGGCAGATCACTTGAGTCCAGGAGTTCAAGACCAGCCTGGGCAACATGGCAAAACCTTGTCTCTACAAAACACACACACACACACACACACACACACACACACACACACACACACACACACACAAGTCACAAATTAGCCGGGCATAGTGGCGCATGCCTGTAGTCCCATGTACTTTGGGAAGCAAGGAACCCTGTCTCAAAAAAAAAAAAAAAAAAAAAAGAAAAAGAAAAAGAAAAAAAAAAAGATATTCTAGAAAATACCTCACTAGTGACCCTGAAAACTCTCAAGGTCATGGAAACAAGCAAAGTCTGAGAAGTTGTCCCAGCCAAGAGGAACCTAAGGCAGTATGATGATTAAATGTAGTGTGGTAGGCTGCATGGTATCTTGGAACAGAAAAAAAAAATGATATTAGGTAGGAAGTAAGTAGGAAACCTGGAATAAAGTGTGGACTTTAGTTTTTTTCTGCCTCTCAAATACCACCAGTAGGGAGCAGTTGGGGCTGCTGTGTCGGCAGGTAAGCCAAACACACAAAAATAGCACCGCAAATGCTCTGAAAATAAACTTTTTAAAAATCCCAGAACCTAAAAATGGACACCAGAATCTACATGCTAAACCTAAAGAAAGTAGCTGACTTCTAACATCAAATATTTGTCTCCTGTCCAGAGACTCCTAAAGTAACAAGCAAAATACATTGTATGCCATAGAGCATAGCCCACCATGTGAAGAACCAGGAATAACACAGCTTGAATGAGGAAATAGAATCCAGTGGTACCAACATAGAGACGACGCAGATGTTGCCATTATCTGACAAACATTTTACAGCAACCATCATAAAAATGCTTCATTATGTAATTGCAAATAGTCTGGAACCAGACTAGAAAATGGAAAATCTCAGCAATGAGTAGAAGATGTATAAAAAAGAAATGATGGAACAGAAAACGAAAACAATAACAGAATTTGGAAACATTGCTGGATGCACTCGGTAAGAGACCTGTGATGACAAAAGATACCATCATCGTAATGGAGGCCCAATCAATAAGATTGACGGCCGGGCATGGTGGCTTACACCTGTAATCCCAGCACTTTGGGAGGCCAAGGCGGGCAGATCACCGCGGGCCAACGTGGGGAAACCCTGTCTCTACTAAAAATACAAAAATTAGCTTGGCGTGGTGGTGGGCGCCTGTAATCCCAGCTACTTGGGAGGCTGAGGCAGGAGAATCGTTTGAACCCGGGAGGCAGAGGTTGCAGTGAACGGAGATTGCGCCATTGCACTCCAACCTAGGTGACAGAGCGAGACTCTTCCTCAAGAAACAAAACAAACAAACAGAAAATAGGACTGACTGTGCCTGAGCGAGAGAGAGAGATCGTGGACTGATTAAAAGCTGAATGGATCCTCAGCGAAGTTAGGACAATAACAAAGTTCCAATATCCCTACGACTGGAGTACCAAAAGTAGAGAGTGGACTGAAAGAGGAGTATAAGAAAAGAAGGCTGAAAATATCCAAATTTTAGTGAAAACCATAAACCCATAGATTCTGGAAAACGAGCAAACTTCAGATAAGACAACCACAAAGCGATTCACACCAACACACACATCATAGTCAGTTTTTGAAGCTGATAAAATCACTGAAAGCAGCAAGACCGAAGTGGTTCATTGATTATAGGAGAACACCAGTTTTAATGAGGGCAAATGTCTCCTCTGACCAGTGGCGGTCATCAGGAAGTGTCCCGAAAAGTTTCAGATGTTGAACAAAAGTCCTGTCAGCTGTGAATTTTGTATCCAGTGATACCATCCTTCATGGACGAAGGGGAAATCAAGACATTCTCAGGTAAAGGAAAGCATTTTGTCACGAGCAGACCCACGGTGAAAGAATGGCTAGAGTAGGTGCTTGAAACAAAAGAGGAAAGAATAAAAGATGGCCTCTGGAAGTATCTATCAGAAAGGAGTCAAGACCAGTAGAAAAAACACCCTTAGGGGACAAACACTAAGCCACCGTTTTCCTTGTGAATTGTGGAAGTCATGTTTGACGATTAAAGCAAAAACTATGAAACCATCCGATACTCCAGACAACGTTGTCTACAAGCAGGAAGGCAGAGGGGCTAAAAGGGGCTGATGCTTCTACACTTCAATGGAAGTGATGAGAACTGGATACCAGGAGCCTGTGGTAAGTCACATATGCACACTGAAAATCCCAGAGCAACCACTGAGACAATTTTACAAAGCCAAACACTCGAAAACACTTTCGGAAATCAGGATAAATCCTGCAAGGTGTACACGTAAGCCACAGAAGGGCAAAAAAAGGAGGTCTCGGTTAGCCGAGACACGGAGGAAACAAAAGAAAACAAACAATAAATCTGTGGACCTAAACACTAGCCCAGAGATCATGGAAATGAACTAGAAACATGTATGAAAAGGTAGATACTGGCAGAGTCAGTGAGAAACACGGTCTGATTATCCCATGTTTATATGAAACTCAGTTCCACTTCGGTCGCCCTGGGTAAATGAAAAGGATACAACGGGTGGGAAAAGTCACATCAGGTAAACATTAATTAAAACAGCAGAAGTAGGTATGTCAACATTAGGTAAAGAGGACTTCATCGCAACGAAAATTACAAGAAAAATAAAACGCTACAGCCGAATAAAAGAATCAAGCCCCCAAGAAGACTTTAGAAGAGTCTTTCCGTGCCCCTCCCACACGCCCCTCCAATTACAGTGTGTGGGCGTTCCTCTCTGTTCCCAGAGCCCCTGGTTCTTATTTCTGTCAGAGCAAAGTGTCCCAAGGTGTTGGGGACTGTATTTGCATACACCTGATCCTAAATGAATGTGAGTGCTTTGGAAAGCCTGATGCATCTCCACATCCCAGCGCCCAGGTGAGGGTATCTGGTGCCCGGCAGGTGTTTGCTGAACGCCTCATGACTGCCTTTCAGGCCAGCGAAGGCTGTTGTGATAGGGTCAAGGGAAGGGTCTCTTTACATCGCATTCAACAAGGGGCCAATCCTGCTGGCGCAGGCAAGGAGGCTGCTCAGCGACTGACGGGGAAATGAGGGTGGGGTGTGGGCACGCGCTCCGGAGGCTGCAGGCGCCATGGGCAGAGTGAGGAACCGCGCCACTGCTCAGCGGCGGAGGCGAAAGCGGCCCGGGGATCCTCCCGCCGCCTGCGCGGCCATCGCGGTCACGGGCGCCAGCCGCGCGCAGTGCCCCCGGGTCCAAGTCGGGGTCGGGAGCCACGCGGCGGCCAAGAGGTGGCTGGGTAGGTGGCGACGGAAGCGCCGCTGGCGGCGGGTCCGGAAGGCGGGCCCCAGAGACCTGCTGCCCTCCGCGCCAACCCCGGACCCGCCGGGGCCCGCCCCGTCCCCCAAGGATCTGGACCTGGGCGCACAGCGGGAGCGCTGGGAGACGTTCAGGAAGCTGCGGGGCCTCAGCTGCGAGGGCGCCGCCAAGGTCCTGCTGGACACCTTCGAGTACCCGGGCCTCGTGCATCACACCGGGGGCTGCCACTGCGGCGCGGTCCGCTTTGCGGTCTGGGCCCCTGCAGATCTGCGCGTCGTGGATTGCAGCTGCAGGCTGTGCAGGAAGAAGCAGCACCGCCACTTCCTCGTCCCGGCCTCGCGCTTCACGCTGCTCCAGGGCGCAGAAAGCATCGTCACCTATCGGTCCAACACGCACCCGGCGCTGCACAGCTTCTGCAGCAGGTGCGGGGTGCAGAGTTTCCACGCAGCTGTCTCTGACCCCCGCGTGTACGGCGTCGCCCCGCACTGCCTGGACGAGGGCACCGTGCGCAGCGTGGTCATCGAGGAGGTCGGCGGTGGCGACCCGGGGGAGGAGGCCGCCGAGGAGCACAAGGCCATCCACAAGACGTCCTCCCAGTCAGCCCCTGCCTGTCCCCGCGAACAGGAGCAGTGATTGGGGCCGCAAGCCCGCCTGAAACCGGCCCGGGCGGCCCTGCGGGGAGCGTCCGAGTACCTGCACAGATCCCATGCTGTGAAAGAGGTGTTTCTGGCCTGGTCACACCGGGGATTCCCTTCCAGTATTTGCCCTTCCCCTCCGCTAGTTTTCAGTGAACTCGCTTACGATCCAAATCTTGAACACACCTTTGTCTGCGTAGTACAACGTTAATCTTGCAATTCGGTAAGGAAGAAGAGTGTCTCTGATTTTTCAAACCATCCATTGTATCTCTCGCTTTTACTGTTCTGCCTACAGTTGTCACAAATCACCTGCAGATGATTCCTGTGTACTGTACGTTCCTGGTGCTATTGTGAACAGGCTTGTTGTTTTCAGCGCTTTGCCTCTGGTGTGTAGGACGGCAACACACAACCAGTTTGTAAACATGTGCTAGGACGTCTTCCATTGATTATGGTGTGCGTGGGCTCCCGCACCTGTGAGTTTCAGGTAGACGTTCATATTTTCACTGCTTAGATTCGAGTTATGCTATTTACTGGTTTTTAAATGATATATTTCAAGATTTGGTCGTGTTACATACCTCATTACTCTTTATTTCCTGTAACAGCGAAAGCTGTTACTATTTCGCTTGTTGTTTGGGAAGTGTCTCTGGGTAAGGAGATGGGGATACAGGAATGAGAAAGACATCTGTGCACACAGGAATGAGAAAGACATCTGCGCACTGTCTGCCCTCTTTAATCTTTTGAAATACCTGTCTTGTACATGTGTTAAGTATATAGAAATCAGTAAATACCTTCTAGGAAACTATGTGTGTTGGTGTGTCTATAAAGTCCGGCTTGGCTATGTATGGCAAGGCTTGGTTTTTGAAGGTACTTGGTCTCAGATTATTTCAGAAGGTGGTGGTGACTCTGGCTTTTGTAGTAGAGAAAGCTTCCCCAGGGTCCCCTACCTTTTGATGAGGGGAATTAGCAGAGGGTTTACACATTTGGCCTCTGGGGACACACTACCTGTGTTTGAATCCTGGACCTGCCGCCTGCTCGCTGTATAACCGGTATCGAGTAGATTAAACCCCATTCCTCAACTTGCTCTTTCCTCAAGAATGTTAACAGCTAACAGAGTGTTTGTTCTTGGGGTAAACACAGTGCCTTGCCTTGACTACCTGATCCATGAATGCTTGTTTTCTCAATTTCAGGCCCCCAAAACTCCTCCTATCAAGGCACCCAGACAATATGAAACCGCATTGTTTAGGGGCGTCCATACACATGGGAAAACCATGAATTAGGCAGTGAAATAATTTAAGCCAGCATCAGATTAGGGTTTAACTCTATGGAGGAGGAATGGCTTTGAGTGGGGGTGGGGGGAGGGGAGGGTGTCCTGCATTCCTGTTCCTCTTGCTGTGTAACAAACAGCCCCACAGTGAGTCCATACAATGACGAGCGTTGTATCATATGCATGGAATTTCAGAGGCAGGAATTCAGAAAGGGCACAGTGGATATGGCTTGCTTCACATGAGTCTGGGACCTCAGCTGCAGAAACCTGACTGGCTGGGGACTGGAACCATCTGAAGGCTCATTCACTGACATCCCTGGTGCCTGCATGGAGAGGACTGGAAGACTAGGCCTGGCGAGTGGAGGGCCTCCGTATTACCACTCCGTGGCCTTTGGCTTCCTCACAGCAGGGTGGGCCTCCCAGTAGTCAGGCTTCCGACCTCATGACTCAGGCTCCAAGCGGCACTTTTCCATATCCAAGGTGAATGTTGCATCACCTCTCATAGGCAAGACTCAGAAGTCATGTTGAGTCAACTGTGTCATACTCTATTGATTAGAGGTGAGTCACAGCCTTTTCAGATTCAAGCGTGGGAGGGAGATTAAATCGCAGGTCTCGGTGTGAACGGGGCAACTTTTATCACAGCACGAGAGATGGGAGATATTTTTGTGGCCATACAGTCTGGCACAGTGGGCTCCTAGGGAGCTGGTTATGTTTCATTCGGTTCTCCCACATGGTGGCCACTCAGATGTGTTTAACGGGTCACATATTTTTTTGTGTACAGCTGTGTATGATTGAAGACATAATAAGGAAACAAAATAGGTGACTGACTCCTATCTCTGAGCAAGACCAAGAGCAGACTAAATGAATGACTGGAGGTACGGAGGGAAGACGACAGTCAGAAGGGGGCTGGCTGGTTAGTCCTGGAGCCGACCTTGGCCATGCCCACGCAAACACAGCCCAGGGTAGAAGTCTTATTAACTTCGGGACCATCGGTATTTCTGACCCCCCCCAGAAATCTTTAACTTCCTGCTAGTTGCATATGCTGGACTGCCTCAGCCCCACGCCACTGACTGTCCCTTCCCCTCTCCTTTTTAAGCCCGTTGTTCACTTGTTCATCCATTCCACAAGCATTTACAGTGGGTTTGGAATGTGTCAAACAGAATGTGAGAAGGACTTAAGGCTATGGACAAAAAGTGGAGTTGGGTAAAGATGCTCAAGCGAGGTTCTTAGAATGTAGCTCAGCTCTTCCATAGAATACCATAGGGAAGGGAATGGAAACACCCCCCTCTCAGTAGAATGGAAGAGCGCATCTGGCACCGATCCACAAAGGCCGCTTGTTTGTATGCTGGCTCTTCAGATGACATCTTAGGATGAACTCCAGACTAGAAGGTGAATTTCCTTTCTGACAAGCGTCAAGGAAAGACTTAGAAATGTGTTTAAAAAGGAAAATTCCCAGCATGAAACCAAATGGAAGACAAGATCACTGGTCATAAAATATAACTAGAAATAGATGTAATGAAAATGTTTATTATTATACATAATTTCTATTATTTTGTTTTATTTTTTGAGACAGATATTCGCTCTGGTGCCCAGGCTGGAGTGCAGTGGCTCGATCTCGGCTCACTACAGCCCCCACCTCCCCTGCTCAAGTGATCCTTTCACCTCAGCCTCCCAAGTAGCTGGGATTACAGGCACGTGCCACCACAGCCCGCTAATCTCTTGTATTATTTGTAGAGACGGGGTTTCGCCATGTGAACCAGGCTGGTCTCGAACTCCTTAGCTCAAGCTTCCCGACTGCCTCGGCCTCCCAGAGTGCTGAGATTACAGGTGTGATACATAATTTGTACATGTGCCTTTGAAAATGAAAAATATGAAATAGACCTAAGGACTCTCTCTCTCTCACAAATACTTCACGTGTGTTCCTTTATTTACTTCTCACTAAAGTCTTTCAGAACACCTATTGTTAATCTCAATTGGTGGAGAAAGAAACTGAGACGCTGATAATGGAAGGACCAAGCCCATGGATGCCAAGAGGGCAGGTGGCAGGAAGAAGTTGGAAAGCCAGGGTGATTGGATACCATGGTCAGTAAGGACTGGGGAAAAAAGTAGCTCTCAGGCACTTCTGCCCCATTCATCCTGGCCCCTCTCTGTTTTCATGGATCCAACTCTCTACGCATTTCACCCTATCTCCTCCTCACATCAAAAGCAGCTCTTCATCCCTGGCCGAGATCCTGTGGCCAGCTGCCCAGTGCACGCCACCATGACGCGGGCCTCCTATAAAAATCTGAAATGACCGTAGATTGGATGTTCTGCTATTTCATGAGCCCCCACGTTGTTTCTTCATGTGCCAATATACTTGTGTCTATGGCCACAAACAACCTGCATATCACAGTTTGGAAAACACTTATTTTGAGGACAGAGGCTTTGAACGGATATCCACCTGGGCTTGTGTCCCAACTCTGCTACTTGTTCCTGCCTGAAATGGCAACAAGTTTTAAAAGTTGCATTCACCTTCTCTGTGAGGCTTCAGTGAGAGCATGCCCATGAAGGAATGATGGAGCCTAGCCTATATAAGCACTTACTGCATATGAGCCCTTTTTATTCGTCTTCTTGTTGTTTGAGCAAAAATCCAAATGCAGCTTTTGTCTTAACTGCACACAGCCTGAGGTGTAGGCAGTACTTCCAGGACCACTATCTCAGGAGCCGTCATCCACATTTCTTTGATGTAAAAACTGAGCGTAAAGCAATTCAGCTACAAAAAAAGTAGGAGGAGGGAAGAACATAGGCCTTCCAGTTCCTTATTAAGTTCCAACTTTCCCTAGACACTGTCGTCTCCCAATGTATGGCGTGAGGAACAGAGATAGCCTTTTCCATTCAAAACTGTGTGACGGGGGCACGGGTCAGCAAAGTACAGGGTCCTGCAGGAGCACAGCGATAGGGCACCCTCTGTCAGACAAGTCAGTACACCGTTCTGGGCCTTGGTTTCCTCATCTGTACAACGGCGACAGAATTACATATATCTTAATTTGCTGAGCATTTTAAGTGAAGTGCTGGAAGGAGAATATAGAGCTCCATGCCCTGATGCGTCAAATTGTCAAGAAATGTCATCCACTGTTCCTAATATAACTTATGTCATTATACCCCGATATTTGGACCAAAGGGACCTAGACCCTATCGCTTTTGCCTGGGACTCCGCAGTAAGTGCCTCAATGAGTTACCCTAATACCTTTCCCCTCCTCTATTATGACCAGGATCAAGGTTTTTCTGGGAATGGCACCACAGTTTCTGTGACTCCACCACAATTCCTGAGACTTGACTCTGAGCCACTATCACAGTCTGCATGCTCTTCCCAATGTGAGGTGTGCGGTTGGTGGGGTTGATGCCATCACTGTCTCTCACTTAAATAGTAGACTTGAAGTGAGCGAAGGCTGTTCTCATGGGTCAGGATGTAAAAGATGTAAGCAACAGTGACTTCGGACCCAGGAGTGGACATTGGAGAAATTGTTAACAGCCGGGGGGAGCTGCAGATACCAGCTGGGGAAAACCAAATTATAGCCGCATGGTCTCTGAGATAAACTCTCATCATCACAAGGTGGCAAATTCCTGCCTCTAGAAGACCCAGGGAGTTTGCTCCCGGCATCCCAGAGATAGTTGTTTAGGACTCGCATCTCTAAAATAAGTATTTCCAGTATCACATGCAGGCACAAGGGTGTCCACCGGAAAAACCGTCTTGCCTGAGTATATCTTCTTGCACACTGGAAAATCTTGCCTAGAGACACTTTGACGAACATTCTCTTTCCCATTTTCTTTCTGCCAACCTGAATAAGATCTTGCTAAGTATGGGATATTAAAAACTATGTTTCAGGAGATTGCATTTCTGGCTACATTGGAGGAAAAAAACACCACATTGATCCTTCCCCCGCAAAGCAACGAAATAACCGAGATGACAATGGTTTCCAAGATATTGGACCTAATGCAATGGAAGAGAGCTATCTGCAAGACAGAAGAAAGAGACATGTCGAGCCGCACGCCTGTCTCAGCCTACTGGCGGGAGGAGGAACTCAGGCGGAGCCACGTTGTCTCCCCGAGTTGTGGGGTACGTGGTAGGAACATGAGTCCTCCTTAAAAAGGAAAGAAATCCTGCCATTTGTGGCAACATGAATGAACCTGGAGCATGTGAGGTCAAGTGAAATAAGCCAGGCACAGAGAGACAAATAGCAAGTGATCTCACTTATATGTGGAGTCTCAAAATTGGAACTCATAGAAGCAGAGAGTACAAATGGTGGCTACTGGAGGTTAAGGGTTGGGGGGCATAGGGAGTGTTGGCAATGGATAGAAAATTTCTGTTAGACAGGGGGAATAAGTTCAAGGGAGCTATTGTAAGTCATAGTGGTTATACTCAATAGCAATAGATTGGTTATTTGAAAATTCGTAAGACAGTAGCTTTTAGGTGTTTCTACCCACAAAAAACAAACAAACAAACAAAAAACTGATAAATATGTGAAGGGTGGAATATGTTAATTAGTTTGATTTGGCCATTCCACAACATATACAGATATCAAGCATCCTGAGGTACACCATAAATATATACAATGTTTACTTGTCAATTGAAAAATAAAGAAAGAAAGTAATTTCACAAAATGACGAGGGACCGCCAGACGCAAAAGAATGGATTGGACCTTACCTCACACTACATACAAAAATTAACTCAAAGCAGATCAGAGACCTAAATATAAGAGCTACAGTGATAAAACTCTTATAAGGAAATATAAGACTAAATCTTACATTTCTCTTCCGTAAGTCTTACGTTGTGACCTTCCCTTAGGCAAAGGCTTTTGTGTGTGTCTGCATTCAACACCAAAGCACAAGCAACAAAACAAAAAAGTAGATAACGTGGAGTTTTAGACAACCCGTAGAAAATGCATCTGATCATAGATGTATCCAGGATATACAAAGGACTCTGATGAATCAACAGTCAAATGATGACCTAATTCAAAAAGGAGCAAAGAATCTGAATAGACATTTTGCCAAAGAAAGTACACAAATGGCCAATAGGCACACGAAAAGCCACCCACAATCATCATTAGCCAGTAGGGAAATGCAAATCAAAACCACAATGAGCTACCACTTCACACTCAGTAGGATGACAAGAATAAAAAAGACAGGCGATAACAACTGCTGACAAGGATGTGGAGAGATTGGAGTCCTCATACACTGCTAGTGGGACTATAACATATAGGGCAGCCTGGTTTGAAAGAATTTGGCTGCTCCTCAGTACCAGAAACACAATTTCCATATGGCCCAGGAGGTCCACTCTTAGCTTTCTACAAAAGAGAAATGAAACTCTATGTCCAAACAAAAACCTGTACACAAACATACACGGTATCATTATTCCTAGTGGTCAAAGATTGCGAGTGGCGCAGGCGTCCATCAGTTGATGAACTGACGGATGGAATTTAGTTTCTCCATTCAGGGGAGTGTGGCTTGGCAACAAAAAGGGATGAAATACTGATACATGCCATAACATGCGTGAGCCTAGAACACGTGATGCTGCATGAAAGAAAATCACAAAAGACCACATATTATGTGATTCCATTTGGAAAAACGTCCAGTATATGTAAACTTATGGACTAAGAAATTTGATTTCCATTTGCTTGGAGAAGGAGAACAGGGTGGGAAGTGACTGTTAATGTGTATGGGGCTTCTTTCCAAGGTGATTATAAGGTTCTAAAATGAGATTGTGGTGATGGTTGCAGAACCTTGTGAATATGCAGAATGAAAAGAAAAACACCTGAATTGTACACTTGAAATGGGTGAAGATTATGGCCTGTGGATTATATGCCAACAAAGTCTTTTTTCAAAACTACCATTTATCGTCCACTTTATGTACACTTACCTCTATTTATTTCCAAATGTACATGAGTAACATTCATGTCCACTAATTGGTTGAGACTTTTGAAAAGCACTGATAACCTGATGTATTTTTGGGAGATGAGAAGCAGAAATCAATGGTTAACGTGTAGTTTGGCAAGAGCTGTGACCGCTGTGAAACTTCATTTCCTCATCTTTGAGGTAATTACTTCTACTTTGACATGACATTGTGGGAATTAAATAACAATGAATATGAAACATTCAACTGAGTGCCTGGGATTAACAGCCACTCCAGGAAGGGTGAAACTCATATTACTTACTAGAGTACGGGGAGGATTCTTTAAGAAGGTAAATGTTTAAACAATGTACTGAGTCTAGTATGTCAATTTCTTTTTTTTTTTTTTTTCCAAGAAAGAACAAGGTTCAAGGTATCTGTGACAAGTTACCCTGGTGAGTGCAACCATTTTGGAGTTATAACTGTGTTCAAGTCCCGGATCCCACTTACTAGCTGTGTGACCACAGGCGAGTGACTGAAATTCTCCCTTGCAGTTGTCTCACCTCTGCCAACTCTGCATCGCTGCCACAGCGATACTACTACCTTCCCTGGAGGGTTGCTCTGAGAATAAGAGATTAGAATGATAAAAATGGAGTTTGTCACTCCTGCATTTTCACTTTCTCCCTTTCTAAGGTCTCCTTCTCCTGATTCTAAAAATGTATTCAAGTATCCTTCAACCTAAATAACCTTCCTTTGTCTTCCGCTCTACCTACCAAACTCTTCCTCATTTCCTTTTAAATGAAGTACCCTGGACTTCTCTTCCTCACTCTTCAATTTCATGTAGTCTGTCTTCATTCACGTGGGCCCCCGAGCTGTCCCAACCCCGAGCTGTCCATAAGGTAACAAGGATGTCCTAACTAATGAATCCCAATGGACTCCTCTCTCCCTTATGATCTGGCCTTACATCTCCACAGCATAACCCTCCCTCCTTCCTTCACGTCTGTGGTACTACTTTTTCTCCTAGTTACTATCCTATTCCTCGGAGATTTCTCTCTCCATCTCCTTCCTGGACTTCTGTTTCCCTGTGTTCTTCAGTGTTACTATTCCCTAGGTTTGGTCCTCGGCCAGCTCTTTACAGGCTATCTTGCCTACATCCTGGGGTGAATTAACTCACGCTCCTGGCTTCGCCTGACTGATTGTTGAGAGGATTCACAAACGTGTATTCCTGGTCTGAAAGTAATTGCTGAGCACCACACTGAAACATCCAGTTGCCTTCTGTACATCCTGGATGTTTTCACAAGCACCTCAAACGCAGATCTATCTCTCAGTGCACTCCCCTCACCTGCAAATGTGTGCACGCCCCTGTATTTAATGCTTCAACTGAGTACTCTAGCATTGCTCAGTCATCCAACCCAGAAACGTTCCCTTACCAAAGACCGGATGAACTTAGGCCTGAAGTCAAGAAACAGCAGAAGACTGGGGAAAAGTCAGATGAGTCCGGAGACCAGTACCACGGACAATCGTAGACATCAACCTCAACCAAGCCCTATATGGGGGTCAGTTAGTCTACTGTATTTTCCCAACCAGCTCTCTCTCCAACTACCTGTAATGACCATTTATTACACAACTGTACGACTCTGGAAACCCCTGATCTCCTTTCCCTCATTCTCAGAAGCTGGCCGCACCTCCTATTTTCCTGAGAAAATCCAAGACCTCAGGAAGGACTCTCTCCATTTCCTACCAGCAATTGTAAACACCTACCTGCATGTACAGGTACAAGTTGTTGCCTTTCCTCCATTTATGACAGAACATCCCTCCTGCTCTTTCCGGGTGATCCTTCAATGTGTGCTTTGAATCTCACTGCTCCTATCTTCCCAGGAATCTTATAGCATCCATCATCCATTTACTCCCCTGATTGCCCCTGTCAACTTCAACCTGCCCTTCCAAATATATCTTTCCAATAGCACTAAATCACGCACTGGTCATGAAAACCTTATAATGGTAAAAATCAACAATCAAACGCTCAAAGCACCCTCCGTCTTCTCCATTTTACCCTGCACCCACTACCTCATCTCCTTCCATTCACAATGAAACTTGGAGCTCTCCACACTTGTCATTACTTCATCACCTATTCATCCTACAACTCATTCTTTTCCCCCAAATCCCAATGAAATGGCTCTCTCAAAGGTCACCATGGTGTTCATAATGTTGAGCACAATGGAATGTTCTGTCCTCATATCATTTTATAGCTCCAACTCTATGAACAGGAGGAAACACTCTTCTTTTTGAGAAACTACCATTGAGTTGTCAGTTTGCAATTTTCCTTTGAATGGGCCATACTTTCAAGTTCCCTTGTAGGCTTTTGGATTCTTTTGTTGCTGCTGAAAACTAGGTCTTTGATTGTGGTAATGTGGTAACACTGAATATTAGATCCTCTACCTTCTCCAGGATTTGCAGTTGCTGATTTCTGAAAGCTGCAGTCATTGATTTGTCTAGAGGGTTTTCCAAACTCTTTTGGGAGAGCCTGCATTCGTTGTCACATGTGGCCACTGAACTCTCTGTTCCTTTAGTTTGTTTTCTGCTTGTATTTTGACAGCAATTTCCTTGACAGCCCAGAGCTTAATAAAAAAAAAAAAAGCAAAAAGTTCCTCTGTCAGCCTTTGTGGATTCGCTCTGGGCTGCAGCACTCCTTCAAACCTCAGCCAGGCCACTTACAACTCTGTCTTGGCTGTCACTTCCTGTTTAGACTGAGTCCAGAGATCAGCCGGTGAAAGCTTAGGGTCTTCTCGGGTCTTTCCTGAGCATGCATCCAATCCTGGGCACGCACCTGGCTTTTGACAATCCCCAGGGTACATGACTGCTTCCGAATGATCTAATTTCCCAAATGGCCTGTCCGCCAGCGTATCCCCCAGGTTTTGGGTTATCTGCTATAGGTTTCAACTGTAGTTTCTGCCTCACGCAGTTGCCGTTTTTTGATTTGCCTTATAAGGTTTTCAGGAGCTGCCCAAGCTTTTTCTGCCCTGACTTCCCTGTTAGGTCAAACAGAGAGGAGCATTTTGCTTCTGTCCTTCAGGAAGCCCCTGGACGGGTTAGAACCAATGAAAACCATGATTTTTGCATAAGCTCTGCTCTCTCCTTCCGGAACCAGGTACCAGGGTTCCACACGTGGGATGCAGGCTGCTGGGTGCAATGCCGCCACCAGGTCAGGGAGAAGGTGGAACAAGGGCAAATGAAAATGCTACAACGTTTACCTATGAAACACTCAGATGGTTGGGAGCCTTAGAATTTTATTTCCGGCTTACAATAATTTTACTTGACATGTCGAGACTTATACCATGCCACATGCTTTGCTAAGTACTTAGCACGTAGTATGTTATTTGAGTCTTACAAAAACCCTATATGGTTTTTTCAATATCTATATCACTGATGAGGAAACTGAGGCCACAGAGAAGTTAGGTCATTGCACACAAGTAACATGTGGTAGCACGGCCAGTTTCACGAAACTGCAACTAAAGTGGTCCCACACGGCTCCATGCTCAGAATGGGTCCCTGGGCTTGCGGTTTAGTGTGGCTGTCTTGAAATTCTTAACTATTTCTTTCCTTGAATTTGTGCTTGGTAGGTGAGGTGTGATGAAACGGTGCAGTGTGTGCTGGGGTCCTGGAGCCTCAGCTATCATGTGGTCCAGCTTCCACCACCTCCAGGCCTCACTGGGACAGGTTCTCTGCTGCCCAATCACCCACCCACCCTCTCAGACTCCCCTTCCCTCTGCCAACCCAGCGACTGCTGCTGCACTTCACCCTCAGGAGAAGGCCTGGGTGTGGGTGCAGGGAGGGGCAGGGTGGGAATGCCAAGCCACAGGGCAGGGCTCTGGACACCTGGGAGGATCTCCACTCACCCTATGCGTGTCCCCTTAACTGAGGCAGCACCACATTAAATTACAACTACAAAAATCCTGAGAGGTCAAAACAGAGATTGAGTCAGAAAAGAAAGTGAGATTTTGCTGCTTCTGAACAGTGGACCCCACATGCTCCTGTTATATGAGGTCCCTCCTTATATCGTTTGACCTGCTTAGTAGAGAAGGGTCACAAATTCAGGCTTGCATAGCTCCAAAGCCTGTTATTTTTTTTTTTCTTTTCTGTTCTTTCCTTTAGCAAAGATTAAGAAATGGAATAGGTGATACATGCACACTTGGTGTAAAATTCCAAAGTTTCTAAACTATGTGCAGGCAACGGATTCTTCTCACCTCCATTGCTGAACCATCCAGAACTCATTCCCAAAGGCCACTCCTCTTTCCCACCAGGCTTTTAGATACCCTTCTGGAGGAACATCACTGGTATTCAGGCATATACATCATCCAAACTCCTCTTTCTGTATTAAGGCGTGTACCAAACGCTGTGTTGACCTGGCATTTTTTCCATCTCAGAATGTCTCCTGGAGCTGAGTGCGGTGGCTCATGCCTGTAATCCCAGCACTTTGGGAGTCCGAGGTGGGTGGATCATCTGAGGTCGGGAGTTCGAGACCAACCTGACCAACATGGAAAAACCCCGTCTCTACTAAAAATACAAAATTAGCCTTGCATGGTGGCACACGCCTGCAATCCCAGCTACTCGGGAGGCTGAGGCAGGAGAATCACTTGAACCCGGGAGGCAGAGGTTGTGGTGACCTGAGATCGTGCCATTGCACTCCATCCTGGGCAACAAGAGCAAAACTCCGTCAAAAAAAAAAAAAAAAGAAAGAAAAGAAAAAGAATGTATCCTGGAGTACTTTCTGTGCTTAATACAGGCAAAAGTTATAGCGTGCTTGCTATGCCATTGCTGTAAATGCTTCAAATCAATTAAACTCATCCTCACCAAAACCTAGGGAAGTAGGTGCTTTCCTCATTTTGTGCATGAGGAGTGAAGAGCACATGCAATTGACATTACTTGCCGTAGGTAATACTTCTAAACGAGGGAAGAACCAGGATTTGCACCCATGCAGTGTAGCTCCACAGAGGTAAAAGCATTCTGCTCTATGCCATGCCTGCATGGTATCCTTTGATACGGATATATCCTTTTCTTTATTTAGCCGGTGCCCTGTTGACACAGGGGTTTGCCCAGGCTTAGGCTATTACAGACAATACCGCATCGAGTAAACTAACATGTTATATCATTCCATACAAGTGCAAGTACATCCAAAGGACAAATTCATAGCAGCAGGATTTCTGGAGGAGGGGGGTAAAGCACACACAATGTGGACAGATACTGCTAAATTGCCTTCTCTAGGTGTTACATCAAGTTACACCCATACTAACAATGCAGGAATGTGACTCTTCCCATATCCTCACCAAATCAGTCTGTTTCAAACATTTGCATATCTGTCCATAGGATAGATCCTGGACAGTATTTTATTGTGCTTCAGAAACCCATTTCTCTTATTAGGAGTGAGGCTGGGAAGTTTTATATACATTTGGGAGCTTTTTGTGTTTTTCTTTCTGTGAACTGTTCAGGCATACATATACAGAGACTGACTAGCTGTCCTCCAGACCTGTTTTCTTTTCCTCCTGGGGTTTCCCAGCCTCCTGGCAGGTAACTGTGGCTGGTGGACTGAGGCCTGGGCAATGGATGGTGGGCCCGAGTGGCAATTCTCCCAAGCATGATTCATAAAAACCTCCTATGAGATCCTCCTACTCTTTCTTCCCCATCTGCTGGAAAGATGTTGACACCCAGAGCGACTTATAGAGCCAGGTGTTGAAGATGGCAGAGCTTCTGTCAGCCTGGTCCTAGATTGTTTTCAAAAAGAAGAGCCAACCCTCCCCAGTCCTGTTTCCTTTTGGAAAAATGTAGGCAAGAAAAATGTTCATAGTGTTAGGCCACTAAGAGGTTGGAGTTCATCTGTTACAGCAGCTAGCGTTATCAATGACAATAGAGTAGGCTTAGTTCCTTTTTTCAAAAAATGAATCCACTGATGGTATTTACTTATTAGGGAAATCCACCCTTTGTCTGCGATATGATTGGCAAGCACTTTTCAACTTTGCTTCTTGAATTTTATCTTTACTTTAGGTGGATTTAGCTTGCAGTATCTTCTTCTAGTCTTCATGCACTTAAACTTATTACCTCTTCCTAGTAGGAATTCCGGTGTTGTGACATACCTCCAAAGACTGTCAACTGCAACACTGCATCTGAAACTCTCTCGGAGAGGCTCATAGATTCCGTCTTTTCCACAGGTTGTTTCATCATGAATGAATGATGACTTTTACCAAATTATTTTCTTGTATCTATTGAGGTGGTCACATTTAGTTTAGTTCTTCCCTTTAATCTGTTCAAGTGGTGAATTACATTCATTTCTTTTCTAATGTTAAACCAACCTTGCTTTGCTAGAATAAATATAACTTGGTCATAATATAGCGTATTAGTCTGTTCTCACACTGCTATAAAGAAATACCTGAGACTGGGTAATTTATAAAAGAAAGAGGTTTAACTGGCTCATGGTTTTACAGGCTGCACAAGAAGCATAGGGGCTTCTGTTTCTGGGGACGCCTCAGAAAACTTACAATCATGTCCCAAGGCCAAGAGGAAGCAGGCACCTCTATACAAGGCTGGAGCAGGAGGAAGACAGATTAGGAGGTGGTGCTACACACTTAAAGGACCAGGTCTCCTGATAACTCACTATCAGGAGAAAAGCACCAAGGGGATGGTGCTACACCATTTATGAGAACTCGGTCCCCACAATCCAGTCACCTCCCACCAGGCCCCATCTTCACACAATGGATTAGAACTGAACATGAGATTTGGATGGGGACACACATCCAAACCATATCATATACTATCTTTTTTTTAAAAAAGGACTTCTGGCTTTTACAGTATCTTTTTAAAAGATATTGCTAGCCTTTTTAACAAGTAAGTTGTATGTGATATTTTCATATGTTTTTCTGAGACAAATTGCTTTGAAATTTGCCATTCTCAAATTATCCTTGTCTAGTTTCCATGTCAAGGTTCGCTTAGTAAAACACAAGGGGTATTGTACTCACTAGCTCTATTCTCTGAAAAACTTGTGCAGTATTGGAGTGATCTCTCACATAAACATTGACAGAACCATCTGGGACTAGAGATTTTTTGTCAAAATTGTTTAATTACTGATTGCATCTATTTCACATTTACATTTCAAATCATGTTTTTACATCTTCTCTCAGTTTCAGTATTTTAAATATTTTACCGTTTGTCCAATTCCTCTAAGTTTTTGATTTATTGGCATGATGGTCTCTAACGGTGTGCCTCCCAGTTTTGATTCCTGATATTACCAATTTGTGTGTTTATTTCTTTTATCTTCACAAGTCTCACCCGTGGTTTATGAGTTTTATAGACTTTTTGTTTTTTGCTTCTTGCTTTTGAGACAGAGTCTTGCCCTGTTGCCCAGGCTGGAATGCAGTGGCGCAATCTCAGCTCGCTGCAACATCCGCTTCTGGAGTACAAGCGATTTTCCTATCTTACCCTCCCATGTAGCTGGGACAACAGGCATGTACCACCACACCTGGCTAATTTTTGTATTTTTAGTAGAGATGGGGTTTCACCAGGTTGACCAGAGATGGGGTTTCACCATGTTGAACTGTGCTCAAGTGATCTGCCTGCCTCAGCCTCCCAAAGAACTGGGATTACAGGAGTGAGCCACTGCACCCAGCTGAGTTTTTACAGACTTTTGAAGGACTGATGAAGCCCTTTGTTAAAACTCTGTATTGAGTATTTGGTTTCTTTCTCATTTATTTCTGTCTTTAATGATTCTTTGTATTTCTTTGTGTTTATTTTGTTGTTATTTTTGTAATTTCTCTAGATGGATGATTAAGTAATTTTCAGCTGTTCTTCCTTTACAATTATATGCCTTTAAGGATATATGTTTCCACCTAGGTTAACTGTATTCCCTAGCTCTATCTGTGATATTTGCATTGCCATCCAGTTTAATGTATTTTATAATTTGCACACAGGTGATGCAAAGTCAGGCTACAAGTGACAGCTGATTTACTTATGATTTCCTCCTCCTGACTCAAAAAGTGATGGCCATTGGGGTCTCAGCTAAAAGTGAGGAGGTGGTTTACCAACATCACCACCTTTGGTCAGCTCTGAGATATGGCTTTCATCTCTAGCGGTGTCACCAAAGCACAGCTTAGTTTTACAGCTGTTTCTTTTCAGGTAGGCATTCTGAGTAAAAGCAGTTTGAAGTCCTAGGTTTAATCTGCAGGTCCTGCCTTCCCTTAAGAGATCCTCACTGTCCTCTGAGTACTGTATTTGTTTTTGAATTTTTTTTTTTTTTTGAGCCTGTTGCCCAGGCTGGAGTGCAGTGGCACAATCTTGGCTCACTGCAACCTCCACCTCCCGGGTTCAAGCAATTCTCTGCCTCAGCCTCCTGAGTAGCTGGGATTATAGGTGCCCGCCACCATGCCCAACTAATTTTCATATTTTTAGTAGAGACGGGTTTCACCATCTTGGCCAAGCTGGTCTTGAACTCCTGACCTCGTGATCCACCTGCCTGGGTCTCCCAAAGTGCTGGGATTACAGGTGTGAGCCACCGTGCCTAGCCTGTTTTTGAATTTTTAAACATGATTTCACCCAGGCTTTGTTCGGTTACTATTGCCGGAACATTGGCCCTTATGACCTACTTCCCATTTATGAGAGTTAAAGCCTGAGATCTTGGTGCAGGTGCAGATTACAATATGGAGCAGTCAGACCTATCTTATTTGTTATTTATGTAGTTCTATGTTCTTATTAATTGCGTCCCTTTGATCTGAGAGGGCCTATTTAAAATCCTGTATTGCTAATTTGTGTCTGTTTTTCCTTGAGTGTTCTGTATCTTTTTCTTTAGGAATGTTGGTGATATGTTGCTGGTGCACAGTAATCATAAGTGTTATATCTCCCTTGGAAATTGTACTCTTTTGCAATAAAATGTGCCCTTCTTTGTCTGTTTTATTGCATTCTAATCGTAATTCATTCTGGTTAGATTTTAAGATTGTGAATCACTTTTAAAAAATTATCTGCACTTGGCCGGGCGCGGTGGCTCAAGCCTGTAATCCCAGCAGTTTGGGAGGCCGAGGTGGGTGGATCACGAGGTCAGGAGTTCAAGACAAGCCTGGTCGAGATGGTGAAACCCCGTCTCTACTAAAAATACAAAAAAAAAAAAATTAGCAGGCGTGGTGGCGGGCGCCTGTAGTCCCAGCTACTCAGGAGGCTGAGGCAGGAGAATCGCTTGAACCCGAGACGTGGAGGTTGCAGTGAGCCAAGATCACACCACTGCACTCCAGCCTGGGCAACAGAGAGAGACTCCATCTCAAAAAAAAAAAAAGTAATTAATTAATTAATTAACTCTGCCAATCTCTGCCTTTAATTGGTGTATTTAGGCAATTTACATTTAAAGTAAATATTGATATGGTAGGGTCTCAGTCTGCCATTTTATTATTTGTTTTCTGTTCCCTGTGTTTCTCATTCCTGTGTTTCTTTGTTTGCATTTGTTTGGTCTAGTCGAATATGTTTTAAAATTCAATTTTCACTGTTCTGCAATACTTTTGAGCATATCGCCTTGTATATTTTTTTGAACACACTTGTTCTTAAATTTTTGTGGATACATAGTAGGTGTATTTATTTATGGGTTACATGAGATATTTTGATACAGGCATGCAAAACATAGTAATCACATCAGGGTTAATGGGATACCCATCACATCAAGCATTTGTCCTTTACGCTACAAACAATTCAATTATACTGTTTTACTGATTTTTAAATGTACAATTAAATCATTTTTGACTGTGTCACCCTGTTATGCTCACCTTGTACCTTTTTTTAGTGGTTGCTCTAGGTATTACAATATACATATGTAACCACCATCTTTGTTATTTAAAGATTTGGCATGAAGTGTTTGCATAACCTTACTTATGAAGTTTGCATAATCTTACTTATGTTAATATGGTTAGGAGTTAGGCTTTGTTTAAAGTTTGCTGTAGCACTAGGATTCAAAGGCTGCAATTTCCTCCAGTGTAGTTGTTTTTGTATCCTGTTTGCACTATGGGCTTCTCTAAGTATTCCCTCTCTGAGAGAGTTTTCTATGTTGCAGTTCTTTCAGCTATAATTTAATATTATTTTACTGATGCCTTGTGTTGGAAAGATGTGGGGGGAAAGAGGGCATTCTGTAATATCCCATTTAAATCTCAGTGGCTTTAGTGAGCCTATTTCTCTGGCTTCTGTTTTTGTTTTTTTCTTTTCTTCTCTTTTCTTTTCTTTTCTTTTCTTTTCTTTTCTTTTCTTCTTTTTTGAGATAGGGTCTCATTCTGTCATCCAGGCTGGAGTGCAGTGGCGCGATCACAGTTCACTGCAGCCTCAACCTCCCGGACCGAAGTGATCCTCCCACCTCAGCTTCCCAAGGAGTAGCTGAGACTACAGGCGTGTGCCATCATGCCCAGCTAATTCTTCTGTATTTTTTGCAGAGACAGGCTTTCGCTATGTTGCCCAGGCTGGTCTCAAACTCCTGGCCTTAAGTGATCCTCCTGCCTCAGCCTCCCAAAGTGCTGGGATTACAGGCATGAGCCACCACACCTGGCCCACAAGTGTCTTCTGGTATATCTTCATTCACTCCTTAGGTGAGAATGTAAAGCTAGAGGCCGTTTGAGTAACAATATCCTCCCCCATGGCTCTGGACAAGGCTCTGTAAAGTATTCCCCACGAACACTTAGCCTTTATTATGGAGAAGGTGTTACTGGAAAGGGATCCCAATCCAGACCACAAGAGAAGGTTCTTGTATCTCATGCAAGAAAGAATTAGGGGACAGTCTATATAGTAAAGTGAAAGCAAGTTTATTTAAAAAGTAAAGAAGTCTGGGCACAGTGGCTCACACCTGTAATCCCAACACTTTGGGAGGCTGAGGTGGGCGGATCACCTGAGGTCAGGAGTTCAAGACCAGCCTGGCCAACATGGCGAAACCCCATCTCCATTAAAAATACAAAAAATTAGCCGGGCGTGGTGGCAGGCGCCTGTAATCCCAGCTATTTGAGAGGCTGAGACAGGAGAATCACTTGAACCCAGGAGGTGGACATTGCAGTGAGCTTAGAAGTCACCACTGCACTCTAGCCTGGGCGACTCTCTCTCAAAACAAACAAACAAACCGTAAAGAAATAAAAGAATGGCTACTCCAAAGGCAGAGCAGCCCCAAGGGCTGCGTGTTGCCAATTTTTATGGCTATTTCTTGATTACATGGTAAACAAGGAGTGGATTATTCATGGCTCCCCCTTTTAGATCATATAGGGTAACTTCCTGACATTGTAAACTGTTATGGCACTGGTGGGAGTGTAGCAGTGAGGACAACCGGAGGTCACGCTCATCACCATCTTGGTTTTGGTGGGTTTTAGCTGGCTTCTTCACTGCAACCTGTTTTATCAGCAAGGTCTTTAAGACCTGTATCTTGTGCCAACCTCTATCTCATCCTGTGACTAAGAATGCCTTAACTTACTGGGAGTGCAGCCCAGTAGGTCTCAGCCTTTTTTTACCCAGCCCTTATTCAACCAAAATTGCTTTGCCTCAAATGCCTGGGATAAAGGCTCTGGGCATATTCCAGAATGACTATTCTTTCCTGTCAAAACCATAAAGGTATCATTCTGAAATCACTGTCAGAACCTGGTGGGATTCCTAGTGGTAAGACCATGATAGTGTGGATCCTGCATCTCCAAGAATGCAGCTCTCCAAAGTTAATTCACCCTCATACTAATCCACACTCAACCTCAAGCTATTTGTCAAAATTACAGTTTAAATTTTCTACCAGCTATGGTTCAACCAGTTTCTGTTCCTGTTAAGTGGATCTTAGCTGTGATCTACTTAGCTGAGATCTACTTAGCTGTGACTCTCTGGATTCACCTGCTTCTCAAATTTCAGGATGGTGGTTTGTCCTGACAACTCGGTTGTCTGCTGGGACCTAGAAAAATTATTGATTTTTAATTTTGTCCAATTTTATTCTGTTTGAAGGATGAGTGTGACAAATTCCAAGCACATTACATGTCAGAATAGCTTCCCGTTTCCTCAGCAATACTTGAGTATTGTCTTTAGCTCCCAAATACTTATTCTCTCTTTCTGAAGCTCTGGTGATTCAAATGTTTGATCTTTTGTTTTAATCCCACAGTTCTGTCCATTTTTGTTTACTTGTTTTTCCCTGTTTTCAGATTGAGTATATCCTATTAATCTGTACTAATGTACAGATTATGCTGCATTACTGTACATGAGTACAGTACTTATATACAGATTAATAGGATATACTCAATCTAAAAACAGGGAAAAACAAGATATAATCAGGTTCACTGATTATATAAAATATAAAACAGGGAAACACAGATATAATCAGGTTCACTGATTATATCTTCCATCATCTCCATTCTACTGTAGAGCCTGTCCAGCAAGTTATTAATTTTGTTTATCATATTTTTTAGTTTTATAATTTCCATTTGGTCCTTTCCTATAATTTCTATAACTTGCCAGGGATTTTCTTGTTTTCATTTACTTCACGGTAATCCAGACTTACTTCTTCAAGTAATTTTACATTGGCTACTTTAAAATCTTTGTGTGATACTCCCAAAATCTGACTCATTTCTGTTGGTGTCAGTTGATTGACTTTTCTTGTTTGAGTTGTGATTTCCCAGTTCTAGGTATGATGAATGATTTTTTTATTGTGTCCTGTATATTGCAAAGAGATCCTTAATCCTTTCATAGCTTCTATTTTTGCACGAAGTTGCTCTGTTAAGGTTTGGCCTGTTGGTTCTGGCATATTTTCATGGGCTGTAGTTCCAATGGCATTTCGTTTAATGAGCCTTTTCAATGCAGTTCTGGGCTTCATTGTTTTACTAACCCCACTTGAGTTCCCGATGAATTGCTGTGGGAGCTGCCTATAGAGGCAGAAGGTGCTTTCCTGGGCCACCCAGTGACATTATGTAAGAGGTGTGGGATTCAGGATCCATAGAATATAGATTATTTCCCTGGTCTCTTTTTCAGTCATCTAGTACCACTGGCCTTCCTAATCAATATCGACCAGTTTCCCCAGGAGAGGGAAGTATGTACCTGGGCCATCTGCTGCTGCTGGTTGGAGGGCCAGGAGCTACAGACCTGGCTCTCTTCTACTGGGGGAAGCGTTGGATATCTCTCTTCCACTGGGGGAAGCGTCGGGAGATTCTGCAACTGGTTCACCTTCTGTTGCAGAATAGATGTCTGGAAAATGCCAGGCCTAGTTGCTTTCTGCTATTGGGTGGAAGGGCCACAGATAACCTGGCCTGGATCTTCTGCTGCCAAGTCTATTGATACAGACAGGAGGCAGAGAAATACTGGGTAGAAGATGGCGGTTCCCCAGCAAAGGCCCCACCCTCAAGCCTGGAAACCGCAGCCCTAAATGAGAACGGTTATCCCTGTTTTCCCGCCCGAATGCTGCTTTTTCCAAAACCACCCTTGCTCGCCATGCCCCCTATCCTGTACCCATTAAAACCCCAAACTCCACTGGCAGAAGAGCAGAGCAGTGCAGCAGAGAAGGAGAGAAGAGAACAAGGGGCCGAATGTCTAGAGGAGAAGAGGCAACTGAGCATCAGAGACTACAATAGATGTGGCTTGACTTCAGATGGCAGGACTTTGGGGAGGAGCCCGGAGATGACCAGGCTTCAGGGGAGATCACCTTCTCAGCTCCCCTTCAGCTGAGAGCCACTTCCACCGCTTAATAAAGTCTCCACGTTCACCTTCCTTGAAGTCCCTGTGACCTGATTCTTCCTGGACACTGTAGAAATACCCAGGTACAAAGAGGGCAGGGTGTAACAGACTGTCACCCTGACTCCCCACTGAGCTGGTTAACATTTAGCCATCCACAGACGGCAACCGCTAAAAGAGCATTAATTGTAACACACCCCTAGTCACTGCCACGGGGCCAGGGCTCAAAAGTGCTCACCCCAGCCTGGCACCCGCTTGCCTATGTGCTCTCCCCCCTACTACAAGAGGTTTGAGCTTGGAGGCAGAGCAAAATGAGCCACCCCACCCCCACACTCCATCACAAGGCCCAGAGGGGGTCAGGAGGGAACTGTCAGGTCTCACTATGTCTGGACGGTTCTTTTCCCTTGGATGAAGACTAGGGAGACAATGGCCTTGGATTACTTTCTGCCACTGAAGGGAGGGCCCAGAGGAAATGAGGCTTGTTGGCATCACCTGTGCATGTGGAACCACCCACCTGTAATCAGCCTGTGAAGGTCACTGGGTGAGTTGGCCCTCTGGGGATTAGCTGTAGCTGCAGGGAAATAAGACATGCTGTTTCCTTCATTTTGGGATGCAGAGTGGGTTATTCTGCCCACCAGGCCATGAATACCCGTTGCAGCTGCTGCTGATTGGTTGATTAACTGAATATTTATTTTTTTGAAATAGAAAAAATTATGTGTGGGCCACTTTCACATCCAGTCACGACTGTGATGAAATAACTTGTTACAATCCTACTCACTACAGGGAAAAAGTAAAAAAGCTCGATGAAAGAAAAAAATGGGCCAGGTGTGGTGGCTCGTGCCTGTCATCCCAGCACTTTGGGAGGCCAAGGCGGGAAGATCATTTGAGGTCAGGAGTTTGAGAGCAGCCTGGCCAACATGGTGAAACCCTGTCTCTACTAAAAATACAAAAAATTAGCTGGGAGTGGTGGCAGGCACCTGTAATCCCAGCTACTCCGGAGGCTGAGACAGGAGAATCACTTGAACCCAGGAGGTGGACGTTGCAGTGAGCTTAGATGGCACCACTGCGCTCCAGCCTGGGTGACAGAAAGAGGCTCTGTCTCTAAAAAAATAAAAAGAAAAGAAAAGAAAATTTTACTTGAAGGCATCAGAGAACTTATTTTGTGTCCAGGACATCAGAGTGGAAGAATCTGGAGGTTAGAGAAACTCACTGAGGGGAATTCAACTATCTTGTGCTGCTTTTTCCCTCAGATAATTTGCTGAATCCCAAACTGCCTGTGTGAGAGGACATCATTCCATATGCAAAACATTAGCTAAGAGGTAGAGAAGACATCAGCTCTTCAGGAAACTCACGGGGCTATGGAAACAAAACTTAGAGTTCAGACAACCAAACTTGTGAATATTTGAGAAGTCAAGATCTCAGGAAAAAGAAAAGCAGACAAAAGTGAGACCAATATGGGGTGGTTTTCTTCCTAAAGGCATTTGTCCACACTTAAGCTACAGAAAACATGTGACTAAGAAGCTCAGCAGACATCACTTAAAAGTCTCAACAGATTTCTCAGAAGTCCCCAGGCATCAGAGAACTTATTTTGTGTCCAGGACATCCCCTTTGACCTTCCCTATGATATGACACAGTATAAAAGCCCACACCAGAAGCCAAGCAGATTCCAGCACCATGCCCCTTGAGCTTCCCAGCCTGCAGAGACATGAGCTAAGTAAGCCTCTTTTCTTTATAAATTACCCAGTCTCAGATATTCTGCTATACCGAATGGACTAAGACATCAATCAAATGGATACACTGAAACATGGAGAAATGAAAATTTTAAACCTGAAACTAAGAACTCAATATTTGAGTTTAACTGAGTACTGGAAACAGAAGAATAGAAGGAGAGGGAAAGGCCAAACAGGAATCACACATACGTGTAAAGTTTGTTCCTGAGACATCACAGATACACCACCTGCATAGAAGGGGCAAGGACAAATAATGGTGAACATGGTAGCTAATACCTATGGCAACTAATACCAATACCAGCACTGTGTGATGGACACTGTCTGGACTCCATTATCCAGAGACAGAATATACGTGTCACATATGTTCAAATCATTACATGAAATATGCCTCACACTGTGCTGAGCAAACAACAGACCTCTTTCCCTTCCTCTGTTGATGTGTCCCATGGTGATTTTGGGAATCTTCAGAAGTGGTTATGACCAGTGGCACAGGGAAAAACTAATATCCCATGAAGTCACCAATCAGAATGCTGAGTAAACCACGTGGCCCCTCCTATTTGAGCTCCTAGTCCCTCATACATAACATGGATATAATGCCAAATTCTTGCTTTGCAGAACTGTTGTGAGTACTGAACAATGTAGCAGGTTAAAAAAAAAGGTTGCCTGAACACAGTATGTGGCTCAATTACTATGAATTTATTCCCTTCAGTCCATATTCAATCCTTGCTCCTGACTGTGTTTTTGATTCTAGGAGTTCTACTCCTCTCTCACTGGCTTTGTTGATTGCTGACCCAATAGCCTTTCCCACCAATATCAGGTGGTAAAAACACTGATTTTGTTCAAGGAAGCAATCTGTCCAATCATGGGGGGCCCCCTTAAGATTCTTCTAATCATGGATATCACAATCCCCTTTGTCCAATGATGGTTTTCAACCTCCCTTGCAGCTAGTAGTGGATATGGGACCCAGTTCTGCCCAGTGAGGTGTACAGGGAGTGTCTGGGAGGCTTCTGTAGAAAAAGACTGTTTCTTAAAAAGGACAGATGTGAAAGAAGAGAATGGTGATACTTGGAATGTAACAGAGATGCCTGGAGCCATGCTATGACAAGCATGAAATCAATAGAGTCAACTTGTTGAAAATGGTGAAGCAGTATGGAAGCCTTGATGTTTTGTGGGTCTCTGAGCAGCTGAATCAGGACACGTGTACTTTCAACCTTCTTATCACAGAAATTAAAAGAATGAGGCCAGGTTGATCATTGGCTTTAAACTTTAATTTAAACTCATTTGAAGGTAGTTTTAGAAATACTAATGCTCTGGCTCCATATCCAGAAACTCTGATTTCAGCAGTCTATATTGTGATGGCTTTGGACATTTTAAAAAAACATTCTGTTTTAAACACTGTCAAGCAGACACATGACAAGCTATTATGTGATAAAGAACCTACATATAGATCACGCTCCACTTCAACAGTCATAAACTCTTGGTCAATCTTATTCATCTATACCCACTAACTTCCCCCACCCCTCCAGCTTAGCTTCATGGAAATTCCAGACATCCTATCAGTTAACCCATATATACTGCTGAATATATCTGTCAGAGAAAAAGACAACTTAAAAACACTACTTAAAAATATAATGTATGCCATTATCATGCCTAAACAATAATGAAGAAGTGCCAAATATCTTCAATATTTATTCACAGATAATATTTCTCTTATTGTGTCATAAAGGCTAATTTTTTCCTTTGAGTTTTTCAACTCCAGACCCCATTTAGTCTCACGCATTGTAACTGGTTGTTATGTCTGTTAATCTTTGGTAAAATCCACTCTCTCCCTCTCTTTCTTTTGAGAAATGAGTCCTTTATTCTATAATGTCTCCCACATGCTGGGTTTTGCTGATTTCTTTTCATTGACATTGTTTAACGCACTCCTGTTTCCTATCTTTCCAGTAAATTCAGAGTTAGATCTAGAGTCTCCATCATATTTAGCTTGATATTTTAGCAAAAATACCTCAGAGGCAGAGTTGCATAAATCCATCAGGGGATGCATAGTGAATGATTGTCTGTCCTTTGCAATGGGAGCAGATATTGGTGGTCATTGCCTAGATCACTTGTGTCATTTGAGGCTTACTGTGAAGATTATTAACTTCTGTCTATCCTTCTTTGTTAGACAGAAATCTTCTCTGATAAGAAACTTCTCTCATCCCCTACTTGGTAATCAAGTATTATAGTTTATATGCCAAACACAGTTAACTGTTTCAATTTTTGCCTCTGTTTACCCAGTTTCAAAATAATGAATTTATTCCCTAGCATCTAATATTTTTTAGATATTTTTCTTTATTTTTAATTGCCTAATAAAAGTTGTATTGTGTACAACATGTTGTTTTAATTATGTATTCATTGTGGAATGGCTAAATTGGGCTAATTAACATACGAATTACCTCACTACTTATCATTTTTTTGTGGTGAAAATACTTATAATCTATTGTCTTTTTTTTTTTTTTTTTTTTGAGATGGAGTCTTGCTGTGTCGCCCAGGCTGGAGTGCAGTGGTGCGATCTCAGCTCACTGCAACCTCTGCTTCCCGGGTTCAAGTGTTTCTCCTACCTCAGCCTCCTGAGTAGCTGAGATTACAGGCGCATGCTGCCATGCTGGCTAATTTTTGTATTTTTAGTAGAGACGGGGTTTCACTATGTTAGCCAGGCTTGTCTTGAACTCCTGACCTCAAGTGATCTGCCCGCGTCGGCCTCCCAAAGTGTTGGGATTATAGGCATGAGCCACCACGCCCAGCCATAACCTATTCTCTTAGCAATTTTCAAGACCTAGAATTTTATGATGGAGGAAATGATATTTTCCTTTAGAGCTAACTATGCACTCAAAATTCAATTGTATTTGAATGCATGTCAGTTATTATTTTTATTGACACTAAAATTTTCCCCACATGATGCAAACTTCCCATCTGAATCTGCCTACTAGAACACAGGGGCAGTCACAAAGCAGGTGCTTAGCAAATGTGTGTTCAAAGTATATCAAATGACTTAGTGAGGTATGTCGACATCATACTTGATTGTTTTATTATAACATTACTGTTCTGGTCCTTCCACCAGATGTTTAAAACTGACATTACCACTTTGCTGTCTTTGGCATTATTCAGGTATTACTGCATTTGGAGACAGAAAAACTAAGACTCACTCTCCTTTACTGGATCTTCCTACTTATTAGGGAACAAGTGACCTCCACTAGGCTCATAGATTTGATTATCTTTTGGCTTGCAAAATTCATTTCTTCACATTACCATTAATTATCATTCACGCTGTTTGCTCTATGCTAGTCTATGCAGTCACCTGCTATTGCTCTACTTCCCAGCGACTTGTACAGCTCAAATTAGCTTGTTCCCTAACATACTTCCTCTTTACTGTAGTACCAGAGCTCCTATGATTGTAGTTTGTCAATAAATCACCAAGTTCCTCTTCTCTGCTTCTTAATCTCTATGTTTTTTATTTTCCATTATGGGTGTGCATTTTGAGGACTAATAAGTGTTTGGGCCTTGGCCACATCAAAGAATATTTTGTGACCAGCCTTTTTTTCCCTCAAACTTCAATTTTCTGATTGCTAACATGGATCTAGGAGTTTGCTCTCCTGTGTTATTGTATGCAAATTCTGGGATGTGTAAGACATATATGCACATGTTTACTTGGTGACTTAGTCCATTAGTACTACTATAACAAAATACCTGAGACCACATAATTTATAAAGAGCAAAAATTTGTTTTTCACAGTTCTGGAAGCTGAAAGTCCAAGATCAAGGTGTGGGCATTGCAAGAATTGGGGACTGCCTCAGAATGGATAATATGGTTTGGCTCTGTGTCCCCACCCAAATCTCATCTTGAATTATAATAATCTCCATGTGTCATGGGAGGGACCCAGTAGGAGGTAATTGAATCATGGGGGTGGGATCTTCCCATGCTGTTCTCGTGATGGTGAATAAATCTCACAAGAGCTGATGGTTTTATAAAGGGCACTTTCACTACACATGCTGTTTCTCTTGCCTGCCACCATGTAAGACGTGTCTTGCTTTCCCTTCACCTTCTGCCATAATTGTGAGGCCTCCCCAGGCGTGTAGAACTGTGAGTCAATTAAACTTCTTTCCTTTATAAAGTACCCAGTTTTGGGCATGTCTTTATTAGCAGCATGAGAACAGAGTAATACAATGGAGATACAATTTTTCCCTTTTAACCTCAAACTTGAGCTGTATTTGGGTAAGGTATTCTCATGCTTGGATATCAGACATTTCAGCCCTAGCTAAGATTTCTGTCCCATACTTTCCTGTGGTAGTGGTAGGTACTGGTATTTGAAAATGATGAAGTTTCTTAAGTGACATATAATTCCCATCTCTGTGGTTCTTTGTAGCTTCCACACATCCTTGCATCTAGCACCCCAGGGCCATACCTATGAATGTGGGTTCACCTCTTAGATCAGAAAATTGAGGCAGATAGTGGTTAAGAAAATTAAACAAAACACAAGATTACATATGGTAAGTCTTGCATTTGAACCCCAGCCATGTGACACTTGTACAAGTCAGTGTTTGGTTGATGTTAACAGAATGTACTCTGTTAATTAGCACAGGGACTAACATGGGGAGTTAGGGGTTTATAAATAGTATACTTCTAGGGTTCAGAGCAACAGGTTGTTTTGTTTTGTTTTGTTTTGTTTTTTCCCGACCTCTCAGAATAATTACCACAATCATACAGCACAGTTGACTCTCAAGTAGGGCTGCCGCCTCTTTCACAGTTGAAGAGTTGGGGAATCAGGAGGCTTCCACTGCAACTGCAGGTTCTTGGCAAACAGTACCTTAGTTGATCTCCTGGAAACAGGAAACTCCACCAGAAGTGTTGGCCCAAGGGAGATATTTTTCCCAGCTAGGTCTATACCTCCAAGTTATGCTTGCCTTACCTCACATTTCTCTACACTTAGATTGGCTTTAAGTGGAATCTGTCTAAGGTGCATCAGATTGACAGAAGGTAAAACACATTTGGAATCCCAGCAGCAAAACTCTAGGAAATGGAGGCTTAAGCTTTCTAGCCATCTCAGCACAGAGAAGCTTATTTGTGAATGGGGCTGGAACATACGCCAAGAGAACCAATATAAGGCACAGTGTTCTTAACTCTATGTTCACTAGCTCCTCAATATTTTTCTGTTCTCCTCCTTTCAGCCTACCATACACCACTGTTACCTAAACCTGGATGAAACTTAAGACTCTGCTTGTGCCCCAAGTTGCTCAGTGATGCTAGATGTAAGATGGGGAAAGAGAGGAATCTCAAAACCTAAACATATTATGTCCTCCAGTCTAGTGCTGTTTTGGTTTACCTAAATTCTTTAAAAAATAATTTTATTACTCCCAAATCAGCCACCTCCCCCATACCATAAGGGCCTATTATAAATCTTCCCCTATTCATCATTTTTCTTATTTTAGTCTTCCTTCACAATTTCCAGTCTCCTACTTCAGGAAAGAAACACAAATCCTCATGAAAGAACTACAGTGAATTATCCTTTCTCTCTTAAATTTATTATATTTCCATTCTTTCCAGATAATCTAAGATTTAACCTTCTTCCTCTATTTGTGATTTAACTCTGCCAAATCTCCCTATTCCTTTCTTTATATATATATATAATAGATGATACAAGCCAGTGTGGTCTTAGAATCATATTGTCTGTGTTTGAACTCCAAGTCCGCTATTTACTAGCTATGTGACGTTGAGTAATCCCTGGCCTCTCTGAATGTTATTTTCTTATCTGTAAAACAGTGATAAGATTACCTTCTTCAAAGGATGATAGGGAAAATTAAATGAGAGAATCCATATAAAATAATTGAAATATGATCTACGCTTAGGAAGCACTCAATAAAATTGACTATCAGATAGATACAATTCAACTATGAAATACAGGCAGAGAATAGAGAGAGCATTTATGCAAAGAAAAAATCTGTTTATTTTAAATCATATTGATGGTGGTGGTACTGAGACAACTATATGTGTAGGTGGGATAAATCAAATGAGTAATTATTTTATTTTCTAATTCTATCTATCTTTCCATGTTATCATTGAGAACCAGTATTCCTGGTTTGGCAAACATTTGTATAATTGGTCTGGTACATCTTGTCAAACCATATAATAAATAAACCATCAAGGACTACTAGCATAGTCTCAAAAGTGTTCAGAACTCAACCAGAAGAGGCACTGGCAAATGATCATCAATAAGTATAGTAAGCAAAATTTATCAAAATGCCTCAAATATATGTAAATCCAATAATTCACAATTATCCCTTTTAAAATCCTTATTTGTCATGTGTGTAGGATTCTAGGGAACCAACTCATTATTTTTTAAAGCTCCTAAATAACACGAAAGAATCAAGCACTTTTCCTGCATTTCCTTTGCAATCTATATCTGAAAGTAACAAAACTGTTGAAGGTAAATTTTTTGGAACAGCACTCCAGTTAATAAAAACAGAAAGAATGACAGAAGTGCAATATCACAATTTTGCAACCTCTAATGATATGTCTCTAAACAAGTATCAATAATTGTGGCTAACTGTAAAAAGAGTCACAACCCGACCTCATGTGCCTCTTGATGGAAATAATCAAAATTCCCTTGAAGTATTCTTGTTAAAAAATTGCACCTGAATCTGATCAAGCTCATAGATTTAATTATTGATAAACAGGAAATACAGAGAACAAAGGAATATTCTAAACTCTACCATAGACATACAGTCAGCAAAGCTGAGAATGTAAAAAAACAAAAAAACAAACAAAAAAACCTCTCTACCAGTCACATCATCCACTTTCCTCAATAAATAAATGACATGAAAAAGGGGAAGATAGGTTGGGTATCCAGAGATAAAAAAGACTTAAAAGAAATATCAAAAAAGCAGGCCAAATTGAACTGTAGTGTCTGAGTGTACACATTTGTGTAATAAAACTATACGGAAAATCGTATAGGTTATTACCATAAATGTCACAATAGCAGTTACATTGAGAGGTGGAGGAAGTCATTTGTGATTGAACAGGGCACAAGGAAGCCTTCTGGGCTGGCTGGCAAATTTCTCTTGACTTGGATGGTTGTTACAAGTGTGTTTCCTTTCTCATAAGTCAATAACCTATAATTTTTAATGTGACTTTCTGTGTTTGTGCTATATTTTACAATAAAAAAGATTTTTAAAGGAGGAAAAAGATTGAATTAAGCAATGGTTGGATATCACCTACACTCTTTTTTAAATTTTCCTCTTTGGTGAGGAAAATTCTCTCATTTACTGATGAACTCTTAGGCAGAAAGACTGGAGACAAGCATCCCATCACACAAACCAAAAGATTTTTGTCCAAGGCCAATCTCTCTGGACACAATCTGGTCAGTGCTTCTCTCTCTTGCGTTGAACTGCCTCCCCTGGAACCTCATGAATGATGGATTATGAGGACATTCACAGACTATTTCTGACTTCTCCTTTATCGTTCTAACAGTGAAGTATCCTCTGTTCTCTGAGATATCACTAAGTAGCAGTCATACCAATATGTTCATGACCAATGCATTCGACCCAGGTGAAGGAAAAATCCCAGATGTCTCCTGCTTCCTTGCATGAATTACCTTATGTGAACACGGCTGCCAAAACCTTGACAGGTTCTCCCAGAAATGTCCATTCTAGGTTCACACAATGTCCAAGAAGGCTCCAGCACTTGTGTGGAGGGTCTCTCTGCACATTCTACCTCTCAGTTCTTCCTGTTTATTGTGAATAGGTGTGCACATTCTCTTTATGTCACTGTAAATAATTAATCCATAACCGGAGGCAAAAAGAATGAAGGTGTGGAAACAGTACAGAGCTAGTATAATAGTGGCAGCCCCAGAGTGAAAACATCAAGGGTCCAAGTCTGTCTTTTTTCCTACCCCTAAAGTCTGGAGAACACAATTCTCAAGTTATAATCAGGTACTTGGTTTTATAATATTTTGCTTTGTTGTTGGATTTAAATATCCAACTATGAGGCCAGGCGTGGTGGCTCATGCCTGTAATCCCAGCACTTTGGGAGGCCGAGGCAGGTGGATCACCTGAGGTCAGGAGTTCAAGACCAGTCTGGCCAACATGGTGAAACCCTGTCTCTACTAAAAATATATATTAAGAAAAATTAGCTGAGCTTGGTGGCGGACGCCTGTAATCCCAGCTACTCAGGAAGCTGAGGCAGGAGAATTGCTTGAACCCAGGAGGCAGAAGTTGCAGTGAGCTGAGATCATGCCACTGCACTCCAGCCTGGGCAACAAAAGTGAAACTTTGTCTCAAAATAAAAAAATAAATCCATCTATGTGACACCATCTTGTACTAAGCAGATTGTTTGGACTGAATAGTCTTTCTAGGTATGTCACAAAACCTGAATTCATAAAAGCAAAAGGTGACAGATTTGAGTACATGAAGACTAAAAACAGATTCAGAGAATAAGTTTGTATTTTCTATGTCAGTTTGCACTAAATTAATTTACAAACAAGGTCGCTGAGGCTTTGACTCAACTGTTAACACTTTCTGAGAGTGAGATTCTTTTGATTAGGGTCTTAAGGTCTTTGTTCATCTCAGAAGTCTTAATTGGTTTAATTAGGCTGACACCTACAGCCCTGTCTCATTACCATAAACTGTAGAGGGGTTCAACATGACACTGATTGTTTCTTAGAGCAAAGCCAGTGCAGTGAGTAGGATTCCAGGCCCCCCGGAATGAAGCAGGAAAACCCGAGGCCTGTGGATGCAGGATGTACTAGGGAGGTGCTGGGGAGTAGTGCAGATAAACCCAGAATTCAGTTGGTTGGTAAAACAAGAGTGATCTGAGTCCTGTGCTTGTCTACGTGATCCACCATTGAATGGCAGGCCAGCCATTGTGCAGGCATCTGCATATGAAGTGACTGGAAGCTTCACTGGAACAAGGATCTCCTTGGAAATTCTCTCCCCTCAGACAGCCAGGGTGCTTAACATGAAAAGAAGTTGTAACCCTATCCTTAAACTATAGAAGCCATCAGCAGAAGTTACAGGCTTATGGGGGCCCACTGGAAAGGGAAAATCAAAAGGCCTGTGGATTTCAAATTAATGAGTGATCTTAAGTTGCATTTCCTAAGTTCGGCTACAGACTCATATATTTCATGAGTCCCTCCCTACCCATTCCTTGCCTCTCCCTTCAGTTGCTGGGTTTCTGAATTTCTGTATAGTTAACCCTTATCTTGCCTCCCATTTGTTCAATAGAAATGATCACTTTTACTTGAATCTTTTGGTAGAATTGTATACCATGTGTTCCTGTCTAGGTTTAATCATCAGATTGTGGTCAAATTGCTCTGCCAGACTGTGTGAACAAAAAAGTGAATGGAAATTTTCGTTTTAAAAAATAATACTTTTGGACTTAGCCCGTGGCTAAGAAGAAGTAAGGAAGCCAAGCGTACGGATAGCAGCGAGGGGTCAATCCACGCCCGGCGTTGGGTCGGGGGTGGAGGAGTCGGAAGTGGTTGGGGTTTGGGGGAGGAGATCCGCTCACACACAAGAGGAGAGTGTTGAGCCGCCATATCTGCTGCTGCCGCCGCAGTTGCGAATGCAGCATCGGCGCTTAGCTGCCTCCGCGGTGCAGCTAAGGTTCGTGTCGCTACCCCTTGGCCCTTCGCTCTTGCTGCCTTAACCCCGCCGGCGGAGCCCGCTCTTCTGGCCTGTTGAGCCCGCTCCCTCACTGCCACACAGCAAGTTCCGAGACCATGGATTCGGGCAGCAGCAGCAGCGACTCGGCGCCCGATTGCTGGGACCAGGTGGACATGGAATCCCCGGGGTCGGCCCCGAGCGGGGATGGAGTCTCCTCTGCGGTGGCCGAGGCCCAGCGCGAGCCCCTCAGCTCGGCTTTCAGCCGTAAGCTCAACGTCAACGCCAAGCCCTTCGTGCCTAACGTACACGCCGCGGAGTTCGTGCCGTCCTTCCTGCGGGGCCCGACTCAGCCGCCCACCCTCCCGGCCGGCTCCGGCAGCAACGATGAAACCTGCACCGGCGCGGGATACCCTCAAGGTAAAAGGATGGGACGGGGGGCACCTGTGGAACCTTCCCGAGAGGAACCGTTAGTGTCGCTTGAAGGTTCCAATTCAGCCGTTACCATGGAACTTTCAGAACCTGTTGTAGAAAATGGAGAGGTGGAAATGGCCCTAGAAGAATCATGGGAGCACAGTAAAGAAGTAAGTGAAGCCGAGCCTGGGGGTGGTTCCTCGGGAGATTCAGGGCCCCCAGAAGAAAGTGGCCAGGAAATGATGGAGGAAAAAGAGGAAATAAGAAAATCCAAATCTGTGATCGTACCCTCAGGTGCACCTAAGAAAGAACACGTAAATGTAGTATTCATTGGCCATGTAGACGCTGGCAAGTCAACCATCGGAGGACAGATAATGTTTTTGACTGGAATGGTTGACAAAAGAACACTGGAGAAATATGAAAGAGAAGCTAAGGAAAAAAACAGAGAAACCTGGTATTTGTCCTGGGCCTTAGATACAAATCAGGAGGAACGAGACAAGGGTAAAACAGTCGAAGTGGGTCGTGCCTATTTTGAAACAGAAAGGAAACATTTCACAATTTTAGATGCCCCTGGCCACAAGAGTTTTGTCCCAAATATGATTGGTGGTGCTTCTCAAGCTGATTTGGCTGTGCTGGTCATCTCTGCCAGGAAAGGAGAGTTTGAAACTGGATTTGAAAAAGGTGGACAGACAAGAGAACATGCGATGTTGGCAAAAACGGCAGGGGTAAAACATTTAATAGTGCTTATTAATAAGATGGATGATCCCACAGTAAATTGGAGCATCGAGAGATATGAAGAATGTAAAGAAAAACTGGTGCCCTTTTTGAAAAAAGTAGGCTTCAGTCCAAAAAAGGACATTCACTTTATGCCCTGCTCAGGACTGACCGGAGCAAATATTAAAGAGCAGTCAGATTTCTGCCCTTGGTACACTGGATTACCATTTATTCCGTATTTGGATAACTTGCCAAACTTCAACAGATCAATTGATGGACCAATAAGACTGCCAATTGTGGATAAGTACAAAGATATGGGCACTGTGGTCCTGGGAAAGCTGGAATCCGGGTCCATTTTTAAAGGCCAGCAGCTCGTGATGATGCCAAACAAGCACAATGTAGAAGTTCTTGGAATACTTTCTGATGATACTGAAACTGATTTTGTAGCCCCAGGTGAAAACCTCAAAATCAGACTGAAGGGAATTGAAGAAGAAGAGATTCTTCCAGGATTCATACTTTGTGATCCTAGTAACCTCTGCCATTCTGGACGCACGTTTGATGTTCAGATAGTGATTATTGAGCACAAATCCATCATCTGCCCAGGTTATAATGCGGTGCTGCACATTCATACTTGTATTGAGGAAGTTGAGATAACAGCGTTAATCTCCTTGGTAGACAAAAAATCAGGAGAAAAAAGTAAGACACGACCCCGCTTCGTGAAACAAGATCAAGTATGCATTGCTCGTTTAAGGACAGCAGGAACCATCTGCCTCGAGACGTTCAAAGATTTTCCTCAGATGGGTCGTTTTACTTTAAGAGATGAGGGTAAGACCATTGCAATTGGAAAAGTTCTGAAATTGGTCCCAGAGAAGGACTAAGCAATTTTCTTGATGCCTCTGCAAGATACTGTGAGGAGAATTGACAGCAAAAGTTCACCACCTACTCTTATTTACTGCCCATTGATTGACTTTTCTTCATATTTTGCAAAGAGAAATTTCACAGCAAAAATTCATGTTTTGTCAGCTTTCTCATGTTGAGATCTGTTATGTCACTGATGAATTTACCCTCAAGTTTCCTTCCTCTGTACCACTCTGCTTCCTTGGACAATATCAGTAATAGCTTTGTAAGTGATGTGGACGTAATTGCCTACAGTAATGAAAAATTAATGTACTTTAATTTTTCATTTTCTTTTAGGATATTTAGACCACCCTTGTTCCACGCAAACCAGAGTGTGTCAGTGTTTGTGTGTGTGTTAAAATGATAACTAACATGTGAATAAAATACTCCATTTGAAACTCTTCGGTTATTTGAAATGCTTTTGAATAATGTTTAAATGTCATTATGTAATGCTATTCAATTAGCTTTATTACTTTCTCAAATAGTTGAATATGTTCTATCACTTAAAAACTTAAAAACTCTTCACCACTTACTGTTTTAAGTGAGGAATTTACAAACAATGCATAAGTGTGTATTAAAGGAATAATTTTAATTTTGAGAAAAAAACGTATGTTAAGGCTCTTCCCAGTGGGCTTTGTTTTCTCTGTCCAAGTCCAGTCAATAAAGGAGCTCTTCTGCTTCCCCACTTGTGATTTGAAAATGAAAGGCTCAGGCCGTCTTTATTTGTATAGCAGTAGTTCATGTAACATTATCCATAGGTTCTTGAAGACTACAACATTAAGCAAAACAATGTACAGCAGGTGTACATCGTACAACAATGCACAATGTATGACATTGTTCAATGTTGTTATGACATTGTTCAATGTTGTTATGACATTGTTCAATGTTGTTATGACCTTGTTCAATGTTGTTTAGTTATGACATTGTTCAATGTTGTTTAGTTATGACATTGTTCAATGTTGTTTAGTTATGACATTGATAAGGGGAAAAATTCATTTTGTTAGATGTTATTTCACTTGAAGTCACAATTTCCAAGAACCAGTGGACTATGTTAAGTGAGGACTTACTGTATTCCATCAGGTCCCATCACGTTAAGCATGGCCAAATTATAGGAGATTTGGACCATAGGTTTACAAGACTCTTTATTTTTTTAAAAGACAGGGTCTCACTCTGTCACCCAGGCTGGAGTGCAGTGGTGCAGTCATGGCTCACTGCAGCCTCAACCTCCCAGGCTCAAGCAATCCTCCCATCTCAGCCCCCCAAAGTGGTGGGATTACAGGCGTGAGCCACTGTGCCCAGCCTTGGCTAGACTCTTAACTGTACTCCATCATCTTAACAAACACAGCTCTTGGTTTTGTTCACCATGAAACTTGTGATATGGGTCACAACCCAATAAGGGGTATGGCTATTGAGAAGATAAATGCTTGCAATGGGGCCTTTGGTCATTGAGTAAAAACTAAGGATTAGTGACTCCTGGGCTGGGAAATGAGATGATGTCACCTTTGTCTCTTTCATGCTTGGGTTGATAGGAAAGGTGGGAAGTCATTTTTAAATTCAGATCATGACCTACACTTGGGGTCAGAGGCACTGGATACTTCTCTGAACAACTTCTTGAGGAAAACACCAATTATGGATTCTGAGGTGGCTACATTTATTGGCAAGAGAGTGGCCTTATAACCTGCAAATAACTGTCAACAACTAAAGAACCTTCTGTCTTATTAAGTGGGTAGTGCCTTAGGCACAGCAGTATACCTGGAGAGAGAGACAGTTTGCTTTGCTGTCAAACCTCATACTCATGAGCTAGTTGAATAGGTGTGGGGACTGCTGGCACAACACCCTGGGCTCATTCATGCTCAGGTAAAGGCAATGTATCCTTCTACATTGTCCCTTTGTGTGTACATGTACCTCCAGGGTGTCTAACCTGTCAGAGATAGCCACACTGGTCTTGTTGGAGCATCAGTATTTTGGCTGTACTGCCCATAGGTCTTCAGGGCACCCATGTGGGAAATGAGGATTTTTATTTTGTCATACATAAGCTAACCTAATCCACACGGATGTGCCTCATACGTCTTGGACCCAGTTTTTTAATCATTAGAATGTCAATGGCAAGAGTTTTATTTTTATCATAAGAGCTCTATGCACTGAACCTCATACAAAATACAAACCATCCAGTACTTGGTAAGTTTTGCCCTGGAAGCCACTTTATAAGCAATTATTTTTGCTGCTGCATCAATCTCATTGTTTTGTAATTTTAGTGATTTACCAGTAGTATTTTGTGGCTGTGTTCCACTGATAGGCCAAAACCACAAGCCAGGACAGAACTCTTTGTCTCCATCCAATTTGGATGATTTCCCATCAAAAACTGGCTCCTAAATGTCTTTCTCATTAGCCAATTGTTTAGCAATTTCCCTACCAGACATTCTGAACTGTTTATATATAAATACAAAAACCTTCAGAGAAAAAGACAATTTTTGGAAATAGATTTTAGAAACCAATTATTTGCATTTCAGTGAGAAGCAGATCATCCAGGTGCTTGGAGATACTGGACTGTCTCTTTAACAAAGTAGATACAAATTCGTGGTAACATTTCTTTCTAACTTCCTGGATACATTTCTTTATAGTTGTTGATATCTGATGGTGTTCTCCAATACTCCAAATTGGGGCCATTCACAGAGTACTAGTTTCCCTAGGGCATCCAACTATTTATAAAAACCATGTTCAGGGCAGTTTCCTTTCAGAGATCCCCTATTTCCTCTAATTCAGGTCAGTTTGATTTAACTGTCCTCAGAGTTTCATCTCCAATTCCTAGCAGCCAAGATAATATGGAATCTTCTCAAATCTGGTTGCATACTGTAAGTACTTTATGAGGTTCCTACTTCAGGCTTTCTCAGTGTCTACCCATTTGTTCTTGGCAATTTTTCTCCCAATTTTCCTTCTTTATTCCTCTGGTCATTATGGGACAAGTCTGAGGAGATTTAAGGAAAGGGGCCAACTTATTCTATACTTCAGCAAAGACCTGAAAAGGAAAAAAGGGGGAATGTTTGGGCTGGATAGAAGGTAGTAGACCACATTGCTCACTTTGAGCATCTTTCCCTAGTACCTAGGAAAAACAGCCAGTGCTTTTACTATCCACTAAAGCCTCTGTTCCTGTCCTCAAAAGACAAATCCTCTCTCAAAATAGACCCTCCTTTCACAATATCATGATTTTGATTCATTGCAGTGCAAGAACTTGCCCTTTTTATCATTTACTTATAAACATTTTGCGGTATACATACTCATTTTAGTAAAATGGGGCTGTAAACAAACTATCCAACAACCACATAAGTTCTGTCAAAACCTGAGCATTTGAGTTGCTCCAGTGCCTGTTTTCATGTCCAATATTACTCTTTCTATATTTTCTGTTAAGACAATTGCCATTTTTTTTATTTTTCTAGTTTTCAGTTACAGCATCTACTCATTGGCCATTGAGAGGAAGGAGAATTTGAACCAAGGCTTCTCCCCAGGGACACCACTGGTTACTTCCACAGAATGGGGAAAGTGAACTTACCTTAGAATTTGGGAGAGGCTTTTTCAAAACACCTCGTGTGTGTGTGTGTGTGTGTGTGTGTGTGTGTGTGTGTGTGTGTGTTCAGCAAATAACCAAAATCAGCAAGGGAAAGGGAAAAGAAAAGAAGAACCTGCTAAATGAACATGCCATGTATCAGAACAAACAGAAGGGAACAAAAGCTCTACTTACATACAGAAGACACAGCTTACAACGCTACACTACAGATCCTGTAAAATACTGAATATTGGCCCCCCACACAGTTCAGTCCTGCACTAGACTATGCCAGACTGTTTTAGAGAAAATTTATCTAAATTCTAGAGAGATTCTCTTTTCCCACACTTAGCCTTTAAAAATTGTATGATTTCTTTCTATAAATCAGTGTTGATAAAAGCTTCAGGCTTTAAGACTCAGACATCAAACAAAAGGGATTTCTGCAAAGCCCCTTGTTTTCTACTTGGATTAATATTAAACACTAATACTAAATTTGCATAAACATAATTTGCAGACATTTCTCAGCCCTCTAAAGAAGATGTGTCTCTCTTTGATTGCTGAACTTTTTCCAAAGTCCAAGCAGATAATATTGAAACTTGGCCTTGGTTTTGGCATACAAGTACAGAAAAAGATTTGTTCATAGTCAGGCTGCTGTACACAATCATGTCGTTACGTCTCTCACGTGGTAAGATATATATACAAAATATATGCAATTATAGCCCTTCTTTCACATTTGGGGCATTGAGTAAAGGGCCTCCTCTATTCTCTAACAGAAACTTAGATGAATTATCTCCTCCTGAGACTTCTTTTACTTGTTCTATGGCAGTGTAACAGTGACCTTTTGCCAAACCAATAAATTCACAAAAGAAGGACACTTTGTCACACGGCAAGTGACCAAAAAATACCCCAAGTAGCTTCTGTGGGTTTAGCTGGCAGTTCCTGGATTCAATTTTAGTGTTTGATCTCCACCCTTGAATCTCTTTTTTGTCTCTTCTTTAATTGATGCTTCTATCACTTTCTAAACTGTCTTAATTTATTTTGCCAGTTTGGTAGTGTATAAACGAATGGTGAAACAAAACATATCATTACTTTTTTTTTTTTTTTTGAGACAGAGTTTGGCTCTTGTTACCCAGGCTGGAATGCAATGGCACAATCTCAGCTCACTGCAACCTCCACCTCCCGGGTTCAAGTGATTCTCGTGCCTCAGCTCCCCAAGTAGCTGGGATTACGGGCATGTGCCAGCACGCTCGGCTAATTTTGTATTTTGAGTAGAGACGGGGTTTCACCATGTTGATCAGGCTGGTCTCGAACACCTACCTCAGCCTCCCAGTCATTACATTTTTTAAACATCCAAAGACTTAGATCCTGAGTGATGTTGGTGACAGAATGCTCCATCCCCAACCACATTCTTCAATGCATGCTAAATTAAAAAGAACTCTTGTCTGAGAGGATCTGAGAGGGTAGGTGGTCCACAAGCATAAATTTGACACATTTAAGAAGTGAGTGAGGGTTTGAAGGTCAGGAGGTATATTTGAGGAAGCCCTAACCTTAAAGGATGATGATTGCAGCCAGACGAAATGTGGCTTCCCAAGATCTTCGTGGGGAGTAAAACATCATAGTGACCAAATGTTAAGTCAGGAAGAACTGTTTGCCTCCATGGATGGCACACTATTCAAGGCCTGGAGGAAAACTAGGGGCATGAGAAAAATAATACTTATTTGCTAGCAGAATCTGAGCTGAGCTTGGAGGTGGCTAGGGAATGAATGTATATCAGATTCATTCCATAAGACAAAGAAGTCAAAGCTGCTGGCAATACAGACAGCATGGGAGCCAACTCTGAGGGTGGTGAGATTGCCAAGCCTCACAGACTTCCATGTACAAGTATTAGACTCCACATATCTACCAATGCCTGACTAAGTTAGTGGCACCCAAGATACCACATATGACCTGAGTGTGCAGCCTGTCAGTAGCTACAATGAAGGGCAAGTTCTGCTCTGGGCCACCCTTGGGCCCTCAACTCTGCCAACAGTTCCCACCATCAGACTGGGGGCCAAAATCAAAATACATTCTCCTCCCAACATGAAATATGCCTAGCATTGTGCTGAGCAAACAATTGACCTTTTCCCTTTCCCTGCTGGTATTTCTCATGGTGAACTTGGTATCCACAGAAGTAGCTATGATCCATGGCAGAGAGAAAAAGTAATGAATGCCCTGTGGAACCACCAATTAGAATTCTGAGCAAAGCATCTAGCCCCTCCCCTATGAGCCTCTTGTCCCTCCTGCATAACAGTGATATAATGCCAGTTACTTGGTTTGTAGAACTGTTGTGAGGACCGAACAAGGTAGCAAATACAAAAATTGCCTGGATGCAGTATGTGGCTCAATCGCTTTGAGTTTATTCCCTTCAGTCCATATTCAGTCCTTACTCCTGACTGTATTTTTGACTCTAAGAGCTCTGCTTCTCCCTTCTCACTGGATTTGCTAATTGCTTACCCAACAGCGTTTTCTACTAATGCCCAGTGATAACAAAAACTGATTTTGTTCAAAGAAGGAATATGTTCAGTTTCGGGGCAAGGGTGGGGAGGCTCAGAAATTCTCCAATCCAAGCATGGCTATCCTATTCTCCTTGGTTATATGATGGTTTTTCCAGCCTCCCCTACAGCTAGGGGTGAACATGTGACCCAGTTCTGCCCAATGAGGTGTACAGAGAATACTTTAGGACTTCTGTAAAAGAGGCTGTTTCTTAATAAGAAGGACAGATGTGAGAGAATGGTGGTACTTGGAATGTGATAGAGATGCCTGGAGCTGTTGCAGCCACATTGTAACAAACATGAGGTCCCAGAGTAAACTTCATGAAAATAGTCGAGCTGGAATATGGAAACTGTGGTGTCCTTCAGGCATATTTGAGCAACTGAACCAGTGCAAGCATACTTCCAGACTTCTTATGGGGAGGGGAAAAAATTAAGGTCCTGTTTGTTTATACTGTTTGCTCTAAACTTTAACTGCACAGTAAATTTATTTGAAGGTAGCATTTAGAAGTGCTAATGCCTTAGCCCCATATCTAGAAATTCTGATTTCATTAGTCTATATTGTGACTCTGTACACTTTTTAAAACTTTCTGTTATAAATAGTGTGAGATACATGGCAAGATATTATACAGAATGCATGTAGATTTTACACAGCTTCATTAGTTAATAACTCTTGGTCAATATAATTTTATCTAAACCCTCACCAACTTCTCTCCACCCAAAGATTAGTTTGCAGCTAATCTTAAACATCATATCACTTAATAAAAGATTATTTCAGTATGTATCTGTAAAAGATGCAGACACTTTAAAAAATATAAACAATAATATTATCACATGTAAAAAATTAGTTACAGGCTGGGTGTGGTGCCTCATGCCTATAATCCCAGCACTTGGGGAGGCTGAGGTGGGTAGATCACTTGAGCTCAGGAGTTCAAGACCAGCCTGGCCTACATGATGGAACCTCGTGTCTACAAAAAATACAAAAATTAGCTGGGTGTGGTGGCATGTGCCTGTAGTCCCAGCAACTTGGGAGGCTGATTGGGGAGGATGGCTTAAGCCCAGAAGGTGGAGGTTGCAGTGAGCCGAGATTGTACCACTGCACTCCAGCCTGGGCAATAGAGCCAGATCCTGTCTAAAAAATATTAATTATAATTCCCAAATATCTTCACATACTCATTCCTAGTTCAAATTGTCCAATTGCTTATAAATATTTAATTTTTGAAATTTGATTTTCAACTCAGGATTCAATTTACTCTCATGCATTATAATTTGTTGAATCTCTTTTAATCTATAAGTTGCCCCTTCTCTGTTTTTTTTTCCTTGCAATTTATTTGTTGAAGAATTTGGGTCCTTTATTCTCTAGAGTTTCTTACAGTCTGGCTTTTGCTGACATCCTTCCTTTGTTACTGTTTAACATGTCCCTCTGTGTCCTGTCTTCTCTGTAAATTGGTTGTTAGAGCTACCTGGGAAGTGTCTGGTTATCTCCTTTTTTAGCAGACATTGATGATTATTGGCTAGATCCAATATTTCATCACAGATTGTAGAATGAAGATGTTCCATTTATCTTTCTACATTTATTAGCTAAGATATGTCTTTAAGAAGAATCTTCCCCTCATTTACTATTTGGTGACACAGTAAATAGTATATATGCAAATAGAAGGCTAATTATTTGATTCTTTCCTTTTATTTACTGGTTTTCAAATAATGAATTTATTCCCTATCAGTTTTAGAGATGACCACAAAGTATATTTTGGAGTCATTATGAACACAATATTTAAACACACTTAATGTGTTTAAGTCTGTTTAGTTGTTATTCTTATATATGCTCAAACTGTTCCATTTTTAGGCATTCAGGCTCTTCAGGTTGGCTCTTGAATTCTTTTTACATTACCCCAGTAGTCTGTGATAGCTTCCTGTTTTCTTGTACATCAGGTTGTTCCAGTCTCACCTTATACATTTCCCAAAATCAGCTCATTCATTATGTACTGATTTTTTTTTTTTTTTTTTTTTTTTTTTGGTGAGAAATGCTTTTTTAGAGAGTAAAATCATCAGGCTTAACTGCATGCCACTGGGTTCATCATGGTTTCTGGTGCTTTGTAGAGTACTGAACTAAGAAATACATATTTAAGCAAAATACATCATGAGTTTATACTCATAATTCCCATTCAAATTTAGGGCTCCAGCATACGTACTTTATGTCATTAATTTTACTTCGGTATATCCTTTCTATGAAGCCACAAGTACTGACTCCCAATGATGCCAACAAAATTACTCATTAGTATTATCCCCCAATTTACACCTGACAATATCTGAAAAACATGCCAACACTACCATTAAAAATGCTAATTCTGAAAACAGTTTAAATATTTTGTGTGGTTCTTTTGATCCTCAGGTTGTATCTCACTAGGAATAGAATGTACAGAACAAATGACTATGTTTATAAACCATTTGAAATAGTTTCTCTATGTATGATAATGCCACCAACTAAATGTAAAATAAAATCAATTTTGCTTTTCATTGATAGGAATTATTTTATATTATTTAATTAGTTTTTATAAATATGTGGAAAGTTTACATAGTACCAAAGTCAAACCTACAAAACAACACATTTGAGCAAAGTCCCCCTTGTATTCTTGTCCCTCTCACTCTGAACCTTCTTTCCCCTGGGTACATTTTTTTCTAGTTTGTTGATTATAATTCCATATATGGATTTATTCACCATTTTTGCTAAATAATAATACACTATGCAGTTTTCTCCAACTTGATTTTTTTTGTTTACCAATATATCCTGGAGAGTGCTCCAAATCAACATATAGAAATAGTTATTTTTTATAATTGCATAATATTCAATTATTTTATTTGTCAAGTCCTCTATTAATGGTTATTTAATCATCCCAATTTTTTCCATAACACATACTTCCATAATCAGCAACATTTTCATATTTCCCCAGTGTTTCTTTGATTTTGAGAATTGGGATTTATAGGCCAACATGTATTCATATATGCTAGATCTTGCCAAATTCCCCTCCATAAGAATTTTGCCTTTTTGTAGGGAGTTTAGTCTTTTTAAAAAGTTTCTCAGGTGATTTTGTGACTTAAACCACTGGTTTAAGTCATTGTTACTGGGTTTTTGTTGCTTGTTTTGTTATTGATGCTAAACACATAATAACCTAGTGTAAACTACATAATTGGAATCTTCCTACTAGATCCAATACTAGTAGAGATCACGGACTGTGCTGTGTTCTTAATACCCACAGTGGCTAGCACAGGGACTAGAACAAAGCTTATTAAATGTATGTTGAGTGTTAAATGAGGCAGTGAAATGTAGTGACATCACCGTTAATCTATTTCTTATAAAAAATATATTACTGTGCCTGCCTCTACATCAGATGTTTCATTCTCTGAAGGCATGAAGTGGGTATTATTGATACATTAATGTAGCAAACATTTATTTAGAGTGTACCATGTGACAGTAGTATTCTAGATGATGTACATAGAATAAAAACAAAACAGGCAAAAATCTATGCCCCTTTGGAGTATTACATTTTAGCAGAATTTAAAGAATTTAAGAATTGAATATAAGCGGGATAGTACTTAGTGTTAATAAGAATATTATAACAGTGTGACCATGAGACTGACAGGGATTTTAAGCTGTGGCTAGACCTGCCCATGCCTTTTAAGCAGAAACCTGAATTAAGTGAAAGATGGCTTGGCATAGAGGGCATCTTTGAATATTCATTGAATTAATGAATATGACTGCCAAGAGAATCTTCTGCCTCTGGCTATGTACCAGTCACCAGATTAGGGCATCTCTCCCTATTCCTGTATGCTAAGTTCCTCCCTTTCCATCCCCTAAAATGTCCCATAAGAAATCCACCTGGGACAAACTGGACCTCCGGATCCTGAGTGATAAGCTGGGATTACAGGCATGAGCCACCGTGCCTGGCCATAATTGACTTAGATTTAAATTAAATCTTTTTACTTCCACTTATTAATGATGCAATAGTTTTTTCTTGCTCTCCTTTTCCTTGTTCCTTTTTCTTCTCTTTTAATGCTCTCTTTCTGTCTCAAAATCTAAAACGTTTTCATATTCTTTCACCCTAGTCCCCAAACTTTGTTTTTGTCTTTGTAAATGCTGAAAGTCACAATTCCCAATGAAGGCAAAACAGTTATGAATATTTATGCACAAGATAACACATGCATATTTTTATAAAGCACAAATTATAGGAGATGCAGGGAGGAATATACAGGAACATGCCAATAACAGAGTATAACACAACTGTCCAAGACAGGCCAAATGGACAAAAAATAAGCAAGGATATAGAAGACCTATTTCACATAATCAATAAGGTAGATCTTCTGGATATATATCAAACTTTACAACTAGATAATTGAAAAATACTTTCTCAAGCACCCAAGGAATATTCATAAAACTTTACCATATTCCAGGTCACAAAGAAAGTATCATCAAATTCAATAATGTAGAAATAACACAGCCAGCATTCATTTGTCATAATGTATAGCTAAAAAAATAAGTCTTTCCCAGGTTAAATTTTAAAACTCTCTACTTAAAGCAAAATAAAATAAAAACTCCTGAGTGAAAGGGGAAATACAAACCAAAATTGCAGTTTTAAAAAACAAAACAATGTTATTAGAAAGTCTACGTAGCATAATATGTGTGATACGTATTTCAACCCTAAAGTTAGGCAAAGGTCAACAAAGTAAACCAAAAGAAAACACAAGGAAGCAATAATAAAGATAAAAGGAAGCACTAATGAGACAAGAAATGGAAGAGCAATAGAACTAAATTAATCAAAATTCTCTTTCCTTAAAATAAATTAACATCATGCTTAATACCTAATATATTACTTAATATAATAAACCACTATTACTACTTAATATAATAAAAACCACTACTTAATATAATAAAAAAGAGAAAACAGAGATACACAAAATAAAAAATGAAACGGAATAACTATTAAAACAGAAAAAAATTTAAAAAATAATAATAAAAGACTGTTTTTTCACAATAAATTGAAAACCCAAAGGATAAGTACGATTTCCTAGGAAAAAATAATTCATCAAAATTGACACCAATAGTGATGAAACTCTTAAGGACCAATTTTAATAGAAGAAATCGAGAGATTTATTAAACCACTTCCTCAAAAACAAGTATCAGGCTTTAATATTTCCACAGGGTGATTTTACCAAAATTTAAGCACCAACTAATCATAACGCTACATATGTTATTACTCTCAGTGCTACACAACATTTTCCAAAGCATAGAAAATAAAGAAAAATTCAAATTACTATTATAAAGCAAATATAACATTGATACCAAAACCTGATGGAGACAGTATAACAAAAGAAGTTACAGATCAATTTCAATTTTGAATATTGATACAAATCTCCTAAATTAAATATGAGTGGACAGAATCTAACACCACATTAAGAAAATAATGCATCAGGAACAAGTAGGATTTATTCCAGGTAATCAGGGGTGATTCAATAATTAAGGAATCAATTAATGTAATTCATCTTATGATAGGTCTAAGAAGAAAAAGCATATGAAAATTTCCAGAAATCCTTATAAATCCTTATAAATGTTCATTCCAACAAACCAAAACAAAACAAAACAAAATGAAAAAATACTCAATAAAATGATGTATGCTTCATATATATTATGTATGTGTGTATATAACAAGTATATGATATATACACACATGCACATAAAGAAGTACCCACTGTATGTCTGAATAACTACAAATGTAAATACTAAAATTTCTAATGGAAAACACAAGAGGCATTCCTGCTAAGGTTAAAAGCAGGGAAAGAGTTGCCCAGTCTCTCAGCTATTCAATTTGTTGGCGGTATTAGCCAACACAATTAAAAAACAAACCCTACAAAAACAAGTATAGGCATGAGAATTACGAACATATTGTAATTCTATTTGTAGATTATATGGTATTTTACTTGGCCAACTTGAGAAGTGTAAAGATGAAACTAACACAAACAATAAAAGATTTGAAAAATTTAGAAGGATATAAATTAAAATACAAATTCAATGACTTTACATACTTATAAACAATAACAAGAAACAAAATATAATGAAAGAAAAAATCTCTGTAATAACAATAAAGAAGATAACAATCTTAGGAATAACTGTGACAAATAATGTGGAAAACCTGTGTGAGGAAAGATTTAAAGACTCCTGAATGCTCTAATTCTTATATAGGAAAGTTAACATTATTAAGATGTCAGCTAGTTTATAAACTTAATGAAATCTTAATTAAAAATATGCCAGCAAGTTTTCTTTTCTCTAGAGAAAGACAAGTTGATTCTAAAGTTCCTCTTGAGGGTGAGGGAAACACCATGCAGGAACAGCTACAACAATCTCTGAAAAAATAATAGCAGTGAGGAAAGACTAACCCAACCAGGAATAAAACATGCTATTAAGTCTCAATAATTAAAATTGTATGGTACTGGCACTCCAATGAACAGAATAGAAATGTATGAAATACACCCATACACATATGGAAAATTCATATATAATAAATGTGACAACATATAACTAGGGAACAGAAAAACATTTTTAATGAATGCTGTTAGGACAATTGGGTAGCCATTTGGTAAAAGATAAAATTTGATCCATAACTCGTAGAAAGAATAATCTCCATGTGGTTTAGAGATCCTCATGTAAAAAATGAAGTTCTTTAATACTAGAAGGGAATACAGATAGATTCTGTAATAACCTGGGAGCGTGGAAAGGACTTCTATCAAGGAATCCAAATCCAGACACAATCAAATAAAAATTGATAAATAGCCCCTCCAGAATAAAGAAGAAGACACATTTTGGCCTAGCAAAAAATGAAAACAAAAACAGAGAAATAAACAAATAAAAAATAATAAATTTGGAGAAAATATTTTCAAAATATATTTTAAAAAAGCTAATATCCTCAATAAATGTAAAGCACTCTTTAAAATCAAATAAAAAAGGTCATAAACCCATTACATAAATTGGCAAAAGACCTAAACAAATAGTTTACAAAACAAGCCCACACAAATGGCCCTGAACTATATCAAAAGATGGTCAAATCTACTCATAATTACAGAAATGTAAATTAAAGCTACTTTGAAATACCATTTCTCACCTATCAGGTTGTCTGTTCTCTGTTTCTGTCTGTTGCAATTCAGGCACCGTTATTTCAAACGTTTATTATTTTAGGTTTATTATACAGTACACTGAAGAATAAGCTACTGCTAATCAAGCTACCTATAAAGAACAAGGAGTAGAATCTACTAGATAGAAAGTGCTCGAATAAGCACTAACTATCTTTATTTCAGTTCATCCCAGTCATGAATAATATATCACCTGGGTGCTCCTCCAACAGTTTGGGAAACAATTGGTGTCCTCCATCCAGTACACCCCCATCATGCAAGCACTCCACATGTGCACACACCTGCTAACAATAATAAAATTTCCATATTTGCATAATCATCTCCCAATTATGGAGCCAAATAACTTATAAGGTAGTGAGTATCTTTGGGAAAAGAATTTTGTTGGCTCTATTTTCTCACTGAGCTGACAAAGAAGAGGATGCTGGCAGCTCAGGAAAAGCTGCCTTTGGTGTGTCAAGTCTGAATGAGACTGGGTCAAGTGTATGAGTTACCATGACAACGACACGATCAGGATGCATCATCTCCCATAGCAACTGCATTGAGGGGGCCTAGTGTCTGAGTCGAAGCTTTCTCTCAGCATCAGACCTTATTTGAATCCACATCTAAAGCTACACCCTGGGGTGCTAGCTAAAAGGATACATGGAGAATATAAAGAACCACAGAGGCTAGAATTATATAACTAATTTCAGCAGCTTCATCATTTTAAACCCGTCACTACTATAGTAAACCCACCACTACTATAGTAAAGTGTGGGACAGCAGTCTAAACGAGGGCTGAAATGCCTGAAATAGCCAAGCATGGGAATATCCCACCCAGTAAATAGTCCAGTTTTGAGGTTAAAAGCAAAAAAAATGCATCTCCATTGTAAGGCAGTCTCCATAGCCTGCAATGTCCACACCACACTCATCTAATGCCTCCAATCCTAGGTGACAATGGAACTACAAAATCAAAGCTGACTCTATAATCCCTGCTGTTTTCAGACTAATTCACACACAATTAACGTGGAGAATATGAAAAATTTCCCCAAGTGGGATTATTAGTCATGCAGCCCTTTTCAATTTCTACCGGTACCCAAAACTGCTACAATAAAATTTAGTGAAACACCCTCAAGAACAGAATTGCCTGATAGCCAAATGCTGGACTAGCCCACCAGAAAGTAGCCTACTTTTGGAGTTAAAAGGTGGAAAGAGTATCTTTATAGGTTAACATGATGGCAAGCCAATCCCTGCATATATCCTGACAAACCCTGAAGAAAGTATTGTTCTGTTTTCTCAGAGTAATAGGGTAAATGCAAGAGATTGTGTAATTCCCCTACGTTAAATCCAGCACTTCTTATGTGACAACCTATATCCAAGCAATCATGGGTACAAATGTCTTACATATCTCATAATTTGCATGCTTCATAATGTGCTCGCATCTTTTGTAGAGCTCGTTTCACAATGACACAGAAGAGTAAACTCCTAGCCTCATGTCAAAAATCAGAAAATTGAAGTTTTAGAAAAAAGAGGCTGATCACCAAAGGGTCTTTGATATGACCAACACCCAACACCCAAACACTCATTAGTTCTCAAAATGCATACCCATAATTGGGGGAAAATATCATTGAAAAGCAGAGAAGAGACACTTGGTGATTTACTGACCAACTACAGTAGTCCCTCCATAACCATGGGGAAACGGTTCCAGGACTCCCTCCATGAATACCAAAATTCTCAGATGTTCAAGTCCCTGATATAAAGTGCGTAGTATTTGCATATAACCTACACACATCCTCCCCTATACTTTAAAGTACCTTCTGATTACTTATAATACCTAATACATGCCAAAACATCACTCATTCATGTGGATTCAACATAGTATTCAGCATGTAGCAAATTCAAGTTTTGTTTTTTTGAACTTGGTAGAATTTTATTTTTTTTCAAGTGCAGTTGGTTGAGCCCACAAATGCTGCGTAACCCATGGATACCGAGGGCTGACTGTACTTCCATAAGACCACTCGTTCTATGGTAAGAAGGAAATGTACTAGGGAATGAGGAAATTTGAGTTATGCAAGGCTCAGCAATAGCAGATGACTGCACAGACTAGCACAGAGCAAACAGCGTGAATGAGAATTAATGGTAATGTGAGGAAATGAATTTTGCAAGCCAAAAGATAACAAACCCATGAGTCTAGTTGAGGTCACTTGTTCCCTACTAAGTAGAAAGATCCAGTAAAGGAGAGTGAGCCTTATGCAGTCTCCAAATGCAGTAATACTTTAATAACACCAAAGACAGCAAAGTGGTGATGTCAGTTTTAAACATGTGGTGAAGGACAGGCACAGTAATGTAATGTTATAATAAAACAATTAAATATGATGCCAATACATCTCACTAAGTCGTATGACATACTTCGAGTACACATTTACTAACCACCTGCTTTGTGATTGCCCCTGTGTTCTAGTAGGCAGATTCAGATGTGAAGTTTGCATCACATGGGGAAAATTTTAGTGTCAATAAGAATAATAACTGACATGCATTCAAATGCATCAAATATGATTACATCTTTAGTCCATAGTAACTCTAAAGGAGCAATGACCACATGTCTACCATTATAAAATTTTAGAGAATGAATTCACTATGCCAAATTGGGTAAAGAGAGGCAAATAGTGAAACAATTGTCCTGTGTTTGGCGTATGAATTGTATCTCTTGGTTACCAAATATTAGATGAGGTTAGTTCTCACTATTGAAGAATTCCAGCTAATAAAAAAAAACAGATATAATTAAAACATCTCAATTTTAAGTCTCAAATGACACGAATGATCTAGGCAAAGACGGCCAATATCTGCTCTCATTACAAAAAGAGGGACAACCATACAGTTTGTGACTCCTGAAAGGCTAATGTGACACTGTCTCTGAAGTATTCATGCCAAATTATGAAGCCAATAGATAGATATAACTTCCAATTTACAAGAAAGGCAGGGGACAAAAGAGAGTGTTAAACAACACCAATGAAAAGAAATTAGCAAAATCCAGCATGTGGAAGACTGTAGAATAAAGGATTCATTTCTCACAAGAAAGGGATTTTACCAAGGATTAACAGGCATATCAACCAATTGCATGAGACCAGATGGGATCTGGAGTTTAAAAAAAACTACGTGAAAACATTAATGATACAATACAGGAAATATTATCTGTGAATAATATTGAAGAATTAAGCAACTATTCATTATTGTTTAGGCATGATAATGGTATGTATCATATTTTAAAGTAGTATTTTTTTAAATGTCTTTCCCTTTGAGAGATATATTCTGCAGTATATATAGATTAACTAATATGTCTGGAATTTTCCTGAAGCTATGCTGGAGTGGTGGGGGAACTTAATGGGTGTAAAAGAAATAATATTGACAGGCCGGTCGTGGTGGCTCATGCCTGTAGTCCCAGCACTTTGGGAGGCCGAGGTGGGTGGATCACAAGTTCAGGAGTTCACGACCAGCCTAGTCAACATGGTGAAATCCCATCTCTACTAAAAAAAAAAAAAAAAAAAAAAACCTAGCTGGGTGTGGTGGTGCGTGCCTGTGGTCCCAGCTACTTGGGAGGCTGAGGCAGGAGAATCACTTGAACCCAGGAGGCGGAGGTTGCAGTGGGCAGAGATTGTGCCATTGCACTCCAGCCTGGGCAATAGAGGGAGACTCCATCTCAAAAAAAAAAAAAAAAAGATTTAGAAAGAATTTATGATTGTTGAGGTAAGGTGCGATCTACATGTGGGTTCTTTATTTATTTTTTTTGTTTTTTTGAGATGGAGTCTTGCTCTGTTGCCAGGCTGGAGTGCAGTGGTGTGATCTCGGCTCACTGCAATCTCCGCCTCCCAGGTTCAAGCACTTCTTCTGCCTCAGCCTTCCGAGTAGCTGGGATTACAGGCATGCACCACCACACCCAGATAATTTTTGTATTTTTAGTAGACACGGGGTTTCACCTTGTTAGCCAGGATGGTCTTGATTTCCTGACCTCGTGATCTGCCCGCCTCAGCCTCCCAAAGTACTGGGATTACAGGTGTGAGCCACCGCGCCCAGCAGTGGGTTCTTTATCATATAATAGCTTGTCATGTATCTGCTTGATAGAATTTATAACAAAATTTTTTTTTTTAATGTCCAAAGCCATCACGAAATAGACTACTGAAATCAAAATTTCTGGATATGGGCCAGGGTTTTAGTACTTCTAAAAGCTACCTTCAAATGAGTTTAGAGCCAATGATCAACAAGGCCTCATATTTTTTTTCTTGTAATAAGAATCAGAGGTTAAAATACAAGGAGATACACCAGGGGCATACATTCACAGAGGGACAACCCTGTGAAGAGGTAACAGAGGGGAATCATCTGCAAGCCAAGGAGGGACACCTCAGAGGAAATCAGCCAGGCTGGCACCTTGATCTTGGCTTCCAGCCTCCAGAACTGTGAGAAAATAAACTGTTTTTAAGCCAGCCAGTCTGTGGATTCTATTATGGCAGCCCAAGCAAACTAATACGCTTCCCCATACTATCCCTGCTGCCCATTCTGTAGAGCCGACTCACACATGATAAGTAAGATTGCAGGAACTCAGTTGTGCACTGACACAGGAGCTGAAGGCCTAACACTCTTCCTGGGAGGCTGTGAGGCTTGACGATTTTACCATACTCAGAAGTGCTGCCATGCTGGTCATGTTGCCGGCAGGTCTGGCCATAATCGCAAGGAACGAATCTGACAAACATTTGGTTCCATGAGCTCCAGAAGAGCCCAGCTTACGCCCTGCCAGAACATCAAAGAAAGATCCTAGAAGGCCTTTCTTATGCTCCACAACTTCCCTTCATGCCAACAAGAGATTGCCATTCATAGAGGCAAATAGCTGTTATTTATTGTGTTGATCCCTTACCATGTATTTTATTTTTACTTATTTTTTTTGAGACAGGGCCTCACTCTGTTGCCCAGGCTAGAGTGCAGTGGCGTGATCTTGGCTCACTGCAACCTCCGCCCCCCAGGTTTAAGCAATTCTCCTGCCTCAGTCTCCCAAGTAGCTGGGACCACAGGCGCCCACCACCACGCCCGGCTAATTTTTTTGTATTTTTAGTAGAGACGGGGTTTCACCGTGTTAGCCAGGATGGTCTCGATCTCCTGACCTCGTGATCCGCCCGCCTCGGCCTCCCAAAGTGCTGGGATTACAGGCGTGAGCCACCACGCCCGGCCCCAATATGTGACCCTTTTGCTTCCTCTGGAACCTACTGTAGACTTACTAACCTTTCTAAATAGGAAATCAAAGCACAGCAAGATGAAAACATTTCTGTTCACAGTAGATAATGTAGGTAAGAGCAAAGGAAGCAGAACGGATCAAAGGATGTCCCTTGTTTATTAATCTGATTATATCTTGTCAATATTTACATGCTTACCTATTAGTTATAAAATCTGTTTAGCAATAGATGAAGTGAACCACTCAGATCTGAAAATGAGAAAAGAAAAGTAGTGGAGTGTCAATCATCTTGGCGTGTAAATAAGAAAGGTGTTGGCCGGGCGCAGTGATTCACGCCTGTAATCCCAGCACTTTAGGAGGCCGAGGGAGGCGGATTGCCTGAGGTCAGGAGTTCAAGACCAGTCTGGCCAACATGGTGAAACCCTGTCTCTACTAAAAATATTAAAAAATTAGCTGGGCGTCATGGCGTGTGCCTGCAATCCCAGCTACTCGAGAGGCTGAGGCAGGGGAATTGCTTGAACCAGGGAAGTGGAGGTTGCAGTGAGCCGAGATCGCGCCACTGCACTCCAGCCTGGGTGACAGAGGGACACTCTGACTCAAAAAAAAGAAAGAAAAGAAAAGAAAAGTATCACCTAAATGAATAGAAACAGTGAACAGGTTGTGTCCACAGGGTTTGACATTGGGGCAAACCTCTTTTTTTCTCTGTCCCATCTAAGGTGACTGAGCTTCCCTGGAAATGGCTGGGAGGTGTAAGACATCTCTGCTCTCATCTTGAAATAATTCATCCACTAAGGAGAGAAATTTACTATCAAAGTTCCGAGAAATTCGTGTAGATAATATATTATTTCATTTAATTTAATCTTTAGTAGAAAATAAATGATCTATGACGAAAAACCCTCTTAACTCTTTTCTGCCTGGTAGAATTCAGAACATCTCACTCCCTCATTTATTGAAACACCACATCTATTATTTGGCAGGCTTGTCAGTGGGAGAAGAATCTTACTTAATCTTTGCCTCAACACTCTAAAATACCCAAGATGTGACTGAAAATGCATACAATAAATTATGCACATGCCTATAGTGGGCTACTAAAGGTTGGTTCTAAATTATTCATACCAGCTCAAATGAAAATGGAAAACTAGTTATTTCTATCCTTTCAAATATATTTATGGGAAGAAAAAGTGTGAATGTGATTAATGCCACTGAATTATACACTTAAAAATGGTTAAAATGGCAAAAATTTTTATACATATGTAAACACCATAAATACTCTTTAAAAAATCTTTAAGAGTTTTAACCAGGAACCAGAAAAGTCTGAAAAGTCCTAGGGCCAGATGCACTCATCTCTAAGGTGACACCTACGTTCTGTCTCTGGATAATGATTACAGAGTCCAGATGAGTGTCCAGCACACAGTGAGGGCTTCAAAGGTACTAGCTGCCACTTTATCATCTGTCCTTGCCCATTCTAACAGATGGTGTATCTGTGATGTCTCAGGGACAAACTTCACGTACCTGTAAACTTTTCTGCTTGGTCTTTGCCTCCCGCTCTCTTCTGCTGTTTCCAATATTCTGTTAAATTCAAATACATGAATTCTTAGTTTCAGGGTTTGAAATTTTCAGTTCTCCATTTTTCAATGTATGATCAATATGATTGATTTTTAAATTCCAGTTTTCTGTTGAAATTTAAATTTTGTCATCCATATTTGAACATACCAATTATAATTACTTCATTGTCCATGTCTGATAACTCCAATATTGAAGGGTTGTGGGTATTTTTCTTTGTGTTTTTATTCTCTTGACCTGTTCTGATATGGACAGGAGGCAAGGAAATACCGGGTACAAGAGGGCAGTTCCCCAGCAAAGGCCCCACCCTCAAGTCTGGAAACCCACAGCCTTAAATAGAACATGCATTCCCGTTTTGGTGCCCAAATGTTGCCTTTTCCAAGAGCACTCTGGCCTGCCATGCCCCTATCCTGTACCCATGTAAACCCCAAACCCCAGGCTCCACAAGCAGAAGAGTGGAAGAGCACAAGAGCAGCAGAATGACACAGCATGGAAGGAGAAAAGAGAAGGAGTGGCCATCCCACAGCCAATCTCCTCTCCAACCATCCCTGGAGGAGTTGGAGGAGTTCGGCTGGGGATGGTTGGAGAGGAGATTGGCTGTGGGATGGCCAGACTCCAGGGAAAGATCATCTTCCCACTCCATCCCCTTTCCAGCTCCCCAGCCTTTCTGCTGAGAGCCACCTCCATCACTCAATAAAACACCCGCATTCACCACCCTTCAAGTCCGTGTGTGACCTGATTCTTCCTGGACCTCAAACAAGGACCCAGGTACCAAGACCACAGAGTGTAAAAGGCTGTCACCCTGACTCTCCACTCAGCTGGTTTAACACTTTAAACTGTTAAACTGTTTAAACTGTTTGTTAAACTGTTAAACTGTTTAAACTGTTGGTTAAACTGTTAAACTGGTAAAACTGTTTGTTTAACTGTTAAACTGGTTAAACTGTTTGTTAAACTGTTAAACTGGTTAAACTGTTTGTTAAACTGTTGAACAACTGTTAAACTGTTAAACTGGTTTAATAGTTGCTGGCAACTGCTAAAAGAGTATTAATTGTAACTCACCCTTAAACACTACCCTGGGGATGAAGCCAAAAAGCACTTGCCCCGGCTCCTGCACTTGCCTGTCTGCGGGCTCCCCCTCCTGAAAGGGGTTTCAGCTCTCCGAGGCTAAGCCATGACCCCTCACAAGTCCCGTGAGGGGGCCAGGGAACTCTCCTGTTTCATTTATTAATAAGTCTGGTAATTGAATTAAATGTCGGGCATTGTTATTGAAAAAGTTTATGGGCTCTACATGATGTTATCCCCCTCCCTAGAAGATTCATCCTGTCTTCTGGCAGGCTGCTAGTGTAGGGACAATCACATTCATCCAATCAGAGACTTAGCTGACATAGGGATGCTTCAGACTTTATAAAGCTTCATCTATCTATGATTTTTTTTTCCTCCCAAGCTGCAGCTCTCCAGGACCCCCAACTGTGAGTCTGGGGTGCTTTTTGAGGGTCCCATTTTGGGTGACTTCTGAATTCAGTATTTTGCCATGCAATGCCATGAGATGGCAGATAAATCTGTTGAGACTTAAGTGCTATCTGCTGAGGTTCTTAGTGGCATGTCCTCTGTAGATTAAGTGTGAACAAACGCCTCCAGAAAGAAAACCACCCCATATGGATCTCACTTCTGTCTCTCCTTCTTCTTCCTAAGATCTTTACTTCTTAGGCACTGACTGGTTTGGAAGTCTGAGTTCCAAATTTTGTTTCCCTAGTCCCATGAAATTTTCTGAAGAGCTGATGTCTTCGCTGCTTCTTAGCAGGTGTTTTGCATATAAAATTATGTCCTCTCACCAGAGAAGTTTAGGATTCTGCATATTCCCTAAGGGAAAAAGCAGCACAAGATTGTAGGATTTTAGCCCCATAACCTTTGGCAAATTATTTAAATTGTATGTGCTCTAGTTCCCTCATACATAAAATAAAGATAAAACCTACTTCATTGTATTATGAGGAGGATTAGCTCAATGCGTTTAAAGCACTAAAAACAATGGCAGGACAAATACTCTATAACTTTTGCCCTTATTAAGCACAGAAAGTACTCCAAGACACATTGTGAGATGAAAAAATGCTGGGTCCACACACCATTTGCTACTCACCATTGATATACAAAGAGGAGTTTGGAATGATGTATATGCTTGAACACCAGTGATATACCTCTGGAAATGTCTCTAAGAGCCCAATGGAAAAGAAAGGTGGCCTTTGGGGTAAAGTTCTGGATAGTTCAGCAAGGTGGTGAGAAGAATCCATTGCTTGCATAGTTTTGAAACCTTGGAATTTTATACCAAGTGTGTATGTATCACCTATTCCTTTTAAAAATCTTTGTTAAAGGAAAGAACAGAAAAGAAAAAGAAATAGCAGGCTTTGGAGTTATGCAGTCCTGAATTTGTGACCCTTCTCTACCATGTAGGTAAAGCAATATAATGAGGGGCCTCCTGAAAAAGGAATATGTAGAGTCCTTTGTCAGAAAAGCAGCAAAAGCTGACTTTCCTTTCTTATTCAGTCTCTCTTTTGACCTCTCACAATTTTTGTAGTTGCAATTTAATGTGGTGCTGCCTCAGTTAAGGGGACATGCATAGGGTGAGTGGAGATCCTCCCAGGTGTCCAGAGCCCTGCCCTGTGGCTTGGCATTCCCACCCTTCCCCTCCCTGCACCCACACTCAGGCCCTCTCCTGTGGGCGAAGTGCAGCAGCAGTCGCTGGGGTGGCAGAGGGAAGGGCAATCTGAGAGGGTGGGTGGGTGATTGGGCAGCAGAGAACCTGTCCCAGTGAGGCCAGGAGGTGGTGGGAGCTGGACCACATGACAGCTGAGGCTCAAGAACCTCAGCAAACACTGCATTGTTTAATCAGACCTCACCTACCAAGCACAAATTCAAGGAAAAAAAACAGTTAAGAATTTCAAGACAGCCACACTAAACCTCAAGCCTAAGGACCCATTCTGAGCATGGAGCCCTGTGGGACTATCTTGGTTGCAGTCCTATGAAGCTAGCCCTGGTACCACATCCTACCTGTGTGCCATGATTTACTTATCTGTGGCTTCAGTTTCCTCATGAGTAATGTGGATATTGAAAAAAAAAGAAAAAGAAAAAGAAAAAAACCTCACACTTTTTTTCTAAGACTTAAATAAGATATTGATAGCGACAGGAGGCAGCCAAATGCCTAGGCAGATAGGGGTGGGTCCCCAGTGAAACCCCACCTTCAAGCCAAACACATCCTGAAGGCTGAAAGACCAGACTGCTGTCGCATATGAAACATGCAACCAGAGAGAGAACTTCTGTTCCTGTTCGCTGGCCTTTTCCGATTGATTGTTGCTGAATTATGCCTTTTAACCAATCGAATGTTGCCTTTTCCAATACTACCCCATCTGAGTCCGTAAAAGCCCTGGACTCAGCCATATTAAGGGGACTTTCCTGCCTGTGGATACGGGGTTCACCCCTGCATACCCTCTCTGCTGAAAGCTGTTTCATCACTCAGTAAAACTCCCCACCTTACTCACTCTTCAATTGTCAGCGCATCCTCATTCTTCTTGGGCACCAGACAAGAACTCAGGAACTAGTGCACAAGCCAGACTCGGCCTGGGTGGGCCATCTCCTGCCACAGGTGGCCTGGCTGAGCTAGGCCCAGGTCAGGTCCCACTGGCCGAAGCTACCCAGCTTGCAAAGTGACTGAGAAGAAAATCTTGTGTCAATATTAATGCTAAGTACTTAGCAAAGTATCTGGCATGGTGTAAGTCTTTACATGTTAAGTAAAATCATTGTAAACCAAAAATAAAATTCTAAGCACCCCCCACCAAAATATCTGAATGGACTTCCTCCTAGGCCAGAGCACTCTTAAAATTTAACTTGAAAGACTAGTTCAGGCCATGACAGGAAGTAGGGTTCAGACAGGCTTCATTATACCTCTCTGGCATTCACATCAACACAGACCTTAAGTCTGATAAGAAGTATTTGCAATCTATTCTCTCTGAGGCCTGCTACCTGAAGCCTTCCTCTGCACAATAAGAACTTTGGTATCCACCTTAACCCAGACATTTCCTTTCTACTGATCCCAGATCTTTAGATAAACTCAACCAATTGTCAACCAGAAAATTTTTAAATCTACCTGTAACCTGGAAGCCCCCTCCCCCTAGTTCAAATTGTCCCACCTTTCTGGATTGAACCAATGTATTTCTTAAATGTATTTGACTGAAGTGTCATGTCTCCCTAAAACGTATAAAACCAAGCTGCATCCTGACCACCTTGAGCACATGTTCTTAGGACCTCTTGAGGGCTGTTTCATGGGCCATGGTCACTCATATTTGGCTCAGAATAAATCTCTTCAAATATTTTACAGAGTCTGACTCTTTTTGTCAACAATAATTTGGCGCCTGAACACGTGGGGCCTCAGAGGAGAAGCCTCAGGATCCCAAAATAGCAGTAGCCCAAACTCGGAGCTAAGGTACCAGCAAGGGCCCATTGAAAGCCTCCCAGACTTTGAGCTTCCCTTCAGATGGAACTGGTAAGTCCTTCTGAGCCTTGGACCTCCCTTTGGTTGATGGTCCTTCATTTATTCTAAGCTGGATTTTTTTCTCCTAGGAAGGTGGTTGTTTAGAACCCAAATTCTTGTTTGGAGGTTCATCCTAAATGGTCTTCTCCATTGCTTGTATCTCCCCAAATTAATCTTGATTTGACTTGTGTGCACATTTGCGTCAGGAACTGAGCTGCCATTTTTGTAAATGAGAGACTGAGTTTTCTCAGTTCTGAAGAGAATGGGCATTTTGTTCCTCCCAGCCAAAGGTGCCCCTGGGTGACTGGGGGCCAACTGGGAGTGTCTGGGGTGTTGAACCCCTGATCCCACATACAGCAGCCCTATAAGGAGCTCTCAACAAAATTAGCTTAAAAAGGCCCCTCCAGGAAGCACATATAGGAGATGGCCTTTGCTGTGCTTTGAGCCCTCCCAGAGGTGCTAGGCCTCCAGAAAGGGAAACTGAGACACATAAGAGACTGGGAATGACTCAGTGGTGACACACTGTGACGTCCCACTTGCAACCAGCACACTTTGATCCACTCCACTAAAACCCGAGGCCATGGCTCAGTTCCTCCTTTTTTTTTGGAGACAGAGTCTCACTCTGTTGCCCAGGCTGGAGGGCAGTGGCATGATCTTGGCTAACTGCAACCTCTGCCTCCCGGGTTCAAGTGATTCTCCTGCCTCAGCCTCCCAAGTAGCTGGGATTACAAGTGCGTGCCACCACATCCAACTAATTTTTGTATTTTTAATAGAGACAGGTTTTCACCATGTTGGCCAGGCTGGTCTTGAACTCCTGAACTCAGGCAATCCACCTCCCTCAGCCTCCCAAAGTGCTGGGATTACAGGCGTGAGCCGCAGCTCCCAGCCAGTTCCTCCTTTTAAAGAAAAAAAGGTGGGAAATAACCCTCTTTCAGGCACTCCATTGGTTTTATGGTGCCTCCACTTGTGAGAGTTTGTGTAAAATGGAAATATTATGGTCTTTTTGTGAACAATTACATCAAAGAAAAAGAGCTCTAAGGTTGACCTGCAAACTATAGAGTTCCTAACTTCTCTTTTTCTCTATTTTCTTTTCTGCCTGCTTTAGATCTGCTGTTGCTTTTCTACTGAAATGAAAAAACACTGTTTGGCTCCAACTGGGTTTTTTTTCTGTGTGTGTGTTTTTTGTTTGTTTGTTTTGCAAGCCAGTAAATTTGTATTAATAGCTAGAATTCTGAAGTAAAAGCTATAGGATCTTTGTGTGTGTGTATGTGTGTGTGTACATATATATATATATATTTAAAAGGACTTTATGTTTTTTATTTGTTTTCTTTCCTATGACCTTGTTCTTCTTGAGAGAGTTTTTCTTAATTTCTAACAACCTGGGATCCTTTAAAGGAACTAGAGAAGGCATCAGACTCCTTTTTGGGGAGAAACCTCTGTTTTTCCTTATGAAATCCCAAGAGTATAAACAGACAAGTTTCCCTTCAGATATTAAACTTCTTGTTTGTGTTGTGTTACCTTTTTTCAACTAAAATAGTTACTAAAACAGAGGCTACTCTTGGATGCTTAAAATAAGAAAGAGTGTAGTTTAGACACTTAGAGAAATGTCTTTGTTAAAAAAAAAACAAAAACCTGCACGTTGTGCACATGTACCCTAAAACTTAAAGTATAATAATAATAAAATTAAAAAAAAAAGGTGCACTGTAAAAGCATGGACTAGCCTCATTATAATTCTCTTTTAGGAGGCCCAGGATACAGTGTGGACTCTCCCCAGAGCTCGGAGGTCCAATTAAAAGGTGGAGAATAAAATTAGAACTACCTATCTAAATAAAATGTCTCTCCTTACACAATCTTATGATAAATTTCTATACTTTTATGCTTAACTTGCAATGAAATTTGCTTTATTTCCCTCTAGCATACCAGGCTTTTTCTCTCTGTGCTTTGAGATGTCAATTTTGCTATCTGATTTTTCACCTAAGAGCTGTTTCTTTTAATATGCAAATTTAGGGCTATTCAGCTGACAACTGCTTAGGGTAAGGAAACAGGTTATCAAGAATTTAGGTCAGGCGTGGTGGCTCATGCCTGACCTCCCAACACTTTGGGAGGCTGAGGCAGGCAGATCACCTGAAGTCAGAAGTTTGAGAACAGCCTGGCCAACATGATGAAACCCCATCTCTACTAAAAATACAAAAATTAGCCGGGTGTGTTGGTCCACACATGCCTGTAATCCTATCTCCTTGGGAGACTGAGGCACGATAATTGCTTAAACCTGAGTGGTAGACGTTGCAGTGAGCCGAGCTCGCACCCCTGCACTCTAGCCTGGGCCACAGAGCAAGATTCTGTCGCAAAAAAAAATAAAAAGACTTCCGAAGTCTAATAAAATGTACTTCTATTGGCATGCCTAATATGTATTTGTGTTGTGTGTATATTTCACTACTAAAAATATATAAAGTGCTCTAATTAATTGGCTTAAACATTTTTTAATCAGAAAATTTTTTATAAGAAAAAATAGAGACTTTAAGTCAAATGTTTTTTCCTTTTTTTTTTTTTTTTTTTTTTTGAGACGAGTCTCGCTCTGTCGCCCAGGCTGGAGTGTAGTGGCACGATCTTGGCTCACTGCAACCTCCGCCTCCCGGGTTCAAGCAATTCTCTGCCTCAGCCTCCTGAATGACTGGGATTACAGGCGCCCACCACCATGCCTGGGTAATTTTTTTGTATTTTTAGTAGAAATGGGGTTTCACCATCTTGGCCAGGCTGGTCTTGAACTCCTGCCCTTGTGATCCACCCACCTCGGCCTCCCAAAGTGCTGGGATTAGAGGCGTGAGCCACCGCGCCCAGCCCAGTCAAATGCTTTTTTAAGCTCACATGACTTAACAAATAAACTGGCTTTAAAATTATTGGTAAAATAATATTTAAAATGTCTTAAGAATTGTTGGCATTTTTGTTTGCATGTATTAATCAAAAGGTTTCATATTTATTCCTGCAGAATACCTAAAGTGTCAAGATTTGCCATAAGGATTATAAAACTATAAACCCAGCCCAAAACAGAAGGATCTTACTTGTGTAATTTTTGATAAATAAGACATGTAATATAGTTGGTTTAATGAAAACAGCTAAATCCTGAGTTATTGGTAAAAAAAAAAAATTTATATTTAACCATAATTTTCCTTATTTTTAGATAAACACATGAAATTCATAGGTAATAAAAATGGTTAACAAAGAATTCACTTTAAATGATGACTATCACAGTTTTCATAAATAATCTAGGTAAACTATTAATCAGGTAAATGTAATGGAATAAATGCTTGTAAACAAACTTGTCATATAATTTAGAATCTAAGGTTATATTATAGTAGATATTAGTTAAATGTCTAGGTAATTTCCAATTTAAAAATTATCAGAAATTTTTTAAAAAATGTATTCTTATTAAAAGGTGAATCTTTTTACCTAATTCAGAGTTACTTAAAGCTGAAGTATAAAACAAGGTAAAAGGCATCAGTAAATTAGAACTGTGAATTATAGCTATAAAGAGGTATTTTGGGTAAGAAAGGTAAAAAGGAAAATAATTTTACATGAGAAATAATCCTGTAAGGTGAAATTTTGTCCTAAAATAAAATGACTGGGTTTTTCAATGAAGAGGGATATTTAGGACAAAACAAAAAGTTCAAATATGTCTTGAATGATCTAAGTCATAATAAGGTCATTAAAAAAAGAGAATTTATAAAAATGTTATGTGATTAATTGGCTTTAATGAAGGAAAATTGTAATAAAGTTTTTCTAAAATTAAACTTTGATATTAAAAATACACTAATACAAAACTAAATAATTGGTTAAAACAAGATTTTATTTAAAATGTTGACTTATGCTTAAAGCAAAATTTTTAATTTTTGAATTCTATAATCTGTCTGAAATTTTTCAGATTGATATCTAAGAAGGTCACCTCTTTCTTTTAAAAAGGACTTGGATGATAACTTTCACCTTTTATTGGCACCTATAACTTTTAAAATCTAAAGTAAAGGAGAGTTTTTTTTAATAGGTAAATTAAATATATTTTGGATCTGCCTTTTTAAATTCTGTATGCCTGTTATATCTCTATCTTTATATGTGTCATGTGAAAGTGATACTTCACTACCAAACTATATGAAAGAGCTCTAATCAAGTAACTTACAAAAAAAGTGAGTATTCACTAGACTGGTAGAAACTAGCTCAGATGCCTTTTAATTCACATCACTTTGATAATCTTTGGTAAAATTAATTTGGTAAATTTAATCTCAAAACTCTCTCCAGTGATTTAAAATCTTAAAGTTATGTTGTGTTAAATTAAGTAATCTCAGGGTTTTTTTTTTTTTCAACTGAGAGTTTAGGTTACTAAAAGTTAAAATTGTAGGGTCATAAAAATGTTTTTGGTGAAGTTTATAAAACACAAGGATATGGATTTTGCTAAAGAAAGTGTAGGTCGGTGGCTCACACCTGTAATCCCAGCACTTTGGGAGGCCGAGATGGGCAGATCACGAGGTCGAGAGATCGACACCATCCTGGCCAACATGGTGAAACTCTGTCTCTACTAAGAATACAAAAATTAGCTGGGCGTGGTGGCCCACGTCTGTAGTCCCAGCTACTCGGGAGGCTGAGACAGGAGAATCGCTTGAACCCGGGAGGTGGAGGTTGCAGTGAGCCGAGACCACGCCACTGCACTCCAGCCTGGCACAGAGTGAGACTCCCTCTCAAAAAAGTAAAAATAAAAATAAATAAATAAAATGTAGGGTTTTTTTCTAGTTAAGAAACTATTTAAGAGTTGCTTTAAAATAAATGAAAAATTATACAGATAAAAGTAAATGGATAAAAGGAAAAATTAAGCCAGAGCAACAAAAGTTAATTCTGAGACCTTTGATTACCAAAATGATAGTCAATGTAGGGGAAGGGCAAAACCAAGTAACTATACTAAAGGGTATAATGTAAAACCAGAGGGTATAATGTAAAGGAATTGTTCCATTTTGTAGATTGGTATCATCAGCTTCTTGAGAAACCTTTACTATAATAGATGGTAAAAATAACCATCTTAAGGACACAATCCTTAATTTTAAATGCTACAGAAAATAAAAGCTTGTTTGGGCTGACCCAGAACCCACAGCTCACTATTGAACCATCACTAATGAGTATATGTGATTTCAATGCACAGGAGGAGAGAACAACCAGCCTAGTGGACTGGATAAATGACACTGTAAGCTCTGTTTGCCCTGAGAGGGGACTACCCAGCTCTCCCTATAAAATACCAAGTGGAGAACCCCAGATGAAGCAGTTAGTATGCTTCATATGCAAGCCATGTGGGACCAGCTTTATGATAACTGGGATATCCTCCTACCAAATGTGCCTATTACCCTGGTCATGGTAAATTTGGGGGTTAAGTGGGGAGCCCTTTTACATGGGTGCCCCTCCTGCAGAATCATACAACTGTCTGAGAAGCCTTATCAAGTTTACTGTACCTCATGGGTTTTACAGATGCAACTCCCTGCTGGGAACACAAATCCTTTTTCACTAGAAAAAGTAAAATGATCTGGGGATAGTAAAACAAGTTCCTGGGATCAGAACACAAAAACATACAGGTTAATAGAATTATGAAATTTAAGATGTTTACACAGGCTTTATGTAAAGTAGTTGTAACCCCTTTACCTAAATGTCTTACGAAAATAAGTATTGTATCTAACTGGGGGATTTTTCCCCTATCTAGTACTATAAAACTGAAGACATGTACATCTGCTCTTTGAGAACTGTTGCTTGGACTCACTAAATGAAAAGTAGTATGATTCCCTGAGCCCACAAAATATAGCCTAAAGGGTGGAGTGCTAGTTGAGACAAATCCTCCACTTTATAGCCCTTTATGAAGTATTTATTGGGGCTTAATGCAACAAGGCTGTACTTTCCAATGACAAAGACTGAACTAGAGAATTTCCACTTGAGGAACATTTACTGCCTTGCTATGAAATGTTAACTGAAGCTACCCCTATGCTGAATGAAAATAATGGTGCCCCAAAGAGTAAAATAAAAAATGGTTTACATAGAATCTTGCTACCTGGGGATACAAGGAGGAGAAACTTATAAGCAGAGAGCTTCTTTTTTCCCTAGGACTAATTCTCACTATGTGAGGATCTGCTAGATTCTACAGTGCCTGATAGACAGCTCCCATGAGTTATTTGGTTTGCGAATGGCATTTCCAAGGTGAACAAACATCTTGTTTGAAAGCTGCTGCTCTGGTTAAAGAAGGATAAAAAAAAAATCGTTTTCTTTTGAGTTATTTGGGTGAAGTATGTTTTTGTAAGCAAATTTACCTTTCTCTGTACCTGAGTTCTCCAGAATTCGGGTTGTGATTTCATGACAATATAGTTACTTGCATAAATTTAGTAATAGTCTTTTAAAACAAAACAATTGGAGACACTGGTTATTTTACCAAGACTTTAACTAAAATAGCATATTTTAGGTAAAGTTCCAGCAAAGCCAACTTAAAAGGAGCTTATATGGCCAATCAATTCTTGTTACATTTTATGCAAATAATCAGGCCAAGTATAATAAGCCTAAAACCTAGTTCGCACACAAATTGGTCTTACTATAATTTCTCTTTAATAGAAAAGGAGGGCTAGAGTAAAAGAAATTGTTTCCAAGGAAAAGCGTAACACTTGATACTAGATTTCAGCCCTAACTTTTCTTTTTTTAAGTGCAGATTGAATCATGAATTATTTCTTGGCTACAATAATCCTCTACAGAGTACTAGATTATAATTTTTCTTCATATCTTTAGTTGGTGCCCTAATGGAATAGGTTCCTTTTTCTGTTCAAACACACAAAAATTCTTTGATTGTCAAAACATTAATGTTATTATCTCTCCTTGTTTTACTTCCAAGGAAACCCAAATCATGGTTTTCTGAAGACCAGAGATGCAAATCTCCCTCATTTGGCATCCCACTGGGTCTGATCTGTTTTTCACTGCAAATGCCCTACTGCTAAAACGATGCAAGCACCATCCCCCCAGGCCCAGGGATCGTCACAGAAGACGTGGGTGTGAGAGATAGTAAGGGCTGGTTTTGAGGAATAAAATTAGGTCAAGATCAGACCCTCCAAAGCAAGGATAGATACAAAGATGCCTAAAGAGCTGGTAAAACAAGGGACTTTGTCTTCTAAGCTATTATGTGTCACTTTTGCATCCACCCCAACCATAAAGCATTTTTTGCTCCCTGTAGAATTAAAAGAAAATATCTGTGACACAAGAAAGATACCTTGTGATAAAGCTTCCTGGATATAATACTCCCAGTTATGAGTTGAGAAGATAAATATATTAAAACTTTTTTTTTCAGAGCAGTGCTTATGATTTGTATAGCTAATTGCTACAAATCTGTAACTAAATCCAAACTTATAGTAGGTCAACGCATAAAAGTTACAGTCAGTTTTGTAACCTTGCCTTTGGTTTTTGTTTGTTGGCTTTTTACCTAAAATAATAATAATTTTAAGAGATAATAAATACCTGTCCACGTTCATCCTATCTGGCCTATAACAATTAATTGGCTGTAAGTCTTTTTACTCTTAAGGTCCTTGGCCATAGGGACTTCCACCGAGGGACAGGATGGACCCAGGGAGGGCAGCCCTGCCACCCCAGCAACGCTATGAGAGAAAATAAAAATTTACTGGCTAAATAAATAAATAAACAAATAAATTTACTGGCTATTGATGTTGCCTCTGGCAAATCTTGTCAAGAAGGAGGAGAATGTAAACCAAAAATAAAATTCTAAGCACCACCCCCAAAACATCTGAACGGACTTCCTCCTAGGCCAGGGCACACTTAAAATTTAACCTGAGGGACTGGTTCAGGCCATGATGGGAAGTGCGGTTCAGACGTGCCTCATTGTACCTCTCTGGCATTCACATCAACACAGACCTTAAGTCTGATAAACATTTACAATCTTTTCTCTCTGAAGCCTTCCTCTGCACAATAAGAACTTTGGTGTCCACAGTTCTTTATCTTAACCCAGACATTTCCTTTCTATTGATCCCAGGTCTTTAGATTAAACTCAACCAATTGTCAACCAGAAAATTTTTAAATCTACCTGTAACCTGGAAGCCCCCTCCCGCTAGTTCAAATTGTCCCACCTTTCTGGACCGAACCAATGTATTTCTTAAATGTATTTGACTGAAGTGTCATGTCTCCCTAAAATGTATAAAACCAAGCTGCATCCTGACCACCTTGGGCTCATGTTCTTAGGACTTCCTGAGGGCTGTGTCATGGGCCATGGTCACTCATATTTGGCTCAGAATAAATCTCTCCAAATATTTTACAGAGTCTGCCTCTCTTCATTGACACTATTAAATTATTAATGAGACTATGATTGGTATTACTTGATCAGTTAACAACTTGTGAATGCTACATATGAAATATAAACTATGAAATACCTTATGAAATAGTGTAAAGTTGATATCATCAACACATGGCAACATCACAAGAGACAGAATCATGGAACACCAGATTAAACAGGGCTATTCTTTCTTTAGTAGGAGAGGAATTGTCTCATCCATCCATAAAGTCCAACTAGGCCACCCACCTGCAGATCATCTCAGTCAGTTCACAACAAAGTACCTGACCGTTATGAATCCAACTGGGAAGAAGTTGGTCCCGGTGAGGCACCTGTGGTTCCTAGAAGCAGGGTCATGGCCCTGAGTCCCCAAGGCAACCAATATATCAGGGAGATCTGTCTCCCTTAGGAAATGCAGGGTGAGGTTTTCCCTAAGGGTCAGGCTTGGAAGTTGGTTGGAAGAGTTGGTGCCTATCTTCTGGGTATTGTCCAGTTTGCACCAGAAACACACCCTGTCTTCAAACTAAGAACACCTGTTGGTGTGCCATTTTCATGCTTCCATGGGACAGGAGTGTTCATAGGTTTAGACTTCTTTCCTGTCCTCAGCCCAGGACACCAGCCTCTTTGCCTCTACCTGCTCTGCCTTCCTTATGGGTTTGGGTAGCTCTTCTTTTCATTCACCATAGTGCCATCATCCCTGTCCATGCTCTGCTCATCCGAGATACTCCAGGGTATGTTCCCTTCCTCGCATTCCATTTATAGGGTGGTGGGGTGGGGGGGTGGTAGCCAGAGGGGGTGTGGAGGTTAACAGGGGAGAGATCATAACATGTTTGTGGAGTGATAGGGATGATTCATATATAGTGTAGGCCAGTGATTCAGTGTCAGTTTTCTCCATGGTAATGAGCCAGTTCTCCAAATGTTAATGTTTTAAAGACACAGTGTTGGGAGAGGAAATCTGCTGGGAGCCCTGAGCATTCCTTTATGCTTTTGCGGAGTACACCAATAATTCAAAGTCCCCCACTCTTTACCTGGGAGATTTCTCAGAGTTCTCTTTTAGTGAGCAACAAACAGGGATGCTTGAGGGATGAGGTAACACCCCCCACAGAGAGCATGATTGCTCCCACTCCCAAGAAAGACATAGGATCTCCCAAGCTCAGTGTTCCTCTCTTGTAACACAATTCTCAGCAAGTGTGAGCATCCACGCAAGTCCACCTTCATCACCCCCGTGGGGCTTGGAGGGCATACAGAGCCAGTGCAAACAGGAGGCTCTGGCAACTACTTTTGTTGAAAGGAATAAAGTCCTTTGCCTCTGACCCAGAGGGTTTCTGTCTTCTGCCAGAATGTCAATCTGTGGCAAATGAACTTGTAAACTTGCAAGTAGGTTAAAATCATAGGCCCTCTACCATTCTTGACACATAGATTTAAACTTATCAGTACTAAACCTCATCAGAGTGCGCAAGTTCTCTGCTTCCCTTTGCAATTTGCATCAAAGTCAACTCCACTAATATGGTCTTCATGGTCTTCCAGGCCCTGCATAGCCTGGCCCTGCCTACCTCTCCAGGATCTTGTGCCAGTTGTGTCCAAATCTCTCTGCTTTTGAGTCATATGGGGAAAAATTTGTCCCTGACATCTGGGCACTGGTATGACACTTACAATTAAGCTTCCATGTTGCTAGTAGCATGGCCTCTTGCCGATGGCTAGACCATGTTGTTCTCCAGATAGACATAAATACCAGAATCACCCAATCAAATCCCAAATCCCATAACAGATTCTTTCTATCATGATCTTTCTGAAACACCATTGTTCTTCCTGACATGCATTGTCCTTTATTGCCATGAATAGTAAACCCAACTTATTTAACTACTTGTGCATTCCTGGCACTCTTTGGCTGGAGGACATTGGCATATACACATGCTGATCTTCTTCCAGTTTATCAACATTCCATTTTCTTTCCTGCCACAGGCACTTTGCACATACTATTCCTTCTGCCTAGAACATTGTTCTCTTCACCTCCTTGACCTTGCTAGCCCCTCCCCATCTTGAAGTTCTCAGCATAAATATCACTTTCTTTAGGATGTTTTCCCAACTCCTTCGGCAAAATCTGGGTGTATTCTCTGATAGTGTGTTAGGTTTTTCCCATTATATACACTTTTCTAATTTGTAATATACATTTGTTTGTGTTACTGTTTATTTATTTAATATCTTTAAGGGTAGATACCAGTCTTCTTTGCTTATTGCTATAGCCCAGCATCTATTAGGAGGCCTAGTACATTGTGGGCACTCAGTATTCATCATTTCTTTATTCTACAAATAATTATTGCATTGATCTAGGATCCAAAGTTAAAACTGTCCAAGTCCTGGTCCTCATGGAGATTCCATTTTAGTCAGAAAAGATAACATAAGAAATGACTAAGTCCCTTAACAAATATTTATTGAGCAACTCCTAGAAACTGCACATTGTTCTGGAAGGTAGGGATGCGGCAGAGAACAAACCTGATACAATTTGTATTCTCTCAGACTTTACATTTTGTTTTACATATGTTCATGTTAGTGTATATTTATATATTAATAGATCTATATGAGGTTTAGTACTGATAAGATTTCGTGTAAAATAAACATGGTATGGTGATAGAGAATTAGAGTGGGTGCCATTTTTGGTATGATAGTCAAGGTCTCTCTGAAAAGTTGATATATGACCTGTGGAAAAATAGAAAATGCCGTCATTTGATCATGTGAGCCCTTGATGTTCATTGTAGTAAGTTTTTTATCTGAGCAAGGTGGAGAGCCATTGGAGATTGTTGAGCAAAGTAGGAAATTAACTTACATTTGAACAGGATTTCTCTGGCTGTTGTGAGGAGTACTGACTCAAGAGTGGAAGGTGAGGGACTACAGTGATAGGGAAATTAGGTAAAAGGCTACTCAATTACTCAAATGAGAAATGATGGTGGCTTAGATCATGATGCTGCGGCACATATGGAGATGCACCTCTGGAATCCTTTAAAGTGGGACTTGCCATCCAACTGAGAAAAGTGTGGTTAGCTGACAAATTCCACTTGTTAGCTACTTCAGGATCTTCAAATACTTCAAATTTTGAAATTTTGTATGTGCGCAGTGTCTCATGCCTGTAATTCTAACACTTTGGGAGGCAGAGATGGGAGGATAGCTTGGTTTAGGAGCTCAAGACCAGCCTGGGCAACATAGCAGGAACTCGTCTCTACAAAAAAATTTTTTTTAATTAGCCAGGCATGATGGCATGAACCTGTGGTCCTAGCTACTCAGGAGGCTGAGATGGAAGGATCACTTGGGGCCAGAAAGTTGAGGCTGCAGTGAGCCATGATCATGCCACTGCACTCCAGCTGGGTGACAGCGAAACCCTGCCTCAAAATTGAATTTTTTATCTTTTCCTGGGCTAGTGATATGCAGTATGATACTCTCCCATGTTGCTGGGCAGTGGCAATGAGCCACAGTTCCCAGCCAGCCAAATAATCCCAATGGTAAACAAATAATACTATACAGTGTACTGTATTCAACAAACTTATATGAAATATCCACCACCTTATTATAGAATATGTATTATGTTAGATTATTTTGGCCAACTTTATGCTAATGTAAGTGTTCTGAGTGCACTTAGGGTAGACTGGGCTAAGCTGTGATGCTCAGTAGGTTAGGTATATTATATGCATTTTTTACTTATAATATTTTTAAATTACACTGAGCTTATCTAGATGTAAACCCATGGTAAGTTGAGGAGCATCTGTAATAAATCTCTTTATATATCTCATATTGGTTCAGTTTCTCTGAAAAACTCTGACTAATACAGTCCCAAATAAAATTTTGACACTCCTAACTCTGTCTCATTATCTGCATCCCAATGAACCCAGTCTGTGACAGAGGTTAATAGAGGATAGGAGAAGTGTACAGATTCAGGATACATTTGAAGATAGAGCTGACAGAATGTGCTGATGAATCAGATATGCCATGTAAGACAAATATTTATTAAATGTTTCTTAAACAAATATGTGATAGATATTACCACTCTTCACCAATTTTGAATCTGGGAAATTCTGCACAAAGGGGAATGTCACATTTTCTTGTCCTCTTGAAGTTAGAGGTAGCAATGTTCTTTTCTCTGGTAAATGAAATATGAATGAAATTTTAAAAATGGTCACTTCCTTTTGGGAGCAATTAAGAATTGTTGAGTGTTTCTCCATGCTTTCTTCTCCCTACTCCTATAACTGGTAAAGTTCAGAGAGTATAGTCTCCATCATTATGAGTGCCTGAATGAGCTCAATGTGGATCACATACCCCTTCTGATTCATGATAAACAAGTACAGTGAACAAGAAACAAACATTGGTGTGTTAAGCTACTGAACAAGAAAATGTTATGTTTTATTACAAGGGCCTAATCTAGCTTAACCTGACTGAAATAGCTGTTGGTGCTGGAAGTGAAGTGCTACAGAGACAAAACCCATAAGAACCTAAATGACATTGACTAAGCAGTCGGGTGGTGAGGAAAAATTCATTGAGAATTCAGAGATATTAAGAACATTGTTTATGTTCACACATCTGGTAAATGGGAGAGGTGAATTTGAATGCAACTCTACTTGACTCTAAAGTCTACGTCATTTGTCGCTATAGCCTCTCAGTTTTGGCTTATGTGGTTGGATAGTGGTAATCTGTCTTTAACTGATACATTTATTCTTTCAATAAATATTATTTGTAGTAATATTGACTATGTTCTAGGCACTGTGCTAGACAGGCAGAGGAACATATAAATCAGTAAGTGAATTTTTAGTCATGTTGAGTTTTACCTGACTTCGGGACTGCTGGATGGAGAGAATGGTCCAGTAAAAATTAATTAATTAATTAATGTGACGAATGTGTCAAGCATTTATACAGTTTGTGTTACTGCTGGGGCTGGAGTGGTGAGAAAATCCCTCTTAATCATGGTTTCTAATTCTTTTTATACATCTTTGGGTTCTATTTTTAATATTTTGTTGGGTTTTTAAAAAACATCTAGGTTCATTCAAAATAATGGTCTGGCTGGGCACGGTGGCTCACACCTGTAATCTCAGCACTCTGGGAGACTGAAGCCGGAGGATTACTTGAGCCCAGGAGTTTGAGACCAGCCTGGTTAACATAGCAAAACCCTGTCTCTCCAAAAATACAAAAAATTAGCCAGGCATGGTGGTGTGCTCCTGTGGTTCCAGCTATTTGAGAGCCTAAGGCAGGAAGATCTGTTAAGCCTGGGAGATGGAAACTGCAGTGAGCCGTGATTGTGCCACTGCAGTCCAGCCTGGGTGACAGAGTGAAACCCTGTCTCAAATAATAATAATAATAATAATAACCTGTAGTTTTCCCCTTTTGTACTGCTTTTGTTTGGTTTTGGAATTAGGATAATACTTAAATCATAAAATGATCAGGAAGTGTTGCCTCCTCTTTTATTTTCTAGAAAAGATTGTGTATATTGGTTTTAATTATTCTTTAAACGTTTGGTAGACTTCTCCAGTTAAACCATCTTCGCATGGAGACTCCTTTTTCTGAAGCTTTCAATTTAAAAATTCAATATCTTTCATGGTTATAGGATTGTCAGATTATGTATTTTATCTTGGTTGGGTTTTGGTAAGTTGTGATTTTTTGAGGAATGTGTCTTTTTCTTCTATGCCATCAAACGAATGAACATAAAGTTGTCCATACTATTACTTATTATCTTTTTAATTATGTAAGCTCTACAGTGGTATCCCATTTCATTCCCGATATTGGTGATTTGTGCTTTTTTATTTTGTTTTTCTATCAAGAGGTTTATTAATTGTACTGGCTTTTTTGTCATAGAACTTCCTTTTGGTGATGTTTGCAGTGTATATCTTTTTCCATGCTTTCACTTTAATCTACCTATGTCATTTAATTTGAATTGAGTTTCTTGTAAATGGTAGCCTATCTTCTCAAAAGTTCCTGAGACCGTTTTATTTGTTTTTGGCCAATTTCCGTGTTCAGATTAGATAAATTCTATTGATATGTCCTCACTTCACCAAGTCTATCCTCTGTCTTCTCCACTAGAGCTTATCCAGGAAGTGTTTTCTTAACTCAGATATTATATTATTTCTGACTGAGAGTTTCTGTTTTTTCATTTGTTTCAAGAGAATTTCAAATTTCTTGTTGAAGTATTTTTATGATGGCACCTTTAAAAATCCTTGTCTAGGGTGTCCCAGCCCTGGAAATGAATAGGCATCTGGGTGGAGCTGCTTGTTGTGGTGGGAATATGCTGGATCCTGCTACACTGTTGCAGCCTATCTCTGGTGATAAAGGATAGCCCAACAGAGAAGAAAAGACAGCACTTTCCCTGGCCATTTACTGTCAGCAGATCCCCCTGGCCATTGCTATCTAGCTCTGTTGGTATTGATGATGGCACTTAAGTTCAATTCAGGGAAGAAATGAGCCTGCCTGGGCTTTCTGTTGTAGCTAGGTTGGTGTCTGGGAAATGTCAAGCCTGGGTTGCCTTATTCTGTTAAGTTGGGGGAGTCATGAGACACCCTACTCCTACAGGTTGCTCCCACAGCCCTGGGATCCCTTACTAGTTTGCCTTCTTCTTTCTACCTTTCAGAGATCTTTTTTGATTGCTTCTTGCATTCGTCACATAGTATATAGTTGTACTTAGCAGTAAGGAGCAGGGAAAAAAGTGAGTCCACGGACTGGATGTTCACTCATAGCATTTTTATCATTTTGTCATTTTGATTTATCTCTATTATTTTGGGGTGTATTTCTTTGTATAGATTTTTTAGTTGTTGCTTTAGATATTACATTATGTATTATACATATTATTGCATTATACATACATTTCTTATTATAGTTTACCCATGTCCTCATTTCACCAGTTCAAGTGAAGTGTAGAAAACTTTCTAGGCTTTAATTCCCTTTGCCTCCCCTATTTATGATACAATCATCTTAAACATTAATATTTTTCTAAATACTTTATGAACCATACAAGACAATGCTATAACTTGTACTTCAATTGTCAAACATAATATGGAAAACTAAAGAGAAGAAAAGTGGGTTGTATTAACCCCTAATTTTGCTCTTTTCATTGTTCTTTCTTCCTTCCTGATGTTCCAAGATTTCTTCCTTTATCATTCTTTTCTGTTTATGTTCTCTAACCATTCATTCAGGGCAGATCTATTTGTGACAAATTCTCTTAGTTTCTTTAAGTCTCAGACTATCTTGGTTTCCTCTTCTTTTCTGAAAGATGTTTTCACTGGATATAGATTTCCAGATTAATAGCTCATTTCTTGTAGCACTGGAAAAAGGCTTTGTCACTTCCTTCTAGACATCATGATTTCTGATGAAAAATCCACTGTCAACCTAATTGCTTCCTCTTTGTAGATAATGCATCACTTCTCCCTTGCTGCTTTCAGGAATTTTCCCCCCAAATTTGAAAATTTTTCTACTAGTATTTCTTCAAACATGCTTCCAGCTCCCACTCTCTTTCTTGCTTTCTGTGAGGCTATGATGGCAGGAATATTAGGTCTTTTGTAATAGTCCATCAAGTACCTGAGGTTCTGTTCTTTTTTTCCCAGTATACGTTCTCTCTTTGTTCATATTAGGTAATTTTTATTATTCTATTTCAAGTTCACTGATTCAATCTTCTGTCTTCTCTAGTCTGCTTTTGAGTCCATCCAGTGATTTTTTAAAATTTTGGTTTTCATATTTTTAGTTCTAAAATGTATCTTTGAGTTTTCTTTATGTCTTCTATTTCTTTGCTGAGACTTTCTATTTTTTATTTGTTTCAAGCGTGTTTGTAAATGCACATTGAAACCTTTTTATGATGGCTGCTTTAAAATACTTGTCCAATAATGCCAACATCTGTGTCATCTCAGTGTTTTTTTCTTTTTGGGACGGAGCCTCGCCCTGTTGCCCAGGCTGGAATGCAATGGCGTGATCTCAGCTCACCGCAACCTCCGATTCCTGGGTTCAAGCAATTCTCCTGCCTCAGCCTTGCGAGCAGCTGGGATTACAGGTGGCTGCCACTACGTCCGGCTAATTTTTGTATCTTTAGTAGAGGTGGGGTTTCACCATGTTGGCCAGGCTGGTCTCGAGCTCCTGACCTCATGATCAGCCTGCCTCGGCCTCCCAAAGTGCTGGGATTACAGGCGTGAGCCTCGGTGTTTTTTATGTTATGAGACTCTGGATATTATTTAAATCTTTTGTTTCAGCAGATCTTCTCTGATACCATATCAGTGGGGAAAGGAGGAGTGTTGCCCTATAACTGCTAGGTGAGTATGGAAGTCCAGATTCCCCACTTAGCCTCCCTTGGTACCCAGAGAAGGAGGGGTTCCTCATTACTACTGGGAAAAGGGTAGGAATCCCCACCAGGCCAACACTGAATTACTCTGTCTCTGTGTTGTAGGGGGTACCTCATTACTGTTTCCAATATGGCCTCTACTGAAACCATGGGGGAATGCCTCCTTATTACCAGGTGGGGATGAATGTCACAGCCTCCCATTCATCCTCCTCTGAAACCACCCCAATGAGGGAGAAGTAGTGCTTTGTTATAACCAGGTGAGAATGCAAGTCTAAGCTCCCAACTTGGTCTTTGTTAGTCCAGAGGTGGAGTAAGGCCACATTCTTTGCCATGAAATTTGGCTGGAGTAGGGTGGTTATTTTCTAAAGTTTTCTATATTGTTATGCTGATCCTTTCCTGGTCCTTTGGCTAGAAAGACAAGGCTCTTCTTGGGCTTTTTTTTTTCTGTGCCCTTAGCATTTCTGGGTTTCTAGATTCTGCAGTACCCAGACTTGGATATGTAAGGCAAAAGGAAAATGAACAGTCTCACTTCTGTGTTGCACCTCATGTTCTGAAGTTCCTAGCTGGTCAGGTTTCTTCTCTCTATGTTTCAAAACCTTCTTATATAGGTTTTATATACTATGTAAGGGTTTTTAGCTATATTTAGTGGGAAGAATAGGGAGAAGTGCATCTTCTCCATTTTGTTCTAGAACCAAAACCTGACTGGCAATTCTAAATGAGAATTTTAGTTTGCAAATGGGCTAACGATTTGCATCTTTGCATTCACATGTTCTCTTCCTGTCTGCCTAGGAAAACAAATTTTATTAAGAAGCTTCCTTGGTGAGCAAATAAGAGTCAGAGACAAGTGATTCTTACTAGTTATGTCAAGGAGCCTAACATGTTTATCACTGCTACCAAAAGGAATTTAATGTTCAATTTTTATTTTCATGCACCATTTTTCTGGGGTCTATAATAACAGCCCATTCCTCCTTTCTTTACTAGTTTTTCTTCAGTCTGTGCCCAATGTAGTTCATTAGGTTTCAAATTTCTTGGATTCTATCCTACCCCTTTGATGTTTCATTCTTGTCATTCATATAGACCTCGATATTGTTAAATTGCCTCAGATACAAATTTGCATATATAGTGTACATGGTAGCCAATGGTATATCACACAAGAGCATTTGGTATCTGAATAATCCTTGATAAAATTGTTAAAGTGAAGTGAACATACGTTATGGGTGTTATAAAGTGACTTGATACGTTTAACAAGAGATAGGATTCAGTTATCTAACATTCTTGTGATCAGTAATATTAAAAATATTGTAGCACACTAAAGACATAAAAAGGTATAAAGAATGGTGCAATGCAGTCCCATGTACTCACCATCCAGCTTAAGAAATTAAACTACATTAAACTATATTAATGCTTGTTTTTGTATTCTTTGAAACATTATTACGGCTCTGCAAATTTTGAGGACAAAGTAAAGACTGTAGGCGTTGATGTCAGATCGAGGTTCTAGTCCAAAGTTTACTATTTATTAGTTAATTGACCTTAAGCAAGTCATTTAACCTCTTAGAAACTATGTTTCCTCATCTGTAAAAGAGTAGGGATAGTGCCTGTTTCACAAGGTAGTTGTGATAGTTAAATGAGATAATTTTGTTATTAAGGTGCCTCATCACAGTGCCTGACACCCAATAAATGCAGTTTCTATTGTCATTTTGTGTCATCCTAAGTATGCAGGGGAAACAAAAGTAAGCCTTTATTCTTGTCTTCAAGGAGTTTGTCAAAAAGTAAGAAGGATAAAGTAGGCATACAAATAGCTACTATAAGATGTATAATAACATAAATTCCATTATCAAAATGCTGTGAGAGTTCAAAGGTTTGGAACATGCTGAGATCTGGAGATGTAGCTTTTTTTTTTTTTTTTTTTTTGAGATGGAGTTTTTTGCTCTTGTTGCCCAGGCTGGAGTGCAATGGTGTGATCTCGGCTCATCGCAACTTCCGCCTCCCGGGTTTAAGCAATTCTCCTGCCTCAGCCTCCTGAGTAGCTGGGACTACAGGCATGCACAACCACACCCGGCTAATTTTGTATTTTTAGTAGAGACGGGGTTTCCCCATGCTAGTCATGGCTGGTCTTGAACTCCCAACCTCGGGTCATCCACCTGACTTGGCCTCCCAAAGTGCTGGGATTACAGGCGTGAGCCACTGCGCCTGGTCGAGATGTAGCATTAAAACTAGGAAAGCAAGTATATTGCCATACCCCTCCTATATCCATGGGCGGACACTACTTTTTGATCTCAGATATGACCTCAATTTTTTTTCTCAACATATTGATTCAGGGAATCATAACTAATCAATTGGAGTTGTCCTTGAAATAGAGTATGTACCTAAAGTATGACACTCCTGGGAGGACATGAAGAAGAAGGGGACATAGGCTGAGAGTGCCAAATAGCAGAAATAAAAGCGATAGAACGGTATCAAATTTTAAAGACAGTCATTGCTGGTGAATTTTGAGAAACAAGTTATATTAAATTGAACCTATAGTAAAGGGCATAGGAATTGTTGGGGTTGTGGGCATCAAAGAACGTTGAGACTAAATTTGGATGGATAATCCAAATAAATCTTGAGGTTATTTATGATAATGGCAGAAATTGCAGGGGGAAATAAGAACCAGCTACATGGTGAGGAGCGATGACCAAGAACATAGCATAGTATAACAAGGAAGAGGATTTGTGTACATGTTGACTCCCACTTACTAGATTGCGGTACCTGAAAGTCAGGGAATCATACTTCATCATCCTGGAATCCTAGCATCTAATACAGAGTACAAAGCATTGAATATATGGATGAATGAATTAGGGAATGTGTGGTGATCATCAAACGAGTGTAAACAATATATTTGAGAACAAGTTGAAAATACCACCCTAAAAGAGTTTATATTGGGGTTAAAAAGAAGTATTTAAAATTGAGTTTCCTTTGAGTAAATCATGCCCTCCTTTTCCTGAGATTAAATTGGTAATTTACCTTATTGATCACTCATTATTATCTCAGTCTATGTCAAAGCTTCTTATCCGTGGCTGCAAGTTAGAAACACCTGAGTAGTTTAAAACATATCCCAATAACCTGGCTGCACCCCAGGCCAAATCAGAATCTCTGGGGATGTGACCTAGTCCTCAGTATTTTTAAAAGCTCCCCAGATGACTTGTGCTGCCAAGATTGAGAACCACTGAGTGACGACAAGATAAGACAGGGTACAGGTGTGTTAACTTGTATAACTACATAAAATTCAGTATTACAGCTAGAATTAATTGTAGCAGTCTTTTTTAAGAAATGAAATATCTCAAACTCAACTTCTGTTTACAATGTTTATTTAACAACTACCTAGTACTCAATATAGAGTTTGTTAACTGGAGGACTATAGACAGGTTGAGTTTGGTTATCACAGTGCTGAAAGTTTTACATCAATTGCCAACATTTTATGGATAAAATTCAGTAGATTTCATGTAAAATTAGGAACTTCAAACTTCTCTTGAAAATCAGAAGATTTGGTAACTTGATATTTGCATTCCCTAGAGGTACCAATCAATCGAAACTGAGTAGTAGCTGCTAGCTGCTGCCCCATTTAGATGGAAATAGTCAATTTTGTGGGGTTTTTTATTTTTATTTTTTTGAGATGGAGTCTTGCTTTGTTGCCGAGACTGGAGTGCAGTGGCACGATCTCGGCTCACTGCAACCTCCACTTCCCAGGTTCAAGTGATTCTCTTGCCTTAACCTCCTGAGTAGGTGGGACTACAGGCGCGTGCCACCATGCCCGGCTAATTTTTTGTATTTTTTAGTAGAGACGAGGTTTCATCACGTTAGCCAGGATGGTCTCGATCTCCTGACCTGGTGATCCACCCACCTCGGCCTCCCAAAGTCCTGGGATTACAGGTATGAGCCACCGTGCGTGCCTGGCCTGTTTTTTTTTTTTCTTTCTTTCTTTCTTTTTTTTTTTTTTCGCTCTCATTAGAGGTTAATCAAGTTTACTGATCTTGCAGAACCAGCTTTTGGTTTCATTGATTTTCTCTGTTGTTTTTTATCATTTCTCTTACATTAGTTTCCACTTTGATTCTTATTATTCCCTTTTTTTCCTGCTTACTTTGGGATTTTCACTTTTTCTTAAGTTTCTAAGGATGAACATGAGGTCATTGATTTGAAATCTTTCTTCTTTTCTAATGTAGATATTCATTGCTATTAATTTCCTCCTAAGTACTTCTTTAACAGCATCCCACAAATTCTAATATAGTGCATTTTCATCTTCCATTAGGCTAAAAATACTTTTTTTTTTTTTTTCAGACCAGAGTCTTGCTCTGTTGCCAGGCTGGAGTGCAGTGGCACGATTTTGCCTCACTGCAACCTACGCCTCCCTGGTTCAAGCGATTCCCCTGCCTCAGCCTCCCGAGTAGCTGCCACCATGCCCAGCTAATTTTTTCTATTTTAGTAGAGACGAGGTTTCACCATTTTGGCCAGGATGGTCTTGATCTCCTGACCTCGTGATCCGCCTGCCTTGGCCTCCCAAAGTGCTGGGATTACAGGCATGAACCACCGTGCCCAGCTTAAAAATACTTTTTAATTTCCCTTTTCATTTAATCCTATGATACATGAGTTATTTATAAGTTTGTTATTTAGTTTCCAAATGTTTAGGGATTTTCCAGAGTTTATGCACTATTGATTTCTTAGTTAATTCCATTGTTATCTAAAAATATACTTTGTATGGCTTGAATCCTTTAAAATTTACAGGGAGATGTTTTATTCCACAGAATATGGTCTATTTTGGTAAATGTTCCATATGTATTTGAGAAGAATGTACATTCTATTGTTGATTAGAGTGTTCTATAAATGTCAGTAAGGTCTAGTTGGTTGATTGTGTTGTTCAAATCTGCTTTATATCATTTTGACTTTTCTGCTTACATTGAGAGAAGAATATTAAAATCCCTTACTGTATTTGTGGATTTGAATATTTCTCTTTGCAGTTCTATCAGGGTTTGCTCCATGTATTTCTTTTATTAAGTACATAAGCATGTATGATTATTATGTCTGCTTATGTAATTGACTAAGTTATAACTTTTTTTTTTTTTTTGAGACGAAGTCTTGCTCTTGTCCCCCAGGCTGGAGTGCAATGACGCGATCTCAGCTCACTGCAACTTCTACCTCCCGGGTTCAAGCGATTCTCCTGCCTCAGCCTCCTGAGTAGCTGGGATTACAGGTGCCTGCCACCATGCCCAGTTAATTTTTGTATTTTTAGTAGAGATGGGGTTTCACCATGTTGGCCCGGTTGGTCTCGAACTCCTGACCTCAGGTGATCCGCACGCCTCGGCCTCCCAAAGTGCTGGGATTACAGGTGTGAGCCACTGTGCCCGGCCAGTTATAACTATTAAATATCCTTCTTTATCCATGTAATATTCTTGGCTCTAAAATGTACTCTGTCTCCTCCAAATTTAGCCTCTCTGGCTTTCTTTGCACTAAAGTTAACGTGGCATATCTTTGTCACATCTTTTAGTTTTATTATATTTGTGGCTTTAAAACTAACGTGCAATAGATAGCATATAGTTGTGTCTTACATTTTTATTCAGTCTGCCAATCTCTGACTTTAAATTGGGGTGTTCAGACCTGTTACATTTAATGTCATTTATTACTATGATTTGGTTTGAGTCTAGTATTTTTTTATTTGTCCCACCTGCTCTTTGTTCCCTTTTCCCTGTTTTCTGTCTTCTTTTGATTAGTCAAGCATTTTTTCTTTCTTTCTTTCTTTTTTCTGAGACGGAGTTTAGCTCTTGTTGCCCAGCCTGGAGTGCAACGGCACCATCTCAGCTCACCGCAACCTCTGCTCCAAGGTTCAAGCGATTCTCCTGCCTCAGCCTCCCGAGTAGCTTGGATCACAGACATGTGCCACCACACATGGCTAATTTTTGTATTTTTAGTAAAGACGGGGGTTTCCCCATGTTGGTCAGGCTGGTCTCGAACTCCTGACCTCGTGATCCGCCTGCCTCGGCCTCCGCAAGTGCTGAGATTACAAGCATGAGCCACCGCGCCTGGCCTAGTCAAGCATTTTTCTGATTCTATTTTATCTCCTTTGTCAGTTCATTACTTGTAACTTTTTGTTTTGTTATTGTAGTGATTAGTCAAATTTCATTTTAAAGGCTTTAAATAATGAGGATTTTAAAAAATATATTTATCCTTTTCACTACCATTTCTGGCCCTCTTAATTCCTTTCTGTAGATACATATTTCCACCTAGTATCATTTTCCTTCTGCATGAAAGACTTTAACATTTCTTGTAGTACAGTTCTGCTAGTAATGGATTATTTCAACTTTTCTATGTCTGGGAAATGTCTTTATTTTACCTTCGTTTTGAAAGATCCTCTACAGAATTTTACTTTGACATTTTATTCTTTCAGTATATTAAAGGTGTTTCTCCATTGTCTTCTCGTTTGCATTATTTCCAATTAGAAATCCAATGTCGGCTGGGCGCGGTGGCTCATGTCTGTAATCCCAGCACTTTGGGAGGCCGAGGAGGGTGGATCCCCTGAGGTCAGGAGTTCGGGACCAGCCTGGTCAACATGATGAAATCCCGTCTCTACTAAAAATACAAAAATTAGCCGGGTGTGGTGGTGGGCGCCTGTAATCCTGTACTTGGGAAGCTGAGGCAGGAGAATCGCTTGAACCTGGGAGATGGAGGTTGCAGTGAGCAGAGATCATGCCACTGCACTCCAGCCTGGGTGACAGAGTGAGACTGTCTCAAAAAAAAAAAAAAAAAAAGAAGAGAGAAATTCAATGTGATTGTTATCTATATTCCTCGGTATATAACATGCTTCTTATCTCTAGCTGCCTCTAAGATTTTCTCTTTTTCACTGATTTTAAGCAATGTGATTATAATGTGCATTGGTGTAGCTTTCTTCATTTTTCTTGTTCTTGGGATTCATTTATCTTATTAGTTCTGCAGATTTATAGTTTTCATCAAATTTGGAAATTTTCAGTTATTATTGCTTTAATTTTTTTCTATCTCCTCCCACTCTATCTTTTAGAGACTCCAATGACCCATCTATTAGTCAGTTGAAGTTGTCCCACTTTTCACTGATGGTCTTTTAATTTCTTAGAATTCATTTTGTCCCTGTGTTTTATTTTGGATAGTTTACATTGCTATGCCGTCACGTACACTACAATGTTCTTCTGCATATCTAATCTGCCGTTAATTTCCATCATCATGTTTTTCATCTTAAAAATTTTAGTTTTCACTTCCAGAATATCTATTTTGGTATTTTTCATATCTTCCATGTCTCTACGTAACTTTTTGAACATATGGAACATAGTTATAATGTCTACTTAAATGTCCTTGTCTGCCAATTCTAATGTCTCTATTAGCCGTGGCTCAATTTCAATTGTTTGTTTTTTCTCTCAATATAGCTCGTATTTCTATGCTTTTTTTCATTGTTCATAATTTTTAATTGGATATTAGATAGACATTGTAGAGTGTACCTTGTTTGGTGCTGACTGTTTCTGTAGTTACATAAATATTCTTAACATAGTTCTGAAACATAGTTAAGGTATTTAGTTTGACCCTTTTGGTTCATACTTTTAAATTTTGTTACAGGACTGAAATGGTGTTCATTTTAGGCCTAATTATTTTCCACTACTGAAGCTATCCTTCTGTGCACTCTACCCAATGCTCCATGAATTTTGAGGTTATCTAGTGTAGCTGGTGAGAACACCATTATTTTTGCCCCTTCATTCACCGCAGACACTGTTAGGTCTAATCTTTTTGGGTGATTCTCTATCTGGTCTTGGGTACTTTCCTCACATGCATGCTCTCATCAGTCCTCAGTTGAATGTTGGAGGAAAATCTCTGTAGATATCTAGCTATCTACAGCTCTCTCCTCTCTGATCCTTTCTCCTGCAAAGTCTGTTCACCTCAGTCTTCCTGGATGCTCAGCTCCATCTTCTTGATGTACCATACCCCAGAAAATATTTCAAGGCAAAAATTGGGACAGTCTTTGGGCTCACCTCATTTCCCCCACCCCCATCATTCAGGGCTCACTATCCTTCATTTCTGGATTTCTGGATCTCCAATGTCTTGGAAACTGTTTCCTATAGCTGAAACATATTTTGGTTATTTCAGTTATAAGGGTAAATCTGTTACTTCTTATTCCATGTTGTCCATAACAGAACAATAAATAATTTTTTAATTGAGGTATTTTATATGCAATAATATGTACTACTCATGTGTGTATAGCTCAATTATTTCTGTATCTGTGCAATCACCATCTGGATCAAGATATTAACATTTTCAAGCACCCCTAGCAGGCTACCTCACTACTCTGTCTTATTGAAAGCTATCTTATTCTTTTGTTTTGACCTTGAGGAAACTTATGCTAGAATCAGGATAAATCTGAGTAATTTTACTGCTGCCACCCCTACTATCAATCTCCATCTTCCAGAAGTAGTCCCATTTCAGAGATTCATTTTTTTTTCCCAACAGATGGTCATTACAGAGTGAGTATTTTTGTCCAAGAATATTGGGCCTAAGTATTTAGATGTTCCCAGTTTAACATTGAAACCCACCCTGATCTCACTGTTACCAGTTTATTATTCACATAGAATACCAATAGATGCTACAGAAAGTAAGTGATGCTAATGGATTATGATTATGACTCAGATCACGAAAAGCAGCATGGTGCTGTGGAAAAAGTAATGGCTTACTTCCTCTTTTCCCTCTTTCCTGCCTAGACAAGAAATCAAAAACTTTATTTTAAAATCAGCGCCATTTTTTCCTGAATTTCTGATAGAATTGTTACTCCTATATAGCTCTGTTCCCCCTTCCTGATTTTTGTAGTATTATTTGTATACATATCATATCCATATGTATTACAAACCCAATAATACTTTATTATGATTATTACTGTACATACTCTCGGGCCTTGTAAAGAAGCTGAGAGATGAAAGGTGAGCAACTATATATTTATGGTGTTTGTCACATTAACCTTTTAATTTATCATTTCTGACTCCTATTTGTTAATGTGAATTTGAATTGCCACCTGTGTCTTTACTCCAATAAGCTTTGCTCCCATCCCCTCCCATGTGATGTTATTGGAAATTATATTGTATTTATGAATGTTATAGTCCCAACAATAAAATTGTACGCATTTTTATATAATTGTTGTTAAATGAGTTAAGAGAACAGAGAAAAAATATAGATTTACATAGCCATTTTTATTATTATATAGTTTCCTTTACCAGTATTTACTTTGTGTGTGTGGATTCTGTGCGCTCTGTGCTTTTAGGCTGAAGAAGTTTCTTTATTACATTTATTGTTAGATTTATCTACCAGCAATAAGTGTTTACAGTTTTTAAATCTGTGAATGTATTTATTTTGCCTTCATGTAAGTTTTTTATTTTTTAATCATTATTTTTTTGAGACAGGGTCTCACTCTGTCACCCAGGCTGTAGTGCAGTGGTGCAATCACAGCTCACTGCAGCCTTCACCTCCCAGGCTCAAACAATCCTCCGGCCTCAGCATCCTGAGTAAGTGGGACCACAGGCATGTGCCACTAAATTAGCCACTGGCTAATTTTTAAGTTTTTCATAGACATGGGGTCTCCCTATGTTGCCCAGGCTGGTCTCAAACTCCTGGGCTTAAGCGGTCCTCCTGCATTGGCCTCCCAAAATGTTAGGATTACAGTCATGAACCACCGTGGACAGCTGTCTTCATTTTAAAAGATAGTTTTTCTGAATGTAAGATTCTATGTTGACATTTTTTTTCTTTCAGCACTTTGAATACGTCATCCCACTATCTTGTGGTCTCCATTATTTCTAAAGAGAAGTCAGTTGGTAATATTAGTGGGGCTCCATTGTAGTTGATGAGTTGTTTTTCTCTTCTTCCTTTCAATATTATCTCTGTCTTTGGCTTTCAGCATTTTTCTGTGTATGGTTCTTGCGTTTATCATACTTGAAGTTTACTGAACTTATTGGATATATAATTTTTAAAATCACATTTTGTAATTTTATCAGTCATTATTTCTTTGAATACTTTTTTCCTGCTCCCTTTTCTCTCCTCTCTCCTTATTGTACATCTGTTATGTGTATATTTGTGGGCATAATGGTGTGCTGCCTTTTTCTGGGGCTCTGTTCATTTTTCTTCATTTCTTCTTCTCTCTGTGCCTCAGACTGGTGAATCTTAATTGATTTATCTTCAAGTTTGTTGATTCTTCCTTCTGCCTGCCCAGGTCTGTTATTGAGCTCCTCCCAGGAATTTTTCACTTACACTTTTCAACTCCAAAATTTTAATTTTTCTGTTTTATAATTTCTATATCTTTACTAATATTCTCTATTTGTCAACATACCTCCTTTCCTTCTTTAAGCGTGGTTTCCCATGGTTCTTTGTATGTATGCATAAAGGCTGATTAAACATTTTTTCTGTTATATCTGACATCTAGGCCATCCCACCGGCAATTTCTGTTGCCTCCTTCTAATTCCTGTGCATGGGTCAGACACTTCTGTTTGTTTGCATGTCTCATCATTTTTTTGTAAAACATATTGTCTTTTTTCATGATCTGTTACGCTGTCTGCCTCTGTTAGTATCATTCCCTGCTATTAGGCTCCACTAATTGCCGGCTGATTTGCTCTATTGTTTTGGATAACACCCTTGGGCATAAATTACTCAACAGTCTGATCCATTAAATTTGACCCCTTTGCAGGAATAGTTTTTGAAGTCAAACTGAAGTTCCTTCTGACTCTAGGAGGACTCTTGTTAGCTGTCTCTTTCTCTGATCCTCCCTGGAAAACTACCTGGCTTGTGGTTTATTTTGCTTCTCTCATGGATCTACCAGACTGTTCTCAATGCTCACCACTAAAAACTTCATTGTTTTTGAGATTGTGCTTGTGCTTGAACTTACCACACTCTGTTCCAAATAAATTCAGTTTTATTGCAGAGAGCTTTGAAGCTCTCTTCTTATGGCCAGTCTCCCTCCTGGGCAAAATCACTGCACCACTGCTCTGGGGCTTGGAGTAGAAACAGTGGACTGCTTCTCTCAGAGTGAAAGCCCTACTTTATGAGTTGAGCACTGGGTAGAGGCAGCACCCTCTGGTCTTCTTGGCTTGTCTCTGCCACTGTGGAACCTGCACTCTATGAGCAAACTTGAACGAGGGATATTAAAACTCCAGTATTTTTGGCCTGCCATTCCTGACATAGAGTTTCCACCCTATAAATGGTGGCTAGGTAGAGGAAGGGCACCCTGGGCCTCTCAGCTGCACTCACTTTGAATTTAGACTCTGCAACATAAAGCTGGAGGTGATGAAAAATACTAATACTGGTGGCCTGCTCACCCCAAGGGAGAAATAATAGCCCTTAACCAGGAGACTGGGGAAGAGGAGGCTATATTTTCTTGGCCATACCCACCCAAATGATAGCTTTAATCACGCTGATTTTGATGGGGGAGGGATTGAGTAGGTCATGGCTCAAGTGCCGCAGACTTTCACTGTTCTTACTGACATTTATATTTTTTGAATAAATGTTTCTTCATTTGTTCTATGCCTTTAGAGAAATTTTCTGAGACTTTATATGGTTGTTTTAAAAATAATTTTTAGCAGTTATGGTTGTTTCCCTGTGCGGATGGTCTGTAGAACACCTGATACTTCCTTTCTGGAAGTCTGTGTTTTTATTCATACAAAAGCTGAGATTAATGGATATCTTCAAATTAAGTAGAGTGAAACTCAGTAAGAAATCAGTAAAAGGGAAGGCAAAACAAAAAGCTGCAGGATAAATAAATTTAGGTTATTTGCATTAGCTGCTCATATCAGTAGGGAAAAAATAGATTCAGTCAAAATATGTTTTTGGAAAAAGAAAGTAAACCACCTGGAAGAAAAAAATATAAAATGGGATTTTCCCTCATATGTCATCTAGAATAAATTCCTAATGGATCAAATATTTAAATTCAAACATTGATACATTAGACGTAACAGGAGAGCTGTTCATAATCTTGGAGGAGAAAAAGGTTTTCTAAGTATGCTTACAAGAAATTCACATCAGTAGCCTAAAAGTAAAAAGATGGAAAGGTATATCATGAAAGCAGTAATCAAAAGAAAGATAGAGGGCCAGGTGCAGTGGCTCATGTCTGCAATCCCAGCACTTTAGGAGGCTGAGGAGGGCCAATAGCTTGAGCCCAGGAGTTTGAGACCAGCCTGGCAACATGCCAAACCCCTGTCTCTACCAAAAAAAAATAAAACAAATTAGCTGGGCATCATGGTGCACACCTGTGGTCCCAGCTACTCAGGAAGCTGAGGCCAGAGGATCACTTGAGCCTGGGAGTTTGAGGCTGCAGTGAGCTGTGATTGCAACACTGCACTCCAGTCTGGGCAACAAGGTAAGACCCTGTCTTCAGAAAAAAAAAGAAAAGAAAAGAAAAGAAAGCTGGAGTGGTTATATTAATATCAGACAAATTATACTCCAGAGCAAAGATAATTCCCAGGAATAAAGAAGGGCATTATATAATAATAAAAAGGTTCCATTCACCAAGAAGACATAACCTTCCTACATGTGCGTACACTAACAAAAGAGTTTCAAAATACGAGGGGACTTCAAAAAGTTTGTGGGAAAATATAATTAAAAGATAAAAATAAAAACTATAAACTTTATTTCTCAACATTAGCTCCATCAAGTTCAAAACACTTTTGTAAGCAAAGATTCCAGCCATTTAGTCCATATCTAAAGAACTGAAGGGCCTGGAAATTTAACCATGTTAATGTAGGTTTTTGTTTGTTTGTTTGTTTGTTTTTTACATTATTAATCGAAGAGAAACAAGCACCTTTTAAAGATTTTTTTAAGATTAGGAAACAAAAAGAAGACTGAAAGAGCCAAATCAGGACTGCATGGTTGATGCCTAATGATTTCCCATCAAAACTCTCTCAAAATTGCTTTTGTTTGATTAGAGGACTGAACAGGAGCACTGTTTATGTGAAGCTTTTCTGGGTGTTTTTCTGCTTAAGCTTTGGCTAACTTCCTCAAAACACTCTCATAATAAACAGATGTTACTTTTCTTTAGCCCTCCAGAAAGTCAACAAGCAAAATGCCTCAAGTATACCAAAAAACTGTTTCCTTTACCTTTGCTCTTGACCAGTCTACTTTTCCTTTGACTAGACCACTGCCACCTCTTTGTACCCATTACTGTGATTGTGCTTTGTTTTCAGGATCTTACTGGTAAAGCCACGTTTCATTTTCTGTTATAATTCTTCGAAGAAAGGCTTCAGGATCTTGATCCCACTTGTGTAAAATTTCCATTGAAAGCTCTCCTCTTTATCTGCTGCCGATCTGGGCACAATGGTTTTGGCACCCATTGAGTGGACAGTTAGCTCAACTTTATTTTTTCAGTCAGAATTGAGTAAACTGAACCAGTTGAGATGTGTATGGTGTTGGCTATTGTTTCTGCTGTTACTCATCAGTTCCCTTCAATTAGGGCACAAACAAGTTGAATCTCTTCCTCACAAATTTATGTGGATAGTCTGCTGCTGTGAGCTTCCTCTTCAACATTGTCTCATTCCTTCTTTTTTTTTTTTTTTTTGAGACAGGGTCTCACTCTGTCACCTGACACCCTGGCACTGCACAGGGTGGAGTGCAGTTTTTGTGATTATGTCTCACTGCAGCCTCGACCTCCCTGGCTCAAGTGATCCTCCCACCTCAGCCTCCTGGGTAGCTGGGATTAGAGGTGCACACCAACACACCTGGCTAGTTTTAAAATTTTTTGTAGAGATGGCGTCTCACTATGTTGCCTAGGCTAGTCTCAAACTTCTAGGTTCAAGCAATCTTCCCTCCTTGGCCTATCAAAGTGCTGGGATTATAGATGTGAGCCACCACACCTGGCCTTCATCCCTTCTTAAAACAGGTTATCCATTTGTAAACTGCTGATTTCATTTTTTAAATTTTCTTTTCTTTTTTCTTTCTTTCTTTCTTTCTTTCTTTCTTTCTTTCTTTCTTTCTTTCTTTTTTTTGTTGAGAGTCTTTCTCTGTTGCTCAGGCTGGAGTGCAGTGGCACAATCTTGGCTCACTGCACCCTCTGCCTCCTGGGTTCAAGTGATTCTTGTGCCTCACCCTCCTGAGTAGCTGGGATTACATGTGTGCACCCGTAATCCCAGCACTTTGGGAGGCTAAGTCAGGAAGATCACTTGAAGCTTGGAGTTTGAGAACAGCCTGGCCAATGTGGTGAAACCCCATCTCTACTAAAACTACAAAAAAATATATAAACTGCTGATTTCTTTGGGCATTGTCTCTGTAAACTTTTCATAAAACATCAATGATTTCACCATGCATCCACCCAGCTTCACCATAAATATGAGGTTTTTCTTGTTTCAATTGTAGCAGAATTCATGTTACTCTCACAGGCGCTCTGTTCAAACTGATGTCCTATCCTTCATAGCGCTTCAAGCTAGATCCTGTTCGGACATGTTAGTGTTTATTTTGGTGCAAAAAATTTTTGAAATCCAGGCATAGTTTTTTTTATAATATGTATTTCCATGAACAGTTTGAAGACCCCTCATATATAAAGCAAAATCTCAGAGGCTGAAAGAACAAATAGACAAATTCACAAATATAATCAGGGACATAAACACTCCTCTCTCAATAATTAATATAATATTTTACATAGTAAATAACCAAGGATACAGAATAACTGAATATTATCAATTATCTCTAGCTGATATTTATAGAGCATTTCACTCAACAACAGGAGAATGCATATTCACATTCTTTTCAAGTGTACATGGAACATTCACCAAATTGACCATATCTTCAGTCATAAGACAAAATTTAACAAATGTAAAAGAACTGAAATCATATATTGTAAGTTTGCTGATCATAATGGAATTAAAAAAACAATAGTGGAAAATAACAGGAAAATCTCCAAATACTTGGAAATTAAACATGCATTTCTAAAGAACCCATGGGTCAAAGAGGAAGTACACACTGGAGACAGTGGCTCATGCCTGTAATCCCGGCACTTTGGGAGGCTGAGGCAGGAGAATTGCTTGAGCCCAAGAGTTCAAGACCAGCCTAGGTAACAAAGCAAGACCCCATCTCTACAAAAAATAAAAAAAGATTAGCTGGACATGGTGGTGTGCTTCTGTAGTCTAGCTACTCGGGAGACTGAAGCAGGAGGATCACTTGAGCTTAGGAGTTTGAGGTTATAGTGAACTATTATCATGCCACTGCACTCCAGCCTGGACAACAGAGTGAAACCCTGTCTCAAAAAAAAAAAAAAAAGGAGGAACTACAAAGGTAAAATTAGAGATCATTTTGCACTAAATTAGAATCAATATACAAAAATATCAAAATACAAAATATAAAGATTGGTGGGATGCAGCTAAAGCAGTGCTTAGTGGGGAACGTGAGTCAAATTGTTGAAATAAATTGTAAAAGTACCAGCAAAACTAAGGACCGACCTTATTGCTAGTTTCCTTCTTTGCTCTGACCACATTTTGGTCATTTATTCATTTAACAAACATTGATAAACACGTATTTTATGCTAGGCTCTTAAGTGTTTAAATGTCATCTTTAGCTCTAGGCTCTGGGATCCTAGTGTAGTGTCTCTGGGTGTAGCATAGTATTTGGGACATGGTAGGTGCTCAGTATATACTTGTGGACTGACTAAAAATAACCACAAGAGATCCTCCCCTGTGGTGAGAATTGTGGCGCAGATTTGGGGGCCAGGAGAACTTTCTGGAGGTAGTGGCAATAAATAATTCAGTTCTAAACTTGTTCTGAAAGTATTTAACCAGAGTACGGATTTTTATTATTGAAACATTTTTTTTCAGTTTTCATTTTCTTCCTTTTCTTGGGGAGTATGTAAAATAATGCAAGAATGCTTTCTAAATGAGTCCACGTTTATTCTTTGGATATTTGAATATGGTATGTAACTCTGGATACGATCTCAAAGCAAAAATGATTTAGATTGAAGATTTTTGTAAAAAGCTTGAAATTGAAGTATACCGCTAATACAAATGAACTTTTTAAAAGTGGTGTGCCAGAAAACAGTAAATCAGTTTGGTAAATATGTAACTGTAGACATCCAAGACAGAGAAAATGAGGCCTGAGTTAAGGGACTAAGATGAAGGGAGATATTTCTAAGGCGAATCAACAAGGAGAGGTGGCGAATTGTACATGAGGGATTTGGCAGAGATACTGCAGCTCCTGGCACGACAAGAATTAGGATTTGTAAAAAGTTAGTGATTCTCTCTCCCTGCCGGTTTACATCACAACGTAGGTGTTGATCTAGGGAGGGAGTCAATGAGATAGAGCATTGCAGAGCTTGCTAGAGAGGCACAGGAAGTTGCCTGAAGTGAAGGAGGGGGTAGCGGCTGCAGAAGCTAAAGCTTCCGCCAAACAAAAGAGGACAGCACTTCCGGTCACGCCATCGTTGCTGCCTTCTTCGTCAAGGTGAGTGTAAAGAAGGGGACTTGGTAATTCTCACAAATAAATCCCCATACACTCCAGGGAAACCTCCTTTTGTGCCTCAACGTGGGGTGGAAAGGAGAATTCATCCCCGCGTGCGTTGTATGAAGGATGCTTCTGACGCCTGTGGTTCTGATCGCCTCGCTATCTCCTCCCTTCTCCTCCGGAGATGGGGGGCCCGCTCCTGCCTCACCTCCTCACTCTGGTGGTCCCTTTAACCGCTTGACTCCTGGTCATGCTTCACCTCTCCTCTTTATCCCGTATCCTCTTCTCTGGTCTGAGCCAGCGTCATTCCCTCTACCACAGGTCACTCCTACCTCCTACCTCTCACCTCCGCCTTCTGCCCCCCATCCTGTTAACCTGCGACTCTTTGCGAGCCCCTTCCTACCCTCTGTTTTACTCCCCCTGCTGGCCTTTGGTCTTTCCTGTTCCCCTCCCGCGGAGACCAGTAAATTACGTACTTTGCAACAGTAGGTGTGACTTCAAGGTCAAGGCTTTTTTTTTTTTTTTTTTTTGGTTCTTTTAAAGTATAAGCAAAGAAGCAGAAACCTTAGAGCCCTAAGAGGCATAGGCACTTGTCCAAATGATGTTCTTTTTTTTTTTTTTTTTTAACTCTAAACAAAATTACACATCATTTAGATACTATTGCACAGGTTTCAGTCTTCTACACATTGCATTTATTTTTTTATGTTGCCATAGAATTGAATCCTCAGATTTTGGGGGGCAAACATAGTGGATTATACCTGTAACCTGGTTTCAGCTTCAGCGTAAGCTTTCCCATCCCCTGTAAAACTTCTCTTAGCAGTGAAATGGTTGACAGGAATGGCATCCAGTCACAAATTTATTACTTTATATGAGTTGAGTTTATTATGCAATTTCTTTTCTGGTCTCTGATAGCAACATTAAACAGCAAGCTGACATTTTGCAGACGAAGACTTTTTCTGAGAGCTTTGCAAGTATTACACAATCTATTTGTTGCAATGTGAAATGTACTTTTCTATTACATTTGTTACCATGTCAAATTTATCTTGTGAGAACATTAGTTATTAAATAATAATCACAGTACCGAAATGATCATTAAATTTATGCTGAGAATCAGAGTTTTCCAGGCTCTATCAGGATCTAACGAGGAATTTAACCAAAGTTCTCTTTGAATAAGCAGTGGACTCCTTCCTGTGTGTTATGCTTGCCAGACTAAGGGGTGATTATCTTTTCTAGGCCATGTATAGTTTTTATTTAAGAATAAACAATGAGGCAGAGCTTTTGTGACACCAAAACACTTAGGAAAGAGTATTGCTGATGTCTCTTTATACTCTATTCAAATCATTATTACACAGCATTTAAATATCACACTTGTTTCAACCCACTGTGCATCCATCCATTCATTCAATAATTTTTTATTGAATAATTTTTATTTGCCAGACAGTGTTCTCAGCACTGGAGATACAACAGTGGATAACAAAAACAAAGTCTTTTAAACTATAGCTGGGAGACAGACAATAACTTAATATATAAACAATATATATTGGCAAGTGGCACTGGTGTTAAATGAACGAAACAAAAAAATACATGAAGAAATAAAAAAGAAAAAAACAAAAAAAGAAATAAATATGTAATAGGTTGTAATGTGGACGGGTTCTACTATTTTAGATAGGATGGGCAGGAAGGCTTCACTGGTAAGGTGATATTTGAGCAGGAACCTGAAGGAACTGAGGGCACACACTATGCAGATATTAATGGGAAAACAGGATTTATGTCATAGTCTTTGCATTTGTTCACTCTGTTTCCTAACCCGCGGCCACCTTCCCATTCCCCTAGTGGTCACTTTTCTGCATAGCATTAATTCAACGCTCTGCATACTCAAATAACCTGATCCATTCACATTAATTTCTCATATTCTCTTCCTCCTGGCTAGCTTCTTGCTACCATTTAGGCGACTTGTCAGCCTCTTTAGGAAGACATATCACTATCTCCATATTCACCTCATCCTCAGTTTGTTGATTGCTGGTGCATTGTGTGCTATCCTACAGGATATTTGATTATCTCTCTCGCTGCTCTTACCACTTTGTGTTCATAATATGTTGTCCATAAATATTTGGTACGGTAAAGTGAAATGAATTCAGTGCTTGTTTATAAAAGATAAAACTTTTAAATATGGCTTTCCCCCTAATGTTCAACACTATTCTCTAAGGTCAGTATTATCATTGTCATTTTACTAATGCTAAAACCAAGACTAGGAGGTATGTAGTAACTTGCTAAACTGTGGTACAGTTTATGGAGTTAAGGTTTTTCAGGCACTCAGTCCTGGTCTGGTTCTCTCTATCTGTTTCTTAATGAGAAATAAAAAATATACAGAATATTTTATTATTTTATAAGACAATCCGGGTATAGAAATTTTATTTTTTGTGCTTCTTTCACAACTTAGATCATATCAGGTGCTTGAATTACTCCCTAATTATAAATATTAAGCTCTGAGAGGCATGAATAATGCCTCTTTTTACCAGAATATTTTTAAATAAAAAATTAAACAAGCAGAAGTTGAAAGAAGAGTACAATGAAAACTTTTATATTCTGGACCTAGATTCAACAACTGTTAACCTTTGCCATATTAGCTCACTCTCTCTATTACTCACTCTCTTTCTCCATGCATCCATCCATCCATCCATCCGTCCATCCGTCCATCCATCCATTTATCCATCCATCTATCTATTTTTTTATCTATTTTGGCTGAACCATTTGACACTTGCAGGCATTATTTTAAGTAAATGTAAATACATGCAGAAAAGTGCACATTGTCCTAAGTGTACAGCTCAAAGCATTTTCTTTTCTTTTCTTTTTTTTTTTTTTTTTTTTTTTTTTTTGATGGAGTCTTGCTCTGTCCCCCAGGCTGGAGTGCAGTGGTGAAATCTTGGCTCACTGCAACCTCCACCTCCTGGGTTCCAACGACTCTCCTGCCTCAGGCTCCCGAGTAGCTGGGATTACAGGCACATGCCACCATGCCTGGCTAACTTTTTTACTTTTAGTAGAGACGGGGTTTCACCATGTTGGCCAAGCTGGTCTCGAACTCCTGACCTCGTGATCCACCCGCCTGGGCCTCCCAAAGTGCTGGGATTACAGGCGTGAGCCACCGCGCCCGGCCAGCTCAAAGCATTCTCACAAAGTGAACTCGGCTGTGTAACCAGCATCAAGATCGGGAAATTTTGAAAGCCCCTAAATGTATCCCTTATTTGTTACTATTCCAAATTAATCACAATCCTGTCCTCTGTCATTGTATAATAATAATTTTGTCTGTTTTTAAACTTTAAAAAGTAACACAGTTTGTGTTAATTTTTTGGCTTGAGGATTTGTTTTTGAGATTCATCCATATTATTGAGTGTAGTAGTAATTCCTCTATTTTCATTGCTATTCCATTGTATGAATGTACCACAATGTAGTTATCCTTTTATTGTAGATGACATTTTTGTTGTTTTCATTTTCAGCTTGCAAATAGTATTGTGAGCATTCTAGTACATGTCTTTTGGTGATATATTCACACATTTCTGTTGGACATATACCTAAGAGTAGAATTGCTGAATCACAGGTTATGTATAAGATTAATTTTAGTAAATACTGCCAGCCAGCTTTCCAAGGTGATTGTACGAGAAGACTCCTAACATAATTTTTTTTTTTTTTTGAGACAAAGTCTTGCTCTGTCGCCCAGGTTGGAGTGCAGTGGCGTGATCTCAGCTCACTGCAACCTTCGCCTCCCGGGTTCAAGTGATTCTTCTGCCTCAGCCTCCCGAGTAGCTGGGATTACAGGTGACCACCACTACGCCCAGCTAATTTTTTGTATTTTTAGTAGAGATGGGGTTTCACCATGTTGGCCAGGCTGGTCTCGAACTCCTGACCTCGTGATTCTCCAGCCTCCACCTCCCAAAGTGCTGGGATTACAGGCCTGAGCCACTGCACCTGGCCAGAAATTTTTCAGAGTGGAAGTTGCTCTAGAATATAGCCAACACTTGCCTTTGTCTTGGTAGCTATTCTAATGGTTATGAATGGTATCTCACTGTGGTTTTATTTCGCATTTCTCTGATGATGGACCTTTCCATAAGTTTGTTAGTCTTTTGGATATTTTTTATGAGGTGCCTGTTCAAATCTTTTGACTACTTTTTCTCCTGGGCTAACTTTTTTTTATTGATTTATAGGAGCTCTTTCTATATTAAGGATGTGAATGCTTTGTCAGATATATGTATTACAAATCTCAGTGGCTTGTATCTTCAGTCTCTTCATGGTGTCTTTTGATGAACTGAATATCTGAATTCTAATATCATTCCGTTCATTATTTTTTTTCATTTATGGTTAGTGCTTCTTTGTACTGATTAGGAAACTTTTATATTTCCCAAGGCCATGAAGATAGTTTCCTAGGCTGTGTTATTGTTTAACCTTTCATATTTATGTTTATAATCTGTAATTGATTTTTGTGTATATTGTCAGTATGGGTATATGTAAAGGCCCTTTTTTTGTTGTTGAAGTGACATTCAGTCAACCCCAAACCACTTATTGAAAAGATCATTCTTTCCCTTTTGTAGTGCCATCCTTTTCATTAACTCAAATATATAAATCAATAATTTGATATAGTTCTGAATTCTGTTCAGTTTGGTTTGTCTATCCTTGTATGAATACCACTGTCTTAATTAATGTAACTTCACAACATGCCTTATGTATGGTTATGTGAGTCTTACACTTTTGTTCTTTTTCTTCAATAATGCCTTGGTTATTCCTGGTCTTTTTCCTTATACGTTTTAGAGCTAGTCAATTTCTACAAACATTCTTCTTGGCATTCTGATTGAGATACCATCTAACAGATCAGTTTAGGGAGCAGATATCATGGCACGTCACCCTTAAATATCTCAGCATTCATCTCCTAATATTAGCATTACTTTGTAGTAATTAATTACCATTATCTCACTAAGGAAAATTAATGATTCCCTAATATCAACAAATACCTAATCTTTTCAAATTTATTTTCCTCAATAAGCCTTTGTAAGCTGGTATTTAAAACTATCATCCAACCTAGATTAATGTATTGTTAAGTTTTTGGGGATTTTATTGGTGTTATTTTCTCTCCTTTGTTGAACTTGTGAATATTTATATATTTAGTACTTTTCAATCCATTGCAGTCATTATTTCTTCTGTTGTTCCAACTGTCCAATCATGTCAAGTGGGAGCCCATTCACATTCACATTGGCTTCTGTGTCTTTTCTCTTTTGTTACATACATTTTCAAATATATTCAAAGTAGAAAATAGTAAAATAGGCTGTGCATGGTGACTCACCCCTGTAATCCCAGCACTTTGGGAGGCCGAGGTGGGAGGACAACTTGAGCCCAGGAGTTTTAGACCAGCCTGGGCAACAAAGTGAGACCCCATCTCCACAAAAAATTTAAAAATTAGCTGGACATGGTGGCATGTGCTTGTAGTCCCAGCTACTTGGGAGGCTGAGGGGGGAGGATCGCTTGAGCTGGGGAGTTTGAGGCTGAAGACAGCTGTGATTGCACCAGTGCACTCCAGCCTGGGCGACAGAGTGAGACCCTGCCTTAGAAAAAAAAATAGTAAAATAAACATGAATGTATCCATTCCCCAGCTTCAATAATTAACAACATTTTGCCAAAACTGGCAAGTTTTGTTTTATCTATTCTCACCCATTTTTTTCCACATCCCAGATATGTCATTACACAGGTGAATAACTCAGTATGTATCTCTAATTCATAGGTGCATTAAGTAACCACCACGTCATTATTATACTTAGTAAGATAAATAATAATTTCTTTCTTTTTTCTCTTTTTTGAGACGGAGTCTTGCTCTGTGCCTGGTGAATTGTCTTAAAGTTATAGTTATACAGTAGCTTTGTTAAGTCAGTATCCAAACAAGGACCATTTATTGCCAATGGATGTTTTTCTCTTAAGCCTTATAAAGCCCTTGCATAGTCCCCTTTTTATTTTATTTTATTTTATTTTTTTTTTGAGACGGAGTCTCGCTCTGTCGCCCAGGCTAGAGTGCAGTGGCGCGATCTCTGCTCACTGCAATCTCCGCCTGCCGGGTTCACGCCATTCTTCTGCCTCAGGCTCCCGAGTAGCTGGGACTACAGGCCCCTGCCACCATGCCTGGCTAATTTTTTGTATTTTTAGTAGAGACGGGGTTTCACTGTGTTAGCCAGGATGGTCTCGACCTCCTGACTTTGTGATCCACCCGCCTCTGCCTCCCAGAGTGCTGGGATTAATTACAGGCGTGAGCCACCGCGCCCGGCCCCTTAGTCTCCTTTTTGAAAGATCGTTGATTAATTCAAGAAACTACGTCATTAGTTCTATAGACTGTCTCATCTGGATTTAGATGATTGCTTCCTTGAGGTGGCATTTATTTTGTTTTCTCATCCTCGTGTTTCCTATTTACTGACATTTAGAGCTAGAGGCTTGATTAGATTCAATTTTGATTATTTTTTAAGAGAAAGACTCATTTTAGGCAGTGCTGTTTACTTTCTATTGTATTTTATCATGTCTAATTTTATCTTTTTTTTAATTGATGCTGGGATTGATTTGTCATTTCAGGGTGTTTGTCGGGCTGATCTCTCCATTGTAGCTTTTCCCACCAACCTTTCTTCTGTTGGTTTTAGCAGCCATTGATGATAATTGCCTAGATTCATTATTTCTGTAGAGGTTGAAAAATGGTGATATTTAATTCTTTCAATCTTTCTGCATTATTAACTGGAATTACTTTATAAAGAAGACTTTTTCCTTATCAGCTATTTTTTGTCCTGAAGTATATTTCATAATAATCAAGATAAATGATGCTGCCGCTGCTGCTTTTTTTCATTTATCAGTGTTCATAGTAATGAGTTGGTTTCTTAGCAACCGCCACTGTTTTCTTTAATATCATTAAGAATTCATGGATTTTTATGTATTTTAAGTGTATCAACCCATTGTGGTCATTTTTTAATGCTTAAACAGTGTCATCTTATAAATTAGGAGCCCCTTCTGTTTTCACTTCTATGTTTTTTTTCACATTATCTCGTTAGTCTTTGTTGGCGTCCTTGCTTTTTGGCATAAGCTATTTTAGGCTCATCATGTACACTCCCTGCCCCACCCCTGGAATTAGCCATTTTACAAGGAACTATGTAATTTTTCAGTGAACCTTGGTATTTAGAAACTAAGATGGGAATACTCAGGGGATTATTATTTTAAAAGTCATGCTACCTGATCTTTAGTTGTGCTCTTTTCCCTGCTATTGTGAATACATTGGAATGACTCTTGCAGCATTTTATTGAAAATTCGCTAAACATGGCTTTCATTTGTTTATGTAGTCATTCATTCAGCCAAAATTTATAGAATGCTTACTATCATGTATCTGGTCTTATGCTGGGCACAGGGAATGTGAGGGTAAACCTGACTGGTCTCCTGTCCTTGGAGAAGACTCATTCTAGTGTGGATATGAGCAAATACGCAGTGTCTAAAGAGCAGTGAACAGTACTGTGTTCATACTCTTTAGACACTGAGCATACTCTGGGCATAGGCAAATGGGCTATAGGAGCACAGAGAGGACATCCCAAAATGCTTTGGAAAGGGAAGATAATGCTTGATACTGGTGAGTAAATGAGGTATGAAGGTAGAAGAGTAATGAAGAGTGTTCCATTCAGCAAACTGGAAGAAGTAGGGGGGAATCTTGATATAGTCAAGGAAAGGCATATATGTAGTTGGTTATGATGGGAACATAATTGTGTAAGTTTTTCAGTTTTCAGAAGATTGACAAAATAGTCTATTTACCACAGACATGAAGATGTAAAATGTTGTATGTATGTGTTGTTGATTTTTATTTTAAATCTGATAATGAAATAATCCAAATTCTAATTAAAATTAGTATTTAATGTACTTCTTGGACCTGATCATATTTTTTAGTTATTTCATTAATGTTAAAGCATAGTTACAGTTAGGAGATGTCTATTTCGTGTTTTAGTTCACTGCTTCTTTATTTTTTACTATTATTTTGCTTTATACGTGTTAAGAATCTGAATTTTCAAGATATGACATTAAAAATAGTGGCATATTTATTGTGGCTCTTCATCTCCCTTCATTCTTTGGCTGCTATTTGTGTCAACCCGTTTAATACCATAATTACAGCCCCTTACATACTCACAAGGCAAAGTTGTTCCAGAAAACATGTCATCTCTCTTTATTACCAATTGGACATTATACTATACCTGTTACATTTTACAGCATGTTGCACCTGAGGCTATCCATCTGACAGATACTGCATGAATAGTATGTTAAACACAGGTTTGTGGTTTACCGGAGTGCTATGGTTTACCAGTTGGGAATTTTGGGACCGTGAGTGTGGGAGAATCACTAGGCTTAGGAAGGAACCACATCTCATATGTGGCCAGGAGGTGAAGGGGTGTTCTAGAAATCATTGAAGAATGTGGGGAAGCTTATTTTTTAAGGGGGATTCTAGAGGTCACAAAGAAAAGATTCCAGGTGGGAAGGAGAGCAGTGAAACAGTAGATTAAAGGGGAAGTGGGAGTAGATTACTACTTTTCATTCTCTCTATTTGTCTTCTTTATTATAAGAATAATATGTTCCCAGAGTCCTGAAAGGCAAGAAGTATGAGTGAACAAGCGGGGAGTCAGAGAAGGTGAGAAAGGAAAACATACACTGTCTGAGAACGTCAGATGTGATGGGAGAGCAGTGGGGGGAAGATAGATTGCAAGCCTTAGGATGGATTGATAAGTCTTAGAAAAGACAGATCATTAATTAATTAATCAGTCAATTAACTAAAAACATACTGATGACTAGCTGGATAATGAGAACATGTAATTGACTTAAACATGTTTTCAACTGAGTGAGGTAGACATAGACATTGCAACAGCGGTGCTATGCTAGAGGAGAGACCAAGGTGTGGTGCTGGCAGTAGAGACATAGAGGAAGGACCTCTAACCTACCTTAAGGGCTCAGAGAAGGCTTCCTAGAAGAGACCATATTAAGTGCACATGTACCCTAAAACTTAAAGTATAATAATAAAAATAAATAAATAAATAAATAAATAAAAAACTGAATTTTGACAAAAAAAAGCTGTGAGTGGGACCAGAGAGCAAGTGGTCATTGGTCATTTAGACGATGTAAAGTAGCTGACTGGATATGCCATTTAGCCTTGAGCTTGAAAGTACCTAAAATAATGGGCAATTTAGAGGTTACTCTGTGGTCTAGTAAAGCTAAGGAAAAGGGGCAAATGGAAAGGAATAGTTTTATAAATGGTGTCCCCATTCTCCCAGCCCATGGCAACCACTAATATACTCTCTGTCTCTCTGAATTTCCCTATTCTGAACATTTCATATAACTAGAGTCTTGAAATATGTGGCCTTCTGTGTCTCACTTCTTCCAGTTAGCATAGTGTTTTCAAAGTTTATCCATATTATAGCATGTCTTAGTATTTCCATTCCTTTTCATGGCTGAAAGATATTCCATTGTATGAGTATACCACCTTTTATGTATTCATTCATCAGATTGTAGATGGACAGATGAGTTGTTTCTACTTTTTGGCTATTATGAATAATGCTGCTGTGAACTTCTGGTATACGTTTTTGTGCAAACATATGTTCTTCTCATTTCTCTGGGGTATATGCCTAGGAGTGAAATTGATAGTAACTCTATACTTAACTCTTTGAAGAACTGCCAAACTCTTTTCCAAAATGGCTCTACCACTTAAATTCCCACCAGGAATGTATAAGGTTCCAATTTCTCCACATCCTTGCTAACACTTGTTGTTTTCCTTTTTTTTTTTTTTTAAATTACAACCATCTTAGTGAGTATATATAATAAAGAATCTCACTTAATTTTTAAAATATAATATTTAACCGCTGACATCTTTTTTTTTTTTTTTTTTTGAGGCAGACTTTCACTCTTGTTGCCCAGGCTGGAGTGCAATGGTGCCATCTCAGCTCACCACAGCCTCCACCTCCCGGGTTTAACCGATTCTCCTGCCTTAGCCTCCTGAGTAGCTGGGATTACAGGCATGTGCCACCATGCCTGGCTAATTTTGTATTTTTAATAGAGACGGGGTTTCTCCATGTTGGTCAGGCTGGTCTCGAACTTCCGACCTCAGGTGACCCACCCGCCTCTGCCTCCCAAAGTGCTGGGATTACAGGTGTGAGCCACCATGTTCTGCTAACTGCTGACATCTTTTAAGCCTCACCTCTCCCTCTTCATTTTCTGCTCCACAACTGGGCAAGTTAATTAGAAAGCATGAGTGCTTCATCCTTTGGAGCTAGCAAGAGATTCAAACCATGCAAGTGTCTTCCTGAATGTAAGAACCCTCACTCCTGCCTCATCCTTTAACCACAGTAAAAACTCAATTTAGTTTCCTTTCCTTGCTTTTTCTAACCTGCTTAGGAGACTTGCCTTGCTGTCCCCAGAAATGCATTGTTTATGTAAGTAAGTAGTAAACATTTTCATACCCTCTTTGTGTGTGAGGTGTTATCAATCTGAACACTGGAATCAAAATTTGGGTGGGGTCCCTCCTTCTTCTGCAGGATGGCAAGAACAATTGGCACAGTGAGCTTGGTGCTCAGATAATGACAGCCATCATGGGGGGAAGGGAGTATCTTTCCTTAATTGCTTTGGCTCACTAATTGGTTCTGATGGCAAGCATAAACATTGAGCCTGCAAGGGTAGCTAGTTTTTTAGTTGTACTGTGCTGTGTTGTATTGTTGACTCCTGTAGAACCTCTCTTACAGATTTAGCTAACTTGGAAGTTTAGGTAATTTAATGGACATTGAGGAACAGTAGTATGGGATCCTTAAAGTAGCCCTGGATCATGTGTCTCAGCCCAGACCTATTTGTGTGTCTTAACGTAAAGCTGTGACTGATGCTAGGCTCAGGAGGAAAACCATGTCTATGACTAGCTGGTTTTGTGTCTCAATTAGGCTCTGACCCTGACAGCTGACTGCCCATTGGGTGGTCGCTCTTGAGAGCAGTCATCAGGGAGTGAAAAAAAGAGAGAGAAAAGAGAAAAGAAACAGCTATTATGTGGCTTGCTGGGGTCTGGACTTCGAAGCACAAATGACTCACTAGAACCCTTAAATACCTCCGTTGTTATGGCTGTTGCTGCTGCTGCTGCCGCTGCCGCTGCTGCTACCGCCGCCGCCGCTGCCGCTGCCACTGCCGCCACCACCACCTGTGCTTCTGTTGCAACAAAGATCCTGATCTTCAGGATTATAGGGAAAAACATTAGTGGCACCCCTGTAGCATGGAGAAAGGGGTAATTCAAACCCATAAAGCTCCTAGTCCTTTAATCTTATATGACCACCATTGCCTTTGGGGAGGCCCCTTACAGTGACAGTGCTGATTTGAGACTTTCTGCAGGAAGACATTTATAAATATGAGCAGGTTAGGGACCCCGCAGAAATATATCCAGTAACAACAGCAACAAAAAAACAAGTACAGTCATGTACAGCATTATGATGTTTTGGTCAATGACAGATCACATATGAGGACGGTGGTCTCATAAGACTATAATGGAGCCGAAAAATTCCTGTCATCTAGTGATGTCATAGCTGTTGTAACATTGTAGTGCAATGCGTTACTCACGTATTTATGGTGATGTTGGTGTAAAGAAGCCTGTAGTACCAGTCATATAAAACTAGAACAAGTACCATTATATATGGTACATAATACTTGATAATGATAAAAAAACAGCTAGGTGTGGTGGCTCACGCCTGTAATCCCAGCACTTTGGGAGGCCGAGGCAGGCAGATCACTTGAAGTCAGGAGTTTGAGACCAGTCTGGCCAACAGGGTGAAAACCTCTCTCTTAAAAAAAAAAAAAAAAAAAAAAAGAAATTAGCTGGGCGTGGTGACGCACGCCTGTGGTCCCAGGTACTCTGGAGGCTGAGGCATGAGAATCGCTTGAACCTGGGGGGCAGAGCTTGCAGTGACCCAAGATTGTGCCACTGCACTCCAGCCTGGGTGACAGAGTGAGACCCTGTCTCAAAAAAAAAAGATGAAAAACAACCATGTTTATGTATTTACTATACCATAATTTTTATCAGTATTTTAAAATGTAGTCTTTCTACCTATTAAAAAAAAAGTTAACTATAAAAGAGCCACAGACAGGTCCTTCAGGAGGTATTCCAGGAGAAGGCATTGTTATAGGAGATGACAGCTCCATGTGTGTTATTGCCCCTGAAGAACTTCCGGTGGGACAAGATGTGGAGGTGGAAGACAGTGATATTGGTGATCCTGACTGTGTAGGGTTAGGCTAATTTGTGTGTATCTTAGTTTTTAAGAAAAAAGTTTAAGAAATAAAAAATTTTAAACAAATAAGCTTATAGAATAATAATATAAAGAAAGTATTTCTGTATAGCTGTATAATTTTTTTTTTTTTTTAAGATGGAGTTTTGCTTTTGTTGCCCAGGTTGGAGTGCAACGGTGCAATCTCGGCTCACTGTAACCTCCGCCTCCCGGGTTCAAGCGATTCTCCTGCCTCAGCCTCCGGAGTTCTGGGATTTTAGGCGTGTGCCACCATGCCCGGCTAATTTTGTATTTTTAGTAGAGACGGGGTTTCTCCATGTTGGTCAGGCTGGTGTCGAATTCCTGACCTCAGGTGATCCGCGCATCTCGGCTTCCCAAAGTGCTGGGATTACAGATGTGAGCCACTGTGCCCGGCCATGTGTTTGTGTTTTAAAAGCTAAACATCATTACAAAAGAGTCAAAAAGCTTTACAAAATTTTAAAAAGTTTATAAGTAAAAAGTTATAGAAAGCTAAGCTTAATTTATTATTGAAAGAAATGTTTAAAAAATGATTTTAGTGTAGCCTAAGTGTACTAAAGTGCACATTAGTGTACAGTAATGTCCTAGGCCTTCACATTCACTCACCACTCATTCACTGACCCACCCAGAACAACTTCCAGTCCTGCAAGCTTTATTCATGGTAAGTGCCCAGTACAAGTGTACCATATTTTGTCTTTTTTTTTTTTTGAGATGGAGTTTGACTCTTGTAGCCCAGGCTGGAATGCAATGGTGCGATCTCTGCTCACTGTAACCTCCTCCTCCCAGGTTCAAGTGATTTCTCCTGCCTCGCCCTCCCGAGTAGCTGGGATTACAGATGCCTGCTACCATGCCCGGCTAATTTTTGTATTTTTAATAGAGATGGGGTTTCACCATGTTGGCCAGGCTGGTCTCGAACTCTTGGCCTCAAGTGATCTGCCTGCCTGTGCCTCCCAAAGTGCTGGGATTACAAGCGTGAGCCACCGCGCCTGGCCATATTTTTGTCTTTTATACCATATTTTTACTGTACCTTTTCTATGTTTAGGTAGGTTTAGATACACAGATACAAAAATACACAGATACACAAATTGTGTTAAAATTGCCTACAGTATTCAGTACAGTAACCTGCTGTACTGGTGTGTAGTCTAGGAGCAATAGTCCATACCATATAACACAGGTGTGTAGTAGTGTATACCATCTAGGTTTGTGTAAGTACACTCTGTGATATTCGCACAACAGTGATGAAATCACCTAATGACACATGGCATTTCTCAGAATGTATCTCCATTGCTAAGTGACACGATTGTAAAAGAAAGAAAAAAAAAAAACAGATATGAGAGGCAGAGGAAACAAACAGAAACGGAGATCCACAATTTGACCCAATTAGAATCCAGAATTTATGGAAAAATTTTACTAAAAGAGCAAAAAGATAAAAGGGTGCTGATTGGTGTTGAAATGCAGTGGGTGGCAAAACTTCATGACCTTAATTACTACTGGGGCTCAAATTGGTTATTATGTCAGGATCCCACTATATTTAATCAAGGTGCCTCCTGTAATCTAAGGGGAGTTCCTGAACAGGAAAGAGATAAACAAGTATACCTCACATTAACTATCAGAACTATTGCCTTGCCTGAATTCCTCACATTTGTACCATTCATTGCCTTAAAATATCCCATAGTGGGTATGAGCACTCTGATCCAATGAGTGATAAAATTAAGTATTTGGCACATGTGAATCCGTTTGACAATGTGAGATCCCAAGGACTATACCCCCAGTTAAAATAGGTTAATACAGCCCACTGTAAATTAGAATAAGTCTACAAATATGGAAACCCATGATACAAGGCCTATTTGGTGAAAGGGTGATTATCCCCATGTCTTCTCCATTAACAACCCAATTTGGCTTGTTCTTAAACTTCAAATGAATGGCACCTAATGGTGGATTACCATAACGCTAATGTTGTGGTCCCACACATTAAGGTCCCCATACCCAATATTGTTGACATTACTGACTCCATCCGGTCTGTGACTGGTAAATATTTTGCTATTATAGATTTGGCTAATGTGTTCTATTCACTGCCTATTTCAACAGCCTTTCAGCCTCAGTTTGCCTTCACCTCTGAAGGGACACAATAAACATGTACCTGGCTACTCATGGGATACCTCCACAGTTTTGCCATTGTACACTATCTTTGCTGGCAAGATCTTAACTGTACCGAGCTTTTTCTAGATGTACAGGTGTGATGTTACATTGATGACATCCTTCCCTGAGGAGATTTATTTGACACACTCATTCAGGAAATACAGATACTCACAAAATTGCTCATAAAATGGTATGGCTGTTGTGCCACACGTAGTGCAAGGCCCTACCACTTTTCAATACCTACACATTATTTGCTAAACTGAAGACCATTCTGTCTCTGACACTGTCAGAAAAGCAGCTATTGACCCTGTCAGCACCCACAACTTCTTTTAGGTTCATTTGTGTTCTGGAGACAAAACATTCCTCTTTTATAAATTTTATTGAAGCCCATTTACGCTATTTCTTACAAATCAGTTCATCTTGAATGGGGGTCCCCTCCAACAAGAGGTTCTAGAATCTGTCAAAATTGCAATATGACACTAATGACAATTAGTCACTAACGACAATATCGTTAGTGACCCCAGATGCGCTTCACCATAGAGGTTTTAGCAACTTCCTCATTTCTCCCTCTGGAACATCCATCATTGCCATAAGTTGCCAAGGGTTTCTGAGGCAAGAGACTGTCATCCTTGGACCTGTTTTATACACCATTAGAGTGACAATTGCTAGCTGCATAGTGGACTGTCTTAGAAATAGAGGCTATCACAATCCCTCAGCCTGTGACCCTCCATATCCAGCTGCCTATTGTGCCTTCGGTCATGGAAGCCATGGCACTACAAGCTGGGCATGGCTACTGAGGCCTCTTTGCTACAAGATGGAGAAAAACCTGGGTCTTCTGTCATATACCACTTGGAGGAAGGGGTAGCCTCCCGTCTTTAGTTCCTTGCTAAATACCATGGTGTTGGGGGACCCATCACCCCTCTCCCAGACCCTGTGGCTACCTGCAGAGCCCCTTGAGATCAAATGGAGTGAAAAACAATGGTTTGTACAATTTATGGATGATACCACAAGCATTGTATACAATGGAGTTTGCTGGAGAGCTTATGCGTTTCATCCTTTAACCATGATGCTTCTGATAAGGACAGGAACACAGGTGTCAGTACAGTTGGCCAAACTTCAGGCATTCACCTTAGCACTGTATGCCCTAGCCAACAATTGGCCCCATCTGCACATTTTTACAGGTTCTTGAGCCACTGCCTAAGAGTTGCCCCATTTGGGGAAAGAACTCTGAGAATCTCTAACCTCACAGATACCCAAAATGTAAATCAAGTTAACACATTTATCTTCACATAGTGAAGGTCAAACATAAGGTCTCACCAAGAGACTCCTTATTTTCCTTCAGAATTTGAGGCATCATTGATAGTGATGAAGGCACTCATTTCATTTCTTAGAATATACAGTCCTGGGCTTAATGAAGGAATACAACAAAACATTTACTTTCTTTACAGACTTCATTCTGAAGGACTTACAGAGCACCATACTGGCTTCATTAAACAAATGTATATTTGATTAAATGAACATGGCACATTTCAGTCATTAGACAAACATCAGGGGTGAATTGTAAGATTCTGACTCTATTTTTTCAAGTTTGCTGACTTTTTTTTTAAGCTTCACCTTCTTCCCCTCTGCCCCACATCGGGACAAATTGATAAGAAGCTCTGGTTGCTCCCTCCTTGGGGGTCAGGAAAAGATTCAAACCATGGAAGCTCCTTCATGTGTATAGGAAGCCTTACACTGGGCCCTAACCACAACGAAAACCCAAGCTTGTCTCCTTTCCTTGTTCTGTCAAGCCGTTTCTTACCTGCTTGGGAAGCCTGACCTTCTCCACCAAGAAAATCTTCATTTAGGTAAGTATTAAACTTTCTTGTACCATCTTGGTGTGTGTAACCAGTCTCAACGTCTAACCTAAGTTTGGGATGGGGGTCCCTTCTTCCTCTTCACAGTGTCAAGTAGTACCTGATTGAGGTTCTTATTTGCATTTCCCTAATGACTAATGATGTTGAACGTATTTCCATGTCCTTATCGGCTATTTGTATATCTTCTTTAGAGAAATATCTATTCAAGTCCCTTCTTTTTAAATTACATTATTTATATTTTTAATTGTTTAGTCATATGACTTTTTATGTATTGTGGGTATTAGGTCCCTAACAGATACATGATTTTCAATTGTTGTCTTCCATTTTATGGGTTGTCTTTTCACTTTCTTGATAGTGTCTTTTGAGTACAAAAGTTTTTCATTTTAGTGAAGTCCAAGCTGTCTAATTTTTCTTTTATAGCTTGTGTTTTTGTGTCTTATATAAAAATTGTTACCTAATCAAGTTCACAGTGATTTACACCTATGCTTTCTTCTGTGAGTTTTATAATTTTAGCTTCTACATGTAAATCTTTGATCTCTTTTGAGTTTATTTTTGTATGTGGTGTGAGATAGGGGTCCAGTTTCATTTGCATATAGATATCCAGTTGTCCTGGCACCATTGTTTGAGAGACTATACTTGGCACTCTTGTCAAAAGTCAATTCACCATAAATATAAGGGTTTATATCTACACTCTCAATTCTGTTCATCAGTCTATATGTCTACAATTATTCTAGTACCTTAGAATCTTAGTAACTGAAGCCTTGTAGTAAGTTTTGATATTGGGAAGTATGACTCCTCCAACTTTGTTCCACGTTTTCAAAAGGTGTTTTGACCATTTTGAGTTACTTCCATTTTAGTATTAATTTTAGGGTCAGCTTGTCTGTTTCTGCACAGAAGGTATTTAGAATTTCAATAGGAATTTCAGTGAATCTATAGATCAGTTTGGAGAGTATTGCCATCTTAACAATATTAAATCTTACAATTAATGAAACCAAGTGTTTTCCCATTTTTAAAGGTCTTAAATTTCTTTCAGCAATATTTTGTAGTTTTCAGTGTACAAGTTGTGGTCCCACACATTAAGGTCCCCATACCCAGTATTGTTGACAAGTCTTTCACCTCCTTGGCTAAATTTATTCCTAAGTGTTGAATTTTTCTTTTATGCTACTGTAAATGGACTTGTTTTCTTTTTTAAGTTTTATTTTATGTTTAATTGATACACAATAATTCTATTTATTTATGGGGTACAGTGTGATGTTTCAATAGATGTATACATTGTGCAGTGATCAAATCAGGGTATTTAGCATATTATCACCTCAAACATTTATCATTTCCTTGTGGTAAGAACACTCAAAATCCTTCAACTAGTTATTTTGAAATGTATAACGCAATATTGTTAATTATAGTCATTCTACTGTTCAATAGAACAACAGAACTTGTTGCTCCTATTTAACTGTAATTTTGTACCCTTTAACTAGTCTTTCTGCCTCTCTTCCACCCCACTTTTTCCCTCTACTCTCCTCAGCCTCTGGTAACCACTATTCTAATCTGTACTTCTATGAGATCAGCTTTTTTAAGATTCCACAAATGAGTGAGATCATGTGCTGTTTGTCTTTTTGTGCCTGGCTTATTTCGCTTAGACTTGTTTTCTTAATTTTATTTTTGGATTTTTCATTGCAAGGTAGAACTACAATTGATTTTTGTTTATGATCTTGTAACCTGCAGCTGTGCTGAACTCATTTATAAGTTCTAGTAGTTTTTAGTGGATTCCTTAGAATTTTTACATTCGAGATCATGACATCCACAAATAGAGATAGTTGTACTTCTTCCTTTATAACTTAAGTGCCTTTCATTGTGTTTTCTTTTAAAATTGCCCTTGTTAGAATCTTCAGTACATTGTTGAAGTGGAGAGAGTAGACATCCTTGTCTTTTTCGTGATTTTAGAGGGAAAGCTTTTGATCATTAATTATTTATTGATATTATTATTATTATTAGAGACAGGGTCTCCCTCTGTCACCCAGGCTGGAGTACAGTGGTGCAATCTCTGCTCACTGCAGCCTCGACCTCCCGGGTTCAAGTGATCCTCCTGCCTCAGCCCCCCAAGTAGCTGAGACTACAGGCACATGCCACCTTGCCGGATAGTTTTTGTATTTTTTGTAGAGACTGGGTTTCGCCATGTTGCCCAGGCTGGTCTCAAACACCTGGACTCAAGCAACCTGCCCGCCTTGGCCTCCCAAAGTGCTAGGATTACAGGCGTGAGCCACTGTGCCTGGGCCTGATCTTTAATTATTAAGTATGGTGTTTCTGTGACTTTTTCCTAGATGCCATTATCAGGTTGAAGAAATTTCCTTCTGTTCCTAGTTTAAGGGTTTTTTTTATGAAAAGTTATCGGGCTTAATCAAAGGCTTTTTCTATATCCATTGAGATGGTCATGTGGTTTTCATTTTTTATGCTGTTAGTATAGTGTATTACACTGCTTTTCATATATTTATCCAGCTTTTTATTTCTGGAATAGATCTCAGTCATGGTGTGGAGTTCTTTTTAATACGTGTCAGAATTTGGTTTGCTTGTATTTTGTTGAGGATTATTGTGCTTATATTCATAAGGGATATTGGTCTGTAGGTTTCTTTTCTTGTAATGCCTCTGTCTGGTTTTGCTATCAGAACAATACTGGCCTCACAGAATAAGTTAGGAAGTGTTCCCTCGTCTTCCCTCCTTTTAAGGAGTTTGTGTAGAATTTAGCAGTGAAGCCGTCTTGGCCTTGGCTTTTATTTGTGGGTAGTGTTTTGATTACTAATTCAATGTCTTCACTTGTTATAGGTTTCTTTATCTTATCTATTTCTTCCTAAGTCAGATTCAGTAGTTTTTGTTTTTCTAGGAGTTTGTTTTATTTAAGTTAATCTGATTTTTTGCCATACACTTATTTATAGCATTTTTTTATAAGATTGGAAGTAATATTCCCTCTTTCATTTCTTATTCTAGTAATTTGAGTCTTCTATCCTTTTTCTTGTCATTCTGGTTAAGGGTTTGTCAATTTTGTTGATCTTTTGGAAGTACCAACTTTTATTTTCATTGATGGCTCTCTATTATTTTTCGATTCTCTATGTCATTTATTTACTCCTTGGTCTTTGTATTATTTCCTTCCTTCTGTTTGCTTTGAGTTTAGTTTTCTTTTTATAGTTAATTAAGATGAAAAGCTAGGGTCATTGTTTTAGATCTTTCTTGTTTTTCATATATTTATCCAGCTTTTTATTTCTAGAATAGATCTCAGTCATGGTGTGGAGTTCTTTTTATACGTGTCTGAATTTGGTTTGCTAGTATTTTGTTGAGGATTATTGTGTTTATATTCATAAGGGATATTGTAATATAGTTATTACAACTATAAATTTTCATCAATAAAAAATACTGCTTTCACTGCATCTCATATGTTTTGGTAGGTTGTGTTTAAGTTTTCATTAATTTCAAAGAACTCTCTCATTTCCTGTGTAGATTCTTATTTGACCTTTGGCTTATTTAGAGGTGTGTTGTTTAATTTCTACTTTTGAATTACTTTACAAAATATCTTTCTGTTACTGATTTCTAATTTAATTCCATTGTGGTTGGTGAAGATACTTTTTATTATTTCAGTCCGTTTTATGGAGACTTGTTTTATGATCTAACATATGGTCTATCTTCGATGAGAATATTTAATATGCATTTGAGAAGAATGTGTATTCATCTGTTACTGGGTTAAGTGTTCTATAGTGTCTATTAGGTGCAGTCTTCTTTTTCCTTGTTGATCTCCTGTCTGATTGTTTTTATCTGTTATTGAAAGTGGGATATTGAGGCAGCCAGAATATGTTATTGAATTGTTCATTTCTCTCTTCAGTTCTGTCAGTTTTTGGAATCTGTTGGTAGATGAATGTAAGTTTATCATAGTTATATTTTTGTGATGGATTGGCAGCTTAAAGATTGCAAAATGTTATTCTTTGTCTGTTTTACCAATATTTGTTTTAAAGTCTATTTTGTCTGCTATTAGTATAACCACTCCTACTCTTTTTTGGGTAATGTTTATATGGTATCTCTTTTTCCATTCTTTTACGTTAAACTTATTTGTGCCTTTGAATCTAAAATCATTCTCTTGAAGATAATGTATAGTTGGGCCATAACTTTTTTTGTCGATTTAACTAGTCTCTCTCTTTATTGGAGAGTTCAATCCATTCACATTTAGTGCAGTTACTCTTCAGGTAGAATTTACATGTGTGTTTTGTTATCTGTCCTCCTTATGTCTTATGTCACTTTTGTTTTTCTATTCTTACATTACTGCTTTCATTTGTCTTAAATATTTTCCACTGTGCCATTTCAATTCCCTTGTTGTTTCTTTGCTATATATTTTGGTATTTTTTTTTTAGTTCATTCTTTGGAGATTACCATTAACATCTCAATTGATGAGAATCTAGTTCAGATTTATATGAACTTACTGTCCTAGAATACAAAAGCTTTGCTTCTTTAATAGCACTGTAACCTTCTTTATGTTGTTAGTGTCACAAATTACGTCTTTTTGCACTGTGTGTCCATCAACGTAGATTTATAATTATTGTGGTAGTCATGTTTTAAGTCAGACTGGAAAACATAGGAATTGCAAATTTTAAAAAAGCAACAACTATATTTATACTGTTTTTAATATTTACCTATGTAGTTACCTTTACCAGTGTACTTTATTTCATCTTATGATTTCACGTTACTATCTAGTGTCCTTTCCTTTCAGACTGAAGGACTTCCTTTAGTATTGCTCATAGGGCATCTGCCAGCTACTTGATATCTCTTTCAGTTTTGTTTATCTGATAATGTCCCATTTTCTCCTTCACTTTTGAAGGATAGTTTTACTTCCTTTATTAGATATAGAATTCTTGATTGCAGTTTTTTTTCTTTCTGTAACTTGAATATGTCTTCCCACTGCTTTTTGGCCATGACTTCTGAGGAGAAGTCAACTGTTAAACTTCTGTTTTCTTGTTTGTGAAGAGTTGTTTTTCTCTTATTGCTCTTTGGGATTTTCTCCTTGTTTTTGGCTTTCAGTATTTTTATTATGATGTGCCTATGTGTATATACTTCTCATTTTTCCTACTTGGTGTTTGTTTGCTTTTTAGAATGTGTATGTAAACATTTTTTCATCAAATTTGTGATGCTTTCAGCTGTAATTTGTTCAAATATCTTCTTCCTCTTTTCTATTTTCTTCTCTGATTCCCATTATATGTATTTTGGTTGCTAGATGATTTCTTACAAGTTTCTGAGGCTGTGTTTATATTGTCTCTGTGTGTGTGTGTGTGTGTGTGTGTGTGTCTGTATATATATATATACACATACATATATACACGTATGTATATATACACATATATATACGTATATATACGTACATATATGTATATATACATATATATATATGCACAGACACACACAGTCTCAGAAACCTGTGTGTGTGTGTGTGTGTGTGTGTGTGTGTGTGTGTGTAAAATTTCTGTTCCTCAGACTGGATGATCTGAATTGGACTATCTTGCTGACTATTTTTTTCTATCAGTGTAAATCTGCTCTTGAGCCCCTCTAATGAATTTTTCGTATCTGTTACTTTATATTTGTAGGGGGCTTGAAGGATTTAGGGGCTTATCAAAGAAAGACATATGTCTATGAGGTGGCAGTATCACACACAAGCTTTATTGGGAGATGTGTTGACAGGCTTGCATGTTGGGGAAGTCTCTCACAGTAGGAGCCTGTCCAGAGGCCATGGCTTGGGAGTTGCTACTCTGAAGGGGAAGAGGCCATGGAATTTCCAGAGAGGGAGATTGTAGAGGGGACTTGACTTACATGTTTAGGTGATGGCTACTCAGCAGCACAGTGGGGAGTCTCTGGGTCAGAGAGAGCTCTAAAGGGCAACAATGTGTCAAAAGACAAAATTACAACAAATTTAGTTTAAAGATCTCACTTGGCCGTATTTGTGATTCTAGAATCAGGCAACACTATTCCACAAAATAGAATACTTGTTCAAATGAGCTGAGAGCAGAAGAGGTTGACTTCGTAGAGGAGAAGGGCTGAAGAAGCAAAGAACAAAGTGTATTTATTGTATGTGTAACCACTAAAGTATCTACTCAGTAGCTTAGCCATCATTGGATAAAGATTTCCTTAAATGCCTGGGACCAATAAATTGCATCATCTTTAACAAAGGGATCTGTATACATCTTGGGGCATGCAACACTTAGCCAGGCAGTTTACAACCGTACATTAGCCTTCACTTCCTGATTGCAAAGAGCCGAAAAGTCAGTTAGAAGTGAGAGTTTATGGCCTTCTCAGGTGTTTCCTGAGCATGCACACAGCCCTATACATGCAGATGGTCTTCTATATTCCCTAGAAAATATCAGAACTCTTCAAATCCCCTATTGATAGCTTATTCCTCAGCTTTTCCTTTCATTCTTTTTATTTAGTTTATTGTTTGCTCCAAGTGTTATCATTTGTGGAGGGGCTTTTAGTATGGGTTTTGCACTGAATCAAACATAAACCTTTTAAGTAGCGTCTTCTGGGGAACCAACAGACAGGACAAATAATGACAGTTCTTTAGAACTGAAGCTTTGGGAGTTGATGCCACTGCTAAACAGCTGAGCCAGCTAATGTAGTTCTTTGACAGCACAGAAATGTAGGGAGAAATGAGCAGCCCCTGGCTGAAATGCCGCAGACTCTCCTTGTTCTTACTTAGTTCTGTAGATTTTGTTGCCGTTGATCAATCCCCAGAGACTTTAGGTGATTGGCTTTGCTTGTTTTGACCAGTTTTATTAGATGTCTCTTTGGGGAGGAGATTTCACTGAGCTCCTCACATAGCCATTCCAGAATTCCCATAAGTTTGGTGTTGTATCTAAAACCTCATTGCTAAAGCCTAAGGTCATGCAAGTTTTCTGTTTTCTTCTAGAAGTTTTATAATTTTCTGTTTTATATTTAGATTCGTGATCCATTTTGAATTAATTTTCATGTGAAGTGTGAGGTTTGTGTCATAATTTTATTTTGCACATGGATTCCAGTTGTTTCAGCACCATTTTTTTTGGCAAAGATTGTCCTTCTCCATTGAATTACCTTTATGCTTATGTAAAAAAAAATCAGTTGACTAAATGAAATAAACTGATTAAAAAATAGGCAAAAGACCTGAACAAAGACACCTCACCAAAGAAAATATACAGATAATATATAAGCATGTGCAAAGATGCTCAACAGCATATGTTATTAGGAAATTGTAAGTTAAAAAAGATACCACTACACATTTATTAGAATGTTCCAAATCCAAAACACTAAGAACATCACATACTGGTGGAAAGATGAAGCGACAGGAGCTCTCATTCTTTCCTGGTGGGAATACAAAATGGTATAGCCACTTTGGAAAACAGTTTGACAGTTTCTTACAAAACTAAATGTAGTCTTACCATATGATCCAGCGATTGCGTTCCTTGATATTTACTCAAATGGGTTGAAAACTTATGTCTACACAAAACTCTGCACATAAATGTTTATAGTAGCTTTATTCCTAATTGCCAAAATGTAGAAACAATCAAGATGTCCTTTAGTAGGTGAATGGATAAATTGTAGTGCGTCCAGACGATGGAGTTTAGTGCCAAAAAAGGGCTATGAAAAGCCTTTTCAAGCCATGAAAAGATATGGTGGAATCATATGTGCATATTACTGAGTTTTAAAATAAGCCAGTCTGAAAAGGCTGCATATCCCAGCTACTCAGAGGCTGAGGTGGGAGGATGGCTTTAGCCTGGGAGGCAGAGGTTGCAGTGAGCTGAGATTGCACAGCACCCCAGCCTGGACAACAGAGCGAGTCCCTGTCTCAAAAAAACAAAGAAAAAAAAAAGAAAGAAAAGGCTACATACTGTATGATTCCAAGTATTTGACATTCTGGAAAAGGCAAAACTATGGAGACAGTAAAAAGATCAGTGGCTTCCAGGGTTTGGGGGTTGGGAATGGATGAATAGACGGAGCACATGGGATTTTTAGGGCAGTGAATCTACTCTGTATGGTACTATAATAGTGGATACATGTGTTTATACATTTGTGAAAACCTATAGAATGTACAACACTGAGAGTAAACCCCAATGTAAACTATGAACTTTAGGTGAGAACGATATGTCAATATAGGTCCATCAATTATAACAAATATACATACCCTTCTGGTGGGAGATTTTCATAGTGAGGGTGGTTGTGCATATACGGGAGCAGAGAGTATGTGAGGAATCTCTACCTTGGACTCAGTTTTTATGTGAACCTAAAGCTTATCTAAAAACTAAAGTCAATTTTTTAAAAGTCAACTGAAAAAAAGAAATGCTTCTCTCTCCCACACCTTGCCCCAATCCTCAGGCAATAATAAATGGTTTTGCGGTATCAAAAAAAATCTGTGATTGTATTTGTGTGGATCTATTTATGGCCTCCCTATTCTGTTCTGTTGATCTATGTGTCATTTCTTTTGCTAATACTATGGCACCTTGATTACTATAGACTTACACTGCGACTTGAAATCGGATAACATGAGTCCTCTAACTTGGTTTTCCTTTTTCAGAGTTGTGATAGCTGTTAGGTCATTTGCCTTTTCATGTATATTTTTTAGATTCAGTTTAGCTATGTCTACAAAATGCTTGCTAAAATTTTGATTGGAATTGTGTTTATATGGCTTTAATTGAGCATTTTATCTCTCTCTTTGCATATCATTTATACTTGTTTTTCTTAACTTTTTAGTGGTTACCCTAGTTTTCACAGTACACATTTTTAATCTAAGTCTTTCAAATACTATTGTATTGCTTCCTGTGTAGTGTAGGTACCTTATAAGAGTTATCCCCCGTTTCTCCCTTGCTTTCTTTTTGACATTGCTGTCATCCCTTTCACTTACTTATATGCTACAGTCATTTCATACATTGTAGTGTTTTTACTTTATACACAGTTACCTCCTAGATTGATTAAGAAAAATAAAAAGTTTTATATTACTTATATTTATTTTTCTCTGACTTTCTTTATGAAGATTCAAGTTTCTGACATGTTGTTTTTTTTTTGTGCCTGGAGAACTTCTTTTGACATTTCTTGCAGGACATGTCAGCTTATGGTATCCAGCAGTTTCTCTACCATGTAAACAAATCATAAGTGCTAGATCTTCCTGTCTCTCCAAATGTTCAAGTGGTGATTTCCCATGTGGCCTCAGTTCTCTGATGATTTTTAAAAAGTTATTGATTTTCATTTTGTCTAGCTTTTCGGTCTTGTAAGGGCAGGAGTGACATCTTCCCAGTTCTTTACAATTTGGAGCTACAATTAGAGGTGCTCACATATGTATTTTTAAATTTTTCTTGTGGATATGTTGCCAAAAACAGTAAAAAGAAAACAGGTGAAATTAATTTTAATAAAGTATTTTATTAAACCCAAACAACAAAAATAACATTTTAACATGTAGTCTGTATAAAAATACTTAAGAGCTATTCCACATTAAAAAAAAAACTCTTCTAAATATCATATGGATTTTTTCTACTTGTATCACATCTCACTTTGAACTATTGCATTTCACGTTATCAGTAACCCAATGCGGTTTGTGGCTATTGCATTGGGCAGCACATGTCCAAAGAGAATATGTAGAAAGAGAAGGAAGGAGAGTTGAGGATGAACTTTTGGGGATACAGTTAGGTATTAAGCAGAGGAAGAGAGGCCTAAAGACAGAGAAAGAAAAGTCAGAGAAAAATTGAAGACAGCAAAAGTATAACTGAAACAAAGGGAAGAATATGTTTCAAGGAAAAATAAGTATTCAAATAGTGTCAAATGTGGCGAGGAGCTCAGGGTAGATATGGAGTAGATATGGGAATTGACAAATGGAAAAGAATAGAGAATACAGAAATAGACCAGTGTGTTTGTGTATGTGTGTGTGTGTGTGTGTATATGTATATATATGTGAAATTAGTAAATGAAAGAGGTGTCAACATAAATTAATAGAGCAGAGTATATCATTCAATACATGGTGATGGGACAATTGATTATCCATATAGAATAAAATAAAATACCAACACCAAAAACAAACCATTAATTTTTTATAGATTATAAACCCAATTATGAAAAGCAAAACTTTAATTTTTAAAAAAAAAAATTAGGGGACTGTTTATTATCTCAGGGAAGGGAAGGGTTGTTGAAACAGAATGTATAAAGAATGCCTATAAATCAATGATAAACCATCCAATCCGAAAAATGGGCAAAGTTATGAACAGGTAATTTATAAAAAAGGAAATACAGAAGTCCAATAAATACATTGAAATGTGGTCAATTGCACTAATAACAAGGACAAGGGACTGAAAATCAAAATAATGAAATGTCACTTTTAACATATCAGGTAAAAATTTTATTGTTTGACAATACCTGGTATTGGCGTGGTTGTAGGGAAACAGTAGTCTTCATATATGGCTGATGTGGGTGGAAAGAAATACAATCACATTCAAATGAAATTAATTGTCAAGGATCTAGTAAAATTGTAGATGGGCATTTCCTTCTGTTGCAACATTTCCAATTCTAGGAGACATGGAAGAAAACATTGCGGTATTACGTGATATTGTGAAAAACTGGAAATAAACTAAATTCCCCAACTGTTCCAAATTAATAGGGGAATGATCAATAACTCATCAGTCATCATCTATTCATACAGTGCAATTTAATATGGCAGTGAAAATGAAGAAATCACATCAATATATATCAGTGTCATCTTAAAAACATAATGCTGATTGAGAAAAGTGAGTTACAGAACAATCACATAATATACCATTTATATAAACTTAAAACATACAAAAATACTATATATTGCTCATAGATACAGATGTGTTTGAAAATGTATGTATAAAGAAGGAATAGAAATGATGCACACCATATCAAATTTGGTTGCCTCTGGGGAGAGGAAAGGATAATGGCTAGGGGTGGGTTTAAAGAGTACTTCATCTTTATCTAGAATGTTTAGTTTATTTCATAAAATAGATGAAGCAAGTGTGACTACATTTTTAAAAATGTTAGCAATTGTTAATTCTGGGTGGATATTCTATATTATTCTATATTTTTGAGATATTTCCAAAATAACACCAATACCAATTAAAGTTTATAGGAGATGAGGAAAGAGGAAAAAAAAAAAAGGTAGTACCTGGAGAAAGATGCAGAAATCTGGAGGAGAAATTACTTTCAAGGTGGTAAAAACTCAAATAGATTTAACTACTGGTGGGAAGGAGCCTAGGGAGAGGGAGTGGTTCAAAGTACAGGTGTAAGGAGAGATGATTAAAGTACCAGGACCCAGCTTGTGAGGAGTGAAGCACAGCCATTTTCCCCAACTGATCTATCATGTATTTGTCACCTAAGGCAAAAATGTATTTCTTAACTGATACAGCTATTTGTAATAAGGTTTCATATGCTGTCTCCTTTGTGTTTTATATATTTATTTATTTATTTACTGAGACAGAGTCTCACTCTGTCACCAGGCTGGAGTGCAGTGGCACGATCTCAGCTCACTACAACCTCTGCTTCCCTGGTTCAAGAGATTCTCCTGCCTCAGCTTCCCAAGTAGCCGGGACTACAGGCGCGTGCCACCACGCCCAGCTAATTTTTGTATTTTTAGTAGAGACAGGGTTTCACCATGTTGGCCAGGGTCTTGATCTCTTGACCTCATGATCCACCTTCCTCGGCCTTCCAAAGTGCTGGGATTACAGGCGTGAGCCACTGCACCCGGCCTTCTTGGTGTTTTATATATGATAACTACATATCAAGCAACTGTTATTCCCAATCTTGACTTGAAAAAGTAACAAAATGTTCCTAACAAAGTTACACTGAGATGCAAGTACAGTGTTTTCTGACATAGCTCTTGCAAAAAATATTGGCAATAAATGTATTTAAAAATAATTTTAGGCTGGAGGCAGTGGCTTAAGCCTATAATCCCAGCACTTGGGGAGGCCAAGGCAGGTGGATTACCTGAGCCCAGGAGTTCAAGACCAGCCTGGGCAACACAGGGAGACCCCATCTCTACAAAAAAATAAAAGAATTAGTCAGGCATGGTGGTGTGCACCTGTGGTCCTAGCTACTCAGGAGGCTGAGGTGGGAGGATCACTTGAGCCCAGGAAGTGAAGGCTGCAGTGAGCTGTGATCTCACCACTGGACTCCAGCCTGGGCGACAGAGTCAGTTGCTGCCTCAGAAATTAAATTAAATTATAAATAAATAAATACATAATAATTTTAATGATTAAGAAAATTTCAGGAATTAGTAAGTTCCCAATATTGTTGTTTGGGCATTGGAAGCAATGTACTATGAATCTTTAAATTTTCCAAATACAGAGTTTCCAAAAGATAAATGGACATCCTCACTGGGCTCTATGGGTAACTTCCTTTTCATCTTCTCCCACTTTGCAGGCTAAACAGGCACTCTGCACTTTTTTCCTTTTTAAAGAAATTATTTTTATTTCTAATTATTATGGCTATATAATAGTTGTATATATTTATGGCATACATGGGATGTTTTGATACAAGCATATAATGTGTCATGATGAAGTTAGTGTTTATCATTTGTGTTAGGAACATTCCAATTCCACTCTGTTAGTTATTTTATTTTTATTTTATTATTCTTACTTTTTTGAAAGAAGATCTCACTCTGTCACCCAGGCTGGAGTGCAGTGGTGCGCAGGCGGTTCACTGCAGCTCCGCCTTCCGGGCTCAGGTTCCTCCCACCTCAGCCTCCTGAGTAGCTGGGACTATAGGCGCGCACCACCACACCTGGCTAATTTTTGTATTTTTAGTAGGGATGGGGTTTCACCATGTTGCCCAGGCTGGTCTCGAACTCCTACGCTCAAGGGATCTGCCCACCTTGGCCTCCCAAAGTCCTGGGATTACAGGCATGAGCCACTGCACTCGATCTCCTTTAGTTATTTTTAAATATGCGATAAATTATTGTTAACTATAGTCACCCTATTGTGCTACTGAATACTAGATCTTATTCATTCTATCTAACTGTATTTTTGTACCCATTAACCACTCCCACTTTATCTCTCCCTCTCTGCTACTCTTAGCCTCTGGTAACCATCATTCTACTCTCTCCATGAGTTCAGTTTTTTTTTTAGCTTCCACATATGAATGCAAACATGTGATATTTATCTTTTTGACTCCACTTCTTTTTTCCCATCCAGGCTCCATGGAGGGGAAAGAGAAGGGAAAAGGTAGACAAGAAAGATTGGAAACTTGGTCTTGACCCTGCTACTCACGAGCCTTAATGTGTCTTCTTACCTCTTCTTTTCCTCACCTGCCAAAACCTCTGCAGCCCTACTTCTGCATGCCTCCCCACCTTCACTCTTCAGGAATTACTAGGAAGTTCTACTCATACTGGGAGTCAAATGGGATATCAAGGAGATAGGTAGGAGAATCAGCAGTACTACCAGGGATATAGCACTGGAAGATAGGTTCTTAGCATCTCAGTGTTAGCCCCCTTTTATTAATTTCTCATAAAAGCACATTGTTTTATTAGTGGTCTTTATCTACAATAGTATTGGAAAATTTCAGCACCAACATAGGTCAAGCAATCTTATGTAGTCCAACGTAAGTACCTAACTACCATTTATGGCATTTTCTTTTTTTAAATGGAAAACTGTTTTGTAATGCAATTTTCTTATAAATGGTAGTTTGGGGCTACATTTAATTCATGAAAGTTAGTAAGAAAGTAGAAGAAGAATAAAAGTTTGAGTTGACAAATCCCATATGTGAATCCTTTGAAATGTTTATTAAACTAAAGCATTATATTGTGGTTAGATTTCAGGAGGTAAAAAGTGGTAGAAATTACTTTATTTAGTTTTTTTTTTTTCTACAGGAATAAGGTAGTGGAATTGCTCTCTGATACCCTAAGTCAGTCAACCAGTCTCTCCCACCCCACACACATACATTTAGTTTTTTCTATATTTCTCAAATGTGAGGTACCTTTAATTTCTTAAAAAATCTTAGTAAGTGTGCTGTTGCTGAATCAATTTTTTTTACATTAAGTACTACAGGGTTTCATCTGTCATTACTTTTTGTGCTAATCATTTTGTAACTTTTATCTGAATAATTCAATACTTGTAACTAAATTATGTTTGAAGATTCTTAATCTATATAGGATAAAACTTGTTTTATTACATTTCATTTATTAGTGTTACTCATATTAGTAAAGTGTCTACTTTTTCTCTATGGTTGTCAGAAGCTGGAGAACACCAAGTAATTTAAGATTTATTTGATTTGAGACTTTACCATCGTCAGGATATTTAAAGATATTTAACTAGGGACAGTATATGTGTTAAAAGCTGACTTCTACTTTATAAAATCACGAAATATTAAAATATGCAGAAAAGTGTAAATAATAAAACAATGAACACTTTTGCATTTATTGCCTAACTCAATACATTTAGAAAATCGCAATGCAATTGAAGCCCCCTGTATGAACCCCCAATCACATCCTACTCCTTTCCCTCTACATGTTGCCATTATCTTCAATTCAGTATTTATCATTCCTCTGCATGTCTTTTGATTTTCCTACTTATATAAATATCACTTGAAATATATGAAATTATTTTGCTTTTTTGAACATTATATGGTAGAAATATATGCATTCTTCTACAAACTTGCTTTTTTATTGTTCATCATGGTATTTGTAAGACTCATTGATGAATGTAAAACTCATGCATCTATTTATAATCCCGTATAAAATCATAATTAAAAGTCTCACTCCATTTTTTAATGTTTGACTGCTGACAGCTTTGAAGTCTTATCTCTCCCTCTTCTCCCTCTGTCCCACATCTGGGCAAGATAAGAAAGCCAAGATGCTGCATTCCTTACCACCAGTGTAAAGTTCAAACCACAGGTGAGAATCCTCATTCCAGCCCCACCCCTAACCACCATAAAAACCCAAGCCAATCTTCTGTCCTTGCTCTATCAAGCCATTTTTGGATGTGTCTGAGAGCCACCCCTGCTCTCTGCAGAAAGCCTCATTATGTGAGTAATCAGCTTTTTTATGAATATTGGTGTGTGTTTGTTTGGTATCATTGGTGTTGACATTTAAACCAAATTTTGAACTGGAGTCCATCCTGTCCTTGTGGAGTATTCAAAAAATTATTTCAGTGTTCTTTTGTTAATGGATATTAGGTTGTTTCCTTTTTTTTATAGTTGAAAACACTGTTTCTATGGATACTTTTTATTTTTTCTTATTGATTTGTAGAAGTTACATTTATATTCTGGATATGGATTCCTTGTTAGTGTTGCAAATATCTGCTCTCAGTCCGTAGTTAGTCTTTTTACCTTAATGGTTTCTTTTGTAGTACAGAGGTGATGAATTTTGATATAAATTTTGATCAAATCTACCAGTCTATTTATGATTGATCTTTGTATCTTTAAGAAATATTTCTCTGATTTGGAGACTATAAAAATGCTCTTCTAAATGTTCTAAAACCTTTAAAGTTGATTTTTCCCATTTAGGACTTTGATCTATTTATTTTTTGTTGTATAAATTATTTCCTTTCTTGTAATGTCTGTCTGGTTTTCGTATCAGGATCATGCTGGCCTCATAGAATGAGTTAGGAAGTATTTGCTATTCTTGAATTTTCTGGAAAAGTTTGTGTAGAACTGGTATTATTTCTTTTTTAAATGTTGGTAGAATTTGCTTGTGAAGTCGTCTGACTCTTTAAAATTTCGTTGTGGGAAGGTTATACAGATGCTCCTTGATTTACAATGGTGTTAAATCCCAATAAAGCTGTTTAAGTTGAAAATACTGTAAGTTGAAAGTGCATTTAATACACTTATCCTAGCAAACATTGTAGCTTAGCTTAGCCTACCTTAAACATGCTTAGAACACTTAATATTAGCCTACAGTTCGGCAAAATCATCTAACACGGAGCTTCTTTTATAATAAATTACATGAATATCTCATGTAATTTATTGAATACTGTGCTGAAAGTGAAAAGCAGAATGGTTGTATTGGTACTCAAAGTATATTTTTTATGGAATGTATATTGCTTTTGTGTCATCGTAAAGTTGAAAGATCATAAGTTGAACCATCATAAGTTGGGAATTGTCTGTACTACTAATTTAGTTTCTTTGTTCCTTTGTTACTAATGTGTCTTTTTGTTTTTCCTGGATTGTTTCCAGAGTTTTTAAAAAAATCTCTTAATCAGATTGATTGTGATGAGCCTTGTAGTTTCCTTCATGTTTCTTTTGCACCAAATTTGTTGATATTTTTTGATTTGGAAGTTAAAATTATCGCTAAAATAATGGCAAAACCCACAATTAATAGTAACATTTGAAGAAACAGTGGCTAAGAATTTTAGCTGCCTTCCTCTCCCGGGACTCTGAGCTTCATCTCCTTACCTCAGGGGATCTGCCAGGTGAAAAGTATTAATACTTCTCTCATCCGCTTTGGGGACTTTACCTGTGTATTAAGTTGCTTGCCATTGTTCAACAGTCCACTGATATTTTTCATACTTCAAAAAAATTCTTTTCTGTTTCATTTTGGATGATTTTTATTTCCATTTTTTCAAATTCTTTAATCTTTCCTTTTCCATAGTTTAATATGTCATTTATCCAATTTGTCGTATTTTTAAGCTCAGATATTATTATTTACATCTCTAAAATTTTAATTTGGGCGTCTTTGTTACAGTTTTCCATGCCTCTACTTAACTTTGTAAATGAATAGATTATGTCATAACTTTTTAAATGTCCTTGTCTGGTAACTCTAACATCTGCATCAATTCTTGGTTGGTTTCAATTTATTGATTTTTTTTTTTTTTTATTTTGTAATTTCAAGCTTCTTTGCATTGCTGGTGATGTTTGTTTACATTCAAGCCTTGTGGATTTTACCTTGTTGGATGCTAGATATTTTTATATAACTAAAAATTTCTTGAGCTTTATTCTGGAATGTGATAAAACTACATGGAAACAGTTTGATCCTTTTATGTCTTGCTTTTAAGATTGATTAGGTGGAACCAGGGTGGTGCTCAGTCTACGGAAAATTATTCCTTGCTGGCTGTTGGTAACAGGTGCTGTTCCTGTCTCAGTGTAAGTGATGAAAACTGTTCTTTCTAGTGATTTCAAATGGTTCTTTCCCCTGCCTTGGGTAGTTGCCTCTGTATACACTAATGTGTACTCTGTTTTTTTTTTTTTTGAGATGGAGTCTCGCTCTGTCTCCCAGGCTGGAGTGCAGTGGCACGATCTCAGCTCACTGCAACCTCTGCCTCCCGGGTTTTACGCCATTCTCCTGCCTCAGCCTCCCGAGTAGCTGGGACTACAGGCATGCACCACCTACGCCCGGCTAGTTTTTTTTGTATTTTTAGTAGAGATGGGGGTTTCACCATGTTAGCCAGGATGGTCTCGAACTCCTGATCTTGTGATCCGCCCGCCTCGGCCTCCCAAAGTGCTGGGATTACAAGTATGAGCCACCGCGCCTGGCAATGTATACGCTGTTGAATACTCAATGGAGCCTTTGCAGATCTCAGGAGTTCTTTTTCTGCACTGTTTCCCCATTCTGCTAACTATTACCTGCAGATTTTAGCTGCCTTCTTCTCACTGGACTCTGAGCTTTGTCTCCTTACCTCAGGGGATCTGCCAGGTTCTGACTCAGTTATTACCCTTGCCTGTGGCATGATCTGAAAATTCTCTCAGGGAAGTACGCTGGGGCATTTATAGGGTCACCTTGTTTCTTTACCATTTCTCAAGGATTATTGGCCCTCACTACCTGATATCTATTGTTGTGAGAATAATTTGCTTTTTAATTTTTCAACAAGTTGGGTAAATGGTCCCTGTTATTCCATCTTGCCCAGAAGTGCAAGTTCAGCTGAGAGTTTAAAAAGTGTTAAGATTCTCATAAGTTTTTTATGTAGGGAATCTTATCAACTCTAAATATTAACAATTCCCTTTATTCATTTCTAATCCTTACTCTCTTCTGCTTTCTCCTTTTCCTTCTTCCTCTTACTTCCTCCCACACCTCTGGATAGGGCCTTCAGTATAATGAATGAAAGGGATGATAGCAGTGATTCCTGACTCCCATTATTAAAGGGGGAACACATTTCTAATGTCATTATTTGTTTTTTACAATGAAGCCTTTGTGCTCTTCTTTCACATCAGTTTACAAGTGCTGTTTGACAAGAATTTCCTGTAAGCCCTTAAGTTATTGAGTAACAGTTTAGTGCTTAAGTTAACTGTCAAACAACATTTATTATATGCCATCTTTCAAAGTACTTACCTATATTAACGCATGAGAGGCCCAAAACAAACATAAGAGGTAGGTACTGTTATTATCCCCACTTCACATATGAGAGACGGTGAGGTTAAATACATTTCCTAAGGTTGCACATAATAAATGGTGAAGCTGAGATTCGAGTCTAAGAAACCTGGCACTAGAGCCCAGGCTGCTTCTGCACTGTATTTCTCTGCTCTTAACTAATATGAGAGTATTAAATGCAATTGTCAGTTGGTTCATTTAAATGACCACAAAGACATTTCTAGCACTTAGTGTTCACATTTCAATTATTTATGCCAGCCAAGTAACCACTATCAACAAAAGTTACAAACAGTAGATATTTCACTATAGGAAAAGATGGGAGTAAAATTGTAGCCCTCTTAGCAGGTTGGTTTTGAGGAATTTAACTTACTAGATTCAAGTTACGTGATTCCTGCTATCCCATGAGTTTTGTTGGCTGCAGGCCAGGGATTGGCTGTTTACTACTTTCCGCTGTCTCAGTGCTGTAATACCCTGGCCTAATGGCTCTAATTAACTCCATATATTTGTTCCAGAAAGATGAAGAGGTTCTGTATAGTTAAGAATCAATAAAATACAAATTGTTGCTTAGGAAACCCCGTGTACTCTTAGTGTCAGTAATTAACTTTTTTTCTGGAGAAGTTTAAGAAACAGGCCCAAGCCATTCAATAGCCATTTGTGAAGCTGATATTTAAAGAAATGTAGATGCTGCATTAGAATCTTTAGGCATCTACACCAAGAATGCAGTGATTCCATCACAAAAATTTCTTTTCTTTCCTATTGGCAGATTATAGGAATAAAGTATTTCTGATTTAACTAACTCAGGTACCAGGGAATATTTGGGCAAATTAGTACATCTCTTGTTTTGTTTTTTAAAATTTTTTCATAAAATCCAGATCCTGCACAATAATAAATCTCTTAATTTATTAGTAGCTGCTTTCTTAAAAGGATTTATGAACATAACTTTCTGCTTTACTAATACAGAGCTGAAGCAGACTTAGGACCGATGAGAAGAATGTAAACTAAAAATCATGTCTTTATGAAAATAGGAATTTCTTCCTAAGATCTGGGTGAGGTTTCTCAGTGGCATACATTGACCTCAGTGGTCAGGATACAAAACTCACACAGACGATAAAGCTGACGAAGTGGAGGAAATTGGCTTGCAAACACTTGGAGAAATCACTTCAAAGTAAAACCACTTTCAAATTGCTTTTTTTTTCTGACTATGGAATAGTGTTTAGCATGTTTCAGCAAAAGTCTGCACAACAATACACTAGATATAAATTTTAAAAGACAAATAGCATCACAGAGCGACACTCAGGGAGAGATCTATTTCTGTAGAGTATAAGTGGCTTAAGAACCTAAATGTGGATATTTTAAAATTAAAAAAATCAAACCTCTTCCACTTTGGAGATTATTTATGTGAAGGTTTCTTATGGCCATTCCTCTGCCAGAGCTCTCTAGAAGAGCAGAGTGTTTCTTAATTTTATTCCAGTCAGATTCACTACTATTCGAACATTTATCCCAAATACTTATACTCTCAATACTTAAATTTATCTCAATCTATCAAGTCTCACTGCTTCTCCTTTTCTTTTTATTCTCCACATATTTAAAGTTACTAGTGTGTCCACATTAGCAGAATTCCTTGTGTCCAGGAAGATGTGTCTTCTGTGTACTAAAAAGCAATATCCTCCTGTCCTATGTGTACAGAAATGGATCCAGGCAGAAACCTTTGAGTAGTCAACTGCATGAGCAGCTTCAGATCCATGACAAGTCCTTCCCTTCCTGTTCCATACCTGCTCTTTTGTTCTAAGAGAAAACTGTTTTATAAGAAAATATGTATGCTTCTGTCTCTATTATTATATAAAATTCAGCCTTCCTCCATTTCTGCCAGAAAAAAATATGTTCTTTAAGCTTGCATTTTTTTCTATAATCTTAATAAAATTTTAGAACTTAGCCTTAAAAATTCAAGGCTCATAATTGACAAAATGAGTCTTCATGCCTATAGCTGCAAAGGGATACATGCCATCTTGTATTATAAAACCAATTCCATGAATCTTATTTGATATAGAAATCAATATGTCTGCAAATATTTTTATCTGGTTTTCTTTTGCTGCATGGAGATTTGTGTGAATATACAGAACTGTTACCAACCTGTGGTCTTCTTGGTTAATAGAAATCTGTCCTTCAAATTTTTCATGTCAACAAATGGAGTCCTGTAAGACAATGGTTCTCAAAATGTGGTCCAGGGAGCCCTGGGTGTCCATGTGACCCTTTCAAGGCCTTTTCAAGATTGAAACTATTTTCAATAACGCTAATACATTCGCTTTCAAAATTTCATTATCTTGCAGTGTTACAGTGGATTTTAAAAAGAGACTTTCTGTTGTGAGATATCATAACAGATTGGGTGAGGAATCAGATATGAGAATTTAGTTGTCAGCTATTAAGTCAAACATTAAAGAGATTTGCAGAATTGTAAATCAGTGCCACTCTTCCCACTATTTGTTTTATTTTGGAAAATACAGTTATTCTTCATAAGATAGGTTATTTATATTAACATGTAATGAGTTTTGTTATTATTTAAAAGTAAGTGAATAAATATTTAAATTTCTAATACACTAAATATGGATAGATAGAACCCACATGAACCAAGGCCTTTTGGGGTCCTCAAAAAAATTTTTTCGGAGTATAAAAGGCTCTGCAAAACAAAAAGTTTGAGAACCGCTGCTCAAGATTCCAAAGACTTTTTTTTTTAAATTTTATTATTATTATATTTTAAGTTTTAGGGTACATGTGCACAACGTGTAGATTAGTTACATATGTATACATGTGCCATGTTGGTGTGCTGCACCCATTAACTCGTCATTTAGCATTAGGTATATCTCCTAATGCTATCCCTCCCCCCTTCCCCCACCCCACAACGGTCCCCAGAGTGTGATGTTCCCCTTCCTGTGTCCATGTGTTCTCATTGTTCAATTCCCACCTATGAGTGAGAACATGTGGTGTTTGGTTTTTTGTCCTTGCGATAGTTTACTGAGAATGATGATTTCCAATTTCATCCATGTCCCTACAAAGGACATGAGCTCATCATTTTTTATGGCTGCATAGTATTCCATGGTGTATATGTGCCACATTTTCTTAATCCAGTCTATCATTGTTGGACATTTGGGTTGGTTCCAAGTCTTTGCTATTGTGAATAGTGCTGCAATAAACATACATGTGCATGTGTCTTTATAGCAGCATGATTTATAGTCCTTTGAGTATATACCCAGTAATGGGATGGCTGGGTCAAATGGTATTTCTAGTTCTAGATCCCTGAGGAATTGCCACACTGACTTCCACAATGGTTGAACTAGTTTACAGTGCCACCAACAGTGTAAAAGTGTTCCTATTTCTCCACATCCTCTCCAGCACCTGTTGTTTCCTGACTTTTTAATGATCGCCATTCTAACTGGTGTGAGATGGTATCTCATTGTGGTTTTGATTTGCATTTCTCTGATGGCCAGTGATGATGAGCATTTCTTCATGTGTGTTTTGGCTGCATAAATGTCTTCTTTTGAGAAGTGTCTGTTCATATCCTTCGCCCACTTTTTGATGGGGTTGTTTGTTTTTTTCTTGTAAATTTGTTTGAGTTCATTGTAGATTCTGGATATTAGCCCTTTGTCAGATGAGTAGGTTGCAAAAATTTTCTCCCATTCTGTAGGGTGCCTGTTCACTCTGATGGTGGTTTCTTTTGCTGTGCAGAAGCTCTTTAGTTTAATTAGATCCCATTTGTCAATTTTGGCTTTTGTTGCCATTGCTTTTGGTGTTTTAGACATGAAGTCCTTGCCCATGCCTATGTCCTGAATGGTATTGCCTAAGTTTTCTTCTAGGGTTTTTATGGTTTTAGGTCTAACATGTAAGTCTTTAATCCATCTTGAATTAGTTTTTGTATAAGGTGTAAGGAAGGGATCCAGTTTCAGCTTTCTACATATGGCTAGCCAGTTTTCCCAGCACCATTTATTAAATAGGGAATCCTTTCCCCATTGCTTGTTTTTGTCAGGTTTGTCAAAGATCAGATAGTTGTAGATATGTGGCATTATTTCTGAGGGCTCTGTTCTGTTCCATTGGTCTATATCTCTGTTTTGGTACCAGTACCGTGCTGTTTTGGTTACTGTAGCCTTGTAGTATAGTTTAAAGTCAGGTAGCGTGATGCCTCCAGCTTTATTCTTTTGGCTTAGGATTGAATTGGCAATGCGGGCTCTTTTTTGGTTCCATATGAACTTGAAAGTAGTTTTTTCCAATTCTGTGAAGAAAGTCAAGATTCCAAAGACTTTAGAAACTGTTGCCATGTCCTCTGAGAAAAGCTTCAGAAGAAAAACCTATAGTTCTCATTGGTTGTCTTAATTGATGATTTGTTACCCTAGTAATAATGTTGTAATGAACTTACATGTATTCTCAAACAGTGCAGATACTTTTGGTGTTTTCTTCTCTACCTCATTCATGGAGGAGCAAATAAAAACTTACAAGCCTGTTAGTTTTGTAATATATTTGAAGAGCCTTTGTTTATTTAGTTTAACACTGTACTATGTGACACATTAATAGAAGAGTTTCCGGTTTGTTGGTGAGGTAGTCAGTTTTTAGTAGTAGGAAAAGCTTTATTTTCAACATTGTGATTTGGGGACTTTGTTGTTTGAATGCTTTGGTTTGCTCCACTTTCTCATGTCTTTTTTCTCACCTTCTACATGTAGTATACTTGCTATAGCTTTAAGTTCCAATTGCATATCTTCTTTATGTAAAATGATATAATCTTGAGTCCTGCTAAGTTAGGTGGGCCAAGGGAGAAAAGGCAATGAGCAGAGGCCCCAAAATGTTAATGGTGTTCCTATGAGATGAGGTCAGGCTATCAGAAGCTCATACAGCTGTAGACACTTTAAAGACATCACTTCTCTTTATTCTTAGTGGATTTTATATTTTGAGTATGATTTGACGTTCTTTTAATGTGCCAACAATATTAGATACCACTTTATTAATTAATTATTTATAAGATGGGGTATCACTCTGACACCCAGGCTGGGGTGCAGTGGAGTGGTCTTGGCTCACTGCATCCTCCACCTCCGAGGCTCAAGCGATCCTCCCACCTCAACTCCCTGAGTAGCTGGGACCACAGGTGCGCACCACCATGGCTGGCTAATTTTTTTTTTTTTTTTATGTTTGGTAAAAATGGGGTTTCACCATGTTGCCCAGGCTGGTCTCTAACTCCTGAGTTCAAGTGATCCACCCGCCTCAGCCTCCCAGAGTTCTGGGATTATAGGCATGTGCCACTACACCCAGCTAGGTGTCACATTATTAAACATGCTTGAAGTAATAACTTCTGGCCTTATAAAGAGTTTTTATAAGTCTCCTTTTGAGGGCTTTATTTTCTTGGAGAAGGCTTTGTTGCCAATGTTTGTTGTCAATTGAACACATTAACTGTTGCTTCTCCTTTCTTAGACATGAGCCAGGGTGTGACTTCTCATTCTGCCCCTTTCCAGGTTCCCAGATTGTTTTTGTGGTAAGCTCAATAATGTCCCCTAAAGGTGTTCACATTCTGAACCCCAGAACTTGTCAGTATGTTAATTTACATGTTACAAGGGACTTGCAGATATGATTAAGACTTTGAAATGAGGGGATTATCCTGGATTATTAGGATGGGCCCAATGTGATACAAGGGTCCTTATAAGATGGAGACAGGGGAATTAGAGTTATAGAGTGAAGATGTAAGACTGACAAGTGGTCAGAGAGGAGAGAAGATGCTATCTTGATGGCTTTGAAGATGGAGGAAGGGACTGTGATCCCAGGAATGGAAACAGCCTCTAGAAAATGGAAAGGACCAGTAAATAGCATCTCACCTAGAGCCTCCAGAAGAAACGAACCTCACTAACAGCTTAATTTTAAACCAGGGAAGTAAATTTTTAGACTTTTTACCTCCAGAATTATAAGATGATAAATTCATATTGTTTTAGCTACTAAGTTTTTGGTAATTTTTTTATATTAGCAGTAAGAAACCAACACAGATTTTGGTACCTGGAAGTAGAGTGCTGCTGTACCAAGCACCTAAAAATGTGGAAGTGGCTTTGGAATTGGGTAATGGTTGAGAATGGAAAAATTTTGAGAATACGTGGAAGAATTTTGAGAATGATTGAGGATGGAGAATTTTGAGAAGTGTGATAGAAAAAGCCTATATTTCTTTGAATTCTTTGAATTGTTAGTAGAAACATAGATGTTAAACATTCTAATAGTGAGGGCCCAGAAGGAAGTGAGGCACATATCAGAGAAAACCTATATTATCCTAAAGAAAATCTGTATCAGCTTGTTAAAAATACAGACATTAAAAAAGCTTCATGTGAAGGCAGATATGTAGACTTTAAAGGTATTGCTGGTGACAGCACAGAAGGAAATAAGGAACATTTTATTGCTCCTCTCTTAGATATGAGCCAGCATGTGACTTCTCCCTCTGCCCCTTTCCAGGTTCCCAAATTGTTTCTATGGTAAGTTGAATAATGGCCCCCTAAAGATGTTCACATTCTAATCCCCAGAACTGAAGAAAAGAAGATCCTTACTATATAGTGGCAGAAAGCTTAGCTGAATGTGGCTTACAGTTTTGTAGTAAGCAGACATTGTAAGCAATAAGCTTGGATATTTAGCTGAGATTTCCAAGCAAAGTGTTAAAAGTATGGCTAGCTTCTTCTCGATGCTCATTAAAATGTGACAAGAATGAGAGAAATTGAAGGAAGAACTGTTAAGCAAAAATGAACTAGGACTTGATAGTTTGGGAAATTCTCAGCCTATCCAGACTGCAAATGATGTTAAAATTTGGAGATTCACAGTCAGGAAAGCTTACTATGGAGAGAAAGCCAAAGCAGGCAGTGTGGCATCTTCTCTTCTCTCTGATCTCTGCAGCATCTTCTCTTCTCTCTGATCTCAGTCACACACAAAGGTGTGACTGGACAGCCTTTTGCTACTGCCTTGGAAGAGGGCTTTGTGAAGAGATTAGGCATGCATCTCATAAATCCTCTAAGCCAGGAATAGAGATGGAATTATCCAGGATAGATATCTGGAGGAAGTCCTTGTCTAATGGAGTGAATACTGAGACATACACAAGAGACCCACAAGGCATTTTAGAAGGTTGTAGCAGCAGAAACACTACCAGCTTGGACTGAAAGGGACAGAGAGAGAATGGAATGAAAGAAGGCTGTTGGACTTCTAAAATTCTACAGGCAGAAGACAGGCTGATAAAAATATTTAGCAGTAGGCTGGGCGTGGTGGCACATGCCTGTAATCCCAGCGCTTTGGGAGGTTGAGGCAGGAGGAACACGAGGTCAAGAGATCGAGACCATCCTGGCCAACACAGTGAAACCCCGTCTCTACCAAAAATACAAAAATTAGTTGGGCATGGTGGTGCGTGCCTGTAGTCCCAGCTACTCAGGAGGCTGAGGCAGGAGAATCGCTTGAACGCAGGAGAATCGCTTGAACCCAGGAGGCGGAGGTTGCAGTGAGCAAAGATCACACCACTGCACTCCAGCCTGGCGACAGAGTGAGACTCTGTCTCAAAAACAAGCAACAAAACAAAACAAACAAACAAAAAATTTAGCTGTAAATACATGCTACCTTTTATGAAAAAGAATGACTCTGAAGGTGGAATGAGCCTGGGTCCAGAGGGTAGACCCTTGAGCCACAGAGGATATTTTTAGGCCTTTAGCCTAATGGAGTATGACTGGTTAGATTTTAAAATTGCTTGGGACTGGTAGCTCTTTTTTTCTCTTTCGTTTTTCTCCCATTTTGGATGGGAATGCCTGTAACTATCAAACTATGCCTGTTTCACCTTTGTATTTTGGGAGCAGATAATTCGTTTTGCAGTTTAACAGGTCCACTGATGGAGGTGAATTTTTCCCCAGGATCCTTTATATCTAGAGCCTCACCCATACCTAAATGAGATGACTTACATGATGAGATTTGAGACTTTTGAGCTGATGAGACTTACATGAGATTTTGGACTTGATCCTGTAATGGGTTGAGACTTTTCAGATCTTGGTATGAAATGAATATATTTTCTATGTGGATCTGATGTGAATGTTTTGTTTTGTTTTGTTTTGGAGACAGGGTCTCACTCTGTCACCCAGGCTGGAGTGCAGTGGCGTGACCATGGCTCACTGCAGCCTCTATCTCCCAAGTTCAGGTGATCTTCCCATCTCAGCCTCCCGAGTAGCTGGTACTACAGGTGCATACCACCACGCCCGGGTAATTTTTGTACTTTTTGTAGAGATGGGTTTTTGTCATGTTGCCCAGGCTGGTCTTGAATTCCTGAGCTCAAGTGATCCACACACCTCAGCCTCTCAAAGCGCTGGGATTACAGGCATGAGCCACCGTGCCCGGCCCGATGTGAATCTTTGGGGGCCAGAGAGTGGACTATCATAGGCTGAATAATGGCCTCCAAAGATGTCCACATTCTAATCCCTGAAACTTGTGAATATATGACCTTACACGATGAAAAGAGACTTTGCAGATATGATTAAGTTAAGGATAGATATTAAGGTGGGGAGATTATCCTGTATTACCCAATGTAGTCGCAAAGTTCCTTATAAGGGAGGCAGGAGATTTGGAGTCAGAAAGGGAAGATACAAGGTTGGAAGCAGAGATCAGAGAGAAGAGAAGATGCTGCAGTGCCTACTTTGAAGATGGAAGATGGAGCCACGAGCCAAGGAATGTAGGTAGACTGTGGAAGCTAGAAACTGCAGGGAACTGGATTTTCCCCAAAAGCCTCCAGAAGTAATGCTCTGTATTGACACCTTAATTTTAGCCCAGTGAAACAGATTTTGCATTTCTGACTATATTAGTTCATTCTCGCACTGGTATAGAGAAATGCCTGAGACTGGGTAATTTACAAAGAAAAGAGGTTTAATTGGCTCACAGTTCTGCAGGCTGTACAGGAAACATAGCAGCTTCTGCTTCTGGGGAGGCCTCAGAAAACTTAACAATCATGGCAGAAGGCATGTCTTACGTGGCCGGAGCAGGTGGAAGAGAGAGAGGGGGAAGGTACTATACACTTTTAAAACAACCAGATCTTGTGATAACTCATTCACTCATTATCACAAGAACAGCACCAAGTGGATGGTGCTAAACCATTCATGAGAACTCCACTCTATGATCCAACCACCTCCCATCAGGCCCCACCTCCAACATTGGGGATTATAATTGAACATGAGATTTGGGTGGGAACAGAGATCCAAACCGTATCAGTGACTTTCACAACTATAAGAAAATACATTTGTATTGTTTTAAGCAACTAAGTTTGTCATAATTTGTTATAGCAGCAACAGGATGATTACAACTTCTTAAACAAACAAATATGTATCTGTTTAAAATGTTGATTATCAAATACATCAAACCTATAGAAAAGAATCAGAAAATAACAGGGATTCACTATCCAGATTAAAATAAACATTTTACCACACTTTATTTCAATGTCTTGTTAAAAAGAAATAAAGTGTACAAATACACCTTCAGCTCACTCTCATCCCATTTCCCTTGTTTCCTCTGTAAAAGTAACCATTATTCTGAGATTGGTATGTATCCTTTTGGGTCACGTTTTTGGACATATACCCCTAAAATACATATAGTATTGTTTTCTACGTTCTAAAATATTGTATAAATGCTATCATACTGTACCTGTTATTTAACTCCTTATTCATCAACATGTTTTTAGATTTATTGAGTTCATTTTTAACTGCTATATAGTATTGTTGCAGAATTTTGCTCCTTAGTTCAGCTAGAACTGGGTTCTTGTCACAAGACCAGGAAGGATTAGGAACATGGATACATTGAAGGGTGAGGGGAATGGAATTTATTGGGTGAAAAGGAAAAAAAAAAATCAGCAAGGGGATCCTGCCAGCAGCAGGCTCCCATCTCACAGATTGAATGCCAGGCCACCACACAGGAACCGAAGATGAAGAGGCCAGGCTCCTCCCCACTGCAAAGAGTGAACTTCCCATGGCTCCACCCCATTCTCCCAGTGGGCAAACTAGTCGGAGATTCTCCGGGGGACCCTCCTCCTATCTCTTTCTCCTGCATTTATCAGTATTACATTTTGTGGTGTTTATCTTTCCATTCCTGATATGTCATATACCAAATATGGACATTTACTTGTTGCCAGTTTTTTCAATATTACAATGCTGAAATGAGCATTCTTGTACAAATTTCCTGTGTACGTGTGCAAGATTTTCTCTAGAATAGGTATCTAGAAGAGGAATTACTGTATAGTAAGTTATGTACATCTTCAGTTAGCTAGATGTTGAAAAATTGTGGCTGTGACACTTTAATTTCAATTTGTCTCCCTATATTTTCAGCACTTTGTATTGTTGGACTTTTAAATTTTTGTCAGTATTATGGGTGTGAAATGGTATCTAACTTTAATGTCTCAGATAAACTAGGGGGATTTGACATCTTTTCATATATTGACTGGCCATTCTTTTTTCATCTTCTGTGATTTGCCACTTTACATCCTCTTCCTATTGTGTTGGGTCTTTTTTATATACCTGCAAGACTTGTTGTTATATATTTATATACAATGGATATTTATGTTGATTTTACAGTTTATAATATCTTCTAGTCTGCGGCCTGTCTTTTCCATCTGCTTATTGTGTATTTTAACCAAGACCACCCTCAGGCTTGATGATTTGCTAGAAGGATTCACAGAACTTACAAAAGCTGTTATACTCATGGTTACAATTTATTAGGATGTGTGACGGTGCATGTGAAGTGTTGTCAGCCAGGGAAGCATACCTGAACCTTGGTGTCCCGGGCTTTTAAAATTGGGAATCAGTCACATAAGAATGCAGCACTTGCATGACTAGCCTTAGTTACTGAGACTACAGCCTCCCCTCACCCATAAAGCACAAAAACAGGCACTTACCACAAATCACAGCATTTGCACAAACTATCTGATCATAATGGTACTGTATGGCCCAAGGCCTCAGGCATATGAAAACAACGTGAAGCAAAATATGCCGGTGGCTTGAGAACTCATCTCCCAGGAATTGGGCAAGGGCCAGCCACTCCTGGAGACAGGACTTTCCTGAGAATTTGCAGGGTTTGGGGGTTTTTGAGTTAACCCTTTCCTGCACAGGAGGTATATATTTTAATAGTCACATTTATCTTCCTTTTCCTTCATGTTGTACTTTTTCTGTTTTTTATTTCTTTTTTTTCTCTTTTTTTTTCTTGCTTCCAGTGGGATTAAGATCTTTTCTGTTTTTTTTTTCATCTCGTTTAAGGAATTCTTCCTTACCTTGATGTCATAAAGATATTCTACTATAAATTCTCATGTAAAATTTTATAGTTTCCTTTTCACAATTTAGCTCTGTGGTCCACTTGGAATTTCTTTTTGTAGAAAAGAAATTCTATTAGAAGAATGTAGGGATGTAAGGATCTTACTTAATTTTTTTCTGAATGATTAATGAGTGGTTCCAGGACTATTAATTATTCTGTTATTTCTGCACAGATTTATAATGTTATCTCAGTCGTATACCAATTTCCTATATATATGTGTGTCTGCTTCTAGGCTTTCTATTCTGTTCCATTGGTTCGTTTGTCTATTTCTGTAGCTTTATAATGCATCTTAATATTTGGTAGGGAAAGGCCTCTTATTCCTCTCCCTCAAAAATATGTTCTTTTCATATGAGTTTAAGGTCAGCTTACTTTAAATCTTAAGGTCTGTAAGAAACATTGAGATTTGATTAGAGCTGCATTTTGTTTATAGATTAGAGACAGAACTGGCATCTTTACAAAAATGAAGGTGGTTCATCTCTCCCTTTATATAGGTGTTTTTCATTATTTTGAGAAAGTTTTATAAGTTTTTTTATAAGTATCTAATTCATAGTTTGCTAGATATATTTTTGTGTGCCTATTGCTCTCATGAATATTTCTAAATTACATTTTGTTATTGGTTGTGCCAGGTGTATAGGAATGCTTGATTCTGGTATATTGTTGTTAAATCCATCCACCTTGCTGACCTCTCTCTCTAAGTCCAATTATTTGTTTATATATTTTGCTAGGGTTTTATATAAATATTATATAAAACATGCTTAAAAGTACATGAACCATAACTATAGAGCTAAATGAAATGTCACAAAGTGTTTTTGGTTTATTTATGTAATTTGTGAATAATTTTTTTCCCTTTTCCTTATACCGCCAGAATTTGATGTCTTTCTATGTAAAATAAAATAGAATTTCTTTTCTGAAATAATCTCTTTTTTTTTAGACAGAGTCTTGCTCTGTCGCCCAGGCTGGAGTGCAGTGGCATGATCTCGGCTCACTGCAACCTCTGCCTCTGAGGTTCAAGCAATTCCCCTGCCTAGCTGGGACTACAGGTGCGCAACACCACGCCTGTTTAACTTTTTATATTTTTAGTAGAGATGGGGTTTTGCCATGTTGGCCAGGCTGGTCTCAAACTCCTGGCCTCAAGTGATCTGCCCACCTCGACCTCCCAAAGTGCTGGGATTACAGACGTGAGGCACTGCGCCCGGCCTGAAACAATTTTATTTAAGCACCTGAGGAGGCTCACGCTCTAGTGAGCTGTGTTGGATGTGTCAATGCTTTTCAACTTATCAAAGAAAGGAAATTACCAGTATTTGGAAATTCCAACAGAACTTAACAAAAGGGCCTACAGAGTGGTGATTTCAGTTAGTTGACCACAGTCCAGGATTTGGTTCTGAGCATTTGTGAAATGTTGAAACAAGACTTGGTGGTAAACAAATACAAATTAATTTACTGAGACTAACATAGATACGGGTACAGAGAGAAAAACACACACATCATACTAATGTATTATTTCCACTGGTCAACACACTCAGGCCTTTTATCCAGGGCATGTCAGTTTCAGTATTGAGGTACATGGGAAGTCAAACTAAGAAAACAAAATGCTGGCTGGGCGCAGTGGCTCACACCTTTAATACCAGCACTTTGGGAGGCCAAGGCAGGCACATCACCTGAGGTCAGGAGTTTGAGACCAGCCTGGCCAACATGATGAAACCCTGTCTCTACCAAAAATACAAAAAATTAGCCAGGCATGGTGGCAGGTGCCTGTAATCCCAGCTACTCGGGAGGCTGAGGTAGGAGATTTGCTTGAACCCGGGAGGTGGAGGTTGCAGTGAGCTGAGATGGTGCCATTGCACTCCAGCCTGGGCGACAAGAGTGAAACTCCATCTCAAAAACAAACAAACAAAAAAAAGAGAAAGCAAAATTCTGTTTACTGTGACCTAGCACTAAAGCAAAGGAAAGTAAGGAATCTTGTAAACGTGGAATCCTTTGTATTAAGGAATATATTCAGTTACTCTGCCTTCTCTTTATCACACCCCAAGCAGTTTGAGAGGCAGCAAGATGCAGTGGAAAAGTACTGGGTTTGATAACTGATTGACAGGGATTTGAATCCTAGCTCTTTGTGGATGGACCTTAGGCAAGTTACTGCACTTAACTTCTCAGAGTTTCCATTTTCTCACTGTTGAAATAGAAATCATGACATTGTTAATTTAAAAGAAATACAGCATCTCAAAGTAATTATTATAGAGTAAATCCAGCAGAATCACAGGCTTGCATTTGCTTATCCAGGCCTGTGAGTAAAGAAGAAAGTGCCAGTCAATGATTATGCCTAATTTGCCGGAATAAATCCTAGTACCAGTCTGTTTCCAAGTACAAGTAGTCCCCGCTTATCCTCCAGGGATACATTCCAAGACCTTCAGTGGATGCCTGAAACTGTTGACAGTACTGAACCCTATACATACACTGTTTTTTTCCTATACATAATGTACCTGTAAATTAGGCACAGTTAACAACAATAACTAATAATGAAATAGAAAGATTATAACAATAGACTGTAATAACAGTTATGGTAATGTGGTCTCTTTCTCTCTTTTCTCTCAAAATATCTTATTGCACCATACTTACCTTCTTGTGATGTTGAGAGATGATAACCTAGCCAGCTACTAGATGACTCATAGACAGGGAGCATCTATAGCACAGATACGCTAGACAAAGGGAGGATTCATGGCCCAGGTGGTACAGCCAGAGATTTCATCATGCTATTCAGGACAGTGTGCAATTTAGAATATATGAATTGTTTATTTCTGGAATTTCCCATTTAATATTTTTGGACTGTAGTTTACTGCAGGTAACTGAAACTGCAGAAAGTGAAACCACAGATAAGGGGGTACTGCTGTATAGAGATGGCAACTACAACTTTACTACCAGATGTATTAGTTTCCTATTACTGCTGTAGTAAATTATGACAAACGTAGTTTAAACCACACACTTTTAATGTTACAATTCTGGAGGTTAGTGGTCCTAAAATCAAGGTGTTGGCAGGGCTACCCTTCCCTTAGGGACCGCTAGAAAATAATCTGTCTTCTTGCTTTTTCCAGTTTCTAAAGGCCACCTACCTTCCTTGGCTCCTGCTCCCTTTCTCCATCTTCAGACATAACAGCAAAGCATTTTCAGCTCTCTGACTCTGACCTGCTCCCGTTGCCATCTCTCCTCTGACTCTGATCCTCCTGCCTCCTTATAAGGATCCCAGTAATTACACTGGGCTCACCAAGATAATCCAGGATAATCTCTTCATCTCAGAATCTTAACTCAGTCACATCTGCAAAGCCCATTTGCCATGTAAGGTAACATCTTCACAAGGGTTGGGATTTGAACATCTTGGGAGGACCATTATTCTGCTTACCACACCAGGTTAATGAATTACCAAGTAAAATACCTAATTAGAATTACACATCTCTTTTGTAGGTTATTTTCACTGAAACAGGCATTAATTTCTAAAGTTGTAGGAGTCATAAAATGGCTTTATTTAGACAATACTTCCAAGGAAAGATTTGTATTAACAGAGAATAGAACTAGTTGGTAACAGTTACAAATATTCTCAAATCACCATATTGCAAAGGGGAACAAGATTTACATTCTTGTTAAAGTTCTCAATTTAATGCCTTTTTAAATTCAGATTATTTGAAATTATTGTGCAGCAAAATGGTTTCCACGCCTCCACAGCAGCAGGGGAGCGGGCACAGAGCCTTCATATCTTTCTGAGTTTCCTTTTGTTAATTCTGAAGATTTGCATTTGTAAAGCTAGGCTCTGGAATTTCTTAGCTAGTTTTAAATAAAAAACATGTCTGGGTCCTCGTTATGCTGGCAGAAATGGAGAAAAAGCTGAAAGGATTTTATTACCAATGAAATTCTATATTTTGTGCCTTGTAAAGTAGTTGTGAAGATTTAATGTGACCACTTACAAGCCCTGACTACTGCTTGATGAATGAGAGCAGTTTGAGTCTCTTACCTTCTTTTTTGTACTTTCCGCCCTTTTGTATCTTCCTGCTGAGCTCAGATAATTTCGTCTTACCTGTCTTTAAATTTAAATTCTCTACTTAATCTTCTAATTAAAGCTATCCCTTGAGTTTTTAATTTTGAGTACTGTATTTTTTTTCTAAATGTTTGATTAGGTTCAATTATGGTCTGCCATTTGTTATGGCTTCCTGTTGCTTGGTAAGATCTTCAAGTTTTTTATTTATCTCTTTATGCATAGTAAACATAGTCGTCTTATAGTTTGTGTTTGATAATCCTATTGTTTAAAGTCTTTTTGTGAACATTTCTGTTGTCAGCTGATCCTGCTGATTTGCTTCTTTATCTAATTCAAGGCTCAAGGTTCCCAGGGCAAGTTATGTGATCCAAATCTGAGCTGCAAAACTGGCCTGCTTCCATTCACCCTCCCCTTTAGGGGGTAGCCCTTTGAGGTCCCAGCTCATTGTTGGGAATGTCTCCTCTTAGTTTTCCCACTTAGTGTAGCTCTGGGTTTTAATCTCTTATCTCTTTTGCCTTTCAAGGCAGCCAAAATGAAAGCTGAAATTTTTGGAATAGACAAATGCCCTTAGGACAGAAGTTGCTTCACTGCTCTATTTACCTCTAGGTTCCCCATTTCCCAGGAATGTTGCCCTAGTGTTTCCATACTGCCATTTTATTGTTTTTAAGTAGGTGTTACTACTTTTCTTTCATCAAGATTTTTAAAATTTGTTTTCAACCTGATGATTGGTCCAAATAATGTGGCAGGCAATCATCAGAACTAGAAACATTTCTTATAACTCCTTGCTACATTTTCTTTGAGATTAGATTTAGGCTCAGAACTTCATTATCTTTTGGGTTTTGTTTCTTCTGTTTTATAGAGGACACATCTGATGCTCAGAAAAGTACAAATACTTGCTCAAGGTCACATAGCAAGTAAGTGGTAATATTGGGCTTTGAACCCAGCTCTGTCCAACCCTGAAACCTACACTGTGTCAGTTTTTGTTCCTGGGTTCTGGAACTTCTTTCTTTTAGGAAGCAGGTAAATGACTCGTGATTTTCTTCCTTGAGTTTTATCTCTCAAGGTCAAGACCATCTATCTCCCTGTCTCTTGGAAGCACACACAGTTCTGTGCTTTTTTCACAAGGTCCTTGTCCTGTTTCTAAGACGTCCTGATAAATAAGTATCCCTTTCTACCACCCACCTTGTACCTTTCAGAACTGAATTCAGGGACATTCAGTATCCAACTGTAACCATAAAGTTTGATTTCCTTTTCAACTGCAGTATTTTCCTCAAAAGACCTAGATGAATTCCCTGCTGAATTTGGAAAGAGCTAAGGACAAAGTGACCCGGGAAGCAATCCTTTTAGATGAAAGGAGGAGGGAGAATGATACAAGTAGGGGTTAGAGAACTTACAGTTTAGTTGTATAGTGGTGGGATAGTTGAAGATTTTGGATTGGTGAATGCCCACAAGGCACCTTGTCATGGTGACAAATACAGGAGCTTTGGAGCCAGACCCACTTCAGCTGAATATCAGTTCACCTACATATTAACTCTAAAATGTTGGGCAAGTCAGCTTCCCTCTCTTGACCATCAGTTTCTTCATCCACAAACTTGGAATAATAATAGCAAACTTTCAAGGTTTCCGTGTGAAATACCAATGATGTATTTCAGTGAAGTGTTTGTGTTTGGTGCATGCTTACTAAATGGTTGTGGTAGTTATTATTATTGTTGTCCCCCTCAAACTTTTCATCTGGTGGGTGCCCTAAGACCAGGCAGGAGAGTTCATTTTTCATTTGTGTGTATGCCCAGTTACTCCTCTCTCCTCTGTTGCATCATCTTCTTCAGTCTCCTGAAGATCTCTTACCGTCTACGTTCTTCCCAATCCTTGCTTTCCTCTCCTAGTTCTACACAGTCAACACCTCCTTTGTTCAGATAATCTTCCCATTTCCCTACTCAATTTAATCTCTTTTCATTGCCTCTGCATTGTCCTCCAGATAAACCAGTCATCCTCATATCACTTTGTTTCTTCATGTCCCTCTCTCCCTGATTTGGGAGGCCACCCCAAAGTGAGACATATCACTGGGTCTCAGCAGGCCTTAATTTCTCAGCTGATTCTCTGTCTTATTTTGTCAGCTTCTTTTCATTAAGTAAAAGTTATGTTTTTCTGTGTATTATTTTTTAAGCTGTTTAGTTATGGATATCTTCCTTTTTTACGTATTTTACATTATAAAAGTAGAGACATGCTCATTTTGAAGATTTTAGAGAACAACAAAACTTTATTAGGAAGGAAATAAAAGTGACCCACAGTTTTATTAACTAGAGATAAATACTATTCAGTAATTGATATATTTCTTTTCAGTATATACAGTTTTGTATCATTTGCTAGGACTGTGTACCACAGTCTGGGTGGCTTAAACAATAGAAATTTATTTTTTCCCAATTCTGGAGGCTAGACGTCTGAGATCAAGGTGCTGGCAGGGTTGGTTTCTTCTCAGGCCTCTCTCCTTGGCATGTAGATGGCCGTCTTCTCCTTCCTGTGTCCTCACATGGTTTTCCTTCTCTGTATATCTCTGTCTTTATCTCCTCTTCTTTTTATTTTATTTTTGCAATTCTCCTGCCTCAGTCTCCTGAGTAGCTGGGATTGCAGGTGCCCACCACCATGCCCGGCTAATTTTTGTGTTTTTAGTAGAGACGGGTTTTCACCATGTTGGCCAGGCTGGTCTCAAACTCCTGACCTCAAATGATCTGCCCGCCTCGGCCTCCCAAAGTGCTAGGATTACAGGCATGAGCCCCCGCACCGGGCTTATCTCCTCTTCTTATAAGGACACCAGGCATGTTGGATTAGAACTCTAATGATGTCATTTTAATTTAACTACCTAACTAGACACTAATGATGTCATTTTTAATTTAACTACCTTTTTAAAGATCTTGTCTCCAGTGTAGTCACGTTCTGAGGTACTAGGGGTTGGGACTTCACCGTATGAATTTTGAGGGGACACAGTTCAGCCCATAACACCTGCTTTCTTCTCTAAAAGTTATCTTTTAAGAATTCCCACTTGTCGATAACAATTCTTTGACAATAGTTCTGATGACTACATAATATCCCATCATTAAAATATACCACAATTTACTTAATCAATTTCATATTCTTGGACCTTTCAGGTGTTTTCATTTTTTCACTAATATAAATGCTTCCATAAGTAGTTTTGTACATGGATGTTTGGATATCTGACTATTTGTTTGGAATAGATTGCTTGAAGAGTGATTATTGGGTCAAAAGGTATGACTATTCTCTGGTTTTTAATTACATACTGCAAAATTGTTTTCCAGAAAATTGTACTAATTTACATTCATACCAGGAAGGAGAATAGTCAGTTAGGCATTCATATAAGCTGCTGGTGGGAATGAGAAAGGAAAAATAAACTCTCATGGTTGTTTCACTTTACATTAATTGATGACTAACAAAATGGAATATTTCATGTATTTATTAATCTGTTTGCATTTCCTTTTTTGTGAACTGTTACTCATGTTCTTTGCCCATTTATGTATGTGAGTCTATCATTTTAGGTGATAAGATTATGATTTAGAGTGAGTTCTACTCTAAAGAGGGAAATTTCAGAAAAAGTGAAATTCCAAAGAATGTTATGGATCCAGAATCCAAGGACTATTGGTCTGAGTCTCTTCTTTGGAGAAGACTTGGCATGTGATGACATATAGGTAAAGGAATGGCTGCAGGAAAGCTTGGCAGGGAAGAGTTGAATGTATTCCTTACGCAGGGAAATTTGTTACAGGCACAGTACTGCCACTTATACTACTGAAGAGAAAGGCTGTGAGTGAATTAACTGAGGAAAGGCAAGCTAGATGCATATTATATATGGGAATCTTCTAGGAAAAAAAGCACAGAGATATGATTCACATGACCATAACTCTTGCAAAGGTTTTAGAATTTGTGAGACACTGGGGAGGTTCTCATGGGGAAAAGTCTTATGTATGTGATTAATGTCAAAAAGCCCTTTGTCAGTGTTCAAGGGAGGTACCTCAGAGTACTCATGATAAAGAGAAACCCTATGAATGCTGTGAATGTAGTGAATATAAAGAAATTTTTAATCATGATGCCAGTCTTACTTACCATCTGAGGACTCACACCTGAGAATTCATTGATTTGTTATGGCCATAAGAATGTGGAAAGGCAGGACATGATTCTCTTTCAACACCAGAAATTTCATAGGGTAGAAAAACTTTCCCAATGCTGGACAAATTGCAGTGGGTGATGAAGCTTTTTGAATCATGCAAAAGTTTATACTGGACAGAATCCCTATGAGTGTACTGACTGTGGGAAAGGCCTCAAGACAAACTCAGACTGTTTTTTTTAACATGAGAGAATTCATAGTGGAGAACAACCCTATGCTCATAATGCATGTGGAAAGGCTTTCAGATCCAGCTCAGACTTTACTAAACATGAGAGAATTCATAGTGGAAAGTAACCTTATGCAATGATGAATGTGGGAAAGGGTATCTGGAGATAACAGACCTTCAAAAACATTAGAAAATTTATAGCGGAGATGGAAAGAGATCCTTTCAGTGTAATGAATATGGAAATGTTTTTAATCTAGAGCTCAAATTTTATTTGTCATCAAAGATAATCTTTTACAATGAATATACAAAAACCTCCAAACAGAAATCAATCCTTGTTCATCATCTGCAGATTCATAGTGGACAGACACTCTGTACCTGTAATGAATAAGCCTTCAATTAGAGGCTAAGTCTTATTCATTATCAGAGGATTCATAAAGGCATCACCTTCTATGTACGTAAAAAATTATGGGTATGCTTTCAGCAGGATATCAGCCTTATTTGATATTGGCAAGTCTATAGCGAGTTCGCTTAAATGCAGTGAGTGTGGAAAGGCCTTCAATCTGAAGTTTAATCTTACTCAGCATCAGAAAATACAGAGTGGCAGGAATCTTATTAATGTAATGTGTGTGGGAAAGTCTTTATGAGAAAATCACGTCTTGGTAAAAATGAAAAAAAGATTCTTTGTAAAAGTTAAAATAGTTACCACATAATTACACGCCTGCCAGTGTGCCAAGCACTACAAGAACTTTACATTGTTTAATCATTTTTTTACAATAATCATACAATGTAGAAATCCTCGTTGTTTTACACACACATGAAGAAACCAAAGAAATGAGGTGGAAAAACTTCCCCAAGATCACATACTAGTCACTGGAAGAGCCAGGGTTTGAGTCCTAGAGAGTTTAATTGTTCTGGGTTTATAGTGGCAATATGTAAATCTTCAAGGATGTGTTAGTCTTTATTCATTATTAAGAAATTCCTTCAGAAATCAGGATTCACTCTTCAGTGAGTATTGGGAGCCTTCAGTCAGTTTTGGAATTAGAGACTCTACATTGGGTTCTATCAAATTTAGTAAGGACTATAAAGACTTTATCATATTTATATTATCCCTTTGAATAGGGATTACTTCCAATCTTGAAAGATTTCATTAATAACAAAATTCTGTTCTCAAATGCTCACCCTAACCACTTTCTGTGGTGTAGACAACGTGGAGTGGGATGGAAAGCACAGGCTCTGGGATTGGCCAGGATAGCTTCACCATCAGGAACAAGGTAGAGTTACCCAGTTCTTAAAAAGATTGAGTAGGAATGGAGAGGACAGATGTGGTGAGAGCTTCAGGAACAGAGTCAGGTCATTCTAGGAATTATAACCAAACAAGCCAAAATAAAGTAGAATTCAGCCTATAAGGAAGTGGAGAAGCTAGGGTATGTGGCATGATTTTCTCCCCAGATGGATTTAGCTATAGGTTGCTTGTGTATCACCCAGTATTCAGAGGAACTTGAATTTGAAATTGCTTCAGGAATATGCAGTACTCTAGCACTGAGTCAAAAATAAGCGTGACTTTCAGAAACTCAAGGTATAAGAAATATTAATAAATTGATTTTCTACCTTCTCACTTCAAGGAGGCAGTGTGCTACACCAGAAAGTATTCAGGATCTACCTTCAGGTATAACTGGGTTTATTTGCCAGCTTAACCACCTTCTAGCTGTGTGACTTTAGTTATATTAATAAATCTCTTTGAGTCTCACCTTGCTCATTTTTTTTTTAGGTCAGGATATAATACTGTACCAAGTTGTAAGGATTCTAGATAAAGGGTATAAAGTGTCTAGTATGGCGCCTGGCATGTAGTACATACCTAATAAATATGTTATTGAAATATATTATTGTTGGTTCTGCAAGGATCTTAACACTCTATAATAGACCTCTCCAACCCCAGTTGGGGAATGAATGTGTTACACTTGTGTTGTGATAGTATTAATCACTTTAGATTATGGGGCTTCTGCTGGCTTATATGGTACCTTTGTGTGAATTGTAAAATAATACCTCTTCCTCAAAAGACTTTCTTACCACTTGCTAGAAAATTGTCATAATAAACACAGATATCTTTGATGGTCATAATGTGAATGGTATTCTGCAGAATCATGCGGCCCACAATTTGCAAAACCTGAAGTTGGTAGGCTGAATAAATGGCCCCCCAAAACTGTCTGCATTTTAATCTCTAGAACCTGTGAATATATATTACCTGAAATGGTAAAAGGGACTTCGGCAGATGTGATCAAATTAAGGATTTTGAGATGCAGGGATAATACTGGATTATTAGGGTGGGCCCAATGTAATCACAAGGATCCTTATAAGAGAGAGGCAGGAGGACCAGACTTATAGAGAGAGAATGTGAGGACTAAAGGAGAGGTCAGAGAGGGAAGAAGATGCTATGCTGCTGGCTTTGAATTTGGAGAAAGGAGCCATGAACAAAGAACTGCCTGGGAGGCAGAGGTTGCAGTGAGCTGAGATCATGCAACTGCACTCCAACCTGGGCAACAGAGTGAGATTCTGTCTCAAAAAAGAAAGAAAGAAAGAAAGATCCTGTGGGTAGGAGTGTGATGGATAGCCGGGTGCATTGGCTCACATCTGTAATCCCAGCACTTTGGAAGGCCGAGGCGGGCAGATCATTTGAGGTCAGGAGTTCCAGACCATCCTGGCCAACACTGTGAAACCCTGTCTCTACTACAAATACAAAATTAGCCAGGCATGGTGGTGCACATCTGTAGTCCCAGCTACTTGGGAGGCTGAGGCAGGAGAATCGCTTGAACCTGGGAGGGGGAGGTTGCAGTGAGCTGAGATCACGCCACTGCACTCCAGCCTGAGTGACAGAGTGAGACTCCGTCTCAAAAAGAAAAGAAAAAAAGGAGTGTGATGGATAGATTGGAAAAGAGAACTGGGTGCAGGGAGACCAGTTAGGAGGCTATTTATAAAGTAGATACTGAAATCTGGGTTAAGGCAGTGGGAATGAAATGAGAATACCATATATGCAATAAATTTGGAACTTGGTCACTGACTAGATATAGGGGGACTGACGGAGAAGAAGGAATCAAGGATGATGCCCAGTTGTCTTTCTGCCTTGGATGGTTAACAAGTTGCAAAAACCATTCATGGAGAACTCAGAATAAGGAGCAGGTTTGTGGGGAAAGAATGACCTTTGCAGTGTCCAAGAGGAATTATTCAGTAGGTAGTCCGGAATTCATTCTGCTGCTGTGAAGCAAGTAGGGTTACAGATAGAAATCAGATAGAAATTTGGTAGTCATCAAATACAGAAGTGGTGGTTTTAATTGAAGTATCAATGAGATTGCCCCGGGAGAGGGTGGTGTGGAGTGAGAAAAAAAAAAGACCCAAGGCAGAATCTCAGAAACCTAGGCATTTTGAGGGAAGACAAAGCTGAGAATCAGCAGAAGAAAGGTAGGAGGGGGACCAGAGGAGATACAGCATTCTTGTTCTGCCCTCTTGTGGCAAGCTGAGTGTGTCCCAGCATAAATCTTCCCTCTCTTGTCTTCAGTCTTCCAGGTCTCTGACTCATAATTCCATTCCCACCCTACCTGGGAGAATGGAGCTGCCAGGTCTTCTCATGGTCATTTCTCAAATGTAAAGCTCCTCTTCGATTATTTCTACAATTCAAGAGCAATTTGGACCCCACCCCCATGTTGCAAAAGAATAAAAAGCAAACAGTGGGGCGGGGCTTCAGTTTCCACATTTATATGCTCCACCATCTTTTGATCTATTCTATTGGCCTCATTAATTTTAGTACATCTCAACTCTCATCATATCCCTTCGCTCCCTTTATAATTAAAAGACATTTTATTTTGAATTTTTTTATTATAGTAAATATACTGTATATTATAGCAAGACCTATGTATGGCTTAAAAAAGAAATAACAAAAAATAGCAGTATTAGCTTCACTTTTTTTCACCACCAGACTTGAACACTTGAAGGCTAGAATGCAAATTAGCCAACTTTGAAATCTACTTCTTTTGGTTTTTATCTAAATACCATTATTTCATGAGTTACCTATTTCAGATATTAGCTGTTGACTTCCCATTATGGTAGATGAAGATTTAATTCACTTTTTCTCCCTCAATTACCTTCTCTATTCTTTTAGTATAGCTATAGCATACTTTCTGGTTAATGATGTTTATACTATTGTGATTGTGCAAACATTGTTCACTAAAGAGACAGGTAGTGAATTGTGTCTATGTTTCTGTTTTGAACACATTTGTATCATTTCTAGAGTTATAATTCCCTTTTATCTGTGTATTTTTATATATTTATATTTGAGGCAGAGTCTTGCCCTGTCACCCAGGCTATAGTGCAATAGTGCGATCTTGGCTCACTGCAACCTCTGCCTCCTGGGTTCAAGCAATTTTCCTGCCTCAGCCTCCAGGCAGCTGGGATTACAGGCGCCCACCATATCTGGCTAATTTTTTTGTATTTTTAGTAGAGATGGGGGTTCACCATGTTGGCCAGGCTGGTTTCGAACTCCTGACCTCAAGTGATCTGCTCGCCTTGGCCTCCCAAAATATCCTTATTTTTTCTGTTAGCTCTATCATATGTCTATTTTTGTGTAACTGCTAAAAAACGTCAGAGTATTCAGAATATTTATTTTCTAGAAATCCCCTTTGTAGAGCCTTCTCTCTTGATCCAGTCTGGGCTGTTTTCAATCCTGAAAGCTTTTGGGATTTCCACTTTATCCCTAATATTCTAAACTTTCATGATGATGTGTGGATATTTGTATATCTGTTGTCCTAGATACCTGGTAGGTAGACTCTTTCAGTTTGTATGTTTTTGTACTTGGACTCTGGAAAGTTTTATTATTTCTTGGATACTTTGTGAGCTCCATAAGGACACATTTTTATCTATTTTATTTATTTCTGTTTTTCCAGTGCCTAAAATAGTGCCTGATACATGATAGACATTTATTTGTTGAATGAATTACTATTTACATTTAAAATAATAAAAATGAAATAATGCCTCCAGACCCACCGACCAGGACAAGAAATAGAACATTATCAGTACTTTAGTGCCCTATCCAATCACACCTTCCTGTCCGCCTCCACCTAGAGATAATACTACCCTGATTTTTGTATTAACAATTTCTTTGGTTTTCGTATATTTTTATCACTTGTATATATGTTTTTAAACAACATATTGTTTAGTTTTGAAAAAATGGAAAAGCGAACACAAACCTAGTTGTACGAGAAAAGGGTACTGTTGCCCCTGTTAGATAGTCTCCCAGGAAAACAGAGGTTCTGCGTCAAAAACTGATTTTAGCTTCTCTGAGAACTGTAAAGCCATTTCTGGGATAATTAGTGAATGAGGTCATGAAATTTACTGTTACTGATGAAAGTCCTATCTGTCTAATTTAATTTTTCTATTGCAGGTGACATTTTCTCTCTTTTCAGCTCTCAGAGTTATAGTTGACAAAAATTATACGTATTCAAGGTGTATACATATTCAAAGTGATATTTTGATATAAATATACATTGGGAAATGATTTCTACAGTCAAGCTAATTAACATATCCATCAACTCACAGTTACCTTTTTTGTGGGAATACTTAAGATCTACTCTCTTAATGAATTTCAAGTATGTAATACATTATTACTAACTATATTCACCATGCTGTACATTAGATCTCCAGAACTTACTCATCTTACAACCACAAGTTTGTATCCTTTGACCATCTCTCCACTTCCCCCACACACTGGCTGACCTTGGGTAACCACCCATCCACTCTCTGTTTCTATGAGTTCAACTTTTTAAAGATTCAGCATATAAGTGAGATGATGCAGTATTTGTCTTTCCGTGTTTGGCTTATATCACTTAGCATAGTGTCCTCCAGGTTCATCTGTGTTGTTGCAAATGGCAGGATTTCCTTTATCAAGGGTGAACAATATTCCATTGTGTGTGTGTATGTATGTGTGTGTGTGTATACACACAATTTCTTAATGCATCTGTTGCAGACACTTAGATTGTTTTCATATTGTAACTATTGCTAAAAATGCAGCAATGAACAGGGGAGTTCAGATGCTTCTTTAAGATAGTGATTTTATCTCCTTTGGATATACACCCAGAAGTGGAATTGCTGGATCATATGTTCAATTCTTAATTTTGGGGGGGAACCTCCATACTGTTTCTGCTAGTGACTGTACCACTTTATACTCTCACCAACAATGTATAAAGGTTCACTTTTTGCCACTTTTTGCCAACACTTGTTATCATTTGACTTTTTGATAATAACTATCATAACAAGTGTGAGATGTTATCTCATTGTGGTTTTAATTTGCATTTCCTTGAAGATTAGAAATGTTTAACACTTTCAATATACCTGTTGGGCATTTGTATGTCTTCCTTGGAAAAAATGTCTATTCAGGTCCTTTGCCCATTTTTAAATTGGGTTATTTGTGTGTGTTTTTTTTTAACTACTGAGTTAACTATGTGAGTTCCTTATATATTTTGTATATTAACCCCTTATCAGATATATGGTTTGTGTATATTTTCTCCTAATCTGTGGGTTGCCTTTTCATTTTGTTGATTGTTTCCCTTGCTGTGTAGAAACTTTGTAGTTTGATGTAGTCCCACTTGTTTATGTTTGCTTTTGTTACCTGCCTTTTTGGTGTAATAACAAAAAAATCATTGTCATGTTCAATGTGAAGGACCTTTTCCGATGTTTTCTTCTAGAAGTTGTATGTTTTAGGACTTGCATTTAAATCTCTAATCCAATTTCCAATTTGAGTTGAGGGGTGTGAGAGAGAGAGAGAGAGAGTGTGTGTGTGTGTGTGTGTGTGTGTAAGATAATGATCCAATTTCATTTTTTTCTGCAATGGACATTCAGTTTTTCCAACACCATTTGTTGAAGAAACTATCCTTTCCACATTATGTATTCTTGATGCCTTTGTCAAAGATTAGTTGACTGTATATGCATGGATTTGTTTCTGGGCTATTTTATTTATTTGTCTATGTGTCTGTTTTTATGCCAGTACCATGTTGTTTTGATTACTATAGCTTTGTAACGTAATGTGAAATCAGGAAGTATGATGCCTCTGACTTTGTTCTTCTTATTCAAGATTGCTTTTAGTTATTAATAGGGGTTTTATTGAATCTGCAGATTGCTTTAGTTAGTACGGACATTTTGACAATATTGATTCTTCCAATCCATGAACACAGAATACTTTTCAATTTATTTGTGTCTTTTTCAATTTCTTCCATTATTGTTTTGTAGTTTTCAGTGTACAGATCTTTTACCTCCTTGGTTAAATTTATTCCTAAGTATTTTATTGGTTTTGATGTTATTATAAATGGGATTATTTTCTTAATTTCCCTTTTGGATTATTTATTGTTAGTACATAGAAATATTATTGATTTTTCTATGCTGATAGTATATTATGTAACTTAATTCATTTATTAGTTCTAATAGTTTGTTTTATGGAGTCCTTAGGTTTTTCTGTATATACGATTATGTCATCTGCAAACAGATATAATTTCACTTCTTCCTTTCCAATTTGGATGCATTTTATTTCCTTTTCTTGACTAATTGCTCTGGTTAGGGCCTCCAGTACTATGATGAATAGAAATGGTGAGAGTGGGCATCCTTGTCTTGTTCATGATCTTAGAGGAAAAGCTTACAACTTTTCAACATTGAGTATGTTGTTAGCCATGGGCTTGTGATATACGGCCTTTACTGCCTTTGGGTACATTCCTCTTATACCTAATTTGTTGAGAGTTTTTATCATTGAAGATTTCTAAATTTTGTTTCTCTTTCTCTTTAAGATTGTAATTTTTTTTCTTGTTTCCTTGAATTCAAGAATTTAATCAGGGTATCCTGAGTATATCTTAGAATGTAAGCTCCACAAAGACAGGGATTTTTGTCTGTTTTGTTCACTGATATATCCCAAGTGCCTAGAATAATGCTGGCTATGTAATAAGTCCTCATTAGATGAGTTGATTAAATTAATGTATGAATGCATAAATTGATGAATGGATGGATGAACAGGTACTCAATCTTGTCTGGAATTCAGGTAGCCCTTTCTTTAGCTCAGGGAAATTTTCTTCTATCATTTAGTTAAATATTGCCTTTCTTCCTTCTATTTCTTTTCTCCTTTAACTCCCCATCCATCTCCCATATTCACATTTTAGGTTCATTGACACTATCCTCTAGATACCTTGTCTTGTATCTCATTGTATCTATTGCTTTTTGGGTTTTTTTGCTCAGTGCCTTGATATAAATCTTGCACTTAATTTTCTAGTCAAGTAATTCAGGGCTCATCATTGACATCATTTTTCATTTTATTGTTTAATTGGAATTTGATACAGTTTGGATTTGTGTCCCCACCTAAATCTCATGTTGAATTGTGATCCCTAATTTGGGAGAGAGGCCTGGTGGGAGGTAATTGGATCAAGAGGGCAGATTTCCCCCTTGCTGTTCTCATGATAGTGAGTTCTCACGAGATCTGGTTGTTTAAAAGTGTGTAGCACCTCCACCCTTCTCTCTCTTCCTCCTGCTCTGGCCATGTAAGATGTGCCTGCTTCACTTTCACCTTCTGCCATGATTGTGAGTTTCCTGAGGCCTCCCCAGCCAAGCTTCCTATACAGCCTGTGGAACCATAAACTAATTAAACCTCTTTTCTTTATAAATTATGCAGTCTCAGGAATTTCCTTATAGCAGTGTGAGAACAGACTAATATAGAATTTGTTTTTAAAGCTTTGAGCTCTAGAAAGTTTTTGTGTGTATATGCTGCATTTTCCTCAGGTGTTCTTATTACTTTTTAGTCAGTTTTTACATATCTTGTCTAATAGCTTTGTTTTATTTCTCTCTGACTGCTGAAACTTTTTAATGTTTGTTTTTATGAATGATCACTTTGTGGGCCTTGATGTAGATTGGAATGTATTTGAGTCAGTACTGCTAGAATATCAACTATGTGCAGATATGAATGGTGTTACTATGGAAACGAGGTCACATGTGAGTTCTGATCTTCACACTGCCTTATTTCCAGCGAAAAGTTGCCATTTCTTTAGAACACTGATTGTCCCCGGATAAAACTGTGAACATTCCAATATTTAGGCCTAGTCACCTTGGACACAAATTGCACTCTGAAATATTGTTCTTTCACTGAGAGCAGACAAGCACAGTATTTAAGTTTATATGCAAGGTCTCAAAAGCTAACACAAAGCTAGCTAGCAAAAAGAAAAAAGAAAGAGCTAAAATGACTGTTAGATGTAATTCTACATAACCTGTTTTTAACAAGAGCATTCTATAAGACTAAATTCTAAATTTTTTCATCAAAGGGTGTTTTTCTACTCCTGATTAATTTTCACCTACTGTACCATGGTAACTCTACCCATTCAGAATTTGAATTCCTAGTTCAGGGAAAGGAGGAATCTGGGGTAGTGGCAATGCAATATCCTTGTTTAGACTTGATGTTAATTTGTATCAGTGTTTGCTGGTAATGCTAATCAAAAACAAACTCCACCTAGAAACCTGTTAGTGGTAAAACATGGATAACACCAGTAAAGAGAATTTATATGATTTCATTGATCCATTGTGTGGAGCTGTGAGGGATCAATAAATAACATTCATCTTTCCTGACTAGGTTCAGAACCAATTGAAATTGAAAGATGTAGGAATCCGATAAATGGAACTCAAAACATCATCTTTATTACTGATAACACTTCAGAGAATATGGCTTTAATGTGGACTTCCTAATATTGGACCCCAGAATTAAGCAGATTTACCTAAACCACCATAAGCAATGGTGAAAAACCACAAGACTCTGGGCCAAAAGTGGGCCACTTGATGCATGATATGTTTTCTGTAAGCATGTAGATGAAGGGCAGAGAGCAAGAGCCTAAGCCAAGCTGTATTAGTCAGGGTTCTCTAGAGGGACAGAACTATATATACACATAAAAATAAAGGGGAGCTTATTAAGTATTAACTTACACGATCACAAGGTCTCACAATAGGCTATCGGCAAGCTGAGGAGCAAGAAGAGCCAATCCGAGTCCCAAAACTGAAGAACTTGGAGTCTGATGTTCAAGGGCAGGAAGCATCCAGCACGAGAGAAAGATGTAGGCTGGGAGGCTAGGTCAGTCTCTCCTTCTCACGTTTTTCTGCCTGCTTTATATTCGCTGGCAGCTGATTAGATTGTGCCCACCAGTTGAAGGGTATATCTGCCTTCCCCAGCCCGCTGACTCAAATGTTAATCTCTTTTGGCAACACCCTCACAGACACACCCAGGATCAATACTTTGTATCCTTCAATTCAATCAAGTTGATACTCAGTATTAACCATCACACAAGCATACTCAGATGTTTCTTCCAAACATACTAGTCACATAACTCATTCCTTCTTCTGTGGACAGAAAAGCAGGAGTGTTAGTCTATTTGAAGTTCTTCCACTTAGAAACATGAGAAGTAAAGATTAAGTGTTCCCTCTAACATAGCTCAGTGATGTATTCAGTATTGCCATGTGCTTGAACTTGTCTATCTCTTCAGGACCAAAAATATCATAATTTTGCTGTGACACGAAAGGTATTAGGATATTTTAGGAAGACTGTAGTACAAATAGCTCAATTACAGAATATCATGTTAATGACATATCAATAGAATATTTAAAACTCCATCTAAATGCTATAACAAAACATGAAGAAATGCTTCTTAAAGGCAGATGTACCAAAAGGAATCCATTCACCACTCTCTACCAATGGGAACATCAAACATTGTACCTTTAGAGCATGGTATATTTCTCCACTTAACACCTACTAGAACTCTGCAGTGAGGCTTCAAGTGAGAAACTTCTCTGTTATATCTGGGTTGATGTAAGATCCACATATCAGGAAAGTAAGTGTGTGTGTGTGTTTGTGTGTGTGTGTGTATGAGAGAATAAGATAGGAGTGGGGGACAAGAAGGGAGAGGAGAGGAAATAAAAGAAGGAAAATGAGATATCAGGGAATGAGCACCACAAGTGTAAAATCCTAAGTGATGTGGGTCATGTGTTTGATGGAGAGATAGGGAGAGAGTATTGTGTGGTAGTGGGGTAGTGGAGGTATGTGGCCAAGGTATGTGTGATAATGGTGTCAATGGGGACAGTGTAAGGATGGTATGAAATCACTGTGATCATGAAGACAGAGGCAATGTGAGTGACAGTAACAGGAAGAGATCAGAATGTATGTGACAGTTGTAGTTATGGTCACAGTGTATGTGAAAGACAAGAATTGTGCATGTGTGTGAATATGGTTGTGTGAGAAAGTGGGGAGGGAGAGGACAGGATAATGGGACACTGGGATCATTGTGTGTGTGAAAATGTGGATGGGACATGTTGATGTAGAGGGAGGTTGGAATGGGGCAGGTGTAATGTCATTATGGAAGATAGGTACATGATGGAAGTGAGAAGGCTGGTGTATGTCTGTGTGTCTATGTGTGCTGGGGAAAATGAGAAGTGTGTCTCTTTGTGAGGACAGATGGATACAGTGAGCATGGGTAATCACAGTCAATGAAAATGTGATAATTTGGAGTGGGAAAATCATGAGTGTCTGAATAGGGTTGTTGAATAAAGTATATGATGGGAAAATGCAAAGAGTTTCTGAGTGCCAGTGAGGAATGGGGAATATATGTGAGTGAGAGCAGAGTTGATGTGGTTATTGGTTGTGAGTATGTATGAAATGGAGGTGGTATGAGAATGTGTGGAAGGAGATTTGGAGGATGATACAAGTTTGATAATGGAGATGTGGACTGTGTGTATGATAGTGGGTGTGGCTAGACACTGCGTAATGGTGTAGTGTAGGGATTGAGTAATTGGGGTGTGACTATATGAATGATGGGGATGGTGTGTATGATAATGGGGATTGATTTAAGTTAGTGGTATTTGACAGTGGGTGTCGTGGGTACCATATCTGTTCTGGTCTAAAGACATTTTATTTATGATAGTACAGGATAGGACAGAGTATGTGTGGAAATGGGAGTGATAGAGACAGTGTACATGTTAGTGGGCATATTAATCCATTTTCACACTGCTATAAAGAGATACCTGAGACTGGACAATTTATTAAAAAGAAAGAGGGTTTAGGGTGCTGGTATTGCAGGTGTGAACCACTGCCCTTGGCCTGGAAGATCTCCATTTTTATGATTTTTTTTCATTTTTAATTTTTTTTTAAGAGACAGGGTATCCGCCGGGTGCGGTGGCTTATGCCTGTGATTCCAGCAGTTTGGGAGGCCGAGGCAGGCGAATCGCTTGAGCTCAGGAGTTTGAGATCAGCCTGGGCAACATGGTAAAACCCTGTCTCTACAAAAATAATGCAAAAATTAGACCGGTGTGGTGGCGGGTACCTGTGGTCCCAGTGCCTGGGAGGCTGAGGCGGGAGAATTGCTTGAACCCAGGAGGCGGAGATTGCAGTGAGCCGAGATCGTGCCACTGAACTCCAGCCTGGGTGACAGAGTGAGACCCTGTCTCAAAATGAAACAAAACAAAAAGAGACGGAGTCTTGCCCTGGCGCCCAGGCTGGGGTGCAGTGGTGCTATCATAGCTCACTGCAGCCTAAACTCCTGGGGTCAGGGGATCCTTCTGCCTCAGCCTCCTGAGTAGCTGAGACTAGGAGGGTGAGCCACCGTGCTGGGCTAGGATCTCCATTTTTAGACACTTTATCTCAGTGTATTCAAAATATGGTTCTTGGACAAGTGTGGGTTGGTGATCTGGTCTGCCATGAACTGAGCCTAAGTGTTTGGCAAATTTTACTGCAATTTTAGAGTGATTTTATTTATGTTGAATCAATAATTTAAAAAGTGAGGCTTGTATTTTGTATTCTATAATTTACTGTAATATCATTTTTTCTAGAAACAGACTCTTATTTCACAAAAGTATTGGTTGAAACGAATTAAAGTGAACAAAAAACCAACTGGTTTTGCACAAGTAGTTTGAAATATATTGCTCTATCTTACTCAAAATTGATGCGTATGTGATTTCTTTTTCTATAATGTGAAGTTTTTTTTGTTGTTGTTCTTTGGGGATCTTGTGCTCTACTCCTAAAATATTAATGTCATGCAGGATTCCAGAATTGTTTTGTTTTGTTCCAGATATTTGCCTTGCGTATATAAAGATGTGGTCATTCTTTGCATGCTCTTTCCCCAGAGACACATGTAAATGGAGTTGTAATTTCCTGTTGGTAAACAGCAAGTATTTAAATTTAGAATCAGGTGGTAAGGTTGATATGTAGAAGGGTAATACATTGGATTGCCTTCAAAGTGATATCTTTTCCAGTTAACTGTTAACTCACTAATTTACTGTTTTTCTTTTCTTTCTTATGCTTCATGAATTTATGTGTCATCTGTACAGGGGCCATGTGCTAATCTCTGCACGGTTCCAATTTTAGTGTTTGTGCTGCCAAAGCAAGCACGGCTTTTCTTAATCCTATCAAATATTACATGGTATGTTAAAACAGTATAGATCTGGCTTAAGGTATTTCATGGATGACAAATGGACCTCATGTTATAGAGGAATGAAAGATATAAATTAATAAAACATGATCATGATAAGAATAAAACCAAACTAAATCTCCTCTCCAGTGCTTGGCAGCACACTCCCGGAGAGGGTTCAGGCTGTATGTGGCCCCCCAGCAGGTGCTCAGAGATGGCTTAATGGCCTCGGTGACAACAGGAGCCCAGACTGCATAAGACTCTGCCTCTGCAGATGCAGAACAGTAGGGGCCTCTGATGTGCTTGAACATCTGTTTTGGATCTCCATTTCTCCTCAAGAAGAGACTCCTTTTTAAAAATTATTTTTTTTGAAGCTGCATTACTTACTGATTTCCAGAGTCGTTTTACACCTGCCCTTCTCAAGGGAATATTTTGGGCATAATCTTTTTTTTTTTTTTAATTATACTAAGTTATAGGGTACATGTGCACAACGTGCAGGTTTGTTACTTATGTATACATGTGCCATGTTGGTGTGCTGCACCCATTAACTCGTCATTTACATTAGGTATATCTCCTAATGCTATCCCTCCCCCCTTCCCCCACCCCACAACAGGCCCTGGTGTGTGATGTTCCCCTTCCTGTGTCCAAGTGTTCTCATTGTTCAGTTCCCACCTATGAGTGAGAATATGCGGTGTTTGGTTTTTTGTCCTTGCAATAGTTTGCTGAGAATGATGGTGTCCAGCTTCATCCATGTCCCTACAAAGGACATGAACTCATCATTTTTTATGGCTGCATAGTATTCCATGGTGTATATGTGCCACATTGTCTTAATCCAGTCTATCATTGATGGACATTTGGGTTGGTTCCAAGTCTTTGCTATTGTGAATAGTGCCACAATAAACATACATGTGCATGTGTCTTTATAGCAGCATGATTTATGGAATCCTTTGAGTATATACCTAGTAATGGGATGGCTGGGTCAAATGGTATTTCTAGTTCTAGATCCCTGAGGAATCGCCACACCGACTTCTACAGTGGTTGAACTAGTTTCCAGTGCCACCAACAGTGTAAAAGTGTTCCTATTTCTCCACATCCTCTCCAGCATCTGTTGTTTCCTGACTTTTTAATGATTGCCATTCTAACTGGTGTGAGATGGTATCTCATTGTGGTTTTGATTTGCATTTCTCTGATGGCCAGTGATGATGAGCATTTTTTTAATGTGTTTTTTGGCTGCATAAATGTCTTCCTTTGAAAAGTGTCTGTTCATATCCTTCGCCCACTTTTTGATGGGGTTGTTTGTTTTTTTCTTGTAAATTTGTTTGAGTTCATTGTAGATTCTGGATATTAGCCCTTTGTCAGATGAGTAGGTTGCAAAAATTTTCTCCCATTCTGTAGGTTGCCTGTTCACTCTGGTGGTAGTTTCTTTTGCTGTGCAGAAGCTCTTTAGTTTAATTAGATCCCATTTGTCAATTTTGGCTTTTGTTGCCATTGCTTTTGGTGTTTTAGACATGAAGTCCTTGTTGGGCATAATCTTTTAATCTTTCTGGAAAGCTAACAAAACATTATCTATGCCAGGCTTTCCACCAGGCACACCCCATTCTTTCCATCACAGTGCTTTTTAAAGGACTTTATCATTTGTTCTCTGGGTTCATTTAACTCTTAACTTACACCGATTTAGCATCTTTGCTATATTTCCTTTCTTATTTCATTCTTTATATGTTATGTTACATTTCTGTTTGAGTCTTTACAGTATCTTCTTTCTTACCAACTTGTCTTTCTAGAATATTTTCACAATTAATGTTTTGGTTTGCTTTGAGGTAGGCGATCAGCAGGACTTGTTTTCTGAGCACTGGTCAGGACCCTGTCTATCTAAATGATATGTAGCAAAGAAACTGGCCAAAGCCATGTAGGACCAGCAATTATAATGCACTTGCGTAAGACACTTCTACCACTACCATGACAGTTTACAAATGCCATGGCAATGACCTGGAAGTTACCTTATATAATTCTGGGAACTCTCTTCCCTTTTTCCATAAAGTTTGTGAATAACCCATCCCTTATTTAGCAAATAATTAAGAATGGGTATAAATATAGGTAGCCAGCAATCCACAAGTGCTACTCTGGACCAATCTGCCTCTGGGGTGGCCCTGCTCTGTCTATGGAGCAGTCACTTGGCTGTACACTGTTGCTCAAATAAACTTGCTTTCTTTCATTGTCAAAAAAAAAAAAATAAATAAAAAAATAAAAAGAAAGAGGGTTTAATTGACTCACAGTTCTGCATGGCTTGGGAGGGCTCAGGAAACTTACAATCTTGGTGGAAGGGGAAGAGGCACATCTTGCATGGCAGCAGGTGAAAGAGAGTGAGCAAGAGTAGGGAAAACTGCCTTATAAAACCATCAGATCTCATGAGCACTCACTATCATGAGAACAGGGTAAGGGAAAATGACTCCATGATCCAGTCACCTCCCACCGGGTCCCTCCCTTGACATGTGGGGATTATGAGGATTACAATTTGAGATGGGATTTGGGTGGGGACACAGAGCCAAACCATATCAGCAGGATTGAAAGGTAAAGTGTGAATATGATAGTTTGGAGAACTGGGACAATATGTGGAGATAATACTTATAAGTCATAGTCATGATCATGAGTCAGAGAGAGTCATGTGAATGAGATAGTGTGTTAGACTGTGTGTGTGTGTGTGTGTGTGAGAGAGAGAGAGAGAGAGAGAGAGAAGTTGGGGTAGGGGCATGTCATGTTTTAGGATGGGTATTTGGAATATCATTTGGATATGAGTAACAAGGACCTAAAAATGAGTTGCTTAAAATAATTAGGGGATATCTTTTCCTTACCTGAAACAAGCCCAGGACCTCCACAATTTTATCAATGTCTCAGTCCCCTTATATATTTTTTTGTTCCTTGGTCCTTGGTATATAGCTCTCATCTTCCAGGTACCTTCTGGTTGAAGGATGCCTGCTGCAACTCTGGCCATCATTTCTATGTTTCAGGTAGAAAGAATGAGGAAGAGGAGAGGGCAAAAATACCTTGTCAGTGGAATTAGTCTCCTTATACAGAGCTTTCCCAAAAATCCTATCCAGTTACTGCCAAATACATCTCATGGGAAAGAACTGTGACACATAGCCACCACTATCTGTAGCTGAGAGAACATGGTAAGAAAAAACAGTTTCTTAGTAAGGAAAAGGAGATGTTGGTAGGATATCACCAGTAGAGAAGGAGAGGTTGAAGATTTGCGAGAGGGAGTATAATTAATAGATGAAAATCACGATGGTGCTAGATACAGATGGGATATGACTGGCAGAGTTTGAGATGCTGGAGGATATCATGGTAAGCAAAAATAGACATATTGTCTCTGCCCTCATGAAGCTACTGTCTTGTGAAGAAGACAGTAATCGCAGACTCAAATATTTGTGAAGTTGTCACTCTGGTAAGTGCTATGGAGGGGAAGTACATGGTTCTGTGAATAGGTTAAAAGAGGGCTTTACCTAATCAGGGAAGTAAAAGCAGGGAGGAAGTAATGATGGAGATGAAACCAGAAGACAGATTCAGAATTGATTGGTTGAAGGATCTGTGGATGGGATGGGGTAAAAGTGTTTCCAGAAGAGGAAACAGCATGAACAAAGGGACTTATGCTCTGTTGTCTTTTAAAATGTATTTTATTTCACTTAGAATCTTTTCCATTATGTCTTCAAGTTCACTAATCTTTAGTAATTAATATCATCTAGCATTTTTTTCTTCTCAAATATTACAGTTTTTATATCTAGATATATGACTTGGACCTTATTAAATAGATCTCATGTTTTTACTTAACATGACCATTCTTTCCTCTAAGTTTTTGGACACATGGAAATAGTTATAATGGCTTTTAATGTGCTTATCTGCTAATTATAACATCTATTAAATATTTAAGTTCTGGGTAAGTTTGGATTGATTGATTTTTCTCCTCAAGATGGGTCCTATTTTTCTGCTTCTTGGTATGCCTGGTTTTTTTTTAATTCGATGCCAGGCAATGTAAATTTTACCTTTCGGTAAAATTTTGGTGAAATTTTTTCTTTTGGTGCTAGATATTTTTATATTCCTACAAAGCTACCTGAGCTTTGTTCTGAAATGCACTTCTTTGGAAACAGTTAGATCTTTTTGAGTCTTGCTTTTATGATTTGTTAGGCAGGACCACAGCAGTTTTTTGCATAAAGCTAATTATCCCTGACTGATGAGGCAAGACCCCTCTGAGTATCCCATGCCAATGAATTAGGAAGTTTTCCACTTTAGCTGGTGAGAACAGCATGGTCCCCAGACCTGTTGGAGCTTCTGGCACTTGTTCCCTTTAATCCTTTCAGGTGACTCTTTCCCCAGCCTCAGGCAATTTCCTTTTATGAATTCACTGATCAGTACTCTGTCAAATACTTAATGGCAATCCTTCAAAGATCTCCAGTGTTCTCCCTGTGTAACTCTCTCTTTTTGGGTACTCTGCTCTGTGAACTCTAGCTACCTTGGTCTTTCTGGTCTCTCATCTCTGTCACTCCAATTCAAGGAATCCCCTGGATTCTGACTACATTCTCCCTTGTTGCTCCACAAACTGGAACCTCTCAAGCAGTAAGTGCTCACTTCTTTTTTCCTCATCTCTCAGGGATTACTCTTCTTCATTGCCTAATGTTCAGTGTCTTCAAAAACCATTATTTCATATTTTATGTCCATTTTTAAGTGTTTTTTGTCAGGTTGGAGGGCAAAATCCTGTCTCCAGCTTGCCTCTTAGGAAGTTATATGGTGGAGACCTGTTAGATAATTATTTTCTTTTCTTTTACAGTTGTTTGACCTTCTCACTACTGCCAAGTATCACAAATGAGTGACAGTTATAATTTTTTTATCAAATGAGAAAAGCCTGAGAATAAGAAATGTATTCAAAATCAGGGATTTGAGGAACAATTTGGGTCACAGGGGAATGTGGCCATATATTACAAGGATAACTCCTCATGACTCTAACCACAAGGAACTTCTGAGCATAAAGACAAGTTAGAAAAGGAGATTAACCTTCTTTCAAAGGATAGATGTTTAAGGCTTGGGGTAGATATTCACAGGATTGGTTCCCAGCCAGGGGGCTTCCAAGACTATAGTAAGTGTTAGAGTAATTGTGCTCTAATCTCAGACATCCTACGGGAGGATGAAACCATACATAGGACAAACCCACACCCACACCCATAGTGTGGGTCACATGACCATAGCTTCAGACCAATTTCAGAGACTATAAATCAGCACGAAAAGGCCATGATGGTGAGAAAATGTGTGAAGAGCATTGAAGAGCCTTTGGCCAAGCTTCAGATCTTATTAACATCAAATAATTCATTAGCAGAGATAAACTCTATGAATGTAGTGATCATGGATGGTCTTTCTTTCTTTTTTTTTTTTTCTTTTCACATTCAGTTGACTTTGTGGATGGTCTTTCAACCAGAGTTCAAATGTCATTCATTATTGTTAAACACATACTGAAGCCATAGAAATGCAGTCAGTGGAAAAAAGCCTTCAGGAACAAATCAAACCTGAGTAATCATGAGAAATTTCAACCTGGAGAGAAACTGTTGAATATACAAAATGTGATACTCCACTCTGTTCTTATCCCATGCAGACTCCCCCAATCTGTGTAAGTGATTCCTTTGGATCCCTCCTCACATGGCTTTGGTGAGGGAGTTGCATGCCCCTCTCCTTCCTCAAGAAAAAGGAAAACACTCTTCCCCAAGCCAAGGACTCACAACACTGTAAATTCTTATCTAATTCTTTCTAGCTTTCTGAGTACATATGGGCTGAAAAGGAATGGAATGAATACCAGTAGCATGACTAGTATGCTCTCCCCATGTAAGGCCCGTAGGATTGTGTTCAGATCTCCTGGGATGTTCTTTTTAGAATGTGGAGGCACTGGGTACCTTTTTCTTTTCTTTTCTTTTCTTTTCTTTTTAAAGGCTATATGGCTTTAACCAAAATTCTGAGGAAAGTGTGAAAGTTCCATTCAATAACCTGCTAAATTTATATTATCTTTTCTCATTTAATATTACAATAGAAGCATGCTTCTGCCATTAAAAACATCTGAATCGGATTTTTTATCACTTTCAATTTAAAGCATAGTCTTCAAAGGTAAATTACTAAGAAAGTATAGATATTTTTTAGGCTCTAAATATACGTTTCTGAATTGTTTTCTAGTAAAAGGAATATTTGTTTGGCTTTTCAATAGCAAAGGACATCCTCAGCATTTTTTTTAATGGAGAAAATGATAGTGGAAAAGAAAGTCATAGATTGCATTTTTTCCTAGATCAGGAATTCATAAATAAGACTAAGAGGCAAGACACCAACCAAAAAAAGCATTTGCAACAAGTGTGACAGATACAAGGTTAATAACCTTAATGTACAAAGAATTCTCACAGCAAAATACAAATGATTAAGAAACGCTGAGAGTATCTTCCCATCATTAATAATAATAATAAATACAGTTTGAATCAATTAAATGTCATTTTGTCTGTCAAAATGGCAAAGATATTTTCAAAGCAAATGTTCAGCACTGTTAAGGGTATGTGAGAAGTCTTCTGCATTGCTAGTGTTGACAAAAACCTTTCTAGAAAGCAATTTGGTATTATTGAATAACGGCCTTAAAATAGTTCATACCCGTTTGAACTAGTAATTCCATTTCTAATAATATACCATAAAGAAATAATTGGAGGTATGCACAGAGGTTTGTTGGGGGAAAATCACCACAATGATAATCTAGTGAACAAAAATAAATGGAAACAAGATTTTTGTTATTTGGTCAAGTAGGTAAGTTCATATGATGGGATATTACACGTTATCATAAAGAATTTTGCAAAGACTTTTTAATGTCATAGAAAATGTTATGCCAAGATAATTGTGATAAAACATTATATACAAAAAGAATCTCAGATGTAGTATATTAATTACAACTGTGCATGTATGTGTGTGATGTTAGACTTGGTATGGACCATTTTCCCAATGTTTTTCAGATGATTTTTCTTTTATAAAATGAAATCAGGAAATGTCATACTATGTAGCTGAACTCATATGACTTTTCTGAGTCCAGCTATATATCTATTTTAATTGTTGTTAATGTTCCATGATTCCCAAATTAAGTGGTTTATGAGGTTTATATTGATGCTGAACATTGAGGACACATATGGCACTAAATCATATCCCAGGTGTCTGAGAGCATTCAGATATGTCTTGAAATTTTCCAGTGCAAATCAAAGAGGGACTCTATGTCACAAGATACCAGAAGCTCACATGGTAAGGTCATCTGATGCAGTATCAAACAAATATCCCCAAACTGTGCATTGAGGTTCTACTTGCAGGCTTCCTCCCCTTGTCTCTTCTGATAACCTTCTGCTTATTAATGGAATGTGAGTTGCTGTGGTGATGGGGGTGAGGAATTAACTGGAAGGGAATTGTGCAATATGAAGGAAGGTGTAATCTATTTAAGTCTGTAAGAGATTACAAGTCACCAAGAAAGCCTGCGATGGTGAGAAAATGTGTGAAGAGCATTGAAGAGCCTTTAGCCAAGCTTCAGATCTTATTAACATCAAAATTCATTAGCAGTGATGAACTCTATGAATGTAGTAATCATGGATGGTCGTTCAAGCAGAGTTTGGATGTTATTCATTATTGTTAAATACATACTGAAGCCATAGGAACGCATTTGATATAATCCTAAGATGTCACTTTGCCTGCTCTTATGATGCAAATTGGCACCAGAAATCCAGCCAACTTTATTAAAATTGTGGAAATCTGACTGGACTCAGATCCATTAATCCTTGAAAGCAGGTAATACATGTATTTTTGCCATCATTATTTCTCCAGCACTTATCACAATGTGTAGCACTTTACTAGGTATACTTTTAAAATGTTTTAAAATTCTTATACATATATAAATAAAGAAGATAAAATCAAGTTGACTCAAGTCTAGAAAACATGGATGAGGGATTTAAGAATTCTAAAGTGTTTATTCTGAGGCACCATATTGCTTTATGTTTGGAGGCTCAGTGTATATTATCAATGTAGAGGCTTCAAGAGGGACCCATTATTTCATATGGTTATTCTATCCTTTACTTAGGGGTGTTATAATCTCATGCTATGATTTTGTTTTTATTATATTTTGCTTTAAAGTACTATGTCTGATATTAATACATCATCTTTTTATTATTTGCATGTAATAACTTATTCCATCCATTTATTTTCATCTTTGCTGTATCTTTATGTTTAAGATATTTCTCTTGTTAATTGCATGTAGCTGCCTTTATAATGGAAAGATACATAAATTTCCTTTAATTACAGCATCCTCAAATATTCTGTAATTGGAGATTTGATTTCCTCTTTGAAGGAAAGCTTCATTTATTCCTTCTCCAGTGCTCTCCCTTTCTTTATGTACTTCCAAGTTTCTGCCCTATATCATTTTCTTTCTGCCCGAAGAAAATCTTCTAATATTTCTTGCAGGGCAGGTCTGTTGGTGATCAATTCATTCTGTTTTTGTTCATCTGAGAATGTCTTTATTTCTCCTTTACTTTTTTTTTCTTCTCCTTTACTTTTGAAAGATCTTTTCCTATATGTAGAAATCTAGGGTGGTAGTCATTTTTCTTTTAACACTTTAAATATTTCACTTTACTCTTGTTGCTTGCATGGTTTCTGATGAAAGCTGCTAGAATTATTATTCTTATTCTATTATAAGTAAGATATTTGGTGTTCTCTGAGCTTCCTGGATCTGTAATTTGGTGTCTGTCATTAATTTTGGAAAATTCTTAGCCATTATTACTTGATATTTCTTCTGCTGTATTCTCTTTCTCTTCTCCATCTGATGTTCCAGTTATGCATATGTGACTCCAGATTTGCCTATCCATCAAGATTTTAGGGTGATGATTTGCCCTGAAATTTCATTTCTCTGACAGGTCCAAAAAAGTGATTGATTTTTAGTTTGTCCAGGTTTTTTTTCTGGTTGTTGGTGCCTCCAGCCTCACATTGATTCTGTGGTGGAAGAAAAGCATGGGGAAGCAAAGAGTCAGTAGATATTGTGGGTTCCTTAAAAAGGAGGAACCATAAGCCCCATATTTTAGGGATGGGAAGAAATGCCAGGTAGGTTTGCAAGATCCTTAAGCAATGTGTTCTTTTGTCTCACCTTCTGGCTAAGGCCAGAGAGGACAAGACTACAAAATAGAATTGTCTGCGTGGTGTCTATAATTATTTGGAGCCTCTTCATGTGGTTTCCCTCAGCTCAGGGTATTTACAGGAGTATATGTGAGACAAAGACAGCCTCACGGAGGTTAATAGACCTCAGCATATCATAGGAACAGTAGAATGTTTTCCATGTATATGAGTGATATATGATACCCAAAGAGATAGTTGGACCCAAAGCAGCTTTACAGTAAAGAAGGAAGCTCACTCAACAGCTACCTGCTTGGACAGACATTGATGAACAAATATGACATGTATGCCAGCATGGATACATGATACCCAACATATGTTACCCATCCTGATGTTTTGACACTATTTAACATCCCTAGAACTTAAATACAACCCCAAAGCAGAGAGTGAGAGGGGGACTCCATACTGCTGGAGATTAAGTTTCCACCACTCAGTAGAATGGGAACTTGACATATAATTTATGTTGAGTTGCAGAGAAAATAACTTACATTTCCTGCATACCGGAGTTTGTCAGATAATACCCATACCTGCAGAATAATCATTAACAGAAAGTGGGTGATAAACACTGAGTATCTCAAACAAATTTATCTACTCAAAACATGGGGTATGTGGCTCTTATAGTAGAAAACCACGGTGGTCTTATCTCAAGGCCAGAGTGAGATGTGAGAAATGACCTCTGGCATTTTGGTGGGTACCAACATAAAGAGAACAGGGAATCTGAGGAGAGCAAAGGACAACTTCTCTGCAGAACGAAATCACTGTCATTGGTGAGGTGTGATTCTACTTCATTTCTTCATCTTCCTGTCCCTGTCCCTCTTACTTCAAATACTTCTCTTTTCTCCCTGGTTATTTCCTCTACTCCCTCCTTCCTCTTTTTTATCCCTCTCCTTGTTTATTTTTCATCCCTCCTTATCTATTCCTTAACCTCTTGTCTTAGTCAGTTCGGGCTGCTGTAACTGACTACCATAGACTGGGTGGCTTAAACAATAGAAATATACTTCTCACCATTCTGGAGGCTGGGAAGTCCAAGACAAAGGCACTGGCAGATCTGCTGTCTGTTGAGGGCCCTCTTTTTCCTGGTTTGCAGATAGCCATCTTCTCGTTGTGTCCTCACAAGGTGGAGAGCAGACCGAGGAAGCAAGCTTTCTCCCTTCTCTTCTTATAAGGTCATTAATCTCATTATGAGGGCTCTACCCATATGACCTTATTACCTCCCAAAGTCCCCATCTCCAATACAGTCACACTGAGGATTTAGGTTTCAACATCTGAATTTGGTGGGGCCACAAACATTTTGTCCATACCACCCCTCTATCTACTCCTGCCTCCCTCTCATGCTCTTCCACCTTACATCCTCTTCTCTTTCCTCTTGCTTTTTCTTTTTCTTTTCTTTTCTTTTTTTTTTTGAGATGGAGTTTCGCTCTCGTTGCCCAGGCTGGAGTGCAATGGTAAGATCTTGGCTCACTGCAACCTCCGCCTCCTGGGTAGAAGCGATATTCCTGCCTCAGCCTCCTGAGTAGCTGGGATTACAGGCACTTGCCACCATGACCAGCTAATTTTTTGTATTTTCAGTAGAGACGGGGTTTCACCATGTTGGCCAGGCTGGTCTCGAACTCCTGACCTCAGGTGATCTACCTGCCTCAGCCTCCCAAAGTGCTGGGATTACAGGCATGAACCATTGCACCTGGCCTCCTCTTGCTTTTTCTACTTCAACTTAGTATCTGTTCTTTCTCCATTATCTTATTTTTCCTTATCTTCCTAATTCCATTTACTTCCAGCTGCTATTTTCATTCATCTTTTCTTATTCCTATTATATTCTTTCTTCTTTTCTTCTTCCCTCTCTTCCTCCTCAATTCCTTTCTTTCCTACTTGACCTTCTTTCTCATTTCTCCCACTCTTCATGCTCCCATCTAACAAGATAGTGGAAAAGAGAGAAAAAGGTAATAGAATGCAATAAAAATGTACTTAAAATGGTAACAGGAATAGGTGATGGGTTTGACTGGGGAATAAGGCAGAGAGAGGCATTATGAATAACCCAAAGTAAAATAGGGAGAAAAAGAGGCTATTAAATATGATTTTTTAAAACTACTTATCAAAAAGCCATAATTATTCTGATAGGCAAAATGGTAAAGTCACTTCAGGAAAAAGAAAGGGATGTTACTTATTTAGATTATTACTCAGTATTGCTCTTGATGTTTTAGCAACTCAGAGAAGACCACCAAATAAGTGCTATTCATATTGTAAAAGAAGTGATCAAATTATTTCTTTTTCTTATAGTGTGATTGTACATTAAGAAATCACAATAGATTTTTAAAAAAATAAAATACTAGAATTGAGGACTTCTACTTCCAGAAAGAAGTAGTAAACAGGGTAGATGTATTTTCCCTATTCATCTCTGGAAAAAATATATAAACAAAACATAAGAAGACCCAGAAAGTTGAAAAGAAGATGATGTATTCTCTAGGGAACTTGGAACCAAGGAATCAACATGGAGGTAAGTTCCCTGTGTTTTCTTTTTGCTGCATACATCCTAGACCAGATGCTAGAGAAACTGGCAAACTGGAAACACCAAAGGGCACAGACAAAAAAAAAAAAAAAAGCTTCAATGTAAATCCACTCTTTCTTCACCTAAAGAACAGACAGCTTAGTAAGGCAATTATTTTTTACTTTTATTTTTTTTTGAGACGGAGTCTCACTCTTGTTGTCCAGGCTGGAGTGCAGTGGTGCGATCTTGGCTCACTGCAACCTCCGCCTCCCGGGTTCAAGCGATTCTCCTGCCTCAGCCTCCTGAGTAGCTGGAATTACAGGCACGTGCCACCACGCCCGGCTAATTTTTGTATTTTTAGTAGAGACGGGATTTTGCCATGTTGTCCAGGCTGGTCTCTAACTCGTGACCTCAGGTGATCCGCCTGCCTCAGCCTCCCAAAGTGCTGGGATTACAGGCGTGAGCCACTGCACCTGGCTGACAAAATTTTTTAAACAATGACCGCTCTATTGTAGCTAAATACCAGAGAAGACTATACCTCTACCCCTACTAGCAAAGGCCAACTAGAGAGACTTCCACCCTTGCCAGCCTGTAATAAGACCTCTAGTTCCCTGATAGAGTGGTAAGATGAATGGGGAGTGGGAACATTCTAGTCCCCTCAGTTAGTAGAGACTATGTGGGGAGCCTAGATTTCCACCCCTAATGAGTGATAATGAGGTGCCTCTCCCCTAACAAATGGTGTGGTATCAAGAGGAAGCCTAATGAAGAGTCAGGTTTTTATCACCACCCAACAGTAACAATGATACCTGTCTATCAGTGGTCTCAATGGAGGCCATTTGGAGAGAAGTAACTGGGCACCCAGTCTCTCCCAAGCAGAGTGGTACTGGTAAAAGCTGGAACTGTCACTTAGCCCATGGTGACAGGAAGCTCCTCAACCCCAGGTATCAGTGGAATCTGAGTATGGAACCTGGACTTCCACCTACATGTGGTAAAACAGAAGATTTAAATAAGACCCAGATCTTCATAACATAATATGCAAAAATATCCAGGATTCAACTGAAAATCACTTGTCATAGTGAGAACTGTAATAATCACAACTTGAGTGACAAAAGACGGTCAACACACATCAACATCAAGATGGCACAGTTATTAGAATCATCTGACAAAGATTTTTAAACAGCCGTCCTAAAAATGTTTCAGTGAGCAATTGTGAACATGCTTAGAACAAATGAAAAAAAGGATGTCTTAGCAAAGAAATTGGAAATCTCTAAAAGAAATCAGAGATATAAAGAAAAATTAATAGGAAATTTTAAAACTGAAAATTTTAATACATGGACTTTAAAAAACAAACCTCAGTAGATGAACTCAACAGCAAAATAAAAATAACAGAAGAATTAATCAGGGAACTTGAAGATAGAACAATAGAAATTATTCAGTCTGAATGACAGAGAAAAATATACTGAAAAACAAAACAACAACAACAAAAAACAGAGCCTTAGGCACTTGTTGGACTATTACAAAAGATTTAAATATGTGTCATTGTAATCACAGAAGAGAGAGAGAAGAGGTACTGAAAAAGTGTTGAGAGATACAATGGCTGAAAATGTCCCAAATTTGGGGGTGGGGGAGACAATCCCACAGATTGAGTGATTCAAGAAGCTGAGCAACCCCCCAAGAAGATACGGTCAAAGAAACCACTTTCAAACTTCTGAAAGCTTAAGACAGAACAAAAAATCTTGAAACCCACCAGAGCAAAATGACACCTTACCTATAGAGAATACCAAAGCAATGACAGACAGAAGCTCTCTCATTAGATACCATAGAGGCCACAATATTTTTCAAGTGCTGCAAGAAAAGACTCATTAACCTGGAATTAAATACCCAATGAAAATAAAATACCCAATGAAAATAAAATATCCTTTAGTAATGAAGAGTAAATCAAGACATTTCCAGAAGAAGGAAAACTAAGAATTTGTTTCTAGCCTACCTATCCTAAAATAATGGCCAAAGGAAGTTCTTATAAAAGAAATTAAGAATTCTAACAATTGTTCAAAGAAGGATGAACAGCATTTCTACACAATCTCATCCAGAAAATAAGAGGAAACAACTTCCATTAATTCTATGAAGTCAGTCTTACCCTCATCCCGAAACCAAAGTACACGAAAGAAACTTACACATTAATATGTCTCACGAACATAGACGCAAAAGTCTTTAACAGAATATTAGTAAGTCAAATCCAGTGTTGTAGAAAACGTTATACACCATGACCAAGTGGAATTTATTCCATGTACGGTTCAGCATCCATAAATCCAGCAATGTAATCCATTATATCAACAGGCTAAAGAATAAAAGCCATTATCATATTGATTGACAAAGAAAAAGCATTTTAGAAAATCCAACAGTTCATTTTTGCTAAAAACTGTCAGCAACCCACTAATAGAGAGTAACTTCCTCAATTTGATTTTTTAAGATATGCACTAAACCTTCACCTGGCATCAGACTTAATGGTGAGAGACTGAATTTCTCCTTGCCATCAGGAACAAGGTAAGTATTTGCACTCACCACTGCTATCAAAATAGTATTGGGTTGCTGGATCATATGACAGTTCTGTTTTTAGTTTTTTGAGGAACCTCTATACTGTTTCTAAAGTGGCTGTATTAATTTACATTCCAAAAAAAATGTATGAGTGTTCCTCTTTCTCCACATCCTTGCCAACATCCATTACTTTTTGTCTTTTTGGTAATAGCCATTATTAACTGGAGAGAAATTATATCTCTTTGTGGTTTTGATTTATATTTCTCTAATGACTAGTGATGGTGAGCATTTTAAAAATATATTCCCTTGGTCATTTGTATGCCTTTTGAGAATTATCTATTCAGGTCATTTACCCATTTTTAAATTGGAGTATTTGCGGAGTGTGTATGTGTGTGTGTGTTTCTATTGAGTTATTGGAGTTCCTTATATATTCTGGTTATTAAATTCCTTGTCAGTTGAATAGTTTGCAAATATTTTCTCCCATCCTGTAGGTTTTCTCTTCACTTTGTTGATTGTTTCCTTTGCTGTGCAGAAGCTTTTTAGCTTGATGTGATCCCATTTGTTCATTTTTTCTTTGTTTGAGGTGCTTTTGAGGTCTTACTAAAAAAATCTTTGCCCAAACCAATCCCGGGGCACTTCCCTAATGTTTTCTTCCAGTACTTTAATAGTTATAGGTCTTATATTTAAGTCTTTAACCCATTCTGACTTGATTTTTGTATATGGTGAGAGATAGGTCCAAAAGAAAGAAAAATCAATATATCAAAGAGATAACTGGATTCTTGTGTTTATTGTAGCACTATTCACAATGCCGAGATAGGGAATCAACCTAAGGGTCCATCAGTGGATGAATGGATAAAGAAAATATGGTATATATGCACAATGAAATATTATTCAGCCATAAAAATAAGGAGAGCCTGTCATTTGCAGCAACATGGATGGAACTGGAGGACATTATATTAAGTGAAATAAGCTAGACACAGAAAGACAAATATTACATATTCTCACTTATATGCAGGAGCTAAGGAAAATTTGATTTCATGGAAGTAGAGAGTAGAGTGATGATTACCAGAGGCTGAGAAGGGTGGGGGGTGGGGAGCTTAAAGAGGGGTTGTTTAAGGGGTACAAAAATACAGTTAGATAGTAGGAATAAGACTTAGTAGTCAGTAGCACAATACAGTGACTATAGTTAACAATCATTTATTGTATGTTTCAAAATAACTAGGGGAGTGGATTTGGAACGTTCCCAATACAAAGAAATGATAAATGTTTGAGGTGATGGATATCTCAGTTACCCTGATGAGATCATTATACAAGATCATACCCTGATGAGATCATTATACATCATATACATGTATCAAAGTATCACATGTAACCCATGAATATATACAACAAATATGTATCCATAAAAATTAAAAATTAAAGGTAAATCTAAGCATGCTTCTTAAAAAACAAAGCACAACAAAAAGCAAAATAATAATGGAAATTCTAGCCAGCTCAGTAAAGAAAGAAAAGCAATACAGATCAGAAAGGAAGAAATAAAACTCACTATTTCCAGATGTCATGATAGTATATGTAGAAATTCCCAAAATCTACAAAAAAAAAGAAAAAATCTCCTAGAACTAATAAGTGAGTTTAGCAGGTCACAGGGTACAAGGTCAACTTACCAATATCAATTTTATTTCTATATCCTAGCAATGAGCACGTGGAAATTAAAAATAGAATACTGGGCTGGGCACAGTGGCTCACACTTGTAATCCCAGCACTTTGGGAGGCTGAGGCGGGAGCAATCACTTCAGCTCAGGAGTTCGAAACCAGCCTAGGCAACATAGGGAGACCACATCTCTACAAAAATTCAAATAATTAACTGGGCATGGTGTCACGCACCTGTGGTCCCAGCTACTTGGGAGGCTGAAGTGGGAGGATCGCTTGAGCCCAAGAGTTGAAGGCTGCAGTAAGCCATGATCGCACCATTGCACTCCAGCCTCAGCAACAGAACAAGGCCCTGTCTCAAAACAAAGAAGAAAAAAAAGAGAATACAATGACTCAAAAAAAAAAAAAAAAGGTGAAATACGTGTAAATTGACAAAACATATGCAATATTTCTATACTAAAAACTACAACGTTAGTGAAGAAATTAAAGAAGAGCAAAATAAATGGAGAAGCACATATCGTCACATTCATGGATTGTAAGAATCAATGTAAAAAATGATATTAATTTTCCCTAAATTGATACACAGTTTAAGTGCAGTTCCTATCAAAATCCCTGCAAGATGTTTTGTAGCTATAAATAAGATTATCCCAAAATATATGGAAAGACAAAAGAACCAGAATAATACATAAAATAATTTTGAAAAAGAAAGATAAAGTGGGAGAAATCATTCTATTCAAATTTGAGACTACTGACTATTATAATCAAGACTGTAGGATTTGATAGATGAACAGACACAGAAAATAGAATAGAACAGAGAACTCAGAAATTGCCTCACAAATATGCCAGCTGATTTTCGACAAAGGTACAAAAACAATTCAAAGGAAGAAGGATCACCCTTTAATCACCCTGTACTGGCCTGACTGGATATCCATAGCTCTGACACCCGCCCCCCTGCCCCCTCCCCGCTGCCAAATGAACTTCAGCTTAAACTTCACACCTCATTAAAACTTAATCTCAAATGGATGACAGACATCAATGTAAAAATTAAAACCATAAAACTTTTAGAAGATATTGTAGGAGAAAATTGTGAGGTACTAGGGCTTGTTGAAGAGTTCTTAGAAATGAAATAAAACCCACAATCCATAAAAGGAAAAAAAAAAACCAATAAATTGAATTTCTTCAAAATTTCCCCTGCAAAAGTCTCTGCAATCTGGGAGAAAGTATTTGCAAACCATATATCTGACAAAAGACTCATACATAAAATACATGAACTCTCAATATTCAACAGTAAAAGAGAAAAGAAAGAAAACAATGCAATTAAGGGTAATGGGGGCTGGGAAGGAGGTGGGGATGGTTAATGGGTACAAAAAATACTTAGAAACAATGGATAAGACCTACTACTTGATAGCACAATAGGGTGACTATAGTTAATTGTACATTTTAAAGTAACATAGTGTAATTGGGTTGTTTGTAACTCAAAGGATAAATGCTTGAGGGGATGGATTCTCAGTGATGTGCTTATTTTACATTGCATTCCTGTATCAAAACGTCTCATGTACCCCATGAATATATATACCTACTATGTACCCACAAAATTTTTTTAATTAAAAAATAGGTAAAAGGCATGAAGAGGCATTTAATCAAAGAGGATATATGGATGGCAGAAAAGCACATGTAAAGATGTTCAACATCATTAGCCATTAGGGAAATGCAAATTAAAACCACAGTAAGATATTACTACACACCTATGGCCAAAATATACTGACACCAGCAGATGCTAGCAAGGATTTGGAGAAACTGTATCCTTCACACATAGCTGGTGGGAATGTCAAATGGTATGATCACTCTAGGAAAGTTTGGTAATTTCTTGTAAAACTAACATGCACTTACTATATACCCCAACAATTGCACTCTTGGGTACTTATCCCAGAGAATTGGGAACTTAGGTTCACACAGATACTTGTACACAAATGTGTGTAGCAGCTTCATTCACAGTAGCCCAAAACTGGAAATGACCCAGATGTCTTTCAGTGGGTGAATGGTTAAACCAACTGTTGTAGCACCTCTATACCATGTAATAGTACTCAACAATAAAACAAGAAACTCTGATACACAAGACAACTGGGATGCATCTCACAGGCATTATGCTGAGTGTGAAAAAAGCCAATCTCAAAATGTGACATATTGTATGATTACATTTTCATGACCTCTTGAAATGATAAAATTATAGAGATGGAGAACACATTAGTGGCTGCCAGGGGTTAGGGATGGGGGCGGTGGAGGAGGGTTGGTTGTGACTATAATGGGGTAGTAAGAGGGAAATCTTTGTGGTGATGAAATAGTTCTGTGTCTTGATTGCTGTGGTGTTTGTAGAGACTTCCACATGTGATAAGGTGATATAGAACTATATACACATATTGTACCAATGTCAGTGTCTTGGTTTTGATTTTGTACTGCAGTTACACAGATGTAACCATTGGGGAAGCAGATAAAGGGTACATAGAACCTCACTGTACTATCCTCGCAATTCCCTGTGTATCTGTAATTATTTCAAAATAAAAAGTTTAAAAAGTTTTTTAAAAGCAGAATTAATAAAATATTACCTAAAAGCAGTAGGGCATCAGTTATATTTCAAAAATCATGTCATAGGGCCGGGCATGGTGGCTCATGCCTGTAATCCTAACACTTTGGGAGGCTGAGGTGGGTGGATCACCTGAGGTCAGGAGTTCTACACCAGCCTGGCCAACATGGTGAAACCCCATCTCTCCTGAAAATAGAAAAATTATCCGGGCGTGGTGGTGGGTGCCTGTAATCCCAGTTACTCGGGAGGCTCTAGCAGGAGAATCACTTGAACCTGGGAGGTGGAGGTTGTAGTGAGCTGAGATCATGCCACTGCACTCCAGCCTGAGTGAAAGAGTGAGACTCTGTCTCAAAAAAAAAAAAAAAAAAAAAAAAAGCCATATGTATTAGCTGGTTGGATACCATTGCTGCCGCTACTGAACAGTGGACACCGGATGTTAGCCCTGCCACTAATGCTGCCCCTAGAAACTGGATTTTCTTGTGGCTGCTGCTCCCACCACCACAACTATGGTGGTGAATTCCATCACTGCATATTTGAATCACTCCTTTGAAACAAAGTGTTAGGTCTAAGTTGTAACTGCAGTGAAAGGGTTGTACTCAGCAGGTCTGCAATGTTCAAACCCTATGCTTTCCAAAAAAAGGTCTTTTGCAAAGAATGCTTTGGCTCTTGACCAGCTCTTGGGAGATAATCTGTAAGCCCTTGGAAGTATCCTGCCTGATCAGAGTGTCTTTGTTTACTGTGGCCTTGGCCCACACTGGATAGTTTGTGCTAACAGTGTGATTTGTGGTGTGAGCCTTGGGCTGAGAGATACTAGTTTAACCTCTGCATGGACTAGAGACTGAATAACTAAGGTCAACCACACAGGTGCTCCATGCCTATCTGACTGAACCCCAAAAACAACTCTGGGCACCAAGGCTTGGGTGAACTTCCCTGGTTGACAGTATTTCATACATGTTTTCACACATCATTGTTGGGGGAATTAAGCACTGGCCATACAACTCCATTGGGAGAGTACAACTGAAAAGTCGTGCCTGGTCTCTCCTGAATTTTTCCCTATGCACTTTTTACTTTTGCTGATTTTAATCTGTATCCTTTCACTGTAATAAACAATAGCCATAACACTTTTTCTGAGTTCTCCGAATCCTTCTAGCAAATCATTGAATCTGAGGATGGTCTTCAGGAGCTTGCCACACTGGTAAATCCTAGATCACATTCTCTTAGCTGCCAAGGGCATGTGAAGAAGTGAATATCTGGCCTTTGTGGCTTTTGCACTTGGAACTGTTAAGTAAGAATATATATGACCTTACTAAAATGTTAAAAATCGAAATACATCTGGCCCCAAGGGTTTTCAGTAAGGATCTATAACGCTATATAAAGAACTCCTAAAAGTCAGTAAGACAGACAACCCAAATGAAAAACAGGTAAAATATACAAGCATATTACAAAATAAATCTAATATGTTCATTAATGTATAAAAATGTGTTCTACCACATTGCTTATCAGAAATATAAATTAAAACCATAAGGAGATACCAATAAATACACATAAGATTGGCAAAAAAAAAAAAAAAAAGGAAAAGTCTTGTAGAGTATGTCAGTCTTACTCCTGGGCTTCTGGTGTCACGGAAATAAAGACAAACATTAATTATTAAAGTATAAGAATACATGTACAAGTATTTTTATTGCAATGTTGTTGTATTGCCACGCTCCCCACAAAAATCCTGAAACTAAAATGGATTCCATCCATGGGGGAATGGTTAAATACATTGTGGTACATTCTTACCATGGAATATTATGCAGTCATTTAAAAGAACGAATCACAGGTAGACTGTTGTCAAATAAGATAATTCAGACACATAAAAGTTCATGTAATCTTAAATTTGTAAAAATAAAAAACAACTTTTGAGTATGGAAGGATATCAAATGGTGTTAAAAACAAGTGTTTGGCAGGTGAAGGTAGAATTGAAAGGAAGTGGGAAGCAGTAAGGAAAAGAATGCAATTTAAGGTCTGGCATATATAACACATCATTTATGTAACAACATATATGTGTGTAAAGTATGAAAAGGTAGCACCAAATCTAAGCAATTGTCCAAGGTGATGAGATTTAGTGATGTTTATTTAATTTCTAAAATATTTAGGCAGTGTTTGAATGTATAGTGATGAGTGTGCATTATTTGTATAATGAGGAAAAATAAGTGAATTGATCACAGGAAAAATTGCCTCTCAGGTTTCTTGCTTTAGCAATGGGATGGAGAGTGCGATTCATTCATTTAACAAATATTTATTGAGGATATAAAAATGTGCCAGGCATGGTTCTAGGTGCTGGGGAAACAACAATGAATAAAACAAAAATCTGTCTCCCTAAGAGGTTTACACTCTAAATGGGGGAGAAAGGCATAACTAGAGGAGAAACACTGTGTTGGTGGGAAGGAGGAGGCGTATGAAGGAATCGGTTTGGGACCTGTTAATTTAGAGAATACTGAGAGATATCCATTTGGAGAAGTGAGGTAGGTAGTTACTATGGATCTAGAATTCATAGGCCAAGTCATGACCGAAGATACAGATATGGAAACAGATAGCATAGAAAATGGTGTTTCTGACCTCCTTTCCTGAGTCTGATCACGTCTCACTGCAGACACTTTACAGAGGAAGTGCTGAGGAAAAACAGGCAGCTGACAGAGGAGGTTGCTATGCAACAGATGAGGAAAGTCATCCAGCCAGGCAGAACTGATGTTGGCCCTTGGGGACCAAATGCTGCAGTCCTTCCTAGCATTAGCTTCCTTTCATGTTCAGGCTTCTGGCATGAGTTGATGCCAGAACAAATGTGAACTGCACAAAGATCTGTCTTGAATTTTGGAACTGTACCAGTTTAATTTGAGTCACCTCACATCTGTATTTAATTTTCTGCCTTTTTGAGTTTCTCCAGTTATCCTGGAAGCATAGCAGCGTGTGTGTCCTTGGGTAGGACCCACTTGCTGTGCATTCCACTTTGCACATTGAGAAACCAGGCCCAGAGAATTGAGTGACCCGTGCGGGCTCACACAGCTCGAGACAGACAGGCTGGGCACTCCATTCCTGGAATTCTGAAGCCCAGCCCAGTTTCTCTCCATAAAACCACAGCTGCCCCAGGCCCCAGCCCTGAAAGGAACCAGGGCTTGCCATGGCTCAGACACACAGGTCTGATTGTCCTGGCTGCTCCAGTGGGCACCAGGAAGGCCTCAGGGACAGTGTGATTGTATCCCTGATAAGGAAGAGGCCTGATGTTCTGAGCACAGAGTGGACCCCAAGGAGCAATTCCCACGCCTGGATGGACCCACACAGGGCAGGGGGAGGGTGGGGGCCTCTGCTTGTGTCCTCCTGAATGCAGAGCATGAGCTTGGGCCTCCTAGAACACAAACTTTGCTTGTTTGGTACAAATGGGGTGCCGTGGTCTGTTGCTCAAATGGAGGAGGGAGGGGTACCCTTAGTCCCCAGGCCAGCATGAGCAGAATGTGGGCTTTGGAGTCAGGAAGACCCAGACCCAAATTTTGCATTTTGTTTCCTGGCTCTGTGGCCTTGTCTAGTTCATGCAATGTATCTGTGCCTCAGCTTCCTGATCTGCAAAATAGGGGTGCTGACATCCACTTCCCAGGGCTGCTGTGACAGGAAGACAAGCCCCAGCACAAATCCTGCTGTGATGTACAAGCTGTGCCCTTCCCTCCTTTCCTCCCCCAACACACACAAAATGAGTCCATCACCGGAGCTGCAGAAAGAAAGGGAAGAAACTAACGTTCTTTCTGCGTCTGGGAGCTTGTGGGGGCGGGCAGGGGGTGAGGGAGAAATCATGGAGTCACGTGGCAGCCACAGACTTACTACTACTACTTTGTTAGCTCCAATAGTGTATCCTCTCAGGCCATTCCGTTTCCTCAGCAGAGGTCTAACACTTGTTGCAATTAGAGACCCCAAACAGAGACCTAAGCATGCTGGACAAGGGGGTGGAGATGCAAGCCGGCCTGACAGGAGGGGCCTTGAATAGGGGAGGGACGGAATAGAGACGCATTGCGGAAAAGGTAGGGGGCCGGTGTGTGGGGCAAGGGGTGGGACCAAGAGGCACAGCGCATCTGTGGGGGAGGGGGCGTAGAGGAAGGGGAGGTGCTGTTGTATAGTGTCGACCTGGTTGGTGGTGGGGTGGTGTGTTGGCAAAGGGGGCGGGACCGCCTTCCAGCGCACATGCGCATCATGGTCTCCAGGACGAAGCTTTTGTTGGGAAAGCAGGCGGGACTGACTTTGGCTCTTCAGTGTTTGCGCATGCGCGTAACGTCCTGAGGCGGTGGGTGGTATATTAGGCGAAGAGGCGGGGTCGCCCAAGCTGCCGCGCTGGCATTTTCTCCTGGACAAGGAGAGAGTGCGGCTGCTGAGAGCCGAGCCCAGCAATCCCGATCCTCTGAGTCGTGAAGAAGGGAGGCAGCGAGGGGGTTGGGGTTGGGGCCTGAGGCAAGGTGAGAATTAGCCCCCAGACTGGGCATCTGCCCCCTGGTGCGGGCCCCCATTTTTTTTTATCCCGATCCCTTCACCCTGGATTCTGAATCCCCTTCCACCCCCCAAACCCCAATTCAATGCCCCTCCCGATCCTTCCTGATTCAAAACCCCTGTCCGATCCCTCCCATCGTTCGAAATCCTCAGATTCCTTGACCTCGATCTGTACTGTTAGATGATTCCTCCTGACTCAAAACCTCCATGCAACTTCCCAAATGCGAATCCCAACCCAACCGCACCCCCGCTCCGAATTCAGAACTCATCTGCTTCCCGATCCCCATTTGAAGCTTCGCCCTGTCAGTAGCTTCTCGGGGTTCAGAACCTCCATCTGGACGCCCATTCACTTTTACCGCTCCGATCCGTTCCTCCTCACATTCACCTTATCCGCCCGCACAGTCAGACCACAGTCACCCCCCTCCCAATTAGGTCCTTCGTATTTGCCCTCTGTAGTATAACGCCCTGCCCCTCTCCCACAGCCCCCAGGCTCCGCTCTTGCCAGAGGGACAGGAGCCATGGCTCAGAAAATGGACTGTGGTGCGGGCCTCCTCGGCTTCCAGGTGAGATCTCCACTCCCCACCCCACCATTTCCCCAGCCGACAGTCACCCCTCCCCGCGGGCCTCTTTGGTCTCCCAAACGCCGGGATCCGGTTTGACCCTATTTAGTGACTAGACTCCGTGGGCTTTTCGAATTCCCATCGTTTATCGAAGGGGGGGAGGGGCGTCTCTTTTCAGCCATCAGTCCCTGCTCAGAGAGAGGGGAGACCCTGTTAGTAGTCAGGGCAATCTGCCCAGAGAATGCGGGGTGGGTAAGGAACCATTTTTTTTTTTTTCCAGAATCCTGACGCTTGTAGAGCAGTCTGTCACCCCCTCCCCCAGCCTCCTGCCTCCACCCTCCCTCTTTCTGCATTCCCCACTCTGTGCGACCCCCCTTATTCTCAACTCCGCGATCCGCCTGCCGTCCTGAGCTGCTACTGCACGCCTCTTGGAGCGTCCCCGGCTCCTGTTCGTGCCCACTTTCCGCATACCGCCCCACCCCTCATTTTGCCCTTGCCCTACTTCACCCCTGCCACATGTTTAGTACCCGCCTGGTCCCCCATCGCCCCTCGCGGGCCCCCTAGATCTCTGCCTCAGCCCCCCTGTTTTTGCACCCACCGCCCGCCTGCAGCTCCGCTGCTGCGCTGCCACCCGGGCTCCCTATTCCCACCCCACCTCCTGCCTCAGAGGCCCAGAGATTTAATTTTTTCCCCCCTGTGTTTGCAGGCTGAGGCCTCCGTAGAAGACAGCGCCTTGCTTATGCAGACCTTGATGGAGGCCATCCAGATCTCAGAGGCTCCACCTACTAACCAGGCCACCGCAGCTGCTAGTCCCCAGAGTTCACAGCCCCCAACTGCCAATGAGATGGCTGACATTCAGGTTTCAGCAGCTGCCGCTAGGCCTAAGTCAGCCTTTAAAGTCCAGAATGCCACCACAAAAGGCCCAAATGGTGTCTATGATTTCTCTCAGGCTCATAATGCCAAGGATGTGCCCAACACGCAGCCCAAGGCAGCCTTTAAGTCCCAAAATGCTACCCCAAAGGGTCCAAATGCTGCCTATGATTTTTCCCAGGCAGCAACCACTGGTGAGTTAGCTGCTAACAAGTCTGAGATGGCCTTCAAGGCCCAGAATGCCACTACTAAAGTGGGCCCAAATGCCACCTACAATTTCTCTCAGTCTCTCAATGCCAATGACCTGGCCAACAGCAGGCCTAAGACCCCTTTCAAGGCTTGGAATGATACCACTAAGGCCCCAACAGCTGATACCCAGACCCAGAATGTAAATCAGGCCAAAATGGCCACTTCCCAGGCTGACATAGAGACCGACCCAGGTATCTCTGAACCTGACGGTGCAACTGCACAGACATCAGCAGATGGTTCCCAGGCTCAGAATCTGGAGTCCCGGACAATAATTCGGGGCAAGAGGACCCGCAAGGTGAGATCTCTGCTAACTTCATTTTGCTTTGGGGCTGTCTCCTTTCTTCTCTGAGGGTGTTCATTTGTTCTAAACAAAACAATGTATGTAACTGTATTCAGCTAGGCTATAGGGCATTTGAAGAGAATGTTTATTCCTGTCCTCCGGATGTTCACAAACTGATGGGGAGATAATACATGGACACAAATAATATATACAACCTGTATGTAATTCAGTTTACATTTTGTTATGTTAGTAACCACCATGTGTTAAGCCTTGAGCTAGGCACATTCACACAGGTTGTCTCATTAAACCTTAAAGGCACCTCCTACCAGGTAGGGATCATAGTGCCAATTTTACAAAGAAGGAAATTAAGTGCCAGAGAGGTGAAGTGACTTGAGTGATTTGTTCAGGGTGGTACAGGCAGAACCAGTGGTGGACATAGGAAGAGGAGAAGCCTCAGGCCCCATCTTTGGGTTGCTCCTGGCCTGGCTCGGAGATGAAACTCCTGCCTGGAAGACAGTGAAAGACAAACCCAGGACTCAGGGTGACCAATGGCTAGTGGGTCAGGCTGTCACTACAGGTGAGGGTTTAGAGGGCATTCCTGGAATAGATAAGGTGAGGACACAGAACCCACTGGTGATTCTGAACTTCTCTCTGATGATGCAGATTAATAACTTGAATGTTGAAGAGAACAGCAGTGGGGATCAGAGGCGGGCCCCACTGGCTGCAGGGACCTGGAGGTCTGCACCAGTTCCAGTGACCACTCAGAACCCACCTGGCGCACCCCCCAATGTGCTCTGGCAGACGCCATTGGCTTGGCAGAACCCCTCAGGCTGGCAAAACCAGACAGCCAGGCAGACCCCACCAGCACGTCAGAGCCCTCCAGCTAGGCAGACCCCACCAGCCTGGCAGAACCCAGTCGCTTGGCAGAACCCAGTGATTTGGCCAAACCCAGTAATCTGGCAGAACCCAGTGATCTGGCCAAACCCCATTGTCTGGCCCGGCCCTGTTGTCTGGCCGAATCCACTGGCCTGGCAGAATCCACCTGGATGGCAGACTCCACCTGGATGGCAGACCCCACCGGGCTGGCAGGGTCCTCCAGACTGGCAAGGTCCTCCTGACTGGCCGCTACCACCCGACTGGCCACTGCCACCTGATTGGCCACTTCCCACTGACTGGCCACTACCACCTGACTGGATCCCCGCTGATTGGCCAATTCCACCTGACTGGCAGAACCTGCGCCCCTCGCCTAACCTGCGCCCTTCTCCCAACTCGCGTGCCTCACAGAACCCAGGTGCTGCACAGCCCCGAGATGTGGCCCTTCTTCAGGAAAGAGTAAGAGCTGTAACTCCCCAGTCACTTTTCCCCTCTCTTGCTCTTTTCTTTGTCATCCTCTCATCTGTAATTCAACCAAGTTTTTTTGTAAATATTTTATAAGTTTAATGATTTCCTTTTTCCCTCCCAGGCAAATAAGTTGGTCAAGTACTTGATGCTTAAGGACTACACAAAGGTGCCCATCAAGCGCTCAGGTATGCATCCAGTGTCCCCTCCCCAAGCTCTGCCCTTCCCTTCACTCCATGCTCTGTCAGCATTCTTCTGCTTGTAGCTCTGCCCTTCCCTTCACTCCATGCTCTGTCGGCATTCTTCTGCTTGTATGACCCTTCCCCTTCTATCCCCTCCTTTCCATGGTTGGCTCTTTCCACCCTTGAGGACCTTGACTGTGCTACCCCCAGCAGGGCTGGCAAAGGGACTGCTGCTCTGTGGCCCCCGCTCGGCTCAGATGGCTCCCTCCTCTCTCCTACAGAAATGCTGAGAGATATCATCCGTGAATACACTGATGTTTATCCAGAAATCATTGAACGTGCATGCTTTGTCCTAGAGAAGGTGAGAAGGCAGCCCTGGGGTACAGGAATAATGGGGAAAGTCTTGATTTCAAAGATTCATGGGGTTCCTACTGGGAGTTTAGGGCAAGTCTCAGGGAGATGAGTGTCTGCCTATGGGTAGCTTATGCTAGATGTTGTAATTTCATAGTCTGTTTTCTTGCCCCTGTAGAAATTTGGGATTCAACTGAAAGAAATTGACAAAGAAGAACACCTGTATATTCTCATCAGTACCCCCGAGTCCCTGGCTGGCATACTGGGAACGTAAGATGGGAAAGAAGGTGGAACATGGCCTTTCTCAGTGGTGCTTTTTTTCTAGGAGTTTCACGTAGATCAGGGTCCAGGGTTCAGGGTCACATAGCAGGTCATGGGCAGAGCTGGGGTATAATTCTCCCCTAGCTGAGGAATATTGGGGAGGCTAGATGGGCAAGCTGGTTGGGGTCTCTCATGCAAATGGCTACTGAAAATATATTCTTTCTATATTCCCTTAGGACCAAAGACACACCCAAGCTCGGTCTCCTCTTGGTGATTCTGGGTGTCATCTTCATGAATGGCAACCGTGCCAGTGAGGGTGAGTGGCTGGACCTGCAGCTGGGGGTTGGCCACAGCCTGATTTCCATGCTTATTTTCCGTCCCTTGTCTCCCCTTGCCTCCCATTGCAGCTGTCCTCTGGGAGGCACTACGCAAGATGGGACTGCGTCCTGGGTATGATTGGGCTCTCTCATCTCTTGCCTGTTTGTGCCATCCTTTGGCAACAGTGGATGGTCCCAGGATTGCATTAACCTGGGGGTCTGGAGGGTTTGGTTTGGGGATGTTCAGAGCCCAAAGATGTGACCTGGGTGGATGGGGAAACAGTTCTGAACTCTCTGCCTCTTTTCTCATCTCTGACCTCTGTTCTGGAAAGCTCTTTGGGCATGGTAATAGCCTCTGATTGTGGGTTTCCTTTTTTTACCTTCAGGGTGAGACATCCCCTCCTTGGAGATCTAAGGAAACTTCTCACCTATGAGTTTGTAAAGCAGAAGTAAGTGATGCCTAAGGGGCTTTTCCTGCTTCTTATGATTCTGCCTGTGTGCTGGTCAGCTTTAGAAAGCCCTTCCTGGCTGGATACAATGGCTCATGCCTGTAATCCCAGTACTTTGGGAGGCTCAGGTGGGCAGATCGCTTGAGCCCAGGAGTTCAAGACCAGCCTGGGCAACATAACGAAACCCCATCTCTACAAAAAAATACAAAAATTAGCCAGGCGTGGTGACATGCACCTGTAGTCCCAGCTACTTGGGAGGCTGAGGTAGGGGAGAATCATCTGAGCCCAGGAAGTTGAGGCTGCAGTGAGCTGTGATCATGCCACTGCACTCCAACCTGGGCAACAGAGTGAGACCCTGTCTCAAAAAAAATAAAAGAAAGCCCTTCTCAAGCTCGTTTCTTACACTATACTTGTGCATATGTGTTTCTGTGCATACAGAAACACTTATGTCCTCAGGAGTATTTATTGCATATACTCCTCATGGTTAAATTCTTTATTTTTTATTTTTTTATTTTTTGAGACGGAGTTTCGCTCTTGTTGCCCAGGCTGGAGTGCAATGGCGTGATCTCGGCTCACCGCAACCTCTGCCTCCTGGGTTCAAGCTATTCTCCTGCCTCAGCCTCTTGAGTAGCTGGGATTACAGGCATGTGCCACCACGCCCACCTAATTTTGTCTTCTTAGTAGAGACGGTGTTTCTCCATGTTAGGCTGGTCTCAAACTCCCGACTTCAGGTGATCTGCCTGCCTTGGCCTCCAGAAGTGCTGAGATTACAGGCGTGAGCGACCGTACCGGGCGAATTCTTTTGTTTGTTTTTTTCGAGACTGAGTCTCACTCTGTTGCCCATGCTGGAGTGCAGTGGTGCAATCTTGGCTCGCTTGAACTTCCACCTCCCAGGTTCAAGCAATTCTTGTGCCTCAGCCTCCCGAGTAACTGGAACTTCAGGTGCGTGCCACCGTGCCCGGCTGTTTTTGTATTTTTAGTAGAGATGGGGCTTCACCACGTTGGCCAGGCTGGTCTCAAACTCCTGACCTGAAGCAATCCACCCACCTCTGCCTCCCAAAGTGCTGGGATTACAGGTGTGAGCCACCACACCCGGCCAGAATTTTTCTAATTTTTCTACTTTTCTAAGCAGTTGTCTTGCAAGTGAAGCCCATCCACCATCCCCACAGTAGACATTCCCAAGGCTGGGCCAGGCTGACACTTTTGCACTGCATTGTACTCATTTCAATGGACCTCTGTGGCTCACTGACAAGATTACAAGAATCTGGAGCTAGAGCTGAGGCAGAAGGAGTGAAAGGAAATGTTGTCCTTTCTGTGACCCTATACAAGCCTCGCCTGCATCTCTAGTGAGTGCTTAGCGTTCTAGTGCAGGAATTTAAGGCTTGATGATTAAGGGGTAAATACCCTGATGGTGTTCAGGAATGAGCCCAAGGGGGAGTTGCTATCTGAAATCTGTTAAAAAATGTAAGATTATTTTTCATTAGTGGACTACCATTCTGCCTGGGTAGGTAGACACAAAGACTGTTTTGCTCTTTCAGATACCTGGACTACAGACGAGTGCCCAACAGCAACCCCCCGGAGTATGAGTTCCTCTGGGGCCTCCGTTCCTACCATGAGACTAGCAAGATGAAAGTGCTGAGATTCATTGCAGAGGTAATGGAGGAACTGTTCCAGCATTGATAGGTCAAGGGATGAAGTATAGCTGGCTGGGAAAGGCCCAGGGTAGGAATGAGATCCTAGGTGTGGCAGGTGGTAGGTGCCGCATTGCTGGTGGTATTTGTTGTTGCTGTTAGGTAAACTTAACATGTATTAGGTGCTAACATATGTTAATATATTAGCTAATACAATTATGAGTTTGTTTTGGGTTTTTTTTTAGGTTTTTAAAGTATTTTTATTTTTTCCCAACTTTACTAAATTATAATTGACAAAAATTGTATATATTTGTGGTGTACAATGTAATTTTTAAGTATTTTGTTTTATTTATTTATTTATTTGTTTTCTCCCGAGATGGAGTTTTGCTGTGTTGCCCAGGCTAGAGTGCAGTGGCGCAATCTTGGCTCACTGCAACCTCTGCCTCCCAGGTTAAAGCGATTCTTGTGCCTCAGCCTCCCAAGTATCTGGGATTACAGGCACGTGCCACCACCATGCCTGGCTAAATTTTTATTTTTCTATTAGAGACAGGGTTTTGCCATGTTAGCCAGGCTGGTCTCAAACTCCTGACCTCAAGTGATCTGCCTGCCTCAGCCTCCCAAAGTGTTGGGATTACAGGCGTGAGCCACCGTACCCGGCCCATTCATTTATTTTTAACTGACTAATAAAAAATATACATATTTATGGGGTACAGTATGATGTTTTGATAATACATGTACATTGCAGAATGATTACATCAAGCTAGTTAACTCTCCATAGCCTCATATACTTGACATTTTTTTTGTGATGAGAACATTTAAAATGTACTCTTTTAGCAATTTTAAATAAACGACACATTATTATTAACTATAGTCGTCATGCTATACGGTTGATCTCCAGAACATATTCTTCCTATCTAAATGAAACTTTGTACCTTTTAACCGATATCTCCCTATCCCTCCTGACCCCAGGCCCTGGAAACTACCATTCTACTCTCTGCTTCTATGAGTTAGACGTTTTTAGATTCCATGTATAAGTGAGGTCATGCAGTATTTGTCTTTCTGTGTCTGGCTTATTTCACTTAGCATAATGTCATCCAGCATCATCTATGTTGTTGCAAATGGCAGAATTTCCTTCTTTTTAAAGGCTGAATAGTATTCCATTGTGTGTGTGTGTATCACATTGTCCTTATCCATTCATCCACTGATGGACAGGTAGGTTGATTCCATATCTTGGCTATTGTAAATGGATTTTGTTTTGTTTTCTATTCCTCATCTCAGGTTCAGAAAAGAGACCCTCGTGACTGGACTGCACAGTTCATGGAGGCTGCAGATGAGGCCTTGGATGCTCTGGATGCTGCTGCAGCTGAGGCCGAAGCCCGGGCTGAAGCAAGAACCCGCATGGGAATTGGAGATGAGGCTGTGTCTGGGCCCTGGAGCTGGGATGACATTGAGTTTGAGCTGCTGACCTGGGATGAGGAAGGAGATTTTGGAGATCCCTGGTCCAGAATTCCATTTACCTTCTGGGCCAGATACCACCAGAATGCCCGCTCCAGATTCCCTCAGACCTTTGCCGGTCCCATTATTGGTCCTGGTGGTACAGCCAGTGCCAACTTCGCTGCCAACTTTGGTGCCATTGGTTTCTTCTGGGTTGAGTGAGATGTTGGGTAGGTACATCACTTTGGATTGGGCAGTTAGGGTCTCTGGGGGATATAGGGTCCATGGGGTTGTATTTATGTGCATGAGCTAGAAGTATTAGGAAACTCATTGTAGGGAGATGAGGAAAGTATGGGGCAGCACTCTTTGGTATGTATATTCCTTATTATTTGATATATATCATTGATTTTTTTACTTCTTCTTTCTTATGTTCACAGATATTGCTATCAATCGCAGTAGTCTTTCCCCTGTGTGAGGCTGAAGCCTCAGATTCCTTCTAAACACAGCTATCTAGAGAGCCACATCCTGTTGACTGAAAGTGGCATGCAAGATAAATTTATTTGCTGTTCCTTGTCTACTGCTTTTTTTCCCCTTGTGTGCTGTCAAGTTTTGGTATCAGAAATAAACATTGAAATTGCAAAGTGAATTAGATGTGCTCTCTGCTTCTTTTTTTCCCTATATTTGGGGAGCGAGCAACATGTTTATGTGGGAGAGACAGGACCTCAGCTGTAGTTTGAAGGGTAGATCAGCTTTCAGCAGGTGGAAATGTGGGAAGATCTAGCTACTGGATTGGGATACAAAGGCAGGATCAATGAACACGAGACCCAAGAACTAGTATAGTTTATTCAATAAATATCACTTAAGTGACTCTCATGTGATAGATATGCTGCTAGGTGTCTTGGAGTGACATTGCGAGAAGTCGCATAGTGAGAGAGGGTATTGGTGCTCAGACAGTTGCACTTAAGAACACAGAGGAGGTGGAGCTCCAGGTGATGATAAGGTCCAGAGAGTAGGTAGTTGAAGGGGACAGAAGGTGACTATTCTGGAGATAAGGGGTCCATGGCCTGTGATTCTAGGGTGTTGGTTATACAACCCATGTGGAAAGTGAAAGAACTCCAGGAGGGCAGCAGGAGTAGGAGTAGAGAACACTATGAGTTAGATGCCAGAGTCTCCTCTGTGAGAAGGAAGATATACCCCTAGCCACATTGCTCATAAAGGGATGGGCTCACAGGCACTCCTCCCCATCTCTGGAAATGCTGCCCAGGATCCTGTCCCTCTAGGAGGCCCTCACAATCTTCCCACTTGCACAGGACCGGGGCTGCCTCCTCGAGACAGGATCTTATGGGCAGTGAAGGAGGCCTCACAATGGCCTCTTCTCTCCTGCAGGGAGAAAGAGAAGACTTTGTTACCTCAAGAACAAGAATTACAAAGTAAGACAAAGCTCCATGCACAGGCTTTGACTGTGACTGTGAGCAGGAACTTGGCTTGAGCTGCTGAGTTCTATGCTGGAAGCAAGGCTCTCCCACTGAGGACAAAATTAGGCCTAGGCCATGACTTCCTTGGGTGCTTGGTGGTATCTGGACATGTGGACAAGGGCAGAGACGGGAGCTCCTGGGGCACAAAAAAGAGCAAAGGCAATTTGGCCTCCTGGGAAGGGTTTGGTAGTGGGTAGGGATGGTGTCCACAGCTTCCTTAGGTTCCTGAGTGATGTCCACATTCTGAGGAGAGAGCCCAGGATTAATAGGAAGGAGACAGCAGTGCAGGGCCCCAACGCCTCCCCTGCCTGTTGTCCTCATTGCCAGGCTCCCCTCTTTCAGCCAGGCCTGGATCCTGACCCTCAGGTAGGCCTGGAGGAAATCTCAGCCTGAGGCCTTTTTGGCAGGGATTGCACCAGCCCTGCATCTCCATGATGCCTCAGGTCTGGGCTGTAGTTCCTGCATTTCTGGGTGCTGTTTTTTCCACCTTTTGGTGCAAAACACCCAGGCTCGGTGGGGTTGGGGCAGTCTTTCTGTGGAGAAGGTGCTTCCACCATGTGCTGTGTCCACAGCCAGCTTGGGTAATGGAGTCCCCCACCTACCTCAGGCTTCTCCCGGTGTGTGTTCACGGCCTCCACATTCAGGTGGACGGACTCCACCTTGCAGCCTTGGAAAAGAACAATCCATCTTTCCATAAGTCCCCAAGGTAGGCACAGGTCTTCCATGGGGTATCACCTCCCTCCCATCACCACCCACACTCCCAGCTTCATACTGTGTACAGATCATGACTTGCCTGGGGAATTTAGACAGCTGTGTGATGTGTGGGGAAGACACCAGGCCTAAGAGGCAGCCAACAGGGCATCCTGTCACCTCTGCCCCTAACAGTCTTAGTTCTCTGAGCTTTAGTTGCTCATTTGTAAATGGGGATGGAGATGAGAGATGAACTCTACGGCTGCCCACAGCTCTTGAGGTCCGCAGGACATCAGTCGCATCTGTGTAATATTGATGTAGCTCTGTGGATCCTCCAAGCCGTGTTAGGTGCTGAAGAGGTGCAAGAGTCCTGGGGCTACTGCCTTGGGTGATCAGTACCAGGCAAAGTTTATCAGGAGGACAATGTGGTTGTGGCAACACCAGGAGTGTGGAAGATCACGTGGGAGTTTTAGGGAACCTGAAGAAGGAAGAGGGTGCATCTTTGGGGTTTGGGGCTGCATCTTTGGGGTTTGGGGCTGACAGAGGAGGCCTAATGCCTGTGGAAGCTCTGTGGACTGCACCTTACTCCAGGCTTCAGTAGGCCATTCTGCTCTGTCCACACCCCAGAATAGGTTTGATTCTGTCCCTTCCCTGCTCATGAAATTCTTGTGTAATTTGCACAATTGGCAAAATCAGAACAAAGTCTTTAGATTTAGATTAGACAACAATATTATATTAATGTTAGTGGCCTTATTTTGATTATATTATTTTTTTCTGCAAGAGAGTGTCTTTGTAATTTAGTCTCCAAATATTTATGGAAGTGTGTGTGCGTGTGCACATACATAGAGAGAAGGAGAGACAAAAGACAGGGAGGATAAAACAAATGTGATAAAATGTTAACATTGAAGAATCTAGGTTAAGTGTAGACAGGAATTTTTTTTAACTAGTTTTGCAACATTTTTTGTAAGTCTTCAATTATATCAGAATAAAAATTTAAATTTAAAAAGTACTTTTATTTTTACAAATATTCACTGAAATTCATCTGACTAGCATGTACTACACACACTTCTTTTTTTATCACCAAATGCTCACTTCCTTTTAATTATTATTATTATTTTTAATTAATTTCTATAGGAATTTTTTAAAATTATACTTTAAATTCTAGGGTACATGTGCACAATGTGCAGGTTTCTTACATAGGTATACATATGCCATGTTGGTTTGCTGCACCCATCAACTCGTCATTTACATTAGGTATTTCTCCTTATGCTCTCACTCCCTCAGTCCCCCACCCCCTGACAGGCCCTGGTGTGTGATGTTCCCCGCCCTGTGTCCATGTGTTCTCGTTGTTTAACTCCTACCTATGAGTGAGAACATGCAGTGTTTGGTTTTCTATCCGTGTGATAGTTTGCTGAGAATGATGGTTTCCAGCTTCATCCATGTCCCTGCAAAGGACATGAACTCATCCTTTTTTATGGCTGCATAGTATTCCATGGTACTACACACACTTCTTGACATTGCACCCTTTGGGAAAAGGTCACTGTGCAACATGATGCAGTTATTCTTCATACAAACAAAAGTGCATTCACTCCTTTCCAAAGCAAGAAAACCAAAAGTCTCATAAGCTGTTGCATGCAGATCCAAATCCAGGGATAATTGTTCATCCTAATTTAGCAGGGATTTTGAATAAGGACATGTGGGAAAATATCCAAAAAAGAGGTCTAGGGAAGTGGTATGTGGACTTCTTGGGATTGATCCAAAGCATGAGACTTAGTGTTAAATGTGCATTCTCACCAATAAGCTCTTAGTAATCAGGTGAGCAGTATTACCTACTCATTGGAGGTCAGGAAGACTGTTTTCTCAGCTATTCCTGTGCTTGCTCGATGGGCACCTATACAAAGTCATATGGTGGCATGAACAGAGGCTATGTATGGCCTCAACAAAAGGCGCTCACAAAGGCTGATATGACTACCCCTACTGCTGAGTGTGCAAATTTCCAAAACTATCCTGAGTTTCTGATATGTACCAATCCAAAGAGGACCAGCCCAGTACCTGGCAGTAAATTAATTACATTGGGCCCATTACATCATGGAGGGGTTTGTTGGCTTTATGATTTGTCAGCAATAAGTGAATATTCTAGGTATGGATTTGCCTTCCCTACACACAATATTTCTGTCTTATCACCACCTGTGATCCTACAGAATGCCTCATTCACTGTTGTGAAATTTCAGCGTGGGATGACAAAAAAATATGTGTATATGTTAGCCAAATGAACTGTGGTGAATATTTATCTTGTTGGTATCCTGATTGCACCCATTTTCCTTTTAGGATAATACAGTTTCCAATTGTAGTAAATGGGATTTTAGGATGGCCGACAAGATCCCTACCCTCTGGTGTACATAGACTTTTTGGCAGTTATTCAGTAAAACACTAATCTAGATGCTGTTGTGAAAGGATTTTGTACATGTAATTAACATCCAAAATCAGTTGACCTTAAAATCAGGTGGGCCTGACCTACTCAAGTAAGACTTTAGAGGGTACTGCACTCATCTTGGGAAGAGAGATTTGAAGATTGAGAGGGATTTATGCATGGAAATTCTCCATTCCTAGATTTGAAGATGGAGATGCTACATGGCAAAGAATATGAGTGGCCTCTATGGGATTAATGAGGCCTCCAGCTGATAGCCAGTAAAGAAATGAGGACCTCAGAACTATAGCTGCAAGTACAAGAGTTCTGCCAATAATCTGAATGAGACTGGAAGGCATCAGAAAGAAAGGCAGCCCTGCTGACACCTTGATTTCCATCTTGCTTGAACAGAGAACCTAGCCAAGGCATGCCACACCTTTTGTCCTATAATAACTTGCAGATAATAAATGGATGTTGTTTTAGCCACTCAGTCTGTGGCTGTTTGCTATGCATTAAAAGAAAACCAATATGTAGTCTTTGTGGAATGACATGTCTAGATGTTTTCCTCCCCTTATTGACAAGGAGTAAATCAGATTATTCCTCTCTGGTTCCAATATTGCCACGGGACAGGCATGCAACCTATTCTTAGTCAATTACATGCCCTCTCCTTGGACTTTGAAACTTAAGTGATTGACACAAGAGTGAAAAAAAAGGCTTATGTGATTTTTATCCCCAGAGCAGCATCCTTATCAGACCGTTCCTGTGTTTCATGCTCCTATCCAGTTCTCAAGTTACTTTCTCCAGTCTCCTTCCAGTTCTGTGAGCCTCTGACATCTGTCTAACAAAATCCATTTTATTTACATTGGCAAAGAAAAATTCTTATTGATTGTGACCAATCATGTGGTGAAGCCAGTTTGTACCAGCTTGAGACAGTGTATTGTATGTACCTCGTCCCACCTTTGCCTTCAGTGAAATTGGCCATGGTGGGATTATTAACTTTGTGAAAAATGGCAGACTACCAATTGGGAATTTTTAAAATCAGAGAACTAGTTATTAACCATTTACCAGCACATCATTGCTTGCAAACAAAATCTTAAGTAATGGAATACGTATGGATTACAAAGGGGCTGGACACTGAGCTCTAGGAGGGCAAAGGCAGCAGGGTATTGTGGAAAGAACTTGGATTTCACCATCAGAGAATCCTAGATTCTAATCCCATGTTTCTTCAGTGGTGTGACTTTGAGCAAGTATCTTCGCCTCTCTGAGTCTTAGTGTACTCACCTATGAAAGTAGGTGAGGAAATACACCATTTGGCAAAAACTGAATTTTCATGCACTCCCCTACATTTCCCAGCCAACTTTCTTGTTGTGTTGGGGTCATATGACTATTTCTGGCCAGTGTACAGAAGTGATATCTGCACTTCTAGGATAAGACACCTAAAAGCCCAAATATCTTCAAAATAATGTGTGCCCAGCAGAGTCCTGGGGTAGGTACCCTGAATGGGTGGTTGGATATCCTCGCGGGGGCGAGACTGGTGCAGTAGGATGATAGGGGAAGGACTGGGATGGCCTCTGAACCTGGAGCCTGGCATCAACCTTCCCTGTCTCTGACAGAGCAGTAAGCTGCAAAAGGGCTCACATGTGGGAGGTGATTTTAGTAAGTTTGATTTGGTGTGGAGAGGGGCAGGAGAATGATGCAGAAAGACTGGACTAGAGGGCCCAGAGGGGACCAAAATAACAAGTGTAGGCTGAGGCCAGATTGAAGAAAGGCCTTAAAGACAAGCTTTGGCAGGTTACACTTTCTCCTGGGGCATTAGACACGTACATAATGTCAATTTTTTTCATCGACTGATTTTAGTATCCATTAATTATTCTTCCCTTGTTTAATTATTACCATGTTTATTGTGCAAAAATAACTTTCTATTTCCATGATTCTTTCTCTTTCAGCTTTATTGAGGTACAGTTGACAAAAATTGTGTGTGTATATATATATATATATATATATATATATATATATATATATATATATACAGAGTACAACATGATGTTTTGTTTTGTTTTTGAGATAGTGTTTCACTCTGTCACCCAGGCAGGAGTACATTGGCGCGATCACAGCTCATTGCAGCCTCAACCTCCCAAGCTCAAGCGATATACCTCATATAAACAGAATTACATGATATACCTCATAAACAGAATTATACAGTATTTGTCTTTCTGTAACTTGTTTATTTTACTTAGCATAATGTCTTCAAGGTTCATTCATGTTGTAGCATGTGGCTAATAAAAGTCCATTATTTTTCAAATCTGAATAATAAAACATTTTGTTTATCCATTCATCTGTCAATAGATACTTTGAATTCTCCCACCTGTTAGCTATTGTGAATAGTATTGCTATGAACATGGGTGTGCAAACATGTCTTTGAGACCCCGATTTCAATTCTTTTGGATATATACCCAGAAGTGGAAATACTGAAACATATGGTAGTTCTATTTTTTAGTTTTTGAGGAACAGCCATACTATTTTCCATAGTAGTTGCACAATTTTACAATCCCGCCAGCAGTGCACAAGGGTTCCAATTTCTCCGCATCCCCAGTGACACTTATTTTCTCTCTTTTGATAGCAGCCATCCTAATCGGTATGAGGTAATATCTAATTGTGTTTTTGATTTGCATTTGTCTGATGATCAGCAATGTTTAGCATCTTTCAATATGCTTGCTGGCCATTTGCATATAATCTTTGGGGAAATGTCTGTCTTTTGTCCATTTTACAATTGGGTTACTTGTGTTTTTCTTTTAAGAAATAGGGTCTTGCTCTGTCACCCAGGCTGGAGTGCAGTAGTGCAATCGTAGCTCACTGCAGCCTCAACCTCCTGGGCTCCAGTGATACTCCCACCTCAGCCTCCTGAACAGTGAGGACTACAGGTGAACGCCACCATGTCTGGCTAATTGATTTTTTTTTTTTTTTAGAAACAGGTTCTCACTATTTTGCCCAGGCTGGTCTTGAACTCCTCACCTCAAGTGATCCTCCCGCCTCTGCTGAGATAGGATAACAGGCATGAACCACCGTGCTAAGCAAGTTATTTAATTTTTTGTTGTGGAGAGTATTTTTTATATATTCTGCTTATTAATCCCTTATTAGGTATATACTTTGCAAATATCTTCTCCCATTCTGTATGTTGCCTTTTCACTGTGTTGACTTTGTCCTCTGATACACAAACGTATTTGTTTGATGTAGTCCCATTTGTCTATTTTTTGCTTTTGGTGTCATAACCAGAAATTATTTGCCAAATCCAGTGTCATGAAGATTTTCTATCTTTACTTCTAGGAGTTTTTAAATTTTAGGTCTTACATTTAAATCTCCAAACTATTTTATTAATTTTTATGGTGTAAAAGGTCTATTTTACTTTTTTGCAGATGGATGTCCAGTTTTCCCAGCACCATGTGTTGAAGATTGTCATTTCCCCATTGAGTAATCTTGGCACCCTTGTCAAAGATCATTTAACTACATATATGAGGGTTCATTTCTTGACTCACTATTCTATTTCATTGGTCTATATGTCTATGCCGGTACCATATATATATAATAAATATTATAATATAGAATATATATATACAATATATTATATACAATATATTATTATATATATATTATGGTTTTCAGTGTATAAGTCTTTTTGCTACCTTGGTTGGGTTTATTCCTAAGTATTGTATTCTTTTTCATTGTATTGAAAATGGAATTGTTTTCTTAATTTTCTTTTTGAATTGTTCATTGTTACTGTATAAAATGCAATTTATTTTTGTGTGTTGATTTTAGTATCCTACAAGTTTCCTAGATTTGTTTATTAGAGCTAACAGTTTTTGTGTGTGGAATCTTTAGAGTTTTCAGCATATAAGAAAGATCATGTCATCTGTAAACAGAGATAATTTTACTTCTTCATTTCCAGTATGGATGCTTTTTACTTTTTCTTTTCCTTTTCCTGATTGTTCTGGATAGGACTTTAACACTATGTTGAATAGAAATGGCTGCAGTGGTCATCCTTGTCTTATTCCTTAACTTAAAGGAAAATACTTGGCTCATTAAATTAGTTTGGAAGTGTTTTCTATTCTTATATTATCTGTATCTTATATTGTGTGAAATCAATACTAATTGTTTAAATACTTGATTATATTCTCATGTGAAGCCACCTGGACCTGTAGGTTTCTTTTTATGGAGCATTGAAATTACAAATTATTTTATTTAATAGTTATATACTTCTTTCATCTCAATTGAATTTTGTTATCTTGTAGTATTTAAGGAATTGGTTCATTTCTTCTAAGTTGTAGCTTTTATAAGCATTAAGTTATTTGTCATGTTCCCTATTATCCTTTTAATTCTTGCAGGGTGTGTAGTAATAGTCTTATTTCATTCTTGATATTGGTCATTTATATCTTTTCTGTTTTTATTTTTGTCAGCTTTACTGAAGTTTGATCAATTTTATTGATATTTTCAAAGAACCAGCTTTTGTTGCATTGATGTTCTGTATAATTTTCTTGTATTCAATATTATTGTTTTCTATTCTCGTCTTTATTATTACTTTCCTTCTGCATGTTTTAGGTTCAATTTACTCTTCTTTTTCTAGTTACTTGGAATAGAAACTTAGATCATTGATTTTACGTCTTTCTTCTTTCTAATGTAAGCATGTAGTACTCTAAATTTCCATTTCATCTTTGCTTTATAGTATTCCACACATATTGATATTTTTTGTTTTTATTCTCATTCTGTTCTATGTATTTTTAAAATTTTCTTAGAAACTTCTTTGATTCATGGATTATGTAGAAATATGTTGCTTAATTCACAAGCATCTGTAGATTTTCTGTTGTTTTTCTGTTATTGATTACTATTTTCATTTCTTTATGGATAGAGAACATACTCCGTATGATGTCAATTGTTTTAATGTTGTTGAAGTTTTCCCCATAGTGTATCCTATTGAATGTTCCACTGGTGCTTGAAAAAATGTGTTTTCTGCTGTTGTTAGTTGGAGTGCTCTTTCTATATATATGTGTCAATTATATCATATTGGTTGATTGCATTGCTCATTTCTTTTATGTCCTTCCAGATATACTGTTTAGTAGCTTTATCAATTGCTGGGAGTGCACTGTTGAAGTCCCCTAGTATAAATTTAAATGTGTCTATTTCTTCTTTCTGCTCTATCAGCTTTTCCTTCATATATTTTGAGGCTCTTTTGTTTGATGCATACACATTTAGGATTGTAGTTTCCTGTAAATCGTTGTAAATCTCGGTGATTGACCTTTTATCATTACGCAGTGTCTCTCTGTCTCCAGTAATTTCCTTTGCTCTCAATTCTACTTTATTTGATATTAATATCAATACTCCTGCTTTCATTTTTGTTTTGAGACGGAGTCTTATTCTGTCGTCCATGCTGGAGTGCAGTGGCTCACTGCAACCTCCACCTCCCAGGTTCAAGCGATTCTCCGGCCTCAGCCTCCCAAGTAGCTGGGATTACCACGATGCCCGGCTAGTTTTTTTTTTTTTAATAGAAAAGGGGTTTCTCCATGTTGGCCAGGCTGCTCTTGAGATCCTGATCTCAAGTGATCCATTCGCCTTGGCCTCCCAAAGTGCTGGGATTACAGGCGTGAGCCATTGCGCCCGGCCCCTGCTTTCATTCGTTAATGTTTGCATTATACATCACTTTCCATCCTTCACTTTCATCCTACTATGTCTTTGTATTTTTATTTCTTTTTAAATTGATACATAATAGTTGTACATATTTTGGGGGTACATGTGATATTTTGATACCTGTATACAATGTGTAATAATTAAATCAGGGTAATTGGGATATCTGTCACCAAACATTATGTTGTCTTTATGTTGGGAGCATTGTGATTCTTCTAGCTATTTTGAAATATACAATAAATTATTGTTAACTACAGCTTCTCTACTGTACTATTGAATACTATAACTTATTCCTTCTATCTAACTGTATTTTTGTACCCCTAAAACAATTTCGCTTCATTGCCCCCTTACCTTTTCTGGCCTCTGGTAATTACGGTTCTACTCTCTGCTTCCATGAGATTCACTTTTTAAGCTCCCATTAAATGGGCATGGGAACATGCAGTATTCACTCTTAAATGAATGAGAACATGCAGCATTTGTCTTTCTGTGCCCGGCTTATTTCACTTGAGGTAATGACCTCCAGTTCCATCTATGTTGCTGCAAATGATAAGATTTAATACTTTTTTATGGGTGAATAATATTTCATTGTATACATGTACCACATTTTCTTTATCCATTTATCTGTTGATGGACACTGAAGTTGATTCCATGTCTTGGTTATTGTGAATTGTACCATGATAAACCTGGGAGTGCAGATATCTCTTAAGTATACTTATTTCCTTTCTCTTGGATATATACCCTGCAGTGGAATTTCTGAGTCATATGGAAGTTCTGTTTTTAGTTTTCTGAGGAACTTTTCTATAGTGGCTGTACAAATTTACCTTCTCAGCAACACTGTACCAGTTTTCCCCTTACTCTGCATTCTTACCAGCATTTGTTATTCTTGTCTTTTTTATAATAGCCATTTTAACTGGAGTGAGATGATATCTCATTGTGATTTTGATTTGCATTTTCCTAGTGATTGGGTATTTTCTCTATATCCATTGGTCATTTGTTTGTCTTCTTTTGAGAAATGTCTATTCAGATCTTTTACCCATTTTAAAATTGGATTATTTGTTTTTTTTTTGCTATGAGTTGTTTGAGTTACCCATTGTATTAGTTCGTTTTCATGCTACTGATAAAGACATAACCAAAACTGGGAACAAAAAGAGGATTAATTGGATTTACAGTTCCACATGGCTGGGGAAGCCTCAGAATCATGGTGGGAGGTGAAAGGCACTTCTTATATGTTGGCAGCAAGAGAAAATGAGGAAGAAACAACCTTTGATAAACCCATCAGATCTCGTGAGACTTATTCACTATCACGAGAATAGCACTGGAGAGACCAGCTCCCATGATTCAATCACCTCTCCTTGGGTCCCTCCCATAACACATGGGCATTCTGGGAGATGCAATTCAAGTTGAGATTTGGTGGCGGGACACAGCCAAACCATATCACCTATATATTCTGGTTATTAATCCCTTGTCAGATGAATAGTTTCCAAATATTTTTTCCATTATTCAGGTTGTATCTTCACTTTGTTGATGGTTTCCTCTGTTGTGCAAAAGGTGTTTATCTTGATGTAATCTTATTTGTCTATTTTTACTTTTGCTGCCTATGCTTTTGAGGTCTTAAAAAAATCTTTGACTAGACCAACAGTCTAAAATGTTCCCCCAATGTTTTCTTTTAGTAGTTTTATAGTTTTAGGTCTTAGATTTAAGTATTTAATCCATTTTGAGTTGGTTTGTGTATATGGTGAGAGATAGGGGTCTAGTTTTGTTCTTATACATAAACACATCAAGTTTTCCCAGCATCAATTATTGAAGTGCCTGTCCTTTCTGTAATGTGTATTTTGGTTCCTTTGTCATTTAGGTCTTTTTATCCATTTTGAGTTGAGTTTTGTGTATGGTGTAAGATAACAGTCCAAGTTCATTTTTTTCCTCGTGGAAACCCAGTTTTCCCAGCACCATTTGTTGAAGAGACTATCTTTTCCCCCATTGTGTTCTCTTGGTGCCCTTATCTACAATTAGTTGACCGTATATGTGTGGATTTATTTTGGGACTCTCTATTTTGTTCCACTGTTTTGTATGTGTTTGTTTATGACACTACCATACTGTTTTGATTACTGTAGCTTTGTAATATAATTTTAAATAAGGAAGTGTGATCCCTCCAACTTTATTTTTCTTCCTCAGAATTCCTTTGGCTATTCAGTGTCTTTGTGATTCCACACAAATTTTAGGATTATTTTTCCTATTGCTGGGAGGAATGCCATGGCAATTTTGATAGAGAGTGTATTGAATTTGTATATTGTTTTAGGTAGCATGGGCATTTTAACAATATTATCAGGTTAGTGCAAAACTATTTGTGGTTTTTACTGTAACCAAAAGAAATGGCAAAACCCACAATTACTTTTGCAGCAACCTAATAGTTCTTCCATTTCATGAGAATGGACTATCATTCCATTTATTTGTATCTTCTTCAATTACTCTCCTCAATGTTTTATAGTTTTCCATGTGCAGGTCTTTCATCTCCTTGGTTAAATTTACTCTTAAATGTTTTTTAATGCTACCATAAATGGGATTGTTTTGTATCCTGCAATTTTCCTGAATTGATTTATTAGTTCTAACAGTTTTTTTGTGTGGAATCTTTGAGGTTTTCTATATATAGGATTATGTCATCTGCAAATGGAGATAATTTTACTTTTCTTCTTTCCAACTTGGATACCTTGTATTTCTTTTTTAGCAGAAGTAAGTAATAATGATCAGAACAGAAGTAAATCAAATAGAGAATAGAAAAACAATAAGAAAAAATCAATAAAACTGAGTGATTTTTTTCAAAAAAAGCTAGACTAAGAAGAAAAGGCAGAAGAGTCAAATCAATAAAATCAGAAATGAAAGGGGTCATAAGGGGCTATTATGAACAATACACCTGCAGACTGGATAATTTAGATAAAATGGACAAATTCCTGAAAAAATACAACCTACCAAGGTTGAATCAGGAAGAAATAGAAAGTCTGAACAGAACAATAACAAATAGATTGAAGTGGTATAATAACTTAAAAGCTCCCAGCAAAAAAAAGCCCAGGAACAGATAACTTTATCGTTGAATTCTGCAAAACATTCAAAGAAGAATTAATACAAATACTTCTTCAACTCTTCCAAAAACTAGAGCTAGAGGGACTATTTCCAAACATATTTTATGAGGCCAGCATCACCATGATACCTAAGCCAGACAAAGACACCATAAAAAAAGAAAACTTCAGGCCAATATCTCTGATAAACATTGATACAAAAATTTTCTATAAAATATTAGCAAACCCAAGTTCAACAACACATCAAAAAGATTATACATCATGACTGTTATGATTTGAATGTCTTCTCCAAAACTCATGTTGAAACTCAATCCCCAGTGTGACAATATTGAGAAGTAGAGCCTTTAAGAGGTGAATAGGTAATGAGATCTCTGCCTTCATGAATGGATTAATCCATTTATAGATTAATGGATTAATGAGTTAATGGACTAATGGGTTATCATGGGAATGGAACTGGTGGCTTTATAAGAAGAGAAAGAGACTCAAGCATGCTCTGCCACCTCACCATGTAATGCCCTGAGCCGCCTCGGGACTCTGCAGTGTCCCCAGCAGCAAGAGGGTTCTTACCATTTGTAGTCCCTTGACCTTGGACTTCTCAGCATCCATAAATATAAGAATAAATTCCTTTTTAAAATAAAGTACCCTCTTTTGGATATTCTGTTATAAGCAACAGAAAAGACTAAGATAATGGCCAAATGGAATTTATCCTTGGCATGCAAGCCTGTTTTAAAGTATGCATATGAATCAATGTGATACATTAACAGAATGAAAGATAAAAAGCACACAAAAATCATCTCAATTTACACAGAAAAAGCATTTGACAAAGTTCAACATCCTTCCTTGATAAAAATGCTGAACAGTTTAAGTATAAAAGGAAAGTTTCTCAGCAAAATAAAGGTCATTTATGAAAAACCCACAATTAATATCATAATCAATGGGGAAAAATGAAAAACTTTTCCTGTAAGATCCAGTGCAAGGTAAAGATTCCCACTCTCTCCACTTCTATTCAATATAGTACAGGAAGTACTATGATGTAAATTTCTTGTAGATAGTATACATTGGATTTTTTGAAAATTCATACTGCCAATCTGTTTTTTTGCCAAGTATTTAAAAAAATTTTTTTATAATTAACACATAATAATTATACATGTTTATGGGGTACACTGTGATGTTTCAATACATGTATACATTGTATAATGGTAACATATATTGAAACATGTATACATTGGGTATACATGTATACATGTTTGGGTAATTCACAGATCCATCACCTTAAACATCTATCATTTCTTGGTGATCTAATCTCTTTTTAATTGGTATATTTAAACCATTTTTATTTACAATAACTGTCCCTATTTTAAGGCTTAAGTATGCCATTTTGTTTTCTGTGCATCCCTCTGTTTTTTGTTTCTCTCTGTCTCTGTCTCTCTCTCTCTCTGCTCCCTATAGGTTATATGAACATTTGTTAGGATTCCACTTAGAGTGAAGTGTAGAAACATTACTTTTGATGTGTTTTTGATCCTGTGTTAACACTGCTTAATTCTTGGTGTTTCAATTTGGTATAATATATTGCTTTTGCCTTTATATTTTCGTATAGTGCTTGATTTTTATAAAGCAATGAATATATAATAAATTTGTGAAGTCACTATCCTTCTATTATATTTGTAAATGTAGCTATATATTGTCAAGGAAAAAATGTGGCTGATTTACACTGTTATTAAAACTTGAAAATCCTCAGTATTTATAGTTTTTAGACTTGACACACTTGAGATTTGAGCAGCAAAATCCTTTTTTACACATGACCTAATTTTTTCTATGATCATATCAGTTTCTACCCAAGCATTAGTGATTTAGGTCACTCGGATGGGGGCAGGTTTCTCTTACAACTCATCTCCAGCTCAAGAAAAGCCTCTTTCTCTCAAGCTTCTTCCTCACTACTCCCTTAGAGGAAGGAAGACCAATGTGATAGGTCAAATTCTGGAGCACTGTAAGGAGTACCACTGTGCATTGCTAAGTGACACCCATACATGTAAGACACATCTAAGCTCTTCTCTTTCTTATGATACTGAAGTGATGAGATAAGCTGGTGCTGACTGTGAAAGCTGGGCATTGACACACTGGCCTCTCTTTCTTCTCACTGGAGATTTTGGGCTCTGTCATTCCTGCCTACTAGGGGTCAGCTGATGATAAGATTTCTGTAGAATAAAAGAGGCAAAGATACCCTGCTTCATTCTTGTGCCTAAACCTGTGCTTCAATTCAAGTTGACCTGAGGGCTCTGCACTGAGGGGTCATGGGAACTGGCCCAGTGAATGATATTTCAGGTCCTTGTGTGCATGTCTTTTTCAAGGAAAGCCCTAAGAGGGGGCAATAAAGCAGTGTAACATAGGAGTAGGGTGTTCTTGTATCCTCTGAACAAATGCTAACCTCACACTGTCAGATTCTTACCAGTAATGCCACATAATTGGATAACTCTCGTTCTACTGCAGGTGGTGCAGATGGCGACCCAAATGTCATAATCCACATTGAAATGTCACACATACCCACTCAAATAGACATGCCCTCAGGTGTTGCCATGCCCCCATCCAGATGTCAGCACTAGGTATTTGCAGATATGATTGGTGGACTTCATGTATGAAAAGACAAGGGTAACTTTCTGTAGTTATTAGTAGTTTCAATCATTTGCAGAGTCATTATTCCCTCCCTGTTCTCCTTTTTGTTTCTTCCCCATTTATTCTTTAGGGTGTTCTATGATACTTAGCCTTATTGGCACCTGCTTTCATTTCCTGAATTCGTATCAGGATGTCACCCGTACCCTGCCTTCTTAGAATTCATGGTGATGCAATACAGGCAACTTAAATAAAAAGACTGATGGGAGGCCTCTTGAACTCTGTTAGTTTCCCTACTCTTTACTTTTCTTTTTATGTTTCATGCACCATGCTCAGGTGCTGTGAAACCAGTTCCTGGTTTTTAATCTAGTCTCACAGTAAGCAGGTTGTCCTCATTTAGCTACCATTTTACTTCTCAATAATTTAACTTTGACATTAAATTGTCCAAACTGACAAACACATCCCAGGTGAACTTGCTGTTTTTTTGCCACTTCTCAGTTGTCTTAATTACAGTTAGAATTGGACAATTAAGTTCATCTTTAGTAACTGCACACACATATTTAACTAATTGTTGTCTTTCCTTGCACATAATGCTATTCTATGTACCTCATATTATTTGATTTCTTTGAAAGAGAGAGCACATATCGCTCTTGTGTTTTTAAGAAGTAACTTTCAGCTCTCAGTAAGTTATGTATTTGAAATTTTGTCCTGCAGCATTGCTACCACTTTCCAATATACATTTTCTCTTGTACACAAACCTCACACAGGCTCATGTCAAATATTTATATAAGCATAGTCAAAACAGGGTGAATAAATTTCTCTTTGGTGGTCAGTTTCCAATTACACCTTCACATGACAGGTAGAGCCTGCTTTAGAGTCTCTATAATCAATCCTCAACTGTCTGTTACACAACAGTTTCTCCACCATTGGAAAATCAATTCTCTGTTCCCATAGGCTTTGGTAGAGTTACATTCCTCTGCCATCTCGAAACAAATCCATTTGTGAGATCATACTCATATCACATGGTACCATCACACAAGTTGAGCCCCAGCGGAATGGTAATAAAGTAAGTATTCCTAATACATGCTCATGAAAGGGGACTGGAATCACCCTATGACAAAGTTAAGATTGGTGCAGTAAAGTGGTCTCAGGATGGGAGGCACTTTTCCATTTCAGTTTCTCTGAATACTGAAAGTCTTGACAAAAAGACTTTATCAGCTTGTATTAACAATACCAGCTCATGAGGAATTAAAAAATTTAATACCAGGCCAGGCGCAGTGGCTCATGTCTGTAATCCCAGCACTTTGGGAGGCTGAGGAGGGATGGCTCACCTGAGGTCAAGAGTTCGAGACCAGCCTGGCCAACATGGTGAAACCCAGTCTCTACTAAAAATACAAAAAATTAGCTGAGCATGATGGCAGGTGCCTGTAATCCCAGCTACTTGGGAAGCTAAGGCAGGAGGATCGCTTGAACCCAGGAGGCGGAGGTTGCAGTGAACCAAGGTCACACCACTGCACTTCAGCCTGGGCAACAAGAGCGAAACTTTGTCTCAAAAAAAAAAAAAAAAATTAACGTGAGAAACCTGTAACACCATCCTGCAGCTTTGCACCAAGATTACCTTGTTTAATGGTCATAGTTGGTAATATTTATTTGTGTCAGGGGAATAACATTTTCATGGCTCCTGAATTTAAGTTTCCTATTTAGTAGGTTTATTTTTATCTAATGAATTTAAAATACCAGCATGAGTATTTTGCTAAGAGAGAGGATTAGATAACACCCTAGTGTCCCAGAAAAGGGTATGGATACTTCACCACAAAATATTCAAAATATTCCCAAGAGAAACTTTTTAGTTTATGCTATTCACTATGTGAAAGAAGAGGCATCCACCACTCTTGTTCATTCCCTAAAGTGCTGGTAGTATTTGCTTTGTAACAACATACCCCTGTTAAAATTCTTTTGACTATCACCTATAGGATAAACATAGAACTCTGTGTCATGTGCCTTTAAGATTTTCTATGTTTTGACTAAACTTCCTTAGCAGGCCCATTTTTCTCCCTCTTCTCCCGAGAGTCACCACCCACTCTTACCCAGCACCTTCATTAGCATAGAGCTCTCTGTCCTTTTTTCTTTTTTCTTTTTTCATACTTTGCATGGGAATAACTAAAACCTTTATTAGATATGATTTTCCATTAACAATAATGTGAAAATTACAATTATGAATTCAAAAGGCAGTGAAGTCTGAACATTTAAAAAGAAGACTAGGTGTTAGGGAACAAAAGGTAAAGGAAGGTGAGAATGTTTCTTTTATACTATTCATTATCTCCCCTCTGTACACAGTGTTGCATATATACAACCACTTCATTTTTACTGACTTTATATAATAGTGAAATCCCCTTAAGCAACCTAGGGTATACAGTTGGGGTCCAACTTTCAGGGGGTTGGGGGTGGGGAGTAGAAACACACTTGATTAACAGTTTTCACCCACACATTTTAGACAATTTTTTTCTTTTTTTGCCAAGATTTTAGTAGTAAGTTCACAAATATAGGAAATACTTTCACTTCTTCAGTGTTAAAATGGAAAACCAAACAGTGCTGACAGTAGTGGCTTAATTATTGGTATACAAGAAAAACACAACACCAATGGGTTTTCTTAATTATGCATTTTAAATATCAGTATGTGCATTTGTTTTTACAGTTATAAATTTTCTCATCTGTTTTAGACAACAGCTTGTAATAGTTTTGAATCCATTAAGATGTTGCTTTCAATTTGAAATATTTTGTGTATACACGTATATAAAAAATAACCCAAAGTATGACTCATCTGACAGATGTTTAAGATCAATAAAGGCTTATTTTTCAACATGCAGTTAGGAAGAGAGGGAAGCAAGCCAACCTCTCTACACTGTCTTTTTGCTGGCTTGTTTTTGCAGTGGTATCAATAGTGGTTTTTGAAGGGAGCCGTGTGCCGTCAGCCTATCTAGTTAAGATTAGATACCACAATCAACAAGAGGAGTAGAAGAGATGGGGAAGGGGGAGTAGGTAAGTGTTAGATATCAATTTTTTTTAAGTGTGCATTTTGTACTCTTCTAGGTATGGGATTAAAAGCAGGCCAGTGAGGAAAAAAATGTTTTAATTAGGAAAAAACTGCAATCAATCAAATCAAGACATAATAGCCGAACTAAGTTCTTTTAATAGACTGCATATATAGATGTTTAGCCATACTCTTAGATGAACTTTTTAAGAGTAGAACTTTATATCCAATTTACATGCTCTAGATACCACCTTTCTTATTTTTTATAGTAAGGTCTGGTATTAAAATACCCACTTGTACACTGACAGCTTTAAGAAAAACAGGACACAGAGTGAGTCGTCATTTTTAGCAGCAATGAAATACCACTAACCCATTTTTACATACCAAATTCAAGTCACTATCAGAGGTGAGTGTCACACAGTCACCAGGTATAAAATTGCTAGTTCATTTTTAAATTAATAACTTGAAATTACCCATGCCTCCCCACCCCATTACATCTTTTTATAAACAGAAAACATTTTGCTATTTTATACATAGGCTAGCAGCCTTGTTTTAATATGAAAGTGCTAATTCATTTACAGATTTGTATAATCAGTTATGTAGTGCTACAGTAAGTGTCCAATAATCTACATAGGAACAACGATGAATGAAAATGATGAAGATTGAATAAGGCTATCAGATTACCTTATTTTATGTACATATAAAGAATAGACACCCAATGGCGAGGAAGAGATAGAAATTGGACAAATACCCACGGGTGTAAACATTACATCTACTTTTGAGCTTTATACTGTAAATGAAACATTTTAAATAGTCCTGTAGCCCATGCCTATTTTTTCCTCAGAAAAAGAAAAGCTGCCTTCATGACATCCCCTCTTGTTTCAGATTTCCACAGTGTCACTTTAAAGCTTCAGAGTCAGGATCTTACTTTCTTCAAAAAATAAAGAAAATATGCCCCCTAAGGTACCTAAGGTAAGATCTCCCCACCCCCCAAATCCCGCTGGTTTCTTTTCCAGTGCCAGGTTGCATGATCAGGTCCCATCTCCTGGGGTTGTTGGTGTTTGTTTGTTTGTTTGTTTGTTTTTTCCATCTATTGATCATTAGTTTAGAATAGATAACATGAACCAGTTCTGGAGCCACTACTAGGAGGAACGCAAGCTCTTCACTGCAATCACACAGCAGGAAAGAAAGAGATAACTCAATTCTTCCGTGGTGCTGGGCCTCCAAAATTCAAAGAACTTGGCACAACTGAAGCACTAAATTTGTATCCTCCATGCTTCTCAATCATTTTGGACTTATGGGCTGCTCTTCTTTGATTGGCCAGAGTTGCTATGTCTTGTAACTGTTTTCTTTGTTCTTCATTAAGACTGTGTGAGTCAGAGCCTGATACCACACAGGATTACGATTTTGAATAGTTTGAAAGATAGCTTTAAATATCTGATACTCATCAACAGGGTTATCTTCATCATCAATGATTGTGGAATAGCTTTCCAGAGCAGTCTCTTCAGCATCACCTTCTTCCCAATCTTCATCACCTCCATCTTCACCTGCCTGCTTAGCCAGAATCTCCAAATATTCTTGCTCATCTTCATCAATATAATCTTCATCACTCCCCAGTTCCTCGGTTTCATCATCATCTTCAGCTTCATCATCATCATCACTGTCATTCCCGTGTTCTGCATGGCAGGCATATGCTCTTTTAAATCCGTTAAATCTACTGAACAAGAGCATAGAAGATCTTGAATATTTGTTTCTGATTGAGGACAGACTGATCAGACTGGTCAGAAAGAAGCTGGATAAAATGATCCTTTAGAACTGGCAGAAAATGTTGCATTGCCTCCTAGTCTGGTCTGTCTGTTCTAAGGTGAATTTACCTTGGTCCTGCAGTGTTGACACCGTGTTTCCAATCTTTTGTATTTCCTTAGGGCTCCTCAACCCTCTGTGAAAGGTGTGGAGGTACAAAGAAATGTTAAGTCAAGTCGCCAGGCAGGTGATATCAGTTCCCTGCAGAACAATGTGTGTAATAGCTGATGGGTGAGTCCCCTTCCCCATCCCTTTCCCTCTCTGCATCTGCCTCCTGGATAATCTAAGCTACTTTCTTATCTCCTAATTGGATGACAACAGGGGGGCCAGGGTTGCCTCAGGGATAATAGAGGCCCTTGGTTTTGGTGGCCTATTGTTGTGCATCTGGAAAGCACTAATGCTTAGGTTTTTAGTCCTAGTACCAAGTCAGAAAAACATGAAAGAGGAGGAAGGAGGATTTAGATTTAGCAATCAAGAGCTAGAATAGAATTTTTACATTACTCCCAAAACAATACTGCTGCCTTACTTTTCTTCAATATATGTAAAGTGCAAAACGAAAAAGTTAATTGTTACACCAACATTTTATATCATATATATATTATATATGTACTTGAAAAATCAATGTGAAATACAAATCTTTTGCGAGAAGTGAAGACTAAGAGAGGTTGTTACCAGCAGAATAGTACTACAAATAATGCTAAATGAAGTTCTTTAGGTTGAAGGAAAATGAGATTCAATGGAAATTTTTATCTACAATGAGGAATAAAGAGCAGCAGAAATGTTAAATATGTAGGTAAGCATAAAATATTACCTTTTATTTTCTCTTAATTATAAAAAGGAAAACTAAAGCAAAAAAATTCTATTGTGGAGTCTATAATGAATGTAGAAATAAAATATATGTTCACAACTACACAATTGAGAGACGTGAATGAATTTTTACTATTGTAAATGTATTATGTTTTATGTGAAGTTGTAAATATTAACGTTAATAGGCTGTGATAAGTTAAAGATGCATATGGTAACCCTTGAGCAACCCCTAAAATTAATACCAAAATTTATTATTAAAAAGATAATAGAGGAAGAAACATGGCGATGCCGACGTTGACTGCGAAACTGTACTCCCTGCTGTTCCGCAGGACTTCCACCTTCGCCCTCACCATCGCTGTGGGCGTCCTGTTCTTCGAGCGAGTCTTCCATCAGGGCGCGGACGAGATCTACCAGCACATCAGCGAGGGGAAGCTATGGAAACACATCAAGCAAAAGTATGAGAAAAAGTAGTTCCTTGGAGGCCCCCATCCAGGCCAGAAGGACCAGGTCCACTCGCCAGCTGTTTGCCCAGAGTTGGGGCCTCAGCTTGAAGACGATGCTCAAGTTACTTTTCATGTACCACTGTTCACTGTTGGCAAGAAACAGCTTTACCTACAGAACAGACTCTTTACCTTCTGCCGTGTTTGAAGTATGTTTAGTCAGCATCATCAAGAAATAAATGTGAATTGCCCTTGAAAAAAAAAGACAATAGAGGTATTGAAATAAAATACTAAAAATGTTTGATTATCCCCAAATAAGTGAGGAATGTGAGACAGAGGAATAATAAACAAATGAGACAAAAAGAAAACAAATAGCAAATGACAGACTGAATCGCATCTATAATTACATTAAATAGAAAGAGACTAAACACTCCAATAGAAAGGCAGAGATTATTAGATAGGATAAGAAAGCAAGGCCCAACTATTTGCTAACAAAAAGAGATGCATTTACATATAAAAACTTAAATAGATTGAAAATAAAATGAAGAAAAAGCAAAATACAAACCTAAGAATACTGTTTTGGCTATATAAATATCAGACAAACTAGACCAAGAAAAAGAATATCACATGAGATAGGGGTATAAAGATAGTACATTAATAAATAGTAATGCTAAATATATATGTGTCTAAAAACAGAGCCTCAAAATTTATGAGACAAATGCAGACAGATCTGAAGGGAGAAAGAGACATATCTAAAATCATAATTGATGATTTTTATCACTCCTTTCTCGGTAATTAATGGAAGAACTAAAAAAAATCAGTAAAGATTTAAAATATTTCTATAATACTGTCATCCAAATTAATGTAATTGACATTTTATAGGACACTACTCCTAATTGCTGAAGAATTCCTATTATTTCCAAGGGCACATGGAATGCTCATCAAAGTAAATTATATTCTGTACCATAAAATATGTATCCATAAATATCAAAAGTTTGAAATCTTACAGAGTATGTTCTCTGACCACAACAAAATTTAATTAGAAATAAACATGAAGTATCTAGAAATATCTGTAAATGCCTCCAAATATTTATAAATGAAATAACATATTTGTAAATAAGATGTTAATCACCCAGCACTTTGGGAGGCCAAGGCAGGTGATGGTCAGGAATTCGAGATCAGCCTGGCCAAGGTGGCAAAACCCCTCTCTACTAAAAATACAAAAATTAGCCAGGCATGGTGGTGTACACCTGTAATCCCAGCTACTAGGGAGGCTGAGAGAGGAGAATCGCTTGAACCCGGTAGGAGGAGGTTGCAGTGAGCCGAGATCGTGCAATTGCACTCCAGCCTGGGTGACAGAGCAAGACTCCATATCCAAAAAATATATATGTATTTTATCAGAGATGAATATAAAGTATATATTTTATCAGAGATAATTTGAAAAGATTAATAAAAATTATAAATTCCTAGAGAGAATGTCCAAGGAACAAAGAAAGAGAAAACTCTGGTAACAGGAATAAAAGAGTGTACATCACTACAGATTTGATGGATATTAGAAGATTGATAACAGTATATTCTCTGACCACAACAAAATTAAATTAGAAATGAATATTACTATAAAAATAAAGATTTCCTCTGAGAATGGCAGACATATTTTTTCCTCAGTTATATGTCTGATTAGCCTATGTACTTATTGATTTGATCCCATATTAGTTGAGTAGCACAAAAGAGAATGGGGAAAGATGACATTGTGGGAATTGCCTGGTAAAGAGGATTTATAGGACTGTCATAGCATTGATAACTGAGAGAAGATGCGATTGAGGGCCATAGTCTTTCTAGTACTGCCACAGTATGTGGGTGGATAGCTAAAAGGCACACACAATAGAGCGATGCTATATGAAAGCCACCAGTTGGAGGACAGTGGGGAGTGGTGACCAAATCTTGCAAGGTATTCAATGTTTAGGGAAGTTACATTGAGGTGAGCCCCTCATCAATAAGGCATTAGTATAATTACAACCCATTCTCGTTAAGCCTCAAATGTGGTCTAAGGAAGAAGTTACATCAATAAGAGAGTGGGACTGGAAAATTCATCCAGTTGAGTAAAGAGTTGCGTGTCCCTTTTTTTGTCTTTCCATATCCCACAACACCACAGAGGGGAAAGTAAGTGTCTAGAAGGGAGGACAACAAAGGGAGGGAATGTACAGTCCTTGACGTCTTCATCTCCTTTACGCGTTATGATCTTGAAGTCACAGCCTGATCTAGCATGACCTGAGGTAGGCAAGGAGATCTGAGATTTACATCAAGTTCAAAAATCAAATTGTAAAATAAATGTGACTGACTTACATGGCACATATATTTACTATATTTATAAGTAAATAATTATATGAGATCATTCTAATAATATCACCACCAACTAATAGGATGTGGCCAACCCACGCAAGTGTAAAGGGCATGTTTTCAACTTTCTTAGATGGAGAACAGTCAATGGAAAAAATAACATCATGTTTTATGTTTGCACTCTAATGAGTTGAGAATCCTTAATATATTCACTTACAGTTGAAGTTTGACTTTATCTCAACTATTATTTCTCTTTGCATCCCTGTCCTTTTGCTTGCTCTTCAGCTTGCCCATTTCTCTTTTCTCTGTATTTAGTCCTTCATCTCCTCTTCTCAATCTTTATTATCCTTCATAATCTCTCCTCTTCCTGCATCTTTCCACCCCTCCTACACTTAAAATTTTATTACATCCTCCTGTCATTCCTCTTACTCCTCTCTTCTGCCTGATTTCTACTACTTCTCTGCATGTATTGGACCTCTACTTAGAGTTAATCATATAATTTATCGACCAAGTGGTGTCACTTTTGAAAGTAAATGAAGGTGCTATTTGTAATTTTGCTAAGGCAACAGGTACAAACCAGTACTGTCCTAGGAAAACTGGGATATATGGTCACGCTAGCTGTAGTAAAGCCCCAATTTAGGGTCCAGATGGGTAGGGAAGGTCATTATGAGAAAATGATATTAAGTCAATTTCTGTAGGATGTGTAAGAGCCAGATGAAGAGTGGGGAGAAGCATATTACTGGCAAAACAAATGAGAGTACAGAGGCGCTGAGGTGAGAATGAAGGAAGTTCAAAGTAGCTGGAGAATGGAAAAAGATGGGAAAAGTGGCATAGGCTGAGGCTGCCGATGTGGATAATAATGAGGAGCCAGATCAGGACAGGAATTGAAAAATGGACATCCAGAATTCCTGTACATGGGGGAAGGGAACTTAGATGAGGCTTTCTGGTTGAAACGAGGGCAATAGATTATTTGTCAACAAAGTTGCATTTTTATAACAAGCATAGGAATTCTATATAGAATTGCATGTTACAGGTCAATAAAAATATCACTGTTTTAAAAAGATATTTATATTATCAAATTGCATGACCTAAGGAAGCAAGAATTCTTATTGAAGAATGTTATTAATAGTTGAAATGAAGTGATGGTGAGGAATGGAGATGAAGAAAACAGAAGGGAGAGAAGGTTAAAGCCCTGCCAAAGCCATTGCTTGGCCAGGGTTAGGAGTTGACTTTTATTCTAATTGCAATGGGAAGGCAATAGGAGATATAAGCAGGGAAATGACATGATTCGATTTACATTTTTTAAAATTTTACTTTAATTTCTGGGATAACTGTGCAGAAGGTGCAGGTTTGTTACATAGGTATACTCATGCCATGGTGGTTTGCAGCACCCATCAACCTGTCATCTAGGTTTTAGCCCCGCATGCATCACGTATTTGTCCTAATGCTCTCTCTCTCTTTGCCCCCACCCTCCAACAGGCTCCAGTGTGTGATGTTCCCCTCCCTGTGTCCATGTGTTCTCATTGTTCATCTGTCATTTATGAGTGTGAACATATGGTGTTGGTTTTCTGTTCCTGGGATAGTTTACTGAGAATGATGGTTTCCATCTTCATCCATGTCCCTGCAAAAGACATTAACTCATTCTTTTTGATGGCTGCATAGTATTCCATGGTGTATATGTGCCACATTTTCTTTATCCAGTCTATCAGTGATGGGCATTTGGGTTGGTTCCAAGTCTTTGCTATTGTAAATAGTGCTACAATAAACATATGTGTGCATGTGTCATTACAGTAGAATGATTTATAATCTTTTGGGTATATACCCAGTAATGAGATTGCTGAGTCAAATAGTATTTCCGGTTCTAGATCCTTGAGGAATCGCCACACTGTCTTTCACAGTGGTTGAACTAATTTACACTCCCACCAACAGTGTAAAAGTGTTTCTATTTCTCCACATCCTCTCCAGCATCTGTTTTTTCCTGACTTTTTAATGATCGCCATTCTGACTTGTGTGACAAGGTACCTCACTGTGGTTTTGATTTCCATTTCTCTAATGACCAGTGATGATGAGCTTTTTTAAAATATGTTTGTTGGCCGCATTAATGTCTTCTTTTGAAAAGTATCTGTTCATATCCTTACGTTTGTTTTTTTCTTGTAAATTTGTTTAACTTCCTTATAGATTCTGGATATTAGACCTTTGTCAGATGGATAGATTGCAAAAATTTTCTCCCATTCTGTAGGTTGCCTGTTCACTTTGATGATAGTTTCTTTTGCTGTGCAGAGCTCTTTAGTTTAATTAGATACCATTTGTCAATTTTGGCTTTTGTTGCCATTGCTTTTGGTGTTTTAGTCATGAAGTCTTTGCCCATGCCTATGTCCTGAATGGTGTTGCCTAAGTTTTCTTCTAGGGTTTTTATGGTTTTAGGTCTAACATGTAAGTCTTTAATCCATCTTGAATTAATTTTTGTATAAGGTGTAAGGAAGGGATCCAGTTTCAGTTTTCTGCATATGGCTAGCCAGTTTTCCCAGCACTATTTATTAAACAGGGAATCCTTTCCCCATTGCTTGTTTTTGTCAGGTTTGTTGAAGATCAGATGGTTGTAGATGTGTGGTGTTATTTCTGAGGCCTCTGTTCTGTTCCATTGGTCTATATCTCTGTTTTGGTACCAGTACTATGCTGTTTTAGTTACGGTAGACTTGTAGTATAGTTTGAAGTCAGGTAGCATGATGCCTCCAGCTTTGTTCTTTTTGCTTAGGATTGACTTGGCAATGCAGGCTCTTTTTTGGTTCCATATGAAATTTAAAGTAGTTTTTTCTAGTTCTGTGAAGAAAGTAAATGGTAGCTTGATGAGAATAGCATTGAGTATACAAATTACTTTGGGCAGTATGGCCATTTTCATGATATCGATTCTTCCTATCCATGAGCATGGAATGTTTTTCCATTTGTTTGTGTCTTCTCTTATTTCCTTGAGCAGTGGTTTGTAGTTCTCCCTGAAGAGTTCCTCCACGTCCCTTGTAAGTTGTATTCCTAGGTATTTTATTCTGTTTGTAGCAATTGTGAATGGGAGTTTGCTCATGATTTGGCTCTCTGCTTGTCTATTATTGGTGTATAGGAATTCTTGCAATTTTTGCACATTGATTTTATATCCTGAGACTTTGCTGAAGTTGCTTATCAGCTTAAGGAATTTTTGGGCTAACACGATGGGGTTTTCTAAATATACAATCATGTCATCTGCAAATGAAGACAATTTGACTTCCTCTCTTCCTATTTGAATACCCTTTATTTCTTTCTCTTGCCTTATTGCCCTGGCCAGAACTTCCAATACTATGTTGAATAGGAGTGATGAGAGAGGGCATCCTTGTCTTGTGCCAGTTGTCAAAGCGTGCCAGCTTTTGCCCATTCAGTATAATATTGGCTGTGGGTTTGTCATAAATAGCTCTTATTATTTTGAGATATGTTCTATCAATACCTAGTTTATTGAGAGTTTTTAGCATGAAGGGGTGTTGAATTTTATTGAAGGTCTTTTTTGTCTCTATTGAGATAATCATGTGGTTTTTGTCATTGGTTCTGTTTATGTGATAGATTACGTTTATTAATTTGTGTGTGTTGAATCAGCCTTGCATCCCAGGGATGAAGCCGACTTGATCGTGGTGGATAAGCTTTTTGATGTGCTGCTGGATTCAGCTTGCCAGTATTTTATTGAGGATTTTCACATCGAGGTTCATCAGGGATATTGGCCTGAAATTTTCTTTTTTTGTTGTGTCTCTGCCAGGTTTTGGTATCAGGATGATGCTGTCCTCATAAAATGAGTTTAGGAGGAGTCCCTCTTTTTCTATTGTTTGCAATAGTTTCAGAAGGAATGGTACCAGCTCCTCTTTGTACCTCTGGTAGAATTCGTCTGTGAATCTGCCTCGTCCTGGGCTTTTTCTTGGTTGGTAGGCTATTAATTGCTGCCTTAATTTCAGAACTTGTTATTGGTCTATTCAGGGATTCGACTTCTTCCTGGTTTAGTCTTGGGAGGGTGTATGTGTCCAGGAATTTATCCATTTCTTCTAGATTTTCTAGTTTATTTGCATAGAGGTGTTTGTAGTACTCTCTGATGGTAGTTTGTATTTCTGTGGGATCAGTGGTGATATCCTCTTTATCATTTTTATTGTGTCTATTTGATTCTTCTCTCTTTTCCTCTTTATTAGTCTGGCTAGCAGTCTATTTTGTTAATCTTTTCCAAAAAACAGCTCCTGGATTTATTGATTTTTTTTGAGGGTTTTTCGTATCTCTGTAACAAGATAGTTATTTCTTGTCTTCTGCTAGCTTTTGTATTTGTTTGCTCTTGCTTCTCTAGTTCTTTTAATTGTGATGTTAGGGTGTCAATTTTAGGTCTTTCCTGCTTTCTCTTGTGGGCATTTAGTGCTATAAATTTCCCTCTTAACACTGTTTTAGCTGTGTCCCAGAGATTCTGGTACATTGTCTCTTTGTTCTCATTGGTTTCAAAGAACTTATTTATTTCTGCCTTAGTTTCGTTATTTACCCAGTAGTCATTTGGGAGCAGGTTGTTCAGTTTCCATGTAGTTGTGCAGTTTTGATTGAGTTTCTTAATCCCGATTTCTAATTTGATTGCACTGTGGTCTGAGAGACTGTTTGTTTTGATTTCCATTCTTTTGCATTTGCTGAGGAGTGTTTTAATTCCAATTATGTGGTCGATTTTAAAACAAATGCTATGTAGTGCTGAGAAGAATGTATATTCTGTTGATTTGGGGTGGAGAGTTCTGTAGATATCTATTAGGTCTGCTTGGTCCAGAGCTGAATTTAAGTCCTGAATATCCTTGTTAATTTTCTGTCTCGTTGATCTGTCTAATATTGGCAGTGGGGTGTTAAAGTCTCCCACTATTATTGCGTGGGAGTCTAGGTCTCTTTGTAGGTCTCTAAGAACTTGTTTTATGAATCTGGGTGCTCCTGTATTGGGTGCATATATATTTAGGATAGTTAGCTCTTCTTGTTGCATGGATCCGTTTACCATTATGTAATGCCCTTCTTTGTCTTTTTTGATCTTTGTTGATTTAAAGTCTGTTTTATCAGAGACTAGGATTGCAACTCTTATTTTTTTTGCCTTCCATTTGCTTTGTAAATATGATTTACACTTTAAAGCAATTGCTGTAGGTACTCTGTGGAGAACTGATTGTAGAAGGGGAAATATTTGAAGTAGGGAGGTCACTTAAGAGACTCTTATGCCAGTGGCCTCAACTAGGATGATATAGAGATAAGTTGATATATATTTGAGGTAGAATATTAAGGATTTTGTGGTATTTTTAATATGGGATAAGAGATCAGGTAAAGTAAGCAGTGATGGAAGACTCATAAATTTCTGGTTTGGGAATCTGAATGTATGTCGGTGGTATTCACTGAGTTGAAAAAGTCAAGTGAAGGAATACATAATGTTTGTGAGAAGGATACATTATAAGATATCAATATGAGACATGTTAATTTTGAATGTACTGAGAGATTTCCAATTATAGAATGGAGATAGGCAGTTGCATTATGGGTCTAAAAATCATAGGCCAAGTTAGTAGAGGAGATACAGATTTGGGAGCAGGAAACATAAAATGGTGTTTTAAACCTCCTTTCCTGAACCTGTTTACATTTCACTGTAGAGACATTACAGAGGAAGTGCTGAGGAAAAGCATGCACCTGAAAGGGAGGTTGCTATGCAACAGATGAGGAAAGTCATTCAGCCAGGCAGAATTGAAGTTGGCCTTTGGGAACAAAATGCTGCCGTCCTTCCTAGCATTAGTTGCCTTTCATATGAAGGCTTCTGGCATGAGTTGATGCCAGAACAAATGTGAACTGCACAAAGATCTGTCTTGAATTTTGGAAAAGTATCAGTTTAATTTGAGTCAGCTCACATCTGTATTTAATTTTCTGCCTTTTTGAGTTTCTCCAGTTATCCTGGAAGCATAGCAGCATGTGCGTCCTTGGGTAGGACCCAATTACTGTGCATTCCACTTTGCACATTGAGAAACCAAGCTCAGAGAATTGAGTGGCCTGAGCGGGCTCACACATCTTGAGACAGACAGGCTGGGCACTCCATCCCTGGAATTCTGATGCCCAGCGCAGGTTCTCTCCATAAGACCACAGCTGCCCCAGGCCCCAGCTCTGAAAGGAACCAGGGCTTGCCATGGCTCAGACACATAGGTCTGATTGTCCTGGCTCTTCCAGTGGGCACCAGGAAGGCCTCAGGGACATTGTGATTGTGTCCCTGATAAGGAAGAGGCCTGAGGTTCTGAGTACAGAGTGGATACCAAGGAGCAATTCTCATGCCTGGATGGACCCACACAGGGCAGGGGGAGGGTGGGGGCCTCTGCTTGTGTCCTCCTGAATGCAGAGCATGAGCTTGGACCTCCTAGAACACAAACGTTGCTTATTTGGAGCAAATGTTGGGGTGGAGGAGGTCTGTCATTCAAATGGGAAGGGTGCCTCGGTCCCCAGGCCAGCATGAGCAGAATGTGAACTTTGGAGTTAGGACGACCCAGGCTCAAACTTCTTTTTGTAATTTCAACTTTTATTTTCGATTTAGGAGGTAAATGTGCAAGTTTGTTACATGGGTATATTGCGTGATGCTGAGGTTTGGGGTATGAATGATCCCATCACTCAGGTAATGAGCATAGTACCCAATAGGTAATTTTTTAGCCCTTGCCCCACTTAATTTATCCATTCTCTAGTAGTCCACAGTGTGTATTTTTACCATCTTTATCTCCATGTGTACTCAATGCTTAGCTCCCACTTATACGTGAGAACATGAGGTATTTGGTTTTCTGTTCCTGCATTAATTCACTTAGGATAATGGCCTCCAGTTGCATCCATGTTCCTGAAAAGGACATGATTTCATTATGCTTTTTGTGGCTCTGTAGTATTCTATGGTGTATATGTACCACATTTTCTTTTTTTTTATTATTATTATACTTTAAGCTTTAGGGTACCTGTGCATTATGTGCAGGTTAGTTACATATGTATACATGTGCCATGCTGGTGTGCTGCACCCATTAACTCGTCATTTAGCATTAGGTATATCTCCTAAAGCTATCCCTCCCCCCTCCCCCCACCCCACAACAGTCCCCAGAGTGTGATGTTCCCCTTCCTGTGTCCATGTGTTCTCATTGTTCAATTTCCACCTATGAGTGAGAATATGCTGTGTTTGGTTTTTTGTTCTTGTGATAGTTTACTGAGAATGATGATTTCCAATTTCATCCATGTCCCTACAAAGGACATGAACTCATCATTTTTTATGGCTGCATAGTATTCCATGGTGTATATGTGCCGCATTTTCTTAATCCAGTCTATCATTGTTGGACATTTGGGTTGGTTCCAAGTCTTTGCTATCATGAATAGTGCCGCAATAAACATACGTGTGCATGTGTCTGTATAGCAGCATGATTTATAGTCCTTTGGGTATATACCCAGTAATGGGATGGCTGGGTCAAATGGTATTTTCAGCTCTAGATCCCTGAGGAATCACCACACTGACTTCCACAATGGTTGAACTAGTTTCCAGTCCCACCAACAGTGTAAAAGTGTTCCTGTTTCTCCACATCCTCTCCAGCACCTGTTGTTTCCTGACTTTTTCATGATTGCCATTCTAACTGGTGTGAGATGGTATCTCATTGTGCTTTTGATTTGCATTTCTCTGATGGCCAGTGATGGTGAGCATTTTTTCATGTGTTTTTTGGCTGCATAAATGTCTTCTTTTGAGAAGTGTCTGTTCATGTCCTTCGCCCACTTTTTGATGGGGTTGTTTGTTTTTTTCCTGTAAATTTGTTTGAGTTCATTGTAGATTCTGGATATTAGCCCTTTGTCAGATGAGTAGGTTGCAAAATTTTCTCCCATTTTGTAGGTTGCCTGTTCACTCTGATGGTAGTTTCTTTTGCTGTGCAGAAGCTCTTTAGTTTAATTAGATCTCATTTGTCAATTTGGGCTTTTGTTGCCATTGCTTTTGGTGTTTTAGACATGAAGTCCTTGCTTGTGCCTATGTCCTGAATGGTAATGCCTAGGTTTTCTTCTAGGGTTTTTATGGTTTTAGGTCTAACGTTTAAGTCTTTAATCCATCTTGAATTAATTTTTGTATAAGATGTAAGGAAGGGATCCAGTTTCAGCTTTCTACATATGGCTAGCCAGTTTTCCCAGCACCATTTATTAAATAGGGAATCCTTTCCCCATTGCTTGTTTTTCTCAGGTTTGTCAAAGATCAGATACTTGTAGATACATGGCGTTCTTTCTGAGGGCTCTGTTCTGTTCCATTGATCTATATCTCTGTTTTGGTACACATTTTCTTTATCTATTACACTACTGATGGGCACCTGGGTTGGTTCCATGTCTTTGCTGTTGTAAATAGCATGGTAATGAACTTATGAATGCATGTTTCTTTTAGGTATAATAATCTATTTTCTTTTGGATATATATCTAGTAATGGGATTGCTGGGTCAAATTGTAGCTCTGTTTTAAGTTCTTTGAGAAATGTCCAGCTCTGTTTTAAGTCCTTTGAGAAATATCTAGACTACTTTCCACAGTGGCTAGACTAATTTACATTCCCACCAATAGCATATAAGCATTCCTTTTTCTCTGCAGCCTTGCCAGCATCTGTTGTTTTTTTAACTTTTTAATAACAGCCATTCTGAGTGGTGTTAAATGGTATCTCATTATGATTTTGATTTGCATTTCTCTAATGATAGTGATGTTGAGCATTTTTTCGTATGTTCTTTGGCCACTTGTATGTCTTCTTTTGAGAAGTGTCAGCCAGGTGTGGTGACACATGCCTGTAATCCCAGCACTTTGGGAGGCTGAGGAGGGCAGATTGCTTGAGTCCAGCAGTTCAAGGCTAGCCTAGGCAACATGGTGAAACCCTGTCTCTACAAAAAACAAAAAAGTTAGCCGGGTGTGGTGATGCACACCTGTAGTTCCAGCTGCTCAGGAGGCTGAAGTGGGAGGATCACTTGAGCCTAGGAGATTGAGGCTGCACTGAGCCATAATTTTGCTACTGCACTCCTTCCTGGGTGACAGAGTGAGACCCTGTCTCAAATAAACAACAACAACAACAACAAAACACACACACACAAAAACAGAGAAATGTTCATGTCCTTTGCCCATCTTAAATTTTTTTTGCTTGTTGAATTATTTAAGTTCCTTGTAGATTCTGGATATTAGACATTTGTTGAATGCATAGTTTGAGAATACTTTCACCTATTCTGTAGGCTGTTTACTCCGTTGATAATTTCTTTTGCTGTGCAGAAGCTCTTTAGTTTAATTAGGTCCTACTTGTCAATTTTTGGTTTTGTTGCAATTTCTATTGAGGACTTTTAGCCAATAATTCTTTCCCAAGATCAACGTCCAGAATGGTGTTTTTAAGGTTTTCTTCTAGGATTCTTATCGTTTAAGGTATTGTATTTAAATCTTTAATCCATCTTGAGCTGATTTTTGTATATGGTGTAAGGAACGGGGTCCAGTTTCAATCTTCTGCTTATGGCTAGCCAGTTATCCCAACACCATTTATTGAATAGAGAGTTCTTTCCTCCTTGCTTATTTTTGTCAACTTTGTTGAAGATCAGATGGCTGTGGGTGTGAAGCTTCATTTCTGGGTTCTTTATTCTCTTCCATTGGTTTATGTTTCCGTTTTTGTACCAGTACCATACTGCTTTGGTTACTGTAGCCTTATAGCATGGTTTGAAGTTGGGGAATGTGCTGCCCAGGACCAAATTTTAAATTTTGTTTACTAGCTCTGTGGCTTTGTCTAGTTCATGCAATATGTATGTCTATGCCTCAGCTTCTTGTCTGTAAAATGAAGATGCTGACATCCACTTCCCAGAGCTGCTATGAGAGGAAGACAAGCCCCATAACAGATCCTGCTGTGATATCCAAGTCTGCCTTGCCCTTCTGTCCTTCCCCAGCACACACAAAATAAGTTCATTGCTGGGCCTACACAACAGGCAGGGAAGATACAGGCAATTCATGAGTGAGGTGCTCATGTGGAGGCACTCGGCCCCCATTTATGCGTCTTCTCTCAGTCCTTGCTTTTCCTCAGCCCTAGAGCTGAGGAGTTTTTCAAGAGGTATTTGATGTAGCACTTGTTTCAGTTAGAGGCCCTCATAAAGATCTCTTTTAGAGAAGCAGCTGATATCTTCTACTGGCCACCTTGTGGAAAGTCCTGTGGTTCACAGTATTTCATGTTGTTGACACTCAGCAAAGATACTGCCTAAGGAGGCTGATCCATGGCAATTGGACTCACAGAAGTAATTATAGAACAGAAGCCAATTTATTAACATAAACTCATTTTGACTGCCTGGTGCTCACTCTTGTGCACCTTCTCTCCCAATAAAGGAAAACAGTCACAGGTAACTTGAGGGAGGGGAATTGATGGTCATGTCAGTGGCTGGAATTCTTGAGTTAAAATTTTCCATTCACAGAAGCTTTTACATGGAATGTCTGGTTACAAATTTTGGTGGTCTGCAGACAAGTTAGTTTGTCTATGTTCCAAGTTTGAAGCATGAAGAAACAGAAAAACCAAATAGACCAATAATAAGTAAAGACATTGGATCAATAAGAAAGCCTCCCAACAACAAAAGGCCAGGGACCAAATAGCTTCATTTTTGAATTCTACCAAACTTTAAAAGAAAAACTAATATCAATTTATCTCAAAATATTTCCAAAAATTGAAGATGAGGGAATTCTCCCTAACTCATCCTATAAGCCTAGCATTACCCTGGGCCCATACAAAAATCAAAATCAGACAAGGCCCCCCCCCACCCCAAAAAATGAAATTACAGTACAATATTTCTGATGAGTACTGATGCAAAAATCCTCCACAAAATATTAGCACACTGAATCCAACAGCATATCAAACAGGTTATTCACTATGAGCAAGCTAAATTTATTCTAGGGATGCAATAATGGTTCAACATGCACGTATCTATAAATGTGACAAATGTGACACATAACATTAACAAATGAAGGATGAAAAGCATATGATTATCTCAATAGATGTGGAAAACTCATTTGACAAAGTTCAGCATCTCTTCACGATAAAAAACCTCTCAACAAATTAGGCATAAAAAGAACATTCCTCAAAAAAATGAAGGCCATATATGACAAACCCACCACTAACATTATACTTAATGGAGAAAAATAGAAAGTCTTTCCTTTAAGATCTGGAACAAGACAAGAATGCCCATGTACACCACTTTTGTTCAACATAGTATTGGAAATCCTAGCTAGAGCAATTAGGCAAGAAAAAGAAATAAAGAGCATTTATATTGGAAAAAAATAAGTCAAATTGTCCTTGTTTTCAGATGACATAATCTTATACTTAGAAAAACTTAACAACCCCACCAAAAAAACTTGAAACTGATAAATGAATTCAGTAAAGAGGCAGGATACAAAATCAGGACTCACAAATCAGTAGCATTTATATATACCAACAGCAAACAATCTGAAAAAAGGAATCAAGACATCAATTCCATTTACAATAGCTATAAAAATGGAATACTTAAGAATTAATTAAACAAAGAAGTCAAAGATCTCTGCAATGAAAACTATAAAACACCGATGAAGGATATTGAAGAGGACACAAAAAACGGAAATATATCCCATGTACATGGATTGGAAGAATTAATATTGTTAAAATGTCCATACTACCCAAAGCAATCTACAGATTCAATGCAATCCCTATCAAAATACCAATGTCATCCTTCACAGAAACAGAAAAAGTAATTCTAAAATGTATATGGAACCAAAAAAGACCTTGAATAGCCACAGTGATTCTGAGCAAAATGAACAAAGCTGGAGACATCACATTATCTGACTTCAAAATATACTCCACAGGTATAACTAAAACAGCACGGTACTGGCATAAAAACAGCCACATAGACCAATGTATCAGAATAGAAAACCCAGAAGTAAATCTATACATTTACAGCTAACTCATTTTTGACAAAGACATCAAGAACAAAGACGTAAATATCAAACCTGAAACTATGAAACTTCTAGAAAAAACACATTGGGGAAATGCTTCAGGACATTGGTCTTGGTAAAACTTTTGTGTAGGACCTCAAAAGCACAGGCAGCTAAAGCAAAAATAGACAAATCGAATTATGTCAAGCTAAAACCTTCTGAACAGCGAAAGACACAACAGATTGAAGAGGCAACCTACAGAATGGGAGAAAATGTTTGCAAACTATTCATGTGACAAGGGATTATTAACCAGAATATATAAGAAACTCAAAGAACTCAACAGTGAAAAAAACAAATAATCTGATCTTAAAATAGGCAAATGATCTGAATAGACATTTCTCAAAAGAAGACATTCAATGGCAAACAGATATATTAAAAGTACTCAACATTGCTAATCATCAGGGAAATGAAAATCAAAACCATGAGGCATAATCTCATCCCAGTTAATACTGCTATTACCAAAAAGACAAAAAGTAACAGATGCTGGCGAGACTGTAGAGAAAGGGAAACTCCTGTATATTGTTAGTGCAAATGTAAATTAGTACAGGCATTTTGGAAAACAGTATGTAGGTTTCTAAAAAATCTAAAAATAGGAATACCATATGATCCAGCAATCCCACTGCTGGACATATATCCAAACAAAGAGAAATCATATCAGCATGCCCATGTTTACTGCAGCACTATTTGCAGTAGCCGAGATATAAAATCCATCTAAATCCCCATCAATAGATGAATGGATAAAGAAAATGTGGTGTATTTATACACAATTGAATAATATTCAGCCATCAAAAGAATGAAATCCTGTCATTTGAAGCAACATAGATGAACCTGGAGGGCACTGTGCAACAGATGAATGGAGAAACAAATGTGGTATATCCATACAATGGAATATTACTCGACCATAAACAGGAACAAAGTACGATTGAGTCTTGAACAATGGTCGGGGGTGGGGCTAGCTGTGCCCATCCTCCACACAGTTGAAAACTCACGTCTAACTTTAGACTCCCCCAAAACTTAACTGCTAATAGCCTACTGTTGACTGGAAGACTTACTGGTAACATAAACAGTTGATTAAAACCTATTTTCTGTTATATATATTATATACTCTATTCTTACAGTAAAATAAGATAGAGAAAAGAAAATGTAATTAAGAAAATCATAAGAAAGAGAAAATATACTTACTATATTTTACCACAATAAAAAATAAACTTAAAAAATATTTTAGTGGGCCTGTCAGCAGCCAGGTCATCCTCTCACAGCTAGACTGCCTCAGACAAAAGTACTACACATATTTTTTGCTGCTTAGATGTCCCCTTCATAGATTCCATACAGCCCACCTCCCTCCTTCCTACACAGTCCTTTCTTTATTTTTTAGTGTAATTATTAAGTTTTAATTGAGATATTTATATAACTTTTTACTTTACAGATCATTTACTCTCTTTCCAGGCATCAAAGAATCATTTATAAAAATTTATTTTATACCAACTCACAAAGAAAACCTCAAAAAATTCCCAAAAGTAGAAAGTATAAAACAACCTTCTCTGTGACCACAATGCCAAAAGCAATCTAGAGCAATGCTGTTTAAAAGAACTTTGTGTAATGATGGAAATAGTCCATATCTGCAGTGTCCAATATGGTGATCACTAGCCACATGAGACTAGTGGGCACTTGAAATGTGGCTACTTTATTGGAGGGACTGATTTTTAACTTTTAGTTAATTGTGATTAATCTGAATGTAACTAGCCACATGTGGCCAGTGGCAACCATATTGGACAGGGCAAATCTAGGAAATTAGAACAAAAGTTAAACAGAAACCATACTTTTAAGTTAAAAAGCACTTGTACCCACAAATAAAACTGTGCATACACATATACATGCACACTCTCACACATGCACTTCAAAGTAACTATTGAATTAAAGAGAAGAGCAAATCCACAGGGCACTTAGAAAATGAAAACATTGCATATATCAAAGCAAACAGGATGCATATAAAACTACATATTCATAGTATTAAATATTTTCTTCCTTATTAAAGAAAAAGAAGCAAAACAAGTGAACTAGACACTACAATCCAGACATCAAAGATAAGCACAGAAACCTTTTAATGAAAATCAGAAAACTAGAAATTATCATAAATCCAGGAGCTGATCATTTGGAAAAAAAAAAATGGATTTTTTTTTTTTTTGTAAATCACATGAAGAAAAAACTGAAATTAAAATAAGAAATTATAATAGGATGTACACTTTTATATAAATATACAATGTGATATAAAACTATTCTAATAAATTTAAAATCTTGATACTAATCAAATTAGAATCAAATCAGAATATTAGCAAAAACTACTTGAGAAATAAAAAGAAATAAAAAATTTTTGAAATTCTAATTTTTATTTTAGATACGGGGGTACATGTGATTTGTTATATGGGAATATTGCATGATGCTGAGGTTTGGAGTATTGATCCTGTCACCCAGGTAGTGAACATAGTGTCAAATAGGTAGGTTTTTAACCTACCCTTCTTCTCTCCATCCTCTAGTATTCCACAGTGACTATTGTTCCTATATTTATGTCCATATATATTCAATGATTATCTTCCACTTCTAAGTGAGAATATACAGTATTTGGTTTTCCATTCTTGCATTAATTTGCTCAGGATTATGGCCTGTAGCTCCATCGATGTTGCTGCAAAGGACATGATTTTATTTCTATTTATGGCCGTGTAGTGTTCCATGGTATATATGTACCACATTTTCTTTATCCAGTCTACCATTGATGAGCACCTAGGTTGATTCCATATCTTTGCTATTGTGAATAGAGTGGTGATGAACATATGAATGGGTGCTTCTTTTTGATATAATAATTTATTTTCACCTCGCAGAGATACAACAAAAAAAAGAGAAAACTTCAGGCCAATATCCCTGATGAACATCGATGCAAAAATCGTCAACAAAATACTGGCAAACTGAAATGAGCAGCACATCAAAAAGCTTATTTACCACGATCAAGTAGGCTTTATCCCCAGGATGCAAGTCTGGTTCAACATATGCAAATCAAAAAATGTGATTCATCCCATAAGCAAAACTGAAGACAAAAACCACACGATTATCTCAATAGATGCAGAAAAGGCCTTTGATAAAACTCAACATCCCTTTATGTTAAAAACTTTCAATAAACTAGGTATTGAAGTAACATACCTCAAAATAATAAGAGCCATCTATGACAAACCCACAGCCAATATCGTAATGAATGGGCAAAAGCTGGAAGCATTTCCCTTGAAAACTGGCACAAGACAAAGTTGCCCTCTCTCATCACTCTTATTCAACATAGTATTGGAAGTTTTGGTCAGGGCAATCAGGCAAAAGAAAGAAACAAAGGGTATTCAAATGGGAAGAGAGGAAGTCAAACTATCTTTGTTTGCAGATGACATGATCCTATATCTAGAAAACCCCATCGTCTCAGCCCAAAAGCTTCCTAAGCTGATAAGCAACTTCAGTAAAGTCTCAGGATACAAAACCAATGTGCAAAAATTGCTAGCATTCCTATACACAAACAACAGGGAAGCTGAGGGCCAAATTATGATTGAACTCCCATTCACAATTGCCAAAAAAAGAACAAAATACCTAGGAATACAGCTAACAAGGTAAGTGAAGGACCTCTTCAAGGAGAACTACAAACCATGGCTCAAAGAATCAGAGATGACACAAACAAATGGAAAATCATTCCGTGCTCATGGATAGAAAGAGTCAATATTGTGAAAATGGCGATACTGCCCAAAGCAATTTATACATTCAATGCTATGCCCATTACACTACCATTGACGTTCTTCACAGAATTAGAAAAAACTATTTTAAAATTCAAATGGAACCAAAAAAGAGCCCAAATAGCCAAGGCAATTCCTAAGCAAAAAGAACAAAGCTGGAGGCATCGTGCTATTTGACTTCAAACTATACTACAGGGTGACAATAAGCAAACCAGCATGGTACTGCTACAAAAGTAGACTAATGGAATACAATAGTAAACTCAGAAATTAGACCACACATCTACAGCCAACTGATCTTTGACAAACCTGTTGAAAACAAGCAATGGGGAAATGATTCCCTATTTAATAAATGGTGCTGGGAGAACTGGCTAGCCTTATGCAGAAAATTAAAACTGGACCCCTTCCTTACACCATATACACAAATCAACTCAAAATGGATCCAAGACTTAAATGTAAAACTCAAAACTGTAAAAACCCTAGAAGAAAACCTAGGCAGTACCATTCAGGACATAGGCATGTGCAAACATTTCATGATGAACATGCCAAAAGCAATTGCAACAAAATCAACAACTGACAAATGGGATGTAATTAAACTAAAGAGCTTCTGCACAGCAAAAGAAATTATCAACAGAGTAAACAGACAACTTACGGAATGGGAGAACATTTTTGCAAACTATGCATCTGACAAAGGTCTAATATCCAGTATCTATAAGGAACTTAAACAAATTTAAAATAAAAAACAAACAACCTCATTAAAAAGTGAAAAAAAGACATGAACAGACACTTCTCAAAAGAAGACATACATACATACATGCAGCCAACAAACGTATGAAAAAAATCTTCACTGTTCATTAGAGAAATGCAAATCAAAACCACAATGAGATACCATTTCATGCCAGTCAGAATGGCTCTTATTAAAAAGTCCAAAAACAACAGATGCTAGTGAGGTTGCAGATAAAAAGGAATGCTTTTATGCTGTTGTTGGGAGTGTAAATTAGTTCAACAATTGTGGAAGACAGTGTGGTGATTTCTCAGAGATGTAGAGGCAGAAATACCACTTGACCCAGCAATCTCATTATTAGGTATATACCTAATAATTACCATATATATATATATTTCTATTATAAAGATATATGCACGTGTATGTTCATTGCAGCACTATTCACAAATGCCCATCAATGATAGACTGGATAAAGAAAATGTCGTATATACACCATGGAATACTATGCAGCCATAAAAAGAAGTGAGACAATGTCCTTTGCAAGGACATGGATGGAGCTGGACGCCACTGTCTTTAGCAAACTAATGCAGGAACAGAAAACCAAATACCAAAAACCGTGTTCTCACTTATAAGTGGAAGCTAAATGATGAGAACACATGGACACATGGGGGAGGAAATAACACATTGGGGTCTTTGGAGGGTCGGGGATGGGAGGAGGGAGAGGATCAGGAAGAATAGCTAATGGATGCTGGGCTTAACACCTAGGTGATAGGTTGGTCTGTGCAGTAAACAACCATGGCACACATTTACCTACGTAACAAACCTGCACATCCTTTACATGTAACCCTGAACTTAAAATAAAAGTTGGAAATCAAAAAAAATAATTATCTATTTTCTTTTGGGTATGTGATAGGATTGCTGGTTCGAATGGTAACTCTGTTTTAAGTTCTTTGGGAAATGACCAGACTGCTTTCCATGGTGGCTGGGCCAATTTACATTCCCACCAACAGTGTATAAATATTCCCTTTTCTCTGCAGCCTTGCCAGCATCTGTTATATTTTGACTTTTAAATAATAGCCATTCTGACTGGTGAAAGATGGTGTCTCATTTTGGTTTTAATTTGCGTTTCTCTGATGATTAGTGATGCTGACCATTTTTTTGCGTGTTTATTAGCTGCTTGTATGTCTTATTTTGAAAAGCGACTGTTCACATAATTTGCCTATTTTTAATGGGGTTTGTTTTTTTGCTCCATGCAGTTTTTTCTCATACAAAACACAGTGTCATTATATTAGGTATTAATATCAATATAGCTTTACCTCCTCCACATGAGAATCTGGCCACTGGTGGGAGGAGTGTCCTCAGGCTTCCCACATCTACAAATGCTCTCTAGGATTAATCTTAAAGATAATTTTATTCCTTAAATTGTGGTTTTTCCTCACCCTTTCCTAATGCCATGAAAATATTACTCAAAAAGATGTGTTTTTTTTTTGTAAGAGCAGAAAAGTATGCTAACTGTGGATTTACATTCTTTGTAATATAATAAAATAATTCCATATTGTTGGACATTCAGGTATTTTCCAATTTTTACAATTGCATATGAAGCATGAATATTTTTACTTTTAAATATTAAAGTAAATCTCTGATTGTTTCTTTGCAGTTAATTCCTAAAACTGGAATCATTGATATGTGACCATATGAACATTTCTAAAGCTTTCATCAATACATTTCTCTCCGGAATAGCTGTACCAATTCATAATGCTACAGCTATGTGTGAATGCCAGTTCTACTGCATTATCATCAACACTGGCCACTATTCTCTAAATATTTGCCGACCTCATATTGTTTTTATTTTGAGACAGAGTCTCACTCTGTTGCCCAGGCTGGAGTGCAGTGGTGCGATCTTGGCTCACTGCAACCTCTGCCTCCTGGGTTTAAGCAATTCTCGTGCCTCAGATTCCCAAGTAGCTGGGATTACAGATGTGCACCACCATGCCTGGCTAATTTTTTTGTATTCTTAGTAGAGACAGGATTTCACCATGTTGGCCAGGCAGTTCTCAAACTTCTGACCTCAAGTGATCCACCTGCCTTGGCCTCCCAAAGTGCTGGGATTACAGACGTGAGCCATCACAGCTGGCCGCCAACCTCGTATTTGAAAAATAAGTGATTTAATATTGTTTTATTTAAAAATATATTTACTGCCTTTTAATTATAGAAACCATTTATATTTATCTAGGAAACTGGAAAATACATAAGAGAATGAAGAACAAAATAAAGTCTATAATCTTACACTAATATAACTACTGTTATCATTTTAAATATTTTGTTTACATTTAGTTGTTTATTCAATTATCATTGACTCCTTCTTTCTCTTCACATTCAATATCCAACCAATCTTTCAGGAAAATATTTTGGTTTTATCTTCAAAATATATTTAAAATTTGGCAACTTATTACCAGTTCTATAGTTATCACTCTGGTTCCAACCACCATCATTGCTCATGTGGACCATTACAATAGTATTTTCACTGGTGATATGGTTTGGTTCTGTGTCCCTACCCAAATCTCGTCTTGAATGGTAATCCCCTCCTGTTGAGGGAGGGACCTGGTGGGAGGTGATTGGACCATGGGGGTGGTTTCCTCCATGCTGTTCTAGTGATATTGAGTGAGTTGTCACGAGATCTAATGGTTTAAAAGTGTTTGGCAGTTCCCCCCTTGCTCTCTCTCTCTCCTGCAGCCATGTGAAGAAGGTCCTTGCTTCGCTTTCACCTTCCACTATGATTGTAAGTTTCTTGAGGCCTCCCCAGCCATGCAGAACTGTGAGTCAATTAAACCTTTTTTCTTCATAAATTACCCAGTCTTAGGTAGTTCTTTATAGCAGTGTGAAAATGGACTAATACAACTGGTCTCCTTACTTTGACCCTGTCTCAGGCAGTCTCCTCTCCACACAGCATCTGGAGGTATCCTGTGACATCTTATGTCACTTCTCTGCTCAAAATCTTTCCATATTTCTTATCAAACTCAGAGGAAAATTAAAGTTGTTACAGTGGTTTATAAAGTCTAACTGGATTCATTTATCACCTCTATGATCTAATTGCCTCACCGTCTCATCCACTCCACTGTAGCCATATTGGCTTCCTTCCAGATCCTTAAATATACCAGGCTTGCTCTCCCACTTTAGGTATTTTTCTCAGCTGTTTTCATTGACAGAAATACTCTTCCATAATACAGCTGCATGACTAATTCCCCCCATTAGCTCAAGTGAGCACCCCAAGAATATTCTGATCCCCTTTGTTATGCTCTATTTTTCTCTTCTACACAACTCTTATTTTGTAATGCACTATATGGTTATTTACAGAATATTTCTTCCACTAGAAAATAAGATTCAAAAGGGAAGAAATATTTGGGTGTTTTGTCTTATGTTTCTGAAGAACATTAAACAAGGACCTGACACATAGAAGGCACTTAGTAAATATTTTCCATGGTCTACAGTGACCATAAAGTCATAACAAACCAATTGCTTATGAGAGATACAACTGTTCCTGCTAATAATACAATTCCTTTGTTTTGATGGCAAATAACATCCTTAATAACAGTGATTTGCTTATCAGTAAAACATGGATATTTGTACCAATCTAACTTACAGGTTTGTCATAAGAACTAAAATAGATAACATATTTAAAGAACTTACTGCTTTGCACATAGTATACACTCAATAAATGTTAGCTACACTATTTTATAGTGCTTATGAGTGCTTTGCTCAGGAGTTAGTCCTGGGTTTATCATCTCTTTCTTCCACTACTGGTTACATGGTATTGGTCAATTTACTTAATAATGTATATACAAGGGGATATTATTCAGCCCTAGAAAAAAAGAAAATCCTGCCCTCTGTGACAATATGGTTGAACCTGGTAGACATTATGCTAAGTGAATTAAGCTAGACACAGAAAGAAAATTACTGCGTAATCTTATTTACATGTGGAATCTTAAAAAGTTGAATTCATAGAAGCAGAGAGTAGAATGGTAGTTACAGGAGGAGGGGAAGAATGGGAGATGGTGGTCAAAGGGTACAAAGTTTCAATGGTGCAGAATGAATAATTTCTAGCGATCTAATGTACAGCATGGGGACAGTAGTTAATACCTATGTGGATATTTAAAATTTGCTAAAAGGTTAGATCTTGAGTATTCTTACCATAAAAATGTAACTATGTGAAGAGATAGATATGTTAATTAGCTTGACTGTAATAATCAGTTTACTGTTTATTTATATCAAAACATCACACTGTACATATTAAACACACAAAATTTTAAGTTAAAAACATAAATGTTATATGTTTTTACCACAATACAAAAAAAAACCAAAGAAAAAAACAGGCAATTTTTTGTGTGCGAAATCCAGAGAAGGGACAGAGTTAATGAGTTTTCCTGTAGTTCTAGAAATTATTGAAAAATGGAGAAGATACAAATCAAGATTATCTAAATGTCCAAAGTTCAAACATGTGGGGTACATATGATAATTAAATACATTCACATAATTTGTAAAGGTCAAGTCATTGTAATTGGGATATCCATCACCTTAAATATTTGTCTTTATGCTGGAAAGATTTGATATATGCATATAATCTAAAAGATTCAAAAGCAGAATCTTGAAGAGATATTTGCACACTCATTTTCATAGCAATTCTATTCACAATACCTAATGAGATTGGAAGTATTCTTCTAGCTGTTTTGGAATATACAGTAGATTGTACAGACAGTTACCCTACTGATCTATCAAACACTAGGTCTTATTTCTTCTATCAAACTGTATATTTGTACCCTTTAATCAACCTCTCTTCATCCACCTCTCCCCCATATGCTCCCTGGCTCTGGCCATCACCAGTATACACTCTATCTTCTTATGTTTTCCTCTTTAAATTGGCTGCTAGAAACTTAGGGTCATATTTGCGGTTCACCTAATGGTGTTCCTTCTGTGTTTTAACTTCTTAATATTGATTTTATTTTTTTCTACCCATTTCCCTTTTGTCTTAATTATTTTCAAATGTTAATTACATGTTGTGTGAATCATATGCATTCTCAAAGCAAATTTTAAAATAATTACAAAAGTATTAAAGTGCATATAATTACATATGCACTTACATATAATCAAATAAATATTATTTAAGCCAAAACAATGAGATATTTTTCAGCTACCAAATTGTCGATAGTTAAAAATTATTCAGTGCTATAATGAATACAGCGTATGACACTATTATATGTTTTTAGTGAAAGGAATTTAGCAATATGTGTTAAATGTGGCCAAATATGCAAAAAGTTCAATGTTGCATTATTGAAATAAAATAAAAGGCAATAAAGAAATTGTTAGGCAACATATGACGATTCTTACCCTCTAGTATTGGGCAATCAGTCATTAAATGGTGTTTACAAAGAAATTTGAATTGTAAAGGGAGAAGCCCTGATTATATAATGTGTAGCAAATAAATATTTAGGATTCGGCCAGGCGCGGTGGCTCACGCCTGTAATCCCAGCACTTTGGGAGGCCAAGGCTGGTGGATCACAAGGTCAGGAGATCGAGACCATCCTGACTAACACGGTGAAACCCCGTCTCTACTAAAAAAATACAAAAAAAAAAAAAAATTAGCCGGGCGTGGTGGCGGGCGAGGCAGGAGAATGGCGTGAACCCGGGAGGCGGAGTTTGCAGTGAGCCGAGATCGCGCCACTGCACTACAGCCTGGGTGACAGAGCAAGACTCTGTCTCAAAAAAAAAAAAAAAAAAAAAAAGAAAGAAAGAAATATTTAGGATTCTGCTATAGTTTGGATGTTTGTCCCCTCAAACCTCATGTTGAAATTTGATCTCCAGCATTGAAGGTGGTGCTAATGAGAGGTGTTTGGGTCACTGGGGCAGGTCCCTCACGAATGGTTCGGTGCTGTCCTCACTGTAATAGGTGATTTCTCACTCTGATAGCTTCCAAGAGAGCTGGTTGTTAAAAAGGGCCTGGTACCTCCCTCTCCTTTCTTGCTTTCTCTCTTGCCATGGGATCTCTGCACACGTCAGCTTCGCTAACCTTCTGCCATGAATGAAAGCAGTCTGAGGCCCTCACCAGAAGCAGATGCTGGTGTCACGCTACTTGTGCAGCCTGCAGAACCATAAGCCAAATAAACCTCTCTTCTTTATAAATTAATAGCCTCAGATATTCCTTTTGTAGCAACACTAAATGGACTAAAGTAGATTCAATACTGGATAATATATTATCTTGCGTGCAAAATTTTTTTCTTAAATGTTGAGAAGACTATCCAAAAGGTATTGAAATGGTTATCTATGAGTGGCTGGATTCTTTATGCTTTCCCTGTATTCCCAAGTGTTTATATATGAAACAAATTTCCTTTACAGTCTAAGGCAAAAATAATTTACTGAATATATGTATAAGACAAAACTCCTTAGAGGCTTTGTAAACTCTCATGCTTGTGAACAGGATCAAGAGAGCAGTAGGCCGTCTCCACAGAGACAATGATGTAAAGTTGCTGGAGAACAGAGACAGTAGAATTACTCCATGTGTATTTCACACAAATCTTCTCTGCAAAACTCAAATGTCTTTTATCTTTTAAATGGTAGAACAAATTCTGGTAAGAGGACTCTATCACTCTATTCAAATCCTTCCTTCCTTCCATGCTTTCTCTTTCTTTCTTTTTCTTTCTTTCTTTCTTTCTTTCTTTTTCTTTCTTTTTCTTTCTTTTTTCTTTCTTTCTCTTTCTTCCTTTCTTCCTTCCTTCCTTCCTTTCTCTCTCTCTCTTTCTTTCTTTTCTTCTTTTTTTCTTTCTCTCTTTCTTTCTTTCCCTTTCTTTTTCTCTATATTTGTTCACAGTTTATTGAGGTATAAGTGATATACAAAAAACTGGACATATTTAATATATACAATTTGATGGATTTGGAGATATGCATACATTTATAAGCCATCATCACAATCAAGGTAGTGAACACATCCATCACCTCCAAAATTTTCCTCCTGCCTCCTCTTTCTATATTCAAAACCTTTCTTTATCATTATGTGTTCCTTTCATACTAAAATAACCTTACTTGCACCTCCATAAAATAACCTTATCTGCACATTGGCTTCACCAATGTTATGGGCTGTTTTTAAAAAATTTCCTTTGCAAATTTATTATTGTTTAATATCTCTAGATTCAGAAACTGTAGACACTTTGATAAATGGATTGAATTTGTTTGTCTTTGGTCTTCTTCTCTTTTAAGGTGATATATCTAGATATAATATGTGTGTGTGTGTATGTGTAGTGCATGTTTGTGCATGTTTATCCTGTTTGGTGTTTTTTGAGCTTCTTGAATGTGTGGTTTAGTATCTGTCATTAATTTGAAAAGTTCTTGTCCACTATTTCTTCAAATATTTCTTCTGTGACATTTATTCTTTCTTCTCTTTCCAGTATTACAATTATTATTATTATTATTATTTTGTGATGGAGTCTCACTCTGTCACCCAGGCTGGAGTGCAGTGGTGCGATCTCGGCTCACTGCAAGCTCTGCCTCCTGGGTTCACGCCATTCTCCTGCCTCAGCCTCCCAAGTAGCTGGGACTACAGGCGCCCGCCACCATGCCTGGCTAATTTTTTTGTATTTTTAGTAGAGATGGGGTTTCACTGTGTTAACCAGGATGGTCTCGATCTCTTGACCTCGTGATCTGCCCGCCTCAGCCTCCCAAAGTGCTGGGATTACAGGCATGAGCCACCAAGCCCGGCCACAATTATGTATATGTTATATTTGTTCCTATTGTTCCACAGTTCTTGTATGTTCTACTCTGGTTTTTTTCTATAATTCTTTTTTCTCTTTCTATTTTAGTTTGGAAAGATTCTATTGGTCTATCATCAAGTTAACTGATTCTATTGATGGCTGTGTCCATTCTATTAACAAACTTGTCAAAGGCATTCTTCATTTCTGTTGCTGTATTTTTTATTTGTAAAATTTCCTTTTGATTCTTTCTTAAAATTGCCACCTTTCTGGTCATGCATGTTGCCTTCTTTTACGTTAAAGCCTAAATATATTAAACATTCTCCCCATTTCATATCTGAGTCTGGTTCTGATAATTGATATGTCCCTTCAGAGTATTTTCCTTCTTGCCTCTCTGGTGTTTCTTTTCATTTTTATTGTTGTTGTTAAAAGCTGTGTATGGACTTCTGGTTTGTGGTTCTGCATGTAAGGAGCTTGGAAATCCATGCCTTCTTAACAACTACAAAGCTGAATAGGTTGAAAAAGTCAACAACTCTTCTTGGATCTGTAAGATAGGGGAGGACACAGGGAAACTACTACTCCCAAGGTTGGAGATACAGGTAAATATAGTCATGACTCATGAGCAGAAACTGCCAGAGGAACCGGTACTAGGGTAGGAAAATCTAAACTGTAATTAAATAATTGCTGAAGGTTCAGTGCAGACAAGTCTAAGAATTAAAAACTCCAGGAGGACCCAGTGATAGACGGGTTTTTACAGTATTATGAGATTTACCTCCAGGAGCTCAGCCATGTTGCCATAGTAAATATTGGAGGAAAATCTTCTCACGCTTTCAGCAGTGGGAAGGAAAAAGGAACCATTTTGAAATACACCAAAGTACTCAGAGTACATAAAGACTAAGACTTATTCATAGGACCATAGAATGCTTCTTCTCCCCACCCCACTTTACCACATTACCAAGGGCCTATTTGCAGAAGTTCATTTTACATAGTACATCATGTCTCATTATTAAGAAAAAATTACAAGACATATCAAAAGGCAAAAAAAAAAACCCCACAAGTTCAAAAGATAGGGTAAGCATCAGAACCAGATATGGCAGGGTGTTGAAATTATCAGACCTGGAATTTAAAAATGCCGAGGGTTCTAAAGGATGAAGTAGGCAGTATGCAAGAAGAGATGGGCAATGTAAACAGAGAAATGGAAATCCTAAGAGAGAACCAAAAAGAAATGCTCAAGATCAAAAACATTGTAACAGAAATAAAGAATGCCTTTGTTGGGTTTATTAGTAGACAGGATACAACTGAGTAAAGAATCTCTGAGCTTGAGGATATATCATTAGAAACTTCAAAAACTAAAAAAGCAAAGAGAACAGAAACTGAAATAAAACAACAGAATAGATTATCCAAAAACTGTGGGAAAACTGCAAGGGTATAACATATGCATAATGGGAATACAAGAAGGGGAAGAGAAAGAAAGAAATATAAGAAATATTGGAGTCAATAATGACTGAGAATTTCCCTAAATAATTCCAGACACCAAACCACAGATCCAGGTGGTTTTGTGTCTGGCATTATTTGGGGAGAGTCTCAGTTCAGAGAACATCAAGCAGGATAAATGCTAAAAAATGACACCTAAGCACATCATTTTCAAACTGCAGAAAATCAAAGAGAAAAAAATCCTGGAATAAGCCAAAGGGTTGGGGGGGATTCTTATCTATAGAGTAACAAAGATAAGAATTACTTCCAACTCCTCAAAAACCATGCAAACAAGAAGAGAGCGGAGCAAAATATTCAAAGTGTTGAGGGAAAAATCCACCAACCTAGAATTGCATATTTTGCAAAATTATCCTTCAAAAGTGAAGGATGAAGACTTTCTTAGAGAAACAAAAACTGAGGGAATTTATTGTTAGTAGACCGGCCTTGCAAGCAACGTTAGAAGTTCTTTAGAGAGAAGGAAAATGATAAAGGACAGAAACTCTGATCTACATGAAGAAAGTAAAACCATCAAAGAAGGAATAAGTAAAGGTAAAATGAAAACTTTTATTTTACAATTCTTAATTGATCTAACAGATAACAGTTTGTTCAAAATAATAGCAGCAATATAATCAATTATGTAGGTGAATGTATATATCATATATAGCTTATGTATGCTTACATACAAGTGAAATGAATGTATCTTTGATACAAGGAACGGGAGGGAGAAATTAGGTTATTTTGTTATTATGAGGTATTCACACTGCCTGCGAAGCGGTACAGTGTCATTTGAAAATGGACTTAGATTAGTTGTAATTGTATGTCCAAAATAATTGAAAACAGGTATTAAACAAAAAAACCTAAAAACTTGTACACCAATGTTCATAGCAGTACTAGTCACAATAGCCAAAGTAAGGAATCAATGAAATTTCGATCAACTGATGAATAGACCAACAATTGTGGCATATCCATACAATGAAATATTGATGGCTGGCCTCAATGGCTCATCCTGTAATCCAAGCTCTTTGGGAGGCCAAGGTGGGCAGATCGTTTGAGCCCAGGAATTCAAGACCAGCCTGGGAAACAAGGCAAAACCCCATCTCTACGAAAAATACAAAAATTAGCCAGCCTCATAACTTGGTCTCAAAATAAATAAATAAATAGATACAAATTGAAAAATAAAAACATTTAAAGAAATATTGAGCCATAAAAAGGAATATAGTACTAATCCATGATGCAACACAGATGAACCTCAAAAACGTGCTAAATCAATGAAACCAGACACAAAATACCAAGTATTGTATGATTCCATTTGTATGAAATATCCAGAATAGTTAAATCCATACAGAGAGAAAGTGGTTAGTGGTTGTCAGGTACTGAAGGAGAAGGAAATGGCCAGCGACTTCTTAATGGGTTCAGGGTTTCCTTTTGTAGTGATGAAAATGTTTCAGAGCCAGGTCAAGGTGCTTGTTGCAACATTGTAAATATGCTAGATGACTCTAAATTGTGCACTTTAAAATGGTTATTGTATGTTATGTGAATTTTTCTTCAATAAAAAATTTGATGAAAAGCAATAGATTGCAAATTTAACATGTGTAAAATCTAACTCGTGATTCCCTCACTGCCAAATCTGAAATCACAGTCTTTCACACTCCAGTTAATTGCAAATCCATTCTTCTTTTTCCTCAGGCCAAAAACCTTGTAGTCATCTTTGACTCTCTCACACTCCACATCTAATCCATAGGAAACTATGAAAGGATTTACATTTCTAAATATATCCAGAATGTGACAACATCTCACCATTACCACTTCTATCATTCTCGTCTAAACTACTATAATCTCCTTCACTAGATTTTCACAATAGCCTCTTAACTGGCTTCGATCTTTTCCCCTCTTCAGTCCTTTTCAGTACAGCAGCCAGAGGATCCTATTAAAGCATGTTATATAACATAAATTTTCTGTTCAAAACCCTCCAGTGATTTTCTGCTGCTTTCAGAGTTAAAGCCAAAGTTCATACAATAGCCTGCAGGGCTCTAGATGATATGAACTAACGTAAAATCTGTGACCTAATCTCCTATTCTTTTCCCCTTCATTCACATTGCCCCATCTGCACCACCCTTCTGGCTGTTAGTAAAACTTCCAGGAAGAATATTTCTTCAGGAAACTGCCATTGATGTCTCCTCTGTCTGAAATATCCACCACAACTGCCATCATCGTTACCATCACAGCCGATATCCAAATGATTTTCTACCTTACCTCCCTCAGTTATTTACTCAGATATAACTTACACAGTGAGCCCATCTCTAACAACCCTACCTAACACTGTAACCCCCTCATCCTTCCCAGCTCACTTCCACACCTTACATTTCTCCTTACTGCTTATCACCATTAAAATCCTATGCATTTTATTTATTTAGATTTTTTATCTATCTTCTTCAATTATAATATAAACTTCACAAGTTCAGGTAATTTTACCTATCTCATTCACTACTATATTTTCAGCACCTAACACAGTACTTGGTAAACCATAGAAGATAAGTAAATATTTGTTGAGTGGGAGTGGATGAATGACATTGTAGGAAGAATCTCCTAATGGCCACCTCTCTGCACAATATGGTTCCATAATTACTGCAGGATCTCCTTGCAGAAAGCCTGCCTGTCAATTCCTTGCTGAGCTCTATTCTCTCACATCTAGAGTAGTTGTGTTTCTACCTATTCAAGGAACAATGAGGACACTACCTCACAGAAGTCTGGCTGGTATTTATTCTTCTGTGGTGAACACCTCTAAACGAAAAGGATTTTGAGTTGATCTCTTGCCTATCCATAAATGGGATCAAGTCCAGGGGTTCAGAGAGAAAAGATAATGGGGAGCATCACCAGAGAAAAACCTAAGTCTGTTAGCATGTAAACATTATTAATTATGTGTATGTGTCTTGGGGGAAAAGTGCAAGAAGAGCTGGATAATAATTTTTATAAGAGAAGAATGATTCATATTTGCAGCTTAATAGAAGTCTGTAATATCTAGATATGTCTGTAATGTCAAAGTCCAGAGCAAAGACAGAATAGAGATAAGGGAACAGGACAAAAGGTCATGTTTGGACAGAGAAGGGAGACTGATTTTTGGAGGGGCAGAGATGCATTTAACTCAAGTTAAATCTAGCTTATTTGTAGTTTGGAAACAGCAAGAGGTTTAGGCCATAGTCAAAGCTATCTACATATCTTACCTGTAAACTGGAATAAATCAAATGCAACTTGTTCAACTGATCACTCTCTCTGGTATTCAGGATTTGACAGTTCCAAATCTGTTACCCTCCAGAGCTGCCGCAAAACATCAAAGACTTACAGGTTTCAGAGATACTCTTCCCCAATTTTAAAAAAGTAGATGTACCACATTTCAAATGAAAAGAGTTAGGTCTAAATAAATTGTTAACATAGTTCAAAGTGTAAAGAAAATGTGAAATATGAATATTGAAGGAAAAGCTATGTAATGATCTTTAAATAATAAAGACTCCCTGAACACAACATACATGTACTGTTTCTGTAATCTGGGTCCTACTTTCCTTTCAGCCTCATAGCATTCCTCTTCACCACAACGACCACAACTTCTTTTACTCTAGTCACACTGAATCACTGTGCTAATCTGCTCAGAACTGCACACCTGTGAATGAGCCTCCATAATATAACTTGTGTCTCAAGTTTCACTTGTTATTTTTGTCGTGACTCAGATTAGCTTCGGTTTCCATAATAGCCTGTCTCAGTCGTTTGCCTTAACCTGTCACCACAAGAAGACAAAGACAGTAGAGAGACATGTTTTCTCACCTGTCCCTGGCTTCTATTCACCAAGCTTCCTGCCTGACCTGAGCAATCCAGTGGGCATGAGCAGAAAAATGCTCATCAAAAAGTTGGATTCCAGCAACTTTTTATAGCAGCTAGACCCTTTTCTTTTTCCTCTGCCTTTTGAGACTCTATACTTAAACAAAATAGACTTTAAGTAAAAAACTGTCACTATAAATGTAATCACAAAGGAGATTGTTACATAATGATAAGAGGGCCAATTCAACAGTAAAATATAAAAATTATAAATATATAAGCACATATCATCAAAGCACCTAAATATGTAAAGTAAACGTTGTCAGATCTGAAGGGAGAAATACATAGCAATACAATGGAAGTAGGAGATTTTAAGACCCCACTTACAACTGGGGATAGATAATCCAGAGATAAGATCAATAAGGAAAAACTACAGACTGAATAGACCTAACAAAAATCTTCAACAAAATATTACCAAATGAAATTCAACAGCACATTAAAAGAATTATATGCCATAACCAAGTGTAAGTTAGCCCTAGGATGCAAGGATGGTTCAACATACTCAAATCAATCAATGTAATACACCACATTAATGGAATGAAGGCTACACATCACATGATCATATTAATAGATGCACAAAAAATATGTGACAAAATTCAAGACCCTTTCATGCTAAAAACTCAACAAACTAGGTATAAAAGGAACTTAAAACAATACAGACCATATATGAAAATCCCACTGCAAACATCATATTCAATGACGAAAAACTGAAAGCTTTTTCTGTAAGATATGGAGCAAGACAAGGATGCCTACTCCCACCACTTCAATTTAACACAGTACTGGATGTCATAGCCAGAGGAATTAGGCAAGAGAAGGAAATAAAACACATCCAAATTGGGAAGGAAAAAGTAAAAATATCTGTTTGCAGGTGACATGATCTTATTAGACTTTTTCCTATAGAGCTGTTTGAATGCCTTATATTCTGGTTATTAATTCCTTGTCAGATGGGTAGTTTTCAAATATTTTCTCCCATTCTTTGGGCTCTTTCTTCACTTTGTTGCTTGTTTCTTTTGCTGTGCAGGAGCTTTCTAACTTCATGTGATCCCATTTGTACATATTTGCTTTGGTTGCCTGTGCTTGTGGGTATTGCTCAAGAAATCTTTGCCCAGACCAATGTCCTGGAGGTTTTCACAAATGTTTTCTTGTAGTAGTTTCATAGTTTGAGGTCTTACATTTAAAGCTTTAACCCATTTTGGTTTGATTTTTGTATATAGTGAGATACTGGGGTCTACCTTTATTCTTCTACATATAAATACCCAATTTTCCCAGCACCATTTATTGAAGAAATTGTCTTTTCTCTAGTGTATATTCTTGGCCCCTTTGAGCTCACTGCAGGTGTGTGCATTTGCTTCTGAGTCCTCTATTCTGTTCCATTGGTCTACCTGCCTTTTGGGGGTAGTACCATGCTGTTTTGGTTACTATAGCTCTGTAGTATAATTTGAAATCAGGTAATGTGATTCCTTCTGTTTTGTTCTTTCTGCTTAGGATAGCTTTGGCTATTATGGACTCTTGCATTTCCACATAAATTTTAAGGTTGTTTTTCTATTTCTGTGAAGAATGTCATTGCTATTTTGATAGGGATTGCACTAAATCTGTAGATTGCTTTGGATAGTATGAACATTTTAACAATATTGATTCTTCCAGTCTATATATAGTTTTATAGTTTTCATTGTAGAGGTTTTTCACTTCTTTGGTTAAGTTGACTGGTAGGTATTTAATATTATTTGTGGCTATTGTAAATGAGATTATGTTTTGATTTCTTTTTCAAATTATTCATTGTTGGCATGTAGAAAAGCTACTGGTTTTTGTATGTTGAATTTGTGTCCTGCAATGTTACTGAATTTATTTAACAGTTCTAAAAGTTTCCCTGTGGCATCTTTAGGCTTTTCCCAAATATAAGACCATATCATCTCCAAACAAGGATAATTTGACTTCTTCCTTTCCAATTTGGATGTCCTTTATTTCTTTCTGTTGTCTAACTACTCTAGCTGGGGTTTCCAGTACTATGTTAAATAACAGAGGTGAAAATGGGCATCAATGTCATATTCCAGATTTTAGAGAAAAGGCTTTCAGTTTTTTCCCATTCAGTACAATACTAGCTGTAGGTCTGCTGTATATGGCTTTTATTATGTTGAGGTATTTTCCTTTTATGCCCAGTTTTTTGAGGATTTTTAGCATGAAGGGATGTTACATTTTATCAAATGCCTTTTCAGTATCAGTTGAAATTATGATATAGTTTTTATCCTTTGTTTTGTTGATAAGATGTATCACATTGATTGATTTGCATATGTTGAACCATCATTGTAGCCCAGGGATAAATCCCACTGGGTCATGGTATATGATTCTTTTACTGCACTTTGGTATTTGGCTTGATAGTAATTTTTTGAGGCTTTTTGCATCTATGTTCATCAGGGATATTGGCCTGTAGTTTTCTTTTCTTCTTGTGTCTTTTCTTTCTTTCAAATTCATTTATTTCTGCTCTGATCTTTTCTTTTACTAATTTTGGATTCAGTTTGCTCTAACTTTTCTCATTCTTTAAGATGTATCATTAGGTTATTTATCTGAAATGTTTCTCCTTTTCTGATGTAGGCACATAGCTATAAGATTCTCTCTTAGTACTGCTTTTGCTGTCTCCCACATGTTCTGGTATGTTGTGTTTCCACTATAATTTGTTTCAAGAATTTTTAAAATTGTCTTCTTAATTTCTTCATTGACCCACTGGTCATTCAGGAGCACATTGTTTAACTCCATGTGTTTATATAGTTTCAAAATTTTTTCTTGTTATTGATTTCTGGTTTTATTCCATTGCTTGATATAATCTTAATTTTTTTGAATGTTTTAAGACTTGTGTTATGACCTAACATATGGTCTATCATTGAGAATGATTCATGTACTAAAGAGAAGAATGTGTATTCTACAGCCATTGGATGAAATGTTCTGTAAATATCTATTATGTTCATTTGTTCTATAGTGCAGATTACGTCTGATATTTCTTTGAAGTCTTCAGGTATTATTGTATTGAGGTCTATCTCTCTTTAGCTCTAATAATGTTTGCTTCATATATCTTGTTGCTCCAGTGTTGTGTGCTTATGTATTTACAATTGTAATATCCTTTTGCTGAATTGACCCCTTTGTCATTATATAATAATCTTCTTTGTCTCTTATTTTTTATTGTGAAATCTATTTTGTTTGATATAATTAAAGTTACTCCTTCTCTTTTTTTGGTTTCCATTGGCATGGAATACTTTTTTCCATCCCTTTATTTTCAATCTATGTGTATGTTTATAGGTGAAGTGTGTTTCTTGCAGGCAACAGACCCTTGGGTCTTTTTTTTTTTTTTGATGGAATCTCGCTCTGTCATCAGGCTGGAGTGCAGCGGTGTGATCTTGGCTCACCGCAACCACCGCCTCCCGGTTTCTGCTGCCTCAGCCTCCGGAGTAGCTGGGACTACAGGCACATGCCACCACGCCCAGCTAATTTTTTTATTTTTAGTAGAGACAGGGTTTCACCATGTTGGCTAGTATATTCTCGACCCCTTGACCTCGCGATCCACCTGCCTTGGCCTCCCAAAGTGCTGGGATTATAGGCGTGAACCACCGTGCCTGGCCAGGCCTTGTTTTTTTTTTAATCTATTCAACCTGTCTATGTCTTGAATTGGAGCATTTGTTCCATTTACATTCAATGATATTATTGATAAATATGGACTTACCCCTGCAATTTTATTTGTTTTCCAGATCTTTTCTAGTCTTCTCTTCCTTCTTTCTTTCCTTCTTTTTTTTTATTATTATTTTACTTTAAGTTTCAGGGTACATGTGCACAATGTGCAGGTTAGTTATATATGTATACATGTGCCATGCTGGTGTGCTGCATCCATTAACTCGTCACTTAGCATTAGGTATATCTCTTAATGCTATCCCTCCCCCCTCCCCCCACTCCACAACAGACCGAGAATGTGATGTTCCCCTTCCTGTGTCCATGTGTTCTCATTGTTTAATTCCCATGTATGAGTGAGAATATGCAGTGTTTGGTTTTCTGTCCTTGCGATAGTTTACTGAGAATGATGATTTCCAACTTCATCCATGTCCCCACAAAGGACATGAACTCATCATTTTTTATGGCAGCATAGTATTCCATTGTGTATATGTGCCACATTTTCTTAATCCAGTCTATCATTGTTGGACATTTGGGTTGGTTCCAAGTCTTTGCTATTGTGAATAGTGCTGCAATAAACATACTTGTGCATGTGTCTTTATAGCAGCATGATTTATAGTCCTTTGGGTATATACCCAGTAAGGGGATGGCTGGGTCAAATGCTATTTGTAGTTCTAGATCCCTGAGGAATCGCCACACTGACTTCCACAATGGTTGAACTAGTTTCCAGTCCCACCAACAGTGTAAAAGTGTTCCTATTTCTCCACATCCTCTCCAGCACCTGTTGTTTCCTGGCTTTTTAATGATTGCCATTCTAACTGGTGTGAGATGGTATCTCATTGTGGTTTTGATTTGCATTTCTCTGATGGCCAGTGATGATGAGCATTTTTTCATGTGTCTTTTGGCTGCATAAATGTCTTCTTTCGAGAAGTGTCTGTTCATATCCTTTGCCCACTTTTTGATGGGGTTGTTTGTTTTTTTCTTGTAAATTTGATGGAGTTCATTGTAGATTCTGGATATTAGCCCTTTGTCAGATGAGTAGGTTGCAAAAATTTTCTCCCATTTTGTGGGTTGCCTGTTCACTCTGATGGTAGTTTCTTTTGCTGTGCAGAAGCTCTCTAGTTTAATTAGATCCCATTTGTCAATTTTGACTTTTGTTGCCATTGCTTTTGGTATTTTAGACATGAAGTCCTTGCCCATGCCTATGTCCTGAATGGTAATGCCTAGGTTTTCTTCTAGGGTTTTTATGGTTTTAGGTCTAACGTTTAAGTCTTAATCCATCTTGAATTAATTTTTGTATAAGGTGTAAGGAAGGGATCCAGTTTCAGCTTTCTACATATGGCTAGCCAGTTTTCCCAGCACCATTTATTAAATAGGGAATCCTTTCCTCATTGCTTGTTTTTGTCAGGTTTGTCAAAGATCAGATAGTTGTAGATATGCGGTGTTATTTCTGAGGGCTCTGTTCTGTTTCATTAATCTACATCTCTGTTTTGGTACGAGTACCATGCTGTTTTGGTTACTGTAGCCTTGTAGTATAGTTTGAAGTCATGTAGTGTGATGCATCCAGCTTTGCTCTTTTGGCTTAGGATTGACTTGGCGATGTGGGCTCTTTTTTGGTTCCATATGAACTTTAAAGTAGTTTTTTCCAATTCTGTGAAGAAAGTCTTTGGTAGCTTGATGGGGATGGCATTGAATCTATAAATTACCTTGGGCAGTATGGCCATTTTCACAATATTGATTCTTCCTACCCATGAGCAAGGAATGTTCTTCCATTTGTTTGTATCCTCTTTTATTTCATTGAGCAGTGGTTTGTAGTTCTCCTTGAAGAGATCCTTCACGTCCCTTGTAAGTTGGATTCCTAGGTATTTTATTCTCTTTGAAGCAATTGTGAATGGGAGTTCACTCATGATTTGACTCTCTGTTTGTCTGTTGTTGGTGTATAAGAATGCTTGTGATTTTTGTACATTGATTTGTATCCTGAGACTTTGCTGAAGTTGCTTATCAGCTTAAGGAGATTTTGGGCTGAGACAATGGGATTTTCTAGATATACAATCATGTCATCTGCAAACAGGGACAATTTGACTTCCTCTTTTCCTAATTGAATGCCTTTTATTTCCTTTCCCTGCCTAATTGCCCTGGCCAGAACTTCCAACACTATGTTGAATAGGAGTGGTGAGAGAGAGCATCCCTGTCTTGTGCCAGTTTTCAAAGGGAATGCTTCCAGTTTTTGCCCATTCAGTATGATATTGGCTGTGGGTTTGTCATAGATAGTTCTTATTATTTTGAGATACGTCCCATCAATACCTAATTTATTGAGAGCTTTTAGCATGAAGCTTTGTTGAATTTTGTCAAAGGCCTTTTCTGCATCTATCGAGATAATCATGTGGTTTTTGTCTTTGGTTCTGTTTATATGCTGGATTATATTTATTGATTTGTGTATATTGAACCAGCCTTGCATCCCAGGGATGAAACCCACTTGATCATGGTGGATAAGCTTTTTGATGTGCTGCTGAATTCTGTTTGCCAGTATTTTACTGGGGATTTTTGCAGCAATGTTCATCAAGGATATTGGTCTAAAATTCTCTTTTTTCATTGTGTCTCTGCCCGGCTTTGGTATCAGGGTGATGCTGGCCTCATAAAATGAGTTAGGGAGGATTCCCTCTTTTTCTATTGATTGGAATAGTTTCAGAAGGAATGGTACCAGTTCCTCCTTGTACCTCTGGTAGAATTCGGCTGTGAATCCATCTGGTCCTGGACTCTTTTTGTTTGGTAAGCTATTAATTATTGCCACAATTTCAGATCCTGTTACTGGTCTATTCAGAGATTCAACTTCTTTCTGGTTTAGTCTTGGGAGAGTGTATGTGTCGAGGAATTTCTCCATTTCTTCGAGATTTTCTAGTTTATTTGCATAGAGGTGTTTGTAGTATTCTCTGAGGGTAGTTTGTATTTCTGTGGGATCAGTGGTGATATCCCCTTCATCATTTTTTATTGTGTCTATTTGATTCTTCTCTCTTTTCTTCTTTATTAGTCTTGCTAGCGGTCTATGAATTTTGTTGATCCTTTCAAAAAACCAGCTCCTGGATTCATTAATTTTTTGAAGGGTTTTTTTTGTCTCTATTTCCTTCAGTTCTGCTGTGATTTTAGTTATTTCTTGCCTTCTACTAGCTTTTGAATGTGTTTGCTCTTGCTTTTCTAGTTCCTTTAATTGTGATGTTAGGTTGTCAATTTTGGATCTTTCCTGCTTTCTCTTGTGGGCATTTAGTGCTATAAATTTCCCTCTACACACTGCTTTGAATGTGTCCCAGAGATTCTGGTATCTTATGTCTTTGTTCTCATTGGTTTCAAAGAACATCTTTATTTCTGCCTTCATTTCGTTATGTACCCAGTAGTCATTCAGGAGCAGGTTGTTCAGTTTCCATGTAGTTGAGCAGTTTTGAGTGAGTTTCTTAATCCTGAGTTGTAGTTTGATTGTACTGTGGTCTGAGAGACAGTTTGTTATAATTTCTGTTCTTTTACATTTGCTGAGGAGAGCTTTACTTCCAACTATGTGGTCAATGTTGGAATAGGTGTGGTGTGGTGCTGAAAAAAATGTATATTCTGTTGATTTGGGGTGGAGAGTTCTGTAGATGTCTATTAGGTCCGCTTGATGCAGAGCTGAGTTCAATTCCTGGATATCCTTGTTAACTTTCTGTCTCGTTGATCTGTCTAATGTTGACAATGGGGTGTTAAAGTCTCCCATTATTATTGTGTGGGAGTCTAAGTCTCTTTGTATGTCACTCAGGACTTGCTTTATGAATCTGGGTGCTCCTGTATTGGGTGCATATATATTTAGGATAGTTAGCTCTTCTTGTTGAATTGATCCCTTTACCATTATGTAATGGCCTTCTTTGTCTCTTTTGACCTTTGTTGGTTGAAAGTCTGTTTTATCAGAGACTAGGATTGCAACCCCTGCCTTTTTTTGTTTTCCATTTGCTCGGTAGATCTTCCTCCATCCTTTTATTTTGAGCCTCTGTGTGTCTCTGCACGTGAGATGGGTTTCCTGAATACAGCACACTGATGGGTCTTGACTCTTTATCCAATTTGCCAGTCTGTGTCTTTTAATTGTAGCATTTAGTCCATTGACATTTAAAGTTAATATTGTTATGTTTGAATTTGATCCTGTCATTACGATGTTAGCTCGTTATTTTGCTCGTTAGTTGATGCAGTTTCTTCCTAGTCTCGATGGTCTTTACATTTTGGCATGATTTTGCAGCGGCTGGTACCGGTTGTGCCTTTCCATGTTTAGTGCTTCCTTCAGGAGCTCTTTTAGGGCAGGCCTGGTGGTGACAAAATCTCTCAGCATTTGCTTGTCTGTAAAGTATTTTATTTCTCCTTCACTTATGAAGCTTAGTTTGGCTGGATATGAAATTCTGGGTTGAGAATTCTTTTCTTTAAGAGTGTTGAATATTGGCCCCCACTCTCTTCTGGCTTGTAGAGTTTCTGCTGAGAGATCTGCTGTTAGTCTGATGGGCTTCCCTTTGTGGGTAACCCGACCTTTCTCTCTGGCTGCCCTTAACATTTTTTCCTTCATTTCAACTTTGGTGAATCTGACAATTATGTGTCTTGGAGTTGCTCTTCTCGAGGAGTATGTTTGTGGCGTTCTCTGTATTTCCTGAATCTGAATGTTGGCCTGCCTTGCTAGATTGAGGAAGTTCTCCTGGATAATATACTGCAGAGTGTTTTCCAACTTGGTTCCATTCTCCCTGTCACTTTCGGGTACACCAATCAGACGTATATTTGGTCTTTTCACATAGTCCCATATTTCTTGGAGGCTTTGTTCATTTCTTTTTATTCTTTTTTCTCTAAACTTCCCTTCTCACTTCATTTCATTCATTTCATCTTCCATCACTGATACCTTTTCTTTCAGTTGATTGCATCGGCTCCTGAGGCTTCTGCATTCTTCACATAGTTCTCGAGCCTTGGCTTTCAGCTCCATCAGCTCCTTTAAGCACTTCTCTGTATTGGTTATTCCAGTTATACATTCGTCTAAATTTTTTTCAAGGTTTTCAACTTCTTTGCCATTGGTTTGAATTTCCTCCTGTAGCTCGGAGTAGTTTCATCGTCTGAAGCCTTCTTCTCTCAACTCGTCAAAGTCATTCTCCATCCAGCTTTGTTCCGTTGCTGGTGAGGAACTGCATTCCTTTGGAGGAGGAGAGGCACTCTGCTTTTTAGAGTTTCCAGTTTTTCTGCTCTGTTTTTTCCCCATCTTTGTGGTTTTATCTACTTTTGGTCTTTGATGATGGTGACGTACAGATGGGTTTTTGGTGTGGATGTCCTTTCTGTTTGTTAGTTTTCCTTCTAACAGACAGGACCCTCAGCTGCAGGTCTGTTGGAGTTTGCTAGAGGTCCACTCTAGACCCTGTTTGCCTGGGTATCAGCAGCGGTGTCTGCAGAACCGCGGATTTTCGTGATCCGTGAATGCTGCCTTCTGATCATTTCTCTGGAAGTTTTGTCTCAGAGGAGTACCTGGTGGTGTGAGGTGTCAGTCTGCCCCTACTGGGTGGTGCCTCCCAGTTAGGCTGCTCGGGGGTCAGGGGTCAGGGACCCACTTGAGGAGGCAGTCTGCCCATTCTCATATCTCCAGCTGCGTGCTGGGAGAACCACTGCTCTTCTCAAAGCTGTCAGACAGGGACATTTAAGTCTGCAGAGGTTACTGCTGTCTTTTTGTTTGTCTGTGGCCTGCCCCCAGAGGTGGAGTCTACAGAGTCAGGCAGGCCTCCTTGAGCTGTGGTGGGCTCCACCCAGTTCGAGCTTCCTGGCAGTTTTGTTTACCTAAGCGAGCCTGGGCAATGGCGGGTGCCCCTCCCCCAGCCTCGCTGCCACCTTGCAGTTTGATCTCAGACTGCTGTGCTACCAATCAGCAAGACTCCATGGTCGTAGGACCCTCTGAGCCAGATGCGGGCGGGATATAATGTCCTGGTGAGCCATTTCCTAAGCCAGTCAGAAAAGCGCAGTATTCGGGTGGGGAGTGGCCCGATTTTCCAGGTGCCGTCTGTCACCCCTTTCCTTGACCAGGAAAGGGAACTCCGTGATCCCTTGTGCTTCCCTAGTGAGGCAATGCCTGGCCCTGCTTTGGCTGGTGCACGGTGCACTGCACCCACTGTCCTGCACCCACTGTCTGGCACTCCCTAGTGAGATGAACCTGGTACCTCAGATGGAAATGCAGAAATCACCCGTCTTCTGCGTTGCTCACGCTGGGAGCTGTAGACCGGAGCTGTTCCTATTCGGCCATCTTGGCTCCTCCCTTTCTTTCCTTCTTGTCTTTCTTTTAGTAAAGGAGATTTTCTCTGGTGGTATGATTTAATTTCTTGCTTTTTGTTTTTTGTGTATTCATTGTATGTTTTTCAATTTGAGGTTACCATGAGGCTTTCAAATACTATCTTATAACCCACTATTTTAAACAGATGACAACTTAAAACTGATTGCATAAATGTGCAAAAAGAAAACTAATAAAAACTCTACACTTTAAATTCATCCCCCCACTTTTTAACTTTTTGTTGTTTCTCTTTATGTCTTATTGTACTGTCTATGTCTTGAAAAGTTGCATTTTTTATTGGCTCATTATTTAGTCTTTCTACTTAAAATAAGAGCAGTTTATACTCTAAAATTACAGTGTTATAATATCTTTTGCTTTTCTTTGTGCTTGCTATTACCAGTGAGTTTTGTACCTTCATATGATTTCTTCTTGCTCATTAACATCGTTTTCTTTCTGATTGAAGAACACCTTTTAGCAATTCTTGTACAAGTCTGGTTTTATGAAATATCTCAGCTTTTGTTTTTCTGGGAAAGTCTTTATTGCTCCTTCATTCTTGGAGGATATATTCACCAGATAGACTATTCCTTCAATACTCTAAATATGTCATGCTACACTCTCCTGACCTGTTTGATTTCCACTGAGTAGTCTGCTGCCAGATGTATTGGAACACCATTGTATGTTATTTATTTATTTTCTCTTGCTTGTTTTACAATCATCTCTTCATCCTTGACCTTTGGGAATTTGAGTATTAAATGCCTTTAGGCAGTCTTCTTTGGGTTAAATCTGCTTGGTGCTTAAAACCTTCTTATACTTCAATGTTGATAACTTACTCTAGGTTTCGGTAGTTCTCTGATTTTTTTTTTGAATAAACTTGCTACCCTTATCTCTTTCTCTGCTTCATCTTTAAGGGGATTAACTCCTAGATTTGCCCCTTTGAGGTTATTTTCTAGAGCTTGTAGGTATGCTTCATTTTATTTTTGAATTTTTTCTCCTTTGACAGTGTATTTTCAAATAACCTGTCTTCAAGCTCACTAATTATTTCTTCTGCTTAATAAATTCTGCTATTAAGAGACTCTGATGCATTCTTTAGTATATCAATTGCATTTTTCAACTCTAGAATTTCTTCTTGGTTCTTTATAATTATTTTAGTTTCTTTGTTGAATTTATTTGATAGAATTCTGAATTCCTTTTCTGTATTATCTTGAATTTCTTTGAGGGCCTCAAGACAGCCATTTTGAATTCTCATCTGAAAGGCCACATATCTGTTTCTCCAGGTTTGGTCACTGGTGTCCTGTTTAATTGATTTGATGAGGTCATGTTTTCTGGAAGATCTTGATGCTTGTAGATATTCATCAGTGTCTGGACATTGAAGAGTTAAGTACTTATTTTAGTCTTCACAGTCTGGGCTTGTTTGCTCCTGTCGTTATTAAGAAGGCTTTCCAGGTATTCCAAGGGACTTGGGCCCTAAGCCCAATAACACTGGTTTTTGCAGACTTGTATAAGTACTGTGTTGGCGGTCTTAGATAAGATCCAAAAGAATTTTCTGGATTACCAGTCAGAGGCTCTTGTTCTTTTTCCTTAGTTTCTCCCAAACAAATAGTCTCTCTCTCTTTCTCTCTCTCTCTTTTTCTGCCAAGCCACATGGAGTGTGATGGTGCAAGGACCACTGTGGCTACACTACTGGGATTTCACTGAGTCAGACCTGAAGCCAACACAGCACTGGGTCTTGCCCAAGGCCCTCAGTAACCATTACCTGGCTACCGTCTATGTTCACTCAAGGCCCTAGGGCTCTATGACCAGTAGTTGGCAAATTCACCCAGGTTTGTGTCCTTCCCTTCAGGGCAGTGAATTCCCCCAGGCCCCAGGTGGGTCCAGAGATGCTGTCTGGGAGCCAGGGATTTGAGGAAAAAAAACTTAGAAATTTGCCTGATGCTCTGTGCTACTGCAGCTAAGCTGGCACTCAAACCACAAGATGCAGTCCTTCCCTCCCTTTCCATAGTCAGAGGAACATTTCCCTGTGGCCACCACCAACACTGCCCTATAGGGGTTTCTGCCAGGCCACTGCCAGTGTTCACTTAAGGCCCAAGTTCTCTTCAGTCAGCTTGTGGTGAATGATGCCAGGCCCTAAACTCACCCTTCAGGGCAATGATCTCTTCTCTGGCCCAGAGAAGGCCCAGAAATGCTGTCCAAGATTCTAGGCCTGAACTCAGGGACCCCAAGAGCATGCTTGTTGCTCTACCCAATTGTAGTCAAGCTGATACTTAAGGTGCAAGACAAAATCTCCTTAACTTTTCACTCTACTTTTCTCAAACAGAAGGAGTCTTTATCCATACACCACAGCTGGCAATGTGCTCAGTGATACCTGAAGCCAGCAGGTCTCACAGCCCAAGGCCCATGGCATACTACCTGGGTATTGCTGCTGGTTATTCAGGGCCCAAGGGCTCTTTAGTAAGCAGGTGATGAATTCTGCCAAGACCGTTTCTTCCCTTCAAGGCAGCGTGTTCCCTTTTGACCCAGGGTATATCTAGAAATGCTGTCTGGGAGCTAGGGCCTGGAACAGGAACCTCATGACTGACTCTGCCTGAGCTGAGGAAGTAGTCACTTTTGCTGCTGTGAGTTTCACTGCCTGGGTTGGGGAAGGGGTCGTGCAAGCATTCCTTTACCTGCCCAGCTTGTCTCCCTATGTCATGTGCCACCCTAGTCCTCTGGCTCTGGGCCCAGCCCAGCAGTAAGAGTTGTCTAGGAATTGCAGTTCTTGTGTGCTAGACTGCCTTTCAAGTTTATCAAGGACCCCAGAGCACTGTGACCCACAGTAGCAAGGCTTGCCAAGAAATTCAAGTTCCAACTGCTGGAGTGGGAAGTTCTCCTCTGGCTGAGTCTGGTCCAAATGCTCTCTCTCTGCATGAATGCTGGCTGAACCCAGCACAGTTTGCTCTCCTCTCTGCTGTGATAGAGCATTACCGAGTTCGATGTTAAGTCTTCCAGTTACTGCACTCTCCCTCCCCCAAGTGCACAGAGTCTCCATGCAGCATGGCTCTACTGGGGGATGGAGGAGATGTGGCATTGGCGACTCAAGACTGTCTCTTTGACTCTCTTCAATGCCTCTTTCAAAGATATGAAGTTAAAAACATGTACTATGATTGCTCACCTGATTTTTGGTTCTGCGGTGGTGCTTTTCTGTGTGCAGACAGTTGTTAAAATTTGGTGTTCCTGCATGTGAGACAAATGGTGTAGGCTCCTATTCTGCCATCTTGCTCCAACCCATCCTATTCTATATTTTTATTTTTATTTGCCATATATAATGAGGAGTGAAACTGCATTTAACTCTGTCAAGTTTCTCTGCAATTTAGTACCTATGTAAATCACAATAGCATTTACCAAATATTCCATTTTCTGCTCTTGATTTCTCACACAACCACTTGGTGAGGCAGAGTCATATGACTTGTTCTGGCTAGATACTCAGAGTATAAAACCTTCTGAAGTGGAGGGAAAAAGAAAGTAGCAACCATAGCAAAGTTAGAGTAGTTATACCATTATCAATCAAGAGAGACTTTAAACCAAAAAGTATGTTACTAGAGACACAAAGGGACATTTTATAATGATAAAAGAGTCAATGCATTAGAAAGTTATAACAATTATATATGCATCTAATAACAGAGCACCAAGATACATGCAGTAAAAACTGACAGGAATGAAGGTAAAAATATATAAATCAAAAATAGTTGTTGAAGATGTCAATATCCCATTTTCAATAATGATACAATGACCACACATAAGATTAGCAAGAGATTAGGTTTGAACAACACTATAAAGCCATGAGTCCTAAGAGACATCAATAGAGCCTTCCATTCAACGACAATAGAATATACATTCTTCTCAAGTGCATATGGAACATTCTCCAGGATAGAGCAAATGCTAGTCCATAGACAAAACTTCAGTAAATTTAAAATGAGAGAAATAATATGAAGTATGTTCTCTGACCACAAAATATTTAATTTGAAATCAATAATAAGAATTTGGGAAACTCACATATATGTGAAAATTAAGCAAGATACTCCCAAATAACCAATGGGTCAAAGAACAAATGAAAGGGGAAATTAGATAATCTCTTGAAATGAATAACATGACGACATAGAATAACAAAATTTATGCAATGCAACAAACTCGGTGCTTAGAGGGTAATTTATAGCTGTAAATACCTATGTTAAGAAAGAAGAAAGACTACAAATCTATAACCTAACCTTCCAACTTAAGACACAAAAAGAAAAACAACCCAAACCTTAAACAAGCAGAGGAAATAGTAAAGATTAGAATGGGAATTAATGAAATAGATAATAGGAAACCTATCAAGAAAATCAAAGAAACAAAAAGCTATTTTTTTAAAAGCTCAACAAAATTGAAAAACTTTTATCTAGGTTGACCAAGTAAAAAGGGAGTGGAGACACAAATTACCAGAATCAGAAATTAAAGAGAGATGATTACTACTGACCTTACAGAAATAAGAAGGGGTATAAAGAAATACTATGAATAATTGTACACCAACAAATTAGATTACTTAGATGAAATGGACAAATTCCTGGAAACACAAACTGCTGAAACTGATTCAAGTATGAGTCTTCATAGGCCCATAACCAGTGAAGAGCTTGAATCAATAATTTAAAACCACCCATAAAGAAAAGACGAGACCCACATTGCTTTATCACTAAAGTCTATCAATCATTTTTTGAAATACTAATTCTTCCTGAACTCTTCCAAAAAACAGAAGAAGGAATGCTTCTCATCTCATTTTATAAATTTATAGCTTTTTATACCCTGACACCGAAACCAAATACACCACAAGAAAAAAAAAACCTACAGATCAAAATCTCTTATGAATATGGATACAGACATTTTCAACAAAATACTAGCAAACTGAATATGGCAGCACATAAAAAGAGCTATACACCATGACCAAGTGGTATTTATCCCAGGAATGCAAGATTGGTTTAATATTTTAAAAAATCACTTAATATAATACATCATATTAATAAAACAAAACTAAAAAATACATGACTATCTCCATAAATGCAAAAAAAGGATTTGACAAAATCCAACATTCTTTCATGACAAAAACACTAAAAAACTGGGAGTAGGTGGGGACTTCCTCAACATGATAATGAACATCTATGAAAAATCAACAGCTTATGTCATACTTCTGTTCAAAGACTGAAGGCTTCCCCCTGAGATCAGGAACATGACAAGGATGTCTGCTCTCACCGTTTTTACTCAGGATTTTACTGGAGGTTATAACCAGTGCAATTAGTCCAGCAAAATAAATAAAATGTATCCAGATTACAAAGGAAGGGTTAAAACTATCTCTATTTGAAGATGGCATCATCTTGTATACAGAAAATCTTAAGGAATCCATAAAAAACGATAGAACTAATCAATGAAGAATCAGAAAGAAAAGTTGGAAAAGCAATCTTATTTACAATAGCATCCAAAAGAATAAAATATTTAGAAATAACTTTAACCATGGAGGTAAAATATCTGTACAGTGAAAACTATAGGACATTGATGAAAGAAATTGAAGACACACGTAAGTAGAAAGATATCCTGAGTTATTGAAACAGAAGAATTAACATTGTTACAATGTCCATACTACTCAAAGCAATCCGATGAAAATAAATGAAAATCCTATCAAAATTCTAATCTTATTTTTCACAGAAAATAAAAAATCCTAAATTTGCATGAAACCACGAAAGACCCTGATTTCAAAGCAATCTTAAGAAAGACTAACAAATTTAGAGGCATCACACTTCCTATTTCAAGCTGTATTGCAAAGCTGTAGAAAGCAAAACAGCATGGTACTGGCATAAAAGCAGACACATAGAGCAATAGAATAGAGAGCCCAGAAATATACTCATCCATCTACAGTCAATTTATCTTTGACAAAGGTGTCAAAACCATGTCATGGGGAAAGGCTCTTCAATAAATTGTATTGGGAAAACTGGATATCCACAGGCAAAAAAAAAAAAAAAAAAAAGGACCCTTATTTTACACTACTTACAAAAATGAACTCAAAATGAATTAAAGACATACATGTAACACTTGAAACCTTAAACTCCTACCAAAAAAAACAGGAAAAAGATCTCCTTGACATTGTTCTCAACAATAATTTTTTGCACATGACACCAAAAGCAAAAATAAACAAGTGGGGTTACATCAAACTAAAAAGCTTTTGCACAACAATGAAAACAATCAATAAAATGAAAATGTAACTGACAGAATGGGAGAAAATATTTGTAAACCATATACCTGATAAAGGGTTGATATTTGAAATTTATAAGGAAGTCCTACAACTCCTTAGCAAAAACAAAACAAGAAAAACAAAACCCAGAAAACAACAAAAAACCCACTCCTAATAATCCTATTAAAAATGGGCAAAGAAGCTGAATAGACATTTTTGCAAAGAAGATATACAAATGGCCAACAGATATAATGAAAAGTTGCTCAACATTACTAATCATCAAAGAAAACAAAACCACAATGAAATATCACCTCACATCTGTTAGGATAGCTATTATAAAAAAGACAAGAGATAACAAATGTTGACTAGGATATAGAGAAAAGTGAACCCTTGCACAGGTTGATGGGAATGTAAATTGGTGTACATTAAGGAAAACAGTATGGAGAATTCTTGAAAAATTAAAAACAGAACTACCATATGATAAAACAATCTCACTTCTCATTATATATCCAAAAGAATTGAAATCAAGATCTTGAAGAGATAGCTGCACTCCCAAATTCATTGTAGCATTATTCAGAAGAGCCAAGATATGAAAACAACTTGTATGTCTATTGACAGATGAATGGATAAGAAAAAAAACTGTGGCATATACAAACAATGGAATATTATTCAGTCTTTAAAAAGAAGGTAATCCTGCCATATGTGACTATGTGAATTAATCTAGAGAACATTATGCTAAGTAAAATAAGCTAGTCACAAAAGACAAATACTCAATGATTCCACTAACAGAAGGTATCTAAAATAGTCAAACTCATAGAAGCAGAGAGTAAAATGGTGGTTGTAGGGGCTGGGGCAAGGAAGAAATGGGGAATATGTTAAATGTGTATAAAGTTTCAGTTATGCAGGATGAGTAACTTCTAGAGATCTGCTATACAAGTTGGTGTCTATAGTCAACAATACTGTATTGTGCACTTTAAAAAATTGCTGAGGGTAGACCTCATAATGAGCATTCTTACTACAATAAAAGGAGAGTCCTGAGGAAACTTTTAGAGATGATGGATATATGTTAATTACTTTAATTGTAGTGATGGATTTATTGTGTATGCCTATGTCCAAACTTACCAAATTGCTTGCATTATATATATGCAGGTGTGTGTGTGTGTGTGTGTGTGTGTGTGTGTGTGTGAAATCTTACCATCAAGCCAGTAATCAAGAAGGTGTGGTATTGGTATAAACACAGGCATATTGAACAATGGAACAGAATAACAACCCTTAATAAGTGAAATAATTCCAGTCAGTAAAAACACAATTCTAAAAGATAAAAATATAACCCAGAAATTTTACTCCTGAGTATCTTCCAAATAGATACAGAAATATTCATTCGTGCAAAGATTTTTACATGAATGTTTATAGCAGAAATCCTAACAATGGTTAAAAAGTGAAAGCAACACAAATGTCCATCAATTGCTGAATGGACAAACCACATTCCTCAAAATCTGAATTTGTCAGTCTAGATTAACCTCTGTTACTCAGTCTGGATCTCATGGACCTCAAACCTCATTTCTTCACCCTCTGGATATCTCAGCCTTGCCAATCCCTCATTCTCAATTTTGTCATCCACTGGGATGTAGGTTATCAGCATTTAAGGGTATGAAACTTGAGGCTGACGAGTCACAATTTTTAAAAAGCCAGTATCTCCAGTTGATCTAATCTTTATCTCCCACTCTTTAAAAATTTTAACTCCTACACATAACCACCATTTCTCTTCCATCTTCAAATTCTCCTACTCTAGTGGTTACTTCCATCAATGTACAATTTATGCTCTACTGTCCTCCATTTTCAACAAATACCTTCCCTTGATGACACTTCCCTACCAGCTATTGTTCTATATATCTGCTGTCCTGTTTATATGCTGGATTACATTTATTGATTTGCATATGTTGAACCAGCCTTGCATCCCAGGGATGAAGCCCACTTGATCATGGTGGATAAGATTTTGATGTGCTGCTGGATTCGGTTTGCCAGTATTTTATTGAGGATTTTTGCATCGATGTTCATCAGGGATATTGGTCTAAAATTCTCTTTTTTGGTTGTTTCTCTGCCAGGCTTTGGTATCAGGATGATGCTGGCCTCATAAAATGAGTTAGGGAGGATTCCCTCTTTTTCTATTGATTGGAATAGTTTCAGAAGGAACGGTACCAGCTCCTCCTTGTACCTCTGGTAGAATTCGGCTGTGAATCCATCTGGTCCTGGACTTTTTTTGGTTGGTAAGCTATTGATTATTGCCTCAATTTCAGAGCCTGTTATTGGTCTATTCAGAGATTCAACTTCTTCCTGGTTTAGTCTTGGGAGGACGTATGTGTCGAGGAATTTATCCATTTCTTCTAGATTTTCTAGTTTATTTGTGTAGAGTTGTTTATAGTAGTCTCTGATGGTAGTTTGTATTTAGAATGCCGATCATTAAAACGTCAGGAAACAACAGGTGCTGGAGAGGATGTGGAGAAATAGGAGCACTTTTACACTGTTGGTGGGACTGTTAATGCCCCTAGGGAGGCATTAACATCATTGATTGAGATATAATCTCTTGAACAATATAAGAGGCATAGTAGGCGCACAACGAATGGTTCTGGGTCAACAAAAAACTGACAGCCTCACAAATCTACATTCATGTTGCTTAGGGTTGCCAGTCTGGGACCAAGAGGAATTATGGCATTTGAAGAGAAATAATGTGTATCGATTATTTTAAAGCATCCTCTGTTTCAAGAGGCAAAGCTTGAATGTGCAATGGGGTGATAACTTCGGTTTTCTCAATCTAGCTTGAACTGTATTATAGAAAAGATACTAATAATAATAGGCACTGTTTATTGAGTTACTAAGAGCCATAAAAAGGCCTACTTTGTTAGAGTGCCAGCAACATTTTCCAGATGCTTCAGGTGGAATCCGTTTCTTACTCTTGTGTCAGCTGAAATTTGAGCTTGAAAGAGACACTCTATTATGAGGGAATCCACTTTTACAAGCCATTTTCATTATGCAGCCATCAAAATAGACATATCTATGTATTATTTTGAGAAAATCCATGCACTGGGGCATGATTTATATGCAGATGCTTCAAATTAAGGTAGTAAATACTAAGCTGAATAATATAAAAAGCTGTATTGATAATATAAGGTATATCTTGGCAGAGATCAAGACGTTACCTCCTTTTTGGCTGGGCCAGAGAGAATGGGAGTTAGTTTTCTAGTCTTAGAGAATGTGGGGCAGAGTCAAGTGGGATCACAGTCTGACGAAGTAATTAGATTCCTGCAATATTGTGGTAGGTCAGTGCATAAGTAGTGGACATTCCATGATATGGAAAACCATAGTGTCACCCTTTTGTGCACTGTAATATCCTCTAGTTTCCTAAAATGGGTAGCATGTTTGTTAAACGTTATAGTCTGCTGTTAGCAGTGTTTTGGGAATGAAGGAACAGGTAGATCTGGGAAAGGAAAGAGCAGTAGCCTGCGGAATTGGATGGAGACCCTGACAGTTCCCCGCTAGAGAAGGCTGGAACTGCCAACTAAGCCGGAGGTGACAAGTAACAACCCCCATGGATTTCTGGAACATGTAAGCACTGCCCGGGGAATTTAATATATATTAAGAGAGAGTTCCTGTAGTCAGCCAGGTAACCGTCTCAGAAGGAACTTACTTGGTATTGTTGGAAGAGACAGACAGGGAGAGAGAGAGAGAGAGAGAGAGAGAGGCTTTTCTCCACCTCTGCCTCTCCGTTTTTCAGCCCACAGAGAAGATCAAACAGAACTTGAAATGGGTATGTGTTTACATATGAGAGCTGAAAAAAGACAGTAGAATATTCTCTTGCTCAGTCTCAGCTGGGAACATGTGTGTCAGGTGACTCAATGTTTTTGCTGGTCTGTGCATGTCTGCAAATGACCACAAACATGCTACAAGTATTGATTTGGGGGTTACAAATAAATTTTAGCAAGTATACAAATTCCAGTGTACACCAGAATTCAACAAGGCGATGATGAAGAACTTCGGAGGCACAGAAACTCGAGATAGCAGCATAGAGAGGGAAGTGAAGCCCCTGGCCTAAATAGGCTTTGGAGTCAAGAGGCACTCCCCATTGTGGGAAAAAGGTAAGCAGAAAATCCCTAGCAGTGCTCATTCTCACCATGGATGCCTGCAATCCTAGCTACAGGAGATCCTGACAGCCCTCACAGGTCCTGAGTCCAGTATAGGGAGCTGCCTAGAGTTCATGTGACTGCATTCTTTTAGAGAGGGAATTCACACTACATTTTCCCGTGACCCCAGGACTCACGGGGACTCAGACTGCTGCAGTATGGTGCCATTTTGAGAGCAGAGTCACGGGAGTATGTATTGCCCTTGATGTTCAATGGCCCCTGTATCTCCACATCCCTGGAGCCCTGTCAATATCCCACCACAACCACCTACAGGGCTGCACAGTGGGGTGTTGAAGTCCTCAACTATTATTTATTGGGGTCTGGTTATCCCTTTAGCTTTAATAATATTTGCTTTATATATCTGGGTGCTCTGGTGTTGTGTGCACACATATATTTACAATTGTGATATTCTTTTGTTGGATGTTTTTTTACTGTATAATGTCCTTCTTTGTCTCTTTTTATAGCTTTTGATTTGAAGTCTGTTTTGTCTGACATAAGCATAATTACTCCTGCTCACTTTTGGTTTCCATTTGCAAGGAATATCTTTTTCCATCCCTTCACTTTCAGTATACGTGTGTGTTTTCACAGATGAGGTGAGTTTCTTGTAGGCAGTATATAGTTGGGTCTTTAAAAAAATCATTCAGCCAATCTATATCTTTTAAACAGGGAATGCAATCCATTTACATTCAAAGTTGTTATTGATTAGGTGAGGACTTACTCCTTTCATTTTATTGATTTTCTAGTTGTTTTGTATGTACTTTGTTCCTTACTTCTTCTCTTATTGTTTATTTTTGCAGTTGGGTGGCTTTCTGTAGAGATAAGGTTTGACTTTTTTCTTTTTCTCCTTTGTGTGTTGGCTCTACCAGTGAGTTTTGTAGTTTCACATGTTTTCATGATCATCTTTTCACTTCCAGATGTAAAACTCCTTTGAGCATTTCCTGTAAGTCTGGTCTAGTGGCAATTAATTCCCTTATTTTTTGCTTGTTTGTGAAATGTTTTACTTCTGAAGGATATATTTGCTGGGAAATATTTTATGGGTAAAACTTCAAAAGCACAGGCAAAAAAGCAAAAATAGACAACTTGGTTATATCAAACTAAAAAGCTTCTTTACAGTAAAGAAAACAATGAACAGGGTGAAGAGCAGGCAAATATATTTGCAAACTATTCATCTGACAAGAGATTAATATCCAGACTATACAATGAACTCAAAAACCTCAACAGGAAAAAAACAGATTATCTAATAAATGTGGGCAAATGATATGAACAGAGATTTCTAAAAAAAAAAAAACATGCAAATGGCCAATAAGTGCACGTAAAAATGCTCAACATCACTAATCATCAGGGAAATGCAAATCAAAACCATAATGAGCTATTATCTCACTCCAGTTAAAATGGCTAATATCAAAAGAAAAAAAATAACAAATGCTGGTGAGGATGTGAGGAAAAAGGAACTCCTATACTGTTGATGGGAGTGTAAATTGCTGTAACTTTTATGGAATACAGTATGGCAGTTCCTCAAAAAGTTAAAAATAGAACTACCATATGATCCAGCAATTCTACTACTGGGCATTTATCCAGAGGAAAGGAAAGAGATGTCTGAATCCCCATGCTTATTGCAGTACTATTCACAATAGTCAAGATATGGAATCAACCTAAGTGTCTGTCAACACATGAATGGATAACGAGAACGTGGTATATATACACAATGGAATACTATTCAGTCATAAAAAAGTAAATCCTATCATTCATTGCAATATGGTTAAGCCTAGAGGACATTATGCTAAGTGAAATATCGGGCATAGCTGGGCACAGTGGCTCACACCTGTAATCCCAGCACTTTGGGAGGCCAGTGTGGGTGGATCACTTGAGCCCAGGAGTTCAAGACCAGCCTGGGCAACATAATGAGACCCTGTCTCTACAAAAAATTAAGAAATTAGCTAGGTGTAGTGGCTCATGTCTGTAGTCCCAGCTACTTAGAGGGCTGAGGTGGGATGATTGCTTGAGCCTGGGAGGTCAAGGCTGCAGTGAGCCATGATCATGCCACTGCACTACAGCCTAGGCAACAAAGCAAGCACCTGTCTCAATAAATAAATAAATAAATAAATAAATAAATGAAAAAGAAATATCAAGCACAGGTACATAAATATTGCATGTTTTTACTCATGTGGGAGCTAAAAAAGTTGAGCTCATAAAAGTATTAGAAGAGTAGGATTGTGGTTGTTAGAGGTTAGGAAGGGTAGGGAGGAGGAAAGGATAGGGAGAGGTTGATCGATGGATACAAAATTTCAGCTAGATAGGAGGAACACATTCTAGTATTCTATAGAACTATAGAGTCACTGTAGTTAAGAATAATTTTGTAACTTAAAAAATTAGTACAACTTGGGAATATTTTGCTTCACATAGACTGGATTATTTAATTAAAATTTATTTGTTTATTGATTCTGTTACACCTAAAATTATGTATGGAGAATATGTGTGAAAAGGGATACTAGAATTTGAGTAAAAACACAAGGGTTTATAGTAAAAGATAATCTTTTATATAACTCTTGGGACCATCTTGAACTCTATTGAAGTGTTACGTCCTTCAATCATTCTAAATTTCATAAAGATTGTCAGTTTTTCTGCCAGGTGGGGTGGCTCAGCCTGTAATCCCAGCATTTGGGGAGGCTGAAGTGGGAGGATTGCTTGAACCCAGGGTTTCAGACCAGCCTGGGCAACATGGCAAGACCTCGTCTCTACAAAAAATTAAAGAAAAAATTAGCTGGGTATGGTGGCATGTGCCTGTGGTCCAAGCTACTTGGGAGGCTGCGGTGAGAGGGTGGCTTAAACACAGGAGGTTGAGGCTGCAGTGAGCAATGTTTGTGCCACTGCACTTCAGCCTGGGTAACAGAGTGAGACCCCATCTCAAAAAAAAATAATGTCGGTTTTTCTAGGTCTGCTATATTTATGTAATATGCATTGCATTTTTCTTTTATTTTTTAATTATACAAATAATACATGCCGATTGATTTTTAAAAGGTCTTTCAGTCTATATGACACACAGGTATAATCTTTCACCATCATACTCTCCTCTTCAAAGGAGCTACTTTACCATTTTACTATGTAAGTTCTTCTAAAAACTTCTATGCATTTTTGAGCAAGAATCTACTATATTATTTATAAGCAATAAAAAATTCATCCATTACATTTTGAGGCCTCAGCATAATTTTCAATTGCTCAGAAATTCAAAAACTCAAAAACATTTTGATGTTACTTTATTTTACTTACATCTTACTTACTTTTCTGTAAATAGATACAATCTTTTAAAAATGTGGTCAATTCCCAAACTTTTATGTTATTCCTCAAAAGCACCAACCTTCTCAAGACAACGAATATTACATACTGTACTGAACAGCCTTTCAATTTCAGCAAGTAGAACACAAAATGGTGGGCCTGCATGTTTAGTTGGATCATAAGAAAGAACACACATGAGGTACTGAAACCCTTTACCCAGGTTGGACGACATTATAACTGCATAGCATTTGTGATCAGCTGGATTAATGGCAACTAATGCTCTTCCATCCTAAATCCTGTCAAATTTGCCAATATTTGCTCTAGGAGGATAAAAAATACAGCAACAGTACAATGAAATGTTCCCCAAAGAACTCTTAAACACTTTGGCTCCAGGAATTTTGGTGATTGGCTCTTCTGAGTAAGAAAGATTCTGCTCTGTAAAAAAATCTCATATCCCACACCAAGTACTTGGTGATTTCCACAGCAAGTACTTGGTGATTTCCACACCAAAAGTACTTGGTAATTTCCACATCAAGTACACTGTGTCCCCAGTCTGCAAAATATTTCATCTCAACTGCTTTTCCACACAGAGGAAAAAATACCCTCACTCCACTCTTGCCTTTAAGAAAAGTATCTAAATGCTGCTTTAATAGCTGATGTCCTTGTTTTTGACGAAAACCAATATTTCAGTTCACCCACTTGTCTTGCCATTCTTGCAGAGTTAGTACTTGTTTTTTTTGCACCTCAGTATCTGGGTACTATTCAATATCAAGTGAAGTTCTTGTACCATCCATAGTTTTGTAGACACTTTTGTCTCACAATCACATATCTTCAATGCCTTTATGGGTTTATTATAAAGGATATTGCAAAGGATAAAGATGAAGAGATGTGTAGAGTGAGGTAGGCATGCCATGCTCCAGGAACCTCTAAATGTTCAGCTACCAGGAAGCTCTCTGATATGTTTAGGCTATGTCTCCATCCAAATCTCATCTTGAATTGTAGTTCCCATAATCCTCATATGTGGTGAGAGAGACCCAGTGGGAGGTAATTGAATCATGGTGATGGTTACCCCCATCCAGTTCTTGTGATAGTGAATGAGTTTTCACAAGATCTGATGGTTTTATAAGGGGCTTTTCACCCTTTGCTCGGCACTTCTCTCTCCTTCCACCCTGTGAAGAAGGATGTGTTTTCAAAATGATTGTAAGTTTCCTGAGGCCTCCCCAGCCATGCAGAACTGTAAGTCAATTAAACCTCTTTTCTTTATAAATTACCCAGTCTTGGGTATTTCCTCATAGCAGTGTGAGAACAAACTAATACACTCTCCAATAATAATTTACAGTATATTTTTAAACAGTTAGAAACAAGGATTTTGAATGTTCCCAACACAAAGAAATTGTAAATGTTTGAGGTGATATACATTCTAATTACCCCAATTTGGTCATTACATATTGTATACATTTATTGAAATATCACTTCCTACTCCATAAATATGTATGATTATTATGTGTCAATTAAAAGAAAATTTCCAAAAAATTGTTTGACTATGTATGCAGGGGATTATTTCTGGACTGTCTATTCTATTCCATTGGTCTATGTGTCTGTCTTTATGCCAGTACCAACACTATTGATTACTGTAGCTTTGAAGTAACTTTTGAAATTGAGAATTGTGATTCCTCCAACTTCGTTCTTCCTTTTCAAGATTATATTGGTGATTTAGAATCCCTTGAAATTTTTTATACATTTTATGGTTCTACTACTCCATTTCTACACAAAAGGCCACTGGAATTTGATAAGGATTAAACTAAATCTGTACATCACTTTAGATAGCATTGATATTTTGAGAATAATGTCTTTCAAGACACGAAAATATATTTTTTCAATTTTTTAAAGGTTTTCTTTAATGTCTTTCAGCAATGTTCTATAGTTTTCAGTGTGCAAGTCTTTCACATCCTTGGGTAAATTTATTCCCAGGTATTCTTTGTATGTTATTGCAAATGTCATAGATTTCTTTATTTTTTGTTTAGTTCATTGCTGGTATGTAGAAACAACTGAATTTTAGACTATCATATAATTTTGCTGAATTCATTTATTAACTCTAGTAGCTTTTTTTGTGGATTATATGTGATTGTCTACATATAGGATTATCGCACCTGCAAATAGAGATAGGTTTACTTTTTCCTATTTTGAATGCCTTTTATTTCATTTTTTTGCCTAATTGCCCCAGTTAGAACTTTCAGTACAATGTTGAATATCAGTGATAAAAGCTTGTCTTGTTCCTGATCTGGGGGAAAGCTTTTAGTGTTTTGAAACTGAGCATGGTGATAGCTATAGTTTTTTAAATAAATGCCTTTTAACATGTTGAAGAAGTTACCTTTTACACTTAGGATTTTTTTTCTGTTTTTATCATGAAAGGGTGTTGGATCTTGTCACATGTCTTTTAAACATCAATTTGGTTGGTTATAGTTTTTCTTTTCTTCATTCTATTAACGTGGTTTATTGCATTGATTGATAGTAATATGTTGAAACACCCTTACATTCTTTGAATAAATTTACTTGTTCATGGTTTATAATCCTTTCAATATGCTGTTGGATTCAGTTTGTATGCATTAAGTATTTTTGCACTTGTATTCATAGGGGATATTGGTGTGTAGTTTTCTTGTGAAGACTTTATCTGGTTTTTGTATCAGAATAATGCTGACCTCATAAAATGAATTAGGAAGTGTCCTTTTACTACTTTTTTTGGAAGAGCTTGAGTAGAACTCTCATTTCTTCTTATTTAAATATTTGGCAAAATTCATAGTGAAGCCATCTGTTCCTGGTCTCCTCTTTGTGGAGAGGTCTTTAAAATTACTGATTCAATCTCTTTACTTGATATACATTTTCAGATTTTCTATTTCTTTTTAAGACAGTTGTGGTAATTTGTGTTTTGTAGGAAGTTGGCCATTATATATAGTTTATCTCATTCCTTGGAATACAGTTCTTAATAGAATTCTATTTCTTATTTCATTAAGGTCAGTAGTAATAGCCCTGCTTTCACTTATAATTTAGTTGTTTACCTGTTCTCTCTTTTTAAATTCAGGTTAGCTAAAGTTTTGTCAGTTTAGTTGGTATTTGCAAGGAAATAAATTGAGTTTTGTTGCTTCTCCTATTGGTTTCCTATTTCACAGATTGCCACTCTGATCTATTATTTCCTTCCTTCTACTAGATTTGGCTTTTGTTTGCTCTTGTTTCTCCAGTTTCTAAAGGTTTAAAGTTAGTTTACTGATTAGAGATTTGTGTTTTTTTAAAAAAGTATTTAATTGACAAAGATTGTAAATATTGTAGGTGTGCCATGGGATGATCTGATTTATATGTTATATAATGGTTACCACCATCAAATAAATTAAGACCTATCACCACCTATGCTGTACTTTAGGTCTACAGACTTGTTCATCTTATAACTTAAAGTTTGTTTCCTTTGACCAATATCTTCCCATTTCCTCCACGCCCCTCTCCTAGAACCACCATTCTACTCTCCAATGCTGTGAGTTTGACTTTTTTAGATTCTCTACATAAGAGAGATCATACAGTATTTGTCTTTCTGTGTCTCATTTTTTTTCACTTAGCATAATGTCCTCCAGACTCATCTATGTTATTGAAAATAGTATATTTTTTATAGCTGAGTAATATTTCATTGTATATATATCACATTTTCTTTTTTTTAACTTTTATTTTAAGTTCTAGGGTACATGTGAAGGTTTGTTGCATAGGTAAACTTGTGTCATGGGAGTTTATTTTACAGATTATTTCATCATCCAGGTATTAAGCCGAGTACCCAATAATTATCTTTTCTGCTTCTCTCCCTCCACTCTCAAGTACACCTCAGTGTCTGTTGTTTTCTTCTTTGTGTTCATCAGTTCTCATAATTTATTTAGCTCCCACTTATAAGTAAGAACATGTGGTATTTTGTTTTCTGCTCCGGGGTTAGTTTTCTAAGGATAAGAGCCTCCAGCTCCGTCCATGTTCCCACAAAAGACATTATCTTGCTCTTTTTAATGGCTGCATAGTATTCCATGGTGTGTACGTACCACATATTCTTTATCCACTCTGTCACTGATGGGCATTTATATTGATTCCATGTCTTTGCTATTGTGAATAGTGCTGCAATGAACATTTGCATGCATATATTTTTATGGTAGAATGATCTGTATTGTTTTGGGTGTATACCCGGTAATGTCATTGCGGGGTTGAATGGTAGTTCTGCTTTTAACTCTTTAAGGAATTACCATACTGCTTTTCAAAATGGTTGAACTAATTTACACTCCCACCAACAGTGTATAAGTGTTCCCTTTTCTCTGCACCCTCAGCAGCATCTGCCTTTTTTTTTTTTTACTTTTTAATAATGGTCATTCTGACTGGCATGAGATGGTATCTCATTTTGGTTTTGGCTTGCATTTCTCTAATGATCAGTGACATTGAGCTTTTTCTCAAATGCTTGTTGGCCTCATGTATGTCTTCTCTTCATAAGTGTCTGTTCATGTTCTTTGCCCACTTTAAATGGGGTCGTTTGTTTTTCTCTTGTAAATTTGTTTAAGTTCCTTATAGATGCTGGATATTAGACCTTTGTCAGATGCATAGTTTGCACATTTTTTCTCCCATTCTGTAGGTTGTCAGTTTATTCTGTTGACAGTTTGTTTTGCTGTGCAGAAGCTCTTCAGTTTAAGTAGATTCCATTTGTCAATTTTTGCTTTTATTACGATTGCTTTTGGTGTCTTCATCATGAAATCTTCACCCTTTCCTATGTCCAGGATGGTATTGCCTAGGTTGTCCTCCAGGGTTTTTATAGTTTTGGGTTTTATATTTAAGTCCTTAATGCATCTTGAGATTATTTTTATATGTGATGTAAGGAAGGGTTCCAGCTTCAATCTTGTTTATATGGCTAGCCAGTTATCCCAGCACCATTTATTGAATAGGGAGTCTTTTCCCCATTGCTTGTTTTTGTCAGCTTTATTGAAGATCAAATGATTGTAGGTGTATGGCCTTAATTCTGGGCTATCTATTCTGTTCCATTGGTCTATATGCCTGTTTTTGTAACAGTACCATGCTGTTTTATACTGTAGCCCTGCAGTATAGTTTGCAGTTGGGTTACATGATGCCTCCAGCTTTGTTCTTTTTGTTTAGAACTGCCTTGGCTATTTGGACTCCTTTTTGGTTCCATATGAGTTTTAAAATAGTTTTTTTTCTAGTTCTGTGAAGAATGTCATTGGTAGTTTGGTAGGAATAGCATTGAATCTTTAAATTGCTTTGGGCAGTATGGCCATTTTAATGATATTGATTCTTCCTATCTATGAGCATGGGATGTTTTCCCATTTGTTTGTGTCTTCTCTCATTTCTTTGAGCAGGGTTTTATAATTCTCATTGTAGAGTTCTTTCACCTCCATGGTTAGATGTATTCTTAGGTATTTTATTCTTTTTGTGGCAACTGTGAATGGGATTGCCTTTATGATTTGGCTCTCGGCTTTGCTGTTGCTGGTGTATAGGAATGGTAGTAATTTTTGTACAGTGATTTTATATCCTGCAACTTTGCTGAAGTTGTTTATCAGCTGAAGGAGCTTTTGGGTCTAGATTATGGGGTTTTCTAGGTATAGAATCATGTCGTCTGCAGAGATAGCTTGACTTCTTGTCTTTCTATTTGGATGTCCTTTATTTCTTTCTCTTGCCTGATTGCTCTGGCTATGACTTCTAATACTATGTTGAATAGGAGTGGTGAGAGAGAACATCCTTGTCTTGTGCCAGTTTTCAACAGGAATGCTCCCAGCTTTTACCCATTCAGTATAATGTTGACCGTGGGTTTGCAATAGATGGCTCTTATTATTTTGAGGCATGTTCCTTTAATATGTAATTTATTGAGAGTTTTTATCATGAAGGGGTGCTGAATTTTATCAAAAACCTTTTCTGCATCTATTGAGATAATCATGTATATCGCGTTTTCTTTATCCATTTATCCATTGATGGACATTTAGGTTGCTTTAATATTGTGACTATTGTGAATAATGCGGCAATGAACATGGAGGTGCAGACACCTCTTTGAAACAGTGATTTCATTTCCTTTGGATATATGCCCAAAAGAAATGCTTAGCTAGACTAACCAAGAAGAAAGAAAGATCTCAATCAAATTAATAAAATTATAAGTGAAAGAACAGACTTTACAATTGATACCAGAGAAATACAAAGGATCATAAGAGACTGCTATAAACAATTATACAACAACATATTGAATAACTCAGAAGAAATGGATAAATTCCTAGATACTTACAACCTACCAAAACTGAATCATGAAAAATTAGAACATCTGAGCAGAGCAATAATAATAAAGTGATTGATTCACTAACCAAACTCTCCGAACAAAGAAAAGCATAGGACCACATGGCTTTACTGGTAAATTTGACCAATAATTTAAAGGAGGTCCGGGAGTGGTGGCTCACGCCTGTAATCCCAGCACTTTGGGAGATGGGTGGATCACGAGGTTAGGAGATCGAGACCATCCTGGCTAACACGGTGAAACCCCATCTCTACTACATGCAAAAAATTAGCCAGGCATGGTGGCAGGAGCCTGTAGTCCCAGCTACTCAGGAGGCTGAGGCAGGAGAATGGCATGAACCCGGGAGGCAGAGCTTGCAGTGGGCCAAGATCACACCACTGCACTCCAGCCTGGGCAACAGAGCATCACTCCATCTCAAATAATAATAATAATAATAATAATAATAATAATAATAATAATAACTTAAAGGAGAATTAATGCCAAGCTTTCTCAAACTCCTTCAAAAAATCGTAGAGGAGGGAAAACTTCCAAACTCATTTTATAAGGCCAGCATTACCCTGACAACAAAGCAAGATAAGAACAAAACAAGAAGAGAAAATTACAGGCCAATATCCCTAGTGAAGATAGATGGAAAAATCCTGAACAAAATACAAGGAAACTGAATTTGACAGCACATTAAAAGGATCATACACTGTGATCAAGTTAGATTTTTCTCTGAGATACATGATGGTATCTCACATCAATAAATGTGATACACAACATCAACAGAATAAAAGATAAAATCATATAATCATGACAATAGAGAAAAAGCATTTGACAAAATTCAATATCTTTTTCTGATAATAAATTATGTGTAGAAGGAATGTACCTCAACATAATAAGGGCCATATATGACAATCCCACAACTGACATCATACTTGGTAATGGAAAGGTGGAAGCATTTCCTCTAAGATCAAAACAAGACGAGGATGTCCACTCTCACAAATTCCATTCAACATAGTACGGGAAGCCCTAGCCAGATAAATTGGGCAATAAAAAGAAATAAAAAGACATCTATTGGAAAGGAAGAAGTTGAATTGTTTTTATCTTTTTATTTTAGACTTTTACAGCAATAGATTTCCTCCTGAGCACTGCTTCCACTGCATCCCATAAATTTTGGAATGTTATCTTTCATGGTCATTTATCTCTAGGTATTTTCAAATTTCCTTCGTGATTTGTTTTCCGATCTGGTGGTTAAGACTGTGTGGCTTAACTTCTACATATTTGTGAATTTTCTTTTTTGTCTACTGTTATGATTTTTAGCTTCATTCCATTTTGAACATGTTAGGTCTAGTTGGTTTATAGTGGTGTTCAAGTGCTCTGTTTTCTTATCTCCTGTCTAGATGTTCTATGAAGTATTGAAAGTGGAGTCTTGAAATCTCCAGCTATTATTGTAGAATGGTCTATTTCACCCATAGATTTGATCTGTCAATATTTGGTTCACATATTTGGGGGCTCCTTTGTTTTGTGTATATATATTTATAATGGTTATATCTTCTTAATATATTAATATTTTTATCAATATGTAATGCCCATCATTTTCTCTTATAGTAAATGTAAACTTGGAATCTATTTGGTCTGATATTAGCATAGTTATCCTTTTCTCCTTTGATGACTATTTGCATAGGATCTTTTCTTTTTTTGAGACATGGCCTTGCTATATTGCCCAGGGTGGACATAAACTCCTGGCTCAAGCAATCCTTCCACCTCAGCCTCCTGAGTACCTAGGACTACAGGCGCCTGCCACTGTACTCAGTAGAATATATTTTTCTTTTCTTTTCTTTTTTGACTTATGTTAGTGGTTAGCTTTTATTTCATTTTATTTTTTTCTTCAACTTTTATTTTAAGTTCAGGGGTACATGTACAGAATGTGGAGGTTTTTAGCATGGGTAAACGTGCGCCATGTTCGTTTGCTGCACACATCATCCCATCACCTAGGTATTAAGCCCAGGATCCATTAACTATTCTTACAGATGCTCTCCCTTCCCCGACCTCACTCAACAGGCCCCAGTGTGTGTTGTTCCCCACCATGTGTCCATGTGTTCTCATTATTCAGCTCCCACTTAAAAGTGAGAACATGTGGTGTTTGGTTTTCTGTTCCTGCATTAGTTTGCTGAGGTTAATGGCTTCCAATTCCATTCATGTCCCTGCAAAAGACATTATCTCTTTCCTTTTTATGGCTGCATAGTATTCCATGGTGTATGCGTACCATATTTTCTTTACCTAGTCTATCACTGATGGGCATTTAGGTTGATTTCATGTCTTTGCTATTGTATATAGTGCTGCAGTGAACATACACATGCATGTATCTTTATAATAGAATGATTTACATTCCTTTGGGTATATATCTAGTAATGGAATTGCTGGGCCAAATGGTATTTCTGCCTCCAGGTCTTTCAAGAATTGCCACTCTGTCTTCCACAATGGTTGAAATAATTTACCCTCCCACCAACAGTATAAAAGTGTTCCTTTTTCTCTGCAACCTCGCCAGCATCTGTTTTTTTCTTTAAATTTCAATAGGTTTTTGGGGGAACAGGTGGTGTTTGGTTTCATGAATAAGTTCTTCAGTGGTGATTACTGAGATTTTGGTGCACCCATCACGTAAGCAGTGTACACTATACCCAATGTGTAGTCTTTTATCCCTCACCACCCCTACCCTTTCCCCCAAGTCCCCAAAGTCCAGTGTATCATTCTTAGGCCTTTGTGTACTCATAGCTTAGCTCTCCCATATGAGTGAGAACAAACGATGTTTGGTTTTCCATTCCTGAGTTATTTCACTTAGAATAATAGTCTCCAATTCCATCCAGGTTGCTGCGAATGCCATTATATCTTTCCTTTTTATGGTTGAGTAGTATTCCATGGTATATATCTACCACATTTTCTTTATCCACTCGTTGATTGATGGGCATTTGGGCTGGTTCCATATTTTTACAATCGCAAATTGTGCTACTATAAACACGTGTGTGAAAGTATCTTTTTGGTATAATGGCTTCTTTTCCTCTGAGTAAATACCTAGTAGTGGGATTGCTGGATCAAACAGTAGAACTACTTTTAGTTCCTTAAGGAATCTCCACACTGTTTTCCATGTGGTTGTACTAGTTGACATTCCTACCAACAGTGTAAAAATGTTTCTTTTTCACTACATCCACTTCAACATCTGTTATTTTTTGAGCCTCTTACTGCTCAGCGTTAGGGAAGCCCGAGGGCAGAAAGGAGGAGAATCGCAGCTGATGTAAAGCACTGTGAGGTCAGGCATGCCAAGACAAGAAAACAATTGGTGTCAAAGGTGGGCACAAAAGGTATCTGATAGAGAAGGTAATGGAGTAACCTCTGTAGTGCTCTGGGGAAAAAAATGGTTGTAGCCCAAGAATTCCCCCAGCACTTGTCATTTGAGTGATGGCAATGGAAAGGCGTGTGTATTAGATATCATCCCCTACTTTCTACTAAAGCACGCCTTTTATCCTGTAGATCTTTCTCTTTTTTTTTAACTTTTATTTTAAGTTACAGGGTACATATGCAGGATGTGTAGGTTTGTTACATAGGTAAACATGTGCCATGGTAGTTTGCTGCACAGATCAACCCATCACATAGATATTAAGCTCAGCATACACTATCTATTCTTCCTGATGCTCTCCCTCCCCTTACCCACCCCCCAACAGGACCCTGTGTGTGTTGTTCCCCCCCACCATGTGTCCGTGTGTCCTAATCATTGAGCCCCCACTTATAAGTGAGAACTTGTGGTGTTTAGTTTCATGTTCCTGCATTAGTTTGCTGAGGATAATGACTTCCAGCTCCATCCATGTCCCTGCAAAGGACATGATCTTGTTCCTTTTTATGGCTGCATAATATTCCATGGTGTATATGTACCACATTTTCTTTATCCAGCCTATCATTGATGAGCATTTAGGTTGATTCCATGTATTTGCTATTGTGAATAGTGCTGCAGTGAACAAACATGTGTATGTATTTTTACAATGGAATTATTTATGTTCCTTTGGGTATTTACCTGGTAGTGGGACTTGCTGGGTCAAACGGTATTTCTGGTTCTAGATCTTTGAGGAATCGTCACTCTGTCTTCCACAATGATTGAACTAATTTATACGCCCACCAACGGTGTAAAAGCACTCCTTTTTCTCTGCAACCTCACCAGCACACCAGCATCTGTTGTTTTTTGACTTTTTAATAACGCCATTCTGACTGATGTGGGATGGTGTCTCGATGTGGTTTTGATTTGCATTTCTCCAATGATCAGTGATGTTGAGCTTTTCTTCATGTGTTTTTTGGCCACACAAATGTCTTCTTTTGAGAATTGTCTTTTCATGTCCTTTGCCCTCTTTTTAATGGGGTTGTTTGTTTTTTTTCTTGTAAATTATTTTAAGTTCCTTGTAGATTCTGGATATTAGACTTTGGCAGGTGGACAGATTGCAAAATTCTTCTCATATTCTGTAGTTTGTCTGTTTACTCCGATGATAGCTTCTTTTGCTGTGCAGAAGCTCTTTAGTTTAATTAGATCCCATTTGTCAATTTTTGCTTTTGTCGCAACTGCTTTTGGCGTTTTTGTCATGAAATCGTTGCCCGTGTCTATGTCCTGAATGGTATTACTTAGATCTTACTTTAGGGTTTTTATAGTTTTGGACTTTACATTTAAGCCCTTAATCCATATTGAGTTAATTTTTGTATAAGGCATAAGGAAGGGGTCCAGTTTCAATTTTCTGCATATGGCTAGCCAGTTTTCCCAACACCATTTATTAAATAAGAAGTCCTTTTCCCATTGCTTGTTTTTGTCAGGTTTGCTGAAGATCAGATGCTTGTAGGTGTGCGGTGTAATTTCTGAGTTCTCTATTCTGTTCCATTGGTCTATGTGTTTGTTTTTGCAACAGTACCATGCTGTTTTATACTGTAGCTCTGCAGTATAGTTTGAAGTTGGGTAACATGATTCCTCCAGGTTTGTTCTTTTTGCTTAGATTGTCTTGGATACTTGGGCTCCTTTTTGGTTCCATATGAACTTTAAAACAGTTTCTTCTAATTCTTTGAAGAATGTCAATGGTAATTTAATGGGAATAGCATTGAATCTATAAATTACTTTGGGCAGTATGTCCATTTTCAGGATATTGATTCTTTCTATCCATGAGCATGGAATGTTTTTCCATTTGTTTGTGTCCTCCCTTATTTCCTTGAGCAGTGGTTTGTAGTTCTCCTTGAGGAGGTCCCTCACTTCCTTTGTTAGCCGAATTTCTGGTATTTTTTTTTTGTAGTAATTGTGAATGGGAGTTCATTCATAATTTGGCTCTCTGCTTGCCTGTTATTGGTGTATAGGAATGGTAGCAGTTTTTGCTCATTGATTTTGTATCCTGAGACTTTTCTGAAGTCGATTATCAGCTTAAGGAGCTTTTGGGCTGAAACGATGCTGTTTTCTAGATATAGGATCATGTCATACGCAAACAAAGATAATTTGACTTCCTCTTTCCCTATTTGAGTACCCTATATATCTGTCTCTTGCCTGATTGACCTGCCCAGAACTTCCAATGCTATGTGGAATAAGAGTGCATATACCACATTTTCTTTATCCATTAATCCATTCAATGAACGTTTGGATTTCTTCCACCTCTTCACTATGGTGAATAGTGCTGCAATGAACACGGGAGTATGCATATTTCTTTGAGATTTTCCTTAAAATTCCTTTGGTATATTGCTAAAAGTAGGATTGCTGGATCGTGCGGTAAATCAGTTTTCAGTTTCTTGAGGAACAATTATACTCTGTCTCTTTTTTTTATTATGCTTTAAGTTTTAGGGTGCATGTGCACAACGTGCAGCTTAGTTACATATGTATACATGTGCCATGTTGGTGTACTGCCATTTAACACCAGGTATATCTCCAAATGCTATCCCTCCCCACTCCCCCCACCCCACAACAGGCCCCAGTGTGTGATATTCCCCTTCCTGTGTCCATGTGTTCTCATTGTTCAATTCCCACCTATGAGTGAGAACATGCGGTGTTTGGTATTTTGTCCTTGCGATAGTAGCTGAGAATGACGGTTTCAGCTTCATCCATGTCCCTACAAAGGACATGAACTCATCATTTTTTATGGTTGCATAGTATTCCATGGTGTATATGTGCCACATTTTCTTAATCCAGTCTATCATTGTTGGACATTTGGGTTGGTTCCAAGTCTTTGCTATTGTGGATAGTGCCGCAATAAACATACGTGTGCATGTGTCTTTAGAGCAGCATGATTTATAGTCCTTTGGGTATATACCCAGTAATGGGATGGCTGGGTCAAATGGTATTTCTAGTTCTAGATCCCTGAGGAACCGCCACACCGACTTCCACAATGGTTGAACTAGTTTCCAGTCCCACCAACAGTGTAAAAGTGTTCCTATTTCTCCACATCCTCTCCAGCACCTGTTGTTTCCTGGCTTTTTAATGATCGCCATTCTAACTGGTGTGAGATGGTATCTCATTGTGGTTTTGATTTGCATTTCTCTGATGGCCAGTGATGATGAGCATTTTTTCATGTGTTTTTTGGCTGCATAAATGTCTTCCTTTGAGAAGTGTCTGTTTATATCCTTTGCCCACTTTTTGATGGGGTTGTTTGTTTTTTTCTTGTAAATATGTTTGAGTTCATTGTAGATTCTGGATATTAGCCCTTTGTCAGATGAGTAGGCTGCAAAAATTTTCCCCCATTCTGTAGGTTGCCTGTTCACTCTGATGGTGGTTTCTTTTGCTGTGCAGAAGCTCTTTAGTTGAATTAGATCCCATTTGTCAGTTTTGGCTTTTGTTGCCACTGCTTTTGGTGTTTTAGACATGAAGTCCTTGGCCATGCCTATGTCCTGAATGGTAATGCCTAGGTTTTCTTCTAGGGTTTTTATGGTTTTAGGTCTAACATGTAAGTCTTTAATCCATCTTGAATTAATTTTTGTATAAGGTGTAAGGAACGGATTCAGTTTCAGCTTTCTACATATGGCTAGCCAGTTTTCCCAGCACCATTTATTAAATAGGGAATCCTTTCCCCATTGCTTGTTTTTCTCAGGTTTGTCAAATAACAGATAGTTGTAGATGTGTGGCATTATTTCTGAGGGCTCTGTTCTGTTCCATTGGTCTATATCTCTGCTTCGGTACGAGTACCATGCTGTTTTGGTTACTGTAGCCTTGTAGTATAGTTTGAAGTCAGGTAGCGTGATGCCTCCAGCTTTGTTCTTTTGGCTTGGGATTGACTTGGCAATGCGGGCTCTTTCTTGGTTCCATATGAACGTTAAAGTAGTTTTTCCCAATTCTGTGAAGAAAGTCACTGGTAGCTTGATGGGGATGGCATTGAATCTATAAATTACATTGGGCAGTATGGCCATTTTCATGATACTGATTCTTCCTACCCATGAGCATGGAATGTTCTTCCATTTGTTTGTATCCTCTTTTATTTCCTTGAGCAGTGGTTTGTAGTTTTCCTTGAAGAGGTCCTTCACCTCCCTTGTAAGTTGGATTCCTAGGTATTTTATTCTCTTTGAAGCCATTGTGAATGGGAGTTCACTCATGATTTGGCTCTCTGTTTGACTGTTATTGTTGTATAAGAATGCTTGTGATTTTTGCACATTGATTTTGTATCCTGAGACTTTACTGAAGTTGCTTATCAGTTTAAGGAGATTTTGGGTTGAGACGATGGGGTTTTCTAGATATACAATCATGTCATCTGCAAACAGAGACAATTTGACTTCCTCTTTTCCTAATTGAATGCCCTTTACTTCCTTCTGCCTGATTGCCCTGGCCAGAACTTCCAACACTATGTTGAATAGGAGTGGTGAGAGAGGGCATCCCTGTCTTGTGCCAGTTTTCAAAGGGAATGCTTCCAGTTTTTGTCCATTCAGTATGATATTGGCTCTGGGTTTGTCATAGATAGCTCTTATTATTTTGAGATACATCCCATCAATACCTAATTTATTGAGAGTTTTTAGCATGAAATGTTGTTGAATTTTGTCAAAGGCCTTTTCTGCATCTATTGAGATAATTATGTGGTTTCTGTCCTTGGTTCTGTTTATATGCTGGATTACATTTATTGGTTTGCGATTGTTGAACCAGCCTTGCATCCCAGGGATGAAGCCCACTTGACCATGATGGATAAGCTTTTGGATGTGCTGCTGGATTCGGTTTGCCAGTATTTTATTGAGGATTTTTGCATCAATGTTCATCAAGGATATTGGTCTAAAATTCTCTTTTTGTTGTGTCTCTGCCAGGCTTTGGTGTCTGGATGATGCTGGCCTCATAAAATGAGTTAGGGAGGATTCCCTCTTTTTCTATTGATTGGAATAGTTTCAGAAGGAATGGTACCAGTTCCTCCTTGTACCTCTGGTAGAATTCGGCTGTGAATCCGTCTGGTTCTGGACATTTTTTGGTTGGTAATCAATTAATGATTGCCTCAATTTCAGAGCCTGTTATTGGTCTATTCAGAGATTCAACTTCTTTCTGGTTTAGTCTTGGGAGAGTGTATGTGTCGAGGAATTTATCCATTTCTTCGAGATTTTCTAGTTTATTTGTGTAGAGGTGTTTACAGTATTCTCTGATGGTAGTTTGTATTTCTATGGGATTGGTGGTGATGTCCCCTTTATCATTTTTTATTGCATCTATTTGATTCTTCTCTCTTTTCTTCTTTATTAGTCTTGCTAGTGGTCTATCAATTTTGTTGATCTTTTCAAAAAACCAGCTCCTGGATTCATTGATTTTTTGAAGGGTTTTTTGTGTCTCTATTTCCTTCAGTTCTGCTCTGATCTTAGTTATTTCTTGCCTTCTGCTAGCTTTTGAATGTGTTTGCTCTTGCTTCTCTAGTTCTTTTAATTGTGATGTTAGGGTGTCAATTTTAGATCTTTCCTGCTTTCTCTTGTGGGCATTTAGTGCTATAAATTTCCCTCTACACACTGCTTTGAATGTGTGCCAGAGATTCTGGTATGTTGTGTCTTTTTTCTCATTGGTTTCAAAGAACATCTTCATTTCTGCCTTCATTTTGTTATGTACCCAGTAGTTATTCAGGAGCAGGTTGTTCAGTTTCCATGTAGTTGAGCGGTTTTGAGTGAGTTTCTTAATCCTGAGTTGTAGTTTGATTGCACTGTGGTCTGAGAGACAGTTTGTTATAATTTCTGTTCTTTTACATTTGCTGAGGAGAGCTTTACTTCCAACTATGTGGTCAATTTTGGAATAGGTGTGGTGTGGTGCTGAAAAGAATGTATATTCTGTTGATTTAGGGGGGAGAGTTCTGTAGATGTCTATTAGGTCCGCTTGGTGCAGAGCTGAGTTCAATTCCTGGATATCCTTGTTAACTTTCTGTCTCATTGATCTGTCTAATTTTGACAGTGGGGTGTTAAAGTCTCCCATTATTATTGTCTGGGAATTTAAGTCTCTTTCTAGGTCTCTAAGGACTTGCTTTATGAATCTGGGTGCTTCTGTATTGGGTGCATATATATTTAGGAGAGTTAGCTCTTCTTGTTGAATTGATCCCTTTACCATTATGTAATGGCCTTCTTTGTCTCTTTTGATCTTTGTTGGTTTAAAGTCTGTTTTATCCGAGACTAGGATTGCAACCCCTGCCTTTTTTTGTTTTCCATTTGCTTGGTAGGTCTGCCTCCATCCGTTTATTTTGAGCCTATGTGTGTCTCTGCACATGAGATGGATTTGCTGAATACAGCACACTGATGGGTCTTGATTCTTTATCCAATTTGCCAGTCTTTGCCTTTTAATTGTAGCATTTAGCCCATTTACATTTAAGGTTAATATTCTTATGTGTGAATTTGATCCTGTCATTATAATGTTAGCTGGTTATTTTGCTCGTTAGTTGATGCAGTTTCTTCCTAGCCTCGATGGTGTTTACAATTTGGAATGTTTTTGCAGTGGCTGGTACCAGTTTTTCCTTTCCATGTTTAGTGCTTCCTTCAGGAACTCTTTTAGGGCAGGCCTGGTGGTGACAAAATCTCTCAGCATTTGCTTTTCTGTAAAGTATTTTATTTCTCCTTCACTTATGAAGCTTAGTTTGGCTGGATATGAAATTCTGGGTTGAGAATTCTTTTCTGTAATAATGTTGAATATTGGCCCCCACTCTCTTCTGGCTTGTAGAGTTTCTGCTGAGAGATCTGCTGTTAGTCTGATGGGCTTCCCTTTGTGGGTAACCCGACCTTTCTCTCTGGCTGCCCTTAACATTTTTTCCTTCATTTCAACTTTGGTGAATCTGACAATTATGTATCTTGGAGTTGCTCTTCTCGAGGAGTATCTTTGTGGAGTTCTTTGTATTTCCTGAATTTGAATGTTGGCCTGCCTTGCTAGATTGAGGAAGTTCTCCTGGATAATATCCTTCGGAGTGTTTTCCAATTTGGTTGCATTCTCCCCATCACTTTCAGGTACACCAATCAGACGTAGATTTAGTCTTTTCACATAGTCCCATATTTTTTCGAGGCTTTGTTCATTTCTTTTTATTCTTTTTTCTCTAAACTTCTCTTCTCGCTTCATTTCATTCATTTGATCTTCCATCACTGATACCCTTTCTTCAAGTTGATCGAATTGGCTACTGAGGCTTGTGCATTCATCACGTAGTTCTTGTGCCATGGTTTTCAGCTCCATCAGGTCTTTTAAGGACTTCTCTGCATTGGTTATTCTAGCTAGCCATTCGTCTGATTTTTTTTCAAGGTTTTTAACTTCTTTGCCATGGGTTGGAACTTCCTCTTTTAGCTTGGATTAGTTTGATCATCTGAAGCCTTCTTCTCTCAACTCATCAAAGTCATTCTCCGTCCAGCTTTGTTCCGTGGCTGGTGATGAGCTGTGTTCCTTTGGAGGAGGAGAGGCGCTCTGATTTTTAGAGTTTCCAGTTTTTCTGCTCTGTTTTTTTCCCATCTTTGTGGTTTTATCTACCATTGGTGTTTGATGATGGTGACGTACAGATGGGGTTTTGGTGTGGATGTCCTTTCTGTTTGTTAGTTTTCCTTCTAACAGACAGGATCCTCAGGTGCAAGTCTATTGGATTTTGCTGGAGGTCCAATGCAGACCCTGTTTGTCTGGGTATCAGCAGCAGAGGCTGCAGAACAGTGGATATTGGTGAGCAGCAAATTTTGCTGCCTGATTGTTCCTCTGGAAGTTTTTTCTCAGAGGAGTACTTGGCCATGTGAGGTGTCAGTCTGCCCCTACTGGGGGGTGCCTCCCAGTTAGGCTATTCAGGGGTCAGGGACCCACTTGAGGAGGCAGTCTGTCCGTTCTCAGATCTTCAGCTGCATGCTGGGAGAACCACTACTCTCTTCAAAGCTGTCAGACAGGGACATTTAAGTCTGCAGAGGATTCTGCTGCCTTTTGTTTGGCTATGCCCTGCCCCCAGAGGTGGAGTCTATAGAGGGCTCCACCCAGTTTGAGCTTCCTGGCCACTTTGTTTACCTACTCAAGCCTGAGCAATGGCAGGCGCCCCTCCCCCAGCCTCGCTTATGCCTTGCAGTTTGATCTCAGACTGCTGTGCTAGAAATGAGCAAGGCTCCGTGGGCATAGGACCCTCCGAGCCACACATGGGATATAATCTCCTGGTGTGCCGTTTGCTAAGACTGTTGGAAAAGCACAGTATTAGGGTGGGAGTGACCCAATTTTCCAGGTGCCATCTGTCACCCCTTTCTTTGACTAGGAAACGAAATTCCCTGACCCCTTGCTCATCCCAGGTGAGACAACACCTCGCTCTGCTTCAGCTCATGCTCAGTGCACTGCACCCACTGTCCTGCACCCACTTTCCAACACTCCCCAGTGAGATGAACCCAGTACCTCAGTTGGAAATGCAGAAATCACCCGTCTTCTGCGTCGCTCATGCTGGGAGCTGTAGACGGGAGCTATTCCTATTCGGCCGTCTTGGCTCCACCCCCCCCAAACTGTGTTTCATATTGCTTGCACATTTAACATTTCCACTAACTGTGCACAAGGTTCCAAATTCTCCACATCCTTGACAACACTTGTTATTTTTGTTTTTGATATTTGCCATCCTAATGAATGTGAAGTGATATGTAGATTTAATTTGCATTTCCTTAATGATTAGTAATGTTCAGCTTCTTTTCGTAGACTTTTTGGCCATTTGATTAGTTTTGCAAAAAGGTCTATTCAAGTCCTTTTTCCGTTTTTAAAATTTTATTTTAGATTCAGGGGGTACTTGTGCAGGTTTGTTAAATGGGTAGATTGTATGATGCTGAGGTTGGGCTTCTAATGTTCCTGTCCCCCAAGTAGTAAACCCTGTATTCAATAGATGGTTTTTCAGCCCTTTTCCCCCTACTTTCTTCCCCCTTTTAAAATCCCCATTGTTTAGTGTTCCTGTCTTTGTGCCCATGTGTACTCAATATTTAGCTCCTGCTTATAAGTGAGAACATGTGGTATTTAGTTTTCTGTTTCTGTGTTAATTCACTTAGGATAATGGTCTCCAGTTGCAACTATGTTCCTGCAAAGGACATGATTTCATTCTTTTTTTATGGCTGTGTGGTATTCCATGGTGTATATGTACTATATTTCCTTTATCTAATCCACCACTGATGGACACCTAGGTTGATTCCAGGTCTTTGCTGTTGTGAATAGTGTGGTGATGAACATATGAGTTCATGTGTCTTTTTAATATAATGATCTATTTTCCTATGGATATGTAGCTCTGTTTTAAGTTCTTTGAAAAATCTTCAGACTACTTTCCACAGTGGCTGGACAGATTTACATGCCCACCAATAGTATACAAGTTTTCCCTTTTCTCTGCAACCTCAACAAAATCTCTTATTTTCCAACTTTTTAGTAATAACCATTTTGACTGGTGTGAGATGATGTCTCATTGTAGTTTTGATTTGTATCTTTCTGATTATTACTGCTGAGCATTTTTTCATATGTTTTTTGGCTGCTTTTTTGTCTTCTTTTGAGAGATTTTTGTTCATGTACTTTGCTCGTTTCTTAATGATGTTATTTGTTTTACTCTTTTTGATTTGTTCAAGTTCCTTATAGATTCTGGATGGTAGTCCTTTGTCAGATGCATAGTTTGCAAATATTTTCTTCATTCCATTCTATAGGTTGTCAGTATACTCTGTTGATAGTTTCTTTTGCTGTGGAGAAGCTATTTAATTTAATTAGATCTCATTTGTCAATTTTTGTTTTATTTGCATTTGCTTTTGAGAACTTAGTCATAAATTCTTTGCCTAGGCCGATGTCTAGAAGGGTATTTCCCAGGGTTTCTTCTAGGACTTTTATAGTTTAAGGTCTTGCATTTAAGTCTTTAATCCATCTTAAGTTAAGTATGGTGAGAGATAGTGGTCCCGGTTCATTGTTCTGTACGTGGTTAGCCAGTTTTTCCAGCTCCATTTTTTGAATGGCATGTTCTTTCCTCACTGTTTTTTTTTTTGATTTTGCCAAAGATCAGTTGGTTTTAGGTGTGTGGCTTTATTTCAGAGGTCTCTATTCTGTTCCATCGGTCTATGTGCCTGTTTTTGTACCAGTACTTTACTGTTTTGGTTAGTATTGCCTATAGTATAGTTTGAAGTTCGGTAATGTGATGCCTCCATCTTTGTTCTTTTTGCTTAGGATTGCCTTGGCTATTCAGGCTCTTTTGTGGTTCTATATGAATTTTAGAATAGTTTTATTCTAATCCTGTGAAAAATCACATTGATAATTTGGTAGGAATAACATTGAATCTATAGATTGCTTTGCTTTGCCTATTTTTAAATGGGGTTATTTGTTTTTGTTGTTGAGCTGAAAAAGTTCTTTATACATTCTGGATATTAACCCTGTATCAGATTACGATTTGAAAATATTTTCTTGCATTCCATACATTGCCTTTCCATTCTATTGATTGTATCCTTTGATTTACAGAAGTTTTGAAGTTGTATGTAGTCTCAATTGTTTATTTTTGCTTTTGTTACCTGTGCTTTTGTTGTCATATGTAAGAAATCGTTACCAAATCCAGTGTCATGAAGACTTTTTCCCTATGTTTTTGATAAGGTTTGCCTGTGTCCCCACTCAAATCTCATCCTGAATTGTAGTTTCCATAATCCCTGTGTGTCATGGGAGGGACTCAGTGGGAGGTAATTGAATCATGGGGTCGGTTAACTTCATGCTGTTCTCATGATAGTGAGTCAGTTTGCAGGAGATCTGATGGTTTTATAAGAGGCTTTTACCCCTTTTGCTTGGCATTTCTCCTTCCTGAGAAACTTTCTGATTGTAAGTTTCCTGAGGCCTTCCCAGCCATGCTGAACTGTGAGTCAATTAAACCACTTTCCTTTTTAAATTACCCAGTCTCAGGTATGTCTTTATTAGCAGTGTGGGAAGAGACTAATACAATTTTCTTCTAAGAGTTTATAGTTTTAGGTCTTATGTTTAGGTCTTTAATCCATTTTTAGTTAATTTTTGTATATGGCTTAAGGTTAGGATTCCACTTTAACCTTTTTCTGCTTAAGAGAAGCGGTTTCACTTTGTCACCCACACTGGAGTACAGTGGCCTAATCAAAGCTCATTGCAGCCTTGAACTCTTATTCTTAAGCAATCGTCCCATCTCAGCCTCTCAAGTAGCTGGGATTACAGGTGGAAGCTGCCACATCTGGCCCATTTTATTCTTTTGCATGTAGGTTCTCAGTTTTATCAACAGTGTTTGTTGAAAAGACTGTTCTTTTTTTTTCACTATGTGGTCTTGGCACTCTTGTTGAAAATCATTTGGCCATATACACAAGAGTTTATTTATGGGCTCTATATTCTGTTCCATTGGCCTATATGTCTGTCTTTGAACCAGTACCACAATGTTTTGATTACTGTAGCATTTTTGTGTATTTTAAAATCAGGAAAAGTGAGACCTTCAACTTTGCTCTTCTTTTTCAAGATTGTTTTGGCTATTCAGGGTCCTTGAAATTTCATATGAATTTTAAGATGGTTTTTCCTATTTCTGTAAAAAATGTCACTAGGATTTTGATAGGGATTGCACTACATCTATAGATTGCTTTGGGTAGTATGAAGTTGAAACAATATTAAGTCTTCTAATCCAAAAACACAGGATTCTTTTTTTCCATTTACGTGTTATCTTTGATTTCTTTGAGCAATGTTTTTTAGTTTTCAGTGTGTAAGTCCTTCACCTTGGTTAAGTTTGTCCCTAAGTGTTTTATTATTTTTGAGGCTATTGTAAATTGTATTGTTTTCTTAATTATCTTTTTGTACTGTTCACTGTTAGTAGTACATAGGAAAAAAAACCTTCTTTTTTGTGATGATTTTGAACCTTGCAACTTTGCTAAATTTATGTATTAATTATAGCAGTTTTTAAAAAGAATACTTGGGGTTTTCTACATATAAGATTATTCTAAGTGAAGTAACTCAGGAATGGAAAACCAAATGCCATATGTTCTCACTTATAACTGGGAGCTATGCTGTGCATATGTAAAGGCATACAGAGTGGTATAATGGACTTTGGAGACTCAGAAGAGGGAGCATGGGAGGGGGTGAGGGGTAAAAACAACTACATGTTGGGTACAGTGTTCACCACTTGGGTGATAAGTGCACTAAAATCTCAGACTTCACCACTATACAATTCATACATCTAATAAAAAACCACTTGGACTCCAAAAGCTATTGAAATAAAAAATATTTTAAAAAGATTATGTCATATGAACAGACATAATTTTACTTCTTCCTTTCCAGTTTTGACCCTTATTATTTATTTTTTGTAGTAGGATTATTTTATTGGCCATATTCACTGATGGACTCTCCTATTGAACTGAATAATCTTTAAACACATTATATGTATCCCCTCAGACAACAACAATGGTGACATTTTCATATATTATTATTTTTTATTATAGTTTAAGTTCTGGGGAACATGTGCAGAATGTGCAGTTTTGTTACATAGGTATACACGTGCCATGGTGGTTTGCTGCTCCCATCAACCCATCACCTACATTAGGTATTTCTCCTAATGTTATCCCTCCCCTAGCCCCTGACCCCCCAACAGGCCCCGGTGTGTGATGTTCCCCTCCCTATGTCCATGTGTTCTCAGTTCAACTCCCACTTATGAATGAAAACATGCAGTGTTTGATTTTCTGTTCTTGTGATAGTTTGCTGAGAATGATGGTTTCCAGCTTCATCCATGTCCCTGCAAAGGACATTAACTCATCCTCTTTTATGGCTGCAAAGCATTCCATGGTGTATATGTGCCACATTTTCTTAATCCAGTCTATCATTGATGGACATTTGGGTTGGTTCCAAGTCTTTGCTATTGTGAATCATGCCACAACAAACATACATGTGCATGTGTCTTTATAGAAGACTGATTTATAATCTTTTGGGTATATACCCAGTAATGGGATTGCTGGTTCAAATGGTATTTCTAGTTCTAGATCCTTGATGAATCGCCACACTGTCATTGAACTAATTTACACTCCCACCCACAGTGTAAAAGCGTTCCTATTTCTCCACATCCTCTCCAGCATCTGTTGTTTCCTGACTTTTTAATGATTGCCATTCTAACTGGCGTGAGATGGTATCTCATTGTGGTTTTGATTTGCATTTCTCTAATGACCAGTGATGATAAGCATTTTTCACATGTGTCTTGGCTGCATAAATGTCTTCTTTTGAAAATTTTAAAATTCTATGTGTCATGAGTCCAGTACAGTCTTAGAACACAGGCATTATTTTATTCCTGCACTGTGTTTATGGGACTTGGCTAACAAATAGATGGGACATCATATCCCTCTTTAAAACATGGAAGGATAATGTGAAAAGGTAGAAAAATATATAGGTGTCTTCTTCTTCCAAAATTATTCGTCTAACAGATGAAATGCTAATAGATGAAACTGTTGATCCAAGAGAAGAATGAGAGCTTCACACCCCTAAATCACGAAATAGTATGGAATTGTTAACCCATTCCCTGGATTCCTCTCTTCCACATCTTCTAATTCAGTCCTTTCAAAGTGCAGCTCTTGTCTTGTCTTTTTCTTGACAATTTTCTTTTAATTAAGTTTAATTTATAAATGGAACCCATGTTACATAGCCTTCTTGGGAACAGAGTATCACAAGTCACCTGGAATAATCATGCAAAGCTCAAGTCTAGAAATCTAGAATTTGTTGGATTCTAGAATAAGATATTTCCAAAGAGTGAACAGGCATAGGGGTCATGGCTTTTTAAAATTACTTCTTAAAGATGCATTGAGAAATTATAGACAAATGAAAATGGTGTATATTCAAGGTATGCAATGTGATGCTTCGATATACATTGTAAAATAATTAACACAATCACACTAACTTATTCATCTCCTTACACAGTTACCGTGTGTGTGTGTATGTGTGTGTGTATACAGTAAGAATAGCTAAAATCTAGTCTCTTAGCATATTTCAAGTATACAATATAGTATTATTAATTATTGTCACCATGGTGTACATTGAGTCTCCAGAACTTATTCATCTCATAACTGGAAGTTTGTACTCTTGACAAACATTTCCCCATTTTTCCCACCTCTGACCACCAGTAACAACCCTTCTACTCTTTTCCTATGAGTTCAACTTTTTTAGATTTCTTGCATATAAGAGAAATCGTACAGTATTTGCTTTCTGTGTCTGGCTCTTTTCGTCTAGGATAATGTTCTCCAGGTTCATCCATGCTGTCACAAATGGTAGAATTAAGGCTAAATTGTGTGTGTGCGTGTGTGTGTGTGTGTAAAACTCATTTTCTTTACCCATTGATGGAAACTTGGGTTGTTTGAATATTTTGACTATTGTGAATATTGCTGCAATGAACATGAAAGTGCTGATATCTCTTTGAAACAGTGGTTTTATTTCCTTTGGATGTATACCCAGAAGTGTAATTGCTGGATTATATGGTAGATCTATTTTTAATTATTTTAAGAACCTCCATACTGTTTTCTCTAATGGCTGTAGCAAATTATATTTGCAGTAACAGTGTACAAGGGTTGCTTTTTCTCAACTCCCTTGCCAACACTTTTTATCTCTTGACATTTTGATAGTAGTCATGCTAACAGATATGAAGTGACATTTCATTTGATTTTAATTTTCATTCCCTTGGGTAGGAGCTGTAAAAGTGAGGCTGCTTGACGCATGCACAAACTCCTTCTAGGGAGAATTTGCAGACCTGAATTAATCACTGGAGTGAGCCAGGGGAGATGGCATGGAAAGTGCCCACATTCTCATTCAGGCTCCCAAAGGCCTACTGTTTATCTGCCCCATCAGCTCCTGGAATCAGGTTAGTCAGACATCCAATCCTCTAACAGCAACTGGAAAAGTGTATAGACAAATACCAGGAAGAAACTGGGAGCTTGAAGCTTTTGTCAGTTTTCTCTTTTTTGAGTACAGAGGTGAAGAAAGGGGTAGGATAGTCACTGAACCTGCTCACACACCCGTTTAAAACTGTCTCTTTGTTCTCTGTGGTCTGGGGAGATCTGGTAATGCCAAGTCTTTTCTGCTTCCAGAGCTGGGTGATTTAGGACCCAAACACTGTGAGGAGAGCAGTAAAAGTTGAAATGCTCTATGTGTGGTCCAAAGCTTTCACTCTTTAGGGAGAAGTTGGGAGTTAGGGATTTCTTCCTGATTGTAAGGTGCTGTGCTTGTGATGGGATTTGTGCATGAATATATCTTAGCCTTTCCTACCTAATTGGAAGTGAATATTTTCTCAGCTGCCTGGAGTACAGGAGTCAGGATTTCTGGATTTCTCTCAGAGGAAATTGATCCATGTGTAGAACTTATTTGGTGCATCTGTGGTAGGAAGGAAAGCAGGAGCCTCCTATTCTTCCATCTTCCTGATGTCACTTCCCTAATTTCCTTTTCTTGTAGTGTCCTTGTCTGGCTTTGATATATCACTGCTGCTGCCTCACAACAAGTTTGAAAGAGTTCTCTCCTCTTAACATTTGTATAAGAGTTCAAGAAGGACTTTTATTATTTCTTCTCTAAATGGTTGGTAGAATTCACCTAAGAAGACATGTCCTTGGCTTTTTAATAATGGGAGATTTTTGAGTACTGATTCAATCTCTTTACAATTACTATCTACTATTACTATTGTTATTACTTTACTATTACTATTATTGCTCTGTGGTTTTTTATTTCTTCATGATTCAACTTGATAGATTGTATGCTTTTAGAACGTTATCCACGTCTTCTAGGTTATCCAATGTTTTGGCATATAATTGTTCATAGTAGCCTCTTATAATCCGTTATATTTCTGTGCTATTAGTTGTAATGTTCCTCTTTCATTTTTTATTTTATTAACTTGTGTCTTTTTCTTTGTTAGTCTAGCTAAGGGTTTGTCAAATATTTAATTTTTTCAGAAAACCAACAACTAAAGTTTTATTTTTATGGTGTTTTTTAGTCTCTATTATACTTATTTATGTTCTGATCTGTGTTATTTCCTTTCTTTTACTAACTTTGGACTTTGTTTTCTTTTTCTAGATCCTTGAGGTATAACATTACTTTTTTTATTTGAATTCTTTCTTCCTTTTAAATGTAGGTATTTATCACTGTAAATATCCTTCATAGAACTGCTTTTGCTGCATTCCACGAGTTTTGGTATACTGTGTTTTCATTTTCATTTGTCTCAAGATACTTTTTAATTTCTCCTTTGATTTATTCTTTGATTATTGGTTATTCTGGAGCCTGTTGTTTAATTTTCACATATTTGTGACATTTTCAGTTTTTTTCCTGTTACTAATTTCTGGTTTCATCCTGTCGTAGTTGGAAAAGATACTTGATATGATTGCAATCTTCTTGAATTGTTAAGACATGTTTTATGGCACAACCTATTATCCTGGAGAATGTTCTATATGCCCTTGAGAAAAATATGTATTCTACTGCTGTTGGATATAATGTTCTGTATGTGTTCGTTAGATCCATTTGATCTAAAATACAGTTCAAGTTCAAGATTTCCTTACTGATTTTCTGTCTGGATGAACTATCCAATGTTGCAAGTTTGGTATTGAAGTCCTTTACTATTATTGTATTGCGCCTATTTCTCCCTCAGTTCTGTTAACATTTGCCTAAATATTTAAGTGCTCTAATATTGAGTGCATATGTATTTACAATTGTTATATCCTCTTGATGTATTGGCCCTTTTATCATTACATAGTGGTGTTCTTTCTCTCTTCTGATAGATTTTTACTGAAAGTCTATTTTGTCTGTTATAAGATAGCTACTCCTGCTCTCTCATAGTTTCAACTTGCCTGGAATATTTTTACCGTCTATTCACTTCAGTCCATGTGTGTTTTTAAAGCTTAAGTAAGTCTCTTGTAAACAGCACAGTGTTTTGTCTTGTCTTATTATTATTTTTTTCATTCATTCAGCTGCTCTATATCTTTTGAAATGGAATAAACCCACTGATCAGAAGGTCTGTACATTCTGATGAATGGACTTTCTTTTTTTTGAGACAGAGTTTCGCTCTGGTTGCCCATGCTGGAGTGCAATGGAGTGATCTTAGCTCATCCGGGTTCAAGCGATTCTCCTGCCTCAGCCTCCCGAGTAGCTGGGATTACAGGCATGTGCCACCATGCCCAGCTAATTTTGTGTTTTTAGTAGAGATGGGGTTTCTCCATGTTGGTCAGGCTGTTCTCAAATTCCCGACCTCAGGTGATCCACCTGCCTCGGCATCCCAAAGTGCTGGGATTACAGGCATGAGCCACCATGCCTGGCCGATGAGTGGATTTTTATAAAAACAGAATCCAGTGATATGCTTAGTACAAGAGATTTACTTTATATTTAATATGAAAGAAAATTAAATTTCTGTACCCCAAACCCACTATACCAATGAGAAAGTTAAGCTTGGAAACTTAGTCATGCAAAAAAACGTCCTCTTTTAGTTCCCACATAGCTGTAAATTTCACATGATTACTTTATCTTACATAGAATATGGATCTACCCAGCACAAGATGAATGCATAGTCTTTCCCCCGCACTCTTCTCTTTTCAGAGGTAAAATGTGGATTCAGTGAGTGCTATTCAAAGCCTCACAAGAATGTAACACTGCCCTCACCTCTTACACCTCCATTTTCCCCCTCCTTTCCCTCCTGCCTGCTCTTTCCCCGTTAAATATTGCAGTCCTCAAACACTCTTTGGACAAAGCACAGGCTACACATCCTACTGTGACTTGTGTGCTTTTTCCTAGGTGTGTCCTCAACCTTGGCAAAATAAAACTCTAAATCGATTGAGATCTGTCTCAAATACTTTTTGGTTTACAGTTGGCAACCCCTAAGGGATTTTGAATGGAGTTTGGTCCTTTGGCTTGCAGCAATTCTCCTAGCAAGGATCTGGTACCAGCTGGAAGCTCTTTATTGCTCTGACTGATTGAACTATTTGCTGAAATATGGGAGCTTCTCTCTCCAGAGATCCCTGATCTCCCAATTTTTTTTGGTTGAATTTTGAGTTGTATTCTGTTGTAGAACTCATTTCCTTGGAGTTTTCTTCTTTTGTGCAGGTGAAAATCAGTCTTCACATTGGCCTCCATCTTCAAGTAAGAAGCTGGTTTGGGGTTTCATTTGGGGATTTGATAGCTGAAGGTCAAGGTTTATTGTCAGCTGGCTATAACTTTTATGCTCAGAGATCTCAACTGTATGTAAATTGTGTGATCACTTTTTTTCTGTTTTTTTTTTTGTTTGTTTGTTTGTTTCAGTTCATCTTCCACTAGATTTGACCAACTCCTGGCCCCCTCTACTGTTGACTGAAATTAGAAAGTCAAAATTCCATCTCTAAATAGAAAACTGGCCAGTTAAGAAAGTTAAAAAATTTGACTACCTGAAAAGTTTTGCCCACATAACAAGGCCACCTTTTACTAACTTTTGCTAACCAAGTCTTTTCCTTTCTTCTTCCAATAACCTGTCTTGCCACTAAAACTATTTTTTTGTTTTTGTTTTTTTGTGTGTGTTTTTTTACATACCTTGAAACTGCATGCTTTCTTTCATTTCAATATGGTATATGAGCTTCTGTTATTTATTGGGAAATTGGGCCTTCATTCTGAAGGTTCCTATGAATATATATTAAATAAATTTCTATGCCTTTTCTCCAATTAATCAATTGCCTCATTCCAGTGATTTTTCAGTGAACCTTTGGGCACAAGCAGTCATGACCCCCACAGTTTGGTGCAGCAAGCAAGGTGACTAAAGCTGCTCTTCTCCTCTGGAACCCATGGTGAAGGGAACCCAGGAAACTGATCTGCCAACAAAGGGGGAAGACTTTCTTTTTTTATTTATTTTATTTTATTATTATTATACTTTAAGTTTTAGGGTACATGTGCACAATGCGCAGGTTAGCTACATATGTGTACATGTGCCATGTTGGTGTGCTGCACCCATTAACTCGTCATTTAACATTAGGTATATCTCCTAATGCTATCCCTCCCCCCTTCCCCCACCCCACAACAGTCCCCGGTGTGTGATGTTCCCCTTCCTGTGCCCATGTGTTCTCATTGTTCAATTCCCACCTATGAGTAAGAACATGCAGTGTTTGGTTTTTTGTCCTTGCGATAGTTTACTGAGAATGATGATTTCCAATTTCATCCATGTCCCTACAAAGGACATGAATTCATCATTTTTTATGGCTGCATAGTATTCCATGGTGTATATGTGACACATTTTCTTAATCCAATCTATCATTGTCAGACATTTGGGTTGGTTCCAAGTTTTTGCTATTGTGAATAGTGCCGCAATAAACATACATGTGCATGTGTCCTTATAGCAGCATGATTTATAGTCCTTTGGGTATATACCCAGTAAGGGGATGGCTGGTTCAAATGGTATTTCAAGTTCTAGATCCCTGAGGAATCGCCACACTGACTTCCACAATGGTTGAACTGGTTTCCAGTCCCACCAACAGTGTAAAAGTGTTCCTGTTTCTCCACATCCTCTCCAGCACCTGTTGTTTCCTGACTTTTTAATGATTGCCATTCTAACTGGTGTGAAATGGTATCTCATTGTGGTTTTGATTTGCATTTCTCTGATGGCCTGTGATGTTGAACATTTTTTCATGTGTTTTTTGGCTGCATAAATGTCTTCTTTTAAGAAGTGTCTGTTCATGTCCTTTGCTCACTTTTTGATGGGGTTGTTTGTTTTTTTCTTGTAAATTTGTTGGAGTTCATTGTAGATTCTGGATATTAGCCCTTTGTCAGATGAGTAGACTGCAAAAATTTTCTCCCATTTTGTAGGTTGCCTGTTCACTCTGGTGGTAGTTTCTTTTGCTGTGCAGAAGCTCTTTAGTTTAATTAGATCCCATTTGTCAATTTTGGCTTTTGTTGCCATTGCTTTTGGTGTTTTAGACATGAAGTCCTTGCTTGTGCCTATGTCCTGAATGGTAATGCCTAGGTTTTCTTCTAGGGTTTTCATGGTTCTAGGTCTAACATTTAAGTCTTTAATCCATCTTGAATTAATTTCTGTATAAGGTGTAAGGAAGGGATCCAGTTTCAGCTTTCTACATATGGCTAGCCAGTTTTCCCAGCACCATTTATTAAATAGGGAATCCTTTCCTCATTGCTTGTTTTTGTCAGGTTTGTCACAGATCAGATAGTTGTAGATATGTGGCGTTATTTCTGAGGGCTGTGTTCTGTTCCATTGATCTATATCTCTGTTTTGGTACCAGTACCATGCTGTTTTGGTTACTGTAGGCTTGTAGTGTAGTTTGAAGTCAGGTAGCATGATGCCTCCAGCTTTGTTCTTTTGGCTTAGGATTGACTTGGCGATGCGGGCTCTTTTTTGATTCCATATGAACTTTAAAGTAGTTTTTTCCAATTCTGTGAAGAAAGTCATTGGTAGCTTGATGGGGATGGCATTGAATCTATAAATTACCTTGGGCAGTATGGTCATTTTCATGATATTGATTCTTCCTACCCATGAGCATGGAATGTTCTTCCATTTCTTTGTATCCTCTTTTATTTCATTGAGCAGTGGTTTGTAGTTCTCCTTGAAGAGGTCCCTCACATCCCTTGTAAGCTGGATTCCTAGGTATTTTATTCTCTTTGAAGCAATTGTGAATGGGAGTTCACTCATGATTTGGCTCTCTGTTTGTCTGTTATTGGTATATAAGAATTTTTGTGATTTTTGTACATTGATTTTGTATCCTGAGACTTTGCTGAAGTTGCTTATCAGCTTAAGGAGATTTTGGGCTGAGACAATGGGATTTTCTAGATATACAATCATGTCATCTGCAAATAGGGACAATTTGACTTCCTCTTTTCCTAATTGAATACACTTTATTTCCTTCTCCTGCCTAATTGCCAAAGGGGGAAGACTTTCTTACCAGCTAGGCTCCTGGCCTCTCTCTCTGAACTCCAGGTGAATGGATGGTAAAATCGTCTCGTCTGCAAAGTTTTAATTTTTAAAAAAGGATTTTTGTGACTAGCCTTGGTATAGTGACTCTGGTGTATTTTTGGTACTTTGTGCTATGAATATTCACTATTGGAATAAAGTATATTATTGAAAATTCTGATTGTCAATGGCCAAAAGATAAAGATTTTAGAGATATCTTATTCTAAACAATTGATGAGAAAATTAAATTTAAAAAGGACACATAGTAGTGTCATGAGACCTCACTAAATTGAAAAGCAAAAAAAAAAAAAAAATTATTTTTGACTTGAAAGAAAGTTAGAATCCTTTCCAAGCTCAAAACTGCCTGCTCTAGATTTCTTCTTGGAATAACAGTAGAGACTTCCCCATGCTGTAGTTTAGTAGCTAAGGTTTTGCCCTTTCACCATAGCAGCCTGTGTTCAGTTCCCAGCCAGGGAATGAGTCTTTTTTCATTTGATATTTGCAAGAATTTTGCCACTTATTGATCCCTTTCCCTTTGATGGACTGCTTATGATTTCCTGTCTTGAATTTTACCTTCTCTAAGGTATCTTTTGGGTGATTCTGGATCTTGAAAAACCTACTTGCCACCGCTTTGGAGACATCTCATGCATCTCTGGTTAAGTCATAATCTTGGTTAAGGCACTTGGGAGGATACCTTTGGTAAAGAACTTCAAAAGCCAAAAATATTGGCTGTTTATCCTGGCTAAAATCTGATAATAAGAGATTTAAAATGGTTGTTTTAAAAAGAACTCTATGGTTAAAAGTCAGTTTAATTAAAAGCTGATATCCAAGCTATATATTAAATATTTAAAGGCCTTTATGCCTTTTCTTTTTATGGATCCTGATTTGGGGAATTTTTTTTTTCCAGCTGACTGAAGTCTTTTTTAAAATCCTTTTGTAAAATAAATTTACATTTTAAGAAAAATTTCTATTTGTAAGGGAGTCTGCCTGTGTACATTAAAACCACTTACCATTGCTGGGAAAACTGGCTAGCCATATGTAGAAAGCTGAAACTGGATCCCTTCCTTACACCTTATACAAAAATTAATTCAAGATGGATTAACGACTTAAATGTTAGACCTAAAACCATAAAAACCCTAGAAGAAAACCTAAGCAATACCATTCAGGACTCAGGCATGGGTAAGGACTTCATGTTTAAACACCAAAAGCAATGGCAACAAAAGCCAAAATTGACAAATTTGATCTAATTAAACTAAAGAGCTTCTACACAGCAAAAGAAACTACCATCAGAGTGAACAGGCAACCTACAAAATGGGAGAAACTTTTTGCAATCTACCCATCTGACACAGGGCTAATATCCAGAATCTGCAGATTACTCAAACAAATTTACAAGAAAAAAACAAACAACCCATCAACAAGTGGGCAAAGGATATGAACAGACACCTCTCAAAAGAAGACATTTATGCAGCCAACAGCCACATGAAAAAATGCTCATCATCACTGGCCATCAGAGAAATGCAAATCACAACCACAATGAGATACCATCTCATACCAGTTAGAATGGCGATCATTAAAAAGTCAGGAAACAAAAGATGCTGGAGAGGATGTGGAGAAACAGGAACACTTTTACGCTGTTGGTGGGACTGGAAACCAGTTCAACCATTGTGGAAGTCAGTGTGGCGATTCCTCAGGGATCTAGAACTTGAAATACCATTTGACCCAGCCATCCCATTACTGGGTATATACCCAAAGGACTATAAATCATGCTGCTATAAAGACACATGAACACATATGTTTATTGAGGCACTATTCACAATAGCAAAGACTTGGAACCAACTCAAGTGTCCATCAATGATAGACTGGATTAAGAAAATGTGGCACATTAGGCTGGGCACGGTGGCTCATGCCTGTAATCTCAGCACTTTGGAAGGCCGAGGCGGGCAGTTCATGAGGTCAGGAGATCGAGACCATCCTGGCTAACATGGTGAAACCCCGTCTCTACTAAAAATACAAAAAATTAGCTGGGCATAGTGGCAGGCACCTGTAGTCCCAGCTACTCGGGAGGCTGTGGCAGGAGAATGGCATGAACCCGGGAGGTGGAGCTTGCAGTGAGCCGAGATGGCACCACTGCACTCCAGCCTGGGTGAAAGAGCAAGACTCCGTCTCAGAAAAAAAAAAGAAAGAAAATGTGGCACACATACACCATGGAATACTATGCAGCCATAAAAAAGGATGAGTTCATGTCCTTTGTAGGGACATGGATGAAGCTGGAAACCATCATTCTCAGCAAACTATCACAAGGACAAAAAAACCAAACACTGCATGTTCTCACTCATAGGTGGGAATTGAACAATGAGAACACTTGGACACAGGAAGGGGAACGTCACACACCGGGGCCTGTTGTGGGGTGGGGGGAGGGGGAGGGATAGCATTAGAAGGTATACCTAATGTAAATGACGAGTTAATGCGTGCAGCACACCAACATGGCACATGTATACATATGTAACAAACCTGCTGTGCACATGTACCCTAGAACTTAAAGTGTAATAAAAAAAAATAAAATAAAATAAAAAATAAAACCTCTCACCATTGCTTTAAATTTATGTCATATGCTTGTTGAAGCACTTTTCCTATCTTATCTGCAATTTACTTACCCTGGTTTTTGCCCTGGGTTTGAGCAAATAACGATACAATATTAAGAATAACTTCTTAGTTCTGAACTTTGACTTGTAAATTCTCTATCTTATTTCATCTAGGAGTTGTCCCTTTAGAAATGCAAATTTAAGGTGTCATGGCTAACAATTGCCTAGAACAATGAAACAGTTAATTAAAAGAGATTGAGCATCTAAAGCGGGGGAGGGGAACTTTAAAAACTAGCAAATGAAAAATCTTATAAATCTATAAAATCTGTTTCTGTCTATATGTCTTCATGTCTATGTGTTTATACATGTCATGTGTTTGTGATGTTTCACTACCAAAATATCTAAAAAGCTCTAATTAATAGGCTTATAGACAAAAGTAAGTGCTCAAATATTTCATCAGAAAAATAAAAACTTTATTTGAACACCTTTTCGTTCTTGTGACTGTAATAACCTTTAGTAAGTAAAGCTAATTTAAATTATTGGTAAAATAGAATGAAAATGTCTTCAAAATTTAATTTAATGATTTGATCTGATCTGGTCAGGCAGGTCAGATACTGTCTTTGTTAGATATTTTAAGGTCATAAACTGCTTCTGTGACATTTTAAATAATTGTTTGAGTTGTCTATCTTATAGTAAGCCCTGGGGAAATGTGAAGTTCTCCCTGGCCCAACTATGCTACTTGACTATGTTGGGAAGGGTTAGACATTATCTGCAACTCCGTCTTTTGTCCTGGGTTCTGCATCTGATACATAATTAAAATTGCTTACGTCCTAGGTTGTTCACTAAAAAGGAGTTGCTTAGAGTAATACACTAATTACTATATATGATTAAAATGACTAGTATAAGAGAAACATTTCTATATAGAGAGTACATAAGGAAATTAGGATGTGTTTGGAAAAAGGGGTTATAGAAAGTCATGGAAATATGTTCTTTGCTAAAGGGAAAGTAATTTTGTCTAGTTTAGAGGTTTTAACGATGAGTTTGTTTATGTGATTTTATTAAAATTAGCTTTACTGTTAATACATTATGCAAAGATAAAACTTGATTTTCTCTTTTGAACAAGGTTTTCATGTAATATTAAGAGATAGTAAAGATTTTTGTTTGTGTTTTGAGTAAACTGCAAAAAAGAGGGGAGAGAGGACAGATTTAGTTGCCCTTTTACTGTCTTTCTTAGGTCTCATTATTTGAGAAATTGAGTTTCCTCTCTATCAAATAATAAAAGTTTTTGCTTTTTAAAAATCTTTAAATTATTACTTTGGCTAAAAGAATATTTTGCAGTGACCTGTGATCCTATTTTGTGATATCAAATGTTTTAAACCTTTGATATTTAATAAACATTCCAAAATCAAGTCTAAATTCAGTCTTTTTGACTTCATTAACTCTTTTAAATGTTAGATTGTCTGAATTCCAAAGAAGACATATTTGGCTTATTTGATAGGTTAAAATCATACAGGAAGCATCGTCAAATATGAAATGTTTAGCTTTCCTTGGGTTCTATTTATATAAGCTTGTAATTAATATATGTTCCAAAACTGTATGAGATTCCTGTAATTCTGGTATGTCTTAGTATATGTTACCAGTAATAGTTATAATTATTATGTTAAATTGTTGTATGCCACAGGGAAAAAAAAACAAATTTTCATGTCAGTTGTGTCTTTAACCATGACTGTCCTAAGATTTTGGTCATCACAATTATTATTTTACTTTTATTCTTCTAAAAAAAAGGCTGTTTATAAAAAAGCTGCAGCCCCAAACGTGCTTTTTTAGGGGAATTCATGAAAAGGACTCTGACAGGTGTTCTTGAATGCAGGTTTCTGATAACTTTGGAGACTGTGCCATAGTACTAGCAAATAAAACAGAAACAAAAACTTCCAAGACTCTAATTAAAAGTCTGATATGTTCATGAGTATTGCTAACCCAATATCAAGTGGAATGACTTAATTACATGGGACTGAACAAACAGAAGACTGAAATAATTTTTATGACCATTTTTTTTGAAACATTGCTAAATATTTCTGATGTTTTTCAGAGTCAAGAAAACTAACCTTTTGAGCTACTTATAGCTTTTCTTTTAACAATTGAGTAAAGTATACTCTTGTGAGCAAAATTTGAAGCATATTTCTATTTCTTTCTCTCTACCTGATTTCTTCAGAATTCGGAAACCGTTTGTGCATCTTCTTAATTTCTGGCAATATAGTTATTTGCATAAATTCAACAAGAATCTATTTCCTTTTATAACAGAACACCATTGGAGATACTGGTTATTTTACCAAGGCCTTGACTGAAATGGTATATATTCAGATGTGGAGCAGACTGCTTTGAAAAATAGAAGTTGACTTATAGAGCTGATAAAAGCACCTTGGAAAACCTGGCCTTGTACCTTGTCTATGTGGTTCCTTTACAGGGTTCCTGACCTGTGGAAAGTAAATATGTCACTTTCTGACAGACCCAGGAACCCCAAGTTATCTTGGTACCACAAGAAGAGAAGAATTCACTCAATTCATTCAAGTATCTACAGACACAGATGAATCCTTGGCTGGGTTCAGGAGGCTTTTGAAAAGTCAAATCTGAGATTCCTTATTTTTAAGAAAGTTCCAGCAAAGCCAATTTAAAGAAAGCCTATGTGGAAAATACTTATTCTTGTTGCATTTTATGCAAATAATCAGGCCAAGTATAATAAGACTGCAACTTATTTTGCAAACAAATTGATTCCATTATGATTTGTCTTTAATAAAAATGAGGAAGTGAAGAGAGAAAAATCACGTTTCAAAAGAAACTATAGTACACCTCTTATTAGATTCAAGCCTTGGCCTTTGTTTTCCACTTTTATTATTTGTCTATGGTTTAACTAGATTGAATCCTGAATTCCTTACAGGCTATAAGTCTCCAAACTGTTTTCAATTTTTTTTCTCTCCCATTTTTCTGACTTGGAATCACTGGAAATTAAAACTATGCTTTTCTTAAAGCTCTGTAGGCTGAAGCTAGACAACTTAAACTTTGGGAGAAATAACAGCAACTTATTTATATACATAAACCACTTTTTTGCCTGCCTAATGATGTATGGACTTTGCAATATAGCCTAAATCAGTTTTCCAGGGTTGCTTTCCCCTTTATTGCTATAATCTGGATTTGGTCCTTTTTTTCTCCACCTTTCTTCCTCCTGCTATTTCTCTCCATGGGATGTGAGACTTCACAACTTTCTAGAATGAGGCTTCCTAACAACATGGGACCTACCATCCTAGGAATAAACCATCCTAGCAATGAAGGATCAGACCAAACCCATTACCGGAGACTCATTTTCTTCTACAATGCTTTCTCCAAAAGATTTTGAAGAACAAGGGGGAAACATGAAAGGAAAATAAAATCTCAGGACCCAAACTCACTATGCCAAAGAGAAAGTTAAGCTTGGGAACTGAGTCATGCAAAAATCGCAAAAATCTGCCTTCCTTTTTGTTCCCAGGTAACTGTAAATTTCACATGGTTACTTTATCTTACATCAAGTGTAATGTATGCAGCACAAGACGAATGCATAATTGACTGTCCCCACTCCTCTCTTTTCACATGTAAAATGTGAATTCAGTGAGCACAAATCAAAGCCTCACAAGAATGCAACACTTGGTTCACCACCTACCCCACTTTTTCTTTCTTTGTTTCCCTTCCTTTTCCTCCTGCCCACTCTTTCCCCTTTAAATACTGAAGTGCTCAAAATCCTCTTTGGAGAAAGCACAGGCTACAGATCTTGCTATAACTCGTGTTTCTTTTTCCTGGGCACATCCTCAACTTTGGCAAAAGAAACCTCTAAATTGATTGAGATTTGTCTCAGACACTTTTTGGTTTACATTAAAGGCATTCATGGGCTGAAAGTGCTGAGATAGAAAAAGACATTTCATGCAAACAGTAATTGAAATAGGCAGTAGTGGCTATACTTGTATCAGACAAAATAGATTTTAAGTCTAAAACTTTTTGTACAGACAAAAAAGTCATTGTAGAATGATGAAAAGGTCAATTCAACCAAAAGATCTATTGTAAATATATAAACATCCAATATGAGAACACCTAAATATATAAAGGAAATATGGACAGATCTGAAGACAGAAATTCACAGGAATAAATTAATAGTAGGGGACTTCTATATTCCATTTTGGAATGGATATCCAGTCAGAAAAATCAGTAAAGAAAGAACTGACTTGAACAACACTACAGATCAAAGCCAAAAGACGTAAGCCAAACTTTCCGTTCAACAGCAGAAGAATACACATTATTTTCAAGTGCACGTGGAACATTCTACCAAATAGATCACATTTAGGTTGCAAAACAAGTCTTAACAAATGCAAGAAAATCAAAATCATTTCAAGTATCTTTTTTGGTCACAGTGGAATCTAGAAATCAATAACAGCAAGAAAACCAGAAAATATACAGGTGTGGAACCTAAACAACATGCTCTTAAACAATCATTGTGTCAAAGAGGAAATCAAAACGTATCTCAAGACAAACTAAAATGAAAGCAGAACATACCAAAACTTTTTAGATGCAGCTAAAGCAGTACTGAAAGGGTGGTTTATACCAATAAATTCCTACACGAAGAAAGAATAAAGCTCCCCAAAATACAAACTAACTTTCCAACTCAGGGAACTAGAAAATGAACAACAAACTAAGTCTAAAGTTAGCAGAAAGAGGAAATAATAAAATTAGAACTGAAATAAATCAAGCGGAGGATTTTTAAAAATAAAAAACTCAACAAAACCAAGAGTTTGTTTTTTGAAAAGATGAACAAACTCAACAAACCTTTAGTTGTACTAATTAATAAAAGAGAGAAGACTAAAATTTTAAAAAATCGTAACTGAAAGAGGAGACATTGCAGCTGATGCCTTATGCTATGGTTTGAATGTTTGCGTCTCCTTGTAATAGTCAGGTTTCTCCAGAGGGGCAGAAACAATAGTATATATGTGAAAGAGAATTTATTAGGGGGAATTGGATCACACAATCAGAAAGGTAAAGTCTCATAATAGGCCATCTGCAAGCTGAAGGACCAGAGAAGCTTGTCATGTGGCTCCCAGAGAAGCCAGTAGCCTGGCTCAGTACAAGTCTGAAAGCCTCAAAACCAGGGAAGCCACCAGTGCAATCACCAGTCTGAGGCCAAAGACCTGAGAGCCCATGTGAGGCCACTAGAGCAAGTCTGAATCTAAAAGCAGGAGAACCAGGAGTCTGATGTCCAAGGGCAAGAGAAGAACAAAGGCCTCCTGCTCTGGAAAGGAGAGAGAGAAGAAGCCAGAGCAAACTGAATATCCCCATTTCTGCCTGCTTTGTCCTAGACAAGCCCCTAGTCAATCAGATGATGCCTGCCTACATTAGGGTGGGTTTTTCTCTCTCAGTCCACTGTCTCATATGTCAGTTTCCTTGGGAAACGTCCTCACATATACACCCATCTGCAATGCTTCACTAGCCACGTAGGCATCTCTCAATTCAATCAATCAAGTTGACACATAACGTTAACCATCATACCCTTCCAAAATTCATGAAAATTAGTCTTTAATTCGATAGTATTAGAAGGGGCCTTTAGGAGGTGATCAGGTCATGAAGGCTCCTATCTCATGAATGGGATTAAAACTGCTGTATAGAAGGCTTCACACAGCTTTTGACTCTTTTTACCCTTCTGTCCCTTCTGCCGTGTGAGACTGCATTATTCATTTCCCAGGAGGATGTAGCAATGAGGCACCATCTTGGAAGCAGAGAGCAGCCCTCACCAGACGCTGAACCTACCATTGCCTTGACGTTAGACTTCTCAGCCTCCAGAAGTATGAGAAATAAATTTCCATTCTTTATAAATTACCTAGTCTCAGATATTTTGTTACAGGAGCACAAATAGATTAAGACACCTCAGTATCAAATGGATCATAAGAGATTATTATGAACAATTATATGCCAACAAACGGGATAACCTAGAAGAAATGGATAAATTCCTAGAAACATTATAAAAAAAAGAAAGCCCATACCAATAAAAAATAAGAAAATTTAATCCGTAACCAGAACTATCCCAGCAAACAAAACCAAGGACCAAGTAATTCACAGCTGAATTCTATCAAACTGTCAAAGAAGAATTAATACCTATCTTTCTAAAAGTCTTCCCAAAGATAGAAGAGGGAACATTTCCAAACTCATCATAGAAGGCCAGTATCAGCCTGATACCCAAAACAGACAAAGACACTACAAGAAAACTATAGTCTGATATACCTGATGAACATATATGCAAAATTATTCAATAAAATACTAGAAAACTGAATACAAAAACATTTTAAAAGGAACATATCCCAGTTGAATAAATTCCAAGTGGAATTTATTCCTCAGATGTAAGAATAGTTCAATATACACAAGTAATTCATTGTGATACAACGCATTAAGAAAATGAAAGAAAAAATCCACATGATCATCTGAATAGATGCATAAAATCCATTTGACAAAGTTCAACATCCATTCATGATTAAAACTCTCAACAAAATAGGTACACAAGCAATTTACCTCAATACAATAAAGGATATATATGAAAATCCCATAGCTAACACAATAAATGAGGAAAAATTAAAAGCTTTCACTCTAAGATCCAGTACAAAGCAAGGATGCCCACGCTTGTCACTTATTTTTATTTTTGTATTTTATTATACTTTAAGTCCTGGGGTACATGTGCAGAATGGAACGTGCAGTTTTGTTACATAGGTATACATGTGCCATGGGGTTTGCTGCACCCATCAACCCATCACCTACATTAGGTATTTCTCCTAATGCTATCCCTTCCCTAGCCCTCCACCCCCAATAGGCCCCACTGTGTGATGTTCCCCTCCCTGTGTCCTTGTGTTCTCATTGTTCAACTCCCAGTTATGAGTGAGTACATGTGGTGTTTGGACTTCTGCTCTTGTGTTAGTTTGCTGAAAATGATGGTTTCCAGCTTCATCCATGTCCCTGCAAAGGACATTAACTCATCCTTTTTATGGCTGCATAATATTTCATGGCATATATGTGCCACATTTTCTTTATCCAGTCTATCATTGATGGACATTTGGGTTGGTTCCAAGTTTTTGCTATTGTGAATTATGCCACAATAAACATATGTGTGCATGTGTCTTTATAGTAGACTGATTTATAATCCTTTGGGTATATACCCAGTAATGGGATTGCATGGTCAAATGGTTATTTCTAGGTCTAGATACTTGAGGAATCACCACACTGTCTTCCACAATGGTTGAACTAATTCACACTCCCACCAACAGTGTAAAAGCGTTCCTATTTCTCCACATCCTCTCCAGCATCTGCTGTTTCCTGAGATTTTAATGATTGCCATTCTAAGTGGTGTGAGATGTTATCTCATTGTGGTTTTGATTTGTATTTCTCCAGTGATGAACACTTTTCCATTTGTCTGTTGGCTGCAAAAATGTCTTCTTTTGAGAAGTGTCTGTTCATATCCTTTGCCCACTTTTTGATGGGGTTTTTTTTTCTTGTAAATTTCTTTAAGTTCCTTATAGATTCTGGATATTAGGCTTTTGTCAGATGGATAGATTGCAAAAATTTTCTCTCATTCTGTAGGTTGCCTGTTCACTTTGTTTTATTTTATTTTATTATTATTATACTTTAAGTTTTAGGGTACATGTGCACAATGTGCAGGTTAGTTACATATGTATACATGTGCCATGCTGGTGTGCTGCACCCATTAACTCGTCATCTAGCATTAGGTATATCTCCTAATACTATCCCTCCCCCCTCCCCCTACCCCACAACAGTCCCCAGAGTGTGATGCTCCCCTTCCTGTGTCCATGTGTTCTCGTTGTTCAGTTCCCACCTATGAGTGAGAATATGCGGTGTTTGGTTTTTTGTTCTTGCAATAGTTTACTGAGAATGATGATTTCCAATTTCATCCATGTCCCTACAAAGGACATGAACTCATCATTTTTTATGGCTGCATAGTATTCCATGGTGTATATGTGCCACATTTTCTTATTTATTTATTTATTTATTTATTTATTTATTTTTTATTATACTTTAAGTTTTAGGGTACATGTGCACATTGTGCAGGTTAGTTACATATGTATACATGTGCCGTGCTGGTGCGCTGCACCCACTAACTCCTCATCTAGCATTAGGTATATCTCCCAATGCTATCCCTCCCCCCTCCCCCCACCCCACCACAGTCCCCAGAGTGTGATATTCCCCTTCCTGTGTCCACGTGATCTCATTGTTCAATTCCCACCTATGAGTGAGAATATGCGGTGTTTGGTTTTTTGTTCTTGCAATAGTTTACTGAGAATGATGATTTCCAATTTCATCCATGTCCCTACAAAGGACATGAACTCATCATTTTTTATGGCTGCATAGTATTCCATGGTGTATATGTGCCACATTTTCTTAATCCAGTCTATCGTTGTTGGACATTTGGGTTGGTTCCAAGTCTTTGCTATCATGAATAGTGCCGCAATAAACATATGTGTGCATGTGTCTTTATAGCAGCATGATTTATAGTCCTTTGGGTATATACCCAGTAATGGGATGGCTGGGTCAAATGCTATTTGTAGTTCTAGATCCCTGAAGAATCGCTACACTGACTTCCACAATGGTTGAACCTGTTTACAGTCCCACCAACAGTGTAAAGTGTTCCTATTTCTCCACATTCTCTCCAGCACCTGTTGTTTCCTGACTTTTTAATGATTGCCATTCTAACTGGTGTGAGATGGTATTTCATTGTGGTTTCGATTTGCATTTCTCTGATGGCCAGTGATGGTGAGCATTTTTTCATGTGCTTTTTGGCTGCATAAATGTCTTCTTTTGAGAAGTGTCTGTTCGTGTCCTTTGCCCACTTTCTGACGGGGTTGTTTGTTTTTTTCCTGTAAATTTGTTTGAGTTCATTGTGGATTCTGGATATTAACCCTTTGTCAGGTGAGTAGTTTGCAAAAATTTTCTCCCATTTTGTAGGTTGCCTGTTCACTCTGATGGTAGTTTCTTTTGCTGTGCAGAAGCCCTTTAGTTTAATTAGATCCCATTTGTCAATTTTGGCTTTTGTGGCCATTGGTTTTGGTGTTTTAGACATGAAGTCCTTGCCTGTGCCTTTGTCCTGAATGGTAATGCCTAGGTTTTCTTCTAGGGTTTTTATGGGTTTAGGTATAACGTTTAAGTCTTTAATCCATCTTGAATTAATTTCTGTATAAGGTGTAAGGAAGGGATCTAGTTTCAGCTTTCTACATATGGCTAGCCAGTTTTCCCAGCACCATTTATTAAATAGGGAATCCTTTCCCCATTGCTTGTTTTTTTGTCAGGTTTGTCAAAGATCAGATAGTAGTAGATGTGCAGTGTTATTTCTGAGGGCTCTGTTCTGTTCCATTGATCTATATCTCTGTTTTGGTACCAGTACCATGCTGTTTTGGGTACTGTAGGCTTGTAGTATAGTTTGAAATCAGGTAGTGTGATGCCTCCAGCTTTGTTCTTTTGGCTTAGGATTGATTTGGTGATGCAGGCCCTTTTTTTGGTTCCATAAGAAATTTAAAGTAGATTTTTCCAATTCTGTGAAGAAAGTCATTGGTAGCTTGATGGTGATGGCATTGAATCTATAAATTACCTTGGGCAGCATGGCCATTTTCACGATATTGATTCTTCCTACCCATGAGCATGGAATATTCTTCGATTTCTTTGTATCCTGTTTTATTTCATTGAGCAGTGGTTTGTAGTTCTCCTTGAAGACGTCCTTCACATCCCTTGTAAGCTGGATTCCTAGGTATTTTATTCTCTTTGAAGCAATTGTGAATGGGAGTTCACTCATGATTTGGCTCTCTGTTTGTCTGCTATTGGTGTATAAGAATGCTTGTGATTTTTGTACATTGATTTTGTATCCTGAGACTTTGCTGAAGTTGCGTATCAGCTTAAGGAGATTTTGGGCTGAGACAATGGGGTTTTCTAGATATACAATCATGTCGTCTGCAAACAGAGACAATTTGACTTCCTCTTTTCCTAATTGAATACCCTTTATTTCCTTCTCCTGCCTAATTGCCCTGGCCAGAACTTCCAACACTATGTGGAGTAGGAATGGTGAGAGAGGGCATCCCTGTCTTGTGCCAGTTTTCAAAGGGAATGCTTCCAGTTTTTGCCCATTCAGTATGATATTGGCAGTGGGTTTGTCATAGATAGCTCTTATTATTTTGAAATACGTCCCATCAATACCTAATTTATTGAGAGTTTTTAGCATGAAGGGTTGTTGAATTTTGTCAAAGGCTTTCTCTGCATCTATTTAGATAATCATGTGGTTTTTGTCTTTGGCTCTGTTTATATGCTGGATTACATTTATTGATTTGTGTATATTGAACCAGCCTTGCATCCCAGGGATGAAGCCCACTTGATCATTGTGGATAAGCTTTTTGATGTGCTGCTGGATTCGGTTTGCAGTATTTTATTGAGGATTTTTGCATCAATGTCCATCAAGGATATTGGTCTAAAATTCTCTCTTTTGGCTGTTTCTCTGCCCGGCTTTGGTATCAGGATGATGCTGGCCTCATAAAATGAGTTAGGGAGGATTCCCTCTTTTTCTATTGATTGGAATAGTTTCAGAAGGAATGGTACCAGTTCCTCCTTGTACCTCTGGTAGAATTCGGCTGTGAATCCATCTGGTCCTGGACTCTTTTTGGTTGGTAAGCTATTGATTATTGCCACAATTTCAGATCCTGTTATTGGTCTATTCAGAGATTCAACTTCTTCCTGGTTTATTCTTGGGAGGTTGTATCTGTCGAGGAATTTATCCATTTCTTCTAGATTTTCTAGTTTATTTGCATAGAGGTGTTTATAGTATTCTCTGATGGTAGTTTGTATTTCTGTGGGATCGGTGGCGATATCCCCTTTATCATTTTTTGTTGCGTCTATTTGATTCTTCTCTGTTTTCTTCTTTATTAGTCTCGCTAGTGGTCTATCAATTTTGTTGATCCTTTCAAAAAACCAGCTCCTGGATTCATTGATTTTTCGAAGGGTTTTTTGTGTCTCTATTTCCTTCAGTTCTCCTCTGATTTTAGTTATTTCTTGCCTTCTGCTAGCTTTTGAATGTGTTTGCTCTTGCTTTTCTTGTTCTTTTAATTGTGATGTCAGGGTGTCAATTTTGGATCTTTCCTGCTCTCTCCTGTGGGCATTTACTGCTATAAATTTCCCTCTACACACTGCTTTGAATGCCTCCCAGAGATTCTGGTATGTTGTGTCTTGTTCTCATTGGTTTCAAAGAACATCTTTATTTCTGCCTTCATTTCGTTATGTACCCAGTAGTCATTCAGGAGCCGGTTGTTCAGTTTCCATGTAGTTGAGCGGTTTTGAGTGAGTTTCTTAATCCTGAGTTCTAGTTTGATTGCACTGTGGTCTGAGAGACAGTTTGTTATAATTTCTGTTCTTTTACATTTGCTGAGGAGAGCTTTACTTCCAACTATGTGGTCAATTTTGGAATAGGTGTGGTGTGGTGCTGAGAAAAATGTATATTCTGTTGATTTGGGGTGGAGAGTTCTGTAGATGTCTATTAGGTCCACTTGGTGCAGAGCTGAGTTCAATTCCTGGATATCCTTGTTAACTTTCTGTCTCATTGATCTGTCTAATTTTGACAGTGGGGTGTTAAAGTCTCCTATTACTATTGTCTGGGAGTCTAAGTCTCTTTGTAGGTCACTCAGGACTTGCTTTATGAATCTGGGTGCTTCTGTATTGGGTGCATATATATTTAGGATAGTTAGCTCTTCTTGTTGAATTGATCCCTTTGCCATTATGTAATGGCCTTCTTTGTCTCTTTTGATCTTTGTTGGTTGAAAGTCTGTTTTATCAGAGACTAGGATTGCAAGCCCTGCCTTTTTTTGTTTTCCATTTGCTTGGTAGATCTTCCTCCATCCTTTTATTTTGAGCCTCTGTGTGTCTCTGCACGTGAGATGGGTTTCCTGAATACAGCACACTGATGGGTCTTGACTCTTTATTCAATTTGCCAGTCTGTGTCTTTTAATTGGAGCATTTAGTCCATTTACATTTAAAGTTAATATTGTTATGTGTATTTGATCCTGTCATTATGATGTTAGCTGGTTATTTTGCTCTTTAGTTGATGCAGTTTCTTCCTAGCCTCGATGGTGTTTACAATTTGGCATGATTTTGCAGTGGCTGGTACCAGTTTTTCCTTTCCATGTTTAGTGCTTTCTTCAGGAGCTCTTTTAGGGCAGGCCTGGTGGTAACAAAATCTCTCAGCATTTGCTTGTCTGTAAAGTATTTTATTTCTCCTTCACTTATGAAGCTTAGTTTGGCTGGATATGAAATTCTGGGTTGAAAATTCTTTGCTTTAAGAATCTTGAATATTGGCCCCCACTCTCTTCTGGCTTGTAGAGTTTCTCCTGAGAGATCCGCTGTTAGTCTGATGGACTTCCCTTTGTGGGTAACCCGACCTTTCTCTCTGGCTGCCCTTAACATTTTTTCCTTCATTTCAACTTTGGTGAATCTGATAATTATGTGTCTTGGAGATGCTCTTCTCGAGGAGTGTCTTTGTGGCCTTCTCTGTATTTCCTGAATCTGAATGTTGGCCTGCCTTGCTAGATTGGGGAAGTTCTCCTGGATAATATCCTGCAGAGTGTTTTCCAACTTGGTTCCATTCTCCCTGTCACTTTCAGGTACACCAATCAGACATAGATTTGGTCTTTTCACATAGTCCCATATTTCTTGGAGGCTTTGTTCGTTTCTTTTTATTCTTTTTTCTCTAAACTTCCTTTCTCACTTCATTTCATTCATTTCATCTTCCATCACTGATACCGTTTCTTCCAGTTGATCACATCGGCTCCTGAGGCTTCTGCATTCTTCATGTAGTTCTCGAGCCTTGGCTTTCAGCTCCATCAGCTCCTTTAAGCACTTCTCTGTATTGGTTATTCTAGGTATCCGTTCGTCTAAATTTTTTCTCAAAGTTTTTAACTTCTTTGCCTTTGGTTTGAATTTCCTCCTGTAGCTCGCAGTAGTTTGATCGTCTGAAGCCTTCTTCTCTCAACTTGTCAAAGTCATTCTCCATCCAGCTTTGTTCCATTGCTGGTGAGGAACTGCGTTCCTTTGGAGGAGGAGAGGCACTCTGCTTTTTAGAGTTTCCAGTTTTTCTGCTCTGTTTTCCCCCCATCTTTGTGGTTTTATCTAATTTTGGTCTTTGATGATAGTGATGTACAGATGGGTTTTTGGTGTGGCTGTCCTTTCTGTTTGTTAGTTTTCCTTCTAACAGACAGGACCCTCAGCTGCAGGTCTGTTGGAGTTTGCTAGAGGTCCACCTCAGACCCTGTTTGCCCAGGTATCAGCAGCAGTCGGTGCAGAACAGCGGATTTTTGTGAACCGCAAATGCTGCTGTCTGACCGTTCCTCTGGAAGTTTTGTCTCAGAGGAGTACCCCGCTGTGTGAGGTGTCAGTCTGCCCCTACTGGGGGGTGCCTCCCGGTTAGGCTACTCGGGGGTCAGGGGTCAGGAACCCACTTGAGGAGGCAGTCTGCCCGTTCTCAGATCTCAAGCTGCATGCTGGGAGAACCACTGCTCTCTTTAAAGCTGTCAGACAGGGACATTTAAGTCTGCAGAGGTTACTGCTGTCTTTTTGTTTGTCTGTGCCCTGCCCTCAGAGGTGGAGCCTACAGAGGCAGGCAGGCCTCCTTGAGCTGTGGTGGGCTCCACCCAGTTGGAGTTTCCCGGCTGCTTTTTTCACCTAAGCAAGCCTGGGCAATAGCGGGCGCCCCTCCCCCAGCCTCGCTGCCAGCTTGCAGTTTGATCTCAGACTACTGTGCTAGCAATCAGTGAGACTCCGTGGGCGTAGGACCCTCTGAGCCAGGTGTGGGATATAATCTCCTTGTGCGCCGTTTTTTAAGCCTGTCGGAAAAGCGCAGTATTAGGGTGGGAGTGACCCGATTTTCCAGGTGCTGTCTGTCACTCCTTTCATTGACTAGGAAAGGAAATTCCCTGACCCCTTGTGCTTCCCGAGTGAGGCAATGCCTCGCCCTGCTTTGGCTCGTGCATTGTGCACTGCACCCACTGTCCTGCACCCACTGTCTGGCACTCCCTAGTGAGATGAACCCAGTACCTCAGATGGAAATGCAGAAATCACCCATCTTCTGTGTCGCTCATGCTGGGAGCTGTAGACTGGAGCTGTTCCTATTCGGCCATCTTGGCTGCCCGACCGCCTGTTCACTTTGATGACAGTTTCTTTTGCTGTGCAGAGTCTCTTTGTTTTAATTAGATTCCATTAGAAAATTTTGGCTTCTGTTGCCATTGCTTTTGGTGTTTTGGACATGTAGTCTTTGCCCATGCCTATATCCTGAATGGTATCACCTAGGTTTTCTTCTGGGAATTTTATGGCTTTAGGTCTTATGTTTAAGTCTTTAATCTATCTCAAGTTAATTTTTGTATAAGGTGTAAGGAAGGAGTCCAGTTTCAGTTTTCTGCATGTGGCTAGCCAATTTTCCCAACAGCATTTATTAAATAGGGAATCCTTTCCCCATTGCTTGTTTTTCTCAGGGTTGTCAGATATCAGATGATTGTAGATGTGTGGTATTAATTCTGAGGCCTCTGTTCTGTTTCATTGGTCTATATATCTGTTTTGGTACCAGTACCATGCTGTTTTGGTTACTGTAGCCTTGTAGTATAGTTTGAAGTCAGGTAGCGTGATGCCTCCAGCTTTGTTCTTTTTGCTTAGGATTGTCTTGGCTATGCAGGCTTTTTTTTGGTTCCATATGAAGTTTAAAGTAGTTTTTTCCAATTATGTGAAGAAAGTCAATGGTAGCTTGATGGGGATAGCATTGAATCTATATTCTACTTTGGGCAGTATGGCCACTTTCATGCTATTGATTCTTCCTATCCGTGAGAAGAATGTTTTTCCATTTGTTTGTGTCTTCTCTTATTTCCTTGAGCAGTGTTTTGTAGTTCTCCTTGAAGAGGTCCTTCACATCCCTTGTAAGTTGTATTCCTAGGTATGTTATTCTCTTAGTAGCAGTTGTGAATGGGAGTTCACTCATAGTTTGGCTCTCTGTTTGTCTGTTATTGGTGTATGGGAATGCTTATGATTTTTGCACATTGATTTTGTATCCTGAGACTTTGCTGAAGTTGCTTATCTGCTTAAGGAGATTTGGGGCCGAGATGATACAATAATGTCATCTGCAAACAGAGACAATTTGACTTCCTCTTTTCCTATTTGAATACCCTTTATTTCTTTCTCTTGTTTGATTGCCCTGGCCAAAACTTCCAATACTATGTTGAATAGGAATGGTGAGAGAGGGCATCCTTGTCTTGTGCCAGTTTTCAAAGGGAATGCTTCCAGTTTTTGCCCATTCAATATGATATTGGCTGTGGGTTTGTCATAAATAGTTCTTATTATTTTGATATACGTTCTATTGATACCTAGTTTATTGAGAGTTTTTAGCATGAAGGGTGTTGAATTTTGTCAAAGGCCTTTTCTGCATCTGTTGAGATAATTGTGTGGTTTTTGTCATTGGTTCTGTTTATGTGGTAGATTACGTCTATTGATTTTCATATGTTGAACCAGCCTTGTGTCCTAGGTATAAAGCCAACTTGATTGTGGTGGGTAAGTTTTTGATGTGCTGCTGGGTTCAGTTTGCCAGTATTTTATTGAGGATTTTTGCATCGATGTTCATCAGGGATATTGGCCTGAAATTTTCTTTTTTTGTTGTGTCTCTGCCAAGTTTTGGTATCAGGATGATGCTGTCCTCATAAAACGAGTTCGGGAGGAGTCCCTCTTTTTCTATTGTTTGGAATAGTTTCAGAAGGAATGGTACCAGCTCCTCTTTATACCTCTGGTAGAATTCGTCTGTGAATCCATCTAATCCTGTACTTTTTTTGGTTGGTAGGCTATTAATTACTGCCTCAATTTCAGAACTTTTTATTGGTCTATTCAGGGATTTGACATCTTCCTAGTTTAGTCTTGGGAGGGTGTATGTGTCCAGGAACTTATCCATTTCTTCTAGATTTTCTAGTTTATTTGTGTAGAAGTGTTTATAGTATTCTCTGATGGTAGTTTGTATTTCTATGGGATCGGTGGTGATATCCCCTTTATCATTTTGTATTGCATCTATTTGATTCTTCTCTCTTCTTTATTAGTCTGGCTAGTGGTCTATCTATTTTTTTGATCTTTTCAAAAAAACAGCTCCTGGATTCATTGATTTTTTTGGAGGGTTTTTGTGTCTCTATTTCCTTCAGTTCTGCTCTGATCTTAGTTATTTCTTGTCTTCTGCTAGCTTTTGAATTTGTTTGCTCTTGCTTCTCTAGTTCTTTTAATTTTGATGTTAGGGTGTTGATTTTAGATCTTTCCTGCTTTCTCTTGTGGGCATTTAGTGCTATAAATTTCCCTCTACATACTGCTTTGAATGTGTCCCAGAGATTCTGGTATGTTGTGTCTTTGTTCTCATTGGTTTCAAAGAACATCTTCATTTCTGCCTTCATTTCGTTACGTACCCAGTAGTCATTCAGGAGAAGGTTGTTCAGTTTCCATGTAGTTGTGCAGTTCTGAGTGTGTTTCTTAATCCTGAGTTCTAATTTGATTGCACTGTGGTCTGAGAGACTGTTTGTTATGATTTCTGTTCTTTTGCATTTGCTGAGGAGTGTTTTACTTCCAATTATGTGGTCAATTTTAGAATAAGTGCAATGAGGTGCTGAGAAGAATGTATATTCCATTGATTTGGGGTGGAGAGTTCTGTAGATATCTATTAGGTCCACTTGGTCTAGAGCTGAGTTCACGTCCTGAATATCCTTGTTAATTTTCTGTCTCATTGATCTGTCTAATATTGACAGTGGGGTGTTAAAGTCTCCTGCTATTATTGTGTGGGAGTCTAAGTCTCTTTGTGGGTCTCTGAGAACTTGTTTTAAAGTCTGTTTTATCAGAGATTAGGATTGCAACTTCTGCCTTTTTTTTTTTTTTTGATTTCCATTTGCTTGGTAGATCTTCCTCCATCCCTTTATTTTGAGTCTATGTGTGTCTCTGCATGTGAGATAGGTCTCCTTAATACAGTACACTGATGGGTCTTGACTCTTTATCCAATTTGCCAGTCTATGTCTTCTAATTGGGACATTTAGCCCATTTACATTTAAGGTTAATATTATTATGTGTGAATCTGATTCTGTCATTATGATGCTAGCTGGTTTTTTTGCCCATTATTTGATGCAGTTTCTTTATAGTGTCAATGGTCTTTACAATTTGGTATGTTTTTGCAGTCTTGTCACTTATTTTTAACATGGCACTGGAATTCCTAGCCACAGCAACTAGGTAAGGACAAGAAATAAAAATCATTCAAACCAGAAAGGAAGAAGAAAAATTATCTCCATTTCCAGAAGACATGATCATACACATAGAAAGCCCTAAACCTAAACTGAAATGACTTAACAAAAATAAACTATTAGAACTAATAAGTAAATTCAATAAAATACAAGATACAAAATCAATACACCAAATTAAAATCACATTTTTATACACAAAGAACATTCCAAAAGCTCAGGTAACAAAAGCAAAAATAAACAAGTGGAGCTACATCAAACTAAAAAGTTCTTTCACAGCAAAGGAAAAAAGAATCAACGAAATGAAAAAGCCTGTGGATTGAGAGGAAATATTTGTAATCATATGTTCTATAAGGAGTTGATAACTAAAATATATAAGGAACTCCTACAAATCAACAGCAAAAAACCCTGATTTAAAAAATAGGTAATGGAACTGGGTCGATATTTTTCCAAAGACATACTCATGGCTAAAAGTATGTGAAATGATGTTCAACATTACTAATAATCAGGAAATGAAAATCAAAACCAAAATAAGATACCACCTCACACCTGTTAGGATGACTATTATCAGTAAGTCAAAAGATAAAAGCTGTTGGTGAAGATGTGGAGAAATTGGAGACCTGATACACTGTTGGTGGGAATATGAACTAGTAAAGTCATTATGGAAAACATTACGAAAGTTTCTCAAAAAATTAAAAACAGAACAACCAACCATATGATACAGCAATCCCACTCCTGTGTATGTAACAGAAGGAAATGAAATCAAAGAGATATCTGCACCCCATATTTATTGCTGCATGATTTATAATAGGCAATAAATGGAAACAGCCTAAGTCCATTGATGGTCCATTGACAATGGAGAAAGAAAATGTCATATGTATAGCATTATTATGTCCTCTGGACAAATACTAGCCCCAAACTCTCCAGTTCTCACCAGTGACCACATATACTTGATGTCTCTCAGTGACATTAAAATGTCACATATACCCATTCGGATAGTCATGCCCTCAGGTGTTGCCATGCCCTCATCTAGAGCTCTGCACTTGGTGTTTTCAGGCATGGTTGGTAGATTTCATGTGTGAAAAGATAAGGTGAACGTTTGTTGATGAGAGGATGGTCAAAGCCTCCTGAATCCCACTGGTTCCCCAACACGTGTCTTTTCCATCCGGGGCCCATGCACCAAAACCTCAAATACCAGAAAGCCAGTGTTCTGGTTCTAGAACAAGTCTCACAGAAATAGGTTGTCCTCATTTAGGCCTCATTTTATCTGTCAGAAGTTTAACCTTTAAATTTACACTGCCCAAGTTGGCAAATATCCCATGGCTGACTTACTGGCTTCTGCTATTTCTCATTTAAAATTAGAAATTTCTGGTCATCTTCAGTAACTGTTTCTACATATTTAACTAATTATCAGTTTTTCTTCACCCAAATGTTAATTATTTACCTCACATTTTACATTTGCTTTGAAAGAGATGACACATATCAGTACCATCCTTTTAGGAATGGCTTTAAGCTATCACTAAGTTGTGTATTTTAACTTACCTTTTTTCTTAGAGGTAGCCCAAATGTCCTGCAGAATCACTACCACTTATCAACATGTAATATTACCCTTGCACAAAAATCTCACACTCAGACCCGTGTCAATTGTTAATTATTGAGAGTCAAAAATCACATGAGATAAGTTTCTCTTAGGTGATCAGTTTCCAAATATGCCTCCACATAAACAGGTGGCATCTTCCCTATACTCTCCATAATCTGTTTTATAATGCTGGCTCCACAACTTTTTCTCCATGACTGGAAAATCAGTTCTCTGTTCTCATAGGTTGTGGTCAAGCCTGCATTCCTCTGCCATCCGAAAATAAACCCACTACTGAGATCACACTCGTGTCACATGGTGGCATCACTCAAATTAAGCCCTAGTGGAATGGTCATAAAGTAAGTATTCCCTAATACATACTCAGGAAAGGGGACTGGGAGAACCTTATGACAAAGCTAACATTGGTGCAGTAAAATGACTTCAGGATGAGAGGCACTTTTCCATTTGAGTTCATCAGACTACCAATAATCTTGGCTAAAAGACTCTGTATCAGCCAGCATTCAAAATATTTGTTCATGGTGCATTATAACACAGCATAACTTGAGAAATAACTTTAAAAAATACTTAGCTTAGTGCTTAGTGGTCATAGTTTATAATATGTACTTGTGCCAGGGGAATAACATTTTCATGTCTCCTGAATGTAAGTTTCCTATTTAACAGATTTATTTTTATCTAATGAATTTAAAATACCAGCATGAGTATTTTACTAAGAGAGGGGATTAGATAACATCCCAGTGTCTGAGACAGGGGCATGGATACTTCATTATGAAATATTCAAAGAATTCCCAGGAGAAACTTTTTAGTGATGACAAGTGCAGCAGTTTATGCTATTCACTACATAAGAGAGGAGGCCTTCATCATTTTTTCTGTGCCCCATAGTGCTTCTAATATGAATTTTACAAAAGCACACCCTTGATAAAAATTATTTCAACCATCACTAATAAAATAAAGTTAAAACTCTTTGGCATGTGCCTTTAAAAAACTTTCTATATTTGCACCAAAATACCTTAGCAGACTTATCTCTCACCCTACTCAACTGAGGTTTATTCCATTCTCCTTTACCTGACACCCACGTCAGCACAGAACTCTCTGTTCTTTACTAAGTCATTGATGTATTCTTCCCTGAGGGTCTGGGTCATAACTTATTTTTCGGTGACTGCTCTGTCCTCCTTACAGCCACTGACGTTTGGTGTTTTCTTGTCCTAAATTGACAGTGATTCTGGGTTGTTCACCCTGGAACCTATGGGAAGAATGTTGTTGTCATTACATCAGGAAGAGAAGGCAGCCCGTTGACTCAGTAGTGCTGCTCTGGGCAGGGTTGGGAGCTGAGCAATAGACTTTTCATTATTTCCAGGTGTGGCACTCCTTTCAGAAGCATTATATCTCTGGCCTCTAAATATTCCACGCTGGGGAAACTGGATGCATTCTAATCATGAAGGAGTTTAGTAACAACTCCCCAAGGTGAAAGCCTCCCAGTCTTGTCCTTCTGTTCTAATTGAATTTCCCTGGTTCCATGGGGTTGATGCTGCGTTTCTAATTTTTTATGTTTCCTTTCATGCTTTTCAATCCTATTTGAAAGGTGTTAGGGCAAAGTTTAAGTCAAGGTACCAAGAAGGTGAGAGCAGTGAGGAGTAAGTCTGCTTCCCCACCCTTTTCCCTCTCTTTGCCCAACCTCCTGAATATTCTAAACTACTTTCTCATCTCCTAAGCCAATTATAGGAAAGGAACAAGGGCTGCCTCAGAGATACTAGGGGTCCTTGTTTTTGGTGGCCTAATGTTCCGCATTTGGAAACCTCTAACACTTGGGTTTTTAATCCCAGAATTAGAGCAGTAGAACATGAAGAAAGAGCAAGGAGGGTTTGGGCTTAGCAAGTGAGAGCAAGAATAGGATTTTTTTAGAGCACTCCCAAAACAACATTGCTGCCCTAAGTTTGTTTTTGTACTGTTTTCAAAGTAGATAGGATTGACTTGTATTTAATTCAATTTCTAAGATAAGCATGAACAATCTGACTCCTCATATAAACCAAGGAAGGCTACTACAATTCTGTGATGTTTGTGAGGGATGCAGGTGGGCAACATGATTCAGGTTGGTGATCAGCTCCTGGCTGAAACTTCTGGATAGCCTCTTCAACCTCCAGCCCATGTCATTCTGGAGGATAAACCCACCTTTGCCATTGCCAAGGTCAGTGGCTTTTAGTGAAACCAGGTTCTTGTCAATGTCCAGTAGGCCTTTTGCAATATTTAAAATTTCGTAGTCACTACTCACTAAGCAAACTCTGTTCAGAGAGGTAAATGTCTAGTTCTGGTTTATGGATTATGTAGAGTACACAGAGAACTTTATAACTTGAGCTGTGCAAAATTTTGCAATATTAACTAACTTTTCCTTCCATATTTCTTCATACTTCTCTGGATTTGCACTACAAAATCAGTCAGTCATTCAGCCAGCCATTCACTGATTTAGGGAAAGCAGAAAAGATAGGTACCTCCATTCTCCCTCACATGAGGAGGTTGTCTATGTGTCAATGAAGGCTGAATACGGTCCTTCTCTTCCCACAATCCCATTCTATGTACTCAAAGATTGTTTCTCTGACAGTAGAGATTAGATAACCTTTTCCCGGGAGAGACTGAGACAGACAGAATTTTTTAGATCGTGTATTGTTTCTAAATTAATCTGTGTTCTGCAAAAAGCAATGAAAAATATGTTAAATCCCTTTTGAGATTAAATTCCTCCTCTCAATAGAATGGTGATTGAGATTTGTAAAACTAGTTATACTAGCTGGGCTATGACATAGTAACTGGCTCATGACATGTACTTACAGTGTAAGCAACTATAAAATTGTACAAAATTCATTAGGAGACCGTTTGGGAGCATTGTAAAACAGGCAGTGCAGAATTGTGATCTTTGAGAGAAGGAAATCCCATGAGATAAACCAATGTTTTCTACAGGATACAATGTGCCTGGGGGTATGTTCCAGGCTGTGGCACAAGGAGATGGAGTCCAAACAAAGTGCAAGGACTTCGCTGAGCTGGAGAGACAGTTTGTGGCTACTGAAGCATTTGAAGTTGCTTGTCATATCTGGAGAGAAGGCAGTTCTGGTCAAGGGTTTAGGGCAAGAGTCCAAGAAACCTATGACAGAGCAAGTGATGTGGGGCTAAGCACAGAGACCTTGCTGAACATTGTGGACATTCAATTCAGACCACAACTAGGCCAGGCATTAGGAGTAAGGACATATTTCAGAGTAAATACTTTGCCCTAGAACTAAGTTCAAAACTGATGTATAACCATCCTAACAAAGAATAAAAGCAAGCTTGGCAGGACCAAAAGGCCCAATAGTAATTCAACTACCTGCCACAACAAAACTGAGCAACCTTTCTGGAAGATGTTAAAGTCCAAATTTCAAACAATGCATCATTCACAATGTACTGCACACAAAAACGTTTCTAGACATATCAAGAAGTGTGAACCAGAATCAACAAAAGCAGCAAGTAATAGAAATGATCTCAAGATATCTAAATGGTAGGAATTAGAAGAAAAGTTGAAGAAAAAACATGTTCACAGTTCTCCTATACATATATGCCCTCACCAACACAGGTACCACCACTGATCCCTGTGAATCAAAGAGACTTGTTTAATAACTTCTTCAAGGTCACACATCCCGTGGTGGAGTCAGGATTTGAACCCAGAGAATTTTTCCCACTGCACTCGTTTTAGTGATTATTTTTGATGCACAAATGTCTTCCATACTTAGTAGCTTTGAAGATAGTTTCCTCTTTTTTGCATGGTATAAAATGATAATATATAACAATTATATTAAATCAGATATCTTACATGTTAATTTTTTTTTTTTGAGATGGAGTTTCACTCTTATTGTCCATGCTGGAGTGCAGTGGTGCGATCTTGGCTCACTGCAACCTCCACCTCCCAGGTTCAAGCAATTCTCCTGCCTCAGCCTTCCAAGTAGCTGGTATTACAGGCGCCCGCCACCAAGCCCGGCTAATTTTTGTACTTCTAGTAGAGACGAGGTTTCACCATGTTGACCAGGCTGGTCTCAAACTCCGGACCTCAGGTGATCCGCCTGCCTCGGCGTCCCAAAGTGCAGGGATTACAGGTGTGAACCACCATGCCCGGCCCATGTTAATTTTTAATATGATCCTAGAGAAGATAGTGAAGGAAAAAGAGACAGAGAAAGAATGGACATGTGGCTTATGGCCCCCCTCCCCACTCCCAGTGTTGTCCCTGTGCCTCTACTTCTCATAGGGCCTTCACATGGGCCTGGAATGGAGATGCTGAATTTAAACTCTTGCCTGGTAAATGAGGGGGCTTTTAGGCTTTCTGGTGTGAAGAATATTGGCTTCAAATGGTTGGCATGATATGGAATAGCTTGGTACTGTGGTCCACACATCAACCCATGTGTGTACTTAGAAGCTCTGTTTTATATGTTATATGGAAACAGCTTTCTAATATAGAGTTGGCAAGATGAAGCCTTACCAGCTGGCCAGCTATTGTGTGAGAAACAGAGTTTACACCAGGCTCATCCATCTTGCAACACATCACCTTCATTCCCAGCAAAATTCTGCTCTTCCAAGTGCCAGACTGTGACTCAGCAGTACCTAAAATGTCATGTGGTAATGAAACTTGAAAATCAAGAGCCTTTTCAAAATATCAAAATGCAATATTCCCTGCAATTAATGTCCTTTTGGGTGATCTCTTTGAAGAATATAATGCAAACCGTAATCCTTCAAAGGGAATTTACAAGGCTAACTACCTCCTGAACTCATCTTAAAGGAAATGGAAGGGAAATACGGCAGGGGAACCATAAGAATCACTAGACCAGCCTCGCCAGTCTGTGACATACCTACATCTTCCCCCTTTTCAATAACAAGCCCTCGTTGCAAGCATCTTCCTGGCATCTGAGTTACTATGATGAAGGGAGGAGCAATGACCTGAGAAGTAATGGTCACTAGTAACATGAACAATGACATTCATGGTAGCTAAAATGTATTGATCACTCGCTATTTGCCAGGTATCCTACTACTACTTTATAGGGACTACCTCATTTAATTCTCTCAAACACCCCTTGAGTTTGGTCATTATAGAAATTTCACAGAAGATTTTGGAATTGAGAAAGCAAAAGTAATTCTCCTATTGTCACATGGCCAGAAGTGATGGACCTAGGATTTGGACCAGGATCTGTGTCTAACACCCTTACTCTAAATGATTATATTGGTGTTTCTAGATTTTCACGTGTTTTTCTAGTTCCCTCAGGTGTATATTTAGGTTGTTTATTTCATATTTTTCTTCTTTTTAAAATGTAGGTATATATCACTATACATTTTCCTCTTAGGATTGCTATTGTATTTATCTATTATAAACTATAAAAAAAGCAGGTTTAGAGAACATAATGGGATGCAAGACATTGGAGATTGAGAGGAGGAAGTGGGGATAACCCATGTAGACAATTTATAAGAAAAATTTTGCTGTGAAGGGAAGCAGGTATATAGCTGGTAGAGAAGTGTCATCAGAAGAAGGTATTTGTTTAAAATGGAGGATAATGGAGCATAAGTGTATGCCGATGGTAATAACCACTGGAAAAGGAGAATTTGAAGATGCAGAGAAACAGTGGTCATCTGCAGGAATTAAAGCTGTGCAAGGGTGAGAGGTAAAGATTAGATCAACTGGAGATGTTGGATTTGTTAAAATGGTGACGCACCAGCCCCAACTTTCATACTCAGTGATAACCTGCATGCCAATAACCTACATCCCAGGGATGGTCAAATTGAGAATGAGGGATTGGCAAGACAGAGATGTCCAGAGAATGAGGAAATGAGAGGCTTGAAGACCCTAAGACTCAGACTGACTACTAGAGGCTAATCTGTACTGACAAATTCATATTTTGAGAAATGTATTGGTTTGGGATTATTGTGTGCCACTCATAGTTCCTTCAAGTTTGTGTGTGTTTATATGTTCACAGGGAGGTGGAAATGTGGGAAGATCCCATTGTTGATTAAAAAAGAAAACCCCACAGTAAAGCAGATTAATGGAGGGGACTATCTCCTTTCCAGGGAGAGAAAAGGGCAGTGTTCAAAGCAGGAAGAAAAGCCATGAACAGGAATTCACCCGAAATGGAATGTCATCAGAAGACCTTATCTTTTCCATGGGAGGCAGGGGATGGGCAATTCTTTTTGGACTCTAGGAGCATGGATACATAGCCATTGCTCGCCAGTAATTTGTTCCACTATAATTTCATGTAGTCACTATTGACCTTTCATTGAAGTCTGTAACTGGCAGAGTCTACAGTCCTGTGAGTGGTGCTTTTGGAGAGTTAAGAAGCAGAGCAGTCAAGAGAAGCATTGCTTTCTTGGCATTGCCATTCCCCATTGGTCCTTCTCCAAGGGAAACTGGTCCTGGTCATCCAGAGACCAGCAGCCAAGTGGATCTGGGATCCCCTGAGAGGGATGTGAAACACAGAGAAATCACTGGCAGGTGGATACTCAGGAGTGCGTATGAGACAACCCCCTTGTCCCAAAGCAGACTGGATGTCACACAACATCCCTGGAGGTCAGGGAGAGCAGCACACCTCCATGTGATTCCTTCTGGTGTAGGGCATGACTATGGATGTGGGTTGCTCCATTGCAGTGAAGACAAGGTTACATGGGTATTTCAGACAGAGGAGTTCCAGGACATAAGAAATGGTAGGCAGCTGGGCCCCAGGAGGGGAGAGTGCAGCTGGACAGACTTTCCAAGACTCGTTGGAATAAGGGGAAAGAAGGGAGGGGAAGGTGGGGGCCTATGACCAGCTTTTTTGTTGTCTTTTTTCACAAATTTATGGTGTGAGGGTGGGGGTGGAGCAAGTTGGCAGAGTAGAAGGATCCACCAATTGTCCCTGCAACAAGAACACCAATTTAACAACTATCTACACAGAAAAAAGCATTTTTATAGGAACAAAAATCAGCTGAACACTCACAGTACCTGGTTTCAAATTTATATTGCTGAAAGAGGCATGGAAGAGGTAGTAAAAACAGTCGTGAATCACCGACACCACCTCTCTTTCACACCCCAGCAGCAGCAGCATTGTGTGAAGAGCGTTTCTGTGCTCTGTGGAAAGGAAGAGCCAGCAATTGTGAGGCACCAGACTCAATGCTGCCCTTTATACAGCAGAAAGCAAAATGGGATCAAACTTAGCAGATGTCTGCCCATGGCAAGAGCATTTAAACCAGCCTTAATCAGATGAGAATCACCAGTCCCAGCGGTCAGAGCTTGAGTTCCAGCAAATCTCGCCCCTGTGGGCTAAAGTTCTCTGGGATGCTAAATAATATGAAATGCAGTCTAGGCCACAAGGACTACAATTCCTAGGCAAGTTCTACTGCTGAACAGGGCCCAGAGCCAGAAGACTAGGGGGACACACAACCTACTGAGACAACAACCAGGATCCTAAGGGAGTTCTGGCATCACCCCTTCCCTCACCCCAGGCTGCAGAGCGTGTAGCTCCAAAAGAGGTCCCTTCCTAATAACTGAGGAGAGAAGAGGGAAGAGTGAGGAGGAGTTTCTCTTGCATCTTGGATACCAGCTTAGCCACAGCAGGATAAGGCGACAGGCAGAGTCATAAATCTACCTTTCTAGGACCTAGCTCATGGACAACATTTCTAGACACACCCTGGACAAGGAGGGAACATAATACCTTGAAGGGAAGCACTCAGTCTTGTCAGGATTCATCACCTGCTAACTGAAGATCCCTTAGGTCCTGAATAACCAGCAATGATATCCAGGTACTACATCAAGGACCTTGGACAATACTCTAAGACTTGCGGGCTTCAGGTTAGACTCAGAACATTCTCAGCTTTGGTGGCTGCAGGGCAAGACCCCTGCTTGAGAAAAAGCAGAGGGAGAAGTAACAAATAACATAAAATGGATCTCCAATATGCCTGGCAGCAGACATTTAAGTGGAAACCTTACAGGCCAGGAGGCAGTAGCATCACATATTTAAAGTGATGACCTAGATGACAGGTTGATGGGTGCAGCAAACCACCATGGCACATGTATGCCTATGTAACAAACGTGCACATTCTGCACACGTATCCCAGAACTGAAAGTAAAATTTAAAAAAAAAATAAAGTGCTGAAGGAAAAAACCTTTTACCCCAGAATAGCATTTCTGGTGAAAATATCCTTGAAACATAAGGAGAAATACTTTCTCAGATAAACAAAAGCTGAGGGATTTCATCAACACTATACCTGTCCTACAAGAAATGCTAAAGGAAGTACTCCAATCAGAAAGAAAAGGATATTGATGAGCAGTCAGAAATCATCTAAAGGTACAAAACTCACTGGTAATAGTAAGTACACAGAAAAACATAGAATAGTATAACACTGTAACTGTAGTGTGTAAAGTACTCTTATTTTAAGAAATATTAAATAGAAAACCAATTAAAAATAATAACTACAACAACTGTTCAAGACATAGACAATACAAAAATATATAAATAGTAACAAAAAATATTAAAAAGCTGGGGGACAAAGTTAAGGCATACAGAATTTATTACCTTTTTGCTTGTTTGTATGTTTATTTGTTAAAGAAAACAGAGTTGTTATTAGCTTAATATAATGCACTATAAGATAGTATTTGCAAGCCTCATGTTAACCTCAAACTAAAAAAATACGATAAATACACAAAAAATAAAAAGTAAGAAACTAAATCATATCACCAGAGAAAATCACCTTCACTAAAAGGAAGACAGGAAGAAAAGAAAAATGGAAGAGAAGACTACAAACAATCAGAAAACAAATAACAAAATGGCAGGAATAAATTCATACTATCAATAATAATATTGAATGTAAATAGACTAAACTTTCCAAACTTTCCAACTGAAAGACAGAGTAGCTGAAAGGATGAAAAAACAATATCCAAGGATCTGTGGCCTACAAGAAACACACTTCACCTATAAATATACACATAGACTGAAAATAAAATGATGGAACAAGACAGTCCATGCCAATGAAAATCAAAAGAAACAGGAGTAGCTATACTCATATAAGATAAAATAGATTTTAAGATGAAAATTATCAGAAGAGACAAAGTCATTGTATTATGATGAATGGATCAATTCAGCAAGAGTATATAACAATTTTAAATACATATGCACCTAACACTGGAGCACTCAGATATATAAAGCAAATATTATTAGAGCTAAAGAGAGAGATAAGAAACAATACAATAATAGTTGGAGACTTTAACACCCCACTTTCAATATTGGACATATTTTCTTTTCTTTCTTTCTTTTTTTTTTTTTTTCTGAGACGAAGTTTCGCTCTTGTTGCCCAGGCTGCAGTGCAGTGGTTCAATCTTGGCTCACTGCAACCTCCGCCTCTCAGGTTCAAGTGATTCTCCTGCTTCAGCCTCCCAGGTAGCTGGGATTGCAGGCATCAGGGAGGCAGGAGATGGGTGGTTCTTTTTGGACTCCCGGGGCAATGATATTTAGCCATTGCTCACTAGTGGTTTGTTCCACTATCATTTCATATAGAAACTATTGACTTTTCATTGAAGTCTGTAAGCGGCATAGAGTCTACAGTCTTGTAAGTGGTGTTTTTTGAGGACTTAAGAGCAAAGCAGTCAAGCGAAGCATTACCTTCCTCACATAAGCATTTCCCATTGGCCCTTCTCTAAGGGAAACTGGTACTAGTCATCCAGACAGAGACCAGCACCCAAGTGGGTCTGGGATCCCCTGAGAGGGGTGTGAAACACAGAGGAGTCACTGGCAGGTGGGTACCAAGGAGAGCATATGAGACAAACCCCCAGACCAAAAGGAGACTGGGCGTCGCCTACTGTCCATGGAGGTCAGGAAGATGGGCAGACCTTCATGTGGTTCCTTCTGGTGGAGGGCATGGCTATGGGTGTGGGTTGCTCCACTGCAGTGAAGATGAGGGATATGGTTTGGACCTGTGTCTCTGCCAAAATCTCATGTCCAGTTGTAATCCCCAGTGTTGGAGGTTGGGCCTGATAGGAGGTGATTGGATGATGGGGGTGGTTTCTAATGGTTTAGCATCATTTCCCTAGTGCTGTTATCAGGATAGAGCTCTCATGAGAGCTGGTTGTTTAACAGTGTGTAGCATCTCCTCCTGACTCTCTTCTTTCTGCCCCACCCATGTGAAGTTCTCCCTCCCCCTGTGAAGTGCTCCTTCTTCCTTTGCCTTCCGCTAGGATTGCAAGTTTCCTGAGGCCTTGCCAGAAGCCGAGCAGATGCCAAAATCAGGCTTCCTGTACAGCTTGCAGAACTGTGAGCCAATTAAACCTTTTTTCTTTATAAATTACCCAGTCTCAGGTATTTCTTTACAGCAATGCAAGAAAGGAATAGTACAATGAAGTTACTTGGGTATTTTGGGCCGAGAGTTTCCAGGACATGGGAAATGGCAGCTGGGTCCCAGGAAAGGAGAGTGCAGCTGGACAAAGGGACTTCAGAGACTCGCTGGAATAAATGGAAGGAAGGGAGTTGAAGTTGGGGGCCTATGCCCAGCTTTTGTGTGTTTTTTCTTCACAAATTTATGGTGTGGAATGTGTCATGTCCTGCCTGGAACCCTATTTGTCCAGCCTCTGATACAGGGAGCCAATACAAAGGAGATAGCTACTCAGGAAAAAGGGACAGGGAAGAGGCCCCTCATTAGTTTGGCTGCTTCCCCAAACAGGAGACTGTCAGAAACTTCCCTCCTTTGGGTCTCCCCCCAGGCCCTGGTGGAATGGGAGTGTGGCAGGAAGTGGGAGCCCATGATCTGGGCCGAGGTCTCCCAGGCCACAGAGGAGAAAAGGGAGGGAGTCAGTTCTGTTCTGTGCGATCTGGCAGGAAGGGTCAGGGAACTTTTCTGGGGCAGCATTTCTGAAATCGGGCTGGAACTATCTGACATAAAATGGGGATGACTGAAAACCTCCCATATTATGATAGCGGCTAGTGGGTGGGGAACAGGGCAAGTGGATTGGGATAGCAAGAATCCTAGATTCCACGGGCATGATTTGGAGGTACAACACATTGTTGGTAAGATGGTGGCTAAGGGACAAGGAAGCCTGGATGTAAACGCTTAAGATTGGTATTGGATCCCTCTGCCTTTCCGTTCTCCTCCACCCAGCAGTGAGGGGAGGTCAGGGCAGAACTAAAGTGAATGTTCTTTTCATTTGCTGAATAGGGGCTTGTGTACCTCACAGGAAGACAGAATGTGCACATTTCTCTGTGTTTCTCTTTGTCTCATTCTTAGTCCTGAGACCATTAGTCCTAGTTACCATGGGAACCAAAGCTGAGTGTCTGACGCATTCACTGGACTCTGGGAGAAAATTCGAGTTGGTCCCTGATTTCAGTAATCATCCGTTTACCACCTTCACTCTTTTTGCGATATTTAATTGTGGTAAAACTATTATAATACCAAATGCTTCCGATCTACGTTAATATTTCACTTGCATTTCTTATAGTTTGTTTAGAATTTTAATTCATTAATATCACACGCTATCTTCATTGTCGTGTTTAGAAGGCATAGTGTTTTCCTTTGAACAAAATAGTTTTTCATCAATAAGTATATTTTCAAAGGAAACTTAATATCACTACCATAAGTGGAAATCCAACATGACTTGTCATAAATAGAAAGTTACTGTAAAAAACAAACGTGAGGCAAAATGTACCATTTAGGAAAAATTATTTAATGTGTTTTAAAATTGTCAATGTTTCATTCAAATGATGCACCTGACCTCATTTTGTGTACCATATGGGTATAATTTTGGTAAATTTTATCAATGTGAGGCAGTCTTCTGTAGCCCAATTCCCTCTGGATGTGTGGACAACGTTTAATTGCTGCACCTACAAAACTGGGAATAACGGTGATCATAGCATGGTACTGACTTCCCCTGTGGGGGACCTGACCGGATGACGAGATGGCCTTCCCCAGGCATCCTTGGAGTCATTATACCTTTTAAAATGATGAGAACCGGCTTGTGAATGTTTCCCTTGCCAGTTCAGGGTACATGGATTCATTAGTGATCTGGACAGAGGCATTGTTCATTTCCTCTGTAGCTCTCAAAACTTGCACACTATTTGGGGAAGACAGAGCTCTCAAAAAATGTGTGTCAAATAAGCTTCCTTCTTTGCAAATTCTGTTCCTTCTTCCCAGAATGTCATTGCCACAGCTTTGATGGTTGATAACCTGCAATTCATCGCTTAAACTTGGAGCAAGTGCTCCTGACTCCCTCAGGAAGTTGTTTCTTCCCTCCTCTTTGTTCCTGTAAGAAAGGTAATATTCACTATGATAAGTATCATTGTCTATGAGCCTTATCTCTCCCACCGGACTCTGAACTTCTCAATGGCAGTGACTAATTCTCGTCCATCTTTTCGAAGGCTCTTCAGCTTATATAGCACCTTTCGTTGTATTGAATAATGTCATGTATGGGTCCCATTTTTCAAACCAGATTGGGAGTTCCCGTGGTAAGAGGAAGCCTGATCTTCCATTCTGTATGCTGTGTGATTCTACAGCCATCAGTCCTGCTCCTAGTGCCCCAGCAAGCCTTTCCTTGGCTATGAAGATTGCCAAAATACTGAAGCCTCAGTGAAGCCTCTTCGTTCCCCCAGGTTTCATTTTCTGGACTCAGGGATTTTATTACCCACTGTAAAGACTAAATATGCTTTTCACTGTGTGGAAGAAAGTATAGAAGTTCAACGGCACATTGTTTCTTCATCATCCTATGTTCTCTGAAAAATATTTGGGTTCGGAAATATTTTGTGCGCCTCTTATCCAATCCACTGTTGGAGAAAGAGAAATTTCATCTAAAGTTCTGCAAACTCCTTCGAATTCCTTGTGGTAGATGTAAATGGGGAGGGAGAGAGGATGGGCAGGAAGGTGAAGGGAGGACCTGGGAGATAAGGGGTGCACAGGATGATATCTGACCCCACTATCCATCCACTCCTCATTCTACTCCTAGCAGGTGCCTCCGCCCCACCACCACCTGGAGAAGACTGCTTAGAGAAAAGAAGACCTTCCAGACTCAGCCCATTCACATTCCTCTTAGTCTTTGAGGTTCATGAAAGTTAGGTAACTTGCTCAAATTCACTGAAGTCATTCTATGAGACCAATATTACCCAGAAACCAAAGGCAGAAGAGGACATCCCAAGAAGAGCATACTACAGAACAATATCTTTTATAAATGTAGAAGAAAATGCCCTCAACAAAACCAAAAGGAGAGATTGGCAGAACAGATTTGTTTAAATGCTCCAGTTACATGCTATCTTGAAGAGGTGTGCTTTACTTTCAAAGACATAAATTGCTTAAAATAAAAGCGTGGAAAAGTATAGTGTGGAAACAATCATGAAAAGAGAGTTGGAGTGGCTCTACTAATATTCTCTGAGACAAAAATATACTTTAAGACAACAATTCGATTTAGATACAGAGAAGGACGTTTTATCACGGTAGAGTGCTCAATCCATCAAGAAGATATAAAGATTTTTATAAAAATATATAGACACATAGCAATAGTGCCCCACAATACACGAAGCAAAAATGGACACAACTGAAGGGAGAAAGATGCACACAAGATCCCAGCCTTGTAGGATGTGGCTAAATTAGCTCTTAGATGCAAATGTATAGCTATAAACACCTATATTGAAAAAAGAGTAGTGCTCTCAAAAAATTCTTCTAAATTTTTATGTTAAGACACAGGAGCAAGAAAATTAAACTAACCCCAAACAGGCAGAAGGAAGGAAATAAGGACTGTTAGAGTGATATAAATAAAAAGAATATAGGAAATAATAGAGAAAATTAACCAAACCAAAAGTTGGTTCATTAACAAAGATCAACGAAATTGACATGCTTTTGCTAGACTAAGAAAGAATAGAAAAGATGCATATTACAAAAATCAAAACTAGAATATAGGATATTAATACAATCTTACAGAAATAAAAAGGTTATGGGAAATACTGTGAACAACAGCATGGCAACAAATTAGATAATCTTGTGACAAGGACAAATGTCCAGAAACACACAAATTACTGAAACTGCCTAAAGGAGAAGTAGAAGATTTGAATTGATTTACAACAAGTAAAGGGATTGAATTACTAACAAATATATTCCCCCAAAGAAAAGTCCAGGGTTAACTGGTGGAATTCTACCAAATATTTAAAGGACACTTAACACCAAAGCTTCACAAGATTGCTCAAGAACAGAAGGGCGCCCTTCCCAGCTAGTTTTTCGAGCCCAACTTTAACCAAACTCCAAAATTAGACAAGGCATCAGAAGGAAATAACTAACCTAATTACAGATGCATATCTGTTATGTATACACAAATCTCCTCCACAAATTACACACATACCTAATCCAGCAACACACACACGTGCACACACACACACACACACACACACACAGATTTTACACAAAGACCAAGTGGAACTTGCTCCAGGAATGTAAAGTTGGTTCAACGTACAAAAATCAATCAATATAATATACCACACTAACCAAATAAAAACCCCATATTATCGTTTCCGTAGACACAGAAAAAACTTGTGACAGATCCAAAACCGTTTCACAATTAAAAAAATATGAAGAAACTGGAGAAAAAAGGTGCTTCTGCAACTCAGTAGACTCTACCAAAAACTCACAACTGCCATCATGATTAATGGTGAAAGGCTGAAAACTTTCACCCTCAACAAGCAACAATGTGTGCTCTCACCATTTCTATTTAACATTGTACAGGAGCTTCTAGCTAATGCATTTAGGCAAGAAAAAGAGATAGAAGACCTCCAGACTTGAAAGGAATAAGTAAAACTCTCTCTGCTCACAGATGACATTATCTTGTACATAGAAAACACTAAAGAAGCCGGAAAAGAAAATACTATCAGGACGAGTCATTGAATTTATTCCATATAATATCTACATCAATGTAAAACATACAATTTTATGTCTTTGTACTACCAATGAATAATCCAATAAAGGACACTTTAAAAACAATTCCACTTATCATAGCATCCAAAGAAACACAATAGTTAGAAATAAATTCCACAAAAGAAGTGTAAGACTTGTACGCAGAACACTACAAAACCTTATTGAAAGAAATTAAAGAAGACCTAAAGAAATGTGAAGGTGTCCCTTACACATGGACGGGGAAGACTGTGTATCATTAAAATAGTAACAGTCCACAAGTGGATCTATAGATACAACATACTCACCGTTTCAAATCCCACCAGGATCTTCTTGCCATAATTGACAATCTGATTCTGACATTCCCTTGGCAACGCAAGGGACCCAGAAAAGCCAAAACAATCTTGAAAAAGAGCAATGATGGAGGACTCACACGTCTCTATTTCAAAACTTACTGCAAAGCTACAGTAATCAATGTGTTGTGGTACTGGCATAAATTTAGGCATATATATATCAGTGTCATAAAAATGCAAATTTTAGAAATAAACCTCTTCTTTTAAGTTCAGTTGATTTTCCACAAGTGTATCAAGGCAACTCAAAGTGAGAAAGAATAGCATTTTCCACAAACGGTGCTGGGACAAATGGTTATGCCCATGGAGAAGAATGAAGTGGACCCACCATCTCATGCCATGCCTGAAAATTAATTCAAAATGAATGATAGACATAAACCTAAGGGGAAAAAAACTATGTAACTTTTGGAAAAAAACTTTGGGGATAACCTTCATGACCTTGAAATTGGAATTGGCTTTGTAGATATGGTACCCATATCACGGGTGAAAAACATGAAACACAGAGGAATTGTACTTCATTAAAATTAAATACTTTTGTGCTTCAAAGCCCACCATCAAGGACAGGGAAGACAACTTATGAGATGATTGAAAAGATTGGAAAATCATATATCTCATATTTGACTCTATTTGCAATATCTACTAAACACTTACGACTGCCTAATAAAAAAGACACACAGCCCAAATAAAAGTGGGCAAAGCATTGCAATAGACATTTCTCTAAAGAACATGTACAAATGGCTAATAAGCTCAAGAAAAGATGCTCAGTGTCATTAGTCATTAGGGAAGTGCAAGTCAAATCCACGTTGTGATACCACTTCCCACTCACTAAGATGGCTGAAATCAAACAGATAGACAATAACAAATGTTGGCAAGGTTGTGGAGGAACTGGAATCTTAAGACATTTCTCATGGGATTGTAAGATGGCCCAATCACTTTGGGAGAGGGTGCAGCAGTTCCTCCAAAAGTAAGAGTTCCTTTATGACCCAGCAAGTCCACTCCAGGTGTTCACCCAAGAGATTTCAAAAAATAACTCAGGTAAAATCCTGTACAAGAGTGTCCATAACAGCCTCCTCCATAGTAGCCAAAAAGTGAAAGAATCTAAAAGTCCATCCACAGTTGAATGAGTAACCAATATGTAGTATCATTATATGGTAGTTAATGGAATGTACGAGCCACAACATTGATTAATCTGGAAAACATAGTGCTTACTGAAAGAAGCCGGTCCAAAAGGTCACGCATTGTATGATCTGATTTATAGGAAACATTCACTACATGCAAAATCAGAGAGCCAGAAGATAGATCAGAGGGTACCAGTGGTTTGAAGAAGAGGGGAGATTAGGTCACTTAAATACATACAGCGTGTTTTTTGAATAAAAAAGTTCTTAAATTACATGGTTGTGATAGTTGCACAACTTTTCCGTTTTTTAAATTTTATTTTATTGTGCTAAGAACACGTAACATGAGATCCGCCCTCACTAAAATTTTAAGTGCAAAATACCATATTCTTAACCATAGGCACAGGGTTGTACAGGAGATCTCAAGAATGTATTCACCTGGCACAACGGAAACTTTATACCCATAGAATAGCAACTCCCTGTTTCCCCCTCCCTCCAGGTTCAAGCAGCCGACACTGCACTCTGGTTTTTAAATTTGACTATTTTAGATAGCTGAAATATTTAGAACCCACATTATTTGGGTGTGATGGCAGGAATTCCTTCTTCATGGAAGTGGAATAATGTCCCATTTTATGTGTATACCACATTTTTAATATCCATTCATCTGTCGATGAACATTTAGGTTGTTTCCACATTGTTTTTAAATTTTGACTGTTAGATGTAATGCTTCAATAGAGGTGGGAGTGCATATATCCCTTCGAGGTCCAGATTTCAATTCTTTTGGATATATACCCAAAAGTGGGATTGCCAGATCACATGGTCGTTCTATTTTCAATTTTTTGAGGAACCACTACGGTGTATTCCATAGTGGCTGCACCGCTTTATGTGCCTACTCCAGTGTGCCCGTGTTGGAATTTTTACACATCTTCTCCAAAACAACACTTGTTATCTTTTCTTTCTTTCTTTCTTTCTTTCTTTTCTTTCCTTCTTTCTTTCTTTCTTTCTTTCTTTCTTTCTTTCTTTCTTTCTTTCTTTCTTTTTCTTTCTTCTTTCTTTCTCTTTCTTTTTTCTTTCTCTTTCTTTCTTCTTTCTTTCTTTTTTGTTTTGATAATAGCTATCGTTCAAAGTGTGAGGTGATAGCTCATTGTGGTTTGGATTTGCATTTCTCTGCTGAGTAGTGACGTTGAGCACTTTTTCATATACTGTTGGGCATGTGCATGTCCTCTTTGAAGAAATGTCTATTCAAGTCTTTTGCCCATTCTTTAGTCAGTTTGTTGTCTTCTTTTTTGGTATTGAGTTGTAGGAGTTCCTTGTATAGCTTGGATATTAATCCCTTATCATATATATCCTTTTCAAATATCTTTTCCTGTAAATCTCCTAGAAGAGAACATAGGTGAAAAGTTCCATGGCATTTGACTTGGAAATTATCTCTTGAATATGACAAAAAGCACAAGCAACAAAAAGCCACGTTAGACTGGTGAGACTAAGTCGAACCAAAAACCTATGGTGAACCCACCGGGGCCTGTTGTGGGTAGGGGGAGGGGGGAGGGGGGAGGGATAGCATTAGGAGATATACCTAATGCAAAAGACGAGTTAATGGGTGCAGCACACCAACAGGTAACAAACCTGCACGTTTTGCACATGTACGTTAGAACTTAAAGTATAATAAATATATATATATATATATATATATAAAAAATAAAATAAAATGAAAGCAAAAACCAAAAACGAAAACAAAAACCTATGGTGAACCAAATGAAACAATCAACACGGTGAAAAGGCCACCTACGGAATGGGAGTTGCTCAACTTTTGGAATATACTAACAACCACTGCACGGTACACTTTAAAAGGGTGAGCTTTGTGGTATCTGAATTATATCTCAATAAAGCTGTTTCTTTTAATGAAGGAGGAAAGAATCTCTGAAGGAATTCAAAATGTTCATAACTTATTCCTAAGTTAACATACATGCTAGTATATTAGGATACAAGTTGGAGGGATATTTTTGAATTATTACAAAACGAAACCTATACGAAGACTTCCATAAGGCTGAAAAATTAAATGTGGTAGGAGGCTTCCAAAGCGGCCTCTCTGGCAGAGTAGCAAGGTTGCAAGAACAATGTCAAAACAAAGCTATTTCTCAGGCATGACCTTTGTGATTGTTTCTATGTCTCAGACTCCCGTGGATCCTACCTGCTTTCCAATTCTGGTTATGCAGCCCTCTTATTGACTTCGTGTGCAACCTGATATTCTTGCATCAGGTTTGTTTGTTTGTTTTTTTTTTTTTTTTTGGTTGAGCAATCGTGAGTGTTTTTCTGTTGTTGCTAACCAAACATTCTGATGGACACAGGAGGTGGCAGATGTAGGTGTTATTTACATCTGTAAAGTGAAAGGAAATTTCTTCGAGAAAAAAATGTAGAAAAGGAGGAAACAAGGCCACAATCTGGAGCATATCAAAAAGTAGAGGAGTTTACAAGAAGAGGAGCCAGGAAACAACTCAAAGAATAGGATCTATCCTGGAAGGAAGATCACCAGAAGAAGATGGTTTCATGGAATCCACAAGATCTCAAGAGACCGATAGTGGCCAGCACGTTCAATGCTACTAAGAGGGCAAGCCAGGTCAGAGGGATGATAATTGGATTTGACATCATGTAAGTTACTAAAGAGCATGAAAAAGAAAAAAAGCATATTGGAGGACAGAAGGCCATGCAAGACATCGGAGGTGGAGATGAGGAAGTGGTGACAACCTGTTCAGACAACTTACCAGAAAAGTTTTGCTGTGAAAGGCAGCAGGTATGTGGGAGAACAGCTGGTAGGGAAGTGTCGCCAAGGGAAGGTATTTGTTTAAAATGGAGGACAGTGGAGCGTAATTGTATGCTGAGGGGAATAGCCACTGGAGCAGAAGAATTTGAAGATGCAGAGAAACAGTGGACATCTGCAGGAATTCAAACTGTGAGAAACAGTGAGGGGTAAAGATGGGGTCAACCAGAGAGGCTGGCTTTGTTAAAAATATGAGCCACCAGCCCCATGCTTCATGCTCTCAGTTAAAGCCATGCTGATAACCTCCATCCCCGGGGATGGCCAAATTGAGAATGAGGGATTGGCAGGGCAGAGATGTCCAGAGGATGAGGAAATGAAGTTTGAAGTCCATAGGATCCAGGCTGAGTAACGAAGGTTAATGTAAACTGACAAATTCAAATTTTGAGAAATGTATCGGTCAGAGATATTTTTAATTTTTTTAAATTTAATTTTATTTTTTTTCTGCAGTTGGGGTCTCGCTGTGATGCCCAAGCTGGTCTTGAACTCCTGCCTTCAAAGTGCAGCCTCCCAAAGCTCTGTGCAGTGGTGCTGTCATAACTCACTGCAGCCTCAAACTCCTGGGCTCAAGTGATCCTCCTGCATGAGTCTCCCGAGTAGCTGGGACCACAGATGCGTGCCACCATATAAGGCTAATTTTTTCTATTTTTATAATTTTAGAGATGAGGTCTCGCTACATTGACCAGGCTCGTGTCCAACTCCTGGCCTCAACCAATCCTCCTGCCTCGGTGTCTTGCATAGCTGGGGTTATAGGTGTGAGCCACTGCGCAGAGCTAGGTGAGGGATTATGATGTGACACTCATAGCTCCTTAGTGTTTGGTGATTGTCTCTGGGTGTTCACATGTTCACAGGGAGGTGGAGACATAGACAGATCCCATTACTGAGAGATAAAGAAATCCCTACAATGAAGCAGATTAATGGAGGGACTTCCTTCTTTCCAGGGAGAGAAAAGGGCAGTGCTCAAAACAGGAAGAAAAGCCATGAACGGGAATTCACCGGAAATGGAATGTCCTCAGAAGACCTTATCTTTTCCGTGGGAGGCAGGGGATGGGTGATTCTTTTTGGATTCTAGCAGCATGGATGCTTAGCCATCGCTCACTAGTAGTTTGTTCCACTATAATTTCATGTAGTCACTATTGACCCTTCGCTGAAGTCTGTAACTGGCATAGCGTCTACAGTCCTGTGAGTGGTGCTTTTGGGGATTTAAGGAGCAGAGCAGTCAAGCGAAGCGTTGCCTTCCTGGCATTGCCATTCCCCATTGGTCCTTCTCCAAGGGAAACTGGTCGTGGTCATCCAGACAGAGACCAGGAGCCGAGTGGATCTGAGATCCCCCGAGAGGGGTGTGAAACACAGGGGAGTCACTGGCAGGTGGGCACTCAGGAGTGCATATGAGACAAACCCCCTGACCCAGAGGAGACTGGATGTCGCGCAACATCCGTGGAGGTCAGGAAGATGGGCAGAACTTCATGTGGTTCCTTCTGGCGTAGGGCATGGCTGTGGGTGTGGGTTGCACATTGCAGTGAAGACGAGTTTACTTAGGTATTTTGGACTGAGGGGTTCCAGGACATGGGAAATGGAGGGCAGCTGGGTCCCAGGAGAGGAGAGTGCAGCTGGACAAAGGGACTTCTGAGACTCACTGGAATAAATGGAAAGAAGGGAGGGAAAGTTGGGGGCATATGCCCAGCTTTTGAGTTGTTGTTTATCACAAATTTATAGTGTGGGACGTCTCATGTCGGGCCTGGCACGCTGTTTGTCCAGCCTCTGGTAAGGGGAGTCAATACACAGGAGGTGGTGGGCTTCTCAGGAAGAGGGGCAGGCAAGAGGCCTCTCATTAGTTTGGCTGCTTCCAGAAGTGGGAGACTATCAGAAACCTCCCTCGTCTGAGTCTCCCCAAGGCCCTGGCGGAACAGGAGTGTGGCAGGAAGGGGGAGCCCTAGGAACTTGTCCCATGGTCTGGGCAGAGGTCTCCCAGGCCACAGAGGAGAAGAGGGAGGAGGTGTGTCCTGTGTGACTCTGGCAGGAAGGATCAGGGAGCCCTCCTGAGACAGCGCTTCTGAAATTGGGCTGGCTGGAACTTTCTGTCAGAAAATAGGAATGACTGAAAAAACTCCCCTACTGTGATAGAGGCTAGAGGGTGGTAAAGAGGAAGGTGAGTTGGGGTAGCAGGAATCCTAGGTTCCACAGGCATGGTTTGCAGGTACAATACATTGTTGGTAACATGATGGCTCGGGGACAAAGAAGCCTGTCTCCAAACCGTGCAGGTGCATTGAGAGGATGTAGAAATTCTGGATTCATGTCAGGCCCGTCTGCGTTTCTGCCCTCCTCCACCCAGCATTGAGGGGAGGGCAGGGTAGAACTAAAGCGAATGTTCTTTTCAATCCCTGAATAGGGGCTTGCGTACCTCAGAGGAAGACAGAACACGCACATTTCTCTGCGTTTCTCTTTGTCTCATCTTTAGTCTCTAGGCCATTAGCCCCTGTTGCCATGGGAACTGAAGCTGAGTGTCTGATGCATTCATTGGGCTGTGGGAGAAAAGCAGAGTTGGTCCTTGAAATAAAGGCCCCTGGGAGAGGGGATTCTAGCAAGGCAGTCACATTGAAAGAATTCACAATTCCCACAGATATATTGATCCTTGTGATTATTAGTACACACACACACACACACACACACGCACACATCCCACACACCCCCACCCCATACACACACACACACACACACACACACACACACACACAGGCTTCATCCTGAACAGATACGATGTACAGAGCATCGCACTGGCTGGCCCATAGGGTTCTTGTGGGAGAGGCCAGGCCTCTGTGACCATGAAAGGGGTTGCAACTGATACAGTCAGGGAGGGATCCCAGGAAGGGGAGTGATTCCCTTAAATTTGCTTGTTGAAACCCGTATCTGGCAGGGGAAAGGAGGATCCGGTGCAGAGCTTGGATTCAGCAGAGGTGGCTGTTGATGTGACCAGTCCCCCTGTTTGGGTGGGAAGGCCCTGAATGACACATGCAGCAAGGCAAGAGTGGTCCCGTGCACCCTTTGCTCTTTCTTGGCTTATCCAGCTCCTCCCTCTGAGATAGTCCCATGGGGAGCCCCAGGTTGACCTGGGATGGGGATCCCCTCTTTCCAGGGGCAGGGTAGAGTTCTCAAAGCTGGCAGTTTTCTCCTCCTTTCCCTTTCTCCCTCGCTGCCCCTTCTTCTTGCCCCCTGCTCATCAATCACCCTTTGGTAAAGGACCTCTCCCCTTGTTCCTTTCTCTTTACTCCCTCATCCATTTCCTCTACACTCCTTTCCTCTTTCCTCTCTCTTCCTACCTCACTTCAGCCTCTGTCATCACCTCTCATCTCCCCTCTCTGCTCTCTCTCCTCCATGCCTTGTCTTTCCCTTTGTCCTCCCTCCGAGTTCCCATATCCCTCACTGCCCTTTCTCTCCCTCTTTCCTTTCTCATGTTGTCCTCCCCTGGTTTTCCCCTCATTTTGCTTTTTCCTTCTCTCTATGCCGTTCCCTCCCCTCACCCTCCCCGCCCTCCCCTCCCCTGATACTCACCCAGTGACTAATCCGCAGTTCCTTAAGTGGTACTGGGCGTAACGTGGGCTCTATGTGTTTAGCTTTCAGCCTCGGAGGGCAGTACATCCTAAAGTGAATCACCAACTTAATTATTCCTCTGCAAATTACCATCAGTGATACGAGATTCAACGACAAGGAGCTGTGAGAGCGCACAGGAAGGGAGCTCATTTCTGGGGTGGGCTCAGTGAAGAAAATGTCATTGATGATAGTCCTTGTTCTGCCATCCACCATCCTCTGCTTGCCTCTTTCTGTCACTGCCTTCCCTTTTATGTTGGGGGCAACTCTCCTCTTCTATCTTTTGCAGCAGGGTGGGACTCCTCTCATGGTGTCCTGCCCTCCACACCCCAAGGTGTGAGTTCTCATGAAGTCCAACCGGATGCCCATTTCCTGCAACCTGAGCACCCAACAGACCAAAGAGCATGAGGGGTAGTTTCAACTCGCCCGGGGACCCTTGTTCCTGCTCCCAGCTTCCCCAGGGCACCTTTGGTCATGTACTTCACTCACCCCTTCTCTTTCTCACGTTCACTTCTCACCTCTCTTCCCCCTCCCTCTTTCCTGGCTGCATCCTTTTCTCCTAAGGCTTTACCCCATAAAGACAAAGAAACTGGCTGAGGAGACAAGAGAAAGAAAGTAGCAGAAGATGGGAAGGAAACAGGTGAGTGACACTGACTTAGCTGATTAAGAGAGCTTGATCTTTTTTGAGGGTGTGGGGGGTTCTCGCTCTGTCGCCCAGGCTGGAGTTCAGTGGTATGATCATAGCTCCCTGTAGCCTCGAACTGCTGAGCTCAAGGGATCCTCCAGCCACAGCCTCCAGAGTAGCTGGGAGTACATGTTAATTTTTTTTTTATGTTTTGTTTTTTTACAGACGGAGTCTCACTTGTGTTGCCAAGAGAGCTTGAGCATCAACTGGCAGTGAGGATGGCAGGAAAGCAACTGACTTATCCCCTCTCACCAGACCTTCCAACTGTCTGCAACACTGGCATTGCCACGTATCCCGGCACGTTGTTGGTAATGGTGGGGGCTGTAAATTGCACGATTGCTCTAGAAAGTGTATTTACAAATCACTTAGACGCCCAGATCCCCTCTCAGCTCCTCGTAGCATGACAAATCGCTCTCCCCCCACTCTGGGAGATGGCGGACAAATGTACTCTCTGCAGAGCATGAACCAGCAGATTTATGGGCTTTGGAACTTCAGGCTCACTTCAAGGCATACATCCCAACCCGGCGTAGGGATTTCAGTTGCTGTCTACAGCAATCTTCAGTCCCTCACCTCCGCTGGAGTTTGGCGTCCAGATTGCTGGCATCTTGCCCCTTCTCAGAGATGCAGGAGAGTCTTCCTGTGTAATCTAAACTTCCCCAGAGAGGAGACTTAGTAATATTGGCAGGCAAAGACCTCTGGAGTTTGCTTCATTAGTAAGCTCAAAATATTTTCTTATTTCAACGTTAGTTTTTCTTAGAGCCATGGGTTACTTAGGAGGATGTTTCTTAATTTACCAACATATACGGGGGTTTGTAATGATCTTTTGTTATTAATTTCTAGATCCCATTGTGGCATTGTGGTCAGAGAATATACAAATCGCTGAAGAATCCATTGTTTATGGACATTCCTGGGATAGTATTCATTTAAATATCTCTATGTACACTGTAATGGAATATAATACAAAAATGGAGTTGCACGCAAAATGAGGGTACCACTCAGTAAATGGTTCCACAGGGACGTCTGATCCCCTACGATCTGGGTTAAGAAATGGTGTAGTGTATTGCCGGCAGCTCAAAAGCACTCTCATGCCAGTCACTCTTGTCTTCCACCTCAGCAAATCTAACCACTCTTGTGACTTTTAACACTTGACGATAATCCTGCCTGTTTGTGAACGCATTACACATGAGTAGACTCAGTACAGTACGTATTTTATAATCCGGGTTTCTCTTGGCAACATTAGGTTTTTCTCCTTGCTATTCACTTTTGTCGTGCTGTGTAGCTGAATTTCGTTTCTTTGCATTCCTGCGCAGTGTTTTGAATTGTATGACGATGCCACAATTTATTCATGCCTTTTATTTCTAATGGGCTCTTCAGTAGTTTCCAGCGCTGGAGTGTTAGTGTTATTATTGTGGTGCACGTTCACAAGGATGTCCTTTGGTTAACATGCGTATGCATTTAAGGCTGTGCTTGCAGGACTGCTTTGATTACTTTTTCTTCCTTCATGGCACTGTAAGTGGTGACAGTGGATGTATCTGGTTTTTTTTTCCCCCTGATCTCAGAGGGAAAGCTGTCAACATGTCACCCGTAAGTATCGTTGTTTTTGTAGGCTTTTAAAATATATTCCAACGGAATCAAGAGACTTCCCTTTTGTTCGTAGTTGGCTAAGAGGTTTTATCATAAGTGCATGGTCATTTAAAAAAAATCAAACCCATGAAATACCCTTCCTGCGTCTGTAGGGAATATCATATTTTTTCTCCTTCATACATTACTTCTGAGAGATAGATTTTTCAAGCGCTGAACCGCTTCATTTCTAGAATACTCTTGACTTGTTTGTGATACGTTTTCCTTTTTGGAGATTTAACTGATTTGTTTTGCTAATGCTTTATTCAAGATTTCTTCTTCTGTGCTTATGTAAAAGATAGGCCTGTGCATTTCATTTCTTACCATGCCCTTTAAGGTTTTTCCCTCATAAAACGGGATGGGAAGCATTTCCCGTTTTTTATGTTACTTGGCAAGAAGGTAAGATTGATATTCCTTCCTTCACAAACGTTTTGTAGAATTAATCGGTGGCAGCATCAGAGTCCGTAGGTTCTTGTGGCTGTTGCTGTTGTTTCCTTCAGATTCCGCCCGTTTAGAATTTGTAGGACAATTCAGATGTTTAGTCTGTTTTCTGTCATTTTGTTGTATTTTCTTGAAATGTGTAAATTATATCCAAAGTTTCACGTTTGTGGGCATAAAGTTGCTCATGGTTTTGAATAATGATCTCTTTAATGCCTTCATTGCCCATAGTGATGTCTCCTTAGCCACTCCAGACACGGGTTGCTTCATGATTTCTCTCCTTTTTGTTCAGGCCTACACAAGGCATGTCTTAATCACATCATCTTTTCAAAAAACCACCTCTGGCTGTGTTGTTTTATCTTTAACTGATTTGTACTTTTATCGTTATTTCATTTCTTCTGCTTTCTTCAGGTTTAATCTGTTGTTCAACATGGTTAAGAAAGATGCAAATGTTGTGCCTTTCTTTTTCATGCAATCTAGACAATTAAAATATATCCCATAAGATTTCATCAGGTTCAAAATACTTTGCGATTTCATTGGTGATGTTTTCCTTGAGCTATGGGTTATTTAGAAAATAGGAAATAAAAAGGATGCCTTTTCTAAAAATAAAATGAAGTGAAATAAAAAGGATGCCCTTTTATTTCATTTTCTTGCTTAATTGCCCTCTGAACTTCCGGGACTATGTTGAGAAGAAGTAGCAAAAGCGGGCATCTCTGTCTTGCTCCTGATCTTAGAGGAAAAGCTTTCACTCTTTCGCCATCGTGTACAGTGTTCACAATGAGTATTTTATATAGGACTTTTGTGACGTTGAGGTTGTTTCCTTCTGTTTCAAGGAGTTTGAGTGTTTTTATCACGAAGGGGGTTGACTTTTGTCAGATGCTTTTAGTGCATCAATTGAGCCGATCATGTGGTTTTGTCCTTCATTTTGTTGATGCCGTACACTAAATTAGTTGATTTTCATTGATCGAAACTTCCTTGCATTCCACGAATAAATCCCACGTGGTCATGGGCCTTTCATGTGTTGTTGAACTCGGTGTGCTAGACTTTTGTTGAATATGTATGCACAAACATTCTTTTGGGAAGTGTGTGTGTGTGTGTGTGTGTGTGTGCGCGCGCGTTTCTGGTCCTAGTTCTTCTCTAACTGTTTAGTAGAATTCTCCACTGAAGCCATCTAGTCCTGCGGTTTTCTCTGTTGGGAGGTTGATGAATACTGGTTAAGTCTCCTTATGAGTTGTCGAGATCTGCTGAGATTTTTTATTTCTTCAGGAGTCAGTCTTGGCAGCGTGTACGTTTCTCAGAATTTATCCATTTCTTCTAAAGTATCAAATTTGTTGGGGTATAGTTGTTCCTGGTCTTCTCCTTATAATCTTTTTTATTTCTGTAGTAACAATTGTAATGCCCCTCTGTCATTCTGATTTTAGTTATTTGACCCTTCTCTGTTTTTTTCTTAATCTGCTTAACCTATGTTGACCTTTTCAGAGACACCAGCTCTTAGTTTCATTGTTTTTTTTTTCCTATTATTTGTCTATTCTCCATTTCCTTTATTTGTGCTCTAATCTTTATTACTTCCTTCCTTCTGCTAACTTCGGGTTTACGTTGTTCTTCCTTTGCTAGTTCTCGAAACACAAAGATAGGCTGTTGATTTGAGATCTTTCTTCTTTTTCACTGTAAGGATTTACCACAATAAACTTCCCTCTTAACACTGCTTTCCCTGCATCTCCTTAGTTGTGGTATGTGGTGTTTTCATTGTCATGTGTCTCAAGATACTTTCTAATTTCCTTGTGGTCTGTTCTTTGACCCACTGGTTGTTGAAGAGAGTGTTGTAATTTCCACCTGTTTGTGACTTTTTCAATTCTCCTTCCGGTATTGCTTTCTAGTTTCATTCCATTGTGGTCAGAAAAGATAATTGGTATGATTTCAAACTTCTGAAGTTTGTGAAGATCCTAAATGTCAACAAAAAAGCTAAAGCATAAGACCTCTGGAAGAGAATTCAGGATAAAGCCTTGAAAAACTTGCTGTAGGCGAAGGACTCTTATAGCTATGACACAGAAAGCAATAGCCATGCAAAAACACCTTAAGTGAATTTCATCAAATTTAGAAATCTGGCTTTTCATCATTAGCGAAATGAAAAAGCAAACCATTCATTGCGGCAATGTTTGCAATATATACTACCCGACAATGGAAAAGTTTGCACGCAAAAAAGCACTCTTATAATTCAGTATTAAGACGACAAATGATAATCAATGTGCAAACCATGTGAATGGTTCTTCACATGCAACACGGAACGATATGCAACTGGTCAAGAGAAGAGGCTGGGCCAAGGTCACTAGTGGAGGCAGCGGCAAAGCTGGGTCAGAGATCTCAGGCAAGTCACCTCCCTTCTCTGAGTCTGTTTCCTCAAGTGCACAGTAGTAGCTCAGACGATCTTTGAGGGTGTCACGAGGTAGTGGGCAAAACGCCCTTGGCCCAGGGCCTGATGACGACAAAAACAAGGAGGAGCAGCAGGATGGATGCCCAGGAAGGAAAGCACCCAACCTGATGTCTCAGGAGGCTGGGAGGGCGGTGGCAGGCCTCAGAAACCTAGGGTGGAACCTGTCGTTCAGGGAAGCCGTGAGGGGTAGCGAATCATGCACGATGAAGGGAGATGGGGAGCGGTATGTGCACGTGGGTGCGAGGGTGGGTGTCAGGAGAGAGTGCCCAGCAGGTGGGTGTATCACCCCCAGGACACTGCAAGACCCTGGATGGCAGGGGAGGCCGACAGCAGGGCCCAGTGCACGCACCCTGGCCTCAGAGGGTCCCAGGTTCAAGTCTGTGCTCTGCCACTTCCTGGCTGTGTGACTTGGGGAGAGCATCTTCCCTCTCGGAGCCTCAGTTGGCTGAGACCATGAAATGGCCTTACTGCCCCCACCTCTCGGGCTTGGCCGAGAAACAGAAACATAGGCCCAGATGAGAAATTGTACATGAATATTCAGAACAACTTTATGCATAATGTCAATAACTGGAAACAAGTGAATGCACGAATGCTCGTCCATCGCCAGGCCTGGGGCAGGGGTGATCAGAGGGAGCAGGCCAAGCTGGGAGAAGGCTGTGAGTGCTGTCCACTGACACAGCAGGGCCTCAGAAAACACTTGCTGACATGGACTGTGGGCCTTTGCAGTGCGGGGTCTGCAGAAGGCCCCAGGCCGGGGGCAGGGGGGAAACCTGCCTAGGTCTCCTGTTTGCCATGTGAGTGAGGTGGTGGCCGTCTCCAGGGTGGCCGGTCTGACCCTTCTGCAGGACGCGCAGTCCAGTCCGCCCCCATTTCCCACCAGGGTGCTCTCACCTCCCTGCTCTCCTCCTCTCTTCCCAGGTGCTCTCAGCGCTGCCCCTACAGGGTAGGGGGAGTGGGTCCCTGGTGAGGCCCCACCGCAGCAAGGTGATGTGAAAGGGAGAGTGTCCAGCAAGCCTGGAGGCCTGAGGAGGCCGTGACCTGGCCAGCACCCCACCTCTGAGGGCTGCTTCCTGTTCCTTTCCGGTGGAACTTCCGTATCTCAAGTGCCCTCTGCACACAGTGTTCAAACTCACTCCTGTGGCTTATGGTGACTACCCCCACCCTGATCCAAGGACAGGCATGTGCCCGCTATGTGCACAAGGGTGTCCGGGGAGGTTCCAGCCAAATAGCATTAAATTTATGACGCCAGGGGTGGTGGAGTCCCAGGCATCCCTCATCTCTTCCACAGCCCAGACCACAAACCAGGAGACATAAAGGGAAGGGGACTCCATTGTGTGTGTGTGTGTGTGTGTGTTCCAGTAAAACTTTGGAACTGGATTTCTGTCAGAGTCCCAGAATGTCAGTGTGGCCAAGCATGGACCCAAGCACCAGAGAAGCAGAAATCACAGCGGCAGCCAACACGGAGACCCACCCAAAGCCTTTCTGACGGACAGCTTCTGGGGTGTGCAACCAATGCAGTCTGATGCTCACCAGGGCTCCCCATGTGGCTCCATGCTCTGCTGTTGTTGTTTTGAAATCCTTCATAGTTTTTGACAAGGAGACTCGTGTTTTCATTTTCCACTGGGCCTCCCAAATTAGGTAGCCCGGTCTGGGTCAGGATCTGGCCGTGGCGGAGATGGCAGCCCCTCCTGGGGAAACAGAGGCTGGGGCTGGGTGAGGGGGTGGGAAGCAGGGAGCCTTCCACTGCTATGTTTTCCCTCCTTATCTAGGGCTCTGTCCTCCCAAGCCCTGGACATTACCGGGGAACTCCAGAAGCCCTGGACACTGTCCCTGCCTGCCACTGAGCCCTTCCCAGGAGACCAAACTGTCTCTGCCCTCACTGTCTTGTACCTGAAGCATGTGCAGCCCTACCTCAGACCCCTCCAGACATCACCCAGCCCTTGAACACACCAGGACCTAGGTAGGCCTGGTGTTGTCCTCACTGGGAGAGCCCTGCTGCTGGGGGAGAAGGGCTGCGAAGCTCCAAACAGGCCGCCGTTCCGTCACAGGCAAGGGGCTGTGTACGCGTGCACCGTGCGTTGTTTTTATTACATCCTGCTCCCTCAGCAATCACGGCCCCTCCTTCTACCCACTGGAGGGCTGCGAACATCACTGCGGGGCCCACCTCATTGTCCGTCAGACTCTGTACCGAGGACGGGGTCCTGAACTGTGTGGATGATGAGCCAAGGGTTCCGGAACATCATCTCCAAGGAGGGGGTGTGGGAGGTGGGTCCTGGTGAGAGCCTTGGACCCTGTCCCTCGGCGGGAGGGGCAGTGGCACCAAGCTGCAATTTTCCACCCCGCCCCTGCTGTGGCCCCGACTCTTGCCATGTCCCTGGGGCTGCTGAGCAAGGTTTGTAGAAAATCACATAACGATGAGCACTGGGGCCTCTCCAAACTCCTGCTCACGCACTCAGGCGTAACCAACCTCCGCACCTCCCAGCATCCCACCTGTCCCTGTGGGCCTTTTTGGCAGAGGTGGGGCCCACCTACCCCAGAGAGCCTGAAGAAGTTTCCTTGCTACAAGCCCAAGCGTGGCCAGGTATAGCAATGGGTGTGCAGGTAAAGGAAGAAACATCCAAATTAATTTTGCAACTTTAATGTAACACTGATACCCAAAACATGAAAACACAAGGAAAAGCACAAAATGAAAGCAGGAAGAGCAAAGAGAGCTTCATCTTGCATGCCACCTCCGACTGACAGGAAGAAGCCGCCTAGGGTGCTGTGTCGAGAAGGAATCTGAGAGGAGGCGCTCTGGCTTGGCCAGTAAGATCGCTGCAGTTCGTCAACGGTGCCTATAAAAGCACAAGAAACCAAAGTGACAACATCCGTGGACACACGCGAACCAGGGAGGGGTGTACGTAACAAAATAAGTGTCCGTCCATGCTGTTGCCGTTGCCCCCAGCGCCCCCACCCTGGCCCTCCCTCTGACATCTCACCCCCCTCCGCAGCCCTCCTGCAGAGTCTCATTTCTCTACCGAAACTCTTACTGGATCCAGGAGAAGAAGCTGGCGCCAGCTCTGGCAGCATTTCTGGTCCGGATGGTGGAGCTGGTGCTGGGGCCATCTAGGACGCTGGTGCTGGCCCCTCCATTGGTGCCACTGCTGACGCCAGCTCTCCACGTGGCCCTCCTGTTGGCACGGTTGCTATTCAGAATGTACTGATGGTATCTGGCCCAGAAAGCAAAGGGGATCCTGGCCCAGGCATCGCCAAAATCTCCGTCCTCATCCCAGGTCAGGAGCTCGACTTGTATGTCATCCCAGCTCCACCGTCCAATCAGCGCTTCATCCCCGATATTCATCTGGGCCCTCATCTGGGCCCTGGCATGTTCCTCGGCCATATCCACATCCATTGTCTTGAAAGCATCATCCACAGCCTCCAAGAAATGAGCCTTCCATTCCCGGGGGTCTCGGTTCTGATTCTGAGGAGGAAAAGGGCAGGCATAGACACAGAGCTACCCCACACTGGCTGAGCACCCGCGGCCCGCCTCACCCCCTCCCGTGTGCTTTGTGCAATGATGGCAAAAATCAGGACCACAGGGATTGGGGGCTCCTACTCTCCTGTGCCAGACCTGGGATTTTGCCCCATCTGTGACCTTGTGTAGGGTGCTCAGGTGCCTCTGTGAGTGTTTGGTACCCTCACTGGAATACGGGGTAATGGGAAGGAGGCCTCGACCAAGAAACAAGCAAGGTGTGGAGAGCACCACCCCCGGTGCCGGGCACCCAACAGAGGCGCTCCCTTACCTGGGCGATGAATCTCAGGACCCTCATCTTGCTGGTCTCATGGCGGGCTCGCAGGCCCCAGAGGAATTCATACTCAGGTGGGTTGCTGTTGGGGATCTTCTTGTATTCCAGGTACCTTGGCATGAGAGGAAAGTAAACTTTGCTGCTAGCCAAGCAGACCTGTTGCTGAACGGATGGGTTCCAGGGGGCCCCTCCTCAACCCGATGCCGCAGCTCAGCTCCTGGAAGAGGACTGTCCTGCCCCTCCAGCCCTTCACTCATTCCCAAACCCACTCCCAGGACTTCTGCCTGCAAAAGTGAGGCCTTCAAAGCCTTTTGCCATTGGTCCTCCCCGGAAGCCATGCGGAGGTGCAGGGGGTCCACATGTAGGGCATTTGTCTGTAGGGAGGCCACAAGTTTGTGCCCCTCATCACGATGACCCCAGCTTCCTGTTGGGTGTGTTGTAAACAGAGGAGCCATTCTTCAGGCCCCCTGCTCTGAGCACACCCCACCTCGAGGGTCTTGGCCACACCCCGGCGGAGCCCTGGAGAGGCCCACCAGAGGAAACGACTGGAGAGGAAGAAACAGTCAGCCAGGAGAAGCGTGCTCCAGGCATCCTCCTCAAGTCCTGACCCTTTGTTGGTGTGCATGCGCGCCTGTGCGTTGGCAAGTCCTCCAGGGACGGGGAGAGGGTGGCCCCTGGCCTGAAAATCAGGAGAGTTGGGCTGAGGCCCTTACCAGCTGGGAGCCATGCTCAGAGGCGTCTCCTCTCTGAGCTCCGGGTTCCTTAGGTGTAAACCAGGGGGAACTCTTGTGTCAGTCTACAGGGCAGGTGCTCAAGGTGATGGCGGCCGTTTTCACACCCCACACCGTGTTCTCAGGTGACGTGAGCTCCCTTTTCCCAAGACCGCCCTGGCCTTCGGCTCCCCACACACTCGCATACCCCCCACTGCCACTCACTCCCAGGTCAGAGGCACCCATCCCTCCAGTTGAAGATTTGGGATAGGGAACTGCTTTCTCAGCCAGACCAGCACACAAAGGATGCTCGAGTGAGAGCCGCAGTTAGCTCAGGTGATACTTACTTCTGCTTCACAAAGTCATCTGTGATGAGCTTCCTCAGATCGCCGAGGAATGGGTGCCTCACCCTGAGGGCAAGGAAAGGAATCCATGAGCAGAGACGGTGGCAGGGGCCCTCCCTAGCATGACTATGACTTCCCAGCCCCCGGGGAGTCGCTGTGGAGGCCTGGGCATGCAGCAGAGGCCAGAGGACTGTTGGTCAGGGACGCCCCAGGTAGGGATTTGATGGAATCCCTGACTCTGACTGTCTCTCTTAGATGTCATCTGGGGCCACAGAGCAGAGAGAGGGCTGAGCAGCGTCCAGCACCGCTTCCCCATCCGCCCTGGTGAGATCCTTTGCTCTCTACCGAGCCCAGGGCACCCCACGCCCTTGCGCCAGACCACCAGGCTATTGCAATCCCAGGACCTCTTTGGCCAGAGGATAGCACCGAGGGGAGGAGCTGGAGAGGCCAATCATACCCAGGGCGCAGTCCCATCTTGCGTAGTGCCTCCCAGAGGACAGCTGCGAGGGGAGAGGAGGTACGAGAGTTTGGCACCCAGAAGATGAGACTATGGGCAGCCCCCCAGTTGCAGGTCCAGCCACTCACCCTCGCTGGCACGGTTGCCATTCATGAAGATGACGCCCAGAATCACCAAGAGGAGACTCAGCCTGGGAGTGTCCTTGGTTCTAAAGGTGTGGAAAGAGAAATCCTGTTTAGCAGCTATTTGCCTGAGAGACACCACCAGGCTCTCCCAACTAGCCTCTCTCAGGTTTCCCAGCTTGAGGGGAACTCTTCCCAGGACAGGCACAGTTCACTAGCTGCTGACAGACCATTCGCACCTCCGCCTGAGACTTAATCGCCTCCTCTATAAAACATGGGTACTAACACTTCCCTGACAGGGTTCTGCAGAGGACAGGGCGAGGCAGGGAGCCGAAGCTCTGCAAATGGCAAACGTGTGCCCAGAGATGGCTCCAGACCTTTCCTGCCCCTTCCACATCAGCACCTACACTGAAGAGGCAGCTCTCCCCTAGGCCAGCTCTGCCAGGCCCAGGCCAGGCAGGCAGGAGGAAGAGGCACTTTCCTCCGAAGCTTTGGGGATAAAGCCCGGCAGCAGCTTGGGGAGAACTGATGGCAGCAAGGCCTCACCCCAGGCTATCATTCCTTTCATCCAGCAGTCACCAGGCAGCCCTCGCTGTGTGTGGGAGCGGTGCGCCGCACTCAAGCCCCGTCTTCCTGCTTCACTGAAGGGGTGTGGGCAGGGAAGGGACACCACCGAGGAAGGCCACGACCCGCTTTCCCTTTCTTACTTTCCAAGGAGGCGAGCTGAGGAGTCCCGTGTGCAGACAAGAATATACAGGTGTTCTTCCTTGTCGATCTCCTTCAGGTGGATCCCAAACTTCTACGTGGGGGAGAAAACAGAGTGTGAGATCCAAACCCCATGCTGGGCATCCTGCCGGCAGACAGTGATTCCGGGTTAGAACTGCTCCTCAGCAAGGAATCCAAACTCGTGAGCGAGGGCAGAAGAAGACAGCACACGGAAGACCTTCGCTGTGGGAGCTGACGCTGGCAGAGGCGATGAGACCCACCTGGCCAGACGGCGAGACACTCAGAGAGCATGAGAGAGAGAAGCCGAGGGCAGGAAGCACGAGTCAAACTGCCAGTGCAGTGGAAGCTCAGAGTCGGAGAGGTGAGAGATGGCTCCAGAGACTGGGCCTTGAGGGGCTGCAGGGTCACCGCACCCCCATGCCCGCTCTTCCCCCACAGAGCTGCTCCCATCCTGCACCCACCTTTTCCAGGGTGTACGTTGCTCGTTCAATGATCTCAGGGAAATGTTCATCATATTCTCTGATGACATCCTTCAGCATGTCTGCAGGAGGGGGAAGAGTTGGAGAAAGCACCTGGGCTGAGCAGGGGTCATAGAGCTGTAGCCCCTTGGTCAGCTCTGCCGAGGGTGACGCAGCCAGGACCCCGTCCTGTGGCTATGGAGGGACCAGCCGTGGCACGCAAGCAAAGGGATGCCCACAGACTAGGGGATGGTGAAGGGGGCACAGGCTGCCTACCTGCGCGCTTGATGGGGATCTTCTTGTAGTCCTTAATCATCAGGTATTTCACCAACTTATTTGCCTGGAGAAGGAGGAACATGCGGGGAGGTCAAGGCATGGGTGACAGCAGAGACGTGGCCCACAAGGGAGGAGAGGAAGGAGATGGGGGAGGGTGGGCTTCTTACCCTCTCCTGCAGAAGGGTCACGTTGCGGGGGGGCAGGCACAGTACGTGCCTTGAGGGTATCTGGGACCTCGGGGCCATCGGGGGCCGAGGGGCCAACTGAGCCCGCACCGTCAATGAGGGCTGTGATGCTCTCCAGGTGGGTGGGACCGCGGGAGTCTCTCTCTCCTCCTCGCTGCTCTCATACTCATCATCCAGGTGCTTGGACTGTATCATTTGAGAGAGGAGAGACCCAGGGCTACCAGGCTCCCCGTGCCAAAGCACCCGGCACGCACCTCACCCGTAGCAGGCTCTTGGAAATGAGAGCAGTACCAGCAGCGGCTGGCATGTGCTGCGTGCTTACTAAGTGCCAGGCACTGAGCCAGCCTCTTCTCCCACCAGTCCTGAGGGTAGGGACTACGTGGAGTGAAAACATGCTCAGCAAACTTGTGTTGGAGAAACATGGACTAGCTGAGAGGAGAGGAGGGGAGGAGAGGGGAGGTGAGGAGAGAAGGAGGGGAAAGAGGAGAAGAGAGGAAGAAGGGGGAGAGGAGAGGGAGGAGAGGAGCAGGAAAGGGAGGAGAAGGAAAGGACAGGAGCAAGGGGGTGTGGAGGTGGCAGGGGGCAGGGGGATCTCACCTTCTTGGTCCTCTTGCCTCCCATCCTGGCCCAGGGCTCAGCACTGTGCTGAGCAGTGGCAGCAGCTGCACCCTCCGGCTCAGGGATGCTCGTGGCCATCTTGGCCTTGGCAGCAGCTGCTGCCACAACATTCTGAGGCTCCACCCACCGAGTCTTGGCCAGCGCCTTCCCCGACTTGGTGGTCTTGGGCCGGGTGGCTGCCACCTCCCTGCCAGGTCCCGTCTGGGGCACACCAGAGGCAGCACTGGGGCCCTCTGTGGCAGCCTCTTGGGCTGGGGCAGGTCTCTTGGGGCGCGGGAAGGCCATGCCACTGACACCTGCCGGCTGAGTGAAATCGAAGACATCATTCTGGCCCAGGAAGGCTGTGCTGGGCCGGTTGGCGTCCACCTCCCTGGCACACGGAGCCTGAGAGAAAGCACAGGCGCTACTAGGGCCCTCAGTAGCAGCCTCCTGGGCCGGGGAGCCTGTCTGGGACTGTGCGGAGGTTGCCGGAGCCTCGGGGGCAGCCATCTTACTGGTGACTAACATCTGGGAGGTCTGCGGAGAAGCAAGGGGTGGCTCAGGGGTGGGCCCCTGAGCCTCGGCGGCGTAGGTCGTGGGCTGGGTATCCTCTCCTGAGACCTGCGGCGTGGCCACCCGGTGGCTAGCGACCACCTGACTGAAGGCGGTACGGGCAGCGGCGGCAGCGGCCCGAGCCGCACGGTTGGAGGCGGCGGCGCGGGCTACGTTGGCAGCACGGGCGGCCGTCTCATTGGCAAGTGTTTCCGGATCCAGCTGCAATGCCTCCACCAGGGTCTGGGCCAGCACAGGGTTTTCCAGTTCCCAGGGCTCATTCTGCAAGGCCAGAGAGAGGGGTTGGGGAAGGCAGGCCACTCGACGACATACTTGTGTTAGCTTCCCTGTGCTGGCCAGCCTCTTCCCAGCAGTCAGCCCTGAACACCCCAAGACCTTCCCAAATCTTCTTCTTCCGAGCAGGGGAGGGAAGGCTTGGGAAGCTGGGCAGTCCTTTCCCACACAACCCTCCTGGCTCCCCCCTCCTCCCTCCCCCATTCACAGGGGAAAGGCCCAGGCCAGCAGGTGTCCAGGAAGGGGCCTCACCGATAAGATGCGAAGGCCTGGACCCAAGCTTCCGAAGGCTCTGAGGATATGGATGTCAAAGCTGGTGAGGGTGCCATAGCCACCAAACGCACCGAATTCTTCATAGTCGTTGCCTTCAACCATCTCTTCCTCCCCGACTTCGTCGCTACCCTCATCCATGTCTTCAACACTGTAGCTTTCCGATTGCACGCTGAAGCTTCCCTCAGCCATGCTGCGGGTCCCAGGGAGATGAGAGCTCAGCCTGAGAGGGAGGGTGAAGCAGCTGCAGGGGGAGGGGGCGGGATCCAATGGGAGGCGGGATCTCCCGGGAGGTGAGGGGCGACAATCATCAGGTTACTAGGCAATATTAGGCAGTAGGGGGCGGGGGGGGGGAGGAGGAGCGGGGGGGAGACGGTTTGGCTTTCTGATGGGGTAGACCTGGTCAGGGACAGAGCCCAAGGAAAGGGACAGAGGAGGTCGCAGGAGGCGCCGCACTGAAAGCGGAGTTTAGGATGGGCAGGCTCGCCATCCCAGCGGCTAGATTTGACGAGGGGGTGTTCTGGAGGGCTGGGGTCCGAAGAGTCCCAAAGGGAATGCATTGGGGAAGAGAGAAACAAAGGGTTTGGATTTACGGGCCAGAGAAGGGGACCGGGATGAAGGGGGAGCAGATGGGAGAGCTCAGACAACAGGGACAGTGGCAAGCCGCAAGCTCTGCGAAACAGAACCCCAGGGACCTTTGGCTAGGTCCGGGCGGGGGGCCTAGGTGGGGCTCAGACTCGAGCACTAGAGGCGGATGGAGTGGGGGCCTCAGACCTAGGTGAGGCTCCAATCGGAGCGCTGCAGATCTCAAACGCGAGGACTGGGCACTCCAGGAAGGGGGCAAGCGGTCAGCTCGGTTCGAGTAATCTAGGAGTGGTTGGGGTGGGGGTGGGGCCTCAGGTCCAAGGGAGCTCAGCTCGGAGCACACGGGTCTGCTAAAGGGGTGAGGATCCTGGGCTCCGGTTTCAGTAGGGCTCAGATCGGGGCGCCTGGGTCTGATGGTGATGGGGGCTCCTATCTAGACCTTGGGTCTAATGGGGTTCCGGTTCTGAGTGCTTGGGCTTTGTTCAGATCCGGAGGCGGAGGGAGGGCGCAGCGTGTCGGGTTCCACTCGCCCTCTCCCGGTCCTGTCTGGGGCTGGATCCTTACCTTCTCGGGAACTCCAATGGCGTCCGTCCTCAGCACCAGGAACCCCGCAGCCGCGCCCTCGCCTACTGCTGCCAGCACAGCAGCCCGGACCACCCCGCCCCTTTTCTCCGTGCACCCCCCGCGGCTGGGTAGCCTGCGCATGCGCGGACCCCTCCAGCCCGCCCGCTTTCCCAACAAAAGCCCTTTCCTCCAGGTCTCCAGTGCGCATGCGATTCCGCGGGTGGGTGGGCGGTGGGGTCGAAGGTAGGGTGCGGGGGGCTCTTCCCGCCAGATCCACTTCACCTCTCCTCCTCCTCCTCCTCCTACCGCGGGCGCGCACACTCATACCCTGCAGTGCAGCTCGACCCACCCAATCATCTCTTCTCAGTCCCCCCACTTTTGCACAATGCTTCTCTGTCCTGCCCTGCCCTTTCACCCAAACTCCTCCAGCCTGGTCTGGGATACACTATGCCCCGTTTCCCCGGCAAGACCCCTTAGGTCACAATTAGTGAGGTCTCACAATTAATAAGCTGGGTCTCTAACTGCAACAAGTGGAAATCCTCAACCTGCGGGGCTACGAAATGGACATGGCCAGAGGATGGCACTTCGCTTTGTGTGCTTCTCCACTAGCCAACTCTCTGGCCCCCAGACATACTGGGAACATCTGCTTCCTCAGCTACCCTTTATGCAGCTTGTATGTCACAGAGGGATCTGTGCTGGGGCTTTTCTTCCTCTCACAGCAGCGCTGGGAAGTGGATGTCAGCATCCCCATTTGGCGTGTCAGGAAGCTGAGGCACAGACACATTGCATGAACTAGACCACAGAGCCAGGAAACAGAAAATGCAAAATTTGAACCTGGGTCTTCCGGACTCCAAAGTCCACCTCCTGCTCCTGCTGGCCTGGGGACAGAGGCACCGCCTCCTCCGTCTGAGTGACAGGCCTCCCCCACCCCAACATCTGTCCCAAAGAAGCAAGGTTTGTGCTGTAGAAGGCCTAAGTTCATGCTCCGCATTCAGGACACAGGGAGACAGAGCCTCCCCCCGCCTCGCCCCCAGCCTCTGCGGCTCTATGTGGGTCCATCCAGGTATGAGAATTGCTCCACCGGGTCCACTCTCTACTCAGATTGTCAGGCCTCTTCCTTATCAGCGATACAATCACGCTGCCGCTGAGACCCTCCTGGTGTCCGCCAGGACAATTAGACACCTGTGTGTCTGAGCTAATTACTCCACAATCTACAAGCCCAGTTCAAACTTCACTTTTGAGGTCCAAGTGCATAGTACATTCACCTGCCTACGTGACATCTCCACTTGGATGTCTTTTGAGGCAGAAAATGCTGTGGTCTCATCTGCAGTCGAACCTGGACTGTTTGTAAAATTCGTAGTAGATTTTTATATTTGTTTTTATGTCAGCCTCACCAGGACCCCTGTGTATGAATGGAAGGTATTGCTAGGACAGCAGCTTTTACTCTCCGCTGACCAGTATCCATTCTGCCTGGCTCTGTGGTTTTCTCCAGCTGTTATATATCAATCTCTCCTGTCAGCTGCTTGTGCCTCTTTAGCCCTTCCCCTGTAACATATCCTCTGCGGGAGAGGAACACACCCTACAAACGAAAGCCTTCAGAAAGTGCTACGTGCTAATCACTCCAAAAAATCTACAACCCCAGTCTGAACTTCACTTTTGAGGTCCAAGTACATACATTCACCCACCTACGTGGCATCTCCACTTGGAAGTCTCAAGGGCTCTTCATGGTTTGCCTGTCCAAAACTGGTCACTTGGTATACTCACTCCTCCCATACACTCACACATCCCCATCGCTCCTGTTCCCCCCCCCCCCAACCCATCTTCACAGTCTCAGTAAATGGCGCCATTATCCACACAACCACTCACTCCAGAAACTGGGAGTCATCGATCACCACTCCCCGTTTCTGATACGCTGCATCCAGAAGGGCAAGCTCTGAAGGGTCTCCAGAGCTGCCTCTCTGTGCAGCTGTCTTCTCTCCATTACTCCCGGCAAATTCTGGTCCTATGGACCTCTTGAGCTCTCAACTCTGTCTCCTTCACTCAGACGGTCCACCGGGCTCTGTTGTGTTCAGCTCCCCTGTGCTGCAGCCTGCAAACTCTATCCGGGCAAGAAGTTGGTGGAATTGGGCGATCAGAGGGCTCACCTGGTCAGGTTCCCTTTCTCTCAGGGATCACTGTCCCGTATGCAGGTGGTGCCATGACGTTAAGCCTTATAATTTTTTTGGTTTATAGGTATTTAGGCGAGACGGTAAGTCCGGTTCCTGTTAATCCATCATGGCTGGAAATACAAGTATCCACCGGATTTCTTAATTTTCTTTTCACTGAGCCCTGTGCTTTCAGGAGGCCTCCACGTTGCCACGCATAATCTAAAGTATGTCCAAGGTGCTATGCACAGAGAATCCATGGTGTGCATTCCTGACATTTTACCTATCTGCTCGCCCAGAGATTTACCCTTTCTCCTAAGTAACTAGAAAATCAGAAGAAAACCATAAGAAACATTTAGATGTCCAAAGAGAAGAATGACAGCACATTTCTCATTAGCAATATGCAAGTCAGAAGTCATGTGGCACACCATCTTTAAAATCGTGAAATAAAAATAAATGTCAACTCTTAAGTCTATACTCAATGAATATCTTTTCAAATGAAGTTAAAATAGTAGGTGTTTAGACATACAGAAGTTGAAAGAATTGATCATCAATAGACTTGCACTGTAATATTTTTTAAAACTTTTATGTTTGGGGGTACATGTGAAGGTTTGTTACATAGATAAACACGTGTCACGGGGGTTCGTTGCACACATGACTACATCACCCAGGTATTGAACTCACTATCCAAGAGTTATCTCTTTTCTGCTCCTCTCCGTCATCCCACCCTCCCCCTTAAGGAGACCCCAGTGTCTGTTGTTTCCTTCTTTGTGTTCATAAGTTCTTATCATTTAGCTCCCAATTCTAAGTGAGAACATGTGGGATTTGCTTTTCTGTTCCTGCGTTAGTTTGCTGAGCTTATAGCCTCCAGCTCCATGCCTGTTCCCACAAAAGACACGGCCTTGTTCTTCTTTATGGCTGCATAATATTCCATGGTGTATATGCACCACATTTTCCGTATCCAGTCTGTCATTGATGGGCATTTATGTTGATTCCACGTTTTTGCTCTTGTGAACAGTGCTGCAGTGAATAGTCCAGGTGCATGTGTCTTTATGGTAGAATGCTTTATATTCCTCTGGCTCTATACCCAGTAATGGGATTGCTGGGTCAAATGGTAGTTCTGCTTTTAGCTCTTTGAGGAATTGCGATACTGCTTTCCACAATGGTTGAGCTAATGTACACTCCCGCCAACCGTGTATATGGGTTTCCTTTTCTTGGCAACCTCGCCAGCATCTGCTATTTTTTGTTTTTAGTAACAGCCATTCTGACTGTTATGGGATGGTATCTCATTGTGGTTTTGATTTGCATTTCTCTAATGATCAGTGATATTGAGCTGTTTTTCATATACTTCTTGGCTACATGTATGTCTTCTTTTGAGAAGTGTCTGTTCATGTCATTTGCCCCCTTATTAATGGGGTTGTTTGTTTTTCTCTTGTGCATTTGTTTAGGCTTTTTATAGATGCTGGATATCAGACCTCTGTTAGATGAATAGTGTTGCAAAAATTTTCTCCCACTTTGTAGGTTGTCTGTTTACTCTGTTGATAGTTTCTTTTGCTGTGCAGAAGCTCTAAGTTTAATTAGATCCCATGTGTCAATTTTTACTCTTGCTGTGATTGCTTTTGGTGCCTCTGTCGTGAGATCTTTGCCTGCTCCTATGTCCAGGATGGTATTGCCTAGGTTGTCTTCCAGGGTTTTTATGGTGTTGGGTTTTACATTAAAGCCTTTAATCCATCTCATGTGGATTTTTGTAGATAGTGTAAGGAAGGGGTCCAGCTTCAATCCTCTGCATACGGCTAGCCAGTTATCACAGCACCATTGATAGAATATGGAGTCTTTTTCCCACCGCTTGTTTTTGTCAGCTTTGTCAAAAAAAAAAAAAAAGAAAAAAGCTGGTTGTAGATGTGCGACATTATTTATGGCCTCTCTATTCTGTTCCATTGGTCTATGTGCCTGTTTTTGTGCCAGTACCAGTACCATGCTGTTTTGGTCATTGTAGCCTTGCAGTATAGTTCTTTTAGCTTACGATTGCCTTGGCTATCCGGGCTCCTTTTCTGGTTCCATGTACATTTTTAAATAATTGTTTCTAGCTCTGTGAAGAATGTCCTTGGTAGTTCGATGGGAATAGCATTGAATCTATAAATTGCTTTAGGCAGTGTAGCCACTTTAATGATATTGGTTCTTCCTATCCATGAGCATGGGATGTTTTTCCATATGTTCATGTCTGCTCTGATTTCTTTGAGCAGTGTTTTGTAATTCTCATTGTGGAGATCTTTCACCTTCCTGGTTAGCTGTATTCCTAGGTGTTTTATTTTTGTGTGTGTGGCAATTGGGAATGGGATTGCCTTTCTGATTTGGCTCTCAGTTTGGTTGGTGGTGGTGTATAGGAATGCTAGTGATCTTTGTACATTGATTGTGTATCCTACAACTTCGCTCAAGTCGTTTATCAGCTGAAGGAGCTTTTTGGCCAAGACTATGGGGTTTTCTAGATATAGAATCATGTCATCTGCAAACAGAGGTGGTTTGGCTTCCTTTCTTCCTATTTGGATACACTTTATTTATTTCTCTTGCCTGGTCGCCCTGACCAGGTCTTCCAGTACAATGTTGAGTAGGAGTAATGAGAGAGGGCAACCTTGTCTTGTGCCGGTTTACAAGGAGAATGCGTCCAGCTTTTGCCCATTCAGTATGATATTGGCGTGGGTTTGTCACAGATGGATTTTCATTATTTTGAGGTATGTTCCTTCAATATTGAGTTTATCGAGAGTTTTTACCATGAAGAGATGTTAACTTTTATCAAAAGCCTTTTCTGCATCTATTGAGATCACCATACGTTTTTTGTCTTTAGATCTGTGTATATGATGAATCACATTTATTGATTTCCGTATGTTGAACCAAACTTGCATCCCGGGGATGGAGCCTACTTGATCGTGGTGGATTAGCTTTTTGATGTGCAGCTAGGTTCGGATTGCCAGTATTTTGTTGAGGATTTTCGCATCGATGTTCATCAAGGATATTGGCCTGAAGTTTTCTTTTGTTGTGTGTGTGTCTCTGCCAGATTTTGGTATCAAAATGATGCTGGCCTCATAGAATGAGTTGGGGAGAAGTCCCTCCTCCTCAGTTTTTGTTTTTTTTTTTTTTTTTGGAATAGTTTCTGTAGGAATAGCACCAGCTCTTCTTTGTACATCTGGTAGAATTAGCTGTGAATTCCTCGGGTCCTTTTTTCTTGTTGTTGTTGTAGTTGTTTTGTTGTTGTTCTTGTTGTTAGGCTATTTATTACTGAATCAATTTCAGAGCTCATTATTGGTGTGTTCAGGAACCAATTTCTTCCTGGCTCCATCTTGGGAGGGTGTATTTGATTGATTTGGGAGGAATTTATTGATTTCTTGTAGGTTTTCTAGTTTGTGTCTATACAGGTGTTCATAACAGTCTCTGGGGTTTTTCGGTACTTCTCTGGGGTTGGTGGTAATGTCCACTGTGTCATTTCTGAGTGTGTTTATTAGGATCTTCTCTCTTTTTTTTAAAAATTAGTCTAGATAGGGGTTTATCAGTCTTATTTTTTCTTTCAAATAACCAACACCTGGTTTCATTGATCTTTTGTATGGTTTTTTGCAACTTAAATTCATTCAGTTAAGTTCTGATTTTTGTTACTTCTTGTTTTCTGCTAGCTTTGGGGTTGGCTTGCTCTTGTTTTTCTGGTTCCTCTAGGTATGATGTTAGATTATTAATTTGAGATCTTTCTAAGTTTTTGACATGGGCATTTTGCACTAAAAACTTTCCTCTTAACACTGCTTTAGCAGTGTCCCAGAGATTCTGGTATGTGGTAGCTTTGTTTTCATTAATCTCAAAGAATTTCTTGATTTCTGCCTTAATTTCATTGTTTACCCAAAAGTCACTCAGGAGCAGTTTGTTTAATATCCTTGTTATTGTATGGTTTTAAATGATCTTCTTAGTATTGATTTCTGTTTTTATTGTATTGTGGTCTGAGAGGGTGGTTGGTAATTTTTCGGTTTGTTTTTATTTTGCTGAAAATTGATTTATGGCCAATTGTGTGCTCAGTTTTACAGTATGTTTCATGTGCAGATGAGAAGAATGTAGATACTGTTGTTTTGGGGTGTAGAGTCCTGTAGAATAGTCTGTTCAGTCTATGTGGTCAAGCATACTGTTCAGATCCCGGATAACTTTGTTAGTTTTCTGCCTGATGATCTGTCTAATACTGTCAGTGGGGTGTTGAAGTCTCCCACCATTATTTTGTGGTTATCTAAGACCCTCTGTCAGTCTCTAAGAACTTGTTTTATGAATCTGAATGATCCTGTTGTTAGGTGCCAGTGCTCCTATTGTTGGGTGCATATATATTTAGGATTGCTAAGCCTTCTTGTTGAATTGAACCCTTTACCCTTATGTAATGCCCTCTTTGAGGAAATTACAACTTTCTTCATCTTTTTGGTTTTGGCAAAGATTTTCAAAATGAGACACCCAAACCACAAACTATAAAAGAAGAAAAATTAATACATTTGATTCCACCACAATTAAAGTTTTTGGCCTTTAAAAGGCATTCTTTTGAAATTGAAAGAGAAATCCACACTCTGTGATAAAATATTTAGAATTCATATATCTATATCCAACACAGGACACTTCTAGACTATAAAGAAGTCTTATAACTCAATTATAAGAAGGCAAATACTCAACTATAAATATGGAGAAAAGACTTCAACAGACTACCTCACCAAAGAAGATACACAGATGGCTAACAACCACACAAAAAGATACCATCATTTATCATTCAGGAAATGCAGATTAAAATCAAATTTAAATACTGTCGTAGATACATGAGCATGATTGAAATTAAAATAACTGATTATACCCAGTGCTAGCAATGATGTGGAACTTCTGAATGATGGAAACACTTCGGAAATTGGTTTGGTAGTCGCTTACCCAGTTAAATATTCACCTCCCATAAACCAGCCATTCCACTCCAAGACATACACAGGAGAAAAGAAAATATATTTTCATATGATTACTTGTTTATGAATATTCATAGCAAATTTATTTGTAATAGCCAAAAGCCTGAAGACAACCCAAGTGTCCATCAACAGGGAGATGAATTATGAAATTGTGCTATGTCCATACAACGGAATACTACAGCGCATTAAAAAGAAATGAATTGTTGATACTTATGACAACATAAACGCATCTGAAAATATGCTCTCTGAAAGAAGCTAAACCAAAAAAAAAGGGTGCAGGGAGTAAGATTACGTTTATTAAAATTCTGGAATTTCAAAGGAGCCCGAGGATATATTTTTGTTTGTAATACAGGTGTTCATTATCATTACTATAATGATTGTTTCACAGGTGTGATACCAAAACTTATTAGATCATATATGTTAAATATGCTCAGTCTAACATATGTCGATTATAATTAATAAAGATGTAAAGAAGCCGGGCGTGGTGGCTCACGCCTGTTATCCCAGCACTTTGTGGGGGCGAGGCAGGAAGATCGCTTGAGGCCAGGAGTTGAAGATCAACCTCACCAACATAGTGAGCCCCAGTCACTATAAAAAATTTAAAAATTAGCCAGGTGTGATGGGGCATGCCTCCAGTCCCAGCCACTTGGGAGACTGAGGCAGGAGTATCACTTGAGCCAAGGAGTTCCGGGCTGCAGTAAGCTAAGAAGATGCCACTGCACTGCAGCTGGGGTGACAGAGTGAGACCCTATCTCGAAAAAAATAAAAAATAGACACAGTATGGGATATCCCTATCTATCTATATATCATATTATATAATATGCATAATGATATATCTAAAAATAATCTTACGTAAAACAAGAACACATGTCACACTTTACGTGTTTTTATCACATAAGAAAAATGATAAATAATAAACATATTAGAATGGTACATTTAGATGAGCAGTGCACAGTGGGAGTAGAGAGTGCAAACAAAAAGGATCAAATAAATGAATGGCAACAAGAACGGGGCCTTGCCTAAAAGAATGGCAAGAACAGTGATATGAGTTGGAAATGATTTTCTCAACACTCTGACCCTAACGTATCCCCACCCTCCCCTTGCCTGAATTATTCTGACCTTCTCTTAGTCCCCTGTTGAAGCCATGCTTGTTGGTCTTAGCGACTGACTTTACAGTTTTGCTCCCAATACGCCTGAACTGGTAACCCTCTTTGCTGTTCACCTGTCTACCTCATGCTTATATCCAAGTCCTCAGCTTAAATGTCACTTCTTCATGATAGCATTTTCTGGCCACAAAACACTTCACCCTCAATTTAAATTATTTTTTCTCTTTTACTTTCTCTTAGTCCTCTGGAAACTTCCTCTATACCATTTATCCCAGTATATGTCATAATGATACACAGTTTTAGAGGGATTCTTTTTGAAACATCTCTCTCCCCATTGCAGTGAAAGCCCCAGGGTGAAAGTTATCATTGTCTGTTTTCTTCTCCACTGTATATCCTAAGGGCCTGCCTAGTCCAGTGACTGTTATATATTAGAATCTCAAATATGTTTGTTGGAGGCATGAATGAGTGAATGAATGAATGAGTTGAAAAACCAAATGGAAAAGATGGATGGCTTGACAGAGAGACTGGTGAATACATGTAAGTACTGATGATCTTTCCACATGTTGGCTTCCCTGGTAGTGGGGAAACAGCCAGAGATGTGTGTGGGAGAGCAAAGTGATGAAAGAGTCCCAAACCTGGAATATAGAAGGAGAAAGCATGAATAGGAGAAGGATGGAATGAAAAGCCAGTTGGAGGACTGAAATGATGCAGGAAGGAGGGGGAGAGAGAGAGAAAGAAAGGGAGATAGATAGATAGATGATAGATAGATAGATAGATAGATAGATAGATAGATAGATAGATGATAGATAGATAGATAGATAGATAGATAGCAGCAAACAGAGAGGGCAGAGGCAGGGGAGATGAGGGAGCGATGGAGGAGAGAGACAGGAGGTTGTACTACAAGGTGACAAGCAGAAAGCCAGGAGCAGGAAGAAAGCACAGGAACATGTCTTCCTGACAGCTGTGCAGTGATCAAAATATGAAACACCACAAGTTCCCCTTTTCTTTTCCTTACCACAAGCTCTTAACTTTAGCTATGAGAAATTAAAGCTGTTTGTAAAACCTAAAGGTACCACTTTAGGCATTGCTTTTGGTGAAAAGCTAGTTGCTGACATCTCAGCAGTAATAAAGCTGCAGGGAAAGGGACAAGGACAAGAAGGCACTCCTCTTTCAGAAGCAAGCTGCATTCATGTGTCTGTGTGGGAAACACATATTGCAAGGGTAGTAGACTGATATAGGGTTTCTCCTTTAATTTTTGTTAAGGAGAAAAATAATGAAATATCAACTCTTTTGTATAATATGCCATGGAGAATTCCCCACTATGGGGCGCAAGGGATGAAACTGAATCATTTTCTCAGGGACAAAACAAGGAATTCAGAATGGAATTTGCCCCGCTGCTGGCATTGGAAATTCATTATATCAAACTTCTAAAATGAAATAGAGAATTTAATTTCAGAAGCCATAAAAATATTGTAACCATCATCATTAGATACCAAGAATGTTTTTGCAGGTATTGTAAGAGTAAGGAGACTCAGAGAAAACAGTCATTTTCTTTAAATGTTGATTTTTCCAAAGCTCCACGGTGTTTTAATTCACCATAAGCGTGAATTGTTACTTGACCCTGATAGAGTATTATGCGCAATATCTTGCATAGTTTAATGAGCTCTAATGGAGAAATGCTTCCCATACTGAAATCTCTGTAATACTGTGATTTTAGCTTTCACATAAGCTCTTCCTTTCCTCTCTCCTGAAATATGGGTTAGGTTACATTTTACAATGATTCAAGTCTGACTACCTTTTAATGGTGCCTGTGGCATGGGTATGGCTTTACAATGGTATTTATTTGGGAAGGACAGAGGAAAAAACCATTATGACAACTTGTAAGAGTCCAGCATTGGTTATCCATTGGTAACTAGCAGCCTTAGAACAGTTAATACAGACTTAACCAAGTGGCTGATCAACCAGCATACTTGTAAGGCTCGTTGTTAAGAAAAAAAATTATAATCAAATAATCCCTTTTTATCTTAAGATCCTTTTGTGGAGAGTGTGGGTGGTGACTGGTGAGAAGCCAAAAAGTATTGTGCCAAATATTTTCAAAATATTACTTAGTAATAGCTATAATAGATTTCTCAAGAGACCAGTAGTGATATATATTGTCTATTTCAAGGCAATTATAAAATGTGAGATCCATTTTTAAAATTGCGTGCAAAGAAAGACGATTATTTAGATATAGGGGAGTACTTACTGAAGAGGACCTAAATGATCAGTTCTAACTGAGAAATAGCAGAAGCCAGTGACTTGGCCATGGGATGTGTTTTCAACTTGCACCATCTAAATGTCAAATTCAAAGTTCTTAGAGATCAAATGAGGCCTAAATAAGGATCACTTGCTTTCTATGAGACTAGTGTAAGGTCTCACAGAAACATCCACAAGAAACAACAGCAGACAGGGAACTATGACCTCCCCAAATGGACAAACCGAGAAACAACTGACTGACCCTAATGAGATGATCATATGTGAGCCCTCTGACCAATAATTCAAAATAGTAGTTTTAAGGAAATGCGGTCATCTCCAAGATAACACAGAAAATCAATTGTGGAATTTATGAGAGAAATAAATTTATGTATGTATGTATGTATTTATTTATTTTTAGTTTTTGTAGAGACGGGGTCTCTCTATATTGCCCAGGCTAGTCTCAAACTCCTGGCCTCAAGTGATCTGCCTGCTTCAGCCTCCCCAAATGCTGGTATTACAGGCATGAGCCACCATGCCCAGCCTATGAGAGAAATTTAACACAGAGATTGAAATAATAAAACAAATCAAACAGAAATCTTGGAACAGAAATATTTATTTTCTAATGAACTGAAAAATTCATTAGAGGCCCTCATCTGCAGACTGGATCAAACAAAAAAGAATCAGTGGGCTCAAAGATAGGCTACTTGAAAACACATAGTCAAAGGAGAAAAAAGAATGATAGGGAATGAAGATCATCTGCGAGATACAGAAAATTACCTCAAAATAACAAATCTAAGAATTATTGGTGTTCAAGAGGAATTTGAGCAAGATCAAGGGGTAGAAAGTTTATTCAAAGAAATGCTGACAGAAAACTTTCCAAAACTTGAGAAAGAAAGAAATATATCAGGTACAGGAAGGTTAGATAACACCAAACAGATAAAACTCAAGTAAAACTACCCAAGGGCATATAATAATCAAGCTATCAAAGGTCAAGAGCAAAGAGAGAATCTTAAAAGCAGCAAAGAAAAGAAGCAAGTAACATATAAAGGAGTTCCAATTCATCTGGCAACAAACTTCTCAATGGAAACCATACAGATTGGGAGTGGGAGAGAGTTTTATTACATTTTCAAAATGCTGAAAAAAATACTGTCATTTAATAATACTGTATCCAGCCAAGCTACTCATCAAAAATGAAGAACAGATAAATACTTTCCCAGGCAAACAGAAGCTGAGAGAATTTTCCACCATCAAATCCATCTTACGAGAAATTCTAAAGGGAGTTATTCAATCTGAAAAAAAAAGCCACTAAATATTCAACAATAAACCATTTGAAAGTATAAAACCCACTGGTAAAATTAAGTACACAGACAAACCCAGAATACTCTAATACTGTAATTGTGGTGAGCAGTCTACTCATATCTCTAGTATGAAGCCCAAAAGCCAAATCTATCAAAACAATAATAGCTACAACAACCTGTTAAGAGATATGCAATAAGAAAGTATGTAACTTGAGACAACAAAAAGTCAAAATATAGAGGGATGGAGTTAAAGTGTACAGGGTTGTTTTTATTTGTTTCTATTATTTTTGTCATCTCATTAAAATAACTTGTTATATCTATAAGATATTTTTTGCAAGCCTCATGGTAACCACAATGCAAAAAACTATAATAGATACACAAAAAGTAAAAAAGCAATGAATTAAAATATAGTGCCAGAGAAAATCATTTAACCACAAAGGAAGTCAGTAAGAAAGGAAGAAAGAAGCAGAAAAATTGTGAAACAACCAGAAAACAAGCAACAAAATGGCAGTAGTAAGTCCTTACCAATAATAGCACTGAATGCAAATGAACCAAATTCTCGAATTAAAAACATAAAACTCTATTTTCCAGAATGGATAAAAACAAAACCCAACTGTATGTTGCCTACAAGAAACCCATCTCACATATAAAGACAAACACAGACTAAAAGTGAAGGAACAGAAAAAGATATTCTGCCCAAGTGGAAACTAAAAAAGAGCAGGCTCAACTATACTTACATTAGATAAAATACACTACAAATCAAAGGCTATAAAAAGATACAAAGAAGGTCACTATAAAATGATAAAGGAATCAATTCAGCAAGTAGCTATAACCATTATAAATATCTACACAGGCAACACCAGAGCTTCCAAGTATATAAATCAAACATTAGCAGGTCTGAATGGAGAGATAGACTGAAATGCAATAGTAATAGAGGACTTCAACACCCCACTTTCAGTAATGGACAGATCATCTAGACAGAAAATTGACAAAGAAACATTTCAGCTAAACTACACTCTAGATCAAATGGACCTAACTAATGTTACAGAGTATTTCATCCAAATGCTGCATAATACACATTCTTTTCATCAGCACATGGAACATTCTCCAGAATAAACCATACCTTGGGCCACAAAATAATTCTCATCAAATTAAAAAAAAAGTGGGAATCATATCAAGGATCTTTTCTTTCTTTCATGATTTTAACTTTTATTTTAGATTCAGGGGGTACACGTGCAGGTTTGTTACATGGGTATATTGTGTGATGCTGAAGTTTGGGATATGAATGATCCTATCACCCAGGTAGTGAGCATAGGACCCAAAAGTTAGTTTCTCATTTCTCCCCAGTCCCTCACTCCATCTTCTAGTAGTCCCCAGTGTTAATTATTGCCATCTTTATGTCCACAAGTACCCAATGATTAGCTCCCACTTATAAGTGAGAACATGCAGTATTTGGTTTTCTGCAGTTATGTTAATCCATAGGATAGTGGCCTCCAGCTGCATCCACGTTGCTGCAAAGGAAATGATTTAGTTATTTTTTATGGCAATGTGATATTCCATAGTGTATCATGTACCACATTTTCTTTATCCAATCTACCATTGATGGGCACCTAGGTTGATTCCATGTCTTTGCTATTTGAATAGTGTTGTGATGCCCATACAAGTGCATGTGTCTTTTTGGTAGAATAGTTTACTTTCTTTTGGATATATATTCAGTAATGGAATTGCTGGGTTGAATGGTAGTTCTGTTTTAAGTTATTTGAGAAATCTCCAAACTGCTTTCCATAGTTGCTGGACTAATTTACATTCCCACCAACAGTGTATAAGCATTTCCTTTTCTTTGCAGCCTCACCAGAATCTGTTGTTTTTTGACGTTTTGTTAATAGCCATTCTGCCTGGCATGAGATGGTATCTCATTGTGGTTTCGCTTCGCATTTCTCTGATGAGTAATGATGTGGAGCATTTTTTTCGTATGTTTGTTGGCCACATGTCTTCTTTTGAGAAGTATCTGTTCATGTCTTTTGACCACTTTTTAATGGGGTTATTTATTTTTTGCTTGTGAAATTGTTTATATTCCATATAAATTCTGGATATTAGACTTTTTCCAGGTACATAGTTTGCAAATATTTTCTCCCATTCTGTAGGTTGTCTTTTCACTCTGTTGATAGTTTCTTTTGCTGTGCAGAAGCTCTTTAGGTTACTTAGGTTCTACTTGTCAATTTTTCTTTTTGGCAATTGCTTTTGAGGACTTAGTCATAAATTCTTTCACAAGGTCAATGTCTAGAATGGTGTTCCCTGGGTTTGCTCCTATGATTCTTTTAGTTTTAGGTCTTATGTTTAAGTATTTAATCCATTTTGAGTTGATTTCTCTATATGGTGAAAGGTAAGGGTCCAGTTTCATTCTTCTGCATATGGCTAGCTAGTTATCCCAGCATCATTTATTGAATAGGCAGTCCTTTTTCCATTGCTTATTTTGTAGTTATTTTTTCCCGATCCTCTCCCTCCTCCCACCCTCTGCCCTCCAGTAGGCCCCAGTGTGTGTTGTTCCTTTGTATGTGTCCATATGTTCTTATCATTTAGCTCACACTTATAAGTGAGAACATGAGGTATTTGGTTTTCTGTTCCTGTGTTAGTTTGCTAAGGATAATGGCCTCCAGCTCCATCCATGTTGCTGCCAAGAACATGATCTCATTCTTTTATGGCTTCATAGTATTCCATGGTGTATATGTACTACATTTTCTTTATCCAGCCTATCACTGATGGACATTTAGGTTGATTCCATGTCTTTGCTATTGTGAATAGTGCTGCAATTAACATTTGCATGCATGTGTCTTTATAATAGAATGATTTATATTCCTTTGAGTATATACCCAGTAATGGGATTGCTGAGTCAAATGGTATTTCTTTCTCTAGATCTTTGAGGAATCACCACACCGTCTTCTACAATGGATGAACTAATTTACACTCCCACCAACAGTTTAAAAGCATTCCTTTTTCTCCACAACCTCGCCAGCATGTTATTTTTTGACTTTTTAATAATAGCCATTCTGACTGGTGTGAGATGGTATCTCATTGTGGTTTTGATTTGCATTTCTCTAATGATTAGTTATGTGGAGCTTTTTAAATATGATTGTTGGCCACATGCACGTCTTCTTTTAAGAAGTGGCTGTTCATGTCCGTTGCTCACTTTTTAATGGGGTTGTTTGTTTTTTTCTTGTAAATTTAAGTTTCTTATAGATAATGGGTATTAGACCTTTGTAAGATGCATAGTTTACAAAAATTTTCTCCCATTCTGTAGGTTGTCTGTTTACTCTGTTCACAATTTCTTTTGCAGTGCAGAAGCTCTTTAGTTTAATTAGATCTCGTTTGTCAATTTTTGTATTTATTGCAATTTCTTTTGGTTGTCTTTATCATGAAATCTTTGCTTGTGCCTGTGTCCTGAATGAGATTGACTAGGTTTTCTTCTATTTTTTATAGTTTTGGGTTTTACATTTAAGTATTTAATCCAACTGGAGTTGATTTTTGTATATGGTATAAGGAAGGGGTCCAGTGTCAGTTTTCCACATATGGCTAGCCTGTTCTCCCAGCATCATTTATTAAATATGGAATTCTCTCCCCATTGCTTTTTTTTGGTCAGGTTTGTTGAAAATAAGGTGTAGGTGTGTGGTCTCCTTTCCGGGTTCCCTATTCTGTTCCATTGGTCTATGTGTCTGTTCTTGTACCAGTACCATGCTGGTTTGGTTACTACTGCCTTGTAGTATAGTTTGAAGTCGGGTAGCGTGTTATCTCCAGCTTTGTTCTTTTTGCTTAAGATTGCCTTGGCTCTTCAGACTCTTTTTTGGTTCCATATGAATTTTAAAATAGTTTTTTCTAGTTCTGTGAAGAATATCAATAGTAGTTTAATGGGAATAGCATTGAATCTATAAATTGCTTTGGGCAGTATGGCCATTTTCACAATATTGATTCTTTCTATCCATGCCCATGGAATGATTTCCAATTTGTTAGTGTCATCTCTGATTTCTTTGAGCAGTGGTTTGTAGTTCTACATGTAGAGGTCCTTCATTTCCCTTGTTAGCTGTATTTCTAGGTATTTTATTCTTTTTTATGGCAATTGTGAATGGGAGTTCATTTGTGATTTAGCTCTTGGCTTGCTTGTCGGTGGTGTATAGAATTGCTAGAGATTTTTGCACACTGGTTTTGTATCCTGAGACTTTGTTGAAGTTGCTTATCAGCTTAAGAAGCTTTTGGGCTGAGATTATGGGGTTTTCTAGATATAGGATCATGTCATCTGCAAACAGGGATAGTTTGACTTCTCTTCCTATTTGAATAGACTTTATTTCTTTCTCTTGCCTGATTGCCCTGGCCAGAACTTCTAATACTATGTTGAATAGGAGTTGTGAGAGAGGGCAACTTTGTCTTGTGCCAGTTTACAAGGGGAATGCTTCCAGCATTTGCTCATTCAGTATGATGCTGCCTGTGGGTTTGTCATAGTTGGCTCTTATTATTTTGAGGTACGTTCCTTCAATACCTAGTTTATTGAGAGTTTTTAACATGAAAGGATGTTTAATGTTATCAAAAGTCTTTTCTGTACCTATTGAGGTAATCATGTAGCTTTTGTCTTTAGTTCTGTTTATGTGATTATTAATTTTCATATGTTGAATCAACCTTGCATCCCAAGGATGAAGCCTACTTGATCATGGTGGATAAGCTTTTTAATGTGCTGCTGGATTCAATTTGCAAGTATTTTGTTGAGAATTTCTGCATCTATGTTTATCAAGAATATTGGCCTGAAGTTTTCTTTTTTTGTTGTGTCTCTGCCAGGTTTTAGTATCAGAATGATGCTGGCCTCATGGAATGAGTTAGAGAGGAGTCCTTCCTTTTCCATTTTTTGGAATAGTTTCAGTAGGAATGATACCAGCTCTTCCTTGTGTATCTGGTAGAGTTTAGTTGTGAATTCACCTGGTCCTGGGATTTTTTTTTTTTTTGGTTGGTAGACTATCCATTACTGTCTCAATTTCAGAACTTGTTATTGGTCTGTTCAGGGATTCAATTTCTTTCTGGTTCAGTCTTGGGAGGGTGTATGTGTCCAGGAATTTATAGATTTCTTCTAGATGTTCTAGTTTATGTGCATAGACATGTTCATATTATTCTCTTATGGTTGTCTTTATTTCTGTGGTAATATCCCCCTTGCAGTTTCTGATTATATCTATTTAAATCTTCTCTCTTTTTTTCTTTATTAGTATAGCTAGCAGTCTATCTATTTCATTAATTTTTCAAGAAAACAGCTCCAGTATTCATTGATTTTTTGAATGGTTTATTGTGTGTCTATCTCCTTTAGTTCAGCTCTGATTTTGGTTATTTATTTTCTTCTCCTAGCTTTGGGACTTGTTTGCTGTTGGTTCTCTAGTACTTTTAGTTGTAATGTTAGGTTGTTACTTGAGATCTTCCTATTTTTTATGTCAGCATTTAGTGCTATAAATTTCTCTCTTAACACTGCCTTAGCTGTGTCCCAGAAATTCTGGTACATTGTATCTTTGTTCTCATCAGTTACAAAGAACTTTTTGATTTCTGCTTTAATTTCATTATTTACCCAAAAGTCATTCAGGAACAGGTTATTCAACTTCCACGTAATTGAATAGTTTTGAGTGAATTTCTTAGTCTTAATTTTAAATTTGATCCTGCTGTGGTCCAAGAGACTTTTTATTATTATTTCAGTTCTTTTGCAGTTGCTGAGGAGTGTTTTACTTCCAATTATTGACTAATTTTCAAGTAAGTGCCATGTGGCAATTAGAAAAATGTATATTCCTTTGTGCTTGGGTGGAGAGTTCTGTAGATATCTTATCAGGTTTATTTGATCAAGAGCTGAGTTCAGGTTCTGAATATTTTTATTAATTTTCTGTCTTAGTGATCTATCTAATATTGTCAGTGTGGCATTAAACTCTCTGCCTATTATTGTGTGGGAGTCTAAGTCTCTTTGAAGGTCCCTAAGAACTTGCTTTATGAATCTAGGTGCTCCTGTGTTGGGTGCACATATATTAAGGATAGCTAGGTCTTCTTGTTGAATTGAACCCTTTACCATTATGTAATGCCCTTCTTTGTCTTTTAAAATCTTTGTTGATTTAAAGTCTGTTTTGTCAGAAACTAGAATTGCAACCCCTGCTTTTCCTGTTTTTCATTTGCTTGGTAGATTTTCCTCCACCCCTTTATTTTGAGCCTAGGGGTGTCATTGCATGTGAGATGGGTCTATTGAAGACAGCATACCAATGAGTCTTGGTTCTTTACCCAGCTTGCCACTCTGTGTCTTTTAATTGGGGAATTTAGCCTATTTACATATAAGGTTAGTATTGATATGTGTGGATTTGGTCCTTGCATCATGATGTTAGCTGGTTATTTTGCAAACTTGTTTATGTGGTTTCTTTATAATGTCACTGGTCTGTGTACTTCAGTGTGTTTTTGTCATGGCTGGTAAGGGTCTTTTCTGTCCATATTTAATGCTTCCCTCAGGGGCTCTTGTAAGGCAGATCTAGTGGTAACAAGTACCTTTAGCATTTGCTTGTCTGAAAAGGATCCTTTTTCTCCTTCACTTATGAAGCTTTGTTTGGGTAGATATGAAATTCTGGGTTGGAATTTCTTCTCTTTAAAAATGTTGAATATTGGCCCTCAATCTCTTCTGGCCTATAGGATTTCAGCTGAGAGGTCTGCTGTTAGCCTGATGGGCTTCCCTTTGTGGGTGACCTAGCCTTTCTTTCTAGCTGTTTTTAACATTTTTTCTTTCATTTCAACCTTGGAGAATCTGATGATTATGTGTCTTGGGGATGATCTTCTTGTGGTGTATCTTGCTGGGGTTCTGTGCATTTCCTGAATTTGAATGTTCGCCTCTCTAGCAAGGTTGGGGAAGTTCTCATAGATGATATCGTGAAATGTGTTTTCCAAGTTGGTTCCATTCTCCCTGTCTCTTTCAGGTATGCCAGTCACAGATTCAGTTGCTTTATATAATCTTATATTTCTTAGAGGTTTTGTTCATTTCTTTTCATTCTTTCTTCTCTATTCTTGTCTGCCTGTCTTGTTTCAGAAAGCCAGTCTTCAAGCTCTGAGACTCTTTCCTCTGCTTGGTCTATTCTGCTATTAATACTTGTGATGGGATTATGGAATTCTTGCAGTGTGTTTTACAGCTCTATCAGGTTGGTTACCTACTTCTCTATACTGACTAGTTTATCTGTCAGCTCCTGCAATGTTTTATCATGATTTTTAGCTTCCTTCCATTGGGTTACAACATACTCTTTTAGCTCAGTGAACTTTATTTCTGTCCGTATTCTGAATTCTACTTTTGTCATTTTGGCCATCTCAGCCTCAGCCTTGGTCTGAACCCTTGATGGAGAGGTGATGTGGTCATTTGGAATAAAGAGGGCACTCTGGATTTTTGAGTTTCCAGCGTTCTTGCACTGATTCTTTCTCATCTTTGTGGGCTTCTCCATCTTCAATTCTTGAGATTGCTGAACTCTGGACCTTTTTTTTTCTTTTAATAGTCTGGCCACTTTTCTGTAGGGCTGCTGCAGTATACTGGGGTTCCACTCACCCCTAGTCACCTCAGATTTTCCAGTAACTGAAAGTATCACCAGTCTGTGAAACAACAAAGATGAAAGCCTGCCCCTTCCTCTGGGAGCTCCATCCCAGGGAAGTACAGACCTGTTGCTAGCCTGAACACACCTGTAGGAGGTGGCTGGAGACCCCAGATGGGAAGTCTGACCCAGTCAGAAAGAATGGGATTGGGACCTGCTTTAAAAAGTAGCCTGACAAAGTTTTCACACAGCAATTGTGCTATGCTGGGGGTCCACTTCAGCCCCTGGTTGCCTCAGACACTGTGAAGCCCAAAGGCTGGAATGGCTAAGTTGCACAAACAGCAAAGATGGAGGCCTGCCACTCCTCCCGGGAGCTGTGTCCCAAGGAGGCCTGAAACCTCTGTCAGCTGGAGAACGCTGGTGGGGGTAGCTGGAGACCCTGGTTGGGAGGCTCTACCTGGTGATGAAGAACAGGGTTAAGGACATGCTTAAAAAAGCACTCTGGCCATGTTTTTGTGGGGCTGTTGTGCTGTGCTGGGGTACTGTGTCCACTCCTGTTCAGTTTAGGCCCTCCAAAGCCCAAAGGCTGGAACTGCTAAGTTGTCCAAACAGCAAATATGGTGGCCTACCCCTCCCTCTGGGAGTTCCATCCCATGGAGCTTTCAAATCACTTTCAGCTGTAGAACACTGGCAGTGTTGGTTGGAGGCCCTGGTTGGGAGTTTCTGCCCAGTGAGAAGGAATGGAATCAGTGGCCACTTAAAGAAGCAGTCTGGCCATTCTTTGGTAGAGCAGTTGTGCTGTGCTGGGGGATCCCTTCTGTCCCAGTTGGTTTGGACTCTCCAAAGCCCACAAGCTGGAATGGCTTGCCCAAAGATGGCAGCCTTCCCCTCCCCTTGGAAGCTCTGTCCCAGGGAAGCACAACACTGCTACCAGTGACTGGCTGAAATTCCCAGCCAGTGGGCCTTGTCCTGTGAGGCATTGTGGAAGTGGGGACCGCAGACTGTCACTGCTTGGCTTCCTGGATTCAGGCTCTTTCCTAGAAGTATGTAGGGGGATCTAACTTCCCAGTTTGCCAGAGTTGCAGTTACTTTTTCTGGGAAGCCCAGAGCCAGACAGAGTATCTAAAGCTCCTGGGTCTCCATGAATGCCTGAGTGGCTGCTCTGCCAAGGCTCTGATACAGGAGGGGGGCAGGGATGTGCTGGGTAGAGAAGGGCAGGGTCCCTGGCAAGGGCTGCACCATCAGGCTCGTTCCCATGAACCTAAGTGAGAACTGGCACTCCTGTTTTCATACCCAAATGTTGCATTTTCCAAGACCACTCTGGCCTGCCATGCCTCTCATCCTGTGCCCATAAAAACCTGAGACCATAGCAGACACACACACAAGCACCTGGGTGTCAAGAGGAGCAGAACAGCACACCGACAGACACCAGCAGACACCGGCAGGCCATCGGATGGCCAGATGGTGTGGAATTCGGTCAGGGGTGGTTGGAAGAGTCTGGCCACTGGGTGGCCCAACTCCAGGGGAAGACCGTCTTCCCACTCCATTCCCCTTTTGGCTCCCCATCCATCTCACTGAGAACTACTTCCGCCACTCAATAAAACCTTTCACTCTTTCTCCAAGCCCATGTGTGATCCAATTTTTCCAGTACACTAGGGCAAGAACCCAGGATACAGAAAGTGACCCTACCCAAATCTCATGTCGAATCATAATCCCCAATGTTGGAGGAGGAGCCTTGTGAGAGGTGATTGGATCATGGGGGCGGACTTTCCCCTTGCTGTTCTCGTGGTAGTGAGTTCTCATGAGATCTGGTTGTTCAAAAGTGTGTAGCACCTCCCCCTTCGCTACCTTCCTCTTTCTCTGGCCATCTAAGATGTACTTGCTTTCCCTTCACCTTCCACCATGATGGTAAGTTTCCTGAGGCCTCCCCAGCCATGCTTCCTGTACAGCCTGTGGAACTGAATCAAATTAAACCTCTTTTATTTATAAATTACCCAGTCTCAGGTAGTTCTTTATAGCAACGCAAGAACAGAATAATACACACATGTACCCTGAAAATATGTACAGCTATTAGGTATCAAAAAAGAAAAGACCACTACAAGCCAATATCTCTCATGACCACAGTTGAAAAATTATTAACACAATTTCAGCAAATATTAATAAAATCCAACAATCTAAAGGAATGAAATATACATTCTGACCAAGATGTGTGTATCCCAGAAATACAAATGTGGTTTTACATTTGAAAAGCAATTTAATTTTCTTTAATATTCTAAAAATGTATAATGATCTCATAGATGAAGAAAACAATTGACAAAACCCAACATCCATTACTGATAAAATGTCTCTCAGAAAAATGTGAATAGACAATACCTCTCCCAAGCTGGTAAAGGGCAATTTCCTACAAGTAAGATAACATTAAATGAGAGGCCAAATGCTTTCCACACAATATTAGGAAAAAAGGGAAGAATAATCACTCTTCACCACTTCTGTTTAAAGTGCAATAAGCAATAAAGTAAGAAAATGAAATAAAATTAACATTATCAGAAAGGAAGAAGTAAAAATGTCTTTATCAGGAGATGATATGTAGAAAATCCTAAGGAATCTACAAAAGGCTACTAGAATTAATGATAAGTTGGGAAGTTTTCAGGATATAACATTGATCTATAGTAATAAACTATATTTCTATACTCTAGCAATGAATTCTATATACTGGTTAAATTAATGAACCAGCAATGTAGTAGAAATTGAGATAATGCATTAATAAATTGATAAAATATTTTCAAGACCTGCACATTACTATAGCACACTAAGTGACTACATTACTTAGGGTAATTAAAGAAAATGTAAATAAATGGAGAAATTAGCTGTATTCTTAGATTTGTAGACTTAATGTTGTTAAGGTATCAATTTTCTCCAAATTGTTTTATACATTTAATTCAATCACAGTTAAAACCCCAGAAGGCTTTTTCCATAGAAATTGACAAGGTTATTATAAAATTTATCTGATAGTGCAAATGCCTTACAATATAAGAAACAATTTTGACAAGAGCAAATTAAAGAACTTACACTATATGACTTCAAGAGTTATTACAAAGTAGTAGTAATTAAAACCATGAAATATTGAGGTATAAATGAACAGAAGTAAAGTTAATAAAGATACACATAGAAGTTCAATCAATTTTTGACAAAGTTGACAATTCAATAAATAAAAAATATTTTCAATAAATACTATGAATACAATTGGATTACTATTAACAACATAGTAAATTTCAATCACTACTTCATACAATATACAAAAAGTAACTGAAAAGGATTATAAACCTAAATTTAAAAACTAAAACTATAAATTATTAGAAGAAAATGTAAGACATAGAGAAAAGATCTTATTGACATTGTGTTTAGCAATGATTTCTTAAGTCAGACACAAAAAGAGCAAACTATATAAGAACAATATCAATAAATTGAACTTAATCAAAATTAAAATCATTTGGCTTTCAAAATACACTATTAAGAAAGTAAAAATGCTGCCGGGCGCCGTGGCTCACGCCTGTAATCCCAGCACTTTGGGAGGCCCAGGCAGGCGGATCACGAGGTCAGGAGATGGAGACCATCCTGGCTAACACGGTGAAACCCCATATCTACTAGAAATACAAAAAGAATTTAGCCAGGCGTGGTGGCGGGCGCCTGTAGTCCCAGCTACTCGGTAGGCTGAGGCAGGAGAATGGCATGAACCTGGGAGACAGAGCTTGCAGTAAGCCGAGATTGCACCACTGAACTCCAGCCTGGGCGACAGAGAGAGACTCTGTCTCAAAAAAAAAAAAAGTAAGTAAAAATGCAATTTAAAGAGTATTAAAAATACTTGTAGACATACATATGATACTTGTATCTAGAATGTGTAGAAACCTTCACAATTCAAACATAAGAATACAAAACATGCAATAAAAATAGGGAAAATATTTGAAGAGACACTTCACAATGCAGATAAACTGAAGGCAAATCAGATATGAAAATATGCTCAACATCTTTAGTTATTAGGAAAATACAAATTACAAAAAAATAAGATGCCCCTACACAACAACTAAGATGGCTAAATTTAAAACATAGATTGTCCATATTAAGTGTTGTCAAGTGTGATGACCAGTTGAAACTTGCGTACACTTTGTGGTAATGTAAAATAATACCACCACTTTGGAAAATGGTTTGCTGGTTTCTTAAAAGCTTAAACACTCACCTACCATATCATCTAGCCATAACACTCATGCATTTACCCAAGTGAAAAGAAAGAATGTGATGTGATGGTTAATTTTATCTGTCAATTTGACGAAGAATGCTCTTATAGATAGCTCTTATTATTTTGAGATACGTCCCATCAATACCTAATTTATTGAGAGTTTTTAGCATGAAGGGTTGTTGAATTTTGTCAAAGGCCTTTTCTGCATCTATTGAGATAATCATGTGGTTTTTGTCTTTGGTTCTGTTTATATGCTGGATTACATTTATTGATTTGCGTATATTGAACCAGCCTTCCATCCCAGGGATGAAGCCCACTTGATCACGGTGGATAAGCTCTTTGATGTGCTGCTGAAATCGGTTTGCCAGTATTTTATTGAGGATTTCTGCATCAGTGTTCATCAAGGATATTGGTCTAAAATTCTCTTTTTTGGCTGTGACTCTGCCCGGCTTTGCTATCAGGATGATGCTGGCCTCATAAAATGAGTTAGGGAGGATTCCCTCTTTTTCTATTGATTGGAATAGTTTCAGAAGGAATGGTACCAGTTCCTCCTTGTACCTCTGGTAGAATTCGGCTGTGAATCCATCTGGTCCTGAACTTTTTTTGGTTGGTAAGCTATTAATTATTGCCTCAATTTCAGCTCCTGTTATTGGTCTATTCAGAGATTCAACTTCTTCCTCGTTTAGTCTTGGGAGAATGTATGTGTCGAGGAATTTCTCCATTTCTTCTAGATTTTCCAGTTTATTTGCGTAGAGATGTTTGTACTATTCTCTGATGGTAGTTTGTATTTCTGTGGGATCAGTGGTGATATCCCCTTTATCATTTTTATTGCATCTATTTGATTCTTCTCTCTTTTTTTCTTTATTAGTCTTCTAGCGGTCTATCAATTTTGTTGATCCTTTCAAAAAACCAGCTCCTGGATTCATTAATTTTTTGAAGAGTTTTTTGTGTCTCTATTTCCTTCAGTTCTGCTCTGATTGTAGTTATTTATTGCCTTCTGCTAGCTTTTGAATGTGTTTGCTGTTGCTTTTCTAGTTCTTTTAATTGTAATGTTAGGGTGTCAATTTTGGATCTTTCCTGCTTTCTCTTGTGGGCATTTAGTGCTATAAATTTCCCTCCACACACTGCTTTGAATGCATCCCAGAGATTCTGGTATGCACAGCCAATATCATACCGAATGGGCAAAAACTGGAAGCATTCCCTTTGAAAACTGGCACGAGACACGGATGCCCTCTCTCACCACTCCTATTCAACACAGTGTTGGAAGTTCTGCCCAGGGCAATTAGGCAGGAGAAGGAAATAAAGGGTATTCAATTAGGAAAAGAGGAAGTCAAATTGTCCCTGTTTGCAGATGACATGATTGTATATCTAGAAAACCCCATTATCTCAGCCCAAAATCTCCTTAAGCTGATAAGCAACTGAAGCAAAGTCTCAGGATACAAAATCAATATGCAAAAATCACAAGCATTCTTATACACCAACAACAGACAAACAGAGAGCCAAATGATGAGTGAACTCCCATTCACAATGGCTTCAAAGAGAATGAAATACCTAGGAATCCAACTTACAAAGGACGTGAAGGACCTCTTTAAGGAGAACTACAAACCACTGCTCAAGGAAATAAAAGAGGATACAAACAAATGGAAGAACATTCCATGCTCATGGGTAGGAAGAATCAATATCGTAAAAATGGCCATACTGCCCAAGGTAATTTACAGATTCAATGCCATCCCCATCAAGCTACCAATGACTTTCTTCACAGAATTGGAAAAAACTACTTTAAAGTTCATAAGGAACCGAAAAAGAGCCCGCATCACCAAGTCAATCCTAAGCCAAAAGAACAAAGCTGGAGGCATCACACTACCTGACTTCAAACTATACTACAAGGCTACAGTAACCAAAACAGCATGGTACTGGTACCAAAACAGAGATATAGATCAATGGAACAGAACAGAGCCCTCAGAAATAATGCCACATATCTATGACTATCTGATCTTTGACAAACCTAACAAAAACAAGCAATGAGGAAAGGATTCCCTATTTAATAAATGGTGCTGGGAAAACTGGCTAGCCATATGTAGAAAGCTGAAACTGGATCCCTTCCTTACACCTTATACAAAAATTAATTCAAGATGGATTAAAGACTTAAATGTTAGACCTAAAACCATAAAAACCCTAGAAGGAAATGTAGGCATTACCATTCAGGACATAGGCTTGGGCAAGGACTTCATGTCTAAAACACCAAAAGCAATGGCAACAAAAGCCAAAATTGACAAATGGGATCTAATTCAACTAAAGAGCTTCTGCACAGCAAAAGAAACTACCATCAGAGTGAACAGGCAACCTACAAAATGGGAGAAAATTTTCTCAACCTACTCATCTGACAAAGGGCTAATATCCAGAATCTACAATGAACTCAAGCAAATTTACAAGAAAAAAAACAAACAACCCCATCAAAAAGTGGGCAAAGGACATGAACAGACACTTCTCAAAAGAAGACATTTATGCAGCCAAAAAACACATGAAAAAATGCTCAGAATCACTGGCCATCAGAGAAATGCAAATCAAAACCACAATGAGATACCATTTCACACCAGTTAGAATGGCAATCATTAAAAAGTCAGGAAACAACAGGTGCTGGAGAGGATGTGGAGAAATAGGAACACTTTTACACTGTTGGTGGGACTGGAAACTAGTTCAACCCTTGTGGAAGTCAGTGTGGTGATTCCTCAGGGATCTAGAACTAGAAATACCATTTGACCCAGCCATCCCATTACTGGGTATATACCCAAAGTACTATAAATCATGCTGCTATAAAGACACATGCACAAGTATGTTTATTGCAGCATTATTCACAATAGCAAAGACTTGGAACCAACCCAAATGTCCAACAATGATAGACTGGATTAAGAAAATGTGGCACATATACACCATGGAATACTATGCAGCCATAAAAAATGATGAGTTCATGTCATTTGTAGGGACATGGATGAAATTGGAAATCATCATTCTCAGTAAACTATCACAAGAACAAAAAACCAAACACCGCATATTCTCACTCATAGATGGGAATTGAACAATGAGAACACATGGACACAGGAAGGGGAACATTACACTCTGGGACTGTTGTGGGGTTGGGGGAGGGGGGAGGGATAGCATTGGGAGATATACCTAATGCTAGATGACGAGTTAGTGGGTGCAGCACACCAGCATGGCACATGTATACATATGTAACTAACCTGCACATTGTGCACATGTACCCTAAAACTTAAAGTATAATAATAATAAATAAAATTTAAAAAAAGAAAATGTGGCACATATACACCATGGAATACTATGCAGCCATAAAAAATGATGAGTTTGTGTCCTTTGTAGGGACATGGATGAAGCTGGAAACCATCATTCTCAGCAAACTATTGCAAGGACAAAAAACCAAACACTGTGTGTTCTCACTCATATGTGGTAATTGAACAATGAGAACACATGGACACAGGAAGGGGAACATCACACATTGGCGCCTGTTGTGGGGTGAGGGGGCGGCTGATAGCATTAGAAGGTATACCTAATGTAAATGATGAGTTAATGGGTGCAGCACACCAACATGGCACATGTATACATATGTAACAAACCTGCACGTTGTGCACATGTACCCTAGAACTTAAAGTATAATAAATAAATAAATAAATAAATAAATAAATAAAGAAGAATGCTCTCACCAATGTAAGTGGGCATCACCCAATCTGATGAGGGCCTGAATAGAAAAAAAAGTCCACTGATGGTAGTTTTGGCATAGGCATTGCACATAGGGAATGCAAATCTGTATCCAGAGTATCTATTTCGCTAAGTACAAAGCACTGTCCCTTCCATAAGGGAAGCTATCCAGTGTAATCAACTGTCCACCAGGTTGATCACCCTGGAGACTGGTGCCATAACCTGGACTGAATGTTGGTCTCTGCTGCTGGCAGGTTGGACACTCACCAGTAGCCATAGCCAGGTCAGCTTTGGTGAGTAGAAGTTCATGTTATTGAGCCCATGCAGAACCATCATCCCTGCTACCATGGCCACTGTTCATAACCTCACTGGACAATGATAAGAGTAACCAGGAATAGAAGCTTACTGGTAACCACAAAATTGATCAATCCTTTCCACTTAAGTATTAAAATACTCCTCTGCTGAGGTCACCCTTTGGTGAACATTTACATGGAACACAAATATCTTCACATTTATTGCCCATTAAAAGAGGTCTGGCTGGACAAGGTGGCTCACGCCTGTAATCTGAGCACTTTAGGAGGCCAAGGCGGGTGGATCACCTGAGTTCAGGAGTTCCAGACCAGCCTGGCCAACATGGCAAAACCCCATCTCTACTAAAAATAAGAAAATTAGCTGGGCATGGTGGCAGGTGCCTGTAATCCCAGCTCCTTGGGAGGCTGAGGCAGGAGAATCACTTGAGCCTTGGAGGCGGAGTTTGCAGTGAGCCAAGATCAAGCCCTTGCACTCCAGCCTGGGTGGCAGAGCAAGATCTGTATCAAAAAAAGAAAAAAAAAGTCTACCCACATGTCTCTTCCCTAGAAATATTTGTCACCAATTTTCCAATTATGCTCTTTCCAAGTCCCTGACTGTGTTTATAATTTGTATTTCCCTAGTAAGCCAAATCATTTGCTACAGCTCACGAATCAGTACATAATAGTGTGTCTGGCTATTTCTCCTTCCAAGCAAAGTGTGCAACCAGGTACACTGCCCAAAGTTCTTCCCATTGGAAAGATTTCCCTTCATAAGTCTCAATTAAGAATATCCCAGAGTGGGCTATAGTGCTGCATCTGTCCAATTTTGAGTGGTATCCACATACGCAGAGCTGTCTGTAAACTGGCCCCAAGTCTTCTCCTCTTCTGACAACTTATTGTAAGGTACTCTGCATGAGACCATAGGTATGAGCTGGAAGAGAGAAGATGGTGTAGAAGGACTGAGGACCATGAGCATTTCAATCACTCTTTTATGTAACTTAATTGTGCATTCAGAGCCTGCTTAGGCCTGATCTGTATAGACCATTTCCATTTGATGATGGTGTGTAGCTAGCTTAATCAGATAACACCCACTCATGAATGGCAACTCAGGTTACATGGTAACTTAGTAGCCCATGGTCTAGCATTCAGTTTCTACTAAAGCCCAGTAGCAGACCAAGAGCTGTTTCTCAAAAGGAGAATAATTATCTGAGGATAATGGCAGGGACTTGTTTCAAAGTCCTGAAACATTGCACTGTGATTCACCTATAGGGGACTGCCAAAGGTTCCAAACAGCATCTTTATCTCCCACTGTCACTTCAAGCACCACTGGATCTGATGCATCATATGGCCCAAGTGGCAAAGCAGCTTGCACAGCAGCCTAGACCTCTTGCAGGTCTTCTCCTGTTCTGGGCACCACTCAAAACTAGCAGCTTTTCAGGTCACTCAGTGAATGTGTCAGAGTAACACATCCATATAAGTAATATGTTGCCTCCAAGACCCAAACAGGCCCACAACACATTGTGTATCTTTTTTGGTTGTAGGAGAATCTGGATGAAACAACGTATTCTTCACTTTAGAAGGAATACATTGACATGGCCCACATCACTGGACCTAAAGAAATTTCACTGAATTTTAGTCAGATTTATTTCCCACCCTCTGACACAGAAGTAAGTCTAGAGTCGTTGCTACTTCTTGCTCACTAGCTCCAATCACCACAATGTCATTAATGTAATGGACCAGTATGATATCAGTATGAAGGGAAAGATGATCAAGGTCCATGCAAAGTAAATTATGGCATAGAGCTAGAGAATTGATGTAACTCTGAGGTATGTAGTGAAGGTGTGTTGCTGGCCTTGCCAACTGAAAACAAACAGCTCTGGAGGGCCGACCTTGTGGAAAAGTATGAAGAAAAAGGCATATACCAGATTAATGGCTACATACCAGGTACCAGGGAATATGTTAATTTGCTCAAGCAACGAAACAACATCTAGCACAGCAGTGCAATTGAAGTCACCATTTGGTTAAGCTTACAAGATTTCATCATCATTCTCCAAGGTCCATTTATTTTCTGCAGAGTTCAAAGAGAAGAATTGAATGGAGTTGTAGTGGGAATCACTACACCTGCATCTTTGAAATTGTTGATAATGGCACTGATTTCTACCGTTCCTCCAGGGATATGGTGTTGCTTTTGATTTACTATTTTCTTAGGTAGAGGCAGTTCTAGTGGGTTCCATTTGGCCTTTCCCACCACAGTAGCCCTCATGGCACAGGGCAGGGAACCAATGTAGGAATTCTGCAAGCTGCTAAGTATGTCTATTCCAATTATGCATTCTGAAACTAGGGAAATAACTACAGGATGTATTTGGGGACCTACTGTGAGACAGACCTGAGGTAAAACTTCAATGATCACCTGACCTCCATGAGCTCCTACTCTGACTGGAGGACCACAGTGACATTTGGGATTTCCTAGAGTCAGTGTCAGTTCAGAGCTGGTGTTGAGTAGTTCCCAAAAGGCCTTTTTCTTTCTTTTCTCCAATGCACAGTTACTCAGGTAAAAGGCCATAGGCCCCTTTGGAGAAGGCTGGCAGAAATATTAGCAGCATAAAATTTTGTTAGTGTATTGGGGTCTGTCCTCAAGGAAAACCAGCATCCCGTTCATTCAAGGAGTTCTGGGTCTGTAAACTGGCTCAAGCCTGGTAATTGGTTGAGGGGCCATGACTCTCTTTTTAATGATTCAAGTTAGATATTTGTTCACTTGACCTAGAAATTTTCTGTTTATACATATCGAGTAAAGTTTGATCTTATAAGATCAAGCATAAATAACTTGCCAATGCCATGAGTCAGGCTATTCTGATTGCTGCCTTGACTCTGCTGTCCATCATGGTAACCATTCCCATGTTGCCTTTGGATGATGAGTGACATCTCTTGGCCTTGCCACCCGAGGATTCAGTTACTCCCAGTGCACTTAGGTTTTCCAATTGGGAGGCTATGGTTTCCACTGTAAAGTCTAGTCTATAGAGAAGAGTAATCAAGGAGCTCTTTAAGGATACTGGGGCTCCACTCACAATTTTATTTCTTAAAGTATTGATGAAAGGTATGTCTCTAGAGCCTCCTTTGTGAATGAGTAGATCTTAAATGACAAATCCACTGTAACATTCCAATCTCCCTAAGCTTTTGAATCCCTTCCTCTACATTAAATCAAGGGAAGTTGGGCATTTCCAATTCACTCACCGTGGGCCATATTTTAGTCCACATTTCAGCACACCAACCAAACTGTTAGAGCCATTTCTAATTCCCCAAGTTGCAACATTAAATGCAGAATCTCTGCTAAGTCAACTGTTATCAATATATAGTTGGCCTGATCAAATTTTTTCCTTCTGCAATTAGAATGAATAAAAACTAGATGCCTATTTCTTGCCATATACAAAAGTAGAATGAAACTAGATACCTATCTTTTGCCATATACAAAAATCAAATCAAAATGGATTGAAGACATAAATCTAAGACCATAAACAATGAAATTATTATGAGAAAACATTGGTGAAAATCTCCAGGACTTTGGTCTGGGCAAAAATTTCTTGAGCAATATGCAACAAGCACAGGCAACCAAAGCAAAAATGGACAAATGGAATCACATCAGATTAAAAAGCTTCTGCACAGCAAAGAAAACTATCAACAAAGTGAAGAGGCAACCCACAGAATGGGAGAAAATACTTGCAAGCTACCTACCTTTTTATTTTTTGTGGGTACCTAGTAGGCATATATATTTGTAGAGTGCATGAGATATTGTGATACAGCCATACAATGTATAATAATAACATCATGGAAATTGGGTATCCATCATCTCAATTATTTATCCTTTCTTTATGGTACAAACAAACCAATTATACTCTTTTAGTTATTTATTTTATTTTATTATTATTATACTTTAAGTTTTAGGGTACATGTACACAATGTGCAGGTTTGTTACATATGTATAGATGTGCCATGTTGGTGTGCTGCACCCATTAACTCGTCATTTAGCATTAGATATATCTCCAAATGCTATCCCTCCCCCCACCCCCCACCCCACAACAGTTCCCGGAGTGTGATATTCCCCTTCCTGTGTCCATGTGTTCACATTGTTCAGTTCCCACCTATGAGTGAGAACATACAGTGTTTGCTTTTTTGTCCTTGTGATAGTTTGCTGAGAATGATGGTTTCCAGTTTCATCCATGTCCCTACAAAGGACATGAACTCATCACTTTTTATGGCTGCATAGTATTCCATAGTATATATGTGCCACATTTTCGTAATCCAGTCTATCATTGTTGGACATTTGGCTTGGTTCCAAGTCTTTGCTATTGTGAATACTGCCGCAATAAACACACGTGTGCATGTGCCTTTATAGCAGAATGATTTATAATCCTTTGGGTATATACCCAGTAATGGAATGGCTGGGTCAAATGGTATTTCTAGTTCTAGATCCCTGAGGAATCGCCACACTGACGTTCAAAAAGGTTGAACTAGTTTACAGTCCCACCAACAGTGTAAAAGTGTTCCTATTTCTCCACATCCTCTCCAGTATCTGTTGTTTCCTGACTTTTTCATGATCGCCATTCTAACTGGTGTGAGATGGTATCTCATTGTAGTTTTGATTTGCATTTCTCTGATGGCCAGTGATGATGAGCATTTTTTCATGTGTCTTTTGGCTGCATAAACGTCTTCTTTTGAGAAGTGTCTGTTCATATCCTTTGCCCACTTTTTCATGGGGTTGTTTGTTTTTTTCTTGTAAATATGTTTGAGTTCATTGTAGATTCTGGATAATAGCCGTTTGTCAGATGAGTAGGTTGTGAAAATTTCCTCCCATTCTGTACGTTGCCTGTTCACTCTGATGGTGGTTTCTTTTGCTGTGAAGAAGCTCTTTAGTTGAATTAGATCCCATTTGTCAATTTTGGCTTTTGTTGCCATTGCTTTTGGTGTTTTAGACATGAAGTCCTTGCCCATGCCTATGTCTTGAATGGTATTGCCTAGGTTTTCTTCTAGGGTTTTTATGGTTTTAGGTCTAACATATAAGTCTTTCATCCATCTTGAATTAATTTTTGTGTAAGGTGTAAGGAAGGGATCCAGTTTCAGCTTTCTACATATGGCTAGCCAGTTTTCCCAGCACCATTTAATAAATACGGAATCCTTTCCCCATTGCTTTTTTTTTTTCAGATTTGTCAAAGATCAGATGGTTGTAGATATGCAGCATTATTTCTGAGGACTCTATTCTGTTCCATTGATCTATAGATCTGTTTTGGTACCAGTACCATGCTGTTTTGGTTACTATAGCCTTGTAGTATAGTTTGAAGTCAGGTAGTGTGATGCCTCTGGCTGTGTTCTTTTGGCTTAGGATTGACTTGGCGATGGGGGCTTTTTTTGGTTCCATATGAACTTTAAAGTAGTTTTTTCCAATTCTGTGAAGAAAGTCCTTGGTAGCTTGATGGGGATGGCATTGAATCTATAAATTACCTTGGGCAGTATGGCCATTTTCACAGTATTGATTCTTCCTACCCATGAGCATGGAATGTTTTTCCATTTGTTTGTATCCTCTTTTATTTCCTTGAGCAGTGGTTTGTAGTTCTCTTTGAAGAGGTCCTTCACATCCCTTGTAAGTTGGACTCCTAGGTATTTTATTCTCTTTGAAGCAATTGTGAATGGGAGTTCACTCATGATTTGGCTCTCTGTTTGTCTGTTATTGGTGTATAAGAATGCTTGTGATTTTTGCACATTGATTTTGTATCCTGAGACCTTGCTGAATTTGCTTATCAGCTTAAGGAGATTTTTGGCTGAGACAATGGGATTTTCTAGATATACAATCATGTCATCTGCAAACAGGGACAATTTGACTTCCTCTTTTTCTATTTGAATACCTTTTATTTCCTTCTCCTGCTTAATTGCCCTGGCCAGCACTTCCAACACTATGCTGAATAGATGTGGTGAGAGAGGGCATTCCTGTCTTGGGCCAGTTTTCAAAGGGAATGCTTCCAGTCTTTGCCCATTCAGTATGATATTGGCTGTGAGTTTGTCATTGACAGCTCTTATTATTTTGAAATACGTCCCATCAATACCTAATTTATTGAGAGTTTTTAGCATGAAGGGCTGTTGAATTTTGTGAAAGGCCTTTTCTGCATCTATTGAGATAATCATGTGGTTTTTGTTGTTGGTTCTGTTTATATGCTGGATTACATTTATTGATTTGCGTAAGTTGAAACAGCCTTGCCTCCCAGGGATGAAGCCCACTTGATCATGGTGGATAAGCTTTTTGATGTGCTGCTGTATTAAGTTTGCCAGTATTTTGTTGAGGATTTTTCCATCAATGTTCATCAAGGATGTGGGTCTAAAATTATCTTTTTTGGTTGTGTCTCTGCCAGGCTTTGGTATCAGGATGATGCTGGCCTCATAAAATGAGTTAGGGAGGATTCCCTCTTTTTCTATTGATAGGAATAGTTTCAGAAGGAATGGTACCAGCTCCTCCTTGTACCTCTGGTAGAATTCGGCTGTGAATCCATCTGGTCCTGGACTTTTTTTGGTTGGTAAGCTATTGATTATTGCCACAATTTCAGAGCCTGTTATTGGTCTATTTGGAGATTCAATTTCTTCCTTGTTTAGTCTTCAGAGGGCGTATGTGTCCAGGAATTTATCCATTTCTTCTAGATTTTCTAGTTTATTTGGGTAGAGATGTTTGTAGTATTCTCTGATGGTAGTTTGTATTTCTGCGGGATCGGTGGTGATATCCCCTTTATCATTTTTTATTGCGTGTATTTGATTCTTCTCTCTTTTCTTCTTTATTAGTCTTGCTTGCGGTCTATCAATTTTGTTGATCCTTTCAGAAAACCAGCTCCTGGACTCATTAATTTTTTGAAGGGTTTTTTGTGTCTTTATGTCCTTCAGTTCTGCTCTGATCGTAGTTATTTCTTGCCTTCTACTAGCTTTTGAATGTGTTTGCTCTTGCTTTTCTAGTTCTTCTAATTGTGATGTTAGGGTGTCAATTTTGGATCTTTCCTGCTTTCTCTTGTGGGCATTTAGTGCTATAAATTTCCCTCTACAAACTGCTTTGAAAGTGTCCCAGAGATTCTGGTATATTATGTCTTTGTTCTCATTGGTTTCAAAGAACATCTTTATTTGTGCCTTCATTTCGTTATGCATCCAGTAGTCATTCAGGAGCAGGTTCTTCTGTTTCCATGTAGTTGAGTGGTTTTGAGTGAGTTTCTTAATCCTGAGTTCTAGTTTGACTTCACTGTGGTCTGAGAGACAGTTTGTTATAATTTCTATTCTTTTACATTTGCTGAGGAGTGCTTTACTTCCAACTATGTGGTCAATTTTGTAATAGGTGTGATGTAGTGCTGAAAAAAATGTATATACTGTTGATTTGGGGTGGAGAGTTCTGTAGATGTCTATTAGGTACACTTGGTGCAGAGCTGAGTTCAATTCCTGGATATCCTTGTTAACTTTCTGTCTCGTTGATCTGTCTAATGTTGACAGTGGGGTGTTAAAGTCTCCCATTATTAATGTGTGGGAGTCTAAGTCTCTTTGTAGGTCTCTAAGAACTTGCTTTATGAATCTGGGTGCTCTTGTATTGGGTGCATATATATTTAGGATAGTTAGCTCTTCTTGTTGAATTGATCCGTTTACCATTATGTAATGGCCTTCTTTGTCTCTTTTGATCTTTGTTGGTTTAAAGTCTGTTTTATCAGAGACTAGGATTGCAACCCCTGCCTTTTTTTGTTTTCCATTTGCTTGGTAGATCTTCCTCCATCCCTTTATTTTGAGCCTATGTGTGTCTCTGCACGTGAGATGGGTTTCCTGAATACAGCACACTGATGGGTCCTGACTCTTTATCCAATTTGCCAGTCTGTGTCTTTTAATTGGAGCGTTTAGTCCATTGACTTTTAAAGTTAATATTGTCATGTGTGCATTTGGTCCTGTCATTATGATGTTAGCTGGTTATTTTGCTCGTTAGTTGATGCAGTTTCTTCCTAGCCTTGATAGTCTTTACAATTTGGCATGTTTTTGCAGTGGCTGGTACCGGTTGTTCCTTTCCATGTTTAGTGCTTCCTTCAGGAGCTCTTGTAGGGCAGGCCTGGTGGTGATAAAATCTCTCAGCATTTGCTTGTCTGTAAAGGATTTTATTTCTCCTTCACTTATGAAGCTTAGTTTGGCTGAATATGAAATTCTGGGTTGAAAATTCTTTTCTTTAAGAATCTTGAATATTGGCCCCACTCTCTTCTGGCTTGTAGAGTTTCTGCTGAGAGATCCGCTGTTAGTCTGATGGGCTTCCCTTTGTGGGTAACCCGACCTTTCTCTCTGGCTGCCCTTAACATTTTTTTCCTTCATTTCAACTTTGGTGAATCTGACAATTATGTGTCTTTGAGTTGCTCTTCTCGAGGAGTATCTTTGTGGCGTTCTCTGTATTTCCTGAATCTGAATGTTGGCCTGCCTTTCTAGATTGGGGAAGTTCTCCTGGATAATATCCTGCAGAGTGTTTTCCAACTTGGTTCCATTCTCCCTGTCACTTTCAGGTACACCAATCAGACGTAGATTTGGTCTTTTCACATAATCCCATATTTCTTGGAGGCTTTGTTCATTTCTTTTTATTCTGTTTTCTCTGAACTTCCCTTCACACTTCATTTCATTCATTTCGTCTTCCATCACTGATACCCTTTCTTCCAGGTGATCGCATCGGCTCCTGAGGCTTGTGAGTTCTTCACATAATTCTGGAGCCTTGGCTTTCAGCTCCATCAGCTCCTTTAAGGACTTCTCTGCATAGGTTATTCTAAGTATCCATTCGTCTAATTTTTTTTTCAAAGTTTTTAACTTCTATGCCATTGGTTTGAATTTCCTCCTTTAGCTCGGAGTAGCTTGATTATCTGAAGTCTTCTTCTCTCAACTCGTCAAAGTCATTCCCCATCCAGCTTTTTTCCATTGCTGGTGAGGAGCTGAGTTCCTTTGGAGGAGGAGAGGTGCTCTGCTTTTTAGAGTTTCCAGTTTTTCTGCTCTGTTTTTTCCCCATTTTTGTGGTTTTATCTACTTTTGGTCTTTGGTGATGGTGACATACAGGTGGGTTTTTGGTGCGGATGTCCTTTGTGTTTGTTAGTTTTCCTTCTAACAGACAGAACCCTCAGCTGCAGGTCTGTTGGAGTTTGCTGGAGGTCCACTCCAGACCCTGTTTGCCTGGGTATCAGCAGTGGTGGCTGCAGAACAGCGGTGGCTGTACAACAGTGGATATTGGTGAACTGCAAATGCTGCTGCCTGATTGTTCCTCTGGAAGTTTTTTCTCAGAGGAGTACCCAGCCGTGTGAGGTGTCAGTTTGCCCCTACTGGTGGGTGCCTCCCAGTTAGGCTGCTTGGGGGTCAGGGGTCAGGGACCCACTTGAGGAGGCAGTCTGCCTGTTCTCAGATCTCCAGCTGCATGCTGGGCAAACCATTCCTCTCTTCAAAGCTGTCAGACAGGGACATTTAAGTTTGCAGAGGTTACTGCTGTCTTTTTGTTTATCTATGCCCTGCCCCCAGAGGTGGAGCCTACAGAGGCAGGAAGGCCTCCTGGAGCTGTGGTGGGCTCCACCCAGTTTGAGCTTCCAGGCTGCTTTGTTTACCTAATCAAGCCTGGGCAATGGCAGGCGCCCATCCTCCAGCCTCACTGCCACCTTGGAGTTTGATCTCAGAACACTGTGCTAGCAATCAGCGAGACTCCGTGGGCATAGGACCCTCCGAGCCATGTGCGGGATATAATCTCCTGGTGTGCCCTTTTATAAGCCTGTTGGAAAAGCGCAGTATTAGGGTGGAAGTGACCCGATTTTCCAGGTGCTGTCTGTCACCCCTTTCTTTGAGTAGGAAAGGGACCTCCCTGACCCCTTGTGCTTCACGAGTGAGGCAATGCCTCGCCCTGCTTCGGCTCACGCATGGTGTGCTGCACCCACTGTCCTGCTCCCACTGTCTGGCACTCCCTAGTGAGATGAACCCGGTACCTCAGATGGAAATGCAGAAATCACCCGTCTTATGTGTCGCTCATGCTGGGAGCTGTAGACCGGAGCTTTTCCTATTCGGCCATCTTGGCTCCACCCAACCAATACAATCTTCTCTTTTAGTTATTTTTAACTGCACATTACTTTTATTTATTCTCACTCTGTCACCCAGACTGAGTGCAGTGGCATGATCATGGCTTACTGCAGCCTTGACCTCCCAGGCTTAAGTGATCCTCCCACCTCAGCCTCCCATGTATCTGAGACTACGGGTGCATGCCACTACATGCAGTTAATTTTTATTTTATTTTATTTTATTTTTTGTAGAGACAAGTTCTCTCTATGTTGCCCAGGCTGGTCTTGAACTTCCAGACTCAAGCTGTCCTCCTGCCTTGGCCTTCCAATGTGCTGGGATTACAGACAAGAGCCGTGACACCTGGCATGTATAATAAACTTTCGTTGACTGTAGTTATCCTGTTGTGATATCAAATACCAGATCTTATCTACTCTATTTTTTGGTACCCATTAACCATTCACACTCCCCCTACCCCCACTACCCTTCCCAGACTGTGGTAAACATTGTTCTACTCTCTATCTCCATGAGTTCAAGTGTTTTAATTTTTAGCTCCCATAAATATGTGAAGCTGCCTTTCTGTTTCAGGCTTATTTCACATAATATAATGTCCTTCAGTTTCATCCATGTTGTTGCAAATGACAGGATCTCATTCTTTTTTATGACTGAATAGTACTCCACTGTGTATATGTACTACATTTTCTTTACCCATCCATCTATTGATGGATACATAGGTTGCATCCAAATCTTGGCTATTGTAAGTAGGGCTGCAATAAACATGGGGATGCAGATATGTCTTCAATATGCTGATGTCCTTTCTTTGGGGCATATACCCAGCAGTGGGATTGCTGGGTTGTATGGTAGCTCTATTTTTAGTTGTCTGAGGAACCTCCAAACTGTTCTCCATAGTGGTTGTACTAATGTACCTTACCACCAACAGTGTATTAAGGTTCTGGTGCTTTATTCAGTTCATTTGGTGAATTAATGTTTTCTTGGATGTTCTTGATGCTTGTGGATGTTCCTCAGTGTCTGAGCATTGAAGAGTTAGGTATTTATTGTAGTCTTCACAGTCTGGGCTTGGTACCCATCCTTCCTGGGTAGGCTTTCCAGGTATTCAAAGGGATTTAGGTGTTGTTCTAAACCTTTGGTCACTGCAGCTTTGTCTCTATTAGGGGACACCCTAAGTCTAGTAATGTTATGGCTCTTGTAGACTCTGAGGTACTGCCTTGGTGGTCTTGGGTAAGATCATGGAGGAATTACCTGGATTACCTCACAGAGGTTCTTGTTTTCTTTCCTTACTTTACCCCAAACCAATTGAGTCTCTGTGCTGAGCTGCCTGGAGCTGGGTGTGGGATGACACAAGTACCTCTATGGTACTCACCACTGGGACTGTGCTGGGTCAGACCCAAAGTCAGCATGCCACTTGGTCTTGCCCAATACCACAGTGACCACTGCCTGGCTACTGCCTATGTTCACTTAAAGCCAAAATGCTCTACAGTCAATAGGTGGTGAAGCCAGTCAGTCTTGTGTTCTTCCCTTAAGGGCAGCAAGTTCTCCCTTGCCCTGGGTGGGTCAAAAGTTGCTCTTCTGGACCTAGGACCTGGAGTTCAGAACCTTAGGAATCTACCTGGTGCTCTGTTAAACTGTGGCTGAGCCGGCAAGAAGCTGCAAGACAAAGTCCTTCTCACACTTGCCTCCCCTATCCTCAAGTAGAGGAGTTTCTCCCCATAGCCACCACCACCCCAGGCCCACAGCAAGCACTGGCTGGTTACCACTGATGATTATGCAGAGCCCAAGAGCTTTTTTGTTAGCAGGTGATAGATCCTGCCAGGAGTTGGTCCTTCCCTTCAAGGTAGCATGTTCCCTTCTAGTCCACAGTGTGTTAAGAAATGTCATCTGTGAGCTGGGGCTTGTAATGGGAGCCTTGGGACTATTCCTGTTGCCTTATCCTACTGTGGCTGGGCTGGTACCCAATTGCAAGACACAGTCCTCTTCACTCCCCACTCTCCTCTCGTCTCTTCAAGGTGAAGGTAGGAGTCTCTCCTGGAGCTGCAAGTTGTGATGCCTGGGTTTGAGGGAAGGGTGACATGAGCACTCCCTAGGCTGCCCTAGCTGGTGCATCACTACATTGTCTACACTCCAAGTCTACCTGGCTTTGAGCCCAGCATAGTACCAGGACTCACGTAGGAATTGGAGTCCTTGTGGCTGAGACTGTCTTTCAAGTTTATTTAGGGCCCCATAGCACTTTAGCCTGCAGTGGCAGGGCTTGCTGGAACTCAGGTGTCGACTGCTGGGATGGACAATTCATCTCTGACTATGGCTGGTCTAAATGCTCCCTCCGTGGGTGCTGGTTGAGTTCTGCCCTGTGTTGCTTTTGACTATGGTAGGGCAGCACTGAGTTTGAATGTGTAGTCCCAAAATTTCAGCACTTTCCTTTCCCTAAGTACAGAGATTCTCTCTGTTCCATGTAGCCACTGCTGGGGGATACGAGTGGGGTGGTGTAGGCTATTTAAGAAAGACTGTGTTTCCTACCCTCTTCATTGCCTTTTTCCTTAATATGGTGTTAAAGCAAGTACTGTGACCACTCCCTTGATATTTGGTTCTTTTGAAGGTGCTTTATTTATGTTCAATATGGTGTTCCTGTGTGGTAGGGGGAAACTTGCTGTAGCCTTCTATTTAGTCATCTTGCCCTGCCTCCCTGTCCTAGTATTCGTTGTTTTGAGAAGCCTACATTGATACTTGTTATCACTTGGCATTTTGATCATATTCATACTAACAGATGTGAAGTGATATCTCACTGTGGTTTTAATTTGCATTCCCCTGATGATTAATTATGTTAAGCACCTTTTCATCTACCTGGGAGACCCTAAGTAGCCAAAGACATAATAAGAAAAGACAACAGATCTGGAGGCATCACACTGCCTAATTTCCAAGTATATTATAAAGATATAGTAATCAATAGAGAATTGTACTGGCATAAAAACAGATACATCAACCAACTGAACAAAATAGATAGTTCACAAATATATCCACACGTATATGGTCAACTAATCTTCAAAAAAAGCAATAAGAATACACAATACAGAAAGGATATTCCCTCCAAATCTCATGTTGAAATGTGATTTTGAATGTTGGAGGTTGGGCCTAGTGGGAGGTATTGGACCATGGGGGCAGATTTCTCATGAATGGCTTAGTGCCATCCCCTTGGTGATGAGTAGATTCTAGCTCTATTTATGGAAGATCTGTTTTTTTAAAAACAGTATGGAATCACCCCCTTGTCTCTCTTGGTCCTTCTCTTGCCATGTGATATGCTTGCCCCTGCTTTGCCTTCTGCTGTGAGTAAAAGTTCTCTGAGGCCTCACCAGAAGGGAAGGAGATGCTGGTGTCACACTTTTGTACAGTCTGCAGAACTGTGAGCCAATTAAAAAACCTCTTTTCTTTATAAATTACCCAGCCTCAGGTATTTCTTTATAACAATGCAAAAATGGGCTAACACAGGGTGTCTCTATTTTATTCCATTGGTCTATATTTTTGTCTTTATGCCAGTATCATACTGTTTTGGTTCTTGTAGCTTTATAGTAAGTTTTGAAACTAGGAAGTGTGATTCTGCTAACTTTTCCTCTTTTTCAAAATTGTTTTGGCTTTTTGGGGTTCCTTTACCATCTATATAAATTTTAGGATGAAGTTGTCTATTTCTGCCATAAACATTACTGGAATTTTGATAGGAATTGCATTCAATTTGAAAGAATTGCATTGGGTAGTATGGACATCTTAAAAATATGAAGTCCTAAAATCCATTAACACAGGATGTCTTTCCATTTATTTGTGTAATTATCTAATTTCTTTCAGCAATATTGTATAATTTTTAGTATATAGGTTTTTCATTTCTTTGTTTAAATTTATGCCTAAGTATTTTTTATTTGATGCTATTATAAATAGAATTGTTTTTCTTAATTCCTTTTACAAATTGATGATTCTCAGTGTGTAGAAACACGACTGATTTTTGCATGTTGCTTTTGTACCTTGCAATTTGGTTGAATTCATTTACTTAGTTCTAAGTGTGTGTGTGTGGGGGCATGTGTGTGTTTATTTGTTAGGCATTTCTACATATAAAATTATGTAATTTTTGAGTAATTTTACTTATTTCTTTCTGCTTTGGATGAGTTTTATTTCTTTTTCTTCCCTAATTGCTCTGGGTAGAACTTCCAACAGCATATTGAATAGAAGTAGGAAAAGTGGGAACCCATACCTTGTTTCTGATTTTAGAGGAAAAGTTTGCAGTTTTTCACCACTGGCTATGATGTTAGCTGTGTGCTTTTCACATATGGCTTTTATTATCTTGAAATAATTTCCTTCTAGCCTCAGTTTGTTGAAGGATTTTTAAATATAAAACAGTATTAAGGGGGGTGGAGCCAAGATGGCCGAATAGGAACAGCTCAAGTCTACAGCTCCCAGTGTGAGCGACACAGAAGACAGGTGATTTCTGCATTTCCAACTGAGGTACCAGGTTTATCTCACTGGGGAGTGTCAGAAAGTGGGTGCAGGAGAGTGGGTGCAGTGCACCGAGTGTGAACCAAAGCAGGGCAAGGCATCACCTCACCTGGGAAGTGCAAGGGGTCAGGGAATTCCCTTTTCTAGTCAAAGAAAGGGGTAAAAGACGGCACCTGGAAAATCGAGTCACTCCCACCCTAAAACTGCACTTTTCCAATGGGCTTAAAAAACGGCAAACCAGGAGATTATATCCCACACCTGGCTCAGAGGGTCCTACACCCACGGAGTCTCACTGATTGCTAGCACAGCAGTCTGAGATCAAACTGCAAGGCGGCAGCGAGGCCGGGGGGAAGGATGCCCACCATTGCCCTGAGGCTTGAGTAGGTAAACAAAGCGGCTGGGAAGCTCAAACTGGGTGGAGCCCACCACAGCTCAAGGAGGACTGCCTGCCTCTATAGGCTCCACCTCTGGGGGTAGGGCATAGCCAAAAAAAAGGCAGCAGAATCCTCTGCAGACTTAAATGTCCCTGTCTGACAGCTTTGAAGAGAGTAGTGGTTCTCCCAGCATGCAGCTTGAGATCTGAGAATGGACAGACTGCCTCCTCAAGTGGGTCCCTGACCCCCGAGTAGCCTAACTGGCAGGCACCCGCCAGTAGGGGCAGACTGACACTTCACACGGCTGGGTACTCTTCTGAGACCAAACCTCCAGAGGAACGATCAGGCAGCAACACTTGCTGCTCACCAATATCCGCTGTTCTGCAGCCTCTGCTGCTGATGCCCAGGCAAACAGGGTCTGCAGTGGACCTCCAGAAAACACCAACAGACATGCAGCTGAGGGTCCTTACTGTTAGAAGGAAAACTAACAAACAGAAAGGACATCCACACCAAAAACCCATCTGTACGTCACCATCACCAAAGACCAAAGGTAGATAAAACCACAAAGATGGGGAAAAGACAGAACAGAAAAACTGGAAACTCTAAAAATCAGAGTGCCTATCCTCCTCCAAAGGAACGCAGCTCCTCACCAGCAATGGAACAAAGCTGGATGGAGAATGACTTTGATGAGTTGAGAGAAGAAGGCTTCAGATGATCAAACTACTCCGAGCTAAAGGAGGAAGTTTGAACCCATGGCAAAGAAGTTAAAAAACTTGAAAAAAAATTAGACGAATGGCTAGCTAGAATAACCAACGCAGACAAGTCCTTAAGGACTTGATGGAGCTGAAAACTAAGGCACAAGAACTACGTGACGAATGCACAAGCCTCAGTAGCCAATGCGATCAACTGGAATAAAGGGTATCAGTGATGGAAGGTCAAAGGAATGAAATGAAGCAAGAAGAGAAGTTTAGAGAAAAAAGAATAAAAAGAAATGAAGAAAGCCTCCAAGAAATATGGGACTATGTGAAAAGACTAAATCTACATCTGATTGCTGTACCTGAAAGTGACAGGGATAATGAAATCAAGTTGGAAAACACTCTGCAGGATATTATCCAGGAGAATTTCCCCAATCTAGCAAGGCACGCCAACATTCAAATTCAGGAAATACAGAGAACACCACAAAGATACTCCTCAAGAAGAGCAACCCCAAGACACATAATTGTCAGATTCGCTAAAGTTGAAATGGAGGAAAAAATGTTAAGGGCAGCCAGAGAAAAAGATCGGGTTACCCACAAAGGGAAGCCCATCAGACTAACAGCTGATCTCTCGGCAGATATTCTACAAGCCAGAAGACAGTGGGGACCAATATTCAACATTCTTAAAGAAAAGAATTTTAAAGCCAGAATTTCATATTCAGCCAAACTAAGCTTCATAAGTGAAGGAGAAATAAAATCCTTTACAGACAAGAAAATGTTGAGAGATTTTGTCACCACCAGGCCTATGCTAAAAGAGCTCCTGACGGAAGCACTAAACACGGAAACGGAAAACCAGTACCAGCCACTGCAAAATCATGCCAAATTGTAAAGACCATCGAGGCTAGGAAGAAACTATATCAACTAATGAGCAAAATAACCAGCTAACATCATAATGACAGGATCAAATTCACACATGACAATATTAACCTTAAATGTCAATGGGCTAAATGCTCCAATTAAAGGACACAGACTGGCAAATTGGATAGAGGCAAGACCAATCAGTGTGCTGTATTCAGGAGACCCATCTCACATGCAGAGACACACATAGGCTCAAAATAAAGGGATGGAGGAAGATCTACCAAGCAAATGGAAAACAAAAAAAAAAGGCAGGGATTGCAATCCTAGACTCGGATAAAACACATTTTAAACCAACAAAGATCAAAAGAGACAAAGAAGGCCATTGCATAATGGTAAAGGGATCAATTCAACAAGAAGAGCTAACTATCCTAAATATATATGTACCCAATACAGGAGCACCCAGATTCATAAAGCAAGTCCTTAGAGACCTACAAAGAGACTTAGACACCCCACACAATAATAATGGGAGACTTTAACATCCCACTGTCAACATTAGACAGATCAACGAGACAGAAAGTTAACAAGGATATCCACGAATTGAACTCAGCTCTGCACCAAGTGGACCTAATAGACATCTACAGAACTCTCCACCCCAAATCAAAACAATATACATTTTTTTCAGCACCACAAGACACCTATTCCAAAAATGACCACATAGTTGGAAGTAAAGCACTCCTCAGCAAATGTAAAAGAACAGAAATTATAGCAAACTGTCTCTCAGACCACAGTGCAATCAAACTAGAACTCAGGATTAAGAAACTCACTCAAAACCGCTCAACTACATGGAAACTGAACTACCTGCTTCTGAATGCCTACTGGGTACATAATGAAATGAAGACAGAAATAAAGATGTTCTTTGAAACCAACGAGAACAAAGACACAACTTACCAGAATCTCTGGGACACATTCAAAGCAGTGTGTAGAGGGAAACTTATAGCAGTAAATGCCCACAAGAGAAAGCAGGAAAGATCCAAGATTGACACTCTAACATCACAATTAAAAGAACTAGAGAAGCAAGAGCAAACACATTCAAAAGCTAGCAGAAGGCAAGAAATAACTAAGATCAGAGCAGAACTGAAGGAAATAGAGACACAAAAAACCCTTCAAAAAATCAATGAATCCAGGATCTTGTTTTTTGAAAAGATCAACAAAATTGATAGACCGCTAGCAAGACTAATAAAGAAAAAAAGAGAGAAGAATCAAATAGATGCAATAAAAAATGCTACAGGGGATATCACCACCGATCCCACAGAAACACAAACTACTATCACAGAATACTATAAACACCTCTACACAAATAAACTAGAAAATCTAGAAGAGATGGATAAATTCCTGGACACATACACCCTCCCAAGACTAAACCAGGAAGAAGTTGAATCTCCATATAGACCAATAACAGGCTCTGAAATTGAGGCAATAACTATTAGCTTACCAGCAAAAAAAAGTCCAGGACCAGACGGATTCACAGCCGAATTCTACCAGAGGTACAAGGAGGAGCTGGTACCATTCCTTCTGAACCTATTCCAATCAATAGAAAAAGAGGGAATCCTCCCTAACTCATTTTATGAGGCCAGCATCATTCTGATACCAAAACCTGGCAAAGACACAACAAAAAAAGAAAATTTCAGGCCAATATCCCTGATGAACATTGATGCGAAATTCCTCAATAAAATACTGGCAAACCGAATCCAGCAGCACATCCAAAAGCTTATCCACCACAATCAAGTCGGCTTCACCCCGGGGATGCAAGGCTGTTTCAATGTACACAAATCAATAAACGTAATCCATCAGATAAACAGAACCAATGACAAAAACCACATGATTATCTCAATAGATGCAGAAAAGGCCTTCGACAAAATGCAACAGCGCTTCATGTGAAAAACTTTCAATAAACTGGATATCGATGGAATGTATTTCAAAATAATAAGAGCAATTTATGACAAATCCACAGCCAATATCATATGGAATGGGCAAAAACTGGATGCATTCCATTTGAAAACTGGCACAAGACAAGGATGCCCTCTCTCGCCACAATTATTCAGCATAGTATTGGAAGTTCTGGCCAGGGCAATCAGGCAAAAGAAAGAAATAAAGAGTATTCAATTAGGATAAGAGGAAGTCAAATCGTCCCTGTTTGCAGATGACATGATTGTGTATTTAGAAAACCCCATCATCTCAGCCCAAAATCTCCTTAAGCTGATAAGCAACTTCAGCAAAGTCTCAGGATACAAAATCAATGTGCCAAAATCACAAGCATTCCTATATATCAATAACAGAAAAACAGAGAGCCAAATCATGAGTGAACTCCCATTCACAATTGCTACAAAGAGAATAAAATACAACTCACAAGGGATGTGATGGACCTTTTCAAGGAGAACTACAAACCACCACTCAAGGAAATAAGAGAGGACATAAACAAATGGAAGAACCTTCCATGCTCATGGATAGGAATAACCAATATCTTGAAAATGGCCATACTGCCCAAAGTAGTTTATAGATTCAATGCTATGCTCATCAAGCTACCATTGACTTTCTTCACAGAGTTGGAAAAAACTACTTTAAAGTTCATATGGAACCAAAAAAGAGCCCACATAGCCAAGACAATCCTAAGCAAAAAGAACAAAGCTGGAGGCATCACGCTACCTGACTTCAAGCAATACTACAAGACTACAGTAACAAAAGCAGCATGGCACTGGTGCCAAAACAGATATATAGACCAATGAAACAGAACAGAGGCCTCAGAAATAATGCCACACATCCACAACCATCTGATCTTTGACAAGCCTGACAAAAACAAGAAATGGGGAAAGGATTCCCTATTTAATAAATGGTGTTGGACAAACGGGCTAGCCACATGGAGAAAACTGAAACTGGGTCCCTTCCTTACACCTTATACAAAAATTAACTCAAGATGGGTTAAAGACTTAAACATAAAACCTAAAACCATAAAAACCCTAGAGGAAAACCTAGGCAATACCATTCAGGACATAGGCATGGGCAAAGACTTCATGACTAAAACACCAAAAGCAATGGCAACAAAAGACAAAATTGACAAATGGGATCTAATTAAACTAAAGAGCTTCTGCACAGCAAAAGAAACTACCATCAGAGTGAACAGGCAACCTACAGAATGGGAGAAAATTTTTGCAATCTCTCTATCTGACGAAGGACTAATATCCAGAATCTACAAAGAACTTAAACAAATTTACAAGAAAAAAACAAACAACCCCATCAAAAAGTGGGCAAAGGATACGAACAGACACTTCTCAAAAGAAGACATTTATGCAGCCAAAACACATATGAAAAAATGCGCATCATCACTGGTCATTAGAGAAATGCAAATCAAAACCACAATGAGATACCATCTCACACCAGTTAGAATGGCGACCATGAAAAAGTCAGGAAACAATAGGTGCTGGAGAGGATGTGGAGAAATAGGAACACTTTTACACAGTTGGTGGGACTGTAAACTAGTTCAACCCTTGTGGAAGACAGTGTGGCGATTCCTCAAAGATCTAGAACTAGAAATACTATTTGATCCAGCAATCCCACTACTGGGTATATACCAAAAGGATTATAAATCATTCTACTGTAAAGACACATGCACATGTATGTTTATTGTGGCACTGTTCACAATAGCAAAGACTTGGAACCAACCCAAATGCCCATCAATGATAGACTGGATAAAGAAAATGTGGCATGTATACACCATGGAATACTAAGCAGCCATAAAAAAGGATGAGTTCACGTCCTTGTTAGGGTCATGGATGAAGCTGGAAACCATCATTCTCAGCACACTAACACAAGAACAGAAATCCAAACACCGCATATTCTCACTCATAAGTGGGAGTTGAACAATGAGAACACATGGACGCAGGGAGGGGAACAACACACACCGGGGCCTACTGGGGGGTGGAGGTCTAGGGGAGGGATAGCATTAGGAGAAATACCTAATGTAGATGACGGGATCATGGGTGCAGCAAACCACCACAGGACGCGCATACCTATGTAGCAAACCTGCACTTTCTGCACATGTAGCCCAGAACTTAAAGTATAATAAAAAAGAAGTGGGGTTTATCCTATGGAAAAATGGGAAGTCGTTACTAAAGAGTATTTAGTCAGGCGAGTATTGTTATCATATTTGTGCTTCATAAAGACCACTTTGATTACAGGGTGGATGATGAATTGGAAGGATGTCAATGAGAATGCTGCTATAGTGGTCCAGGGGAGACTGAAATAAGGCAGTAGCAATAGGGTTTCCAAGAAAAGAATGGACTCCAGACACACAGTGAAGGTTAGCTGAAATGGTCTTGATGAGGAAGTGTGTGGAAAATTCTATGATTCCCATATTGGTTCATGGCTTGAGTGGGTGGTGCTGGTGCCATTTACTAAATTAGCAAACAGGAGAGCAGCAGCTTTAAGAGAAGGAATGTATGTGAAAAGTGAGGAAATATCCAAATGAATATGTGTGGATTATAAGAATAATTGAAGTCACTAGTGATGTCTGAATGAATTTGTGACAGTAGGTGGGCAATGGTAACACCAGAATGGATGTGTGCATCATCTGAAAGAAACTATAACAAATGCCCATTATCAGATGCTCATATTTTCTCATTCAGTTGTCTCAAAATCTCATTTAGGCATTAGATAAACACAGTTGTCTCATATTCATTCAGATGTCAAAATAACACATTGTCTGTTACACCCAAATTCAGATATAGAATGGCTTATTCATTCACTTCTGCTTTTAGCTCAGAGATGTAGCAGGCTGGAAAGAGCATTGTTTCCATAATTTCAGCAAGAAAAACCATACAGACTGCAAGTTAACCAATCTTGAACTCATTAGAAAACAGAGCAAAAAGCTAACTCAAAATTTGGAGAGAGATAAAAGCCTATAGAAAGAACCAGTACCACAGTATCTGCTTACCTAATGCACATGTCATCACGTTATCATATAAGATGGTAGGGAGAATTAACTGGAAAGTTTAATGAACTGCTAAAGGCCCAGTATGGACAAGATTGAGAATGTGAGACCCCTGGAGGCATAGAAAGCCCACACTTTTAGTGGACTTTTCTTCAAGGAATCTGACCTAGCTCTTAGAAGAAAGATTAGCAAGTAACCAGAAAAAACTCCCTCCTTGCTGCCGTCTCGGGGAAGGGAACAAGAGTCACTGCCAAATCCACCCAGACACACCTCCTTTAACTCCATTAGAGAAGAAAAAAGTTAATCTGCAGGGGAAGAGCCATCAATAGTGGTATGCTGAGGGCACTGATGCAATCTCATTGCAACTGAGGAGGGAAACATAAGTCACCATCAAAACTGCTTAGACTCATCTCTCCAGTTCTCCTAAATAACAAAAGCTTTAATATGTGAGAAAGGGGGGACATCATGACAATAATTTGAGAACTCTTGTGGAAGCTCGCTGCAGACAGGGTAAGAAAATGGGGGAAGAACAAGGCTCTATTCCTTGGAGAGGTAAAGGAATACTTATTAAGCCAACCATTACATCTAAAGGAGAGACAGGAACAATTTTGAAGGCCACATCCTTGAGACCCAGGTATTCAGTGCCTGCCTAGCACTGGGGTTAAATCAAAAGCTCAAACACACTCATCTTGTCCACGCCAAACACCAAGCTAGCAAGTATAGAGTAACAATAATAGTGGAATACAGCTGGCAGTACTGCAAAATGCAGATTCATTATGAGGAGCAGCACAAGAGCTGAGAAAGAAAGGATATTACTAGAGGAATATTAAGGCCCTGGTACCAATAGCAACAACAAAAAAATTAAACTGTGGTAACCAAAGCAACAATAATATTTAACTCTGGTAAACATCACAACAACAAACTTAAACTGTAGTCCAACTCTTGACTACATTAACACAAACTTACACAGTAAAGGCCTAGAAGAGGGAAAGCCTGGCCATAACTGAGCATAAAAATATTTACTTCAGGGGAGGTTCCAAGATGGCCGAATAGGAACAGCTCCAGTCTACAGCTCCCAGTGTGAGTGACACAGAAGATGGGTGATTTCTGCATTTCCAACTGAGTACCGGGTTCATCTCACTGGGGCTTGTCAGACAGTGGGTGCAGGACAGTGAGTGTAGCCCGCCAAGCATGAGCCGAAGCAGGGCGAGGCATTGCCTCACCTGGGAAGCACAAGGGGTCAAGAAATTCCCTTTCCTAGCCAAGGGAATCTGTGACAGATGGCACCTGGAAAATTGGGTCACTCCCAGCCTAATACTGTCCTTTTCCAATGGTCTTAGCAAACAGAACACCAGGGGATTATATCCCATGCCTGGCTCAGAGGGTCCCACACCCATGGAGCCTTGCTCACTGCTAGCGCAGCAGTCTGAGATTGAACTTCAAGGTGGCAGCGAGGCAGGGCAAGGGGCGTCTGCCATTGTTGAGGCTTGAGTAGGTAAACAAAGCGGCCCGGAAGCTCGAACTGGGTGGAGCCCACAACAGCTCAAGGAGGCCTGCCTGCCTCTGTAGACTCCACATCTGGGGGCAGGGCATAGCTGAAAAAAAGGCAGCAGAAACTTCTGCAGACTTAAACGTCCCTGTCTGATAGCTTTGAAGAGAGTAGTGGTTCTCCCAGCACGGAGTTTGAGATCTGAGAATGGACAGACTGCCTCCCCAAGTGGGTCCCTGATCCCCAAGTAGCCTAACTGGGAGGCATCTCCCAGTACAGGCTGACTGATACCCCATATGGCCGGGTACCCCTCTGAGATGAAGCTTCCAGATGAATGATCAGACAGCAATATTTGCCATTCCGCAATATTTGCTCTTTTGCAGCCTCCACTGGTGATACCCAGGCAAACAGGTTCTGGAGTGGACCTCCAGCAAACTCCAACAGACCTGCAGCTGAGGGTCCTGACTGTTAGAAGGAAAACTAACAAACAGAAAGGACATCCGCACCAAAACCCCATCTGTACGTCACCATCATCAAAGACCAAAGGTAGATAAAACCACAAAGATGGGGAGAAACCAGAGCAGAAAAGCTGAAAATTCTAAAAATCAGAGCACCTCTCCCCCTTCAAAGGAATGCAGCTCCTCGCCAGCAACAGAACAACGCTGGACGGACAATGACTTTGATGAGTTGAGAGAAGAAACTTTCAGACGATCGGTAATAACAAACTTCTCCAAGCTAAAGGAGGATGTTGGAACCCATAGCAAAGAAGCTAAAAACCTTGAAAAAAGATTAGACAAACGGCTAACTAGAATAAACAGCATAGAGAAGACTTTAAATGACCTGTTGGAGCTGAAAAACATGGCACGAGAACTATGTGATGAATGCACAAGCTTCAGTAGACGATTCAATCAACTGGAAGGAAGGGTATCAGTGATTGAAGATCAAATGAATGAAATTAAGTGAGAAGAGAAGTTTAGAGAAAAAAAAAAGTAAAAAGAAACAAACAAAGCCTCCAAGAAATATGGGACTATGTTAAAAGACCAAATCTATGTCTGACTGGTGTACCTGAAACTGACGGGGAGAATGGAACCAAGTTGGAAAACACTCTGCAGGATATTATCCAGGAGAACTTCTCCAATCTAGCAAGGCAGGCCAACATTCAAATTCAGGAAATACAGAGAACGCCACAAAGATACTCCCCGAGAAGAGCAACTCGAAGACACGTAATTGTCAGATTCACCAAACTTGGAATGAAGGAAAAAATGTCAAGGGCAGCCAGAGAAAAAGGACGGGTTACCCACAAAGGGAAGCCCATCAGACTAACACCTGATCTCTCAGCAGAAACTCTACAAGCCAAAAGAGAGTAGAGGCCAATATTCAACATTCTTAAAGAAAAGAATTTTCAACCCAGAATTTCATATCCAGCCAAACTAAGCTTCACAAGTGAAGGAGAAATAAAATCCTTTACAGACAAGCAAATGCTGAGAGATATTGTCAACACAGGCCTGCCTTACAAGAGCTGCTGAAGGAAGCACTAAACATGGAAAGGACCAACCAGTACCAGCCACTGCAAAAACATGCCAAATTGTAAAGACCGTCGAGGCTAGGAAGAAACTGCATCAACTAAAGAGAAAAATAATCAGCTAACATCATAATGACAGGATCAAATTCACACATAACAATATTAACTTTAAATGTAAATGGACTAAATGCTCCAATTAAAAGACACAGACTGGCAAATTGGATAAAGAGTCAAGACCCATCAGTGTGCTGTATTCAGGAGACCCATCTCACGTGCAGAGACACACATAGGCTCAAAATAAAGGGATGGAGGAAGATCTACCAAGCAAATGGAAAACAAAAAAAGGCAGGGGTTGCAATCCTAGTCTCTGATAAAACAGACTTTAAACCAACAAAGGTCAAAAGAGACAAAGAAGGCCATTACATAATGGTAAACAGATCAATTCAACAAGAAGAGCTAACTATCCTAAATATATGCACTCTATACAGGAGCACCCAGATTCATAAAGCAAATAAAGCAAGTACTTAGAGACCTACAAAGAGACTTAGACTCCCACACATTAATAATGGGAGACTAATACCCCACCATCAACATTAGACAGATCAATGAGACAGAAAGTTAACAAGATATCCAGGAATTGAAATCAGCTCTGCACCAAGCAGACCTAATAGACATCTACAGAACTCTCCACCCCAAATCACCAGATTATATATTCTTCTCAGCACCACACTGCACTTATTCGAAAATTGACCACATAGTTGGAAGTAAAGCACTCCTCAGCAAATGTAAAGGAACAGAAATTATAACAAACTATCTCTCAGACCACAGTGCAGTCAAACTAGAACTCAGGATTAAGAAACCCACTCAAAACCACTCAACTACATGGAAACTGAACAACCTGCTCCTGAATGATTACTGGGTACATAATGAAATGAACACAGAAATAGAGATGTTCTTTCAAACCAGTGAGAACAAAAACACAACAAACCAGAATCTCTGGGACACATTTAAAGGAGTGTGTAGAGGGGAATTTATAGCACTAAATGACCACAAGAGAAAGCAGGAAAGATCTAAAGTTGACACCCTAACATCAGAGATAAAAAAACCAGAGAAGCAAGAGCAAACACATTCAAAAGCTACCAGAAGGCAAGAAATAACTAAGATCAGAGAAGAATTGAAGGAGATAGAAAAACAAAAAACCCTTCAAAAAATCAATGAAACCAGGAGCTGGTTTTTTGAAAAGGTCAACAAAATTGATAGACTGCTAGAAAGAATAATAAAGAAGAAAAGAGAGAAGAATCAAATAGATGCAATAAAAAATGATGCAGGGGATATCACCACTGATCCCACAGAAATACAAACTGCCATCAGAGAATACTATAAACATCTCTACACACATAAACTAGAAAATCTAGAAAACATGGATAAATTCCTGGACACATACACCCTCCCAAGACTAAACCAGGAAGAAGTTGAATCCCTGAATACATCAATAACAGGCTCTGAAATTGAGGCAATAATTAATAGCTTACCAGCCAAAAAAAGTCGAGGACCAGACAGATTCACAGCTGAATTCTACCAGAGTTACAAAGAGGAGCTGCTACCATTCCTTCTGAAAGTATTCCAATCAATAGAAGAAGAGGGAATCCTCCCTAACTCATTTTATGAGGCCAGCATCATCCTGATACCAAAGCCTGGCAGAGACACAACCAAAAGAGAGAATTTTAGACCAATATCCCTGACGAACATTGATGCGAAAATCCTCAATAAAATACTGGCAAACTGAACCCAGCAGCACATCAAAAAGTTTATCCACCACGATCAAGTTGCCTTCATCCCTGGGATGCAAGGCTGCTTCAACATCCACAAATCAATAAATGTAATCCATCATATAAACAGAACCAAAGACAAAAACCACAAGGTTATCTCAATAGATGCAGAAAAGGCCTTTGACATATTTCAACAGCCCTTCATGCTAAAAACTCTCAATAAACTAGGTAGTCATGGTATGTATCTCAAAATAATAAGAGCTATTTATGACAAACCCACAGCCAATATCATACTGAATGGACAAAAACTGGAAGCATTCCCTTTCAAAACGGGCAGAAGACAGGGATGCCCTCTCTCACCACCCCTATTCAACATTGTGTTGGAAGTTCCAGCCAGGGCAATCAGGCAGGAGAAAGAAATAAAGGGTATTCAATTAGGGAAAGAGGAAGTCAAATTGTCCCTATTTGCAGATGACATGATTGTATATCTAGAAAACCCCATCGTCTCAGCCCCAAATCTCCCTGAGCTGATATGCAAATTCAGCAAAGTCTCAGGATACAAAATCAATGTGCAAAAATCACAAGCATTCTTATACACCAATAACAGACAAACAGAGAGCCAAATCATGAGTGAATTCCCATTCACAATTGCTTCAAAGAGAATAAAATACCTAGGAATCCAACTTACAAGGGATGTGAAGGACCTCTTCAAGGAGAACTACAAACCACTGCTCAAGGAAATAAAAGAGGATACAAACAAATGGAAGAACATTCCCTGCTCATGGATAGGAAGGATCAATATCATGAAAATGGCCATACTACTCAAGGTAATTTATAGATTCAATGTCATCCCCATCAAGCTACCAATGACTTTTTTCACAGAATTGGAAAAAACTACTTTAAAGTTCACATGGAACCAAAAAAGAGCCCGCATTGCCAAGACAATCCTGAGCCAAAAGAACAAAGCTGGAGGCATCACGCTACCTGACTTCAAACTATACCACAAGGCTACAGTAACCAAAACAGCATGGTACTGGTACCAAACAGAGATATAGACCAATGAAACAGAACAGAGCCCTCAGAAATAATACCACACATCTACAACCATCTGATCTTTGACAAACCTGAGAAAAACAAGAAATGGGGAAAGGATTCCCTATTTAATAAATGGTGCTGGGAGAACTGGCTAGCCATATGTAGAAAGCTGAAACTGGATCCCTTCCTTACACCTTATACAAAAATTAATTCAAGATGGATGAAAGACTTAAATGTTAGACCTAAAGCCATAAAAACCCTGGAAGAAAACCTAGGCAATACCATTCAAGACATAGGCACGGGCAAGGACTTCATGTCTAAAACACCAAAAGCAATGGGAACGAAAGCCAAAATTGACAAATGGGATCTAATTAAACTAAAGAGCTTCTGTACAGCAAAAGAAACTACCAAAAGAGTGAACAGGCAACCTACAGAATGGGAGAAAACTTTTGCAATCTACCCATCTGACAAATGGCTAATATCCAGAATCTACAATGAACTTAAACAAATTTACAAGAAAAAAACAAACAACCCCATCAAAAAGTGGGCAAAGGATATGAACAGACACTTCTCAAAAGAAGACATTTATGCAGCCAAAAGACACATGAAAAAATGCTCATCATCACTGGCCATCAGAGAAATGCAAATCAAAACCACAATGAGATACCATCTCACACCAGTTAGAATGGCAATCATTAAAAAGTCAGGAAACAACAGGTGCTGGACTGGATGTGGAGAAATAGGAACACTTTTACACTGTTGGTGGGACTGGAAACTAGTTCAACCATTGTGGAAGACAGTGTGGCGATTCCCGAAGGATCTAGAACTGGAAATACCATTTGACCCAGCCATCTCATTACTGGGTATATACCCAAAGGATTATAAATCATGCTGCTATAAAGACACATGCACACATATGTTTATTGTGGCACTGTTCACAATAGCAAAGACTTGGAACCAACCCAAAAGTCCATCAATGATAGACTGGATTAAGAAAATGTGGCACATATACACCATGGAATACTATGCAGCCATAAAAAAGAATGAGTTCATGTCCTTTGCAGGGACATGGATGAAGCTGGAAACCATCATTCTGAGCCAACTATCACAAGGACAGAAAACGAAACACCGCATGTTCTCACTCATAGGTGGGAATTGAACAATGAGAACACTTGGATACAGGATGGGGAACATCACACACCAGAGCCTGTTGTGGGGTGGGGGAAGGGGGGAGGGATAGCATTAGGAGATATACCTAATGTAAATGATGAGATAATGGGTGCAGCACACCAACATGGCACATGTATACATATGTAACAAACGTGCACATTGTGCACATGTACCCTAGAACTTAAAGTATAATAATAAAAAAAAATAAGGCTGTCTCTTAAAAAAATAAATAAAATTTAAAAATAGATTAAAAAATATATTTATTTCAGTATCTACTAACCTATACAACACGTGCAGATTGCAACAAATATTATAAGGCATAAAGTGAGGCAACAGAAATTAAGCCTGAAGAGAGACAAAGCAATCCTAAAAGCAAGTTCAGATGTGATTTAGACGTTGGAAATATCAGGCAGGGAATTCAAAACAACTACAATTAGTGTGTTAAAGTTTCCATTGGAAAAGGTACGCAACATGAAAGATCAGATAGGCAATTAAGCAGACAGAGGCAAATTATAAAAAATAATAAAGAGATATTACAAATAAAACATACAGTAACAGAAATGAAGAATGCCTTCAACAGGATCAGCAGTAAACTCAAAACAGCTATGAAAGAACCAGTGAACTTCAATATAGGTCAAAAAATTATCTACTTTCAAATACCAAAAAAAAAAAAGTGAAGAAAACAGAATAGGGCATCCAAGAGCTATAGGACAATATCAAACAATTTAATATATGTGCACTTCCATAAATAGAAGAAATAGAGAGTGGATCAGAATACATATTTGAAGAAATAATGGCCAAGAGTTATCTGAAATTAGTGACAGACACCAAGCCACAGATCCAAGAAGGCAGAGAGCATCAAGCAGTATAAATACCAACACAGACACACACACACACACACACACACACACACACACACACACATGCATGCACACAACTAGGCATATAGTATTCAAAATTCTGAAAACCAAAGGAAAAGAGAACATCTTGAAGATAGTCATAGGAAAAAAAAGACATATTACCCACAAAGGAGAAATGATAAGATTTACAGCAGAATTATCATTGGAAAAAATGCAAACAAGAAGGCAATTGACTGACATCTTCCATGAGTTGGAAAAAAAATTGCCAATCAAGTATGCTTTACCCAGCAAAACTATGCTTCAAAAATGAAGGCTGGGTGGTAGAGCCAAGACGGTTGACTAGACACAGCCAGGAAGAGCTTCCCCCACTGAGAGATTAGACCATCAAAAAGACAAGCACACTCCAAGCAGATCTTCTGAAGTAAGGCATTGATGGTGGATAGAGGGAGGATGCAGACCCTGGGGTAAAGGGAGAGGAAACTGGGAACTCTGCATGAGGTTGCCAAACACTAGGACTCATTCCTGGCCTCAAGTGGCTCCTGGGGAAGAGGTGAGTAGGCATGGGGTGGCCTACTTTCACCATAAACTTTATGAATACTAGCTGCAGGAGATCTCATGACCTCCACGGACATTTGAGCTGTCAGGGAGAGCTGCTTGGAGAGCTAGCCAGGATGGGACTCCAGCCTGCATGGAGCCCAGAGGGTTTAGCATAGGAATGGCTGCAGTGGAGCATAGCCAGTGATGTCCATTTACCAAGGCTTACCATCCTCCTCTGGGTGGCTTTGGCCTTTGTTGACTGTCAAGTATGGACAGAACAGGGCTATCTTGCCTGTGAAATGGATCCAGTCAGATTTGAGCAGGCCACTCTTTGCTGGCCTCTCTCAGAGTACCTTCCTGGCCATGCCCACTTGAAGCACAGTCTCAGATGTTCAACTGGGGAGCATCCTGGTGGCTAATACCATAACTCCTTCATTGGCAGATCCCACCTAACCATTGCAGAGCTTCTGCAGATGATCCCCTATAAGCATGCACCCACCCACAGGCTTCCCCCACTGCCTTGCCAGCATGTACTTGGCCACACCCTCTGCCTACCACTTTGCTGGCAGGTATAAGCATGTGAACTTTGCTGCCTAGCCACTGCCAGCACAAGTGCATATACATGGTTCCTGCTTCTGCACCACATGTGCTGGTGCACGCACATGTGGACGCCACTGCCTTACGCCCACCCTGCCAGCACTGTTATGCATATGCCAGCATGGGCCTTGCCACCTCTATAAAATGATTTTGCCTGCATCCCCCATCAGAGTGTTGTTGCCAGTGGATCAGAAACATCTTGGCTCCTCCAATGCAACAGATGCTTAATTTTGAGGGGCCAGATAACAAAGCCATGGGCCTGGGCCCAGTCCTCTAGTGTTACAGCATGCAGCCCAGGAGTGCCGAGCTGAGTCTTGGCCCTCTGAAATCATCCAGAAATGAAGCTAGTGGACTGAATCCAACTTATACTAAAGTCAAGCCCTTAAGGACATCAAAGAATATAAAAGCAAAAAGCCCCATGCAAAAGACAGCAACTTCAAAGACTAAAAGAACATCAGATGAGAAAGAGCTGACATAAGAATCTGGCATCTCAAAAAACCAGAGTGTCTTCTTACCTCCAAATGACCACACTAGCTCTGGAGTCATGGTTCTTATCCAGGCTGAAATGGCAGAAATGAAAAGCATAGAATTCAGAATCTGGATGGCAATGAAGATCATCGACATTCAAAAGAAACTTGAAACCCAATCCAAGGAATCCAAGGAACCCAGTAAAATGATACAAGAACTGAAAGGTGAAAGAAGCATTTTAAGAAAGAAGCAAACTGATCTGATAGAGATGAAAAGTTTACTACAAGAATTTTGTAATACAATCAGAAGTATTAACAACAAAATAAACCAAACTGAAGAATCTCAGAGCTCAAAGACCAGTTCTTCAAATTGACTTAGACAAAAATACAGCAAAAAGAATAAAAAAGAATGAGCAAAAGAGACCAAACCTATGACTTATTTGTGTCCATGAAAGAAAGGGAAAGAGAACAAGCAACTTGGAAAACTTAGCTGAGGATATTATCCATGAAAATTTCCCCAACCTCACTAGAGAGGTCAACATTCAAATTCAGGAAATGTAGAGAAACCCTGCAAGATACTATACAAGACAACCATCCCCAAGACACGTAATCATCAGATTCTCCAAGATAAACATGAAAGAAAAAATCTTAAAGGCAGCTAGAAAGAAGGGGCAGGTCATCTACAAAGGGAGCCCTGTCAGACTAACAGCAGAACTTTCAGCAGAAACTCCACAAGCCAGGAGAGCTTGGGGGCCTATATTCATCATTCTTAAAGAAACAAAATTCCAGTCAAGAATTTTATATCCAGCTAAACTAAGCTTCATAAGTGTAGGAGAAATAAAATAAAATCCTTTTCAGACAAGCAAATGCAAAGGGAATTCATTACCACCAGACCTGCCTCACAAAAGGTCCTTTAAGGGAGTGCTAAATATGGAAATGAAAGACTCTTACCAGCCAAAACAGAAACATGCTTTAGTATATAAATCATTGACACTAATAAAACAATGACACAATCAAGTTGTAAACCAAAAATAAAATTCGAAGCCCCCCGCCCCACTCCCCCACACCCCTGCCTCCTGCAACCATCTGAATGGACTCCCTTATTAGCTAGGGCACTCTAAAATTTAATCTGAAAGACTGGTTCAGGTCATGATGGAAAGTGGGTATTGGACGTGCCTATTATACCCCTCCAGCATTAACATCAACACAGACCTTAAGTCTGATCAGAAATACTTACAATCTATTTTCTCTGAAGCCTGCTGCCTGAAGCTTCATCTGCATGATAAAACCTTGGTCTCCACAACCCCTTATCTTAACCCAGATATTTCTTTCTACTGATAATAACTCTTAACCAATTACCAATCAGAATATGTTTAAATCTACTTTTGACCTGGAATACTGCTCCCCTCCCACCCACACCCCTGCTTCGAGTTGTCTCACCCTTCTAGATTGAACCAATGTAAGTCTTATATATAGAGATTGATGTATTATGTCCCCCTAAAATGTATACAAGCAAGCTGTGCCCCAATCAACTTGGCACATGTCATCAGGACCTCCTGAGGCTGTGTCATAATTGCATTCTTAACCTTGGCAAAATAAACTTTCTATATTGACTGAGACCTGTCTCAGATACTTTGGGTTCACAAAGTTTACAGAACATTCAGCTAACAGCACAATTAACAGGATGAAATCAGCACATATCAATATTAACCTTGAAAGTAAATGGGTTAAACACTCCACTTAAAAGGCACAGAGTAGCAAATTGTATGAAGATGCAAGATCAAACTCTATGGTACCTTTAAGAGACCCATTTCACATGCAATGATACCCACAGGCTCAAAGTAAAGGGATAGGGAAAGATCTATTAAGAAAATGGAAAAGAAAAAAAGCAAGGGTTGCCTTTCTTATTTCAGACAAAACAGACTTTAAGCCAACAATTATTTAAAAAAAAATAAACAAGGACATTACATAATGAAAGATGGTTTCATTCAACAAGAAGATTTAAGTATCCTAAATATACATGCACACAACACTGGAGCACTCAGATTCATAAAACAAGTTATTAGAGAGTTATGAAGAAACTAGAATAACCACACAGTAATATAATAGTGGGAGACTTCAACACCCCACTGACAGTATTATAGAGATCATTGAGGCAGAAAACTAACAAAGATATTTGGGACCTAAATTCAACACTTGATCAAATGTACCTAACATATATCTACAGACTCTATCCAACAACATTCTTCTTATCTGCACATGGCACACACTCTAAAATTGACCACACACTTGGCCATAAAGTAATTCTCAAAAAATTCAAATAAACTGAAATTTCAGCAACCACATGCTCGGATCATGGCACAATACAAATAGAAATCAATGCTAAGAAAATCTCTCAAAACCATATAACAACATGAAAATTAAACAATCTGCTCCTGAATGACTTTTGATAAACAATGAAATTAAGGCAGAAATCAAGAAATTCTTTGAAATTAATGAAAACAAAGCTACAACATACCAGAAACTCTGGGACACAGCTAAAGCAGTATTAAGAGGGAACTTCTTAGTGCTAAATGCCCACGTCAATAATTTGGAACGATCTCAAATTAACAATCTCATATCACACCTACAGGAACTAGAAAAACAAGAGCAAGCCAACCCCAAAGCTAGCGGAAAATAAGAAATAACCGAAATCTGATCTTAACTGAATAAAATGGGGACAGGAAAAAACCACATAAAAGATCAATAAAAGCAAAAGTTTGTTCTTTGAAAAAAATAAGACTGATAGACCACTAGCTAGACTAATAAAGAAAAAAGGAGAGAAGATCCAAATAAACACACCCAGAAATGACTCAGTGGACATTACCACTAACCCCAGAGAAATACAAAAAACCCTCAGAGACTATTATGAATATTTCTATGCACACAAACTAGAAAGCCGACAAGAAATAGATAAATTCTAGGAAATATACAACCCTCCAAGGTTGAATGAGGAAGTAATTGAAACCCTGAACAGGCCAATAATCAGTTCTGAAATTTAGTCAGTAATAAAAGGCCTACCAACCCGAAAAAGCCCTGGGACAGATGGATTCACAGCTGAGTTCTATCAGACCTATGAAGAAGAGATGGTACCAATCTTTCTGAAACTACTCCCAAAAATCGAGTAGGAGAGACTCCTCCATAACTCATTCTATGAGCCCAGCATCATTCTGATACCAAAATCTGGCAGAGACACAACAAAAAAAGAAAACTTCAGGCCAATATTTCTTATGAACATAGATGCAACTCTCAACAAAATACTAGCAAACCAAATCTGGCAGCACATTAAAAAGCTAATCCACCAAAATCAACTAGATTTTATTCCTGGGATCCAAGGTTGGTTCAATATACACAAATCAATAAATGTGATTCATCACATAAACAAAAACCACATGCATGATAATCTCGATGGATGCAGAAAGGCTTTTTTTTTTTTTTTTTTTTTTTTGAGATGGAGTCTTGCTCTGTCACCCAGGCTGGAGTGCAGTGGCGCAATCTCGGCTCACTGCAAGCTCCGCCTCCGGGTTCACGCCATTCTCCTGTCTCAGCCTCCCGAGTAGCTGGGACTACAGGCGCCTGCCACCACGCCCAGCTAATTTTTTGTATTTTTTTTAGTAGAGACGGCGTTTCACCATGTTAGCCAGGATGGTCTCGATCTCCTGACCTCGTGATCCGCCCGCCTCGGCCTCCCAAAGTGCTGGGATTACAGGCGTGAGCCACCGTGCCCAGCCAGAAAGGCTTTTAATAAAATTCTGCATCCCTTCATGTTAATTATCCTCAATAAACTAGGCATCAAATAAACATATCTCAAAACTATGACAAACCCACGACCAACAAGATACTGAATGGGCAAAAACTGGAAGCATTCCTCTTAAGAACCAGAACAAGACAAGGATATCCATTCTCACCACTTCTAGCCAACATAGTACTAGAAGTCCTAGCCAGAGCAATCAGACAAGAGAAAGAAATAAAAGGCATCCAAATAGGTAGAGAGGAAGTCAAACTGTCCCTGTTTACAGATGATATAATTCTCTACCTAGAAAACCCAATAGTCTCTGCCCAGAAGCTCCTAGATCTGATGAACAATGTCAGAAAAGTTTCAAGATACAAAATCAATGTACAAAAATCTGCAACATTTTTATACTCCAACAACATCCAAGCTGAGAACCAAATCAAGAACACAACCCCATTCACAATAGCCATAAAAACAACAAAATGCATAGAAATACAGCTAGCCATGGAGATGAAAGATCTCCACAATGAGAATTACAAAACACTGAAGAAAGAAATCAGAGATGACACAAATGGAGAAATATTCCATGCTTATGGATTAGAAGATTCAATATTGTTAAATTTGCCATATTGCCCCAAGCAATTTGCAGGTTCAGTGCTATTGCTATCAAACTGCCAATGACATTTTGCACTTAATTAGGAAAAAATGATTCTAAAATTCATATGGAACCAAAAAAGAGCCAATTAGTCCTAAGCAAAAAGAGCAATGTTACAGGCATCACACCACCCAACCTCAAACTATACTACGAGGCTACAGTAACCAAAACAGCATGTTTCTGGTCCAAAACAGACACATAGATCAATGGAATAGGTCAGAGAACGAAAAAATACACCTGCATACCTACAACCATCTGATCTTTGACAAAGCTGACAAAAATGAACAATGGGGAAAAGACTCCCTATTCAACAAATGGTGCTGGGATAACTGGCCAGCCACATGCAGATGATTGAAACTAAACTCCAACCTTTCACCATATACAAAAATCAAGTCAACATGGATTAAAGACTTCCATGTAAAACCGAAAATTATAATAACCCTGGAAAAAAAACCTAGGAAATACCATTCTGAACATAGGCTCTGGCAAAGATTTCATAATGAAGACTCCAAAAACAATGCTATATAAACAAAAAATTGACAAGTGGGACCTAATTAAAGAGCTTTCACACAGCAAAGGAAACTATCAACAGAGTTAACAGACAACCTACAGAATGGTAGAAAATATATGCAATCTATGCATCTGACTATAATGTTCAATATACAGAATCTATATGTAACTTAAAAAAATTAGCAAGTAAAAACAACCCCATTATAAAATAGGCAAAGGACATGAACAGATACTTCTCAAAAGAAGACAAACACACGGCCAAAAAACATATGAAAAAATGCTCCACAGCACTAATAATTAGAGAAATGCAAATCGAAATCACAATGAGATACTATCTCATACCAGGCACAATGGTTACTATTTAAAAGTCCAAAAACTACTGATGCTGGCCAAGCTTCAGAAAAAAAGGAATGCTTATACACTGTTGGTGGGTATGTAAATTAGCTTAGCCACTGAGGAAAGCAGTTTGGAGATTTCTCAAATAACTTAGAACTACCATTCAACCCAGCAATTCCATTACTGGCTATATATCCAAAAGAATATAAATTGTTCTACCATAAAGACACATGCATGTGTATGTTCATTGCAGCACTATTCACAGTAGCAAAGATATGGAAGCAACGTAAAGCCCATCAAAGGTGGACTGGATAAACAAAATGTGGTACATGTATATGATGGAATGCTACACAGTCATAAAAAAGTGAAATCATGTCCTTTGTAGCAGCATGGATGCAGCTGGAGGCCATTATCCTAGGTGAATTAATGCAAGAACAGGGAATAAAATATCATACATTCTCACTCATAAGTGGGAGCTAAACATTGAGTACACACGGAAACAAAGAAGGAAACAATACATGCTGGGGCCTACTTGAGGGTGAATGGTGGGAGGAGGTTGAGGATCAAAAAACTACCTATTGGGTACTATGCTAAAAAAAAAGTTGGCTGTGAAATCCTCCACAAATAAAAGTATACCCCATGCGTACACACACAAATGAAGACTGGACTTCAATTTTCAGCTCAAACATGGAAGGAGATAGAAAGAGGTAAGACTTATACTCACAATAAAAAAACAGCTGGACAGACAGTATATTAATTTTGTTATCTGATTCCAACATGGATCTGGGTTCACAAAAATAACAGCCTTCCTGAAATTTTGAGACAGACACACAATGCCTTGAGCATCTTATTACCTAGGGAAGAAGGTGTTGAATTTCATGTAAGCTGGTATGAAGATTAAAATAGAAATTTTAGTAAAGTGTTGGAGACCAAATATAGCCTACAAATATAGCTAGAAAGTGTGAATTCCTGGAGGCCACACTCATAGAGGGGGACACCACTCTTATGCAGGCTTTTAAAGGAACTCCACCAGGCTCTCAAAGTGAGAATAAAGAAGAACCTAGAAAAATTACCTCCCTCTCCCATAGTGATGACTGGGGCAACGGAACATCAAGCCACTGGGATATCTTCTCAGACGCTTTTACCTTATAGAAAAAAATTCCTAATTAGCAGGGTGCAGAATATCACTGGGGGCACTAGTGAAATACCACTGCAGCTGGAGAAATGCTCAGATCCCATCCACAACCTCACCTACGTCAAAAAATAACAAAAAAGTCTTAATCTGCAGAAGGAAGGTCCTCAAGTTGAAGACACAGAATATTGGCTGATATCCACGGCAGCTCAGGGAATTGAGTGAGGATGGTGAAAGCTCTAGCCATCCAGGAGTGATAGAAAAGCCTGTAAGGGCCACACCCTGAGAGACAGGCCCGCTGTGTACTCCAAAGACTAAGACATAATAAGAACATTATGTCTCTATCTCCACAGTAAAAAAAGAAAGAAAGAAAAGTCATATCCTTCGCCCACTTTTTGATGGGGTTGTTTGTTTTTTTCTTGTAAATTTGATGGAGTTCATTGTAGATTCTGGATATTAGCCCTTTGTCAGATGAGTAGGTTGTGAAAATTTTCTCCCATTTTGTAGGTTGCCTGTTCACTCTGATGGTAGTTTCTTTTGCTGTGCAGAAGCTCTTTAGTTTAATTAGATCCCATTTGTCAATTTTGGCTTTTGTTGCCATTGCTTTTGGTGTTTTAGACATGAAGTCCTTGCCCATGCCTATGTCCTGAATGGTAATGCCTAGGTTTTCTTCTAGGGTTTTTATGGTTTTAGGTCTAACGTTTAAGTCTTTAATCCATCTTGAATTGATTTTTGTATAAGATGTAAGGAAGGGATCCAGTTTCAGCTTTCTACATATGGCTAGCCAGTTCTCCCAGCACCATTTATTAAATAGGGAATCCTTTCCCCATTGCTTGTTTTTCTCAGGTTTGTCAAGATCAGATAGTTGTAGTTATGCAGCGTTATTAAATGTGGCACATATACACCATGGAATACTATGCAGCCATAAAAAATGATGAGTTCATGCCCTTTGTAGGGACGTGGATGAAATTGGAAATCATCATTCTCAGTAAACTGTCGCAAGAACAAAAAACCAAACACTGCATATTCTCACTCATAGGTGGGAATTGAACAATGAGATCACATGGACACAGGAAGGGGAACATCACACTCTGGGGACTGTTGTGGGGTGGGGGGAGGGGGGAGGGATAGCACTGGGCGATATACCTAATGCTAGATGACGAGTTAGTGGGTGCAGCGCAACAGCATGGCACATGTATACATATGTAACTAACCTGCACAATGTGCACATGTACCCTAAAACTTAAAGTATAATAATAAAATAAAAAAAGAAAAAAAAAGAAAAAAAAGAAAAATAAAAAAACAGAAAAAAAAAACACAGTCTGATGAGACAAACAAGTAATCAGAACCAAACTCAGCAATGATACATATGTTGGAACTATCATACGGGGAATTTAAAATAACTATGATTAATATGTTAAAACCTCTAATAGAAAAGGTAGACCACATGCAAGAGTAGTAGATAGGTGATTTCAGTAAAGAAATTGAAACCATAAATGTGAAACCAAGAAAAATAGTAGAAATAAGAAATATGATAACAAATATGAAAAATGTCTTTTAGAGGATCATCACTGATTTACAGAGCAAAGGGATAAATTAGTGAACTTGAAAATAGAACTATGGAAGTTACACAAAGAGTGTAAAAAGCAGAACAGAAAATCTAAGAGATGTGGGGTAATAGCAAATGATGTAACACATAAGTAATTGGAATCACAGAAATAAAAATAAGACAGAGAAAATATTTGAAAAAACAGTGGGTGTTTTTTTCCAGTATTAGTGATAGACATGAAACCAAAGATCCAAGAAGCTCAGAGAACACCAGACAGAGTAAAATAAAAATAAAATAAAACCAAATAAATAAAAACCAAATAAAAACACACACTCACACACCACTAGGCATATCAAAATATAACTCCTGAAAAACAAAGACAAAGGGAAAATCTTGAAGGCAACCAGAGAAAATGAACAACTTACCTATAAAGAAACAAGATTAAGAGTTCGAGTAAATTCTCGTCACAAAATGTGTTATGGATTGAACTGTGTCCCTCCAAAAGATATCTGATGTTCTTACCCCTAGTACCTATGGATAGATGTGACCTTATTTGCAAATAGAGTCTTTGTGGATGCAATCATGTTAATATGAGGTCATACTCAATTAAAGTGGGCTCCAATTCAATTTGACTGTTGCCTTTAAAAGAAGAGAAAATGTGTAGCACTGAAGGTATACATTGGAAAAGAAAAAATATACCTAAAATCTGTTTATTAAGATCCCACCCTAGTACAGAAAGAAGAGAAAATTTAACTTAAACAGAAGGGATAAAATAATAAAAAATAGAGCAGAAATCAATGAAATTGCAAATGGGAAAACAAAGAAAATCAATGAAAGCAAAAGTTGGTTAGTGAAAAGATTAATAAAGTTGATAAACCTCTAGCCAAAGAGAATGAGAGAGAGAAAACACTTATTACCAATATCAGGAATAAAAGTAAGGGAATGATTACTGATCACACAGCTGTTAAACAGATGATAAGGAAAAACAATGAACAAGTTTGTGCCATTCAATTTTAAAATTTTGGCAAATTAAACCAATTCCTCAGGGAAAAAAAAACACTTACTACCAAAACGTACTAAAGAAGAGAAAGAGATAATCTGAACATCCCTGGACCTATTAAATTGAATTTATAGTAAAAGCAAACAAACAAAATTAAAAATCTTCCAAAAAAACCTATTTCAGGCCCAGATGGTTTCACTGGTGAGTTTTACCAAAACTTGAAAAAAGAAACAACATCAATTCTCCACATTTTCTCCCAGAAAACAGAAAAGGAGAGAACACCTCTCAACATATTTTATGAGGCCAGCATTAGCCTAATATTAAAGCCATACAAAAACATTATAAGTAAACTGTAGATCAATATCTCTCATAAATACAGTCATAAAAATCCTTAACAAAATATTAGCAAAAAGAATTCATCAATATATAAAAAAGGATAAAATATCATCATAAGCAGGTTTGTCCCAGTAATCCAAGTGGATTAAATAGTAAAAAAAATCAATGTAATTCACCATACTAATGACTAAATTTTTAAAATCATATAATCACATCAGTAGATGCGGAAGAAAATCTTTTGAGAAAATTTGATACCCATTCATTATAAAAATTCTTTGTAAACTAGAAATGGAAGATAACTTCCTCAATCTGATAAAGGCAATCTATGCAAAATCTACAGGTGATATATTAATGGTGAGACACAACATTTTCCTTGTATGATTTATAGTAAGACAAGGATGGCCTCACTAACAACTCCTGTTCAACTTTGTGCTGGAATTCCTAGCTAATGATATGAGTCATGAAAAAGAAATAAAAGACAGGCAATGTGGAAATAAATAAAATTATATTTGTTCTCTGATAAACTAATTTTTTTAATGTGAAAATACCAATGTCTACAAAAAGTGCTGCTGAAATTTATAAGTTTAGCAAAGATCCAAAATACCAGATTAACCTACAAAAGTCAATTGTGATCCTATATACTATCAATAAACAATTGGAATCTGAAATTTAAAATCAACCCTATTTACAATAGCACCAAATAATGAAGGACTTAAATATAAATATAATAAAATATATGCAAAATCTGTATGCAGAAAGTATAAAACAATGATGAGAGAAATAAAAGAAGATATAAATGAATGAGACATACTATGTTGACTAATTTGAAGACTCACCATTTTTAAAATGTAAATTCTCCCCAACTTTATCTATAGATGTAATGTAATCTCAATCAAAATTCAAGAAAGCAATTTTATAGACATTGAAAACTTTATTCTATAATGTATATGGAAAGGAAAAAGGAACATAAGGAACTAGCAAAAAATATCTTTGAAAAAGATTAACAAAGTTGGAGGACTCACATTACCTGATCCTAAGACTTTTTATAAGGCTACAGTAATCAAGCCAGTTTTTTACTGGCATAGACACATAGATCAAAGGAACAGAATAGAGAGCCCAGAAATAGACCCTAATATATAACATTGACTAATGTTGACAAGTTTTAAACAAATTTAATGAAAAAACAAAGATAATTTTTTCAACAAATTGTACTGGAACAACTGGACAATTGAACACTCATACATAACAAAAAATAAAATTAACACCTTATGCAAAAATTAACTCATAATTGATCATAGAACTCATTATAAGTTATAAAACTATAAAAATTTTAGAAGAAAATATAACAGTAGATATGCTTAACTTAGACATTAGCAATGAAATTTCAGATATGATACTAATATCAAGGTCCATGAAATAAAAAAAGAATAGATTGAACTTTGTTGAAAATTTTAAAACCTGATGTGTAAAAGACACTTTAAGAGAATGAAAAGATAAGGCACACATTGGGAAGAAATATTTACAAGTGATATATCCAATAAATTACTTATATCAAAAATATATAAAGAACATCAAAAACTCAATAATAAGAAATCAAACAACCCAATTAAAAAATAGGGAAAACAGGAGATGGACATCAGCAAGATGGCAGAATAGGACTCAACAATGCTTGACCCCTTTCAGAAACATCAATTTGAACAACTATCCATGCATGAAAATACCTTCATAAGAGCTAAGGAAACAAGGTGAGAGATTATAGCACCTGGATATAGCGCTGAAATAAGAAAAGATGCATTGAAGAGGGTAGGAAAAATAATTTTACATTACCCCTTCCCCAACTGCAGACAGCACAGCATGGAGAAACAACCTTCATGTGGGGGAAAGAGAAGGAACTGAGTACACAGTTTTGTCTGAATCCCAAAACTGGGCCTGCTACAGTAAAACCCAATGTCAAGCAGGTCCCCACAGACCCAGACTTCAAGCTGGTACTCTCAGACTGAGGCTTCAGGCCCTTTCTGACACAGGGCTATATCCCATGGCCCCAGGTTCTTAGCCTACCCAGTAGACTCAGTCTCCAGGACAGCCCACCACCAGGCCAACCTCAGCAGCCCCAGGCTCCAGACTTCCCTCAGCACCAGACCAGCCCCAGTGGCCTCAGGTCCCTGGCTGCCCTACCTCCAGGCTGAACCAAGTGGCCCCAGGTTCTGGATCACCTCCAGTACCCAGATGACCCTCACAGCCACAGGCTTTAGGCCTGCCCTAGCACTAGGCCAACCCCACAGCACTAGTCATCAGGCAGGTACCATGGACTGAACCTGCAAGCCCTTCCCATTGCCAGGCAGGAACTTGTAGCCACAGGCTTCAGGCCTTCCTGGCAGAAGTGGTTTCTGGACTGAACTCAGTGCCAGGCCAACTCCAGCTATTCCATGCTCTAGACTAGTCCCAGCAACAGGTAGGCCCTAGGCTTTGGGCCCAGCCAAGCACCAGGGGTTTCAAGCCCACTCTAGCACAGGCCAGCACCCATGGACCCAGAACCTTGGCTGGCTCTTGCAGATACAGGATCCAGGTCCGCACAGCACCAAGCCAGCCCCCGACTTCAGGCCTACCATGGCAACATGTTGGCAACTCTGGCCTCAACCACCAGGCAGGTACCTGCAGACACAGGCTTCAGGTCAGCCTAGTACCAGACTGGCTCCTGTAGCCCCACCCTTTAGACCAGCTTATGTGGGTTCACATTCCAGCAGATCCAGTGTCCAGGCCAGGACCAGAAGATGCAAGGTCTAGGTCTGTCCCAGTAGATCCTAGCACTGTATGGGTCTCCATGGACTCAGGCTCTAGGAATGCCCTTATGTATCCAGGTCCTAGGCCAGCCTCCAAGGACCCATGACCTATGCCAGTCTTTACAGAAAACTTCTAAGCCAGCACCAACAGACACAGGCTACAGGCCAGTCTCTATGGCCTCAGGCTCCAGGTCAGTCCCCATGGCTCCAGGCAACAGACAGTGCCTACAATCCCAGGCCCCAGAGCAGCCCTTGTGGACCTAGGTTCCATCTCAGACCCAGCACCAGGCAGGTCTCAGGCTTAAGGCCAGACTCCATAGCCTCTGGCTCCAGAGCACTCAGGTTCCAGGTATGCCCCACAAGACTCAGGGGCCAGGCCCACCCTGGCAGACCCTGGTACCAGGCCAGATGCCATGAACTGAGGCTCAATGACCACCCTTACAGACCCAGGCTTCAGACCAGACCCTGTGGACTCAAAATCCAGACCTACCTCCTTGAACTCAAGCTCCAGGTCTGCTCCAGTGCTATGCAAGCTCCCAAGGACTCAGGCTCCAGGCCTGTCTCAGAGTTCCCAGGTACCAGGGCCACTCCAGTGTCAGCAGATCCCCTGTGGACCCAGACACCAGGTCAGCCTACCTGCTGATCCAGGCACCAGGCCAACCTGCCCAAGGACTCCTGCAGCAAGCATACCCTCACTCGACACAAGATGGCCTGCCCATAATCTCTGGATGTGAAGAGCTTTCCCAGACAAAGCCAGTTCTGCAAAGACTAAAATAAATCCCTATTTCTTCAAATGTGCAGACATCAAGGTAAGGCAATAAGAAATAAGAACAACTAAAGGACAAAACACCACCAAAAGAACACAGTAAGCACCCAGTAGCTGACCCTAAAGAAATCAGGATATGCAAACTCCCAGATGAATAATTCAAAATAATTGTACTAAGGAAGCTCATCTAACTTCAAGAAAATACAGATAAATAAAGCATTTAAGTCAGGAAAACAATGAATGAACAAAATGAGAAATTCTAGAGACAGATTGAAATTATTTTAAAAATCAATCAGAAATTCTAGAGCTGAAAAATATAATGAATTAAATTAAAACTGATCAAGCAGAAAAAAGAATCTGAACTTGAAGACAAGTTATTTGATAACATATAGTCAGAGAAGAAAAAAGAAAAAAGAATAAAAAGGAATCAAGAAAGCCAACAGAATTTATGAAATGGAAGAAAAAGACAGGAGTAGAAAGCTTAGTTAAAGAAATAATAGCAGAAAATTTTTCAAAATTGGAAAAGGATATAAATATCCAGGTACAAGAATGTCAAAAGTCTCCAATCAGATTCAGTTCAAACAAGACTACACCATGACATATTATAATCAAGTTGTTAAAAATCAAGGACAAAGAAAGGATCCTGAAAGCACCAAAAGAAGCAAATCACACATAAGTGAGTTTCAATAAGGCTAGCAGTGGATCTCTTTATGAAGACCTTACAGGCCAAGAGACAGTGAGATGATACATTCAATATATTGAAGGAAAAAAACGGCCAATAAAGAATATTGTACCCAAGAAACCTATCCTCCAGAAATGAAGGAGAGCCATGACTTCCCCAGACAAACAAAAGCTAAGGGAATTCATCACCACCAGACCTGTCTTACAAGAAATGCTAAAGGGAGTTTTTCAAGCTGAAAGAAAAAAAAATGTTAATTCTTAACACAAAGAATCTGAAGGCATAAAATTCACTGGTAATAGTAAGCACACAGTAAAATTCAAAATACACTAATACTAAAAGAGTTGTGTTTAAATCACTTATATCTTTAGTATGAAGATTAAAAGACAAAACTACTAAAAATAATAGTAGCAAAGATTTGAATAGGCACTGCACTAAAAAAGATACATGAATCGTAAATAAGCAAGTACAAAAAATGTTCAACATCATTTTCCATGATTGAAAGGAAATTTAAAACTATTAAATACCACTGCACATGTATTAGGATGGCTAAAACAAAAACCTGACAAATATACATAAACATTGTACTCTAGTTGTTAATTTATCACAGGGGTACAGATTAGCATTTCTGAAACTACATTACCACTTATACCCAGGTCTTTCAATGTTTCAAAGAAGTTATAAATAAGCAAAAACAAAAGGTCGGAATAAAACTCTGTGATATTAGAGTGAGAGGTATCAATATGAACTGAGGGGGTGTACATAGATCAGTACACATACATATATTACTTAGCTCTTTCCACTGAGAGAACAGAGAAGCAGGAGTGCCATGGTAATAATGTGCACACTCCATGCCCCGATCTTGACTTCTAAATACCATTATCCAATAACATGAACCAGAACTAATGTTTACAATGGCTGATTCCAGAAGACAAAAGAGAAATGATGAATAATTGCAATGTGGTATCCCAGATTGGATACTTGAATAGTAAAAGAACATTAGTAGAAAAAAACTAGTGAAATCTGAATAAAATCTGCCATTTAGTTAATAGTAATGTGCCAACGTTAATGTTTTTAGTTTTGACAAATGTGCCATAGTTATATAAGATGTTAATGTTAATCAGAAATAGGGTACAAAAAACTCTGTACTTCAAGTTAAAAAAATCTTAAACCATTCAAAAAATGAAATATTTATCTTAAAAACTCACTAATTCTATTGAATTAAAGACATTTTCCCTGTGGCTACAATTATTCCTTAAGACATCACATTCAGATGTCACATGAACTCATTCAAAGCTGACCTTGTCTCTCTTGCCCATTGCTGTACTCCCAGCATCTTTACTTTGCTTGTCACACAATAGGTATGCAATAAATATTTTTAAAGGAGTCAAATAAATGTTTTTCACATATTCAGTTAGAATATACACTCAGATGTTACACTCACTTATTCTTTTGTGGCACTCATTTATAACCCATTTCCTAATTCAGATGTCAAACACACACTCAGGTATTTTACATATATTTTTTTCAGATGTAGCACACAGTCCTCCACATATCATACATAGTATCTTAGCTGTCATAGGTATACAACTGTTACTTACACTCTTTTGGACATTACTCACATATTATAACACATACCCTAATTCAGGTGTTTAATACAAAGTTTAGATGAATAGCTTGCTTACATGGATGCCACAAACACCCATTCAATGTTTAATTGAATGTTTTAATTGGGATATTAAAAAATTCAGATATTACACATGCAGATGTCAACTTTGACAATCACACATTCATCATGATATCAAATATACTCAACAAAATGCAATACACACTCTCTTAGATGCCAAACACTCATTGAGAAGTTATAATGTTTTTTGTCATTACAGTCATTCAGTTGTGAACCCCTCATTGAGTAGTCTTATACGTTCATGCAGAGGACACAATTAGTTTTAATCTACACATTCAAATATTATCCACACATTTAAAAGGTCACATTCAGATAATACATATGCAAACTATTTGACATGTTGCTCACACAATGAAATGGAATATACCCATTCTAAGGTTAAACCCTTCATTGGATGTCATAACCACTTCTCAGATCAAAATACACTTAATAGGATGCAAACCACATATTCAGCTAGTCCACATTCTAAGGTATAATCCATGTTCAGTCTATATGTCACACACATTTAATTGGATGTTATCTTAGTCCATTTGTGTTACTATAAAGGAATACCTGAGGCTGGGTAATTGATAAAACAGATTTACTTGGCTCACAGTTCCTCAGGCTGTACAAGAAGCATGGCACCAACATCTGCTTCTACTGAAGGTAGAAGGTGAAGGGGAGCAGGCATCACATGGCAAAAGAGGAAGGAAGAGAGAGGGGAGAGAGGTGCCAAGCTCTTTTCAACAATCAGCTCTTGCGAAAAATAAGAGTGAGAACTCATTACTGCAAGAATGACACAAAGTTTTTCATGAGGGATCCACCACTATGATCCAAACACCCCGCATTAGGCCACAACTCCAACATTGAGAATTACATTTCTGCCTGAGATTTTGAGGGGACAAATATCTAAACTATATCAGATATAAAATGCTTACAATGAGATATTCAAAACATTTATTTATCTCACACTTCTTTGTGTGATGTGCACATTTATCCTGATGTTACCCTCACAATCAGGTTAGGTATTTTACTTACATGTCCTTGAATCATTGCTGGTTTCCCAATAATTACATAATTTTGGACTCTCAGTTTTCTTGTCCATGACCTTTTCCATGTGGGCAGGTTTTGATCTCTCTTAGGTAGAATGGGAAATGTATAAAAAGAGCAGATGGGAGAAAAGGATGGTCTATCACAACTCTCTCTCTCTTACGTGCCCACAGACACACACACACACACACACACACACACACACACACACACACACACACACACACACCTGACCAGGTCCTAGGTAACCTAAATAATATGCAACTCTTCATTGGTTTCCCCTAAAGGGGCAGGACCAGTCTTCCCAAGGACTTTAACAACCTGTTTGAGTTTTTATGCTTTTCCCCCTCCCCAGCTGTATTAAGTTATAATTGATAAATAAAACTTGTATATATTTAAGCTATACAACATGATAATTTGATATATGTACACATTGTGAAATGATTAACACAATCAGATTAATCAACACAACCATCACCTCACATAGTTACCAGTTTTTTTAAAAAAATTAGTTTCAGTGGTACATGTGCAAGTTTGTTAAACAGATATATTATGTAATGCTGGGGTTTGGACTTCTGTTGAACCCGTCCCCCAAATAGTGAACATAGTACTTAATAGTTAGTTTTACAACCCTTGTCCCTTCCCTCCCTCCCCACTTTTGGAGACTCCAGTGTCTATTGTTTCCATCTTTATGTCTGTGTACCACTTTTTAAATTTTTATTTTTTAGAGAGGGTCTTGCTATGTTGCCCAGGCTGTTCACAGACTCTGAACTTAAGTAACCCCCACAACCTCAGCCTCCTAAGTAGCCAGGACTACAGGTGTATGCCTCTGTGCACAGCTGTTACCACTTTTTGCGTGTAGTGCGAGCATTTAGGATCTACTCTCTTATTAGATTTCAATGATACAATACAGTATTATTAATTATAGTTACCATGCTGTATATTATTAATAGATTTCCAGGACTTATTCACCTTATAACAGAAATATTGTGCCCTTTGCTAACATCTCCCAATTTCCTCTACCCCCCAGTACCTGGCAACCACCATTCTACTCTTAGCTTCCATGAGTTCAACTTCTTTAGATTCCACATATAAGGGGATATCATATATATTTGCTTTTTTGTCTCTGACTTACTTCACTTAACATAATGTCCTCCAGGTTGATTCATGTTATTACAATTGGCAGAATTTCCTTCTTTTTTTGGTGGAATAATATTCCAATGTGTGTGTGCACGTGTGTGTGTGTGTGTGTGTGTGTGTGTATTACCTCCATTGTCTTTATTCATTCAACTGTCAATGGACATTTAGGTTGTTTCTACATCTTGGCTGTTGAGAATAATGCTGCAATAAATGTGGGAATGCAGATATCTTTATGACATACTGATTCTATTTCATTCGGATATATACTCAGAGTGTAACTGCCGGATCTTACGGTAGTTTTATGTTTTTTTTAATGGTAATTCTATTTTTAATTTTCTGAGGGATCGCTATGCTATTTTCCATAGCAGCTGCACGATTTTGCATTCCTTTTTTTTTTATTATACTTTAAGTTTTAGGATACATGTGCACAACGTGCAGGTTTGTTACATATGTATGTATACATGTGTCATGTTGGTGTGCTGCACCCATTAACTCGTCATTTAGCATTAGGTATATCTCCTAATGCTATCCCTGTCCCCTCCCCCCACCCACAACAGTCCCTGGTGTGTGATGTTCCCCTTCCTGTGTCCATGTGTTCTCATTATTCAATTCCCACCTATGAGTGAGAACATGCAGTGTTTGTTATTTTGTCCTTGCGATAGTTTGCTGAGAATGATGGTTTCCAGCTTCATCCATGTTCCTACAAAGGACATGAACTCATCATTTTTTATGGCTGCATAGTATTCCATAGTGTATATGTGCCACATTTTCTTAATCCAGTCTATCATTGTTGGACATTTGGGTTGTTCCAAGTCTTTGCTATTGTGAATAGCACCACAATAAACATACATGTGCATGTGTCTGTATAGCAGCATGATTTATAATCCTTTGGGTATATACCCAGTAATGGGATGGCTGGGTCAAATGGTATTTCTAGTTCTAGATCCCTGAGGAATAGCCACACTGACTTCCACAATGGTTGAACCAGTTTACCGTCCCACCAACAGTGTAAAAGTGTTCCTATTTCTCCACATCCTCTCCAGCACCTGTTGTTTCCTGACTTTTTAATGATTGCCATTCTAACTGGTGTGAGATGGTATCTCATTGTGGTTTTGATTTGCATTTCTCTGATGGCCAGTGATGATGAGCATTTTCTCATGTGTTTTTTGGCTGCATAAATGTCTTCTTTTAAGAAGTGTGTGTTCATATCCTTCACCCACTTTTTGATGGGGTTGTCTGTTTTTTTCTTGTAAATTTGCTTGAGTTCATTGTAGATTCTGGATATTAGCCCTTTGTCAGATGAGTAGGTTGCAAAAATTTTCTCCCATTTTGTAGGTTGCCTGTTCACTCCGATAGTAGTTTCTTTTGCTGTGCAGAAGCTCTTTAGTTTAATTAGATCCCATTTGTCAATTTTGGCTTTTCTTGCCATTGCTTTTGGTGTTTTAGACATGAAGTCTTTGCCCATGCCTATGTCCTGAATGGTATTGCCTAGGATTTCTTCCAGAGTTTTTATGATTTTAGGTCTAACATGTAAGTCTTTAATCCAACTTGAATTGATTTTTGTATAAGGTGTAAGGAAGGGATCCAGTTTCAGCTTTCTACATATGGCTAGCCAGTTCTCCCAGCACCATTTATTAAATAGGGAATCCTTTCCCCATTGCTTGTTTTTGTTAGGTTTGTCAAAGATCAGAGAGTTGTAGATATGCGGCATTATTTCTGAGGGCTCTGTTCTGTTCCATTGATCTATATCTCTGTTTTGGTACCAGTACCATGCTGTTTTGGTTACTGTAGCCTTGTAGTATAGTTTGAAGTCAGGTAGCGTGATGCCTCCAGCTTTGTTCTTTTGGCTCAGGATTGTCTTGGCAATGCGGGCTCTTTTTTGGTTCCATGTGAACTTTAAAGTAGTTTTTTCCAATTCTGTGAAGAAAGTCATTGGTAGCTTCATAAGGATGGCATTGAATCTATAAATTACCTTGGGCAGTATGGCCATTTTCATGATATTGATTCTTCCTATGAATTAGCATGGAATGTTCTTCCATTTGTTTGTGTCCTCTTTTATTTTGTTGAGCAGTGGTCTGTAGTTCTCCTTGACGAGGTCCTTCACATCCCTTATAAGTTGGATTCCTAGGTATTTTATTCTCTTTGAAGCAATTGTGAATGGGAGTTCACTCATGATTTGGCTCTCTGTTTGTCTGTTATTGATGTATAAGATTGCTTGTGATTTTTGCACATTGATTTTGTATCCTGACACTTTACTGAAGTTGCTTATCAGCTTAAGGAGATTTTGGGCTGAGACGATGGGGTTTTCTAGATATACAATTATGTCATCTGCAAACAGGGACAATTTGACTTCCTCTTTTCCTCATTGAATGCCTTTTATTTCTTTCTCCTGCTTGATTGCCCTGGCCAGAACTTCCAACACTATGTTGAATAGGAATGGTGAGAGAGGGCATCCCTGTCTTGTGCCAGTTTTCAAAGGGAATGCTTCCAGTTTTTGCCCATTCAGTAAGATATTGGCTGTGGGCTTGTCATAGATAGCTCTTATTATTTTGAGATAAGTCCCATCAATACCTAATTTATTGAGAGTTTTTAGCATGAAACGTTGTTGAGTTTTGTCAAAGGCCTTTTCTGCATCTATTGAGATAATCATGTGGTTTTTATCTTTGGTTTTGTTTACATGCTGGATTATGCTTATTGATTTTCATATGTTGAACCAGCCTTGCATCCCAGGGATGAAGCCCACTTGATCATGGTGGATAAGCTTTTTGATGTGCTGCTGGATTCGGTTTGCCAGTATTTTACTGAGGATTTTTGCATCAATGTTGATCAAGGATATTGGTCTAAAATTCTCATTTTTTGTTGTGTCTCTGCCAGGCTTTGGTATCAGGATGATGCTGGCCTCATAAAATGAGTTAGGGAGGATTCCCTCTTTTTCTATTGATTGGAATAGTTTCAGAAGGAAAGGTACTAGGTCCTCCTTGTACCTCTGGTAGAATTCGGCTGTGAGTCCGTCTGGTCCTGAACTTTTTTTGGTTGGTAAGCTATTAATTATTGCCTCAATTTCAGCTCCTGTTATTGGTCTATTCAGAGATTCAACTTCTTCCTCGTTTAGTCTTGGGAGAATGTATGTGTCGAGGAATTTCTCCATTTCTTCTAGATTTTCCAGTTTATTTGTGTAGAGGTGTTTATAGTATTCTCTGATGGTAGTTGCATTTCTGTGGGATTGGTGGTGATATCCCCTTTGTCATTTTTTATTGTGCCTATTTGATTCTTGTCTCTTTTCTTCTTTATCAGTCTTGATAGCGGTCTAACAATTTTGTTGATCTTTTCAAAAAACCAGCTCCTGGATTCATTGATTTTTTGAAGGGTTTTTTGTGTCTCTATTTCCTTCGTTTCTGCTCTGATCTTAGTTATTTCTTGCCTTCTCCTAGCTTTTGAATGTGTTTGCTCTTGCTTTTCTAGTTCTACCCTGTAGTCATTCAGGAGCAGGATGTTCAGTTTCCATGTAGTTGAGTGGTTTTGAGTGAGCTTCGAGTTTCATTGCCCTGTGGTCTGAGAGACAGTTTGTTATAATTTCTGTTCTTTTACATTTGCTGAGGAGTGCTTTACTTCCAACTGTGTGGTCAGTTTTGGAATAGGTGTGGTGTGGTGCTGAAAAAAATGTATATTCTGTTGATTTGGGGTGGAGATTTCTGTACATGTCTATTAGGTCTGCTTGGTGCAGAGCTGAGTTCAATTCCTGGATATCCTTGTTAACTTTCTGTCTCGGTGATCTGTCTAATGTTGACAGTGGGGTGTTAAAGTCTCCCATTATTATTGTGTGGGAACCTAAGTCACTTTGTAGGTCACTAAGGACTTGCTTTATGAATCTGGGTGCTCCTGTATTGGGTGCATATATATTTAGGATGGTTAGTTCTTCTTGTTGAACTGATCCCTTTCCCATTATGTAATGGCCTTCTTTGTCTCTTTTGATCTTTGTTGGTTGAAAGTCTGTTTTATGAGAGACTTGGATTGCAACCCCTGCCTTTTTTTGTTTTCCATTTGCTTGGTAGATCTTCCTGCATCCCTTTATTTTGAGCCTATGTGTGTCTCTGCACGTGAGATGGGTTTCCTGAATACAGCACACTGATGGGTCTTGACTCTATCCAATTTGCCAGCCTGTGCCTTTTAATTGGAGCATTTAGCCCATTTACATTTAAGGTTAGTATTGTTATGTGTGAATTTGATGCTGTCATTACGATGTTAGCTGGCTATTTTGCTCGTTAGTTGATGCAGTTTCTTCCTAGCCTTGATGGTCTTTACAATTTGGCATGTTTTTGCAGTAGCTGGTACCAGTTGTTCCTTTCCATGTTTAGTGCTTCCTTCAGGAGCTCTTTTAGGGCGGGCCTGGTGGTGACAAAATCTCTCAGCATTTGTTTCTCTGTAAAGGGTTTTCTTTCTCCTTCACTTATGAAGCTTAGTTTGGCTGGATATGAAATTCTGGATTGAAAATTCTTTGCTTTAAGAATCTTGAATATTGGCCCCCACTCTATTCTGGCTTGTAGAGTTTCTGCTGAGAGATCAGCTGTTAGTCTGATGGTCTTCCCTTTGTGGGTAACCTGACCTTTCTCTCTGGCTGCCCTTAACATTTTTTCCTTCATTTCAACTTTAGTGAATCTGACAATTATGTGTCTTGGAGTTGCTCTTCTTGGGGAGTATCTTTGTGGCATTCTCTGTATTTCCTGAATTTGAATGTTGGCCTGCGTTGCTAGATTGGGGAAGTTCTCCTGGATAATATCCTGCAGAGTGTTTCCAACTTGGTTCCATTCTCCCCGTCACTTTCAGGTACACTAATTAGATGTACATTTGGTCTTTTCACATAGTCCCATATTTCTTTGAGGCTTTGTTCATTTCTTTGTATTCTTTTTGCTCTAAACTACCCTTCATGCTTCATTTCATTCATTTCATCTTCCATTGCTGATACCCTTTCTTCCAGTTGATCGCATCGCTTACTGAGGCTTGTGCATTTGTCACATAGTTCTCGTGCCGTGGTTTTCAGCTCCATCAGGTCCTTTAAGGACTTCTCTGCATTGGTTATTCTAGTTATCCATTCGTCTAATTTTTTTTTCAAAGTTTTTAACTTCTTCGCCATTGGTTCGAACTTCCTCCTTTAACTCAGAGTAGTTTGATCTTCTGAAGCCTTCCTCTCTCAACTCGTCAAAGTCATTCTCCGTCCAGCTTTGTTCCATTGCTGGTGGGGAGCTGAGTTCCTTTGGAGGAGGAGAGGTATTCTGAATTTTAGAGTTTCCGGTTTTTCTGCTCTGTTTTTTCCCCATCTTTGTGGTTTTATCTACCTTTGGTCTTTGGTGATGGTGACGTACAGATGGGTTTTTGGGGTGGATGTCCTTTCTGTTTGTTAGTTTTCCTTCTAGCAGACAGAACCCTCAGCTGCAGGTCTGTTGGAGTTTACTGGAGGTCCACTCCAGACCCTGTTTGCCTGGGTATCAGCAGCAGTGGCTGCAGAACAGCGGATATTGGTGAACCACAAATGCTGCTGCCTGATTGTTCCTCTGAAAGTTTTGTCTCAGAGGAGTACCCGGCCGTGTGAGGTGTCAGTCCACTCCTACTGGGGGGTGCCTCCCAGTTACTCTACTCGGGGGTCAGGGACCCACTTGAGGAGGCAGTCTGCCCGTTCTCAGATCTCAAGCTGCATGCTGGGAGAACCACTACTCTCTTCAAAACTGTCAGACAGGGACATTTAAGACTGCAGAGGTTATTGCTGTCTTTTGTTTGTCTGTGCCCTGCCCCCAGAGGTAGAGCCTACAGAGGCAGGCAGGCCTCCTTGAGCTGTGGTGGGCTCCACCCAGTTTGAGCTTCCTGGCTGCTTTGTTTACCTACTCAAGCCTGGGCAATGGCGGACGCCCATCCCCCGGCCTCGCTGCCACCTTGCAGTTTGATCTCAGACTGCTGTTCTAGCAATGAGCGAGCCTCCGTGGGTGTAGGACCCTCTGAGCCAGGTGCAGGATATAATCTCCTGGTGTTCCATTTGATAAGCCCGTTGGAAAAGCGCAGTGTTAGGGTGGGAGTGACCCGATTTTCCAGGTGCCGTCTGTCACCCCTTTCTTTGACTAGGAAAGGGAATTCCCTGACCCCTTGCACTTTCTGGGTTAGGCAATGCCTTGCCCTGCTTTGGCTCATGCATGGTGCACTGCACCTACTGTCCTGCACCCACTGTCCAGCACTCCCCAGTGGGATGAACCCGGTACCTCAGTTGGAAATGCAGAAATCACCCGTCTTCTGTGTCACTCATGCTGGGAGGTGTAGACTGGAGGTGTTCCTATTTGGCCATCTTGGCTCCACCCATGAACTCATCATTTTTTATTTCTGCATAGTATTCCACGGTGTATATGTGCCACATTTTCTTAATCCAGTCTATCATTGTTGGACATTTGGCTTGGTTCCAAGTCTTTGCTATTGTGAATTGTGCCGCAATAAACATGCGTGTGCATGTGTCTTTATAGCAGCATGATTTCTAATCCTTTGGGTATATACCCAGTAATGGGATGGCTGTGTCAAATGGTATTTCTAGTTCTAGATGCCTGAGGAATCGCCACACCAACTTCCACAATGGTGGAACCAGTTTACCGTCCCACCAACAGTGTAAAAGTGTTCCTATTTCTCCACATCCTCTCCAGCACCTGTTATTTCCTGACTTTTTAATGATCGCCTTTCTAACTGGTGTGAGATGGTATCTCATTGTGGTTTTGATTTGCATTTCTCTGATGGTCAGTGATGATGAGCATTTTCTCATGTGTTTTTTGGCTGCATAAATGTCTTCTTTTGAGAAGTGTGTGTTCATATCCTTCACCCACTTTTTGATGGGGTTGTTTGTTTTTTTCTTGTAAATTTGTTTGAGTTCATTGTAGATTCTTGATATTAACCCTTTGTCAGATGAGTAGGTTGCAAAAATTTTCTCCAAGCAATGGCAACAAAAGCCACAATTGTCAAATGGGATCTAATTAAACTAAAGAGCTTCTGCACAGCAAAAGAAACCACCATCAGAGTGAACAGCCACCCTACAGAATGACTTTTTTTTTTTTTAAAGAAAAAGCCAAACCTCTTTCTAAAATGATCCACCCATCATTTGCAGGCATTAAATTCTTCAGCTTTAAATCATTCACTTTTTTTTTTTTTGCTTTAAGGTGTCATACAATCACTTCACTTTTTCTCAAATCTCTTTCTTAGAGCTGTCCTTCACCCACATATGAGCTGAATTTTCAGTACAAGATAAAAAGGTATTTTGCCAAAAATGCAAGATTTTAGTGCCTGCTGGCATACCTGCAGTGACAACTTCACAAATTTCCTTTTCTTTTTTTACACTGTTCCTTATGCTGGATTAATTTATCTTGAAATGGCAGACAACCACAGCTTCAGACTCAATCTATGGTTCATATCAGGCAATTCAACTTTTTCTTGGAATGTCATGACTCTTCTCTACATCTTGGGAGCACTTCCAGAATCACTAGTAGCACTTCGTGTACATTTCATGGTGTTATTCAAGGTTTAGGATATTGCACTAAACATGATGAAAAACATACAGGAAACATGAGAGATTACTTTTTCTGTGATGCATACTTTACCAGAGGAAGAAATTGCTCAAGTGAAGATCATTACCATCACATGGAGTTTTAAGCTGATATTTTAAAAACTTGAGCTCACCACAATAGCATCATAAGGTGGATAAGAAGTTATTGCAGTAGTACTTCTTATAGTACTACTTCTTATAGTAGTAGAAAAGTAGTGCTACAGTATGTAGCTACAGTTAATTTTATGCAGTCATGATTCAATACTGCATCTTTACATTTTTTTACATTTCTTTTGACTGCGAGTGGTACAATGTATGGTCTGTTTTTGTGTGTGCATGTTTTGATAACTTTTAATTTTTTATAATATGTTTATATATATTTTATTATAGTAAATGATAAAATAGACTAGTTATCTATATACATTTTATGCATTTGTTACATACTTAACTTTTTTTCCCCATATTTCCAGGCTATGCAGTTGACCTTTGAGTTTTCTCAAATTGTCACAAATCTCCAGAAAATTTTCCAATATATTTATTTTTAAAAATCCACATAGAAGTGGACTTAAAAAGTTCAAACCCATGTTTTTCAAAGGTCAATTTTATTATAAAATAACATTCTATGTAAAGAAAGATGATGATGATGATTTAGATATGGGAGAATACTTAAGATAAACTAAGGTGGCCAATTCCAACTGAGAAATGGCAGAAGCCAGTGAGTCAGCCATGAGATGTGTTTGCAGTTTGGACTGTCTAAATGTCAAGTTCAAAGTTCAGAGAGCTAAAATGAGGCCCAAATGAGGAAAATCTGTTTTTTTTTTTTTGAGATCAGTTTAAGAAGCAGAACACTGTCTTTCTGCTACTGAGGCTGGTGCATGAACCCCTGAGGGAAAAGACAGGTGTAGGGGAACCACTGGGTTTCAGGAGGCCTTGACCTCTTCCCACCAACAGACATTTACCTTATCTTTTCACGGATGGAATCTACCAGCCATGCCTGAAAACACCAAGTACTGACCTCTGGATGGGAACCTGGCAAAGACTGAGGGCATACTTATCTTAATGGGTACAATGTAACGTTTCAATGTCACTGAGATACATCTGAATATGTGGGGTCACTGGTGAAAATCCAACAGAATGGGGCTAGTATTTGTTTGGAGTAGACAAGAATGCTTTACTTTATGTCTTACACTGCTGCTTTGCTCTGTCACAAGGCTTTCTATAATGGAGACATACACACAGATACCTACAATATCCCTTACTGGACCAGTTTCTATAACCCCTCAATGAAGAGCCTTCTGGTGGAGTTGAATAAAAGAACAAATTTAAGCTCAAGAAAGAAGCAGGATCTTTTCCACTCTCTAACTGCAACTTATCACCAGCTGACCCCTAGTGTGCAGACAACAGAGCCCCAAATCTCCAGTAAGAAGAAAGGAATAGGGAGTAATGTGGCAGAGCCCAGCCTTCATAGCAGGCACTGGCTCAGGTTATCACTTTGGTATTGTGAGAGGGAAGAGCATGGCCATGTCCTACATGCATGGGTGTCACGTTGGACGGTGGTACTGCTGATAGTGCTCCTGAATCTGACATATCACGTCAGTCTTCCTTTGTCCAAGGGAGGAGTGACAAAAGGGCTTGGGAGAAAAGCGTTTTCTGTAAGATTAGGAATACTGAAAAGAGAATCCTGCCCCCACCTCCAATGACCTGGAACTATGGATAGAAGCTGGTCTGAACACAGAGAAAAGTAGACTGTGTGTAAAAATTCATTTTACTGCTAAAATCCCAAATCCACCAGTTCTGGAATCTGTTAAAATGAGGGTCCATAGACAAAAACGGATGTAAATTTTTAAAAGTGATTTTTCTTGTTTACAGATCTATTGAAGTATAATTGACAAATAAAAGTGTATATCTTTAAGTTATATCTTGATGTTTTGGTATACATTGTGAAATAATCACCACAATCAAATTAATTAATATATCCATCAACTCATATAATTTTGGGTTTTACCGCTTTTTGTGTTGAGCAATTTAGATCTGTCTCCTTAGCAAATTTCAAGTATATAATGCAGTGTTGTTAACTATAGCCACATTGCTGTACATTAGATCTTCAGAATGTATTCATCTTGCATAACTGAAACTTTGTATCCTTTGATCATCATCTCATTTCTCCCTCCCCCAGCCACTGGCAACCACCCTTTTAGTGTCTGATTCTATGAGTTTGACTATTTTACTTACCTCATAAGAGTGGAAACATGCAGTATTTGTCCTTTTGTGGCTGGCTTATTTCACGTAACATAATGTCCTCATGATGGCTGTTGTCAAGACAGGAAAAGACAACAAGTGTTGGCGAGGACGTGGAGAAATTAGAACACTTGCATGCTGTTGGTGGGAATGCAACAGTGAAGCTGCTATGGAAAACAGCATGGAGATTCCTTCAAGAAACTACAAATAGAACAGCCATATGATTCAGCAATTCCACTTTTGGGTATTTATCCAAAAGAATTGAAATCAGGATGTCAAGGAGGTATCTGCACTCCAATGTTTATAGTGGCATTATTCACAATAGCCAAGAAGTGGAAACAACCTAAATTCCCTCAGTAGATGAGTGGATTTATGAAACAAACAAACAAAAAAACTTGCTAACAGTTTGTGAATATAGCTTCATTGCCTTTTGGCTTAAAACGCTGGTGTGAAAATCTGAGCTCAAACTATGTTTCCTCCTTGTATGTAATTTGCTTTCTCTGCCTGGATATCTGAATAACTACGTTTTTATCTTTGAACTTAAATAACTTAAATTGGATTCATCTTTGTCATTATTTCTTTACACATTTTTCTGATATGTGGTGTGATTTTTTTGATCCGCAGCTTTATTACATCTTCTATTTCAAGGAAAATTTTCTATATTATACTGTTTATATTATATTCCATTGTAGCATCCTCTACTTTAAGGAATCCAACTAAACTAATTTTATATTAACTTTTTTTCTCCATTTTTATGATTTCCCTAATTTCTATAATTTTGTGTTCTTGTTCAAACACACTGTAATGATCACAAGACATTTTTTCCTGAAGTTATTCTTTTTAAAAATAAACCTTTTATTTTAGAATAGTGTTAGATTTACAAAAAAAGTGAAGATAGTACAAATAGCAGAGAGACTTTCTTCTGTTATTAACATCTTACATTAGTATTGCAGATTTGTCACAATTAATAAGTCAATACACTATAAAGACACATGCACACGTATGTTTATTGTGGTATTATTCACAACAGCAAAGACTTCGAACCAACCCAAATGTCCAACAATGATAGACTGGATTAAGAAAATGTGGCACATATACACCATGGAATACTATGCAGCCATAAAAAATGATGAGTTCATGTCCTTTGTAGGGACATGGATGAAATTGGAAATTATCATTCTCAGTAAACTATCGCAAGAACAAAAAACCAAACACCGCATATTCTCACTCATAGGTGGGAATTGAACAATGAGAACACATGGACACAGGAAGGGGAACATCACACTCTGAGGACTGTTGTGGGGTGGGGGGAGGGGGGAGGGATAGCATCGGGAGATATACCTAATGCTAGATGACGAGTTAGTGGGTGCAGCGCACCAGCATGGCACATGTATACATATGTAACTAACTTGCACATTGTGCACATGTACCCTAAAACTTAAAGTATAATAATAATAAATAAAAAAATAAGTCAATATTAGCATGTATTAACTAAAGCCTATACTTAGATTTCTGTGTTTTTACCTAATAACTCTTTTCTATTCTAGGATTCCATCCAGGATATCACATTACATTTAGTCATCATGTTTCCTTAGGTCCTCCTGCTCTAAAAGTTTCTCAGATTTCCCTTGTTTTTGATTACCTTGATGGTTTTTAGGTGTACTGGTCAGGAATTTTATAGAATGTCTCTTACTTGGGATTTGTCTGGTGTTTTTATAATGATTGGAGTGGGATTACAGGATTTGCGGAAGAAGCCTACAGAGGTAAAATGCCATTCTCATCACATTATATCAAGTGTACATAATATCAACATGATTTTTCACTGCTGAGTTTTACTTTGATCACTTGGCTGATGGTGTTTGTCAGGCTTGAACACGGAAAAGCTACTAATTTTTTCACCTTTGCATACTTTACTCTTTGAAATAAAGTCACTATGAGAAACCCACATTTTCTATCTTTTTATTTATTTTCATTGTATTTTATGTTATTGAGGTATTCATGTGTCATGGTGGTTTGCTGCATCTATCAACCCATCATCTAGGTTTTAAGCCCCGCATGCATTAGCTATTTGTCCTAATGCTCTCCATTCCCTCGCCCCCCACTTCACTACTGGCCCTGGTGTGTGTTGTTCCTCTCCCTGTGTCCATTCTATTCTCCTCCGTATATTTTCTTCAATAATGTATTTATATTAATATGGAATTGTGGATAATTATTTCATACTCTGGATTATAATCTAAACCTACTTTATTTTGTTGCTCAACCTATTTCAGCTTTGATCATTGGAACTTTTTCAGCGGACTCCTGTGTCCTTTTGACTTACTCTTGTCATTTATTGTATTTTTGAGCACTTTCTTACTTTCTGGCATTATAGGATACCCCTCTAATCTTTTTTCTACCTTTATTGTGGGTATAATTGACAAATAAAATTGTATAAATTTAAGGTATACAATGTGATGATTTGATATATGTACACATTGTAAAAATCACAATCAAGTTATTTAACACATCTTTCACCACACCTAGTTATCATTTTGGTGCATTGTGGTGAGAAATTTACCATCTACTGTTTTAGCAAATCTCAGATATACAATACATTATTTTTAACTATAGTTACCATGCGTACATCAAATCTTATTCATCTCATCACTGAAAGTTGGTACTCTTTGACCAACATTTCCCCATTTCCCACACTTCTCAGCCCCTCATAACCATCATTCTACTACTGTCTGTTTCTACGAATCTGGCATTTTTAGGTTCCACATATAGGTGGAGTGCAGTATAAGTGAGATCACTCAGAATTTATCTTTCTGTAGTTGACTTATTTCATTTAGCATAATGCCTTCAAGATTCATCCGTGTTGTCACAAATGGCAAGAGTTCCTTCTTTGCTATGGTTGAATACTATTCCATTCATATATATATACACACAGTATAGGTATATATGCATAATACATATATACATAATTTTTGTCCGTTCATCTGTTGACAGACACTTAGATTGCTTCCATGTCTATTGGATATTGTGAATATTGCTGCAATGAATAATGGCTGTTGTGAATAATGCTGCAATGAACATGGGAGTGCAGAGATCTCTAAGACATACTGATATCATCTCCTTCAGATATATACCCAAGGAATCATATGGTAGTATATTTTTAATTTTTTGAGGAAACTCCCTACTATTTTCTATAATGGTTGCATCAATTTACAATCCCACCAGCAGTGTACAGGGTTTTCTTTTCTCCATATTCTTGCTAACGCTTGTTATCTCTTGTCCTTTTGATTATACCTATCCTAACAGGTTTAAGAAAAAAAGCATTTGTCGAAATCCAACATCCTTTCATGATAAAAACTCTCAACAAATTGAGTATAGAAAGATTGTGCCTCAACATCATAAAGGCCATATATGAAAACCCCACAGCTAACATACTCAACAGTGAAAAACTAAAAATTTTTCATCTAAGATGAAGAATAAGATAAGGGTGCCTACTCTCACCATTTCTATTTAACATACTACTAGAAGTCCTAGCTAGGGCTATTAGGCAAGAAAAAGAAACAAAAGTATACATATTAGAAAGGGAAAAGTAAAATTGACCATGTTTGCAGATGACACGCTCTTACATATAGAAAACCCTAAAAAAAACAAAACCCATTAGAATTCATAAATTAATTCAGTAAAGTTATACAAAGTAAACCCACAAAAAGTCAGTTGCATTTATATACACTAACAGTGAACTACCTGAAAAAGAAATGAAGAAAACAATCTCATTTACTAAACTCGAAACAATAAAATACTTAGGAACAAATTTAACCAAGGAAGTGAAAGATCTGTACCCTGAAAACTATAAGGAAAAAGTTCTGATGAAAGAAATTGAAAGGACACAAATAAATTGAAAGATATCTCGTGGTGTGCAAGAATTAATATTGTTATAATGTCCATACTACCCAAAGTGGACCTATAGATTCAATGCAATCCATACCAAATTCCAGGCATCACATTTCCTGATTTCAAATTATATTACAAGGATATATACTCAAAACAGTATTATACTGGCTTAAAAACAGACATATAGACCAAGGGAACAAAACAGAGAGCCCTGAAATAAACTCAAGCACATAAGGTCAACTTACCTTTGGCAGGTGTGCCAAGAATACACAATGGGGATGGGAGAGTCTCTTCAATAAATGATGTTGGGGAAACTGGACATTCATATGCAAAACACTGAAATTGAACTCCTATCTTACAGCATACACAAAAACAAACTCAAAATAGTTTAAAGGCTTAAATGTAAGACTTAAAACCAGAAACCTCCTAGGAGAAAATATAAGGGAAAAAGTCCTTGACATTGCTCTTGGCAATTATTTTTTGGCTATGACACCAAAAGCGAAAAGCAAATAAAACAAAAATAAACAAGTGAGACTTCGGCAAACTGAGAAGCTTCTGCACAGTAAAGAAACAAACAATAGAATTAACAGGCAGACTATAGAATGGGAGAAGATAATTACAAGCCATGTAACTGATAAGAAATTATCATCCAAAATATATAAGGAACTCATACAATTCAATAGCAAAGAAACAAATAACCCAATTTAACAATGGGGAAAGGACCTAAATAGACATTTTCCAAAAAAAATCATAAAAATGTCCAGGCCAGGCACAGTGGCTCACACTTGTAATCCCAGAACTTTGGGAGGCCAAGGCGGGCAGATCATGAGTTCAGGAGATCGAGACGACCCTGGCTAACATGGTGAAACCCCGTCTCTAATAAAAATGCAAAAAAATTAGTCAGGCGTGGTGGCAGGCGCCTGTAGTACCAGCTACTCGGGAGGATGAGGCAGGAGAATGGTGTGAACCCAGAAAGCAGAGCTTATAGTGAGGCGAGATGGTGCCACTGCACTCCGGCCTGGGTGACAGAGTGAGACTCCATTTGAAAAAAAAAAAAAAGTCCAAAAGGTATATTAAAATGTGTTCAACATCACTAATCATAAGGAAAATGCAAATGAAAACCACAATGAGATATCACCTCACACCTGTTAGGATGGCTATTATCAAGAGAACAAGAGGTAACAAGTGTTGGTGAGAGTGTAAAGAAAAGAGAACCCTTGTATACTGTTGGTAAGGATGTAAACTGGTAAAGCAATTATGGAAAACAGTATGGAGGTTCTTAAAAAATAAACATGGAGGGTGGAGCCAAGATGGCCGAATAGGAACAGCTCCAGTCTACACCACCCAGTGTGAACAACACAGAAGATGGGTGATTTCTGCATTTCCAACTGAGGTACCGGGTTCATCTCACTGGGGAGTGCCAGACAGTGGGTGCAGGACAGTGGGTGCAGCTCACTGTGCATGAGCAAAGCAGGGTGAGGCATTGCCTCACCCAGGAAGCACAAAGGGTCAGGGAATTCCCCTTCCTAGTCAAAGAAAGGGGTGACAGACGGCACCTGGAAAATCGGATCACTCCCACCCTAACACTGCACTTTTCCAATGGGCTTATCAAATGGAACACCAGGAGATTATATCCTGCACATGGCTCGGAGGGTCCTACACCCACGGAGCCTCGCTCATTGCTAGAACAGCAGTCTGAGATCAAACTGCAAGGTGGCAGCGAGGCTGGGGGAGGGGCACCCGCCATTGCCCAGGCTTGAGTAGGTAAACAAAGCAGCCAGGAAGCTCAAACTGGGTGGAGCCCACCACAGCTCAAGGAGGCCTGCCTGCCTCTGTAGGCTCCACCTCTGGGGGCAGGGCACAGACAAACAAAAGACAGCAATAACCTCTACAGTCTTAAACGTCCCTGTCTGACAGTTTTGAAGAGAGTAGTGGTTCTCCCAGCATGCAGCTTGAGATCTGAGAACGGGCAGACTGCCTCCTCAAGTGGGTCCCTGACCCCCGAGTAGCATAACTGGGAGGCACCCCCAAGTAGGAGTGGACTGACACCTCACACGGCTGGGTACTCCTCTGAGACAAAACTTTCAGAGGGACAATCAGGCAGCAGCATTTGTGGTTCACCAATATCCGCTGTTCTGCAGCCACTGCTGCTGATACCCAGGCAAACAGGGTCTGGAGTGGACCTCCAGTAAACTCCAACAGACCTGCAGGTGAGGGTCCTGACTGTTAGAAGGAAAACTAACAAACAGAAAGGACATCCACCCCAAAAACCCATCTGTACATCACCAACATCCAAGACCAAAGGTAGATAAAACCACAAAGATGGGGAAAAAACAGAGCAGAAAAACTGGAAACTCTAAAAATCAGAGCACCTCTCCTCCTCCAAAGGAACTCAGCTCCCCACCAGCAATGGAACAAAGCTGGACGGAGAATGACTTTGACGAGTTGAGAGAGGAAGGCTTCAGAAGATCAAACTACTCCGAGCTAAAGGAGGAAGCTCAACCAATGGCAAAGAAGTTAAAAACTTTGAAAAAAAATTAGACGAATGGATAACTAGAATAACCAATGCAGAGAAGTTCTTAAAGGACCTGATAGAGCTGAAAACCATGGAACGAGAACTACGTGATGAATGCACAAGCCTTAGTAACTGATACGATCAACTGGAAGAAAGGGTATCAACGATGGAAGACAAAATGAATGAAATGAAGCATGAAAGGAAGTTTAGAGAAAAAAGAATACAACGAAATGAACAAAGCCTCAAAGAAATATGGGACTATGTGAAAAGACAAAATCTACGTCTAATTAGTGTACCTGAAAGTGATGGGGAGAATGGAACCAAGTTGGAAAACACTCTGCAGGATATTGTCCAGGAGAACTTCCCCAATCTAGCAATGCAGGCCAACATTTAAATTCAGGAAATACAGAGAACGCCACAAAGATACTCCTCGAAAAGAGCAACTCCAAGAACCATAATTGTCAGATTCACCAAAGTTGAAATGAAGGAAAAAATGTTAAGGGCAGCCAGAGAGAAAGGTCAGGTTACCCACAAAGGGAAGCCCATCAGACTAACACCTGATCTCTTGGGAGAAACTCTGCAAGCCAGAAGAGAGTGGGGACCAATATTCAACATTCTTAAAGCAAAGAATTTTCAACCCAGAATTTCATATCCAGCCAAACTAAGCTTCATAAGTGAAGGAGAAATAAAATCCTTTACAGACAAGCAAATGCCGAGAGATTTTGTCACCACCAGGCCTGCCCTAAAAGAGCTCCTGAAGGAAGCACTAAACATAGAAAGGAACAGCTGGTACCAGCCACTGCAAAAACATGCCAAATTGTAAAGACCATCAAGGCTAGGAAGAAACTGCATCAACTAACGAGCAAAATAACCAGCTAACATCATAATGACAGGATCAAATTCACACATAACAATGCTAACCTCAAATGTAAATGGGCTAAATGCTCCAATTAAAAGGCACAGACTGGCAAATTGGATAGAGTCAAGACCCATCAGTGTGCTGTATTCAGGAAACCCATCTCACGTGCAGAGACACACATAGACTCAAAATAAAGGGATGCAGGAAGATCTACCAAGCAAATGGAAAACAAAAAAAGGCAGGGGTTGCAATCCTAGTCACTGATAAAACAGACTTTAAACCAACAAAGATCAAAAGAGAAAAAGAAGGCCATTAAATAGTGGTAAAGGGATCAATTCAACAAGAAGAACTAACTATCCTAAATATATATGCACCCAATACAGGAGCACCCAGATTCATAAAGCAAGTCCTTAGTGACCTATAAAGTGACTTAGATTCCCATACAATAATAATGGGAGAGGTTAACACACCACCGTCAACATTAGACAGATCAACGAGACAGAAACTTGACAAGGATATCCAGGAATTGAACTCAGCTCTGCACCAAGTGGACCTAATAGACATGTACAGAACTCTCCACCCCAAATCAACAGAATATACATTTTTTTCAGCACCACACCACACCTATTCCAAAACTGACCACACAGTTGGAAGTAAAGCACTCCTCAGCAAATGTAAAAGAAAAGAAATTATAACAAACTGTCTCTCAGACCACAGTGAAATTAAACTAGAACTCAGGATTAAGAAACTCACTCAAAACCACTCAGCTACATGGAAACTGAGCAACCTGCTCCTGGATGACTACTGGGTACATACGAAATGAGGGCAGAAATGAAGATGTTCTTTGAAACCAATGAGAACAAAGACACAACATACCAGAATCTCTGGGACACATTCAAAGCAGTGTGTAGAGGGAAACTTATAGCAGTAAATGCCCACAAGAGAAAGCAGGAAAGATCCAAGATTGACACTCTTACATCACAATTAAAAGAACTAGAGAAGCAAGTGCAAACACCTTCAAAAGCTAGTAGAAGGCAAGAAATAACTAAGATAAGAGCAGAGCTGAAGGAAATAGAGACACAAAAAACCCTTCAAAAAATCGATGAATCCAGGGCTGGTTTTTTGAAAAGATCAACAAAATTGATAGACCGCTAGCAAGACTAATAAAGAAGAAAAGAGAGTAGAATCAAATAGATGCAATAAAAAATGATAAAGGGGATATCACCACCGATCCCACAGAAATACAAACTACCATCAGAGAATACTATAAACACCTCTACGCAAATAAACTGGAAAATCTAGAAGAAATGGAGAAATTCCTCAACACATACACCCTCCTAAGACTAAACCAGGAAGAAGTTGAATCTCTGAATAGACCAATAACAGGCTCTGAAATTGAGGCAATAATTAATAGCTTAAAAACCAAGAAAAGTTCAGGACCAGACGGACTCACAGCCGAATTCTACCAGAGGTACAATGAGGAACTGGTACCATTCCTTCTGAAACTATTCCAATCAATAGAAAAAGAGGGAATCCTCCCTAACTCATTTTATGAGGCCAGCATCATCCTGATACCAAAGCCTGGCAGAGACACAACAAAAAATGAGAATTTTAGACCAATATCCTTGATGAACATTGATGCAAAAATCCTCAATAAAATACTGGCAAACCGAATCCAGCAACACATCAAAAAGCATATGCACCACGATCAAGCGGGCTTCATCCCTGGGATGCAAGGCTGGTTCAACATATGAAAATCAGAAAGCGTAATCCAGCACACAAACAGAACCAAAGATAAAAACCACATGATTATCTCAATAGATGCAGAAAAGGCTTTTGACAAAATTCAACAAGGCCTCATGCTAAAAACTCTCAATAAATTAGGTATTGATAGGACGTATCTCAAAATAATTAGAGCTATCTATGACAAACCCATAGCCAATATCATACTGAATGGGCAAAAACTGGAAGCATTCCCTTTGAAAACTGGCACAAGACAGGGATGCCCTCTCTCACCACTCCTATTCAACATAGTGTTGGAAGTTCTGGCCAGGGCAATCAGACAGGAGAAGGAAATAAAAGGCATTCAATTAGGAAAAGAGGAAGTCAAATTGTCCCTCTTTGCAGATGACATGATTTTATATCTAGAAAACCCCATCGTCTCAGCCCAAAATCTCCTTAAGCTGATAAGCAACATCAGCAAATTCTCAGGATACAAAATCAATGCACAAAAGTCACAAGCATTCTTATACACCAATAGCAGACAAACAGAGAGCCAAATCATGAGTGAACTCCCATTCACAATTGCTTCAAAGAGAATAAAATACCTAGGAGTCCAACTTACAAGTGATGTGAAGGACCTCTTCAAATAGAACTACAAACCACGGCTCAGTGAAATAAAAGAGGATACAAACAAATGGAAGAACATTCCATGCTCATGGGTAGGAAGAATCAATATCGTGAAAATGGCCATACTGCCCAAGGTAATTATAGATTCAATGCCATCCCCATCAAGCTACCAATGACTTTCTTCACAGAATTGGAAAAAACTACTTTAAAGTTCATATGGAACTAAAGAAGAGCCCACATTGCCAAGTCAATCCTAAGCCAAAAGAACAAAGCTGGGGGCATCACACTACCTGACTTCAAACTATACTACAAGGATACAGTAACCAAAACAGCATGGTACTCTTACCAAAACAGAGATATAGACCAATGGAACAGAACAGAGCCCTCAGAAATAATGCCACATATCCACAACTGTCTGGTCTTTGACAAACCTGACAAAAACAAGCAATGAGGAAAGGACTCCCTATTTAATAAATGGTGCTGGGAAAACTGGCTAGCCATATGTAGAAAGCTGAAACTGGATCCCTTCCTTACACCTTGTACAAAAATTAATTCAAGATGGATGAAAGACTTACATGTTAGACCTAAAACCATAAAAACCCTAGAAGAAAACTTAGGCAATACCATTCAGGACATAGGGATGGGCAAGGACTTCATGTCTAAAACACCAAAAGCAATGGCAACAGAAGCCAAAATTGACAAATGGGATCTAATTAAACTGAAGAGATTCTGCACGCAAAAGAAACCACCATCAGAGTGAATAGGCCACCTGCAGAATGGGAGAAAATTTTTGCAACCTACTCATCTGACAAAGGGCTAATATCCAGTATCTACGATGGACTCAAACAAATTTACAAGAAAAAAACAAACAACCCCATCAAAATTGGGTGAAGGATATGAACAGACACTTCTCAAAAGAAGACATTTATGCAGCCAAAACACACATGAAAATATGCTCATCATCACTGGCCATCAGAGAAATGCAAATCAAAACCACAATGAGATACCATCTCACACCAGTTAGAATGGCAATCATTAAAAAGTCAGGAAACAACAGGTGCTGGAGAGGATGTGAAGAAACAGGAACACTTTTACACAGTTGGTGGGACTATAAACTAGTTCCACCATTGTGGCAGTTGGTGTGGCGATTCCTCAGGGATCTAGAACTAGAAATACCATTTGACCCAGCCATCCCATTACTGGGTATATACCCAAAGGACTATAAATCATGCTGCTATAAAGACACATGCACATGTATGTTTATTGTGGCACTATTCACAATAGCAAAGACTTAGAACCAACCCAAATGTCCAACAATGATAGACTGGATTAAGAAAATGTGGCACATATACACCATGGAATACTATGCAGCCATAAAAAATGATGAGTTCATGTCCTTTGTAGGGACATGGATGAAGCTGGAAACCATCATTCTCAGCAAACTATCACAAGGACAAAAAACCAAACACTGCATGTTCTCACTCATAGGTGGGAATTGTACAATGAGAACATATGGACACAGGAAGGAGAATATCACACAGTGGGGACTGTTGTGGGGTGGGGGAAGGGGGGAGGGATAGCATTAGGAGATATACCTAATGCTAAATGATGAGTTAATGGGTGCAGCACACCAACATGGCACATGTATACATATGTAACAAATCTGCACGTTGTGCACATGTATCCCAAAACTTAAAGTATAATAATAAAAAAAGAATTATGAGTTCTTGTCCTTTGTAGGGACATGGATGAAGCTGGAAACCATCATTTTCAGCAAACTATTGCAAGGACAGAAAACCAAACACCACATCTTCTCACTCATATGTGGGAATTGAACAATGAGAACATGTGGACACAGGAAGGGGAACATCACACACCGGGGACTGTTGTGGGGTGGGGGGATGGGGGAGGGATAGCATTAGGTGATATAACTAATGCTAAATGATGAGTTAATGAGTGCAGCACACTAACATGGCACGTGTATACATATGTAAGAAACCTGCACGTTATGCACATGTATCCTAAAACTTAAAGTATAATAATAATAATAATAATAAATAAAAATAAATAAATAAAAAGTCAAAATAACTGGAGAAATAGCTTCTGCCAACCAAGAAGCAAGTGAGTTCCTCGACACTATTAAGAAAATCATTGAGGGGAGGCCGGGCACAGAGGCTCACTCCTGTAATCACAGCACTTTGGGAGGCCAAGGCAGGCAGGTCACCTGAAGTCAGGAGTTTGAGACCAGCCTGAGCAACATGATGAAACTCCATCTGTATTAAAAATACAAAAAATTAGCCAGGCTTGGTGGTGTGTGCCTGTAATCCCAGTGACTTGAGAGGATGAGGCAGGAGAATCGCTTGAGCCTGGGATTTGGAGGTTGCAGTGAGCCGAGATCACACCACTGCACTCCAGCCTGGATGACAGAATGATATTCTGTCTCAAGAAAAAAAAAAGAAAAGAAAAGAAAAAAAGAAAAAAGAAAAAGAAAATCATTGAGGGGAAAGGGTATTTGTCATAACAGGTTTTAATGCAGATTGAAGTGCCCTATTCTGGAAAAAATGTCACAAAGGACATTTATTAATAAGGAAGAGAAATGAACACCAGGACTTAAGGCTTGAAGGGATAGGCTATCTCTACTGTTTTGTGTAAAAGCAGTCAGCCTTATAATTGGAACTGCTGCTCACCCCTGTGCCTGGAAGGGAAAAAATAAATAACAGTTGGCAGTCTTTTGATTGTACAACAGGAAGGCCTGGACAATGAGAGCTTTTACTGAATTGGTTACATTTACACCTTGTCCCTCAAGGCAGGAAGTACTTTGCTACTAAGGGACCACCTTTTAAAGTTCTTTTAATTTTGAACAATGTCCCTGGAGACCCAGAATCCTATAAGTACAACACCAAATGCATGGAAGTAGTCTACTTGTCCCCCAACACAATGTCTCTAATTCAGCCTCTAGATCAGGGGGTCATAAGGACCTTTAAGTCTCATTATATATGGTACTCTAAGAAAAAGATTATCAACACTATGGAAGAGAACCCTGATGGAAAGAACATAATGGAAGTCTACAAGGATTACATCATTGAAGATGCCATCGTTGTTACAGAAAAAGCTATGAAAGCCATCAAGCCCCAAACAATAAATTCCTGCTGGGGAAAACTGTCCAGATTTTGTGTACGAGTTAACAGGATTTATGGTGGAGGCAATCAAGGACATCATGAAAGAGATTGTGAATATTGAAAAAACAAGGTAGGGGGTGAAGGATTTCAAGATACGGATCTTGGAGAAATTCAAGAGCTAACAGACACCACACCAGAGGAATTGACAGAATGCAACTTGATGGAGACAAGTGCTTTCAATGTCAGACGATGAGAAAGAAGACAGAAGAAGCAATGCCAGAAAACCAATTGACATTAGATAATATGACAGTAGAGTTCCAGTTATTTAAGACTGCTTTTGATTTCTTTTAGGACACTGACCTTCTATGATACAGGCACTGAAATGAAAGCAAACAGTGGGAGAAGGATTGGTACAGTATAGAAACATTTTTAGAAAAATGAAAAACAGAAAAGTCAGACAGAAATTACAATGTGTTTCTGTACAGTTACACCAAATGTGCCTACCTCTCCTGCCTCCCCTTCCATCTGCTCCACCTTTTCCACCTCTACTACTCCCGATGCAGAAAGACCAACCCCTCTTTCTCCTCCTCCTTCTCAGTCTAGTCATTGTAAAGATGACAAGGATGAAGACCTTTATGATGATCAATACTCAAACATTCACTTAATGAATAGTAAATTTATTCCTCTTCTTTATGATTTTCTTACATTTTCTTTTCTCTAGCTTACTTTATTGTAAGATAGAGTATATAATAGGTATAACATATAAAATATGTGTTAATTAACTACTTACGCTATCAGTAAGGCTTCTGGTTAATAGTAGGCTATTAGAAGTTAATTTTGGCAGGGAATCAAAAGTTATACACAGATTTTTCAACTTCACGGTGGAGGGGGGTCAGTGCTCCTAATCCTGTGTTATGCAAGGGTCAGCTACCCCTCACATTTTACCTTCAGATAGACAACACATATCACTACTGTCTTTTTGCTTTTCAGCTATTACTAAGTTGTATATTGAAAATATTTTTGCACATTCTTGTGTACCTAGACAAAAACTGCCCTATCTACCCCAAACAAAAGGATCTGTGGAAAGAAATTATTTATCTGATGACAAATTTTTCCTCTATGACAACTATCTGAATAAGCCTCACAAGTATGCTAGTTGATCAGTGTCTCACGGTGGCCTGTATTAACTGTCCTAGAGCTGCTGGTTACCATTGAAAAACCAATGTTGCACTTTACATAAGCTCTCATCAGAGTCTTTTCCTCTGCCCTCCCCAAGTAAATCCCACTGTGAGGCCACTCCCATGCTGCATGCACAGTGGGATCATTGCAAATTTCTACCCACTTCATGTCTCAGGAGAGGGGAAGGAAAGATCTTATGGCAAGAAATCGGAAGATTACAGTGATTTCAATATGAGAAGAACGTCTTCATTTCACTTCATTCAAAATCAAAATGTTGCTTATAATTTTCTATCAGCTTGATAACAATTCAGGCCCACAGTGAATTATAACAAGACATATATCTTGGGAAATATATCACTAAAATTCTGAAATAGATGGGTTCCACTGTTTTGTTACTCTACAGCACTTGCAAAATCGTCCTTGGTATCTAACAAACATGGATTCAACATTTTTATGGCTTGTGAAATTAAATTCTCTATTTCATTTTAGAAGTTTGATATAATGAATTTCCAATAACAGCAGCAGGGCAAATTCCATCTGGAATTCCTTGTTATGTCCCTGAGAAGATGATTCAGTTTCACCCCTTGTGCCCCATGGTGGGGAATTCTTCATGGGATATTATACAAGAGGCTCAATATTTCGTTCCTTTTTTCTTTTAACAGCAAAGCATACATCAGTCTACTACCTTTGCAATATGTTTCCCAAGCAGACACATGAATGCAGCTTGCTTCTAAAAGAGGAGTGCCTTCATGTCCTTGTACCTTTCCCTGCAGCTTTATTACTGGTGAGATGTCAGCAACTAGCTTTTCACCAAAAGCAATGTTTAAAGTGAGACCTTTGCTATGTTAAGTTTTACAAACAGCTTTAATTTCCGATAGCTAATGTTAAGAGCTTGTGGTAAGGAAAAGAAAAGGGGAACTTGCGGAATTTCATATTTTGATCACTGCACAGGCATCAGGAAGATGTGTTCCTATGCCTTCTTCCTGCTCCTGGCTTTCTGCTTGTCACCTTGTAGTACAACCTCCTGTCTCTCTCCTCCATCGCTCCCTCATCTCCCCTGCCTCTGCCCTCTCTGTTTGCTGCCATCTATCTATCTATCTATCTATCTATCATCTATCTATCTATCTATCTTTTATCTATCTATCTCACTTTCTTTCTCTCTCTCCCCCCCTCTTTCCTGCATCGTTTCAGTCCTCCAACTGGCTTTTCATTCCATCCTTCTCCTATCCATGATTTCTCCTTCTGTATTCCAGGTTTGAGACTCTTTCATCACTTTGCTCTCCCACACACATCTCTGGCTGTTTCCCCACTACCGGGAAAGCCAACATGTGGGAAGATCATCAGTACATACACATATCCACCAGTCTCTCTGTCAGGCCATTCATTTTTTCCATTTGGTTTTTCAACTCATTCATTCATTCACTCATTCATGCCTCCAATAAACATATTTGAGATTCTAATATATAATAGGCACTGGACTATGCAGGCCCTTAGGATATACAGTGGAGAAGAAAACAGACAATGATACTTTCACCCTGGGGCTTTCACTGCAATGGGGAGAGAGATGTTTCAAAAAGAATCCCTCTAAAACTATGTATCATTATGACATATACTGGGATAAATGGTATAGAGGAAGTTTCCAGAGCACTAAGAGAAAGTAAAAGAGAAAAAATAATTTAAATTGAGGGTGAAGTGTTTTGTGGCCAGAAAATGCTATCATGAAGAAGTGACATTTAAGCTGAGGACTTGGAAATATGCATGAGGTAGACAGGTGAACAGCAAAGAGGGTTACCAGTTCAGGGGTATTGGAAGCAAAACTATAAAGTCAGTCACTAAAACCAACAAGCATGGCTTCAACAGGGGATTAAGAGAAGGTCAGAATAATTCAAGCAAGGGGAGGGTGGGGATATGTTAGGGTCAGAGGGTTGAGAAAATCATTTCCAGCTCATATCACTGTTCTTGCCATTCTGTTAGGCAAGGCCCCCATCTTCTTGCCATTCATTTATTTGATCCTTTTTGTTTACATTCTCTACTCCCACTGTGCACTGCTCATCTAAATGTACCATTCTAATATGTTTATTATTTATCATTTTTCTTATGTGATAAAAACACAAAATGTGAGCTTTGTAGGGGGGCGGTTCCAAGATGGCCGAATAGGAACAGCTCCAGTCTACAGCTCCCAGTGTGAGCAACACAGAAGACAGTTGATTTCTGCATTTCCAACTGAGGTACTGGGTTAATCTCACTGGGGCTTGTCAGACAGCAGGTGCAGGACAGTGGATGCAGCCCCCTGAGCGTGAGCCGAAGCCGGGTGAGGCATCGTCTCACCCAGGAAGCACAAGGAGCCAGGGAATTCCCTTTCCTAGCCAAGGGAAGCTGTGACAGATGGCACCTGGAAAATTGGGTCACTCCCACCCTAATACTGTGCTTTTCCAATGGTCTGAGCAAATGGTACACCAGGAGATTATATCCCGTGCATGGCTTGGAGGGCCTCATGCGCCCACAGAGCCTGTCTCATTGCTAGCACAGCAGTCTGAGATCGAACTGCAATGCAGCAGCAAGGCTGGGGGAGGGGCACCCGCCATTGCTGAGGCTTGAGTAGGTAAACAAGGCAGCCGGGATGCTCGAAATGGGTGGAGCCCACCGCAAATCACGGAGGCCTGCCTGCCTCTGTAGTATCCACCTCTGGGGGCAGGGCATAGCCGAACAAAAGGCAGCAGAAACCTCTGCAGACTTAAATGTCCCTGTCTGACAGCTTTGAAGAGAGTAGTGCTTCCCCCAGCACGGAGTTTGAGATCTGAGAACAGACAGACTGCCTCCTCAAGTGGGTCCCTGACCCCTAAGTAGCCTAACTAGGAGGCACCCCCAAGTAGGGGCAGACTGACACCCCACACAGCTGGGTACCCCTGTGAGATGAAGCTTCCAGAGGAACAATCAGGCAGCAACATTTGCTGTTCACCAATATCCACTATTCTGCAACCTCTGCTGCTGATACCCAGGCAAACAGGGTCTGGTGTGGACCTCCAGCAAACTCCAACACACCTGCAGCTGAGGGTCCTAACTGTTAGAAGGAAAACTAACAAACAGAAAGGACATTCACACCGAAACCCCATCTGTATGTCACCATCATCAAAGATGAAAGGTAGATAAAACCACAAAGATGGGGAAAAAACAGAGCAGAAAAGCTGAAAATTCTGAAAATCAGAGTGCCTCTCCTCCTCCAAAGGAACACAGCTCCTTGCCAGCAACCGAATAAAGCTGCACGGAGAATGACTTTGACAAGTTGAGGGAAGAAGACTTCAGATGATCAAACTTCTCCAAGCTAAAAGAGGAAGTTCGAACCCATCGCAAAGAAGCTAAAAACCTTGAAAAAAGATTAGATGAACCGCGAACTAGAATAACCAGTGAAGAGAAGTCCTTAAATTACCTGAAGGAGCTGAAAACCATGGCACGAGAACTACAGGATGAATGCACAAGATTCAGTAGCCGATTCAATCAACTGGAAGAAAGGGTATCAGTGATTGAAGACCAAATGAATGAAATGAAGTGAGAAGAGAAGTTTAGAGAAAAAAGAGTAAAAAGAAATGAATAAAGTCTCCAAGAAATATGGGACTATGTGAAAAGACCAAATCTACGTCTGATTGGTGTACCTGAAAGTCACAGGGAGAATGGAACCAAGTTGGAAATCACTCTTCAGGATATTGTCCAGGAGAACTTCCTCAACCTAGCAAGGCAGGCCAACATTCAAATTCAGGAAATAACAGAGGACATCACAAAGATACTCCTCGAGAAGAGCAACTCCAAGACACATAATTGTCAGATTCACCAAAGTTGAAATGAAGGAAAAAATGTTAAGGGCAGCCAGAGAGAAAGGTCAGGTTACCCACAAAGGGAAGCCCATCAGACTAACATCTGATCTCTCGGCAGAAACTCTACAAGCCAGGAGAGAGTGGGGGCCAATATTCAACACTCTTAAAGAAAAGAATTTTCAACCCAGAATTTCATATCCAGCCAAACTAAGTTCCATAAGTGAAGGAGAGATAAAATACTTTACAGACAAGCAAATGCTGAGAGATTTTGTCACCACTGGGCCTGCCCTAAAAGAGCTCCTGAAGGAAGCACTAAACATGGAAAGGAACAACCTGTACCAGCCACTGCAAAATCATGCCAAATTGTAAAGACCATCAAGGCTAGGAAGAAACTGCATCAACTAAAGAGCAAAATAACCAGCTAACATCATAATGACAGGATCAAATTCACACATAACAATATTAACTTTAAATGTAAATGGACTAAATGCTCCAATTAAAAGACACAGACTGGCAAATAGGATAAAGAGTCAAGATCCATCAGTGTGCTGTATTCAGGAAACCCATCTCACGTGCAGAGACACACATAGGCTCAAAATAAAAGGATGAAGGAAGATCTACCAAGCAAATGGAAAACAAAAAAAGGCAGGGGTTGCAATCCTAGTCTCTGATATAACAGATCTTACACCAACAAAGATCAAAAGAGAAAATGAAGGCCATTACATAATGGTAAACGGATCAATTCAACAAGAAGACCAAACTACCTTAAATATATATGCACCCAATACAGGCGCACACAGATTCATAAAGCAAGTCCTTAGAGACCCACAGAGACTTAGACTCCCACACAATAATAATGGGAGATGTTAACACCACACTGTCAACATTAGACGGATCAATGAGACAGAAAGTTAACAAGGATATCCAGGAATTGAACTCAGCTCTGCACCAAGTGGACCTAATAGACATGTACAGAACTCTCCACCCCACATCAACAGATTATACATTCTTCTCAGCACCACATAGCACTTATTACAAAATTGACCACATAGTTGGAAGTAAAGCACTCCTCAGCAAATGTAAAAGAACAGAAATTATAACAAACTGTCTCTCAGACCACAGTGCAATCAAACTACAACTCGGGATTAAGAAACTCACTCAAAACCGCTCAACTACATGGAAACTGAACAACCTTCTCCTGAATGACTACTGGGTACATAACGAAATGAAGGTGGAAATGAAGATGTTCTTTGAAACCAATGAGAACAAAGACACAACATACCAGAATCTCTGGGACACATTCAAAGCAGTGTGTAGAGGGAAACTTATAGCACTAAATTGCCCACAAGAGAAAGCAGGAAAGATCCAAGACTGACACACTAACATCACAATTAAAAGAACTAGAGAAGCAAGAGCAAACACATTCAAAAGCAAGTAGAAGGCAAGAAATAACTAAGATCAGAGTAGAACTGAAGGAGATAAAGACACAAAAAAACCCTTCAAAAAATCAATGAATCCAGGAGCTGGTTTTTTGAAAAGATCAACAAAATTGATAGACCACTAGCAAGAATAATAAAGAAGAAAAGAGAGAAGAGTCAAATAGACGCAATAAAAAATGACAAAGGGGATATCACCACCGATCCCACAGAAATACAAACTACCATCAGAAAATACCATAAACACCTCTACGCAAATAAACTAGAAAATCTAGAAGAAATGGAAAAATTCCTCGACAAATACACCCTCCCAAGACTAAACGAGGAAGAAGTTGAATCCCTAAATAGACCAATGACAGGCTCTGAAATTGAGGCAATAATTAATAGCCTACCAACCAAAAAAAGTCGAGGACCAGATGGATTCACAGCCGAATTCTACCAGAGGTACAAGGAGGAACTGGTACCATTGCTTCTGAAACTATTCCAATCAATAGAAAAAGAGGGAATCCTCCCTAACTCATTTTACGAGGCCAGGATCATCCTGACACCAAAGCCTGGCAGAGACACAACCAAAAAAGAGAATTTTAGACCAATATCCTTGATGAACATCGATGCAAAAATCCTCAATAAAATACTGGCAAACCGAATCCAGCAGCACATCAAAAAGTTTATCCACCACAATCAAGTGGGCTTCATCGCTGGGATGCAATTCTGGTTCAACATACACAAATCAATAAACGTAATCCAGCATATAAACAGAACCAACGATAAAAACAACATGATTATCTCAATAGATGCAGAAAAGATCTCTGACAAAATTCAACAGCCCTTCATGCTAAAAACTCTCAATAAATTAGGTATTGATGGGACGTATCTCAAAATAATAAGAGCTATTTACAACAAATCCACAGCCAATGTCATACTGAATGGGCAAAAACTGGAAGCATTCCCTTTGAAAACTGGCACAACACAGGGATGCCCTCTCTCACCACTCCTATTCAACATAGTGTTGGAAGTTCTGGCCAGGGCAATCAGGCAGGAGAAAGAAATAAAGGGCATTCAATGACGAAAACGGGAAGTCAAATTGTCCCCGTTTGCAGATGACATGATTTTATATCTAGAAAACCCCATCGTCTCAGCCCAAAATCTCCTTAAGCTGATAAGCAACTTCAGTAAAGTCTCAGGATACAAAATCAGTGTGCAAAAATCACAAGCATTCTTATACACCAATAACGGACAGAGAGCCAAATCATGAGTGAACTCCCATTCACAATTGCTTCAAAGAGAATAAAATACCTAGGAATCCAACTTACAAGGGATGTGAAGGACCTCTTCAAGGAGAACTACAAACCACTGCTCAACAAAATAAAAGAGTACACAGACAAATGGAAGAATATTCCATGCTCATTCAGAGGAAGAATCAATATCATAAAAATGGCCATACTGCCCAAGGTAATTTATAGATTCACTGCCATCCTTATGAAGCTACCAATGACTTTCTTCACAGAATTGGAAAAAACTACTTTAAAGTTCATATGGAACCAAAAAAGAGCCCACATTGCCAAGACAATCCTGAGCCAAAAGAACAAAGCTGGAGGCATCACGCTACCTGACTTCAAACTATAATACAAGGATACAGTAACCAAAACAGCATGGTACTCGTACCAAAACAGAGATATAGACCAATGGAACAGAACAGAGCCCTCAGAAATAATGCCACATACCTACAACTATCTGATCTTTGACAAACTTGACAAAAACAAGCAATGGGGAAAGGATTCCCTATTTAATAAATGGTGCTGGGAAAACTGGCTAGCCATATGTAGAAAGCTGAAACTGGATCCCTTCCTTACACCTTATACAAAAATTAATTCAAGATGGATGAAAGACTTACATGTTAGACCTAAAACCATAAAAACCCTAGAAGAAAACCTAAGCAATACCATTCAGGACACAGGCATGGGCAAAGACTTTATGTCTAAAACACCAAAAGCAATGGCAACAAAAGCCAAAACTGACAAATGGCATCTAATTAAACTAAAGAGCTTCTGCACAGCAAAAGAAACTACAATCAGAGTGAACAGGCAACCTACAGAATGGGAGAAAATTTTTGCAATGTACTCATCTGACAAAGGCCTAATATCAAGAATCTACAAAGAACTCAAACAAACTTACAAGAAAAAAACAAACAACTCCATCAAAAAATGGGCAAAGGGTATGAACAGACACTTCTCAAGAGAAGACATTTGTGCAGCCAAAAAACACATGAAGAAATGCTCATCGTCACTGCCCATCAGAGAAATGCAAATCAAAACCACAATGAGTTACCATCTCATACCTGTTAGAATGGCGATCATTAAAAAGTCAGGAAACAACAGGTGCTGGAGAGGATGTGGAGAAATAGGAACACTTTTACACAGTTGGTGGGACTGTAAACTAGTTCAACCATTGTGGAAGTCAGTGTGGCAATTCCTCAAGGATCTAGAACTAGAAATACCATTTGACCCAGCCATCCCATTACTGGGTATATACTCAAAGGATTATAAATCATGTTGCTATAAAGACACATGCACATGTATGTTTATTGCGGCACTATTCACAATAGCAAAGACTTGGAACCAACCCAAATGTCCATCAATGATAGATTGGATTAAGAAAATGTGGCACATATACACCATGGAATACTATGCAGCTATAAAAAATGATGAGTTCATGTCCTTTGTAGGGACATGGATGACGCTGGAAACCATCATTCTCAGCAAACTATCACAAGGACAAAAAAACAAACACCGCATGTTTTCACTCATAGGTGGGAATTGAACAATGAGAACACTTGGACACAGGAAGGGGAACATCACACAGCGGGGCCTGTCATGGGGTGAGGGGAGGGGGGAGGGATAGCATTAGGAGATATACCTAATGTAAATGACGAGTTAATGGGTGCAGCACACCAACATGGCACATGTATACATATGTAACAAACCTGCACATTGTGCACAGGTACCCTAGAACTTAAAGTATAATAATAATAATTATAAGAGAGCTTTGTAGAGGCTAGCTATTTTTGAAAATTAAAAAAAGCAAAAACACATAATGTGTGACATGTGTTCTTGTTTTACGTAAGATTATTTTTAGATATATCATTATGCATATTATATAATATGATATATAGATAGATAGGGATATCCCATACTGTGTCTATTTTTTATTTTTTTCGAGATAGGGTCTCACTCTGTCACCCCAGCTGCAGTGCAGTGGCATCTTCTTAGCTTACTGCAGCCCGGAACTCCTTGGCTCAAGTGATACTCCTGCCTCAGTCTCCCAAGTGGCTGGGACTGGAGGCATGCCCCATCACACCTGGCTAATTTTTAAATTTTTTATAGTGACTGGGGCTCACTATGTTGGTGAGGTTGATCTTCAACTCCTGGCCTCAAGCGATCTTCCTGCCTCGCCCCCACAAAGTGCTGGGATAACAGGCGTGAGCCACCACGCCCGGCTTCTTTACATCTTTATTAATTATAATCGACATATGTTAGACTGAGCATATTTAACATATATGATCTAATAAGTTTTGGTATCACACCTGTGAAACAATCATTATAGTAATGATAATGAACACCTGTATTACAAACAAAAATATATCCTCGGGCTCCTTTGAAATTCCAGAATTTTAATAAACGTAATCTTACTCCCTGCACCCTTTTTTTTTGGTTTAGCTTCTTTCAGAGAGCATATTTTCAGATGCGTTTATGTTGTCATAAGTATCAACAATTCATTTCTTTTTAATGCGCTGTAGTATTCCGTTGTATGGACATAGCACAATTTCATAATTCATCTCCCTGTTGATGGACACTTGGGTTGTCTTCAGGCTTTTGGCTATTACAAATAAATTTGCTATGAATATTCATAAACAAGTAATCATATGAAAATATATTTTCTTTTCTCCTGTGTATGTCTTGGAGTGGAATGGCTGGTTTATGGGAGGTGAATATTTAACTGGGTAAGCGACTACCAAACCAATTTCCGAAGTGTTTCCATCATTCAGAAGTTCCACATCATTGCTAGCACTGGGTATAATCAGTTATTTTAATTTCAATCATGCTCATGTATCTACGACAGTATTTAAATTTGATTTTAATCTGCATTTCCTGAATGATAAATGATGGTATCTTTTTGTGTGGTTGTTAGCCATCTGTGTATCTTCTTTGGTGAGGTAGTCTGTTGAAGTCTTTTCTCCATATTTATAGTTGAGTATTTGCCTTCTTATAATTGAGTTATAAGACTTCTTTATAGTCTAGAAGTGTCCTGTGTTGGATATAGATATATGAATTCTAAATATTTTATCACAGAGTGTGGATTTCTCTTTCAATTTCAAAAGAATGCCTTTTAAAGGCCAAAAACTTTAATTGTGGTGGAATCAAATGTATTAATTTTTCTTCTTTTATAGTTTGTGGTTTGGGTGTCTCATTTTGAAAATCTTTGCCAAAACCAAAAAGATGAAGAAAGTTGTAATTTCCTCAAAGAGGGCATTACATAAGGGTAAAGGGTTCAATTCAACAAGAAGGCTTAGCAATCCTAAATATATATGCACCCAACAATAGGAGCACTGGCACCTAACAACAGGATCATTCAGATTCATAAAACAAGTTCTTAGAGACTGACAGAGGGTCTTAGATAACCACAAAATAATGGTGGGAGACTTCAACACCCCACTGACAGTATTAGACAGATCATCAGGCAGAAAACTAACAAAGTTATCCGGGATCTGAACAGTATGCTTGACCACATAGACTGAACAGACTATTCTACAGGACTCTACACCCCAAAACAACAGTATCTACATTCTTCTCATCTGCACATGAAACATACTGTAAAACTGAGCACACAATTGGCCATAAATCAATTTTCAGCAAAATAAAAACAAACCGAAAAATTACCAACCACCCTCTCAGACCACAATACAATAAAAACAGAAATCAATACTAAGAAGATCATTTAAAACCATACAATAACAAGGATATTAAACAAACTGCTCCTGAGTGACTTTTGGGTAAACAATGAAATTAAGGCAGAAATCAAGAAATTCTTTGAGATTAATGAAAACAAAGCTACCACATACCAGAATCTCTGGGACACTGCTAAAGCAGTGTTAAGAGGAAAGTTTTTAGTGCAAAATGCCCATGTCAAAAACTTAGAAAGATCTCAAATTAATAATCTAACATCATACCTAGAGGAACCAGAAAAACAAGAGCAAGCCAACCCCAAAGCTAGCAGAAAACAAGAAGTAACAAAAATCAGAACTTAACTGAATGAATTTAAGTTGCAAAAAACCATACAAAAGATCAATGAAACCAGGTGTTGGTTATTTGAAAGAAAAAATAAGACTGATAAACCCCTATCTAGACTAATTTTTAAAAAAAAGAGAGAAGATCCTAATAAACACACTCAGAAATGACACAGTGGACATTACCACCAACCCCAGAGAAGTACCGAAAAACCCCAGAGACTGTTATGAACACCTGTATAGACACAAACTAGAAAACCTACAAGAAATCAATAAATTCCTCCCAAATCAATCAAATACACCCTCCCAAGATGGAGCCAGGAAGAAATTGGTTCCTGAACACACCAATAATGAGCTCTGAAATTGATTCAGTAATAAATAGCCTAACAACAAGAACAACAACAAAACAACTACAACAACAACAAGAAAAAAGGACCCGAGGAATTCACAGCTAATTCTACCAGATGTACAAAGAAGAGCTGGTGCTATTCCTACAGAAACTATTCCAAAAAAAAAAAAAAAAACAAAAACTGAGGAGGAGGGACTTCTCCCCAACTCATTCTATGAGGCCAGCATCATTTTGATACCAAAATCTGGCAGAGACACACACACAACAAAAGAAAACTTCAGGCCAATATCCTTGATGAACATCGATGCGAAAATCCTCAACAAAATACTGGCAATCCGAACCTAGCTGCACATCAAAAAGCTAATCCACCACGATCAAGTAGGCTCCATCCCCGGGATGCAAGTTTGGTTCAACATACGGAAATCAATAAATGTGATTCATCATATACACAGATCTAAAGACAAAAAACGTATGGTGATCTCAATAGATGCAGAAAAGGCTTTTGATAAAAGTTAACATCTCTTCATGGTAAAAACTCTCGATAAACTCAATATTGAAGGAACATACCTCAAAATAATGAAAATCCATCTGTGACAAACCCACGCCAATATCATACTGAATGGGCAAAAGCTGGACGCATTCTCCTTGTAAACCGGCACAAGACAAGGTTGCCCTCTCTCATTACTCCTACTCAACATTGTACTGGAAGACCTGGTCAGGGCGACCAGGCAAGAGAAATAAATAAAGTGTATCCAAATAGGAAGAAAGGAAGCCAAACCACCTCTGTTTGCAGATGACATGATTCTATATCTAGAAAACCCCATAGTCTTGGCCAAAAAGCTCCTTCAGCTGATAAACGACTTGAGCGAAGTTGTAGGATACACAATCAATGTACAAAGATCACTAGCATTCCTATACACCACCACCAACCAAACTGAGAGCCAAATCAGAAAGGCAATCCCATTCCCAATTGCCACACACACAAAAATAAAACACCTAGGAATACAGCTAACCAGGAAGGTGAAAGATCTCCACAATGAGAATTACAAAACACTGCTCAAAGAAATCAGAGCAGACATGAACATATGGAAAAACATCCCATGCTCATGGATAGGAAGAACCAATATCATTAAAGTGGCTACACTGCCTAAAGCAATTTATAGATTCAATGCTATTCCCATCGAACTACCAAGGACATTCTTCACAGAGCTAGAAACAATTATTTAAAAATGTACATGGAACCAGAAAAGGAGCCCGGATAGCCAAGGCAATCGTAAGCTAAAAGAACTATACTGCAAGGCTACAATGACCAAAACAGCATGGTACTGGTACTGGCACAAAAACAGGCACATAGACCAATGGAACAGAATAGAGAGGCCATAAATAATGTCGCACATCTACAACCAGCTTTTTTCTTTTTTTTTTTTTTTGACAAAGCTGACAAAAACAAGCGGTGGGAAAAAGACTCCATATTCTATCAATGGTGCTGTGATAACTGGCTAGCCGTATGCAGAGGATTGAAGCTGGACCCCTTCCTTACACTATCTACAAAAATCCACATGAGATGGATTAAAGGCTTTAATGTAAAACCCAACACCATAAAAACCCTGGAAGACAACCTAGGCAATACCATCCTGGACATAGGAGCAGGCAAAGATCTCACGACAGAGGCACCAAAAGCAATCACAGCAAGAGTAAAAATTGACACATGGGATCTAATTAAACTTAGAGCTTCTGCACAGCAAAAGAAACTATCAACAGAGTAAACAGACAACCTACAAAGTGGGAGAAAATTTTTGCAACACTATTCATCTAACAGAGGTCTGATATCCAGCATCTATAAAAAGCCTAAACAAATGCACAAGAGAAAAACAAACAACCCCATTAATAAGGGGGCAAATGACATGAACAGACACTTCTCAAAAGAAGACATACATGTAGCCAAGAAGTATATGAAAAACAGCTCAATATCACTGATCATTAGAGAAATGCAAATCAAAACCACAATGAGATACCATCCCATAACAGTCAGAATGGCTGTTACTAAAAACAAAAAATAGCAGATGCTGGCGAGGTTGCCAAGAAAAGGAAACCCATATACACGGTTGGCGGGAGTGTACATTAGCTCAACCATTGTGGAAAGCAGTATCGCAATTCCTCAAAGAGCTAAAAGCAGAACTACCATTTGACCCAGCAATCCCATTACTGGGTATAGAGCCAGAGGAATATAAAGCATTCTACCATAAAGACACATGCACCTGGACTATTCACTGCAGCACTGTTCACAAGAGCAAAAACGTGGAATCAACATAAATGCCCATCAATGACAGACTGGATACGGAAAATGTGGTGCATATACACCATGGAATATTATGCAGCCATAAAGAAGAACAAGGCCGTGTCTTTTGTGGGAACAGGCATGGAGCTGGAGGCTATAAGCTCAGCAAACTAACGCAGGAACAGAAAAGCAAATCCCACATGTTCTCACTTAGAATTGGGAGCTAAATGATAAGAACTTATGAACACAAAGAAGGAAACAACAGACACTGGGGTCTCCTTAAGGGGGAGGGTGGGATGACGGAGAGGAGCAGAAAAGAGATAACTCTTGGATAGTGAGTTCAATACCTGGGTGATGTAGTCATGTGTGCAACGAACCCCCGTGACACGTGTTTATCTATGTAACAAACCTTCACATGTACCCCCAAACATAAAAGTTTTAAAAAATATTACAGTGCAAGTCTATTGATGATCAATTCTTTCAACTTCTGTATGTCTAAACACCTACTATTTTAACTTCATTTGAAAAGATATTCATTGAGTATAGACTTAAGAGTTGACATTTATTTTTATTTCACGATTTTAAAGATGGTGTGCCACATGACTTCTGACTTGCATATTGCTAATGAGAAATGTGCTGTCATTCTTCTCTTTGGACATCTAAATGTTTCTTATGGTTTTCTTCTGATTTTCTAGTTACTTAGGAGAAAGGGTAAATCTCTGGGCGAGCAGATAGGTAAAATGTCAGGAATGCACACCATGGATTCTCTGTGCATAGCACCTTGGACATACTTTAGATTATGCGTGGCAACGTGGAGGCCTCCTGAAAGCACAGGGCTCAGTGAAAAGAAAATTAAGAAATCCGGTGGATACTTGTATTTCCAGCCATGATGGATTAACAGGAACCGGACTTACCGTCTCGCCTAAATACCTATAAACCAAAAAAATTATAAGGCTTAACGTCATGGCACCACCTGCATACGGGACAGTGATCCCTGAGAGAAAGGGAACCTGACCAGGTGAGCCCTCTGATCGCCCAATTCCACCAACTTCTTGCCCGGATAGAGTTTGCAGGCTGCAGCACAGGGGAGCTGAACACAACAGAGCCCGGTGGACCGTCTGAGTGAAGGAGACAGAGTTGAGAGCTCAAGAGGTCCATAGGACCAGAATTTGCCGGGAGTAATGGAGAGAAGACAGCTGCACAGAGAGGCAGCTCTGGAGACCCTTCAGAGCTTGCCCTTCTGGATGCAGCGTATCAGAAACGGGGAGTGGTGATCGATGACTCCCAGTTTCTGGAGTGAGTGGTTGTGTGGATAATGGCGCCATTTACTGAGACTGTGAAGATGGGTTGGGGGGGGGGGGAACAGGAGCGATGGGGATGTGTGAGTGTATGGGAGGAGTGAGTATACCAAGTGACCAGTTTTGGACAGGCAAACCATGAAGAGCCCTTGAGACTTCCAAGTGGAGATGCCACGTAGGTGGGTGAATGTATGTACTTGGACCTCAAAAGTGAAGTTCAGACTGGGGTTGTAGATTTTTTGGAGTGATTAGCACGTAGCACTTTCTGAAGGCTTTCGTTTGTAGGGTGTGTTCCTCTCCCGCAGAGGATATGTTACAGGGGAAGGGCTAAAGAGGCACAAGCAGCTGACAGGAGAGATTGATATATAACAGCTGGAGAAAACCACAGAGCCAGGCAGAATGGATACTGGTCAGCGGAGAGTAAAAGCTGCTGTCCTAGCAATACCTTCCATTCATACACAGGGGTCCTGGTGAGGCTGACATAAAAACAAATATAAAAATCTACTACGAATTTTACAAACAGTCCAGGTTCGACTGCAGATGAGACCACAGCATTTTCTGCCTCAAAAGACATCCAAGTGGAGATGTCACGTAGGCAGGTGAATGTACTATGCACTTGGACCTCAAAAGTGAAGTTTGAACTGGGCTTGTAGATTGTGGAGTAATTAGCTCAGACACACAGGTGTCTAATTGTCCTGGCGGACACCAGGAGGGTCTCAGCGGCAGCGTGATTGTATCGCTGATAAGGAAGAGGCCTGACAATCTGAGTAGAGAGTGGACCCGGTGGAGCAATTCTCATACCTGGATGGACCCACATAGAGCCGCAGAGGCTGGGGGCGAGGCGGGGGGAGGCTCTGTCTCCCTGTGTCCTGAATGCGGAGCATGAACTTAGGCCTTCTACAGCACAAACCTTGCTTCTTTGGGACAGATGTTGGGGTGGGGGAGGCCTGTCACTCAGACGGAGGAGGCGGTGCCTCTGTCCCCAGGCCAGCAGGAGCAGGAGGTGGACTTTGGAGTCCGGAAGACCCAGGTTCAAATTTTGCATTTTCTGTTTCCTGGCTCTGTGGTCTAGTTCATGCAATGTGTCTGTGCCTCAGCTTCCTGACACGCCAAATGGGGATGCTGACATCCACTTCCCAGCGCTGCTGTGAGAGGAAGAAAAGCCCCAGCACAGATCCCTCTGTGACATACAAGCTGCATAAAGGGTAGCTGAGGAAGCAGATGTTCCCAGTATGTCTGGGGGCCAGAGAGTTGGCTAGTGGAGAAGCACACAAAGCGAAGTGCCATCCTCTGGCCATGTCCATTTCGTAGCCCCGCAGGTTGAGGATTTCCACTTGTTGCAGTTAGAGACCCAGCTTATTAATTGTGAGACCTCACTAATTGTGACCTAAGGGGTCTTGCCGGGGAAACGGGGCATAGTGTATCCCAGACCAGGCTGGAGGAGTTTGGGTGAAAGGGCAGGGCAGGACAGAGAAGCATTGTGCAAAAGTGGGGGGACTGAGAAGAGATGATTGGGTGGGTCGAGCTGCACTGCAGGGTATGAGTGTGCGCGCCCGCGGTAGGAGGAGGAGGAGGAGGAGAGGTGAAGTGGATCTGGCGGGAAGAGCCCCCCGCACCCTACCTTCGACCCCACCGCCCACCCACCCGCGGAATCGCATGCGCACTGGAGACCTGGAGGAAAGGGCTTTTGTTGGGAAAGCGGGCGGGCTGGAGGGGTCCGCGCATGCGCAGGCTACCCAGCCGCGGGGGGTGCACGGAGAAAAGGGGCGGGGTGGTCCGGGCTGCTGTGCTGGCAGCAGTAGGCGAGGGCGCGGCTGCGGGGTTCCTGGTGCTGAGGACGGACGCCATTGGAGTTCCCGAGAAGGTAAGGATCCAGCCCCAGACAGGACCGGGAGAGGGCGAGTGGAACCCGACACGCTGCGCCCTCCCTCCGCCTCCGGATCTGAACAAAGCCCAAGCACTCAGAACCGGAACCCCATTAGACCCAAGGTCTAGATAGGAGCCCCCATCACCATCAGACCCAGGCGCCCCGATCTGAGCCCTACTGAAACCGGAGCCCAGGATCCTCACCCCTTTAGCAGACCCGTGTGCTCCGAGCTGAGCTCCCTTGGACCTGAGGCCCCACCCCCACCCCAACCACTCCTAGATTACTCGAACCGAGCTGACCGCTTGCCCCCTTCCTGGAGTGCCCAGTCCTCGCGTTTGAGATCTGCAGCGCTCCGATTGGAGCCTCACCTAGGTCTGAGGCCCCCACTCCATCCGCCTCTAGTGCTCGAGTCTGAGCCCCACCTAGGCCCCCCGCCCGGACCTAGCCAAAGGTCCCTGGGGTTCTGTTTCGCAGAGCTTGCGGCTTGCCACTGTCCCTGTTGTCTGAGCTCTCCCATCTGCTCCCCCTTCATCCCGGTCCCCTTCTCTGGCCCGTAAATCCAAACCCTTTGTTTCTCTCTTCCCCAATGCATTCCCTTTGGGACTCTTCGGACCCCAGCCCTCCAGAACACCCCCTCGTCAAATCTAGCCGCTGGGATGGCGAGCCTGCCCATCCTAAACTCCGCTTTCAGTGCGGCGCCTCCTGCGACCTCCTCTGTCCCTTTCCTTGGGCTCTGTCCCTGACCAGGTCTACCCCATCAGAAAGCCAAACCGTCTCCCCCCCGCTCCTCCTCCCCCCCCCCGCCCCCTACTGCCTAATATTGCCTAGTAACCTGATGATTGTCGCCCCTCACCTCCCGGGAGATCCCGCCTCCCATTGGATCCCGCCCCCTCCCCCTGCAGCTGCTTCACCCTCCCTCTCAGGCTGAGCTCTCATCTCCCTGGGACCCGCAGCATGGCTGAGGGAAGCTTCAGCGTGCAATCGGAAAGCTACAGTGTTGAAGACATGGATGAGGGTAGCGACGAAGTCGGGGAGGAAGAGATGGTTGAAGGCAACGACTATGAAGAATTCGGTGCGTTTGGTGGCTATGGCACCCTCACCAGCTTTGACATCCATATCCTCAGAGCCTTCGGAAGCTTGGGTCCAGGCCTTCGCATCTTATCGGTGAGGCCCCTTCCTGGACACCTGCTGGCCTGGGCCTTTCCCCTGTGAATGGGGGAGGGAGGAGGGGGGAGCCAGGAGGGTTGTGTGGGAAAGGACTGCCCAGCTTCCCAAGCCTTCCCTCCCCTGCTCGGAAGAAGAAGATTTGGGAAGGTCTTGGGGTGTTCAGGGCTGACTGCTGGGAAGAGGCTGGCCAGCACAGGGAAGCTAACACAAGTATGTCGTCGAGTGGCCTGCCTTCCCCAACCCCTCTCTCTGGCCTTGCAGAATGAGCCCTGGGAACTGGAAAACCCTGTGCTGGCCCAGACCCTGGTGGAGGCATTGCAGCTGGATCCGGAAACACTTGCCAATGAGACGGCCGCCCGTGCTGCCAACGTAGCCCGCGCCGCCGCCTCCAACCGTGCGGCTCGGGCCGCTGCCGCCGCTGCCCGTACCGCCTTCAGTCAGGTGGTCGCTAGCCACCGGGTGGCCACGCCGCAGGTCTCAGGAGAGGATACCCAGCCCACGACCTACGCCGCCGAGGCTCAGGGGCCCACCCCTGAGCCACCCCTTGCTTCTCCGCAGACCTCCCAGATGTTAGTCACCAGTAAGATGGCTGCCCCCGAGGCTCCGGCAACCTCCGCACAGTCCCAGACAGGCTCCCCGGCCCAGGAGGCTGCTACTGAGGGCCCTAGTAGCGCCTGTGCTTTCTCTCAGGCTCCGTGTGCCAGGGAGGTGGACGCCAACCGGCCCAGCACAGCCTTCCTGGGCCAGAATGATGTCTTCGATTTCACTCAGCCGGCAGGTGTCAGTGGCATGGCCTTCCCGCGCCCCAAGAGACCTGCCCCAGCCCAAGAGGCTGCCACAGAGGGCCCCAGTGCTGCCTCTGGTGTGCCCCAGACGGGACCTGGCAGGGAGGTGGCAGCCACCCGGCCCAAGACCACCAAGTCGGGGAAGGCGCTGGCCAAGACTCGGTGGGTGGAGCCTCAGAATGTTGTGGCAGCAGCTGCTGCCAAGGCCAAGATGGCCACGAGCATCCCTGAGCCGGAGGGTGCAGCTGCTGCCACTGCTCAGCACAGTGCTGAGCCCTGGGCCAGGATGGGAGGCAAGAGGACCAAGAAGGTGAGATCCCCCTGCCCCCTGCCACCTCCACACCCCCTTGCTCCTGTCCTTTCCTTCTCCTCCCTTTCCTGCTCCTCTCCTCCCTCTCCTCTCCCCCTTCTTCCTCTCTTCTCCTCTTTCCCCTCCTTCTCTCCTCACCTCCCCTCTCCTCCCCTCCTCTCCTCTCAGCTAGTCCATGTTTCTCCAACACAAGTTTGCTGAGCATGTTTTCACTCCACGTAGTCCCTACCCTCAGGACTGGTGGGAGAAGAGGCTGGCTCAGTGCCTGGCACTTAGTAAGCACGCAGCACATGCCAGCCGCTGCTGGTACTGCTCTCATTTCCAAGAGCCTGCTACGGGTGAGGTGCGTGCCGGGTGCTTTGGCACGGGGAGCCTGGTAGCCCTGGGTCTCTCCTCTCTCAAATGATACAGTCCAAGCACCTGGATGATGAGTATGAGAGCAGCGAGGAGGAGAGAGAGACTCCCGCGGTCCCACCCACCTGGAGAGCATCACAGCCCTCATTGACGGTGCGGGCTCAGTTGGCCCCTCGGCCCCCGATGGCCCCGAGGTCCCAGATACCCTCAAGGCACGTACTGTGCCTGCCCCCCCGCAACGTGACCCTTCTGCAGGAGAGGGTAAGAAGCCCACCCTCCCCCATCTCCTTCCTCTCCTCCCTTGTGGGCCACGTCTCTGCTGTCACCCATGCCTTGACCTCCCCGCATGTTCCTCCTTCTCCAGGCAAATAAGTTGGTGAAATACCTGATGATTAAGGACTACAAGAAGATCCCCATCAAGCGCGCAGGTAGGCAGCCTGTGCCCCCTTCACCATCCCCTAGTCTGTGGGCATCCCTTTGCTTGCGTGCCACGGCTGGTCCCTCCATAGCCACAGGACGGGGTCCTGGCTGCGTCACCCTCGGCAGAGCTGACCAAGGGGCTACAGCTCTATGACCCCTGCTCAGCCCAGGTGCTTTCTCCAACTCTTCCCCCTCCTGCAGACATGCTGAAGGATGTCATCAGAGAATATGATGAACATTTCCCTGAGATCATTGAACGAGCAACGTACACCCTGGAAAAGGTGGGTGCAGGATGGGAGCAGCTCTGTGGGGGAAGAGCGGGCATGGGGGTGCGGTGACCCTGCAGCCCCTCAAGGCCCAGTCTCTGGAGCCATCTCTCACCTCTCCGACTCTGAGCTTCCACTGCACTGGCAGTTTGACTCGTGCTTCCTGCCCTCGGCTTCTCTCTCTCATGCTCTCTGAGTGTCTCGCCGTCTGGCCAGGTGGGTCTCATCGCCTCTGCCAGCGTCAGCTCCCACAGCGAAGGTCTTCCGTGTGCTGTCTTCTTCTGCCCTCGCTCACGAGTTTGGATTCCTTGCTGAGGAGCAGTTCTAACCCGGAATCACTGTCTGCCGGCAGGATGCCCAGCATGGGGTTTGGATCTCACACTCTGTTTTCTCCCCCACGTAGAAGTTTGGGATCCACCTGAAGGAGATCGACAAGGAAGAACACCTGTATATTCTTGTCTGCACACGGGACTCCTCAGCTCGCCTCCTTGGAAAGTAAGAAAGGGAAAGCGGGTCGTGGCCTTCCTCGGTGGTGTCCCTTCCCTGCCCACACCCCTTCAGTGAAGCAGGAAGACGGGGCTTGAGTGCGGCGCACCGCTCCCACACACAGCGAGGGCTGCCTGGTGACTGCTGGATGAAAGGAATGATAGCCTGGGGTGAGGCCTTGCTGCCATCAGTTCTCCCCAAGCTGCTGCCGGGCTTTATCCCCAAAGCTTCGGAGGAAAGTGCCTCTTCCTCCTGCCTGCCTGGCCTGGGCCTGGCAGAGCTGGCCTAGGGGAGAGCTGCCTCTTCAGTGTAGGTGCTGATGTGGAAGGGGCAGGAAAGGTCTGGAGCCATCTCTGGGCACACGTTTGCCATTTGCAGAGCTTCGGCTCCCTGCCTCGCCCTGTCCTCTGCAGAACCCTGTCAGGGAAGTGTTAGTACCCATGTTTTATAGAGGAGGCGATTAAGTCTCAGGCGGAGGTGCGAATGGTCTGTCAGCAGCTAGTGAACTGTGCCTGTCCTGGGAAGAGTTCCCCTCAAGCTGGGAAACCTGAGAGAGGCTAGTTGGGAGAGCCTGGTGGTGTCTCTCAGGCAAATAGCTGCTAAACAGGATTTCTCTTTCCACACCTTTAGAACCAAGGACACTCCCAGGCTGAGTCTCCTCTTGGTGATTCTGGGCGTCATCTTCATGAATGGCAACCGTGCCAGCGAGGGTGAGTGGCTGGACCTGCAACTGGGGGGCTGCCCATAGTCTCATCTTCTGGGTGCCAAACTCTCGTACCTCCTCTCCCCTCGCAGCTGTCCTCTGGGAGGCACTACGCAAGATGGGACTGCGCCCTGGGTATGATTGGCCTCTCCAGCTCCTCCCCTCGGTGCTATCCTCTGGCCAAAGAGGTCCTGGGATTGCAATAGCCTGGTGGTCTGGCGCAAGGGCGTGGGGTGCCCTGGGCTCGGTAGAGAGCAAAGGATCTCACCAGGGCGGATGGGGAAGCGGTGCTGGACGCTGCTCAGCCCTCTCTCTGCTCTGTGGCCCCAGATGACATCTAAGAGAGACAGTCAGAGTCAGGGATTCCATCAAATCCCTACCTGGGGCGTCCCTGACCAACAGTCCTCTGGCCTCTGCTGCATGCCCAGGCCTCCACAGCGACTCCCCGGGGGCTGGGAAGTCATAGTCATGCTAGGGAGGGCCCCTGCCACCGTCTCTGCTCATGGATTCCTTTCCTTGCCCTCAGGGTGAGGCACCCATTCCTCGGCGATCTGAGGAAGCTCATCACAGATGACTTTGTGAAGCAGAAGTAAGTATCACCTGAGCTAACTGCGGCTCTCACTCGAGCATCCTTTGTGTGCTGGTCTGGCTGAGAAAGCAGTTCCCTATCCCAAATCTTCAACTGGAGGGATGGGTGCCTCTGACCTGGGAGTGAGTGGCAGTGGGGGGTATGCGAGTGTGTGGGGAGCCGAAGGCCAGGGCGGTCTTGGGAAAAGGGAGCTCACGTCACCTGAGAACACGGTGTGGGGTGTGAAAACGGCCGCCATCACCTTGAGCACCTGCCCTGTAGACTGACACAAGAGTTCCCCCTGGTTTACACCTAAGGAACCCGGAGCTCAGAGAGGAGACGCCTCTGAGCATGGCTCCCAGCTGGTAAGGGCCTCAGCCCAACTCTCCTGATTTTCAGGCCAGGGGCCACCCTCTCCCCGTCCCTGGAGGACTTGCCAACGCACAGGCGCGCATGCACACCAACAAAGGGTCAGGACTTGAGGAGGATGCCTGGAGCACGCTTCTCCTGGCTGACTGTTTCTTCCTCTCCAGTCGTTTCCTCTGGTGGGCCTCTCCAGGGCTCCGCCGGGGTGTGGCCAAGACCCTCGAGGTGGGGTGTGCTCAGAGCAGGGGGCCTGAAGAATGGCTCCTCTGTTTACAACACACCCAACAGGAAGCTGGGGTCATCGTGATGAGGGGCACAAACTTGTGGCCTCCCTACAGACAAATGCCCTACATGTGGACCCCCTGCACCTCCGCATGGCTTCCGGGGAGGACCAATGGCAAAAGGCTTTGAAGGCCTCACTTTTGCAGGCAGAAGTCCTGGGAGTGGGTTTGGGAATGAGTGAAGGGCTGGAGGGGCAGGACAGTCCTCTTCCAGGAGCTGAGCTGCGGCATCGGGTTGAGGAGGGGCCCCCTGGAACCCATCCGTTCAGCAACAGGTCTGCTTGGCTAGCAGCAAAGTTTACTTTCCTCTCATGCCAAGGTACCTGGAATACAAGAAGATCCCCAACAGCAACCCACCTGAGTATGAATTCCTCTGGGGCCTGCGAGCCCGCCATGAGACCAGCAAGATGAGGGTCCTGAGATTCATCGCCCAGGTAAGGGAGCGCCTCTGTTGGGTGCCCGGCACCGGGGGTGGTGCTCTCCACACCTTGCTTGTTTCTTGGTCGAGGCCTCCTTCCCATTACCCCGTATTCCAGTGAGGGTACCAAACACTCACAGAGGCACCTGAGCACCCTACACAAGGTCACAGATGGGGCAAAATCCCAGGTCTGGCACAGGAGAGTAGGAGCCCCCAATCCCTGTGGTCCTGATTTTTGCCATCATTGCACAAAGCACACGGGAGGGGGTGAGGCGGGCCGCGGGTGCTCAGCCAGTGTGGGGTAGCTCTGTGTCTATGCCTGCCCTTTTCCTCCTCAGAATCAGAACCGAGACCCCCGGGAATGGAAGGCTCATTTCTTGGAGGCTGTGGATGATGCTTTCAAGACAATGGATGTGGATATGGCCGAGGAACATGCCAGGGCCCAGATGAGGGCCCAGATGAATATCGGGGATGAAGCGCTGATTGGACGGTGGAGCTGGGATGACATACAAGTCGAGCTCCTGACCTGGGATGAGGACGGAGATTTTGGCGATGCCTGGGCCAGGATCCCCTTTGCTTTCTGGGCCAGATACCATCAGTACATTCTGAATAGCAACCGTGCCAACAGGAGGGCCACGTGGAGAGCTGGCGTCAGCAGTGGCACCAATGGAGGGGCCAGCACCAGCGTCCTAGATGGCCCCAGCACCAGCTCCACCATCCGGACCAGAAATGCTGCCAGAGCTGGCGCCAGCTTCTTCTCCTGGATCCAGTAAGAGTTTCGGTAGAGAAATGAGACTCTGCAGGAGGGCTGCGGAGGGGGGTGAGATGTCAGAGGGAGGGCCAGGGTGGGGGCGCTGGGGGCAACGGCAACAGCATGGACGGACACTTATTTTGTTACGTACACCCCTCCCTGGTTCGCGTGTGTCCACGGATGTTGTCACTTTGGTTTCTTGTGCTTTTATAGGCACCGTTGACGAACTGCAGCGATCTTACTGGCCAAGCCAGAGCGCCTCCTCTCAGATTCCTTCTCGACACAGCACCCTAGGCGGCTTCTTCCTGTCAGTCGGAGGTGGCATGCAAGATGAAGCTCTCTTTGCTCTTCCTGCTTTCATTTTGTGCTTTTCCTTGTGTTTTCATGTTTTGGGTATCAGTGTTACATTAAAGTTGCAAAATTAATTTGGATGTTTCTTCCTTTACCTGCACACCCATTGCTATACCTGGCCACGCTTGGGCTTGTAGCAAGGAAACTTCTTCAGGCTCTCTGGGGTAGGTGGGCCCCACCTCTGCCAAAAAGGCCCACAGGGACAGGTGGGATGCTGGGAGGTGCGGAGGTTGGTTACGCCTGAGTGCGTGAGCAGGAGTTTGGAGAGGCCCCAGTGCTCATCGTTATGTGATTTTCTACAAACCTTGCTCAGCAGCCCCAGGGACATGGCAAGAGTCGGGGCCACAGCAGGGGCGGGGTGGAAAATTGCAGCTTGGTGCCACTGCCCCTCCCGCCGAGGGACAGGGTCCAAGGCTCTCACCAGGACCCACCTCCCACACCCCCTCCTTGGAGATGATGTTCCGGAACCCTTGGCTCATCATCCACACAGTTCAGGACCCCGTCCTCGGTACAGAGTCTGACGGACAATGAGGTGGGCCCCGCAGTGATGTTCGCAGCCCTCCAGTGGGTAGAAGGAGGGGCCGTGATTGCTGAGGGAGCAGGATGTAATAAAAACAACGCACGGTGCACGCGTACACAGCCCCTTGCCTGTGACGGAACGGCGGCCTGTTTGGAGCTTCGCAGCCCTTCTCCCCCAGCAGCAGGGCTCTCCCAGTGAGGACAACACCAGGCCTACCTAGGTCCTGGTGTGTTCAAGGGCTGGGTGATGTCTGGAGGGGTCTGAGGTAGGGCTGCACATGCTTCAGGTACAAGACAGTGAGGGCAGAGACAGTTTGGTCTCCTGGGAAGGGCTCAGTGGCAGGCAGGGACAGTGTCCAGGGCTTCTGGAGTTCCCCGGTAATGTCCAGGGCTTGGGAGGACAGAGCCCTAGATAAGGAGGGAAAACATAGCAGTGGAAGGCTCCCTGCTTCCCACCCCCTCACCCAGCCCCAGCCTCTGTTTCCCCAGGAGGGGCTGCCATCTCCGCCACGGCCAGATCCTGACCCAGACCGGGCTACCTAATTTGGGAGGCCCAGTGGAAAATGAAAACACGAGTCTCCTTGTCAAAAACTATGAAGGATTTCAAAACAACAACAGCAGAGCATGGAGCCACATGGGGAGCCCTGGTGAGCATCAGACTGCATTGGTTGCACACCCCAGAAGCTGTCCGTCAGAAAGGCTTTGGGTGGGTCTCCGTGTTGGCTGCCGCTGTGATTTCTGCTTCTCTGGTGCTTGGGTCCATGCTTGGCCACACTGACATTCTGGGACTCTGACAGAAATCCAGTTCCAAAGTTTTACTGGAACACACACACACACACACACACAATGGAGTCCCCTTCCCTTTATGTCTCCTGGTTTGTGGTCTGGGCTGTGGAAGAGATGAGGGATGCCTGGGACTCCACCACCCCTGGCGTCATAAATTTAATGCTATTTGGCTGGAACCTCCCCGGACACCCTTGTGCACATAGCGGGCACATGCCTGTCCTTGGATCAGGGTGGGGGTAGTCACCATAAGCCACAGGAGTGAGTTTGAACACTGTGTGCAGAGGGCACTTGAGATACGGAAGTTCCACCGGAAAGGAACAGGAAGCAGCCCTCAGAGGTGGGGTGCTGGCCAGGTCACGGCCTCCTCAGGCCTCCAGGCTTGCTGGACACTCTCCCTTTCACATCACCTTGCTGCGGTGGGGCCTCACCAGGGACCCACTCCCCCTACCCTGTAGGGGCAGCGCTGAGAGCACCTGGGAAGAGAGGAGGAGAGCAGGGAGGTGAGAGCACCCTGGTGGGAAATGGGGGCGGACTGGACTGCGCGTCCTGCAGAAGGGTCAGACCGGCCACCCTGGAGACGGCCACCACCTCACTCACATGGCAAACAGGAGACCTAGGCAGGTTTCCCCCCTGCCCCCGGCCTGGGGCCTTCTGCAGACCCCGCACTGCAAAGGCCCACAGTCCATGTCAGCAAGTGTTTTCTGAGGCCCTGCTGTGTCAGTGGACAGCACTCACAGCCTTCTCCCAGCTTGGCCTGCTCCCTCTGATCACCCCTGCCCCAGGCCTGGCGATGGACGAGCATTCGTGCATTCACTTGTTTCCAGTTATTGACATTATGCATAAAGTTGTTCTGAATATTCATGTACAATTTCTCATCTGGGCCTATGTTTCTGTTTCTCGGCCAAGCCCGAGAGGTGGGGGCAGTAAGGCCATTTCATGGTCTCAGCCAACTGAGGCTCCGAGAGGGAAGATGCTCTCCCCAAGTCACACAGCCAGGAAGTGGCAGAGCACAGACTTGAACCTGGGACCCTCTGAGGCCAGGGTGCGTGCACTGGGCCCTGCTGTCGGCCTCCCCTGCCATCCAGGGTCTTGCAGTGTCCTGGGGGTGATACACCCACCTGCTGGGCACTCTCTCCTGACACCCACCCTCGCACCCACGTGCACATACCGCTCCCCATCTCCCTTCATCGTGCATGATTCGCTACCCCTCACGGCTTCCCTGAACGACAGGTTCCACCCTAGGTTTCTGAGGCCTGCCACCGCCCTCCCAGCCTCCTGAGACATCAGGTTGGGTGCTTTCCTTCCTGGGCATCCATCCTGCTGCTCCTCCTTGTTTTTGTCGTCATCAGGCCCTGGGCCAAGGGCGTTTTGCCCACTACCTCGTGACACCCTCAAAGATCGTCTGAGCTACTACTGTGCACTTGAGGAAACAGACTCAGAGAAGGGAGGTGACTTGCCTGAGATCTCTGACCCAGCTTTGCCGCTGCCTCCACTAGTGACCTTGGCCCAGCCTCTTCTCTTGACCAGTTGCATATCGTTCCGTGTTGCATGTGAAGAACCATTCACATGGTTTGCACATTGATTATCATTTGTCGTCTTAATACTGAATTATAAGAGTGCTTTTTTGCGTGCAAACTTTTCCATTGTCGGGTAGTATATATTGCAAACATTGCCGCAATGAATGGTTTGCTTTTTCATTTCGCTAATGATGAAAAGCCAGATTTCTAAATTTGATGAAATTCACTTAAGGTGTTTTTGCATGGCTATTGCTTTCTGTGTCATAGCTATAAGAGTCCTTCGCCTACAGCAAGTTTTTCAAGGCTTTATCCTGAATTCTCTTCCAGAGGTCTTATGCTTTAGCTTTTTTGTTGACATTTAGGATCTTCACAAACTTCAGAAGTTTGAAATCATACCAATTATCTTTTCTGACCACAATGGAATGAAACTAGAAAGCAATACCGGAAGGAGAATTGAAAAAGTCACAAACAGGTGGAAATTACAACACTCTCTTCAACAACCAGTGGGTCAAAGAACAGACCACAAGGAAATTAGAAAGTATCTTGAGACACATGACAATGAAAACACCACATACCACAACTAAGGAGATGCAGGGAAAGCAGTGTTAAGAGGGAAGTTTATTGTGGTAAATCCTTACAGTGAAAAAGAAGAAAGATCTCAAATCAACAGCCTATCTTTGTGTTTCGAGAACTAGCAAAGGAAGAACAACGTAAACCCGAAGTTAGCAGAAGGAAGGAAGTAATAAAGATTAGAGCACAAATAAAGGAAATGGAGAATAGACAAATAATAGGAAAAAAAAAACAATGAAACTAAGAGCTGGTGTCTCTGAAAAGGTCAACATAGGTTAAGCAGATTAAGAAAAAAACAGAGAAGGGTCAAATAACTAAAATCAGAATGACAGAGGGGCATTACAATTGTTACTACAGAAATAAAAAAGATTATAAGGAGAAGACCAGGAACAACTATACCCCAACAAATTTGATACTTTAGAAGAAATGGATAAATTCTGAGAAACGTACACGCTGCCAAGACTGACTCCTGAAGAAATAAAAAATCTCAGCAGATCTCGACAACTCATAAGGAGACTTAACCAGTATTCATCAACCTCCCAACAGAGAAAACCGCAGGACTAGATGGCTTCAGTGGAGAATTCTACTAAACAGTTAGAGAAGAACTAGGACCAGAAACGCGCGCGCACACACACACACACACACACACACACTTCCCAAAAGAATGTTTGTGCATACATATTCAACAAAAGTCTAGCACACCGAGTTCAACAACACATGAAAGGCCCATGACCACGTGGGATTTATTCGTGGAATGCAAGGAAGTTTCGATCAATGAAAATCAACTAATTTAGTGTACGGCATCAACAAAATGAAGGACAAAACCACATGATCGGCTCAATTGATGCACTAAAAGCATCTGACAAAAGTCAACCCCCTTCGTGATAAAAACACTCAAACTCCTTGAAACAGAAGGAAACAACCTCAACGTCACAAAAGTCCTATATAAAATACTCATTGTGAACACTGTACACGATGGCGAAAGAGTGAAAGCTTTTCCTCTAAGATCAGGAGCAAGACAGAGATGCCCGCTTTTGCTACTTCTTCTCAACATAGTCCCGGAAGTTCAGAGGGCAATTAAGCAAGAAAATGAAATAAAAGGGCATCCTTTTTATTTCACTTCATTTTATTTTTAGAAAAGGCATCCTTTTTATTTCCTATTTTCTAAATAACCCATAGCTCAAGGAAAACATCACCAATGAAATCGCAAAGTATTTTGAACCTGATGAAATCTTATGGGATATATTTTAATTGTCTAGATTGCATGAAAAAGAAAGGCACAACATTTGCATCTTTCTTAACCATGTTGAACAACAGATTAAACCTGAAGAAAGCAGAAGAAATGAAATAACGATAAAAGTACAAATCAGTTAAAGATAAAACAACACAGCCAGAGGTGGTTTTTTGAAAAGATGATGTGATTAAGACATGCCTTGTGTAGGCCTGAACAAAAAGGAGAGAAATCATGAAGCAACCCGTGTCTGGAGTGGCTAAGGAGACATCACTATGGGCAATGAAGGCATTAAAGAGATCATTATTCAAAACCATGAGCAACTTTATGCCCACAAACGTGAAACTTTGGATATAATTTACACATTTCAAGAAAATACAACAAAATGACAGAAAACAGACTAAACATCTGAATTGTCCTACAAATTCTAAACGGGCGGAATCTGAAGGAAACAACAGCAACAGCCACAAGAACCTACGGACTCTGATGCTGCCACCGATTAATTCTACAAAACGTTTGTGAAGGAAGGAATATCAATCTTACCTTCTTGCCAAGTAACATAAAAAACGGGAAATGCTTCCCATCCCGTTTTATGAGGGAAAAACCTTAAAGGGCATGGTAAGAAATGAAATGCACAGGCCTATCTTTTACATAAGCACAGAAGAAGAAATCTTGAATAAAGCATTAGCAAAACAAATCAGTTAAATCTCCAAAAAGGAAAACGTATCACAAACAAGTCAAGAGTATTCTAGAAATGAAGCGGTTCAGCGCTTGAAAAATCTATCTCTCAGAAGTAATGTATGAAGGAGAAAAAATATGATATTCCCTACAGACGCAGGAAGGGTATTTCATGGGTTTGATTTTTTTTAAATGACCATGCACTTATGATAAAACCTCTTAGCCAACTACGAACAAAAGGGAAGTCTCTTGATTCCGTTGGAATATATTTTAAAAGCCTACAAAAACAACGATACTTACGGGTGACATGTTGACAGCTTTCCCTCTGAGATCAGGGGGAAAAAAAAACCAGATACATCCACTGTCACCACTTACAGTGCCATGAAGGAAGAAAAAGTAATCAAAGCAGTCCTGCAAGCACAGCCTTAAATGCATACGCATGTTAACCAAAGGACATCCTTGTGAACGTGCACCACAATAATAACACTAACACTCCAGCGCTGGAAACTACTGAAGAGCCCATTAGAAATAAAAGGCATGAATAAATTGTGGCATCGTCATACAATTCAAAACACTGCGCAGGAATGCAAAGAAACGAAATTCAGCTACACAGCACGACAAAAGTGAATAGCAAGGAGAAAAACCTAATGTTGCCAAGAGAAACCCGGATTATAAAATACGTACTGTACTGAGTCTACTCATGTGTAATGCGTTCACAAACAGGCAGGATTATCGTCAAGTGTTAAAAGTCACAAGAGTGGTTAGATTTGCTGAGGTGGAAGACAAGAGTGACTGGCATGAGAGTGCTTTTGAGCTGCCGGCAATACACTACACCATTTCTTAACCCAGATCGTAGGGGATCAGACGTCCCTGTGGAACCATTTACTGAGTGGTACCCTCATTTTGCGTGCAACTCCATTTTTGTATTATATTCCATTACAGTGTACATAGAGATATTTAAATGAATACTATCCCAGGAATGTCCATAAACAATGGATTCTTCAGCGATTTGTATATTCTCTGACCACAATGCCACAATGGGATCTAGAAATTAATAACAAAAGATCATTACAAACCCCCGTATATGTTGGTAAATTAAGAAACATCCTCCTAAGTAACCCATGGCTCTAAGAAAAACTAACGTTGAAATAAGAAAATATTTTGAGCTTACTAATGAAGCAAACTCCAGAGGTCTTTGCCTGCCAATATTACTAAGTCTCCTCTCTGGGGAAGTTTAGATTACACAGGAAGACTCTCCTGCATCTCTGAGAAGGGGCAAGATGCCAGCAATCTGGACGCCAAACTCCAGCGGAGGTGAGGGACTGAAGATTGCTGTAGACAGCAACTGAAATCCCTACGCCGGGTTGGGATGTATGCCTTGAAGTGAGCCTGAAGTTCCAAAGCCCATAAATCTGCTGGTTCATGCTCTGCAGAGAGTACATTTGTCCGCCATCTCCCAGAGTGGGGGGAGAGCGATTTGTCATGCTACGAGGAGCTGAGAGGGGATCTGGGCGTCTAAGTGATTTGTAAATACACTTTCTAGAGCAATCGTGCAATTTACAGCCCCCACCATTACCAACAACGTGCCGGGATACGTGGCAATGCCAGTGTTGCAGACAGTTGGAAGGTCTGGTGAGAGGGGATAAGTCAGTTGCTTTCCTGCCATCCTCACTGCCAGTTGATGCTCAAGCTCTCTTGGCAACACAAGTGAGACTCCGTCTGTAAAAAAACAAAACATAAAAAAAAAATTAACATGTACTCCCAGCTACTCTGGAGGCTGTGGCTGGAGGATCCCTTGAGCTCAGCAGTTCGAGGCTACAGGGAGCTATGATCATACCACTGAACTCCAGCCTGGGCGACAGAGCGAGAACCCCCCACACCCTCAAAAAAGATCAAGCTCTCTTAATCAGCTAAGTCAGTGTCACTCACCTGTTTCCTTCCCATCTTCTGCTACTTTCTTTCTCTTGTCTCCTCAGCCAGTTTCTTTGTCTTTATGGGGTAAAGCCTTAGGAGAAAAGGATGCAGCCAGGAAAGAGGGAGGGGGAAGAGAGGTGAGAAGTGAACGTGAGAAAGAGAAGGGGTGAGTGAAGTACATGACCAAAGGTGCCCTGGGGAAGCTGGGAGCAGGAACAAGGGTCCCCGGGCGAGTTGAAACTACCCCTCATGCTCTTTGGTCTGTTGGGTGCTCAGGTTGCAGGAAATGGGCATCCGGTTGGACTTCATGAGAACTCACACCTTGGGGTGTGGAGGGCAGGACACCATGAGAGGAGTCCCACCCTGCTGCAAAAGATAGAAGAGGAGAGTTGCCCCCAACATAAAAGGGAAGGCAGTGACAGAAAGAGGCAAGCAGAGGATGGTGGATGGCAGAACAAGGACTATCATCAATGACATTTTCTTCACTGAGCCCACCCCAGAAATGAGCTCCCTTCCTGTGCGCTCTCACAGCTCCTTGTCGTTGAATCTCGTATCACTGATGGTAATTTGCAGAGGAATAATTAAGTTGGTGATTCACTTTAGGATGTACTGCCCTCCGAGGCTGAAAGCTAAACACATAGAGCCCACGTTACGCCCAGTACCACTTAAGGAACTGCGGATTAGTCACTGGGTGAGTATCAGGGGAGGGGAGGGCGGGGAGGGTGAGGGGAGGGAACGGCATAGAGAGAAGGAAAAAGCAAAATGAGGGGAAAACCAGGGGAGGACAACATGAGAAAGGAAAGAGGGAGAGAAAGGGCAGTGAGGGATATGGGAACTCGGAGGGAGGACAAAGGGAAAGACAAGGCATGGAGGAGAGAGAGCAGAGAGGGGAGATGAGAGGTGATGACAGAGGCTGAAGTGAGGTAGGAAGAGAGAGGAAAGAGGAAAGGAGTGTAGAGGAAATGGATGAGGGAGTAAAGAGAAAGGAACAAGGGGAGAGGTCCTTTACCAAAGGGTGATTGATGAGCAGGGGGCAAGAAGAAGGGGCAGCGAGGGAGAAAGGGAAAGGAGGAGAAAACTGCCAGCTTTGAGAACTCTACCCTGCCCCTGGAAAGAGGGGATCCCCATCCCAGGTCAACCTGGGGCTCCCCATGGGACTATCTCAGAGGGAGGAGCTGGATAAGCCAAGAAAGAGCAAAGGGTGCACGGGACCACTCTTGCCTTGCTGCATGTGTCATTCAGGGCCTTCCCACCCAAACAGGGGGACTGGTCACATCAACAGCCACCTCTGCTGAATCCAAGCTCTGCACCGGATCCTCCTTTCCCCTGCCAGATACGGGTTTCAACAAGCAAATTTAAGGGAATCACTCCCCTTCCTGGGATCCCTCCCTGACTGTATCAGTTGCAACCCCTTTCATGGTCACAGAGGCCTGGCCTCTCCCACAAGAACCCTATGGGCCAGCCAGTGCGATGCTCTGTACATCGTATCTGTTCAGGATGAAGCCTGTGTGTGTGTGTGTGTGTGTGTGTGTGTGTGTGTGTATGGGGTGGGGGTGTGTGGGATGTGTGCGTGTGTGTGTGTGTGTGTGTGTGTACTAATAATCACAAGGATCAATATATCTGTGGGAATTGTGAATTCTTTCAATGTGACTGCCTTGCTAGAATCCCCTCTCCCAGGGGCCTTTATTTCAAGGACCAACTCTGCTTTTCTCCCACAGCCCAATGAATGCATCAGACACTCAGCTTCAGTTCCCATGGCAACAGGGGCTAATGGCCTAGAGACTAAAGATGAGACAAAGAGAAACGCAGAGAAATGTGCGTGTTCTGTCTTCCTCTGAGGTACGCAAGCCCCTATTCAGGGATTGAAAAGAACATTCGCTTTAGTTCTACCCTGCCCTCCCCTCAATGCTGGGTGGAGGAGGGCAGAAACGCAGACGGGCCTGACATGAATCCAGAATTTCTACATCCTCTCAATGCACCTGCACGGTTTGGAGACAGGCTTCTTTGTCCCCGAGCCATCATGTTACCAACAATGTATTGTACCTGCAAACCATGCCTGTGGAACCTAGGATTCCTGCTACCCCAACTCACCTTCCTCTTTACCACCCTCTAGCCTCTATCACAGTAGGGGAGTTTTTTCAGTCATTCCTATTTTCTGACAGAAAGTTCCAGCCAGCCCAATTTCAGAAGCGCTGTCTCAGGAGGGCTCCCTGATCCTTCCTGCCAGAGTCACACAGGACACACCTCCTCCCTCTTCTCCTCTGTGGCCTGGGAGACCTCTGCCCAGACCATGGGACAAGTTCCTAGGGCTCCCCCTTCCTGCCACACTCCTGTTCCGCCAGGGCCTTGGGGAGACTCAGACGAGGGAGGTTTCTGATAGTCTCCCACTTCTGGAAGCAGCCAAACTAATGAGAGGCCTCTTGCCTGCCCCTCTTCCTGAGAAGCCCACCACCTCCTGTGTATTGACTCCCCTTACCAGAGGCTGGACAAACAGCGTGCCAGGCCCGACATGAGACGTCCCACACTATAAATTTGTGATAAACAACAACTCAAAAGCTGGGCATATGCCCCCAACTTTCCCTCCCTTCTTTCCATTTATTCCAGTGAGTCTCAGAAGTCCCTTTGTCCAGCTGCACTCTCCTCTCCTGGGACCCAGCTGCCCTCCATTTCCCATGTCCTGGAACCCCTCAGTCCAAAATACCTAAGTAAACTCGTCTTCACTGCAATGTGCAACCCACACCCACAGCCATGCCCTACGCCAGAAGGAACCACATGAAGTTCTGCCCATCTTCCTGACCTCCACGGATGTTGCGCGACATCCAGTCTCCTCTGGGTCAGGGGGTTTGTCTCATATGCACTCCTGAGTGCCCACCTGCCAGTGACTCCCCTGTGTTTCACACCCCTCTCGGGGGATCTCAGATCCACTCGGCTCCTGGTCTCTGTCTGGATGACCACGACCAGTTTCCCTTGGAGAAGGACCAATGGGGAATGGCAATGCCAGGAAGGCAACGCTTCGCTTGACTGCTCTGCTCCTTAAATCCCCAAAAGCACCACTCACAGGACTGTAGACGCTATGCCAGTTACAGACTTCAGCGAAGGGTCAATAGTGACTACATGAAATTATAGTGGAACAAACTACTAGTGAGCGATGGCTAAGCATCCATGCTGCTAGAATCCAAAAAGAATCACCCATCCCCTGCCTCCCACGGAAAAGATAAGGTCTTCTGAGGACATTCCATTTCCGGTGAATTCCCGTTCATGGCTTTTCTTCCTGTTTTGAGCACTGCCCTTTTCTCTCCCTGGAAAGAAGGAAGTCCCTCCATTAATCTGCTTCATTGTAGGGATTTCTTTATCTCTCAGTAATGGGATCTGTCTATGTCTCCACCTCCCTGTGAACATGTGAACACCCAGAGACAATCACCAAACACTAAGGAGCTATGAGTGTCACATCATAATCCCTCACCTAGCTCTGCGCAGTGGCTCACACCTATAACCCCAGCTATGCAAGACACCGAGGCAGGAGGATTGGTTGAGGCCAGGAGTTGGACACGAGCCTGGTCAATGTAGCGAGACCTCATCTCTAAAATTATAAAAATAGAAAAAATTAGCCTTATATGGTGGCACGCATCTGTGGTCCCAGCTACTCGGGAGACTCATGCAGGAGGATCACTTGAGCCCAGGAGTTTGAGGCTGCAGTGAGTTATGACAGCACCACTGCACAGAGCTTTGGGAGGCTGCACTTTGAAGGCAGGAGTTCAAGACCAGCTTGGGCATCACAGCGAGACCCCAACTGCAGAAAAAAAATAAAATTAAATTTAAAAAAATTAAAAATATCTCTGACCGATACATTTCTCAAAATTTGAATTTGTCAGTTTACATTAACCTTCGTTACTCAGCCTGGATCCTATGGACTTCAAACTTCATTTCCTCATCCTCTGGACATCTCTGCCCTGCCAATCCCTCATTCTCAATTTGGCCATCCCCGGGGATGGAGGTTATCAGCATGGCTTTAACTGAGAGCATGAAGCATGGGGCTGGTGGCTCATATTTTTAACAAAGCCAGCCTCTCTGGTTGACCCCATCTTTACCCCTCACTGTTTCTCACAGTTTGAATTCCTGCAGATGTCCACTGTTTCTCTGCATCTTCAAATTCTTCTGCTCCAGTGGCTATTCCCCTCAGCATACAATTACGCTCCACTGTCCTCCATTTTAAACAAATACCTTCCCTTGGCGACACTTCCCTACCAGCTGTTCTCCCACATACCTGCTGCCTTTCACAGCAAAACTTTTCTGGTAAGTTGTCTGAACAGGTTGTCACCACTTCCTCATCTCCACCTCCGATGTCTTGCATGGCCTTCTGTCCTCCAATATGCTTTTTTTCTTTTTCATGCTCTTTAGTAACTTACATGATGTCAAATCCAATTATCATCCCTCTGACCTGGCTTGCCCTCTTAGTAGCATTGAACGTGCTGGCCACTATCGGTCTCTTGAGATCTTGTGGATTCCATGAAACCATCTTCTTCTGGTGATCTTCCTTCCAGGATAGATCCTATTCTTTGAGTTGTTTCCTGGCTCCTCTTCTTGTAAACTCCTCTACTTTTTGATATGCTCCAGATTGTGGCCTTGTTTCCTCCTTTTCTACATTTTTTTCTCGAAGAAATTTCCTTTCACTTTACAGATGTAAATAACACCTACATCTGCCACCTCCTGTGTCCATCAGAATGTTTGGTTAGCAACAACAGAAAAACACTCACGATTGCTCAACCAAAAAAAAAAAAAAAAACAAACAAACAAACCTGATGCAAGAATATCAGGTTGCACACGAAGTCAATAAGAGGGCTGCATAACCAGAATTGGAAAGCAGGTAGGATCCACGGGAGTCTGAGACATAGAAACAATCACAAAGGTCATGCCTGAGAAATAGCTTTGTTTTGACATTGTTCTTGCAACCTTGCTACTCTGCCAGAGAGGCCGCTTTGGAAGCCTCCTACCACATTTAATTTTTCAGCCTTATGGAAGTCTTCGTATAGGTTTCGTTTTGTAATAATTCAAAAATATCCCTCCAACTTGTATCCTAATATACTAGCATGTATGTTAACTTAGGAATAAGTTATGAACATTTTGAATTCCTTCAGAGATTCTTTCCTCCTTCATTAAAAGAAACAGCTTTATTGAGATATAATTCAGATACCACAAAGCTCACCCTTTTAAAGTGTACCGTGCAGTGGTTGTTAGTATATTCCAAAAGTTGAGCAACTCCCATTCCGTAGGTGGCCTTTTCACCGTGTTGATTGTTTCATTTGGTTCACCATAGGTTTTTGTTTTCGTTTTTGGTTTTTGCTTTCATTTTATTTTATTTTTTATATATATATATATATATATATATTTATTATACTTTAAGTTCTAACGTACATGTGCAAAACGTGCAGGTTTGTTACCTGTTGGTGTGCTGCACCCATTAACTCGTCTTTTGCATTAGGTATATCTCCTAATGCTATCCCTCCCCCCTCCCCCCTCCCCCTACCCACAACAGGCCCCGGTGGGTTCACCATAGGTTTTTGGTTCGACTTAGTCTCACCAGTCTAACGTGGCTTTTTGTTGCTTGTGCTTTTTGTCATATTCAAGAGATAATTTCCAAGTCAAATGCCATGGAACTTTTCACCTATGTTCTCTTCTAGGAGATTTACAGGAAAAGATATTTGAAAAGGATATATATGATAAGGGATTAATATCCAAGCTATACAAGGAACTCCTACAACTCAATACCAAAAAAGAAGACAACAAACTGACTAAAGAATGGGCAAAAGACTTGAATAGACATTTCTTCAAAGAGGACATGCACATGCCCAACAGTATATGAAAAAGTGCTCAACGTCACTACTCAGCAGAGAAATGCAAATCCAAACCACAATGAGCTATCACCTCACACTTTGAACGATAGCTATTATCAAAACAAAAAAGAAAGAAAGAAGAAAGAAAGAGAAAGAAAAAAGAAAGAGAAAGAAAGAAGAAAGAAAAAGAAAGAAAGAAAGAAAGAAAGAAAGAAAGAAAGAAAGAAAGAAAGAAAGAAGGAAAGAAAAGAAAGAAAGAAAGAAAGAAAGAAAAGATAACAAGTGTTGTTTTGGAGAAGATGTGTAAAAATTCCAACACGGGCACACTGGAGTAGGCACATAAAGCGGTGCAGCCACTATGGAATACACCGTAGTGGTTCCTCAAAAAATTGAAAATAGAACGACCATGTGATCTGGCAATCCCACTTTTGGGTATATATCCAAAAGAATTGAAATCTGGACCTCGAAGGGATATATGCACTCCCACCTCTATTGAAGCATTACATCTAACAGTCAAAATTTAAAAACAATGTGGAAACAACCTAAATGTTCATCGACAGATGAATGGATATTAAAAATGTGGTATACACATAAAATGGGACATTATTCCACTTCCATGAAGAAGGAATTCCTGCCATCACACCCAAATAATGTGGGTTCTAAATATTTCAGCTATCTAAAATAGTCAAATTTAAAAACCAGAGTGCAGTGTCGGCTGCTTGAACCTGGAGGGAGGGGGAAACAGGGAGTTGCTATTCTATGGGTATAAAGTTTCCGTTGTGCCAGGTGAATACATTCTTGAGATCTCCTGTACAACCCTGTGCCTATGGTTAAGAATATGGTATTTTGCACTTAAAATTTTAGTGAGGGCGGATCTCATGTTACGTGTTCTTAGCACAATAAAATAAAATTTAAAAAACGGAAAAGTTGTGCAACTATCACAACCATGTAATTTAAGAACTTTTTTATTCAAAAAACACGCTGTATGTATTTAAGTGACCTAATCTCCCCTCTTCTTCAAACCACTGGTACCCTCTGATCTATCTTCTGGCTCTCTGATTTTGCATGTAGTGAATGTTTCCTATAAATCAGATCATACAATGCGTGACCTTTTGGACCGGCTTCTTTCAGTAAGCACTATGTTTTCCAGATTAATCAATGTTGTGGCTCGTACATTCCATTAACTACCATATAATGATACTACATATTGGTTACTCATTCAACTGTGGATGGACTTTTAGATTCTTTCACTTTTTGGCTACTATGGAGGAGGCTGTTATGGACACTCTTGTACAGGATTTTACCTGAGTTATTTTTTGAAATCTCTTGGGTGAACACCTGGAGTGGACTTGCTGGGTCATAAAGGAACTCTTACTTTTGGAGGAACTGCTGCACCCTCTCCCAAAGTGATTGGGCCATCTTACAATCCCATGAGAAATGTCTTAAGATTCCAGTTCCTCCACAACCTTGCCAACATTTGTTATTGTCTATCTGTTTGATTTCAGCCATCTTAGTGAGTGGGAAGTGGTATCACAACGTGGATTTGACTTGCACTTCCCTAATGACTAATGACACTGAGCATCTTTTCTTGAGCTTATTAGCCATTTGTACATGTTCTTTAGAGAAATGTCTATTGCAATGCTTTGCCCACTTTTATTTGGGCTGTGTGTCTTTTTTATTAGGCAGTCGTAAGTGTTTAGTAGATATTGCAAATAGAGTCAAATATGAGATATATGATTTTCCAATCTTTTCAATCATCTCATAAGTTGTCTTCCCTGTCCTTGATGGTGGGCTTTGAAGCACAAAAGTATTTAATTTTAATGAAGTACAATTCCTCTGTGTTTCATGTTTTTCACCCGTGATATGGGTACCATATCTACAAAGCCAATTCCAATTTCAAGGTCATGAAGGTTATCCCCAAAGTTTTTTTCCAAAAGTTACATAGTTTTTTTCCCCTTAGGTTTATGTCTATCATTCATTTTGAATTAATTTTCAGGCATGGCATGAGATGGTGGGTCCACTTCATTCTTCTCCATGGGCATAACCATTTGTCCCAGCACCGTTTGTGGAAAATGCTATTCTTTCTCACTTTGAGTTGCCTTGATACACTTGTGGAAAATCAACTGAACTTAAAAGAAGAGGTTTATTTCTAAAATTTGCATTTTTATGACACTGATATATATATGCCTAAATTTATGCCAGTACCACAACACATTGATTACTGTAGCTTTGCAGTAAGTTTTGAAATAGAGACGTGTGAGTCCTCCATCATTGCTCTTTTTCAAGATTGTTTTGGCTTTTCTGGGTCCCTTGCGTTGCCAAGGGAATGTCAGAATCAGATTGTCAATTATGGCAAGAAGATCCTGGTGGGATTTGAAACGGTGAGTATGTTGTATCTATAGATCCACTTGTGGACTGTTACTATTTTAATGATACACAGTCTTCCCCGTCCATGTGTAAGGGACACCTTCACATTTCTTTAGGTCTTCTTTAATTTCTTTCAATAAGGTTTTGTAGTGTTCTGCGTACAAGTCTTACACTTCTTTTGTGGAATTTATTTCTAACTATTGTGTTTCTTTGGATGCTATGATAAGTGGAATTGTTTTTAAAGTGTCCTTTATTGGATTATTCATTGGTAGTACAAAGACATAAAATTGTATGTTTTACATTGATGTAGATATTATATGGAATAAATTCAATGACTCGTCCTGATAGTATTTTCTTTTCCGGCTTCTTTAGTGTTTTCTATGTACAAGATAATGTCATCTGTGAGCAGAGAGAGTTTTACTTATTCCTTTCAAGTCTGGAGGTCTTCTATCTCTTTTTCTTGCCTAAATGCATTAGCTAGAAGCTCCTGTACAATGTTAAATAGAAATGGTGAGAGCACACATTGTTGCTTGTTGAGGGTGAAAGTTTTCAGCCTTTCACCATTAATCATGATGGCAGTTGTGAGTTTTTGGTAGAGTCTACTGAGTTGCAGAAGCACCTTTTTTCTCCAGTTTCTTCATATTTTTTTAATTGTGAAACGGTTTTGGATCTGTCACAAGTTTTTTCTGTGTCTACGGAAACGATAATATGGGGTTTTTATTTGGTTAGTGTGGTATATTATATTGATTGATTTTTGTACGTTGAACCAACTTTACATTCCTGGAGCAAGTTCCACTTGGTCTTTGTGTAAAATCTGTGTGTGTGTGTGTGTGTGTGTGTGTGCACGTGTGTGTGTTGCTGGATTAGGTATGTGTGTAATTTGTGGAGGAGATTTGTGTATACATAACAGATATGCATCTGTAATTAGGTTAGTTATTTCCTTCTGATGCCTTGTCTAATTTTGGAGTTTGGTTAAAGTTGGGCTCGAAAAACTAGCTGGGAAGGGCGCCCTTCTGTTCTTGAGCAATCTTGTGAAGCTTTGGTGTTAAGTGTCCTTTAAATATTTGGTAGAATTCCACCAGTTAACCCTGGACTTTTCTTTGGGGGAATATATTTGTTAGTAATTCAATCCCTTTACTTGTTGTAAATCAATTCAAATCTTCTACTTCTCCTTTAGGCAGTTTCAGTAATTTGTGTGTTTCTGGACATTTGTCCTTGTCACAAGATTATCTAATTTGTTGCCATGCTGTTGTTCACAGTATTTCCCATAACCTTTTTATTTCTGTAAGATTGTATTAATATCCTATATTCTAGTTTTGATTTTTGTAATATGCATCTTTTCTATTCTTTCTTAGTCTAGCAAAAGCATGTCAATTTCGTTGATCTTTGTTAATGAACCAACTTTTGGTTTGGTTAATTTTCTCTATTATTTCCTATATTCTTTTTATTTATATCACTCTAACAGTCCTTATTTCCTTCCTTCTGCCTGTTTGGGGTTAGTTTAATTTTCTTGCTCCTGTGTCTTAACATAAAAATTTAGAAGAATTTTTTGAGAGCACTACTCTTTTTTCAATATAGGTGTTTATAGCTATACATTTGCATCTAAGAGCTAATTTAGCCACATCCTACAAGGCTGGGATCTTGTGTGCATCTTTCTCCCTTCAGTTGTGTCCATTTTTGCTTCGTGTATTGTGGGGCACTATTGCTATGTGTCTATATATTTTTATAAAAATCTTTATATCTTCTTGATGGATTGAGCACTCTACCGTGATAAAACGTCCTTCTCTGTATCTAAATCGAATTGTTGTCTTAAAGTATATTTTTGTCTCAGAGAATATTAGTAGAGCCACTCCAACTCTCTTTTCATGATTGTTTCCACACTATACTTTTCCACGCTTTTATTTTAAGCAATTTATGTCTTTGAAAGTAAAGCACACCTCTTCAAGATAGCATGTAACTGGAGCATTTAAACAAATCTGTTCTGCCAATCTCTCCTTTTGGTTTTGTTGAGGGCATTTTCTTCTACATTTATAAAAGATATTGTTCTGTAGTATGCTCTTCTTGGGATGTCCTCTTCTGCCTTTGGTTTCTGGGTAATATTGGTCTCATAGAATGACTTCAGTGAATTTGAGCAAGTTACCTAACTTTCATGAACCTCAAAGACTAAGAGGAATGTGAATGGGCTGAGTCTGGAAGGTCTTCTTTTCTCTAAGCAGTCTTCTCCAGGTGGTGGTGGGGCGGAGGCACCTGCTAGGAGTAGAATGAGGAGTGGATGGATAGTGGGGTCAGATATCATCCTGTGCACCCCTTATCTCCCAGGTCCTCCCTTCACCTTCCTGCCCATCCTCTCTCCCTCCCCATTTACATCTACCACAAGGAATTCGAAGGAGTTTGCAGAACTTTAGATGAAATTTCTCTTTCTCCAACAGTGGATTGGATAAGAGGCGCACAAAATATTTCCGAACCCAAATATTTTTCAGAGAACATAGGATGATGAAGAAACAATGTGCCGTTGAACTTCTATACTTTCTTCCACACAGTGAAAAGCATATTTAGTCTTTACAGTGGGTAATAAAATCCCTGAGTCCAGAAAATGAAACCTGGGGGAACGAAGAGGCTTCACTGAGGCTTCAGTATTTTGGCAATCTTCATAGCCAAGGAAAGGCTTGCTGGGGCACTAGGAGCAGGACTGATGGCTGTAGAATCACACAGCATACAGAATGGAAGATCAGGCTTCCTCTTACCACGGGAACTCCCAATCTGGTTTGAAAAATGGGACCCATACATGACATTATTCAATACAACGAAAGGTGCTATATAAGCTGAAGAGCCTTCGAAAAGATGGACGAGAATTAGTCACTGCCATTGAGAAGTTCAGAGTCCGGTGGGAGAGATAAGGCTCATAGACAATGATACTTATCATAGTGAATATTACCTTTCTTACAGGAACAAAGAGGAGGGAAGAAACAACTTCCTGAGGGAGTCAGGAGCACTTGCTCCAAGTTTAAGCGATGAATTGCAGGTTATCAACCATCAAAGCTGTGGCAATGACATTCTGGGAAGAAGGAACAGAATTTGCAAAGAAGGAAGCTTATTTGACACACATTTTTTGAGAGCTCTGTCTTCCCCAAATAGTGTGCAAGTTTTGAGAGCTACAGAGGAAATGAACAATGCCTCTGTCCAGATCACTAATGAATCCATGTACCCTGAACTGGCAAGGGAAACATTCACAAGCCGGTTCTCATCATTTTAAAAGGTATAATGACTCCAAGGATGCCTGGGGAAGGCCATCTCGTCATCCGGTCAGGTCCCCCACAGGGGAAGTCAGTACCATGCTATGATCACCGTTATTCCCAGTTTTGTAGGTGCAGCAATTAAACGTTGTCCACACATCCAGAGGGAATTGGGCTACAGAAGACTGCCTCACATTGATAAAATTTACCAAAATTATACCCATATGGTACACAAAATGAGGTCAGGTGCATCATTTGAATGAAACATTGACAATTTTAAAACACATTAAATAATTTTTCCTAAATGGTACATTTTGCCTCACGTTTGTTTTTTACAGTAACTTTCTATTTATGACAAGTCATGTTGGATTTCCACTTATGGTAGTGATATTAAGTTTCCTTTGAAAATATACTTATTGATGAAAAACTATTTTGTTCAAAGGAAAACACTATGCCTTCTAAACACGACAATGAAGATAGCGTGTGATATTAATGAATTAAAATTCTAAACAAACTATAAGAAATGCAAGTGAAATATTAACGTAGATCGGAAGCATTTGGTATTATAATAGTTTTACCACAATTAAATATCGCAAAAAGAGTGAAGGTGGTAAACGGATGATTACTGAAATCAGGGACCAACTCGAATTTTCTCCCAGAGTCCAGTGAATGCGTCAGACACTCAGCTTTGGTTCCCATGGTAACTAGGACTAATGGTCTCAGGACTAAGAATGAGACAAAGAGAAACACAGAGAAATGTGCACATTCTGTCTTCCTGTGAGGTACACAAGCCCCTATTCAGCAAATGAAAAGAACATTCACTTTAGTTCTGCCCTGACCTCCCCTCACTGCTGGGTGGAGGAGAACGGAAAGGCAGAGGGATCCAATACCAATCTTAAGCGTTTACATCCAGGCTTCCTTGTCCCTTAGCCACCATCTTACCAACAATGTGTTGTACCTCCAAATCATGCCCGTGGAATCTAGGATTCTTGCTATCCCAATCCACTTGCCCTGTTCCCCACCCACTAGCCGCTATCATAATATGGGAGGTTTTCAGTCATCCCCATTTTATGTCAGATAGTTCCAGCCCGATTTCAGAAATGCTGCCCCAGAAAAGTTCCCTGACCCTTCCTGCCAGATCGCACAGAACAGAACTGACTCCCTCCCTTTTCTCCTCTGTGGCCTGGGAGACCTCGGCCCAGATCATGGGCTCCCACTTCCTGCCACACTCCCATTCCACCAGGGCCTGGGGGGAGACCCAAAGGAGGGAAGTTTCTGACAGTCTCCTGTTTGGGGAAGCAGCCAAACTAATGAGGGGCCTCTTCCCTGTCCCTTTTTCCTGAGTAGCTATCTCCTTTGTATTGGCTCCCTGTATCAGAGGCTGGACAAATAGGGTTCCAGGCAGGACATGACACATTCCACACCATAAATTTGTGAAGAAAAAACACACAAAAGCTGGGCATAGGCCCCCAACTTCAACTCCCTTCCTTCCATTTATTCCAGCGAGTCTCTGAAGTCCCTTTGTCCAGCTGCACTCTCCTTTCCTGGGACCCAGCTGCCATTTCCCATGTCCTGGAAACTCTCGGCCCAAAATACCCAAGTAACTTCATTGTACTATTCCTTTCTTGCATTGCTGTAAAGAAATACCTGAGACTGGGTAATTTATAAAGAAAAAAGGTTTAATTGGCTCACAGTTCTGCAAGCTGTACAGGAAGCCTGATTTTGGCATCTGCTCGGCTTCTGGCAAGGCCTCAGGAAACTTGCAATCCTAGCGGAAGGCAAAGGAAGAAGGAGCACTTCACAGGGGGAGGGAGAACTTCACATGGGTGGGGCAGAAAGAAGAGAGTCAGGAGGAGATGCTACACACTGTTAAACAACCAGCTCTCATGAGAGCTCTATCCTGATAACAGCACTAGGGAAATGATGCTAAACCATTAGAAACCACCCCCATCATCCAATCACCTCCTATCAGGCCCAACCTCCAACATTGGGGATTACAACTGGACATGAGATTTTGGCAGAGACACAGGTCCAAACCATATCCCTCATCTTCACTGCAGTGGAGCAACCCACACCCATAGCCATGCCCTCCACCAGAAGGAACCACATGAAGGTCTGCCCATCTTCCTGACCTCCATGGACAGTAGGCGATGCCCAGTCTCCTTTTGGTCTGGGGGTTTGTCTCATATGCTCTCCTTGGTACCCACCTGCCAGTGACTCCTCTGTGTTTCACACCCCTCTCAGGGGATCCCAGATCCACTTGGGTGCTGGTCTCTGTCTGGATGACTAGTACCAGTTTCCCTTAGAGAAGGGCCAATGGGAAATGCTTATGTGAGGAAGGTAATGCTTCGCTTGACTGCTTTGCTCTTAAGTCCTCAAAAAACACCACTTACAAGACTGTAGACTCTATGCCGCTTACAGACTTCAATGAAAAGTCAATAGTTTCTATATGAAATGATAGTGGAACAAACCACTAGTGAGCAATGGCTAAATATCATTGCCCCGGGAGTCCAAAAAGAACCACCCATCTCCTGCCTCCCACAGAAAAGGTAAGTTTCTCTAGGGACACTTCATTTTGGGTGAATCCCTGTTCATGGCTTTTCTTCCTGTTTTGAGCACTGCCCTTTTCTCACCCTGTAAAGGGGAAAGTCCCCTTCATTAATCTGCTTCACTGTAGGGATTTCTTTATGTCTCATCAGTGGAATCTGTCCACATCTCCACCTCTCTATGAACATATGTACACATAGGGATACTCACACAAAAGCTAAGGAACGATGACTGTCACACAATAATCCCTAACCAATTCACTTTGCAAAATCTGAATTTGTCAGCGTAGGTTAACCTCCATTACTCAGTCTGAGTCTCAGAGTCTTCAAAGTTCAATTCCTCATCCTCTGGACATCTCTGTCCTGCCAATCCATCATTCTCAATTTGGCCATCCCTGGGGATACAGATTATCAGCATGTCTTTAACCAATAGCATGAAGTGTGGGGCTGGCGGGGTGACTTTTTTTTTTAATTAAACAAAGCTAGCCTTTCTGGTTGATCTCATCTTTACCTCTCACTGTTTGAAATGTTTTATTTCTAAAGATGACCATTGTTTCTCTGCATCTTCAATTTCTTCTGCTCCACTGATACTTAACATCAGCATACTCCACCATCCTCTATCTTAAATACCTTCCCTTGTTCACACTTCCCTACTACTTATTGTTCCATATATTTGCTGCCCTTCACAGCAAAACTTTTCTGATATCTTGTCTAAACTGGTTGTCACCACTTCCTCATCTCCACTGTCAATGTCTTTTATCCCCTTCAGACCTTTAAACCTGCCTTTCTTCATGGTCTTTAACAAATAAATGCAATAGCAATCCTTAGAGGAAAGTTTATAGTAATAAATGCCTACATTAAAAAGTAGAAAAATGACAAATAAACAACTTAACTTTACACGTGAAGGAACTAGAATAAAAAGTAAAAACGAAGTCCAAAGTTAGCAAAAGGAAATAATAAAATATAATATAGACTAGAGCAGAAATATGCCAAATAAATAACAAGTCAAATAGAGAAATGGTAAACAAAATCACCAAAATTAGGAGTTTCCTTCTTGAAAAGATTAACAAAATTGATAAGCCTACAGCTAGACCTACTAAGAAAAAAGAGAGAAGCCACTAATAAATAAAATCAGGTTTGAAAGAGAAGATATTTCAATGGATGCCTCAGAAACAAAGAATATCCTAAGGGAAGATTATCAATGTATATACACCAACAAATCAGATAACCTACAATGGATACATTCTTAGAAACATAAAACCTACCAAAACTGAATAAAGCGAAGTAGAAATCCTGAACAGACCAAAACTATAAGGGTATTGCATTATTAATTAAAAATAGCCCAGCAAATAAAACCCCAGAAGCAGATGGATTCATGGGTGACTTCTAACAAACATTCAAAGAAAAAGTGCTAACAATCCTTCTCAAACTCTTCCAAAAAATAGAAGATGGAATACTGGCAAACTCATCTTATAAAGTTAGCATCACCCTGATCACTAAAGATACCAAAAGAAAATACGACTGCTGACCTATATCCCTGACAAACATAGATGCAGAAATCCTCAATGAAATATTAGCAAATTGAATTCAACAGCACGTTAAATGTATCATACGTCATAACCAAGTGGGATTTATCTCTGGGATACAAGAATGATTCTTCGTGCTCAAATCAATCAGTGTGATACATCACATTAACAAAATGAACATAAATATACCCCACATGATTACCTTGATAGATGCACAAAAAGCATTTGGCAAATTTCAACATCGATTGATTAATCTGTCCATGATTAAAACTCTCAACAAGATAGATGTAGAAGGAACTTACCTCAACACAATAAAGGCCATGTATGAAAATCCCACAGCAAACTTTATAATCAATAGGGAAAACCTAAAATCTGTCCCTCCAAGTTCAGGTACTAGGCAAATATGCCCACTCTCACCAATTCTATTCAATAGAGTACTGGAAGTCTTGGAGTTTTAGCCAGAACAACGAGATACAAAAAAGAAATAAAATGCTTCCAAATTGGAAAGGAAAAAGTAAAATTATCTCTGTTTTCAGTATCATCATAAAAACGTTTTGTTTAAACAATGTTTGTAAAACGATGATGTTTTGACATCATCATAAACAAAGAAAACCATAAAGACTCAACCAAAAGTAACGTTAGAATTCATAAACCAATTCGGTGTAATTGCAGGATATAAAATCAACATACAAAAATTAGTCACATTTCCACACGCAAACAGTGAACTATCCAAAAATGAAGTTAAGAAAACAACCCATTCACAACAGTAACAAAAATAATTAAATAATAAAATACTTAGGAATAAAGCCAACTGAAGAAGTTTAAGACCTGTACACTGAAAATTACAGAACATTGATGAAATAAATTAAAGAAGACACAGATGAATGGAAAGACATCTTGTGTTCTATACATTTCCAATATGTATAGAAACTCCTAAAAGTCAATAGCAAAACATGTATTAAAAATTTAAAAATGGCAAAAGACTTGAATGGACATTTCTCTAAAGAATACAAACAAATGGCCAACATGTATATGAAAAGATGCTCAATATCACTAAGCATAAGGAAAATGCAAATCAAAACTAGAAGGAGATATCACCTCGTGCCTGTTAGAATAGTTGTAACAACAGAAAACACTAAGGGCAATATGTATTGACAATATTGCCGAGAAATTGAAACCCTTTTAAAATATGGTAGGTATACAACGTGATGCAGTCATTATCAAAAACATTACAGGGTTCCACGAAAAAATTGCCATATGATCCAGCAATCCCACTTCTAGATATATTAAAAAGACGAATACAGGATCTCAAAGGGATATCTGCACTCTATGTTTGCTTCAGCATTATTTACAATAATCAAGTGATGGAAAAAACCCAAATGTCAATTGACAGATGAATGGATCAAGAAAATATGGTGACACACAATGGGATATTATTCAGACTTTAAGAAGGAAGACTTCCTGTGGAGGAGGTAGAGCAAGATGGCAGAATAGAAGGCTCCTCCGATCGACCCCCCATCCCTACTCCGCAAGGACATCAATTTATCTACACACAAAAATATGTTCATGAGAACCAAAAATCACAGTACCTGGTTTTCACTTTGTATCACTGAAAGATGCACTTAAGATGTAAAAGGGACTGTCTTGAATTGCTGACATGACCCATCCCACACCTCCCAACAGCAGTGGTGTGGTGTGGAGAGCACTTTTGCACGCTGGTGGAAGGAGAGCACAGCAACTGCAAGGCATTGAACTGAATGCTGTCCTGTTAGAGCAGAAAGGAAAACACAGCCATCAACTCAGCTGATGCCTACCCACAAAGGGAGCATTTAAACCAGCCTAGCCAGAGGGGAATTGCCAATGCCAGCAGTCAGAACTTGAGTTCCCACAAACCTCGCCACTGAGGAGTAACATGCTCTGGGTCTCTAAGTAAACTTGGAAGGCAGTCTAGGCCACAAGAACTGCAACTCTTAGGCAAGTCCTAGTGCTGAACTGGACCCAGAGACAGTGGACTGGGAGGGCACGTGACCTACTGAGACACCAGCTGGTGTGGCTAAGGGAGTGCTGGCATCACCCTCCCTGAACCCCAGGTTGCACAGCTTGCAGCTCCAAAAGAGACCCCTTCCTTCCACTTGAGGAGAGGAGAGGGAAGACTGGGGAGGACTTTGTCTTACATGTTGGATACCAGCTCAGCCACAGCAGGATAGGGCACCAGTCAGAGCCATAAGGCCCCCATTCTTGGCACTAGCTCCCATACATGTCTAGACACTCCCTGGGCCAGAAGGGAACCCACTGTCTTGAAGGGAAGGATCCAGTCCTGGCATCTTTTATCACCTGCTAACTGAAGTGTGCTTGGGCCCTTAAAAACCAGAAGTGATACCCAGGTACTACGTTGAGGGCCTTGGGAGAGTCTCTGAGACTTTCTGGATTCAGGAGAGACTTAGCACATTCTTAGCTGTGGTGGCTAGAGAGCAAAACTCCTTCTGCCTGTGAAAAGCAGAGGGAAAAGTAAAAGGGACTTTGTCTTGCACCTTAGGTACCAGCTTGGCCACAGGGGAGTTGAGGACCAAGCAAGCTCTTGGAGTTCCTGATTCTAGGACTTGACTCTTGGATGGCATTTCTGGACCTGCCCTGGGGCAAATGGGAGCCCATTGCCCTGAAAGGTGAGTTCCAGGCCAGGCAGCATTCACCACAAGCTGACTTAGGAGCCCCTGGGCCTTACAGGAACATCAGTGATAGTCTGGCAGCACTCCCTGTGGCCTGTGGTGGTATTGGCTATAGGGTGAGGCTCCTCTGCATTTGGAAAGAGGAGGGAAGAGTGAGAAGGGATGCATCTTGTGGTCTGATTGCCAGCTCAGCCACAGTACAATAGAACACCAGGTAGATTTCTAAGGATTTTTACTCTAACCCCTAATTCCCGGACGGTATCTCTGGACCCACTTGGGGCCTGGGGGACCTCACTGCCTTGAAGGGAAGGACAGAGGTCTGGCTGGCTTTGCCCCCTGCTGATTGTGGAATCCCAGGGCTTTGAGTGAACATAGGCAGTAGCCAGGGAGTGGTTACATCAGGCCTTGTTCAAAACCCAGTGTTGTTCAGGCATCAGGTCTGACCCAGTGCAGTCCCAGTGGTGGTGGCCACAGGGCATCTTGTGTCACTCTACCACCAGCTTTAGGTGGCTTGGAACACAGAGAGAGACTCCATTTGTTTGGGAGAAAATAAGGGAAGAAAATAAGAGTCTCTGCCTGGTATTTCAGAGAATTCTCCCGAAATCTGTCCTAGACCATCAGGGTGGTACCTCTGCACATCTGCAAGAATGATAGCATTATGGGCTTGGGGTGCCCCCTAAAGCAAATACAGCTTAAATCACAACACCAACTCCTTTTGAATAGCTGGAAAGCCTTACTAAGGAGGACAGGTACAAACAAGCCCAGACAATGAAGACTACAATAAATACCAATGCACAGACACTGACAAACATCTACAAACATCAACATCATCTGGGAAAACATTACCTCACCAAGTGAACTAAATAAGGCACCAGAGACCAATCCTGGAGAAACAGAGATATGTGACCTTTCAGACAGATAATTCAGTATAGCTGTTTTGAGGAAGCTCAAAGAAATTCAAGAGTAACACTGAGAAGGAATTCAGAATTTTATTAGATAAACTTAACAAAGATATTGAAATAATTAAGATGAATTGAGCAGAAATTCTGGAGTTGAAAAATGCAATTGGCATACTGAAGAATAGATCAGCATCTTTTAATACCAGAATTGATCAAGCAGAACAAAGAATTAGTGAGCTTGAAGACAAGCTATTTGAAAATACACAGAAGAGACAAAAGGAAAAAGAAAAACAAACAATGAAGCACACCTAAAAGATCTAGAAAATAGCCTCATGAAAGCAAAGCTAAGAGTTATTAGCCTTAAAAAGAAGGTAGAGAAAGAGATAGGGGTAGAAAGTTTATTCAAAGGGAACATAACAGAGAACTTCCCAAACCTAGAGGAAGATATCAATATGCAAGTACTAGAAAATTATAGGACACCAAGCAGATTTAACCCAAAGAAGACTAGCTCAAGACATTTAATAATCAAACTCCCAAAGATCAAGGATAAAGAAAGGATTCTAAAAGCAGCAAGAGACAAGAAACAAATAACATATAATAGAATTCCAATACATCTGGTAGCTGGCTTTTCAGTAGAAACTTTACAGGCCAGGAGAGAGTCACATGGCATATTTAAAGTGCTGAAGGAAAGAAACGCTTACCCTAGAATAGTATATCTGGCAAAAAAAAAAAAAAAATCCTTCAAACATGAAAGAAAAATAAAGACATTACCAGACAAACAAAAGCTGAGAGATTTCATGAACACCAGACCTGTCCCACAAGAAATGCTAAAAGAGGTACTTCAACTGGAAGGAAAGGACAATAATGAGCATCAAGTAATCACCTAAAGATACAAAACTCACAGGTAATAGTAAATACACAGAAAAACACAGAATATTACAACACTGTAACTGCAGTGTGTAAACTACTCTTTCCCTAAGTAGAAAGGCTAAATGATGAGCCAATCAAAAATAATAATTACAATGTTTTTCACGACATGAACAGTACAATAAGATATAAGAGAAAAAAGAAAAAATTAATAAGTAGGGGGACAAAGTTAAGGTATAGCATTTTTATTAGCTTTCTTTTTGCATGTTTGCTTATTTATGCAAACAGTGTTGTTATCAGCTTAAAACAATTGGTTATAAGATAGAAATTGCAAGCCTCATGGTAACCTCAAACCAAAAACATACACAAGGGACACACACAAAAAAATCAAGAAACCGACATATATCACCAGTGAAAATCACCCTCACTTGAGGAAGACAGGAAGGAAAGAAAGAAGGAAGAAAAGACCACAAAACACCAGAAAACAAATAACAAAAGGGCAGGAATAAGTTATTACTTATCAGTAATATTTGTATTACTTCATTCTCATGTTGCTTTAAAGAACTGTCTGAGACTGGGTAATTTATAAAGAAAAGAAGTTTAATTGACTCACAGTTCCACAGGGCTGGGGAGGCCTCAGGAAACTTGTGACCATAGCAGAAGGGGAAGCAAACACATCCTTTTACACATGGCAGCAGGAAGGAGAAGTTTTGGGAGCAAGCCCCCCAAAATCTGGCCATAAACTGGCCCCAAAACTGGCCATAAACAGAATCTCTGCAGTACTGTGACATGTTCATAATGGCCCTAATGCCCAAGCTGGAAGGTTGTGGGTTTACGGGAATGAGGGCAAGGAAGAACTGGCCCACCCAGGGTGGAAAACAGCTTAAAGGCATTCTTAAGCCACAAACAATAGCATGAGCGATCTGTGCCTTAAGGACATGCTCCTGCTGCAGTTAACTATCCCAACCTATTCCTTTAATTCGGCCCATCCCTTCGTTTCCCATAAGGGATACTTTTAGTTATTTTAACATCTATGGAAACAATGCTAATGACTGGTTTGCTGTTAATAAATACGTGGGTAAATCTCTGTTCGGGGCTCTCAGCTCTGAAGGCTGTGAGAACCCTGATTTCACACTTCACACCTCTATATTTCTGTGTGTGTGTCTTTAATTCCTCTAGTGCTGCTGGGTTAGGGTCTCTCTGACCAAAATCATCAGATCTTGTGAGAACTCACTCACTATCACGAGAACAGCATGTGGTAACCGCCCCCAAGATTCAATTACGTCCCACCAGGTCCCTCCCATGACGTGGGGATTATGGGAACTATAATACAATTCAAGGTGAAATTTGGGTGTGGACACATCCAAGCCATATCAATATTGAATGAAAATGGACTAAACTCTCCAATCACAAGACATAGACTAGCTGAATGGATAAAAAACAATACCCATCAGTCTGTTGCCTACAAGAAACACACTTCACCTATAAAGACACACAAAGACTGAAAATAAAAGGATGGAAAAAGGTAGTCCATAGCAATGGAAACCAAAAAGCAGCAGGAGTCACTGTACTTACATCAGACAAAATAGATGTCAAGACCAAAACCATAAGAAAAGAAACAGGTCACTGTATAATGCTGAAGGGTTCAACTTAGCAAGAGGATATAACAATTTTAAGTATATATGCACCCAACACTGGAGCACCCAAATATATAAAGCAAATATTATTAGAGTGAAAGAGACAGGCCCCAATACAATGATAGCTGGAAACTTCAACACCCCATTTTCAGCACTGGACAGATCTTCCAGTCAGAGAACCAAGAAAGAAACATCAGATTTAATCTTTATTGTAAATCAAATGGCTCTAATAGTTTGCAAGAGCAAATCAAACCCCAACATTAGTAGAAGAAAAGGAATAATAAATATCAGAGCAGAAATAATGTTGAAGAAAGAAGGCAGAAGATTAATGAACTAAAAAAGTTACTTTTTTGAAAACTTAAACAAAATTGACCAACCTCTAGCCAGACTAAGAGAGAAGATCCAAATAAATAAAATCAGACATGAAAAAAGAGACATTAAAGCTGATACTGCAGAAATTCAAAGGATTATTAGTGACTAATATGAGCAACTAAATGCCAATAAACTGGAAAATCTAGAAGAAATGGGCAAATTCCTAGACACATACACCCACCAACATTGAACCTGAAAGAAACCCAAAACCTGAACAGACCAATAACAAGTAACAAAATTGAGGCCATAATAAAGTCTGCCAGTAAAGAAAAGCCCAGGACCCAATGGCTTCCCTGCTGAATTCTACCAAATATTTAAAGATGAGCTAATACTAATCCTACTCAATACTACTCCGAAAAATAGAGGAAGAGAGACTACTTCCAAACTCATTCTACGAGGCCAGTATTACCCTGATACCACAACCAGGCATCAAAAAAAGAAAGCTACAGGCCAATATCTCTTAGGAATATTAATGCAAAAATCCTCAACAAAATACTAGCTAACTGAATTCAATAATACATTAGAAAGATCAGTCATCACGACCAACTGGGATTTCTCCCTGGAATGCAAGGATGATTCAACATATGCCAATCAATCAATATGATACATCCTATCAACAGAATGAAGGATAAAAATGATATAACCATTTCAATGGATCATTTCTATATAAAGCATTTGATAATATCCAACATCCCTTCATGATAAAAACCCTCAAAAACTGGGGATAGAAGGAATATACCTCGGCAAACGTGAAGATGGCTGAATAGGAACAGCTCCAGTCTACAGCTCCCAGCGTAAGCGACGCAGAAGACGGGTGATTTCTGCATTTCCATCTGAGGTACCGGGTTCATCTCACTAGGGAGTGCCAGACAGTGGGCGCAGGCCAGTGGGTGCGCGCACCGTGCGCGAGCCGAAGCAGGGCGAGGCATTGCCTCACCTGGGAAGCGCAAAGGGTCAGGGAGTTCCCTTTCCGAGTCAAAGAAAGGGGTGATGGACCCACCTGGAAAATCGGGTCACTCCCACCCGAATATTGCGCTTTTCAGACCGGCTTAAAAAACGGCGCACCATGAGACTATATCCCACACCTGGCTCGGAGGGTCCTACGCCCACGGAATCTCGCTGATTGCTAGCACAGCAGTCTGAGATCAAACTGCAAGGCGGCAGCGAGGCTGGGGGAGGGGCGCCCGCCATTGCCCAGGCTTGCTTAGGTAAACAAAGCAGCCGGGAAGCTCGAACTGGGTGGAGCCCACCACAGCTCAAGGAGGCCTGCCTGCCTCTGTAGGCTCCACCTCTGGGGGCACAGCACAGACAAACAAAAAGACAGCAGTACCCTCTGCAGACTTAAATGTCCCTGTCTGACAGCTTTGAAGAGAGCAGTGGTTCTCCCAGCATGCAGCTGGAGATCTGAGAACTGGCAGACGGCCTCCTCAAGTGGGTCCCTGACCCCTGACCCCTGAGCAGCCTAACTGGGAGGCACCCCCCAGCAGGGGCACACTGACGCCTCATACAGCAGGGTATTCCAACAGACCTGCAGCTGAGGGTCCTGTCTGTTTGTTAGAAGGAAAACTAACAAACAGAAAGGACATCCACACCAAAAACCCATCTGTACATCACCATCATCAAAGACCAAAAGTAGATAAAACCACAAAGATGGGGAAAAAACAGAACAGAAAAACTGGAAACTCTAAAACGCAGAGCGCCTCTGCTCCTCCAAAGGAACGCAGTTCCTCACCAGCAACGGAACAAAGCAGGATGGAGAATGACTTTGATGAGCTGAGAGAAGAAGGCTTCAGACGAACAAATTACTCTGAGCTACGGGAGGACATTCAAACCAAAGCAAAGAAGTTGAAAACTTTGAAAAAAATTTAGAAGAATGTATAACTAGAATAACCAATACAGAGAAGTGCTTAAAGGAGCTGATGGAGCTGAAAACCAAGGCCCGAGAACTACGTGAAGAATGCAGAACCCTCAGGAGCCGATGCGATCAACTGGAAGAAAGGGTATCAGCAATGGAAGATGAAAGGAATGAAATGAAGTGAGAAGGGAAGTTTAGAGAAAAGAGAATAAAAAGAAATGAACAAAGCCTCCAAGAAATATGGGACTATGTGAAAAGACAAAATCTACATCTGATTGGTGTTCCTGAAAGTGATGGGGAGAATGGAACCAAGTTGGAAAACACTCTGCAGGATATTATCCAGGAGAACTTCCCCAATCTAGCAAGGCAGGCCAACGTTCAGATTCAGGAAATACAGAGAACGCCACAAAGATACTCCTCGAGAAGAGCAACTCCAAGACACATAATTGTCAGATTCACCAAAGTTGAAATGAAGGAAAAAATGTTAAGGGCAGCCAGAGAGAAAGGTCGGGTTACCCTCAAAGGGAAGCCCATCAGACTAACAGCGGATCTCTCGGCAGGAACCCTACAAGCCAGAAGAGAGTGGGGGCCAATATTCAACATTCTTAAAGAAAAGAATTTTCAACCCAGAATTTCATATCCAGCCAAACTAAGCTTCATAAGTGAAGGAGAAATAAAATACTTTACAGACAAGCAAATGCTGAGAGATTTTGTCACCACCAGGCCTGCCCTAAAAGAGCTCCTGAAGGAAGTGCTAAACATGGAAAGGAACAACCAGTACCAGCCGCTGCAAAATCATGCCAAAATGTAAAGACCATCGAGACTAGGAAGAAACTGCATCAACTAACGAGCAAAATCACCAGCTAACATCATAATGACAGGATCAAATTCACACATAACAATATTAACTTTAAATGTAAATGGACTAAATGCTCCAATTAAAAGACACAGACTGGCAAATTGGATAAAGAGTCAAGACCCATCAGTGTGCTGTATTCAGGAAACCCATCTCATGTGCAGAGACACACATAGGCTCAAAATAAAAGGATGGAGGAAGATCTACCAAGCAAATGGAAAACAAAAAAAGGCAGGGGTTGCAATCCTAGTCTCTGATAAAACACACTTTAAACCAACAAAGATCAAAAGAGACAAAGAAGGCCATTACATAATGGTAAAGGGATCAATTCAACAAGAAGAGCTAACTATCCTAAATATATATGCACCCAAAACAGGAGCACCCAGATTCATAAAGCAAGTCCTGAGTGACCTACAAAGAGACTTAGACTCCCACACATTAATAATGGGAGACTTTAACACCCCACTGTCAACATTAGACAGATCAACGAGACAGAAAGTCAGCAAGGATACCCAGGAATTGAACTCAGCTCTGCACCAAGCAGACCTAATAGACATCTACAGAACTCTCCACCCCAAATCAACAGAATATACATTTTTTTCAGCACCACACCACACCTATTCCAAAATTGACCACATAGTTGGAAGTAAAGCTCTCCTCAGCAAATGTAAAAGAACAGAAATTATAACAAACTATCTCTCAGACCACAGTGCAATCAAACTAGAACTCAGGATTAAGAATCTCACTCAAAGCCACTCAGCTACATGGACACTGAACAACCTGCTCCTGAATGACTACTGGGTACATAACGAAATGAAGGCAGAAATAAAGATGTTCTTTGAAACCAAAGAGAACAAAGACACAACATACCAGAATCTCTGGGAGGCATTCAAAGCAGTGTGTAGAGGGAAATTTATAGCAGTAAATGCCCACAACAGAAAGCAGGAAAGATCCAAAATTGACACCCTAACATCACAATTAAAAGAACTAGAAAAGCAAGAGCAAACACATTCAAAAGCTAGCAGAAGGCAAGAAATAACTAAAATCAGAGCAGAACTGAAGGAAATAGAGACACAAAAAACCCTTCAAAAAATCAATGAATCCAGGAGCTGGTTTTTTGAAAGGATCTACAAAATTCATAGACAGCTAGCAAGGCTAATAAAGAAAAAAAGAGAGAAGAATCAAATAGACACAATAAAAAATGATAAAGAGGATATCACCACCGATCCCACAGAAATACAAACTACCATCAGAGAATACTACAAACACCTCTACGCAAATAAACTAGAAAATCTAGAAGAAATGGATAAATTCCTCGACACATACACTCTCCCAAGACTAAACCAGGAAGAAGTTGAATCTCTGAATAGACCAATAACAGGATCTGAAATTGTGGCAATAATCAATAGTTTACCAACCAAAAAGAGTCCAGGACCAGATGGATTCACAGCCGAATTGTACCAGAGGTACAAGGAGGAACTGGTACCATTCCTTCTGAAACTATTCCAATCAATAGAAAAAGAGGGAATCCTCCCTAACTCATTTTATGAGGCCAGCATCATTCTGATACCAAAGCCGGGCAGAGACATAACCAAAAAAGAGAATTTTAGACCAATATCCTTGATGAACATTGATGCAAAAATCCTCAATAAAATACTGGCAAACCGAATCCAGCAGCACATCAAAAAGCTTATCCACCATGATCAAGTGGGCTTCATCCCTGGGATGCAAGGCTGGTTCAATATACGCAAATCAGTAAATGTAATCCAGCCTATAAACAGAGCCAAAGACAAAAACCACATGATTATCTCAATAGATGCAGAAAAAGCCTTTGACAAAATTCAACAACCCTTCATGCTAAAAACTCTCAATAAATTAGGTATTGATGGGACGTATTTCAAAATAATAAGAGCTATCTATGACAAACCCACAGCCAATATCATACTGAATGGGCAAAAACTGGAAGCATTCCCTTTGAAAACTGGCACAAGACAGGGATGCCCTCTCTCACCGCTCCTATTCAACATAGTGTTGGAAGTTCTGGCCAGGGCAATTAGGCAGGAGAAGGAAATAAAGGGTATTCAACTAGGAAAAGAGGAAGTCAAATTGTTCCTGTTTGCAGACGACATGATTGTATATCTAGAAAACCCCATTGTCTCAGCCCAAAATCTCCTTAAGCTGATAAGCAAATTCAGCAAAGTCTCAGGATACAAAATCAATGTACAAAAATCACAAGCATTCTTATACACCAACAACAGACAAACAGACAGCCAAATCATGAGGGAACTCCCATTCACAATTGCTTCAAAGAGAATAAAATACCTAGGAATCCAACTTACAAGGGATGTGAAGGACCTCTTCAAGGAGAACTACAAACCACTGCTCAAGGAAATAAAAGAGGATACAAACAAATGTAAGAACATTCCATGCTCATGGGTAGGAAGAATCACTATCGTGAAAATGGCCATACTGCCCAAGGTAATTTATAGATCCAATGCCATCCCCATCAAGCTACCAATGGCTTTCTTCACAGAATTGGAAAAAACTACTTTCAAGTTCATATGGAACAAAAAAGAGGCCGCATTGCCAAGTCAATCCTAAGCCAAAAGAACAAAGCTGGAGGCATCACACTACCTGACTTCAAACTATACTACAAGGCTACAGTAACCAAAACAGCATGGTACTGGTATCAAAACAGAGATATAGATCAATGGAACAGAACAGAGCCCTCAGAAATAATGCCACATACCTACAACTATCTGATCTTTGACAAACCTGAGAAAAACAAGCAATGGGGAAAGGATTCCCTATTTAATAAATGGTGCTGGGAAAACTGGCTAGCCATATGTAGAAAGCTGAAACTGGATCTCTTCCTTACACCTTATACAAAAATCAATTCAAGATGGATTAAAGATTTAAACGTTAGACCTAAAACCATAAAAACCCTAGAAGAAAACCTAGGCATTGCCATTCAGGACATAGGCATGGGCAAGGCCTTCATGTCCAAAACACCAAAAGCAATGGCAACAAAAGACAAAATTGACAAATGGGATCTAATTAAACTAAAGAGCTTCTTCACAGCAAAAGAAACTACCATCAGAGTGAACAGGCAACCTACAAAATGGGAGAAAATTTTCACAACCTACTCATCTGACAAAGGGCTAATATCCAGAATCTACAATGAACTCAAACAAATTTACAAGAAAAAAACAAACAACTCCATCAAAAAGTGGGCGAAGGACATGAACAGACACTTCTCAAAAGAAGACATTTATGCAGCCAAAAAACACATGAAAAAATGCTGATCATCACTAGCCATCAGAGAAATGCAAATCAAAACCACAATGAGATACCATCTCACACCAGTTAGAATGGCAATCATTACAAAGTCAGGAAACAACAGGTGCTGGAGAGGATGTGGAGAAATAGGAACACTTTTACACTGTTGGTGGGACTGTAAACTAGTTCAACCATTGTGGAAGTCAGTGTGGCGATTCCTCAGGGATCTAGAACTAGAAATACCATTTGACCCAGCCATCCCATTACTGGGTATATACCCAAAGTACTATAAATCATGCTGCTATAAAGACACATGCACACGTATGTTTATTGTGGCATTATTCACAATAGCAAAGACTTGGAACCAAGCCAAATGTCCAACAATGATAGACTGGATTAAGAAAATGTGGCACATATACACCATGGAATACTATGCAGCCATAAAAAATGATGAGTTCATGTCCTTTGTAGGGACATGGATGAAATTGGAAATCATCATTCTCAGTAAAGTATCGCAAGAACAAAAAACCAAACACCGCATATTCTCACTCATAGGTGGGAATTGAACGATGAGATCACATGGACACAGGAAGGGGAATATCACACTCTGGGACTGTTGTGGGGTGGGGGAAGGGGGGAGGGATAGCATTGGGAGATATACCTAATGCTAGATGACGAGTTAGTGGGTGCAGCGCACCAGCATGGCACATGTATACATATGTAACTAACCTGCACAATGTGCACATGTACCCTAAAACTTAAAGTATAATAAAAAAAAAGAAGGAATATACCTCAACATAATTAAAGTCATTTATGACAGACCCACAACTAGCATCACACTGAATGGGGAAAAACTGAAATCATTTCTTCTAAGATCTGAAACACAACAAGGAAGCCCACTTTCACTGCTGCTATTCAGCATGGTACTAGATGTCCTAGCTAGAGCAATCAGACAAGAGAAAGACATAATGGACATCCAAGTTGGAAAGCAAGAAGTTTAATTATTCTTGTTTGCAGAAAATATGATCTTATAAATGAAAAAATCTAAAGACTCCGTGAGAAAACTATTTGAGCTAATAAACAAACTCAGTAAAGTTGCAGGATACAAAATCGACATATGAAAATCAGTAGCATTTGTATATGCCAACAGTGAGCAATCTGAAAAAGAAATAAAAAAGTAATCCCATTTACAATAGCCACACATAAAATTAAATACCCAGGAATTAACCGAAGAAGTGAAAGATCTCTATAAAGAAAACTATAAAACACTGATGAAATAAATTGAAGAGGACACGAAAAAATGGAAAAATATTCCATGTTCACAGATTGGAAGAATCAACACTGTTAAAATCTTCATACCACCCAAAGCAATTTACAGATTCAATGCAATCCCTATCAAAATACCAATGACATTCTTCACAGAAATAGAAAAAACAATTCTAAAATTTATATGAAACCAAAAAAGACCAAGAATAGCCAGCACTATTTGGCTAACAAATAAAAATAAAACATTATGAACTTAAAGTTTATACTACTGAGATATAATAACCAAAACAGCATGGTACTGGCATCAAAAGAGACACAGAGACCAATAGAACAGAATAGAGAACCCATAAACAAATCCACACACCTACACTGAACTCATTTTCGACAAAGGTGCCAAGTACCTACAGTAGGAAAAAGACAGTCTGTTCTATAAATGTTGCTGAGAAAACTGGATATCCATATGCAGAAGAATGAAACTAGGCCCCTATCTGTCACCATATAGAAAAATCAAATCAAAATGTATTAATGACTTAAATCTAAGACCTCAAACTATGGGACTACTGCACAAAAACATTGGGGAAAATTTCCAGGACATCAGACTGGGCAAAGATTTCTTGAGCAATACCCCACAAGCACAGGCAACCAAAGCAAAAATGGACAAATGAGATCACATCAAGTTAAAAGGCTTCTTCTGCACATCAAAGGAAACAATCAAGAAAGTGAAAAGACAACCCATAGAATGGGAGAAAATATTTGCAAACTACCCATCTGACAAGGGATTAATAACCAGAATATAGAAGGAGGTCAAACAACTCTATAAAACATCTAATGATCCGATCAAAAAATGGACAAAAGATTTGAATAGACATTTCTCAAAAGAAGACATACAAATGACAAAAAGTCATATGAAAAGGTGCTCAACATCACTGATCATCATAGAAATGCAAAACAAAACTACAATGAGATATCATCTCACCCCAGTTTAAATGGCTTCTATCCAAAAGACAGGCAATAACAAATGCTGGCGAGGATGTGGAGTAAAGGGAACTCTTGTACACTGTTGGTGGGAGTATACATTGGTACGGCCACTATGGAGAACAGTTTGGAGGTTCCTCAGAAAACTAAAACTTGAGCTACCATATGATCCAGCAATTTCAGTGCTGGATATATACCCCCAAAGAAAGAAAATCAGTATATTGGAGAGATATCTGCACTCACATATTTGTTGTGGCACTATTCACAATAGCTAAGATTTGGAAGCAACCTAAGTGTCCATCAAGAGATGAATGGATAAAAAACATGGTACATATACACAATGGAGTACTATTCAGCCATAAAAAGAATGAGATCCTGTCATTTGCAACAACATGGATGGAACTGGAGATGATTATATTAAGTGAAATAAGCTAAGCACAGAAAGACAAACACTGCATGTTCTCACTTGTTTGTAGGATCTAAAAATCCAAACAGTTGAACTCATGGACACAGAGAATAGAAGCCTGGTACCAGAGGCTGGGAAGGGTAGTGGGGGCTGGTGAGAAGGTAAGGATCATTATTGGGTACAAAAAAATAAAAAGAATTTATAACACCTACTATTTGATAGTACAACAGGGTGGCTGTAGTCAATAATAATTTAATTGTACATTTAAAAATAACTAAAAGAGTGTAACTGGTTTCTTTTATTATAACACAAAGGATAAATGCTTGAGGGGATGCATATCCCATTCTCTATGATGTGATCATTGTACAGCACACTCCTGTACCAAAACATCTCATGTATGCCCACAAAAATTAAAAATAAAAAAAATTAAAATAAAAAAGGAAATTCTATCTTTCATGACAACATCGATGGACCTAGAAGATACTAGCTAAGTGAAATAAATCAGTTGCAGAAGGACAAATACTGCATACTTTCTCTTCTATGAGGCATCAAAAATAGTCAAACATGTAGAAGTAGAAAATAGAGTGGTGGTTACCAGGAGATGGGGATATGGGATATTAGGAGCTCTTTTTTCAGTGGTTATAAAGTTACATTTATACAAGATGAGTGCGTTCCAGAGATTTCCTGCACAACATAGTGTCTGTAGTTAACAATGAGGTATTGTGCACTTAAACATTTGTTAAAAGGGTATATGTCATGTTAACTTTTCTTATAAAAAGAAAAGTTAAAAAACAACATTAAAAAACAACAACAAAGGAACACAAGGAAACTTTTGCAGGTTACGGATATGTTTATTACTCTGATTGTAGTATGGCGACATGAGTGTATACATATGTCCAAACTCATCAAATTGTACACATTAATTAGGTACAGTTTTTATATACCAGTTGTACCTCAGTAAATCTAGAAGCAGGAAGAAACCTTGTGTCACTTCATCAAAAATACATAACCATCCAAATATGTTATCAGCTAATTCCAGAGATTCAAAATATATGAAGAAAATATTGACAATAATAAAATAATAAATAGACAAATATACAAATATAACTGAAGACTTTCAACATCTTTCTGCCAAAAATTTACACAAGTAGACAAAAGAAAACCAGAAAGAACATTTTAAAAACTAAACACTACCAACCAACTCGACCTAATTGATGTTTATAATACATTCTTTGTGAGTCCATAAGAAACATCTACCAAGATTGACTGTGTTCTAGGCTCTAAGGCATGTCTCAGTAAATATCAGAGGACTGAAATTCAGATTATATTTTCTGATCAGATCATTATTAAATGAGTTATCTATAATAATAATATATCAAGAAATATCTATTTGGAAATTAAACAATCCACTTTTAAATAACTAATCTATTCAGGAATAAATCATAAGGAATTTATAAAATATTTTCTACTGAATTGTCATCAATTTTTTTAGGCAGATCTCAAATCAATCATCTTATGCCTTAAGACTCAAGAAAAGGAGTAGAAAATTAAACCCAAAGTAAATAAAAGAATAAATAATTAAAGTGGTAGATGTCATAATGAGAAAATATAAAAAATAAAAAAACAAATTCAAAAGGCCATTTAAAAAATATTAGTAAAGTTTATATAACCCTAGCCAGAGTGATTAAGAACCAAAATGACTCAAAATACCAACATAAGGAATGTAAAAGTGGAAATTACTGTAGACTCTAGTGAAATTAAAGGAAAGTAAAAATATATAAAAACTGGATAACAAAAATTTGGAAAACTTGGATAAAATGAACAAAATTTCTTGAAAAATATAATTTAACAAACTTACACATGAAAATATAGAACATGTAAGTGGTCCCACATAGAACTTAGTCAAAAGCCTTCTATCCTAGTTAGCTTCACCAGTGTATTCTCTTGATAATCAAGCAGGAAAACAATGCCAATTCTACAGAATTTCTTTCAGAAAATTGAATAGAATTAAAAACTTCCCAACTCATTCTATGAGACCAGCATCAACTAGATAAAATGTTAAGTTTCTTAAGTATTTCCAAATCAAGCAATGTAATATATCTCATTAACAGAATAAAGGAATGATAGTGTAACTATCTCAGTAGATTAAGAGAAAACTTTTGACACAATTTAAGACACACACGTGATTTCTTAAAACCAATTTCTAGATGTTAGGAGCTACTATTTGTATCTTTCTTAAAGAAAGTCTTAGTTTTAATAATCTTTTGGGGTAAATAATTTTAAGTTTACATAAAAGTTCCAAAGATAGTACAAAGAATTCTTGTATAGCCTCTACCAAGTTTCCTTTAATGTTAACATACAATGATACTTTTGTCAGAACTAAGAAATCAACATTCGTACAATACCAATAGCTATAGACGTTATCAGATTTCACTAATTTTCTAATGTAGGGGCAGAAAAGGTGTGATACCTTTCTTCAACCATCATAACAGTCATGACCAACATTCTTATAACAAAGACAGATTAACAAAAGAAATGTACAACAAGTTTATTTAATCAAAGTTTTACACGACATGGGAGAATTCAGAAATGAAGGCTCAAAGACCCAGGGAAAACTGCCCATGTTTATGCTTAGATTCTACGAATAATGGACAGCCATATGGAAACGTGATTGGACAAAAAGGTATGACCTAATAATAATAGGCCAAGAGGGGGAACCTGGCAAGGCCTGTCCAGATTCTTCTTGGCCTCTCTGTTTAGCATTCCTTCATCCATGGTATGGAGCAAGACCCTTCTGGAATGGAGGTCTTATGACCTACTGTCAGACAAGTTAGTTCAGAGAATTTCTTTATGGCCCGTTCTTACACAGAAAGGAGGGAGTAGGTTAGAGTAGTATTTCTAGGTTTTATGGCTGGCTTTGGGGGAGAGGAGTTGTAGTTTCTATAACTATCCTTGGGGAAGAAGAATTTTGTTTCTATGACTTGTTTGAGGGGAGAAAGAAGGGTGAGAGACAGGAGGGCAGGAGAAGGTCGGAGAGACTTTGCTTCTGCAGCTACTTCTGAGGTCTTCTGGTCTCCTTTAGTTCAAAGTACTCATCATACAAAAACACCATACTTTGGGGTATTATTTTCTGAGCCCTAACACCACTAATACCCTTTTACTGATAATATGCAGTATATCACATTACATTTTGTTATTGTGTCTCTGTATTCTCCTCTACTCAGTGATAGTTTTTATTGTTTCTCTTTTTTTATGGCCTTGATACAATTGAAGCATTCTGTTAAGGTAATTTGCAGCATGTTCCTCAATTTGAATATAACTGATGTTTTCTCATGATTAAATGGGGTTATAAGTTTGGGAGAAGAATATCAGAAAAGGTGAAGTTTCCTCCTTTGCATCTTTCTCTCCAGAAGCTGGAGCTTAATTTCTTCCCTAGAGTGTGGGCTGAATTTTGTGACTTGCTTCCTAACAGTAGATTATGGAAAAGGTAAATAGCAACTTTACAGTGAAGAAACATGGCAGACAACACCTTAAACAAGTGATCAATAGTAACATCATGCTTGATGTAACGCAATGAGAAGTGAACCTCTCCTTTCATGACCAGTGTTAACACATGCCCTCAATCTGAGGGACCTGAATCTAACTCCAGGTGGATAATGTCAGAATTGAATTAAATCATAGGACACATGATTAGTGTCCACTGAAGAACTGTTTGGTGTAGGGGTAAGCCCCTACACATCTGGCCACAGAAGTGATCTGTCTTGGGAGTATAATAGGAGAAAAAACAATTAGCTTGTTTAGTTTTTTTTTCCTACTTTACAAAATGTATTTTGTGTGATCTCTATTATCTTAAGTTTGTTAAGACTTATGGCCCGGAATGTGATGTCTCTTGATGAAGAATATATATTGTCCTGATGTTGAGTAGAGTGCTCTATAAAATGTTCAATTGGTCAAGTAGGTTAGAAGTGTCATTCAGGTAATCTATATCTTTATAAATTTTCTGCCTACTTGTTCTATTGATTACAGAGAAATGAGTTTTAAACTCCCCAACTATTACTCTGAAATTGTCTGTTTCTCCTTTCAGATCTATCCATTTTTGTCTCATGTATTTTAAATAAAGCTCTGTTGTTAGGCACATACATTTTTAGGATTGTTATGTCTTCTTGGAGAAGCGACATCATTATCACTATGCAATGTTCCTCTTTATCTGTTATAATCTTATGTGACCTGAAGTCTACTTATCCAAAATCAATATAGCTATTCCAGTTTCCTTTTAGTGTTAGCATTGTATACCTTTCTTGATCCCTTTACTTTTAACCTAAGTCTTTATATTTAAAGTGGCTCTCTGTAGACAACAAATAGCTGGGTCTTGGCTTTTAATTCAATCTGATAATCTCTATCTTGTTTTTATTTGTAAAAATTTAAGAGGTACAAGTGCAATTTTGTTACATGGATATAGTGTATAGCAATGAAGTCTGGGCTTTCAGTGTAACCATCACCTGAACAGTGTACATTGTACCCATTAAGTAATTTCTCATTTCTCATCCCTCATCCCCCTCCCACCTTCCCATCCTTCAAGTCTCCAATGATTATTATTTCACACTATTTGTCCATTTGTACATGTTATTTAACTCCCACTTATGAGTGAGAACATGTAGTATTTGACTTTCTGTTTCCGAATTGTTTCACTTAAGATTAGGGCCTCCAGTTCCATTCACATTGCTGCTGAAAACATGATTTTATTCTTTTTTATTGCAGAATAGTATTCCATTATGTGTGTGTATATATATATATATGTATATGTATATATCACAGTTTTATATATGCATATATTTGTGAGATATATATGTATATATGTATGTATATATATCACATTTTCTTTACCCAATCATCCATTGATTGACACGTAGGTTGATTCCATATCTTTGCTATTGTAAATAATGTTGTGATAAACACATGAGTGTAGGTATCTTTTTGAAATAATGGTTTCGTTTTCTTTGGGTAGATACTCAGTAGTGGGATTTTGCTGGATCAAATGATAGTTCTATTTTTAGTTTTTTGAGGAATCTCCATGTTGTTTTCCATAAAGGCTGTACTAATTTACATTCCCACAAACAGTGTATAAGTGTTCCCTTATTTCCCATCCTCACCAACATCTGTGGGGTTTTTTTGTCTTTTTAATAATAGCTATTCTAAGTAGTGTAAGGTGATACCTCATTATGATTTTAATTTGCATTTCTCTGATGATTAGTGATGTTGAGCATTTTTTCATAAGCTTATTGGCCATTTTTATGTTTTCTTTTAAAAATGTGTGTTCATATCCTTTGTCCACTTTTTAATGGAGTTATTTGGGGGTTTATGTTAAGTTGAGTTCCTTGTAAATTCTGGATATCTGTCCCCTGTCAGATTCATAGTTTGCAGTTTTCTCCCATTCTGCAAATTGTCTGTTCACTTTGTGGATTATTTCTTTTTTTTTTTTCCTTTTTTTTTTTTTTTTTTGCTTTCTTGATTTTATTTCAAAAGTACACAAGGTCACAAAACTAGAGCAAGTTGTTTTTCTTAACAAATTTTGTTCTTACAAATTTCAAAATCTGCACCATTGGATATATAAGCCAAAAATCATATATACAAAATCTGAAACTGACACTGTCAATTCTATACTTTGCACACGTGAAGTGTCAAAATATTTTTCTCAGTAGTACAAGTGTATTTATCACTAAAATTCACAATTAGGGAAAAGAATAAGTGAATCAATGAACTGTGGTTCTCTTAAAACTTGTGTCATTAAATATGTTAGCAGAAAACACAAAGTTCTGTTTTGTTGGAACTTTTAGTCTCGATGACTAAAACCAAACCCAACGGATATGTACTATATTCTTAAATTATAAAATAAGATAAATTATAATAGTTAACCTTAATGAATAAGAGGCTAGTTGTTGCGGGAAGTCAGGGACCCCAAACGGAGGGACCAGCTGAAGCCATGGCAGAAGAATATGGATTGTGAAGATTTCATGGACATTTATTAATTCCCCAAATTAATACTTTTATAATTTCTTATGCCTGTCTTTACTGCAATCTCTAAACAAATTGTGAAGATTTCATGGACACTTATCACTTCCCCAATCAATACCCTTGTGATTTCCTATGCCTGTCTTTACTTTAATCTCTTAATCCTGTCATCTGGTAAGCCGAGGAGGATGTATGTCGCCTCAGGACCCTGTGATAATTGCGTTAACTGCACAAATTGTAGAGCATGTGTGTTTAAACAATATGAAATCTGGGCACCTTGAAAAAAGAACAGGATAACAGCAATGTTTAGGAAACAAGAGAGATAACCTTAAACTCTGACCGCCGGTGAGCCGGGCGGAACAGAGCCATATTTCTCTTCTTTCAAAAGCAAATGGGAGAAATATCGCTGAATTCTTTTTCTCAGCAAGGAACATCCCTGGGAAAGAGAATACATGCCTGGGGGTGGGTCTATAGATGGCCCCCTTGGGTGTGGCCGTCTTCTATGGTCGAAACTGTAGGGGTGAAATAAACCCCAGTCTCCCATAGTGCTCCCAGGCTTATTAGGAAGAGGAAATTCCCGCCTAATAAATTTTGGTCAGACCAGTTGCTCTCAAAACGCTGTCTCCTGATAAGATGTTATCAATGACAATGGTGCCCGAAACCTCATTAGCAATTTTAATTTCGCCCCAGTCCTGTGGTCCTGTGATCTTGCCCTGCCTCCATTTGCCTTGTGATATTCTGTTACCTTGTGAAGTACCTGATCTTTGTGACCCACACCCTATTCGTACACTCCCTCCCCTTTTGAAAGTCCCTAATAAAAACTTGCTGGTTTTGCAGCTTGTGGGGCATCACGGAACCTACTGACATGTGATATCTCCCCTGGACGCCCAGCTTTAAAATTTCTCTCTTCTGTACTCTGTCCCTTTATTTCTCAAACCGGCTGATGCTTAGGGAAAATAGAAAAGAACCTACGTGACTATCGGGGCAGGTTCCCCGATAGCTGGTATTATCTGCTATAAGATAAATGATCAGCCTTCCCTAAAGATAAACTGAACCACAATTCACAAATTTGTTTATTATTCTTCCCTGCTTCTATAACATTTACAAAAATAATTTGTCCTCAGTTATGGCCTATTTTAGTGTTAAAATAGGTAAATGAGTAAGAAATCCTATTGCAGAACATAATGCCTTTATTGCTGGAATATCCAAAGGCATTCAAAATATTAAAACTTGCCCAGAACATTTACACTACTAAACACAGGAATGTTATAAAGATATATGTACATATATATATAATATATAATGTCACAAGCCACTAAGAAGTTAAAATTCTGCCAACATTTTATACAAACTACTCTTTATGTGACACATCAAAGCATTAACCATGTAAAATATGAACTTTTTCTGTTCCCACTTGAATAAGGCATCTGAAAGCCCTAAACACTGCTGAAGTGAAAATTAGAAGAAAAAACACTTAACATTCACATAACACCAAATGTACATGCTGCACGCACACAAAAGACACTTAGAATATTTTTAAGATTATTTCTTTTGCTATGTAGAAGCTCTTTAGTTTAATTAAGTCCCATTGTCTACTTTTGGTTTTGTTGCTTGTGCTTTTAAGGTCTTAATCTCCATCTTTTAATTGGTATATTTAGATCATTCACATTTGCAGTGGTATTGATACAGTTGGATTAAAATATATAACCTTTCTAGATCTTTACTATTTGTTTCATTTGTTTTTTGTTTCTTTTTTCCTTTTATGTCTACCTTCTCTGGGTTTAATTGATGTGTTTATGACTTTTCTATATGCTTTATTGAATTATTATTTATACCTCTATTTTGCTTTTTACATGATTGTTCTTACATTTGCAATGAACATTTTTAAATAACCTAAGTCCAATTTCAAATACTATTATATGAATTTTTGTGTAGTGTAAGAACCTTATAACAGTACATTCCTATTGTCCCCTCTCATACCTTGTGGCATTACGTTTCATTTTTACATAAGCTATCAACACATAGTATTTTGTTACTATTGTTTTAAATAATCTGTCCTATTTTCTAGTAAATAGAAGGAAGATTATATTTTATCCTCATGTATTATTCCGTTTTCAATGTTCTAGATTTCTTTGTGTAGATCCAAGTTTCTGGCCTTATCATTTTCCTTTTGCCTGAAGAATTTATTTTAACATTTCTACAAATGGTCTGCTAACAATAAATTATCTCAACTTACATTTATCTGAGAAAGCCTTTATTTCTCTTTTACTTTTGAAGAATAGTTTCACGAGAGATAGAATTCTGGGTTGAAAGGGTTTTTTTTTTCTTTCAGCACTTTAAATATGTAACTTCATTGTCTTCTGGCTTGCATGATTTCTGATGAGAAGTCTGCTGTAATTATTATTATAGTTTCTCTATAGATAATGTGCCCCTTCCCATCCATTGGCTACCTTCGAGAATGTCTTTCTTTGGTTCTCAAAAACTTGAATATGACTTGACTGTATGTGGTTTTATTTTGCTATCTATCCTGTTTGATGTTTTCTGAGCTTCTTGGACCCATGTGGGGAGGGGTTATTTGTCATTAATTTTGGAAAATTTGGGGCTATTTTTCTGCTCAAATTTATCTTATGGCCCTTTCCTTCTCTTTCTAAGACTTCAATTATGCATATATTAACCTATTTGATATTGTCTAATAGATGTTGGAAGCTCTATTCTGCTTTGTTTTCACTCTTTATTCTGTTTCAGTTTATGAAATTTTGCATGATACTTTTTCAAGTTCAGTGCTTCTTCCCTTGGCTATATTAAGTCTACTGATATACCCACTGAAGGCATTCTTCATCTTTGCTACTATGTTTCTTATTTCTACCATTTACATTTGACCTGTTCTCATCATTTTCATCTCTCTGCTAAAATAATCTGTCTGACCTTGCATGCTGTCTACATTTCTCATTAGAGATTTTGATACATTTAAATCACAGTTACTTTTAATTCTTTGATAGTTAGAACATGTGTTTCATACCTGAGTCTGGTTCTAATTATTGCTTTGATTCTTCAGAATGTGAGATATTTGTATACCTCATAATTTTTGTTAAAAGCAGGACATGTGTATAGGACAGGAGATACAAACATAAATATTACATTTTATGCTTGGACATGAGTATGGCTTTCATTTTGCTAGAATTTTATTATGGGGAGTTTGCTAATATAGTAAGGAGTTGACCTGGGCATTTGAAGTTCCTTGTTGCAATGGTTACTCTACATGAACCAGAGATTTAAGATTGATACATTGAGACACTTTCTGGGGGAAGCAGGACAAAGGGAAGATGCAAAGAAAAGGGGAGTAGGGAGACAATAACAAGACAAAAAATTTCTCCTCCTGCTCCTTCCCAAGGAGTAGCACTGCTTTTCTTTTTTCTATGTTCCCCTCCTACAGCTAGGTTACAGTTTTGATACCTCTTTCCCTATAGATTAAATCTTTTGTACTGTAAGGAAAATAGGGAAGACGAGTCAGCTGGAACTTTTGGTAGGGGCTTCTCTTTCTCTCTCCCAGCAAGCTCTATTGGTGTTCGTTCTAAGGATCCTCTCAGATCTTTTTGTGGGCATCTAGAGAGGTTCTTGGAGAAAAAGCTCAGGAGACAATGTGAGACCCCTCCAGGGACTTCATACTCTCCTAGTAGCCCACATTCAGCCTTGTCTTGAAATTTCAGACATTTCTTGAAATTTTCTATTTTAATCTTCTTAATGTCTTATGTCAGTGTCAGTGGTCCTCAACCTTTTTGGCACCAGGGACCAGTTTCGTGGAAGACAATACGTTTTTTTTTTTTTTTTGAGATGGAGTCTCGTTCCGTCACCGAGGCTGGAGTGCAATGGCGTGATCTTGGCTCACTGCAACCTCTGCCTCCTGGGTTCAAGAGATTCTCCTGCCTCAGCCTCCCGAGTAGCTGGGATAATGGGCGCGTGCCACCATGCCTGACTAATTTTTGTATTTTTAGTAGAGACGGGTTTCCCCATGTTCGTCAGGCTGGTCTCAAACTCCTGAACTCATGATCTGCCTGCCTCGGCCTCACAAAGTGCTGGCATTACAAGCGTGAGCCACCGCGCCCGGCCGGAAGACAATTTTTCACGGACTGGGCATGGAGTATGGTTTCGGGATGATTCAAGTGCATTACATTTATTGTACACTTTATTTCTATTATTATTACATTGTAATATATAATGAAATAATTATACAACTCACCATAATGTAGGATCAGTGGGAACCCTAATCTTGTTCTCCTGCAACTAGACAGTCCCTTCTGGGGGTGATGGGAGATAGTGACAGAGCATCAGGAATTAGATTCTCATAAGGAGCGTGCAACCAAATCCCTGGCATGCACAGTTCACAATAGGGTTCCCATTCCTATGAGAATCTAATGCCGCCACTGATCTGACAGGAAGTGGAGCTCAGGCGTAATGCAAGTGATGGGGAGTGGCTGTAAACACAGATGAAGCTTTGCTCACTCACTCTCCGCTTACCTCCTGCTGTGCGACCCTGCTCCTAACAGACCACGGACCAGTACCAGTCCGTGGCCCAGGGGTTAGGGACCCCTGGCTTACATGGCATTTGGGCAGTGTCTGTCCCATGCAAGCAAATGCTCATGTCCTCTTTCCACCTGCGAGCACCTGAGTTTCACTAATTTTTGTGTTAAATGTATTTCATGAGACCTCCGTTCTCTGAAGTGTTCCCAAGAAGTCATTACTTTGCAGTTTTTCCACCTCTTTTTCTTGTTTTATGAGTAGGAATGATGCTCCTGACATCTATGGGCATTTCTGAGCTCAAACCATAAGCACTCAGCAAAAATCTTTTTAAAAGATGGTGCTGATCAGTTGAATATCAATATGAAAAGAAATTTGATCCTTGATCCCTATCAGACTTCATATATGGTCCTTCACCAAATAGCAATATTTCAGTCAATGACAGACCACATATATAATGGTGGTCCCATAAGATTGTAATACAGTATTTTTATTGTACCTTTTATATGTTTATATAGTTTTATGTATACAGATACTTACCATTGTGCCACAATCAGTTATAATATTCAGTATAGTATCATACTGTACAGGTGTGTAGCCCAGGAACAATATGGCTAGGTATATAGCAAGCTATATAGTCTAGGTGTGTAGTAGGTTATACCATCTAGGGTCATGTGAGTACACTCTATGATATTTGCACAATTATGAATTTGCCTAACAATGCATTTCTCAGAACATATCCCCATCATTAAACAATACACGATTGTACATCCTTATCTTATTACTGTCCACTGTTTGGGCCTCTTGAAGACACCAATCTGGCAAGCTACTCTACATGCTCTTAAAAGTTCTACTGGCTTTTTCTCACTCCAGTAAAGTTCCTTCTCCTATTATTGTTCTGATACCTTGTCCACCATTGCACAGACTCATCACATAACTCTAGCAGCTAGTGATCTTTGTTCACCAAACAAGGACATGTCCTATTATGGAATTTAGTTTCTTTAAATTTATTTGTCTACACAGATCTTTCGTGTCTTTACAAATGAGTACTTTTTTGAGTTTTCTTTTATTTTGTCAGTTTTTTGTCTTAGTTGATACAATTGTCACAATGGTCTGTCATGATATTCTACCTCTGAAATGGAAGTGACACATCTATTAATAGTTATTTAAATGGTATGTTCAAAGAAGGTACATTAAGGACTGCCTGACACAAGTCATTTCTAACTAAAAGCCACCACAAATTATTCCTGACTAGATGCCTTCATGTTTATTTTTTGAAAAAAAATCAAAATAATACTCCATAAAACCTGTTGTAAATTTTATATTCTATGTATTACTGACATATTTGGATATTTGTACATAATCTTTAACTATATATTTATTAATGCCTGTATACTACAATGCCATATGGATGTACCATAATTTATTTAAACACTCCCCTGTTGGTGGTCATTTAGATTTTTCTCCTGGTGATAAGTATGTTTGAGCAATAGCTACACACAATATAATTGGTTAGGTAGTTTTTTAAAGCACAGACATGTTCTTAATTATTCTTGAAGATTATATTTTATGTTAGAAGAATTTTAAAGGACTAAATTAATGTAGTTAGTAGAAAAACTCTTAGTCAATAAAATATGAGGAGACAGAGATGAGATTTAAAAAAAAAAAAGAAGACTATTGCCAGGCGCGATGGCTCATGCCTGTAATCCCAGCACTCTGGGGGGCCGAGGCGAGTGGATCACCTGAGGTCAGGAGTTCAAGACCAGCCTGGTCAACATGGCGAAATCCCGTATCTACAAAAATTAGCCGGGTGTGGTGGCGCCTGCCTGTAGTCCCAGCTACTTGGGAACATGAGGCAGGAGAATCACTTGAACCCGGGAGGCGGAGACTGCAGGGAGCCAAGATCACGCCACTGAACTCCAACCTGGGTAACAGAGCGAAACTCCGTCTCAAAGAAAAGAAAAAGAAGACTACAAATATTCTCAAGGCTAAGGACCACAAAATGTAACTGAACTAAGGATATAGCTGGAATCTGAGAGAGTGGGGGACACGTTTCATGTAAAACTGAAGGGACGAATCTACTTCAGGTTTTTCCATTTATGAGAACCACCTCCTCACCTCTCCCCACCCACCCCCAAGGACACATTTGCTGTTGAAATTATATGAGGCAAATCCAGCCACAAGTTAAATAAGTAGAAATGAAGAGCAGAGATACAGGGCTTTTATGAATTTTAACTAGGGGGAGAATTTGGGAGATGTTTGACTAGAGAATAAAGGAATAAAGTGTGACATTCTATGGAGAAGGGCTTGAAGCTAAACACAAGATGTATTTTGAACCTGCAAACTTGAGAAATTCTTGATCTTTGTATCTGCCTGTCATCTCCCCAGCTGCAATGAGTAGGATCAAGGTAAAATAACCAAGTCTTTTTTTTTTTTTTTTTTTTTTTTTGAGACGGAGTCTCGCTCTGTCACCCAGCCTGGAGTGCAGTGGCGCGATCTCGGCTCACCGCAAGCTCCGCCTCCCGGGTTCATGCCATTCTCTTGCCTCAGCCTCCCGAGTAGCTGGGACTACAGGCGCCCACCACCTCGCCTGGCTAATTTTTGGTTTTTTTTTTTTTTTTTTTAGTAGAGACGGGGGTTTCACCGTGTTAGCCAGGATGGTCTCAATCTCCTGACCTCGTGATCCGCCCACCTCGGCCTCCCAAAGTGCTGGGATTACAGGCGTGAGCCACCGCGTCTGGCAACCAAGTCTTTCTTAAGTCCAAACTGCATATTTCTATTATATTTAGAAGAGAATAACAGGAGAGCGGAGAGAAGAGGGAAAGCCTGGGTGCAGGTATATCTGGGAGTGGGTGGTGGCTTATTTGTTTTGATGGGAGTTGTCAGCTGTTCTCAGACCACTATCTTGACTTATCTTCTTGCCTCTTGCTGCTGCCAAAGATCACCAATTTACTCAGAGTTAGTTGAATGGGAATACCTCGGAAGTCTTAGACAAACAATTTATAATATCTTATTTCAAATACTGTTGTAATGGGCATACTGTACATAAAATTCTTATTAGGCCAGGGAGGCTGAGGTGGGAGGATCACTTAAGACCAGGAGTTTAATACCAGCCTTATCAACATAGTGAGACCCCGTCTCTACAATAAATAAATAGCCAGGCAAGGTGGCACACACCTGTAGTCCTAGCTACTCGGGAGGCTGATGTGGGAGTATCGCTTGAGCCCTGAAAATTAAGGCTGTCATGAGCTATGATCATGCAACTATACTCCAGCCCAGGTGACAAAGTGAGACCCTGTCTCTAAAAATAAATAAATAAATAAATAAATAAATACATACATATAAATATAAATTCTCATTAATCTCTGATTTTTTCCTTAGGATTAATCTCCAGAAGTTGTGCTACCAGGTTATTTTCTCCTATATTGCCAAATTTCACTGTAGGTTCTTCTTTTAATGACCAACTCCCAGAAGTTTCTACATGATTTATTTTCCCTAAATAGGGCGTAAATCATGAGAACATTACAAAAGAGGACAGAAACAAGCAGTGGAGAAAGGATTCCCTATTTAATAAATGGTGCTGGGAAAACTGGCTAGCTAAATCAGGAAACTGAAACTGGACCCCTTCCTTACACCTTATACAAAAATTAACTCAAGATGGATTACAGACTTAAATGTAAGACCTAAAACCATAAAAACTCTAGAAGAAAACCTAGGCAATACCATTCAGGACATAGGCATGGGCAAGGACTTCATGACTAAAACACCAAAAGCAATGGCAACAAAAGCCAAAATAGACAAATGGGATCTAATTAAACTAAAGAGCTTCTGCACAGTAAAAAAAAACAAATCATCAGAGTGAACAGGCAACCTACAGAATGGGAGAAAAACTTTGCAATCTATCCATCTGACAAAGGGCTAATATCCAGAATTTACAAAGAACTTAAACAAATTCACAAGAAAAAAACAACCCCATCAAAAAGTGGGGGAAGGATACGAACAGACACTTCTCAAAAGAAGACATTTATGCAGCCAACAAACAGAAGAAAAAAAGCTCATCATCACTGGTCATTAGATAAATGCAAATCAAAACCACGATGAGATACCATCTCACGCCAGTTAGAATGGCGATCATTAAAAAATCAGGAAAGAACAGATACTGGAGAGGATGTGGAGAAATAGGAATGCTTTTACACTGTGGGTGGGAGTGTAAATTAGTTCAACCATTGTGGAAGACAGTGTGGCGATTCCTCAAGGATCGAGAACCAGAAATACCATTTGACCCAGCAATTTCATTATGGGAACCACCTGGGTATACACCCAAAGGATTATAAATCATTCTGCCATAAAGACACATGCACATGTATGTTTATTGCGGCACTGTTCACAATAGCAAAGACTTGGAACCGACCCAAACGCCCATCAATGATAGACTGGATAAAGAAAATGTGGCACATATACACCATGGAATACTATGCAGCCATAAAAACGGATGAGTTCATGTCCTTTGCAGGGACACGGATGAAGCTGGACACCATCATTCTCAGCAAACTAACACAAGATCAGAAATCCAAACACCACATGTTCTCACTCATAAGTGGGAGTTGAACAATGAGAACACATGGACACAGGGAGGGCAACATCACACACCAGGGCCTGTCGGGGGGTAGGGGGCTAGGGGAGGGATAGCATTAGGAGAAATACCTAATGCAGAGGACGGGTTGATGGGTGCCGCAAACCACCATGGGACTTGTATACCTATGTAACAAACCTGCACGTTCTGCACATGTACCCCAGAACTTAAAGTATAATAATAATAAAAAAAAAGAATACTAAAGCTGAAAGGTTCACATTACCAGATAGCAAGGCTTATTTAAAAACTGTAGTAATTAAGAGACTGTATTATGGGTAAAAGAATAAAAACTAGACCAAACGAACAGGCTAGACAGCCCAGAAACACACATACACATATATGGTCACTTGATTTATGACACAGTACCATAACACTGCAGTGGCAAAAAGTATTTCTAATTGTGCTTTGTCAATTGGATATTGCTATGGAAAAAAAGCAAATCTTAACTCCTTCTGCATAACATACAAAATAATCAGTTCTAGAAGTATTTTAGATCTAAATGTGAGAGGTAAAGTAATAAATATTTTAGAGGAAAACATAGAAGAAAATGACCATAAACTTGCAGTATCAAATGTGTCTTTTAAAATTTCTGTATTCCTTTTATTTATTCATTTTTAAATCTTCGACACAATTTAACCTCCAGAAAAGTTACGAGAACAACACTAAAAGGCCTATATACATCTTAATATTATATTATGTCATTTCCTAAATTCTCCTCTCTCTTTAATTCTCTATATATCTCTATATATTTTTTCTGAAGCCTTTGAGAGTAAGTTGCAGGCATGATGTCCTTTTATCTCTAAATATTTTATTGCATATTTTCTTAAAAACTAGGAAATTCTCTTTTCTAATCACAGTTCAATTAGAAAAATCAGACAACTAATATTGATGTAATAATATCTAATAATAGAACTTATATTTTATAACTTCAAATGAATCCATTTTTATGGCCTCTGGATTTTCGATGTTAGTTGGAAATCCTTTCACTATACACACGTTAAAGAGGAATTTATACACATTCTTCTGGTATTTATATGATCATTTTTTATCTATTTGGCAAAACCAGTCATCTAAGCAAAATTTATTAAACAGTTGATCTTTTAGCCATTTGAAATGCCAGCTTCATCTCATACTGAAATTCTACATGTACTTTTATTTAATGGATAGTCTTAAAGGGCTAGTCCCCCTCCCCCCTTGCAGCTTTTTCTTTTTTCCTTTTTAAAAGACTGGGATCTCATTATATGGTCCAGGCTGGACTTGAACTCCTGGGCTCAAGCAATCTTTCTGCCTCGGCTTCCCAAGTAGGTAGGATTACAGGTACATGCCACCATGCCCAGCTGTAGCTTTTTCTTTTAGCGTGTATTATTGTATATTATGTTTATTTTTCCATATGGAGTTTTATACCAAAATGTCTGGATCCATCAAAATGGTGATTGACATTTTTAATTGAGATTGAGTGAAATTTACAAATTAACTTACAGAAAAATTATAATTTTATGATGCTGAATAATTCTATCCAAGAAAATGTGAAGTCTTTCCATTTATTCAAGTTTACTTGTGTCTTTCACAAGTATTGAAATTTTAATTAATTATTATTTTTTTGTGACGGAGTCTCACTCTGTCACCCAGGCTGGGGTGCCATGGCACAATCTGGGCTCACTGCAACCTCTACCTCCCAGGTTCAAGCGATTCTCCAGGGTAGTAGAGATGGGGTTTCACCATGTTAGCTAGGCTGGTCTCCAGCTGCTGACCTCTAGTGATCCACCGGCCTCAGCCTCCCAAAGTGCTGGGATTACAGGCGTGAGCCACTGTGCCTGGCCTCTCAATAAATTTAAGTATCTTATCATGTTTTTTCTATTTCAAACGGATTTACCCTACAGGATTATAATCTCTAATTAATTTGTTTCTATAAAAACTATTGAGATCTATATGGTAATTTTCTATCCTATTTATTGAATTGAATTGTTTTCTTGTTTGAGTAGCCTTTATCATTGATTCTCTTAGGTTTTCCAGATAAACAATCATATTTGCTAATAGAAGTAGTTTCAATTCTTTCTGAGATCTTACAGCTCTAATTGATGTTTCTAATTGCATTAGTTAATACCTCCAGGAAAATGATGAATAGATGTGAAACAAATTATATCCTTATCTGTGTCCTGATCTCTTAATGTCTTAATGTGAAATGATCTCTTAATGTCTTAATGTGAAATGCATTTAGTGTTTCATCATTAAGAAAGACGATGAGTTTTAGTATGAAGGGTGTGTGGGTACGTGTAATATACAATATTAATAAGTGATGTCTACCTGTATTATTCTTTTTGATACTGTCTTGCCCAGTTTAAGTATCAATGCTTTAGTTGCTTTCATAAAAACAACTATGACATTTCCCATAATTTTCAACGCTTTGGAATAGTTAATGAAGCATTGGGACTATCTAGTTTTTGAATATAGGGAGAATTCCCCTTTAAAACCGTCTTGGCTTGGAGATTTTAATGGGATAGTTATAAATTTATATTTTATTCTTTCTATGAAACTTAGTCTGTTTAAATTTTCCATCTCTAATGGAGTCAATGTTGACACACAGTATTTTCCTAAACAATTATACATTTCATTTGGGTTTCAATTTTATATGCATAGAGTATCAGAAAGAAATATTTATGATTTTTAAAAAAGTACTCTCATTTTAACTGTTATTATCCATTATAGCTTAGATTGTATATTTGTAATTTCTCTGGTTGTTAATACAGTGAAGTTAGCTAGTGTGTTGCCTACTTTATTTTTTCTAAAAATCTATGATTTTAATTAACTAATACATCTAGCATTTATAGATCTAGTATTTATCTCTCTTCTAACTCATTACTTTCTCCTTTTTTCTTTATTATTTTCTTTCTTGTGCTTTCTTTTGGTTTATTTGATTGCTTTTTTTAGCTTTTTGAGATGGGAGGTCAATTAATTTATTTTCATTCCTTCATTTTTATTGATGAAAATGTATAAGACTAGATATTTTTTCTTTGATCATCATTTTAAATGTATGCCATAGATTCTCATACACAGTGTTTTCATTATTCTTTGTTTAGAAATCCTATCATTTTTGTTTGTACTTCCCACTTTACCTGCGAGTTTTAAAACAGACTTTTCTTAAAATTCCAGTCGGAAGGCCTTGTGTGCTTTCTTAGTTTATTTATAATTTTTTGTTTCATTACATTGTGATCGGGTAATGTTGTTTGTAAAATTTCCACTTTGAAGATTAAACAAAGCCCAAACAGTCAAAAAGTTAAAGATTTTTAAGTTTATATATGTGTATATGCAGGGTATAAAGAATAAAAAATGATTATTATTGTATTCCTTACAATTAACATGAAGAACTTCTGTTCATCAAAAGATACTATTAAGAGAGTGAAAATACAAGCCACAGGATGGGATATATTATGTGATACATATCTCCAAAATTTTTTTTTACTAAGGATGTGTAAAGAACACCAAAAATCAACATAAAGAAGACAAACAAATTAACAGAAAAAATGGCAAAAGTGTAGAACAGGCACTGCACAAAATATTCCAAATCACTAAAAAATATGTGACAGCATGGTTTACATCATTAGGCATCAGGAAATTAAACCTATACATTGCCACTGTGTGTCAACTTGAGTGGCTAAAAGGGAAAAAAATGCCAAATTTTAGTGAATGTGGAGAAACAAACTGTGATACACAGCTGATTGGAGTGTAAATTTATATGGCCATTTTGAGACTTACATGCCACTTTGGTAGCATATAAGAAAGCTGGATGTATGCAATGTCCTATGATCTAGTAGTTCCACATACAGGTAAATACTTAGGGAAATCCACACACGAGTATAATTATCACCAAAAAATATGTGCAAGATTGTTCATACAGCACAATATATAATATTGCAGACACAATGAGTAGAATTAATAAATGAATTTTCCTACATTCATATGATGAAATACGTTGTAGCAATACAATGACTGAAAAACTACCATATCCAAGAGCATAAATAAAACATGGGAAAATTATGTTGAGCTAAAGGAGCTAAACACAAAAGACTGCATATCATATGATTCTACTTACATAAATTTAAAATCAGACAAAAAAAGGCCATTGGAGGTAAGGATAGTAGTTACTTTTGTGGGAGAGGGATCAAGATAACTGAGAACTGTGAAGGGAAACAAAGGGGACTTGTAGGGAATTATGCATTATACTAACTTTTAATTTGAGTGGTCATTACATAGGTATGTTCACTGTGCAATTTCATAGAGCAATATACTTATAATTTCTATACTTTTACATATGTCATACTGTAATGACTAAATGTATGTGAAAAATTAGAAGGCAGAGGACAGTGTGGCAGAAAGTACAAGGAGCTTATCCTCCTGAAATTTCATCTTCCAAAGCAAGGAATTTCCTGTTTTTTTGCATAAATTCTTAAAGGTCATTAAAAATAATTGTGGTTCCAAACTGGTGTTGTTTTTGAAATTCTTTTAGCTTAACCCTGAAGGAAACTTTCAGGAATGAATATCTTTTCAGTTAGAGAAATTATTAACTAAAGATTCACCTCTTTCTTGTTCTCCTTCCCTTTATTTTATCGTAGTCTAGTAAAATAAAATCTAGTACTTTAAAAACTTGAATAGCACATATAGTATAAGCTCATCATTGTAAAATTTATTTCTGTAAAATTATCTCTCTTTCTGGCTATCTACTAGTCTATCCATTTATTTCATAGTGAATAAAAAGATATTTGTAATGATTTTGACCCAGTGTCCGAACTAGCTAATTCTGGAGGTTGCAATTTGATTTAATTTAATTTATCTGCCTTCATATTTTCTTGCAGTACTTGATGTTTTTTGCTACAAGCTCTTAAAACAATTCCAGTGCTTGATTTTTAAAACAATAAAAATGTTCTAATAAATTTATGAAGTCATTGTTCTGTTTTTAAATTTATGTATAACTCACCCTGTTATATATTGTAAGTGTAACAATATATTGTCAATCAAAGCATGTAGCTTATTAACACTATGATTAAAAACCTTAAAATCTTGGGCATGTATATGCAAGATTTTGTTCCTTTTTAATTTTCTATTGAAAATTTCCTTTTGTGAATTTACCTTTGGTTTTGTCAACTGACCCACATTTTAAGTTTTCAGATTTGATATATTTGAGATTTTAATAGCAAAATCAATTTTTTACACACATCCTACTTTCTCTATGTTCAGACCAGTTTCTATCTATAGTTCCAGGTCACTGGAGGTAGGGGCAGGTTTCTCTTTTCAGTATTCCTAATCTTACAGAAAACAGCTTTTCTCCCAAGCCCTTTTGTCACTCCTCCCTTGGACAAGGGAAGACTGATGTGATGGGTCAGATTCAGGAGCACTATCAGCAGTACCACCTTCCAATGTGACACCCATGCGTGTAGGACATGGCCATGCTCTTCCCTCTCACAATACCAAAGTGATAAGCTGAGCCAGTGCCTACTATGAAGGCTGGGCTCTGCCACATTACTCCCTATTCCTTTCTTCTTACTGGAGATTTGGGACTCTGTTTTCCACACACTAGGGGTCAACTGGTTATAAGATGCAGAGTTAGAGAGTTGGAGAGACCCTGCTTCCTTCTTGAGTCTGGGCCTGTGCTTCAACCCAGCTTGGCCTGAGATCTCTGCATTGAGGGTCATGGGAATTGGCCCCGTGAATTATATTCAGGGTCCTTGTGTGCGTGTCTCCTTCAGAGAAAACCCTGGGAAGAGACAGAGCAGCAGTGTAGGGTAAAAGTGGGGCATTTTTGTGTCCTCTGGACAAATACTAGCCCCACACTGTCAGATTCTCACCAGTATATACATTTGGATGTCTCTCACTCCATTATAGATGGTATAGATGGTGACCCGAATGTCACAACTCACATTGAAGCATCACATGAAACCATTCCCTAATCATGCTACCATCTAGAGGTCAGTACTTGGTGTTTTCAGGCATGGTTGGTGGATTCCATGCATGAAGGGATAAGGTAAATATCTGTTGATGTGAAGATGGTCAAGGCCTCCTGAATTCCAGTGGTTCCCCCACCCTTGTCTCTTTCCTCAGGGGCTCATGCATCAACCTCAGATAACAGGAAGCCAGTATTCTGGTTTTTAAATTGATCTCACAAAAACAGGTTGTCTTCATTTGGGCCTCATTTAAGCCCTCAGAACTTTGAACTTGACATTTATATGATCCAAATTGCAAATACATCCCATGGCTGACTCACTCACTGGCTTCTGTTGGAATTGGCCACTTACGGTCCTCTTCAGTAATTACTTCCCCATATCTAAATAATCATCATCTTTCCTTGCATACAATGTTATTTTATGTACTTCATTCACATTTTACAATTGCCTTCACATAGAAAACATATATCACTCACTTTTAAGACATGCCTTCCAGCTATCACTAAGTCTTGTATTTCAAATTTTCTCCTTACTTAGAGGTAGCCCAGATGTCCTGCATTATCACTACCACTTACCAATATAGATAGATGATTAATTGATAGATAGATAGAGATAGGTATGTAAGTAGGTAGATAGATAGATTAGATAAATAGATAATTTTTTCCTTGTCACAAAATCTCATGCAGGTCAATGTCAACTGTGAATAGAGTCAAAATAGGATGAGATAAGCTTCTCTTTGGTGATCAGTTTCCAAATATGCTTCCACATGAACAGGTGGTGTCTTCTCTACAGTCTCTATAATCCATCCTAAGCTGCCTGTTCTATAACAGTTTGTTCACTACTGGAAAATCAGTTCTCTGTTCCCATAGGCTCTGTTCATGCCCACATTCATCTGCCATCCCAAAATAAAATCACTACTGAGATCACACTCATATCACATGGTGCCATCACTCAAATTGAACCCTAGAGAAATGGTAATGCACTAAGTATTCCCTAAAACATGCTCAGAAAATGAGAATGAAAGACCTCACGACAAACTTAAGATAGATGTGGTAAAATGGTTTCTGGATGGGATGCATTTTTCTATTTAAGTTCATCTGAGCACTACAAGAAAGACTTGGCTAAAAGACTCAGTATCGGACTGTGTTAACAATACTGACTCACGGTGAATTATAACACAACATATAACTTGAGAAACATTCACAACATATTGCAGCTTATTTTATTAACACACACCTTGGTGTTTAATGGTTATAGTTGATAATATTTACCTGTGCCAGGGGACTAATACATTCATGGCTCCTAAATGTAAGGTTACCTATTTAGTAGATTTTTTATCCAACAAATTAAAAATATGAGCATGAGTAATTTTGCTAAAGAGAAAGGATCTGATAACATTCCAGTGTCCCAGATAAAGGCATGAATACTTCATCATGAAATATTCAAAAGATTCCCAAGATAAACATTTTAACAATGACAAATGAAGCAGGTTATGATATTCCCTACCTGAAAGAGGAGGTCTCCATAATTCTTGTCTGTTCCTTACAGAGTGATATTAGGGATTTTCTAAAAACATACTCCCATCAGAATTCTTTCAAACCTCACTTACATGATAAACTTAAAACTTATTGGTATGTGACTTTTTTTAACCAGCTTTATTTTTTAGAACAGTTTCAGGTACACAACGAAACTGAACAGGAAGAACTCTGTATACACACTCACAGCCTCCCTGACTATTAATATCCGCCCCCCCCCCAGAGTAGTACATTTGTTACAACCAATGAATCTACTTTGACACATTATCACCCAAAGTCCATAATTTACATTAGGTTTTACATATGGCGTTGTACATTCTATAGGTTTGGACAAATGTATAAAGACATGTGTCCACCATTATAGTATCATACAGAATAATTTCACTGCTCTAAAAATATGTGTTCTGCCTATTTATCATCCCTTCCTTCTAACTTCTGGCAACCACTGACCTTTTTATAGTCTCCTTCGTTTTGTCTTTTCCAGACTATCAAATATTTAAACTAATACAGTATGTAGTCTTTTCAGATTGACTTCTTTCACTTAGTTATATGCATTTTAAGCTTCCTTCATCATGTCTTTTCATGGCCTGATAGCTCATTTTTGGTACTGAATAGTATTTCATTGTCTGGATGTACCACAGTTTATCTATTCACGTACTGAAACACATCTTTGTTGATTCCAACTTTTGGCAATTATGAATAAAACTGCTATAAACATCCATGTGCAGGTTTTTGCGTGGGCATAAGTTTTCATCTTATTGAGTAAATACCAAGGAGTCTGACTGCTAGATCATACAGTAAGAATATGTTTAATTTTGTAAGAAACTGCCAAACTGCCTTACAAGGCTATACCAACAACAATGAATGAGAGTTCCCATTACTCCACATCCTTGTCAGCATTTGGTGTTAATGTTCTGGATTTTGGTGGTTCTAATAAGTATATAATGACGTCTCATTGTTGTTTTAAGTTTTATTTTCCTGATGACATACGATGTTGAGCAGTTTTTCATATGCTCATTTGCCATCTATGTATCTTCTTTGGTGAGGTGTCTGCCAAAGTCTTTCGCCCATTTTTTAATAGAGTTGTCTTTTTTCTGAATGTTTAGTTTTAAGAGTTATTCATTCTTAGCAAACTATCGCAAGGACAAAAAACCAAACACCGCATGTTCTTACTCATAGGTGGGAATTGAACAATGAGAACACATGGACACAGGAAGGGGAACATCACACACCCCGGGCCTGTTGTGGGGTGGGAGCAGGGGGGAGGGATAGCATTAGGAGATATACCTAATGTTAAATGACAAGTTAATGGGTGCAGCATACCAACATGGCACATGTATACATATGTAACTAACCTGCACGTTGTGCACATGTACCCTAAAACTTAAAGTATAATTTAAAAAAAAGAAAAAAAAAGAACTACAAAAAAAGAGTTATTCATATATTTTGGATAACGTTACTTTATCAGATGTGTCTTTTGCTAATACTTTCTTCCAGTCTGTGGCTTATCTTTTCATTCTACTAAAAGTGTCTTTCACAGAGCAGAAATTTTAAATTTTAATGAAGTCCAGCTTACCCATACTTTTTAAATAGAATGTACCTTTGGCATTATATCTAAAAAGTCATCACCAAACCCAAGGTTATCTAGATTTTCTTCGATGTTATTTTCTAGTAGTTTCATAATTTTGCATTTTACATTTAGGTTGGTGATTCACTTTGAGTTAATTTTTGTGGAGGGTGTAGGTTCTGTATATAGATTCATTTTTTACATGTGGATGTCCAGTTGTTTCAATATCGTTTGCTGAAAACACTACCTTACTCCATTGTATTGCCTTTGCTCCTTTGTCAAAGCTCAATTGAATATACTTGTATTGGAACTACTGCTGGGCTCTCTATTCTATTCCATCGACCTAAGTGTCTGTTCTCTTACCAATACCACACTGTCCTGATTACTGCAGCTTTATAGTAAGTCTTAAAGTTGGGCAGTCTTCCAACATTTTTTTTCTCAGCAGAAACTTCAGAATTAATTTGTAAATTTCCATGGAAATCCAGCAAAATCGCCCTGTTGGGATTTTGATTGGAATTGCACTGAATCTATAGATTAAGGTGAAAAGAATTGGCATCTTGACAATATTGTCTTCCTACCCATGAATATGGAATCTCTCTACATTTATTTAGTTCTTTGATTTCTTTCATCTGAGACTTGTACATTTCCTCATATAAATCTTTTACATATTTTGCTAGATCTATATGTAAGCATTTCATTTTTCTGGATACTAATGTAAATTATATTGTGCTCTTATTTTCAAATTCCACTTGTTCACTGCTGATATATATGACAGTGATTGATTTTTCTTGTATCTTGCAACTTGCTATAATTGCTTAGCTGTCCCAGAAGTTTTTCTGTCAGTTCTTTTAAATTTTTTACAGAGACAGTCACGTCATCTGTGAACAAAAAGTTTTTATTTTTCTCTCCTGTTATGCAAACCTTTTATTCCTTTTCCTTGTCATATTACATTAGCTAGGACTTCCAGTATGATGTTGAAAAGCAGTGATGAGGGGGAACTATTTGCCTTAATCCTGATCTAGTGGGAAAACTTGTAGTTTCTCACCACTCAGTATAATGTTAGCTGCAGGTTTTTGTGAATGTTCTTTACCAAGTTGAGTAAATTCCTCTCTATTCCTAGTTTACTGAGAGTTTTTTTTTTATCATAAATGGGTGTTGGACATTGTTAAATGCTTTTTCTTTGTCTATTGATATGATTATGTGGTTTTTCTTTTTTAGCCTGTTGATGTGATGAATTACATTAATTGATTTTTGAACGTTGAATCAGTCTCGCATACCTGGGATGAATCTCACTTGGTCATGATGTATAATGCTTTTGATACATTGTAGGATTTAATTTGAAAAATTTCAGAATTTTTGCATCTATGTTTATGAGACATATTGGTCTATAATTTTCTGTCATGTCTTTGTCTGGCTTTGGTATTAGGTTTATGATGGCCTCATAGAATGAATTATCAAGTATTCCCTGTGCTTTTATTTTCTAAAAGATACTCTAAATAATTGGTAAAATTTCTTCAATGTTTGGCAGAATTCACTGCTGAACTCAATTTGACCTAATGCTTTAGTTTTAGAAGGTTGTTATTGATTCAATTTCTAAAATAGATATGGGCCTATTCAGATTGTCTATTTCTTCTGTAAGTTTTGGCAAATTGTATCTTTCAAGGAATTGGTCCATTTTCTCTAGATTATCAAATTTGTGGGCATGGAGTTGTTCATAGTATTTCTTTATTATTCTTCTAAGGTCCATGGCATCTATAGCAATGTCCCCTCTTTCATTTCTGATTTTAGTAATTTGTTTCCTCTCTTTTTTTTTCTTAGCCTAGCTGGAGTCTTGTCAGTTTTATTGATCTTTTCAAAGAACCAGCTTTTGGCTTCATGGATTTTCTCCACTGATTTTCTATTTTCACTTTCATTGATTTCTGCATTACTTTTTATTTTTTTAATGCTCACTTTGGATTTAATTTACTCTTCTTTTTCTAGTTTCCTACAGTGAAAGCCTATAGATTTTAGATCTTTCTTCTTTTCTAATACATGCATTCAATACTACAAATTTCCCCTGAGCACTGCTTTCACTGCATCCCACAAATTTTAATACACTGTATTTTCATTTAAAATATTTTTAAATTTCTTTGATGCTTCTTCATTGATACATGTGTTATTCGGAATTATGTTATTTATTCTCCAAGTACTTGAAGATTTTCCAGCTTTTTTGTTACTAATTTCTAATTTAATTCCATTTGGTCTAAGAGCATACTTGTATGATTTCTATTCTTTTATATTTGTTGAGGTATGTTTTATGGTCCATAATGGAGTCTAGCTTGGTGAATGTTTCATAAAAATTTGAGAAGGTATATTCTGCTAATGTTGCATTAAGTAGTCTATAGATATCCACCATACCAGGTGATTTATGGTGTTATCGACTTCAACTACATACTTATTGGTTTTCTGCCTGCTGAATGTGTCAGTTGTGATACAGAGATGTTGATGTCTGTTACTATAATGGTGGATTCATCCATTTTTCCTTGCAATTCTATCAGTTTTCACCTCACATATGTTGATGCTCTCTTGTTAGGCACATACATGTTAATGATTGTTACGTCCTCTGGAAAAATTGACCCTTCATCATTTGGAATACCCCTTTTATTCCTGATAACTTTCCTTGCACTGAAGTCTACTCTCTGAAATTAATACAGCTATTCTTTTCTTTTGATTGGTGTTAGCATGGCATATAATTCTCCATCTATTTAATCTGTATGTGTCATCATATTCATTGTGCATTTCTTGAGACAATATATATTTGGGTCTTGTTTTTTGATCCACTTTGTCAATCTCTGTCTTTTAATTGGTGCATTTCGAAGGCTGATGTTCACAGGGATTATTTATATAGTTGAATTAACAGCTACCATATTTGCTACTGTTTTCTATTCATTGCCCTTGTTCTTTGTTCTGATTTTTGTCTTCCACTCTTTTTCTACCTTTCGTGGCTTTGAGCATTTTATATGATTTTATTTTCTCTCCTTTCCTAATATATCAGTTATACCTCTTTTTTGTAACTGTTTTTACTGGTTGCCAGAGAGTTTGCAATATGTACTTACAACTAATCTAAGTCCACTTTCAAATAACACTATACTGCTTCATGGGTAGTCTGAATACCTTGTAATAATAAAATATTCTAATTATTTCCTCTGGTCCCTTCTATAATAGCTATCACTCATTTCAGTTATACATAAGCACACATAAGCATATGTGCTTACACATAAGCATACATAACTGGATATACTGTTGCTATTATTATTTTGAACAAACTGTTATCTGTTCGACCAATTAATAAGGAAAATAAAGTTATTTTACCTTCACTATTTCTTCTCTGATGCTTTTCCCTTCTTTATATGTATCTTAGTTTGCAAACCTGAGAGAAATATGAGGGAACTTCAGTGATGCCTTGAAGCATCATAGTCCAAGCGTATTGTTTATTCTATGTGAAAAAAAGACAGTGGGAGTAAGGAAAAGGGGATACTAAAAAAGGCTAAAGAGAGACCTACTACTATGTTCAATTTGGAGGCAGAAAAGCTAGGATAATATTTGTGTTGGGGACCAAGGGAAATGTGTACATTATGTAATTTATATCCCTTAAATCTTTATTCATAGAGTTATTCACATTCATTTGGACTTCTTATCTGGAGATGGGGTGCTGCAGAGACTAGTACAAGGAATGAGTAAGCCCTTAGCTATGAAATCTGCAACAATGGGCTGTATTCCCTCCAACACTTACAGTTTTAGGAGATACTGGGACAATTTAGGCAGAAGCATTATGGTGTCAGTATTGACTTGTATGGCTTTAATATTACTTATTTACCCCATGTCTGCAGATGATGTGGACCAGAAAATATGGGGTACTGAAAAAAACAAATCAGAAAATTAAGGTTATTCTAGGGATAAGAGAGTTGGAAACAGTGCAGGATAGAAAAGGGAAGCCACCATAAGATGGTACATTGGGTCATCCCATTCAGGGAGATCAAGAAAAAATCTTTCAGATATGCACCTAATCATGACTCCTCATTGAGCCAAAACATCCTATCCTGATAGGTTGGACTGGGTGGAAAGACTGAGGAGAAAGGCAAGTTAAGATGTGAAGTTACCTAAAGAGGTGGGCAAAGGGGTAAAGAGAAAGAATATATTCAACTGGTAAGTCACACCACTGAAATCTCTTTATTACTTCAAGGTAAGTTGGAAAGAAATTGGGAGGAACTATTGGTGAAGACTGTGGCTCCAATGTCTATAAAAAAGTAGATGACCGTGATGGTTAATTTTATGTCAACTTAGCTAGGCCATAGAAACACTACTTTAGATGCTTCTATAATGATATTTTTAAAATGAGATTACAATAGACTGAATAAAGCAGATTACCTTGCATAATGTAGGTGGTGTGTTTCATCCAATCAGATGAAGATCTTAATAGAAAAAAGACTGATGTTACCCAAGGAAGAGGGAATTCTGCCAGGAGATAGCTTTCAGACACAAGCTGCAAGGTCAACCCTTGGGTCTCCAGGCTGCTGGCCTACCTGCAATTTTGGACTTGACAGCCTCACAATCATGTATCAGTTCCTTAAAATACACACACACACACACACACACACACACACACACACTTGTTCTGGTTCTCTGGAGAACCGTGATTAATACAATGGCCATTTACTAACAGAGTTCTTTCTCTTTGCTAAATCAAAAGCAATTGGAGACACTAAGGACAGATTCCTTGGGAATCATATTGTTTCCAATCGAGCAGCTTTTTGGGCTGCTTGTGTCCTGGTCAAAGCAATAAAATTGTAGGCATAGTAACATCCTCCTCCCAATATATGCAAGTATTCTTGCCTATCTGTTTTGTATTTGTGGAGGGTCTTTTGTTTCCCTCAAGTTAAGCTGTAGTGTTGCAAGTTTTTGCATGTAGTTTTATCTTTGTTTTTCAGGGTATCCTCAAAATGCTGGACTAATTGTTGTAACTCATGAATGGGTATTGTCTGCCAGCCTATTTTCTGCTTCTGAACAGCAGCTGATATTTCAGGCTTAGGGCTATTAACAAAAAAGGTGGTAATTTCAATGCTGATGTTAGCATTAATTCCCAACCCTGAGCATTCTTTAAAGTGATTTACAATAAAGATTCATTCCATCTCTGTCAATAGGGTTAGACTGTTCCCCAGTAACTGTGAGAGGGATAAACTTCAATATACCATTTAAAAGACCTTCTTGTATCTATAGGGCATCAAGGTTAGCCTAAATCCTCATTTATGGTAACCCATTTGGCCTTGTCACACCAGGTTCTAGCACCTCCAGGTTCTACTAAAAGGTGTGTTAACTAATGTAAATCTGGAAGCCATTTCAGTCAGCCTCTTAGTCAGTAGGAAATCCTCTCAGATTTTGCCAAGTAGTTGGCAGCCAACCGTAACTTAGGAAACTGAAATCACAAAGAATGGGGATAAAAATAAGTAACAGGACAGGTGGTTAGGGAGCCTTTTCAGCCTTCTATTAAGAATAGAGTGAAGTTACACAAAAAAAGATTGAGAAGACTACATAAAAGTAAAATTATCTATGCCTCTGAAAACTACACATTTAGGAAGCAAAAACCAGGAAAAGTATTTGCAATGTATGTGACAGAATGGAAGATCAGTATCTTGACATATAACTTACAATCATTAAGATAATTATCTTTAAAACATTGATAAATACTGGTTAGGGTATAAAAAAAACAAGAATTCTCACATAATGTCAGTGGCAATATAAATGGGTATTGTGTTTCTTGCAATGCACCAAGAGAGTTAAAAGCGATCATGCCTTTCAAACCAGTAAATCTATTTTTGGAAATCTATTATAAATAATCAGAGATGGTAAAAAATATATGTGTGCAAAAGTATTCTTTTCATTTAATGAAGGGATAAACTTTAAGAAATCTATCAATGTGCTTTCCTCCTACACATTTCCTTGACTGAATGGCCCTAAAAACTAGTAGTATGAATTTTCTACTAGAAGGCAGAAATGGGAAATTGAAGGAAAGGTGTCAGCTCTATGTAAATCTGAAGAGTACATTTTATCAAACTCGGTCTCATGGATTGCAAATCCTAATACACACATTGTTGTGAATACTGGAGATAACAACAACAATAATTATATGTCTACAATTGCCAGGAACTAAGAACCTGTTGTGCTATTTATGGTGACCACCATCCTCCATGAAGCACGTGCTATTATAACCTTCATTTTGCTCACGTGGAAACTGTGATACAGGAAGAAGCAGTAAATTGCCAAGGTTCTTGGGGTTCCTCAAAGAGGGCACTGGCGTTCAGATCACCGGTCTATCATACACAAGATTATACGCTGGTTTACAGAACGTTTTCCTGCCTCCAGTGCAAGAATGAAATAAAAGACAAACTGGGTAGAGTGTAAAACAGCCAGCAAAACTTTTTTCAAAATGGTAATAATTTAATGCTCACAATAAAGTGCTAAGTGGAAGGGTGAGGGGGAAGCCACGTTGTTTCATCCAGTATCATCCAAACATTATTTAAAAATACACCGTATTTACAAAGATAAACATCTGGAAGAAATAAGGTACTTGTTCATGTATTCAAAACTGTATGTTAAGAACACTCCTCTACACTCTTGTCAGTTTGCCGAAAAGGCAATGGTGAGCAAAAACAAAGCAGAACAATCACAGTTTCTGTTCTTAGAAAGGTTACATGATCACATTTACCAATGAGATAGGGGGTCAGGGGTTATTTTTGCTTTCCATTTCAGTTATTAAGTATTTTTTCGACGCTTCTAGACTGTGTATTGTTTTAGAATGGGAAATGAATAAAAATTTTCAAGCATTTTTCAAATGATTTTTAGGACACGGTAACTCACACTGAAAATCTGAGTTTAAAAAAGATGAACTAACGATGGAATATGAACTCGTGTTTAAAATGCACCTTTGGGAATGAAAAACTCTAAGGAAACAACAAATATTATCAGTGGTCATTGCTGGGTGATGGGACTGAGGGTAAGACTGGCTTTCTTTATTACACTGTATTTGTCCTCCAAATTTTCTACAGTGAGGTTGAGTCACTTCCATAATAAAAGAGTGCGTGCATTTATCAATATAAAACCAGGTCCACAAAGCCCAGTACAACCTGGGGACAGTGAATGACAAGACCATTGAGAGAAGTCAAAATACAAGTTACTAAGGAACCTAGGCATCATCTCAAGAGGAATGCCAATTTCAAAAGCAAAAAGATTTTGTTCATCAGCTCTGAGTTTTCTTAAGAGACACTACCCGCTCCGCTTCACCCCCTAAAAAACAGGCAGCCCCAGCAGCAGGACTTGGCAGGTTTAAGAACCAACCTCTTCTCTCAAAAAAGATTCCGCGGCATTTTTTTCAAGCAAGAAGGGCGGGGGGAGAGGCGAGTTGGGCGTATCCATGGAGCAATATTGCCACCTGCAGGCCACAAGAATGAAGCGCCACCAACCGCGGAAGAAAATTCATCCTTTCTACTGCTTCTCGGCAAAGAGCCGGTAGAGCTAACCTGAGGAAGCTACGCAGAATGAAGATGAGGACCAGAGAATAGACTAGTACCGGTCAGACAGGCCCCGACGAACCGGCCGTACAAGGCAGCCTCCCATAGTCCCGCCCTCGGAACCATAGCAACCCAGCAGGAAGTTCCTGCGCCACCGGAAAAAGCAGCTCTCGGGGCGGGGCTGGCCTAGGATTGACGGGCTCTGGGCCTGCGCATCGGAGTCCGGGGAGGTAGGCGCTAGTCTCCTCAGGGTCAGCCGCAGGACTCCTTCCCTGCTATTGAGAGTTGATGGCTCAGGCTCGCGACCGCTGAAGGCCAGGCTCTACTGCATGGCTGCACCAGCCGCCTCACGTTCGAGACCTGTGCCAATCCCATGGACACTCTCCCAGCCAGCCCCTGGACACGCTTCTCATGTGACGCACGCCCTGTCCTCCTCTCAGCCCTCACAGCACGGATCCTCCCCGGCGACCTCAGCGCCCCCGGGGCTGACCAGGCCGCGGCCGGCTCTCCTCCGTCTTGAGGGGGCCTCCTCCTCCCCACCTAAGTCTCCTCCGCGCGCGGTAATGCTCTGGGCCTCAGGAAAGACCGCGCCCCTTCACGATGTCTATTTCTTGCATCCCGCACTCTCATCATGGGCAGCACCCCATCCAGTCCTAACAGCTCCCTCTCTCCAATGTCCCAGCATCCACAGCCTTCAGCCTCAAGGAGGCCTGTCCACTGACCCCAACCGCGTTCCTCACCATTCACCTTCCTTACCCAGCTTACTCAAAGCTATTAACTCTCGCTCCTCAAACGCATCTCTTCATTTTCCTTCCTCCCTACTCGCCTGGCAACCCCCTGCCTTCCCCCGCCCCCCTGTAACCAAGTAGACAAACAATGTGCACCCTCCACAAGTGTACCTTCTCTCTCCTCTCCCTACAATAGCCCCCACAAGGACTAGCACCAACTCTTCTCATGATATTCCTTGATATTCCCCTGAAAAAACAGGAGCGATTGGAGAGAAACTCTCACCACTTCCCAACAGCAGTGGGCCTGCACTTGTAATCTCAGCTGCCCCACTGGAGGAAGTGACAGGATCCTACTTGAGGCCGGGCCTTCACCTGAATCCCATGCCCTCTACCTTCTCAAGGTAGAGACTTTTGTAGTGATTATCCCTTATTCCTGAATTGTCACATTCTTTCTTTATTCTGGATTCTTCTGTCATCTATAAACATGCTCTTGTTTCTGACATTTTATACAAAATGTAATAAAACAGAAATCAGTTCCTTATCCCATATTTCTCCAAGGTAATGACACATTTCCCTGATGCTCCAAGCAGCAAATCTGTCTTCCCTTGTTCTATAATCATTATCATTACAAACCTCTTCAATGCAGCTTCTACCTGCTCACCTCTCAACAGAAAAATGCTTTTGTTAAAGGCACCGATGGCCTTCATATTGCCTAACACTATGATCACGTCCTCATCCTTTTACACTATATGTCCAGATGCCTTCAGTACATCTGACACCTCCCTCCTTCTCAAAGCTACTCTCCTCCCTCCTTCTTTATTTCCCTCCCTGTCTTCTCTCCTCTTTGCCCTGCCTTGTTTTTCTTCTTAATCATAAAATTATTTTATTGATATTTTAAGTGGCATAAATACAATAAATTTGAGGGAGAATGAGGAAGATGTTAGCTAATGAATAGGTCATGTAGGCCTCCACAAAGCTTCAGGACTAATACAGACATGAACAGACACCTGAGCTTGCCCTTGTAACTCCGCGAACACACCACAAGCTTCAGGATAGTTTGTCTCTGATGCTCAAGTAGTCTCAGGAGTTACCAGACAATGGTGGGGAGAGATAGCTTAGAAGTGACGCTCTCTGTACACACATATAAAAACCGCTGATGCAGCACCTTGTAGGCCCCTTTTAAAGCGTGATGATTCCTGTGATGGTTAATACTGAGTGTCAACTTGACTGCATTGAAGGATGCAAAGTATTGATCCTGGGTGTGTCTGTGAGGGTGTTGCCAAAGGAGATTAACATATGAGTTAGTGGGCTGGGAAAGGCAAACCCACCCTTAATCTGGGTGGGCACCATCTAATCAGCAGCCAGTGCGGCCAGAATGTAAGGCAGGCAGAAAAACGTGAAGAGACTAGGCTGGCTCAGCCTCGCAGCCTACATCTTTCTCTCATACTGGATGCTTCCTGCCCTCGAACATCAGACTCCAAGATCTTCAGCTTTGGACCCAGACTGGCTTCCTTGCTCCTCAGCTTACAGATGGCCTATTGTGGGACCTTGTGATCGTGTGAGTTAATACTACTTAATAAACTCCCATATAGATATATATATATTACTTTTGTCCCTCTAGAGAACCCTGACTAATACAACTCCCTTTGAACTCCAAGTTTATTTTTACAGAGAGCTTGTCCTGCTACTGACAGTGTATTGACTTGTATTTGGTAATCCCTTCCATTTTGTGTTTCTTTATCTGTTAGTCAATCTCCTTCAAACATTCCAAATAAATTTGAATTCTACAAGAGAAAGTACAAATCCTAAAGCCTTCCCTTTATGATCTGGATTTAATATGGGAATCCTTATGTCAACATGAAAGATAAGGAAAACAAAAGAATGTTCTGTTCCAGTCATGGGGGAGTAGAAGGCATGGAGACAGTGTCTCATCCCAGTCTCTCTTCTAAGGGCCTTATCTTACATGTGACAGGTGTGTCAGAGAAGTGGAAGGGAGTTCCAAATAAAGAGATTTTTGCCCAACTGAAATTTAGGACTCAGAAGTTTACTTTTGCAGGATGAAATAGTGAGCTCCTTGGTTAGAATAATGGCTGGAGTTCAGGAATTTCTATTTTTGGAGCTGATCTTGGTTCCTGCAGGGAGCTAACATTCTCTGAGAGGGGGACTGTGGAAGTGGCTGATTCAAGAGCCAGGGGTGCTACCATGAAACAAGCATAAGCCAGATAGGGGCTAGGTGACCCTGCAGCTGAGGCTGTGGTGTGGACAGCCCTGCCCAGATGTGGGAGGGAGATGAGGCCCAGATTCAGAGGGGTCTGCTGATGCCAGCACGGGTGGGCCAAGGCCGAGTCAGCCTGGGAGCACCAGATTCCCTCACAAGCCACCGAGAACACTGCAATCAACATAAGATGTCACCGACCCCTTCCCATTATCACCATGAAGACTGGAAAGCCATACGCACCATTAATCATCTTGGAAAGGAGTAGGGAGGTGGGGCAGAAAACTGGGAGACTGATCATTTTCAGCAAAACAGGGTGAGCATTTATACAAATGGACCATTCACATGATAGCATCAGCTGACACCAGATTAAACATAACTCCAGTATTTTCTCACCTTCTTGTCCAGTACAGAGGTTATACATTCATAATGAAGATCAGATCAGTCTTAGCAAGTAAATGCATCAAAGCCCCCAATCAGGTCTGAGAAGCACGAATTAATTTGTGGTCTCTGCACACCATCTCTTCCAGCTCCCCCTCTGCCCACTGTCTTATCAGTCCGTGGAAGAGGGCATTGAGACATCCTTGCCTCCTCTTCTCCTTTAACCGAGGACAATTTTAACCTGTTATAAATTGACCCTGACAACAGAGCACAGAAAGAGGAGAGGACCAGAAGAGAGACACACAGAGTGGAGTAACAGATGAGAGTTATTGCTGAGGTGAGCAGGGCCTCCTCAAGGCTTACAGCTGCCCTCCACAAGTGATACCAGGCTCCACTGCCCTTTATGAACACAGAAATTCTTTCTCAGGGTCTATGCCCTGGAGCTTAGAGTCAGAAAATATTCGTAGCTCTGTGTACTGCTGGAGAAAATCACAGAACCACATGTTAGAACCACTGCATTTTCATAGTCATCATTGTCTCCTGGGATCTCAGTGCCCAGCAGCAGGCTTTCTTGGTGACTCTTGTCCCCCCTCCAGTCCCTTCTGAGGGGATCCCAAGATTTCTCCTCTCTCCTGGAACCCTCTACCACACATCTATCCCCTCGCTTTTAGCCATAGCAAATTCCCATTCTCACCTGAGATCCAAGCAGGTAGTGAGAGGGAGGAAGGCCTCAGTGCTGGAAAGGGGTATGGATTCCGTTGTCTTGGCAACATTCTTCTTCACATCGGCACTGGGTCACTCAGCTCAGATCCATGGTTGGTTACCTGGGAAACTGAAGCTTTATCCATCTGACTCCAGAGAATAGCAAACAAAAGAGTGGAAACTAAGAGGATTATCATGGGAGGCCACCCACAGACATGGAATCGTGACTCTCAATAGATGTGTTTGTCACAAGGGTCCTTGCACATGCAGAGACAATGTACATGTGTTTACTCAGTAGCACTCATTGCTCCCTAGAGGAGCACAGTGACTATGGCAAAAGGTACACATTGGGGAGGCAGAGGATGAGGTGGGAATGTAGGCACGTGACAGATCATGAAAAGCATGGAACATATAATATCAACGACAACCTCTTCACTGAACGTAACCAAGATGCTGTCTCACAGTCCCTTGCAGCCATGAGTGAGCACCTCACTGTGAGGGTATGGGCAACTGCTTCTCCATAATGTACAAGGCCCCTCTTCAACGGTTGAATTTGGGGGCTACATTTAGAACTCATAAAGGCAAACTATTCCCAATATGGTAGAAAAACAAGTCCCCAGAGCTCCAACCTTCCAAATCTATTAAGGAAGCCCAACATGTGGTAGGAAACTTTGGATTCTGGCACCATGACATTCCTCACATCCAATATTTGCTGGATGCTATCTATGGAGTCTCCCTTAAGTCTTCTGCTTTCCAGTGGGGACCTGAGCAACAGACACTAGAGAAACTAAAGGAAGCTATTACTTCTCTTCTCTCATCTGCTCCAAAGGCATGACTTACAATGAGAATTTTCTGCCATGCCAAATTTGCTTCCAGGCGCCTCTGGACCAAATGGATAGGCAAACACCTACCCATCAGCTTTTGCTGTAAGTGGCTCCCAGCCTAAGCCCAAAGATATTCACCATGAGCGAGGCACCACCTGGCAGTGTACTGGGCACTTCTTAAAACTAAAGCCCTTACTGGGGTAGAGCCAATTACCCTGTTATGCCCTGCACAGTGGAAGAAGCTCTCCTTAAAACTGAATCTGCAACAGAGACTCCCTTATAAAATGGTCTTCCCAGAATCCAGCTAAAATCAACCCTACTGGAGTGTCACATCCCATGAGCAAATAGCCACATGCCCTGCCCATAAGGCTAACTTGCCAAACCTCAGAAATGGCTTCATCCCTTGCTCAAGGGGAGCCAGAGGGAGGAAGGCCAGCACCCTAAAAACAAGAGAAGCAATGCTTTTTTTCCTCTCCCAAGTATATTACCTAGACAATGGAGATATAATTAGCAAATCCCTGTAGTTATTTTTTATATAATAACCTACGACAGGATATAAACTTAAAACCACATTTATCCTGAGTAGGATCCACTATAGTTACAGGTTTGGTGATTATAGGAAATGTCAAGACATTAGGGAAATTGAATTTTCCTTGCAGGATCCATGAACATCTTCAACCAAAGCAGAAATAGCCTAATCAGAAGAGAGGTGAGGGTTCAGGTCACCAAGTAAGGTTCAGTTGATTTGGGGTTGGAGGAGCTTCAAATCTTCTAAATCTTTGCATAATATAGCCCTGATAATTTAAATGAGGCAGTGCTTCATAAACTTGGTTGAAATAAGAATTTCAATGGAGTCATAGTTTATTTAAAAAGAAAAATTTACCTCCAAGGGGCAGATGAAAGAGTCAGTGTTCCTCTTCTGACTGAAGGAGAAAACTCACAAATGTGAGTTTAATGTACATCTTAAAAGAAAACAGAAGCTGTGATCGGTGGTTCACATGTATAATCTCAACACTTTGGAAAGCAGAGGCAGGAGGATCGCTTTAACTCAGGAGTTCGAGACATGTTGTCTGTCATATGTGGGAGCTAAAAATTTTGATCTAATGGAGTAGAATTTTGGTGACCAGAGGCTGGGAACAGGGGGTGGGTGGGATGAAGCGAAGTTGGTTAATGGGTACATACAATTAAGTAAAAGGAATAACTTCTATTTGATAGCACAGTAGGGTGACTAATGGTAACAATAAATTATCATATATTTCAAAATGGCTAGAAGGGAAGATTTGAAATGTTCCCAGCACAAATAAATGATAAATGTTTGAGGTGATGGATATCCTAAATACCCTGATTTAGTCATTGTCCTTTGTATACATATATCAAAGTGTCACATGTACCCCATAAATATGTACAACAATGTATCAATAAAAAAGAAATAAGTAAACAAAATACAATCTAATTTACATTGGTGTATGTATACACAATGGAATACTATTCAGTCATATAAAAGAATGAAATCCCATCATTTGAGGCAACATGTATGGGCTTCAGATGTGTGAGCCTGGAGGACATTAAGTGAAATAATCCAGACACAGAAAGATAAATACCGAATGTTCTCATTGATATGTGGAAGCTTAAAGCTTTTATTTCATAGAAGTAGAGAGTGGAATCGAGATTAGTAGAGTCTGGGAAGGGTGGGGGATGAACAGGTAGAGTTTAGCTAATGGATACAAAATTAAGACTAAATAAGAGGAATAATCTCTAGTCGTCTATTTAGCACTGTAGGGTGACTATAGTTAACAATAATCTATTGTATATTTTCAAATAGCTATAAAAGAGGATTTTGAACGTTTCCAACACAAAGAAATGCTAAATGTTTGAGGTGGTGGATATGCTGATTATCCTGATTTGATCATTACAAGTTGTGTATGTGTATCAAAATATCACACTGTACCCTGTAAATATGTACAATTATTATGTATGAATAGGATATATGTACACACACACACACACACACACACACACACATATGTCCTAATTTACTAACAGAAAGCTACTAGCTCATCAAGGCCCCCTTCCTCTCCTTCCCTTTCCTATATGACCTACCACACTCATAAGTTATCTAAAAGTAAGTAATGAGAACTGAAACCATGCACACAGCTTACTGCCTATATGAACAAGAGTTTACTATTCCACTGGCTTCATTAACATAACATTATTACTACAATAATCTCTTGCCTGCGAAGATAAAAGTTGAACATAACTTTATTATTGATTCTAGGAACTGCATAAAAGGCCTATCCACTGTTCAGTAAAAAGTGCCAAATGGCATTTTACAACCTCAAGACTCTTTGAACCACTTGCCTTAAAATCCTTGACTTGCTGTGTCCACCAAACCTAAAACCAGCATATCACTATTCCCACCCAATCACATCCTTCCCCTACATTGAAAGACCTGCTTTATGCCAGATTTCAAAATATGAATAAGTGTCCCCCAAATCCTTCTACCTCTGAGACTCTGCTAAGACCCTGTTCAGGAAGTACTCTTCCTTACAGCCTTATGCAATAAAGTTAGCTTTGCTTATCAACAAGTTATTTGGCTGATATTTGGGGAGTACAGCATATGATGAGTATAGTCACCACTGCTGTACTTCATGTCAGAGTAGACTGAGCCTAAATCCTAGGTCCAGTATCTATGGATATTTCTGAACCATGCACTGTGACCACAGGCATATTCAGGGAAATCAGTTACCAGTCAGGAGATTTAAATGTAAAAGAACGTAACCAAAAAAAGGAAACAGGTCTTAATGTATTTATTCTACGATGCCGCTATGGTCTTGCTGTTGTGGCGCCCCCTGGACAGGGTAGGAAGGTGGGCCATAGAGGGGAGGTGGATCAGCTCAGAAAAGGGTGAGTTGTGAAAGGAGACACTATCTGAAGTATTTGAGTCCTGGAGGCATATGAAACTGCCCACAGATAACTGATTCTGGAGTTTTTAGTGGGGACCTGGGAAGGGGCAGGGTGGAGTAGGATGGGGCGGGGCACTGCAGTCTAAGAGGCAAGAGCCGGCCTCAGTGCACATGTTTGCTGGGTGTCTTCCCGTCTGCCCCTTCGCACTGCGTGGTGAATGCCGCCAAGCTGCGCGGGTGCTGGTTACATTCCTACCGTCTGGACTCTTTCTGGATGACTGAGACACAGCTGATAGGTCCATAGGTCAGTCCTCCCAGGAGTTTAAGTGTCAGTGAAGTGTCAGGTGGAGTTAGCAGGCTTTGGGCAGGTCAGGCAGTGTGGTAGGTGGCTTCACAGCGGGAAGGGCCTGGAGGTCATTGTTCTTTTAAGAGGTGGCTATTCTGCCGCCAGCCTTGTCGTTGTGGGACAGGGGAGGAAAGTGGGTCATGGAGGGGAGGAAGGTCAGCAGAAGATGAGGTGAGTTTTGGAGGAGGACATTATTTGAGGCATCTGAGCCTTTGAGGCTATGAAACCGCACACAGAGGATGGATTCCGGAGTCTTTAGTGGGGAACTGGGAGAGAGGGTGGGACAGACTGGTGCACCACAGCTGCCATGAATGGTGACAAGTTGGACATAACCAGGTCCACATGTGCTTGTGCCTTTCCACAATATCAGGCTTTTATTGATGCTAATTCAGTCGTAAAAGCCACAAGCTACACGGAGTTCCTAAGGAGGCAGTTCTCCTTAGCACTTATCGTTCACCTGGTAGTTAGAGCAGCAGGCACACAAACTCAAGCCACTCCACAAGTCAGTCAGTATTGCAAACCATACATAACAGTATGCTAAATCAATTTATAAGTGTTATAAGTTAAACATTCCACAACAAAGTAACACTTTTCATCAAAGTAAAACTTTTTCATTGAGAGGAAAAAGAGGACAAAGGGTTAAGGAACCAGTCCAGGGGGGGTGAAGAAGACAAAAAGAGTCCTGGTCTGGGCTGAGTGGTCCATGGGTCTTGCAAGGAAGTCTTTGACGTGGCAGAGCCTTTGGCAGCAAATGCCAAGTTCTTGTCATGATTGATTGCAAGAAGGTGTCAGTTAAGACAGATGTTTGAAACTGCTGAAGGCCTAATCTTTTATAGTCACAGGGTCCTCTGGTAAGAGCTGATCGTGGAAGAGTGCTTGTTTGTGTCCTTATCTGGTTGGATGCAGTCTTCATGTTTTATTTGTTTATTAAACAAAACATGCTATTATTGTTGGCAAAGTGCCCTATGAAATATAAAATGGAGTATTTTTCTAAGATGGTGTTAGTTATGTCAAGGGTGCTCTATACAATCTACTCCAAGATTTTAGTAATCATAATGCAAACAATGTTTGAGGAAGGGGTTACAAAAATAAAAAATGACAAGTCACCATGGGAATTAATTTCCTCTTGGTAACTTGTTTACAATTTTGTGTTACAAAGGCTGAAAACGCAGATCTTAAGTATATGGTAAGCAAAGAGGATGTTTACAATGAAGATGACAACGTTCTGTAAATGTTCACAGATATATTTAGACCAATTCCAGAGTCCAGTTTTTAATATATTGATTGGGTTCCAGTCTGACCATGAGCCTTCATAAGGGGTATGGCTAAAAGTCTTCTTAATCATTTGGAAGAAGATGCATCTTCTGTGTAAGCCATCTAGTTTGAATGCTATTTTATTTGTGTTTAGTATTGCTAGTCCATGTGTTACTACCTCAGTGGTGTGTTTTAATTGTGCTAATTCTGTTTGGAATGTGTCATGAACTTGTTGAAGTTCCTTAGAGCTTCCTTGTGAAAGAGGAAAAGTTCCCTTATCCCCTCACAGGGCATGTGATGTGGGTGTGGCTTGCTTCTTCAGTGCCTGCTGCTCAAACCTCTAGGGGGAGCATGCAGACAGGCATGTTGTGGGGCTCTGACCCCAAGGCAGTGTCTAGGGGTGAATGCTTACAGCTCCTGAAGCCCCAGTGGGAGTGTGTTACAAGGTGCTCTTTTAGTTTAGCCATCTGTAGGCAGCTTGTGTTAGCTCAATTAGACTCCCTACCTTATCGCGAGGACAGAGGGCTTTCTGTATGCCAGGATTTCTTGCCTTGGTGTACTGGAAGAATCAGATCACATGTGGGTTTGGAGAATGAATGCAATGTTTTATTGAGTGGAAGTTCTCAGCAGATGGATGTTGCAGGAAGTCAGGGACCCCAAACGGAGGGACTGGCTGAAGCCACGGCAGAAGAACGTAAATTGTGAAGATTTCATGGATATTTATTGGTTCCCCAAATTAATACTTTTATAATTTCTTATGCCTGTCTTTACTGCAATCTCTGAACATAAATTGTGAAGATTTCATGGACATTTATTACTTCTCCAATCAATAATCTTATAATTTCCTATGCCTGTCTTTACTTTAATCTCTTAATCCTGTCATCTTTGTAAGCTGAAGATGTATGTCACCTCAGGACCCTGTGATGATTGCGTTATCTGCACACATTGTTTGAAAAGCACGTGTGTTTGAACAATATGAAATCTGGGCACCTTGAAAAGAACAGGATAACAGCGATTTTCAGGGAACAAGGAAGATAACCATAAAGTCTGACTGCCTGTGAGGCCGGGCAGAACAGAGTCATATTTCTCTTCTTTCAGAAAGTGAATAGGAGAAATATCGCTGAATTATTTTCTCAGCAAGGAATAACCCTGGTAAATGCATATCTGATTGCCTTCTTTAGAGAGGCTCATCAGAAACTCAAAAGAATGCAACCATTTATTTGTCTCTTATCTACCTATGACCTGGAAGTCTCCTCCCTGCTTCGAGTTGTCCAGCCTTTGCTTCGAGTTGTCCCGCCTTTTCCAGACTGAACCAATGTTCATCTTACATATGTTGATTGATGTTGCATGTCCCCCTAAAATATATAAAACCAAACTGTGCTCTGACCACCTTGGGGACATGTCATCAGGACCTCCTGAGGCTGTGTCACAGGCATGTGTGCTCAGCCTTGGCAAAATAAACTTTCTAAATTAACTGAGACCTGTCTCAGATATTCAGGGTTCACAGTTATAATAGGTCAGTGTGTTGTTCCTCTCTAAGCTTATTATCTAATTGAAGTTTCATAAGTCTAGAGTCATTGTGGGGATTTTCGTGATGCTGATAGTTGAGTAATCTAGTTTAGGAACTTTGTCCTGACAGGTAGAGTATATAGTGTTTGATCATTGGAATATTAATTCTTTTTGTATAAAATAACCATCAATAAATAGTGGTCTTTCTAAGGCAGTTATATGTAGATTATGTCTTATCTTTCTGTGTAATTGCCATTGTGTCTTATGCCATTGAGTCTCCTCCTCTTAATTCAAGTAGATTTAATATACATTGCCCTGAATCCTGATGCTTTGGATGTATCCAATTTAACTATAGACATTTTGTCCCAATTTTCTGTGAATAATTTTCCTGATGTGTATAATGTTCCTTATGTCATTCCAAGTCTGAGTTAGTAAAATACTTAGCCTAATACACTGTGTTTGCAGCAAGTTTTTCACCATAAAGTTTCTTAATGTAAATAGGTTAGTTTTTAGGTGTTTAACTTGTGATCAATATTGTAATTGAATTCCTTTTGGGATTCTGGGAGGTCGTGTGTATGAGTCATCATTGACTATATCTCGTTAATTGCCTATGAGATAGATGAAAGTATAGATGTGGTAGTTGTTTGCAGGAGTTACGTTTATGTTCATAGGTCTGTATTAACTTCCTAAATTTTTGCTTCTTGTATTCCTGAAATGACTGAGTTTGAAATAATTCCAATTGCTGCAAATAGTTGTGGTGGTTTTCTTAGATGATATTTATCTAGTGAAGGTAAATTTGGTAAAATGAACTGCTTGTCATATCCTTGTCCCTCAAATTACATAACTTGTGGTTTGATGTATGTGACTTTAAGTTCTTTTTTGAAAAATATTTTGACTCTCCTAGGTGCTGGTTTGTAAATTAATCTTAATGGGTTAATTAGGATAGGTTCAACTAAATTTGGTTTTCATAATTTAGATAGAGGGTTTGTTATTCCTTTGGTACACTGTGGTGTCCAGTGGTGTGTTCCTAAGCAATGTGTCAGTCCAGCATCCTCTGCGAATTATGCATGGCCCAAGGTTCTGGGGTTTAACATAGCATTTTGCAAAAGAGATATCTCTAGCTACAAATACAGGTAAGTGGGAGTCTAGTTTGGCTATATTTTGATAAATAGGATGTTGGACTGACCATATAACTTTATTCTATGATCCATCAAATGGCTGAATCATGAAGAAAAAGTAATTTGACATACCTGAGTCTATTTTTGTGACTTTATCCATATTTATTTTGGTTCCTAGTGTTTCCCACCAGTTAATTGACTTAAATTGTGTATTGTTTCTATCTACATCTTCAAAATTAAAGTTTACATCATCCTGAATTACCAGTGGATACATTGTAAAAATAACTTGATTTTGTATATACTTAGTTTTCCTGGTAAATTTGTCTAATATAGTTATGTCTCTTGGTTCATTTCCTGTAAAGAATGTGCCAATAACCTCTGCTGTTTTGTAGGTCAGTGTGAATGGTCCAAGTACTAAGAGTGAGTTAGATAATAGCAGATTGTATATATCTGGTCTGTGAGTAGATGTGAATATTAATTGTTCCCATTTTGTTTGTTGTAATTTATCAAAAATAACTGTTTCTAATGTCCAGTTTCTAATGTCCATGGGTTTCTAGAAGATGTCGACATCCAGCAATCAGTAAATTTAGTAGGGATTTTCTATGTCATTGTATCTATTGTGATGACTGGGAACTAGTGTGGTTTTTGTGGTTGTGTCCAACATAAGCCTGCTTTGGTTTCTGTCACATTCCACCATAGAGTGGACTTTCCAGTTATGATAACATATCTGTCTACATTCTCTATAAACTCTTTGCTTATTGTGTAAAGGTAGTTTTGATATATTGTAGCCAAGTTTGCCATTTAATGTTGTAAATTTAGCATGTGTTTTATTATGCCAAAGTCTGAATTGTGCTGTGTCTGTTGGTTTGTTTTGTTTTGTAAAGCCTGTTGATCTTGGAACGTGTAACCATGTTAGTAAGCAACTTATAGTGTAGAATGGGCAAGGATAAGGTTTTCATCCGTGGGATAATGAAATGTAGCTTTAATATATGTAAAGTTAAGGTTAAAGCATATTAATGTTGGTTGTCCCTCAAAATGTATATCTTGTTGGGTAGTGTTGATTCTATTTTTTATCTTTATAAGTTCCTTATTTGTGGAGGGCAAGTATAAGTATACTTGTATTCAAGACAAGCTTTATCTACATACATTGTTTTAGTGTGTGTTTCAAAGGTAGTGTGTGTAAAGTGATAGTCAGCATTAGTTAAGATTACTGGGTGTCATCTATGTTTTCAATATAATTCTGCCAGTGAGAATTTTTTAGCCTTATTAAAGAATTGTTACTCCAGCTCTCTTTTGTCTAATAAAAAGAAAAAAGAAGAATTGTGAGACTGTCAAATAATTTTGGCTTTTTGCGTAATAATCATAAGATGAACAGGGTGGGTGAAGGCAAAATTTCCAAAAAACAGCAAGTTAGGAAAGTTAATTAGATGATAGTTATAGTATGTCTTATCCTCTTCTGTTGTTATTATATCATAATCTAATGGATATCCTAGTGGCATTGACACTTTTTCCTGTGGGGGTCTGATATATGGGTGTAAGATGAAGTGGTTGGTTTTGTAGCTATATTTAGTCTTGTGTCATCCCTTGAATCTACTTCATAATCATAATGTTCATTTCCTTCAAGTCCAGATTGGTACCAGAATTCATACCAACTATTAACAAATGACTTGTAGGAGTGTCGTATCATATCCAAGCATGTCATGTGAGATCTTCCAACATATGGTTCTATCTGTGGTACTATGATTGGGGATTGGTATGATATAGCGCTTCTTATGTAATGAACTGTTTTGATTGGCATGTCTGTTTCTATTAGCATTTCTCTACCTATTATGTGAGCCATCCATGGTTTGAGATGTTATTGAATGCTTCATTGTAGCTGCATAAGTTGGGGTGTCACATTTAGTCATGTCATTTATGCATTCTTCTAAAGTATGTTTAGGAATATGCGCAAAGATTCTATAAAGATACAATGATTGGAAGTGTGTGTAAAAGCTAAAAGCTCTTCAGGCATTGCTTTGGGTCAAATGAATATGAACAAAATAGTCTAATTGAAGCTCTAAGTATTCTTTTATCAGTCCCTTGACTTTCTAACAATTGTTCAAAAATGATATATTTTCATGAAGTATATATTGCGGAATTTGTTCTGGTAATCGTGTGATTTTAGGTGCTGTATGAGTTGGCACTGTTGGATATGTATGTGTTTGAGGCTCAGAAATTTTAATGGTTACTTTAGGAATAAACAGTAGTAGCAGTAGTAGTAGTAGTAGTAGTAGTAGTAGTAGTAGTAGTAGTAGTATCTGTTATTTCCCTTCTATATCTCCTAACATATTTTAAGCTATTTGCATCAATCTTATGTTTGCTATTAATTATCAGATGTATAGGCATTAAATATAGCACTGAAAACAAACTAAGATATAATAATCTATGTCATCCTAATATTTCTCTAAGTAGTATAGTCAAAGATTGCTTCCAGTAGTAGTATTGCTGCTGGGTTAGGTTGGGGTAGAACAAAGTAAGGTAGTTCTATGGGGTCTGTCCTCTCTTATTAAGCAGTTTAGCAATGCAACTTATATAATAGGTTAGTAGCCAAGCAAGACTTATGCAGTCATTGGGGTGTACACTTTCAACTAAACCTTCAATAGCTCCTAATGCTGCAGTTAGTTCATAAACGTAAGGAGCAGGAAGGTGGCAGTGGCGCCTAGATTCTACAAAGTCTGGTCTGAAATTCCAGTCCATGCCTGCCTGTATGGGCCAGTCTGCTTGAGCTAATTCCTGAAGGAAATCTGGTGAAGGGGCTCTGAAAGCTATAGGTGGCGAACATGAGGCTGAAGCTTAAAAGGAAGGAGGGCAAGGCGGGATATACATGGATGATGGAGATCCTGGAGAGGCTAAGTCCATATGCTGGGGATGCATTATAGCTGTCAGTCTGCAAATTATTAATCAAATAATATACTTAACAAGCAGATAGTGAAATTTGTAATTTTTCTGCTGTGAGGGGTGTGTGTGCTTGTGTTAGTTTGATTTATCTGGTTACAGTCTCCCTGGTGGCAATATAAGTAATAACAAGGCAGTAAAGTTACTATGATGGCTAATATGAGGTGAATGAGAAAGTTGATAAGACCAGTTGAGAAGCTACACAAATTTGTAGCCATCTTGATGTCCTAAGTGAGTAAAGTATTTAATTATTCCAGTGATAGCTAGGAGTGATGTTGAAGTTAAAAATATTAGATTAGTGGTAAGCAAAATTGGATTGAAGTACACCTTCACTTATTCTCGTGGATAATATTAATGCAATGACTAGAATAAAGCATTGTAAAGAGAGATTGGAGATTTTGTCTAATTCTAACTCTCCTGTTTCCTGTAGTCTAACATGTGTTTCCGTGTCCATGGGCCACAGTGTCCTGTTGGGAGATAGTGTTGTTATTTAGTCTAGTGCTCACCTTGTAAGGTATAATATTTGTATCATATTCTTCCTTATCTTTTGTGACAGTTAAGTTTGGGTGATTAAGATAAGAATGGAGGCTGCTCTTATAGTCTTTCTCTTTGATTTAAGTTGAAACATGCCAGGTTAAGAGCTTGTTGAAATGTACTCATTTGGTCTAAGGCTTTCCATTCTCTTTTTATTAGCCATTAAATCTTTCTATATATCCCACTGCTGTAAGATTGCAAGGTAGGTAAAAATTTAATTATATATCCCATTGGTCCACCAATGCTTGTGTGGTCCTTGATGTAAAATGAGTTGCTTGATCACTTTCAATCATTTTGGGGGCTCCATAGTGAGCCGCCCAAATTTCTAAGGCTGAGATATTATATTTGGCAAATGAGTGGCTAGCTGCTGTTGCTATGCCAATCCCTTTATATATATCCACCATTGTAACTGCATATTTTTGTTAGTAGGAGCGATTTAATGGTTCTATAAAATTTACCTGTAAGCAGAAATTAAAGATGTCAGATTTGTATGTATATTGGTTTAGTATATTTATATTTGTCCAGATTAGTTTTACATTATTCACAATTACCTGTAGCCTTTTTAATTTGATGTCATGTCACCTTTTGATTTCTGACAGCCACTTGTACAGTGAGTGTGTGCCTAAATGTCCTTTCTGCTTACGTAATTGTAGGAGCATTTGTGGAATGTAAGCTGCTTCTGGTGTCTGTTTAATTTTTTTTTTTCAGGTGGAGTCTCGGTCTGTTGCCCAGGCTGGCGTGCAGTGGCACGATCTCAGCTCACTGCAACCTCTGCCTCCCGGGTTCAAGCGATTCTCGTCTCAGCCTCCTGAGTAGCTAGGATTACAGGCAAGTGCCACCACGCCTGGCTAATTTTTTTGTGTGTTCTTAGTAGAGACAGGGTTTCACCATGTTGGTCAAGCTGATCTCGAACTCCTGACCTCGTGATCCACCTGCCTCGTCCTCACAAAATGCTGGGATTATAGGCTTGAGCCACCACACTCAGCTGTCTGTTTAATTTTCAAGTCATACCCCTGTTTCATTATAGTTATTGGGGGGTACTTGTACTATCTCACATTCATTGTCTGATTATCTCCTGAGTTGTAGAAGTGGTAATGAATGTCTCCATGGGTTGTCTGGATTTCTGTGTAGTTTTAATTTGGGTATGTTTTGAGTGTCAATGTTTATATTCCCTGTTAATGCATCTACTTGGTTATTAAATTTTGTGGTCTCTGAATTGTCTTTTTGGTGTGCTGATTCATGCATCACAAATATCTAAATTCAGTTTGATAATTCATATAGTTCCTTCCAGTAAGATGTGGACTGTATGTCTTTACCATTAATTGTAAAATTATTTTGTTTTCATTTATGTGACTATAGGACTATGCCATTTGCAACTGCCCATGAGTCTGTAAAAATATAAATTTTCTTTCAATTTTCTGATAGTGTCTGACTGGTAGGACAGCTGCACTCAGTTCTGCATGTTGTGTGGGGAGAGATTTACCTGCTTCCTTCAGGATTGTTTATTTCTGGGGTCTGAGTGCTGTTGCTGTCCGTTGGGTCTGGCTTTGGGTCATGGAGGCTGATCCCTCTGTAAACCAGGTGTTGGACAGTACATCAGACTACACTGGGCCCCATTTACCTACATTTGCATGGATTGTCCCTGTCCTCAGAATAAATTCCAGCAAGTTTATTTCAGTCTTGTGGATCTCCTTGGTGAGGAGGCCTGGTTGACCCTTAAAGCCTGTATCTCGACCCTGGATGTACCATTTCCATGCAATCAATTTGGATACCTATTTATTCTTCAGGACTCAATTTTATCCAGTGAAGGAGAGGTATATGGTATCTAATGGTAATGGTGTTGTTACCAGTCAGAGGCTCAATGTTTGTGAGGGCTTCATGTGTAAGCCATATATATTTTTCAAATGGGCTATATTTGTTGTTTAGAGCATGGGAATTTTGTTGTCCAAAATCCGACCAGTAGGAAGGATTTAGAATCTGGTTTCTTTGTCCATAATGACAATGTTCCATATTCATTGCTCATTAAAATTTTCAACCTAAGTTGTGTATCTGGAGATGGCTAATGTTGTGTTTGGAATGTGGTAATGTAGTCTTTGAGTGTTTCGAGTGCTTGTGTTTGTTCTTGTCCCGATGTGAAGTCAGGATTTCCTAGTCATCTTACATATTGGTTTTAGGATGATGTTTAAATGAAGTATATGTTGTCTCCAGTATCCAAATACATCTGCAAGTCTTTGTGCTTCCTGTGTATTCTTTGGTGCCTTAAGGCTTTTTATTTTATCTACCACTGTGGTGGGGATTTTTCTCCCTTTTAATGACCACTGTACTCCTAAAAATTTGCAATTGGTGTTTGGACCTGTGTTTTTATCTCTATTAATAGTCCATCCCAGTGATCTTAAGTGTGTTATTGAGATTTTTTTTCTTGTTTAAGTGTTTCATGGTCATTGTTTACCATTATAATGTCACCTATATATGATATTGTTAGTGATGTGTATTTTGACTGGTCTATGTGTGATGATAAAATGGAGTGAGCTATTACTGGACAACTTAAATATCCCCGTGGTAATATTTTATATTGGAATTGTTTGCCTTCCCAGGCAAAAGCGGTATATTCCTGACTTTCTTGGTCTATTGGTATGGCAAAGAACATGTCCAACATGTCTATAGTTACACAGTATTTGTCATTACAGTTAGTGATCTTATTAATGACTTCTTCATCTGGTAATACTCCTGGCATTTTAGGTATGACTTTATTTAAATTTCTATAGTTAATAGTTATTCTATAGCTCCCATTTGGGTTCAGGACAGGCCATGCTAGACCATTAAAGTTATTTGAAATGCCAATTGTAATAAGTTCTTCCTTAAGAAGTTCTAGAATCTTTGCTTTTATTTCTTTGTGTCCTCCCTTTAATGGATATTGTTTACTGTACGCAACCTGGTATGGTGTAGACAGTCTTATGCGCTTCATTTTAATTTGTGCTATGTAAGAGAATTTTAGTTCCTAAGTTTCTTAATAGACCACCATGGGTTAAAAAGTTTCACAACTCGATCCATTCCTATAATGTTTTCTAGTTCAGGTGAATAGTAAATAGTGCAATGTATAAGTTTAGAGTTACAGAACCATATAGAAGCAGAGATAGGGAAGCCTCAAGTTAGTTTTCCTCCAAGTCCTTCTATGAGGATGTTTGTGTTAAGGTTTGTTGCATTATATCTAAGACAGCTTGTGATTCAGTTTCTAAATAAATGTATAAGTATGTGTATATTTGTCAATTTGTATAGTTAATTGTATGTATGGTCTATTATCCCCAGGATTGAGTGTTACAGTTCATACCCAGGGGGTTTCTCATTTGTTGAGAAACATTTTCTTGCAACATTTTTCTGTTGTTGTTGCTGTTTTTGACATTGTGAGTTTGGCCCTGGACCTCGGGAGGTCCATTATTTTGGACCTTATTTTGGTATCTGGCTGGTGGCCTTAGATGGCCCTGTTGCCAGTGTTGGAAATAAGAACTTGGAGTCACAAAGAAAACGAGCACTCGAACAAAGGATTTCTCAGCAAGGTAAATTTACTTCTGCAGAAGGGTGCTGCTTGCACCTCTGGCCACTACGAGAGCACACTGAACAAAGGAGGGAAGGGGTTTTTATCCCTAACACACTCCCTACCTCTGTGTCACTCCCCCATGGGCTGGGGTCAGACCGCACAATCTAAGCTGACTTGATTGGCTATTTGTGAATATTTTCCCAAATAAGGGAAGGGAAGGGGGATGTGAGTTACAGGCTGGGACTGGTGGTTTTGGCGGGAAGAATAGTTGCAGTTGCAGAGTGGGTAACCAAGGGAACAGGTGTGAATTATTGATTAGAACTGGCTGGAAGGTTGTTTACTGTAACTAGGGGCAAGGAGGCACAAAGAATGAGGAAGTTAGGCTTTGAAAATAGAGAACAAAGAACAAAGAAGTTGACCAAGCTGACTTTTTGAAGAGGAACTTACTGTACCTAACACCAGTTTGGTCCTTGTGGCCTTAGTTGCCAGTTATTTTGCCTGGGTTGCCAACTTGTCTGCCTTGGTTTATTTTTCCAAGGTCCTCCAGGTCTGTTTTGAATAAACATTCAGACTTATGTATTAAATGTAAAGAATTTTGGTGCCTTCCTGAGATTATCTCTTGGTGTTTTTTTAAATCAGGTTTGCCATAAATGTTACCTTGTGAGTTCCTGATAATTCGGCAGAAAGTTGAAAATTTTCTAGTATACTTTCTATGGTTCTTCATGCTGAGAGAGAATTAATGTAGGAGACTTTTAGGTTAGGTGGTGCTCCTGTAAGTGCTCTTTCAATTTCATTTGTAGCTGGAATTTCAGATGGAATGGTATATTGATTATATCCATCATTTATAATTCCTAAGATAGATAATTTTCTTGTATCCTTTTGTGCCTGTGTTAGATCAGTCCATTTAAGTCCATCACCAAATTTTGTTGGGTTTAAATATTGGGTAGATAGATATCAGGCTAATGTAATCCAGTCCCAGATGGATAGGACACATGTTGGATAATTTGTTGTTAGTTCTAATAATTTCTGATTTAGTGATGGGTTTTCTGCTAATGTTTTGATCTGATGCATTTCTGTGCCTGATAGTGCTGTGGTGTTTGCTTCATTATTGCATAATGGAAGGAGTCAGTCTGCATCTGTGGTCTGTCTTTGGCAAAAATTTATTCTTAGTTTTTGTAATTCTGCTGTGGTGTATTCTCTGTCCTCACTGATGTCCTGAGGTCTGCCATTTCCACTGTTATAATCTATAACTCTTTTTGTAGTTATTATAGGTCTTGCTGCATATATCCCACCCACCTCTGGGATCATTATATTCTCCTAGGTCCACTAGTTGGGGGTCCTTAGGACCCAGGGGTTCCTCCTTAAAAGTTACATCTGAAAGGGATTTACTTTTCCTTAAAATTCTGTGAGCTAGCTCTTTGGCTTTCTGAGGACCCCTGTATATCTGTGAGCTACTTTGCATTAAAAGTGCAGGAATTTCTTCAAAAGCCTAGCTCTTGGGAGCATTGAAATGTAAGCTCAGAGTTACATTTTCGAATCTTGGGAAGAGGCTTGTCAGACACATTGTTTGCTTTCTGCTGAGATAAGGAATGTATCACTCTGCCAGAGTATGACTTTTTACAGATTATTAAATAAAGTTGTGTATGTCTCAAAAAAAGTGCAGGGATTTCTTCTCTGGGGGCTCTGGTAATTAAAGGCTTAACATTTTGTCAGGTCCCTCAAGTCTGACCATACATCCTTGGGGGATCCTACAGGGACTCTTTCTGACTTCCAACTCTGTTGGGTACCAAGGACTCTCAACACTAAGTACTGTATTTGGGCGATGAGCCCTCTGGCATGCCTGCTTAATTTTCTTAACTAGAACCCACATTATGCCATATTAGTAGCTACTTTATATAGTTTCTTAATAATATTTCAATTTCCCACCTTAACCGACTGTCTGAGTGGAGGTTATGTAATAATTGACTTTCTTTTGGCCAAATTAAAAATTTGTTTTGCCAGTCAGCATCCCATAAATTGAGACCTGCTTGATGTGAGCATTCCTGGCTCCCCCAGCTTCCTAGCTTGGCATCAACCAAGACCTTGTCAGCCGTTGGATCTTCACAACTTGAGCAAGTTGTCTTATCACCCAAGGTTTTCCTCAAGTAGCCAGGCTTTCAAGGTGAGGCGAGATTATGTCTGCTGTCAGAGAGCATGGCAGTTTGTTTTGTCAAATGGCGTGATTTCCAATGGAAGTTTTAGTGGGGGCTTTGGCCTTAAAATTGAGTACACCAATTATGCCAAGTAAGCCAACTGTGCCAGTTGTGCCCAGTAAGCTGACTATGCCAGCTTATCATGAGAAGTACTGGATTAGAAATAACCAGGTCCATGCATGCTTGTGTCTTTCAACAATATCAGGTTTTTATTGATGCTATCCAATCACAAAAGCCATGAACTACATGGAGTTCCCAAGGAGACGCTTCCCCTTAGTTCTTCCTGTTCACTTAGTAGTCAGAGCCACAGGCACACAAGCTTAAGCCACTCCACAAGTCAGTCAGTATTGCAAACCATACATAACAGTATGCCAAATCAATATGCAAGTGTTATAGGTTAAACACTCCACAACAAACAAAGTAAAATTTACCATCAAGAAGAAAAAGAGATAAGATAAAGGATTAAGGAATCTGTCTAGGTGGAATGAAGAAGACAAAAGGAATCCTGGTCTGGGCCAGCCAGTCAATTGGTCTTGCAAGGAAGAGTGTTTGTGGTGGCAGAGCCTTTGGCAGCAGATGCCAAGTTCTTATCATAAATGACTGCAAGAAGGTATCAGTGAAGATGGCTGTTTTGAGCTGCTGAAGGTGTAAACTTTTATAGTCACAGAGTCCTCTGGTGAGAACTGATTTGAGTGTGAAATGTGAGTGGGTGAGGAAGATTAGCATACAGGCCTTAACCAAGAAGAAATGGACAAGAATCTTCTCAGCCTGATAGGCCTGTGGTTGTGCGTACTTTAACATTTGATATTTTCTATTAGCTGAAATTTCTTTTTGTAATAGTGTTGTTGAACTAGTATAGATACACTGATAAAGATCTTCCATGCTGATAAAAAATGATCATGGCATCTCATGAAGGAAAGACTAATCTAAGAGGATTATGTTCTGGCTTTGCCTAGATGAATGATCTTGTGTTTCCCAGATTTTGCCCATGACTCCCTCCTCATGCTTATTGATAACAGATTGCACACATCTATCCCAACAGAGGTTAAAATGACTTCTAAAACCCTTGAGGGTGTCTCTGTCTTAGAGTAACCTCTCCATGGGAAGAGTAACTTTATGAAGAATAAGTATATGTTTTGTGGGATCTATGGGGTGTTGCTTTTCTGGCCAGAAACCTCTGCGGCTGGTGGCATCTTTGCCCAAGTTCTTGTCTTGTGTCCAGGAAGAAGGAGGTAGGCAGACAAGTGGAGAGTGAGCAAGATGAAAAAGAGCTTTATTGAGTGTTAGAACAGCTCAGAGGAGACCTGCAGTGTGTAGCTCCTCTCTGTACGTAGTTCCTCCTATCATACAGTGTTCAGCTCTCAGCAAAGAGGAGGCCTGGAGTGAGTGGCTCCTCTCTGCAGACAGGTCGTCCTGATGAGTGTTCACCTCTCAGCATAGAGGGTGGCTCCTTTCTGCAGCTTGTCATCCTGTTGTCTGCAGCTCTCAGCAGAGAGAAGGCTCTGAAGAGGGTAGCTCCCCTCTGCAACTGGTCGTCCTGAAGTCTGCTGCTCTGGCAGAATCTGGGGTTTGTATGGGCTTCAGGGAGAAAGTGCATGCTGATTGGTCCATGGGCAGCCGTGGGCAGGCCTGGTAAAAAGCACCATGAGTTCCCCCTCCAGTCCGCAGGAATGGCAGCCTGGATCCCAGGCTTCAGGCCTTTCCGGGCCTAAAGGTGGCGTTTCACCAGGGACCCCCCTTCTGCCCAGAAGCCTGTCGGACTCCTACCACCATTCATGGCTCCCAGACTGTTTGTGCCAAGGGCTGCCTGCAGGCCAGTGCTGAACTTCCTTCCGCCCCCCGACTCCATTTCCCTCCTGTGTTCATTGGTGCCCAAAGCCTGGGGGACTCAGGCAAAAGGTGTCTGGCAGGTCAGCACTACCCTGAGCGTGCATCCACCCAGCCGGGCTGTGACAGTGCCCAGGCGGCCCCAACCTTGCTCCACAATCAGAGCGGGCACTGGGAGTAGGGAGAGGCCAGGCAGTGGGAACAGGCACTTCTGAGCGGGGGAACAGGGGCCGTCCAGGGCTCCCAAGAGCACAGATATGCCTAGGTCCAAAGCCGAGCTCGGCAGGCTGCAGCTGCACCTGGGCAGCTCCCGTCCCACCAACTTGGAAGAGGCGAGGCTCCTGCTTGTCCCTGGCTCCCACTTGTCCTTGGCTCCCACCAGTTTCATGCAGTGTGCAGCCCCGGCCATGCCTCTGAGATCGGAGTGGACGCTGACAGTGCGGAGAAACCAGGCAGTGGGAGCAGGCACTTCCAAACCTGCCGGGGGGCGCCTTTCCTTGGCCCCCTAGAGCCCAGAGACACCCAGATCTGGAGCCACAGTAGAGCAGCTGCAGCCATACAGGGGGCAGGGCTCCTGCCTGCTCTGTGGAACAGGAGGCCGGGCCGTGCTGCAGCCAGTATGATGGCAGCTGCTGCTCCAGATGGGCCACCCCTGCCCCTGCCATCATATGGAATCATGTTGGAGAAATGTCTTTAGACTTACTTAGGATTAGAAATATCTATATATTCTGTATACTTATATTATTGACATGTATTAATAACAAAACTTTTTATTTGCGCACACACGCGTGCGGGCACACATACATACAACGCTAGTCCCAGGAGCCAAGTGAGAGAGAAGATCAGGGTGCAGCTGAGATTTAAGGTGCTGGGAAGGAAAAGAAGGAATGTCTGTGGTGGAGAGAGAGGAGGCCTATATGTTCATCATGCATTATGCCATAACTAGTAACAGGAGGAAAGAAAACATTAAGAAAGGATCTCAAACATTTCCTGAAAGTTGGCTGGAAAAGTGAAGAGTATAGTATGCAGTTTTGTGCAGTCCCTCACTATAAAGAATTTCCCTTTTTCCTTGAGACTTATTTTCTGTGTTTGAAAATACCTTTCTCATCAGTGTTCTATATTAGCAAATCCAAGAAAACAATGTTTAATATTAGTCATAAAATTGTGCACTATCTCTTAGTTATTGCATCAAAAACATAAGCATCTTTTAATAAAACGTATAGCGTGCCAAGTCAACACACTTATAACACCTAGGATAAGGCCTGTTTACATGGCGTTTTTAACTCCTTTCTAAATGAGACAACTCAGACTCTGAGATCGTGTCTTACTAAAGAGCACTTGACTGGTTGGGATAGATTGGTACTTCATTCCCTAAATAGTATTTTTCCCCTCTCTGTTTTTGTAAGTAAAAAGTGAATGGTTTTGCTTAAAATGCTTAATGATCAAATGTGTCTGCACTGTAAGGTAGCTCAGTACTGGCTCAGGAAAAGACACAGTTCAATGAAGAGACTCCAGAAAAGAGCTCAGTGAATGATGGCCATTGTCCTTTGGTTGATATTTTTTGCAGTAAATTTGGTAAAAGCTGGACAATTCAAGATACTGACCTATAAGTAGTTATATCACTATGACTTTAAGAGGCTTTTTAAAAGTTGTTTAAATACTTTCATAATTAGAAAAATCAAAAGTATCATAAGATTATCATGAAACAGAGATTATTTCCTCAAAATATAGTATTTCCAAACTAAACATTTACATAATTTGGTCCATGGATTATTTTAGCAATTCACTGTTAAGGAGTTTCCAAAACATGACTGACAACAATGCCCATTAATTTCTTCCCACCCTACTTCCTTATTCTCACTTCAAGACAGTAAATTCACTGTTAGTCACAATTAATTTTGCTATTATTTCTGGTACTTTGTTTCACATAGGATTCATTTATGAAATGTTACTTATAGGGCTTTTGGACCTAAATATGACTTTTTAAAATTTTTAATTTTTGTGGGTACATAGTAGGTGCATATATTTGGGGGGTATATAGAATATTTTGATACAGGCATACAATATGTAATAATCACATCAGGATAAATGGGGTATCCATCACCTTAAGCATTTATCCTTTGTGTTACAAACAATCTGGTTATACTCTTTTAGTTATTTTTAAAATGCCATTACATTATTATTGACTATAGTCACCCTGTTGTAATGTCAAATACTAGATCCTTTTTATTCTTTCTAACTTATTTTATTTAACATAATGACCTCCAGCTCCATCTATGTTACTGCAAATGACAGGATTTCATTTATTTTTATGGCTGAATAGTATTCCATTGTGTATATATACCATATTTTCTTTATCCATTTGTCCATTGATGGACACTTAGTTTGACTCCATATCTTGGCCATTGTGAATACTGCTGCAATAAACATCGACATGCAGGTATCTCTTCTATATACTGATTTCCTTCCTTTTGGATATATACCCAGTATTCAGAATGCTGGATCATATGGTAGATCTATTTTTTCTATTTTGAGTAACCTCCATACTGTTTTCCGTAGTGGAAATTTGCATGCCCACCAGCAGTGTACCAGCATTCCCCTTAGTCTGTATCCTCTCTAGCATCTGCTATTTTGTGTCTTTTTGATAATAGCCATTTTAACTGGGATGAGATGATATCTCACTGTGGTTTTAATATGCATTTCTCTGAAGATTGTGATGGCAGTGGCAGCCCATCTGGAGTGGCTGCTGTGAAAACACTGGCTGCAACAGGGAAGGCTCAGCAATGGCTGTGCACTCCCTGGAGCTGGTTGGTGCTGGGAATGGGCAGGAGCCTTGCTCCCTCAGGCCCCTCTGGACTTTGGGCACTGATGAGAGTGGGAGGGAGGCCAGGGGTGCTGAGGGTGGCTTGGTGCAGGCCTGCAGCACCAAACAGTCCCCTCTGCACAAACAGCCTGGGAAGCATTGATGGCATGTTGATGGCAGTAGGAGGCAGACAGGTTCCTGGGCAGAAAGGGGCAGGTCTGTTGTGAAGTCCCACTTTCAAGCCATGGGTGGCCTGAATGAAGCCTGCGGGCCAAGCTGCCTGTTCTGGGTGGAGTCTGTGGCCTGGAATGAAAACTTATGGAGCTTTTTCTGGGCCTGCCCATGACTGCCCATGAACCAGTCTGCACATGCTTCCTCCCTTCTAAGCCCATAAAAACCCCAGACTCAGCCAGACTCATACAGACATCAGGACTACCTGCCTGCGGAAAGGAGCTACCCACTATAGAACTCCTCTCCACTGAGAGCTGGACACTCATTGGGACAACCTGTGTGCAGATAGGAGCTACCACTCCAGATCTTCTCTCTGGTGAGGGCTGCACTTGTCAGGTCTACCTACCTGCAGAAAGGAGCTACCCACTATGGGTCTCCTCTCTTCTGACAGCTGGACACTTGTTGGGATGACCTGCCTGTAGAAAGGAGCTGCCCACCCTGGGTCTCCTTGCTGCTAGCTAGACACTTGTTGGACTTGTTGGGACAACCTGCCTGCGGATAGGAGCTACCCACTCCAGGTCTCCTCTCTGCTGAGGGCTGCACTCATCAGGACTACCTGCCTGTGGAAAGAAGCTACCCACTATGGGTCTCCCCTCCACTGAAAGCTGGAAACTCGTTGGGATGACCTGCCTGTAGAAAGGAGCTGCCCACCCTGGGTCTCCTTGCTGCTAGCTAGACTAGACACTTGTTGGGACAACCTGCCTGCGGATAAGAGCTACCCACTCCAGGTCTCCTCTCTGCTGAGGGTTGCACTCATCAGGACTACCTGCCTGTGGAAAGAAGCTACCCACTATGGGTCTCCTCTCCACTGAAAGCTGGAAACTCGTCAGGATGACCTGCTTGCAGAAAGGAGCTACCTACTTTGGGTCTCCTGAAAGCTGCTCTGTGGCTCAATAAAACTCCTCTCTGCCTTGCTCACCCTCTAGTTGTCTGTGTACCTTGTTATTCCTGGACATGGGACAAGAACTCAGGATCCACCCACTGAATGGCAGGACTGAAAAAGTTGTAACACAAACAGGGCTAAAACACGCCCTTCCACTTGCCACATTGTGGGTGACAAGAATGAGGGAAGAGTTGTGGCTCTTCGGGGAGCCCAGACCTAGGTGCTTTCCAAGCCAGGGCTATGACACCCTCTTTGGGGCTTGCAGTTTCTGGTATCTCCAAACTTCCAGGTGGCACTGTGTTCCCCTCATGCAGACACAGGTGCCTGCAGCAGAAGCCACTTCTGGTGCATCTGATCCAGTTGCAGGCTTGCATGGAGCTAGCACCTGTGCCAGTGACTGGCACTGCCTCCCCTGCTGCAGCAGCTGGCATGCCTGGCTGTGAACAGTGGCCGGACCCTGTGTTCACTTGCTCATGCACCCCTCACTGCTCTATGCCTGTCTTGCCCTTGGCAGGCCTGGAATCTGGACTGGTAGTGTGAGCTGAACACAGCCTCCCAGGCCGAATGGGCAGAGTGAGCCCCAGCAGACCCAAGCAAAACTCGGACAAAAGCGCCATTGGCCACAGAGGTTTCCATCTGGAAATGTGACACCTGATGATCCTGTGACATTTTGTAATATTGAGCATTTTTTCATATTCCTGTTGGCTGTTGGTGTGTCTTTTTTTTGAGAAATTTCTATTCAGATCTTTGCCATTTTTAATTGGATTACTTGGTTTTGTTGCTATTGAGTTGTTTGAGTTTCTTATATATTCTGGTTATTAATTATTTGTCAGGTGGATAGTTTGCAAATATTTTCTCCAATTCTGTAGGTTGCCTTTTCACTCTGTTGACTGTTTCCTTTGCTGTGCAGAAGGTTTTTAGCTTGATATAATCCCATTTGTCTATTTGTGCTTTGGTTTTGCTTTTAAGGTCTTAAGCAAAAAATGTTTGCCCAGACCAATGTCTTGAAGCATTTTCCCAGTGTTTTCTTCTAGTATTTTCTTAGTTTCAAGTCTTATATTAAATTCTTTAATCCAACTTGAGTTGGCTTTTTTATATGGTAAGAGATAGGGGTCTAGTTTCATTTTTCTGCACTGGAATATCTAGTGTTCCCTGCACCACTTATTGAAGAAACTTTCCTTTCCCCACCGAATGTTTTTGCTGCTTTCATGAAAAATCACTTGGCTTTAAATATGTGGATGTAAATCCAGATTCTCTATTCTGTTCCACTGGTCTGTGTGTGGCATGGTGTTATGCAAGCACCATGATGTTTTGGTTACTCTGGCTTTGTGGAATATTTTGAAGTCAGGTAGTGTGATGTTTCCAGCTTTTTTCTTTTTGCCCAGGATGGCTTTGGCTATTTGGGGTCTTCTTTGGTTCCATATGAATTTTAGGATGTTTTTTTCATTTCTGTGAAGAATGTAATTGACATTTCAATAAAAATTGCCTTGAACTGTAGATCACTTTTGGTAGTTTGGTCACTGATAATCTTTTCATTTTTAAGGAACTGACCTGGAAGCCAATCTTGAGGAACTGTCTCAAATGATGAATGGAGGTAAACATGGATATGGTACTGATATAAAGGGGGAGTTTGTGTCAAATATAGAGCCTGCTTGAGTGCCAGGAGCAGGCACATTGTTCATTAAGATGCAAAATTATGTGAATTTGTTTTCTACAAGATTATATATAATAATATACTGATAATGACACTGCTACTTCGATAACAGAGTTCAATTACAAATGGTCTTTGAAAGGTAATTCTGATCCCAAATGCCTGGTTACCTGACTAATACACTGTCATATACAGAAACAAATTGGATCAAAGCCATATTGAGTCATAAAATATGCAACCATTTTCTTACCTTTGAGTATAACAGTTAACAATTTTCAGATTCTTTTCTTATTTCTACTTTTAACAAACACAGAATGCATTTGTAATACCAGTTTGTGTGAAATATGCTGAGCCCTGAAGGAGATTGTAGTACTAGCTCTGCTATAATTTGTGAGATTCTGGATGAATCCCATAAATTATACACCTATCTTTGTGCTTTTTGAAAATAATGAATTCAAACCAGATGTTTTAAAATCAGTTTCGATACTGATTTCTGTATTCTCTGGTTCTTTTGGATAGAATACAAAGATATTCTGTTTTCCATGGTTGGTTTATCATAAAATATCAGCTTGAGTCAAGGTATACTATCTGAATTGAGATTTGATTGCTCCTAAGAAAATGAGTGTGCACTCTGCTTAATGTTTGTTTTTGTTTATGGAGACCTGAATGACTGTTCTTGGATCTTATCAACTTTTGAATTCTCTGGCTCTTAAAGAATAATTGCTCTTTAAGTTCTTCCCCCAGTGAAGCTTCAAATGACCAAATAATCAAATGGCAAGAGATAGTCTAGTTTCTAGTTTCTGTCACTGATGAGTTAGGGAGAGTGCATGGAGGTCAGTAAGGCCCAAGGTAGGTGTAAGATATCTGTACTAAGCACTCTCCCTACTCTACTCTCTGTCTTTATGAGCTACTATTTCTAATTAGACTATAGACGTGTATATGATATAATCACCTCTATATATCATATGTTACATATTACAAGTTTCTGCCTTGAGACATCCATTGATAGGATCTGAGATTCAAAGACCATAACATAGTAATTCACGAGTAGTCAACATAAGTATGTGTTGCATGTTTTCCAAATTGCTGACTGTTCATTACAGAAGATTCTGCATTTAAAGGAAGCATTTGATGTTTAGGGAAAAAATTACCTTGCATTAGTCTTCTAAATGTTTTTGCTCTACACTGCTGAACCATTCCATCAGATGACTTAAATTAAAAGATAGTTTTCAGACCACTTCAAGCAGCCATCTGAATATGGCTAAAATGCACTCTTAGGAAGATCATAGCCTTTAAATGTGTATGTTATTAAAACAGATAAATTACATGAACATCCAATATAAAAATAATGATACAGTAGCAACAGAACAAACCTAAGGGGAAAGGAAAGAGGTACTTAATAAAAGACATGTATGAATTATTAGTAAAAAGAAAAGTAATCCAACTAGTAAATTTTAAAAAGATTACTCTTTTTAGAAATAGCTATGAGGTGGAGGCAAGATGGCCAAATAGGAACAGCTCCAGTCTAGAGCTCCCAGCGTGAGTGATGCAGAAGACAGGGATTTCTGCATTTCCAACTGAGGTACCGGGATCATCTCACTGGGGATTGTCAGACAGTGGGTGCAGGACAGCGGGTGCAGTGCACCCAGCTTGAGCCAAAGCAGGGTGAGGCATCGCCTCAACTGGGAAGCGCAAGGGGCCAGGGAATTCCCTTTCCTAGTCAAAGAAAGGGGTGACAGACGGCACCTGGAAAATCGGGTCACTCCCACCCTAATACTGCGCTTTTCCAATGGTCGTAGCAAACGGCACACCAGGAGATTATATCCTGCACATGGCTCGGAGGGTCCTATGCCCACGGAGCCTCACTCATTGCCAGCACAGCAGTCTGAGATCAAACCACAAGGCAGCAGTGAGGCTGGGGGAGGGGCACCAACCATTTCCGAAGCTTGAGTAGGTAAACAAAGCGGCCAGGAAGGTCAAACTGGGTGGAGCCCACCACAGCTCAAGGAGGCCTGCCTGCCTCTGTAGACTCCACCTCTGGGGGCAGGGCATAGCCAAACAAAAGGCAGCAGAATCCTCTGCAAACTTAAATGTCCCTATCTGACAGCTTTGAAGAGAGTAGTGGTTCTCCCAACATGCACTAGGAGATCTGAGAACGGACAGACTGCCTCCTCAAGTGGATCCCTGACCCCCGAGTAGCCCTACTGGGAGGCACCCCCCAGTAGGGGCAGACTGACACCTCACACGGCCGGGTACTCTTCTGAGACAAAGCTCCCACAGGAACAATCAGGCAGCTACATTTGCTGCTCACCGGTATTCACTGTTCTGCAGCCTCTGCTGCTGATACCCAGGCAAACGGGGCCTGGAGTGGACCTCCAGCAAACTCCAACAGACCTGCAGCTGAGGGTCCTGACTGTTAGAAGGAAAACTAACAAACAGAAAGGACATCCACACCAAAACCCCATCTGTACGTCACCATCATCAAAGACCAAAGGTAGATAAAACCACAAAGATGGCGAGAAAAACAGAGCAGAAAAACTGGAAACTCTAAAAATCTGAGTGCCTCTCCTCCTCCAAAGGAACGCAGCTCCTCACCAGCAACAGAACAAAGCTGGACGGAGAATGACTTTGATGAGTTGAGAGAAGAAGGCTTCAGATGATCAAACTACTCTGAGCTAAAGGAGGAAGTTCGAACCCATGGCAAAGAAGTTAAAAACCTTGAAAAAAAATTAGACGAATGGCTAACTAGAATAACCAATGCAGAGAAGTCCGTAAAGCAGCTGATGGAGCTGAAAACCAAGGCTCAAGAACTACGTGACGAATGCACAAACCTCAGTAGACGATTCGATCAACTGGAAGAAAGGGTATCAGTGATGGAAGATCAAATGAATGAAATGAAGCAAGAAGAGAAGTTTAGAGAAAAAAGAATAAAAAGAAACGACAAAGCCTCCAAGAAATATGGGACTATGTGAAAAGACCAAATCTATGTCTGATTGGTGTACCTGAAAGTGATGGGGAGAAAGGAACCAAGATGGAAAACACTCTGCAGGATATTATCCAGGAGAACTTCCGCAATCTAGCAAGGCAGGCCAACATTCAAATTCAGGAAATACAGAGAACGCCACAAAGATACTCCTTGAGAAGAGCAACTCCAAGACACATAATTGTCAGATTCACCAAAGTTGAAATGCAGGAAAAAAATGTTAAGGGCAGCCAGAGAGAAAGGTCGGGTTACACACAAAGGGAAGCCCATCAGACTAACAGCTGCTCTCTCGGCAGAAACTCTACAAGCCAGAAGAGAGTGGGGGCCAATATACAACATTCTTAAAGAAAAGAATTTTCAACCCAGAATTTCATATCCAGCCAAACTAAGCTTCATAAGTGAAGGAGAAATAAAATCCTTTACAGACAAGCAAATGCTGAGAGATTTTATCACCACCAGGCCTGCCCTAAAAGAGCTCCTAAAGGAAGCATTAAACATGGAAAGGAACAACCAGTACCAGCCACTGCAAAAACATGCCAAATTATAAAAACCATCGAGGCTAGGAAGAAACTGCATCAACTAAAGAGCAAAATAACCAGCTAATATCATAATGACAGGATCAAATTCACACATAACAATATAAACCTTAAATGTAAATGGACTAAATGCTCCAATTAAAACACACAGACTGGCAAATTGGATAAGGAGTCAAGACCCATCAGTGTGCTGTATTCAGGAAACCCATCTCACATGCAGAAACACACATAGGCTCAAAATAAAGGGATGGAGGAAGATCTACCAAGCAAATGGAAAACTGAAAAAGGCAGGGCTTTCAATCCTAGTCTCTGATAAAACACATTTTAAACCAACAAAGATCAAAAGAGACAAAGAAGGCCATTACATAATGGTAAAGGGATCAATTCAACAAGAAGAGCTAGCTATCCTAAATATATATGCACACAATACAGGAGCACCCAGATTCATAAAGCAAGTACTTAGAGACCTACAAAGAGACTTAGACTCCCACATAATAATAATGGGAGACTTTAACACCCCACTGTCAACATTAGACAGATCAATGAGACAGAAAGTTAACAAGGATATCCACGAATTGAACTCAGCTCTGCATCAAGCAGACCTAATAGACATCTACAGAACTCTCCACCCCAAATCAATAGAATATACATTCTTCTCAGCACCACACCACACTTATTCCAAAATTGACCACACAGTTGGAAGTAAAGCACTCCTCAGCAAATGTAAAAGAACAGAAATTATAACAAACTGTCTCTCAGAACACAGTGCAATCAAACTAGAACTCAGGATTAAGAAACTCACTCAAAACTGCTCAACTACATGGAAACTGAACAACCTGCTCCTGAATGACTACTGGGTACATAACGAAATGAAGGCAGAAATAAAGATGTTCTTTGAAACCAATGAGAACAAAGACACAACATCCCAGCATCTCTGGGACACATTCAAAGCAGTGTATAGAGGGAAATTTATAGCACTAAATGCCCACAAGAGAAAGCAGGAAAGATCCAAGATTGACACCCTAACATCACAATTAAAAGAACTAGAGAAGCAAGAGCAAACACATTCAAAAGCTAGCAGAAGGCAAGAAATAATGTAAGATCAGAGCAGAACTGAAGGAAATAGAGACACACAAAACCCTTCAAAAATCAATGAATCCAGGAGCTGCTTTTTTGGAAAGATCAACAAAATTGATAGACCACTAGCAAGACTAATAGAAAAGAGAGAAGAATCAAATAGATGCAATAAAAAATGATAAAGGGGATATCACCACCGATCCCACAGAAATACAAACTACGATGAAAGAATACTATATACACATCTATGCAAATAAACTAGAAAATCTAGAAGAAATGGATAAATTCCTGGACACATACACCCTCCCAAGACGAAACCAGGAAGAAGTTGAATCTCTGAATAGACCAATAACAGGCTCTGAAATTGTGGCAATAATTAACGGCTTACCAACCAAAAAAAGTCCAGGACCAGATGGATTCACAGCTGAATTCTTCCAGAGGTACAAAGAGGAGCTGGTACCATTCCTTCTGAAACTATTCCAATCAATAGAAAAAGAGGGAATCTTCTCTAACTCATTTTTTGAGGCCAGCATCAACCTGATACCAAAGCCTGGCAGAGACACAACAAAAAAAAGAGAATTTTAGACCAATATCCCTGATGAACATTGATGCAAAAATTCTCAATAAAATACTGGCAAACCGAATCCAGCAGCACATCAAAAAGCTTATCCACAATGATCAAGTGGGCTTCATCCCTGGGATGCAAGGGTGGTTCAACATACACAAATCAATAAATGTAATCCAGCATATAAACAGAACCAAACACAAAAACCATATGATTATCTCAATAGATGCAGAAAAGGCCTTTGACAAAATTCAACAGCCCTTCATGCTAAAAACTCTCAATAAATTAGGTATTGATGGGACGTATCTTAAAATAATAAGAGCTATCTATGACAAACCCACAGCCAATATCATACTGAATGGGCAAAAACTGGAAGCATTCCCTTTGAAAATTGGCAAAAGACAGGGATGCCCTCTCTCACCACTCCTATTCAACATAGTGTTGGAAGTTCTGGCCAGGGCAATCAGGCAGGAGAAAGAAATAAAAGGTATTCAATTAGGAAAAGAGGAAGTCAAATTGTCCCTGTTTGCAGATGATATGATTGTATATCTAGAAAACCCCATCATCTCAGCCCAAAATCTCCTTAAACTGATAAGCAACTTTAGCAAAGTCTCAGGATAGAAAATCAATGTGCAAAAATCACAAGCATTCCTATACACCAATAACAGACAAACAGAGAGCCAAATCATGAGTGAACTCCCATTCACAATTGCTTCAAAGAGAATCAAATACCTAGGAATCCAACTTACAAGGGACGTGAAGAACCTCTTCAAGGAGAACTACAAACCACTGCTCAATGAAGTAAAAGAGGATATAAACAAATGGAAGAACATTCCATGCTCATGGGTAGGAAGAATCAATATCATGAAAATGGCCATACTGTCAAAGGTAATTTATAGATTCAATGCCATCCCCATCAAGCTACCAATGACTTTCTTCACAGAATAGGAAAAAAGTACTTTAAAGTTCACGTGGAACTGAAAAAGAGCCCACATTGCCAAGTCAATCCTAAGCCAAAAGAACAAAGCTGGAGGCATCACGCTACCTGACTTCAAACTATAGTACAAAGCTACAGTAACCAAAACAGCATGGTACTGGTACCAAAACAGAGATATAGATCAAGGGAACAGAACAGAGCCCTCAGAAATAATGCCGCGTATCTACAACTATCTGATCTTTGACAAACCTGACAAAAACAAGAAATGGGGAAAGGATTCCCTGTTTAATAAATGGTACTGGGAAAACTGGCTAGCCATATGTAGAAAGCTGAAACTGGATCCCTTCCTTACACCTTGTACAAAAATTAATTCAAGATGGATTAAAGACTTACATGTTAGATCTGAAACCATAAAAACCCTAGAAGAAAACCTAGGCAATACCATTCAGGCCATAGGCATGTGCAAGGAGTTCATGTCTAAAACACCAAAAGCAATGGCAACAAAAGCCAAAATTGACAAATGGGATCTAATTAAACTAAAGAGCTTCTGCACAGCAAAAGAAACTATCATCAGAGTGAACAGGCACCCTACAGAATGGGAGAAAATTTTTGCAATCTACTCATCTGACAAAGGGCTAATATCCAGAATCTACAATGAACTCCATCAAATTTACAAGAAAAAAACAAACAACCCCATCAAAAAGTGGGCAAAGGATATGAACAGACACTTCTCAAAAGAAGACATTTATGCAACCAAAACACACATGAAAAAATGCTCATCATCACTGGCCATCAGAGAAATGCAAATCAAAACCACAATGAGATACCATCTCACACCAGTTAGAATGGCTATCATTAAAAAGTCAGGAAACAACAGGTGCTGGAGAGGATGTGGAGAAATAGGAACACTTTTACACTGTTGGTGAGACTGTAAACTAGTTCAACCATTGTGGAAGTCAGTGTGGCGATTCCTCAGGGATCTAGAACTAGAAATACCATTTGACCCAGCCATCCCATTACTGGGTATATACCCAAAGGATTATAAATCATGCTGCTATAAAGACACATGCACACGTATGTTTATTCTGGCACTATTCACAATAGCAAAGACTTGGAACCAACCCAAATGTCCATCGATGATAGACTGGATTAAGAAAATGTAGCACATATCCACCATGGAATACTATGCAGCCATAAAAAGGATGAGTTCATGTCCTTTGTAGGGACATGGATGAAGCTGGAAACCATCATTCTCAGCAAACTCTTGCAAGGACAAAAAGCCAAACACCACATGTTCTCACTCATAGGTGGGAATTGAACAATTGGAACACATGGACCCAGGTAGGGGTCCATCACACACCAGGGCCTTTTGTGGGGTGGGGGCAGGGGGGAGGGATAGCATTAGGAGATATACCTAATGCTAAATGACGAGTTAATGGGTGCAGCACACCGACATGGCACATGTATACATATGTAACTAACCTGCACGTTGTGCACATGTACCCTAAAACTTAAAGTATAATAATAATAATAAACAAATAAATAGATAAATAAAAATAAAAAATAAAAGACCTATTACAATTTCTGGCAAAAAAAAATAGCTATGAGTAGAGTATTAAGTCATTTACATAATCTTGAAAAAAGTGGAAAAAACTCAACATGGAATATGAACAAGATGCTGACAGATATTGAATATATGGTATAATCCAAAGTGAATACATTCTTGAACTCTAATATTTTCAAAATATGGATGAAATGGTTGATATGCTAGGAAAGCATATAGTCTTTAACATATCCCAGTAATACCTGAATATCTAAGCATCACAAGTACCATGGAAGAACTTCTGAAATTTGTCAGTTGTTCTTCAAAAATACTGACTTTTAGAAACAAATACTTGGCTTTTGCAGGTATCGTACTCTCTCTATCCATTTCCCTCTCCCTCTCTCCATTCATTCATTCATTTAATTTGTTTATTTTTCTTTTTTTTTCTTTTTCTTTTCGTTTTTTTTTTGGCCGTACTGTGAGATATGGTATATATCTCCACATTTTTTTTATGTTGAAAATGATGGTAGTAACCATATGATGTATTATATTAACTGGAATGCTTTCAAGTGTGAAAAGAAGCACTCCTCGTAATTGCAACAGGACTATAGGTGAAAACTCGGGACAAATGGTTATCCTACTTTAACAACTCCAAAAGGGTTATACTAGCCCAGAGAAATATTTTTGCACTTCTGCAAAATAGAGAAAAGAAGAAATGCAGTGCTGACCTTTCTGTGTTTTTTCACTTATATAATTCCAAATGTAACATTAACCAGTTTTGGTTTTCTGTTCCAAAATGGCCAAATAGGAACAGCTCCAGTTTGCAGCTCCCAGCGAGATTGAACCAGAAGATGGGTGATTTCTGCATTTCCAACTGAGGTACCTGGTTCATCTCATTGGGACTGGTTGAACAGTGGGTGCAGCTCATGGAGGGCCAGCTGAAGTAGGGCGGGGTGTCGCCTCACCCAGGAAGCACAAGGGGTCGGGGGATTTCCCTTTCATAGCCAAGGAAAGCCATGACATACTGTACCTGGAAAAACGGGATACTCCTGCCCAGATACTGCACTTTTCCCATGGTCTTAGCAACCGGCAGACCAGGAGATTCTCTCCTGTGCCTGGCTCAGTGAGTCCCACGCCCATGGAGCCTTGCTCACTGCTAGTGCAGCAGTCTGAGGTGAAACTGTGAGGCTGCAGCCTGGCTGGGGGAGGGACGTCTGCCATTGCTGAGGCTTGAGTAGGTAAACAAAGTGGCCAGGAAGCTCAAACTGGGCAGAGCCGACCGCAGCTCAGCAAGGCCTACTGCCTCTATAGACTCCACCTCTGTGGGCAGGGCATAGCTGAACAAAAGGCAGTAGAAACTTCTGCAGAGTTAAATGTCCCTGACAGCTCTGAAGAGAGCAGTGGTTCTCCCAGCATGGCATTTGAGCTCTGAGAACACACAGACTGCCTCCTCAAGTGGGCCCCTGACCTCTGTGTAGCCTAACTGGGAGACACCTCCCAGTAGGGACTGACAGACACCTCATGCAGTTGGGTGCCCCTCTGGGATGAAGCTTCCAGAGGAAGGATCAGGCAGCAATATTTGCTGTTCTTCAGCCTCTGCTGGTGATACCCAGACAAACAGCATCTGTAGCGGACCTCCAGCAAACTCCAACAGACCTGTAGCTGAGGGACCTGTCTGTTGGAAGGAAAACTAACAAACAGAAAGGAATAGCATCAACATCAACAAAAAGGACATCTACACCAAAACCCCATCTGTAGGTCACCAACATCAAAGACCAAAGGTAGATAAAACCACAAAGACGGGGAGAAACCAGAGCAGAAAAGCTGAATGTTCTAAAAACCAGAGTGCCTCTTCTCCTCCAAAGGATCGCAGCTCCTTGCTAGCAATGGAACAAAGCTGGACGGAGAATAACTTTGATGAGTTGACAGAAGTAGGCTTCAGAAGGTCGGTACTAACAAACTTCTCCGAGCTAAAGGAGCATGTTCTAACCCATTGCAAGGAAGCTAAAAACCTTGAAAAAAGGTTAGACGAATGGCTAGCTAGACATCTTCTACTGTGCTACAGAAAAATATAACTAGAATACACTAAAGCCATTTGGAACAGTTTGTGAGGACTCGGAAAAAACAACTGATATCAGAATCTTCACATGGAAAAATGACACATCTGCAAATATGTCTGACCTTTCTTTAAAAATTATGAGGTGGAGAAGGAGAAGCACCAAACCTCTTTTTCCATCTACGTAATTCCATCAGCCTGAAAGTCACCACATCTCATTCAGAAGCTCCTGCAGCTGCCTGATTGCAGCCTGATATCCCTCTTACTAGAGATAATATATGAGTTACAACTCTGAGCTCTGTTCATATCATCACCCTCCAAAAGATAATTCTGCTGCAAAGGGCCCTACTCAGAATCTGCACTGCTTAGGGAGGGGAAGGGGATTATAATCAGCAATTATTTCTCCCTTTTACAGAAATTTTAAAATGTTTTCTGATCCAAAAGGACTGAAAAGCTAGGGTTCAAATAAAAAGTAAGACTAAATGTAGGGGATCCTATTTGCCACAAAATATGTGAGAAGTCCCTAGGCTATGGAGCTGGATGAAAGAATTAGGGCCTAGGTAGAAGAAAGGGGAAAGCAACCAGGGCAACTTGCTAAAGCGAAATGACTTGGGTCCTACCTACACTGTCTCCTTATAGGCTATGGCATGAAATACCCATGGGATTCCATCCTGCCTCTTACACACTGACCTTGAGATGGTGGGAAAGTTACACTCATTTGGTCTGTTTCCCTAATTTTAAAGTAGAAATTAGAATATTTACACTAAATGATTACTATGAAGAATAAATGAGATAACATTTGAAGTAGGAACTACTTTGCAGATGGATTTGGTTTATTCCATTTTTCTTTTTTTAAAAGTTTTAATTGACATATAATTGTACATATTTATGGGGTACACCAAGCTTGTTTAACTTGTGGCCTGAGGGCCACATGCACCCCAGGACAGCTCTGAATGCAGCCCAACACAAATTCGTAAACTTTCTTAAAACATTATGAGATTTTTTTTGTGATTTTTTTTTAGCTCATCAGCTATTGTTAGTGTTCATATATTTTATGTGTGGCCCAAGACAATTCTCCTTCCTCCTTCTAGCTATTTGAAACTATATGTTATTGTTAACTATAGTTATCCTACAGTGGTATAGGACACTAGAACTTATTCCTCTTATCTAGCTGTTATTTTATATCCTTTAACAAATCTCTCCTATCTTTCCCTTCCCTCTACCCTTCACATCCTTTAGTTTTCTTTATTTTTTTCATTTAAATTTTCAGATGAGATCAGTAAGGTGGTAAGACCGTAGACTTCATTTACATTTTGAAAAATTTTTATGTCATTTACTTTCACAGTTAGATCTCTAATAGGTCATACTGCTTTTGAATTTTGAGTAGGAATATGAGGTTACCTTTTTTAAATGAATTTGAGTTCATAAACTTTAAATAAATCATTTAATAGCAATGTAGCTGGTGTAGGACATGGCATCTATTCTAATAACCGAAGTCTGGCAAAGTCTGCCCTAAGTCATGATATGTGCTGAGAACTTCTTGTTCTGTGTGATGTCAAGGGAAATAAAATATTCTGGCTGCCAAGTGATCAGTCAGTTTCTAAGCAGCATTGCAGTGGCTAACAGGGCCACAAGGATCACTACTGCAATTGTCAGGTTGGCTTGTCACACTTCCATAGATTCGGCCAGTAAGAAAATAATTGAGCCCAGATGGATCCAAACAGTATATTACAGACACAGCAAAAGCAAGATCAGCATTGTGTCAGCTCCCTGGTTCCCTGGTTCCACAGTTTGACACTGAATCAAAGGTGCTCGGTGACAGCATAGATAGTAGGTTGCTCTTCCAGTGTCAAAGGTGCTCGGTGACAGCATAGATAGTAGGTTGCTCTTCCAGTGAGGAGCCCACAGCTATACCGTAAGGTGGTAAGCAGTTTTATATCTCACAGCTGTACCTTAAAATGGGGCAAGGAGGAATGTCCTGTGCTTATGATTAATGACTTTGTGTCAGCTTCTAGCAAAATAGGGAGGCAGGTGGAAAAGTTCCTTGTGGCAGCTCCTCACTAGGTTGCTTATTCCCCCTTGCCCCAAGAGGAACCACTGCATGTTTGACAAGATTCTAGTCAGAGTACAGTTAATCCTTGCTGATGTGGCCTGTGTGACATGCAAGGTCACCAGGGCACCAAGGCAAAGCCACTCTTCTACATCTGGCACAAAGTGAAAAGCTGTATGTATGGTACCTGCAAACATAATATCTACAATAATGACTCCTAAATGGAGGAGATGCTTTTACTGCCAAGATCATTACAACAGCATGTTCAGGAAATATCTGGGATACTAGAAATGAAAAGACCAAAGATGTACAGTGTTTGCCATGGGGGTCATATCACACTATGGTGGAGCAGACAGACATATAAACAGAAAAGGAATTTAAGTACAAAGTAGAAAAAAATGGATGAGACTCAGCAGGAAAATTAAAACTCCGTGAGCAGGGTATCCAAGAATCTGGATATAGAATAGTTATATAAGATATAGAATAGTTATATCACTCCCCCAAATTTCCTCCTTCCTTTTTTATTCAACCACTCCACCAAGCTCCAGTCCCTGGAGACCACCAATCTGTTCTCTATCCCTTTAGCTTTGCCTTTTGCAGAATGTTATATAAATCAAGTTATAAAATGCATAACCTTTTGGGTCTTTTTTCTCTTTGCATAATACATTTCAGATTCACCTATGCTATTGCACATATCAGTATTTCATTCCTTTTATTGCTGAGTCGTATTTCCTTGTATGGATATAATACAGTATGTTTATCCATTCATCAGTTGAAATATTTGAAACTGTTTTCAGTTTTGGGCTACTATGAATAAGGCCATCATAAATGTCCATCTGCAGGTCCTGTGTGAACATAACTTTTCATTTGTCTTGCATGAATATCTAGGAGTGGAATTGCTGGTTCATATAGTAAGTATATGTTTAACTTCATAAGAAATTGCCAAACTGTTTTCCAAAGTGGGTGTATCATTTTGCATCCCTACCAGCAATGTGAGAGTTCCAGTTGCACTGTATCCTAACTAGCAATTAATATTGTCAGAGTTCTTTTTAAATTTTTCTTCTCATTTTAGCTTTTAGAATAGGTAATTGTGATTTTGATTTGCATTTCCTTCATGATTTATGATATCAATATCTTTTCCTGTGCTTACTTGCCATCCATATATCTTCTTTGGTGAAGTGTTCAAATCTTTGGTTCATTTCAATTGGGTTGTTTATTATTATTGATATTTGAGTATTCTTTATATACTCTGAAAGCAAGTAGTTTATCAGATATGTGTTTTGCACATATTTTCTTCTTCTATGTGGCTTGTCTTGTTTTTCTCTTAATTTTGTCTTTTTAATGTTGAACTCCAAAGATTTTAATGTTGAAGTTCAATGTATCAGTATTTTTCATATAGATGGTGTTTTTGGTGTCTTATGTAACAAATCTTTGCCTAACTTTATTAATTTTCTAGGGTTGTCATAACAAATTACCATAAAATTGGTGGCTTAAAGCAACAGAAATGTATTCTCTATACTTCCAGACACCAAAGGTCCAAAATCAAGGTGTTAGCAAGGTTGGTTCCTTTTGGAGGCTCTGAGGGAGAATATGTTCCATTTCTCTCTCCTAGCTTCTGGTGGAAATTCTTGCTCCAATTTCTGCCTCCATTTTCAGATAGTGTTTTGTGTTTCTCTGTGTTCTATTCTTTTATTATAAGAGCACCACTCATTGGATTTAGGGCCCATCTTAATCTAGCGTGACCTCATCTTAACATAACTAATTACTTCTACAAAGATCCTATTTCCAAATAAGGTCACATTCTGAGGATTCAGGTGAACACGAATTTATACTAACTAAAGGCCACAAGTATCTTATATATTTTGTTCTAGAAGTTTTGTTACTTTTGGTGACAACTTTCACTCCATGTTCCAAATTAGGTTCACTGTTGTATGTGGTATGGATTATAAGTAAAGGTTCATTTCTTGTTCTTGTGAAATCCAATACCCCAAAAGTATATGTTGAAAAGATTGTCTTTCCCCATTGCCTTTACACCTTTGTTGAAAATCATTTGATTAAATGAGTCTATTGCTAGACTCTAGTCACTGATTTTTTTTTGTCAATACTACATTCTTTTTTTTTTTTTTTTTTTAAGAGATGGGAGTCCTACTCTGTCACCCAGGCTGGAGTGCAGTGGCATGATCATAGCTCATTGCAGCCTCGAATTCCTGGGCTCAAGCGATACTCCTGCTTCAGTTTCCTAAGTAGCTGGGACTACATGCAGGCACCACCACGCCTGGCGAATTGCACATCCTCTTGATTACTGTAGGATTATAGTTGAGTCTTAAAATCAGGTAGAGTGAATTCTTCATCATTGGCCTTCTTCAGAATTGTTTTTGGTATTTTAGTTCCTTTGCCTTTCAATACAATTTTGAGAATCAGCTTTATTGAAGTAGGTTGAAGACAGAATGGTCTAAGCACAGTGAAGCAGTTTTTGCTTTGAAGGGAAACAAATAAATGTGTTAGTAGCTGCAGGAGGACATGTGAGAAGGGGATGAGGTTTTTCCTCCTTAGCTTGGGGAATGATCCAATATAGAGGGGGCCATTGATGGTTCAGGAGCCGGAGTGATCATTGCAGGAGCAAAGCTCCTGTGAAGGTGGGAGGCATGGGATCCTGAGCTGAGGTGAGGGCACTGGCTTCAGTTAGGAGCATTGTATGCAGAAGGGCGGCAGAGAATGCCAGATCAGGCATGGGTAGACTAGGTTTGGGAAGCTCTGAGAATTCCCAGCAGATTTCTTCTGTCCTCTCAATGAATTATTAGAGGAAGCCATTCAAATGGAGAAGAGATTCTAGCATTATCGGGGAGTATTGTAGTGGTGGAGGTAGGATGAGAGTGAAAGTGAAAAGCTATGCTCTTATGGTCATGGATTTAAGGTAAAATAATTTAGAAGGTTTTCTATTTTATTATTATTATACTTTAAGTTTTAGGGTACATGTGCACAATGTGCAGGTTTGTTACATATGTATACGTGTGCCATGTTGGTGTGCTGCACCCATTAACTCGTCATTTAGCATTAGGTGTATCTCCTAATGCTATCCCTCCCCCCTCCCCCCACCCCACAACAGTCCCCGGAGTGTGATGTTCCCCTTCCTGTGTCCTTGTGTTCTCGTTGTTTAATTCCCACCTGTGAGTGAGAACATGCGGTGTTTGGTTTTTTGTCCTTGTGACAGTTTGCTGAGAATGATGGTTTCCAGCTTCATCCATGTCCCTACAAAGGACATGAACTCATCATTTTTTATGGCTGCATAGTATTCCATGGTGTATATATGCCACATTTTCTTAATCCAGTCTATCATTGTTGGACATTTGGGTTGGTTCCAAGTCTTTGCTATTGTGAATAGTGCCGCAATAAACATGCGTGTGCATGTGTCTTTATAGCAGTATGATTTATAGTCCTTTGGGTGTATACCCAGTAATGGGATGGCTGGGTCAAATGGTATTTCTAGTTCTAGATCTTTGAGGAATTGCCACACTGACTTCCACAATGGTTGAGCTAGTTTCCAGTCCCATCAACAGTGTGAAAGTGTTCCTATTTCTCCACATCCTCTCCAGCACCTGTTGTTTCCTGACTTTTTAATGATTGCCATTCTAAATGGTGTGAGATGGTATCTCATTGTGGTTTTGATTTGCATTTCTCTGATGGCCAGTGATGAAGAGCATTTTTTCATGTGTGTTTTGGCTGCATAAATGTCTTCTTTTGAGAAGTGTCTGTTCATATCCTTCGCCCACTTTTTTATGGGAATTTAGAAGGTTTTAAGGTTTTCTCATCACTGCTCAGTTGCTCAGATACAGGCATCATTATATGGTCATTATATTAGTAGGAGGAAGAGGAGTGCTAGCACACAAAATAGATATGATAATACCTCCTGAAGACCACTAAAAGCATTTCTATTTGTTTGTTAAGGCTGCCATCAAAAACTACCACCGACTGGGTGGCTTAAACAACAGAAATGTATTTTCTCACAATTCTAGAGGCGAAAAGTCTGAGATCAAGGTGTTGACAGAATTCGTTTCTTCTAAGGCCTCTCTCCTTGCCTTGTAGATGGCTGTCTTCTCCCTGTGTCTTAATCATAGTTTTCCCCACATACATGTCTGTGTCCCAATTTCTTCTTGTACGGACACCAGGCATATTGCATTATGACCCACTCTAATTACCCCATTTGACTTAATTACCTCTTCAAAGACAGTCACATTCTGAGGTACTAGGGGTTAAGACTTCAAATGTGAATTTTGAGCATACACAACTCATCCAAACAACAGTATTATTTTATTATTAGTTTTACTCCTATTGTTACTATAATTTATTTCATTTTTAAAATTACCCTGCAAGGTAGGAGGTAGTCACTAAAGCTCAGGAGCTATATCTCTTGCTGAACCTCACCAGGAATGAAAGTACTAGTCAAACAGACAAAACTCATGTGTTTTGTAGTATATGTAGCTGAGATAGAAAGTCAACCTAGTTGTTATCATGAATTCATTTGTTATCATTAAATTATAAATATTCAGCATCGGTAAAGAAAATAATGAAAAATAATCAGTCTCATCAAATCTACAAGTATAATGGAAGTCATACTGAATTTAGAGTCCAATGAGATGCGCTTGGTCAGGCAACTGCAGGAAAATGCTGCCAAGTGTCCTCACCCCTGCATCCTCGAGGCAGGTGATTAATAGGGGAATCCTGAGACCACTGCAAACATTCTCACATTCACACCTGTTCAAACCTACACATCTGTAACGATTTATGAAGGGAACAAAAAAATGGCTCTACTTCCCAAGTTTTAGGAGTGGGGATATCATTAGCAACACCTGAGAAATTGTGGCACACCACTGCTTGTACAGGGTCCTTGGACATTTAGGTGTCAAGATTTGGTCACCAGAAACACTAGAGAATGTATCAGAATTTGATCTATGTCCTTTGTGACAGAAGCTTTCTAAATGATGAGGTTCACGTGTATTTGCTGTTCTATGGATCCCCTTGAATAAGTATATTGCACTGGACATTTTTAAGAGGCACATATTATTTTCAAGTTTTTTGACTTGGGGAATAAACCATCTGTAAAATTTACACAGAAATTCAATGGACTACAAACAGCCAAGCTGAAGAAGAACACAGGTGAAGAACTTACAGTACGAAAATCAACACTCATTATAAAATACGAGTAATTAATACAGTGATGTATTGACACTAGGATAGTAAAAATAAACCAGTGGAACAGAATAGACTCAAGAAATAGTTCCAGTCATAGAAAATCACCTGACTTACTACAAAGGAGCCATTGCAACTAAGGGAAGAAAGAATGATTCTTGATCACTGGATACCACATGGAAATTAAATCTTGGGCCTTTGGTCATATCGGCCACAAAAATCAATTCCTGATGGATCTTTTGACCAAAATTGGTCAAAATATGAAAGTTAAAACAAGCTAGAAGTAGCATAGGAAAATATTCTTATGACTTCAGAATAGGCATAGTTTAAAAAAAAACAGGACATGATGAGCACTAAGAATAAAAGATCGACAATATATAATTGATTAAAATTAAGATCATCTGTTCATCTCCAAGGCACCACTGAGAAGATGAAAAAACTAGCCATTGAATGGGAATATGTTAGTTCTAATACATATATCCAAAAAAGGACTCATGGAGAATATCTAAGGAACTTCCACAAATGACCAAGAAAAAGGCAGACAATCTAGTAAGAATAGGCAAAAGGCTTGGAAAGCCATTTCACAAAAAAACAATAACCAAGTAGAAAATAAATATGAATATGTGCTCAATAAGTGTTCAAAATCTTTAGTCATCAGGGAAATACAATTAAAACCACAATAAGATACTACTACATGCTCACTATAAAGGTTAAATTGAGAGAGAGGGAGAGGGAGAAAAATCCACTGTTGACAGGGATCTGAAGCAACTGCAGCTGGAGGGCACTCCCACACTGCTTCTGGAACATAGTTTGTTTCAACCACTTTTGCCATCTGTTTTCTTGTAACACTTAAAGCTAAGCATGGTACTGGTACCAAAACAGAGATATAGACCAATGGAACAGAGCAGAGCCCTCAGAAATAATACCACACATCTACAACCATCTGATCTTTGACAAACCTGACAAAAACTAGAAATGGGGAAAGGATTCCCTATTGAATAAATGGTGCCGGGAAAACGGGCTAGCCATATGTAGAAAGCTGAAACTGGATCCCTTCCTTACACCTTATACAAAAATTAATTCAAGATGGATTAAAGACTTACATGTTAGACCTAAAACCATAAAAACCCTAGAAGAAAACCTAGGCAATACCATTCAGGACATAGGCATGGGCAAGGACTTCATGTCTAAAACACCAAAAGCAATGGCAACAAAAGCCTAAATTGACAAATGCGATCTAATTAAACTAAAGAGCTTCTGCACAGCAAAAGAAACTACCATCAGAGTGAACAGGCAACCTACAGAATGGGAGAAAATTTTTGCAATCTACTCATCTGACAAAGGGCTAATATCCAGAATCTACAATGAACTCAAACAAACTTACAAGAAAAAAATAAACAATGCCATCAACAAGTGGGCAAAGGATATGAACAGACACTTCTCAAAAGAAGACATTTATGCAGCCAATAGACACATGAAAAAATGCTCATCATCACTGGCCATCAGAGAAATGCAAATCAAAACCACAATGAGATACCATCTCACACCTGTTAGAATGGCGATAATGAAAAAGTCAGGAAACAACAGGTGCTGGAGAGGATGTGGAGAAATAGGAACACTTTTACACTGTTGGTGGGACTGTAAACTAGTTCAGCCATTGTGGAAGACAGTGTGGCAATTCCTCAAAGATCTAGAACTAGAAATACCATTTGATCCAGCCGTCCCATTACTGGGTATGTACGCAAAGGATTATAAATCATGCTGCTATAAAACATGCACACGTATGTTTATTGCGACACTATTCACAATAGCAAAGACTTGGAACCAAGCCAAATGTCCAACAATGATAGACTGGATTAAGAAAATGTGGCACATATCCACCATGGAATACTATGCAGCCATAAAAAAGGATGAGTTCATGTCCTTTGTAGGGACATGGATGAAGTTGGAAACCATCATTCTCAGCAAACTGTCACAAGGACAAAAAACCAAACACCACATGTTCTCACTCATAGGTGGGAATTGAACAATGAAAACACATGGACATAGGAAGGGGAACATCACACACCGGGGCCTGTTGTGAGGTGGGGGAAGGGGGGAGGGATAGCATTAGGAGATATACCTAATGTAAATGACGAGTTAATGGGTGCAGCACACCAACATGGCACACGTATACATACGTAACTAACCTGCACATTGTGCACATATACCCTAGAACTTAAAGTAAAAGAAAAAAGAGAAAAAAAAAGAACAAAAAAAGCTAAGCATTTAAAGCTGCATCCCCTATTACAGCAATGCCACTCCTTAGCTTATACAGCCCAAGTCTTCACTTAATGTAGTTGGATAGGTTCTTGGAAATTTCGACTTTATGCAAAAATGTACAGTAGGTCCCCAAATAACGTCATTTCCTTCAACATCATTTTGTTATAGCATTTATAAGAAAAAAATGGTTTTGTTATATGTTGCTTCACTTACAGTCACAGTTTCCAAGAACCTGTTCATGACATTAAGTTACTGTACCTAACGGGTATGTGCCCATAGGTTTACATGAAACATGTACAGGAATATTAATAGCATTGATTAATAACATCAAAAATGGGAAATAATCCAAATGTCCATCAACTTTAGAATGAGTAATAAAATTGTTGAGTATTCAAGCAATGAATTATTAGACAGAAATGAAAAATCTTAAACTACTTCTATGTGTAACAGGATAGATGAATTTCACAAACATAAGAAAGAATGAAAGAAGCCAGGCATGAAAAGCTTACATATAGTGCTATTCCATTCACAGAATGTTACAAAAAAACAAGCAAAACTATTCTTTTAAGTTGGATTAATGATTGGGAAAGGATTGCTATGGAGGCTTCTTTGGTGATGTAAATGGAGCACAGGGGATATTTAAGATTGTGAAACTCCTCTGTATGATACTGTAATGGTAGATACATTATGCATTTATTAAAACTCATAGAACTGTACAACACAAATAGTGAACTCTAATGTAAATTATGGACCTTGGTCAATAATAATGTCAATGTTGGTTTATTAATTGTAGTAAATGTACTAAATTAATAATAGGGGAAATTGAGGGGAAGGGCTTAAGGGAACTATCTGTGCTTCCTATGCAATTTTTCTGTAAACCTAAAACTTCTCTAAAAATACAGTCTATTAATTTTTAAAAAGTCAAAATAGTGATAATTTTTGCTGGATTAATGATTGGGAAAGGATTATGATGGGAGCTTCGGTGGTGCTGGTAATGCTGTATATTATGTTGTGAATATTGGTGATGTGCATGGTTCATTGTGTAAAATTCATCCAGTTGTATTACTAAAATTTAGGGGTGTATGTAATGAAAAAAAACATACCCTCCAAAAAAAGAAGTCCCAGAAAAACCAAACTGAACTTTAGAAGCTAAAGGCCTTGTTAGAACACTCCTGTAGTTTGAGAAATCTATAAACACAACAGCTGATTGCTAAAATTAGTTCTGAGATAAATAGCCTGAAATAAATTGTAAAAAGAAGCCATTTTTCTTCCAAACTTGATTCTTCAGAATATGATACCCATTTCTGAGTCCATGGTTGTAATGACTCTACTATATTGCTTAGTAAGGGTGTATCTGTCCAAAACATGTTCATTGTACAGATGTTACTTGAGGCTTTTACTGTGGGACAGGAAATACAGGCACTTTCCTGACCCCAGACTTTGAAGGCAAAATATACAGTCGTATGTGATTTGTCATCTTCATCTCAGAAACCTGTGAACTTTGTGGAGCTTCTTGCTGACCATGGAAAGCCTATCACCTGTCTTTGGGGATTGCCCTGTGGTGCCAGGTCTTTAAAGCACACCATCAGCTACCAAGTAAATTATTTTCTCCCCCAGACTGATGATGTGTTTGGAAGAAGGGAAGGATATCCTACCATCCTCTGTCACTTTGGGGAAAGCTGCAAGGTTGATTAAGTGAACTAGTGGCCATATTATATGGAGCTCCAACTATGTAGCAGGCACTTCCCTTTGTGCCCCCACATCCTGTTCCCATTATCTTCTCAACCTTGCAGTGTAACTCTTATGATGCCTTTTGAAAATAGTTATGAAAGTTAAGACACAGATTAGATTTTTACCAAGTTAAAGAACACTATTCACACTCTTCCATGTCATGTGTTACATTGCAATGTTAAACATTAATTTTTCATTTGTTTCTCAGAATCAATATTCACACCATGATATAGAACATTACCAGCACCACAGAAGCTCCCATCATAATCCTTTCCCAACCATTAACCCAGCACAATTTTCCACTATTTTTACTTTTAAAAAATTAATGGAGCTAGGTCCACATTGCAATATTTTGATGAATAACAATATGAAAATAGCTGTCATTGCTCTTAGATGGTAAGTGCAATTTGGCTGTTCATTGATGGAATCAGCTATCATCTTGAGCTTGTGTTTCATACTAGATGCTGGGTACCTAGAAACCTTAATCCTCATTATTGTTGTTAATCTAAACCTTAATTGAGCACATGTGTTCCAGGCACTGAGTTATGTGCTACCCCAGTAAAAGTCCAGACCATTTCAGGCACATAGATAATATTTTTCTCACTTTACATAGAAGAAGCTGAGGGAATGAGACATTGACTTGCCACAAATTGAATGCAAATTCTAGGTTTTCCAGGTTCTGTCTATATGATGTTGTGTTGGTGGCTTACCCTTTTATGAACTTCAATTTCCTCATCTATAAATTGGGATTAGTTACAATATGCACTGCCTCTGTTTTTGGTGGGTTCAATAGAATACACTGCCTCAGTGTCTGGGTGGAGTAGATGAAATCGCATATGAGGTACTTAGCCCAGTTGTTTGCAAAGAGTAAATGCTCAACACATCATAATAATTTTGGTCAATACTATTACTACTATTACTACTATAGAAAATTCCAGACTGTGATCTATCACTGGAGAAAGACATAGTGCAATCTGTGGAAGATGTTTATAAGGACTAATTTGCCAACTCTTGTCACAACGATTTTCTTTAAGAAGGATCTTGAAAGTATACCACTAGTCAATCCCCCTTTTCTTGGGGTATGTCATTAAAAGCTAAATAAGATAATAAAAAATTGCAAGTTTAAAGCAGGCTGAAGGCCTTCTTACAGAAGTGGTGGAGATGCTAGGCAATGATGGCTTCTTGTCTTATCCCTTATTTTCCATAGCTGCTGCCAAAAATCATGTTCTCTGGACAAGATCTTTATATTTCATATTATATATATTTTTTAAGACACTGAGATGATGCCCAAGATGAGCATTACTTGTTTTTTTGGTGTTGTGTAAGTTTTTTTGAATGCAGATACATGCAGTTATTTACAAGATAACACTGGAATAAAGAAAGTAAAGTTCCTGAAGTTGAAAACACTTGGTTTACCATTATCTCCATTCCCCCACAATAACCCTGGCAGTACATAAAAGAATCCATGTTTTATAGGACTGAGGCTCAGAGATGTTAAGTGACTTGTCCTCAATCACAGTGTGGTCTCCCTGAATCCAAAAGCATCCCTGGCTGCTCTGACACATGGTCATGACCCAAGCCAGCCTTTTCTCGTATCTGCAGCTTATCAGAAGATTTTAGGACAGAAGATAATTCTATAAAGTGACCATATACTGATCTTAGCTGCCATCTCACTCTTTGTAGGGACACAGCTTCTTCCTGTGGGCCACTCATTTACATAGTTTGCTTCAGATTCTATGATTTGGGGAGCTATGGCCTGGAACATGATTATGTGAGGTTTAAGAACTCTGTATATGTACTGGGTCAGTCCTGTGGTTGCTCTAGGGTCTTATTCTAGGGAACCACACTGCTCTGCCATTGTAAAATTTCTACTCTAGAATCCAGGAATTCCTCAAAACTTTTTCTTTGGGGCACAAACAACCAGAGGTAACATCCTAATCTCTGCCATTTTCAGTGTGTGTGACCTGTGGCAAGACATTTACTCACTCTGAAACAATTTTCTTATCTGTCATGTGAGGTAACTGCCTTTCAGATTGGCTCTGAAGATTTCATGGAATAACACATGTAAATTATCTGACACAGTAGAGGGAGAGTGCCAGAGACCACTAGTTCTCTTACTTCATCCTCTTACTGCCCATTCTATTCCTTGGCTTCAGTTACCAGCCCATTATACTTTAGACCAAATATCTGCTTAAATCACCCCTGCCTCAAGTTTCCTTCATCTAGCTACTCAGCTTCTGAAAACAGAGGAAAGATTTCTGTGAACCCAGAGGGAAATTTCTTGGTCACAGTTTCAGTCGGGAAGGAAATTTCCTTATTATATGGATTCCCACAATTTACCATATCTTTTGGTTAGATCCTAAGAACATTTCATGGTTGCCCACCATAAGCCTGGCCCTGTAACCTCTCTTTTTTTCCCATGTTTCCTGCTGATCAACAGGTCAGTCTCAGCTCCTTCCCTCCACAGCAACCTCTAGGTCCTCCATGCTTCAGCCCCTCCTCTGCCCTTTGCACGAGGAGGACAATTTCCATTTCTCCCTAAGGTTCCTGTCCGAATTCTTACTTCCAAAAAACAGCTCTGTAACTAAGAGCCCTCTTCAGGATGCTCACTCCTTCATAGTCCTTAGGAAAGTGTACACAATTGTTTTATGCTCTCAAAATATTTAAAAATTATCTTCCCTCCATTCTAGTAGGCCTCAGCATCAGATGTATAGGCAACGGGCCAGAGGATCTGCAGAATGTTCTCTAGGATGAGAAGTTGCTGAAAGTGTTAAGAGCAGATGGTCTGAGAACCAAGGAGAGCTAGATCAGTGAGAAAAGGAGGAAGGAACCAGGGGAATCAACTGGGAATAATAAAGTTGGGGACTGCCTGCAGTGCACTCTACGTGGGCTTTAGTATCAGATAGACTTGGGTTAGAGTCCTGGTCCTCCCATACTAGCTGTCTGACCCTGAGAAAGTTAACTAACTTCTCTGGGTCTCTGTATTCTAGTCTGTGATGATAGACCATAAAGTGCATAAAATTATGCAACATTTTTCTTCGGAAATTTTTAAATTTTTCTTATTTTCGTTTTTAATTCTGGCAAAATACACATAACAAAATTTACCATCTTAACCATTTTAAAGTGTACGGTTCAGTAGTGTTACATACATTTACATTGTTGTACGACCAATTTCCAGAACTCTTTTTATCCTGCATAACAAACCCATTAAACCTATACTCATCAAAAAACAACTTCCCATTGCTTCCTCCTCCCAGGCTCTGAGAGCCGCTACTCTACCTTCTGTCCCTATGAATTTGTAAAAATCATAAAATTCTACTATTACTTATTGTTTTGTTCTATTTGGGATGCTATAACAAAATACCATAAACTGGGTGGTTTATAAACAACGGAAATGTATTTCTCACAGTTCTGGATGCTGGAAAGTTGAAGATTTGGTGTTTGATGAGGGCTCACTGGTTCACAGATGACACCTCACTGTGTCCTCACATGGTAGAAGGGGAAAATGTGCTCCCTGAGTCTTACTTTATGAAGGCACACCTTTTTGGGGAGGTGATTAGGTCACAAGGGCAAAGCCCTCATGCATGAGATTTCATAATCTAATCACCTCCCCAAAGTCCCCATATGCTAATGCTATCACCCTGGGGATTAGGATTTCAACATATAAATTTGGAGAGAGAGACAGAAACATTCAGACCACAGCACTTATATCCAATCTGAGCCTTATTTTTTTTAAATGTTATTATATAATTTTGATTTTGCTGTACTTAATTTTAATTAGATTTTTGTTGTTCTTTGGGAGTTTGTTGTTTTTATTGTTTCTTTTTGCCAAGTGACATTTTTATTTAAGTAAAGTTATCAAGTCACAGGTAGAAAGCAGAGAAAGTAGTAACTCTGAAGGTAGTACTTAATGATTGAAGTTGGGAATTAATTAAATGATTAATTCAACATTCAGTGGTATGTAGTAAGATTTGGGAAGTGTCCTGAATGATCAGCTTCCAAAGACCAGGGTCCTTGTCCTAGAGGGGCTCACAGCTCTGTGGCAGAGACAGACCCATTCATCTAATCTACATGAATTTATTAAGTGCCTATGACATGCCAGACAATGTTCTGAATATTTAAGATACAGCAGTTCACAAAACAGACAAAGATTCCTGTCCTACAAAAGCTTATATTACCTCAGGGGTGGTGATGGTTGAAATATAATTTATGGTTCATTTGATACAGTCATGTGCCCGGTCTCTGCCAATAGTGTTCGGGAATAAGGATACCCTCTTAACTCCCTCTCATGTACTATAATTTAATTCTCCACCCTGCGGATGCCAAGCAGAAGCATTGGGATTGAAGAGGCATGATCTGATGTGGTCCTGATGCAGTACCACATGGCACCCATGATGTAGCATGGCAACACAGCCTTGTAATTGTGAGAGATAGATCCATGATGTCAGTGCGTACTGGGGGATTTATAACTGTGGAGGGCCATGGTGACTGTGATCTCTTATCCCCATCCCAGCCAATCACCAGCCTCACCACAAGCTATCCTGAAAGTCTCTTGATTCATTTAAATTGTTTTTCAGAGTGGTGAGTAAAGTTTTATCATGCTCTGCTATTAAGCACTACAGATTTCACTTTATAGTTTCTCAGTATTTTATTCTAAGAAATTTCCCACTAGTTCTCTTGATTTTCTGGGCAAATAATCACACCGATACACAAAAATCATGTCTTTTCAAACAGCGAGCACCTCTGTTTACTTCACATAGATTTCAACGTGAGATTTATATTGCCAGATTTTTTTCTTACTGTTTTCTAGATGTCTTCTGCTCAATATTTGCTTTTAACGTTGTTTCATTTTAAGAGAAAAGCAATTTAACAAAATATGCTGGCAAAAATTGTATATAAAGTATGATTTTAATGTTGTAAACTATGCATATATATGCCCACTCCCACACATACAGAAAAATGACTGGACAGAGATATGCCAAAATGTTAATAGTGTTTGTCTCTAGGTTATTTCCTTTTGTGTGCCTTTGAAATTGTATGCCACCCTAAATAGTCTACCTTTATAACAAAAAATGGCCATAAAATGACATTTAAGATTATCTAAGCAAAATTTTATATGATACAATAAATACCATTTGGCAGAAAATTAAATATTCATGTATTATCTCTTAGACTGCATACTGCATATATCAATAATGTAAAAATATATTTCTAATTATCTTTAAATAAGCCAAAATTAGATCTTGCTCCATTCGGAGAATTTATAGTGAAACTCCATGATATTCTATTGAGTAAAGTTAATGGGTGCAGCACACCAACATGGCACATGTATACATATGTAACAAACCTGCACGTTGTGCACATGTACCCTAAAACTTAAAATGTAATAAAAAAACTTTGTCATTTCACTTGTGAATTCTTAAGCAGCTTTAGCCTCCCTTTGTTGAACAGGGAACCTGGCCACTAATTCATATCTACCTGTGAGTCCCATCCTAATATTTGAGTTTCAGCTGTAATACTGCTTTTCTCACAATTGTCAATATTTTCCTGTAATTGTGTGAAAGAAAGTTCACAGGCTGAGATGCTAAATCAGTGCTTTGTCATTTATCGGCTACATTAACTTTGGTCCAGTTACTCTCCTTTGCTGATCCTCAGTTTCCTCAGATAAAGAGACCTAATAATTCTTATTCGAATTTCTCATGATCAACACATGGCGAATGGAAATAATAATCATTGTCATTACTCTTGATAGTCATTTAATAGAATGGAATGATCAGATTGCAGTGGAATTGCATTCATATTTAGTGGGGTAATATATCAGTTATTATTAACAGACAACTGAACATGGGATGACTGGGAATTTGAAGCACTTAAAAAGTAAACTTGAGGCTTGATGAGGTGGCATGGAGTAAGCTACAAAGGACTCCAGCTCCCACTTCCTGCCTCATCTCCATGCTGGGTGTGGACCAGGTGGCACCTGCTCAATCAAGAATGACTGCTAGGGTTCTAGTCTAGGCAACTAGGTAGACGGTGGTGACCACATCCAAGCAACTCCTTCCTCAGTGATTCAGCAACTTGCACTGTTCTGTGATTGACTATCTCCTCTCCTCTCCAGTTTCATTCAACCAGGAAATCAGCAATAATAAAGGCTGTAATTCCCTCAGCACCCACTCTGTGCCAGACACTTCATTCATTCCAGATATAAACATTAATTGAGGGCCATCTGTGTGCCAGGCAGTGTCCTAGGAGCTGGGGATTCTCCAGTGCACTAAGCGGTCTTAAATGCCTGCCTTTGTTCAGTTTATATTCTTGTGGGGGAGACAGTCATAAATAATAAATTTAAATAAGTCAACAAATAATGCAGTGCAGTAGTTGGCAATTCATGCTACAGGAAAAGTAGAGCAGGAAAGGGGGATTGGGAGTGCTGGTTGGTGGGTATGCCATTTTAAATGGGATGTTCATGGTCCGCCTCATTGAGAAGATGACATGTGAGCAGATACTTGAAGACTGTGAAGAGTAAGGGAACAGTGGTATCTAGAGGAACAATGCTGTAGGCACCGAGTACAGCTCATGCACACAAAGAGGAGTTTGTATGCTCTGAGTTCCAAGCACACTGAGCTGGGCACTTGTGTCACAATTTTAAAATCACAGTCTAGGGGACGTGGGAAGGATAGAGAATTGCACAAGCAATTACAAGAAACGTGTAAGCACTACCTATGTCAGAATGAAGAGTACTTTGTCAGCATTTGGCTTTTGGGCAAGTCAGATGAGCTCCCCTGAGGAAGTGCCACGAATCTCAGAACTAAAAGGATAGGAGGAGTTAGCCAGGATGTGGAGAAGAGTTTTCTAAACAAGATGCAAAGGTATGACCTTCCATTAGGAAGTGCAGCTTAGAATTCTGCCTACAGGGAATGTAATTGTCAGAGGGCACCAGCTGCTACATTCTAAAATGCATCTCCATGTTTTTACTAGACCACGAATCTTGCAGGCTGCTCTTTGCCTGTGACTGAGTGTAGCAGAGACACTAAGGTAGGACTGTTCCCAAGGGGCAAGGGACTCTTGTGATGGCTGACTTTATTGTCTGTTCATTCCATCTGCCCTTTGTTCCCTTTTCCCTTATTCTGCTTTTTTTTTTTTTGTTTATTTTTGTGGATTCATTTTATTTCCTTTGTAAGCTTATTGGCAATAACTTTGTTATTTCAGTGTTTGCTCTTGGGTTTAAAATATACTTTTAACCTGTCATTGTATACATTTAAGTAATATTATATAACTTAATTTATACTATTAGAATGTTACAGTATACTCCATCTCTTTCCTCCCAATCTTTGTGTTACTTTTCATACATTTTACTTTTACATATGTGAAAATCCCTACACTACATTGTTTTTTCATGAACAAATATCTTTCAAAGAGTTTAAATAGTAATGAAATCATATACCTTAACCCATACAGTTAATATTTCCAGTGCTCTTCATTCGTTTGTCTAGATCCATATTTTCATCTGGTGTCATTTTCCTCCTGCTTGAAGGACTTCCTTTAATATTACTTGTAATGCAGTTCTGCTGGTGATGAATTCTCTGATTTTGTATGTCTGAAAAAGACTTTATTTTGCCACTGTTCTTAAAAGTTATTTGTACTGTGTATAGAATTCTAGGCTGACAGGGATTTTTTTTTCACTCAGTACTTTAAGATATCCCTGTATGTCTTCACTTGCATTGTTCAGAAAAGAAATTTCCTCTTTGTAATTAACGTGTCTTGTTTATCTGGCTGGTTTTAGGACTTTTCTCTGTATCACTGGTTTTGAGCTATTTTATTATCATGTGCTTTGGTATAATTTTCTTTGCTGGGTGCGGTGGCTCACACCTGTAATCCCAGCACTTTGGGAGGCCAAGGTGGGCGGATCACCTGAGGCCAGGAGTTTGAGACCAGCCTGACCAACATGGAGAAACCCCATCTCTACTAAAAAATACGAAATTAGCCGGGTGTGGTGGCACATGCCTGTAATCCCAGCTACTCGGGAGGCTGAGGCAGGAGAATTGCTTGAACCCAGGAGGTGGAGCTTGTGGTGAGCCGAGATGGCATGCCATTGCACTCCAGCCTGGGCAACAAGAGCGAAACTCCGTCTCAAAAAAAAAAAAAAAAAAAGAAAAAGAAAAAAAGAAATTTTCTTCATGTTACTTGTGCTCAGGCTTGTTGAGCTTCTTGTACCTGTGCATTTATAGTTCTCATAAAATGTGGAAAAAAATTTGGCCATTTTTTCTTCAAATATTTTCTCTGTCCTCACCCCTTGCTCTACTACTTCAGGAACTCCAATTGCAAATGTATGAGACCACCTGAAGTTGTCCTCTGGCTCACTGATACTCTGTTAGTTTCTTTAAATTATTGTCTTTTCTTGGTGGTTTCATTTTGGATCATTTGTATTGCTGTCATCAAGTTTGGTATTTTTTTTCTGCGATATCTAATATACCATTAATCTCATCCAGTGTATTTTTAATCTTTCACATTGCCGTTTTTATCTATAGGTCATTTGTGTCTTGTTGATATTTTTCACGACTCAACTTAATTTTTTGAACATACGGAATACAGGTATAGTAACTGTTTTAATATCCTAATATGCTATTTCTAATGTTTGGGTCAGTTTCAATTGATTGACTTATCTTCTAATTATGGGTTGAATTTTAATGACTATTTTCATGCCTGCTAGGTTTTATAGCCTGACTGGTGGGAACAGATGCTATTCCCATTTCTGCAAGAGCACTGGGTATTATCCCCTCTAATCCTGTGAGATGGTTCTTTTCTAGGCCTCAGGAAGTTACCTCACAGTGAGGTGCTGAGGGAGACCCTATTAAGACCTTATAGATTTTATATTTAAATCTTGATGCATATTCCTAGCTTGCCTTCCAGTGTCACCAGGAGTATATAGAAGTAACCATTATCCTTCATATTCTCCAATATTATTTATGTGTTTGCTCTTTCATTCATTCATTTACTTACTTATATTTCATGTGAATTGTTAGGCAGGACTGAAATAGTGCTCAGTCTAGGGCTAAGTTACACCACACTACTGAGAAAAAAGATCCTTATGAGTACTCTACCGAATGTCTTATGAATCTTGAGGTTTTCTAGTGTGACTGGTGAGAACAGGCACTATTTCCAGTCCTGTACCTGTGCTAGCTACTCTTCTCTCTAATCCTATGAGATGGTTCTTTCCCTGGCCTCAGGAAGTTACCTAACATGCATGTTCAGAACAGTAATCTGCTGAATACCTGAGAGAGACTCTTTTAAGATCCCTGGGGTTCTCTCCCTTTGCAACTTTCTCTTCTCTGGTACTCTCTGAGCTCCAATTGTCTTGATCTCCTCAGACACTCAGCTCAGGGAGTCCATTGGGCTCCACCTGGTTTCCCTCTACATGTGCAGAAGCCTGAAAGCTCTCTCAAGGCAATAAGTTGAGGCAATCTTTGGTCCCACCTTTTTTGTTTCCTTTCTCTCCAGGATCACTGTCCTTTGCTGCCTGATGTACAGTGACTTTCCAGTCGTTGTTTTATCTATCTTGTCTGTTTTTTTATGGGGGTGGGGGAGGGTTGTTTCAGGTGGGAGGTTAAATCTGGTTACTGTTACTCCATTTTGTCTAGAAACAAGTTGATGACCAACTTTGGCTCAAGGATTCCCCAACGACCTTTCCAAACTCTACTTAGAACTGGTGTGCAATCTAAAATGCTTTCATCCCACCTGATTCCTTATTTCTCTCTCTTCCTCACTCAAGTTCAGACCTGAGGGACCCAAGTTCAGACCCAGCTCCCCCTAGTCTGCCATTCACTCTCACCCAATAAATGTATTATTTGTTTCCCCTCATAAATTTTGTGCAGGTTGAATCCTACTTCAGTATCAGCTTCTCAAAGGCTTGGACTAACACAAAAAGCATGTGTGAGATACTTTGACTCCAAAACAACACATTGGAGTCTTATGTTCTTTGTGATCTTAACACCTACTCTAACGGAGGCCAAGTTTTATTTACTGGATGTAGCCTGAATATTTCAAGACATACTTAGAATGTAAAATGTATATAACTCCATGCATGGAAGTAGCCTATTTATTGCAGTTAAACCCTTACGGGTGTATATTTGTTTCCACTTTTCCACAGTTTCAAATATAGGTAGTGTAAATACCTTTGTTTAGAAATGTTTGTATATTTCAAACAAATGGAAGAACATTCCATGCTCATAGGTAGGAAGAATCAATATTGTGAAAATGGCCATACTGCCCAAGGTAATTTATATATTCAATGCCATCCCCATCAAGCTACCAATGACTTTCTTCACAGAATTGGAAAAAACTACTTTAAAGTTCGTATGGAACCAAAAAAGAGCCTGCATTGCCAAGTCAATCCTAAGCCAAAAGAACAAAGCTGGAGGCATCACGCTACCTGACTTCAAACTATACTACAAGGCTACAGTAACCAAAACAGCATGGTACTGGTACTAAAACAGAAATATAGACCAATAGAACAGAACAGAGCCCTCAGAAATAATGCCACATATCTACAACTATCTGATCTTTGACAAACCTGAGAAAAACAAGAAATGGGGAAAGGATTCCCTATTTAATAAATGGTGCTGGGAAAACTGGCTAGCCATATGTAGAAAGCTGAAACTGGATCCCTTCCTTACACCTTATACAAAAATTAATTCAAGTTGGATGAAAGACTTAAATGTTAGACCTAAAACCATAAAAACCCTAGAAGAAAACCTAGGCAATACCATTCAGGACATAGGCATGGGCAAGGAGTTCATGTCTAAAACACCAAAAGCAATGGCAACAAAAGCCAAAATTGACAAATGCGATCTAATTAAACTAAAGAGCTTCTGCACAGCAAAAGAAACTACCATCAGAGTGAACAGGCAACCTACAGAATGGGAGAAAATTTTTGCAATCTACTCATCTGACAAAGGGCTAATATCCAGAATCTACAATGAACTCCATCAAATTTACAAGAAAAAAACAAACAACACCATCAAAAAGTGGGCAAAGTATATGAACAGACACTTCTCAAAAGAAAACATTTATGCAGGCAACAGACATGAAAAAATGCTTATCATCACTGGCCATCAGGGAAATGCAAATCAAAACCACAATGAGATACCATCTCACACCAGTTAGAATGGCAATCATTAAAAAGTCAGGAAACAACAGGTGCTGGAGAGGATGTGGAGAAATAGGAACACTTTTACACTGTTGGTGAGACTGTAAACTAGTTCAACCATTGTGGAAGTTGGTGTGGTGATTCCTCAGGGATCTAGAACTAGAAATACCATTTGACCCAGCCATCCCATTACTGGGTATATAGGCAAAGGATTATAAATCATCCTGCTATAAAGACACATGTACATGTATGTTTATTGCGGCACTATTCACAATAGCAAAGACTTGGAACCAACCCAAATGTCCAACAATGATAGACTGGATTAAGAAAATGTGGCACATATCCACCATGGAATGCTATGCAGCCATAAAAAAGGATGAGTTCATGTCCTTTGTAGGGACATAGATGAAACTGGAAACCATCATTCTCAGCAAACTATCACAAAGACAAAAAAACCAAACACCACATGTTCTCACTCATAGGTGGGAATTGAACAATGAGAACACATGAACACAGGAAGGGGAACATAACACACCGGGGCCTGTTGTGGAGTGGGGGAAGGGGGGAGGGATAGCATTAGGAGATATACCTAATGTTAAATGACGAGTTAATGGGTGCAGCACACCAACATGGCACATGTATACATATGTAACAAACCCGCATGTTGTGCACATGTACCCTAAAACTTAAAGTATAATAATAAAAAATACAATAAAAAAAGACTTTAGAGGATTTGAACAACTCAAAAAAAGAGAAACTTTTGTATATCTGTCCAATCATTTCATGAAAAGTTTTTTATAAGTAATATGTCTGGATCGTATAGATTTTACACTGAAATTGTGATGCAATGCATATTCTTAGCCTGGATTCCAATCTCGCCAGAAGTGTATGAAGGTAACTGATATCCCTTATCCTCTCCAACATTATTTGATTATTTGCTTAATTAGTTTTAGTATCTTTTCCAGGGGTAGGATTAAAAAGGAAGTAAAGCAAGTCTCAACCTTTATATGACAATCTTGCTCTGGATAATAATTTTCTCTTGTTAAATAAAAGAACTATAACTGAAGCTTTCTTTCTCTTCAGTCTTTATATCATGATATATCACTAAATCAAACATGCCTTTGTCCTGATCCTCCAGAACAAGCCAGTAAAATGTTCTGATTTTTTGTACCTGTTCCCTAAGAAAGGCCTCATGGCACAGATATGAAGAGTTCTGGCTTTGGGGATAGGAAGATCTGAAGCAGAATTTCCAGCTCCATCACTTACTAACTGTTTTTTAGGCAAGTTACTGTAGCTCTGGGTGCCTCAGTTTTGCTGTACACATCTGAGGGGTAAGAGGAGTGAGAGACATAGACAAATTTTGAGCCCTGGTCAGAGACTTGAACATGGCTCCTATGACTTCATCCATTCTGTGAAGATGAGACCACAAGACCCATCCCTACTGCCCCTGCTCTCTTCAGTATGGGAAATGGAAGGATACAGACAGCCTAGTTACAGGCTAGGAGGTACCATTAACCACGGGCCTGCATAAGTCACACATCAGTGAGGAGATGAAGGGTGCCAGGACCCCTGAAAATCTCATTTAGCTTAGCAGCACTCAGTGGTGTTCTGGACCCAGATCATATCAAGTCACAAAAGCTGATCTCTAAATACCCCAGGAATTTTTCAAACCATTTATGAAATTGTCAACAACTTGAAATCTGCGATGATGGAAGTATTTACACCACAGACATTAGCTAGCAAATGCTACACATCAGTGTCATCCTTCCACACCCCATTACCTCACCAGTACTTTTCTTTTTGTTTATACTTTCAATGTACATGCTTCACTTTATCCTTAGTTAAGTTGTACTAAGAAGAGGTAAAATAATATGCTGCAAAGTTATGGAGCTAATCCTCATAGCTTATTTTGTAGTCATCCGTACCAACAGTGGAGTCCCAGCTTTTCAATGAACATTGTAGGAACAGGCACAACCCTGAGTGGGTTTAACAAATCTATTGAGGAGCCAAAGGGGATGGATGAGGCTTGTCAAATTCTCTGAGATGGTCCCCAGGGTCAGCAGACAACTGATCCATATCTCCCTGGTGATGAGAAAGGACCAGAAATGAACCCCTTGACAGAGCTAGGGTAACTTAGTTAAGATACATTTTTTATATAGCAGAAAACATGACTAAATAGGTTTAATCTATGATGAAAAATTATCTCATATAACAAAAAGTCCATAAGTATGATGGTTTCAGGCATGATTAATTTCATAGTTCTATGACACTGTAAAGTAACAAACTCTGTATTTTTGGGCTTCTGTCCTTACTGGATAGGCTTCTCCTCAGCCAGGATCTCCTCGTGTTACCAAAATTGTGGCTACAATTCCAGGCACCATATTCAGACACAATGACATTCAGTGGAAAACAAGGGCCTGACACTTGCTATGTGGATTCTATTATGAGCAAGGAAACCTCCTGAAATGCCAGAAATTAGATTGCACTTCCAGTCAGCTCATTCTGAACCTGAATAAAATATTGTTCTATTTGTGGAATTTATTACGAATTCCCATGTTCCACCCAGTAAAAATATAAAGATTATTAGCTACGCTCTTCCATCCAGATTTAACCTTTGTTGGATGAGTAGGAATTTTTGATGTGTGGTTTCATACTTGATTATTACCCCTTACTAATGTCTGATATTTAACTATCACTCTAGATACATAAAATAGTATCCTAAATTATGTTAGGTCCTGGGATTCAAGGGGGGAAAAGATACATATGACCCCTGCCCTCAAGGAACTCCTACTCTGTTAGGAAAGATTCCATAAAATAAGCACTGACAAGAAACTGTGATAAGTGCTTTGTATTAAGGAGAAGGCAATTGTATGGATTTTGTCTGCACATGACAGGAAATAATCTAACTTCAAGAAGGCAGACAAAGCCTCCTAGAGAAATATAAGTGTAACTTGAAAGATGGAGATTAAGTAGCAATTAGCCAGATGGAGAGGGAAAGCATCCTACACAGAGGGAACAACATGGGTGAGGTTATGAAAATCAGAGAGAAAATGGGCCATCTGATGAACAGAAAGTTGTTCAGATTGGCTGGAACATAGCATGTAGGATACTGTTTCATGATACTGCCTGAAATATAGTAGGCTTCTTTGAATATATATTGGGTTAATTAATCTTTTTAATGACCCTGATTGGAAAAACATCCCCTTAAGTCTTGGATGAGTACTGAAGGGTTATTTGTGTAGGCACCAGTCTGTAACAATTCCTCAGTCTTTCCAGCATGCCACATTATATTTAGATGTCATGTCGCCTCAGTCTTCTAGAATCAGCCATTTATCCCAGAAGCCCTGGTTCTTTTTATTAGAGAATGGTATAAAGAAACCAAGACCTGGGTGTCAGGTGTGCTCATTGCAGCTAATGGTATAAAATTCACAAGATACAGCATAATAATTAGAAAACTAGTAGACCTTTGGCTTCCATGCTTTCAGGAGGGGAGCAAGCCTGGACCAAGGAAGCCACTTTAATATGACTTTCACTGTATGTTCAATTATTAACATGCTTCACTGTTGTTGGTATAATTTCTATTTGGGGTAGAAAGATGTTTTCTACCATAAAAAAATACAAAGCGTTTTTGTGACCCTCCCTGTTCTTTCTTTTACCTCCACCACTTTTTTTTGCAGTTTAACAACTTTTGGCTGCGGTCTTTTCCTCACTAATTTCAAGTAATTTGAGAACGTCAAGCTTCAATTTCCTGTCCAGCCCTGAAGATCCAATAAGAGCTTCAAGCTGGGACTGTAACTTCATGGATCCACCACAGAGAGTCACTCCAACTTTGAATTCTGATTCATCTCTGATTCCAACCAAAGAAATGCCCCAGAAAGTTACATCAACCTCCCAAACATCCTTCCCTGAAATGCAAAACCTGGGCCCAATTAACTTCAACCATGGTCCTTGTAGCAACTACGTCAACCCTCAGCCAGAGGGGCTGCTCCAACTGCAGTATGAAGATGAGATGACCCAACAAGAGAGGCAATGGGAAAGGTCAGCATTCCCTGAGAAGAAAAAGATATTCATGGAGAACATAAGACAGAAAATCCTCAATCCCATGGCACCTTACTGGGCTGAAGGGAAAGTAAAAATCTCTTCCTCATATGATAAAGATAAAAATAAATGTAAATATCTTTACTGCCAGATCTATAGGGAGGATAATTCTAGGAGCCCTAGTGGGTAGAATCCATCCTCTTGGAAAACGCTAGTGCAGGGCCTTAACCACTTGACCTTCAGCCCTGGTACCATACAGACCTGTCATCTACCAGAGGAGCTGCTCAAGAGAAGTAAAGAGAGAAGAGCCATCATGAGAGCCAGAAGAAAGGCAAAAGAGCCTAGGCTCCTAAAATGACAGTCGAAATAAATCCAAGACTCTAATCCTCGTGATTAGATCAGAATTGATTCAGATGTGTGAATATTGATTTTAGCCAGTTGCTTGGGTGGAAATTTTTGGGAACTATACAATTAGGAATGGTCATTAGAAGCAGCAAGAACCAGTATTTTGACAAAAAAAAATTGTATCAGTATGAGATTTGATCTAGTTCTAGGAAAGCAACGATCATTTTCCCAGTAATTTTAGAGTTAATCTGGGAAATACTGGGATGATCTACTCTGCGGCAAGGAAGATGGGTAAACAATGGTTCTTTTTATTATTATTATTATACTTTAAGTTCTAGGGCACATGTGCACAATGTGCAGGTTTGTTACATAGGTATACATGTGCCATGTTGGTTTGCTGCACCCATCAACTCATCATTTACATTAGGTATTTCTCCTAATGCTATCCCTCCCCCAGACCCCACCCCCCGACAGGCCCCAGTGTGTGATGTTCCCCGCTCTGTGTCCAAGTGTTCTCATAAACAATGCTTCTTAACTTATTATTTAGTTTTTATGATAGGACCTGTCTTTCTTCTCCTTAGATCTCTTTTTCCCCATCCTGTTTCCAGTAAGGTATAAAGGATATGTGTAGTGTAAATGTCTTGCTGGTTTTGAAATGTTTTTGTTCAGTCTCATGGATTGACCAAAAGGAAAAAAAAAGCAAAAACACAATGTCTGATGAAATTTATTTGTGTTTTGGAATTCTGAGGTTAATAAAAAGATGAGATCCACTTTTAAAGTTTTGAATCAAAAGAATGTGTGACAAAAGGATGTGTGAATAGAATTTGTGGGCTTCACATTGAATTGTTTGGATAAACTACTTTTCATGAGGCACGTATAGGAAAAAATTTTTTTTTTGAAACGGAGTTTCACTCTTGTTGCCCAGGCTGGAGTGCAGTGGCACGATCTCGGCTCACTGTAACCTCTGCCTCCCGAGTTCAAGAGATTGTCCTGCCTCAGTCTCCCGAGTAGCTGGGATTACAGGCACCTGCCACCATGCCCAGCTAATTTTAGCATTTTTTAGTAGAGACGGGGTTTCACCATGTTGGCCAAGCTGGTCTTGAACTCATGAGCTCAGGTTATCCACCATTACAAAGTGCTGGGATTACAGGCATGAGCCACTGCACCCCCGGCCAGGAAAATATTTTTATGCTCCTTTATAATTGTTAAACACCTCCCTGAAGAAATTTCCAATGTGTTGTCTCAATTGTCAACAACAATACCTGTGTATTTTTATTTAATATTACTTGGATGGTAGTTTGTCAAGGGGAACTACTTGCAGATTAGAATAGGGATGTAGGAAAGGGACCTTTGAAAACATTTGCATTACTCTTTATGGTACCATAATCAGGGCAGCATGTGAAGTAGCCATTGGATGGTCCAACTCCCGCTTTGTGATAGCAGTGGGAAGCAGTACCCTGCCCACCATGTAAGCATATGCGTGTTGTGCAGCTGCCACGGATTTAGGTGTTCCACAATAGATTCTTCCCTCTCAGGTGCCCCAGCACTCTCATGCTTGCTATTGGCGCGGGGGCCCAGAGCATTATTATGTTGTTTTTACTTCTGCCAGTTGTGTGACCAACAGTATATATGCGTTTTCTTTTCATAATATGAAATTGATTGTGCTAATTTCTTTCCTATAGAGCCCTCTGAGAGTTATCCCACCACAGGTCATAATATTCTGCTGATGGGAAAATAAGTTTGGCTCTGGGGAAATCTGCTTTCTTAGGCAATCTTCAGTGGTGCAATAGAGCAAAAACTCCATAATGTTTTCACACATAAACACTTGAGGACATACAAATTAATATGGACTGGATCCTAGGCTTGTGATTTCATCAGAGTATGAGAGTTAAAGTAATCCTGTATTGTTTATACCACAATTCAAGAGGACAGTGTAAAAAATTGCATATTTTATACATTTGAAAGGTCATGGCCTAATTTCATTATGTAAAATGTGATATGTTTTCAGAGAAATATAATAGTTTTCTTATGACTCTGGCAATATTCCAAATACATATAGGTGCATGTACATTTAAAGATACAACCAGCTTGGAACTGATTAAAATCAAGGCAGGTTTTTGGGGGAGAAAACATTGACAAACAATACAACCTTATTCTTCAAGATTGAGTTTGCTATTCTAGGTTCTTTGCATTTATATATAAGTTTTAGAAGAAGTATGGCTGGATGTCTTAAAATATTAGGGTCCCCCAGAGAAACAGAACAAATGTGCATATATATATATACACACACACACACACTCATATATGTATATATACACACACTATCTATCTATACACACACACACACAAACATATAGAAAGAGAGAAAAGACAAAGGAAGACTTTTATTTTTAAGGAATTGGCTCACATGATTGTAGAGGCTACCAAGTCCAAAATCTGTGGCATCCAAAATCTGTGGGATAGGCTGGTACTCTGGAGACTCAGGGAAGAGTTTATATTGCAGATCAAGCTTGAAGACAGTCTGGGGGCAAAATTCTCTCTTCCTCAGGGGACTCCAGCTTATTTACTCCCAAGGTCTTCAACTGATTGGATGAGGCCTGCATTACGGAGAGTAGTATGCTTTTCTCAATATCTACTGATTTAAACATTAATCTGATCTAAAAAAATAGTGTCCCAGCAACACCTAGATTGGTATTTGATCAAATATCTAGATACCATGGCTTAGCCAACTTGACACGTAAAATTAAGTATTACAAGTCCACCTTTTGTCAATTTGGCACCCAAATACATATCTTTAAACCATTCCTAATCTCCAAGTAAATATAATAATGAGGTTGTGCTTCCACCTAACAAGATACAAGTATCCTATGTAAAACCAAAAGCGCACTAACCCTTTCCCCAGATAAGGATGCACTTGGGTGATGTTGACTCTTCTCCATGATATCCTGTAACTTAAATACTACAATGTAAAGTCAATAAATCTCATATGATAAGGGGATAAAAGATAGAAAAAAAGCTATTTGTTTAACGTGTATATAGGCACAACCTCCATCCCTGTGCATATACACACATACATTTCATGACAAAATAAAGAAGAAATACTCAATTGTAGTCCTTGTTTGTAAAACTGGTCACATGATCATACCTGGTATTTATAACTACCTTCTTCCACTATCCATTCCTTAAGTCCTTTCGCCCTCTGCAAGCACTTCAGCTAATTGTATTTCTTACCTGGTGGGGTGACCCAAACCTTCATTCCTAAATTCTCCCGGCCATTAGTAGTCCTACCTGCATTACTGGGTTGTTGTTGTGTCCCATTGATCTTAATCACAAGGCATGGTAATATTAAGAGACACCCTAAGAAATCTCCTATTTTCTGGACATTCTGTTCCTTACCTCCATTGTGGAGGAGCAGTCCAGTTTCCCCCTTGGTAGTCAGGATCAATCACCTCGGCCAGCACAGAAACTCCCTTATTTGCTTGTTGATTCAGAGACATGAGGAAACCAAAATGGCTAGTTGGCAATTTTAACTTCCAGTTCAATGGAATCATTGTGGTGTCTCCTGGTAGAAACATTCCTCCCTTTGGAACTAAGACCTCTAGGCCAGCATAGCATAAAGACATAGAAACGAGAAGCAAAAAGTTTGCTAGTGGATCACTAGGAGTAATAGTGAGTAGTGTCACTCTCATTTCCATCCCTTGATTCCTGGACTTGTGAATCCTGGCTATGGGAGAAACAACACCACATGCTGGACACTGATTCAGAGCATATACAGCCTTGTGGAGAACTTTGCCACAGCCTTGCAAGTATTGCCACCTAGCTGGCACTGTAACTGAGTCTTTAAAAGGGCATTCCACAGTCTTACCAAGCCAGCTACTTCAGGATGGTCAGGAACATGGTAAGACCAATAAATTTTAAGAGCATGGGCCCTTTGCCACTGCTGTAAATTGAGTTCCTTGATCAGAAGCAATGTCATATGGAATAGCACAATGGTGGATTAAGCATTCTGTAAATTCATAGATGGTAGTTTTGACAGAGCATTACCTGCAGGGAAGGTAAATCCTTGTTCAGAGTGTCTAATACAATAAGAACAAAACATTACACTTTCCATGATGGAAGCAGTCGAATCTAATCAACCTGCTACCAGGTAGCTGGATGATCACCCTAGAGAATGGTGCTATATCCTGGACTGAATGTTGGTCTCTGCTGCTTGTAGGTTGGGCACTCAGCAGTGGCCGTGGCCAGGTTGACCTTGGTGAGTGGAAGTCCATGTTGCTGAGCCCGTGCATAACCTGCATCCCTGCAACCATGGGCACTTTACTCATAGGCACATTGAGCAATGATGGGGTGGCTGCGGAAGGAGGCTGAGTGGTGTCCATAGAACAGATAATCTTATCCCCTTGATTATTAAAATCCTCCTCTGCTGAGGTCACCCTTTGGTGAGCATTCACATGAGAAGCAAATATTTTCACATTTTTCACCTATTCAGAGAGGTCTATCCACATACCTCTTCCCCATACTTCCTTGTCACCAATTTTCCAATCATATTTTTTCCAAGCGCCTGACCACTCAGCTAAACCATTGTCCACAGCCCATCAACTGGTACCTAGTCACATGTCCAGCCATTTCTCTTTCTAAGCAAAATAAGCAACCAGGTGCACTGCTTGAAGTTCTGCCCACTGGGAAGATTTCCCTTCACCACTGCCCTTCAGAGATGTCTCAGAAAGGGACGATAATTCTGCAGCTCTTCACTTTCAGGTGGTTCCTGCATATCATGCAGAACCATCCGTAAAGCAGGGCCAAGTTTTCTCTTCCTCTGTCAACCGCCTGTGCCACTGGTCTGCACAGATCCACGAAGAGACTTGTTTCCAGATCAAAGCTGAAAGAGAAAAGAGTAAAAGAAAAGTTATAATTCAACCTGTACCAGTCACTTTTCCATGGGTTCACTCTCTGGTATAAGGCATCTGCTTCTGCTTACTTTTCAGATTCCTCAGGTAAGTGTTTTTGTTTTTGATTTTGTTTTTTTGTTTTGTTTTGTTTATGTTTTGTTTTGTTTTTTTGGTGTTTTTTTTTTTCATTTGGTCTAGAATCTTTAGTTATAATCAGTGGGAGAGATAGGCAGTACTATGCCAACTCCATGGTGGCCAAAAGTGGAACTCCTGATTGGGTTGCTTTTATAGACTTTAGTTTTTAGAGCAGTTTTAGGTCCACAGTAAAATTGAACAGAAGACACAGAGATTTTCCATATGCCTCTGCCCCGACACATGCATAGCCTTCCCAATTATCAATATCCCTCACCAGAATAGTGCATTTGTTACAATTGATGAACCTACATTGATATATCACTATCATCCAAAGCCCATAGTGTACATTAGGGTTCACTCTTGGTGTCATGCATTATATGGGTTTGGACAAATGTATAATGACATGTTTCCACCATTATAGTATCACATACAGTAGTCTCGTTGCCCTAAATAATTCCTCTGTGCGTTGTGTATTTATTCCTGCCTCCCTCCAACCCCTAGCAACCACCAATCCTTTTACTATCTTCATAGTTTTGCCTTTTCCAGAATGTCACGTCGTTGGAATCACACAGTATGTGGTCTTTTCAGATTGGCTTTTTTTCACTTAGTAATATGCATTTAAGGTTCATCTGTGTCTTTTCATGTCCTGATAGCTTGTTTCTTTTTGGCTCTGAATAATAAATAATTGTCTGGGTGTACCACAGTGTACCCATTCACCTACAGAAAGACATATTGATTGCTTCCATGCTTTGGCAATTATTAATAAAGCTGCTTTATACATCCATGTGCAAGTTTTTGTGTGGACATAAGTTTTAACTCATTCAGGTAAATAGCAAGGAGTGTGATTGCTGGATCATATGGTAAGAGTATGTTTAGTCTTGTGAAAAAAACAAAACAAAACAAAACCTGCCAAACTGCTTTCCAACATTGCTATACCATTTTGCATTCCCATCAACAATAAATGGGAGTTCTTATTGCTCCACACCCACATCTTCCTCAGTATTTAATGTTGTACATGTTTTGGATTTTGGCCATTCTATGTAAAAGTATATTATTGTTGTTTTAACTTACAACCTCCTAGTGATGTTAAGTATCTTTTCATATACTTATTTGCCATTTGTATTACTTCTTTGTGAGGTGTCTCTTCAGGTTTTTGCCCATTTATTATTGGGTTGTTCATTTTTATATTGTTGAATTTTAAGAGTTCTGTGTGTGTATATATATATATATATAGAGAGAGAGAGAGAGAGAGAGAGAGATGGAGTTTTGCTCTTGTTGCCCAGGCTGGGCATACATATATATATATATATATATATATATATATATATATATATATATATATATATATATATATATGTATGTATAATTAATTTTAATTAAGTTTAATTAATTAAAGTCTTAATTTTAATTAAGTTCAGTTGATCAATTCTTTCTTTCATAGATCATGTCTTTGGTGTTATATCTAAAAAGTCATCACCATACCCAATGTCATATAGATTTTCTCCTATGTTTTCTTCAGGGCGTTTTATAGTTTTTATAGTTTTTCATTTTACATTTATGTCTATGATATATTTTGAGTTAATTTTTGTGTCTGGATTCTTTTTTTTTCATATGTCAATGTAGAGTCTTTCACCACCATTTGTTGAGAAGACTATCTTTTCTCCACTATATTGCCTTTGCTCCTTTGTCAAAGATCAGTTGACTATATTTATATGAGTCTATTTCTGGGCTCTATATTCTGTTCTATTGCTCTACTTATCTATTCTTTCACCAGTACCATGCCATGTTGATTACTGTAGCTTTATAGTAAGTCTTGAAGTAGAATAGTGTCAGTTCTCCAATTTTGTTCTTCTCCTTCAATATTGATTTGGATATTCATGGTGTTTTGTTTCTCCATATAAACTTTAGAATCAGTTTTTTGGTATCCACAAAATAACCTGTTGGGATTTTCATTACGATTGTGTTGAATCTATACATTAAGTTTGGAAGAACTAACATCTTGACAATATAGACCCTTCCTATCCATAAACATAAAGTATCTCTTTATTTATTTCTTCTGTGATTTATTCTATCAGATATTTGTACTTTTTCCCATATAGATCTTGTACATATTTGGTTAGATTTATACCACTTTCACCTGTTTATTGCTGGTATATAGGACAGTGATTAAATTTTGTATATTAACCTTGTATCCTGCAACCTTGTTACTTATTAATAGTTCCAGGATGGTTTATTGTCTATTGTTTTTCGAATTTTCTACATAGACAGTCATGTAATCTGCAAACATAGACAGTTTTATTTCTTCCTCCCCACTCTGTATACCTTTTATTTCATTTTCTTGTCTTATTGCATTAGCTTGTACTTCCAATATGATGTTGAAAATGAGTGGTGAGAGGGGACTTGCTTGCTTTTTTTCCTGATATTAGCAGGAAAGCTTCTAGTGTCTCACCATTAAGAATAATGTAAGCTGTAGGGTTTCTACAGATGTTCTTTATCAAGCTGAAGAAGTTCCCCTCTGTTTCTAGCTGTATTAGAGTTTTAATCATAAGTAGATGTTGGATTTTGTCTACACTTTTTCTGCATCTATTGATATGATCTTGTGATTTTTCTTTAGCCTGTTTCCTCACTGTATTTTATGGAGTGTACAATTGAATTGGAAGTTATAACAAGTTGGTGGTCTGAGTGCAATAGATTCTGCTTGGAGTTATAAGTCACTCAAATGATGATTTTATTGAAAATTAATGTGTTATTAAAAAGCGGCAGTGGAGGGCTTCACTGAAGACCAGAAATTATGAGCAACAATTGAAACATGGAAAAAAATATATAATCTGCTACAATACTAATATCTGTAGATGTAATGAGCATGGTCATGTGACTACTGACACTCCTACTCATCTTAATAGGTACAAATCCTTGGTCTTCTAAGGCACCACAAAAAGTAACACTGGAAATGAACATTACTGAGTATTTAGTATGTGCTGGGAACACTTTAATACCTTGATTTGTTTAATCTCCCAACAGTATCTTGTGAGGTAGATGACTCCAAAGCAAAAGACCACTTACTTGTGCTGCCTGCCTATTTTATACAGATCCCTCTGTAACATTGTCATTACCAAGGGAAGACCAGGGGTCTGAATCCTAGCTGAATCTATCATCCCTGCAGTGGTTGTTACCATTAAAAAGTCTGCACTGAAAGATCTCAGGCTTCCCTCTATTATGCCAATCACACAAATACCTTTATATCAGCAAAGAAACTCTCACAGACACTGCACAATCTTGTTTAAGTCCATCCATCCATCTCTCCATCCAGCCATGCATGCAATCATGACTCTATCCATCTATCCATCCAAGAAATATACTTTAAGAGCTTCAATAGGCCATACTCCATTAAAAAGCCTCAGCATCATTCTATAAGGCAGATCAACGGACTCTCTAAAGGGACCTTCTTCCTAATTTTAACACTATGGTTCTCTGTGACCTCCTCCGGGCCCGAATGCCACCTTTAGGCATTGTGTGACATGTTTATCACCAGCTCATAAATAAAAGCTTGCAGTTGCATGATGCTTTTAATGCATCTATTTGGCTGCCGAATCACTGGAATTCTCCTCACTGACCAACATCCGAGCACTAGAAAATATACAAATGATGTAAATGCCACATACCCACTTGAGTAGTGCTTCTTAACTCAATATGCATCACACAGCAGGAAGAATAATAACTAAAGTTTTGCTTGAAAAAGTACAATTTGGGGATGAATTCTCATATGTAGGTTAAGACTTCCGTGTATTGGACCACCATCTCTCCATCTATTCATTCATTTCCTAATATCAGTGAGTACATTTCCGTCCCTATTTATCTAGGTCTATCTTCTTTTTTGGACCTAAGCTACTATAAATGAAAAGCAACATGTTCAACCCACCTCTTACTCTGGTGTTCAAGAGTTGTCATTTCAGCATCCGCTGAACTCAAGAGCAACTACACAAGATAACAAAATCAGAAGAGCCAGCAATGTAATATTACAGTTTTTAGTTTTCATTTTATTTTTTTAATTTTCATTTTTATTTTAAGTTCTGGGGTACATGTACAGGATGTGCAGGTTCGTTACATAGGTAAACGTGTGACACGGTGGTTTGCTGCACCTATCAACCCATCACCTAGGTATTAAGCCTATGGTGATTCCTCACTGATCTAGAACCAGAAATACCATATGACCCAGCAATCCCATTACTGGGTATATACCAAAAGGAATATAAATCATTCTATTACAAAGATACATGCACGCGTATGTTCACTGCAGCACTATTATGACTTTTTAAAAGAAATGGGGCTTCATCTCTCAGGTGAGACAGATTTAGTATAGAGTTTACTCTAAATAAATAGTTGTGCATGAGGCTCTAACTGTAATGCAAATGTCAAAATCAGCCTTGAAAGAAAGGGTAGGTAATAATTTTTAAAAGACAAATCTTGCCTCTTCATCTTTCATGATCTACCATGTGCCTACATTCCCGCCTCATCCCAGGCGTCCCCAATGTACACATTTGGGACTTATGCCACAGTCACTGTGATCCTCTAGGGAGCAATGAGTGCTCCTGAGTACACATGTGTACACGTGTCTCTGCATGTTCAAGGACCCTTGTGACAAACACATCTATTGAGAGTCACGATTCCATGTCTGTGGGTGGCCTCCCTTGATACATCCTGTCTTAGTTTCCACTCCTTTGTTTGTTATTCTCTGGAGTCAGATGGATTAGGCTTCAGATTCTCAGGTAACCAACTATGGATCTGAGCTGAGTGACCCAGTGCCGATAAGAAGAATGTTGCCAAAACAACAGAATCCATACCCCTTTCCAGTACCGAGGCCCTCCTCCCTCCCCCTGCCTGCTTGGATCTCAGGTGAGAATGGGAATGTGATGTGGCTAAGAGTGAGGGGATAGATATGTGGTAGAGGGTTCGAGGAGAGAGGTGAAATCTTGGGGTCCCCACAGAAGGGACTAGGGGAGGGACCAGAGATGCCAAGAAAGCCTGCTCCTGGGCACTGAGACCCTAGGAGATGACTATGAAAGTGCAGTGGTTCTAACATGTGGTTCTATGAATTTCCCCAGCAGTACACAGAGCTGCGAACATTTTCTGACTCTAAGCTCCAGGGCTCAGACCATGGGAAATGAGGCCTGTGTTGGCAAAGGGCAGTGGAGCCTGGAATCACTAGTGGAGGGCAGCTGCAAGCCTTGAGGAGGCCCTGCTCACCTCAGCAATAACTCTCATCAGTAACTCCACTCTGTGTGTCTCTCTTCTGGTCTTCTCTTTCTGTGCTCTGTTGTCAGGGTCAATATATAGCAGGTTAAAATTGTCCTGGGTTAAAGGAGAAGAAGAGGCAAGGATGTCCCAATCCCCTCTTCCACTGACTGATAAGACAGTGGGCAGAGGGGGAGCTGGAAGAGATGGTATGCAGAGACCACAAATTAATTCGTGCTTCTCAGACCAGACGGGGGTCTGGTGCATTTACTTGCTAAGGCTGATTTGATTTTCATTATGAGTGCATAACCTCTGTACTGGACAGTAAGGTGAGAAAATACTGGAGTTATGTCTAATCTGGTGTCAGCTGATGCTATCATGTGAATGGTCCATTTGTATAAATGCTCAGCCTGTTTTGCTGAAAATGATCAGTCTCTCAGATTTCCACCCCACCTCCCTACTCCTTTCCAAGACGATTAATGGTGTGTATGGCTTTCGAGTCTTCATGGTGATATGGGAAGGGGCCTATGACATCTTATGTTGACTGCAGTGTCCTTAGTTGTTTATGAGGGAAGGCTCAATCTTCTCTCTCAGGTTCTGCTGACGATGCTGATTTGCTCACCCATTTCTCTGGCTGGTGTAACTTGCATTTTTGTCTCTCTCATTTTGGTCAGGATCTGGTGCTCCCTGGCTGACTCAGCCTCAGCCCACCTGTGCTGGCATCAGCAGACCCCTCTGAATCGGGGCCTCATCCTCCTTCCCACATCTGGGCAGGGCTGTCCATAGCACAGCCTCAGCTGCAGGGTCACCTAGCACCTATCTGGGTTATGCTTGCTTCATGGTAACACTCCTGGCTCTTGAATCAGCCACTTCCACATTCCCTTCTCAGAGAATGTAGCGCCCTGCAGGAACAAAGATCAGCTCCAAAAACTGAAATTCTTGAACTCCAGCCATTTCTCTAACCAAGGATCTTGCTATTTATTTCTGCAGAAGTAAACTGAGTCCTAAATTTCAGCTGGGCAAAAAATCTCTTTATTTGGGACTCCCTTCCACTTCTCTGACACACCTGTCACATGTAAGATAAGGCCCATAGAAGAGAGACTGTGATGAGAGTCTCTTACCTCCATCTGACACTGTCTCCATGCCTTCTACACCCCCAAGGCTGGAACAGAACACTCTTTTATTTTCTTTATCTTTCATGTTGACATAAGGATTCCCATAGTAAATCCAGATCATAAAGGGAAGTCTTTAGGATTTGTACTTTCTCTTGTAGAATTCAAATTCATTTGAAATGTTTGAAGGAAATTGACTAACAGATAAAGAAACTCAAAATGGAAGGGATTACCAAATACAAGTCAATACATCATCAGTAGCAGGGCAAGCTCTCTGTAAAAATAAACTTGGAGTTCAAAGGGAGTTGTATTAGTCAGGGTTCTCTAGAGGGACAAAACTAATAGAATATATATATATATATATATGTGTGTATATATATATATATGTGTATGTATATATATATATATGTGTATATATATATATATATATATATACACATATATATATGAGTTTATTAAGTAGTATTAACTCACACAATCACAAGGTCCCACAATAGGCCATCTGCAAGCTAAGGAGCAAGGAAGCCAGTCCAAGTCCCAAAGCTGAAGATCTTGGAGTCCAATGTTTGACGGCAGGAAGCATCCAGCATGGGAGAAAGGCGTAGGTTGCGAGGCTGAGACAGTCTATTCTCTTTATGTTTTTCTGCCTGCTTTATATCCTAGTCATAGTGGCAGCTGATTAGATGGTGCCCACCCAGATTGAGGGTGGTTCTGCCTTTCCCAGCCCACTGACTCAAATGTTAATCTCCTTTGGCAACACCCTCACAGACACACCCAGGATCGATATTTTGCATCCTTCAATCCAATCAAGTTGACACTCACTATTAACCGTCACAGGAGTCATCATGCTTTAAAAGGGGCTTACAAGGTGTGGCATCAGCATTTTCAATATGTGTGTCCAGAGAGCGTCACTTAAGCAAGCTATCCCCAGCATTGTCTGATAACTTCTGAGACTACTTGAGAATCAGAGACAAACTATCCTGAAGCTTGTGGTGTGTTTGTGGAGTTACGGGGGCAAGCTCAGGTGTATGTTCATGTCTGTATTATTTCTGAAACTTTATGGAGGCCTACATGACCTTTTCATTAGCTAACATCTTCCTCTTTTTCCCTCAAATTTATTGTATATGCCATGTAAAACATCAGTAAAATAATTTTATGATTAAGAAGAAAAACAAGGCAGGGCAAAGTATTCCTATGGCTTTACTATACATAACCAGAAATCTACAGGAGTTATTGTGGGGAACATACGCATTGCAAAATTTCTTGCAGAGTTGAAGAGAGATTCTTCAGTCATGCCTCCACCCTGGCAAGGAAGCATAAAGTCGCAAGTGATTCTTTATTAAGTATTAAACAGATATTTGTGTAATCTCTCGTAATAGCTATTTGGTAGTCTTATATAAGTTGGTAATTTAGCACTGAACCAGGGAGCAGCAGAAGACCAACCAATAAATGAATAAATAAGTCCAGATTGCGATCAGTGTTAGGAAGCAAATACTTTAGGTGCTAGTCTACAAACTCACTACTTTAAACAGGACAGTCAGAGAAAGCTTCTCTGAGCAGAAACCCTAAGATTTATAAGGATACTGCTGTATGATGGGAAAATGGAAGAAACAACCCGGGGGAGAGTGTAGAATGAGAAGGGGAACTGGCTAAACTTCATGCCGAAAGGAAGAGCAAGCAATGGGCAATGGCTAGTGAGAAAGAGTGGAGTGACCAATATGGTTGGAGGTACACCAGGAGAGGTATTTTCACAAATCTAAAATTTAAAATATAGCATAAAAAGAGAGAGGAGAGAAAGCAGGGAGGGAGGGAGGAGAGTAGGCTTTGAGAAGGAGGGAGGTGTCAAATGTACTGAAGGCATTTGGACATATAGTATAAAAGGATGAGGACGTGATCATAGGGTTAGGCAATATGAAGGCCATTGGTGCCTTTAACCAAAGCATTTTTCTGTTGGGAGGTGAGCAGATAGAAGCTGCATTTAAGTGGTTTGTGATGATAATGGTTATAGAACAAGGGAAGACACATTTGCTGCTTGGAGCATCAGGGAAATGTGTCATTACCTTGGAGAAATATGGGATAAGGAACGGGTTTCTGTTTTATTACATTTTGTATAAAATGTCAGAAACAAGAGCATGTTTGTAGATGACAGAAGAATCCAGAATAAATAAAGAATGTGACAATTCAGGAAAAAGTGATAATTACTACAAAAGCCTCTACCTTGAGAAAGTAGAGGGCATAGGATTCAGGTGAAGGGCTGGCCTCAAGTAGGATCCTGTCACTTCCTCCAGTGGGGCAGCTGAGATTACAAGTGCAGGCCCACTGCTGTTGGGAAGTGGTGAGAGTTTCTCTCCAATTGCTCCTGTTTTCTCAGGGGAATATCAAGGAATATCATGAGAAGAGTTGGTGCTAGTCCTTGTGGAGGTTATTGTAGGAAGAGGAGAGAGAAGATACACTTGTGGAGGGTGCACATCGTTTGTCTACTTGTTTGGTGGCGGGGGGGGCGGGGGTTGCCAGGAGAGTAGGAGGAGGGAAAATGAAGAGATGCGTTTGAGGAGCGAGAGTTAATAGCTTTGAGTAAGCTGGGTAAGGAAGGTGAATGGTAAGGAATGCCGTTGGGGTCAGTGGACAGGAGGCCTCCTTGAGGCTGAAGGCTATGGATGTTGGGCCATTGGAAGGAGGGAGCTGTTAGGATTGGATTGGGTGTTGCCCATGGTGAGAGTGGGGGATGCAAGAAATGGACATCGTGGAGCAGCTTGGTCTTTCCCGAGGCCCAGGGCACGACCACAGATAGAGGAGACGTAGGTGGGCAGGAGATCCCCTGAAGATTGGAGAGGCTCTGGTCATGGCCTGGTCAGTCTAGGGGGTGCTGAGGTTACCAGGAAGGATCGGCAGAGTGAGGCCCTTAACAAACAACTCACAAAACTGTCAAAATAGTTTCCTCAAATCGGAATCATTTTTTTTTTTAGACGGAGTCTCACTCTGTCACCCAGGCTGGAGTGCAGTGGTGCGATCTTGTCTCACTGCAACCTCCACCTCCCAGGTTCAAGTGATCCTCGTGTCTCAGCCTCCCAAGTATCTGGGACTACAGGCATGAGCCACCACGCCAGGCTAATTTTTTGTATTTTTAGTAGGGACAGGGTTTCGCCATTTTGGCCAGGCTGGTCTCCAACTCCTGACCTCAGGTGATCCTCTCACCTTGGCCTTCCAAAGTGCTGGGATTACAGGCGTGAACCACCATGCCCAGCCAAGAAACCTTTGGTTGTAAGGTTTCTGGATTTTCTGGACACCTATATCCAGGATGAGAAACATTGTCACATTTCAAAATTTAAGATGGGAAGTGATTGCAGTCTGGACCTGACCTGCCAATCTGATCAGTGTCCAAAGATGCAGTAAGAAATTGGTCTGATGTGATTAACAATGAATTTGTCCACACCAGCCTCCTGTGAACCTAGCTTCCTTCTTGTCTATGAACATAGTGTTTATGTGACCTTCAGTCTCTCCCCTACAGTTGCAGTCACCCCATCCTCCTGTAAATTATACAGCCTCCTTTGATGCCACTTGTGGATATCTCACTGAGGAGTATTTACTTCATGACTTCTGAAACCAACCACAGAGTGAGTCATAATTAATCACAGAATGAGAGTACTGCCCATCTTGTTCTCAAATATTGGAGTCTATCTCCCCTCAGACCAAATCAACACTCATTATTATAGTGTCCAGGACACTATGAGTTTTGAAGCCTGGCAGACATGCAGACATATTTTCAAAGCCTAGGGAAACTGTCTTCTCAAGACTCAATAGAAATCATAATCAATAAAATGATTCCAATACCCTCCTTGGAGAGAATCTATGCATCTTAGTGATGTGTTTAAAGTGTCTGGCTCCCAATCACCCTTTAAGAAGGATTTCGTGAGCTATGTTCTAGGTGTAGAGGATACAACAGGTAACAAAACCGAAAGAGACTCTGACACAATAGAAGTTATCAGTAAATACATAGCATATCACAGGGCAGCAAGTGCTAGGTAGAAAGTTAAGACAGGAGCTGGGCGCGGTGGCTCATGCCTGTAATCCCAACACTTTGGGAGGCCGAGGCTGGTGGATCGCCTGAGGTCAGGAGTTCGAGACCAGCCTGCCAATATGGTGAAACTCCATCTCTACTAAAAATACAAAAGATTGGCTGGGCATGGTGGTGGGCGCTTGTAATCCCAGCTGCCAGGGAGGCTGAGGCAGGAGAACTACTTGAACCCTGGAGGCGGGGGTTGCAGCGTGTCGAGATTGCGCCATTGCACTCAAGCCTTGGTGACAAAAGCGAAACTCCATCTTAGAAAAAAAAAAGTTAAGACAGGGTCAGGTAAATGGGTAAATGGGCAGGATGTTGTTATTTTATTCAGGATGTGTGGGGAAGGCATCCCTGAAGAGGTGATGACTGAGCAGAGACCTGGAGGCAGTGAGGAGCAGGCCTTGCAATTACCTGAGGGAAGAGCATTCCAGGCAGAAGGAACAGCAAGTGCAACAGCCCTGGAGCAGGGGAAGCACCTGGTGGGTCCGGGATCTCAAGGATGTGTGATGGTAAAGAAAGGCTCATCCAAGGTTTTGACATGTGGCACTCATTGACAGGTGCCTGGTGTCCCCATCTCTATTTCTCCCACAACCTGAGAGGGAGATGGGGTTCTCCCATGTCACAGATGAAGGACCTGAGGCTCAGAGAAGTGCCCTGAGCCTGCTCTCCTGCTCACACCTGAAATTCCTAAAAGAGGGATGACCTTCTGTTGCACCACAGGAGACATAGGGCTTGAGCCCACAGCTGGGGGGAAGGTGCCATCCACACTGAAAGTCAGCCAGCCAGCCAGTAGAAATTATTAATGATAATATGGGAACCATGGCCAGCATGACATTTCTACTTCCAATGGGAAGGCAGGACTTTAGGAATGAGAAAGGAACTGGGATGGAAGAGAGAGGCAGAAAGGGGAAGGTGGGGGACAGTGAGGAAAAACACACTGATTGAGAAGGGACCCTGGGGACTTCTGGGATGATGATCAACCTTGAACTATGTGGTTGTTACATGAATGTACAGCTTATAAAACATAGACTTATGTTTCATACACTCTCGGGCACAGACACACACAAAAACCCTCATAAGTGAAGCAGAGTGCAGTGGGAAGTGGGAGTAGCGTGAGTGTCCTTGACTCCTGCACACAGGCTCGCAGCGCCCCGGCCTCCTGGTGTGGACCACGCAGTGTAGGCAGCCTCCTTCCTGCAGAACCTCCCCTGGGCTCCAGGTCTTGCCTTCTATCCTGGAGGCTCCAGAGGCTCCCTCAGGCCTGTTTGTGGAGATTGTCTGGTGGGAAATCCTCTATCCTGTGCTCCTGATGCCAGCCATGGAGCAGGAACACCACCTCTCAGGGGATGGACAGGACCTGCCCATTTTGTCCTCAGATGTTGGGATCCATCTCCCCTCAGGCCTCATTTACACCCACAATAGCCCAGGACACGTGGGCTTTGGGGCCTGGCAGGCTTCATAGAAGCCTGGAACCCCAAGCCCTGGTGGTGTGACTTTGGGCAAGTCACCTGTCCTTGACCAGCCTCAGTTCCCCATTCATAAAGGAGGCTAATGCCCGCCAAGCAGGGTAGGTGCAGGTTTTGGGGAAAACATGTGTACTGCCCTCCTCCCGAGCCCATGTTAGATGGGTCTAGTAGTTGAGGCAGGGTAGGAGCAGGGGCTGGAGTGACATTGGCAGGGACTAAATTGCCCCGGATCAGACGGTGGGCAAGTGGCTTCAGCTCTCTCTGCCTCCCTTTGCTCGTCTGTCATCAGGGTACTAACTTTCCCTCCTCACAGGGTTATGTGAAGGAGAGGTGAGACAACTGGTCAGTCACCGAGAGCAGTGCTGGGCACAGGGCAAGGCTGAGTACAGGCCCACTGTCATCTCCCTGGCTGGAATAGGTTCTAGCAATAATGACATGGATGTGTTTAGGGGGCCACTATTCTGCCTACCACATACCCTCTTCCTTGGCAAGCCTTGATGATAACTGTCATTGTCCCCATACTGGGGCCACAGAGGTAGACAGATGGACCTTAGCCTCCAAGAGAGTGAGTGCCCACCCTGTAGAGGAGAACAGCATGTCGCAGGCAGTTCACAGAGTGATGCCTTTTATATCACTATTGTGATGGTTAGTTTTAGGTGTCTGCTTGACGGGGTTAAGAAAAACCCAAATAGCTGGCAAACCATTATCTCTGGGTGTGTCTGTGAGGGTGTTTCTGGCCTTTGAATCTGTGAACTGATGGAGGAAGATCGGCGTGGGTGGGCATTGTCCGATCCCTCGAGGGCACAGGTACAACAAGAAGGCGGAGGAAAGGGGAATTTGTTGTCTTCTGGAGTTGGGACACCCCGTCTTCTCCTGCCTTTGGACATAAGAACTCCAGGTTTTCAAGCCTTCAGACTCCACGAGTTATGCCTCTGGCTCTTCTGGTTCTCGGGCCTTTAGACTCAGACTGAATCACACCATCCACCTTCTTGGCTCTCCAGCTTGTAGACGGAGATGGCGGGACCTCTCAGCCTCCACAGTCATGTGAGCCAATTCCCATAACAAGTCTCCTCTTATATATCTATAGCTAGGTATCCTATTGGTTCTATTTCTCTGGAGAACTCTGACTAATACAACCATCCATACGAATACTATCAGCATTCACCTCACCATGATTCTGTACCAGACACTGGCTGACCACCTAACATGAATCATGCTTTTCTCACCCAACTCCGCGACTGTCAACTCTACTTCTATCACCCATTCACAGGTGAGGGCCTTCTGTATTCTCATCAGCCCCATCTCTGAGCACAGTCCTTTGCAGAGGTTTTCCCAGTTCTCCTCTTCCTTCTCCTCCTCCTTGTGACCAGGGCTAGCATCTTTTTTCTTTTTTTCTTTTTTTTTTTTTGAGACAGTCTCACTCTGTTGCCCACTCTGGAATGTAGTGGTGTGATCTCAGTTCAAACCTGCACCTCCTGGGTTCAAGCGATTCTCCTGCCTCAGTCTCCTGAGTAGCTGAGATTACAGACACATGCCACCACACCTGGCTAATTTTTGTATTTTTAGTAGAGAGAGGGTTTTGCCATGATGGCCAGGCTGGTCTTGAACTCCTGACCTCAAGTGGTCCACCTCCCTTGGCTTCCCAAAGTGCTGGGATTACAGGCATGAGCTACCACGCTTGGCCAGAGCTAGCATCTTAGTCTCACAGTGGCCCCTGCTCTCTAGGTCCTCAGCCCTTAGCCCTGCTGTCACCCACCCACATCCTACAACCCCTCCACTCCCTCTTCTCCGTGTCTGTTGTCCAGGGTGAGACCAAGTCCAAACCTGAGCTTCCTGCTAAGTCAAAGTGACCTTTTCCTTTCAGTCAGGGAAGCCTGACTGAAGCCTGTGGTCCCACGGTGAGGTCTTGGTGTCTCTAGGCACAGTGCATCCATGTTGCAGTGATACCCACCTTTGCCAGCAGGGGGCATCTCATCTCCAAGACTGGAAAAACCTCAGAGAAGACAGAGGAACAGTCTTAAACATTCACTCCTGGCCAGGCTCAGGCCTGTAATCCTAACACTTTGGGAGGCTGAGGTGGGTGGATTACAAGGTCAGAAGATCGAGATCACCCTGGCCAACACTGTGAAACCTCGTCTCTACTAAAAATACAAAAAAAAAAAAAAAGTAGCCAGTCGTGGTGGCCTTTAATCCCAGCTACTCAGGAGGCTGAGGCAGGAGAATCACTTGAACCCAGGAGGTGGAGGTTGCAGTGAGCTGAGATCACACCACTGCACTCCAGCCTGGGTGACAGAGTGAGACTCTGTTTCAAAACAAACAAACAAACAAAAACATTCATGACTGGTGGGGTCACAGGCCTCAGGGTGCATGAACTCCAGGCTGGGTGTCCCTTGGAGCCTCCCTCTCTGCATGTGGACAGGTAGGGGCAGCCAAGGGCCAGGTTTTAGTGCTGTTCGGGGTCATCTGCAGATGGCTTTTCACTCCTTCCTACTCCCTTTCCTTGTACCAGAAGCTCATTTCCATGGCTAAAGGAAAATTCTCATATAATTTTATCTTCCTTTTCTTATTTAATGATTGCATCATATGCTTTCTTCTACAAGATGCACTGGCTCAGAGGCCTGTGCCCAGGGCAGATCAGGCTATAGGTTGGCTAGTCCTGAGGGCACCGGCCTGAATCCTGAAGGCACTGGGGACAGGCCCCAACAGAGCCTGGGGCTCAGGAAAAGGCCACCAACCTCCTAGCCAGATCCTGGCCAACTGCCAGCTCTGCCTCCACCCAGTCATCTCCCAGGGCCTGAACTCTGGGTCTAGAAGCTCCAGGACTGGTGGTCTGGGGGAGATACGGGCTGGAAGGATCCCTCGGAAGAGGAGGCAGCAGACAATCTCTGTACAGCTTGAGAGGGTGCACAGCTATAGGGTGAGGCCCGGCCCACCCAGCACAGATCCACTGACCTGCTGTGCAGCTGCAGGCCCAGCTGCTTCCCTCTACCGACCTCAGTCTCCTCACCTGTGCAATGGGCATCATTCAGCCCCAACATGCAGGGGATGCTCGTGAATGGAAGGGAGCTGAGGCATTGAGAAAGCAGATTTGCCCCAAGAGAAGGAAGAGTGGGTCAAGGTTGGTGGGGAAGGATGGATGAGGCCACCTCGGGGAAAGCCAGGGGCTGCCTTCCTGGAAGTGCTCAGGGCAGTCAGGTGGGGCAATTTCTGAGGCAGTGAGCAAGAACTGTGGGCTGGGGACCAGGTGAGGTTGTCTCTATAGTGTTCTGGGGTGGCCAGCCGCTGTGTCACTGTTTCTTCCTGTTTGTCCTCACCCCTGCCCATGGGGAGCCTAGAGATGAGCCCAGTGAGCTCACTGTGAGTCACTGTGACCCACATGCAGTCATTAGAGCCATGCATCATCATCACAACAGCCACCAGGTTAACACTTGGGTAATTTATCCAAATAATGACTCACCTGTTCTGACCTGATTTGGATGATATGCCATCATTTAGTGTAGCCATAGTTTATTCAGTCATTCTCCTATTGGATCGTTAATTAGTGTTTGATTTACTTTTTGACCATCCAGACCTGTAATGAGAATTCTTGTACATGCAGTGATGTTCATAGAGTAACCCTACTTGTAATAGCTAAAAACTGGAAACAACCCAATTACACACCAATAAGAAGTCACATAAATAAATTCTGCCAGATTCACACTATGAATTACTGCACAGCTATGAGAAGGAATGAGCTAGACCATGCAGAGACATAACATTAGGTGAAAGAAGTCAAATACAAAAGAGGACACGCTATGTGATTCCCTTTCTACATGGCTCAAAAGCAAATAACAATAGTGTTTAGGCATACATATGCCTATATTATAACAATTTTACAGACAGCAAGGATTCTAATTTGCCTGGTGGGCAAATTTTCTTAATTTTTGAAATTATACAGTAAAATGGACACTTGAGGTATAGTTCTACGAATCTGAACGCATGTATAGATAGATATAACCACCATCACAGTCAGTATCCAGAACATATGCATCACCCCAAAGAACTTCCTGGGTTCCTTGTGCTGCCCTTGTATAGTCACTTCCTTCTCCCACCCCTAAGCGCTGGCACCCACGGATCTGTTCTCTATCACTATACTATTGTCTTTTCCAGGATATCATAGAAATGGAATAATACAGCCTGTAGTCTTTTGAGACTGGCTTCTTCACTCAGCATAGTGTCTTTGAGTTTAATTCAAGTTGTTGAATATATCAATAGTTCTTTTTTTCAGAATAATATTCTATTGTATGAGTGTAGCAGATTTTCTTTATCCATTCACCCATTGAAGGACATTTGGGTTATTTCTAATTTGGTGTAATTGTGAACATTTGTGCCATAAACGTTTGTGCATGAATTTTTGTGTGAATATAAATTTTCATTCTTCTATGATAAATATCCCAGATGTCCAATCTTTACAACACCATTTGTTGAAAAGACCATCCCCTTTCTTTTGAATTGCCTACAAAAATAAGATCAATTGATTTTTCTTTTTTTACAAAGGTGCTTTTATTTTTGGGCTATGTATGAAACTGTCAAGATTGTTCTAGTATTATAATACTTTTTAAATTTTGTTCTTTTTCAAAGTTATTTTGATGGTTCTAGTTCCTTTGCCTTTCCTCATAAATTTTAGAATCAGTTAGTCTGTATCTAAAAAAAAATTTCTGCTGGGAATTTGATTGGAATTGCATTAAATCTATACATCAATTTGGGGACATCATGCCTACATTGAGTCTACCAATCTATGAGTACAGTATGTCCCTCTCTTTATTTAGTTCTTCTTTTAATTCTTTCATTCACTTCTGATGGTTTTCAGCATATGACTCCTGCACATGTTTTGTCAGATTTTGAGGAGCAGCTATTGTAAATCTTATTGTGTATTTTTTAAAATGTTTGTTCCTGGAACTTCATTACTAGTCTATAGAAGTGCTTTGATTTCTTTGTTGAACGTGTATCCTGCAATGTTGCTTAACTCCCTTGTTCATTCTAGAAATATTTTTTATGAATTCAGCAAGATTTCCAACAAGATAATCATAACATCTGTGAGTTGGAGTAGTTGTAGACCCTCCTTTCCAATCTGTACACCATTCATTTCCTTTTCTTGCCTTTTTAAACTGGTTGGAACTTCTAGTACAATACTGAATAGCAGGGGTGAGAGTTAGCAACCTTGCTTGGTTCCTGATGTTATGGAGAAAGCAGTTAGTCTTTATTAAGTATAATGTAAGGTGTAGGATTTGCTTTTAGTTGCTCCATATCAAGTTAAGCAAGCTCCTTCTACTCCTGGTTTGCTAAGTGTTTGATACTGTTGTCTGTAATCATAAATGGCTGTTGAATTTTGTCAAAGGCTTTTTCTGCATCAAAGTTTGACCATGTGGTTGGGATTGGGGTTTTTTATTTTTATTTTTTCGGCATGTTAGTATGCTGAATTGCATTGATTATTTTTGGAATATTGAACCAGCTTTGTATTCTCAGGACAAACCCCACTTGGTTGTGGTGCATTATTCTTTTTATATATTATTGGATTCAATATTAACAAAATATTTGTTTGCTAATATTTTGTTGAGAATTTTCTGCATCTATGTTCATAGGAGAGATTAGATTATATTTTTTAAGCTATCTTTGTCTGATTTTGGTGTCAGAATAATGCTGATCTTTTAAGATGATTTGGTAAATATTCCAACTGTCAATTCCATCTTTTAATAGGTATACATCTATTCAGATTATGTTTATTTTTGAGTGAGCTTTGGCAGTTTGTGTCTTTCAAGGAATTGTTCCATTGTCATCTAAGCTGCTGAATGTATATGTGTAGAGTTATTCATAGCATCCTTTTCATTTTTGTGTGGCCTCTAACTTGTATTAAACTTTTCAAAGAACAAATGCAATCTTGGCTCACTGCAGCCTCAACCTCCTGGGCTCTAGTGATCCTCTTGCCTCAGCCTCCTGAGCAACTGGGACTACAGACACACTATCATGCCCAGCTAACTTTTGTACCTTTTGTAGAGATGGGGTTTCATCATGTTGCCCAGGCTGGTTTCATACTCCTGAGCTCAAGCGATCCGCTTGCCTTGGCCTTTCAAAGTGCTGGGATTACAGGCATGAGCCACCGTACCCGGCCTGGTGCTTCCATTCCTGAAGTCTGGCATCTTAGCACATGCTAATCAGAGGGTACCTACATGACCAGCATCAAGTAAAAGTCTTGGACACTGACTCTCTAATAAGCTGCCCTGGTAGAAAATATGTCACGTCACACATGTCACAATTCATTGCTGGGGGAACGAATTCTGTGACTCTCCTAGAAAAGAACTCCTAGAAACTTGGGCTGCTTTCCTCAGGCCATTGGTCCATACACCTTTTCTTTGCTAAGCTTGCTGTATACTTTCATTGTAATAAATCTTCATCACCATGAGTCCAGCTATATGCTGACTGTGAGTCCTGTGAGTCCTCCCAGCAAATAATAAAAAATGGGAGTGGTCTTGGGGACCCCTGACACAGTTGTCACAATGGTTGGATTTGCCAGAATAAGCCTGACTCACTAAAATATGGTGAAAGCCTTGTTTGAGTAAAGAAAGACTGAAGGAGTAGGGGGTGATGAAGGTGCTCAGGTGATTATGGCCTTATGCATACTGTGAAACAGTAGCTAGCTTTTGTCTCTTGTGAGAGGTAAATGTTACTTATAGATTTTAAAAAGAACACATCCAACTCTGGGAGACCTGAATCACTGCATTCCTTGGCGTCTTTCGCCATGCTGGAGATGGGGGGTGGGAACACAGCCAGGTGAAGATTTTGGTGTTTTTCCTTTCCTCCAAATAGAAGAAAGGGGCTGGGAATGCACAAAAGTAATTTTAGGGTGGCGAAAAATGTTAAAAATTTGGGCTTCTCTCTCCTCCAAGTGGAAGGGAAAAATATTAAATCAGTTCCCTGCGCTGGAGCAAAGCTTAGATAAACCAAGTAGAGGGAAAAGGAAAAAATCCTCCAGTCTTTTCTTCAGCTTTGCTGCTGCTACTGCAGCCCCTCCCAGCCTTCCAGAAAGAATCTCTCCTGGCAGCTATGATGTTAACCTTATAATTGCAATGAGAGCCAAAAAAAAAAAGGAATTAAAAGTGGCTTTTTAATTTATGGCTGTTACATCCAGATATATAATAAAAGTGATGTGAAATGTTATATACTTATAATGTCATAAATGCTAGAGGGACCATCCCCTTCAGGGAAAGCTGGACAGGAAAAAGATTTTAATGGGATACAACTTTTTTGCTTTTTGACTCAGGTGAGGATATTGGAATTTAAAGTCAAATTTAGCTTTGAATGTTACAAAGAAAACGAATCTCCATAATAGGATTTTTGCTCTGATGATTGCCTTTGGAACAAGGAAGGCAACATGAAAAGATAGGCAATGTCCAGGTGGAGGTGCACTTTTAGAGTTTTTGAAGTGGTTTTCAATTGTTAATGAACTCTAATGAAATCAGATATCTGACCCTTAGAGAGTGAAGATTTGTCAGCCAGATGTGCACATTTTTGAGTGGGTCCATTAAATTCTAAGGCTGACAAGAAAATTGGGCTTAGGATAATTTTGCTTGTTACTTCAGCTTGGAACAAGGCTGTCTGGTTTTCAGCTTCTTCTTTTTGCTGCTGCCAAAGAAAAGTCTCTTTGTTTTGTTTTGTTTTTTCATATGCTGAATTCATAGATCCTAATGGCCTGGACCTCACTGTAAGCTGAAATTGATATTGTCTGCTATGGGCTATTTCAGCCTCAGTAGGAGCTGTGCAGAACCTGAAGCAGGCACAGGCTCAATACACAGGACTCTGACTCTGTAACTTTTACAGAATTAAAATTTTTTATTTTTTTTTTAATCTTTTGTTAGAGATGGGGTCTCCCTGTGTTGCCCAAGTTGGTCTCAAACTGCTGTGCTCAAGAGATCCTCCTGCTTCGGCCTCCCAAAATGCTGGGATTACAGGCATGAGCCACCATGTGTGGCTGACTTTTACAGATTCAAGAAACCCCTCTGTAAAGACTTCAACAATAGAAACATCAAGGATGCTTGCTGGGCCATCTGGGTCACTTGCAGTTGCCCATGGAAAAGGGCTTATTCTCTGATGGGACCATTTACAATCTAGGGGCTTATCAGCTCTATTTCTGATGCAAAGGCTAATTACATTCCTCATTTGTTATTCCTGCCGAAACTGAAGGGAAGGGGAGAATATATCACAGAGAGTGACTCCTCCATGCACTCCTGACAGATCAGTCTCTAGATCTCCTCTAGGGAATATGTCACTGGTATTGACTTGGGGTTCCCCTTTCTTTTTTGTTTTCTCCTTCCTCCTTCCTCCTCTCTTTCTTTCTTTCTTTCCTCTTTCCTTCCTTCCTTCCTTCTCCTTCTCCTTCTTCTTCTTCTTTTGACAGGGCTTCACTCTGTCACCCAGGCTGGAGTGCAGTGGTGCAATAATAGTTCACTGTGGTGTCCACCACCCTCTCAAGTGATCCTCCCACCTCAGCCTCCCAAGTAGCTGGGACTACAGGCACAAACCGCCATGCCCAGCTGGTGTGTGTGTGTGTGTGTGTGTGTGTGTGTGTGTGTAGACATGGGGTCTCACTATGTTGGCCAGGCTGGTCTCAAACTCCTGGCCACAAGGGATCATCCTGCCTTGGCCTCCCAAAGTGCTGGGATTACAGGAATGAGCCACTGCGTCAGGACAGGTTCCACTTTCTAGACTAATTGCAGTTTGCAAGTGTTGTGGCTCAGAAAACAATATCCCAGAATGGAGGCCTCAGAAGCAGCCTCAGAAGTAAAAGTTTTTCTGTGACCTTATCCTGCCCTCTTATCTCTCAGTCCCATTCTCCCTTGAGGCTAGCCATAGAAACTAGGATCCCTCCTCCCCAAAGTGGGTCTTAGAAACCAGAAGTCCTTTTCTCCAAGCTAGTCATCAAGCCTAAAAATATGATTCTAATTTTCCCTCTGTTTTTCTGTGTAAAAAACAGGCCATAAAGAAATTACCTGTCCTACCTTGTTCAACTATATAAGTCATAAGACACCCATTCCAGAGAGGGTCCTGCCCCCCATACCCAGAAGGAAGGAATGCTGCTCAGAAAGGCCTAGAAGAATCCAGACAGACGGGTCTTGCTGGGTTTCCCCACTCAATCTATTTGCATTAGATCATACCCTTTTTTTCCAATCATATTTTTGCCTGGCTGTCCATACTTTGTTGAACCTGAGCATGAAAATGGACAATGTCCCCTATATTTTTGGATCTTAATTCTGAAGGCTCCCATACATACATATTAAATAAATTTGTATGCCTTTTCTCCTATTAATCTGCCTCATGTCAGGGATTTCCAGTGAGCCTTTAAAGGGCCAAGGCCCATGGCCCCTACATAACAAAGGACTAATAGCCTGACTCTGCTTCCCTAACCTTTCTCCTGGTGCACACACTTTGGTAAGGCACTTTGACCATTCAATACAGCTGTCACCAGCAAAGCATTGAACTTTTCCAGCCTGCTCACTAAATAAATGATAGAGACAAAAGGGATAAGAAGTTATGCAAACCCATCTAAATTTGTTTTAAAATGTGAATTTTCATCCCAATCAATTTCAGAACATCATGAGTATTACTGGTTATTTATTAAATTGTTTTTTCTGGGCTGGGCACAGTGGCTCATACCTGTAATTCTACTGCTTTGGGAGCTGAGGCATGAGGATCCCTTGAGCCCAGGAGGTAGAGACTACAGAGAACCATGATTGTACCACAGCACTCCAGCCTGGGTGATGAAGCAAGACCCTGTCTCAAAAAAAAAAAAAAAAAAAAAAAAAAAACCTCTATGAAAATTATTTTGTTCTGCTTGCATATGACCATTTCAGACAAAAGGTCTAGAGGAGAATCGATGATAATAGAAGAAATGGAAAGTTTCGATTACAGAATGGCACACACTGATTTTCTAACAATGAAGAAAACACGAAACCTGACACCTGGAAAGAGTCAAGCCAGAGAGAGGGGACGTTAATGATCTCTGTTTTTCAAAATGGTTTCTGAAAACTTTCCCTTTTTCCTGAAAAAACGCTCCCCATTCAGCCATCCCAAGCTACTGTAAGTATATTGAAATCACACTGACTGCTGAGCACACAATCACATCTGACAGAGCTGCAACTAGCGAAGGGACAGCAGGGGCAACCCAGCTCCTGAACATCCCACTCAGAACACCTACAGATGTCATCCAGGTTTGTAAAGAGGAAGAACTGGTGTCAATGGTTAACAGAACCTGGACTGACTGCCTTCTGTCAGTCCCTCTGAAACCAAGGACACAAATGACTTGTTTGGAATGCACAGGGAACCCTAGAGGGAAAGGTCCCACAGTGGGAGGCCACCCTGGGGGCCTTTGCAAGTTCCTGCCTGACTAATGTATGTCCTGCTGAGGGTGCACTTAAAATGGTAAATGTTAGGTTTCCAGGGATATAATCATGTACTTGCATGTGCCCCCTAACTATCCTGATACTGACTTAGCTATGAAAGGCCTTCACATCAGCTTCAGCTTACTGGCCAGAGCTATGCTGAGCCTGAATTGGTGGCTTGGGTTGGGCAAAAAAGGTTAATGCAAAAATTTAAGTAGGAAGTCAGCTGCCTTTCTAAGATAAACCTTCATGGTTACTGGGATTTGTATTAATTGGCTGTGATGGTAAACTTGATTTGTCAACTTGACTGGGCCAGAGTACACAGGTATTTGTTCAAACACCAGACTAGGTATCTCTGTGCAGGTAATTTTAAATGAGACTAACATTAAAATCAGTAGACTTTGAGTAAAGCAAATTACACTCCATGATGTGGGTTGGCCTCATCCAATAACTTCAAGGCCTTAAAGAGAAAAAAGACTGGGTTTCCCCCAGTGAAGAAAATATTCTGCCTGCAGACTGTCTGTGAATTTGAGCTATCTTACATGGGTCTCCAGAATGATGTCCTGCCCTACATAATTTGGATTTGCCAGCCCCCACAGTTGCATGAGCCAGTTCCTCAACATCAATTTCAACAATCTCTCTCTCTCTCTTTGTCTTTCTCTCTCTCTCTTTCTACACACACACACACACACACACACACACACACACACACACACACGGAGGAGCCCGAACCAATAGGGTGCTTACATCTGGGACCCTTAAAGGGCATAACAGAGATCAGTACTGCAGGTTGGTCTCACTCTGCTGCATGGGTTCTAAGGCAGAGTGCTGTGGTGTTCCCCTCCCACCCTCTACAGACTGACATCCGTGTGGCTCATCACTGTGATGCAGGGTTTGGCCATCCAACCATTAGAAATCACTACAATTCCACAAGGGTTCTCTGCTCTCCTTCTGCCTGTCATGTACTCTGTTCTATCCGGAAGACACAGCGATCTACTGGATACGATTCCAACCTTCCAGGAATGACCTGAAAACCTGGTGAGGGAGATACACTTGGAAAGAGAAGTTCAGTGAAATAACAGCAACAGGCATAGCTGGTGTGTTCACCAACTCATGAGAGATCACACTATCAACATCTTCCACTTGATTTTCCCCATCAATTAACAGCTTATCCTGGAAACAATCCCTTTGGTAGGTAAGTTGGATTCCCCTCATTGTTTCCCCAAGGCATGTGGAGCTACAAAGCAAACTGATACTGGTATGTTGTGTGAGAGTGGAGTCCAAGAATGGAATGCTCTGCAGTGATGTGATTGCCAAAGCAGTCAATTAGTCTTTGTAAGTTCCCAGATGAAGTACCATTTACAAGCCTCTCTCAGTTTACAGGGAGTGACATGTATGGAAAATCCAGTTTATTTAAGACTCTGGAAAAAGTCATTTGCCTCACTGTAACACTCAGTCCCCAAATGCCAGTAGACTCCGCCAATCATTCCAACAATCAAAGCTGCCCTCCAAAATGCCCCAAAGTGGGCAATGATATTCTGGCCACCACTTTAGAATTCATAAGAAGTACCCTCAAAACTCTTATTTACATCAAAAGGATAGGAATGTTGCAGTCGGTACAAAGGAAATAACACAGCACCATGGAGCAGGACACAATATTCCCGAGAAAGGATTGTGGGCACCTTCCTCCTCTGTGTTGCTTTCTGTGATTAAAAAAAAAGTGGTTCAGGGCCAGCTGGGGTGTGCAGTGAAGCTTCATTTCAAAGGTCAACCACTGCCATGGGACATTGATGCTCAGGATGGTTCTGTGGTAGTCATAACTCTGGTATCCTGAGACTAGTGTCCTTCTCCTAGGCAAGGGCAGCCCCAGGCTGGGGCACAGGAGAAAAGGCCCAGGCTAGGTTGTCAGTCTGCTAGGGACAGCTGTTTGTTGTGGGATCACAGATGAGATCAGGAGAAGGACAACTGAAAGGAGAAGAGAGGAGACCATCTCACACTGTCCAATATCACACTGTCCTGATTACCATAGTTACCATACACATCTTGAAATCAGGTAATAAGAGTCTTCCAATATTCTTTGTCTTTTATAAAATTGTTAGGCTATTATATTCCCTTTTCTTTTCCATATAAATTTTAAAGTCAGCTTGCCAATTTCTATTATAGAAACAAAAGGCTGCAAGGATTTTGATTGGGTTTACATTGAATGTATAGATTATTTGAGAGAAACTTATATATTGATAATCTTCAGTCTTGCAATCCATTAACATGGTATGTCTCTTCATTTATTTCAGCTTGCATTAATATTTCTCAGCAATGCTTTTCAGTCAGGTCTTGCACACATTTTGTTAAATTTTACCACTAAATATTTCATGGGGTTTTTGGTGCTATATTAAGTGATATTGATTTTTAATTTTCAATTGTTTGTTGCTGGTATATAAAAACAGCATTGACTTTTGCATATTTATCTTGAGCATGTTACTTTGCTAAACTCACATTTATGTTCAAGTCATGGAATAAATTCCATTTGGCTATGATGTAAATTTTTTATATATTGCTAGTTTTTATATATTGCTAATTTTTATTACACATTTTGTGTCTATGTTCATGAGTTATATTGGTCTGTCATGTTATTTTCTCATAATGTTTGGTTTCGATATCAGGTTGACGCCAGCTCTGTAAAGTGCTTTGGAAAGTGTGATCTCTCACCAATTTTCATGAAGAGTTTGTGTAGAATTGACATTAATTTTTTTTCCATCTCCCTTTCCTGGTATGGAATTGTTTCTTCCACAAACGTTTGGTGGAACGCTTGGCAGAATTAGCCAATGAAGTCACCAGAAACTTGAAGTTTATTTGAGAAAAATCTTTGTTTTATTTATTTGTTGTTTTTATGAATTCCTTTTATTTTTATATAGATATATATGTCATCTATTTATTTTTGAATAAGTTTTGTTAGCTAGGGTCCTTTGAGGAACTTTCCCATTAAATTAAAAAAATACATTTTTTTGATAATATTTTTCATAATGTATCATACATTTAATATCTGAAGGATCTGTATTGATGTGTCCTCTAGTATTCTCTTTCTCTCTATCATCAGTCTGGCTAAAAGTTTATTAATTTTTCTGATCTTTTCAACTAAACAACTTCTGGTTTCACTGATTTTTTTCCAATTGAAGTTCTCATTTCTATTTAATTTATTTCTCCTCATATCTTAATTAATTTTTCCTTCTTCTTGCTTTGGGTACATTTTATTTTTCTAGTTTCCTGATGTGGAAGCTTAGATAGTTGATTTGGAACTTTTCTTCCTTTTTGGTGTAAGTACTTCATGCTATAAGTTTCCTTCTATGCACTGTTTTAGTTTCATCTTGCAAGTTTTGATATTTTGTGTTTTTATCTTTAAATTTTCCTTGTAATTTCTTCTTTGAGCTCTGAATTACTTAAAAGTATTGTTTAATTTCTAATATTTCATGGATTCCACATATCTTTCTATAAATAATTTCTATTTCAAATATTTTGTGGTCACAGAACATGTTTTGTAAAATTTCGTTCCTTCTGAATTTGTTGAGGTTTGGTTTTCAGCCCAGAATATCATCTGTCTTGGTGAACATTCCATTTACACTTGAGAAGAGTAGGTATTCTACTGTTGTTCTGAAAATATCAATTAGGCCAAGCTGGTGGATAGTGCTCTCTCTATATATAGATATTATATATATATATATATATATATATATATATATATATATATATATATGTATATATGTATCTATGTCTATATATATCCATATACATATATATACATTATTAGGCTTTTTCTCATTTTTAGGGCTAAAGTGACTTTCTGTTGAGGCTTTCTGCATCTTATGTGGAGGTAGAGCTCTCCTTTGTCAATATTTTGACTACTGGTACAAAAATACAGCATTCAAATATTTGAATTAAAATATAATCCAGGGACAAGCTGAGTATGGCTTGCAAGCTAACTCCAGCCCATGGCTTATTTCTGCACAGCCTTGGAGATAAGGATTTTTTTTTACATTTTAAAGTATTTATATATATATATATCTCCTGAATTTTTGTTTCTACCAATTGCTAGGAGGAATGTTGAAGTCTTCAATTATAACTGCAGATGTGTCTATTTCTTCTTTCTGATGTATCAGTTTTTCTCTCATATATTTTGAAGTTGCATACATATTCATGGTTTTATGCCTTCTCAATAAATGCAACTCTCTATGATTGTTGTGTGATGCCCCACTTCATTCCTTGTAATACTCTCCACTATAAAGTATGCTTTGTGAGGTCTTAATTTAGTACCTCTAGTTTTTATGTGATTTATATTTGCAAGGTCCATCCTTTACTTTTAACTTATTTATTTCTAACTGGGGTTCTTTTTAACAGTATATAATTTGTTCTTGCTTTTTTTTACCCAGTCTTATAAACTCTGACTGTTTTGTTTTTTTTTTTTTGAGACAGGATCTCATTCTGTCTGTGAACATGGATTCCACTTGTGTCTGAGACTTCCAGGGATTCCAGCTCTCCCAATTGCCTGTGTTTGGCCTTTATGAATGTGTTACATTTTCAGTTGTTTCCTTCTTACCCACTTTTATGGCTGTCATTTCTTCCATACATGCTGTGCCGGAGGTGACGCAGTTTGTGTGTCTCATCTCTCCTCAGAATGACTTGTCACCCTTTTATATCATGGAACATATATCATGGGAACATGGCTGACTTGTTAGCTCTCTGACGATCTAATAAAAAACTGTAATGTCATACATTATTAGGCTTTTTCTCATTGTTAGGGGTAAAGTGACTTTCTGTTGAGGCTTTCTGCATCTTATGTGGAGGTAGAGCTCTCCTTTGTCAATATTTTGACTACTGGTACAAAAATACAGTATTGAAATATTTGAATTAAAATATAATCCAGGGACAAGCTGGGTATGGCTTGCAAGCTAAATCCAGCCCATGGCTTATTTCTGCACAGCCTTGGAGATAAGGATTTTTTTTACACTTTAAAGTATTATTTTTTAAAAACACAACAATATGCCACAGAAACGATGTGGCCCATAAAAACTGAAGTATTTACTACCAGGCCCTTTAAAGAAAAATTTGGTGACCCTGTATTCATCTAATATCTATTATTCTGCTTTATATTATTGCATACATTTTCATCCATTTATTTATTTACTCACATATTGAAAAGCATGGATTACTTTTTGATCTTGCCCTATCCCCTCAATAAAGCATCCAGCTTTATGATGCCATGGTCTCAATCTGGGAAACTTGGCCCAGGGCTCAGGTGAATACACAAACATATATCTGAGGTAGGAGACCGGCAGGACTTGTTTCTGGCTATAACCCTGCTGACTAAAACAGGATCTGAATTGGGAGGCTGAGGTGGGAGGATCACCTCAGGTCAGGAATTCGAGACCAGCCTGGCCAACATGGTGAAAACCCATCTCTACTAAAAATACAAAAATTAGCCAGGCATAGTGGCGTGCACCTATAATCCCAGCTACTCTGGAGGCTGAGGCATGATAATCGCTTGAACCCGTGAGGCAGAGGTTGCAGTGAGCCAAAATCGCACGGCTGCACTCCAGCCTGTGTGACAGAACGAGACTCTGTCTAGAAAAAATTTTAAAAATAAAATAAAACAGGATCTGATTCAGACAGGATAAAGGGAAGAAACTGGCAGAAACTAGCAGATGGCCATGAGAGTGATCCCTGGCTGCCCTCCTTGCTTATTAGCATGGGACGCTCCCACCCAGCAGCATCATAGATTACAAATGCCTTGGCAAGAACCCAGAAGTTACAACAGCTTGCCATTGCAATGGGCTGGAAGTTACCAGCCCTTTCCTAAAGAGTTCGAAATAACCTGCTCCCACCCCTAAATTTGCATTAACCCGCCCTTAATATACACGTAATTGAAAGTGGGTATAAGTGAGTAGAAATATAGTTGCTAAGACCCCATAGGTTGCTGACTCTTGGTTTACTGCCTATCAGTTAGCCCTGCTCTGTAAGCAGCAGTACCATTCAATAAAAGACTGCTGTCTAACACCACTAGCTTACCTTTGAATTCTTTCCTGGGTGAAGTCAAGAATCATCCTAGATTAAGCCACAATATTGAGGCTCACTTGTCCTGCAGCAGTTTCATACCTTGGCTGTTGTAAATAATGCTTCATAAACATGGGAGTGCAGATAACTTTTCAACATACTGATTTCATGTCCTTTGGATATATATCCAGTAGTGGGCTAGCAATTTTGAGGGGGAACCTCCATATTCTTTTCCCAGTAATAATGTACAAGTGTTCCATTTTCTCACCAGAACTTTCATCCTTTTGATAATAGGCACTCTAACGGGTGTGAGATGAGATCTCATTGGTGGTCTTCATTTGGATTTCCCTGATGATTAGTGATGTTGAGCATTTTTTCATATACCTCTTGGCCCTTTGTATATCTTCTTCTGAGAAATATCTATTCAGATCTTTTGCCTTGTTTTGTCCTGCTTTTGTTTTGAAATAAGGTCTCAATCTATGTCATATGATCAAGGCTAACTGCAGTTTCGACCTTCTAAACTCAAGTGATCTTCCCACCTCAGCCTCCTGAGTAGCTGGGACTACAGAAACGCACCTTTGCTATTAAAAACAGCAAAGTAAAAAGGTAATTTTCACTTTTTTGGGGAGAAAGTTTCTCACAATTGTTAACTGCTTGGAGTTGCATAGTGTAGCCAATGCCAGTTTTATAATGTTTTTATTCCAATTTTAATTTTAGAAATTTCTTTTAAATGTGATATTCAATGAGTATAAGGTAGAAAAAAATAAGAGGGAATTTCTTTCATCTCTTAGCTCAGTGCCCACTAAGACACATGCCACAGGTTTTTGGTTCCTTCAGGTTGTTGTAATAGTTAAACCAGAGAACCCATTAGTAGAAGAATCAATGTCATTGATGTTGCTTTCACAGAAAAGGGACTGGCTCCATAGTCATGATAGTGGAGAAGTTTGGGAGTTAGTAAAGGAGCCAACCTATGTAAGTTTTGCACAAAAAGAGTTATATAAAAATAGCCAACTTCTGAACCCCATGTACATAATGATAGATGAGAAAATATAAATATATTTGGAAGAGACTAAGGCACATTTACAGATGACAGACTCCTAAGTGGCTACTCTGAAAAGCAGAGATATCCTTGAGCATTCAGAGTGATGAACTTTTGTTTCTTGTCTGCTGACTGAACACCATGATTCCTTGCCTTCACTGCAGTGATAAAACGAATAAAGATAAAGATGGGATAGATGTCAGGACATGCTATTACAGCAAATATCATAGCCTTCTTTCTGGCACAAAAAGCTACATTCCATTAACTTTAACCAAGCAAAATCAGAATCCAAGGTACTCTCTATCCTCCACCCACCAAATGATACCTAAAAAGGAAAATTGTCTTTACCAAGAAAATGTACTCAAGATAGCACATTACTATTTATTTCATCAAAGATTTGTGGTTGTATACTCTGTAAAGAAACTTAATATTAATTTTCTTGATGTTAAATATTATTTCTTTTCTGATTAAAAAGTAGTAGATGGTTTTTTTAGAAAATTATAAAATATGGAATAGCAGAATCAAAACTAACATCCACAATTTCACCACTCTGTGGTAAACAATTTGTTGCACTTCTATCCAGTCTTTTATAATTTACTCATCTCTTAAATTGTACACATATATCAAAACATCATATTGTACCCCATAAATATATATATAATTATTATTTATTAATGAAACATTTCTTAAAAAAGAAAAAAATAATGAAAGCCATCAACAACCTTAAAACAATATATAAACAGAAAAATTATTCTTTATATAATATGACAGTGTAAATATTCTTTGTACACACACACAAAAGTCTTGAAATGGGCCGGGCGCGGTGGCTCACGCCTGTAATCCCAACACTTTGGGAGGGTGAGGGGCGTGGATTGCTTTAGCTCAGTAGTTCGAGACCAGTCTAGGCAACATGGTGAAACCCTAGCTATACAAAAATTAGCCGAGCGTGGTGGTGTGCACCTGTTGTCCCAGCTACTTGGGGAGCAGAGACAGGAAGATTAAGCCCTGGAGGTATAAGGTGCAGTGAGTCATGTTTACATGGTGAGCCCCAGACTGGGTGATAAAGTGAGATCCTGTCTCAAAAAAGAAAACAAAAAAAAAAACCCTTGAAATGAAAAAAAAATTAAAGCTCAGTGGAAATAATAAAAGTAAATATAAAAATAAAGTAGAAAATTAGAACCCAAACAGTTCAAATTACAAAGATATATGATCACTTACACACTTTCTAGTAATCTGAGAATAAAAAATAAAGTAAAAATGACATTAAATTTTCTCAGTCAAATTAGAAAACCCTTAATTATTTTTGAAAAAACAAGAAATACCCAATGGATGTTTTTCATAATGATGCAGTAAAATGGGTATTTTTATAAATCACCCATTGCTGAAATTTTTTTGTTTATAATTTTCTGTTTTATAATTTTTCAACAAGCAACATGAAAAACTCAAGATACAAAAGAATGTTTTTAATTATGTTTAAAATAATTTATATTAATGTAAAGACATATTTATGTTATCATGCATACATTTTAGAAACATTGGTCCACTTAAAAAGCACATAACATTCTTCCAAATATTTTCAAACTCGCATTCGCTCTCTTAATATTTTATGGAACTGTCAATCTATTTCCCAACTAATCATTTGAAACCTTTTTCTTTGTTTCTAAACATAATATTAGGAGTTTTTATAATCATCATTAATTATTTCAGAATGCTACTCTACTTATGACAAATATACATTTGTACTTTCACGGAGTAGCAGTATAGCAACATATTTAGCATATAAATAGATTTTTATTCAGAGTTACATCTAAAAATATTACCTATCATTGAAAGCAAATGCTCACATGATAACCACAACTCCAAGTGTTATGGCTTGCTTATAGTACTGATGATGTGTCATTGATTAGATATGATGGTCACATAAGAATGATAAGGATCACACCTAGTACAGGGATCCCGGAAATCTTGTTGGCATCAAATTTGGCTACTTGGTCTTCCTAAACATCCTAAGCTGAAAGTGAAGCTGAATAGAAGATTTAGGACAAGACTTTGTATAAAATGCAAACTTTGAATGACTGTATGCAATGAGAAATATGCCAATAATTAAAGGGATACCTGATTTTAATGAGAAAGAAAACACTACATTCCCTCTGTAGTTTTGAAGTAGAAGAAACGCAGGACTTAATTCCTGGTCCCGAGAGGATGAAGTGAAGAAACCCGCATGAAGCAGCAGATGGCGATAAGAGCAATCCCTAGCTGCATTCATTGCTTATCAGCATAAAACAGACTCATGACAGTTTACACGACATGGCAGCATTCCAGAAGTTACCACCCCTTTCCATGGCAACCACCCAGAAGTTAGTTACTACCACTTTCCATGGCAATGACACAGAAGCTGGCACCCTTTTCCTAGAAAGTTCTAAATAACCCACCCCTCAATTTGCGTTAAACTGACTCATAATTTAAAGTAGGTATAAACGAGTATAAATACAGTTGCCAAGAGCCCATAGGTTGCTGACTTCTGGCTCACTGCCTGTGACTTAGCCCTACTTGGAAAGGAGAAGTACTGTTCAATAAAAGTATTGCTGTCTAACACCACCAGCTCACACTTGAATTCTCTCCTGGGCAAAGCCAAGAACCCTCCTGGGCTAAGCTCCAAATCTGGGCTCACCTGTCTTGCATCAGTTATAAGAGGAGAACGCTTCCAAATATTCCATGATTGCATATTTCTCAAGTTGATTTGTTAAAAATCTTTCATCTTTGTCATAGTCAATGTGTCATTTATCTAAGCATTATGGCGACATAAAAGCTCAGGTGTAACAGGAATTAGTATGATTAAAAATTTAGCAGGATTATTGCCCAATAAGATCTAACATCAAATACTGATATTTAATTGCATTGAACTCCTCCAATTATGTAAGGAAAAGTTTTTAAGAATAAATATTCGTGCTTGAAAATATCTTTGAATACATGTAAAATGGATCAAAACTGAATACCACAGATGTTGCTGTCACTGGATGCCAATAAAGTACATAATAGGAACCATAAGACACAATCAATAATAAAGGGGGAAATAAAAGGGAACATATCAAAGCACCATCACACGAGTGCAGAAGCACACACATGAACACACCCTGCAGCTGCAGAAAGACATGGTGGGAAGTAAAGCCCCACAACTCATCAGCCTTCCTTCTCACCAACTCATGAGTCCACAAGTGAGTTTGCTGAGAGTCAAATGCTCACAGTAAAACTGACAAATTTAAACATCACTCAGAGCTATTTCAAGCATTATGTAGAAAGCTACAGACAACAGTGAACTTGCTCTTAGCAAGTCTTAATCTATCATCCTCATCAATGGCTAAAGAAATTGTCCCTAGACATTTTGTCCAATAACTTCTAAAGTAATGACCTTCAAACTTTTTAAATTACAATTCATGGGAAATACATAGTTTGTATATAATTCAGTAGGGAAATAAATATATGTATGTGTATGTGTGTGTGCAGTCTGTTTGAATATTCTATATGCAGTGAATGCTATTTACTAATTTATTTTATCTCATTTCTTCAAAATGCTGTTTGTGGAGGACAACGTTAATCTTATGAACCACTATGGATGACAAACCAGTATGGAAAAGATTAAAGCCTTTTCACAAGATATCCTCAATGGTTAATAAGTGTTATTATAGAAGTATATGAAAAGACACATGAGAACCCAATGTTGTCTTCCTCCTTCGGAATTCAGTCTTTTCAGAAAAAAAATGGTCGTTTTTGTTTGTTTTTTTTTTTTTTGTTTTGAGACAGAGTCTCCCTCTGTCACCCCAGTCTTGGCTCACTGCAACCTCTGCCTCCCAGGTTCAAGCGATTCTCCCACCTTAGCCTGCCGAGTAGCTGGGATTACAGGACTGCACTACCTCACCTGGCCAACTTTTGTATTTTTAGTAGAGATGGGGTTTCACAATGTTGGCCAGGCTGATCTCGAATTCCTGACCTCAAGTGATCCACCCTTCTCGGCCTCCCAAATTGCTGGGAATACAGGTGTGTGCAACTGCACTTGGCCAAAAACGTGGTCTTTGATATGGGCCACAAAGGCTACCACGAAATATGTAATTACAGAGGAAATGTGTGTTCCATCAGCAGATAACCATGTCTGTTTTGCACAGGTGAAGTGTTACTTGGACAGACATAAAATCACATGCAAAAGGGACAGAAAGTACATGTGACCTCTTGTCCTCTTGGTATCATGAGGAGGCTTTGTTTGGGCTGCAGCATAGCTGAATGTCATGAATTGCATCCATTCACGCGGACCTCCCTGTGAATGCACAGGGACCTCCATTTCCCTTTTGTGCTCCCGCTTTATGAGGCAAATAGGGGAGTTGCAATTAACATGGTAGGTAGTAAATAATTTGACCTCAACCAACAAGCAATCTGAAGAGCTCAGGTGACAGTGTTTACTATGGTACTCTGAAAACTGCCAGCTGCTCAGAATCTGTAGACTTTGTCCCACCCAGCCACAGTCCTGTGGAAATCTCAGTTTGTTCATATTCCAGTGCTTGGAGGATGGGAAGGTCTTGTCATGTGGTGAAATTGAGCCCACCCACAGGTAGATGGGCTGTGTTGGTCCCAGCTCCAACTTCTCCTTTAGCAGCCCTCAGAGTTGCTAGCGTCATGTATCAGGCAAGTCTTCTTGCCTCTAAAGAGTTTCTCATACTTTCTGCTGCTTCCTGTGAGTGTCACAAGGGCTACTTCACAACTTGCTCCCATCCCAATCCAATTATGATCCTTTGAACTCATCCAGCTGGACCAGGGTCACCTGCCATGGGAATAACAGGAGGAAGCTCAAATTTGGGAGGAAGTTAAAACCTGCCCTTTGAAGCTGGAGTGTGTCCACTCAGGAATCATTAAAATCCAGGTCCTTGTGAAGCACATCCATCCAGCCATCTGATGGCATGACTTTGACCATTTGCTAATTCGATGCTCACAGAAAATCTAAACCCAGATGTCACTATCTCTCATTCTTTGAACATTTCTGAGTGCACTATACTAAAAACCGGAGTTAATAAGGGAAAAATGCAAGTAAAATTTAGTAATGACAATGTCCTTGCCAAGAAAAAACAAAAAAGATAACAGATAAACTAAATAATAGTTTATGAGTGCCCTCACTCCTTAAATAAACTTTGAGAACTACAATGACTACTCAAGCCACTTTTTGGAGACAGAGATTGAGGAATCTCTTTTTTCCTACTCAGGGTATTTCCTTAAAAGGAGTGCAGCTGTGGCCAGGCACGGTGGCTCACACCTGTAATCCCAGCACTTTGGGAGGCCGAGGTGGGCGGATCACTTGAGGTCAGGAGTTCGAGACCAGCCTGGCCCACATGGTGAAACTCCGTCTCTACTAAAAATACAAAAATTAGCTGGGTGTATTGGCACGTGCCTATAATCCCAGCTACTTGCGAGCCTGAAGCAGGAGAATCACTTGAATCTGGGGGGCAGATATTGCAGTTAGCCAAAGATCATGCCACTGCACTCCAGTCTGGATAATAGAGTGAGACTCCGTCTCAAAAGAAAAAAAAAAAGAAGCTCAACTAGATAGAATATATAGATGTCAGTTCAACAATATATCCTAATTTATTTATAAAAGGCTACATTCTGATCAGGGCTCCCTTCCTATCCTTCCCTTCCATATACTATTCCCCACATTAACTGCTAGGTAATATAAAAGTAATAAGAACAGGAGTCATGGACATAGTTTACTGTCTACATTAACAAGAGTTTATATTCCACTGTCTTCATTATCATAATTTTACTAATACAGGAATCTCTTACCAAGGAAAATAAAAGTTTCAAAAAAACTTTATTGTTCTTTCCAGCAATTGCCTGAAAGATCCATCAACTCCTCAATAAAAAGTGTCAAATGACATTTTTCAATCCCAAAACTCTTTGAACCCATTGCCTAAAAAGTCTTGTTGCATCCACCAATCCTAAATCATTGTCATTCCTACCCAATTCTAACCAAACCATCCCCCACTTTAAAATACCCACTTTATACCGGACATGAAAAGCACAACAAATATACCCAAAGCCCTTCCACATCTGACATACTAGTGCCTCTGTGGAGGTAGTGCTCTACCTTATAGCTTTATTTAAATAATGTCAGCGCTGTCTTATGAACAGGTTATTTGGCTGCTATTTGGGGAGTAGAGTATATGATGAGCACAGTCACCACTGCTGTACATCATGTCACAATAAACTAAGTTTAAATCCTAGGACCAATGTTGTATTAGTCCGTTCTCATGCTGCTATAAGGACATACCTGAGAGTGGGTAATTTATAAAGGAAAGAGGTTTAATTGACTCATAGTTCTGCAGGGCTGGGGAGGCCTCTGGAAACTTAACAATCATGGAAGAAGTGGAAGCAAACACATCCTTCTTCACATGGCAGCAGGAGAGAGAAGAGTGAGCAAAAGGGGAAAAGCCCCTTATAAAACCATTAGATCTTGTGAAAACTTACTCACTATCAGGGGAACAGCATGAAGGTAACCACCCCATGATTACATTACCTCCCACAGGGTCCTTTCCATGACATGTGGGGATTATGGGAACTACAATTCAAGGAGAGATTTGGGTGGGGACAGAGTCAAACCACATCATATGTATGGATATTTCTGAACCATACACTGTCTGAATGACCTACAGGTATATTCAGGGAAATCAGTTACCAGTCCAGAGATTAAAATGTGCAATAATACCACCTAAAAAAGGAAGAGGTGTGAATTTATTTAGTCTACAGAAGTGGTTCTATTCATTGGTAGCATGGCAGAAAACCTCAGACCAGAGAAGGAAGTGATTAATCAAAGTATGAATAAAAATTGGCCAAGGTGGGAGGATCACTCGATCCCAGAAATTGAGACCAGCCTGGACAATGTAGTGAGATTCTGTCTCTAAGTAAATAAATAAATAAAATAGCTGGGCATGGTGGCACACACCTGTAGTCCCAACTACTTCGGAGGCTGCGTCTTGAGTATTGCTTATGCCCAGGAGATCCAGGCTGCAGTGAGGTAAAGTCATGCCATTGCCCTCCATCCAGGGCGACAAAGTAACACCCTGTCTGGAAAAAAAAAGCATGTATAAATATAAACATTAAAATAATTTATTTCTGTCACAAAAGGTCTTTCTGAGACACATCAACCACTAAGGGTGACATGGGACTCTCTGTTCCCAAAGTTTCTGGATGCATGAGAATGGTAGGACAAGAGAGAGAGAAAAAAAAATATCTCTTAAGTCCCTTTCTTTCTACTACAAACATACTGGGGATTCTGGTTTTGGGACAGTGGGAAAACCCTGGCTGGCCTTGCATGTGCCTGACTCAGTGTGAACGCCCCTTACTGCCCAAGTCCCTTGTTGCCCATGCGCCTTACTGTCTGCCTTCTGTCCCAGCAGAGCTGTGCAAAGAGACATCGTGACTTCCTTCTGTCTTGCCGACTAGGAGTCAGCCAGTAGGTCTGCAGTTCAGTAGTCCTAGAAGTTTGAGTGTGAGTGAGTGTGAGGAGGAGCCTGCGGGCACGATCCATGGCCTCCTAGGTGGAAGGGCTTTGAGGTCCCCGTCCTTCTAACACGCAGCGATGCAGCCATGGCCTTGCTGTGGTGGGGGTGCCGGACAAGGGAGGGAGAAGGACCATAGATGGGAGGAGGGTCAGGTAAACAAGCAGTGAGTTTTGAAGGGGGAAACTATTTGTGGTATTTGAGTCCGCGAGGCATATGAAACTGCTTACAGACGATGCATTCCAGAGTCCTCAGTGGGAACCAGGGAGGGGAGGGAGGACTGCATGACGCGGGATGGGGTGGGGCGAGGCGGGGCACTGCAGCACACAACGCAGGCACCGACTTCAGTGTGCATGTTCCTTGGACACCTGCCTCAGTGTGCATGTTCACTGGGCATCTTCCCTTCGACCCCTTTGCCCACGTGGTGACCGCTGGGGAGCTGTGAGAGTGTGAGGGGCACGTTCCAGCCGTCTGGACTCTTTCTCTCCTACTGAGACGCAGCCTATAGGTCCGCAGGCCAGTCCTCCCAGGAACTGAAATGTGAGTGAATGTGAGGAGGAGTGAGCGGGCTTCCAGAGGGTCAGGCGGCGTGGTCTGTGGCCTCAGAGAGTAAAAAGCTTCCAGGTCATAAGGAAGGTGGGCCGCGGAGTGAAGGGGAGCCAGATGAAGATAGGGTGAATGCTCGGGGTGCTGTTGGAGGTATCTGAGTCCCGAAAGTGCCTGGAACTCCCAATGGGACAGATTCCAGACTTCTTGGTAGGGACCCAGGAATGGGCTGTGTAAGCGGTAAGAAAGGGGCCTGGGAAGTGGGAATGCTATGAGCTGGTGACCGCGACCCCGAGGTCTGTAGAGCTCCGGGTAGAAATGTCCAGCGAGGAGCGTCCAGTGATGTGTCACAACTTCTCAACTCCACCCTGGAGGTTCGAATGGGCGGGACTGTGCTTTCCAACAAAACCTTGATTTTAGGGAGGGAAATCGTCCAAACAAATGGGTGTGTGACGAAAGCCGTGGTCACTGCAGTTTTAATTCTCTAGCTGTATAAACTTAAATGTCTCCACTATGGAGAATCCAACTGTGAAACCAAATCTCATCAGAAATATCCTGTATCTTTTGCCAGGAGCATTAAGACATTGCTCTGCTAGATTGCCCAACTTAAGTGGCTATGCAAGCATTCGATTCAGAAGATGTACACACTTCTAGTTGCCCTGGGACTTACTTTCAAATTATTTCCAAACTTTTTTAAAAACTGAAATTTAACATTTGGCCATGAAAGTGGTCAAATACAGCTATCCTCTCAAACACACTTTCCCAATCACAGTATTCTGTTTGCAGAGTGAAATATGAGTTGGCGAGGAAGATCAACATATAGGCCTAGGCCAAGAAGAAGTTTACAGCCTCCTGAGCTGATTGGGGCTATGCTTGTGAGTGCTTTAATATTTTGATGTTTTTTATTAGCAGAAATTTCTTTTGTGATAGTGTTGTTGAACTAGTATAGATACACTGATAAAGGTCTTCCATGTTGATAAAAATGATCATGCATCTCATGAAGGAAAGACTAATCCAAGAGTATTACAATCTGATTTTGCCTTCATGGATAATCTTGTGTTCCCCATCATGACTTCCTCCTCATGCTTACTGATAACAGATTGCACACATCCAACCCAACATAGATTAAAATGGTTTCCAAAGCCTTTGAGGGTAACTGTCTTAGAGTAACCTCTCTTTGGGAAGAGTAACTTTGTGAAGAATAAGTATGTGGAACAGTGTTGGAGAAGTGTCTTTAGACTTACTTGTGATTAGAAATACCTGTGTATTCTGTATATTTGTATTATTGACATGTATTACTAACAAAACTTTTTATCTGCACACATACTGCCTCCCCTTTGTCCCAGGAACCCACTGATGAAGAGCCTAAAGAAGAGAAACCACCCACTAAAAGTCGGAATCCTACACCTGATCAGAAGAGAGAAGATGATCAGGGTGCAGCTGAGATTCAAGGTGCTGGGAAAGGAAAGAAATAATGCCTATAGGGGGAAGGAGGCCTATGTGTCCATCATGCCTTATGCCATGACCAGTAATAGGAGGAAAGAAAACATTAGGAAAGGATCTCAAGCACTTGCTCAAAGTAGGCTGGAAAAGTGAAGAGTATAGTTTGCAGCTTCATGCAGTCCCTGGATATAATAAATCTTCTCTTTTTTTCAAGATTTATTTTGTATGCTTGAAAATACATCCCTTGCTAAATCAGATGAAACTGTTTAATTTGATGTATCAAAATGTACATTATTTCACTTGATTAATTTGATCTTCTTAGAATGTTGCTGTATGATTGGCTCAGCCATGGTGTCCACAGTGTTATAAGCACCCTTTTATAGCATATAGAGTGCCAAGTCACCCTACCTTATAACACCCTGAATAAAGCCCATTTGCATAGGGATATTAGCCCTATTTTATAAAAAGGAAATGGTTGCTCAGAGATAGAGGCTTACCAAGAACGCTTGAGTCATGGAGGCAGAATTCATATTACGTTCCAAGGTCTGTGTTCTTCCTAACATCTACGTTATTAGAAAACGTGAATTATTTTGCTTAAAACGCTTAATACTCGAATGTGTCTGTACTGTAAGGTACTTGAGTATTGGCTCAGGAGAAAACAAATTCAGTGAAGCAGGATAGCAAATCCGGAAAAGGGCTCAATGAATGACAGCCACTGTTCCCTTTGATCAGTATTTTTTGACAGTATGTTTGGTAAAAGGTGGATAGTTCAGGACACTGGCATACAGGTAGGTATATTAGTATGCTTTTTAAGGAACTTTTAAAAGTTGCCTAAATACTTTTATAATTAGAAAACTCAAAGTATGATACAATTATCATGAAACAGAAATTGTGTCCTCAACAGATAGCATTTTCAAGCTAAAGTTGACGGAATTTGGACCATGGATTATTTTAGCAGTTCACGGTTAAGAGGTTTCCAGAATATGACTGTCAACAACACTCATTACTTTCTTTCACTCAATTTCCTGAATTCTCATGGGAAAACTGTGACTTTTTTTCCTCTTATTTTTGGTACTATATTCTCAATAGGATTTATTTATGAAAAGTTACATTTAGGGCCTTTGGACCTAAGCATAATTTTAATTAATTTTAACCAAATAATTTTCAAATTACCTCAGCAAGATATGGTTGTCACAATTGTAAGTTTTTGTCATAAGCCCAGGAATACATTGATCTAGTCTTTCAGAAAATTATCTTTGAGTTATTATTAAAATGCTATTCATGCAGCAAACTTCAGATATCTTACATAGTTGATACTCACTGTTTATAATGCACACTGGCAAAGTATAGGAAATGAAGGTGTAGTGTGATTTATCCTTAGATTGTCATTTTATATTAGATTTCAGGCCAGGTACATTGGCTCACACCTGTAATCCCAGCACTTTGGAAGGCCGAGGCTGGTGGGTCCCTTGAGCCTGAGAGTTAGGAACTAGCCTGGGAAACATGGGGAAACACCAGAAAATTTTCTCTGCCAAAAAAATACAAAAATTAGCCTTGGTGGTGGCATGTGCCTATAGTCTCAGCCTCTCACAAGGCTGAGACAGGGGGATAACTTGAGCTCAGGAGGTCAGGGCTGCAGTCACCTGTGACTGCACCCCTGTACTCCAGCCTGGATGACAGAGTGAAACCCTGTATTAAAAAACAAATAAAATAGGAATTCATAATACAGGAAAACAAAAGTGTGACAGCTTTGCATCACATTTATTATCACACTAGCCTACAGGCTTTTATGTCATAACTCTGTGGAATAGAATATTATTACTTCCTTATTTATACTTCATGTTTTTGTACTCAAGTTCAATAACCTTTGTATTTTTTAGTGCCTGACCTGGAAGCCGATCTCCAGGAGCTATGTCAGACAAAGACTGGGGATGGATGTGAAGGTGGTACTGATGTCAAGGGGAAGATTCTACCAAAAGCAGAGCACTTTAAAATGCCAGAAGCAGGTGTGTTATTCATTAAGACACAAAGTTATGTGATTTCTATTTTTTACAATATTATACTTTTGATCATAGAGAGATAATATTACTGCCACTTTAATAACAGTGTTCAAATACACACTTTCTTTGAAAGGTACTTCAGATCCCAATGCCTGACTGCAAGACTTAAATGCTCTCAGATACAGACACAAATTGGGTCAAAGCCATATTGAATCATCAAATATGACAGCATTTTCTTACTTCTGAGTATAACCAACAGCTAACAATTTTCAGATTCTTTTCTAATTTCTGCTTTTAACAAATACATAATGCATTTGTAATACCAGACTGTGTGAAATATGCTGAGTACTGAAGGAGATTCTAGTAGCAGCTCTATGACAATTTGTGAGAATCTGGACAAATTCCATAAATTCTACACCCATCTTTGCTGTTATTGAAAATGGTGAATGCAGATCAAATGTATTAAAATCCGTTTCAATGCTGATTTCTGCATGCTCTGGTTCTGTTGGAGAGAATAGAAAGATATTCTGATTCCCATGATTTGTTTTTCCTAACAATCAGCTTCAGTCCAATTACAATATCTGAGCTGAGATTTCATTGCTCCTAAGAAAATGAGCAGGCACTCTGCTTGATGTTTGTTTTCCAGCATGGAGACTTGAATGAGTGTTCTTGGATTTTGTCAAATTCTGAATTATCTGGCTTTTAAAGAATAATTGTATTTTAAAGCCTTCCCACCGTGAAGCCTTGAATGACTGAATAATAAAATGGCAAGAGACAGTCTACTTTCTGTGGCCAATGAAGTAGGGAGAATGCATGTAGGTCAGTCATGCTCAAGGTGGGTGTAAGATGCCTGTGCTAAGCATGCTTTTTGCTCTCCTGTCAGTCTTCATGAGCTACTGTGTGTAATAAAGACACACATGATATAATCACCTCTAACCATATCATAGGTTACATATTACAGGTTTCTGCCTTGAGACATCAGATGATAGGACTTAAAGTTCAAAGACTATAATGTACTAATTCTTGAGTAGTCAACATAAGTATCTTTTACACATTTTTTTTTATAAATTGCTGACTGTTAATGAGAAGAGCTTCTGAATTTAAAGGAAGAACTCCATGTTTAGGGAAGAAATTACCTAAATGTTTTACTCTGCACTGCTGAACCATTCCATTAAACTATTTACATTAAAAGATAGTTTTCAGGAGCCGATTGAACAAGCCTCAGTTGTATTCTTAGGAAGATCACAGCCTTAAATGCACATCTTATTAGAATAGATAGCAAATTACATGATAAAGTAATAATCAATATAATAATAAAAGAGCAACAGAATAAACCTAATGGAAAAGGAAAGAGGTACTTAATAACAGACAGGTAGGAACCTGGATTTTGGATTAGGAAAACTAATCCAAAAGTAATACATTTAACACATTGTTTATTTTAAAAATAGCTATGAATAGACTATCTATTTGTTTCTCCAGTCTTGAAGAAAATGGGAAAAGCACAATACAGAATATGAAGAAGACACAGATATTGAATATGTAGTATAACTGAAAGTAAATACATTCTTTTGTTTTCTTTTGTTTTACTTTTGAGACAGAGTCTCGCTCTGTCACCCAGGCTGGAGTGCAGCAGCATGATCTTGGCTGACTGCAACCTCCACTTCCCAGGTTCAAGTGATTCTCCTGCCTCAGCTGAGTAGCTAGGAGTACAGGCATGCACCACCATGCCTGGCTATTTTTTGTATTTTTAGTAGAGACGAGGTTTCGCCATGTTGGACAAGCTGTTCTCGAACTCCTGACCTCGGGTGATCCACTTGCCTTGGCCTCCCAAAGTGCTGGGATTACAGATGTGAGCCACCACGCCCAGCTGAAAGTGAATACGTTCTTAAACTCTAATATTTTCGGAATATAGATGAAATGGTTGATAAGCTAGGAATGCATGCATTATTAAATATATCCCAGTAGTACCTGAATATCTATTCATCACAAAGACTGTGCATGAACTTGTGAAATTTGCTAGTTGTCCCTTGATAATATTTACTTTTAGAAATAAATATTTAGTTATTCTAGATGTCTTCCTCTACATCTCCATTTCCCTTTCCGTTTCTTTTTTTTCGTGCCATACTGTTCATGATATATACCTCTTTCATATTTTGATATCAATAATGATAATGATAGATTAAAAGTAATGCGATCATATAATTAATTATACAAAGGGGAATTTTTTCAAGTGTAAAAAGAGATATTTGTATTAACATCAGGACTATAGGTGAAAACTGGGGACAGATGTTTACCATACCTTAATATCTACAGAAGGGTAAACTAACCCAAAGCAACATTTTTGCACTTTGGCACAATAGAGGAAAAAACAAATGCAATACTGTCCTTTCTATTCACCACGCATATGCAGCTTCTAATGTGACATTAACTCTTTTCTTAAAAGATAGTTTTCATACTATTTCCAGGAGCCTATTTGACATCCAGACCATAGTTTCAAGCCAAAATATTAAATTGTACATTTTTTATAAATTCCTTTGTTTCTTAGTTTTTTTGTGTGTATTTGTTATATTTTTAGTAAAATTATACACAATTTTTGCTTTATACATTAAATCCCTTTTTAAGAGTTTCACTTGATTTAATGTGTTCTGACCTCGGACTGTCTTTTGGTTTCCTTGTAGCACTAGAAAGCAGGGTGTGTTTAAAAAATATTAATAATGTATATGTTTGGAAGTTTATCTCCAAAGTCTCCACAGAGGTCTAATTGAATGTAAGCCAGAGGGTGACTCTTGGGTTTATGGTCTTAGTCCACTGTACGAAACAAAAACTTTGGTGTCATTTGCATATCTTAATGTGATCTAAATACAGTTCTGCTAGTAATGTTCCACCTGTTATGTTTCTATTACAGGTGAAGGGAAATCACAGGTTTAAAGGAAGATAAGCTGAAACAACACAAACTGTTTTTATATTAGATATTTTACTTTAAAATATCTTAATAAAGTTTTAAGCTTTTCTCCAAAGAAGTCTTGCACATCTTCTGTTAATTTCTTTTTTTCTTTCTTTTTTTTTTTTTTCTAGATGGAATTTTGCTCTGTCGCCAGGCTGGAGTGCAGTGGCATGATATTGGCTCACTGCAACCTTTGCCTCCTGGGTTCAAGCAATTCTCCTGCCTCAGACTCCTGAGTAGCTGGGACTACAGGCACGTTCCACCACACCTGGCTAATTTTTGTATTTTTAGTAGAGATGGGGTTTCACCATGTTGGCCAGGATGGTCTCAATCTCCTGACCTCGTGATCTGCCTGCCTTGGTCTCCCAAAGTGCTGGGATTACAGGCATGAGCCACCGTGCCCAGCCTCTTCTGTTAATTTCATTCCCAGGTATTTTGATACTATTGAGAATTGTGGCCAGGTGTAATGGCTCACACCTGTAATCCCAGTACCTTGGGATGCTGAGGTAGGAGGATTGCTAGAGCTCAGGAAAGTGACACCAGTCTGGGGAATATAGGAACCCCTCTCTACTACAATGAGTGAATGAATGAATGCAACTATAGTCTCAGCTACTCTGGAGGCATAGGTGGGAGGATCCCTTGAGCCCAGGTGGTCGAGGATGCTGGTAGTCATGTTCACGCCACTTGCAACTCCAACCTCCATGACAGAGCAAGACTCTGTTTCAAAAAAAAGTATCATTTTTGATATTTTGTATTCTGAGTTAGCTGATACACAAGTGTGGTATGGTGAAATGTATATTTGGTCATTGACTGTGCTTACTGGCATACAACTCCTATAAAGTGATGTCTTTTTGTATGCTAGTGAGTTGACCAATGTCTGGCAGTCCCTAGGAGCTCTAGGATGAGGAATTAGAGGGTTGGGACTTTCAGCCCCATGCCCAAACTTCAGGGAAGGTTGGGGCTGAAGGTTAAGTTGTTCACCAATGGCAAGCCAACATTTTAATCAGTCATGCCTACATAATGAAAACCTCCATGAAACCCAAAAGGACACGGTTCAGAGAGCTTCTGGCTAGCTGAACACATGGAGGGTAGCATGCCCGTAGAGGCCATGGAAACTCCCTGCCCCTCCCTGCATACCTCACCCTATGTGTCCCCTCATCTGCATCTTTTCTAAGGGTGTTCCATTTGCCACAAAATATGTGAGAAGTCCCTAGGCTATGGAGCTAGATGAAAGAATTAGGGCCTAGGTAGGAGTAAGCGGCAAGGAACCAGGGCAACTTGCTGAAGCAAGATGACGGGTCCTACCTACACTGTCTCCTTATAGGCTATGGCATGAAATACCCATGGGATTCCATCCTGCCTCTTACACACTGGCCTTGAGGGGGTGGGCAAGATATTATAATCTGTGAGGCAATGTCCCCATTTCTAAAGTAGGAATTAGAATATTTACACTAAATACTTGTTATGAAGAATAAATGAAATAACATATGGATTAGGCAATACACTGTAGATAAATTTGGTTTATTATATTTCTTCTTTTAAAATTTCAATTTTTTTCATTCCCTTTGCCTTTACAACCACATGTTTAGTAAGTAATAACTGCTCTTAAATTTCAAGTAGGGGTATCAAGTTACCTTTTTAAATGAATTTGACTTCTGAGACTTACTTAATTTAAATAAATATATTAATTAAAAACCAGGGTAGCTGGTGTCAGACATGACATCAATTCTAAAGTTGGTTTGTGAATAAACGCAGTCTGACAAGGCCAACCCTAAGTCAATGGAATGTGCCGAACACTGTGCCCTTTGCTGTGTGTGATGCCGTGAAGAATAAGTCCTTCTGGTCAGCCAACACCACACAACACAATAGTGTGTCAAGTGTTCAAGCAGTACACCTGTAGTGGCTAACGGCAGCAAGGAGCCCCACTGCCGTTGTTAGTTTGGCTTGTCACACATCCATAGATTTGACCAATAAGAAGACAATGAGCCCAAATGGGTCCAAATGGTTGATTGATTGCAGGCAAAGTAAAAGCAAGGTCAGCATTGTGTCAGCACTGTGTCCCTAGTCCCACAGTATGACACTGAATCGGAGGTATACAATGACAGCACAGACGGTGGGTCTCTCTGCCTGTGAGGAGCCCACAGCTGTACCCTAAGACAGTGAGCAGTTTTATACTCCACAGTTGTACCCTAAGATGAGGAAAGGCCCGTGCTTAATGGAAACTAGGAAAATGGATAAAGAATGGTCTCGTGTCAACCTCCAACCAGATAGGGAGCTGGTGAGAAAATACCTGTGGCAGCTCCCACCACGCTGCCTATCTCCCCTTGCAACAAAAGGAATCCAGGTATTCTTCCAACATTCAGGTTAGCCTGCAGTCTGGCTTTGCCTACGTGTCCTATGTGGTGACCTGCAAGATCTCCAAGACACCATGGCAGAGCCTTTGCCCTATAGTGTCTGACACAAAACCATATGTAAGGTGCCTAGAAACATACCATCTCCAATAATGACTCCTAAATAGAGGGGATGCTTTTCTGTTAGGGTCATTACAAAAGACTGATAATTTAATTCAACAGATATGCATTGATGACTGCCATGTTATAGGAAATGTCTTGGATGCTGGAAATGAGAAGACCAACCAACAATATGTGGTACTTGCTGTGGAGGCTGTCACACTGTTGGTGGGGGGAGGAGGGCACCTTTACAGAAGACCCTTAAACAGAAGAGCAGCTGAAGTGCAAAGGAGAAACACAGGGAAGGGACCCAGGGGGATAAAAACAATGAATGTGGTGGCCAAGTAGCAGGAGTAAAACAAGACAGTTTCTCGAAAAGATAATTTCTCCATTGCCTTTGTGCCTTTTCTGAAAATCAGTTTATCATGTCTGTGAGTCCATTACTGGACTTCCTGCTGATCTGTTGATTTTTCCCCAATACCACATTCTCTTGATTACTATAGAATTAACATGACTCTTGATATTAGGTAGTGTGAGTTCCCCAAAGTTATACTTCAGAATGGTTTTGGCTGTTCTGGCTCATTTTCCTTTCTAGGTAACTTTGAAAATTTACTCCAGTGAAGTTAGTTGTATAAGTTGAGGCAGTTTTCCTTTGAAGGGCAGCAGATAAACATGTTAGTAGCTACAGAAGGACATGGGAGAAGAAGGTGAGTTCCCCCTTAGCTTTGGGAATGATCCAATGTAGAGGGAGCCATTGATGGTTCAGGAGAGGGGAGTGATCACTGTAGGAGCAAAGCCCCTGGGAAGGTGGGGGGTATGGATCCTGAGCTGAGGTGAGGGGCTGGCTTCAGTTAAGAGCATTGTATGTAGAAGGGCAACAGAGAATGCCAGGGCAGACACGGGTAGACTGGGTTTGGGAACCTCTGATAATTCCCAGCAGATTGCTTCTGTCCTCTGAATGAATCACTATGTCTCAAAAATAAACAGTGTTAATATAAAACTAACAGTCATACTGTTATAGGCTGAGTTGTCTCTGCTCAAAATTCATACCACGCCCAGCCTTATTTTAATACTGTCTTTAGTACCATATAGGCTGAGTTGTGTCTGCTCAAAATTCATATGGTGAAGTCTGAACCCCTAGTGCCACAGAATGTAACTATATTTGAGATAGGTGTGGTCTTTAAAGAGGTAATTAAGTGAAATGGGGTCATTAGAGTGGTCCTAAGGCAATTTGCCTGGTGCCCTTATAAGAAGAGGAAATGATGACACACACATGTACAGAGGGAGGACTAAGGCGGACACCGGGAGAAAACAGCAGACTACAAGGCAAGGAGGGAGGCCTTAGAAGAAACCAATTCTGCTGACACCTTGATCTCAGACGTGTAGCCTCCAGAATTGTGAGAAAATACATGTCTGTTGTTTAAGCCACCCAGTCTGTGGTAGTTTTTGATGGCAGCCTTAACAAACAGATAGAAATACTTTTAGTGCCCTTGTGGAGGTATTATTGTATCTATTTTATAAGCTAGCACTCCTGCTTCTTCTACTAATGTAATAACCATGTAATGATGTCTATATCTGAGCAACTGAGCAGTGATGAGAGAACTTCAAAACCTGAATTCATGACCAAGAGAGAATTACTTCTCACTTTCACTCTCATCCTGTTTCCAATACCATATTACTCTCACTAAATGCCAAAACCCCTCCTCGATTTGAATGAGGTATTTTGTGAGAGTATTATAGTATTGGAAATTTCTTATCATGAAGTCACTTGTTATTAAATTATATGTGTTCAGCATCAGTAAAAAAATAGTATGGAAGAATAATCAAGTCTCATAAAATACACAGTTATCATGGAAATCATACTAGATTTGGAGTACAGTGAAATATGCCTGTTCAGGCAACTGCAGGAGACGTCTGCCAAACCTATCTGCCCCTTGAAGTCCTGAGACAGATGATTAGTAGGAGAATCCTGAAGCCACTGCAAACACTCACACATTCACCATTCACACCTGCCAAAATATTCCAGCATTCACCATTCACACCTGCCCAAACGTTCCCACATTCACCATTCACACCTGCTTAAGCATTCTCATGTTCGCCATTCACACCTGCCCAAACATTCCATTTACCATTCACACCTCCCAAGCATTTTCAGATTCACCATTCACACCTGCCCAAACATTCCCGTATTGACCATACACACCTTTGACCATTTTGGGGTGAAATAAGAAAATGACTTCTACTTCCCAAATCTTTTAAGAGGTGCATATTATTAGCATCACCTGGGAAGCTGTGGCACACCACCCTCTGCAAGGGATCCTGGGACGGGTATTTATCAAGATTCTAGCAGTAGCCATACAAGGGAGAGCAGAAGAGATGGGAGTGCCTGTTGTTCAAATGCTTGTGGAAATTATACCTGCCAGGGTTTTCCATGGTCTATGTTGTGAAAGAAGCTTCCTGGACAGTGAGGTTCATGTGGCGATGTTTCCATGGGCCCCCTGAGAATGGTTTGGCAAGAGAGAAAAAAAAAGATCTCTTAAGTCATTTTCTTTCTACTAGAAATAGCCTGTGGATGTGGGTCTGGGGACAGCGGGAAAACCCTGGCTGGCCCTGCATGTGCCTGACTCTGTGTGTACACCCCTTGTTGCCCATGTGCCCTGCTGTCAGATCAGTTGTCCCAGAAGTTTCAGTGTGAGTGAGTGTGAGGAGGAGCCCGCGGGCACAGTCTATAGCCTCCTAGGCAGAAGGGCCTTGAGGTTGTTGTCCTCCTAACAGGCAGCGATGCACTGCTTGGGGGTGCCGGATAAGGGAAGAAGGAGGGCCATAGAGGGGAGGAGGGCCTGGTGAGCATACAGTGAGTTATGAAGGGGGACACTATTTGAGGTATTTGAATCCTTAGAGCATATGGAACTAACTGCCCAAAAAGGATGGATTCCAGAGTCCTTAGTGGATACCTTGGAGGAAGTGGAGAATGCAGTGAGGCAGGGTACCACAGCCTACAAGGCAGGCACCCATCTCACTGCACATGCTCCTTGTACCTCAGTGGGCATGTTCACTGGGCATGGTCCAGTCGGCCCCTTCGACCACATGGTGAATGCCGTGGAGCTGTGAGGGTGGGAGGGTGGCGGTCCTGTGGTCTAGACTCTCTCCTCTACTGAGACACAGCTGGTAGGTGCGAAGGCCAGTCCCCCCAGGAGGTGTAGTGTGAGTGAATGTGAGGAGAAGCCAGCAGACTTCCTGAGCTTCAGGCAGCCTAGTCCCTGGCCTCAGCAGGTGAAAGCCTTCGACGTCATGAGTAAGGTGGACCACAGAGTGGAGGTAGCTCAGGTGAAGATGGGGCGAGTGCTGAAGGTAATGTTGGAGGTATCTGAGTCCTGGAAGCCCCTGGAAACCCCAGTAGAAGACAGATTCCAGACTCCTCGGTGGGGAACCAGGAAGGGGCAGGGTGGGTGGGAAGGAACAGGCCTGGGAAGTGGGAATGCTGTGGGCTGGTGACCCAGGCCCCGAGGTCTGTAGAGTGCCCACATAGGTGTCCAGTGAGGAGTGGCCAGTGCTGTGTGGCAACTTCAACTCCCCCATGGATGTTCGAATGGGCTGGGTTGTGCATTTCAACAAAACTTGATTTTAGAGGGAAAATGGGCCTAGCTAACAGATGTGTAACGAAAGCTGTGTTCACTCCAATTTGAATTCTGTAGCTGTATTTTCCTATATGTCTCCACTATGGAAAGTCCAGTTGTGAAACTAAACCTCATCAGAAATACCCTGTGTCTTTTGCCAGGAGCCTTAAGACACTGCTAACTTGACCACCTTAAGTGGCTTTGCAAGCATTCGATTCAGAAGGCACACACACTTAAACTTGTCCTGGGACTTACTTTCAAAGTATTTCCAAATTTTAATAAAATTACAAGTTTACATATGGCGATGGAAGTGGTCAAATACAGCAATCCTCTCAAGTGCACTTTCCCAATCACAGTATTCTGTTTGCAGAATGAAATATGAGTTGGCAAGGAAGATCAACATATAAGCCTAGACCAAGAGGAAGTTTACAGTTTCCTGGACTGATTGGGCTTATGCTCATTAGTGCCTTAACATTCCATGTTTTCTGTTAGCAGAAATTTCTATTTGTGATAGTCTTGTTGAACTAGCGTACATATACTAATAAAGGTCTGCTGCTGAAAAATGATCATGGCATCTCATGAAGGAAAGGCAAGCCCAAGAGGATTACATTCTGGTTTTGTGTGGATGAATGATCTTGTGTTCCCCAGATTTCACCCATGATTTCCTCCCCATGTTTATTCATAACAGATTACACACATTCCTCCCAACATAAATTAAAATGGCTTCCAAAGCCCTTGAAGGTAACTGTCTTAGAGTATGACCTCCCTGTGGGAAGAGTAACTTTATGAAGAATAAGGATATGGAATAGTGTTGGAGAAATGTCTTTAGACTTATGATGAAAAATATGTATTCTGTACATTTATATTATTGACATATATTGATAACAGAACTTTCTAATCTGCATAAACACACACCCCTCGTCCCAGCAGCCCAGTGATGAAGAACCTCAAGAAGAGAAACCACCCACTGAAAGTCAAGATCCTACACATGGTCAGGAGAGAGAAGAAGATCAGGGTGCTGCTGAGATTAAAGGTGCTGGGAAGGGAAAGAAAGAATGTCTATGGTGGCGGTGGGGGCAGAGGAGGCCTATATGTGCATCATGCATTATGCCATAAACAGTAACAGAAGAAAGAAAACATTAGAAAAGGTTCTCAAACACTTGCTGAAATGTGGCTGGAAAAGTGAAGAGTGTAGTTTGCAGCTTCATGAAGTCCCTGGATGCAACGAATCTTCTCTCTTTTTTTGAGGTTTATTTTGCATGCTTAAAAATACAGTCCTTGCTAAATCAGATGAAACCATTTAATTTTATATATACAAATGTACATTATTTCACTAGTTTAATTTGATGTTCTTAGAATGTTGTTGTATGATTATCTCAGCCATGGTGTCAATGGTGTTGTAAGCACCCTTTAATAGCATGTAGAGTGCCAAGTAACCCTACCCTGTAACACCATGAATAAAGCCCATTTGCATAGGGATGTTAGCCCCACTTTATAAATAAGAAAACTGAGGCTTAGAGATTGAGGCTTACCAAGAACCCTTGACTCACGGACAAAGAATTCAAATTACATTTCAAAGTTTGTATTTGTCCTACTGTCTATGTTATTAGAAAACATGACTGATTTTGCTTAAAATGCTTAATACTCGAATGTGCTTCTCCTGTAAGGTACTTCAGTATTGGCTCAGGAAAAGGCACAGTTCAGTGATACAGGATAGCAACTCCAGAAACGAGCTCAATCAAAAGAATACTGACCAAAGGAAACAGCCACTGTTCCCTTCGATCAATATTTTTTACAGTATGTTTGGGAAAAGCTGGATAATTCAGGATACTGGCATACAGGTATATTACTATATTGGCTATATTAGTATGGTTTTTAAGGGACTTTTAAAAGTTGCTTCAATACTTTTATAATTAGACAGTTTAAAGTATAATAAGATTGTCATGAAACAGAAATTATTTCCTCAAAGGGTAGCATTTTCAAGCTAAATACTGACCAAATTTGGGCCATGGATTATTTTAGCAATTCACTGTTAAAAGGTTTCCAGAATATGACTGTCAACAATGCCCATTAATTTGTTTGCCCTCAGGTTCCCATACTCTCACTGAAGACAGTGATTTTGATGTTATATTTGGTACTTTTGGATCCCTTCCTTACACCTTACACAAAAATCAATTCAAGATGGATTAAAGACTTAAATGTTAGACCTAAAACCATAAAAACCCTAGAAGAAAACCTAGGCATTACCATTCAGGACATAGGCATGGGCAAGGGCTTCATGTCTAAAACACCAAAAGCAATGGCAACAAAAGCCAAAATTGACAAATGCGATCTAATTAAACTAAAGAGCTTCTGCACAGCAAAAGAAACTACCATCAGAGTGAACAGGCAACCTACAAAATGGGAGAAAATTTTCACAACCTACTCATCTGACAAAGGGCTAATATCCAGAATCTACAATGAACTCAAACAAATTTACAAGAAAAAAACAAACAACCCCATCAAAAAGTGGGCAAACGATATGAACAGACACTTCTCAAAAGAAGACATTTATGCAGCCAACAGACACATGAAAAAATGCTCATCATCACTGGCCATCAGAGAAATGCAAATCAAAACCACAATGAGATACCATCTCACACCAGTTAGAATGGCGATCATTAAAAAGTCAGGAAACAACAGGTGCTGGAGAGGATGTGGAGAAATAGGAACACTTTTACACTGTTGGTGGGACTGTAAACTAGTTCAACCCTTGTGGAAGTCAGTGTGGTGATTCCTCAGGGATCTAGAACTAGAAATACCATTTGACCCAGCCATCCCATTACTGGGTATATACCCAAAGGACTATAAATCATGCTGCTATAAAGACACATGCACACATATGTTTATTGCGGCATTATTCACAATAGCAAAGACTTGGAACCAACCCAAATGTCCAACAATGATAGACTGGATTAAGAAAATGTGGCACATATACACCATGGAATACTATGCAGCCATAAAAAATGATGAGTTCATGTCCTTTGTAGGGACATGGATGAAATTGGAAATCATCATTCTCAGTAAACTATCGCAAGGATAAAAAACCAAACACCGCATATTCTCACTCATAGGTGGGAATTGAACAATGAGAACACATGGACACAGGAAGGGGAACATCACACTCTGGGGACTGTTGTTGGGTGGGGAGGAGGGGGGAGGGATAGCATTGGGAGATATACCTAATGCTAGATGACGAGTTAGTGGGTACAGCACACCAGCATGGCACATGTATACATATGTAACAAACCTGCACATTGTGCACATGTACCCTAAAACTTAAAGTATAATAATAATAAAAAAAAAGTGGGAAAAAAAGTTATATATGGGGCCTTTGGACCTAAGCATAACTTTCACTAATTTTTACCCCAAAATTTTCAAGTTACCTAAACAGGGGATGGATGTCAGGGCTATAAGATTTGTCATAAACCTGCCACTACATTGATCTAATCCTTCAGAAAGTTACATTTAATTTATGATTAAAATGCTATCCATGCAGCAGGCTTCAGATTTCCTAGATATCTGATACTCACTGTTTATAATACACAATGGTAAAGTATAGGAAATGGAGGTGTAGTGTGATTTACCCTCAGATTGTCATTTAAAATAAGATTTCATAATATAGGAAAACAAAGACATGAGATCTTTGCATCACATTTATTACCACAATAGCCTACAGGATTTTATTTCCTAACACTGAGAAAAACAATATTATAATTTCCTTATTTATCATTCTTGTTTGCCTGCTTCAATTGATACCCTTTAATATTTCTTAGTGCCTGACCTGGAAGCTGATCTCAAGGAGCTGTCTCAGTCAAAGACGGGGGATGAATGGGGAGATAGTCCGATGTCCAGGGGAAGATTCTGCCAAAATCAGATCAATTTAAAATGCCAGAAGGCGGTATGCTGTCCATTAAGATGCAAAATTATGTGCTTTCTGTTTTCCACAATATTATAATTTTGATAATACAAAGAGAGAACATTACTGCCCCTTTAAAAACAGAAAGCAGAGTTCAAATGCAGACTTACTTTGAAAGTTAGTTCAGACCACAGATGCCTAACTGCAAGATTTAAACACCACCAGATGGAGACACAAATTGGGTCAAAGCTATATTGAATCATCAAATATTAAAGCATTTTCTTCTGAGTATAACCAAGAAGCAGAATCATAAGTGGGCGCCATCTGTATTCTCTTTGTTGGACTTTGGTATCAAGGTTACACTAGCTTCATGAAATGAATTGGGATATAAAACCTCTTTCTATGCTCTGGAACTGAAATCCCTGCAAGAATGAATCACTTGGAGATAGGGTTTCCCATGTGTGTTTGTTTCCAGATTGCAGGTCTTTTTGTTTTGTTTTGTTTTGTTTTGTTTCAGCTTTGGACACTACTTAAAAGAAAGATAGAAGGGGCAGCTCCAGGTTTCCATGCCTTTAAACTTTGTAAGGTGCCTCTCTTCCCTACAAAGATGCCTCTAATTATGCCGTCACTCTGAAAACTACCTGCTCCTGTTTCTGTACTGACATTAACCTCTGTATACAGCCAGTTAAAAGTTGCCACTCTATTAATTTGCTTACGTAAGTTTTTTCGGAGATACATTCTTGCTAAGTTGCCCAGGCTGATCTTGAACTCTTGGACTCAAGCAATTCTCCCTCCTCATCCTCCAAAAGTGCTGGGATTACAGGTGACAGCCACCTTGCCTGGCCTGCCTACCTGATTTTGATCTGTGGTGTATGTTTTTGAATGGATTGACTACACCAAAGCTGTGAATAGTTAGGATGATAACTGCATTTATTGAGTTCTTTAATGGAAATAATAACTCATATTTATAGATTGTCTAGTATCTGTTAACCGGTTATCTGAGCTGTGTTTCATTATTTCTGACCTCATTATTAAATCCACTAAAAAGGTGAGCCAGAGTTTTCATAAAATTTACAATAAATGACTCTAGTAAGAAGCAGATATGGGGATTCAAGGTCTAAGTTCACAGTCTTTGTGCTTCCTGAAAGTAAATGCTTCTGAAAGTGTTGAATGCAGAACTGGTGTTGTGTATATTGACTTTAGTGGTAATCTGATGTTTTCATGTAAATCCATGGTAATATATAAAATACATATATTTTATTGTTTAACATAAAAGGATTTGTTGTTCTCTCGAAGTATTTGTCAAAATGTGGAACATAAACCTAACACGGGTTCCCAGATGAAATCATTGTTATGAAAGCATTTTAAAAATTAATAATAACATACCTGTTTTACTGTGCAACAGAAAAAATATAATAAGAATACTAAATTCTTTTGAAATAGTTTGTGGGATGGAGAAAAGAACTGATGTCTCAATCCCCATGGAAAAATGCCACAACATCTCCTGCAAACATGTCCTTTCTTTAAATGATACAAGGCAGAGAGGGAGAAACACCAAACCTTTCTTTTTCTTCTGAGCCTGACAGTCACCACATCTCAATCAGAAGCCCCTGCAGCTGCCTGGATCCAGCCTAATATGCCTCTTCTTGTACATAATACACGACTAACAACCCTGAGCTCCATTTATATCCTCACACCCAAAAGGATAATTCTCCAACAATGGGCCCTACTCAGAATCCACGCTGCTTAGGGAGGGGCAGAAGAATATACACAGCAATTATTTCTCCCTGTTACAAAGATTTTAAAACATTTTTGGATCCAAAAGGACTGAAAAGCTAGGGTTCAAATAAAAAGTGAGACTAAATGTAGGGGATCCCATTTGCCATGGAATATGTGAGAAGTCCCTAGGCTACAGAGCCAGATGAAGAATTAGGCCCTAGGTAGAAGAAAGGGGAAAGCAACCACCACAACTTGCTGAAGCAAAATTATTTGGGTCCTAGCTACATTGTCCCCTTATGGCACAAAATAACCATGGGTTTCCATCATGGCTCTGACATACAGGCCTTGAGATGGTAGACAAGGTACTTATATCCTGTGAGATCTTTACTACTATTGTCACTGTCATTTATTTCATTCTTGCAATTATCTTGCAAGGTAGGAAGTAGTTACTGAAGCTCAGAAAGTTCATCTCTTGTTGAACCTCACCAGGAATGGAAGTACTAGTCAAACATACAAAACTCACGTTTGTGTTTTTGAGTGGAGTTTAACTACGAAAGTCAGATTTGTTAGATTTATTATAGTGAATTTATTTGTCATTATGTTCAGCATCAATAAATAAAATAGTAATGAAGACTCATCAAGCCCAGAAAAAAATCCATGCACTTACAGCCAATTGATTTTTGACAAAGTTATCAAAAACACAGAGTGAGAGAAGAGCAGCCTTCAATAAGTGGTATCAGGAAAACTGTATATCCACATACAGAAGAATGAAATTCTACCATCATCTCTTACCATATGTAAAGGTAAACTTAAGATGAATTAAAATCTTATAATGTAAGACCCGAATCTATGAAACTACTAGAAGAAAACACAAGAAGACAACTCCATGACATTGGTCTGGGCAGCGATTTTTTGGATATGATCCCAAAAGCACAGGGAAGAAAAACAAATGTAAACAAATATTACGCCACTACATCCTGTACATGTAGTGGAGTAATATTATTTGAAGGCTTACTGTTACTTAAAGATGCATGTAGTAATCCATAGAGCAATCCCTAGAAAACAAAGATATGTAACTAATAAGCCAATAGTGGAGATTAACATGGTGTAGTATAAAATGTTCAACTCGTCTAAGAGAAGGGAGGAAACAGAAAAACCTGAATAAAAAACAGATATGATAAATAAAAATATAAAGCAAGTTGGTAATTTAAAGGTAAACTGGTTCCACATTAAATTTAATTTGCTTACACTTGTCTATTAAAAGTCAGAGTTTGGCCGGGCCCAGTGGCTCATGCCTCTAATCCCAGCACTTCGAGAGGCCAAGGCCATACCAGCCAGGGCAACATAGTCAGACCCTGTCTCTACAAATATTAAAAATGAGGCAGGCATGGTGGTGCACACCTGTAGTTCCAGCTCCTGGGGGAGCTGAGGTGGGAAGATAGCTTGAGCCCAGGAGGTTGAGGCTGCAGTGAGCTACGATCACATGACTGTACTCCAGCTTGGGTGACAGAGCGAGACCCTGTCTCAAATGTAAAACGTTAGAGATTGTAAGAATGGATAAAAAGAGCAAGAACAAATTATATGCTGTTAAAAAGAACCACAGTTTAAAAATAAAGAAGTTAAAAGTAAAGGATGTTAAAAGTAAGTTCAAAGTAAACAGTTAAAAGATATACCCTGCAAATATGAATCACGTAGAAACTGGAGGTGCTCAATTAATACCTCACAAAACACACTTTATAGTGGAGATTATTACAATGGACAAAGTGGAACATTACATAATAATCATAGAGAGGTGCATTGATTCAGAAGACAGAAACACCATGAGTATGTATGCACCATCAAAATACATGAGGGAAAAACTGATACATCAGAAAGAAGAAATAAATAGACACATGTGCATTTATAGTAGAAGACTTCAACATTCATCCCAGCAATCGGTACAAAGAATGTAGAGAAAAATCAGGATATATATATATATATATATATATATATATATATATATATATATATATATATATAAAACAGGGGGCTTTCTGTATCCTGGGGAACTTGCCTTAGTGAACTGGAAAAATCGCATCACACGTGGGCTTGGAAAATCAGTGCAAGGTTTTATTGAATGGTGGAAGTAGCTCTCAGATTGATGGGGAGCTAGAAGGTGGAGGGAGTGGGAAGGTGGTCTTCCCCTGGAGTCAGGCCGATCAGTGGCCGAACTCTCCTTTGACCACTGTGGCCAAATTCCTGTCGGCAACCACATCACTCAGCCATTCAATGGCCTACCAGCATTTGCTGCTGTCTGCTGTTGTGTTCTTCTGCCGGTGTGTTCTGCCGGTGTGTTCCTCTCGATGTCCAGCCACCTGTGTCTCTGCCTGGTAGGATCTCGGGGCTTTTATAGGCACAGGATGGGAGCATGGTGGGCCAGGGTGGTCTTGGAAAATGCAACGTTTTGACATGAAAATAGAAATGCCTGTCCTCACCTAGGTCCATGGGCACAGGCCCGAGGATGGAGCCTTCACCAGGGACCCTCCTCTACTCCTCCCAGCACTTCCCTGCCCCACTCTTGTATCAACAATATATCAACATTTGCAAGATGACACTAGGGCAGTGTCACAGAGGGAAATAATACTAATAACGCCACTTCTACACAACATCGTAGCCAAATGGGATTTACTCCATGACTTGAATATATATATATATATATATATATATATATATATATATATATATATATGAGTTTAGCAAAGTAATATGGCACAAGATAAGTATGCAAAAGTCAATGCTATTTTTATATACCAGCAACAAACAATTGGAAATTGAAAATCAGTATTACTTAATATAGCAGCAAAAAACCCCAAGAAATATTTAGTGGTAAAATTTAACAAAATATGTGCAAGACCAGTACTCAGAAGCTTAAAAATCACTGTGGAGAAATATGTGTGTGTGTATATATATATATATATATATATATATGTAGAGAGAGAGACAGAGTCTCGCTCTGTCACCCAGGCTGGAGTGCAGTGGCGCAATCTTGGCTCACTGCAACCTCACTGCAGAGAAATATTAAAGCAGGCTGAAACAAATGGAGCGGTATGCTACGTTAATGGATTGCAAGATTGTGAAATGTCAGTTTCTCTCAAATAATCTATACATTCAGTGTAAACCCAACCAAATTCCATGCAGCCTTTTGTTTTAAGAAATTGGCAAGCTGACTTCAAAATTTACGTGGAAAAGCAAGGGGACTAGAATAGTCTAACAATTTTATAAAGAACAAAGAATATTGGAGGACTCATTACCTGTTTCAAGACGTTTTCACAACTATGGTAATCAGGACAGCATGATAATGGCATAAGAAAAGAAATAAGGGTCCAAATCTAGACCTATATATTCAGATTAAATTGATTTTTCTATAGGGTGCCAAGATAATTCAGTGGGAAAAAATGATTTATTCAGGGAATGGTGCTGGAACAATTGGAAATTGACATGCAAACAAATGAACCTCAACCTTTGTCTCACATCATATACAAAAGTTGCCTTAAAATGCATCATAGAACTAAATGTAAAAGCCAACGTTATCAAACTGCTAGACGAAAACGTAGGAGAATCTGTAGCATCATGTAAAACTAAGATAGGTAGGATATGAAATGCACAAACTATGAAATAGAAAAATCATGATCTTTTTAGTATTTATATACTTATGTACTATCCTTATCCAGTCACTAGTTACTTTTCCAAGCGCTATACAAATCGCATGAAGAGGTCATTAGAGTTCTAATTTCCTAGAGAAATTTCCATTCAAATTTTCCACACAAGTTCATGATGATGAAACCCCAGCATTGCATTTAGGCTTCACAATAACCCTGTGAGGAGAGCTGAATATTCATTACGCTTATAAAAATAAGCTGTCCCCCAAGCTACCTAGCTTCAGTTCTTGAGTCCCTGAAGGGCTAAAGTGATAATCAAAAGATCATCCAAAGGGTCAAATGTACTCTTGACGTTGTCTCTCTGGAACATGCTCCAGGGAAATGTGGGAACAACAACGATATAAACAGCAAAACAATAACAGCTAGAATTGATTGGAAATTTATCATATGGCAGGCGCTGTCCTGACAACTGTACATGTCTTAACAGTCAGTGTTCTAAACTGCCCAAGAAGTAGATGACTTTACTAGTAGTATTTCCATGGTACTAATGGAGAAAGGAGTCACAGAGATGTTAAGGATGTTTCTCAGTGTCACCCAGCAATGAGTGGTGGAGCCACAGGTCAGAGGCGTCATGAAAAACTCTACTGTGTTGCATATTTATGTAACCAAGAGTAAGATCCAAAGGCTATTGCAAAATATTTAGAATTTTACAGTATGAGATTGCACAGGCTAGAGACATTTGATTTCTTCAGAAATATTTAAGAGATGGAGACTTGAAAGGATTGGTCTGGGTATGATTTGGAGACAGGCCCTGAGAGCATCATTAGAATAACAGGCAGCATGTCAGTTTTAGTCTCCTCACCTGAAGGCCGTGGGTTCGTCCATCAGAGAACACACCAAACCTGTCCCTTCTATACCTTCACAAAGGAGAAAGAAGCTGTGTAGCTTGGAAAGGAGACTATTCCCCTGCTCCAGTAGTTCTCAGACAAATTTCCATGAAAATTTTAACCCAGGATCTTTTAAAAATGCAGATTCCACTATTCACACCCGGTGAATCTCATGTAGTGTGGCCACAGTGGTGCCTTAGGATCTGGGAATTTACTGCCCAGCCTAGGAAACATTCAGAAACCTTATTAAATCCCTTTGGTTTCATGACTGCCTCCAATATACCCACTCTTCCCAAGACTGACGTGAGGTTGAGAAGACCGACCTGAGAGCACACAGGAACACAAGACATGATGGACACAGTGTAAGAGTCACCATAAGGGTAAGGTAGTGCATCTTTTGAGAAGACCTTATAACTCCTACTGGTCTTTCTTCCCAAAGGCCTCTTCTTGTCATGCACAGTGAATGGAAGGGTGTCAAGAAATGACCTTTTAGATACCCAAAGGGTATGGGCTCCTATCAGCAACCATTGAACACATAGGATGGGAGGTCATGTAATCTACCATCTCCCTCCCACCAGCCTTGATTTCTTTCTTGCACTGTCATGTCCTTCCACAGGAATCTGGAGCAATGCCAGGACTTAGGGCCAATGTCTTCTCTTCACTAGCAGACACCTACCTGCACCTCACCTGAGGAGATCATCTCCCTTCTCCTTTCAGCTATCCTTCTCCTGATCTCATCTGTGATCCCACAGCAAACAGCTGTCCCTAGTAGCCTGATGACCTAGCCTGGCCCCTACCTCCTGTGTCCCAGCCTGGAGAAGGCTGTCTTTGCTGAGGAGAAAAACACCAGTCCCAGGATCCCAGAGCCATGACTACCACAGAACCATACTGAGCGTCAATGTCCTATGGCAGTGGTTGATCTTTGAAATGAAGCTTCACCACACACCCCAGCTGGCACTGAAACACTTTGTTTTTAGGTTGAAAGACTTTGTTATTTATTTATTTATTTATTTTTAATGAAAAAATATTGGGAAACTGGTGGTGTTTGTTCACATGAGTAAGTTCTTTCGTGGTTATTTGTGAGATTTTGGTGCACCCATGACCCAAGCATTATACACTGCACCCAATTTGTAGTCTTTTATCCTTCACCTCCTTCCCATCCTTTCCCCCTGAGTCCACAAAGTCCATTCTATCATTCTTATGCATTTGCATCCTCATAGCTTAGCTTCCACTCATGAGTGAGAACATATGATATTTATTTTTCCATTCCTGAGTTACTTCACTTAGAATAATAGTCTCCAACCTCATCCAGGTCATTATGAATTCCATTAATTCATTCCTTTTTATGACTGAGTAGTATTCCATCATATATATATTTCTTTATTCATCGATTGATGGGCATTTGGGTTGGTTCCACATTTTTTTGCAACTGCGAATCGTGCTGCTACAAACAGGAGTGTGCAAGTATCTTTTTCATATAACGACTTCTTTTCCTCTGGGTAGATACCCAGTAGTGGGATTGCTGAATCAAATGGTAGTTCTACTTTTAGTTTTTTAAGCAATCTGCACACTGTTTTCTATAGTGGTTGTATTAGTTTACATTCCTACCAGGAGTGTAGAAGTGTTCCCTGTTCACTGCATCCATGCCAACATCTACTATTTTTTTATTTTTAAATTATGGCCATTCTTGCAGGAGTAAGGTGGTATCATATTGTGGTTTTGATTTGCATTTCCCTGATCATTAGTGATGTTGATCATTTTTTCTTTTTTTTAATTATACTTTAAGTTTTAGGGTACATGTGCACAACGTGCAGGTTAGTTACATATGTATACATGTGCCATGTTAGTGTGCTGCACCCATTAACTCGTCATTTAACATTAGGTATACCTCCTAATGCTATCCCTCACCCCTCACCCCTCCCCCCACCCCACAACAGGCCCCGGTGTGTGAAGCTGGAAACCATCATTCTCAGCAAGCTATAGCAAGGACAAAAAACCAAACACCGCATGTTCTCACTCATAGGTGGGAATCGAACAATGATCATTTTTTCATATGTTTGTTGACCATTTGTATATCTTCTTTTGAGAATTGTCTATTCATGTCCTTAGCCCACTTTTTGATGGGATTGTTCGATTTTTTCTTGCTGATTTGTTTGAGATTGTTGTAGATTCTGGATATTAGTCCTTTGTCAGATGTATAGATCATGAAGATTTTCTCCCACTCTATAGGTTGTCTGTTTAATCTGCCAACTGTTCCTTTTGCCATGCAAAAGCTCTTTAGTTTAATTAAGTCCCAGCTATTTATCTTTGTTTTTATTGCATTTGCTTTTGGGTTCTTGGTCATGAAATCCTTCCCTTAGCCAATGTCTAGGAGGGTTTTTTAATGTTATCTTCTAAAATGTTTATAGTTTCAGGTCTTAGATTTAAGTCCTTAAGCCATCTTCAGCTGATTTTTGTACAAGGTGAGAGATGAGGATATAGTTTCATTCTCCTACATGTGGCTAGCCAATTATCCCAGCACCATTTGTTGAAAAGGGTGTCTTTCCCCACTTTATGTTTTGTTTGCTTTGTTGAAGAGCAGTTGGCTGTAAGTATTTGGGTTTATTTCTGGGTTTTGTATTCTGTTCCATTGGTCTATGTGCCTATTTTTACACCAGTATTATGCTGTTTTGGTGACTATGGCCTTATAGTATAGTTTGAAATCAGATATGTGATGCCTCCAGATTTGTTCTTTTTGCTTGTTCTTGCTTTGGCTACATGGGCTCCTTTTTTGGTTCCATATGAATTTTAGAATTTTTTTCTAATTCTGTGAAGCATGATGGTGGTATTTTGATGGAAATTGCGTTGAATTTGTAGATTGCTTTTGGCAGTATGGTCATTTTCACAATATGGATTCTACCCATCTATGATCATGGGATGTGTTTCCATTTGTTCGTCATCCTTGATTTCTTTCAACAGTGTTTTGTAGTTTTCCTTGTAGAGGTCTTTTACCTTCTTGGTTAGGTATATTCCTAAGTATTTTATTTTTTTGCAGCTATTGTAAAAGGGGTTGAGTTCTTAATTTGATTCTCAGCTTGGTCACTGTTGGTGTATAAAAGAGCTATGATTTGTGTAGATTAATTTTGTATCCAGAAATTGGGCTGAATTCTTTTATCAGTTCTAGGAGCTTTCTGGAGAAATCTTTAGGTATTCTATGTAAACAATCGTATCAACAGCATACAGTGACAGTTTGACTTCCTCTTTACCAATTTTGATGCCCTTAATTTCTTTCTCTTCTCTCATTGCTCTGGCTAGGACTTCCAGTACTATGTTGAAGAGGAGTGGTGAGAGTGGGCATCTTTGTCTTGTTCCAGTTCTCAGAGGGAATGCTTTCAACTTTCTCCCATTCAGTATTATGTTGGCTGTGGGTTTTTCATGAATGGCTTTTATTACATTAAAGTATGTCCTTTGTATGCCGATTTTTCTGAGAGTTATAATCATAAAGGGATGCTCGATTTTGTCAATGCTTTTTCTGCATCTATTGAGATGATCATGTGATATTTATTTTTTATTCTGTTTATGTGGTGTATCACATTTATTGACTTGCATATGTTAAACCATCCCTGCATCCCTGCTATGAAACCCACTTGATCATGGTGGAATATCTTTTTGGTATGTTGTTGGATTTGGTTAGCTAGTATTTTTTTATTATTAAACTTTAAGTTCTAGGGTACATGTGCACAACATGCAGGTTTGTTACATAGGTATACATGTGCCATGTTGGTTTGCTGCACCCATTAACTCGTCATTTACATTAGGTATTTCTCCTAGCATCTATGTTCATAAGGGTATTGGTCTGCAGTTTTCTTTTTTGGTTATGTCCCTTTCTGGTTTTGGTATTAGGATGATACTGGTTTCATAGAATGATTTAGGGAGGATTCCCTCTTTATCTTGTGGAATAGTGTCAGCAGGATTGGCACCAATTCGTTGAATGTCTGGTAGAAGTCTGCTGTGAATCCTTCTGGTCCTGGATTTTTCTTTTGTTGTTGGTAATATTTTAATTACCATTTCAATCTCGATGCTTCTTATTGGTCTGTTCACGGTATCTAATTCTTCCTGATTTAAGTGAGTAGGGTTGTATCTTTCCAGGAACTTATCCATCTCTTCAAGGTTTTATAGTTTATGCATGTAAAGGTGTTCATAATAGCCTTAAATGATCTTTTGTATTTCTGTGATGTCAGTTGTAATATCTCCAGTTTCATTTCTTATTGAGCTTATTAGGATTTTCTCTCTTCTTTTCTTGGTTAAGCTTGCTAATGGTCTATCAATTTTATCTTTTCAAAGAACCGGATTTTTTTTCATTTATCTTTTGTATTTTTTTGTTTCAATTTCATTTAGTTCTGCTCTGATCTTGGTTATTTCCTTTCTTCTCCTGGGTGTGGGTTTGGTTTGTTCTTGTTTCTCTAGTTCCTTGAGGTGTGACCTTAGATTGTCTGTGCTCTTTCAGACTCTTGGATGGAGGTGTTTAGGCTACGAACTTTCCTCTTAGCACTGCCTTTGCTGTATCCCAGGGGTTTTGATAGGTTGTGTCTTTATTGTTGTTCAGTTTGAAGAATTTTTAAATTTCCATCTTGATTTCATTTTTGACCCAATGATCATTCATAGCAAGTTATTTAATTTCCATGTATTTGCATGATTTTGAAGGTTCCTTTTGGAGTTGATTTTCAGTTTTATTCCACTGTGGCCTGAGACAGTGCTTGATAAAATTTCAATTTCCTTAAATTTATTGAGGCTCATTTTGTGGCCTATCCTATGGTCTATCTTGGAGCAAGTTCCATGTGCTGTTGAATAGAATGTGTATTCTGCAGTTATTGGATGGAATGTTCTGTATGTATTGGTTAAGAACATTTGTTCCAGGGTATAACTTAAATCCATTGTTTCTTTGTTGACTTTCTGTCTTAATGACCTGTCTAGTGCTGTTAGTGGAGTGTTGAAGTCCCCCACCATTACTGTGTTGCTGTCTATCTCATTTCTTAGGTCTATTGCTAATTGTTTTATAAATTTGGGAGCTCCAGCGTTAGGTGCATACATGTTTATGATTGTGATATTTTCCTGTTGGACAAGGTCTTTTATCATTATATAATGTCCCTCTTTGTCTTTTTAAACTTCTGTTGCTTTAAAGTTTGTTTTGTCTGATATAAGAATAGCTACCCCTGCTCACTTTTGGTGTCCATTTGTGTGAAATGTCTTTTTCCACCCCTTTACCTCAAATTTGTGCGAGTCCTTCTATATTAGGTGAGTCTCTTGAAGGCAGCAGATAGTTGGTTGGTGAGTTCTTATCCATTGTGCAATTCTGTATCTTTTATGTGGAGTATTTGGGCCATTTACATTCAACGTTAGTATTGAGATGTGAGGTGTCATTCCATTCATTGTGCTATTCGTTGCCTGTATACCTTGATTTTTTGTTTTGTGTTTTTGTTTTTTAGATTGTATTTTTGTTTTATAAGTCCTGTGAGATTAATGCTTTAAGAGGTTCTGTTCTGATGTGTTTCCAGGATTTGTTTCAAGATTTAGAGTTCCTTTTAGTAGTTCTTGTAGTGGTGGCTTGATCGTGCTGAATTATCTCAGCATTTGTTTGTCTGAAAAAGACTGTATTTTTCCTTCATATATGAAGCTTAGTTTCTCTGGATACAAAATTCTTGGCTGATAATTGTTTTGTTTGAGGAGGCTGAAGATAGAGCCCTGATCTCTTCTAGCTTGTAGGCTTTCTGCTGAGAAATCTGTTGTTAATCTGATAGGTTTTCCTTTATAGGTTACTTGGCACTTTTTTCTCACAGCTCTTAAGATTCTTTCCTTTGTCTTAACTTTAGATAACCTGATGACAATATGCCTTGGCGGTGATCTTTTTGTGATGGATTTCCCAGGTGTTCTTTGTGCTTCTTGTATTTGGATGTCTAGTTCTCTAGCAAGGCTGGGGAACTTTTCCTCGATGGTTCCCCCAAATATGTTTTCCAAACTTTTAGATTTCTCTTCTTCCTCAGGAACACCAACTATTCTTAGGTTTGGTCATTTAACATAATCCCAGACTTCTTGGAGGCTTTGTTCATATTTTCTTATTCTTTTTTCTTTGTCTTTGTTGGATTGGGTTAATTCAAAGACCTTGTCTTTGAGCTCTGAATTTCTTTCTTCTACTTGTTCAATTCTACTGCTGAGACTTTCCAAAGCATTTTGTATTTCTGTGTGTCCATTGTTTCCTGAAGTTTTGATTGTTTTTTATTTATGCTATCTATTTCATTGAATATTTCTCCCTTCACTTCTTGTATCACTTTTTGGATTTCCTTACATTGGGCTTTGCCTTTCTCTGGTGCCTGCCTCATTAGCTTAATAACTAGCCTCTTGAATGCTTTTTCAGGTAAATCAGGGGTTTCTTCTTGGTTTGGATCCATTGCTGGTGAGCTAGGTTGATTTCTGGGGTGTGTTAAAGAGCCTTGTTTTGTCATATTTCCAGAGCTGGTTTTCTGCTTCCTTCTCATTTAGGCTGGCTCTGTCAGAGGGAGGGTCTAGGACTGAAGGCTGTTGTTCAGATTCTTTTGTACCACGGGGTATTCCCTTGATGTAGTACTCTCTCACCTTCCTATGGATGTGGCTTCCTGAGAGCTGATCTGTAGTGATTGTTATCTCTCTTCTGGATCAAGACACCCAGCAAGTCTACCAGGCTCTACGCTGGTACTGGGGGTTGTCTGCACAGAGTCCTGTGATGTGAACCATCCTGTGATGTGATGTTCCTAGGAGGATTATGGCTGTCTCTACTGTGTCACGCAGGTTGTTAGAGGAGTCAGGGAAAGCTTGCAGTCACAGGCCTCACCCAGTTCCCACACAATCTGAAGGGCTGGTCTCACTCCCACCGTCCCCCACCCAACAGCACCAAGTCTGTTTCCAGGCAGTGGGTGAGCAGGGCTGAGAACTTGTCCCAGGCTACCTGCCTCCTAGCTGTGAAAGTAAGTTGGCTTTCCTTCTTCCCCTGCCTATGGAATCTGCACACCGGATTCACACCCTCCCCCAAGTTCTGGCCAGGACACTTGGATCAGTTCAAATTGTTACTAAGTTCAGCTGGAGATTTCCTTCTTTCTGTGGCCTTTTCCCAGTGCCTCTGGCTGCCCTCCTGAAGGACTCTTGTGAGGCCAAGCAGAGACGACTTGCTAGGGAACACAGCACACTCACAGGGCTTTTTCTGCTGCTTCCTCTACTCCTGTATTTTGCTTAGCTCTCTAAACTGACTCAGCTCCAGGTAAGGCCAGAATCTTCTTCAGTAATCTAGACCTTCAGTTTCCCCAGTGGGAGTGTGTGCTCAGGGTTGGGTGATCTCCCTTTCCCACTTCCACAGTTTGGGCACTCACAGTATTTGGGATGTCTCCCAGGTCCTACAGGAGCAATCCGCTTCCTTCAGAGGGTCTGTGGGTCCTCTCAGATTTCCCAATTTATTCCTGCAGTTGTTCTGGAGCAAAAATTCATGATGTGAGCCTCCACACACTGCTCTGTCCATCCGAGTCAGTGCTGCAATCTCTCTTTCTTTGTTGTTTTAATTGAGACAGGATCTCTTTCTGTCGCTCAGCTTGGAGTGCAGTGGACAAATCATGGCTCACTTTCAAGCTCAAGCAATGCTTCCATCTCAGCCTCCCTAGTACATAGGACTACAGGCATGTTCCACCAACCCTGGCTATGTTTTATAAAATTTTTTGTAGAGACGGGGTCTCCCTATGTTCCCAGGCTGATGTGAGCCACCACACCTATTCTGGAATCACATTCTTATCACAGAAAACAAGACATAGGAGGAAGGTTCCTGCAGCCCTTCCTGGGGAGCATTGTGTTCTCCTTCCTGGTGCCGTGTTATTTCCTCTGTGCCAACCACAACATTCCTATTCTTTTGATGTAAATAAGAAGTTTGAGGATACTTATTTTCAATCCTAAACTTGTGATTTATAGCCAGAATATCATCGCCCACTTTGAGGCATTTTGGAAATATCTGTGGGCTGCTGCTGTTGTTGGAATAATTGGCAGGAGCTACTGGCATTTGGGGACTGAGTGTTAAGTGAGGCAAACGTCTTGTTCCAGAATTTTACATAAACTAGATTTTCCATACATGTCACTTCCTTGTAAACTGAGGGAGGCTTGCATATTGCTTCATCTGGGAACATATAAAGACTTATTTACTGCTGTGGAAATCACATCACTGCAGGGCATTTTTTTCTTGGATTCCACTCTGTCACAATATACCAGTATCAGTTTGCTTTGTAGCTGTGCATCCCTGGGGCAAATAGTGAGGGGAATTCAATTTACTGACCAATGGGGTCTTTTCCAGGATAAGTTGTTAGTTGATGGGGAAACTTAAGTGGGAGATGTTCACAGTATGAAGTCTCATGAGTTGGTGAACAACATCGGCTATGCCCATTGCTATTACTGCACTGAAGTTCTCTTTGCAGGTGTATCTCCCTCACTAGGCTCCCAGGTCTTTCCTGGAAGGTTGGAAACATACACAGTAGATCCCAGTGTCCTCAGGATGGAGCATAGAATGTGACAGGCAGAAGGCAGGGAACACTTGTGGAATTGTAGTGATCTCTACATGGTTGGATGACCAAACCCAGTGTCACAGTGATGAGCCACATGGATGTCAGTCTGCAGAGGGTGGGAGAGACCTCTGTCTTAGGAGCCATGTAGGAGAGTGACACCTACCTGCATTACTGATCTTGGTTACACCCTTTATGGATCCCAGATGTAAGCAGCCTATTGATTAGGCTTCTTCTGTGGGTGTGTGCATGGGAAGAAAGAGAGAGATTGATTGATTGATTGATTGATTTTGAGGAACTGGCTCATGGAACTCTGTGTGCTGGCATACCCAAACCTTGCAGAGCAGGATGTCAGGCTGGAGACCCAAGGCAGAGGTGATATGATACCTCAAATCTAAGGGCAGCATGGAGCCTGAAATTCTTGATCTTGAGGAGGACCCCAGTCTTTTTCTCTGAAGGCCTTCAAGTGATTGGACGAAGGCCACTCCACATTGTGGAGGGCAATTAAGCTTACCCAAAGTCTGCTGATTTAAATGTTAGTTCTCATGTAAAAAATACCTTTCACAGAGACATCTACTCTGCTCAAGGTGAACATTTTTTGTGTGTATCGTGGCCTAGCAAAGTTGACATATCAAACTTCCCATCACAGCCATCTTATACAAATCCTATTAATGATGGATGTCTACCTTAGGAAGGCAGATTACTTCCTACCTAAGATTCTGTATTAAACTTTTTTTTTGGCCAGGCCAAGCCACCATTTCAGGCTCAGCACAACTCTGGCCAGGAAGCTGAAGCTGATGTGAATGCCTTCCAGGGATGAGGCAGTGAAGGGATAGTCAGGGCGCACATGTAAGAAAAATCTCAGAGGGCATAGGTGATACCCCTGGACTCCAAGAGTTTACCCTTGATAGGGCACCCCCCAGCAGGACATACAGTTGTCAGGCAGGAGCTGGCCAAGGCCCCCACTGTGGCCTCCCACTGTGTGACCTTTCCCTCTAGGGGTTCCTCGTCCGGTCCAAATAATTCATTTGCATCTTTGGTTTTAGTGGGACTCTCAGAAGGCAGTCAGTTCAGGGTGGTCATTGACACTTGTTCCTCCTCTTCACAAGCCTGGATGACATCCCTAAGTGTTCTACATGGAATGTTCAGGAGCTGGGTCACCCCTGCTGTCCCATAGTCACAGCTGTCAGGTGTGATCGTGATCTCAGTATTCAGTGTGGTTCCAGCATTGGCTTTAGGGTATGGTTGTGGGCTCCTCGCAGGCAAGGAGACCCACCACCTGTGCTGTTATTTTGTACCTCCAATTCAGTGTCATACTGTGAGACTAGGGACACAGTGCTGACACAATGCTGATCTTGCTTTGGCTGTGCCTTCAAGCAATCAATCACTTGGATCCACTTGGGCTCATTTTGTTCTTACTGGCCAAATCTATGGATATATGACAAATCAAACTAAGAACTGCAATGGTGATACCTGTGGCCCTTTTAGCCACCGCAGGGCTGCTTAGGGATTTCTTGAGCACTTTACACACTATTGTATTGAGGTGTGTGTTGTGTTGCCTGACCAGAATATTGACTTATTCCTTGTGAAATCACACTGATCCAGGAGAACAGTTTGCAGCACATACTACTGACTAGCACATACTAATGACAGCATTAATGAACATATTTATGTAAATCAAATAATCTTGGGAGGTCAAATGCATTTTAAAATGCAATTTGGTATTTTCTTACAATTCCAAAGCAGTTATCACTTACTATAGATGTAGCTGTAAAGACAAGTCAAATGAAAAAATAAATTGTAAAAGAAAAATATATAACTAGTAAACAACATTATCTGCAATGTAATGCCTACTTAGTATATTATTTCATTTATTCTCCATAGCAATCATTTACTGTAAATATTCTAATTTCTACTTTAGAAATGTGGAAATAGTCCCACAGGGTATAAGTGCCTTGCCCACCATCTTGAAGCCCGAGTGTTAGAGCCACGATGGAAACCCATGCCAATTTCATGCTATACCCTATAAGGAGACAGGGTAGCTAGGACCCAAGTCATTTTGCCTTAGCAAGCTCCCCTGGTTGCTCTCCCCTTTCTTCTACCTACACCCTAATTCTTTCAACCAACCTTACAGCCTTGGGACTTCTCACATATTTTATGTCAAATGGGATCCCCTACACTTAGTCTCACTTTTTTTTTCAACTCTATCTTTTCAGTCATTTTGGATCAGAATATACATTAAAATCTCTGTAAGAGGGAGAAATAATTGCTGATTATAATCCCCTGCTACTCCCTAAACACTGTGGATTCTGAGTAGGGACCTTTGTTGGAAAAATATCTTTTTGGGTGTGAGGATACACATGGAGCTCAGAGTTGCAATTGGTGTATTATTTACAGTAAAAGGGATATCAGGCTGGATCCAGGCAGCTCCAGGGGCTTCTGAATGAGATGTGGTGACTGTCAGGGTGATGGAGTTTTATGCAGATGGAAAAAGAGGCTTGGTGCTTCTCCCTCCCTGCCTCTTAATAACTTTTAAAGAAAGGTCAGAAGCGTTTGCAGAAGTTATTGTGGCATTTTTCCATGGGGACTGAGAAATCCCTTCTCTCTGTGTTCCCACAAACTATTCCAAATGGCTTTAGTGTTCTATTTTTCTGTAGCAGAGTAAAATAGGCATGTTATTATTAATTTTTAAAAATGTTTTTGTACCAATGGTTTCATCTGGTAATGTCTGTTAGCTCTATGTGCCATATTTTGGGAAACACCTTCTTCAAGATAAGACCAAAATCTTTTATGTTGAAAAATGAAAAATATATATATTTTATATATTACCATAGATGTGTATGAAAATATGCAATTACCAATAAAATCAACATATACAACACTAGTTCTGTATTCAACACTTTCAGAAGTATTTACTTTGAGAAAACACAGACTGTGAACTTAGAACTTGAATCCTCATATTTGCTTCTTACTAGAGTCATTTGTTGTAAATTTTATGAAAACTCTGACTCCCCTTTTTAAAGGATTAAATGAGGTCAGAAACAATGAAACATAGCTCAGAAAACTGGCTAACAGATACTGAACACTCTATAAATGTGAGTTATTATTCCTATTCTTCTTAAAGAACTAAATAAATGGAGCTATTGTCCTAACTATTCACAGCTTTGGTTTAGCCAATCCATTCACAATCACATACCACAGATCAACATCAGGTAGACAGACCAGCCACGGTGGCAGTCACCTGTAATCCAAGCACTTTTGGAGGCTGAGGAGGGAGAATCACTTGAGCTCAAGAGTTCAAGATCAGCCTGGGCAACTTAGCAAGAACACATCTCTGAAAAAACTTATGTAAGCAAATTAATAGAGTGGCAATTTTTAACTTTCTGTGTACAGAGGATAATGTCAGTACAGAAACAGGAGCAGATTGTTTTCAGAGTGACATCATCATTAGAGGCATCTTTGTGGGGAAGAGAGGTGCCTTACAAAGTTTAAAGGCATGGAAATCTGGAGCTGCCCCTTCTGTCTTTCTTTTAAGTAGTGTCCAAAGTTAAAAAAGATATGCAATCTCAAACAAACACACATGGGAAATCCTATCTGTAAGTGATTCACTCTTGCAGACATTTCAGTTCCTGAGAATAGAAAGAGGTTTTATATCCCAATTCATTTCATGAAGCCAGTGTAACCTTGATACCAAAGTCCAACAAAGAGAATACAGATGGCCCCTGACTCCTGATGCCGCCATTTAAAATTTCTTGACTTCATGATAGTGTGAAAATGAAATGCGTTCAGTGGAAACAGTTTTTTGAGTAGCCATATAACCACTGTGTTTTTCATCTCCAGGAAAATATTCAATAAATTACATGAGACATTCAATGTTATGATAAAATAGGCTTTGTGTTAGATGATTTTGCACAACTGTAGAGTAATGTAAGTGTAACTGTAACTGTATGGTAATATAACTGTAGGGTAATGCACAACTGTAGGGTAATGTCAACGTAACTGTAACTGTAGGGTAATGGGCACTTTTAAGGTAGGCTAAGCTAAGCTATAATGTTTGCTAAGTTAGTGTACTGAATGCATCTTCAACTTACACAATTTTCAATTTATGATGGATTTATTGGGACATAATGTCATGGTAAGTTAAGGAGCATCTGTACATGAAATAAAAATATAGGCTAATGCCACTTATGAGGACATACATAAAAATCCTAAACAAATTAGTAAGGCATAGATTATTAAAAAAGGATAATATGTTGTGACCCATTTTTTTCCCCTAGAAAGGCAAGGTTTGTTTAAACATAGCAACTTACCAATGAAATTCACCACGTTAACAGATTAATAAAAGAAAAAGTCCTATGATCATCTGTGTGGATGCACTACAAGTGCTTGATGAAATTCAACATCTATTGAAGATAAATACTCCTAGGAAATGAGGAATACAATGGAACTCTCTATTGTGATAAAGTGTATCTATATTAAAAAACACAGGAAACATTGTAAAATGTTAAAAAAAACTTTCCAGTGCCTATTAGGCATAAGAGAAGGATGGCCACAATTACTGGTTCTATTCAGCATTCTATTGGGTGGGTCTGTCCAATGTTGTAAAATAGGAAAAAGGACAAAGCGTACTGTTTGAAATGTCAGAAACAAGCTGTTGTTATTCAAAGATGATATGATTGTGTAAGTTGAAATTCAGAAAGGATCTAGAGATAAATTTGGAATAAGTATATTTAGCAAGGTTACTGGATAGAAAACCAATAAACAAACACTGAATCCATTGAATGGATTAAAAAAGTTTTTTCTCTGTTCTTACCTCACAACAATTAACATGGAAGAGTTTTGTGATCAAATGTGTGGGGGCTTTTCTACACACACCAAACAAGCAATGAGTTTTGCAGCACACACCAGCTGGGTGTCCTCTCATTCAATTCTGACACAAGCTACCTTGACATAGAGTAAGATTGCACAGGTTAAGGGCTCAGTCCCATAAGATTTCCCTCACTACAAGCCCTAGGTTGTTTCACCTGTGTTTCTGACCCACCAGCTATAAATTGAGTTTTCCATGAGTCCTACTCAGGTTCAGTCAGTTAATTTCCTACAGCATCTCACAAGACTCAGGGAAACACATACGTTTATGGGTTTATTAAAACAGGATATTAGAAAGGATGCAGATAAAGAGATGCATAGAGTAAGGAATGGGGAAAGGGGCAAGGAGCTTCCATGCCCTCTACAGGCATGCTGCCCTCTTTGTGTTCAGCTAGCCAGAAGCTCTCTGAACCCTGTCATTTTGGGTTTTTTGGAGGTTTTCATTATGTAGCTATGATTGATGAAACCAATGGCTAGCCATTTTTGACCAAGTTAACCTTGAGTCCCTCTCATTTCCCTGAAGGTTAGGGGTGGGGCTGAAAGTCCCAACCCTCTAATCCCCCATCCTAGAGCTACTTAGGGGCTGCCAGCCATCAGCCAACTAATTAGCATACAATAAGATATCATTTTTTGGAGATTCTAAACATTTTAAAAACTGTATGCCAGTAAGCAGGGTCAAGGACCAAATACACATTTCACAAAATCACACCTGTATTAGACCATTTTCACACTGCTATAAAGAACTACCTGAGTCTGGGGAACTGATGAAGGTTTAATTGACTCACAGTTCCACAGGCTTGACAGCAAGCATAATTGGAAGGCCTCAGGAAGCTTACAATCATGGAGGAAGGGAAAGCAAGCACCTCTTCAAATGGAGGCAGGAGAAAGCATGAAGCGAGAAGTGCCACACACTTTTAAACCATTAGAGGGTTGGAACTTTCAGCCCCAACCCTTGAGTACTAACTGACTGTCAGGAGAACAACAAGGAGGAAATCCACTCCCATGATCCAATCACCTCCCACCAGGTCCCTCTCCAAACACTGGGAACAATTAAACATGAGATTTGGGTGGTGACACCCAGCCAAACCATACCAACACTTGTATACCAACTCAATTTTCAAAATTTCAAAACTTTGAAATACAAAATTTAAAGAAATGATACCTTTACTCTTGAAAAAATCTCCCTCTGTCACTCAGGCTGGAGTTGCAGTGGCATGAACATGCACTGCATCCTCTACCTCCTGGGCTCAAGTGATCCTCCCACCTCAGCATCTGGAGTAGCTTGAACTACAGCTACATAAATACATACATTCAGTCAATCATTTACTTTTGTAGAGAACAGGGTCTCACTATTTTGCCCAATCTGGTGTCAGTCTCCTGAGCTCAAGCAATCCTCCTGCCTCAGCATCCCAAAGTCCTCAGATTACAGGTGTAAGCCACTGCACCTGGCCACACTTTTCAGTAGTATAAAATATGTGAAATAAAATTAACAAAAGATGTGCAAGTCTTCTTTGAATAAAACTGTAAAACTTTATTGAGATATTTTTAAGTCAAATATCAAATATAAAAACCGTTTGCATTCTTTCAGCTTCTCTTCATTTAAAACTGTGGTTGCCCTTCACGTGTAACAGAAACATAACAGGAGGGAATATTACTAGCAGAACTGTATTTAGATGACATTAAAGGTATGCAAAGTTTTGGTTTTATGCAAAAGACTAAAACTGTAAGCCTAAGTGTCACCCTATGGCTAACATTCAATAAGACCCCTGTAGGGACTTTGAAGATAGACTTCCATGCATATACAGTATTAACTTTTTTTGAACCCACCCTGCTTTCTGTGCTCTACAAGAAAACCAAAAGACAGTCTAAGGTCAGAACACATTAAATCAAGTGAACCTAATAAAAAGTGGCTCAAAGTGGAAAGCAAACATTGTGTATACATTTACTAAAAATATCACTGATACACAAAACATCTAAGAAAAAAAGGAATTTACAAAATTGTATAATTTAGTGTTTTGGCTTGAAATAATAGACTGGATGTTTGACAAGCTCCTGGGAAACAGTTAATGTCACATCAGGAACTGCATAAGTACATTGAATGGAAAAGCCCATACTGTATTTGTTTGTCTCTGTGGCACAAAAGTGCAAAAATGTAGCTTTAGCTAGTTTACACTTCTGTGGATTTCAAGGTACAGTAACTATTTGTCCAAGGTTTTCACCTATCATTATGATGTCAATATGAAGAGTGCCTCTTTTTACACCTGAAAGTATTCCCTTTTGTAAAATAAATTACATGGTCACATTCGTTTTAATCTATCACTATCATTTTAGATAGAGGCATATATCATGAACAATGGGGCAAAAAAAAAAAGAAATGGAGGGAGAGGAAAATGGAAAAGGAGAGTAAGACATCTTTAAAAGGCAAATATTTGTTTCTAGAAGTAAGTGTTTCTGAGTGTCAACTGGAAAATTTCAGAAGTTCCTCCACAGTGTTTGTGATGTTTAGATATTCAGGTATTCCTGAGATATATTTACTAATGTATGCATTCCTAGTTTATCAACCATTTCGTCCATATTTTGAAAATACTAGAGTTCAAGAATATATTCACTTTCAATTATACCGTATATTGAGTTCTGTTAGGGTCTTGTTCATATTCTGTGTTGAGCTTTTACCATTTTCTTCAGGATTATGTAAACTATTAGATACTCTATTCATAGCTATTTTTAAAAAGAACAACATTTCAATTTATTGCTTTTGGATTACGTTTCCTTTTCCTAATGATTCATACCTTTTATTCACTCCTGCTTTCCTTTTCCCTTAAGTTTATTCTGTGGGTCTTCTATTACTATTTTTATTTATTATTATCACTTTCATTTATCCTGTAATTTGCTATTTTAATAAGATATGCACTTAAGGCTATGATCTTCCTAAGAATACAATGGAGCCTTGTTCAATAGACTCCTGGAAATCGTCTGAAAACTATCTTTTAATGTAAATGTCTAACGGAATGGTTCAGCAGTGCAGAGTAAACGCATTTAGGTAATTTCTTCCCTAAACATGGAGTCCTTCCTTTACATTCAGAAGCTCTTCTAATTAACAGTCAGCAATTTGGAAAATATGTGTAAAAGATACTTATATCTACTACTCGGGAATTAGTTCCTTATGGTTTTTGAACTTTAAATGCTATTATCTGATGTCTCCTGCCTCAGCCCCCCAAGTAGCTGGGACTACAGGCGTGTGCCACCATGCCCGGCTAATTTTTGTATTTTTAGTATAGACGGGGTTTCGCCATGTTGGCCAGGCTGGTATCAAACTCCTGACCTCAAGTGATCTGCCCACCTCAGCCTCCCAAAGTGCTGGAATTACAGGCATGAGCCACCACACCTGGCCTGAACTCTGTTTTTAAAGGAGCAGTAATGTTCTCTCTTTGAATTATCAAAAGTACAATGTTATGAACAGTGAGTATCAGCTATCTAGGAATCTGAAGCCTGCTTCATGAATAGCATTTTAATCATGATTTAAATATAATTTTCTGAAGGATTAGATGAAGGTATTGGTGGGTCTATGACAAACATAGTCCTGATGCCCATCCCCTGTTGAAAATGTTTTAGTTAAAATTAATTAAAGTTATGCTTAGGTCCAACTGTCCTATATGTGACTTTCCATATATAAATCCCATTAAGAAAAAAGTACTAAATATAATAGCAAAACCACTGTCTTCCAGTGAAAGTATGAGAACCTGAGTTCAAAGAAATTACTGGGCATTGTTGACGATCTTATTCTGGAAACCTCTTAAGAGTGAATTGCTAAAATAATTCATGGCCCAAATTCTGTCAATGTTTAGCTTGAAAATGCTACCCATTGAGGAAATAATTTGTCTCAAGATAATCTTATCACAATCTGAATTTTCTAATTATAATAGTATTTAAACAACCTTTAAAAGTCCCTTAAAATCACACTAATATATCTATCTGCATGCCAGTGTCCTGAATTATCCAGCTTTTCCACATATACTGCCAGAAATACCAAAGAAAGGGAACAGTGGCTGCCATTCATTGAGCTCTTTTCTGGAGTTGCTATCCTGCTTCACTGAACTGTGTTTTCTTGTGAGGCAATATTGAAGTACTTTACCATACAGACACATTCGAGTATTAAACATTTTAAGCAAAATCATTCATGTTTTCTAACAACATAGATGGTAGGAACAACGCAAATCTTGGAATGTAATATGAGTTCTGTCTCCATGAGTCAACTCTTCTTCATAGGCCTCAATCTCTAAGCCTCAGTTTTCTTATTTATTATATAGAAAGGACTATATTTTCAAGCATACAAAATACATCTCAAACAAAAAGAGAAGATTCATTATATTCAGGGACTGCATGAAGCTGCAAAATATCCTCTTCCCTTTTCCAGCCAACTGTCAGCAAATGTTTGAGATCCTTTCCTAATATTTTGTTTCCGCCTGTTACTGGTCATGGCATAATGCATGATGCACACATAGGCCTCCTTCCCCCATAGACATTCTTTCTTTCCCTTCCCAGCACCTTGAATTTCAGTTGTACCCTGATCTCTGTCATGAACAGGTGTAGGATCCTGATTTTTAGTTTGTGGTTCCTCTTCTTGAGGCTCTTCATGACTGGGCTCCAGGGGCTAGGGGTATATATGTGTGTGTGCAGATAAAAGGTTTTTTTCATTAATACATGTCAATAATATAAATATGCAGAATACAGAGTTTTCCCTGATCATGAATAAGTCTAAAGACATTTCTACAACACTATTCCATAAACCTATTCTTCATAAAGTTATTCTTCCCACAGAGAGGTTACTCTAAGACAGTTACACTCAAGGGCTTCGGAAGCCATTTTAATTTATGTTGGGATGAATTTGTGTAATCTGTTATCAATAAACATGAGGAGAGATTCAGGTGCAAAATCTGGGGAGCACAGATCATCCATCCAGGCAAAACCAGAACATAATATTCTTGGGCTAGTGTTTCCTTATGAGATGCTATGATCATTTTTTATCAGAATGGGATACTTTTATCACTGCATCTATAATAGTGCAACAACACTACCACAAAAAGAAATTTCTGCTAATAGAAAACATTGAATGTTAAGTCACTCACATGCATAGGCCCAATCAGCTGAAGAGGTTGTAAATATCATCTTGGTCTAGGCCTATATGTTGATCTTCCTCGCCAACTCATATTTCACTCTGCAAACACAATACTATGATTGGGAAAATGCGCTTGAGAGGACAGCTATATTTGACCACTTTCATGGACAAATGTTAACTTGCAAAATTTTTTTAAAAATTTGCAAACACTTTGAAAGTCCCAGGGCAAGTATAAGTGTGTGTGCCTTCTGAATCAAATATTTGTAAAGCCACTTAATGTGGTCAAGCTAGCTGAGCAATGTCTTAAGGCTCCTGGCAAAAGACAGGATATTTCCGATGAGGTTTGATTTCACAACTGAACTCTGCTCTGTGGAGACATTTAGGAAAATACAGTTAGAGAATTAAAACTACAGTGACCACGGCTTTTGTCACACATCCATTTGCTAGGCCCATTTCCTCTGTACAATCAAGTTTTGTTGGAACACACAGTCCCATTTGGACATCCAGGGTGGAGTTGTGAAGTTGGCACACAGAACAGGGCACTCCTCACTGGACAGCTCTTCAGGGTGCTCAAGAGATCTCGGGCCTGGTCACCAGCCCGCGGGGTTCCCAGTTCCCAGGCCCTTTCCTAACCATCCACCTCCCTGTTTCCCAGGTCTCCACCAAGGGGTCTGGAATGTGTCTTCTGTTGAGGGTTCCAGGTGCTTTCAGGACTAAGAAAACTCCAATAGCTCCCCCTAGCACTCTCCTCATCTTCACCTGCACCCCCTCCACTCTGTGGCCCACCTTCCTCCTTCATTCTGAGTGTCCCACAAGGCCCATGGCAATGCTATTACACCAGGAAAAGGACGAAGACTCTTCACCCTCCAAGGTCAGGGACTATGCTGCCCAACACTCCAGAAGCTCACTGGCTCCTCCCCACACTCATTCAGACTTCAACTCCTGGGAGGACTGGTCTGAGGTTCTACCAGCTGGGTCCAAATTGGGGAAAAAGGATCCAGAATGCAGGAATGCAACCCTCACACCCTCACAGCTCCACAGAGTTCACCACGCTGGCAAAGGGATCAATTGGAAGATGTCCAGTGAACATGCATTGAGGTGGGCATTCAAGGAGCATGCAAAGTGAGATTGGTGCCTGGTGCCCAGCCTCACACCAGTCCATTTGGCACCCTGTAGTCCTGCACTCTTTCACCCCCTTTCAGGTCCCCATTGAGGACTTTGGAATCCATCCTCTGTGGGGGGTTTCATATGCCTCCAGGATTCAACCACCACAAATAATTTCCCCCTTCAAAACTCACTCCATGTTCACCAGAACCTCCTCTGCTCTATGACTTTCCTTCCTCCCCTGTCCAGGCCCCCCACCACAGCAAGGCCATAGCTGCGTCACTGACTGTTAGGAGAAAAACGGGGACCTCAAAGCCCTTCTCCCTAGGAGGTCCTGGACCATGACTACGGGCTCCTCCTCACATTCACTCACACTTCAACTTCTGGGAGGATTGATCTGAGGATCTACTGACTTAGTCGTAGTCAGTGAGACAGAAGGAAGTCATGATGTCTACTTGCACAGCTCTGCAGAAGACAGCAAGGCGCACGGGCAACAAGGGACTTGGGCAGCAAGGGGCGTGCACGCTGAGTCAGGCACATACAGGGCAGGCCAGGGTTTTCCCGCTGTCCCCACACCCACATCCCCAGGCTGTTTGTAGTAGAAAGAAAGGGACTTAGGAGATTTTTTTTGTCTCTCTCTCTTGTCCAACCAGAAACTTTGGGAACAGACAGTCCCATGTCACTCTTAGTGGAGGATGTGTCTCAGAAATATCTGTGACAAAAATAAGGAATTTTATGTATATATATATATGTGCTTTTTCCTCAGTGTATTGCTCTGTCACCCAGGCTGGAGGGAGGTGGCATGACCATACCTCACTGCAACCTCTATCTCCTGGGCTCAAGCAATCCTCATGCTGCAGCCCTCTGAGTAGTTGGGAATATGGGTGGGTGCCACCATGCCCAGCTAATTTATTTATTTTTTTAGATGCAAGGTCTCACTGTGTTGCTCAGGCTGGTCTCAAATACATGGACTCAAGTGATCCTCCCACCTCCGCCAATTTTTATACATGCCCTGATTAATCACTTCCTTCTCTGGTTCAGGGTTTTCTGTCATGTGCACAATGAGTTTGACTATCTGTATACTCAATAAATTCACACCATTTTACTTTTTAAGGTTGTGTTGTTGCACATTTACATCTCTAGACTGGTAACTGTTTTTTTCTGAATTTTCCTGTAGATCATTCAGGCAATAGGGTTCTGAAATATCCATAGATATTGATCGTAGCTTCTAGGCTCAGTCTACTGTGATATGATGCACAGCAGTGGTGACTATGCTCATCATATACTCCCAAATATCAGCCAAACAACCTGTTCATAAGACAGTACTGACATTATTTGCATAACGCTGTAAGAAAGAGCACTACCTCGACAGAGACACTCGTATGTCACACATGTGGAAGGGCTTTAGGTATATTTATTCTGATTTTGGAGTCTGGTGTGAAGTGCATTTTTTAAAGTGGGGGATGGTTTGGTTAGAATTCGGTAGGAATCATAATAATTGAGGATTGGTGAACACAACAAGAGGAGGATTTTTAGACAAAGGGTTCAAAGAGCTTTGGCATTGAGAAATGTCGTTTGACACATTTTACTGAGGAGTTGATGGATCTTTCAGGCAGTTGCTGGAATGAACAATAGTTTTGTTTTTTTTTTTTTTACAACTTTTATTTTCCTTGGCAAGGGATTCCTGTATTACTAAAGTTACATTGATGAAGCCAGTGGAGTATAAACTCTCATTTATGTAGATAGTAAGCTGTGTGCATGATTCCTCTTCTTATTACTTTTATATTATTCCCAGTTTTATATGAGAAATAGTATATAGAAGAGAAGGATAAGAAGGGGGCCCTGATCAGAATGTAGCTTGTTGTAAACAAATTAGGATATATTGTTGAATTGACTCCTATATATTCCATCTAGCTGGGCTCCTTTTAAGGAAATACCTTGAGAAGGAAATGTGTGGTTCCTCAGTCCCTCCCTCCCTCTCTGTAAAAAGCAGCTTGAGTAAGAATTGTGGTTCTTCAAAGTTTTTTTAAGGAGTGAGAGTAGTCATAATCCTGATCTATTATTAATTTGTCTTTTATCTTTTTGGTTCTTTTTTGGCAAGAACACCATTAAATTTTACTTTCTTTTGTCCCGTATTAACTCTAGTTTTTAGTATAGTGCACTCATAGGTTCTCAAAGAATGGATTTAGACTTTCTGTGAGCAACTCATTAGCAAATGGTCAAGGTCATGTCATCAGATGGCTGGACGGTTCTGCTTCACAAGGACCTGGAATTTAATGATTGCTGAATGGCTCCACTCCAGCTTCAAAGGCCAGGCTTTAACCTCATGCCAAATGTGAGCTTCCTCCTGCCATTCCTGTGGGAGACAACCCAGGACCAAGTGGATGGGTTAAAGGATCATAATGGATTGGGATGGGAGCAAGTTGTGAAGTAGCCCTTGCAACACACAGGAAACAGCAGAAAATATGAAAGATACTGTAGAGACAAGAAGAGTTGTCTAATACATGACCCTAGCAACTCTAGCTGCTAAGGGAAGAGTCAGAGCTGGGACCAGCACAGCCGGTCTACCTGTGGGAGGGCTCAATTTCCCACATGACTAGAGCTTCCCATACTTCAAGCACAGGAATCTCTGAACAAATTTGGATTTCAACAGGATGGTAAGTGGACAAAGTCTACAGATTCTGAGGAGTTAGCAATTTTCAGAGTATTGTAGTGAACATTGTCACCTGAACTCAGAATGCTTGGTGATTGAGGTCAAATTATTTACTACCTATCATGTTAAGTGGAAGTCTCCTACTTGCCTCATAAAAGGGGAGCAGAGTAGGGAAATGGAGGTCCCTGTGAATAAATGCATTTAGCTATGCTGCAGCCCAAGTGAAGCCTCCACATGAGGCCGAGAGGACAAGAGGTCACATGTACTTGCTGTCTCTTTTGTCTGTGAGTTCTTGTCTGTCCAAGTAACACTTCACATGTACAAAACAGACACAGTTATCTGCAGATGGAACACACATTTCATCAGTAATTACATATTTTGTGGTAGCCTTTGTGGTCCACATAAAAGACGACCTTTTTGTCTGAAAAGACTGAATTCCCAAGGAGGGGGCAAAATTGGGTTCCCGTGTGTATTTGCCTATACTTTTTTTTTTTTTTTTGAGATGGAATCTGGCTCTGTTGCCCAGGCTGGAGTGCAATGGCGGGATCTCGGCTCACTGCAACCTCCACGTCCCGAGTTCAAGCGATTCTCCTGCCTCAGCCTCCTGAGTAGCTGGGACTACAGGCACGTGTCACCATGCCCAGCTAATTTTTATATTCTTAGTAGAGGTGGGGTTTCACCATTTTGGCCAGGATGGTTTCGATCTCTTGATCTCGTGATCTGCCTGCCTTGGCCTCCCAAAGTGCTGGGATTACAGGCGTGAGCCACTGCACCCGGCCTGCATATACTTCTATAACAGCATTTATTAGCCATTGAGGATGTTCTGTGAAAAGGATTAAATATTTTCCATGCTGGTTTGTCATCCATAGTGGTTCCTAAGACACATGTTGCCAGCCACAAACAGCATTTTAAAGAAATGAGATAAAATAAAATAGTAAATAGCATTTATTGCATATAGAATATTTAAATAGACTGCACACCAACATACACATGCACATATTTATTTGCCTAGTAGAATATACACAAATGGTGTATTTCTCATGCATTGTAACTGTGTATTTCTCATGCATTGCAATAAACATTTTGAAGTTCACTACTTTAGCCATTATCAGACAAAATGTCTAGAAGCCAGTTCTTTAGGCTTCTGTGAAGATGATGGATTAAGACCTGCTCAGAATAAGTTCACTGTTGTCTGTAGCTTTCTACATAATGCTTGAAATATATCTCAGTTATGTTTATATTGGTCAGTTTTACTGTGGTCATTTGACCCTCAGTAAACAAATTTGTGAACTCCTGAGTTGGTGAGAAGGAAGGCTGATGAGTTGTGGGGCTCTACTTCCTACCATGTGTTTCTGCAGCTGCAGGGTGTGTTCATGTGTGTGCTTCTGCACTCATCTGATGGTGCTTTGATGTGCTTCTTTCATTTCCCTCCTGTTATTGTTGACTGTGTCTTATGGTTCCTATTATGTACTTCATTAGCATCCAGTGACAATGACATCTGTGGTATTCAGTGTTGATCCATTTTACATGTATTTCAAAATATTTTCAAGCATGAATATTTATTTTTACCAACTTTCCTTTAAGTACTTGGAGAAGTCCAGTGCAATTCAATATTAGTATTTGATGTTAGATCTTACTGGGCTATAATCCTGCTAAATTTCCAATCATACTAAGTGTTGCTACACCCAAGCTTTTATGTCACCATAATGCTTCGATATATAACACATTGACCAAGACATAGTTGTAAGATTCTGAGATATTCACTTTTTAAATTTCCTACTTTTAAGTTCAGGCATACAAATGCAGGAGGAGGTGCAGGTTTGTTACATAGGTAAATGTGTGCCATGGTGGTTGCCTGCACAGATCATCCCATCACCCAGGTATTAAGACCAGCATCCATTAGCTATTCTTCCTGATCCTCTCCATCTGCTCACTCCCTGCTCTTTGCTAGGACCCAATCAATGCATGTTGTTCCCCCAGATGTGTCCATGTGTTTTCATCATTTGGCTCTCACTTTTAAGTGAGAACATGCAGTATTTGGTTTTCTGTTCCTGCTTTAGTTTGCTAAGGATAATGGCCTTTACCTCCAACCATATCCCTGCAAAGAATATGATCTGATTCATTTTTATGGCTGAATAGTATTTTATGGTGTATATGTACCATATTTTCTTTATCCAGTCCACCACTGATGGGATTGATACATCAAGTAATCACAATAACACGTGGTACTTGCTGTGAGGGCTATCATATTGTGATGGGGCAGACAGACCCTTACAGAGAAAAGCAGCTGAAATACAAAGGAGAAACACAGGGAAGGGACCCAGGAGAATAAATAAACAGTAAATGCAGTGGCCATGAAGCAGGAAGAAAACAATACAATTTCTTGAAAAGATAATCTTTCTCCTTTGCCTTTGCACCTCTTCTGAAAATCAATTTTTAATGTCTGTGAGTCTATTGCTGGACTCTATTCTAATCTGTTGGGATTTTTCCCAATACCACACTGTCTTGATTACTATAGAATTAACATAATTGATGTATGAGGCTGGATGATTAAAATCATCATAATAAAATAATAAGTAAATAAATAAATAAAATTAATATGAATCTTGTCATTTTGTAGTGTGAGTTTCCCAAAGTTATGCTTCAAAATTGTTTTGTCCTGGTTCATTTTCCTTTCTAGATAATTTACTTCAATGTAGTGGGTTGTTTACATTGATGCAGTTCTTCCTTCAATGGCAGCAGATAAATGCATTAGTAGCTACTGAGTGACACGGGGGAAGAAGGTGAGTTCCACCTTAGCTTGAGGAATGATCCAATATAGAGGGAGCAGTTGATGCTTCAGGAGAGAGAAGTAGATCACTGCAGGAGCAGAGCCCCTGAGAAGGTGGGAGGCGTGGGATCCTGAGCTGAGGTGAGGGGGCTGGCTTCAGTTAGGAGCATTCTATGCAGAAGGATGGGAGATAATTTGAGGGAATCACTGAAAGCGAGGGTGGTCTTGGGGATCCCTGACACAATAGCAGCAGCAGTGTGATTCACCAGCAAGACCATGACTCACTATAAAATGTGAAATCCTTCTTCCAATAAAGGAAGAGTGAAGGGGTAGAGATGATGAAGCTGTAACACCTTGGAGACTATGGATTTCCCCATAATGTGAAGCAGCTGCCGACCTGCTATCTGTTAGAAACACATGTACTCCCAGCATTTAACAATAATCCCTCCAACTGCAAGAGAGGGGGCTCACTGGATCCCTCGTCCGCAGTTCTGTGCTGGATAATTTAAGGGGGAAAAGTGCAGCCAGATGCTGACTTTGGCTTTTCTTTTCTTCTAAAGGCAGGTAAGGAAAGGACCCATACGTTACCAAAGGTGAGCTTTGTGTAGGCCAAAAATGTTAAAAGTTTGAATTTCTCTTTCCTCCAAGTGGGAGGAAAATAATCAGTTTCCTGGACTTCTGTAAAGCCTTAGATCAACCTTAAGCCTTAGATAAATGAAAAAAAGCAGGGAGCGGGGCGGGGGGAAGGCCGCATGCAATGGCTCACACCTGTAATCCCAGCATTTTGGGAGGCTGAAGCATGAGAATCACTTGAGACCAGGAGTTCAAGACCAGCCTGGGCAACATAGTGAGGCCAGGCCAAAATTTTAAAAATTAGCTGGGCATGGTGGCATAGCCTGTAGTCCCACCTACTCAGGAATGTGAGGCGGGAGGATTGCTGGAGCCCAGAAGCCCGAGGTAGCTTAAGTTATGATCCCGCCAGTGCACCCCAGCCTGGGCAACAGAGGGAAACCCTGTTTCAAAAAGGAGGTTGGGGGAGTGTGAAGACACATTCCGGCCTTGTCTTCAGCTGGGCTACCGCTGCTGCAGCCCCCTCCCAAACATTTGAGCCAGGATCCCTCTTGGCCATGGTACTTGTGACTCTGTAATGCTGAATTTAGTGCTAGCAGTTTGAAGGAAATTTCCATGAGAAGAAAAAAGGGGGAAGTTTTAAACTGGCCTTGCATCTTGTGGCTATTACATCTGGATGTGTGATGATATTGACGGAAGAGGTCCGGCAGTTTGACTACTCAGTGAAGCAGCCACAAACCAGGGAGTGATGTTTTCCATGCTTCTCACTGGATAAATGATAGAGAAAAAAGGGATGGAGTTTCTGTAAACCCATTTTTTGAATTTTGACAAATTCAAGATTTCATCTTGACTATTTCTTAAACATGATGAATCTTTTCACCTAAATTATATTAAAATACTTTTTTCTGAAAATCCTTTTGTCCCTCTTGCAGAGAACTCTTCCAGAAAAAGAGGTCTAGAGAAAGGAAGGGGATGATTAAAGAAGTAAAATGTTTGCATCACAAAATGGTATATGGTGATTTTTAACAATTGGAGAAAACATGAAACCTGGCAATAAGGAGAGGCAAAGGAGGGAGGGAGGACATTAGTTGTCTCTGTTTTTCAAAATTGTTGCTAAAAACTCTCCACTTTTCCTCAATAAATACTTTCCATACAGGCTTTCCAAGCCACTGTGAGCCAACGTTGAAATCACACTGACTGCTGAGCCCACAATCACCTACAGGTATTCAGGGATTTCAGTTACCAGTCCAGAGATTTAAATGTGCAATAACACAATGTAAAAAAGTAAAGAGGCATGAATGTATTGAGTCTACAGAAATATAGTTAAATTCATTGTATGCATGGAAGAAAACCCAGAACCGGAGAAGGAAGTGATTAATCAACGCATGTATAAAAATTGGCCCAGGTGGGAAGATCACTTGAGCCCACGTATTTGAGACCAGCCTGAGCAACACAGTGAGGCCCCGCATCTAAAAAAATAAATAAATAAATAATAAAAATAATAAACATTAAATAAATTAGCTGGGCATGGTGGCGTCCACCTGTATTCCCAACTACTCAGGAGGCTGCAGCATGAGGATTGCTTGAGCCCAGGAGATGGAAGCTGCAATGAGGTATGGTCATGCCACCGCTCTCCAGCCTGGGCAAGAAAGCAACACCCTGAAAAAAAAGCATGTGTAAATATGGACATAAAATTCCTTATTTCTGTCACAGATCTGAGACACATCCTCCACTAAGGGTGACATAGGACTGTCTGTTCCCAAAGTTTCTGGATGCATGAGAATAGTTGGGCAAGAGGGAGAAAAAAAAACTGGCCGGGTGTGGTGACTCATGCTTGTAATCCCAGCACTTTGGAGGGCCAAGGCAGGGGGATCACCTGTCAGGAGTTCAAGACCAGCCTGGCCAACATGGTGAAACCCCGTCTCTACTAAAAGACAAAAAATTAGCCGGGCGTGGTGGCGCACACCTGTATTCCCAGCTACTCTGGAGGCTGAGGCAGGAGAATTGCTTGAGCCCAGGAAGCAGAGGTTGCAGTGAGCTGAGATCATGCCACCGCACTCCAGCTGGGCAACAGAGCAAGACTCTAAAAACAAAAACAAAATCTCAACTTCCTTTCTTTCTACTACAAACAACCTGGGGATGTGGGTCTGGAGACAGCAGGAAAGCCCTGGCCGGCCCTGCATGTGCCTGACTCAATGTGCATGCTCCTTGCTGCCCAACTCCCTTGTTGCCCGTGCACTGTGCTGTCTGCCTTCTGTCCCTGCAGAGCTGGGCGAGGAGATGTCGTGACTTCCTTCTGTTGTACCAACTACAAATAAGTCGGTAGATGCTCACGTCAATCCTACCAGAAAGTTGAAGTGTGAGTGAGTGTGAGGAGGAGCCCGTGGGTGTGGTCCATGGCTTCCTAGGGAGAAGGGCCTTGAGGTCCTTATCCTTCTCCTAACAGGCAGTGATGCAGCCATGGGCTTGGTGTCATGGGCAGCCCAGACGCGGGAGTAAGGAGGGCCATAGAGGGGAGGAATGTCAAGTGAACATGGAGTATTTTTGCTGTTGTTGTTTGTTTTTGTTTTTGAGACAGGGTCTCACTGTGCCACCTAGGCTAGAGTGCAGGGGCATGATCATGGTTCACTGCAGCCTCAACCTCCTGGGCTCAGGTGATCCTTCCACCTCAGCCTCCCACATAGCTGGAACTGCTGGCAGGCACAACCATGCTCAGCTAATTTTTTGTATTTTTAGTGGAGAAGGGGTTTCACCATGTTGCCCAGGCTAGTCTCAAACTCCTGGTAGAGTGAGTTTTGAGCAGGGAAACTATGTGTGTTATTTGAGTACCAGAGGCATATGAAACTGCTCACAGAGGACAGATTCAGAAATGCTCATTTGGGACCTGGGAGAGAGCAGAGGACGGCAGCGGGGGATAGAGTATTGTGAGGTGGGTCACCAGAGCCCACAAGGCAGGCACCAATCTCACTGTGCATGCTTCTTGGGGGCTGGCCTCAGGGCACATGTTCATTATGTGTCTTCCCGTGGGCCCCTTCACCCACGTGGTGAACGCGGGGAAGCTGTGAAGGTGTAAAGGTCACCGTTCCAGCAGTCTGGACTCTTTCTCCCCTACTGAGACTCAGCTGGTAGGTCTGCAGGCCAGTCCTCCCAGAAGTTGAAGTGTGAATGAGTGTGAGGAGGAGTCAGTAAGCTTTGGAAGGGTCGGGTGATGTGGTCCCTGGCTTACAGGGAGAAGAGTTTCAAGTTCATCGTCCTCCTCTTGTGGGGGCGCCGCCATGGGCCCTATTGTGGGGAGTGTCAGAATGAGGGAGGAAGGAAGGCTGCAGACAGGGGATGTGGGGTCAGGTGAACATGGGGGTGCTGTTGTGGGTATCTGAGTGCCAGAAGGGCCTGGAACCCCCGACAGAGGACAGATTCCACATTCCTCGGTGGGGACCCACGAAAGGGTGGCGTGGGCACTAAGGAAGGAGCCTGGAAACTCGGAACGCTGCAGGCTAATGACCATGGCTCCAAGGTCTGCAGAGCTTCTGATAAAGGTGTCCAGTAAGGAGCGCCCAGTGCTGTGTGACAGCTTCTCAACTCCACCCTGGAGTTTCTAATGGGCAGGGCTGTGCATTCCAATGAAACTTGATTTTGGGGGAGGTGTAAAATGGGCCTAGAAAATGGGTGTGTGATGAAAGCAGTGGTCACTCCAATTTTAATTCTCTAGGTGTGTAAACTTAAATGTCTCCACAATGGAAAGTCCAGTTGTGAAACCAAACCTGATTGGAAATACTGTGTGTCTCTTGCCAGAAGCCTTAAGACATTGCTCAACTAGCTTGACCAACTTAAATGATTGTGCAAGCATTCTATTCAGAAGGCTCACACACTTATAACTGCTCTAAAACATACTTTCAAAGTATTTCCATTCTTCAAAAAAAAAACAAGTTAACATTTGTCCACGGATGTGGACAAATATAGCTATCCTCTCAAGTGCATTTTCCCAATCACAGTACTCTGTTTGCAGAGTGAAATATGAGTTGGTGAGGAAGATCAACATATAGGCTTACACCAAAGTAATATTTACAACCTCTTCACATGATTGGGCTTCTCCTTATGAGTGACTTAATATTCAATGTTTTCTACTAGGAGCAATTTCTTTTTGTGGTAGTGTTGTTGAACCAGTATAGATACACTGATAAAGTTCTCCCATGTTGATAAAAAGTGATTGTGGCGTCTCATGAAGGAAAGAGTAACCCAAGAGGTCTACATCCTGGTTTTGCCTGAATGTGTGAACTTGTTTTCCCCAGATTTGACTGGTGATTTCCTCCTCATGCTTATTCATAGAGCATTACACACATTCAACCCAACATAAATAAAAATGGCTACCCAAGCTGTTGAGGGTAACAGTCTTAGAGTAACCTCTCTATGGGAAGAGTAACTTTATGAAGAATAAGTATGTGGAATAGTGTTGGGATAGTGTTGGAGCATGTCTTTAAACATGCATATGATTAGAAGTATCTATGTAATCTGTATTCATATTATTCACAGGCATTGATAAGAAATTTTTTATTTGCACACACACACGCACACACACACAAACACACACACGAACACGTGTGCATGCGCACACACACACCCCTTGTCCCAGGAGCCCAGTGTGCCAGAGCCTCAACAAGAAGAACCACCAGCTGAAAGTTGGGATCCTACACCTGGTCAGAAGAGAGAAGAAGATCAGGGTGCAGCTGAGATTCAAGGTGCTGGGAAGGGAAAAAAAGAATGTTTATTGGGAGAAGGAGGCCTATATGGGCATCATGGCTTATGCCATGACCAGTAACAGGAGGAAAGAAAACATGAGGAAAGGATCTCAAACATTTGCTGAGAGTTGGCTGGAAAGGTGACAGGCATAGTTTGCAGCTTCCTGCAGTCCCTGGATATGATGATTCTTCTCTTTTTCTTCGAGATGCATTTTGTAGGCTTGAAAATACAGTCCTTCCTAAATCAGATAAAACCATTTAATTGGTTGTATAAAAATGTACATTATTTCACTAGTTTAATTTGATCTTCTTAGGATGTTGCAGTGTGACCTCCTCAGCCATGCTGTCCACAGTGTTGTAAGCACCCTTTAATAGCATGTGGAGTGCCAAGTCACCCTACCTTATAACACCCTGAATAAAGCCCACTTGCAAAGGGATGTTAGCTTCATTTTATAAATAAGAAAAATGAGGCCAGACAGCGCAGTGGCTCACGCCTGTAATCCCAGCACTTTGAGAGGCCTATGCGGGATAACCTGAGGTCAGGAGTCCGAGATCAGCCTGGCCAATATGGTGAAACCCCGTCTCTACTGAAAATACAAAAATTAGCTGGGCATGGTGGCACACCCCCGTAATCCCAGCTATTAAGCAGGCTGAGGCAGGAGAATCCCCTGAGCCTGGGCGACGGAGGTTGCAGTGAGCCAAGATTGTGCCACTGCACTCCAGAGCAAGTGGGTGACAAAGACTCCGTTTCAAAATAAATACATAAATAAATGAATAAAAAATGAATAAGAAAACTGAGCCTCAGAGATTGAGACTTACCAAGAACAATTGACTCATGGAGAAGGAATTCATATTTTTGTTCCAAGGTTTGCATTCTTCCTACCATCTATGTTAGAAAATGTGAATGATTTTGCTTAAAAATATTTAATACTCAAAAGCATCTGTATTGTAAGGTACTTCACTATTGGCTCAGGACAAAATGCAGTTCAGTGAAGCAACTCCAGAAACTAGGGCAGTGAATGAAAGCCACTGTTTCTTTGAGGTGTATTTTTGACAGTATGTTTGGTAAAAAGCTGGATAATTCAGGACACTGGCATACAGGTAACTATATTAGTAGGATTTTCAAGGGGCTTTTAAAAGTTGTTTCAATATTTTTATAATTAGAAAACTCAAAGTACGATAAGATTATCATGAAACAGAAATTGTTTTTTCAACGGATAGCATTTTCAAACTAAAGATAGACAGAATTTGGGCCATGGATTATTTTAGCAATTCACTGTTAAGGGGTTTCCAGAATATGCCTGTCAACAATACCCATTGATTTCTTTGCACTTCAGTTCCCATACTCTCACTGGAAGACAGTGATTTTGCTGTTACATTGCATACATTTTTCTTAGTGACATTCATGTATGGAAAGTTACATGAAGGGCATTTGGACCTAAGCATTACTTTAATTAAGTTTAACCCCAACATTTTCAAGGTACCTCAACAGGGTATGAGTGTCAGAACTATAAGATTTTTCCTAGGCCCACCAATACATCGATCTAATCATAGAAATTTACATTTAAGTTTTGATTAAAATGTTATCCATGGGGCAGTCTTCAGATTTCCAAGGTAGCTGTGTGTGTATAATATACAATGGTAAAGTATGGGAAATGTAGGTGTGCTGAGACTTATCCTCCCTGAAATGACTGCCTTCTGACAGTTCCCCTAAACCAAAGATGCAAATCAGTTGTTTGGACTGGACGAGGAACCTTAGAGGGAAAGGTCCCTCAGTGGGAGGCCATATCGGGGGCCTTGGCCAGCTCCTGCCTGATGACTGTATGTCCTGCTGGGGGTGCCCTAACAAGGGTAAACTCTTGGTGTCCAGGGGTATCACCTGTGCCCCGTGGGATTGTTCTTACCTGTATTCCCTGACTAGCCCATCACTGCCTCATCCCTGGAAGGCATTCACATCAGCTTCAGCTTCCTGGCAAGAGCTGTGCTGAGCCTGAAATGGTGGCTTGGGCTGGACAAAAATACAGAATCTTAGTTAGGAAGTCACCTGTCTTTGTCAGATAGACCTTCACCATTAATAGGATTTGTATAAGATGGCTGTGATGGGAAATCTGATGTGTCAACTTTGCTAGGCCACGATACATGAGAAATGTTCACTTTGACCAGGGTATATGTCTCTGTGAAGGGTTTTCTTTACATGAGAACTAGCATTTAAATCAGCAGACTTCAAGTAAACCTAATTGCCTTACCCAATGTGGGTGGGCCTCATCCAGTCCCTTGAAGGCCTTCAGAGAAGAAGACTGGGGTCCTCCTCAAGTTGAAGAAATTCTGCCTCCACCCTGCCCTTGGATTTGGGCTCTCATATCACCTCTGCCCTGGCTCTCCAGCCTGACATCCTGCTCTGGGAGATTTGGACTTGCCAGTCGCAACAGCTGCATGAGCTAGGTCTTCAAAACCGCTCCCCCGTCTCTCTCTCTCTCTCTCTCCACACACACACACACACACACCCAGAGGAACCCTAACAAATAGGGTGCTTATATCTGGGACCCTTGAAGGGCATAACTGAGATCAGTACTGAAGGTTGGTCTCACTCTGCTGCATGGCTTCTAAGGCAGAGGCCTGTTGCGTTCCCCTCCCACCCTCTGCAGACTGACATCCATGTGGCTCATCACTGTGACTCAGGGTTTGGTCATCCAACCATGCAGAGGTCACTACAATTCCACAAGTGTTCCCTGCCCTCCTTCTGCCTATGAGGTCCTCTGTCCCATCCTGAGGACACAGAGATCTACTGGGTATGTTTCCAGTCTTCCAGGAAGGAGCCAGGAGCCTGGTGAGGGAGATACACCTGCAGCAGCAGTAACAGCAAGGGGCATAGCCAGTGTGTTCACAAACTCATGAGAGATCACATTACCAACATCTCCCACTTAAGTTTCCCCATCAACTAACAGCTTATCCTGAAATTATCATGTTCGTAGGTAAGTTGGATTCCCCTTATTCTATTGGCCCCCAATATGCACAGATACAAAAAAACTGATACTGGAATATTCTGTCAGAGTGAAATCCAAGAATGGAATGCCTTGCTGTGATGTGATTTTCGAAGCAATCAATAAGGCTTTATAAGTTCCCAGATGAAGCAACATACAGGCCTCCCTCAGTTTAAAGGGAGTGACATGTATGGGAAATCCAGTTTATTGAAGACTCTGGAAAAAGACGTTTGCCTGCCTGTAACACTCAGTACCCAAATGCAAGTAGCACCTGCCAATCATTCCAAAAACTGCAGCTGCCCTCAGAAATTTCTAAAATGCCCCAAAGTGGCCGAAGATATTCTGGCTATAAACCACAAGTTTAGGATTGAAAAGAAGTATCCTCAAACTTCTTATTTACATCAAAAGAATAGGAATGTTGCCGTTGGTACAGAGAAAATAGCAGGGTAGCGTGGAGAAGGACACAATGTTCCCCAGGAGGGTTTGCAGGCACCTTCCTCCTCTGTCCTGCTTTCTGTGATAAGAAAGTCGTTCAGGGATAGGTGAGGTGGCTCCTACCTCTAATAGAGGTTGAGGAGTGAGTATTGCTTGAACCCAGGAGTGTGAGATCAGCCTGGGCAACATAAGGACACCCCACCTCTACAAAAAAAAAATTGGCCGTGGGCGGTGGAGCCTCCATGTAGTGAAACTACTTGGGAGGCTGAGATGGAAGGATCACTTCAGCCTGGGAGGTTAGGGCTGCACTGAGTCATGATTTTTCCACTGCATTCCAGGCTGAGTGACAGACCCGGTCTGAAACAGCAACAACAAGTGGTTTGGGGCCAGCTGGGGTGTGCCGGGAAGCTTATCCTGGAAAAGATACTGTTGCTAGGTAAGTTGGATTCCCTTCATTTTTACCCCAGGCATGCAGAGCTACTAAGCAAACTGATACTGGAATGTTGTGTCAGGGTGGGATCCAAGAATGGAATGGCCTGCAGTGATGTGATTTTCCAAAGCAGTCAATAAGTCTTTCATAACTTTCCAGATGAAGCAACATACCAGCCTCCCTCAGTTTGCAGGGGAGTGACATGTATGGAAAATCTAGTTTACTTAAAACTCTGGAAAATGATCTTTGCCTCCCTGTAACGCTCAGTCCCCAAATGCCAGTAGCTCCTACCCATCATTCCAACAACCACAGCTGCACTCGGAAACAACCAAAATGTTTCAAAGTAGACAATGATATTCTGGCTATAAACCATGAGTTTAGGATTGAAAAGAAGTATCCTCACACTTCTTATTTACATCAAAAGAGTAGGAATATTGCGGCCAGTACAGAGGAAATAACAAGGCACCAAGGAGGAGGACACAATGTTCTCCAGGAGGGGTTACAGGCAACTCCCTCCTCTGTCTTGCTTTGCTTTTAGTGACAAGAAAGTGGTTCAGGGATAGGCATGGTGTCTCAAGCCAGCCTGGGGAACATAGGGAGACCACCATATTAAAGAAATTTAAAAAAAACAGCCAGGCGTGGTGGAGCATGCCTGTAGTCTCAGCTACTTTGGAGGCTGAGGTGGAAGCATCACTTGAGCCTAGGAGTGAGCCATGATTGCTCTACTGCACCGCAGGCTGAGAAAGAGAGTGGGACCCCATTTCAAACAAAACAAAAATAAGAGAAAGTGTTTCAGGGCCAGCTGGGGTCTGTGGTGAAGCTTCATTTCAAAAGTCAATCACTGCTATTGGACATTGATGCTCAGGATGTTTCCTTGGTAGTCATAGTTCTGAGATCCCAGGACTGATGTCCTTCTCGGCAAGGACAGCCCTCTCCAGGCTGGGGCACAGGAGGAAGGTGCCAGGCTAGGTTGTCAAGCTACCATGGACAGCTGTCTGCTGTAGAATCACAGATGAGAACAGGAAAAGAACAGCTGAAAGGAGGAGAAGGGAGACAACTTCTGCAGTTGAGGAGCAGGTGCCTGTTAGTGAAGGGAAGACATTGGCCCTAAGTCCTGACATTGCTCTAGGCTCCCATGGAAGGACATGATGGTGCCAAGCAGAATCCAAGGCTGGTGGGAGGAGCAGAATAGCTGGGAACACCTCCCACCTATGCGTTCAATGGTCCCTGAGAGGAGCCCATGCCATTTTGGAATCTGAAAGGTTATTTTTTGACATTCCCTCCATTCACCGCCCATGAAGAGAAGGGATTTGAGATAAACTGAGGCCTTCAGGGAGAAAGGCCAGATGGAGTTGTGAGGCCTTCTCAAAAGTCTGTCTGCCCCACCCTTATGGTGAGTCTCACTGCGCTCATCTTGTCCTGTGTTCCTCTTTGCTCTGATGTCGATCTCCTCAACCTCATGTCTGTCCTGGGAAGAGTAGGTATATTGCAGACAGTCTTGCTACCTAAGCAATTTAATAAGGTTTCTGAAAGTTCCCAAGCCTGAGCAGTAAATTCCAAGATCCTAGGACACCATTGTGGCCACGCTACATGAGATTCGCCAGGTGTGAATCGTGGAATCTTCATTTTAAAGGATCCTGGCTTGCAACCTTAATGGAAACTTGTCTGAGAACTAGTAGCAGAGCAGAATAATCTGCTTTCCCAGCAAGACAGCTTCTTTCTCCTTTGTGAAGGTATAGAAGGGACAGGTTTGGTGTGTTCTCTGATGTACAAATCCAAGACCTTCAGGTGAGGAGACCGACACTGACGTGCTGCCTGTTATGGTAATGACACACTCAGGGCACCATCTCCAAATGATACCCAGGCCGATCCTTTCAAGTCTCCATCTCTTAACTATTTCCGAAGAAATCGAATGTCTCTTGCCTGTGCAGTCTCATGCTATGAAATCCTAAATATTTTGCAATAGCCTTTGGACCTTACTCTTGATTCCACAAATATGCAGCACAGTAGAGTTTTACATGATGTCTCTGACCTGTGGCTCCAGCACTCACTGCTGGGTGACACTGAGAAAGTTACTTAACATCTCTGTGATTCCTTTCTCCATTAGTACCATTGAAATACTACTAGTAATTGCATCTACTTCTTGGGGCAGTTTAGATCACTGACTGTGTGAAGACATGCACAGTTGTCAGGACTGTCCCTGGCACATTGTCAGTTTCCAATGATTTCTAGCTGTTACTGTTTTGCTGTTTATATTGTTGTTGTTCCCACATTTCCCTGGAGCATGTTCCAGAGATACAATGTCACGACTACCTTTGACCCCTTCGATGATCTTTTGATTATCACTTTATTTCCTCAGGGACTCAAGGACTGAGTCTGTGGGGCAGGGCGAGGCCATATTTTTAAGAGCATAATGAATATTCAGCTCTCCTTACAGGGTATTGTGGAGCCTAAATGTAATGCTGGGATTTCATCATCATGAGCTTGCACGAAAAATTCGAATGGAAATTTTTCTAGGAAATCGGAACACTAATGACCTCTTCATGTGATTTGTATAATGCTTGGAAAAGTAACTAGTGACTGGATAGGGATAGCACATAAGGATATAAATATTTAAAAGATTATGAATTTTCTATTTCTTAGTTTCTGCTTTTTGTATCCTATCTGTCTTTGTTTTACACGATGCCACAGGTTCTCTTACATTTTCTTCTAGAAGTGTCAAAACTTTAGCTTTTACATTAAGTTCTATAATGCATTTTGAGGTAACTTTTTTATATCGTGTGAGATAAAGGTTGAGGTTCACTTATTTGCATGTCAATGTCCAATTATTCCACCATCATTCTCTGAATACAACATCCTTTCCCACTAAATTATCTTGGCACCTTATGGAAAAAATCAATTTAACGTGACTATATAGGTCTAGCTTTGGCCCCTTATTTCTTTTCATATGCCGATATCACACTGTCCTAATTACCACAGTTATGAAATACGTCTTGAAAACAGGTACTGAGTCCTCCAATAATTTTGTTCTTTATAAAATTGTTAGACTATTCTAGTCCCTTTGCTTTTCCATATAGATTTTAAGGCCAGCTTATCAGTTTGTAGAAACAAAAGGCTTCAAGGATTTTGATTGTGTTTACATTGAATGTATAGTTCATTTGGGAGTAACTAACTTATTCACAATCTTGAGTGTTGCAATCCATTAACGTGGTATACCTTTCCATTAATTTCAGCCTGCTTTAATATTTCACAGCAATGTTTTTTAGGCTTCTGAGTATAGTTTGTGTGCATATTTTGTTAAATTTTACCAGTAAATATTTCATGGATTTTTGCTGCTATATTAAGTGGTAATGATTTTCAATTTTCAATTATTTGTTGATGATATTTAAAAATCACATTGACTTTTGCATACTTATCTTGTACCATATTACTTTGCTAAACTCACATATGTATATATATTCAAGTCATGGGATGAATCTCATTTGGCCATGATGTTGTATATTTTTAATACATTCTTAGTTCTGAACTGCTATTATTATAGCATATATATATATCTATGCTTTTATGAACATGAGTTATATTAGTCTGTCATGTTATTTTCTCATAATGTTTGTATGGTTTTGATATAAGGCTGATGTGGGCTCTGTAAAATGCTTTGAAAAGTGTGATCTCTTTCAATTATCATAAAGGGTTTGTGTAGAATTGATACTATTTCTTCCACAAATGTTTGCAGAATTAACCAGTGAAATCACCAGAAACATGAATTTTATTTGAGAAAAAAATTTTGTTTCATTTCTTTGTTGGTTTTAGTGAATTCAATTTCTTTAATTGGTATAAACACTATATATGTCATCTATTTCTTTGGGGGGAATGAGGTTTGCTAGCTAGTGTCCTTCAAGGAATCTTCCCACTCCATTTAAAAAATAATATTTTGGATAGTGCTTTTCACCATGTTCCCTATCATATATTTAATATCTGAATGATTTGTATTGATGTGCCCTCTGGCGCTACTGATATCTGTGATTTGTATTCTCTCTCCACTTCTCTCATCAGTCTGTCTAAAGGTTTATTAATTTGACTGTTCCTCCCAAACAAGCGACTTCTGGTTTCACTGATTTTTTTAATAGATTTTTTCATTTCTATTTAATTTATTTCTATTCATATCTTTATTAATTTTTCCTTCTTGTTGTTTTGGGTATAATTTGATTTTATTTTTCCAGTTTCTTATTTTATTTATTTGTTTAGGTTTTTTTTTTTTTTCATAGACAGTCTGGCACTGTCACCTAGACTGGAGTGCAGTGGCACGACCTTAGCTCACTGCAACCTCCACCTACTGGGCTCAAGAGATTCTCCTGCCTCAGCCACTATGCCCAGCTAATTTTTTTTTTTTTTTTTTTTTTTTGAGACAGAGTCTCACTCCTTCACCCAGGCTGGAGTGCAATGGCACGATCTTGGCTCACTGCAACCTCCGCCTCCTCAGTTCAAGCGATTTTGCTGCCTCAGCCACTTGAGTAGCTGGGATTACAGGTGCGTGCCCCCACACCCAGCTAATTTTTGTATTTTTAGTAGAGCCAGGGTTTCACCATGTTGGTCAGGCTGGTCTTGAACTCCTGACCTTGTGATCTGCCTGCCTCGGCCTACCAAAGTACTGGGATTACAGGCGTGAGCCACCATGCCCGGCCAACTGTTTTTCTAGTTTCTTAATGTGGAAGCTTAGGTAATTGACTTGAGACATTTCTTCCTTTCTGATATAAGTATTGAATGCTATAAATTTCCCTCTGTGCACTGCTTTACTGTGTTATCTTGCATTTTTTGATAGGCTGTGTTTTCATTTTCAAATTTTCTCTACAATTTATTCTTTCATCCCTGCGTTACTTAAAAGTGTCGTTTAATTTCCAATATTTCAGGGATTCCGTATATCTTTCTACAACTAATTTCTATTTCAATTCTTTTGTGGTCACAAAACATGTTTTGTAAGATTTCATTCCTTTAGAATTTGTTGAGATTTGTTTTTTGGCCCATAAATAAGGTCTATCTCGGTGAACATTCCATGTGCACTTGTGAAGAATGTATATTCTGTTGTTGTTCTATAAATAACAATTAGGCCGAGTTGGTTGATACCATTGTTCAAGCCTTCTGCATATATATATATATATATCCTGATTTTCTTGTACACTGTTTCTACCAATTGCTGAGAGAAATGTTGAAATCTCCTACTATAAGTGCAGATGTGTTTGTATCTTCTTTCTCATGTATGGGTGTTCCCCTCATGTATTTTGAATATAATATGATATATAATTAAATACACCTAATGTATTTAATTATTTTTTCAGATGCAGGGTGTTACTGTGTTGCTCAGGCTGCTTTCAAACACATGGGCTCAAGTGATTTTCCCATTTTGGCCAATTTTTATACATGCTTTGATTAATCACTTCCTTATCTGGTTCTGGGTTTTCAACCATGTGTACAATGAATTTAACTACTTCTGTAGACTCAATCAATTCACACCTCTACCCTTTTTTTTAGGTTGTGTTATTACACATTTAAATCTCTCGACTGGTAACTAATTTCCCTGAATACCTATAAGGTGATCATGGGCTCAGCAGTCAGTGTGATTTCAACGTTGGCTCACAACAGCTTGGAAAGCCTGCATGGGAAGTATTGCTTGAGGAAAAGTGGAGAGTTTCCAGGAACAGTTTTGAAAAACAAAGACAACCGATGTCATCCTTCCCTCCCTTGCCTCTCCTCATGTGCCAGGTTTTCTGTTTCCTCCAGCTGATAGAAAATCAGCATGAAGTATTCTGTGATGAAAAGTTTTTATCCCTTTAATCATCCCGTTTCTTCCTCCAAACCTTTTATTCTTTCTGGAAGGGTGGTATGCAGAAGGAACAAAAGCATTTTCAGAAAAACACATTATAATATAAATTTAGTGAAAAGATTCATCATGTTTAAGAAATGGTCAGGATGAAATCCTGAATTTGTAAAAATTGTAAAAATCAGTTTACATAACCTCCATCCCTTTTGTCTCTATCACTTATCCAGTGAGAAGTGTAGAAAAGATGAATTCCTTATTTGTGGCTGCTGCGTTGAGTAGCCAAACTGCTGGCCACCTTCCATCAATATCATATATCCAGATGTAATAGCCACAAAATGCAAGGCCTGTTTAAAACTTTCCCTGATTTCATCCATCTCATTGAAATTTCCATCAAACTCCTAGCAGTAAATTCAGCATTCAAAGAGTTACAAGTACTGTGGCTAAGAGAGATCCTGGCTCAAATGTTGGGAGGGGGCTGTAGCAGTGGGCGCCCAGCTGAAGACAAGGCTGGAATGTGTCTTCACAACCCCCCCCACCCTTTTTCAGACAGGATTTCTCTCTGTTGCCCAGGCTGGAGTACACTGGAGGACTCACAACTCACTACGACATGAAACTCCTGAGCTAAAGTGATCCTCCTGCCTTACCTTCCTGAATAGATGGGACTACAGGCATGTGTCACCATGCCCAGCTAATTTTTTAAATTGTGTAGAGCAAGAGTCTCACTATGCTGTCCAGGCTGGTCTTGAACTCCTGGCCTCAAGTGATTCTCCTGCCTCAGCCTCCAATAATGCTGGAATTCCTGGTGTGAGCCAGTGCATGCAGCCACTTTTACCCGCCTTTTAAAATCTAAGGCTTAAGGGTTTTCTGAGGCTTTGCTCCAACCCAGGAAGCTGATAATTTTCCTCCCACTTGGATGAAAGAGCAATTCAAATGTTCAGGATTTTTGGCCTGTGCAAAGCTCTTTGGCAATTATTGAGTCCTTTGTCTACCTGCCTGCAGGAGAAAACAAAAATTAACATTAGCATGAGGCTGCACCTTTCCCCCATATATTATCTGGAGCAGAACAGTGGTTAAGGGATCCAGGGATCCAGCTCTCTTGCAGTTGGAGGGACTATTGTTAAATGCTGTGAGTACATGTATTTTTCATAATAGACAACAGCTTCGGCTGCTGCTTCATATTATGGGTAAATCCATGGTCTCCCAGGCATGACAGCTTCATCATGTCTACCCCTTCACTCTTCCTTTATTCAAACAAGGCTTTCACCATATTGTATGCAGTTCCTAATGTGACATTAACTGATTTCTCCAAAGATACTTTTCAGGGTATTTCCAGGAGCCTATTAGGCATCCAGACCGTAGTTTGAAGCCAAAACATTAAAAGCAAGTTTACAGAAAAAGTACACATTATTTGTAAATTCCTTTAGTTTCTTAGGTATTTTGTGTGGTGCTGATATTTTGAGTAAAACTATGCACATGTTCGGACCTTGGACTATCTTTTGGTTTCCTTGCAGGACTAGAAAGCAGGGTGTGTTTTAAAAATGTTTTTAATGCATATGCTTGGATGTTTATCGTCGAAGTCTCTACAGAGGTCTACCTCAATGTAAGCAAAAGGGTGACTCTTAGACTTCTGGTTTTTGTCCACTGTATAAAACTAAGATTTTGGTGTCCTTCCCATATCTTTAATTTCATCTGAATATAATTCCCCTAGTAATGTTCCCAACTTTTATGTTTCTATTATAGGAGAAAGGCAACCACAGTTTTAAACGAAGACAAGCTGAAACAACACAAACTGGTTTTATATTAGAGATATTTGAATTAAAAATATTTCAATAAAGTTTTGCAACTTTCACCAAAAAAGTCTTGCACATCTTTTGTTCATTTTATTCCCAGGTATTTGATACTATTGAAAACTGTGGCTTGATGTGGTAGCTCAAGCCTCTAATCCCAGCACTTTGGGATGCTGAGGCAGGAGGACTGATTGAGCACAGGAGATGAGACCAACCTGGCCAACAGAAAGAGACCCCCTTTTTTAAAAAATAAAAGAATAAATACATGAATGTATGCATATATGTATGTAGCTGTAGTCCCAGGTACTCTGGAGACTAAGGTGGGAATGTATGCATATATGTATGTAGCTGTAGTCCCAGCTAATCTGGAGGTTAAGGTGGGACCTCTTGGGCCCCCAAGAGGTCCAGGATGTGGTTAAATTATTTTGGAATGGAGACTCAATTTCAAAAAAAATTAAGAATCATTTTTGAAATTTTGTATTGTGATTGAGCTGGTATGCACAGGTGTGATATTGTGAAACACATATTTGGTTCTAGACCCTGCTTCCAGGCATACAACGCCTACAATTTTTAGAATCTCCACAAAGTGGTGTCTTTTTGTATGCTAGTGAATTGACTGATGGCTAGCAGCACCTAGGTAGCTCTAGGTTGGGGAAGAAGAGAGTTGGGCCTTTCAGCCCCACCCACAACCTTCAGGGAAGGGACAAGGGCTGAAGGTTAAGTTGATCACAAATGGCGGGCCAACAGTTTAATCAATGACACCTACATAATGAAAACCGAAAAGGACATGGTTCAGAGAGCTTCCCTCTAGCTGAACACATGGAGGGCAGCTTGCGCATAGAGGGCATGGAAGCTCCCTGCCCCTTCCCCCGTACCTCACCTTATGTGTCTCCTCATCTGCTTCCTTTGTTACGATATCCAATTTGCCACAAAATATGTAAGAAGTTCCTAGGCTGTAGAACTGGATGGAAGAATTAGGGCTTAGGTAGAAGAAAGGGGAAAGCAACCAGAGCAACTTGCTGAAGCAAGATGACTTGGGTCCTACCTACACTGTCTCTTTAGAGGCTATGGCATGAATTAGCCATGGGTTTCCATCCTGCCTCCCACACACTGGCCTTGAGATGGTGGGCAAGATACTTGCAATATTTGGGACCATTTCCTCATTTCTAAAGTAGAAATTACAATAGTTACACTAATTACTTGCTATGAAGAATCAATGAAATAACATACCAAGTAGGCATTGCTTTGCAGTTAAATTTGGTTTACTAGATTTCCTTGTTTCCTTTAAGATTTCAAACTTTTTCCTTCCATATTTCTTTAAAACTACATCTCTTGTATGTGATATCTGCTTTTGAATTTCAAGTAGGAATGTCAAGTTACCTTTTAAAATGCATTTGACTTCACAAAATTATTTGATTTCAATGAATATGTTAATGAATTAGCAGTGTAGCTGGTGTCAGACACGGGATCGATTCTAAAGTGGATTTCTAAAAAACTGAGGTGTGACAAGGCCAAACCTAAGTCAATTGTCCGTGCAGAAAACTTGTTTGCTGTGTGCGATGCCATGAAGAATAAATCAATATTCTGGGCATGCAATGCCACACAACTCAATACAGTAGTGTGTCAAGTGCTCAAGCAGTCCCTAAGCAGCCCTGGCCACAAGGATCACCACTGCAGTTGTTAGTTTGCCGTGTAACATATTCATAGATTTGGTCAATAAGGAGATAATGAGCCCAAATGGATCCAAGTAGTTGATTGTTTGCAGACACAACAAAAGCAAGAGCAGCATTGTGTAGGCACCGTGTCCCTAGTCCCATAATACAACACTGAATAGCAGGTACTCAGTGACAGACAGCACAGATGGTGGGTCTCTCTGCCTGTGAGGAGCTCACAGCCATACCCTAAAGCAGTGAGCAGTTTTATAACAAGTTAGGATAACAGCTGTACCCTAAGTTGTGGAAAAGGCCTGTGGTTTTCTGAAACTAGAGCAATGGATGAAAATGGACTCCAATGAAGTGAAGTTGTATAAGTTCATGAAGTTTTGCTGTGAAGGGCAGCAGATAAATGTGTTAGTAGCTACAGAAGGACATGGGGGAATAAGGTGAGTTCCTCCTTAGCTTGGGGAATAATCCAGTATAGAGGGAGCCGTTGATGGTTCAGGGGCAGAAGTGATCATTGCAGGATCAAAGCCCCTGGGAAAGTGGAAGTTATGTGATCCTGAGCTGAGGTGAGGGGCTGGCTTCAGTCAGGAGCAATTGCATGCAGAAGGGCCGCAGAGAATGCCAGAACAGCACAGGTAGACTGGGTTTGGGAAGCTCTAAGAGTTCCCAGCAGATTGCTTCTGTCTTCTGAATGAATCATTAGGAGAGGTCATTCAAATGGAGGAGGGTTCCTGGCATTTTGTGAGAGTATTGTAGTAGTGGAAGTAGGAAGAGCATGAAAGGGAGAAAATTCTCTCGTGGTCATGGACTTAAGGTAAAATAATTCAGAAGGTTTTGAAGTTTTCTTATCACTGCTCAGTTGCTCAGATACAGGCATCATTATGCGGTCATTAAATTAGTAGGAGGAGCAGTAGTGCTAGTTCATAAAATAGATATGATAATGCTCACCTCCTGAGGGGCACTAAAAGGATTTTTATTCGTTTGTTAGGGCTGCCATCAATAACTACCACCGACTGGGTGGCTTAAACAACAGAAATGTATTTTCTCACAATTCTGGAGGCTACATGTCTGAGATCAAGGTGTCAGCAGAGTTGGTTTCTTCTAAGGCGTCCTTCCTTGCCTTGTAGTCAGCTGTTTTCTCCCTGTGTCTGCCTTAGTCCTCCCTCTGTACGTGTGTCTGTGTCCTCATTTCCTCTTCTTATAAGGGCACTGGGCAAATTGCCTTAGGGCCCAGTCTAATGACCTAATTTCTCTTAATTACCTCTTTAAAGACCCCACCTATGTCACATACAGTTACATTCTTAGGCACTAGGGGTTAAGACTTCGCCATATGAATTTTGAGCAGACACAATTCAGCCCATAATAGTATTGCTGTTAGCTTTATCTTAATACCGTTTTTTATTTCTGAGACAGGGTCTCATTCTGTTGCCCAGGTTGGAGCGCAGTGATGTTAATGTGGGTTACTGCAGCCTGCAACTCCTGGGCTCCAGGGGATCCTGCCATGTCACCCTCCCTATTAGCTGGTAGTACAGGCATGTAACAGCACACCAGGCTAATGGTTTAATTTTTTTTTTTTTTTTGACATGGGACATCCCACTATTTTTCCCAGGCTGGTCTGGAACTCCTGTGCTCAAGTGATCCTTCTGCCTCGGCCTCCCAAAGTGCTGGGATTACAAGCATGAACCAACAAGCCCAGCCTTATTTTAATACTATCTTCACTACTATTGTCACTATCATTTATTTTATTCTTACAATTACCTGGAAAGGTAGGAAGTAGTCACTGAAGCTCACAAAGTTCATCTATTGCTGAACCTCACCAGGAAAGGAAGTACTAGTCAAACAGACAAACCTCATGTGTTTTCAAGTGGAGTGTAACTGAGAAAGTCAGATTTGTTAGATTTCTTATCATGAATTTATTTGTTATTGTTAAATTTTACATGCTCAGCATCAGTAAAGAAAAGAGTAATGAAAAATCATTAAGCCCAGAGATAAATCCACACACTTACGCTCTATTGATTTTTGACAAAGATGCCAAGCACAGACAGTGGGGGGAGGGCAGCTTTCAATAAATGGTATTGGAGAAATTGTACATCCACACGCAGATGAATGAAATTTGACCCTCATCTCTCACCATATACAAATCATAAACAGAGGGAGGCTGGTATGTTGCTTCATCTGGGAACTTATAAAGATTTATTGACTGCTTTGGAAAATTACATCACTGCAGGGCATTCCATTCCTGGATTCTGCTCTGACACAACAGTCCAATATCAGTTTACTTTGTCGTTGTGCATGCCTGGGGGAAAGAATGATGGGAATCCAACTTCCCTACCAACATGACCTTTTCCAGGATCAGCTTCACTGTATTCCTTGTTTTTAAAAAATTAAGTGTTTTCTACTTTGATGGAGAAAATTTTAATCTCAATTTTGCCTTATTTTTCATTCTAAAATTACTAGATTGCATAATTATTTCCATAGCTTTGTACTTTGAATTGTTTTAGTACTAATTTTTTATTTTATTGTGTTATTTATTCATCTTGTTACTTATGTAGTGCTTTAAATTTATTTTTCACTTCAAGAGTTTTTTTGTCTGTGTGAAGAATATCAACTCTACATATTATATAAAGACTAATTTTTCTGTATATATATTGTTCGAAGGTTGTTGACTTACTATTTTTTCTTTTTTAAAACCTGTTTAATTAACAACTATTATATGTATTTATGGGGTACAATGTGATGTTTTGATATATGTATACAACTTAAGAGTTGCATCAGTTATAAAAGGTACTGGATAGAAGTGCAACACATTGTTTACCTCAGACTGGAGAAATTGTGGTTGTTAGTGTTTATTCTGCTATTCCATATTTTACAAGTTTCTATAAAAAGCATCTACTACTTTTTTAATCAGAAAAGAAATATTATTTTACATCAGGAAAATCAATATTAAATTCCCTCAGAGAGAATATACTATCACAAATCTTTGATAAAATAAATAGCAGTGTGCTATCTTGAATACATTTTCTTGGCCTATTAGCTGGGGTTCTCTAGAGGGTCAGAACTAATAAGAGATATATATATATATAGCTCCTATATATATATGTATATATATATATCTCCTATATATGTGTGTGCGTATATATGTACATACACATATGTATCCACATATATACATATATATACATATATATATATGAGTTTATTAAGTATTAACTCACAAGATCACAAGGTCCCACAATAGGCCATCTGCAAGTGGAGGAGCAAGGAAAGCCAGTCTGAGTCCCAAAACTGAAGAACTTGGAGTCCAATGTTCAAGGGCAGGAAGATTCCAGCATGAGAGAAAGGTGTAGGCTGGGAGGCTAGACTGCTCTAGCCTTTTCACATTTTTCTGCCTGCTTTATATTCTAGCCGCACTGACAACTGATTAGGTGGTACCCACCCAGATTAAGGGTGGGTCTGCCTTTCCCAGCCCACTTACTCAAATGTTAATCTCCTTTGGCAACACCCTCACAGACACACCCAGGATCAATAATTTTCATCCTTCAATCCAATCAACTTGACACTCACTATTAAGGTCACACTTGGTTATGTCAGTTTTCCTTTTTAGGTATCATTTAGGGGTGGAGGATAGAGAGGACCTTAGTTTCCATTTTTCTTGGTGAAAGTTAATGAATGCTGCTTTCTGTGAAAGAAAGAAGGCTACAATATTTGCTGTAATAGTATTTCACGACATCAATACCATCTTTATCTTTATTTCTTTCATCATTACAGCAAAGGGAAATAATCATGGTGCTCAGTCATCAGACAAGAAGCAAAAGTCCATCAATGTGAATGCCAGAGGATATCTTTGCTTCTTAGAGTAGCCGTTTAGCAGTCTGTCATCTGTAAATTTACCTTAGCCTCTTCCAAATATTTCCTCATCTATCATCATTTAGGGGTTCAGAAAGTGGCTATTTTCGTATTTTTTTTGTCCAAAACTTACTTAGGTTGGCTCCTTTACTAACTCCCAATCTTCTCCACTATAATGACTCTGGAACCAGTCCCTTTGCTGTGAAAGCAGCATCAACAACATTGATTCTTCTACCTCAGACCCACTGGATAACATAATTAATGAAATTTTTAAACTTAAAATTGGAATGAAAACACCATAGAATTAGCAATGGCTAAATTATGTAACTCCAAGCAGTTAACAATTAAGAGAAACTTTGTCCCTCAAAAAGTGAACATTACTTTCTTCTTTTTGATTTTTCTCAGAATTTTTTCTGAACTGAAAATGTAACAAATTCATAAAGGCCAAACACAGGCAAATTTTCTATTTTTTAATTTTTAATTTTTATGAGTACATAGTAAGGTGTATATATTTATGGGGTATATGAGATATTTTGAAACAGGCATACAATGCATAATAATCCCATCAGGGCAAATGAGGAATCTATCCCCTCATGTACTTTGATTTTTAATCCAAAATGTTAATTCTGCCTTTAAGTTTTTTTCTTTTTTTAGCATCCATTTTTTTTTAAGACAGTCTCACTCTACTGCCTGGGCTGGAGTTCAGTGGCGCAATCAGCTCACTGAAACATCTGCCTCCCACGCTCAAGTAATTCTCCTGCCTCAGCCTCCTGAGTAGCTGGGATTACAGGCACTTGCCTCCAGTCCTGGATAATTTTTGTATTTTTAGTAGAGACGAGGTTTCACCATTTTGGCCAGGCTGATCTCGAACTCTTGACCTCAAGTGGCCTGCCTGCCTCGGCCTCCCAAAGTGCTGGGATTACAGGTGTGAGCCACCGTGCCCAGCCAGCATCCATCTTTTTAATGACTATTTTAGTCTTAAAAACAATAAATTTCTCCGGACGCAATTCCTTTGAAAAAAATTATGACAACATTAAATTGAATTATGCAATTTTAAAAATTATAATGATAAATTTACATGTCTCTGGGCTGGGTTTGATGGTTCACACTTGTTTTTGTTTTGTTTTGTTTTGATGGTTCACACTGGTAATCCCAGTTCCCATGGGAGGTCGAGGTAGGAGGATCACTTGTGCCCAGGAGCTCAAGGCTACAGTGAAGTAGCAACACACCACTGCAGTGCAGCCTATGTGACAAAGCCAGACCCTGTCTCAAAAACAAAGAAAGAAAAACTTTAATTAATTTATATGTGTCCTTAACCAAATTGCATATCCTTTGAGGGAAGAGGCTATTGAGCATCCTTTTGCCTCCCCGTAACTTCTAACACCTAAACTTATAATGATGGATCAATTCTCCAAAGGAAAGAATATAGAGCAAAGCTAAGGAATACATGAAAACTGACAGAGAGAAGCAAGGACAATAAAATTGAGGAATATAAATCCGGAAAGAGAACTGAAGTATTATGGCATCCCCAAAATAGACATGTGACCCAAAGGAACAGAATAGAGAGCCCAGAAGTAAATCCATGCACTTACGGTCAATTGGTTTTTGACAGAGGTGCCAAGAACACACAGTAAGGGAAGGGCAGCCTTCAATAAATTGTATTTGGAAAATGATATATCCACATGCAGAGGACTGAAATTCCATCCTCATCTCTCACCATATACAAAAGTCAACTTAAAATGAATTAACATTGTATAATGTAAGACCTGAATCTATGAAACTACTAGAAGAAAACATAGGGAGAAAGCTCCATGACGCTGGTCTGGGCAATTAGTTTTTGGATATAATCCCCAAAGTGCAGGGAACAAAAGCAAAAGTAAACGAATGAGATTATCTCAAACTCAGAAACTTCTGCAGAGCAAAGGAAACAATCAACAGTGTGCAAAGACAACCTATGGAATGAGAGAATACATTTGCAAACCATACATCTGAGAAGGGGTGAAGACCTAAAATATATAAGGAACTCAACAGTAAGAAAACAAATAATCTGATTAAAACCTGAGCAAAAAGCCCGGCACAGTGGCTCACACCTGTACTCCCAGCACTTTGGGAGGCCAGGTCAGAGGATTGCTTGAGGCCAGGAGTTTGAGACCAGTCCTGGCAACATAGTGAGACCTTGATTCTACAAAAAAATAAAAATAAATTAGCTGGGGTAACAAGGCAGCCATGGGAACTGATACCAAGGGTGGCTAGTCTCTCTGAGGGGAGATGAGACACACAAACTGCATCACCTCTGGCAGAGCACATGTGGAAGAAGTGACAGTCATAAGAGGGGATAAGAAGGAAGTAATTGAAAATGTAACAAATTCATAAAGGCCAAACACAGGCAATTGGGAGAGCTGGAATCCCAGAAAGTCTCAGACACAAGTGGAATCCACATTCACTTGCCAGCTTTTTCCTGCACACCACCATCTGGCATTCATGAGGAAGACTGGAGGAATCCACGGAGGCCTGGGGGCATCTTCGTTGGCAAGAAACCCTGATTGCTTCGAAAACCTTGTCCCTTTAAAAAAAAAATCATTGTGTATATTTGAGGTTTACAACATGATGGTATGGGTTACATAAAGATAGTAATGTGGCTAATGTAGTGAAGGAAATTAACCTATTATATCATCTCACAGTGACTTTTGTGTGACAAGAACAGCTAAAATCTACTTATTTAATCAAAGTGCCTAATATAATAGCAACAATCTTCATGTTGTACCTTAGCTCTCTAGACTTGTTCATCCTACATACCTGCTACTTTGTATCCTTGGACCTTCATCTCCCCATTTCCTCCTCTATCCTCCCCTGTCCCTGATCACCACCAATTTATTCTCTATCTCCCTATTGCTTGCTCTTTCTTCTATCTCCCTATTGCTTGCCCTTTCTTTCTTTCTTTTTCTCTCTTTCTTTCTTCTTCCTTCCTTTCCTTCTTTCTTTCCTTCTTTCTTTCCTTTTTTCCCTTTCTCATTCTCTTTCTTTCTCCCCCCACCTTTCTTTCTGATTCCACACATAAGTGAGATCATACAGTACTTTTCTTTCTATACATGTGCCATGTTGGTGTGCTGCACCCATTAGGTATATCTCCTAATGCTATCCCTCCCCGCTCCCCCGACCCCACAACAGTCGCCGGTGTGTGATGTTCCCCTTCCTGTGTCCATGTGTTCTCATTGTTCAATTCCCACCTATGAGTAAGAACATGCAATATTTGGTTTTTTGTCCTTGTGATAGTTTGCTGAGAATGATGGTTTCCAGCTTCATCCATGTCCCTACAAAGGACATGAACTCATCATTTTTTATGGCTGCATAGTATTCCATGGTGTATATTTGCCACATTTTCTTAATCCAGTCTATCGTTGTTGGACATTTGGGTTGGTTCCAAGTCTTTGCTATTATGAATAGTGCCGCAATAAACATATGTGTGTGTGTGTCTTTGTAGCAGCATAATTTATAATCCTTTGGGTATATACCCAGTAATGGGATGGGTGGGTCAAATGGTATTTCTAGTTCTAGATCCCTGAGGAATCGCCACACTGACTTCCACAACGGTTAAACCAGTTTCCAGTCCCACCAACAGTGTAAAAGTGTTCCTATTTCTCCACATCCTCTCCAGCACCTGTTGTTTCCTGACTTTTTAATGATCGCCATTCTAACTGGTGTGAGATGGTATCTCATTGTGGTTTTGATTTGCATTTCTCTGATGGCCAGTGATGATGAGCATTTTTTCATGTGTTTTTTGGCTGCATAAATGTCTTCTTTTGAGAAGTGTCTGTTCATATCCTTTGCCCACTTGTTGATGGGGTTGTTTGTTTTTTTCCTGTAAATTTGTTTGAGTTCATTGTAGATTCTGGATATTAGCCCTTTGTCAGATGAGTAGATTGCAAAAATTTTCTCCCATTTTGTAGGTTGCCTGTTTACTCTGATGGTGGTTTCTTTTGCTGTGCAGAAGCTCTTGAGTTTAATTAGATCCCATTTGTCAATTTTGGCTTTTGTTGCCATTGCTTTTGGTGTTTTAGACATGAAGTCCTTGCCCATGCCTATGTCCTGAATGGTATTGCCTAGGTTTTCTTCCAGGATTTTTATGTTTTTAGGTCTAACATTTAAGTCTTTAATCCATCTTGAATTGATTTTTGTATAAGTTGTAAGGAAGGGATCCAGTTTCAGCTTTCTACATATGGCTAGCCAGTTTTCCCAGCACCATTTATTAAATAGGGAGTCCTTTCCTCATTGCTTGTTTTTGTCAGGTTTGTCAAAGACCAGACAGTTGTGGATATGTGGCATTATTTCTGAGGGCTCTGTTCTGTTCCATTGGTCTATATCTCTGTTTTGGTAAGAGTACCATGCTGTTTTGGTTACTGTATCCTTGTAGTATAGTTTGAAGTCAGGTAGTGTGATGCCCCCAGCTTTGTTCTTTTGGCTTAGGATTGACTTGGCAATGCGGGCTCTTTTTTAGTTCCATATGAACTTTAAAGTAGTTTTTTCCAATTCTGTGAAGAAAATCATTGGTAGCTTGATGGGGATGGCATTGAATCTCTAAATTACCTTGGGCAGTATGGCCATTTTCATGACATTGATTCTTCCTACCCATGAGCATGGAATGTTCTTCCATTTGTTTGTATCCTCTTTTATTTCATTGAGCAATGGTTTGTAGTTCTCCCTGAAGAGGTCCTTCACGTCCCTTGTAAGTTGGATTCCTAGGTATTTTATTCTCTTTGAAGCAACTGTGAATAGTTCACTCATGATTTGGCTCTCTGTTTGTCTGTTATTGTTGTATAAGAATGCTTGTGATGTTTGCACATTGATTTTGTATCTTGAGACTGCTGAAGTTGCTTATCAGCTTAAGGAGATTTTGGGCTGAGACGATGGGGTTTTCTAGATATACAATCATGTCATCTGCAAACAGGGACAATTTGACTTCCTCTTTTCCTAATTGAATACCCTTTATGTCTTTCTGCCGCCTGATTGCCCTGGCCAGAACTTCCAACACTATGTTGAATAGGAGTGGTGAGAGAGGGCATCCCTGTCTTGTGCCAGTTTTCAAAGGGAATGCTTCCAGTTTTTGTCCATTCAGTATGATATTGGCTGTGGGTTTGTCATTTGGCACTTTTTACTGAACAGTGGATAGGCCTTTTAAGCAGTTCCTAGAATCAATAATAAAGTTATGTTCAACTTTTATCTTCCCAGGCAAGAGATTCTTGTAGTAATAATGTTATGTTAATGAAGCCAGTGGAATAGTAAACTCTTGTTCATATAGGCAGTAAGCTGTGTGTGTGGTTTCAGTTCTCATTACTTACTTTTAGATAACTTATGAGCGTGGTAGGTCATATAGGAAAGGGAAGGAGAGGAAGGGGGCCTTGATTAGCTAGTTGCTTTTTGTTAGTAAATGAGGACATATGTGTGTGTGTGTGTGTGTGTACATATATCCTATTCATACATAATAATTGTACATATTTACAGGGTACAGTGAGATATTTTGATACACATACACAACTTGTAATGATCAAATCAGGATAATCAGCATATCCACCACCTCAAACATTTAGCATTTCTTTGTGTTGGAAATGTTCAAAATCCTCTTTTATAGCTATTTGAAAATATACAATAGATTATTGTTAACTATAGTCACCCTACAGTGCTAAATAGACGACTAGAGATTATTCCTCCTATTTAGTCTTAATTTTGTATCCATTAGCTAAACTCTACCTGTTCATCTCCCACCCTTCCCAGAGTCTACTATTCTCTATTCTGCTCTCTACATCTATGAAATAAAAGCTTTTAGCTTCCACATATCAATGAGAATATTCAGTATTTATCTTTCTGTGTCTGGCTTATTTCACTTAATGTCCTCCAGGCTCACACATCTGAAGCCCATACATGTTGCCTCAAATGATGGGATTTCATTCTTTTATATGACTGAATAGTATTCCATTGTGTATACATACACCAATGTAAATTAGATTGTATTTTGTTTACTTATTTCTTTTTTATTGATACATTGTTGTACATATTTATGGGGTACATGTGACACTTTGATATATGTATACAAAGGACAATGACTAAATCAGGGTATTTAGGATATCCATCACCTCAAACATTTATCATTTATTTGTGCTGGGAACATTTCAAATCTTCCCTTCTAGCCATTTTGAAATATATGATAATTTATTGTTACCATTAGTCACCCTACTGTGCTATCAAATAGAAGTTATTCCTTTTACTTAATTGTATGTACCCATTAACCAACTTCGCTTCATCCCACCCACCCCCTGTTCCCAGCCTCTGGTCACCAAAATTCTACTCCATTAGATCAAAATTTTTAGCTCCCACATATGACAGACAACATGTCTCGAACTCCTGAGTTAAAGCGATCCTCCTGCCTCTGCTTTCCAAAGTGTTGAGATTATACATGTGAACCACCGATCACAGCTTCTGTTTTCTTTTAAGATGTACATTAAACTCACATTTGTGAGTTTTCTCCTTCAGTCAGAAGAGGAACACTGACTCTTTCATCTGCCCCTTGGAGGTAAATTTTTCTTTTTAAATAAACTATGACTCCATTGAAATTCTTATTTCAACCAAGTTTATGAAGCACTGTCTCATTTAAATTATCAGGGCTATATTATGCGAAGATTTAGAAGATTTGAAGCTCCTCCAACCCCAAATCAACTGAACCTTACTTGGTGACCTGAACCCTCACCTCTCTTCTGATTAGGCTATTTCTGCTTTGGTTGAAGATGTTCATGGATCCTGCAAGGAAAATTCAATTTCCCTAATGTCTTGACATTTCCTATAATCACCAAACCTGTAACTATAGTGGATCCTACTCAGGATAAATGTGGTTTTAAGTTTATATCCTGTCGTAGGTTATTATATAAAAAATAACTACAGGGATTTGCTAATTATATCTCCATTGTCTAGGTAATATACTTGGGAGAGGAAAAAAAGCATTGCTTCTCTTGTTTTTTGAGTGCTGGCCTTCCTCCCTCTGGCTCCCCTTGAGCAAGGGATGAAGCCATTTCTGGGGTTTGGCAAGTTAGCCTTATGGGCAGGGCATGTGGCTATTTGCTCATGGGATGTGACACTCCAGTAGGGTTGATTTTAGCTGGAGTCTGGGAAGACCATTTTATAAGGGAATCTCTGTTGCAGATTCAGTTTTAAGGAGAGCTTCTTCCACTGTGGAGGGCATAACAGGGTAATTGGCTCTACTCCAGTAAGGGCTTCAGTTTTAATTAAATGGTCATATAAGTTTTAAGGTATCACGATCATGATTGATATTAAAATGTGAAAGAGTTATACATCATATCCAGTATGGCAAAAAAAAATGAAGAGGGAAAGAAAACTGAGAGTAAGGCATCTGGAAAAGCTAAATATTTGCTTCTAAAAGTAACTGTTTTGAGGGACGAACAGCAAATTTCACAAGCTCATGCACAGTCTTTGTGATGTTCAGATATTCAGGTATTAAAGGTATATGTTAAATAATGTAGGTGTTCCTAGTATGTGAACCATTTCATCCATACTCTGAAAATATTAGTGTTCAAGAATGTATTCCCTTTCAATCATGCCTTATATTCAATATCTGTGTCTTGTTCATATTCCGTGTTGTGCTTTTTCCATTTTCCTCAAGAATGTTTAAGCTACTGGATGCTCTCTTCCTAGATATTTCACAAAAGAACGATCTATTAAATTTATTACATTTGGATTACTTTTCCTTTGGTTAATGATTCGTACCTTTCATTTACTGCCTGTTTCCTTTTCCCTTAAGTTTCTCTTGTGACTCTTTTTTTTATTTCTAAGTATTATTTTCTTGTATCATGTAATTTGCTGTCTATTTTAATAGGATACGCATATAATGCTATGACTGTCCTAAGAATACAATTCAGGCTTGTTCAATAGGCTCCTGGAAATCGTCTGTAAACTATCCTTTAATGTAAATAGTCGAATGGAATGGTTCAGCAGTGTGGAGTAAAAACATTTAGATAATTTCTTCCCTATACGTGCAGTGCTTCCTTTAAATTCAGAAGTTCTTCTAATTAAGTCAGCAATTTGGAAAACATGTATGAAAAATACTTATGTGGACTACTCAGGACTTAGTACATTATAGACTTTGAACTCTAAATCATATCATCTGATGACTCAAGGCAGAAGCCTGTAATATAACCTCTGATATGGTTAGAGGTTACCATATGTGTCTTCAATCTAATTACACACAGTAGCTCATGAAGACTGACAGGAGGACAGGGAGCATGCTTAGCACAGGCATCTTACAACCACCTTGAGCATGACTGACCTACATGCATTCTCCCTACTTCATGGGTCACAAAAACCTGACTGTCTCTATCGATTTTATTACTCAGTCATTCAAGGCTTCACTGCGGGAAGACTTTAAAATGTAATCATTGGGTCTGGCGCAGGAGGAGGTTCACCCCTGTAATCACTCCCAACATTTTGGGAGGCCGAGACGAGTGGGTCACTTGAGGTCAGGAGTTCGAGCCCAGCCTGGCCAACATGGTGAAACCTCGTCTCTACTAAAAATAAAAAAACTGGTTGGCATGGTGGCAGGCACCTGTAATCCCAAATACACGGGAGGCTAAGGCATGAGAATTGCTTGAATCCGGGAGGCAGAAGTCGCAGTGAACCGAGATCGGAACACTGCACTCCATCCTGGGTGACAGAGTGAGACCCCATCTGAAAAAAAAAATGCAATCATTGTTTAAGAGCCTGAGAGAATTCAGGATTTGACAAAATCCAAAAACACTCATGAAGGTCTCCATACAGGAAAACAAGCATCAAGCAGAGTGCCTTCTCATTTTCTTAGGAGCAATGAAATCTCAACTCAGATATTTTAATTGGACTAAAGCTGATTGTTATGATGAAAAAATCATGAAAATCAGAATATCTGTGTATTCTCTCCAACAGAACCATAGCATGCAGAAATCAGCACTGAAATGGATTTTAATCTATTTGATATGCATTCACTACTTTCAATAAAAGCAAAAATGGGTGTAGGATTGATGTGATTTGTCCAGAATCTCACAAATCGTGTTGGAGCTGGTACTAGAATCTCCTTCAGAGATCAGTATATTTCATACAAAGTGGTATTACAAATGCATTATATATTTGTGAGAAACAGAAATTACAAAGTAATCTGAAAATTGTTAGCTGTTGGTTATACTTAGAAGTAACAAAATGCTTTCCTATTTGATGGTTCAATATGGCTTTCACCCAATTTGTGTCTGTATCTGATAGTGTTTCGGCTTTGCAGTCAGGCTTCTGGGGTCTGAACCACCTTACAAATAAAGTCTGCATTTGAATTCTGTTTTTAAAGGGGCAGTAATATTCTCTCTTTTTATTATGAAAAGTGTAATATTGTGGAATACAGAAAGCACATAATTTTGAATCTTAATGGATAACATACCTCCTTCTGGCATTTTAAATTGCTCTGACTTTGTCAGAATCTTCCCCTGGACATCAGGACCATCTCCGCATTCATCCCCAGTCTTTGACTGAGACAGCTCCTGGAGATCAGCTTCCAGGTCAGGCACTAAAAAATACCAAGGAAATCGATTGGAGCAGCCAGACAAGAATGATAAATAAGGAAATGATCCTATTCTTTTCCTCAGTGTTGTGCAATAAAAGCCTGTAGGCTACTGTGGTAATAAATGTGATGCAAAGATGTCCCCGTTTGTTTTCCTGTATTATGATATCTTATTTTTAATGACAATCTGAGGATAAGTCTCAGCACACCTGCATTTCCCATACTTTACCATTGTGTATTATAAACACACAGCTACCTAGGAAACCTGAAGATGGCCTCGTGGATAGCATTTTAATCATAACTTAAATGTAATTTTCTGAAGGATTAGATCAATGTATTGGTGAGCCTATGACAAATCCTATAGTCTTGACACTCATCTCCTGTTGAGGTATCTTGAAAATGTTGTTGTTAACCTTAATTAAAGTAATTATTAGGTTGAAAGGCCCTATATGTGACTTTCCATACATGAATGTCATTAAGAAAAAATACAAAATATAACAGCAAAATCACTGTCTTCCAGTGAGAGTATGGGAACTGAAGTGCAAAGAAATTAATGGGCATTGTTGACAGTCATATTCTGGAAACCCCTTAACAGGGAATTGCTAAAATAATCCATGGCCCAAATTCTGTCTCTGATTAGTCTGAAAATGCTATCTGTTGAGGAAACAGTTTCTGTTTCATGATAATCTTATCGTACTTGAAGTTTTCTAATTATAAAAATATTAGAACAACTTTTAAAAGCCCCTTCAAAATCCTACAAACACAGTTACCTGTATGCCATTGTCCTGAATTATCCAGCTTTTACTAAACATATGGTCAAAAATATAAATCAAAGGAAACAGTGGCTGTCATCCATTGGCCTCTTTTCTGGAGTTGCTATCTTGCTTCACTGAACTGCGTTTTGCCCTGAGCCAATACCAAATTACCTTATAGTACAGACACATTTAAGTATTAAGCATTTTTAAGCAAAATCATTCACATTTTCTAAAACAGAAGGCGGGAAGAATGCAAACCTTGAAACAAAATATGAATTCCTTCTCCATGAGTCGTGTTCTTGGTAAGTCTCAACCTCTGATTCTCAGTTTTCTTATTTATTTTTTTATTTTTATTTTTATTTTTCAAGACGGAGTCTCGCTGTGTCACCGAGGTTGGAGTGCGGTGGTGCAATCTTGGCTCACTGCAACCAATGCCACCCGGGCTCAAGCAACTCTTCTGCTGCAGCCTGCTTAGCAGCTGGGATTATGAGTGTGTGCCACCATGCCCAGCTAATTTTTGTATTTTTCGTAGAGACAGGGTTTCACTATGTTGGCCAGGCTGGTCTCGAACTCCTGACCTCAAGTGATCCACCCGCCTCGGCCTCCCAAAGCACAGGGATTACAGGCATGAGCCACCACACCGGGCCTCAGTTTTATTTATAAAATGAGGTTAACATCCCTTTGCAAATGGGCTTTATTCAGGGTATTATAAGGTAGGGCGACTTGGCACTCCACATGCTATTAAAGGGTGCTTAAAACACTGTGAACACCATGGCTGAGAAGATCTCACTGCAACATCCTAAGAATATCAAGTTAAACTAGTGAAATAATGTACATTTTTATACAACCAATTAAATGGTTTCATCTGATTTAGGAAGGACTGTATTTTCAAGCCCACAAAATGCATCTCGAAGAAAAAGAGAAGATTAATCATATCCAGGGACTGCAGGAAGCTGCAAACTATACCCGTCACGTTTCCAGCCAACCCTCAGCAAATGTTTGAGATCCTTTCCTAGTGTTTTCTTTCCTCCTCTTACTGGTCATGGCATAAGGCATGATGCACACATAGGTCTCCTCCCCCCCATAGACATTCTTTCTTTCCCTTCCCACCACCTTGAATCTCAGCTGCACCCTGATCTTCTTCTGTCTTCTGACCAGGTGTACGATCCCAACTTTAAGCTGGTGGTTCTTCTTGTTGAGGCTCTGGCACACTGGGCTCCTGGGAAAAGAGGGTTTTGTGTGTGCGCGTGCAGATAAAAAATTTTTCTTATCAATGCATGTCAATAATACGAATATACAGATTACATAGATACTTCTGATCATATGCATGTTTAAAGACATGCTGCAACACTAGCTATGTGCTAGTGTAATGAGCTATGAATAAGCATGAGGAGGAAATCACTAGTCAAATCTGGGGAACACAAATTCCCACATCCAGGAAAAACCAGTATGTAGTCCTCTTGGGTTACTGTTTCCTTCATGAGATGCCGCAATGGTTTTTTGTCAACATGGGAGACCTTTATCATTGCATCTATACTAATTCAACAACACTATCACACAAAAAAAATTCTGCTAATAGAAAACATCAAATGTTAAGTCACTCACAAGCATAGGCCCAATCAGCTGAGCAAGTCGTAAACATCGTCTTGGTCTATATCATCTTCCTCGCCAACTCATATTTCAGTCTGCAAACAGAATAGTGTGCACTTTGGGAGGCCGAGGTGGGTGGATCACCTGAGGTCAGGAGTTCAAGGCCAGCTTGGCCAAAATGGTGAAACATCGTCTCTACTAACAATACAAAAACTTAGCTGGGCATGGTGCGGGTACTTGCAATCCCAGCTAATCAGGAGGCTGAGGCAGGAGAATCGATAGAACCCAGGGGCAAATGTTGCAGCCAGCCGAGATCACGCCATTGCACTCCAGCCTGGGCAACAAGAGCAAGACTCCCTCTCAAAAAAACCAAACCAAACCATAGCAAATCAAAACAAAACAAAAATCAGAATACTGTGATTGGAAAAATGGGGTACATGTGCAGGATGTGCAGCCATCAGATGGCTAGATTTTACTGTTTCACACTGTATTAGTTAGGGATCTGTAAAGGACAGAACTGATGGATAGATGTGTATGTGCAGCAGGGTTTGTTAAGGAGTATTAACTTACACAATCACAAGGCGAAGTCCCAAAATAGGCTGTCTGCAAGCTGAGGAGCAAAAAAGGCAGTCTGAGTTCCAAAACCTCAAACGTATTGAAGCCAGCATTGCAGCCTTTAGTCTGTGGCTGAAGGCCCGAGATCCCCTAGCAGATCACTGGTGTAAATTCAAGAGTCCAAAAGCAGAAGAACCTGGAGTCTGATGTTCGAAGACAGGAAGCATGCAGCACGGGAGAAGTTGGAGGCTGGAAGACTCAGCAAGTCTAGTTTTCCATGTTCTTCTGCTTAGTTTATTCTAGTGCTGCTGGCAACTGATTAGATGGTGCCCACCCAGATTGAGGGTGGGTCTACCTCTCCCAGTCCACTGACTCAAATGTTAATCTCCTTTGGCAACAACCTCTCAGACACACCCAGAAACAATACTTTGCACCCTTTGATCCAATCAAGTTGACACTTAATATTAAACATCACCTGCAGACCTGGACTTTAATGATTCCTGAGTGGCCTCACTCCAGCTTCAAAGGGCAGGCTTGAATTTCTTGCCAAATTTGAACTTCCCACTGCCATTCCTGTGGGCCATAACTCCGGACCTGCTGGATGACTTCAAAGGATCATAATTGCGTTGGTATTGGGAAAGTTGTGAAGGAGCCCTTGTGACAAACAGGAAGCAGCAGACAGTATGAAAGACACTGCAGAGACAAGAAGCGTTGCCTGATACATGACCCTAGCAACTCTCTAGCTGCTAAGGGAGGAAACAGAGCTGGGACCAACACAGCCAGTCTACCTGTGAGAGGGCTCAATTTCCCACATGACCAGAGCTTCCCATCCTCCATGCATGGGAATCTATGACCAAACATAGATTTCCACAGGATGGTGGGTGGGTGGGACAAAGTCTACAGATTCTGAGCAGCTGGCAAGTTTCAGGGTACCAGAGTAAACACTGTCACGTGACCTCAGATTGCTTGGTGGTTGAGGCCAAATTATTTACTACCTACCATTTTCAGTGTAGCTCTCCCACTTGCCTCATAAAATGGAGCACCATAAGGGAATGGAGGTCACACAGGGACCTCCCTGTGAATGCATGCAATGCATGACATTCAGCTATGCTGCAGCCCAAGCAAAGCCTCCACATGATATCAAGAGGACAAGAGGTCACATGTATTTTCTGTTCCTTTTGCCTGTGAGTTCCCATCTGTCCAAGTAAGACTTCACCTGTGCAAAACAGACGCTGATATCTGCAGATGAAGCACATATTTCATCAGTAATTGTATATTTTGTAGTAGCCTTTGTGGCCCATAACAAAGATGATATTTTTGTCTAAAAACACTGAATTGCAAAGGAGGTGGACAAAATTGGGTTCTCATGCATATTTGCATATATTCTATAGCAACATTTATCAACCATGGGGGATGTTCTCTGAAAAGCTGTAATCATTTCTAAACTGGTTTTTAATCCATAGTGGGTTGTAAGATTAATGTTGTCAGCCACAAACAGCATTTTAAAGAATGGAGATAAAATATATTACTAAATAGCGTTCACTGCATATAGAATATACAAATACACTACACATCCCCATGTACAAACGTATATTTATTTGCCTAGTTGACTATATATAAACTGTGTATTTCTCACACATTGTCATAAAAGAGTTTGAACGTCACTACTTTAGTGGTTATTAGAAAAAATGTTTACAGGCCATTTCTTTAGCCATCTGTGAAGATGATGGATTAAGATTTGCTAAGAATAAGTTCACTGTTGTCTGTGGCTTTCTACATAATGCTTGAAATGGCACTCAGTGATGCTTAAACTGGTCAGTTTTACTGTGGGCATTTGACCCTCAGCAAACTCATTTGTGAACTCATGAGCTGGTGAGAAGGAAGGCTGATGAGTTGTGGGGCTTTACTTCCTACCATGTCTTTCTGCAGCTGCAGGTGTGACCATGTGTGTGCTTCTGCACTCGTCTGACAGTGCTTTGATATGTTCCCTTTTATTTGCCCCTTTATTATTGACTGTGTCTTATAGTTCCTATTATGTACTTCATTAGCATCCAGTGACAGCGACATCTGTGGTATTCAGTGTTGATCCAATTTACACAAATTTTAAAAATATTTTCAAGCATGAATATTTTTTCTTACCAACTTTCCTTAAGTACTTCCAGGAGTCAAATGCAATTCAATATTAGTAGTTGATGTTAGACCATACTGGGGTATAATCCTGGAAAATTACTGATAATACTAATTGTTGTTACGCCTCAGCTTTTATGTCACCATAATGCTTAGATAAATGGCACAATGACCAACACATGGAAAGAAGGATTCTGAAATATTGACATTTTTTATTTCCAAAATTTACTTTAAGCTCAGGGGTACATGTGCAGGATGTGCAGGTTTCTTACATAGGTAAATATGTGCCACTGTGATTTACTGCACACATCATCACATCACCCTGGCATTAAGCCCAGCATCCACGAGCTACTCTACCTGACCCTCTCCCTCCTCCCACCCCCGCAGTCCAGTAGGCTCAGTGTGTGATGCTTCTCCCATGTGTCCATGTGTTTTCATCATTTACCTCCCACTTATAAGTGAGAACATCCGGTATTTGGTTTTCTGTTCCTGCATTAGTTTGCTAAGGATAATGGCTGCCACCACCATCCATGTCCCTGCCAAGGACATGATCTCATTTTTTTATGGCTGCATGGTATTCCATGGTGTATATGTACCACATTTTCTTGATTCAGTTTATCATTGATGGGAAGGACATCTCAAATACCACAAAGACACTTGGTCCTTGTTGTGGGAAATATCGGACTGTGGTGGGGCAGACAGACAAACAGAACAGCAGTAGAAGAGCAAAGGAGAAACACAGGGAAGGGAACCAGAGGAATAAAAAACAATATATTGGCCATGAGACAGGGGAAAACAACACAATATTTTAAAAAGGTAATCTTTCTCCTTTGCCTTTGCCACTTTTCTGAAAATCAACTTATTAGGTTTTGTGAGTCTATTGCTGGCTCTATTTTGATTTGTTGACTTTTCTCCAATACCACACTGTCTTGAATACTGGAGAAGTAACACAATTGCCATATGGGGCTGGATGATTAAGAATCATAATCAACAACTTCATGCAATGCTTCCTAACTCAAGGCAGCACCCTCACCTCAGCTGAGGATCCCATGCCTCCCACCTTCTCAGGGGCTCCGCTCCTGCACTGATCTCTCTTCTCTCCTGAACCATCAACGGCTCCTTCTATACTGGATCAATCCCCAAGCCAAGGGGGAAGTCACCTTCTTCCAATGCACTGATAACATAATCAATCAATAAATATAATAGAATTAATGTGAATCTTGACCTCCTGTAGGGTGAATTCCCCAAAGTTAAACTTCAGAATTGTTTTGGATATTCTGATTCATTTTCCTTTGTAGATAATTTTGAAAATGGACTCCAGTGAAGTGTGTTGCATAAGTTCATGCAGTTTTCCTTTGCAGGGCAGGAATTAAATGTGTTCGTAGCTAGAGAAGGACATGGGGGAAGAGGGTGAGTTTTCCCTTAGCTTGGGGAATGATCCAATGTAGAGGGAGCAGTTGATGGTTCTGGAGAGAGGAGTGATCACTGTAGGAGCAAAGCCCATGACAAGGTGGGAGGCATGGTATACTGACCTGAGGTGAGGGGGCTGGCTTCAGTTAGGAGTATTGTATGCAGAAGGGCAGCAGAGAATGTCCATGAATCACTGAAGGTGAGGGTGGCCTTGGGGGTCCCTGACACAGTGTCAGCAACCGTGTGATTCACCAGCAGGACCCTGACTCACTACAACATGGTGAAACTTTCTTTGAGTAAGGGAAGAGCGAAGGGGTAGAGATGAGGAAGCTGTCACTCCTGGGAGACTATGGATTTCCCCATAGTATGAAGCAGCAGCTGAGCTGTTGTCTATTATGAAAAATACTTGTACTCACAACATTCACAATAATCCCTCCAACTGCAAGGGAACTGGCTCACTGGATCCCTCAACTGCTGTTCTGTGCATGATAATATATGGGGGGAAAGCGCAGTCTTTAATTTTTGTTTTCTCCTGCAGGCAGGTAGAGACTGGATACAATTGTTGCCAATGAACTTTCAGTAGGCCAAAAATCCTGAAGGTTTGAATTGTTCTTTCCTCTAAGTGGGAGGGAAAAAATCAGTTTCCTGGGCTAAAGCAAAGCCTTAGATAAAACTTAAGTCTTAGATAAAGGAAAAAAAGTGAGAAAAAAAGACCACTGGCAGTGGCTCACACCTGTAATCCCAGTATTTTGAGAAGCTGAGGGAGGAGAATCACTTGAAGCCAGGAGTTCAAGACCAGCCTGGGCAACATAGTGAGACCCCTGCTCTACACAATTTTTAAAATTAGCTGGGTATCATGGCACATGTCTGTAGTCCCATCTACTCAGGAAGGTAACACAGGAGGATTGCTTGAGCCTAGGACTCCTAGGTTGTGGTGAGCTCTAAGTCCTCCAGTGTATTCCAGCCTGGATGACAGAGAGAAACCCTGTCTCAAAAAGGGAGTGGGGTGTGTGAAGACACATTTCAGCCTTGTCTTCAGCTGGACTGCCACTGCTGCAGCCTCCTCCCAACATTTGAGGCAGGATTTCTCTTGGCCATGGAATCATAACTCTGTGAATGCTGAGTTCAGTGCTAGGGTTTTGATGGAAATTACAATGAGATAAAAAAAAAGGTACAGTTGTAAAATGTCTTTGTGTTTTGTGGCTATTACATCTGGATGTGTGATACTGACGGAGAGGGTCCAGCAGTTTGACTACTTAATGCAGTTGCCACAAGTGAGGAATTCATCTTTTCTACACTTCTCACTGGATAAGGGATAGAGACAAAAGGGATGGATGTTATGTAAACTGATTTTTAAAATTTTTATGAATTCAGGATTTCATCCTGTCCATTTCTTAAATATGATGAATCTTTTCACTAAGTTTATATCATAATGTGTTTTTCTGAAGATGTTTCGTCCCTTCTGCTTACAACCCTTCCAGAAAAAAAAAGGTCTGGAGGACGAAATGGGATGATTAAAGAGATAAAAACTTTTCATCACAGGATACAACATGGTGATTCTGTAATAGTGGAGAAAACAGAAAACCTGGCACATGAGGAGAGGCAAGGGAGGGAAGGAGGACATCGGTTGTCTCTGTTTTTCAAAACTATTCCTGCACACTCTCCACTTTTCCTCAGAAATACTTCCCATGAGGGCTTTCCAAGCCACTGTGAGCCATTGTTAAAACCACATTCATTGGTGAGCCGGTGATTACCTTACAGGTATTCAAGGAAATCAGCTACCAGTCAAGAGGTATAAAAGTGCAATAACACAACCTTAAAAAAAAGTACAGGTGTGAATTGATTGTCTACAGCATGTATAAAAATTGGCAGGCATGGGAGGATCACTTGAGGCCATGTGTTTGAAAGCAGCCTGAGCAACTCAGTGACACCCCGCATCTAAAATATAATAATTATTAAATACGTTAGGAGGGCGTGGTGGCGGCCAACTGCAGTCCCAGCTACAGGGGAGGTTGCTGTGTGAGGAGGATTGCTTGAGCCCAAGAGATGGAGGCTGCAGTGAGCCATGGTCATGCCACTGCCCTCCACCCTGGACAACAGAAAAACACCCTGAGAAAACAGTATGTGTAAATATAGACATAAAATTCTTTATTTCTGTCACAAAAGGTCTTTCTGAGACACACCCTCCACTAAGGGTGACATGGGACTCTCTGTTCTCAATGTTTCTGGATGCCTGAGAATGGCTGGGCAAGAGACAAAAAAAATTTAAAAAATCTCTCATGTCCCTTTCTTCCTACTACAAACTACCTGGGATAAGGGTGTGGGGATAGCAGGAAAACCCTGGCCGGCCCTGCATGTGCCTGACTCAGTGTGCATGCCCCTTGCTGCACAAGGCGTAGTGGCTCACATCTGTAATCCCAGCACTTTGGGAGGCCAAGGTGGGTGGATCACCTGAGTTCAGGAGTTCGAGACGAGCCTGGGCAACATGGCGAAACCCCGTCTCTACTAAAAATACAAAAATTAGCCGGGCGTGGTGGCACATGCCTGCAATCCCAGCTACTCGGGAGGCTGAGGCAGAGAAACTGCTTGAATCCAGGAGGTGGAGGTTGCGGTGAGCCGGGACTGCACCATTGCACTCCAGCCTGGGCAAAAAGAATGAAACTCTGTGTCAATAAATAAATAAATAAATAAATAAATAAATAAATAACAGAAAAATGAGGCTCAGAGATTGAGACTTACCAAGAACACTTGACTCATGGAGGAGGAATTCATATTTTGTTCCAAGGTTTGCATTCTTCCCACCATCCATGTCAGAAAATGTGAATGATTTTGCTTAAAAATGCTTAATACTCAAATATGTCTGCACTGTAAGGTACTCAGCATTGACTCAGGACAAAACGCAGTTCAGTGAAGTAGGATAGCGTCTCCAGAAAAGAGGCCAATAAATGACAGCCACTGTTTCCTCTGATGCCTATTTTTGACAGTATGTTTGGTAAAAGGTGGATAATTCAGGACACTGGAATACAGATAACTATATCAGTAGGACTTTGAAGGGGCTTTTAAAAGTTGTTTCAATATTTTTATAATTAGAAAACTCCAAGTACAATAAGATTATCGTGAAACAGAAATTGTTTCCTCAACGAATAGATAGCACTTTCGAACTAAAGATAGACAGAATTTGGGCCATGGATTATTTTAGCAATTCACTGTTAAGGGGTTTCCAGAATATGACTGTCAACAATGCCCATTAATTTCTCTGCACTTCAGTTCCCGTACTCTCATTGGAAGACAGTGGTTTTGCTGTTGTATCAGGTACTTTTTCTTAATGACATATAGGGCCTTTGGACCTAAACATTAATTAAGTTTAACCCCAACACTTTCAGGGTACCTGAACAGGGAATTAGTGTCAGGACTATAAGATTTGTCATAAGCAGACCAGTACATTGATCTAATCATTCAGAACATTATATTTAAGGTATGATTAAAATGCTATCCACGGGGCAGTCTTCAGATTTCCTAGGTAGCTGAGATACTTCAGATTTCCTAGGTAGCTGAGTGTTTATAACACACAATGTTAAAAAGTATGGGAAATGTAGGTGTGGTGTGATTTATCCTCAGATTGTTAGTTAAGATATCATAATACAGGAAAACAAACGGGGACATCTTTGCATCACATTTATTACCACAGTAGCCTACAGGCTTTTATTGCATCACACTGAGGAAAAGAATAGGATCATTTCCTTATTTATCATTCTGGTTTGGCTGCTCCAGTCGATATCCTTGGTATTTTTTAGTACCTGACCTGGAAGCTGATCTCCAGAAGCTGTCTCAGTCAAAGACTGGGGATGAATGTGGAGTTGGCCCTGGTGTCCAGGGGGAAGATTCTGACAAAATGAGAGCAATTTAAAATGCCAGAAGGAGGTATGTTATCCATTAAGATTCAAAATTACGTGCTTTCTGTATTCCATAATATTACACTTTTGATAATGAAAAGAGAGAACATTACTGCCCCTTTAAAAACAGAGTCCAAATGCAGACTTTCTCGGGAAGGTAGTCGAGACCCCAGAAGCCTGACTGCAAAACTGAAAGACTATCAGATACAGACACAAACTGGGTCAAAGCCATATTGAATCATCAAATAGAAGCGGGGGCTCACGCCTGTCATCCTAGCACTTTGGGAGGCCGAGGCGGGTGGATAATTTGAGGTCAGGAGTTCGAGACCAGCCAGGGCAAATGGTGAAACCCAGTCTCTACTAAAAATACAAAAAATTAGCCGGGCTTCATGGCAGGCACCTGTAATCCCATCTACTCGGGATGGTGAGGCAGAGGAACTGCTTGAACCCAGGAGGTGGAGGTTGCAGTGAGCCGAGATCATGCCACTGTACTCCAGCCTGGGCAACAGAGTGAAACTCCGATCTCGGGGGGAAAAAAAAGAAAGGAAAAGAAAAAAGAAAAGAAAAGAAAAGAAAAGAAAAGCATTTTCTTACTTCTGAGTATAACCAACAGCTAAAAATTTGTAGATTATTTTCTACTTTCTGCTTTTCACAAATACATAATACATTTGTAATACCACTTCGTATGAAATATGCTGACCCTGAAGAAGATTCTAATACCAGCTCTAAGATAATTTGTGAGATTCTGGACAAAACACATAAATCCTGCACCGGTTTTTGCTTTTATTGAAAGTAGTGAATGCACATCAGATAGATTAAAATCATTTCATTGCTGATTTCTGCATGTTTCGGTTCTGTTGGAGAAAATACAAAGATAATTTCATTTTCGTGATTTGTTTATCATAACCATCAGCTTCAGTCCAATTATAATATCCGAGTTGAGATTTCATTGCTCCTAAGTAAATGAGCTGGCACTCTACTTGATGTTTGTTTTCCTGTATGGAGACCTTCATGAGTGTTCTTGGATTTTGTCAAATCCTGAATTCTCTCAGGCTCTTAAACAATGATTGCTTTTTTTTTTTCAGTAGGGGTCTCACTCTGTCGCCCAGGCTGGAGTGCAGTGGTCTGATCTCGGTTCACTGTGATCTCCACCTCCCGGTTTCAAGGGATTCTCATGCCTCAGACTCCTGTGTAGCTGGGAATACAGGTGTGTGCCACCACGCCGGACTAATTTTTGTATTTCTAGTAGAGACAGAGTTTCACCATGTTGGCCAGGCTGGGCTCGAACTCCTGATCTCAAGTGATCCACCTGCCTCAGCCTCCCAAAGTGCTGGGATTATAGGCATGAGCCACCTCCCTTGCTGGACCCAGTGATTGCATTTTAAAGTCTTCCCGCAGTGAGACCTTGAATGACTGAATAATAAAATGGAAAGAGACAGTCAAGTTTTTGTGACCCAAGAAGTAGGGAGCATGCATGTAGGTCAGTGATGCTCAAGGTGTTTGTAAGATGCCTGGGCTAAGCATGCTCCCTGCCCTCCTGTCAGTCTTCATGAGCTACTGTGTATAATTAGATTGAAGACACATATGGTAACCTCTAACCATATCAGAGGTTATATATTACAGGTTTCTGCCTTGAGTCATCAGAAGATACGATTTAAAGTTCAAAGACTATAACATACTAAGTCCTGAGTAGTCCACGTAAGTATCTTTTACACATGTTTTCCAAATTGCTGACTTAATTAGAAGAACTTCTGAATTTAAAGGAAGCACTGCATGTTTAGGGGAGAAATTACCTAAATGTTTTTACTCCACACTTCTGAACCACTCCATTAGGCTATTAACATTAAAAGATTGTTTTCAGATGATTTCCAGGAGGCTACTGAACAAGCCTCAGTTGTATTCTTAGGACAGTCATAGCATTAAATGTATATCTTATTAAAATAGATAGCAAATTCCATGATACAAGAAAATAATATTAAGAAAGAGCAAAATAATAAGAGTCACAGAATAAACTTAAGGGAAAAAGGCAGTAAATGAAAGGTATGCATCATTAACAAAAGGAAAACTAATTTGATATTAATAAATTTAATAGAATGTTCTTTTGAGAAATAGCTAGGAAGAGCATCCAGTAGATTAAACAATCTTGAAGAAAATGGAAAAGGCACAACACAGAATATGAACAAGACACAGATATTGAATGTAGGGCATAATTGAAAGGGAATACATTCTTGAACACTAATGTTTTCAGAGTGTGGATGATATGGTTGATATGCTCAGAATGCCTACACTATTTAATATATCCCTGAAATACCTGAATATCTGAACATCACAAAGACTGTGGAAGGACGTGAAATTTGCCAGTTGTACCTCAAAACACAGTCACCTTTTTTTTTTTTTTTTGAGATGGAGTCTCTCTCTGTTGCCCAGGCTGCAGTGCAGTGGCACAATCTTGGCTCACTGCAAGCCCCGCCTCCCGGGTTCATGCCATTCTCCTGCCTCAGCCTCCCGAGCAACTGGGACTACAGGCACCAGCCACCACGCCTGGCTAATTTTTTGTATTTTTAGTAGAGACGGGGTTTCACCGTGTTAGCCAGGATGGTCTTGATCTCTTGACCTGGTGATCTGCCTGCCTCGGCCTCCCAAAGTGCTGGGATTACAGGCGTGAGCCACTGCGCCCAGCCAAAAACAGTCACTTTTAGAAGCAAATATTTAGCTTTCCAGATGTGTTACTCTCCGATTTTGTTTCCCTCTCCATTTCTTTTTCTTTGCCACATTGCTTATGATGTATAACTGTTTCACGTTTTAATGTCAATAATGACAGTGATATCTTAAAACTTATATTACCATTTAATTAATTATACAAATGGGAATACTTTCCGGTGAAAAATGTATCATTATTCATATTGACATAATGACTATAGGTGAAAACTGGATGCAAATGGTTAGTGTATGTCAAAAAAGGACTAAGAAGGGTAAACTAGCCCAAAGCAATATTATTGCACTTCTGCACAATAGACAAAAAACAAATGCAATACTGGACCTTCTATTCACTTCACTTACGTATTTCCTAATGTATCATAACTGTTTTCAGTTACATTATGGCAAAACATACTTCTCAGACTATTTGCAGGAGCCTATTGGACATCCAGGTGATAGTTTCAAGCCAAAACATTAAATTATATATTTTTCACAAATTCCTTCGGTTGCTTAGGTTTTTTGTGTTTTAGTTGCATTTTGAGTAAAACTCTACACAATGTTTGCTATCTACTTTAAGCCCCTTTTAATAGGTTCACTTGATTTAATGTGTTCTGGTCTCAGACTGTCTTTTGGTTTCCTTCTAGCACCAAAAGCGGGGTGTGTTTAAAAAATGTTGTTTAATGTGTATGCTTGGAGGTGTTATGTTCAAAGTCTCTACAGAGGTCTAGTGGAATGTTAGCCATAGGGTGACTCTTACTTAGGCTTCTGGTTTTTGTCCAATGTATAAAACTAAAATTTTGGTGTCCTTTGTATACCTTTAATTTCATCTGAATACAGTTCTGCTAGTAATGTTCCTTCCTGTTGTGTTTCTATTGCAGGGGAAGGGCAACCACAGCTTTAAACAAAGGCAAGCTGAAAGAATGCAAACTGGATTTATCCGAGATATTTGACTTTTAAAAATCTCAATAAAGATTTCCAGTTTTCTCCAAATAAGTATCACACATCTTTTGTTCATTTATTCTCGCATATTAGACCCTATTGTAAATTTTGGCCGGGTGGAGTGGCTCATGCCTGTAATCCAAGCACATTGGGATGCTGAGGCAAGGGGATTGCTTGAGCTTGGGAGAGTGAGACATGCCTGGGCAACATGGCAAAACCCCCTCTCTACAAAAATAAATGAATGAATGCATGAATGTATGCATGTATGTTTGTAGGTGTAGTTCCAGCTACTCTGGAGGCTGAGATGGGAGGATCCCTTGAGTCTAGGAGGTCGAGGATGCAGGTAGTCATGTTCACACCACTGCAACTCCAGCCTGGGCGAATGCGACTCTGTCTGAATAAAATATAGTATCATTTTTGCAACTTTGCATTCTGATTGAGCTGGTATACACATGTGTGATATTGTGAAATATATATATTTGGTCCTGGACCCTGCTTACTGTCATACAGCTCCTACAGGTTTTAGAATCGCCTCATAGCGACGTCTTTTTGTATGCTAGTGAGTTGACTGATGGCTGGCAGCTCCTAGGTAGCTCTAGGATGGGAGCTTAGAGGGTTCGCACTTTCAGCTGCATCCCCAACCTTCAGGACAGGGAGAGGGGCTGAAGGTTAAGTTGATTGCCAATGGCGGGCCAACAGTTTAATCAATCATGCCTTTATAATGAAAACCTCCATCAAAACCCAAAAGGACAGGGTTCATAGAGCTTCTGCCTAGCGGAACACATGGAGGGTAGCATGCCCGTAGAGGGCATGGAAGCCCCCTGCCTCTTCCTTCATTCCTTCCCCTGTGTATCTCTGTATCTGCATCCTTCGTTAGGATATCCCATTTGCCACAAGATATGTGAGAATTCCCTAGACTATAGAGCTGGATGAAAGAACTAGCGCCTAGGCAGAAGAAAAAGGAAAGCGACTAGGTCAATTTGCTGAAGCAAAATTACTTGGATCCTACCTACACTGTCTCCTTACAGGCAATGGCATGGCATAGCCTTGGGTGTCCATCCTGCCTCTCAAACACTGGCCTTGTGATGTTGGGCAAGATACTTACATCCTGTGGGACTGTTTCCCCATTTCCAAAGTAGAAATTAGAATATTTAGACTAAATACTTGCTTTGAAGAATAAATGAAATAACATAAGATGCAGGCATTACATTGCAGATAAATTTACTAGTTATCTTTCCTTAATCCCTTTAAAATTTCACATTTTTTTTACAACTACATCTCTAGTATGTGATAAGTGCTTTGGAATTTCAAGTAGGAATATTAGTCTACCTTTTAAAATGCATTTGACTTCAGAAACTGATTTGATGTAAATATGTAAATTAAATAGCAGTTGTAGCTGGTATCAGACATGGCATTGCTTTTGAAGTTGATTTGTAAATAACCGAGGTGTGACAAGGCCAACACTAAGTCAGTAGTACGTGCTGAAAACTTGTTTGGTGTGTGTGAAGCCATGAAGAATAAGTCTACTCCAGTCAGTCAACACCACACAACTCAATATCATCGTGTGTCAAGAGCTCAGGCAGTCCCTAAGCAGCCCTGTGGTGGCTAACAGGGACACAAGGATCGCCAGTGCGGTTGTTATTTTGTCTTGTCATATATTCATAGATTTGGTGGGTAAGAAGACAATGAGGCCAAATGGATCGAAATGGTTGATTACTTGCAGACGGAACAAAAGCAAGATCGGCATTGTGTCAACACTGTGTCGCTACTCCCACAGTACTACACTGAATTGGAGATACTCAGTAACAGCACAGATGGTGGGTCTCTCTGCCTGTGAGGAGCCCACAGTCAAAACCTAAGGCCAATTTTGAAACCACACTGAATCCTGAACCCAAACTTACATCTGACCGAGCTGTGACCATTGGGCAGCAGGGGTGACCCAGCTGCTGAACATCCCACATAGAACACCTAGGGATGTCATTCACACTTGTGAATAGGAAGAACTAGTGTCAATGACTACTCTGAACTGACTGCCTGCTGATAGTTCCACTAAATGAAAGATGCAAATCAATTGTTTGGACTGGACAAAGAACCCTAGAGGGAAAGGTCCCTCAGTGGGAGGCCACATTGGGGGCCTTGGCCAGCTCCTGCCTGATGACTGTATGTCCTGCTGGGGGTGCCTTAACAAGGGTAAACTCTTGGTGTCCAGGGGTATCACCTGTGCCCTCTGGGATTGTTCTTACCTGTATGCCCTGACTATCCCACCACTGCCTCATCCCTGGAAGGCATTCACATCAGCTTCGGCTTCCTGGCCAGAGTTGTTATGACCCTGAAATGCTGGCTTGGGTTGGACAAAAATGGATAATACAGAATCTTAGTTAGGAAGTCACCTGCCTTTGTCAGATAGGCCTTCATCATTATTAGGATTTGTATAAGATGGCTATGATGGGAAAGCTGATGTGTCAACTTTGCTACGCCACAATGCATGAGAAATGTTCACTTTGACCAGGGTAGATGCTCTGTGAAGGGTTTTCTTTAGGAGAACTAACATTTAAATGAGCAGACTTTCAGTAAACCCAATTGCCCTCTCCAGTGTGGGTGGGCCTCATCCAGTTCCTTGAAGGCCTTCAGAGAAGAAGACTGCGGTTCTCCACAAGATGAAGAAATTCTGCCTCCACACTGCCCCTGGATTTGAGCTCTCATATCATCTCTTCCCCGGGTCTCCAGCCTGACATCCTGCTCTGCGAGATTTGGACTTCCCGGTCACAACAGCTGCATGAGCTAGGTCTTCAAACTCAATCTTTCTCTCTCTCTCTCTACTCACTCACATAAATACTTGGGTGCACAGCCCACCCCACGACACACACACACACACACACACACACACACACACACACAGAAGAACCCTAACCAATAGGCTGCTTATATTTGGGGCCCTTAAAGTGCATAACTGAGATCGATACTGCAGGTTGATCTCACTCTGCTGCATGGCTCCAAACGCAGAGGCCTGTGGTGTTCCCCTCCCATGCACTGACATCCATGCTGCTCGTCACTGCGACTCAGGGTTTGGTCATCTAACCATGTAGAGGTCACTACAATTCTACAAGTGTTCTCTGCCCTCCTTCTGCATGTGAGGTCCTCTGTTCCATCCTGAGGGCACAGAGATCTACTGGGTATGTTTCCATCCTTCCAAGAAGGACTTTGGAGCCTGGTGAGGGAGATACACCTGCAACAGCGGTAACAGCAACGGGCATAGCCAGTGTGTTCACCAACTCATGAGAGATCACACTACCAACATCTCCCACATAAATTTCCCCATCAACAAAGAGCTTATCATGGAAATGATCGTGTTCGTAGGTATGTTGGATTCCCCTTATTCTATTTTCCCCAGGAATGCACAGATACAAAGAAAACTGATGCTGGAATGTTGTGTTGGAGTGCAATCTAAGAATGGAATGCCCTGCAGTGATGTGATTTCTGAAGCAGTCAATAAGTCTTTATAAGTTCTTAGATGAAGCAACATACAAGTCTCCCTCAGTTTACAGGGAAGTGACATGTATGGAAAATCCAGTTTATGGAAGACTTTGGAAAAAGATGTTTGCCTCCCTGTAACACTCATTCCCCAAATGCCAGCAGCCCCTACCAATCATTCCAACAACCACAGCTGCACTCAGAAAAGTCCAAAATGGCCCAGTAGGTAACGATATTCTGGCTATAAGCCACAAGTTTATGATTGAAAAGAAGTATCCTCAAACTTCTTGTTTACATAAAAAGAGTAGGGATATTGTGGTCGGTACAAAGGAAATAACAGGGCACCAAGGAGGAGGACACAATGTCCCTGGGAGGGGTTACAGGCACCTTCCTCCTCTGTCTTGCTTTGCTTTCTGTGATAAGAAAGTGGTTCAGGGATAGGCGTGGTGGCTCCCGCCAGCTTGGGGGACATAGGGAGACCCCTTTTCTACTAAAAATTTTGAAAAACAGCCAGGCATGGTGGAGCATGCCTGTAGTCTCAGCTACTTGGGAGGCTGAGATGGAAGCATCGCTTGAGCGTGGGAGTGAGCCATGATTTCTCCACTGTAATCCAGGCTGAGCAACAGAGTGGGACCCCATCTCAAATAAAACAGAAATAAAAGAAAGTGTCTCAGGGCCAGCTGCGATGGGTGGTGAAGCTTCATTTCAAAGGTCAATCACTGCCATGAACATTAATACTCAGATGGTTCTGTGGTAGTCATAGCTCTGAGATCCTGGGACTGATGTCCTTCTTGATGAGGATAGCCCTCTCCAGGCTGGGACACAAGAGCAAGGTGCCAGGCTAGGTCATCAGGCTACCAGGGACAGCTGTCTGCTGTGGGATCACAGATGAGATCAGGAGAAGGACAGCTGAAGGGAGGAGAAGGGAGACAACCTCCTCAGAGGAGGTGCAGGTGTCTGTTACTGAAGGGAAGGCATTTGCCCTAAGTCCTGACATTGCTCTAGGCTCCCATGGATGGACACGATGGTACCAGAAAGATCCAAGGCTGGTGGGAGGAGCACGATAGCTTCCATCACCTCCCATCTTATGTGTTCACTGGTCCCTTAGGGAAGTCCATGCAATTTTGGAATCTAAAGGGTTATTTTCTGGCATTCCCTCCATTCACCACCCACAAAGAGAAGGGATTTGAGATAAACTGAGGTCTTCAGGGAGAAAGGCCAGATGGAGTTGTGAGGCCTTCTCAAAAGTCCCTCTGCCCTACCCTTATGGTGAGTCTCACACTGCATTCATCATGTCTTGTGTTCCTGTGTGCTCTGAGGTCTCTCTTCTCAACCTCATGTCTGTCTTGGGAAGAGTGGGTATATTGCAGACAGTTTTGCAACCTAAGGGATTTAATCAGTTTTCTGAAACTTCCCTAGCCTGGGCAGTAAATTCCCAGATCCTAGGGCACCATTCCGACCACACTACATGAGACTCACTGGGTGTGAATCATGGAATCTTCACTTTTAAAGGATCCTGGATTCCAACTTTCATGGAAACTTGTCTGAGAACTAGTAGAGCAGGGGAGTAGTCTCCTTTCCCAGCTGCACAGCTTCTTTCTCCTTTGTGAAGGTATAGAAGGGACAGGTTTTTTTGTGTTCTCTGATGTACAAACCCAAGATCTTCAGGTGAAGACATGCTGCCGTTATGGTAATGACACACTCAGGGCACTGTCTCCAAATCATACCCAGGCCAATCCTTTCAAGTCTCCATCTCTTAACTATTTCTGAAGAAATCAAATGTCTCTTGCCTGTGCAGTCCCATGCTATAAAATTCTAAATATTTTGCTATAGCCTTTGGCTCTTACCCTTCAGATCTTACCCTTGCACAAATATGCAGCACAATAGAGTTTTCCATGATGCCTCTGACCTGTGCCTCCACCACTCAGTGCTGGTGACACTGAGAAAGTTACTTAACATCTCTGTGACTCCTTTCTCCAATAGTACCATAGAAATACTACTAGTAAATTTATGTAGTTCTTGGGGCAGTTTAGAGCACTGAGTGTGTGAAGAAAACATGTACGGTTGTCAGGAAAGTCCCTGGCATATGGTCAATTTCCAATCAATTCTAGCTGTTACTGTTTTGCTGTTTATATTGTTGCTGTTCCCACATTTCCCTGGGAGCATGTTCCAGAGATACAATGTCACAACTACCTTTGACCCCTTCCATGATCTTTTGATTATCACTTCATTTCTTCAGGGACTCAAGGACTGAGTCTGTGGGGGCAGGGTGAGGCCATATTTTTATGAGCATAATAAATATTCAGCTCTCCTTACAGGGTATTGTGGAGCCTAAATGTAATGCTGGGATTTCATCATCATGAGCTTGTATGAAAAATTTAAATGGAAATTTCTCTAGGAAATCAGAAGTCTAATGACCTCTTCATGTGATTTGTATAATGCTTGGAAAAGTAATTAGTGACTGGATAAGGATAGCATGTAAATATATAAATATTAAAAATTTTATGAATTTTCTATTTCATAGTTTGTGTGTTTTGTATCCCATCTATCGTTGTTTTACATGTTGCCACAGATTCTCCTACATTTTCTTCTAGAAGTGTGATAAGTTCTATGATGCATTTTGAATTAACTTTTGTATATGGTGTGAGACAAAGGTTCAGGTTCACTTGTTTGCATGTCAATGTCCAATTGTTCCACCATCATTCTCTGAATACAGCATCCTTTCCCACTAAATTATCTTGGGACCTTATGGAAAAAAATTAACGAGAATATATAGGTCTAGCTTTGGCCCTTATTTCTTTCCTTATGCCAATATCACAGTGTCCTGATTACCACAGTTATGAAATACATCTTGAAAACAGGTAACGATTCCTCCAATATTCTTTGTTCTTTATAAAATTGTTAGACTATTCCAGTCCCTTTGCTTTTCCATATAAACTTTGAATTCAGCTTATCAATTTGTAGAAACAAAAAGTTGCATGGATTTTGATTGTGGTTACATTGAATGTGTAGTTCATTTGGGAGAAACTGACATGTTCACAATCTTGAGTATTGCAATCCATTAACGTGGTATACCTCTCCACTGATTTCAGCCTGCTTTAATATTTCACAGCAATGTTTTTTAGGCTTCTGAGTACAGGTTTTGCACATATTTTGTTAAATGTTACCACTAAACATTTCATGAGATTTTGCCGCTATATTAAGTGGCATTGATTTTAAATTTTCAATAGTTTGTTGCTGCGAAAGTCAAACTTCTCTTGTACATATTACCATGCTAAACTCACATATACATGTATAAATATATTCAAGTCATGGGGTGAATCTCATTTGGCTATGATGTTGTAAATTTTTAATATATTCCTAGTTTTGACCTGCTATTATTATAGCATAAACATAAATCTATGCTTTTATAGACATGAGTTATATTAGTCTGTCATGTTGTTTTTTCATGATGTTTGTCTGGTTTTGATACCAGGTTGATGTGGACTCTGTAAAATGTTTTGAAAAGTGTGATCTCTTTTCAATTATAAAGAGTTTGTGTAGAAACAACATTATTTCTTTCACAAATGTTTTGCAGGATTATCCAGTGAAGTCACCAGAAACGTGAAATTTATTTGAGAAAAAATCTTTATTTCATTTCTTTGTTTCTGATGTATTTCTTCCTTTTTGATGTATAATGTAAAATGTATAATCTTTTGCAAACACTCTTTTTAATGTTCTGGCTTGAATCTATGGTCTGTATGCCAAATGGGCTCCTGGAAATAGTCTCTCTTGGAAGAAAATGGTTAATGTCACCTTAGGAACTGCATCAGGGAAGTGAATAGAAAGGCCAGCATTGCATTTATTTTTACTCTATTGTGCAGAAGGGCAAAAATATTTATTTGGGCTCGTTTACCCTACTGTGGTTTTTAAGGTACAGTAACCGTTTGTACCCAGTTTTCTTCTACCGTGATGTCAACATGAATGATGCCTCTTTTTACACTTGAAAGTATTCCCATTTGTATAATTAAATATAAGGTCACATTACTCTTAAGCTATCACTATCAGTTTTGTCATCAATGTGTGACAGCATTATGAACTGTGCCACACACGAAAAAATGGAGGGATATGGAAATGGAAAACAATAGTAAGACATCTGAAAAAGTCAAAATCAGTTTCTGAAAGTAAATGGGATGCCTTCCGAGCTTATCAACCATTTCATTCATGCTCTGAAAATATTAGAGTTCAAGATTTTATTCACTTTCAATAATGCCCTATATTAAATCACCCTGTCTTGTTCATATTCCATGTCGTGCTTTTTCCATTTTCTGCAAGATGGTGTAAACTACTGAATACTCTATTCATACCTATTTTTCAAAAGACCATTCTTTTAAATGCATTACATTTGAATTATTTTTTCTTTTACTGATGATTTGTAACTGTCTTTTATTCATTACCTCTTTCTTTTTCCTTTAAGTTTATTCTGTGGCTCTTTTATTATTATTTCATAGTATTATTTTCTTTTATCATGTAATCAGCTATTTATTTTAAGAAGATTTGCATTTAAAGCTATGATCTCCCAAAAAATAAAACAGAGTCTTGTTCAATAGGCTGCTGGAAATCGTCCGAGAACTATCTTTTAACGTAAACAGTCTAATGGAATGGTTCAGCAGAGGAGAGTAAAAACATTTAGGTAATTTCTCCCTTAAACATGGAGTGTTTCTTTTAACTTCAAGAGGTATTCTAATTAACAGTCACCAATTTGGAAAATATGTGTAAAATATATTTATGTCAACCACTCAGGAATTAGCACATTACTGTTATTGTACTTTAAACCCTGTCATCTAATGTCTCAAGGCAGAAACCTGTAATGTGTAATGTATGGTATGGTTAGAGGTGACTCTACTATATGAGTCTTTAATCTAATTACACGAAGTAGCTCATGAAGACTGACTGACAAGAGGGCAGGGAGCATGCTTAGCAGAAGCATCTTACACCCACCTTAAGCATCACTGACCTACATGCATTCTCCCTGCTATACTGGCCACAGAAATCTGATGATCTCTTGCCATTTTATCATTCAGTCATTCAAGGCTTCACTGCGGGAAGGCTTTAAAATGCAGTTATTCTTTAAGAGCCAGAGAATTCCTTTGGCAACAACCTCTCAGACACACCCAGGAACAATACTTTGCACCCTTTGATCCAATCAAGTTGACACTTAATATTAAACATCACCTGCAGACCTGGACTTTAATGATTCCTGAGTGGCCTCACTCCAGCTTCAAAGGGCAGGCTTGAATTTCTTGCCAAATTTGAACTTCCTGCTGCCATTCCTGTGGACTGTAACTCCGGACCTGCTGAATGAGTTCAAAGGATCATTATAGTATTGGGATTGGGAAAGTTGTGAAGGAGCCCTTGTGACAAACAGGAAGCAGCAGAAAGTATGAAAGACACTGTAGAGACAAGAGGAGTTGCTTGATACATGACCCTAGCAACTCTCTAGCTGCTAAGGGAGGAAACAGAGCTGGGACCAACACAGCCAGTCTACCTGTGAGAGGGCTCAATTTCCCACATGACCAGAGCTTCCCATCCTCCATGCATGGGAATCTACGACCAAACTTAGATTTCCACAGGATGGTGGGGGGGTGGGACAAAGTCTACAGATTCTGAGCAGCTGGCAAGTTTCAGGGTACCAGAGTAAACACTGTCACGTGACCTCAGATTGCTTGGTGGTTGAGGCCAAATTATTTACTACCTAACATTTTCAGTGTAGCTCTCCCACTTGCCTCATAAAATGGAGCACCATAAGGGAATGGAGGTCCCTGTGCATTCACAGGGAGGTCTCCGTGAATGCATGCAATGCATGACATTCAGCTATGCTGCAGCCCAAGCAAAGCCTCCTCATGATACCAACAGAAGAGGTCACATGTACTTTCTGTCCCCTTTGCCTGTGAGTTCCCATCTGTCCAACTAAGACTTCACCTGTGCAAAACAGACACTGATATCTGCAGATGAAACACATATTTCATCAGTAATTGTATATTTTGTAGTGGCTTTTGTGGCCCATATCAAAGATGACATTTTTGTCTAAAAGCACTGAATTGCTAAGGAGGGCGACAAAATTGGGTTCTAATGTGTTTTTGCATTTATTCTATAGCAACATTTACCAACCATCCAAGATGTTCTCTGAAAAGGCTTTAATTATTTCTTTTTTTTATTATTATACTTTAAGTTCTGGGGTACATGTGCACATTGTGCAGGTTAGTTACATATGTATACATGTGCCATCTAAACTAGTTTTTAGTCCATGTTCGATCATAAGATTAATGTTGTCAGCCAAAAACAGCATTTTAAAGAACAGCATTTTAAAAAATGGAGGTAAAATAAATTACTAAATAGCGTTCACTGCATAGAGAATATACAAATACACTGCACATTCCTATACACATACATATATTTATTTGCCTAGTCAACTATATATAAACTGTGTATTTATCACACATTGTCATAAAAGAGTTTGAACGTCACTACTTCAGGGGTTATCAGACAAAACGTTTACAGGCCACTTCCATAGCCATCTGTGAAGATGATGGATTAAGACATGCTCAGAATAAGTTCACTGTTGTCTGTAGCTTTCTACATAATGCTTGAAATAGCACTCAGTGATGTTTAAATTGTCAGTTTGACTGCAGGGTGTGTTCATGTGTGTGTTCCTGCACTCATCTGATGATGCTTTGATATGTCTCCTTTTATTTACTCCTTTATTATTTACTGGGTCTTATGGTTACTATTGAGAGAAGAGAGAGATCCTCTCATATTGTTTTATATTGTTTTATATTCAGTATCTTTTTTAAGAAAAAACAACAAGGAAGTAAAACCAAAGACAGGCAGCCCCGCGCCAGGCCCAAAACCTGACCCGGGCCTGCCTGGCCTAAACCTAGTAGTTAAAAATCAACTCATGACTTAGAAACCGATGTTATTCATAGATTCCAGACATTGTATAGAAGAACATTGTGAAACTCCCTGCCCTGTTCTGTTTCTCTCTGACCACCGGTGCAGGCAGCCCCTGTCACATACCCATTGCTTGCTCAAATCAATCACGACCCTTTCATGTGAAATCTTTAGTGTTGTGAGCCCTTAAAAGGGACAGAAATTGTGCATTCGGAGAGCTCGGATTTTAAGACAGTAGCTTGCCGATGCTCCCAGCTGAATAAAGCCCTTCCTTCTACAACTCGGTGTCTGAGAGGTTTTGTCTGCGGCTCGTCTGGCTACACTATTATGTAATTCATTAGCATAGTGCCAGTGACATCTGTGGTACTCAGTGTCAATCCAATTTACATGAATTTTAAAAATGTTTTCAAGTGTGAATACTTTTTCTTACCAACTTTCCTTAAGCACTTCAAGGAGTTGAATGCAATTCAATACTAGTAGTTGATGTTATATCATACTGAGCTATAATCCTGCTAAATTGCTAATCTACTAACTGTTGTTATGCCTCAGCTTTCATGTCACCATAATGCTTAGATAAATGACACAAAGACCAAAACATAGAAATAAGGATTCTGAGATATTGACTTTTTTTTAATTTCCAAATTTTACTTTAAGTTCAGGGGTACATGTGAAGGATGTGCAGGTTTCTTACACAAGTAAATGTGTGCCACGGTGATTTACCGCACACATCATCACATCACCCAGATATTAAGCCCAGTATCCGTGAGCTGTTCTTCCTGATCCTCTCCCTCCTCCCACCCCCGCACTCCAGTACGCCCCAGTGAGTGATGGTTCTCCCATGTGTCCATGTGTTTTCATCATTTACCTCCCACTTATAAGTGAGAACATCCGGTATTTGGTTTTCTGTTCCTGCATTAGTTTGCTAAGGATAATGGCCGCCACCACCATCCACCTCCCTGCCAAGGACATGAGCTCATTCATTTCATGGCTGCATAGTATTTCATGGCTGCATAGTATTCCATGGTGCATGTGTACCACATTTTCTTGATTCGGTTTATCATTGATGAGATGGACATAGCAAATATCACAAAGACACTTGGTCCTTGCTGTGGGAAATATCGCACTGTGGTGGGGCAGACAGACAAACAGAACAGCAGTTGAAGTGCAAAGGAGAAACACAGGAAAGGAAACCAGAGGAATAAAAAACAATTAATGTAGTGGCCACGAGGCAGGAGAAAATAACACAATTTTTAAAAGATAATCTTTGTCCATTGCCTTTGCCTCTTTTCTGAAAGTCAACTTATTAGGTTTGTGAGTCTATTGCTAGACTCTATTTTGATCTGTAGATTTTCCCCCAATATCACACTGTCCTGAATACTGGAGAAGTAACATAATTGCCATATGGGGCTGGATGATTAAAAATCATAATCAATAGCTTCATTCAATGCTCCTAACTCAAGGCAGCACCCTCACCTCAGCTGAGGATCCCATGCCTCCCACCTTTTCAGGAGTTCTGCTCCTGCACTGATCATTCCTCTCCCCTGAACCATCAACGGCTCCCTCTATATTGGATCAACCCCCAAGCCAAGGGGGATGTCAACTTCTTCCAACTCACTGATAACATAATCAATCAATAAATAAAATAGAATTAATGTGAATCTTGACATTGTGTGGGGTGAATTCCCCCAAGTTACACTTCAGAATTGTTCTAGATATTCTGGTTCATTTTCCTTTGTAGAAAATTTTGAAAATGGACTCCAATGAAGTGTGTTGCATAAGTTCATGCAGTTTTCCTTTGCAGGGCAGCAGACACATGTGTTCGTAGCTACAGAAGGACATGGGGGAAGAAGGTGAGTTTTCCCGTAGCTGGAGAATGATCCAATGTAGAGGGAGCAGTCGATGGTTCAGGAGAGAGGAGTGATCACTACAGGAGCAAAGCCCATGACAAGGTGGGACGCATGGTATACTGACCTGAGGTGAGGGGGCTGGCTTCAATTAGGAGTATTGTATGCAGAAGGGCAGCAGAGAATGTCCATGAATCACTGAAGGTGAGGGTGGCCTTGGGGGTCCCTGACACAGTGTCAACAACCGTGTGATTCACCAGCAGGACCCTGACTCACTACAATATGGTGAAAGCTTTCTTTGAGTAAAGGAAGAGTGAAGGGGTAGAGATGATGAAGCTGTCACTCCTGGGAGACTATGCATTTCCCCATAGTATGAAGCAACAGCCGAGCTGTTGTCTGTTATGAAAAATACATGTACTCCCAGCATTTAACAATAATCCCTCCAACTGCAAGAGAACTGGCTCACTGGATCCCTCAAACGCTGTTCTGCACAGGATAATGTATGGAGGAAAAGTGCAGCCTGGTGCTGACTTTAATTTTTGTTTTCTCCTGCAGGCAGGTAGAGACAGGACACAATTGTTGCCAATGAACTTTCAGTAGGTCAAAAATCCTGAACGTTTGAATTGCTGTTTCCTCCAAGTGGGAGGGAAAAAATTCAGTTTCCTGGGCTGGAGCAAAGCCTTACATAAACCTTAAAACTTAGATAAAGGAAAAATAAGTGAGAAAAAGGCCACGGGCAGTGGCTCACGCCTGTAATCCCAGTATTTTGAGAGGCTGAGGGAGGAGAATCACTTGAAGCCAGGAGTTCAAGACCAGCTTGGGCAACATAGTGAGACCCCTGCTCTACACAATTTTTAAAATTACCTGGGCATTGTGGCACATGTCTGTAGTCCCATCTACTCAGAAACGTAAGGCAGGAGGATCGCTTGAGCACAGAAGTCCTACGCTGTGGTGCACTATAAGTCGTCCAGTGTACTCCAGCCTGGGCAAAAGAGAGAAACCCTGCCTCAAAAAAGGGGTTGCAGGTTTGTGAAGACACATTCCAGCCTCGTCTTCAGCCGGGTTGCCACTGCTGCAGCCCCCTCTCAACATTTCAGGCAGGATCTCTCTTGGCCATGGTACTTGCAAGTGTGTGAATATTGAATTTAGTGCTAGGGGTTTAATGGAAATTACAATGATATAAAGAAAACCGCCACAGTTGTAAAATGCCTTTGCATTTTGTGGCTATTAAATCTGGATGTGTGATATCGATGGACAGGGTGCAGCAGTTTGACTAACTAATGCCACTGTCACAAGCAAGGAACTCATCTTTTCTACACTTCTCACCGGATAAGTGATAGAGACAAAAGGATTGGAGGTTATGCAAACTGAGTTTTACAATTATTACAAATTCAGGATTTCATCCTGACCATTTCTTAAATATGATGAATTTTTTCACGAAATTTATATTACAATGTGTTTTTCTGAATATGTTTAGTCCCTTCTGCCTACCACCCTTCCAGAAAAAAAAAAAAAAAGTTTTGAGGAAGAAACGGGATGATGAAAGAGATAAAAGCGTTTCATCACATAATACTCCATGCTGATTTGTTAACAATTGGAGAAAGCAGAAAACCTGGCACATGAGGAGAAGCAAGGGAGGGAAGGAAGACATAAGTAGTCTCTGTTTTTCAAAACTGTTCCTGGAAACTCTCCAGTTTTCCTCAAGACATACTTCCCATGCAGGCTTTCCTAGCTGCTGTGAGTCAACGCTGAAATCACACTGACTGATGAGCCATGATCACCTTACAGGTTTTCATGGAAATCAGTTACCAGTTGACAGGTTCAAAGGTGGAGTAACACAATATTAAAAAAGCACACAAGTGTGAACTGATTGAGTCTACAGCATGTATAAAAAGCCTTTATAAAAATTGGCCAAGATGGGAGGATCACTTGAGGCTGTGTGTTTGAAGGCAGCCTGAGCAACACACTGACACACCTCATCTAAAAAAAAAATTAAATACATTAGGTGGGCATGGTGGCGGCCATCTGCACTCCCAGCTACTTGGGAGGTTTCAGTGTGAGGAGGCTTGCTTGAGCCCAGAAGATGGATGCTGCAGTGAGGCGTGATCATGCCACTGCCCTCCACCCTTCACAACAGAAAAACACCCTGAGAAAAAGGCATGTGTAAATATAGACATAAAATTCTTTATTTCTGTCACAAAAAGTCTTTCTGAGACACACTCCGCACTAAGGGTGACGTGGGACTCTCTGTTCCCAACGTTTCCGGATGCAGGAGAATGGTTGGACAAGACACACACACAGACAGACACACACACACAAACACAGACACACACAGACACACATACACACACACACACACAAGCACACACACAAAAGCTCTCGCGTCCCTTTGTTTCCACTACAAACACCCTGGAATTCGGGTGTGGGGATACCAGGAAAACCCTGGTCGGCCCTGCCTGTGCCTGACTCAGTGTGTCTGCTATAAAGACACATGCACACGTATGTTTATTGCAGCACTATTCACAATAGCAAAGACTTGGAACCAACCCAAATGCCCATCAATGATAGACTGGATAAAGAAAATGTGGCTCATATACACCATGGAATACTATGCAGCCATGAAAAAGGATGAGTTCATGTCCTTTGCAGGGACATGGATGAAATTGGAAACCATCATTCTCAGCAAACTGACACAGGAACAGAAAACCAAACACTCCATGTTCTCACTCATAAGTGGTAGTTGAACAATGAGAACACGTGGACACAGGGAGGGGAACATCACACACTGGGGCCTGTTGGGCGATGGGGGTCTATGGGAGGGATAGCATTAGGAGAAATACCTAATGTAGATGACGGCTTGATGGGTGCAGCAAACCATCATGGCACGTGTATACCTGTGTAACAAACCTACACGTTCAGCACACATATCCCAGAACTTAAAGTATAATAGTAATTTTAAAAGAAAGAAAATGGTTCACGGCAAGGTAAGGTGGCTCAGACGTCAAATCTCAGCATGTTGAGTCATCGAGGCATGAGGATTCCTTCAGCCCCAGAGTTCACGACCATCCTGGGCAACATAGGGAGACCCCGTTTTACAAAAAATTTTAAAAGCATATACCCAGGCATGGTGGAGCATGCATGTAATTCCAGCTACTTGTGAGGCTGAGATGGAAGGATTGCTTGAGTCTGGGAGGTCAAGGCTACTGTGAGCCATGATTTCTCCACGGCACTACAGGCTGAGCAACGCAGTGAGGGCCTGTCTCAAATGAGACAAAAAGAAAAGAAAGTGTTTCAGGGCCAGCTGCGATGGGTGGTGAAGCTTCATTTCAAAGGTCAGCCACTGCCATGGGACACTGATGCTAAGGATGGTTCTGTAGTAGTCATGGCTCTGGGACCCTGGGACTGATGTCCTTCCACTCGGGGAGGGCAGCCCTCTCCAGGCTGGGACATAGGAGGAAGGGGCCAGGCTAGATCATCAGGCTACGAGGGACAGCTGTCTGCTGTGGAATGGCAGATGAGATCAGGAGAAGGACAGCTGAAAGGAGGAGAGGGGAGACGCACTGCTCAGGCGAGGGGCCGGTCTCCTAAAAAGGGAAGACATTGGCCCTAAGTCGTGTCATTGCTCTAGGCTCCCGTGGAAGCACATGATGGTGCAAGAAGGAAACCAAGGCTGGTGGGAGGGGAACAATAGCTTGCATCATGCCCCATCCTATGTGTTCAGTGGCCCCTGAAAGGAGCCCATGCCTTTTGGGGATCGAAAAGGTCATTTCCTGACACAACTCCATTCACCACCCATGAGGAGCAGGGATTTGAGATAAACTGAGGCCTCTGGGGAGAAAGGCCAGTAAGAGTTGTGAGGTCTTCTCATAAGACGCACTGCCTTACCCTTATGGTGATTTTCACACTGTGTTCATCATGTCCTGTGTTTCTGTGTGCTCTGAGGTCGCTCTTCTCAACTTCATGTCTGTCCTGGGAAGAGTGGATATATTTCAGACAGTCTTGCTACCTAAGGGATTTAATAAAGTTTCTGGAAGTTCCCTAGGCTGGGCAGTGAATTCCCAGATCCTAGGACACCATTGTGGCCACACTACATAAGCTTCACTGGGTGTGATTCCTGGAATCTGCACTTTTAACAGATCTTGGGCTCTAACTTTCACAGAAGCTTGTCTGAGAACTACTAGAGCAGGGGAATAGTCTGCTTTCCCAGCTCCAAAGCTTCTTTCTCCTTTGTGAAGGTATAGAAGGGACAGGTTTGTAGTATATAAAATTTTAAAAATGTATGTTTGTTCTATTTCATAGTTTGTGCTTTTTGCATCCTGTCTATCTTTATCTTACACGATGCTGCAGATTCCCTTACATTTTCTTCTACAAGTGTTGTAACATTAGCTTTCACATTTAGTTCTATGAAGCATTTTGAGTTAACTTTTGTGTATGGTGTGAGGCAAAGTTTGAGGTTCATTTGTTTGCATGTCAATGTCCGACTGTTCCAGCACCACTCCTGGAATAAAACATCCTTCCCCACTGAATTCTCTTGGCACTTTATGGAAAAATCCATTTAACTTGAATATATAGATCTAGCTTCGGACTCTTATGCCTTTTCTTCTGCCAATATCACAGTGTCCTGATTAGCATAGTTGTCAAATGCATCTCGATATCAGGTAATGTGAGTCCTCCAATATTCTTGGTCCTTTATAAAATTGTTAGGCTATTCTAGTCCCTTTGCTTTCCCATATAAATTTTGAAGTCAGCTTGTCATTTTATAGCAACAAGAGGCTGCAGGGATTTTTATTGGTTTACACTAGACATATAGATTATTTGGGAGTAACTGACATATTGACAATCTTGAGTCTTGCAATCCATTAATGTGGTATGTCTCTCTATTTATTTCAACGTGGTTTCATATTTTTCTGAAATGTTTTTTAGGCTTCTGAGCACAGGTCTTGCACATATTTTGTTAAATTTTACCACTACAGATTTCACGGGGGGGTTTGCTGCTATATTAAGGGATATCGACTTTCAATTTTCAATTGTTTGTTGCTGGCATATAAAAATAGCATTGACTTTTCCATGTTCATCTTGTACCATGTTACTTTGCTAAACTCACATGGAGGAAATTCCATTTGGCTAGGATGTAAATTTTTTATGTTGCTAGTTTCTAACTCCGGTTAATTGTTTTTTACAGAGTTTGTGTCTATGTTCATGAGTTACATTGGTCTGTCATGTTATTTTCTCATAATGTTGTCTGGTTTTGATATCAGGCTTGTGCTTGCTCTGTAAAATGCTTTGGAAAGTGTGGCCTCTCCTCAATTATCTTGAGTGGAGAACTGGTGTTATTTCTCCCAGAAACGTTTGGCAGAATTATCCAGTGAAGTCACCAGAAACATGAGGTTTAATTGAGAAATATCTTTGTTGAGTTTCTTTGTTGCTTTTACTGAATCCAATTCCTTTAATTGATATACGGCTATATATGTCGTTTATTTGTTTTTTAACGTTTCATTTATGTCCATTTTTATGGGTATTTAGTAGGCACACATACTTGACATGTTTTGATGCAGCTTGCAATTTGAAATGAGGACATGATGGAGATTGAGGTATTCCTCCTCTCAAGCATTTATCCACTGAGTTGCAAATAATCCAATTATACTGTTCATGTTATTTTAAAATGCACAGTTACACTCTTTTTTTGTTTGTCTTTTTTAGCACTTGTCCACTGTTTATTCATTGGAAGGAAGGCCCGGTCCTAGGTAGACTCGACCTCCCCCGAGGAACCTTGGAGCCAAAGGCAGGAGGCTTCCAGAATGCTTAGACTCTGATCCTCCTTACTATCACCCTGAGACCTGTCTCACCAAAGCCTTCTTCTGTCCATGGTTTTCTCACTGGATCTACAAGGGAATCCCCCCACAAGTCTGGGGTCCAGTGTGGTCACTCCTGATGGTTTTCAAGAAGGGGAAGGCCAGGAACCTAGGGAAATACCTCATTTGGCCCGACCACAACTGGCCAGAGCAGGACAAACATGCCATGCCATGTCAGGCGCCCAGTTACCCAGCTGGAGGGAAAGTCAGTCCTGAGAGGGTGGAAGGGGCCAGTCACAAATCCCGGATAGATAGTGACCTGGGCTCCACAGGTGAGCTGGGCTCTGATGGCTTTCCCTGCCTTTGGAAACAAGGAGGAGAAGTTTTTTGCAGAAAAAGCCTCTTTTCCTTCCAGAACTGCTGTTTTATGACAGCTGTTTCGGCAGTGAGTCTTGTGTCTGTTATGAGGGTGGGTCCCCCTCTTGGCCCTGCTCTACAGAAAATGATGGAGCAGGGCAAGCTGTCCTCAGTGAATGTACACCAGAATGGCCTGGACGTGAGCCACGCCTTCAGAAACCATGCGTGCTCCAAGAGCGCTACAGCATCAAATAAGGCCTATGGAGGGTCCCCATCTGAAGGGCATCGGGGAGGTCTCTGAGTCGAGGTAGGTGTCTCAGAGAAGAGGGTGACAGCCCAGCCTACTGCCTGGAGTTCTGGCATTGGGTAGGGACTGCAGAGGGCCCGGGAACGGGGAGGCTTTCAGGGAAGTCCTAGGGGCTCTGAACACCTCTGCTCCTTCCATGAGGACAAGGAAATGTTGTGCACCCAGACTGCCACCTTAATGTGCTTCCCACAGCACTCAATTGATGGGGCAAGGATGCACAGGAGACCGCCCCCCCTCCCCAGTCCAGTGACCCTGCTGCCCACAGTGCCTGGCTTCCCCGCTGTAGGGTTCTGACCCCTCCAGAATGATCCTGCTCGTCTCCTCTGCACAGGAGGCAGAGGCACGTCCCTGCAGGGCACAGAAACCATGCCGACATCCCACAGCAGGGGCTGGGGCTCAGAGCCGGCATCGTGTGCAGACTGGGCTAGGACTCACCTTGGGAGAGAACTTGGGGAGCCCCTTCTTCCAGGGGCCACATCCCACTGAGATGAGTCGACCCCCATGAGGATCTGCAGGATCTTGTCTGACATAGCCTCATTGGGAAGGGGGGTCTGATACTGTGCAGAGTGGGTCCCCGGCACTACAGACTGGGATCCCAATAGGCTCTGCTCACTCCACCAGCCATCAGCCTTGACAGGCCAGGTCCTCCCAGGCCTGCTGTCCCCACAGACCCCTTTTGGGCTCATCCTGAGGCTCTGGGAGGTCTGCCTTCTGCAGGGCGAGCACAAGCTCACAGCCAGGACATAAGCGGCATTCAAAGTTCATAGAAACTTGTCCCCATGTGCCTGAAGGTAGCAGGAGGACCACACAAGACAGACCTCAACTGTCCTGAGGGCAGCACTTGCACTGTCCACACGACCCTCTGCTCTGGCCTAGAGGGAAGGCCAAGCCAAGCCAGGCCTGGTCAGCTGTGCAGGGCACCGTGAGTCCTTCTGGAAACTGAGCCCACCCCTGACACGACACAGATGAAAGGCAGGAGCGTGGTGAGCATTCCCCTGCCTGGGCCTTCCCTGCATCCATGGCCTCCTGTGCACAGCTGGACCCCAGGGTTGTCCAAAAGGGGCCCAGCACTGCCCACTGGGAAGTGCCCAGAGCAGAAACGAGGTGAAGGCACAGACCTCTCCCAGGAGACCCCACCTGGCCTGATGTGCAGCCCCATTCCTAGAACATCTCCTGAAGCTGTCTCTCTTTGGCCCATGGGAGCTCCTTCAGGACATGCTGTCTCAGGCCTGGACTCTTGAGGACCACGTGGTGCTCAGGCCTCCATGGTCGAGTTGAGAAGGACACACTGCGACCTGCATCCCACGTGGGCTCCAGCCTCCCGAGTCACCCTCTGAGGCATTAAATCATGGGGAGTGCCCAGAACCCTCCATCCCTACTCCCTGGGCCTTCCTCCTTTTCCTCTTCCTTCTCAAAGAAGTTTCTGAAAACAGGCCAGCTGGGCCCCAGGGCAGGTGCTAGACTCGCCTCAGTGACAGGGCATGGGATGAGGGCAAGACCCCTCCAAGCCCCTCCCCCACACCCTTCCCCTCCTGGCCTAGAAGAACCCTAGGGGGCACTGGAGGGGTTGGTCCCATCTGTGCGAGCCAACACCCACAGCTGCCAGCACCAACGCCAGAGAACAGCAGGGGCGCCTCACTCACAAGCACCCCTCCAAGTGTGTCACGACGGCAAGCCTTGAGCCAGGGAATGGAGAGAATCAGTGTCTCAGACCCAGAGAGAGGATTCAGGGAAACGGTGCAGTAGGCCCCTTGGTGTGGGAAGTCATGGCATGGCGTGGATTGTCCGGGATGGCAGAGGGGCCCAGTGCCCAGGAGCGTCTCACGCGCTATGGAGACAGATCCTCATCTTAGGTGGCAAGGGGGCCAGGTGACAGGTAAGGCCTCTCCCAGCTGGGTTCTGCACCAGGGCTGAAGCCCAGACCGAGCCGCCCTGGGGTGAGGGTATGAGGCCTGGAGCCCCGAGCCAGCCTGAACCCTGGGGTCCGTCTCAGGAGCAGCCTGAGATGCTCTGACAGCAACCATGCCCCAAGCTGCACGCACCCCTCACTCTGGGTTCAGCAGCCTGTGGGTGTTTCCTCAGTGTCACACCAGGTGGGCCACTAGAGACCCCCAAAACTCCAGGGGCCCAGGTTCATGAGGCCCAGCCCTGCAAGGAACAAATGGGCTTGGTGGAGAAGTGGACCAAATCTGCTTTTCTTTCAGCCAAACCCGCAAAGATCCCTAGGAAGGTCCTGGGCCTGGAGCGAGTGTCCCTGGCACCCAGGCCTCTGTGGGCATCCCTCAGCATGCAGACCCTCCCCAAGGGGGATGGGCTGGCCCTCCGTGGCCCACCAGCCCAGCTCCAGAAGTCCAGAAGCTGACCCTGAGGCCAAGGCCCAGCAGCATGAGGGGACTTCTGCAGAGCCCCGGGCAGCAGGACACTCTCTGGGGGCTCAGCCGCCCAGAGTGCAGCAAGTCTGTTCCTATCTCAGGACAGACCCCAGGATTTTGGGCGATTTCTGTGTGGGTGTCCTCTCCCAAAACTCCCCATGTACCTGGACATCCAGGGCTCATGGTTTCTACAGTGCAGCTTTGAGCAGGCATGCTGAACTCCTATTCCTTCCACATCTGCTCTGGACATCGCCAGGACCAATGGACAGGCCCATCCCTGCAACCCCAGCAGGGCTCCAACAACCAGACCCGGCCCACCCCACTGAAAACCCAGAGGTAGGACCACAGAAACTCCCCTTGCATGGTGGCATCTGGATCTGACGTTTCTCTGAGGATAGTGACCTGCACAGCCCCAAAGCAGTCAGTACTACTGCTAGGCCATATGGGATCAATATCAATGGGGAAGCTGGGCCCTCAGAGGCTGCTGGAGGGGAGAGTGACTGTGGCATCTGCACAGCCCCAGCCAGCCAGCAGCATATCACATGTCCTCATGTCTGCCCATTCGTGTGACAGAGCCTCTCTCACATGGCAAGCGTCCTAGAGCCATGGGGCTGCGATCCAGCCCAAGCCCTCCCCAACCAAAGCCCTAAGAGAAAAAGGACCCAGGGGAGCCATGGGTGCCCCAGAAACAGCTAAGATGGATACACAGGGGACTGAGTTCCTGGGACACTGGCCAGAACTAGACTGTGGCCCAAGGCAGGGCAAGCCCCTTAAAGCAGTGTGTGGGTACGCAGGGCCTGTGCATGCCTGGCAGAGCCAAGCCAGTGACGTTACCAGGCTCAAAGAGCAACCATCCACGACGGCCATGGTGGGGCAGGAGCAGGTGGGCCAGCCCCCTGCCTCATCAACTCAAGGAATCAGGGATGGCTGGGTTCCCAGGCCCTGAGTGCCCACCACCTGACCATTAGTGAGGCAGAGACATGAGGCCAATCACATGATCCTGGGGCCCTGCTTCCATCTTACAAGAACTCCTTCAGCTCACAGCACCAAGAAAAATCCTGGGCAAGTGAGGGTCCAGGAGGCCAGGTTCCTACGTCTATTCTCCTTGTCAGGTGCATTTTGCCACTGGGAAAAGTCAGAAAAGGTGGCCTCAGTCCATGTAAGCAGGCTCCAAAGTAGGCACCATAGCTGCAGGGGGAGAAGGAGCTCCTGGCGGCACTGGAATAGGCTCTGGCAGGATCCCAGATTCTGTGATTCTGTCCCCCGCAACCTGTTTTTTGTTTTGTTTTTTTTTTTGTTTTTTTTTTTTTTTTTTCCCCTTGAGTGCTTGGAATCGTCCCCATTTTACACGGAGTCTGCAGCCATTGACAATCAGTTTATTAGAGGACTTGTCGGCACCCACTTCTGTAGCCACCCTGTGGAAAGCTGGATGAAAGGCACACTGCTATCTCTGCACAACGGTGACCATCCGGATCTCACCAACAGGCAGAGACAATTTCTTAAATCTGTCTGAGTAATGGTATCCGCCAGATCACCAACATACACTCTGGTGGAATCCTTCTCTGCTGGTGATTCAAGATGAAGCGTGGTTGAAGCCTGCTTTAGAAGCTTATCTGCTACAGGGTCATTGTTTCCACAATATCGATCTTTAATATTTTGACCAGCAAGAGGGGGTCATCGGGATCTGCAGGCTTCTCATGTCTTTACGGACAGTCCTCTCCTTTCACCTGGACAGAACAAATGTAAGGCTTATTCCTCAGCCAGTACAGTGTGGTCCGGGCCAGTTTGAGCAGCATCTCACTACTGGACGTGGCTTTCCCCAGCAGAGCAACTGGCCATGTTCTATCAGGGTTAGAAATTCCTCTGTCCATATCTGCAGTCACCTTTAAAGGCAAGTCTGTGTCATGAACCTGTATGGGCAGTCATACTCTAGGTCTAAGAGGCAAGTCTGACAGACATTTCCTGCAGGCTTGGCCCCCTTCAGTCTTCTTGGGATGCATGTGCTCCCCCGGGCACCAGCCAAACACTGAATGGCCTGACAGAGTTTGCATTTTTTCTCATAGTTCTCCTTGGTCATGTTTCTCTGAGACATATCTGGCACAGAATGGAGAAATCGACGTCCTCCCAGTTTTGCCTGTTTTAGGCGCTGGAACCCAGAGAGGTCGCCATCTTGAGAGGGTCGGCAGGCAGCAGTAGATTTCCAGGTGGGAGAGAGGACCCCCAGAATCCCACCAGACCCAGCTCTCCTTCCTGGTGCTGTTCTTGAGGCCCTGGATAATTGCCTTTCACCATACGTGAGTCATCTTTCTTGAGTCAAGGTGAACCTCACTTCCAAGGAATCCCCATTCTTGTAGGACACTCTGTGCTTCCTGGTCTCTCCAGGAGCTGGCTAAAATTCTATGCTTTTTCATTGGAATACTGAGATAGACAGAAGTGCAGTTTTTTTACAAGTGTCTTTATCCAGCCATGGCATTAATTTCCCGTTTGGTAGGAGGACAATAGTCTTATTTTCATCAGTATGTGTAGTGCATGTTAGTGCACAGCATGAACCTTAGAGGAAGACTTCTACCTTGAGATGTGAAATGCATCAATACTTGTGTGGAGTTAATAAACCTGCTCTACCTCCACAAGTGTCAGCTTCCTCACCCATACAATGGGGATCACACAACGACTTCTTCAAGTTGTTGCCAGAGTTACATTCACCAAGATATTTAAAAGTACCTAACTACAAGGGTCCACAGCATTAATAAAACTGCATCAGACTTCAATGCACACAAAAGGAATAAAGTACATGCGTCCAAAGACGAGATGAGCAGCTTTCTAAGCAGCCTGATGAGCATCAGAATGAGATCTACATTTAAGTAGAATTCTTCACAGCTCCACTGAAGAGGACACACATGGGGGCTCCAAGAAGATAAGCACATGGCCATTGCACAGTAACTGGTGTAGTGTGGATGGAATCCCTGAAGACCCTCTGAAATATCATTACACAACTGGCTCTCAGGGAACACTGGAACAAATCAGGAAACTCAGCAGATGCTACCAGGAACTGGGTGAGCAGAGGGGGGTCACATCCACAAATTTAAGCAGAAGACACCAAACCGCAAGGAGCTCCTGGCTCTGCAACAGCAGCTGTGGTGGCATCGGGGCCAATCTTCTGAGACAGCTGCTGTGGGATTGCTGAGACCATGTGTTTTTGCAGCCACACACCCAAAAGCAGTGCATTTGAAAACGGATCACAACACTCTCCTCTCCATTCATCTTTGTTTTAAGATGACTGATGATGGATACCCTCACATTGCAACATCCCCACCAACACTTGTGGACAATCGTATTTAGAAAATCCCACCTAAAGAGGGAACAGTCAGGAGTAGGATGAGAATATTGAGGGATGGGGGAGAGATGCGGGTACTTCACCCCAGACTCTGTTTGAAACAAGAGCCATTGTGCTGTGGTCTCCCTATACTTCCTCATTTTGCCGCATTCGTAGATGCCACCTGGTTTTTGTCCCTTTACTTACAAAGGTGCTGATGAGCCCATGGGTGGTTAATCCTGAAGGAGGAAATTCTTCACAAAATACAATAACAGAGTCTAATTTCAATGACCAGGTTTTTTAGTTTTTTTTTTTTTTTCATAGTATCCCACATTAAAAATCACAAATGAAACCTGTTGGAATGTGTGATATGAACAAAGTCTTATTTTCATGCAGATTAACAACTTGGCTTTTACGGATTACACATAAAAGCATAAAAGCTGGTACCATCCCAGAATCAAAGGAACAGTCCCAGAGGACATACGGAATTTAGTGACATCAATTATTAAGAGGCTACACGAAACTGGAAGTGCTCCCAGAAGTTTTCATTGTCTAGACAGAAAAATTCAAGACATCAGCCCCATCGAGTAAAGGTACGTCCCCTGGCTGCCGTGGGTGATGAGCTTTTCATTCAAAGCAGAGATATGAAGCCTGAGGTGTCTCAAAGTCACCCCAAGTGCTCCACACCTTGAAAGTCACTCCCACAAAGCTGGAACACCATCTGTTCCTGAAGGATCAGGTCATGACCTGTATCTTTGAGACACTGGGCAGTCAGGCCTCAGTTGAGATGAAGCCAATGATTTCAAGTGTAAAATACCTAAAACCAAATCTTTAGGTATCTATTAGCAGCCCCGTCCACTTAAATGGGTTGGTGAACATGGCCCATCAGACAGACACACACCTGAGCACTGGGGTTTTCTCCTCTGTTCTTAGCATCCCCTGGGTAAACCAGTAATTACCCTCCCTCATGCCTCAACGTTCACATCTGTGAAAAAGGTGATGGGGAGAGTGGCCTTTCCAGGAAAGCGGAGCACATGTCAACACCTGCTAAGCTCTGAATTTGTGCGTGGGCCCAGGCGACGGATTTCTCCAGAAAGCGGCTGAACTGGGACTCTGGCTGAAGAGAGCGGAGGTCAGCAGCACAATGCACAGCCCCTGGGACCTCAGGCCAGTTCCATAGCAGCTTAGGAAAGCAGTTGGGTCCCTAGGCTGGAGGAGGCCCGGTGCTCTGGAAAGATCCAGGGTGCGGGTGGAGAGGAAACGGAGCTGAGCAGTGAGAGGTGGGGTGAGCACCACGTCCATCCGGTTTGGGCAAAGGCAAGGTGTCCTTTGCAGTGTCACACCCTCCTCACTACTGAGCCCAGAACTGCCTCTCATGGCCTTCTCCAGACTCACTTCCCATGGCCAGGAGGTGGCACATGATCAGTAGCCGGCACATGATCAGTAGCCAGCATCATTCTTCTATACAGTTAACTTCTTATTGACTACCGTCTCTCGGCTGTGCTATCAAATAGGACGTCTTATTCAGTCTTTCTAACTATGTTTTTGGTACCCATTACCATCCCCACATCCCCCAAGCTCCCCACTACCCTTCCCAGCCTCTGGTAACCATCCTTCTACTCTCTGTGTCCATGAGTTGAATTGTTTGGATTTTTAGATCCCACAAATAAGTGAGAACAATTGATGTTTGTCTTTCTGTGAATGGATTATTTCACTTAACATATTGATCTCCAGTTCCATTCATGGTTTTGCAAATGAGTGGCTCTCAATTTTTTTTATGGCTGAAGAGTACTCCCTTGTGTGTATGTGCCACATTTTCTTCATTCCTCTGTTGCTGGACGCTTAGGTTGCTTCCAAATCTTAGCTATTGTGAACAGTGCTGCAACACACATGGGAGTGCAGATATCTCTTCGATATACTGCTTTCATTTCTTTGGGGCATAAACCCAGCAATAGGATTGCTTGATCATATGGAAGCTCTATTTTTAGTTTGTAGAGAAACCTCCAAACTGTTCTCCGTAGTGGTTGTATATTACATTCCCACTGACAGTGTATGAGGGTTCCCTTTTCTCCACATCTTCGCCAGCATTTGGTATTTCGTGACTGTTGGTTAAAAGCCATTTGAACTGGAGTGAGATGATATCTCATTGTAGTTTTGATTGGCATTTCTCCAAAGATCAGCGATGCTGAGCACCTTCTCACATGCCTGTTTTCCATTTGTATGTCTTCCTTTGAGAAATGTCCACTCAAATCTTTTGGTGATTTCTTGATCAGATATTAGATTTTTTCCGATAGAATTGTTTGAGCTTCCCGTATACTCTGGTTATTAATCCCTCGTGAGACGGGTAGTTTGCAAATATTTTGTCCCATTCTGTGTGCTGTCTCTTCAATGTGTTGATTGTATCCTCTGCTGTGCAGAAGCTTTTGAACTTGATGTGATCTCATTTGCCCGTGTTTGCTTTGGATGCCTGTGCTTGTGGGGCATTACTCAAGAAATTTTCGCCCAGGGAAATCTACAATCTAAATGTCTTGTAGAGTTTCCTCAATATTTTATTGTAGTAGTTTCATAGTTTGAAAGCTTAGATTTCTTTAACCCATTCTGATTTGATTTTTGTATATGGTGAGAGATAGGGGTCTAGATTCATTCTTCTGCATATGGATATCCAGGTTTCCCAGTACCATTTATTAATGAGACTGTCTTTCCCCAGTGTATGTTCTTGGCACCTTTGTGGAAAGTGAGTTCACTGTAAGTGTGTGGGTTTGTTTCTGCTTTCTGTATTCTGTTCAATGGGTCTATACGTCTGTTTTAATGTCAGTACCGTGCTGTTTGGGTTACTATCTCTCTGTAGTATGATTTGAAGTCAGGTAATGTGAGTCCTCCAGATTTGTTCTTTTTTGTTTAGAATAGCTTGGCTATTCTGGGTCACTTGTGGTTCCATATGAATTTTGTGATTGCTTTATCCATTTCTGTGAGAAATGTCACTGTCTGTTGTTGTTTGTTTTTTTTTTTTAGGGATTGCACTGAATCTGCAGATTGCTTGCTTGTATATGTTTTAGAATGAGTTTTGCTAGCTAGTGTCCTTCAAATAATTTTTTCTTTCAATATAAATATAAGTTTTTGGATAACATTTCTTGAAAGGTTCCCTGTTGTACATTTAATATCTAAAGGATCTGTATTGACGTAACGACCCTCTGGGTTTGCTGATATTAATATTTGTAGTCTCTGTGTCTCCCTCTCTCATCAGTCTGGATAAAGGTTTATTAATTCGAGTTGTCTTCTCAAAGAAACAATGTCTGGGTTTCACTGATAATTTCTATAGATTTTTATCAATTCTATTTAATTCATTTTTCCTCATGTCTTTTAAATTTTTTCCTTCTTTTTTTCTCCTTTTTTTTTTTTTTTTTTTTTAACAGAATCTCGCACTGTCACCCAGGCTGGAGTGCAGTGGCATGATCTCGGCTCACTGCAGCCTGCACCTCCCAGGTTGAAGAGATTCTCCTGCCTTAGCCTCCCGAGTAGCTGAAACTATAGGCGTGCACCACCAGCCCAGCTAACTTTTGTATTTTTAGTAGAGACCGGGTTTCACCATGTTGGCCAGGCTGGTCTCGAACTCCAGACCTCAGGGGATCGGCCACCTCAGCCTCCAAGAGTGCTGGGATTACAGGCATGAGCCACTGTGCACGGTCTAACAGTTTTCCTTCTGACTTTGGGTATAATTTGATTTCATTTTTCTAGTTTCTTAATGTGGAAACCTAGATAATTGATTTGAGACTTTTCTTCCTTTCTGGCATAAGTATTGAAGGGTATAAATTTCCCTCTATGCTTTAGTTTCATCTTGCAAAGTTTGATAAGTTGAGTTTTCATTTTAAAATTTTTTCCTGCAATTTCTTCTTTGATCTCTGAGTTACTTAAATGTGACATTTAATTTCCAAGATTTCATGAGTTGCAGACATCTTTCTACAACTAATTTCCATTTCAATTCTTTTTTTGGTCATAGAACATGTTTTATAACATTTCATTCCTTTTGAATTTGTTGAGATTTGTTTTTTGGCCCACAATATGGTCTATCTTGGTGAACATTCTATGAGCACTTGAGAAGAATGTGCATTCTGCTGTTGATCTATGAATATCAATTAGGCCATGCTGTCTGATAGTGTTGTTCAAGCCTTCTGCATTTATATATCCTGATTTTTTGTACACTTTTTCTACCAAATGCTGGGAGTAATGGGGAAGTCTTCTACTAAAGGCACATGTGTTTATTTCTTCTTTGTGATGATGTATCAGTTGTCCCTCAAGTATTTTGAAGTTGCCTACATATCCGTGGTGTTTCTGTCTTCTGAATCAATGCACCTCTCTATGATTATTATGTAATGTCCCACTTTGTCCCTTGTAGTAATCTCCACTATAAAGTGTGCTTTGTGAGATACTAATTTCACACTTTGAGTTTATGTGATTCATATTTGCAGGAAATATCTTTTTCCATCTTTTACTTGTATCTTATTTATTTGTAGAGTGGGGCTCTTTTTTTCAAGATACAGATTACTGATAAATATACTGTGAAAATCAAGATCCTCTTGCAACTGTGCAACAACAATAAAAGTACCGAAAAATTAGATGCAGAAGTTAATATACAACTAAAATGTTACGCAGAAATCCACAGAATAATCTGCTCGGCTCTTCAAAAGAACCTCAATCAAACTCTTTGACAGCCTTCATAGAAAGATATCTTCACATTAAAGTGGTATATTTATATGAAAAATATAATTTTATCCCCCTATTTTCTACAGTAGGGTTTTGGGTAAAATTTCATTTCACGAAGGTGTTCTTTTGCTAAAAATCCTTTGAGAAACAACTATATAAAATGATCTCTCAGAGCTCTCTTAGCTTTGAAATGTGGAGATTCAAATATCCCTCTGTAGATTGAGGAGGAGATGTAAAAAAAAAAAACAAAACAAAACAAAAAAAAAAACAAAAAAAACCACGGGGGAGGAAATGTTGGTCTCCTGCACTTTTCTTTTCTTTTTCTTCCTAGACTAACCAGTTTGTGTTGGTCCTCCGCTGAGCTGTTAATCCAGGGAAGAGTTGCCCTTCTGAAGAATATGTGGATTTAATGGAGACCAAGGCAGGTTTGAATCGCTCAGAAACAACAGCCAGAATAACTTTTGAAGGGCTGTAAATGAAGATGATTCAAATCCTCTGATTTATGTTACTTTTCACTCAAGTTTCTAAAAGTGCCTTCCCATCAAGAGCTGTTTGGCTAGGGACAGAAACGTTTGTTCAGCCCTATTTTTCTCTTCCTTCCTTCCTTCCTTCCTTCCTTCCTGCCTCCCTTCCTGCCTCCCTCCCTCCCTCCTTTACTTCTTTCCACCCTCCCTCCCTCGCTCCATTTGTCCTTATTTTCTCCCTTCCTCCCTGGCTCCCTTCATGCCTCACTCCCTTCCTTCTTTCCTACCTTTTATAAAAAGAAGTGAACTGATATTTGTAAAGTAGAAAGATCAGAAGAGTTCACAATTATTTTCGAGTTTTCTTTTAACTTTTATTTTGGGTTCAGGGTGCATGTGCAGGTTTGTAATATAGGTAAACTCATGTCATGGGGTTTGTTGTACAGATTATTTCATCACCCAGGTAGTAAGGCCAGTGCCCATTAGTTATTTTGTTGATCCTCTCCCTCCTCCCAGCCTCTACCCTCTGATAAGCCCCAGCGTGTTGGCCCTCTCTGGGTGTCCATGTGTTCTCAGCAATTAGCTCCCATTTATAAGTGACTTCATGTGGTATTGGGTTTTCTGCTCCTGCATTAGTTTGCTAAGGATAATGGCCTCCAGCTCCATCCGTGTTCCTGGAAAGGACATGATCTCACTGTTTTTTATGGCTGCATAGTACTCCATGGTGTATATGTACCACATTTTAAAAAGTGCAGTCTGTTATTGATGGGCATTTAGGTTGATCCCATGTCTTTGCTATTGTGAGTAGTGCTACAATGATCATACATGTGCATGCGTCTTTATAATAGAAAGGTTTATGTACCTTTGGGTATAGTCCCAGCAATGGGATTGCAGGGCCAAATGGTATTTCTGTTCTTAAGTCCGTGAGGAATTGCCACACTCCTTTCCACAATGGTTGAACTAATTTATACTCCAACCAACAGGGTATAAGCGTTGCCTTTTCTGCACAAACTCACCAGCGTCTGTTATTTTTGTTCTTGCTTTTTATCCAGCCTTATAGACTCTGACTCTGTTTTTTGAGACAGGATGTCTTTCTGTCTGTGAACGTGAATTCCGCTGGTGTCTGAGACTTGCCAGGATTCCAGCTCTCTCAAATGCCTGTGTTCGAACTTTATGAATTTGCTACATTTTCACTGGTTTTCTTCTTACCCCCTGTTATGGCTGTCACTTCTTCCACACATGCTCTGCCACAGGTGATGCAGTTTGTTTGTCTCATCCCTCCTCAGAGGGACTAAGTCACCATTTTGGATCAGTTCCCATGGCTGCCTTGTTACCTCAGGTCTCTCATGATCTAAAAACAAAGCAAAACAAAAGATAACGTTATAGATTATTAGGCTGTTTTTCATTTTCAAGGCTAAAGTGACTTTCTCTTGAGGCTTTCTAAATCTTACCTGGTGGTAGAACTCTCCTTTGTTAATCTTTTGACTACTGGTACAAAAATACAGCATTCAAATATGTGAAGTAAAAGATAATCCAGGGGCTAGCTGACTATGGCTTGAGATCTAAATACAGCCCATGGCTTGTTTTGCATAGCCATTGAGATAAGGATTTTTTTCCATTTAAAAGTATTATTGCTAAAAAACACAACACTACGCCACAGAAACTACATGACCCACAAAGACTGAAATAATTACGATCAGATCTGTTAAAGCAAAATTTGGTGATGCCGTATTAATCAAATACCTGTTATTCTGCTTTGCATTATTGCATACATCTTTTCATCCATTAATTAATTTATTTACACACGGATTGAAAATATGGATGTTACTCTATCCCCTCAAGAAAGCGTCCAGCTTTATGATACCATGATTTCAGTCTGGGAAACTTGTCCCAGGGATCAGGTCAATACACAAACATACATTTGAGGTAGGAGACTGGCAGGACTTGTTTTCTGGTCATAACTGAGCCTAGAGCCTACAGTCAGAATCTATGGCTATTTCTGAAACATATACTGTCTGAATGACCTACAGGTATATTCAGGGAAATCAGTTACCAGTCCAGAGATTTAAATGTGAAGTAACACAACCTAAAAAGAAAAGAGTAAACAGGTGTGAATGTATTTATTCTACAGAAGAATTTATTCAATTACGTTTATTGGAAGCATGGCAGAAAACCCAGAACCAGAGAACAAAGTGATTAATAAAAGCATTTATAAAACTGGCCAAGGTGGGAGGATCACTTGAGCCCAGGAAATTGAGACCAGCATGGGCAACACAGTGAGACCACTATCTAAAAAATAAATAAATAATAAATAAACCAATTACCCAGGTGTGGTGTCTGCACCTGTAGTAGCAGGGACTGGGGAGGCTACATCGGGAGGATTGTTTGAGCCCAGGAGATGGAGGCTTCAGTGAGGTATGGTCATGCCACTGCCCTCCAGCCTGAGCAACAGAGTGACACTCTGTCTGGAAAAAAAAATAAATAAAAACGGCTTTATAAATAAAGATATGAAAATAATTTATTTCTTCCACAAAAGGTCTTCCTGAGACACATCCTCCAGTAAGGGACTGTCTGTTCCCAACGTTTCTGAATGCATGAGATTGGACAAAGAGAGACGAAAGCTCTCAAGTCCCTTTTTCTACTACAAACGCCATGGGGATGCGGGTCTGGGAACAGCGGAAAACCCTACCCTGCCCTGAAAAGTCCCTGGCTCAATGTGCATGTCCCTTTCTATGAAAGTTCCTTGCTGCCTATGCGCCTTGCTCTCTAACTTCTGTCCCTCCACAACTGTGAAAGGAGACGTCGTGACTTCCTTCTTTCGTGCTGACTATGACTTAGCCAGTAGGTCTGCAGATCAGTCCTCCCAGAAAGTGAAGTGTGAGTGAGTGTGAGGGGGAGCGTGGGGGGCTTCCTGTGGGTTGTGCCACTTGGTCCATGGCCTCTGAGGTCGTCATCTTTCTACTAAAACTCAGCGATACTGCCATGGCCTTGCTGTTGTGGGGTCCCGGGCATGGGACGAAGGAGGGCCATAGCGGGGAGGAGGGTCAGGTGAGCATGGAGTGAGTTTTTTTTTTTTTTTCACGGAGTCTTGCTCTGTCACCAGGCTGGAGTGCAGTGGCGCAATCTCGGCTCACTGTAACCTCCGCCTCCCGGGTTCAAGTGATTCTCCTGCCTCAGCCTCCCGAGTAGCTGGGAGTACAGGCGCGCACAACCACACCCAGCTAATTTTTGTATTTTTCAGTAGAGACGGGTTTTAACCATGTTGGCGAGGATGGTCTCGATCTCTTGGCCACATGATCCACCCGCCTCCGCCCCCCAAAGTGCTGGGATTACAGGCGTGAGCCACCGCGCCCGGTCATGGAGTGAGTTTTGAAGGCTGACTTTATTTGAGGTATTTGAGTCCTGGTGGGGGGGAACCCACACACAGAGAGGAGGGATTCCAAAGTCGTTAATGGGGACCTGGGAAGGAGCATAGGACAGGGCAAGGCGGGATAAGGAGGGGCACCACAGCCCTTAAGGCACGAGGGAACCTCACTGCGCATGCTCCTTTGGTGCCCACCTCAGTGCGCATGTTCACTGGGCGTCTTCCCATCGGCCCCTTCGCCAGTGTGGGGAACGCGGCGGAGCTGTGAGCCGGCGACTCGGGTCCCTGAGGTCTGGATTCTTTCTCCGCTACTGAGACACGGCGGGTAGGTCCACAGGCAGATCCAACTGGGAGTTGAAGTGTGAGTGAGAGTGAAGAGGAACCAGCAGGCTTCCGGAGGGTTGTGTGGTCAGTGACTCAGAGTGAGAAGGCCCTCGAAGTCGTCGTCCCTCTCATGCGGTGCCACGCCCATGGACCTTCTTGTCTCGTCACGGCCATAACTAGGGAGGAAGGAGGGCCGAGGAGTGGAGGGGCTCAGGCGAAGCTGGGGTGCTGTTGGGGGTATCCGAGTCCCAGAAGCACCTGGAACCCCGACAGAAGATTCTGGACTCCCCAGACGGGACCAGGAGAGGGACGGCATGAGCGGTATGGAAGGGTCCTGGAGACGGGGCATGCTGCGGGCTAGTGACCGCAGCCCCGAGGTCTGTAGAGTGCCTGGCATAGGGGTCCTGTGAGGAGTGCCCACTGCTGTGTAGCAAATTCTCAACTCCACTGTGGAGATTCCAATGGGCGGGGCCCTGAGTTCCTAAAAATGTGACTTTGGGGTGGGGGGGAAGTGGGCCTAGCAAATCATTATGTGACAAAATTGGTGGTCACTGCAGTTTCAGTTCTGTAGCTGTAATTTCCTACTTGTCTCCCTGATGGAGTGTCCAGTTGTGAAACCAACCTCATGGGAAATGCCCTGTGTTTTTTGCCAGGAGCCTTAAGACATCGCTCAGCTAGCTAGACCTACTTAAGTGGCTTTGCAAGCATTCGATTCAAAAGGTGCATACACTTATACTTGCCCGGGGACTTTCAGAGTATTTCTAAATTAAAAAAAAAAAAAATGTCCAAGTTAACATTTGACCATGAAAGCGGTCAAATCTAGTTGTCCTGTCAAGTGCATTTTCCCAATCGCAGTATTCTGCTTGCAGAGTGAAGTATGTGTTGATGAGGACGATCAACATATAGGCCTATGCCAAGAAGTTCACAACCTCCTGAGCTCATTGTGCCTCTGCTTGTGAATGTCTTAACATTCGATGTTTTCTCTTAGCAGAAAGTTATTTTTCTGATAGTGTTGATGGACTAGTATGGATACACTGATAATGGTCTCCCATGCTGATAAAAAATGATCATGGCATCCCATGAAGGAAAGATTAGTCCAGAGGGTTATATTTGGGTTTTGTGTGGGTGGATGATCGTGTGTGCCCAGATTTTGTCCATAACTTCCTCCTCATGCTTATTCAGAACAGATTACACACATTCATCCCAACATTGATTAAAACGGCTTCCAAAGTCCCTGAGGATATCTGTCTTTGAGTAACCTCTCTGAGGGAAGAATAGTGTTATGAAGATTAGGTATACGGGGTAGTGTTGGAGAAATGTCTCTAGACATACTTATAATAAGACATACCTGTGTATTCTGTATATTTATATTATTGACATGTATTAATAACAAAACTTTTTATCTAGACACACACAAACACAGAACCACACAGCCAGTCCCAGGAGCCCAGTAATGGAGAGCCCCAAAAAGAAGAACCAGCAGCTGAAAGTCGGGATCCTACACCTGGGCAGCAGACAGAAGAAGATCAGGATACAGCTGAGATCCCAGGTGCTGGGAAGGGAAAGTATGTCTATGGGGCGGGAGAAGGTCTATGTGTGCATTGTGGCCTATGCCATGAGCAGTAACAGGAGCAAAGAGAACATTAGGAAAAGATACCAAACATTTGCTCAAAGTTGGCTGGAAAAGGGAGAGTATAGTTTGCAGCTTCATGCTGTCCCTGGATATAATGAATCTTCTCTTGTTCTTCGAGATGGATTTTGTATGCTTGAAAATACAGTCCTTACTAAATCACTTGAAACCATTTAATTTGGTGTATAGAAATGTACATTTTTTTATTATGTGGCAGAGGCTCATCTGTCACGCAGTGTGGATTGTTGTGGCATGATCTTGGCTCACTGCCACCTCCAGCTCTTGGGTTCAAGCGACCTCGGCCTCCCAAAGTGCTGAGATTACAGGCATGAACCACTACGCCTGGCTCAGGCTTTATTTCGTAACGCGAAGGAAGAGAATATTATCATTTCCTTATTTATATTTCATGTTGGAATGCTTAAATCGATAACCTTTGTATTTTGAAGTGCGCGACATGGAAGGTGATCTGCAAGAGCTGCATCAGTCAAACACCGGGGATAAATCTGGATTTGGGTTCCGGCGTCAAGGTGAAGATAATACCTAAAGAGGAACACTGTAAAATGCCAGAAGCAGGTATGTTATCCAGCAAGATGCAAAGTTATGTGCTTTCTCATTTACACAGTATTATACTTTTGATAATAGAGGGATAACATTAGTGCTACTTTAAAAACACAGTGCAAATGCAAATGTTCTTTGAAACGTCGTTCAGACCCAAATGCCAGATTGCAAGACTTAAACACTATCAGATACAGAAACAAATTGGGTCAAAGCCATATTGAATCATCAAACGTGACAGCATTTTCTTAGTTTGGTGTATAACCAACAGCTAACAATTTTCAGATTCTTTTCTAATTTCTGCTTTTAACAAACACATAATGCATTTGTAATACCAGTTTGTGTGAAGTATGCTGAGCCCTGAAGCAGATTCTAGTACCAGCTCTACCATAATTTGTGAGAGTCTGGATGAATCGTATAAATTCCACAGGCATCCTTGCTCTTAGTGAAAAGAGTGGATGCACATCAGATAGATTAAAATCCATTTCGTTGCTAATTTCCACATGCTCTGGTTCTGTTGGATAGAAGACCAAGATATTCTGATCTTCATGATTTGTTTATCATAACAATCAGCTTCAGTCCAATTATAGTGTCTGAGTTGAGATTTCATGGTTCCTAGGAAAATGAGCGGGCACTCTGCTTGGTGTTTGTTTTCCTGTGTGGAGCCCTGTATGAGTGTTCTTGTATTTTGCCAAATTCTGAGTTCTCTGTCTCTTAAAGAATAATTGCATTTTAAAGCCTTCCCGCAGTGAAGCCTTGAATGACTGAATGATAAAATGGCAGGAGATCATCAGGTTTCTGTGGCCAGTGAAGTAGAGAGAATGCATGTAGGTCAGTGATGCCCAAGGTGGGTGTAAGATGCTTCTGCTAAGCATGCTCCCTGCCCTCCCGTCAGTCTTCATGAACTACTTCGTGTAATTAGATTGAAGACTCATATAGTAGAGTCACCTCTAACCATACCATAGGTTACATATTACAGGTTTCTGCCTTGAGGCATTAGATGATAGGGTTTGAAGTTCAACAACAGCACTGTGCTAGTTCCTGAGTAGTTGACACAAGTATGTTTTACACATATTTTCCAAATTGGTGACTGTTAATTACAATACCTCTTGAAGTTAAAGGAAGCACCCCATGTTTAAGGGAGAAATTACCTAAGTGTTTTTACTGTACCCTGCTGAACCATTCCATTATACTATTTACATTAAAAGATAGTTCTCAGACGATTTCCAGGAGCCCACTGAACAAGCCTCAGTTGTATTCTTAGGGAGATCATAGCTTTAAATGCACGTCTTATTAAAATAAATAGCACGTTACATGTTAAAGGAAAAGAATACTATGAAATAACAATAAAAGAGCCAGAGAATAAACTTAAAGGAAAAAGAAAGTGGTAGTGAATAAAAGACAGGTACGAATCATTAGTATAAGGAAAAGTAGTTCAAATGTCATAAATTGAAAAGATTGGTGTTTTGAAAATTAGCTACGAATATTCAGTAATTTACACAATCTTGAAGAAACGGAAAAAGCACAACATGGAATATGAACAAGACAGAGTGATTTAATACAGGGCTTTATTGAAAGTGAATACAGTCTTGAACGCTAAGATTTTCAGAGCATGGATGAAATGGTTGGTAAGCTAGGAAGGCATGCATTATTTATTTCTGTAATACCTGATTAAGCATCACAAAGCCTGTGGAAGAAACTGTGAAATTTTCCAGTTGTCCCTCAGAAACATTTACTTTTAGAAACAAATTTTGGCTTTTTCAGCTGTCCTACTCTTGTTTTCCATTCCCGTATCCCTCCATGTGTTCATGTGTGACACAGTTCATAATGCTATCACATATTGATGACAAAACTGATAGTGATAGCTTAAGAGTAATGCGACCATATACTTAATTATACAAATGGGAATACTTTCAAGTGTAAAAAGAGGCATGATTCATGTTGACATCACGGTAGGAGAAAACTGGGTACAAACGGTTGCTGTACCTTAAAAACCACAGAAGGGTAAACGAGCCCAAATAAATATTTTTGCCCTTCTGCGCAATAGAGTAAAAACAAATGCAATGCTGGCCTTTCTATTCACTTTACTTATTCAGTTCCTAAGGTGACAGTAACCGTTTTCTTCCAAGATAGTATTCAGACCATTTCCAGGAGCCCGTTTGGCATGCAGACCACAGATTCAAGCCAGAATATTAAAAGAGTGTTTGCCAAAAATTATACATTTTTCGTAAATTCCTTTTTTGTTTCTTAGGATTTTTGTGTGGTGCTGGTATTTTGAGTAAAACTATGCACAATGTTTGCTTTCTACTTTAAACCCCTTTTTAGTAGGTTCACTTCATTTAATGTGTTCGGACCTTGGACTGTCTTGCTTTCCTTGTAGCACTAGAAAGCAGGGTGTGTTTGAAAAACATCTTTAATGCATACACTTGGACGACTGTTGTCAAAGTCTCTTCAGAGGTCTACATGAATATAAGCAAAAGGGTGACTCTTAGGCTTCTGGTTTTGTCCATTGTAGAAAACTAAAACTTTGGTGTCTTTTCCATATCCTTAATGTCATTTAAACACAGTTCTGCTAGTAATGTTCCCACCTGTTATGCTTCTGTTATAGGTGAAGAGCAACCACAAGTTTAAATGAAGACAAGCTGAAACAACGCAAGCTGGTTTTATATTAGATATTTGACTTAAACTATCTCAATAAAGTTTTGCAGCTTTCACCAAAGAAGTCTTGCTCATCTTTGGTTCACTTCCTTCCCAGGTATTTGATAATATTGGAAATTGTTTCTGGCTGCGGTTGTCCACGCCTGTAATCCCAGCACTTTGGGATGCTGAGGCAGGAGGATTGCTTGAGCTCAGTAGTTTGAGACCAGATGGGGCAACAAAGCAAGACTCTCTCTCTACAAAAATAAAAGAGTGAATGCATGAATGTATGCAAGTTTGTATGTAGCTATAGCCCCAGCTACTCTAGAGCCGAAGGGTGGAGGATGCCTCCAGCCCAGGAGGTCCAGGATGAGGTTAATTTTTTTTTGAGATAGAGACTCTATTTTTTTTTTTTTTTTTAAAATTCAGTATCATTTTTGAAATTTTGTGTTCTGATTGAGCTGGTATGCACAGGTGTGATATTGTGTAATACATATTTGGTCCTAGACCCTGCTTCCTGGCATACAACTACTACAATTTTTAAAATCTCCACAAAGTGGTGTCTTTTTATATGCTAGTGAGTTGACTCATGGCTGGCAGCACCTAGGTAGCTCTAGTTTGGGGAATAGGAGGGTTGGGGCTTTCAGCTGCCCCTCCCCCCCCCCCAGCATTCGGGAAGAGGCAGAAGGTTAATTTGATCCCCAGTGGCAGGACAACAGTTTAATCAGTCACGCCTACAGAATGAAAACCTCCATCAAAACCAAAAGGACAGGATTCAGACGGCTTCTGGCTAGCTGAACATATGGAGGGCAGCATGCCCCTAGTGGGCACAGAAGCTCCCTACCCCTTTCCCCATACCTTGCGCTATGTCTCTCCTCATCTGCTTCCTTTCTTAGGGTATCCCATTTGCCACAAAACATGTGAGAAGTCCCTAGGCTATAGAGCTGGATGAAAGAATTAGGGCCTAGGTAGGAGTAAGCGGCAAGGAACCAGGGCAACTTGCTGAAGCAAGATGACGGGTCCTACCTACACCGTCTCTTTAGAGGCTATGTCATGAAGTAGCCATGGGTTTCCATCTTGCCTCTCACACAGTGCTCTTGATATGGTGGTCAAGATACTTACACCCTTTGGGACTGTTTTTCCATTTCTAAAGTTGAATTTACAATATGTACACTAAAAATACTTAGTATGAAAAATAAAGGAAATAACATCAAGGAGGCTTTACATTGCAGATAAATTTGGCCTGCTACTTAGATTTCCTTTTTTCCTTTAGATTTCAAACTTTTTCATTTCATTTTTCCTTACAACTACATTTCTGGTGTGTGATAACCTGCTTTTGAATTTCAAGTAGGAATGTCAAGTTCACTTTTAAAATACATTTGAATTCAGAAAATTATTTGATTTAAATATGTTAATTTAATAGCAGTGTAGCCGGTGTCACCCACGGCATAGATTCTGAAGTTGATTTGTAAATAACCGAGGTGTTACAAGGCCAACCATAAGTCAATAGTATGTGCTGAAAACTTATTTGCTGTGTGTGATGCCATGAAGACTAAATCAATATTCTGTCTATGCTACACCACGCAACTCAATACAGTAGTGTGTCAATTACTCAAGCGGTCCGTAAGCAGCCCTGTGTTGTCCTAAAAGGGCCATGAGGATCACCACTAAAGTCGTTAGTTTGCCTTTTCACATATTCTTAAATTTGGCCAATACGGAGACAATGAGCCCAAACAGATCCAAGTGGTTGATTGCTTGTAGAGAAAGCAAAAGCAAGATCAGCATTGTGTAAGCACCGTATCCCTATTTCCATAGTGTGACAGTGAATCGGAGGTACTCAGTGATGGACAGCACAGATAGTGGGTCTTTCTGCTGGTGAGGAGCCCACACCTGTGCCCAAAGGCAGTGAGCAATTTTATACTCCACAACTGTACCCTATGATGAAGAAAGGCCTGTGCTTACCTCAAACTAGGGAGACGGATGAAGAATGGCCTTGTGTCAGCCTCCAGGCAGATAGGGAGCTGGTGCAAAAATACCTGTGGCAGCTCCCACCGCCCTGCCTATCTTTCCTTGTTCCAAGGGCAGTCAAGATATTGTGCCCAGACTCAGGTTAGCTTGTAGTCTAGCTTTGCCTACTTCCCCTATTAGTGGTGACCTGCAGGAGCTCCAGAGCAACATACAGAGCCATTACCCTAGAGTGTCCGGCACAAAACCAAAGACCATATGTAAGGTGCCTAGAAACATATCATCTCCAATAATGTCTCCTAAACACAGGAGATGCTTTTCTGTTAGGATCATTACAAAAGGTTAATTCATCAATTCAGTAGACATGCATGAGTGGCCTGCCATGTTACAAGAAATACCTGGGATGCTGGAAATTGGAAGAACAACCAACAACACATGGTACTTGCTGTGGGGGCTGTCACACTGTGGTGGGGCAGAGAGGCCACTAAACAGAAGAGCAGCTGAAGTGCAAAGGGGGAAACACAGGGAAGGGACCCAGGGGAATAAAAACCAATCAATGTAGTGGCCAAGAGGCAGGAGGAAAATAACACTTTCACGAAAAGACAATCTTTCTCCATTGCCTTTGCACCTTTTCTGAAAATCAATATATCATGTCTGTGAGTCTATTGCTGGACTCCATTCTGATTTGTTGATTTTTCCAAATTACCACGTTCTCTTGATTACTATAGAATTAACATCACTCTTACTATTAGGTAGTGTGAGTTCCCCAAAGTTATAGTTCAGCATTGTTTCAGCTGTTCTGGTTCATTTTTGTTGCCAGGTAATTTTGGAAAATGACTCCAGTGAAGTGAGTTGTATATGTTGAGGCAGTTTTGCTTTGAAGGGCAGCAGCTAAATGTATTCGTAGCTATAGAAGGACATGGGGGAAGAAAGTGAGTTTCCCCCTTAGCTTGGGGAGTGATCCAATATAGGGGGAGCCATTGATGGTTCAGGAGAGAAGAACGATCATTGCAGCAGGAAAGCCCCTGGGAAAGTGGGAGTTATGGGATCCTGAGCTGAGGTGAGGGGCTTGCTTCCGTTAGGAGCATTGTATGCACAAGGGTGGCAGAGAATGCCAGGCCCAACAGGGGTAGCCTGGGTTTGGGATGCTCTGAGAATTCCCAGCAGATAGCTTCTGTCTTCTGAAGGAATCATTAGGGTAGGTCATTCAAATGGAGGAGGGTTCCTAGGAATTTGTGAGAGTATTGTAGTAGTGGAAGTAGGATGAGTGCGAAAGGGAGAAGCGATTCTCTCGTGGTCATAGACTTAAGGTAAAATAATTCCAAAGTTTTGAAGTTTTCTCATCACTGCTCAGTTGCTCAGATACAGGTATCATTACATGCTCATTATATTAGTTGGAGGAGCAGGAGTTCTAGCTCATAAAATAGATATGATAATGCTTGCCTTCTGAGCGGCACTAAAAGTGTTTCTATTGGTTTGTTAGGGCTGCCATCAAAAACTACCATGAACTGGGTGACTTAAACAACAAAAATGTATTTTCTCACAATTCTGGAGGCTACACATCTGAGATCAAGGTGTCAGCAGAGTTGGTTTCTTCTAAGGCCTCCCTCCTTGCCTTGCAGGCAGCTGTTTTCTCCGTGTCTGCCTTAGCCCTCCCTCTGTACAAGTCTGTGTCCTCATTTCCTCTTCTTGTAAGGGCACCAGGCACATTGCCTTAGACTCTACTCTAATGACCCCATTTCACTTAATTACCTTTTTAAAGACCCCATCTATCTCACATACAGTTACAGTCTGAGGCTCTAGGGGTTAGGACTTCACCATATGAATCTCGTGCAGACAGAAGTCAGTCCGTAACAGTATGACTGTTGGTTTTATATTAAAACTGATTATTTTTGACACCAAGTCTCACTGGGTGACCCTGACTGGAGTGCACTGACTTTGCCATGGCTCACTACTGTCTGGAACTCCTTGCTCCAGGGATCCTGCCATGTCATCTTCCTAGTAGCTGGCAGTACAGGCGTGTGACACCACACTGGACTAAATTTTGTTAACCTTTTTGTAGACAGGGGCGGGGGGTTGCGCCATGTTCTCCAGGCTGGTCTGGAACTCCTGTGCTCATGCGATCCTCCTGCCTCAGCCTCCCAAAGTGCTGGGATTATAAGCATGAGCCACTGAGCCCAGCCTTCTTTTACTACTATTTTTACTACTATTATCACTATCATTTATTTCATTATTGCAAGTAACCTGCAAGGTAGGATGTAGTCACTGAAGCTCAGAAATCTCAGCTCTTGCTGAACCTTACCAGGAATGGAAGTACTAGTCAAACAGACAAAACTCATGTGTTTTTGAGTGGAATGTAACTGAGAAAGTCAAATTTGTTACATTTCTTATCATGAATTCATGTGTTATTAAATTATATGTACAGAAAATTATTAATTAAATTATCAGTACAGAAAATAGTAATGAAGAATCTTCAAGTCTCATAAAACCTACAGACATAATGGAAATCATACTAGATTTGGAGTCCACTGAAATATACCTGATGGTCAGGCAACTGGAGGAAACCTCTGCCAAATGTCTCTGCCTCCTGGAATCCTGAGGCAGGTGATCAGTAGGGGAATCCCGGGGCCATAACAAACACTCGCACACTCATTATTCACACCTGCCTGAACACTCGCACATTCACCATTCACACCTGCCAGAACATTCTGCATTCATCATTCATACCTGTCCAAACATTCCCACATTCACTATTCACACCTGCCCAAACATTTCACATTCACGATTCACACCTGCCCAAATATTCCACAATCACCATGCACATCTGCCTAAACATTCCATATTCACCATGCGCACCTGCTGAAAATTCTCACATTCGCCATTCCCACCTGCCTAAACTTTGCCACATTCATGATTCACACTGCAACCATTTTTGGTAGAACTAAAAAATTACTTCTAATTCCCAAACCTTATAATAGGGCATATCATTAGCAATACCTGGTAAACTGTGGCGCACAACCCTCTGCAAGGGATCCAGGGAGGAGCAGTTATCAACATTCCAGCAGCAGCAGCAGCAGCAACAAGTAGCAATACAGGGGAGAGCAGAGGAGATGGGAGTGGCTGTTGTTCAAATTCTTGTGGAGACTATACCTGTCAAGAGCTTTCTATGGTGTTTATTGTGAAAGAAGCTTTCTGGACAGTGAGGTTCACATGGAGATGTTTCCAAAGGTGCCCTTGAAGCAGTTTACTGCACAGGAGGAGGTTAAACATTTTTTATTGTGGCAAAATACACATAGTTTATTTTGGGTTTCCTGAAAAATTCATATGTTGATGTCCTAACCCCAGGTACCGCAGAATGTGACCTTATTTGGAAATAGGGTTATTGAAAATATAATTAATTTCAGATGAGGTCATAATGAGGTTGGGTGGGCCCCTAATCTAATATGACTGTTGTTATTAGAAGAGGGGGAAATTTGTACACAGACGTTGGTATGGCTTGGGTATGGTTGGTTTGTCTCCAGGAAAACTCATGTTGAAATTTGACCCCCTTGCCCTGGTGCGGTGGCTCATGCCTGTAATCCCAGCACTTTGGGAGGCCAAGGCAGGTGGGCAGATCACCTGAGGTCAGGAGTTCAAAACCAGTTTGGCCAACATGGTGAAACTCTGTATCTAATAAAAAAAAAAATACAAAAATTAGCCGGAAGTGGTGGCATGCACCTGTTGTCCCAGCTACTCAGGAGGCTGCGGCAGGAGAATCACTTGAACCTGGGAAGCACAGTTTGCAGTGAGCTGAGATCGCACCACTGTACTGTAGACTGGAAAACAGAGCAAGACTCTGTCTCAAAAAAAGAAAAAGGAAAAAAAAGAAATTTGACCCCCCACTTCCCGTGGCAGTGTTGGGAGGTGGGGCCTGTTAGGATGAGTTTGGGTTATGGATGTGGATCCCTTATGAATAACTTGGTGCTGATCTCTTGGTGAAATGGTAAGTGAGTTCTCAGTTTCAGAATGCTGGAGTAGCTCTTGAAGGAATGGATTCATTCCCTTTAAAGTGGGTTGTTGTAAAGCCACGACACCCCTCAGGTTTTCCCCTCTTCACAAGTGTCCACTTCCACTTTGGCCTTCTCCACCATGTTGTGATGTGGATCGAAATCCCTCACCGAAAGCCAGAGGGCTATGCATTCCCTTGAATTTCTCAGTTTGTAGAACTGTGAGCTAAATAAATATCTTTTCCTTATGAATTACCTGGTTCTAGGTATTCCTTTATAGCAACACAAAATGGACTACGACGTGCACACAGGGAAAAAACCACGTGAGCATGAAGGAAGAGATAGGGGTGATGCATCTACTGGTCAATGAATGTCAAGGATTGCCAGCAAGCCAACAGAAACTATGAGAAAGGCATGGAACAGATTCTTCCATTCAGGCCTCAGAAGGAGTCAACCCTGCCCACACCTTGATTTCAGACTCTTAGCCTCCGGAACTGTGATACAATAAATGTCTGTTGTTGAAGCCAGTGAGTTTGTGGTGATTTGTTACTGCAGCCCTAGAGAACTCTCAAAGATTGTGGTACCAGGAAATGAAGTGCGGCTCTAACAAATACCTAACAGCATGAAAGTAGCTTTGGAATTGGGTCGTGAAGAGATGCTGGAAGAGTTTCAAAGTAAGTGACAGAAAAAGCCTACACTTCCTTGAAGGGGCAATTGGTAGACATATGGACATTAAGATAAATTCTGGCAAGTGCTCAGAAAAAAACAGGAGAGCTATACAGAAAATTTCTGTCATCTTAGAGAATACATCCAACATCAAGAACAGAATGTTGCTAGAAAAATGAATGTTAAAGGTGCTTCCGGTGAGGTCTCAGACAGGAATGGGGAACATGTTATTGGAAACATGGATTCACATTCCTTATGAGAAAATCGCAGAGAATTTAGCTAAACTGCATACTCTTAGATGCAAAGTAGAATTTGCAAGTGATGAACGTGGGTATTTAGCTAAGATTTCTAAGCCAAGTATTGAAGATGTTGCCATGTTTCTCCCTGCTGCTGATAGCAAAATCCAAGAGAGGAGAAATAAATCAACAACAGAACTGCTAAGAAAAAGAAATCAGCCTGTGATGATTTGGAAGATTCTCAGCCTATTCAGATAGCATGCCATGAAAACATGGCCAAGGATGTAGCTGGACAATTGATTGCTTAAGAGGTGAGGTATGTGACTCATGGCTCCATCAACCATCTCAGCAGAATGCAGGAATAGAGATGCAGTTACCCAGTGAAGATCCATTCAGGACTCAGAGTCTGTTTGGCCAGTGTCTCAAAGACACAGATCATGACCTGATCCCTCAGGAACAGATGGTGTTCCAGCTTTGTGGGAATGACTTTCAAGGTGTGGAGCACTTGGGGTGCTTTTGAAGGGCCTCAAGCTTCACTTCTCTGCTTGGAATGGAAAGCCCATCACCCATGGCAGTCAGGGAGGTACCTTTACTTATTAGAGCAGATTTGTTGAATTTTTCTATCTGGACAATGAAAAGTTCTGGGAGCACTTCTAGTTTCCTGTAGCCTCTTAGTAATTGATGTCCCTAATTCCGTATGTCCTCAGGGACCATTCCTTTGATTCTGGGATGGTACCAGCTTTTATGCTTTTATGTCTAATCTGTAAAAGCCTAGTTGCTAATCTACATCAAAATAAGACCTTGTTCATATCACACATTCCAACAGGTTTCTTTTGTGATTCCTGAATGTGAGCCACTATTAAAAAAAAAAAAACCTAAAAAACTTGGCCATGGAAATTAGACCCTGTTATTGTACTTTGTGAAGAATTTTCTCCTTCAGGATTAATTACCCATGGGTTCATCAGCCCCTTTGTAAATAAAGGGACAAAAACTATGTGGCATCTATGAATGTGGCAAGATGAGGAAGTATAGGGAGACCACAGCACAGCAGCTCTTCTCTTGTTTCAAACAGAGTCTATGAGGTGAAGAACCCACATCCCTCACCCATCCATCAATATTCTCACCCTACTCCTGAGCGTTCCCAATTTAGGTGGGAGTTTCTAAATATACTTGTCCACAAGTGTTGGTGGGGATGTTGTAACGTGAGGGTATCCATCATTGGTCATGGTAAAACAAAGATGAATGGAGGGGAGAGTTTTGTGATCTGTTTTCACATGCACTGCTTTTGGGTGTATTGATGCAAAATCATGTGCTCTCAGCAATCCCACAGCAGCTATCTCAGAAGATTGCTCCTTATGCCATCACAGCTGCTGTTTCAGAGCCAGAAGCTCCTTGTGGTTTGGTGTCTTCTGCTTAGATTTGTGGCCATGACCCTCCTCTGCTCACCCAATTCCTGGTAGTATCTGCTGGGTTGCACGGTTTCTTCCAGTGCTCCCTGAGAACCAGTTGTGTAATGACATTTCAAATTCCGCCCTCACAACATCAGTTCCTCTACAATGGCCGTGTACGTACCTTCTTGGAGCCCCCATGTGTGTCCTCTTCAGTGGGGCTGCGAAGAAATCGCTTAAATATAGATCTCATTCTGATGCTCGTCAGTCTGCTTAGAAAGCTGATCATCTCATCTTAGGTCATGTGTACTTTATTCCTTTTGTGTACTTTGAAATCTGATGCTATTTCATTCATGATGTGGACCCTTGCAGTTAGGTACTTTTAAATATCTTTCTGAATTTAACTCTGGCAACAACTTGAAGAAGTCATCTTGTGATCCTCATTTTATGGGTGAGGAAACTGGCACTCGTAGAGGTAGAGTAGCTTTATTAACTCCACACAAGCTTTTGATGCATTTCACATCTCAACGTAGAAGTCTTCCTCTAAGGTTCATGCTGTACACTAACATGCACTGAACATACTGATGAAAATAAGACTGTTACCCTCCTACCAAATGCGAAATTAATGTCATGGCCAGATAAAGACACTTGTAAAGAAACTGCACTTCAAGGTTGTCTATCTCAGTATTCCGATGGAAAAACATGGAATTTAGCCAGTTCTTGGAGAGACCAGGAAGTCCAGAGTGTCCTACAAGAATGGGGATTCCTTGGAAGTGAGGTTCACCTTGACACAAGAAAGATGAATCATATACGGTCAAAGGCAATTGCCCAGGGCCTCAAGAACAGCATGAGAAAGAAGAGCTGTGTCTGGTGGGATTGCGGGGGTCCTCCTTCCCACCTGAAAATCTACTGCTGCCTGCCGACCCTCTCAAGATTGCGACCTGTCTGGGTTCCAGCACCTAAAACAGGCAAAACTGGGAGGATGCAACCTTCTCTATTCTGCACCAGATATGTCTTAGAGAGAACCCATATTATCTGAATGACCAAGGAGAACTATGAGAAAAAATGCAAACTCTGTGTCAGGCCATTCGGTGTTTGGCTGGTGCCCTGGGGAGAACGTGCATCCCAAGAATAATGAAGGATGTCAAGCCTGCAGGCAATGTCTTTCAGACTTGCCTCTTAGACCTAGAGTATGACTGCCGATCCGGGTTCATGGCACAGACGTGCCTTTAAAGTGACTGCAAATACGGACAGAGGGACTTCCCTTCCTTCCTTCCTTCCTTCCTTCCTTCCTCCCCCTCTCCATCCTTCTCTCTCTCTCTCCCCTTTTTCTTTCTTCATTTTCTTCCCTTCTCTTTCTCTTTTTCTCTTTTCCTGTCTGCCTTCCTTCCTTTCTTCCTTCCTTTTTTTTTTTGACAGAGTTTCACTCTTTATTTTCCAGACTGGAGTGCAATGGCACGATCTCCGATCACTGCAAGCCCCGCCTCCTGGGTTCAAGCGATTCTCCTGCCTCGGACTCCCCAGTAGCTGAGATTACATGCATATACCACCATATCTGGCTAATTTTTGTATTTTTAGTAGAGATGGGGTTTCACCATGTTGGCCAGGCTGCTCTCATACTCCTGACCTCAGGTGATCCACCCGCATAACACATAGCAAACAAGTTTTCAGCACACATTGCTGACATTCAGTTGGCTTTATAACACCTCGGTTATTTACAAATCAACTTCAGAATCTATGCCGTGGGTGACACCGGCTACACTGCTATTAAATTAACATATTTAAATCAAATAATTTTCTGAATTCAAATGTATTTTAAAAGTGAACTTGACATTCCTACTTGAAATTCAAAAGCAGGTTATCACACACCAGAAATGTAGTTGTAAGGAAAAATGAAATGAAAAAGTTTGAAATCTAAAGGAAAAAAGGAAATCTAAGTAGCAGGCCAAATTTATCTGCAATGTAAAGCCTCCTTGATGTTATTTCCTTTATTTTTCATACTAAGTATTTTTAGTGTACATATTGTAAATTCAACTTTAGAAATGGAAAAACAGTCCCAAAGGGTGTAAGTATCTTGACCACCATATCAAGAGCACTGTGTGAGAGGCAAGATGGAAACCCATGGCTACTTCATGACATAGCCTCTAAAGAGACGGTGTAGGTAGGACCCGTCATCTTGCTTCAGCAAGTTGCCCTGGTTCCTTGCCGCTTACTCCTACCTAGGCCCTAATTCTTTCATCCAGCTCTATAGCCTAGGGACTTCTCACATGTTTTGTGGCAAATGGGATACCCTAAGAAAGGAAGCAGATGAGGAGAGACATAGCGCAAGGTATGGGGAAAGGGGTAGGGAGCTTCTGTGCCCACTAGGGGCATGCTGCCCTCCATATGTTCAGCTAGCCAGAAGCCGTCTGAATCCTGTCCTTTTGGTTTTGATGGAGGTTTTCATTCTGTAGGCGTGACTGATTAAACTGTTGTCCTGCCACTGGGGATCAAATTAACCTTCTGCCTCTTCCCGAATGCTGGGGGGGGGGGAGGGGCAGCTGAAAGCCCCAACCCTCCTATTCCCCAAACTAGAGCTACCTAGGTGCTGCCAGCCATGAGTCAACTCACTAGCATATAAAAAGACACCACTTTGTGGAGATTTTAAAAATTGTAGTAGTTGTATGCCAGGAAGCAGGGTCTAGGACCAAATATGTATTACACAATATCACACCTGTGCATACCAGCTCAATCAGAACACAAAATTTCAAAAATGATACTGAATTTTAAAAAAAAAAAAAAAAATAGAGTCTCTATCTCAAAAAAAAATTAACCTCATCCTGGACCTCCTGGGCTGGAGGCATCCTCCACCCTTCGGCTCTAGAGTAGCTGGGGCTATAGCTACATACAAACTTGCATACATTCATGCATTCACTCTTTTATTTTTGTAGAGAGAGAGTCTTGCTTTGTTGCCCCATCTGGTCTCAAACTACTGAGCTCAAGCAATCCTCCTGCCTCAGCATCCCAAAGTGCTGGGATTACAGGCGTGGACAACCGCAGCCAGAAACAATTTCCAATATTATCAAATACCTGGGAAGGAAGTGAACCAAAGATGAGCAAGACTTCTTTGGTGAAAGCTGCAAAACTTTATTGAGATAGTTTAAGTCAAATATCTAATATAAAACCAGCTTGCGTTGTTTCAGCTTGTCTTCATTTAAACTTGTGGTTGCTCTTCACCTATAACAGAAGCATAACAGGTGGGAACATTACTAGCAGAACTGTGTTTAAATGACATTAAGGATATGGAAAAGACACCAAAGTTTTAGTTTTCTACAATGGACAAAACCAGAAGCCTAAGAGTCACCCTTTTGCTTACATTCATGTAGACCTCTGAAGAGACTTTGACAACAGTCGTCCAAGTGTATGCATTAAAGATGTTTTTCAAACACACCCTGCTTTCTAGTGCTACAAGGAAAGCAAGACAGTCCAAGGTCCGAACACATTAAATGAAGTGAACCTACTAAAAAGGGGTTTAAAGTAGAAAGCAAACATTGTGCATAGTTTTACTCAAAATACCAGCACCACACAAAAATCCTAAGAAACAAAAAAGGAATTTACGAAAAATGTATAATTTTTGGCAAACACTCTTTTAATATTCTGGCTTGAATCTGTGGTCTGCATGCCAAACGGGCTCCTGGAAATGGTCTGAATACTATCTTGGAAGAAAACGGTTACTGTCACCTTAGGAACTGAATAAGTAAAGTGAATAGAAAGGCCAGCATTGCATTTGTTTTTACTCTATTGCGCAGAAGGGCAAAAATATTTATTTGGGCTCGTTTACCCTTCTGTGGTTTTTAAGGTACAGCAACCGTTTGTACCCAGTTTTCTCCTACCGTGATGTCAACATGAATCATGCCTCTTTTTACACTTGAAAGTATTCCCATTTGTATAATTAAGTATATGGTCGCATTACTCTTAAGCTATCACTATCAGTTTTGTCATCAATATGTGATAGCATTATGAACTGTGTCACACATGAACACATGGAGGGATACGGGAATGGAAAACAAGAGTAGGACAGCTGAAAAAGCCAAAATTTGTTTCTAAAAGTAAATGTTTCTGAGGGACAACTGGAAAATTTCACAGTTTCTTCCACAGGCTTTGTGATGCTTAATCAGGTATTACAGAAATAAATAATGCATGCCTTCCTAGCTTACCAACCATTTCATCCATGCTCTGAAAATCTTAGCGTTCAAGACTGTATTCACTTTCAATAAAGCCCTGTATTAAATCACTCTGTCTTGTTCATATTCCATGTTGTGCTTTTTCCGTTTCTTCAAGATTGTGTAAATTACTGAATATTCGTAGCTAATTTTCAAAACACCAATCTTTTCAATTTATGACATTTGAACTACTTTTCCTTATACTAATGATTCGTACCTGTCTTTTATTCACTACCACTTTCTTTTTCCTTTAAGTTTATTCTCTGGCTCTTTTATTGTTATTTCATAGTATTCTTTTCCTTTAACATGTAACGTGCTATTTATTTTAATAAGACGTGCATTTAAAGCTATGATCTCCCTAAGAATACAACTGAGGCTTGTTCAGTGGGCTCCTGGAAATCGTCTGAGAACTATCTTTTAATGTAAATAGTATAATGGAATGGTTCAGCAGGGTACAGTAAAAACACTTAGGTAATTTCTCCCTTAAACATGGGGTGCTTCCTTTAACTTCAGGAGGTATTGTAATTAACAGTCACCAATTTGGAAAATATGTGTAAAACATACTTGTGTCAACTACTCAGGAACTAGCACAGTGCTGTTGTTGAACTTCAAACCCTATCATCTAATGCCTCAAGGCAGAAACCTGTAATATGTAACCTATGGTATGGTTAGAGGTGACTCTACTATATGAGTCTTCAATCTAATTACACGAAGTAGTTCATGAAGACTGACGGGAGGGCAGGGAGCATGCTTAGCAGAAGCATCTTACACCCACCTTGGGCATCACTGACCTACATGCATTCTCTCTACTTCACTGGCCACAGAAACCTGATGATCTCCTGCCATTTTATCATTCAGTCATTCAAGGCTTCACTGCGGGAAGGCTTTAAAATGCAATTATTCTTTAAGAGACAGAGAACTCAGAATTTGGCAAAATACAAGAACACTCATACAGGGCTCCACACAGGAAAACAAACACCAAGCAGAGTGCCCGCTCATTTTCCTAGGAACCATGAAATCTCAACTCAGACACTATAATTGGACTGAAGCTGATTGTTATGATAAACAAATCATGAAGATCAGAATATCTTGGTCTTCTATCCAACAGAACCAGAGCATGTGGAAATTAGCAACGAAATGGATTTTAATCTATCTGATGTGCATCCACTCTTTTCACTAAGAGCAAGGATGCCTGTGGAATTTATACGATTCATCCAGACTCTCACAAATTATGGTAGAGCTGGTACTAGAATCTGCTTCAGGGCTCAGCATACTTCACACAAACTGGTATTACAAATGCATTATGTGTTTGTTAAAAGCAGAAATTAGAAAAGAATCTGAAAATTGTTAGCTGTTGGTTATACACCAAACTAAGAAAATGCTGTCACGTTTGATGATTCAATATGGCTTTGACCCAATTTGTTTCTGTATCTGATAGTGTTTAAGTCTTGCAATCTGGCATTTGGGTCTGAACGACGTTTCAAAGAACATTTGCATTTGCACTGTGTTTTTAAAGTAGCACTAATGTTATCCCTCTATTATCAAAAGTATAATACTGTGTAAATGAGAAAGCACATAACTTTGCATCTTGCTGGATAACATACCTGCTTCTGGCATTTTACAGTGTTCCTCTTTAGGTATTATCTTCACCTTGACGCCGGAACCCAAATCCAGATTTATCCCCGGTGTTTGACTGATGCAGCTCTTGCAGATCACCTTCCATGTCGCGCACTTCAAAATACAAAGGTTATCGATTTAAGCATTCCAACATGAAATATAAATAAGGAAATGATAATATTCTCTTCCTTCGCGTTACGAAATAAAGCCTGAGCCAGGCGTAGTGGTTCATGCCTGTAATCTCAGCACTTTGGGAGGCCGAGGTCGCTTGAACCCAAGAGCTGGAGGTGGCAGTGAGCCAAGATCATGCCACAACAATCCACACTGCGTGACAGATGAGCCTCTGCCACATAATAAAAAAATGTACATTTCTATACACCAAATTAAATGGTTTCAAGTGATTTAGTAAGGACTGTATTTTCAAGCATACAAAATCCATCTCGAAGAACAAGAGAAGATTCATTATATCCAGGGACAGCATGAAGCTGCAAACTATACTCTCCCTTTTCCAGCCAACTTTGAGCAAATGTTTGGTATCTTTTCCTAATGTTCTCTTTGCTCCTGTTACTGCTCATGGCATAGGCCACAATGCACACATAGACCTTCTCCCGCCCCATAGACATACTTTCCCTTCCCAGCACCTGGGATCTCAGCTGTATCCTGATCTTCTTCTGTCTGCTGCCCAGGTGTAGGATCCCGACTTTCAGCTGCTGGTTCTTCTTTTTGGGGCTCTCCATTACTGGGCTCCTGGGACTGGCTGTGTGGTTCTGTGTTTGTGTGTGTCTAGATAAAAAGTTTTGTTATTAATACATGTCAATAATATAAATATACAGAATACACAGGTATGTCTTATTATAAGTATGTCTAGAGACATTTCTCCAACACTACCCCGTATACCTAATCTTCATAACACTATTCTTCCCTCAGAGAGGTTACTCAAAGACAGATATCCTCAGGGACTTTGGAAGCCGTTTTAATCAATGTTGGGATGAATGTGTGTAATCTGTTCTGAATAAGCATGAGGAGGAAGTTATGGACAAAATCTGGGCACACACGATCATCCACCCACACAAAACCCAAATATAACCCTCTGGACTAATCTTTCCTTCATGGGATGCCATGATCATTTTTTATCAGCATGGGAGACCATTATCAGTGTATCCATACTAGTCCATCAACACTATCAGAAAAATAACTTTCTGCTAAGAGAAAACATCGAATGTTAAGACATTCACAAGCAGAGGCACAATGAGCTCAGGAGGTTGTGAACTTCTTGGCATAGGCCTATATGTTGATCGTCCTCATCAACACATACTTCACTCTGCAAGCAGAATACTGCGATTGGGAAAATGCACTTGACAGGACAACTAGATTTGACCGCTTTCATGGTCAAATGTTAACTTGGACATTTTTTTTTTTTTTAATTTAGAAATACTCTGAAAGTCCCCGGGCAAGTATAAGTGTATGCACCTTTTGAATCGAATGCTTGCAAAGCCACTTAAGTAGGTCTAGCTAGCTGAGCGATGTCTTAAGGCTCCTGGCAAAAAACACAGGGCATTTCCCATGAGGTTGGTTTCACAACTGGACACTCCATCAGGGAGACAAGTAGGAAATTACAGCTACAGAACTGAAACTGCAGTGACCACCAATTTTGTCACATAATGATTTGCTAGGCCCACTTCCCCCCCACCCCAAAGTCACATTTTTAGGAACTCAGGGCCCCGCCCATTGGAATCTCCACAGTGGAGTTGAGAATTTGCTACACAGCAGTGGGCACTCCTCACAGGACCCCTATGCCAGGCACTCTACAGACCTCGGGGCTGCGGTCACTAGCCCGCAGCATGCCCCGTCTCCAGGACCCTTCCATACCGCTCATGCCGTCCCTCTCCTGGTCCCGTCTGGGGAGTCCAGAATCTTCTGTCGGGGTTCCAGGTGCTTCTGGGACTCGGATACCCCCAACAGCACCCCAGCTTCGCCTGAGCCCCTCCACTCCTCGGCCCTCCTTCCTCCCTAGTTATGGCCGTGACGAGACAAGAAGGTCCATGGGCGTGGCACCGCATGAGAGGGACGACGACTTCGAGGGCCTTCTCACTCTGAGTCACTGACCACACAACCCTCCGGAAGCCTGCTGGTTCCTCTTCACTCTCACTCACACTTCAACTCCCAGTTGGATCTGCCTGTGGACCTACCCGCCGTGTCTCAGTAGCGGAGAAAGAATCCAGACCTCAGGGACCCGAGTCGCCGGCTCACAGCTCCGCCGCGTTCCCCACACTGGCGAAGGGGCCGATGGGAAGACGCCCAGTGAACATGCGCACTGAGGTGGGCACCAAAGGAGCATGCGCAGTGAGGTTCCCTCGTGCCTTAAGGGCTGTGGTGCCCCTCCTTATCCCGCCTTGCCCTGTCCTATGCTCCTTCCCAGGTCCCCATTAACGACTTTGGAATCCCTCCTCTCTGTGTGTGGGTTCCCCCCCACCAGGACTCAAATACCTCAAATAAAGTCAGCCTTCAAAACTCACTCCATGACCGGGCGCGGTGGCTCACGCCTGTAATCCCAGCACTTTGGGGGGCGGAGGCGGGTGGATCATGTGGCCAAGAGATCGAGACCATCCTCGCCAACATGGTTAAAACCCGTCTCTACTGAAAAATACAAAAATTAGCTGGGTGTGGTTGTGCGCGCCTGTACTCCCAGCTACTCGGGAGGCTGAGGCAGGAGAATCACTTGAACCCGGGAGGCGGAGGTTACAGTGAGCCGAGATTGCGCCACTGCACTCCAGCCTGGTGACAGAGCAAGACTCCGTGAAAAAAAAAAAAAAACTCACTCCATGCTCACCTGACCCTCCTCCCCGCTATGGCCCTCCTTCGTCCCATGCCCGGGACCCCACAACAGCAAGGCCATGGCAGTATCGCTGAGTTTTAGTAGAAAGATGACGACCTCAGAGGCCATGGACCAAGTGGCACAACCCACAGGAAGCCCCCCACGCTCCCCCTCACACTCACTCACACTTCACTTTCTGGGAGGACTGATCTGCAGACCTACTGGCTAAGTCATAGTCAGCACGAAAGAAGGAAGTCACGACGTCTCCTTTCACAGTTGTGGAGGGACAGAAGTTAGAGAGCAAGGCGCATAGGCAGCAAGGAACTTTCATAGAAAGGGACATGCACATTGAGCCAGGGACTTTTCAGGGCAGGGTAGGGTTTTCCGCTGTTCCCAGACCCGCATCCCCATGGCGTTTGTAGTAGAAAAAGGGACTTGAGAGCTTTCGTCTCTCTTTGTCCAATCTCATGCATTCAGAAACGTTGGGAACAGACAGTCCCTTACTGGAGGATGTGTCTCAGGAAGACCTTTTGTGGAAGAAATAAATTATTTTCATATCTTTATTTATAAAGCCGTTTTTATTTATTTTTTTTTCCAGACAGAGTGTCACTCTGTTGCTCAGGCTGGAGGGCAGTGGCATGACCATACCTCACTGAAGCCTCCATCTCCTGGGCTCAAACAATCCTCCCGATGTAGCCTCCCCAGTCCCTGCTACTACAGGTGCAGACACCACACCTGGGTAATTGGTTTATTTATTATTTATTTATTTTTTAGATAGTGGTCTCACTGTGTTGCCCATGCTGGTCTCAATTTCCTGGGCTCAAGTGATCCTCCCACCTTGGCCAGTTTTATAAATGCTTTTATTAATCACTTTGTTCTCTGGTTCTGGGTTTTCTGCCATGCTTCCAATAAACGTAATTGAATAAATTCTTCTGTAGAATAAATACATTCACACCTGTTTACTCTTTTCTTTTTAGGTTGTGTTACTTCACATTTAAATCTCTGGACTGGTAACTGATTTCCCTGAATATACCTGTAGGTCATTCAGACAGTATATGTTTCAGAAATAGCCATAGATTCTGACTGTAGGCTCTAGGCTCAGTTATGACCAGAAAACAAGTCCTGCCAGTCTCCTACCTCAAATGTATGTTTGTGTATTGACCTGATCCCTGGGACAAGTTTCCCAGACTGAAATCATGGTATCATAAAGCTGGACGCTTTCTTGAGGGGATAGAGTAACATCCATATTTTCAATCCGTGTGTAAATAAATTAATTAATGGATGAAAAGATGTATGCAATAATGCAAAGCAGAATAACAGGTATTTGATTAATACGGCATCACCAAATTTTGCTTTAACAGATCTGATCGTAATTATTTCAGTCTTTGTGGGTCATGTAGTTTCTGTGGCGTAGTGTTGTGTTTTTTAGCAATAATACTTTTAAATGGAAAAAAATCCTTATCTCAATGGCTATGCAAAACAAGCCATGGGCTGTATTTAGATCTCAAGCCATAGTCAGCTAGCCCCTGGATTATCTTTTACTTCACATATTTGAATGCTGTATTTTTGTACCAGTAGTCAAAAGATTAACAAAGGAGAGTTCTACCACCAGGTAAGATTTAGAAAGCCTCAAGAGAAAGTCACTTTAGCCTTGAAAATGAAAAACAGCCTAATAATCTATAACGTTATCTTTTGTTTTGCTTTGTTTTTAGATCATGAGAGACCTGAGGTAACAAGGCAGCCATGGGAACTGATCCAAAATGGTGACTTAGTCCCTCTGAGGAGGGATGAGACAAACAAACTGCATCACCTGTGGCAGAGCATGTGTGGAAGAAGTGACAGCCATAACAGGGGGTAAGAAGAAAACCAGTGAAAATGTAGCAAATTCATAAAGTTCGAACACAGGCATTTGAGAGAGCTGGAATCCTGGCAAGTCTCAGACACCAGCGGAATTCACGTTCACAGACAGAAAGACATCCTGTCTCAAAAAACAGAGTCAGAGTCTATAAGGCTGGATAAAAAGCAAGAACAAAAATAACAGACGCTGGTGAGTTTGTGCAGAAAAGGCAACGCTTATACCCTGTTGGTTGGAGTATAAATTAGTTCAACCATTGTGGAAAGGAGTGTGGCAATTCCTCACGGACTTAAGAACAGAAATACCATTTGGCCCTGCAATCCCATTGCTGGGACTATACCCAAAGGTACATAAACCTTTCTATTATAAAGACGCATGCACATGTATGATCATTGTAGCACTACTCACAATAGCAAAGACATGGGATCAACCTAAATGCCCATCAATAACAGACTGCACTTTTTAAAATGTGGTACATATACACCATGGAGTACTATGCAGCCATAAAAAACAGTGAGATCATGTCCTTTCCAGGAACACGGATGGAGCTGGAGGCCATTATCCTTAGCAAACTAATGCAGGAGCAGAAAACCCAATACCACATGAAGTCACTTATAAATGGGAGCTAATTGCTGAGAACACATGGACACCCAGAGAGGGCCAACACGCTGGGGCTTATCAGAGGGTAGAGGCTGGGAGGAGGGAGAGGATCAACAAAATAACTAATGGGCACTGGCCTTACTACCTGGGTGATGAAATAATCTGTACAACAAACCCCATGACATGAGTTTACCTATATTACAAACCTGCACATGCACCCTGAACCCAAAATAAAAGTTAAAAGAAAACTCGAAAATAATTGTGAACTCTTCTGATCTTTCTACTTTACAAATATCAGTTCACTTCTTTTTATAAAAGGTAGGAAAGAAGGAAGGGAGTGAGGCATGAAGGGAGCCAGGGAGGAAGGGAGAAAATAAGGACAAATGGAGCGAGGGAGGGAGGGTGGAAAGAAGTAAAGGAGGGAGGGAGGGAGGCAGGAAGGGAGGCAGGAAGGAAGGAAGGAAGGAAGGAAGGAAGAGAAAAATAGGGCTGAACAAACGTTTCTGTCCCTAGCCAAACAGCTCTTGATGGGAAGGCACTTTTAGAAACTTGAGTGAAAAGTAACATAAATCAGAGGATTTGAATCATCTTCATTTACAGCCCTTCAAAAGTTATTCTGGCTGTTGTTTCTGAGCGATTCAAACCTGCCTTGGTCTCCATTAAATCCACATATTCTTCAGAAGGGCAACTCTTCCCTGGATTAACAGCTCAGCGGAGGACCAACACAAACTGGTTAGTCTAGGAAGAAAAAGAAAAGAAAAGTGCAGGAGACCAACATTTCCTCCCCCGTGGTTTTTTTTGTTTTTTTTTTTGTTTTGTTTTGTTTTTTTTTTTTACATCTCCTCCTCAATCTACAGAGGGATATTTGAATCTCCACATTTCAAAGCTAAGAGAGCTCTGAGAGATCATTTTATATAGTTGTTTCTCAAAGGATTTTTAGCAAAAGAACACCTTCGTGAAATGAAATTTTACCCAAAACCCTACTGTAGAAAATAGGGGGATAAAATTATATTTTTCATATAAATATACCACTTTAATGTGAAGATATCTTTCTATGAAGGCTGTCAAAGAGTTTGATTGAGGTTCTTTTGAAGAGCCGAGCAGATTATTCTGTGGATTTCTGCGTAACATTTTAGTTGTATATTAACTTCTGCATCTAATTTTTCGGTACTTTTATTGTTGTTGCACAGTTGCAAGAGGATCTTGATTTTCACAGTATATTTATCAGTAATCTGTATCTTGAAAAAAAGAGCCCCACTCTACAAATAAATAAGATACAAGTAAAAGATGGAAAAAGATATTTCCTGCAAATATGAATCACATAAACTCAAAGTGTGAAATTAGTATCTCACAAAGCACACTTTATAGTGGAGATTACTACAAGGGACAAAGTGGGACATTACATAATAATCATAGAGAGGTGCATTGATTCAGAAGACAGAAACACCACGGATATGTAGGCAACTTCAAAATACTTGAGGGACAACTGATACATCATCACAAAGAAGAAATAAACACATGTGCCTTTAGTAGAAGACTTCCCCATTACTCCCAGCATTTGGTAGAAAAAGTGTACAAAAAATCAGGATATATAAATGCAGAAGGCTTGAACAACACTATCAGACAGCATGGCCTAATTGATATTCATAGATCAACAGCAGAATGCACATTCTTCTCAAGTGCTCATAGAATGTTCACCAAGATAGACCATATTGTGGGCCAAAAAACAAATCTCAACAAATTCAAAAGGAATGAAATGTTATAAAACATGTTCTATGACCAAAAAAAGAATTGAAATGGAAATTAGTTGTAGAAAGATGTCTGCAACTCATGAAATCTTGGAAATTAAATGTCACATTTAAGTAACTCAGAGATCAAAGAAGAAATTGCAGGAAAAAATTTTAAAATGAAAACTCAACTTATCAAACTTTGCAAGATGAAACTAAAGCATAGAGGGAAATTTATACCCTTCAATACTTATGCCAGAAAGGAAGAAAAGTCTCAAATCAATTATCTAGGTTTCCACATTAAGAAACTAGAAAAATGAAATCAAATTATACCCAAAGTCAGAAGGAAAACTGTTAGACCGTGCACAGTGGCTCATGCCTGTAATCCCAGCACTCTTGGAGGCTGAGGTGGCCGATCCCCTGAGGTCTGGAGTTCGAGACCAGCCTGGCCAACATGGTGAAACCCGGTCTCTACTAAAAATACAAAAGTTAGCTGGGCTGGTGGTGCACGCCTATAGTTTCAGCTACTCGGGAGGCTAAGGCAGGAGAATCTCTTCAACCTGGGAGGTGCAGGCTGCAGTGAGCCGAGATCATGCCACTGCACTCCAGCCTGGGTGACAGTGCGAGATTCTGTTAAAAAAAAAAAAAAAAAAAAGGAGAAAAAAAGAAGGAAAAAATTTAAAAGACATGAGGAAAAATGAATTAAATAGAATTGATAAAAATCTATAGAAATTATCAGTGAAACCCAGACATTGTTTCTTTGAGAAGACAACTCGAATTAATAAACCTTTATCCAGACTGATGAGAGAGGGAGACACAGAGACTACAAATATTAATATCAGCAAACCCAGAGGGTCGTTACGTCAATACAGATCCTTTAGATATTAAATGTACAACAGGGAACCTTTCAAGAAATGTTATCCAAAAACTTATATTTATATTGAAAGAAAAAATTATTTGAAGGACACTAGCTAGCAAAACTCATTCTAAAACATATACAAGCAAGCAATCTGCAGATTCAGTGCAATCCCTAAAAAAAAAAAACAAACAACAACAGACAGTGACATTTCTCACAGAAATGGATAAAGCAATCACAAAATTCATATGGAACCACAAGTGACCCAGAATAGCCAAGCTATTCTAAACAAAAAAGAACAAATCTGGAGGACTCACATTACCTGACTTCAAATCATACTACAGAGAGATAGTAACCCAAACAGCACGGTACTGACATTAAAACAGACGTATAGACCCATTGAACAGAATACAGAAAGCAGAAACAAACCCACACACTTACAGTGAACTCACTTTCCACAAAGGTGCCAAGAACATACACTGGGGAAAGACAGTCTCATTAATAAATGGTACTGGGAAACCTGGATATCCATATGCAGAAGAATGAATCTAGACCCCTATCTCTCACCATATACAAAAATCAAATCAGAATGGGTTAAAGAAATCTAAGCTTTCAAACTATGAAACTACTACAATAAAATATTGAGGAAACTCTACAAGACATTTAGATTGTAGATTTCCCTGGGCGAAAATTTCTTGAGTAATGCCCCACAAGCACAGGCATCCAAAGCAAACACGGGCAAATGAGATCACATCAAGTTCAAAAGCTTCTGCACAGCAGAGGATACAATCAACACATTGAAGAGACAGCACACAGAATGGGACAAAATATTTGCAAACTACCCGTCTCACGAGGGATTAATAACCAGAGTATACGGGAAGCTCAAACAATTCTATCGGAAAAAATCTAATATCTGATCAAGAAATCACCAAAAGATTTGAGTGGACATTTCTCAAAGGAAGACATACAAATGGAAAACAGGCATGTGAGAAGGTGCTCAGCATCGCTGATCTTTGGAGAAATGCCAATCAAAACTACAATGAGATATCATCTCACTCCAGTTCAAATGGCTTTTAACCAACAGTCACGAAATACCAAATGCTGGCGAAGATGTGGAGAAAAGGGAACCCTCATACACTGTCAGTGGGAATGTAATATACAACCACTACGGAGAACAGTTTGGAGGTTTCTCTACAAACTAAAAATAGAGCTTCCATATGATCAAGCAATCCTATTGCTGGGTTTATGCCCCAAAGAAATGAAAGCAGTATATCGAAGAGATATCTGCACTCCCATGTGTGTTGCAGCACTGTTCACAATAGCTAAGATTTGGAAGCAACCTAAGCGTCCAGCAACAGAGGAATGAAGAAAATGTGGCACATACACACAAGGGAGTACTCTTCAGCCATAAAAAAAATTGAGAGCCACTCATTTGCAAAACTATGAATGGAACTGGAGATCAATATGTTAAGTGAAATAATCCATTCACAGAAAGACAAACATCAATTGTTCTCACTTATTTGTGGGATCTAAAAATCCAAACAATTCAACTCATGGACACAGAGAGTAGAAGGATGGTTACCAGAGGCTGGGAAGGGTAGTGGGGAGCTTGGGGGATGTGGGGATGGTAATGGGTACCAAAAACATAGTTAGAAAGACTGAATAAGACGTCCTATTTGATAGCACAGCCGAGAGACGGTAGTCAATAAGAAGTTAACTGTATAGAAGAATGATGCTGGCTACTGATCATGTGCCGGCTACTGATCATGTGCCACCTCCTGGCCATGGGAAGTGAGTCTGGAGAAGGCCATGAGAGGCAGTTCTGGGCTCAGTAGTGAGGAGGGTGTGACACTGCAAAGGACACCTTGCCTTTGCCCAAACCGGATGGACGTGGTGCTCACCCCACCTCTCACTGCTCAGCTCCGTTTCCTCTCCACCCGCACCCTGGATCTTTCCAGAGCACCGGGCCTCCTCCAGCCTAGGGACCCAACTGCTTTCCTAAGCTGCTATGGAACTGGCCTGAGGTCCCAGGGGCTGTGCATTGTGCTGCTGACCTCCGCTCTCTTCAGCCAGAGTCCCAGTTCAGCCGCTTTCTGGAGAAATCCGTCGCCTGGGCCCACGCACAAATTCAGAGCTTAGCAGGTGTTGACATGTGCTCCGCTTTCCTGGAAAGGCCACTCTCCCCATCACCTTTTTCACAGATGTGAACGTTGAGGCATGAGGGAGGGTAATTACTGGTTTACCCAGGGGATGCTAAGAACAGAGGAGAAAACCCCAGTGCTCAGGTGTGTGTCTGTCTGATGGGCCATGTTCACCAACCCATTTAAGTGGACGGGGCTGCTAATAGATACCTAAAGATTTGGTTTTAGGTATTTTACACTTGAAATCATTGGCTTCATCTCAACTGAGGCCTGACTGCCCAGTGTCTCAAAGATACAGGTCATGACCTGATCCTTCAGGAACAGATGGTGTTCCAGCTTTGTGGGAGTGACTTTCAAGGTGTGGAGCACTTGGGGTGACTTTGAGACACCTCAGGCTTCATATCTCTGCTTTGAATGAAAAGCTCATCACCCACGGCAGCCAGGGGACGTACCTTTACTCGATGGGGCTGATGTCTTGAATTTTTCTGTCTAGACAATGAAAACTTCTGGGAGCACTTCCAGTTTCGTGTAGCCTCTTAATAATTGATGTCACTAAATTCCGTATGTCCTCTGGGACTGTTCCTTTGATTCTGGGATGGTACCAGCTTTTATGCTTTTATGTGTAATCCGTAAAAGCCAAGTTGTTAATCTGCATGAAAATAAGACTTTGTTCATATCACACATTCCAACAGGTTTCATTTGTGATTTTTAATGTGGGATACTATGAAAAAAAAAAAAAACTAAAAAACCTGGTCATTGAAATTAGACTCTGTTATTGTATTTTGTGAAGAATTTCCTCCTTCAGGATTAACCACCCATGGGCTCATCAGCACCTTTGTAAGTAAAGGGACAAAAACCAGGTGGCATCTACGAATGCGGCAAAATGAGGAAGTATAGGGAGACCACAGCACAATGGCTCTTGTTTCAAACAGAGTCTGGGGTGAAGTACCCGCATCTCTCCCCCATCCCTCAATATTCTCATCCTACTCCTGACTGTTCCCTCTTTAGGTGGGATTTTCTAAATACGATTGTCCACAAGTGTTGGTGGGGATGTTGCAATGTGAGGGTATCCATCATCAGTCATCTTAAAACAAAGATGAATGGAGAGGAGAGTGTTGTGATCCGTTTTCAAATGCACTGCTTTTGGGTGTGTGGCTGCAAAAACACATGGTCTCAGCAATCCCACAGCAGCTGTCTCAGAAGATTGGCCCCGATGCCACCACAGCTGCTGTTGCAGAGCCAGGAGCTCCTTGCGGTTTGGTGTCTTCTGCTTAAATTTGTGGATGTGACCCCCCTCTGCTCACCCAGTTCCTGGTAGCATCTGCTGAGTTTCCTGATTTGTTCCAGTGTTCCCTGAGAGCCAGTTGTGTAATGATATTTCAGAGGGTCTTCAGGGATTCCATCCACACTACACCAGTTACTGTGCAATGGCCATGTGCTTATCTTCTTGGAGCCCCCATGTGTGTCCTCTTCAGTGGAGCTGTGAAGAATTCTACTTAAATGTAGATCTCATTCTGATGCTCATCAGGCTGCTTAGAAAGCTGCTCATCTCGTCTTTGGACGCATGTACTTTATTCCTTTTGTGTGCATTGAAGTCTGATGCAGTTTTATTAATGCTGTGGACCCTTGTAGTTAGGTACTTTTAAATATCTTGGTGAATGTAACTCTGGCAACAACTTGAAGAAGTCGTTGTGTGATCCCCATTGTATGGGTGAGGAAGCTGACACTTGTGGAGGTAGAGCAGGTTTATTAACTCCACACAAGTATTGATGCATTTCACATCTCAAGGTAGAAGTCTTCCTCTAAGGTTCATGCTGTGCACTAACATGCACTACACATACTGATGAAAATAAGACTATTGTCCTCCTACCAAACGGGAAATTAATGCCATGGCTGGATAAAGACACTTGTAAAAAAACTGCACTTCTGTCTATCTCAGTATTCCAATGAAAAAGCATAGAATTTTAGCCAGCTCCTGGAGAGACCAGGAAGCACAGAGTGTCCTACAAGAATGGGGATTCCTTGGAAGTGAGGTTCACCTTGACTCAAGAAAGATGACTCACGTATGGTGAAAGGCAATTATCCAGGGCCTCAAGAACAGCACCAGGAAGGAGAGCTGGGTCTGGTGGGATTCTGGGGGTCCTCTCTCCCACCTGGAAATCTACTGCTGCCTGCCGACCCTCTCAAGATGGCGACCTCTCTGGGTTCCAGCGCCTAAAACAGGCAAAACTGGGAGGACGTCGATTTCTCCATTCTGTGCCAGATATGTCTCAGAGAAACATGACCAAGGAGAACTATGAGAAAAAATGCAAACTCTGTCAGGCCATTCAGTGTTTGGCTGGTGCCCGGGGGAGCACATGCATCCCAAGAAGACTGAAGGGGGCCAAGCCTGCAGGAAATGTCTGTCAGACTTGCCTCTTAGACCTAGAGTATGACTGCCCATACAGGTTCATGACACAGACTTGCCTTTAAAGGTGACTGCAGATATGGACAGAGGAATTTCTAACCCTGATAGAACATGGCCAGTTGCTCTGCTGGGGAAAGCCACGTCCAGTAGTGAGATGCTGCTCAAACTGGCCCGGACCACACTGTACTGGCTGAGGAATAAGCCTTACATTTGTTCTGTCCAGGTGAAAGGAGAGGACTGTCCGTAAAGACATGAGAAGCCTGCAGATCCCGATGACCCCCTCTTGCTGGTCAAAATATTAAAGATCGATATTGTGGAAACAATGACCCTGTAGCAGATAAGCTTCTAAAGCAGGCTTCAACCACGCTTCATCTTGAATCACCAGCAGAGAAGGATTCCACCAGAGTGTATGTTGGTGATCTGGCGGATACCATTACTCAGACAGATTTAAGAAATTGTCTCTGCCTGTTGGTGAGATCCGGATGGTCACCGTTGTGCAGAGATAGCAGTGTGCCTTTCATCCAGCTTTCCACAGGGTGGCTACAGAAGTGGGTGCCGACAAGTCCTCTAATAAACTGATTGTCAATGGCTGCAGACTCCGTGTAAAATGGGGACGATTCCAAGCACTCAAGGGGAAAAAAAAAAAAAAAAAACAAAAAAAAAAACAAAACAAAAAACAGGTTGCGGGGGACAGAATCACAGAATCTGGGATCCTGCCAGAGCCTATTCCAGTGCCGCCAGGAGCTCCTTCTCCCCCTGCAGCTATGGTGCCTACTTTGGAGCCTGCTTACATGGACTGAGGCCACCTTTTCTGACTTTTCCCAGTGGCAAAATGCACCTGACAAGGAGAATAGACGTAGGAACCTGGCCTCCTGGACCCTCACTTGCCCAGGATTTTTCTTGGTGCTGTGAGCTGAAGGAGTTCTTGTAAGATGGAAGCAGGGCCCCAGGATCATGTGATTGGCCTCATGTCTCTGCCTCACTAATGGTCAGGTGGTGGGCACTCAGGGCCTGGGAACCCAGCCATCCCTGATTCCTTGAGTTGATGAGGCAGGGGGCTGGCCCACCTGCTCCTGCCCCACCATGGCCGTCGTGGATGGTTGCTCTTTGAGCCTGGTAACGTCACTGGCTTGGCTCTGCCAGGCATGCACAGGCCCTGCGTACCCACACACTGCTTTAAGGGGCTTGCCCTGCCTTGGGCCACAGTCTAGTTCTGGCCAGTGTCCCAGGAACTCAGTCCCCTGTGTATCCATCTTAGCTGTTTCTGGGGCACCCATGGCTCCCCTGGGTCCTTTTTCTCTTAGGGCTTTGGTTGGGGAGGGCTTGGGCTGGATCGCAGCCCCATGGCTCTAGGACGCTTGCCATGTGAGAGAGGCTCTGTCACACGAATGGGCAGACATGAGGACATGTGATATGCTGCTGGCTGGCTGGGGCTGTGCAGATGCCACAGTCACTCTCCCCTCCAGCAGCCTCTGAGGGCCCAGCTTCCCCATTGATATTGATCCCATATGGCCTAGCAGTAGTACTGACTGCTTTGGGGCTGTGCAGGTCACTATCCTCAGAGAAACGTCAGATCCAGATGCCACCATGCAAGGGGAGTTTCTGTGGTCCTACCTCTGGGTTTTCAGTGGGGTGGGCCGGGTCTGGTTGTTGGAGCCCTGCTGGGGTTGCAGGGATGGGCCTGTCCATTGGTCCTGGCGATGTCCAGAGCAGATGTGGAAGGAATAGGAGTTCAGCATGCCTGCTCAAAGCTGCACTGTAGAAACCATGAGCCCTGGATGTCCAGGTACATGGGGAGTTTTGGGAGAGGACACCCACACAGAAATCGCCCAAAATCCTGGGGTCTGTCCTGAGATAGGAACAGACTTGCTGCACTCTGGGCGGCTGAGCCCCCAGAGAGTGTCCTGCTGCCCGGGGCTCTGCAGAAGTCCCCTCATGCTGCTGGGCCTTGGCCTCAGGGTCAGCTTCTGGACTTCTGGAGCTGGGCTGGTGGGCCACGGAGGGCCAGCCCATCCCCCTTGGGGAGGGTCTGCATGCTGAGGGATGCCCACAGAGGCCTGGGTGCCAGGGACACTCGCTCCAGGCCCAGGACCTTCCTAGGGATCTTTGCGGGTTTGGCTGAAAGAAAAGCAGATTTGGTCCACTTCTCCACCAAGCCCATTTGTTCCTTGCAGGGCTGGGCCTCATGAACCTGGGCCCCTGGAGTTTTGGGGGTCTCTAGTGGCCCACCTGGTGTGACACTGAGGAAACACCCACAGGCTGCTGAACCCAGAGTGAGGGGTGCGTGCAGCTTGGGGCATGGTTGCTGTCAGAGCATCTCAGGCTGCTCCTGAGACGGACCCCAGGGTTCAGGCTGGCTCGGGGCTCCAGGCCTCATACCCTCACCCCAGGGCGGCTCGGTCTGGGCTTCAGCCCTGGTGCAGAACCCAGCTGGGAGAGGCCTTACCTGTCACCTGGCCCCCTTGCCACCTAAGATGAGGATCTGTCTCCATAGCGCGTGAGACGCTCCTGGGCACTGGGCCCCTCTGCCATCCCGGACAATCCACGCCATGCCATGACTTCCCACACCAAGGGGCCTACTGCACCGTTTCCCTGAATCCTCTCTCTGGGTCTGAGACACTGATTCTCTCCATTCCCTGGCTCAAGGCTTGCCGTCGTGACACACTTGGAGGGGTGCTTGTGAGTGAGGCGCCCCTGCTGTTCTCTGGCGTTGGTGCTGGCAGCTGTGGGTGTTGGCTCGCACAGATGGGACCAACCCCTCCAGTGCCCCCTAGGGTTCTTCTAGGCCAGGAGGGGAAGGGTGTGGGGGAGGGGCTTGGAGGGGTCTTGCCCTCATCCCATGCCCTGTCACTGAGGCGAGTCTAGCACCTGCCCTGGGGCCCAGCTGGCCTGTTTTCAGAAACTTCTTTGAGAAGGAAGAGGAAAAGGAGGAAGGCCCAGGGAGTAGGGATGGAGGGTTCTGGGCACTCCCCATGATTTAATGCCTCAGAGGGTGACTCGGGAGGCTGGAGCCCACGTGGGATGCAGGTCGCAGTGTGTCCTTCTCAACTCGACCATGGAGGCCTGAGCACCACGTGGTCCTCAAGAGTCCAGGCCTGAGACAGCATGTCCTGAAGGAGCTCCCATGGGCCAAAGAGAGACAGCTTCAGGAGATGTTCTAGGAATGGGGCTGCACATCAGGCCAGGTGGGGTCTCCTGGGAGAGGTCTGTGCCTTCACCTCGTTTCTGCTCTGGGCACTTCCCAGTGGGCAGTGCTGGGCCCCTTTTGGACAACCCTGGGGTCCAGCTGTGCACAGGAGGCCATGGATGCAGGGAAGGCCCAGGCAGGGGAATGCTCACCACGCTCCTGCCTTTCATCTGTGTCGTGTCAGGGGTGGGCTCAGTTTCCAGAAGGACTCACGGTGCCCTGCACAGCTGACCAGGCCTGGCTTGGCTTGGCCTTCCCTCTAGGCCAGAGCAGAGGGTCGTGTGGACAGTGCAAGTGCTGCCCTCAGGACAGTTGAGGTCTGTCTTGTGTGGTCCTCCTGCTACCTTCAGGCACATGGGGACAAGTTTCTATGAACTTTGAATGCCGCTTATGTCCTGGCTGTGAGCTTGTGCTCGCCCTGCAGAAGGCAGACCTCCCAGAGCCTCAGGATGAGCCCAAAAGGGGTCTGTGGGGACAGCAGGCCTGGGAGGACCTGGCCTGTCAAGGCTGATGGCTGGTGGAGTGAGCAGAGCCTATTGGGATCCCAGTCTGTAGTGCCGGGGACCCACTCTGCACAGTATCAGACCCCCCTTCCCAATGAGGCTATGTCAGACAAGATCCTGCAGATCCTCATGGGGGTCGACTCATCTCAGTGGGATGTGGCCCCTGGAAGAAGGGGCTCCCCAAGTTCTCTCCCAAGGTGAGTCCTAGCCCAGTCTGCACACGATGCCGGCTCTGAGCCCCAGCCCCTGCTGTGGGATGTCGGCATGGTTTCTGTGCCCTGCAGGGACGTGCCTCTGCCTCCTGTGCAGAGGAGACGAGCAGGATCATTCTGGAGGGGTCAGAACCCTACAGCGGGGAAGCCAGGCACTGTGGGCAGCAGGGTCACTGGACTGGGGAGGGGGGGCGGTCTCCTGTGCATCCTTGCCCCATCAATTGAGTGCTGTGGGAAGCACATTAAGGTGGCAGTCTGGGTGCACAACATTTCCTTGTCCTCATGGAAGGAGCAGAGGTGTTCAGAGCCCCTAGGACTTCCCTGAAAGCCTCCCCGTTCCCGGGCCCTCTGCAGTCCCTACCCAATGCCAGAACTCCAGGCAGTAGGCTGGGCTGTCACCCTCTTCTCTGAGACACCTACCTCGACTCAGAGACCTCCCCGATGCCCTTCAGATGGGGACCCTCCATAGGCCTTATTTGATGCTGTAGCGCTCTTGGAGCACGCATGGTTTCTGAAGGCGTGGCTCACGTCCAGGCCATTCTGGTGTACATTCACTGAGGACAGCTTGCCCTGCTCCATCATTTTCTGTAGAGCAGGGCCAAGAGGGGGACCCACCCTCATAACAGACACAAGACTCACTGCCGAAACAGCTGTCATAAAACAGCAGTTCTGGAAGGAAAAGAGGCTTTTTCTGCAAAAAACTTCTCCTCCTTGTTTCCAAAGGCAGGGAAAGCCATCAGAGCCCAGCTCACCTGTGGAGCCCAGGTCACTATCTATCCGGGATTTGTGACTGGCCCCTTCCACCCTCTCAGGACTGACTTTCCCTCCAGCTGGGTAACTGGGCGCCTGACATGGCATGGCATGTTTGTCCTGCTCTGGCCAGTTGTGGTCGGGCCAAATGAGGTATTTCCCTAGGTTCCTGGCCTTCCCCTTCTTGAAAACCATCAGGAGTGACCACACTGGACCCCAGACTTGTGGGGGGATTCCCTTGTAGATCCAGTGAGAAAACCATGGACAGAAGAAGGCTTTGGTGAGACAGGTCTCAGGGTGATAGTAAGGAGGATCAGAGTCTAAGCATTCTGGAAGCCTCCTGCCTTTGGCTCCAAGGTTCCTCGGGGGAGGTCGAGTCTACCTAGGACCGGGCCTTCCTTCCAATGAATAAACAGTGGACAAGTGCTAAAAAAGACAAACAAAAAAAGAGTGTAACTGTGCATTTTAAAATAACATGAACAGTATAATTGGATTATTTGCAACTCAGTGGATAAATGCTTGAGAGGAGGAATACCTCAATCTCCATCATGTCCTCATTTCAAATTGCAAGCTGCATCAAAACATGTCAAGTATGTGTGCCTACTAAATACCCATAAAAATGGACATAAATGAAACGTTAAAAAACAAATAAACGACATATATAGCCGTATATCAATTAAAGGAATTGGATTCAGTAAAAGCAACAAAGAAACTCAACAAAGATATTTCTCAATTAAACCTCATGTTTCTGGTGACTTCACTGGATAATTCTGCCAAACGTTTCTGGGAGAAATAACACCAGTTCTCCACTCAAGATAATTGAGGAGAGGCCACACTTTCCAAAGCATTTTACAGAGCAAGCACAAGCCTGATATCAAAACCAGACAACATTATGAGAAAATAACATGACAGACCAATGTAACTCATGAACATAGACACAAACTCTGTAAAAAACAATTAACCGGAGTTAGAAACTAGCAACATAAAAAATTTACATCCTAGCCAAATGGAATTTCCTCCATGTGAGTTTAGCAAAGTAACATGGTACAAGATGAACATGGAAAAGTCAATGCTATTTTTATATGCCAGCAACAAACAATTGAAAATTGAAAGTCGATATCCCTTAATATAGCAGCAAACCCCCCCGTGAAATCTGTAGTGGTAAAATTTAACAAAATATGTGCAAGACCTGTGCTCAGAAGCCTAAAAAACATTTCAGAAAAATATGAAACCACGTTGAAATAAATAGAGAGACATACCACATTAATGGATTGCAAGACTCAAGATTGTCAATATGTCAGTTACTCCCAAATAATCTATATGTCTAGTGTAAACCAATAAAAATCCCTGCAGCCTCTTGTTGCTATAAAATGACAAGCTGACTTCAAAATTTATATGGGAAAGCAAAGGGACTAGAATAGCCTAACAATTTTATAAAGGACCAAGAATATTGGAGGACTCACATTACCTGATATCGAGATGCATTTGACAACTATGCTAATCAGGACACTGTGATATTGGCAGAAGAAAAGGCATAAGAGTCCGAAGCTAGATCTATATATTCAAGTTAAATGGATTTTTCCATAAAGTGCCAAGAGAATTCAGTGGGGAAGGATGTTTTATTCCAGGAGTGGTGCTGGAACAGTCGGACATTGACATGCAAACAAATGAACCTCAAACTTTGCCTCACACCATACACAAAAGTTAACTCAAAATGCTTCATAGAACTAAATGTGAAAGCTAATGTTACAACACTTGTAGAAGAAAATGTAAGGGAATCTGCAGCATCGTGTAAGATAAAGATAGACAGGATGCAAAAAGCACAAACTATGAAATAGAACAAACATACATTTTTAAAATTTTATATACTACAAACCTGTCCCTTCTATACCTTCACAAAGGAGAAAGAAGCTTTGGAGCTGGGAAAGCAGACTATTCCCCTGCTCTAGTAGTTCTCAGACAAGCTTCTGTGAAAGTTAGAGCCCAAGATCTGTTAAAAGTGCAGATTCCAGGAATCACACCCAGTGAAGCTTATGTAGTGTGGCCACAATGGTGTCCTAGGATCTGGGAATTCACTGCCCAGCCTAGGGAACTTCCAGAAACTTTATTAAATCCCTTAGGTAGCAAGACTGTCTGAAATATATCCACTCTTCCCAGGACAGACATGAAGTTGAGAAGAGCGACCTCAGAGCACACAGAAACACAGGACATGATGAACACAGTGTGAAAATCACCATAAGGGTAAGGCAGTGCGTCTTATGAGAAGACCTCACAACTCTTACTGGCCTTTCTCCCCAGAGGCCTCAGTTTATCTCAAATCCCTGCTCCTCATGGGTGGTGAATGGAGTTGTGTCAGGAAATGACCTTTTCGATCCCCAAAAGGCATGGGCTCCTTTCAGGGGCCACTGAACACATAGGATGGGGCATGATGCAAGCTATTGTTCCCCTCCCACCAGCCTTGGTTTCCTTCTTGCACCATCATGTGCTTCCACGGGAGCCTAGAGCAATGACACGACTTAGGGCCAATGTCTTCCCTTTTTAGGAGACCGGCCCCTCGCCTGAGCAGTGCGTCTCCCCTCTCCTCCTTTCAGCTGTCCTTCTCCTGATCTCATCTGCCATTCCACAGCAGACAGCTGTCCCTCGTAGCCTGATGATCTAGCCTGGCCCCTTCCTCCTATGTCCCAGCCTGGAGAGGGCTGCCCTCCCCGAGTGGAAGGACATCAGTCCCAGGGTCCCAGAGCCATGACTACTACAGAACCATCCTTAGCATCAGTGTCCCATGGCAGTGGCTGACCTTTGAAATGAAGCTTCACCACCCATCGCAGCTGGCCCTGAAACACTTTCTTTTCTTTTTGTCTCATTTGAGACAGGCCCTCACTGCGTTGCTCAGCCTGTAGTGCCGTGGAGAAATCATGGCTCACAGTAGCCTTGACCTCCCAGACTCAAGCAATCCTTCCATCTCAGCCTCACAAGTAGCTGGAATTACATGCATGCTCCACCATGCCTGGGTATATGCTTTTAAAATTTTTTGTAAAACGGGGTCTCCCTATGTTGCCCAGGATGGTCGTGAACTCTGGGGCTGAAGGAATCCTCATGCCTCGATGACTCAACATGCTGAGATTTGACGTCTGAGCCACCTTACCTTGCCGTGAACCATTTTCTTTCTTTTAAAATTACTATTATACTTTAAGTTCTGGGATATGTGTGCTGAACGTGTAGGTTTGTTACACAGGTATACACGTGCCATGATGGTTTGCTGCACCCATCAAGCCGTCATCTACATTAGGTATTTCTCCTAATGCTATCCCTCCCATAGACCCCCATCGCCCAACAGGCCCCAGTGTGTGATGTTCCCCTCCCTGTGTCCACGTGTTCTCATTGTTCAACTACCACTTATGAGTGAGAACATGGAGTGTTTGGTTTTCTGTTCCTGTGTCAGTTTGCTGAGAATGATGGTTTCCAATTTCATCCATGTCCCTGCAAAGGACATGAACTCATCCTTTTTCATGGCTGCATAGTATTCCATGGTGTATATGAGCCACATTTTCTTTATCCAGTCTATCATTGATGGGCATTTGGGTTGGTTCCAAGTCTTTGCTATTGTGAATAGTGCTGCAATAAACATACGTGTGCATGTGTCTTTATAGCAGACACACTGAGTCAGGCACAGGCAGGGCCGACCAGGGTTTTCCTGGTATCCCCACACCCGAATTCCAGGGTGTTTGTAGTGGAAACAAAGGGACGCGAGAGCTTTTGTGTGTGTGCTTGTGTGTGTGTGTGTGTATGTGTGTCTGTGTGTGTCTGTGTTTGTGTGTGTGTGTCTGTCTGTGTGTGTGTCTTGTCCAACCATTCTCCTGCATCCGGAAACGTTGGGAACAGAGAGTCCCACGTCACCCTTAGTGCGGAGTGTGTCTCAGAAAGACTTTTTGTGACAGAAATAAAGAATTTTATGTCTATATTTACACATGCCTTTTTCTCAGGGTGTTTTTCTGTTGTGAAGGGTGGAGGGCAGTGGCATGATCACGCCTCACTGCAGCATCCATCTTCTGGGCTCAAGCAAGCCTCCTCACACTGAAACCTCCCAAGTAGCTGGGAGTGCAGATGGCCGCCACCATGCCCACCTAATGTATTTAATTTTTTTTTTAGATGAGGTGTGTCAGTGTGTTGCTCAGGCTGCCTTCAAACACACAGCCTCAAGTGATCCTCCCATCTTGGCCAATTTTTATAAAGGCTTTTTATACATGCTGTAGACTCAATCAGTTCACACTTGTGTGCTTTTTTAATATTGTGTTACTCCACCTTTGAACCTGTCAACTGGTAACTGATTTCCATGAAAACCTGTAAGGTGATCATGGCTCATCAGTCAGTGTGATTTCAGCGTTGACTCACAGCAGCTAGGAAAGCCTGCATGGGAAGTATGTCTTGAGGAAAACTGGAGAGTTTCCAGGAACAGTTTTGAAAAACAGAGACTACTTATGTCTTCCTTCCCTCCCTTGCTTCTCCTCATGTGCCAGGTTTTCTGCTTTCTCCAATTGTTAACAAATCAGCATGGAGTATTATGTGATGAAACGCTTTTATCTCTTTCATCATCCCGTTTCTTCCTCAAAACTTTTTTTTTTTTTTTCTGGAAGGGTGGTAGGCAGAAGGGACTAAACATATTCAGAAAAACACATTGTAATATAAATTTCGTGAAAAAATTCATCATATTTAAGAAATGGTCAGGATGAAATCCTGAATTTGTAATAATTGTAAAACTCAGTTTGCATAACCTCCAATCCTTTTGTCTCTATCACTTATCCGGTGAGAAGTGTAGAAAAGATGAGTTCCTTGCTTGTGACAGTGGCATTAGTTAGTCAAACTGCTGCACCCTGTCCATCGATATCACACATCCAGATTTAATAGCCACAAAATGCAAAGGCATTTTACAACTGTGGCGGTTTTCTTTATATCATTGTAATTTCCATTAAACCCCTAGCACTAAATTCAATATTCACACACTTGCAAGTACCATGGCCAAGAGAGATCCTGCCTGAAATGTTGAGAGGGGGCTGCAGCAGTGGCAACCCGGCTGAAGACGAGGCTGGAATGTGTCTTCACAAACCTGCAACCCCTTTTTTGAGGCAGGGTTTCTCTCTTTTGCCCAGGCTGGAGTACACTGGACGACTTATAGTGCACCACAGCGTAGGACTTCTGTGCTCAAGCGATCCTCCTGCCTTACGTTTCTGAGTAGATGGGACTACAGACATGTGCCACAATGCCCAGGTAATTTTAAAAATTGTGTAGAGCAGGGGTCTCACTATGTTGCCCAAGCTGGTCTTGAACTCCTGGCTTCAAGTGATTCTCCTCCCTCAGCCTCTCAAAATACTGGGATTACAGGCGTGAGCCACTGCCCGTGGCCTTTTTCTCACTTATTTTTCCTTTATCTAAGTTTTAAGGTTTATGTAAGGCTTTGCTCCAGCCCAGGAAACTGAATTTTTTCCCTCCCACTTGGAGGAAACAGCAATTCAAACGTTCAGGATTTTTGACCTACTGAAAGTTCATTGGCAACAATTGTGTCCTGTCTCTACCTGCCTGCAGGAGAAAACAAAAATTAAAGTCAGCACCAGGCTGCACTTTTCCTCCATACATTATCCTGTGCAGAACAGCGTTTGAGGGATCCAGTGAGCCAGTTCTCTTGCAGTTGGAGGGATTATTGTTAAATGCTGGGAGTACATGTATTTTTCATAACAGACAACAGCTCGGCTGTTGCTTCATACTATGGGGAAATGCATAGTCTCCCAGGAGTGACAGCTTCATCATCTCTACCCCTTCACTCTTCCTTTACTCAAAGAAAGCTTTCACCATATTGTAGTGAGTCAGGGTCCTGCTGGTGAATCACACGGTTGTTGACACTGTGTCAGGGACCCCCAAGGCCACCCTCACCTTCAGTGATTCATGGACATTCTCTGCTGCCCTTCTGCATACAATACTCCTAATTGAAGCCAGCCCCCTCACCTCAGGTCAGTATACCATGCGTCCCACCTTGTCATGGGCTTTGCTCCTGTAGTGATCACTCCTCTCTCCTGAACCATCGACTGCTCCCTCTACATTGGATCATTCTCCAGCTACGGGAAAACTCACCTTCTTCCCCCATGTCCTTCTGTAGCTACGAACACATGTGTCTGCTGCCCTGCAAAGGAAAACTGCATGAACTTATGCAACACACTTCATTGGAGTCCATTTTCAAAATTTTCTACAAAGGAAAATGAACCAGAATATCTAGAACAATTCTGAAGTGTAACTTGGGGGAATTCACCCCACACAATGTCAAGATTCACATTAATTCTATTTTATTTATTGATTGATTATGTTATCAGTGAGTTGGAAGAAGTTGACTTCCCCCTTGGCTTGGGGGTTGATCCAATATAGAGGGAGCCGTTGATGGTTCAGGGGAGAGGAATGATCAGTGCAGGAGCAGAACTCCTGAAAAGGTGGGAGGCATGGGATCCTCAGCTGAGGTGAGGGTGCTGCCTTGAGTTAGGAGCATTGAATGAAGCTATTGATTATGATTTTTAATCATCCAGCCCCATATGGCAATTATGTTACTTCTCCAGTATTCAGGACAGTGTGATATTGGGGGAAAATCTACAGATCAAAATAGAGTCTAGCAATAGACTCACAAACCTAATAAGTTGACTTTCAGAAAAGAGGCAAAGGCAATGGACAAAGATTATCTTTTAAAAATTGTGTTATTTTCTCCTGCCTCGTGGCCACTACATTAATTGTTTTTTATTCCTCTGGTTTCCTTTCCTGTGTTTCTCCTTTGCACTTCAACTGCTGTTCTGTTTGTCTGTCTGCCCCACCACAGTGCGATATTTCCCACAGCAAGGACCAAGTGTCTTTGTGATATTTGCTATGTCCATCTCATCAATGATAAACCGAATCAAGAAAATGTGGTACACATGCACCATGGAATACTATGCAGCCATGAAATACTATGCAGCCATGAAATGAATGAGCTCATGTCCTTGGCAGGGAGGTGGATGGTGGTGGCGGCCATTATCCTTAGCAAACTAATGCAGGAACAGAAAACCAAATACCGGATGTTCTCACTTATAAGTGGGAGGTAAATGATGAAAACACATGGACACATGGGAGAACCATCACTCACTGGGGCGTACTGGAGTGCGGGGGTGGGAGGAGGGAGAGGATCAGGAAGAACAGCTCACGGATACTGGGCTTAATATCTGGGTGATGTGATGATGTGTGCGGTAAATCACCGTGGCACACATTTACTTGTGTAAGAAACCTGCACATCCTTCACATGTACCCCTGAACTTAAAGTAAAATTTGGAAATTAAAAAAAAGTCAATATCTCAGAATCCTTATTTCTATGTTTTGGTCTTTGTGTCATTTATCTAAGCATTATGGTGACATGAAAGCTGAGGCATAACAACAGTTAGTATGATTAGCAATTTAGCAGGATTATAGCTCAGTATGATATAACATCAACTACTAGTATTGAATTGCATTCAACTCCTTGAAGTGCTTAAGGAAAGTTGGTAAGAAAAAGTATTCACACTTGAAAACATTTTTAAAATTCATGTAAACTGGATCAACACTGATTACCACAGATGTCACTGTCACTAGATGCTAATGAATTACATAATAGTAACCATAAAACCCAGTCAAAAATAAAGGGGGAAATAAAAGGAGACATATCAAAGCATCATCAGATGAATGCAGGAACACCCACATGAACACACCCTGCAGTTAAACTGACAATTTAAACATCACTGAGTGCTATTTCAAGCATTATGTAGAAAGCTACAGACAACAGTGAACTTATTCTGAGCACGTCTTAATCCATCATCTTCACAGATGGCTATAGAAATGGCCTGTAAACATTTTGTCTGATAACCGCTAAAGTAGTGACGTTCAAACTCTTTTATGACAATGTGTGAGAAACGCACAGTTTATATATAGTCGACTAGGCAAATAAATATATATATGTGCTTGGGGATGTGCAGTGAATATTGTATATTTGTATATTCTGTGTGCAGTGAATGCTACTTAGTAATTTATTTTATCTCCGTTCTTTAAAATGCTGTTTTTGGCTGACAACATTAATCTTATGATCGACCATGGATTAAAAACCAGTTTAGAAATGATTAAAGCCTTTTCAGAGAACATCTTGAATGGTTGATAAATGTTGCTATAGTATATATCCAAAAACACATTAGAACCCAATTTTGTCCGCCTCCTTAGCAATTCAGTGTTTTTAGACAAAAATGTCGTCTTTGATATGGGCCACAAAAGCCACTACAAAATAGACAATTACTGATGAAATGTGTGTTTCATCTGCAGATATCTGTTTCTCTTTTGCAAAGGTGAAGTCTTACTTGGACAGATGGGAACTCACAGGCAAAAAGGGACAGAAAGTACATATGACCTCTTGTCCTCTTGGTATCACGTGGAGGCTTTGCTTGGGCTGCAGCATACGTGAATGTTATGCATTTCCTGCATTCATGGAGACCTCCCTGTGAGTGCACAGGGACCTCCATTCCCCTACGGTGGTCCCATTTTATGAGGCAAGTGGGAGAATGGCACGGAACATGGTAGGTAGTAAATAATTTGGCCTCAACCACAAAGCAATCTGAGCTCACATGACAGTGTTTACTCTGGTACCCTGAAACTTGCCAGCTGCTCAGAATCTGTAGACTTTGTCCCACCCACCCACCATCCTGTGGAAATCTATGTTTGGTCATAGATTCCCATGCGTGGAGGATGGGAAGCTCTGGTCATGTGGGAAATTGAGCCCTCTCACAGGTAGACTGGCTGTGTTGGTCCCAGCTCTGTTTCCTCCCTTAGCAGCTAGAGAGTTGCTAGGGTCATGTATCAGGCAACTCTTCTTGTCTCTGCAGTGTCTTTCATACTGTCTGCTGCTTCCTGTTTGTCACAAGGGCTCCTTCACAACTTTCCCAATACCAATGCAATTATGATCCTTTGAAGTTATCCAGGAGGTCCGGAGTTATAGTCCACAGGAAGGGCAGCGGGAAGTTCAAATTTGGCAAGAAATTCAAGCCTGCCCTTTGAAGCTGGAGTGAGGCCACTCAGGAATCATTAAAGTCCAGGTCTGCAGGTGATGTTTAATATTAAGTGTCAACTTGGTTGGATCAAAGGGTGCAAAGTATTGTTCCTGGGTGTGTCTGAGACGTTGTTGCCAAAGGAGATTAACATTTGAGTCAGTGGACTGGGAGAGGTAGACCCACCCTCAATCTGGGTGGGCACCGTCTAATCATTTGCCAGTGCCACTAGAATAAACCAGGCAGAAGAACATGGAAAACCAGACTTGCTGAGTCTTCCAGCCTCCAACTTTCTCCCGTGCTGCATGCCTCCTGTCCTCAAACATCAGACTCCAGGTTCCTCTGCTTTTGGACTCTTGAACTTACACTGGTGATCTGCCAGGGGCTCTCAGGCTTTCAGCCACAGACTAAAGGCTGCAATGCTGGCTTCAATACGTTTGAGGTTTTGGAACTCAGACTGCCTTTCTTGCTCCTCAGCTTGCAGACAGCCTATTTTGGGACTTCGCCTTGTGATTGTGTAAATCAATATTCCTTGATAAGCCCTGCTTCACATATACATCTATGCATCAGTTCTGTCCTTCTGCAGATCCGTAACTAATACAGTGTGAAAGAGTACCATCCAGCCATCTGATGGCATGACCATTTGCTAAATAGTTGCCCACAGAAAGTCTGAGTCCAGAAATCACTATTTCCTATTCTTTGAGCACGTCTGAGTGCACTATATTAAAAACTGGGGTTAATAAGAAACAAAATAAAGTAAAATTTAATAATGATAGTGCCCTTGCCAAGAAAGAATAAAAAGATAAAAGTTAAATTAATTAAGTCATCATGATTACAACTGCTCTCACCTTTTAAAAAAATCTTTGAAACGCCGTAATTCCTACTCACATTGCTTTTGAGAGAGAGACAGAGAGACTGAGCAAACTTTTATTTCCAACTCAAGGTATTTCCCTAAGAGAAGCCCAGGTGAATGGAATATATAGGAGTCATTTCAGCAATATATCTCAATTTATTTATAAAAGCCTGCATTCTCATCAGGCCCCCCTTCCTATCCTTCTGTTTCATATACTATTTCCCACATTAAACTGCTAAGTAATACAAAAGTAATAAAAACAGGAATCATGCACACAGCTTACTGTCTACTTTAAGGAAAGTTTATACACCACTGGCTTCATTAAGATAACTTTACTAATACAGGAATCTCTTGCTTAGGAAAATAAAAGTTGCAAAGAACTTTACTGTTAATTTCAGCAACTGTCTGAAAGATCCATCAAGTCTTCAGTCAAAAGATTCAAATGACATTTTTCAACCCCAAAACACATTGAATCATTGCCTAAAAGTGTTTGTCTTCTTGGCTCCACCAGTCCTAAATCATTATGATTCCTATCTAACTCCAAACAAACAGTCCCCCACTTTAAAAGACCCACTTTACACCAGATTTCAAAATGAGAATAAAGATACTTAAATCCCCTCGTCTGACATACTAGTGCTTTGTTGAAGTAGTGCTCTCTTTTACAGCGTTATGCAAATAATATCAGCCCTGTCTTACGAACAGGCCATGTGGCTGATATTTGGAGAGTACGGTATATGATCTGGTTAGTCACCACTGCATGACATCATGTCACAGTAGACTGTGCCTAGATCCTGTCATCAATATCTATGTATATTTCTGAATATACATATACGGTCTGAATGACCTACAAGTATATTCAGGCAAATCAGTCACCAGTCCAGAGATGTAAATGTTCAATAACACACCTCCCCATAAATTTAGCACGTGTGAATATATTTAGTCTGCAGAAGAGTTTATTCCATTACATTCATTAGAAGCATGGCAGAAAACTGAGAACCAGAGGAAAAAAGTGAATTATCAAAGCACGTATAAAAATTGGTCAAGGTAGGAGGATCGCTTGAGCCCAGGAATTCGAGACCAACATGGAAACGGAGTGAGACCATGCTCTAAAAAATGAATTTACTGCCCACGTGTGGTGTTCGCACCTGTAGTACCACCCACTTGAGAGGCTGCAGCATGAGGATTATTTGAGCCCAGGAGATCCAGACTTCAGTGAGTTATGATCATGCCACTGCCATCCAGCCTGGGTGAGAAAGTGACACCCTGTCTAAAAAAAAAAAAAAAAAAAAAAAAAAAAAAAAAAAACATTTATAAATAAGGATATAAAAATAGTTTATTTCACAACAGGCTTTTCTGAAACACGTCCTCCATTAAGGGTGACATAGGACTGTGTGTTCCCAATGTTTCTCAATGCATGAGATTGTTTGGGCAAAGAAAAAGAAAAGCTCCCTTAAGTCCCTTTCTTTCCACTACAAACAACTTGTGGGTGCGGGTATGAGAACAGCAGGAAAACCACGGTCGGCCCTGCAAGTAGCAGACTCAATGGGCATGCCCCTTGCTAAGCAAGTTCCTGCTGCCCATGTGCCTTGCTGTCTGCTTTCTGTCCCTGCAGAGCTGTGGAAGGAAACGTTGTGACTTCTTTCTTGCCTACTATGACACAACACGTAGGTCCCAGATCAGTCCTCCCAGAAGTTGAAGTGTCAGTGAGTGTGAGGGAGAGCGGAAGGGCTTCCTGTGGGTTGGACCACTCGGTCTATGGCCTCATAGAGGTCGTCATCCTTCTACTAAAAGACAGTGGCATCACCATGGCCTTGATGTTGTGGGGTCCTGGAGAGGGGAGGAGTTAAGGCCGTAGAGGCGAGGAGGGTCAGATGATCAAGGAATGAATTGAAGCGTGACATTATTTGCGGTATTTCAGTCTCCGAAGCATAAGAAACCACAGAGGATGGGTTCCAACATCCTTAGTGGGGACCTTGGAAGAAGCAGAGGACAGTGAGTGCAGGAACAAGGAGGTGCAGTGCAGCCCTTTAAGGCAAGAGGGGAACTCACTGCGCACGCTCCTTGGGTGCCCGCCTCAGTGCACAGGTTCACTGGGCGTCTTCCCATCTGCCTTTTTGCCCACGTGGTGAGTGCCTTAGAGCTGTGAGCCTGCAGCTCGGTCCCTGAGATCTGCATTCTTTCTCCCCTACTGAGACGCAGCCGGTAAGTCCGCAGGCCCCTCCTACTGGGAATTGAAGTGTGAGTGAGAGTGAGGAGGAGACACTGGGGTTCCAGAGGGCCGGGCAGCTTGGTCGGTGACTCTGAGGGAGAAGGGCTTTGATGTTGTCGTCCTTCTCATGTGGCCCTGCCACTATGGGCCTTCTTGTCTTGCCGGAGTGCGAACGAAAGAAGAAGGAGGGCCTCGGAGTGGGGCGATGCTGGGGTGCTGCTGGCGGTATTCGAGTCCCAGAAACCCCTGGAACCCCCAACAGAGGACAGATTCTGAACTCCTCAAGGAGGATCAGGGCTGGGAGGTGTGGGCGGTAAGGAAAGGGCCTGCAAAGTGGGAACACTCCAGACTGGTTCCCGCCACCCCAAGGTTTGTGTAGTGACTCCCAGTGGCGCCCGACCTGTGAGGACCGCCCAGTGCTGTGTGGCAAGTTTTCAACTTCATCTTGGACGTTCGAATGCGCGGACGGGGCTCTGCATTCCAACAAAACTCGATTTTGTGGGGGAAATGGGCCTAGCAAATGGGTGCGTGACAAAAGCTGTGGACACTTTAATTTGAATTCTCAAGCTGTATTTTCCTAAGTGTCTCACCATGGAGAGTCCAGTTGTGAAACCAAACCTCATTGGAAATACTGTGTGTCTCTTGCCCTAAGCCCTAAGGCATTGCTCAGCTCAGTAAAGCCCTAAGGCATTACTTGACGAACGTAAGTGGCTGTGCAAGTATTCGATTCAGAAGGCATACACACTTATACATGCTCTCTGACTTACTTTTCAATGTCTTACCAAACTTTTATAAATTGCAAGTTAACATTTGGCCATGGACGTAGTATCCTCTCACGTGCATTTTTCCAATCACAGTTTTCTAATTTTTGCTTTGTTTTGTTTTGATTTGGTTTGGTTTTTTTGAGAGGGAGTTTTGCTCTTGTTGCCCAGGCTGGAGTGCAATGACATGATCTCGGCTGGCTGCAACCTTTGCCCCTGGGTTCTATCGATTCTCCTGCCTCAGCCTCCCAACTAGCTGGGATTACAGGTACCTGCTACCACGCCCAGCTAAGTTTTTGTATTTTTGGTAGAGATGGGGTTTCACTATTTTGGCCAAGCTGGCCTCGAACTCCTGACCTCAGGTGGTCCACCCACCTTGGCCTCCCAAAGTGCACACTATTCTGTTTGCAGACTGAAATATGAGTTGGCGAGGAAGATGATATAGAACCAAGATGATGTTTACGACTTGCTCAGCTGATTGGGCCTATGCTTGTGAGTGACTTAACATTCAATGTTTTCTATTAGCAGAATTTTTTTGTGTGTGATAGTGTTGTTGAACTAGCATAGATGCACTGATAAAGGTCTCCCATGTTGACAAAAAACCATTGCGGCATCTCATGAAGGAAACAGTAACCCAAGAGGACTACATACTGGTTTTGCCTGGATGTGGGAATTTGTGTTCCCCAGATTTGACTAGTGATTTCCTCCTCATGCTTATTCATAGCTCATTACACTAGCACATAGCTAGTGTTGCAGCATGTCTTTAAACATGCATATGATCAGAAGTATCTATGTAATCTGTATATTCGTGTTATTGACATGCATTGATAAGAAAAATTTTTTATCTGCACATGCACACAGAAAACCCCCTTTTCCCAGGAGCCTAGTGTGCCAGAGCCTCAACAAGAAGAACCACCAGCTGAAAGTCAGGATAGTACATCTGGTCAGAAGACAGAAGAAGATCAGGGTGCAGCTGAGATTCAAAGTGGTGGGAAGAGAAAGAAAGAATGTCTACGGGGGGAGGAGGCCTATGTGTGCATCATGCCTTATGCCATGACCAGTAAGAGGAGGAAAGAAAACACTAGGAAAGGATCTCAAACATTTGCTGAGGGTTGGCTGGAAACGTGACGGGTATAGTTTGCAGCTTCCTGCAGTCCCTGGATATGATTAATCTTCTCTTTTTCTTCGAGATGCATTTTGTAGGCTTGAAAGTACAGTCCTTCCTAAATCAGATGAAATCATTTAATTGGTTGTATAAAAATGTACATTATTTCACTAGTTTAACTTGATATTCTTAGGATGTTGCAGTGAGATCTTCTCAGCCATGGTATTCACAGTGTTTTAAGCACCCTTTAATAGCATGTGGAGTGCCAAGTCGCCCTACCTTATAATACCCTGAATAAAGCCCATTTGCAAAGGGATGTTAACCTCATTTTATAAATAAAACTGAGGCCCGGTGTGGTGGCTCATGCCTGTAATCCCTGCACTTTGGGAGGCCGAAGCGGGCAGATCACTTGAGGTCAGGAGTTCAAGACCAGCCTGGCCAATATGGTGAAACCCCATCTCTACTAAAAATACAAAAATTAGCTGGGCATGGTGGCACACACTCGTAATCCCAGATGCTAAGCAGGCTGAGGCAGGAGAGTCACTTGAGCCCGGGTGGCATTGGTTGCAGTGAGCCAAGATCGCACCACTGCACTCCAACCTCGGTGACACAGCGAGACTCTGTCTCCAAAAATAAAAATAAAAATAAATAAATAAATAAGAAAACTGAGAATCAGAGGTTGAGACTTACCAAGAACACTTGGCTCATGGAGAAGGAATTCATATTTTGTTCCAAGGTTTGCATTCTATTTTAGAAAATGTGAATGATTTTGCTTAAAAATGCTTAATATTCAAATGTGTCTGTACTATAAGGTAATTTGGTATCGGCTCAGGGCAAAACGCAGTTCAGTGAAGCAAGATAGCAACTCCAGAAAGGAGGCCAATAAATGACAGCCACTGTTTCCTTTGATTTATATTTTTGACCGTATGTTTGATAAAAGCTGGATAATTCAGGACAATGGCATACAGGTAACTGTATTTGTAGGATTTTGAAGGGGCTTTTAAAAGTTGTTGCAATATTTTTATAATTAGAAAATTCTAAGTATGATAAGATTATCATGAAACAGAAACTGTTTCCTCAACAGATAGCATTTTCAAACTAATCAGAGACAGAATTTGGGCCATGGGTTATTTTGGCAATTCCCTGTTAAGGGGTTTCCAGAATATGACTGTCAACAATGCCCATTAATTTATTTGCACTTCAGTTCCCATACTCTCACTGGAAGACAGTGATTTTGCTTTTATATTCCGTACTTTTTTCTTAATGACATTCATGTATGGAAAGTCACATATAGCGCCTTTTGACCTAAGAATAACTTTGATTAAGTTTAACCCCAACATTTTCAAGATACCTCAACAGGAGATGAGTATCAGGACTATAGGATTTGTCATAAGCTCACCAATACATTGATCTAATCCTTCAGAAAATTACATTTAAGTTATGATTAAAATGCTATCCACGAGGCCATCTTCAGGTTTCCTAGGTAGCTGTGTGTTTATAATACACAATGGTAAAGTATGGGAAATGCAGGTGTGCTGTGACTTATCCTCAGATTGTCATTTAAGATAAGATATCATAATACAGGAAAACAAACGGGGACATCTTTGCATCACATTTATTACCACAGTAGCCTCTAGGCTTTTATTGCATCACACTGAGGAAAAGAACAGGATCATTTCCTTATTTATCATTCTGCTTTGGCTGCTCCAGTTGATTTCCTTGGTATTTTTTAGTGCCTGACCTGGAAGCTGATCTCCAGGAGCTGTCTCAGTCAAAGACTGGGGATGAATGCGGAGATGATCCTGATATCCAGGGGAAGATTCTGCCAAAATCAGAGCAATTTAAAATGCCAGAAGGAGGTATGTTATCCATTAAGATTCAAAATTACGTGCTTTCTGTATTCCACAATATTACACTTTTGACAATAAAAAGAGAGAATATTACTGCCCCTCCAAAAACTGAGTTCAAATGCAGACTTTCTTCGAAAGGTAGATCAGACCCTAGAAGCCTGACTGCAAAACTGAAACACTATCAGATACAGACACAAATTGGGTCAAAGCCATATTGAACCATTGAATAGCAAAGCATTTTGTTACTTCTAAGTATAACCAACAGCTAACAATTTTCAGATTATTTTGCAATTTCTGTTTCTCACAAATAAATAATGCATTTGTAATACCACTTTGTATGATATATGCTGATCCCTGAAGGAGATTCTAGTACCAGCTCCAACATAATTTGTGAGATTCTGGACAAATCACATCAATCCTACACCCATTTTTGCTTTTATTGAAAATAGTGAATGCACATAAGATACATTAAAATCCATTTCAGTGCTGGTTTCTCCATGCTTTCGTCTTGTTGCAGAGAATATACAGATATTCTGATTTTCATGATTTGTTTATCATAACAATCAGCTTTAGTCCAATTAAAATATCTGAGTTGAGACTTCATTGCTCCTAAGAAAATGAGAAGGCACTCTGCTTGATGCTTGTTTTCCTGTATGGAGACCTTCATGAGTGTTCTTGGATTTTGTCAAATCCTGAATTCTCTCAGGCTCTTAAACAATGATTGCATTTTTTTTTCAGATGGGGTCTCACTCTGTCACCCAGGATGGAGTGCAGTGTTCTGATCTCGGTTCACTGCGACTTCTGCCTCCCGGGTTCAAGCGATTCTCAAGCCTCAGCCTCCCATGCATTTGGGATTACAGATGCCTGCCACCATGCCAACCAATTTTTTTATTTTTAGTAGAGACGAGGTTTCACCATGTTGGCCAGGCTGGGCTCGAACTCCTGACCTCAAGTGACCCACTCGTCTCGGCCTCCCAAAATGTTGGGAGTGATTATAGGGGTGAACCTCCTCCTGCGCCAGACCCAATGATTACATTTTAATGTCTTCCCGCAGTGAAGCCTTGAATGACTGAGTAATAAAATCGATAGAGACAGTCAGGTTTTTGTGACCCATGAAGTAGGGAGAATGCATGTAGGTCAGTCATGCTCAAGGTGGTTGTAAGATGCCTGTGCTAAGCATGCTCCCTGTCCTCCTGTCAGTCTTCATGAGCTACTGTGTGTAATTAGATTGAAGACACATATGGTAACCGCTAACCATATCAGAGGTTATATTACAGGCTTCTGCTTTGAGTCATCAGATGATATGATTTAGAGTTCAAAGTCTATAATGTACTAAGTCCTGAGTAGTCCACATAAGTATTTTTCATACATGTTTTCCAAATTGCTGACTTAATTAGAAGAACTTCTGAATTTAAAGGAAGCACTGCACGTATAGGGGAGAATATCTAAATGTTTTTACTTCACACTGCTGAACCACTCCCTTTGACTATTTACATTAAAGGATAGCTTGTAGGCGATTTCCAGGAGCCTATTGAACAAGCCTGAATAGTATTCTTAGGACAGTCATAGCATTATATGCATATCCTATTAAAATAGACAGCAAATTACATGATACAAGAAAATAATACTAAGAAATAAAAAAAGAGTCACAAAAGAAACTTAAGGGAAAGGGAAACAGGCAGTAAATGAAAGGTACGAATCATTAACAAAAGGAAAACTAATCCAAAAGTAATAAATTTAACAGATCGTTCTTTTGTGAAATATCTAGGAAGAGAGCATCCAGTAGCTTAAACAATCTTGAGGAAAATGGAAAAAGCACAACACGGAATATGAACAAGACACAGATATTGAATATAAGGCATGATTGAAAGGGAATACATTCTTGAACACTAATATTTTCAGAGTGTGGATGAAATGGTTGACATGCTAGGAACACCTACATTATTTAACGTATCCCTTTAATACCTGAATATCTGAACATCACAAAGACTGTGCATGAGCTTGTGGAATTTGCTGGTCATCCCTCAAAACAGTTACTTTTAGAAGCAAATATTTAGCTTTTCCAGATGCCTTACTCTCCGTTTTCTTTTCCCCCTCCATTTTTTTTTTGCCACACTGGTTATGATGTATAACTCTTTCACGTTTTAATGTCAATAAAGATCCTGATACCTTAAAACTTATATGACCATTTAATTAATTATATAAACGGGAATACATTCTGGTGATTAAAGTGTCATTATTCATATCCTCATGAGGACTATAGGTGAAAACTGGATGCAAATGTTTACTTTATGTTAAAAAAAAACACAGAAGGGTAACCTAGCCCAAAGGAATATTGCTGCACTTCAGCACAATAGAGAAAAAACAAATGCAATACTGGCCTTCCTATTCATTTCACTTATGTATTTCCTAATGTGACATTAACTGTTTTCTCCAAAGATAATTTTCAGACTTTTTGCAGGAGCTTATTGGACATCAAGACCATAGTTTCAAGCCAACACATTAAATTATACATTTTTCACAAATTCCTTCTGTTGCTTAGGTTTTTTATGTCCTGGTCGTATTTTGAGTAAAACTCTACAAAATGTTTGCTATCTACTCTAAGCACCTTTTAAATAGGTCCACTTGATTTAATGTGTTCTGACCTCAGACTGTCTTTTGGTTTCCTTCTAGCACTAAAAGAAGGGTGTGTTTAAAAAATGTTACTAATATGTACCCTTGGAAGTGTATCTTCAAAGTCTCTACAGAGGTTTAGTTGAATGTTAGCCATAGGGATGCTGAAGCACGAGGATGTCTTGAGCTTGGGAGACTGAGACATGCTTGGGCAACCTGCTGAAACCCCCTGTCTACAAAAATAAATGAATGAATGCATGAATGTATGCATGTATGTATGCAGGTGTAGTCCCAGCTACTCTAAATGAATGTATGCATGTAATGCAGGTGTATACTCCAGCTACTCTGGAGGCTGAGGTGAGAGGTTCCCTTGAGCCTAGGAGGTTGAGGATGCAGGTAGACATTTTCATGCCACTGCAACTCCAGCCCGGGTGACTGAGACTGTTTTAATAAAAAATAGTATCATTTTTGGAAGATGGCCAAATAGGAACAGCTCCAATCTGCAGCTCCCAGTGAGATCGATGCAGAAGACGGGTGATTCCTGCATTTCCAACTGAGGTACCTGGTTCATCTCATTGGGACTGGTTGGACAGTGGGTGCAGTCCACGGAGGGTGAGCTGAAGCAGGGCGGGGCGTGGACTCACCCGGGAAGTGCAAGGGGTCAGGGGATTTCCCTTTGCTAGCCAAGGGAAGCCATGACAGTCTGTACCTGCGCTTTTCCCACAGTCTTCACAACCGGCAGACCAGGAGATTCCCTCCTGTGCCTGGCTCAGAGGGTCCCATGCCCATGGAGCCTTGCTCACTGCTCCCACAGCAGTCTGAGATCGACCTGTGATGCTGCAGCTTGGCGAAGGGAGGGGCGTCCGCCATTGCTGAGGCTTGAGTAGGTGATTCTGTGCTCACAGTGTAAATAAGGAGGCTCGGAAGCTTGAACTGGGCGGACCCACTGCAGCTTAGCAAGGCCTACTGCCTCTCTAGATTCCACCTCTGTGGGCAGGGCATATCAGAACAAAAGGCAGCAGTCAGCTTCCACAAACCTAAACATCCCTGTCTGACAGCTCTGAAGAGAGCAGTGGTTCTCCCAGCATGGCATTCGAGCTCTGAGAACAGACAGACTGCCACCTCAAGTGGGTCCCTGACCATCATGTAGCCTGACTGGGAACCCCCAGTAGGGGCCGACAGACAGCTCATACAAGCAGGTGCCCCTCTGGGACGAATCTTCCAGAGGAAGGATCAGGCAGCAATATTTGCTGTTCTGCAGCCTCCGCTGGTGATACCTAGGCAAACAGGTTCTGGAGTGGAACTCCAGCAAACTCCAACAGACCTGCAGCTGAGGGGCCCGACTGTTAGAAGGAAAACTAACAAACAGAAAGGAATAGCATCAACATCAACAAAAAGCACATCCACACCAAAACCCCATCTGTAGGTCACCAACATCAAAGACCAAAGATAGATAAAACCACATAGATGGGGACAAACCAGAGCAGAAAATCTGAAAACTCAAAAACCAGAGCCCCTCTTCTCCTCCAAAGGATCGCAGCTCCTCGCCAGCAAAGGAACAAAACTGGACGGAGAATGAGTTTGATGAGTTGACAGAAGAAGGCTTCAAAAGGTCAGTAATAACAAACTTCACCAAACTAATGGAGCATATTCTAACCCATCACAAGGAAGCTAAAAACCTTGAAAAAAGATTAGACGACTGGCTAACTAGAATAAACACTGTTGAGAAGACCTTAAATGACCGGATGGATCTGAAAACCACAGCACGAGAACTTCATGATGCATGCACAAGCTTCAATAGCAGATTTGATCAAGTGGAAGAAAGGATATCAGTGACTGAAGATCAAATTAATGAAATAAAGAGAGAAGACAAGATTAGAGAAAAAAGAGTGAAAAGAACAAAGCCTGCAAGAAATATGGGACTATGTGAAAAGACCGAATCTACGTTTGATTGGTGTGACTGAATGTGATGGGGAGAATGGAACCAAGTTAGAAAACACTCTTCAGAATATTATCCAGGAGAACTTCCCCAACCTAGCAAGGCAGGCCAACATTCAAATTCAGGAAATACAGAGAACACCACAAAGATACTCCTCGAGAAGAGCAACCCCAAGACATATAATTGTCAGATTCACCAAGGTTGAAATCAAGGAAAAAATGTTAAGGGCAGCCAGAGAGAAAGGTTGGGTTACCCACAGAGAGAAGCCCAACAGACTAACAGCAGATCTCTTGGCAGCAACCATACAAGCCAGAAGAGAGTGGGGGCCAATATTCAACATTCTTAAAGCAAAGAATTTTCAACCCAGAATTTCATATCCAGTGAAACTAAGATTCATAAGTGTAGGGAAAAGAAAATCCTTTACAGACAAGCAAATGCTGAGAGATTTTGTCACCACCAGGCCTGCCTTACAACAGCTCCTGAAGGAAGCACTAAACATGGGAAGGAACAACCGGTACCAGCCACTACAAAAATATACCAAATTGTAAAGACCATCGACGCTATGAAGAAACTGCATCAATTAACAGGCAAAACAACCAGCTAACATCACATTGACAGCATCAAATTCACACATAAGAATATTAACCTTAAATGTGAGTGGGCTAAATGCCCCAATTAAAAGACACAGACTGGCAAATTGAATAACAGTGAAGACCCATCGGTGTGCTGTATTCAAGGGATGGAGGAAGATCTACCAAGAAAACGGAAACCAAAAAAAAAAAAAAAGCAGGGGTTGCAATCGTAGTCTCTGGTAAAACAGACTTTAAACCAACAAAGATCAACAGAGACAAAGAAGGCCATTACATAATGGTAAAGAGATCAATTCAACCAGAAGAGCTAACTATCCTAAATATATATACACCCAACACAGGAGCACCCAGATTCATAAAGGAAGTCCTTAGAGGCCTACAAAGAGACTTAGACTCCCTAAAAAAAATTTTGGAGGAATATGAAAGCACGCTGAAATAAGTGGAGAGACATACCACGTTAAAGGATCCCAAGACTTAAGATTGTCAATATGTCAGTTTCTCCCAAATAATCTGTACATTCCATGTAAACCCAATTAAAATACTTGCAAACTCTTGTTTCTATAAATTGACAAGCTGACTTCAAAATTTATATGGGAAAGCAAAGGGACTAGAATAGCCTAACAATGTTATAAAGGGCAAATAATATTGGAGTATTCACATTATCTGATTTCAAGATGCATTTGACAACTATGCTAATCAGGACACTGTGATATTGGCAGAGGAAAAGGCATAAGAGTCTGAAGCTAGATCTATATATGCAAGTTAAATAGATTTTTCCATAAAGTGCCAAGATAATTCAGTGGGGAAGGATGTTTTATTCCAGGAATGGTGCTGGAACAATTGGACATTGATATGCAAAAAAATGAACCTTAATCTTTGCCTCACGCCATATACAAAAATGAACTCAAAATACATCATAGAACTCAATGTAAAAGCTACTGTTACAACACTTGTAGAAGAAAATGTAAGGGAATCTGCAGCATCTTGTAAGACAAAGATAGACAGGATACAAAAAGCACTAACTATGAAATAGTACATGCATACATTTTTAAAATTCTATATAATTATGTGCTACCCTCATCCAGTGACTACTTACTTGCCCAAGAATTATACAAATGATATGAAGAGGTAATTAGAGCTCTAATTTCCTAGAAAGTTTTCATTCAAATTCTCCATACCAGCTCATGAAGACAAAACCCCAGCTTTAAATTTAGGCTTTAGAATAACCCCATGAGGAGCATTGATTATTCATTATTCTAAAAAAAATGTGCCCTCCTTCCAGCCACACAGACTCATTTCTTGAGTCCCAAAAGAGCTGAAGTGATAACAGAAAGATCATCCAAGGGGTCAAAGGTATTCATGACATAGTCTCTCTGGAACATGTCCCAGGGAAATGTGGACACAGCAACAATCTTGGCAACAATAACAGCTAGAATTGATTGGAAATTTATGATATGGCTGGCAATGTCCTGACAACTGTGCATGTCTTAATACACTCAATGCTCTAAACTGCCCCAAGAAATAGATGACATTACTAGTAGTATTTCCATGATACTAATGGAGAAAGGAGGCACAGAGATGATAAGGAACTGTCTCAGTGTCACCCAGCAGTGAGTGGTGGAGCCAAAGGCCACAGGCATGGTGAAAACTCTACTGAGCTGCATATTTGTGTAATCAAGAGTAAGATCCAAAGGCTACTGCAAAACTTTAGAATGTTAGAGCATGAAACTGCACAGGCAAAAGACATTTGATTTCTTCAGAAATCTTTAAGAGATGGAGACTTGAAAGGACTGGTCTGGGTATCATTTGGAGACGGCATCCTGAGAGTGTCATTAGAATAACAGCCAGCATGTGAGTGTCCGTCTCCTCACCTGAAGGTCTTGAGTTCGTCCATCAGAGAAGGCACCAAACCTGTCCCTTCTATACTTTTACAAAGGAGACAGAAGCCGTGTAGCTGGGAAATGAGACTATTCCCCTGCTCTAATAGTTCTCAGACAAGTTTCCATGAAAGTTAGAATCCAAGATCTGTTAAAAGTGCAGATTCCAGGAATCACACCCAGTGAAGCTCATTTAGTGTGGCCACAACTGTGTCCTAGGATCTGGGAATTTACTCCCCATCCTAGGGAACTTTCAGAAACCTTATTAAATCCCTCAGGTAACAAGACTCTCTGCAATATACCCAGAAAAATATTCCCAGGACAGACATGAGGTTGAGAAGAGCGACCTCAACACACAGGAACACAGGACAGGATGAACGCAGTGTGAGACTCATCATAAGGGTAAGGCAGTGTATCTTATGAGAAGACCTCACAACTCTTACTGGCCTTTCTCCCCAGAGGCCTGTTTATCTCAAATCCCTGCTCCTCGTGGGTGGTGAATGGAGTTGTGTCAGGAAATGACCTTTTAGATCCCAGAAAGGCATGGGCTCCTCTCAGGGGCCACTGAACACATAGGATGGGGCGTGATGCAAGCTGTTGTTCCCCTCCCACCAGCCTTGGTTTCCTTCTTGCACCATCATGTGCTTCCACGGGAGCCTAGAGCAATGACACGACTTAGGGCCAATGTCTTCCCTTTTTAGGAGACCGGCCCCTCACCTGAGGAGTGCGTCTCCCCCTCTCTTCCTTTCAGCTGTCCTTCTCCTGATCTCATCTGCCATCCCACAGCAGACAGGTGTCCCTGGTAGCCTGACGACCTAGCCTGGCCCCTTCCTCCTGTGTCCCCACCTGGAGAGGGCTGTCCTCGCCAAGGGGAAGGACACTGATCCAAGGATCCCAGAGACATGCCTACCACAGAACCATCCTGAGCATCAATGTCCCATGGCAGTGCTTGACCTATGAAATGAAGCTTCACCACACACCCCAGCTGGCCGTGAAATATTTTCTTTCTTTTTGTCTTATTTGAGACAGGGTCTCACTGTGTTGCTCAGCCTGGAATGTAATAGAGAAATTGTGGCTCACTGTAGCCTTGAATTCCCAGACTCCAGCAATCCTTCCATCTCATCCTCATATACCATGCACAGGCCACCATGCCTAGGTATATATTTTTAACTTTTTTGTAAAGATGGGGTCACCCTCTGTTGTCCTGGCTGGTCTTGAACCCCAGAGCTTAAAGAATACTCACACTTCGATGAACCAACATGCTGAGATTTGAGGTCTGAGCCACCTCACCTTGCCATGAACCATTTTCTTATCACGGAAAGCAAGACAGAGGAGGAAGGTGCCTGCAACTCCTCCTGGGGAACATTGTGTCCTTCCCCTTGTTACTGAGCTGTTTCCTCTGTACTGACTGCAACATTGCTATGCTTTTGATGTAAATAAGAAGTTTGAGGGTACTCCTTTGCATTCCTAAACTTGCGGTTTATAGCCAGAACATCATTGCCCATTTTGGGGCATTTTGGAAATTTCTGAGGGTAGCTGTGGTTGTTGGAATTATTGTCAGAGGTTACTGGCATTTGGGGATTAAGGTTATGGGGAGAGGCAAAGTTTTTTTTCCTGAGTCTTAAATAAACTGGATTTTCCATACATGTCACTTCCCTGTAAACTGAGGGAGACTTATATGTTGCTTTATCTGGGAACTTATGAAGACTTGTTGACTGCTTTGGAAAATCACATCACTGCAGGGCATTTCATTCTTGGATTCCACTCTGATACAACATTCCAATATCAGTTTGCTTTGCACCTGTGCATGCCTGGGAAAAATAGAATGAGGGAAATCCAGCTTGTCTACCAACAGTATCTTTTCCAAGATAAGCTGTCAATTGTTGGGGAAAATGAAGTGGGAGATGTTCACAGTGTAATTTCCCTTGAGTTGGTGAAAACACCAGCTATGCCCCTTGCTGTTACTGCACTGAAAGTTCTCTTTGCAGATGTATCTCTCTCACTAGGTTCCCAGGTCCTTTGTGAAAGGTTGAAATTTTACCCAGTAGACCCCTATGTCTTTGGGATGGAACAGAGGACCTCACAGGCAGATGGAGGGCAGGGAACACTTGTGGAATTGTAGTGATCTCTACATGGTTGGATGATCAAACCCTAAGGCACAGTGATGAGCCACGTGGATGTCAGTCTGCAGAGGGTGGGAGGGGAATGCCACAGGCCTCTGCCTTAGGAGCCATGCATCAGAGTGATACCAGCCTGCAGTACTGATCTCAGTTATGCCCTTTAAGGGTCCCAGATGTAAGCAGCCTATTGGTTGGGGTTTCTCTGTTTGTGTGGGTGTTGAGGGGAGTGAGTGGAGAGATAGAGAGAAAGAGAGGAGATTTTGAGAAACTGTCTCAGGCAACTATGGGAGCTGGAAAGTACAAACTTTGCAGAGCAGGATGTCACCCTGGAGTCCCCTGGCAGAGGTGATGTGATAGCTCAAATTTAAGCGCAGTGTGGAGGCAGATGTTTTTCATCTTATGGAGGGCCCCAGTCTTTTTCTTTGAAGGCCTCCAAGTGACTGGATGAGGCTCAAACACATTGTGGAGGACAATTAGCTTTTCTCAAAGTCTGTTGATTTAAGTGTTAGTCTCATATCAGAACACCCCTTCAGAGAGACAGCTACATTGATTAAAGTGAAGAATTTCCTACGTAGTGTGGCCCAGCAAAGTTGACACATCAAATTTCCCATCATAGCTGTCTTGCACAAAAGCTATTAATGATGAATGTCTATCTTAGATAGGCAGGGGACTTCCTAACTAAGATTCTGTATTAACCACTTTTGTCCAGTCCAAGCCACCATTTCAGGCTCAGCTCAACTCTGGCCAGTAAGCTGTAGCTGCCATGAATGCCTTCCAGGGCCCAGGCAGGGTCCGGATAGTCGGGGGACACATGCAAGCACATTGCCAGAGGGCACACATGATACCCCTGGACACCAAGAGTTTACCCTTGTGAGAGCACCCCTCCGGGACATACATTAGTCAGGCAGAAGTTGGCCAAGGCCCCAACATGGCATCCTTCTGTAAGACCTTTCCTCTAGGGTTCCTCATCCAGTCCAAACAATGCATCTGCATCTTTGGCTTAGGGGAACTGTCAGAAGGCAGTCAGTTCAGCATAGTCATTGACACCAGTTCCTCATCTTCACAAGCATGAATGACTTCCATAGGTCTTCTGTGTTCAGGAGCTGGATTGCCCCTCCTGTCCCGGCTGATGTTGCAGCTCTGTCAGGTGTGATCCTAAGCTGAGTATTCAGTGCGGTTTCACCATTGGTCTTAGGGTACAGCTGTAGGTTCCTCACAGAAAAAGAGACTCTCCATCTATGCTGTCTGTCATTGAGTACCTCTGATTCACTGTCATACTGTGGGACTAGGGACATGGTGCTGACACAATGGTGATCTTGCTTTTGCTGCGTCTGCAAGCAATCAGTCAATTGGATCCATTTGAGCTCACTGTCTTCTTACCGGACAAATCTATGGATATGTGACAAGCCAGACTAACAACCGTATTGGTGATCCCTGTGGCCCTGTTAGCCACCACAGGGCTGCTTAGGTACTGCCTGAGCAATTGACACACAATTGTACTGAATTATGTGGTGTTGCCCAATCAGAATGTTGACTTATTCCTCATGGCATCACACAGAGCAAGGAGCAAAGTTTTCAGCACATACTACTGACAGGATTTTCCTTGTCACAGTTGGGTATTTACAAAAATATTTCAGAATTCATTCCATGTGTGACACCATTAATGAACATGTATATTTAAATCAAATAAGCTATGGAAGTCAAATGCATTTAAAAAGGTAACTTCGTATTTTTACTTGCATTTCACAAAGGTAGCTATCACTTAATATAGATGTAGTTGTAAAGGCAAATCAAGTGAAAAGATTAAATTTTAAAGAAAAAAATAAATAACTTGTAAACCAAATTTATGTGCACTGTAATGCCTTCTCGGTATGTTACTTCTTTTATTCTTCATAACAATCATTTAGTGTAAATAATCTCATTTCTAATTTAGAAATGGGGAAACAGTCCCACAGGATATAAGTACTTTGCTCATCATCTCAAGCCAGTGTGTCAGGGCCATGATGGAAACTCATGGGTATTCCATGTTATAGTCTGTGAGGAGACAGTGTAGCTGGGACCCAAGTCATTTTGCTCAGCAAGTTGCCCTGGTTACTTTCCCCTTTCTTCTACTAGGCCCTAATTCTTTCATTCAGCTCTACAGCCTAGGAACTTCTCACATACTTTGTGGCGAATGGGATCCCCTACATTTAGACTCACTTTTTATTTGAACCCTAGCTTTTCAGTCCTTTTGAACAAAAATATTTATAATCTCTGTAAAAGAGAGAAATCATTGCTAATTATAATGCCCTTGCCCTCTCTAAGCAGTGTGGATTTTGAGAAGGGGCCTTTACTGCAGAATTATCTTTTATGGTGTGAGGATACAAATGGAGCTCAGAGGTGTCAGTCGTGTATTATGTATTAGTAAGAGGGATATCAGGCTGGATCCAGGCAGCTGCAGGGGCTCCTGAATGAGATGTGGTGACTGTGAGGCTGATGGATTTTATGTAGATGAAAAATGAGGTTTGGTGCTTCTCCTTCCCTGACTCTTAATAATTTTAAAGAAAGGTCGGACGTGTTTGCATGAGATGTTGTGGACTTGCTCCACAGGGATTGAGACATCATTTCTTCTCTCCGTGTTTCCACTCACTGTTTCAGATGGCTTTAGTATTCTAGTTACATGTTTCTGTACCACAGTAAAATAGGTGTGTTCTCATTAATTTTTTAAAAATGTTTTTGGACCGGTCGGGCGCTATGTGACTCCTAAATGTAATCGCAGCAATTTGGGAGGCTGAGGTGGTCTGATCACCTGAGGTCAGGGGTTCAACACCAGCCTGGTAAACAAGGTGAAACTCCATCTCTACAAAAATACAAAAATTAGCCAGATGTGGGTGCATGCGACTGTAATCCCACCCAATCGGGAGGCTGAGGTGTGAGAATTGCTTGAACCAGGGAGGCAGAGGTTGCAGTGAGCCAAGATGGCACCATTGCACTCCAGCCCAGTGACAGAGTGAGACTGCATCTCAAAAAAAGAAAAAAAAAGTTTTTGGACCAATGGTTTCATCTAGGGATGCCTGTTAGGCCTATGTGCCATGTTTTGGGAAACCCCTCCTTCAAGAGAAGAACAAAGCCTCTTATCTTGAATAATGAAAAAATATATTTTATATATTATCCTAGATTTATATGAAATCATGTGATTACCACGAAAGTCAACATGTACAACACCAGTTCTACGTTCAACACTGTCAGAAGCATTTGCTTCAAGAAAGCGCAGACTGTGAACTTAGAACTTGAGTCCCCATATCTGCTTCTTACTAGAGTCATTTATTGTTAATTTTAGGAAACTCTGACTCACCTTATTAAAGAATTAAATGAGGTCAGAATCAATGAAACATAGCTCACAGAATTGGCTAATGGATAACACATACTCTATAAATGTGAGGTATTATTATTCCTGTTTTTCTTAGAGAACCCATTTTATAAGCCTCCAGAGTAGCTGGGACTACAGTGACATACAGACATGAGTACATTCATACAATCATTCATTTATTTTTGCAGGGGGGGGTCTCGCTGTGTTGCTCAATCTGGTGTCAGTCTCTGAGCTCAAGCAGTCCACCTCCCTCAGCATGCCAAAATACTGGATTACAGACATGAGCCACTGCACCTGGCCACAAGTTACAAAAGTGTTAACTACCTGGGAATAAAATGAATAAAAAATGTGCAAGAATTCTTTGGAGAAGGCTTAAAACTTTATTGAGACATTTTTCAGTCAAATATCTAATATAAAACCAGTTTGTGTTGTTTCAGCTTGTCTTCATTTAAAACTGTGGTTGCCCATCACCTATAATAGAAACATAACAGGAGGGGACATTACTAGCAGAACTGTATTCAGATAAAATTAAAGGTATGAGAAGGACACCGAAGTTTTAGTTTTACACAATGGACTAAAACTAGGAGCCTAAGAGTCACTCTATGGCTTATATTGAATTAGACTTCTGTAGAGACGTAATATGTCTGTATTCTCTGTAGAGAGTACATTTATTACTTATGAATAACTTCAACTAATGATTCATACCTGTCTTTTATTCACTACCTGTCTCCCCATAAGTTTGTTCTGTGGCTCTTCTACTATTATGTTTATTTCTTTGTATTATTTTTATTTGTCATGTAATTTTCTGTCTATTTTAGTAACATGTGCATTTAAGGCTATGATCTTCCTAAGAATACAATTGAGGCTTGTTCGATATGCTTCCAGAAATCGTCTGAAAACTATCTTTTAATGTAAATAGTCTAATGAAATGGTTCAGCAGTGTAGAGTAAAAACATTTAGGTAATTTCTCCCCTAAACATGCAGTTCTTCAGTTAAAATCAGAAAGTCTTCTAATTCATAGCCATCAATTGGCATTATATGCGTAAAAAATACTTATGTCAACTACCCAGGAATTAGTACCCTTAGAATACTTGAAATTTAATTCCTATCATCTGAGGTCTCAAGGCAGAAACCTGTAAAATGTAACCTATGATATGGTTGGAAGAGATTGTATCATACGTGTCTTCTATCTAATTGCACACAGTAGGTCATGAAGACTGACAGGAGGGCAGAGAGCATGCTTAGCACAGGCATCTTACACCTACCTTGAGCATCACTGACCTACGTGCATTCTCTCTACTTATCAGCCACAGAAATAAGACTGTCACTTGCCATTTTATTATAACGGTTTCTTCTGATTTAGCAAGGACAGTATTTTCAACATAGAAAATGTATCTCAAAGGTAAGAGATGATTCATTATATCCAGGGACTCCAGGAAACTACAAACTATACTTATCAATTTTCCAGCCAACTTTCAGCAAACATTTGAGACCCTTTCCTAATGCTTTCTTTCCTCCTGTTACTGCTCAAGGCATAAGGCATGATGCACACATAGGCCTCCTCCCCCCATAGACATTCTTTCTTTCCCTTCCCAGGACCTTGAATCTCAGCTGCACCTTGATCATTCTTCTCTCTCCTGACCAGGTTTTGGATCTTGACTTTCAGCTGGTGGTTCCTCCTCTCATGGCTCTTTATCACTGGGCTCCTGGGAACAGGGGTGTGTGTTTGTCCAGATAAAAAGTTTTGTTATCAATTACATGTCAATAATATAAATGTATATAATACATACATATTGTTGATCATAAGTACGTCTGAAGACATTTCTCCAACACTATACCATATACTAATTGTTCATAGAGTTACTCTTTTCACAGACAGGTTACTCTAATAGAGTTAACCTCAAGGGCTTCAGAAGCCATTTTAATTTATGTTGGGATGAATGTGTGGAATCATGGGATACTTTAATCATTGTACCTATACTAGTTCAACACTATCATGAAAAGGAATTTCTGCTAATGGAAAGCATTGAATGGCAAGGCACTCACAAGCATAGGCCCAATCAGCTCAGGAGGTTGTACATATCATCTTGGTCTAGGCCTATATGTTGATCTTCCTAGCCAATTCATATTTCACAGTGCGAACAGGAAACTGTGATGGGGAAAATGCACTTGACAGGATAGCTATATTTGACCACTTCCATAGCCAAATTTCAACTTGTAATTTTTTAAAAATTTGGTAAGACTTTGAATATAAGTCCTAGGGCAAGTATAAGTTTGTTTGCCTTCTGAATGAAATGCTTGCACATTACATTGGTCAAGCTAGCTGAGCAATGTCTTAAGGCTCTTGGCAAATGACACAGGGTATTTCCGATGAGGTTGGTTTCAAAACTGGACCTTCCACATAAAGACATATAGAAATATACAGCTAGTGAATTAAAACCGCAGTGGCCACGGCTTTTGTCACACAACCATTTGCTAGTCCCATTTCTCCCCTAAAATCGAGTTTTGTTGGAATGCAGAGCCCCATCCATTCGAACCTCTACGGTGGAGTAGACAAGTTGAGACGCATCCCTGAGTGCTCCTACAGACCTGGGAGCTGCCATCAACAACTTGCGGTGCTCTGAGTTTCCAGGCCCCTTCCTTATCTCCCACCTGGCCCTCTCTGGGGTCCCTCACGGTGAGCCTGGAATCTGTCATCTCTCAGGTGTTCCAGGCCCTTGTGGGCCTCGGATACCTTCAACAGGGCCCCCAGCACTCTCCCCATCTTCACCTGATCCCCCTGAAGTCCATGGCCCACCTTTCTCCTTTGTTCTGAACCCACCATAACAATGCCTGTGATGGTGCCGACACACGAGGAAAAGGACAATCACCTCATGACCCTTCACCCTGAGAGGCCAAGGACCATGCTGCCCCATGCTCTGGAAGGCCACGTTCCCCTCCTCACACTCACCCACACTTCCACTCCTGGGAGGGCTGGTCTGTGGACCTACGGACTGCATCTCAGTAGTGGGAGAAAGTGACCCTCACACCCTCACAGCTCTGCGACATTCACCACGTGGCAAAGGGGCCGACTGGAAGATGCCCAGTGAACATGCGCACTGAGGCAGGGGCCCCAGGAGCATGGGCAGGGAAGTCGGTACCTGCCTTGTGGGCTGTGGTGCCCTGCCTTGCCTCACCTCATCCCCCACTCTGCAGGCCTGCCCCCTGCCCCAGGTCACCACTGTGGACTTCAAATGTGCCCTCCGTGGGCGGTTTCATATGCCTCCGGAACTGAAATACTACGAATAGTTTTCCCCTTCAAAATGCACTCCATCTTCATCAGGCCCTCCTTCTCTCTATGGACCTCCTTCCTCCTGTCCAGGCCCTGCACGACAGCAAGGCCGTAGCTCCTTTGTCGCCTGTTAGTAGAAGGACAGGGACCTCAAGGCCCTTCCCCCTAGGAGGCCATGGACCGTGCCCGCAGGCTCCTTCTCACACTCTCTCACACTTCAACTCTGGGAGTACTGATCTGTGGACCTACTGGCTGACTCTTAGCAACACAGAAGGAAGTCACGATGTCTCCTTGCATAGCTCTACAGGGACAGGAGGCAAATAGACAAGGCACCTGGGCAACAAAGGACGTGCACACAATCAGGCACGTGCAGTGACAGCCAGGGTTTTCCCACTGTCCCCAGGCCCACATCCCCAGGGTGGTGTTTGTAGTAGAAAGAGACACGAGATTTTTTTTTTTTTTTTTTGTCTCTTGCCCAAACATTCTCATGCATCCAGAAACATTGGGAACAGAGAGTCCCATGTCACCCTTAGTGGAGGATGTGTCTCAGAAAGACCTTTGTGACAGAAATAAAGACTTGTATGTCTACATTTACACATACTTTTTTCTCAGGGTGTTGCTCTGCCCTCCAGGCAGGAGGGCAGTGGCATGACCATGCTTCACTGCAGCCTCCATCTCCTGGGCTCCAGCCATCCTCCTCAAGCTGCTGCCTCCCAAGTAGCTGGGACTGCAGGTAGACGCCACCAGGCCCAGCTAATGTATTAAATTGTTATTGTTTTAGATGCGGGGTGTCACTGTTTGCTCAGGTGGCTTTCAAACACATGGGCTCAAGTGATCCTCCCATCTTGGCCAACTTTTATACATGCTTTGATTAGTCACTTTCTCCTCTGGTTCTGGGTTTTCTACCATGCATACAATGTAATTAACTACTTCTGTAGACTCAATCAATTCACATCTGTACCCATTCTTTAGGTTGTGTTAACGCATATTTATACTTCTCCACTGGTAACTGATTTCCCTTAATACCTGTAAGGTAATCACCTGTAAGGTAACTCTGTGTGATTTCAACATTGGCTCACAGTGACTTGGAAAGCCTGCGTGGGAAGTATTTCTTGAAGGAAAGTGGAGAGTTTCCAGGAACCATTTTGAAAAACAGAGACAAGCGATGTCCTCCTTCCCTCCCTTGCCTCTCCTCCTGAGCCAGGTTTTCTATTTTCTCCATTGTTACAAAATCAGCATGTAGTATTCTGTGATGAAAAGTTTTCATCTCTTTAATCATCCAGTTTTTTTCCTCTAGACCTTTTTTTTTTCCTGGAAGGGTTGTATGCAGATGGAACAAAACATTTTCAGAAAAACACATTATGATATAAATTTAGTGAAAAGACTCATCATATTTAAGAAATGGTCAGGATGAAATCCTGAATTTATAAAAATTGTAAAAATCAGTTTACATTACCTCCATCCCTTTTGTCTACATCACTTATCCAGTGAGAAGTGTAGAAAAGATGAATTCCTTGCTTGTGACAGCTGCATTAATTAGTCAAACTTCTGGAACCCTTCCATCAATATCATACATTCAGATGTAGTGGCCACAAAATGCAAAGCCATTTTACAACTGTACCTGTTTTTCTTTTTTTTTCTTTTAATCTCATTGTAATTTCCATCAAACCCCTATCACTAAATTCACCATTCACAGAGTTACAAGTATCATGGCCAAGAGAGATCCTGCCTCAAATTTTTTTTTGTGGGTGGTGGGGTGCTGCAGCAGTGGCAGCCCAGCTGATGACAAGGCTGGAATGTGTCTTCACACACCCGCATCGCCCTTTTGAAACAGGGCTTCTCTCTGTTGCCCAAGGTGGAGTACACTGGAGGACTTACAGCTCACCACAACCTAGGACTCCTGGGCTCAAGCGATCCTGCTGCCTTACCTTCCTGAGTAGATGGGACTACAGACACGTGCCATGATGCCCAGCTAATTTTGAAAATTGTGAAGAGCAGGGGTCTCATTATGTTGCCCAGGCTGGCCTTGAACTCCTGGCCTCAAGTGATTCTCCTCCCTCAGCTTCCCAAAATACTGAGATTTCAGATGTGAGCCACCTCATGTCGCCTTTTTTTTTTCCTCACTCTTCTCCCTTTATATAAGGCTTAAGGTTTATCTAAATCCTTGCTCCAGTCCAGGAGACTGGTTTTTTCCCTCCTGCTTGCAGGAAAGAGCAATTCATACGTCAGGGTTTTTGGCCTACTGAAAGTTCTTTGGCAACAATTGCGTCCTTTCTCTACATGCCTACAGGAGAAAACAAAAATTAAAGTCAGCACCAGGCTGCACTTTTCCTTCATACATTATCCTGTGCAGAACAGCGTTTAAGAGATCCAGTGAGCCAGTTCTCTTGCAGCTGGAGGGATTATTGTTAAATGCTGTGAGTACATGTATTTTTCATAATAGACAACAGCTCAGCTGGTGCTTCATACTATGGGGAAATCCATAGTCTCAAAGGAGTGACAACTTCATCTTCTGTATCCCTTCACACTTCCTTTATTCAAACAAGGTTTTCACCATATTGTAGTGAGCCAGGGTATTGCTGGTGAATCACACTGTTGCTGCCACTGTGTCAGGGATCCTCAAGGCCACCCTCACCTTCAGTGATTCCCTGGCATTCTCTGCTGCCCTTCTGCATACAATACTCCTGACTGGAGCCAGCCCCCTCACCTCAGGTGAGGATACCATGTCTCCCACTTTCTCAGGGGCTTTGCTCCTGCAATGATCACTCTTTTCTCCTGAACCATCGACTGCTCCCTCTACGTTGGATCATTCCCCAAGCTAAGGGAAAACTCACCTTCTTCCCCCATGTCCTTTTGTAAGTACCAACACATGTATCTGCTGCCCAGCAAAGGAAAACTGCATGAACTTAAGCATCACACTTCACTGGAGTCCGTTCTCATATTATCTACAAAGGAAAATGAACCACAATATCCAAAACAATTCTGAAGTATAACTTTGGGGTATTCACCGTACATGATGTCAAAATTCACATTAATTCTATTTTATTGATTGATTGACTATGTTCTCAATGAATGGGAAGAAGTGGAGTTCTCTCTTAGCTTGGGGATTGATCTAATATAGAGGGAGCCGTTGATGGTTCAGGAGAGAGGAGTGATCACTGCAGGAGTAAAGCCCCTGAGAAGAGGGGAGGCATGGCATCCCGAGCTGAGGTGAGGGTGCTCCCTTGAGTTAGGAGAATTGTATGTAGTTGTTGATTATGATTTTTAATCATCCAGCCCCATATGGCAATTGTGTTACTTCTCCAATATTCAAGACAGTGTGGCATTTGGGGAAAATCAACAGATCAGAATAGAGTCCAGCAATAGACTCACAGACATAATAAGTTGATTTTCAGAGAAGGGGAAAAGGCAAAGGAGAAAGTTTTTTTTAAATAAATGATGTTGGTTTTCTCCCACCTCGTGGTCACTACATTGTTTTTTATTCCTCTGGTTCCCTTCTCTATGTTTCTCCTTTGCACTTCAACTGGTCTTCTGTTTGTCTTTCTGCCCCAACATAGTGCGATATTTCCCACAGCACGTATCAAGTGTCTTTGTGATATTTGATATGTTCATCACATCAATGATAAACCAGATCAAGAAAATGTGGTACATATACACCATGGAATACTATGCAGCCATAAAACTAAAGAGATCATGTCCTTGGCAGGGACGTGGACAGTGGTGGAGGCCATTATCCTTAGCAAACTAATGCAGGACCAGAAAACCAAATACCGGATCTTCTCACTTATAAGTGGGAGTTAAATGATGAAAACACATGGACACACGGGAGAAGCATCACACACTGGGGCGTACTGGAGGGCGGGGGTGGGAGGAGGGAGAGGATCAGGAAGAATAGCTTGTGGATGCTAGGCTTAATACCTGAGTGATGTGATGATCTGCGCAGTAAATCATGGTGGCACTCATTTACCTATGTAACAAATCTGCACATCCTGCACACGTAACCCTGAACTTAATATAAATTTTGGAAATAAAAAAGTCAGTATCTCAGAATCCCTCTTTCCATGTGTTTGTCATTATGTCATTTATCAAAGCAGTATGGTGACATAAAAGCTCAGGTGTAATAACAGTTAGTATGATTAGTGATTTAGCAGGATTATAGCCCAGTAATTACTAATATTGAATTGCATTGGACTGCTTACAGTACTTAAGGAAAGTTGGTAAGGAAAAATATTCATGCTTCAAAATAATTTTAAAATTCATGTAAAATTGATCAACACTGAATACCACAGATGTCGCTGTCACTGGATGCTAATGAAGTACATAATGGACCCATAAGACACAGTCAATAATAAAGGGGGAAATAAAAGGGAACATATCAAAGCACCATCAGACTAGTGCAGAGGCACACACATGAACACACCCTGCAGCTGCGGAAAGACATGGTAGGAAGTAAAGCCCCACAACTCATCAGCCATCCTTCTCACCAGCTCATGAGTTCACAAATGAGTTTGCTGAGGGTCAAATGTCTACAGTAAAACTGACCGATTTAAATATCACTGAATGCCATTTCAAGCCTTAGGTAGAAAGCTACAGACAAGAGTGAACTTATTCTGAGCAAGTCTTAATCCATCATCTTCACAGATGGCTAACAGAAATGGCCTGTAAATATCTTGTCTGACAACCGCTAAAGTACTGACATCCAAACTCTTTTATTACAATGCATGAGAGTGTTGCGGGAAAATCAGAGATGGGAGAGACGGAACAGAGTTCAGGAGAGCCCTTTATTATTAAGGTGATCACCGGCTCAGTCGGACTAGGGTCCAGAAAGTCTGAGCCCCGAACAAAGGGATCAATCACCTTTTAAGTAGTTTGTGGCGGGAGTTACGTGCTGCAGGAAGCGTACTTGTGGAAGCGAGAACAAAGGCAGTTAATCTTTCTTTCACATTTGTTGCACCACATGTCTTACATCCTTGGGAATACATGTTTTTGTAGCATTTGCTTATCAACCTTGTGACTTCACAGCCGCGCTAGGGAGGGAAGAAAGAACTCGCTGTGCCTCAAGGAATGTGAAATGATGGAACACAGATAAGCCTCTCTGAGCATAGAGGAGAAATAAGCAGTTAATATTCTCTTTTAACCCAGGCCTCTGGGTTGGGGGGCTATATGACATTCTACCTTCAAGGAAAATAATACATTTCTTGACTATTATATTTAAAAAATTCATTAATTCCCCCTTCATTTCCCCACTTTGGTGCTTGCCATACATGCAGATTAATAAAGGGCACCACAGTCGTTTATGTCTTCCGGTGTAGGCTCATATTCTTCTTGAGGGACTGATTGGTATTTTTGCAGTGCCATTAGTTTGGTGGTAGTCGTCCGGTCTACTACTGCTTCAGTGGTGGATTGGATGCTTCTGATGAGAAGAAGTAAAAGCCAAGGCAGTATTAGGCATCCTCCAGTTATGACTATAAAACCGATTATTAGAGTTTTAAAGCCTCCAAGCCATGAGAACCATCCTCCAAAAAGTGTATTTGGGCTCCATCTGGACCAGGTCTGCACTGAGACATGGGCTAACTTTCACATCTTAGCAGTAATTTCCATAACAGCTCTTCCATTGTTGTCAATTTGTAAGCAACAGTTGGTCAAATTTAGTTTGCCACAAACTCCTCCTTTGGAGGCTAGGAGATAGTCTAACGCTAGCCTATTTTGGTATATGGCATCCCTCATTTGGGTGGCATGTATAGCTAGCAAATCTAAGGCTCGAGCTGTCTCATTGACTATAATTTCTAGTACCGCTTGTAATCTTATAATTCAGTTCAGCATGTATATAGGAGTATGGTAACCCCATGACCCATCTTGGGCCTACGTAGTTGGTCCATAATATTTTATGATCCTCTCTGGAGGCTATTCATTGTCTTTCCAATTTCTTATTTCAATGTCTTTTCTTATGTTTGTGTTTACCTTTTTGGCGGTACTTATCTGGGTAGAGACATTTCTTCTGGTCCTTTTCCTTTCTTTGTTATAGACTGGGTAACTTAAATCTTCTCCTTGGGTTAATGGGAGTAAGAAGAAAGATGGTCTTATTGTTCCTAATACACAGGCTCTGATCCAATTTTCAGGCAATAGTTGGTAGGCCTTTGTCCCAGAGATCCAGTATAGTCCTGCTGGTGCCTTCCAAATATTTGGGACATCCAGCTGATACCATGACTGATTTAACACTGGAAATTGGGAGAGGGGATTGAAATCCAGCACAGAGGAATTATCTGTACAACTTCTCTCCTGGGTCTTATTTTCTGATTCCTCGAAATATTGTTGATGTGAACAAGTTGTATCCCCTACCTGAGTTTGAAAGTTTTTTTCCCCATCGTGCTATGCAATATCTCCCAATGATAGGGGCCTTTAGTAGCCAAACACTTGGGTTGGCATTGAATTTTGTAACAAATTCTGGTATGGTAAAATTATCTTGTGGCATTAATTCTCTGGCTTCCCAAGGCCATTGATCTCCCATATTTGTACCTCCACAAACATAACGTGATGTGACCCCAAGATTAGTAGCAATACTTTCAGCTAGTTGAGCAAACAGATTTTCTGCTGTTATTGGTGGAATTTGAATCTTTGATTCTTTGGGGTCGAAATGCTTAATAAGGAATTTATAAAACCTGAATTGCTGCATTGGGTTAACTTGAACTTTAGCTCGTTGAGTCTTTTTAATAATTACATTCGGAATCCCTTGGTTTGCTCCTTCCTGGTTAAAGCCCATTAGTCCTTTATGTCCGTTAGTCCAGAAAGGCATATTTGGTTTCAGTATAGTCAGATTGAGGGGGTTGCATGTTCGGGTTGTGCACCCAATTTTGGCTTTCAGGCAGGCAAACAAAGCCACTCTTCCTGGGTAAAGGTGCTGACTGAACTCGTGGGTAGTCCATTGACTGTGACAGTCAAGACAATCCTTTTCTGTTTCTCCCATTAAGATCTTAGCAGCTTTGCTGCTGATTCTTTCCTGGCCTAGATCCCTACAGACCACTCCTAGATTGTTCAACTTGCTAAGATGTGCAGCTTGGCAGGCATCAAAATATATTGAGACAGGCCCTCTGTGTGAAAAAGGAAATACCTTTGTTTTGGTTACAAGCTTCCCTACTCCAGTGTCTATTGGATTCGTATATGATGGCAACAAGGGTTCCCCTATTCGGATTTCAAGCCAGAAATCGTAGGGCAGGGATTCCAGATCATAACAGATTTGAGGCTGCCCATTTCCCAGGTCACAAACAGAGTAGCTGGTTTGGTTATAAACACAAGTTCCTACCTGAGTCCCTGTGCACTCATAGTAGGTCTGGTATATCAGAGTCTTAGTTATGCCTTTTTCAGACCAAGCATCCATCATGCAGTGATGGCAACTATCTTGGTTTCCTTGGACAGCTGTTAGCATTTTTGCTACTAGTACAATCAGGTTTAGACTATGCACGGGCATCCTCCTGGGCAGCAAGTTCGACAGCAATTGCAAAGGTAACATGACAGTAAGACAATTAGTACAAGCAAAAGAATAACTACACTGGCAAATTCTATCCACATTTACTTATCTGGCACTGGCTTCCTCAGGCTTCGGCCATGTGTAGACTACTCAGCTTCCGGTTGTGTGACTAGAGCAAGGTTTGGTGTTTCTTCAAGCTTCAGCCATACATGGACCGACCAGCCTCCAGTGTGGTCGGAGCAGGGCAGTCGTCCTTCTCTGACGCACCTTGGTCTTTCTGCAAGATCAGTCCAGCTGGATTATCTGGATCTTGCTTACTTGTCCACCAGTCTGGAGCTGGGGCTGCAGGTTTCAGCAGGCTATGATGAACCCAAGGTGTGATACCTGCAACTTTAACAGTGGTAGGGGTAGACATGATTGTTGTGGGAAGTCAGGAACCCCGAATGGAGGGACTGGCTGAAGCCATGGCAGAAGAACATGGATTGTGAAGATTTCATGGACATTTATTAGTTCCCCAAATTAATACTTTTATAATTTCTTACGCCTGTCTTTACTGCAATCTCTGAACATAAATTGCTAAGATTTCATGGACACTTATCACTTCCCCAATCAATACCCTTGTGATTTCCTATGCCTATCTTTACTTTAGTCTCTTAATCCCATCATCTTCGTAAACTGAGGAGGATGTATGTCACCTCAGGACCCTGTGATGATTGCTTTAACTGCACAAATTGTTTGTAGAGCATGTGTGTTTAAACAATATAAAATCTGGGCACCTTGAAAAAAGAACAGGATAACAGCAATGTTCAGGGAACAAGAGAGATAACCTTAAACTCTGACTGCCGGTGAGCCGGGCAGAACAGAGCCATATTTCTCTTCTTTCAAAAGCAAATGGGAGAAATATCACTGAATTCTTTTTCTCAGCAAGGAACATCCCTGAGAAAGAGAACGCATCCCTGAGGGTAGGCCTCTAAAATGGCCGCTTCAGGGGGCGGCCATCTTTTATGGTCGAAGCTGTAGGGATGAAATAAGCCCCAGTCTCCTGTAGCGCTCCCAGGCTTATTAGGACGAGGAAATTCCCACCTAATAAATTTTGGTCAGACCGGTTGTCTGCTCTCAAACCCTGGCTCCTGATAAGATGTTATCAATGACAACGCGTGCCCAAAACTTCATTAGCAATTTTAATTTCGCCCTGGTCCTGTGGTCCTGTGACCTCGCCTTGTACACTCCCTCCCCTTTTGAAAATCACTAATAAAAACTTGCTGGTTTTACGGCTCAGGGGGCATCATGGAACCGGCTGACATGTGATGTGTCCCCCGGACACCCAGCTTTAAAATTTCTCTCTTTTGTACTCTGTCCCTTTATTTCTCTCTTTTGTACTCTGTCCCTTTATTTCTCAGACCGGCTGACACTTAGGGAAAATAGAAAAGAAACTACGTGAAATATTGGGGGTGAATTTCGCCTGATATCTGGCTGAATTTCCCCCGATACATGATCACAACATGGGGGCCATCCCATAAAGGCCTGAGGGTGATGGGGTTCCAACGTTTAACCCATACAGAGTCTCTGGGTTGAAAGGGTTGTACTGCATCTGTAAGACTAACAGGTATTCTCTGTCTTACCCACCCTTGTACTTCTTGCATTACTTCACCTAATGCCTGCATTTGTCTCCTTAGAGTTAGTTCTCCTATTTCTTTTAAATCTCCTCTTATTTGAGCTATGAGTTGGGGTGGTCGGCCATACACTATCTCATAGGGTGAATACCCAGTTAATTTAGTGGGGGTACACCTGACTCAGAGAAGGACCATTGGCAACACCTGATCCCACCTTAAATGAGTTTCCTGGCAAAACTTCTTCCACAGTTGTTTCAGTGTTTGGTTCATCCTTTCAACTTTTCTGGAACTCTGTGGATGATAGGCAGTACGCAGCTTCCGTTTAACATTTGGGTTAACTGCTGCACTACTTCTGCCACAAAGGCTGGTCTGTTATCTGAGCCTAAAGTTAGTGGCAGTCTAAATCTAGGAATAATGTCTTTTAGTAGTATCCTGGTTACTTCTCGAGCCTTCTCTGTTCTGGTGGGAAATGCTTCAACCCACCTTCAAAAGGTGCAGACTAACACTAACATGTACTGATAGTCTCCAGCCCAAGGCAGCTGGGTAAATTCTACAAGCAGGTTTTCACATGGCAACTGCTCCTGTTTCTTGAATTCCTGGGGGCCGAGTGGGCCCTTGTCTGGGGTTATTTTGAGCACATATGACACATTGCTCGCAGATGGCTCCTGTGACGGCAGTCAGGTGTGGTACAAAGAAGTATCACCCTACAAGAGTTTCTAAGGCTGTCTTCCTTATCTGTGTTCCTTGGTGAAGTTGCTTTATAAGTCGAGGGGCGACGGCTTCTGGGATGGCAAGCCTCCCGTCTGAAAACTTCCACCAGCCTCCTTTCTTTGATAATCCCCGTTTTCCTGTGCGAACCATGCCTTTTCACTGGAGGTGTAGTTAGGAGTTTCTGCAAGGGGAGGTTCTAATAAGGGCATGACATAAGTCTCTCTTTTTTCTGTCATTTTTGTTATTGCAGCCCTTTTTGCTTCCCTGTCTACTTTCCTGTTTCCTGTAGCCTCATTACTTCCTCCTGTTTGATGTCCATTACAATGAATTAATGCTACTTTCTTTGGAGTCCATACTGCCTCTAGGAGCTGCTCTATTTCTTTTTTGTTCTTTATTTCTTTCCCTTCAGTAGTTAACAGTCCTTTCTCCTTGTAGATGGCTCCATGAGCATGCAAGGTAGCAAAGGCATATTTTGAGTCAGTATAGATATTCACTGACTTTCCTTTTGCTAGAAGTAGCGCTCTTATGAGAGCTATTAGTTCTGCCTTCTGTGCAGAGGTTCCTACTGGTAAAGGGCAGGCCTCAGCGACTGAGTTCAGTGTGGCTACTGCATATCCAGCCTTTCTGATACCTTCGGATATGAAGCTACTTCCATCAGTAAAATACTCTATGTCTGGGTCCTTTAGGGGCTGGTCTTTTAGGTCTTTCCGGCTTGAAAAGACTTCATCTACTGTTTCTACACAGCAATGATACCCTGGGGCACATAACGGGGGCTTCCCATGCTCTGCATATTCTATTGGCAGAAGTGTAGCCAGATTTAGGGTGTTTACAGTCTCTAAGGTGATGTATGGATTTTCACACAGGAGCCATTGGTATCTCAGCATTCTAGGGTTAGAGAGCCAACGATGTCCTCCTCTCTGTTCCATCAGGGTGACAACTGTATGGGGCACCTGAATTATCAACTTCTGTCCAAAAGTGAGCTTGTTAGCATCCTCAGCTAACAGAGCAGTGACAGCCAGCACCTTGAAACGGGGCGGCCATCCTGTGGCCACCCAGTCCAGTTGCTTGGACAGATATGCTACAGGTAGATACCATGACCCTAACATTTGCACCAAGACTCCTGTGGCCATCTCCTTTCTTTCATGAACATACAGATAAAAGGGCTTTGTCAAGTCTGGCAACCCGAGTGCCAGAGCTTGAATTAAAGCTTTCTTGATTTCCTTGAAGGCCATGTCCTGTTCTTTTCCCCAAAGGAGGGGCTCCTTTATCCCCACTTTGGTAGCCTCATATAAAGGTTTTGCTAAGAGCAAGTAGTTGGGGATCCATATACGGCAGAAACCAGCCACCCCAAGGAACTCCCGTACATGCCAGTGTCGTGTCTGGCCAAGGAATGCTACACACAGTCTCTTTTCGCTCTCGCACAAGCTCACGCCGCCCTTGGGGAATAGGAAAACCAAGGTACTGAACTCCTTGGCCACAGATATGTGCCTTTTTCTTAGACACTTTATAGCCAGCCTCCCACAACACTCAAAGGAGATTCTCTGTCCCTTCGATACATTCCTTTCTAGTGGGTGCGGCCAACAATAAATAGTCAATATATTGCAGTAAGATACACCGGTCACTAGGTGGCGTGAAAGCCTTCAAGTCTGAGACAAGCCCTTCCTCAAAGATAGGGGAGTTCTTAAATCCTTGGGGAAGTCTAGTCCAGGTATACTGAGGTGGTCCCCACTCAAAAGCAAAGATGTCTCAGCTCATAGGGGCTAACTGAATGCAAAAGAATGCATCTTTTATGTCCAGGCATGTGAACCAAGCAGCACTAGCAGGCATTTGTCCAAGCATAGTATACGGGTTAAGTACAACAGCATGCTGTGTAGCCGCCACCTTGTTGACTGCCTTTCAGTCTTGTACAGGTTGGTAGTCACCAGACGGTTTTAACACTGGCAGCAAGGGGGTATTCCAGGAGGAGGTACATTCTTCTATTATCCAGAACTCAAGGAGTCTTTTTAAATGTTTTTCAATTCCCCAATAGGCCTCCATGGGAATGAGATATTGGCGAATCCGCACTGGATAGGTTCTGCGCAGTAACTCTACTACCGCAGGTGCTCTATTCACTGCTAGCCCGGTGGGGTTGTCCTCTGCCCAGACACCTGGCAATTTAAGGAGCAGATCTGTAAACAGTTTTTCTCCTTTAGCTACAGTGTATCTCTTTCCACATTCTTGACAATTGCTTTCGTAAAGCCTCCATTCCTCTGTTTTTTGAATAGTGAGTGTTAATACCATAGCCTCTTTCAGTCCTAGGCTTAAGGTCATATCTCCACTGGGTGTAAAGGAGATCTGAGCCTGCAACTTGTGTAGCAAGTCTCTTCCTAATAGTGGCACTGGGCAATTTGGCAAAATAAAAACTTGTGTTGGACTTCTTGGTTCCCAATCATACACCTCCTAGATTTGAAAAAAGGTGTCTTTTCTGTGGTACCTGTGGCTCCGATAATGTTCACATAGTCCTTTGATAACGGTCCAATTGTCTGAGTCACAACCGAGTGTTCAGCACCTGTATCTATCATCAAGTCTGTTTTTTGGCCCCCTACTACCATTGAGACCATAGGCTCCTCGGGGCCCAGTGAAATGGAGCTTGGTCTGTCTCAGTCCTCAAGATAATCGTTGGCTCCTGCCAGCCCAGTTAGATCCATGTCTGCTCCTATTATGTCCTGTTCAGTGGCAGAAGGAGGTCCTATCCAGCCATTCCGTCCCTGGTTGTTGCCTTTATCTTTTCCCTTCTCTGGGCACTCATTTTTCCAATGCCCTCTTTGCTTGCACCTGGCACATTGATATCTCTCTAGTCTTGGCTGTCCTTCCTGACCTGTCCTGGCCTTCTGGCCTGACCTAGCTTGTTCTCTACCTTGACCACATCCTTGACCATGTCCATGCCCTCTTGCAAATCTGGCTTCTCTTTCAACCAAAGCTGCGGCTAAAAACTCTGCCTTCTCCTTTGCCCTACACTTGGCTTCCCTCTTAGCTTCTTCATCCCAATTCACATAAATCTTGGTTGCCACCTGGATTAACTGGGATATGTTCATACCCTCAAACCTTTCTAATTTCTGCAGCTTTCGTTTTATGTCATTCTGTGCCTGACTTACGAATGCTGCATTAACCATGCACTGATTCCCTGCTGCTTCCGGATCAAATGGCGTGTAGAGCCGGTAAGCCTTACAAAGCCTTTCACAGAGCTCACTGGGGCTTTCATCTGGTTTTTAATGGACCTCTGAGACTTTTCCAATGTTTGTTGCTTTTTTCCCTCCAGCTTTTATTCCTTGTACTAACACTTCTCGATATCTCAACAAGTTCTGCAGTCCTTGAGCCTGATTTGGGTCCCAGCCAGGCTCTATTTCAGTTGGTAAAGCCTGCTGCGCATACTGCTTAACATTGGCTGTGCCCACAGGGGCATTGCTCTCTAGCCACTGATGAGCCGTTTGTATTACTTGGCAGCATTCGTCTGTATTAAACAGTGACAGGAAAAGTTGTTTGCAGTCTGCCCAAGTTGGGTTGTGGGTTAGAAGGATGGACTTCATTAGGTCAATGAGAGCCTGGGGCTTCTCCGTATAGGAGGGAGTATGTTGCTTCCAATTGAAAATGTCAGTAGTGGACAAGGGCTGATAGACATAAATCTGCTCCCCTCCCTGAACTTCATTTTGTGCGTCTAAATAGATTTGCCCTCTGGTCTCTTGGAGGGGCATTTGCGTGGCTCGGGCACGTCCGGACCAGAGCCAGCCTGCCCCGTCCTGAAACTCCTCCTTTGATTTATCTGGCAGTGGTTCCAGTCCTTCCCACTATGGGGAAGTTTGGGGAGTACTCTCTTATGAATCCAACCCTCCAGAGGTGGCTACCGGAGCAGCCTCTTGCCTAAGCCTCTCCAGAGATGGGTAGATTGGAATGTAGTGGGGTGGAGTTTCCAACTCTTTGGGCGGGGCTTGTAGGACAGGTTTTTCTCATTTTCCTTGCTGCTCCTTCTCCTGAGACAGCGCTTTGTGGGTTCTACAGTGCCCTGATTTGCATGAGCCACTAAAGTCTTACAATCATCTTCAAAGCAGGCCTGTAGCCATTTTGGGTGGTTCTGAATTACGCTCAGCCAGGAGTCTATATGTGGAAACTGATCAGGGTGCCCAGGTTGTTCCCCGACTCTGGTTACCACCCAGAACACTCGGCCAATTGTTTCCCTATCTATGGTTCCCTCGGCAGTTCCACCCTACATTAAAAGAGGGCCAGTCAATTTCAAAAAGTGTTCTCAGCCTCTGTGGTGTTAACTTCATTCCATAATCACCATCAAAGCCTTTCCTAAAGTTCTTCAACATACATTCTGATGGAGCTGGCTTCCATGCATTTCCTCCCATTTCTTCCCTTTCGGTGCACTTTCACTCTCACTTTCACTCTCAGAGTCACCAGACCAGGTCCTATTATGGGAGGTTCAGATGCTGCTTGGCCAAGTCACAGCCAACTACTGCTGTGAAGGTATAAACCTGATCCTGTCGGCCTTATGCAGCGACCTAGGTCTGGCTCGTCCCACACTCACTTCCGAGGACACAGTCTGCGCTGAGAGACTTATGCCTCCCAACATCACTCCCCGCATTGGCCTCTCACAAGACTGTCTCTTTCATGCTTTTTCACACACCTCCCCCTTTCTCCCAAGAACCAGTGTCCTGAGACTGGCTCATGAACTTTGTTCATGCCCAATGCCAATCTGGGCGTGAGTTTTGTCTGAGTCAACAGGCCCCTCCCGTTGATTGCTCTCTAGAGTAGGACTAATCGCCGCACCCTGAGAGGTGATCAGGCTCCCCTTCTGTCCTTATGGGACGGGCTTTCCTAGGGCCCAAATATAGCATGGTTCAGTAGTCTGCCTGCATGCTGCTCCTGTGACTGTCCTGCAACTCCCGAGTCGGTTCCGTTTGCGCTGTCAAGTGAAGGCTTCAAGACACGAGAGAGCCGTTCTCCTTCTGGGTAACTTCACCCAGTGGCGCCAAGGGTCCCAAATCTCCCGCGTCCTGGGGCTCAAGCCCATAGGTAAAGGAGACAAAAACCTACCATCTCCAATCCCGGATGAGCCCCCAGAAATGTTGCAGGACAAATGAGAGATGGGAGAGACAGAACAGAGTTCAGGAGAGCCCTTTATTGTTAAGGTGATCACAGGCTCAGTCGGACTAGGGTCCAGAAAGTCTGAGCCCTGAACAAAGGGATCAATCACCTTTTAAGTAGTTTGTGGCGGGAGTTACGTGCTGCAGGAAGCGTACTTGTGGAAGCAAGAACAAAGGCAGTTAATCTTTTTTTTACATTTGTTGCACCACATGTCTTACATCCTTGGGAATACATGTTTTTGTAGCATTTGCTTATCAACCTTGTGACTTCACAGCCGCGCTAGGGAGGGAAGAAAGAACTCGCTGTGCCTCAAGGAATGTGAAATGATGGAACACAGATAAGCCTCTCTGAGCATAGAGGAGAAATAAGCAGTTAATATTCTCTTTCAACCCAGGCCTCTGGGTTGAGGGGCTATATTAAATTCTACCTTTAAGGAAAAGAATAAATTTCTTGACTATTACACTCATAAAATTCATTAATTCCCCCTTCAAGAGTACACAGTTTGTATATAGTTGACTACGCAAATAAATATATGTATGTGTATGGGGATGTGCACTGTATTTGTATATTCTATATGCAGTGAATGCTCTTTAGTAATTTATTTTATCTCCTTTTTTTAAAATGCTGTTGCTGGCTGACAACATTAACCTTATGATCCACCATGGATTAAAAACCAGTTTAGAAACGACTAAAACCTTTTCAGAGAACATCCTTATGTTGCTATAGAATATATGCAAATACACGTGAGAACCCATTTTTGTCCACCTCCTTAGCAATTCAGTGTTTTTAGACAAAAAGTTCTTCTTTGATATGGGCCACAAAGACAACAACAAAAGGTACAGTTACTGATGAAATGTTTGTCAGTTATCAGCGTCTGTTTTGCACAGGTGAAGTCTTACTTGCACAGACAGGAACTCACAGGCAAAAGGGACAAAAAATACACGTGACTTCTTGTCCTCTTGGTATCACATGCAGGCTTTGCCTGGGCTGCAGCATAGCTGAATGTCATCTATGGCATCCATTCACAGGGGGACCTCCATTTCCCTACTGTGCTCCCATGTTATGGGACAAGCAGGAGAGTTGCACTGAACATGGTAGGTAGTAAATAATTTGGCCTCAACCACAAAGCAATCTGAGCTCACATGTCAGTGTTTACCCTGTGCCCTGAAACTTGCCAGCTGCTCAGAATCTGTAGACTTTGTCCCACCCACCAAACATCCTGTGGAAATCTAAGTTTGGTCATAGATTCCCGTGCATGGAAGATGGGAAGCTCTGCTCATGTGGGAAATTGAGCCCTCCCACAGGTAGACTGGCTGTGTTGGTCCCAGCTCTGTTTCCTCCCTTAGCAGCTAGAGAGTTGCTAGGGTCATGTATCAGGCAACTCTTCTCTCTACAGTGTCTTTTATACTTTCTGTTGCAGCCTGTGAGTCACAAGGGCTCCTTCACAGCTTCCCTGATCCCAATCCTATTATGATCCTTTGAACTCATCCAGCAAGTCTGGAGTTATATTCCATAGGAATGGCAGCAGGAAGCTCAAATTTGACATGAAATTCAAGCCTGCCCTTTGAGCTGGAGTGAGGCCACTCAGGAATCATTAAAGTCCAGGTCTGTGTGTGATGGTTAATATTAAGTGTCGAGTTCATTGGATTGAAGAATGCAAAGTATTGTTCCTGGTTGTGTCTGAGAGGGTGTTGTCAAAGGAGATTCACATTTGAGTTGGTGCGCTGGGAGAGGCAGATCCACCCTCAATCATGGAGGGTACCATCTAATCAGCTTCCAGTGTGGGTAGAATAAATCAGGCAGAAGAAGGTGGAAAAGCTAGACTTGCTGAGTATTCCGGCCTTCCACTTTCTCCCATGCTGGATGCTTCCTGCCCTCTAACATTAGGCTTCAAGTTCATCAGCATCTGGACTCGTGGACTTCCACCAGTCATCTGCCAGGGGCTTTGGAGCCTTCAGCCATAGACTGAAGGCTGCACTGTTGGCTTCCCTACTTTTGAGGTTTTGGAACTCGGACTGGCTTCCTTGCACCTCAACTTGCAGATGACCTCTTGTGGGACTTCACCTTGTCATCGTGTGAGTCAATACTCCTTAATAAACTCCACTTCATATTTACATCTATGCTATTAGTTCTATCCTTCTAGATATCGCTGATACAATACAGCGATATATATATATAGTATATATACATATACAATATATATAGTATATATACATATACAATATATATAGTATATATACACAATATATAGTATATATACTATATATAATATATTAATATATTATATATATTAATATATTATATATTAATATAATACATTAATATATATTATATATATCGATATATATTATATATATCTATATATATTATATATATAGATATATATTATATATATCTATATATATAATATATATCTATATATATTATATATATCTATATATATTATATATATCTATATATATTATATATATCTATATATATTATATATATATGTATTGTATGTGTGTATATATATATATATATATATATATAGAGAGAGAGAGAGAGAGAGAGAGGGAGAGAGAGAGAGACGGAGACTTGCTCTGTCACCCAGGCTGGATTACAGTGGCAAGATCCCGGCTCACTGCAATCTCCGCATCCCGGGTTCAAGTACTTCTCCTGCCTCAGACTCCCTAGCAGCTGGGATTACAGGCACTCATCAGCTCACCAGGTAATTTTTGTATTTGTAGTAGAAACGGGGTTTTGGCATGTTGGCCAGGCTGGTCTCGAACTCCTGACCTCAGGTAATCTGCCCCCCTTGACCTCCCAAAGTGCTGGGATTACAGGCATGAGCCACCACGCCTGGCCTCCCTCACTTTAAAAGACCCACTTTACGCCAATTTCAAAATCAGAATAAATATACCTAAATCCCTTTGACCTCTAACATACTAGTGCCCCTGTCAAGGTAGTGCTCTCCCTTACGGCATTATGCAAATAATGTCAGCCCTGCCTTATGAACAGGCTACTTGGCTGATACTTGAGGAGTACAGTATATGATGCAGATAGTCACCACTGCTGTGCATCATGTCACAGTAGACTGCGCCTAGATCCTGTCATCAATATCTATGAATATTTCTGAACCATAATACACAGTGTGAATGACCTACAGGTATATTCAGGTAAATCAGTTACCATTCCACAGATTTAAACGTGCAATAACACAATCTTAAAAAAAGTAAACACGTGTGAATATATTTAGTCTGCAGAAGAGTTTATTCCATTACATTCATTAGAAGCATGGCAGAAAACTGAAAACCAGAGGAAAAAGTGATTAATCAAAGCATGTATAAAAATTGGCCAAGGTGTGAGGACCACTTGAGCCCAGGAATTTGAGACCAGCATGGGCAACAGAGTGAGGCCCCCCTCTAAATATAAATTAATTGCCCAGGTGTGGTGTTCTCATCTCTAGTACCACCCACTTGGGAGGCTGCACCATGAGGATTGTTTAAACCCAGGAGATCGAGAGTTTAGTGAGGTATAGGACACATCCTCCATTAAAGGTGACATGAGACTGTGTGTTCACAATGTTTCTCAATGCATGAGATTGTTTGGGCAAACAAAAACAAAAGCTCTCTTTAGTCTCTCTTTCCTTCTTTCCTTCTTTCTTTCTTTCTTTCTTTCTTTCTTTCTTTCTTTCTTTCTTTCTTTCTTTCATGGAGTTTCACTCTTGTTGCCCAGGCTGGAAAGCAATGGCGTGATATTGTCTCACTGCAACCTGCACCTCTGGGTTCAAGCGATTCTCCTGCCTCAACCTCCTGAGTAGCTGGGATTACAGACATGTGCCACCACCCCCGGCTAATTTTGTATTTTTAGTAGAGATGGAGTTTCTCCATGGTGGTCATGCTGATCTTGAACTCCCGACCTCAGGTGATCTGCCTACCCACCTCGGCCTCCCAACGTGCTGGGATTTCAGGCATGAGCCACTGCACCCAGCCTAGTCCCCTTCTTTCTACTATAAGCACCCCGTGGATGCGGGTATGAGAACAGCAGGAAAACCATGGCCCACCCTGCAAGTCCTGCAAGTGCCTGACTCAATGGGCATGCCCCTTGCTATGTAAGTTCCCGCTGCCCATGCACCTTGCTGTCTGCCTTCTGTCCCTGCAGAGCTGTGGAAGGAAACGTCGTGACTCTTTCTTGCCAACTGTGACATAGCAGGTAGGTCTGCAGATCAGTCCTCCCAGAAGTTGAAGTGTCAGTGAGTGTGAGGGAAAGCAGAGGGCTTCCCATGGGTTGGACCACTTGTTCCATGGCCTCATAGAGGTCGTCATCCTTCAACTAAAAGGCAGCAACACCGCCATGGCCTTGCTGTTGTGGGGTCCCGGGCAAGGGAGGAAGGAGGGCCGTAGAGGGGAGGAAGGCCAAGTAAACATGGAATTAGTTGAAGCATGACATTATCTGAGGTATTTCAGTCTCGAAGGCATAAAAAACCACAGAGAAGATGGATTCCAAAGTCCTTAGTGGGGACCTTGGAAGGGGCAGAGGACAGGGCAGGACCGGAGGAGGAAGGGCAGTGCAGCCCTTAAGGCAAGAGAGGACCTCACTGTGCATGCTCCTCGGGTGCCCACCTCAGTGCACATGTTCACTGGGCATCTTTCCATCTGCCCCTTTGCCCATATGGTGAACGCTACGGGGTTGTCAGCCTGCAGCTCGGGACCCTGAGGTCTGGATTCTTTCTCCACTACTGAGACGCAGCCGGTAGGTCCACAGGCCAATTCAACTGGGAGTTGAAGTGTGAATGAGGGTGAGGAGGAGCCAGTGGGCTTTCGGAGGCTCGGGCATCGTGGTCGGTGACTCCAAAGGAGAAGGGCTTTGAGGTCACCATCCTTTTCATGCCGCCTGGCGACTATGGGCCTTCTTGTCTTGTTGGAGTCTGAACAAAGGGAGAAGGAGGGCCTCAGAGTGGGTTGGGGGGTGGTGTAGGTGAAGCCAGGGTGATACTGGGGTGCTGTTGGTGGTATCCGAGTTCCAGAAACGCCTGAAAACCCCAACAGAGGACAGATTCCAGACTCCTCAAGGGGGATCAGGGCTGGGACGGCTTGGGCGGTAAGGAAGGGGCCTGGAAAGTGGGAACTCTTCGGGGTGGTGACCTTGGCTACAAGGTGTGTATAGTGCCCTGCAGAGGTGCCCAACCAGTGAGGACCACCCAGCGCTGTGTGGCAACTTCTCAACTCCATCTTGGAAGTTCCAATGGGTGGGGCTCTGCGTTCCAACAAAACTTGATTTTCAGGGGGAAATGGGCCTAGCAACTGGGTGTGTGACAAAAGCCATGGTCAGTTTAATTTTAATTCTCAAGGTGTATTTTCCTAAATGCGTCATGATGGAGAGTCCAGCTGTGAAACTAAACCTCATCGGAAATACCATGTGTCTTGCCATGAGCATTAAGACATTGCTCAGCTAGCTTGATCAAATTAAGTGGCTGTGCAAGCATTCGATTCAGAAGGCATGCACATTGATACATGCCCTGTGTCATACTTTTCAATATATTACCAACTTTTTAAAAAATAACAAGTTAACATTTAGCCATGGAAATGCTCAAATATAGTATCCTCTTACATGCATTTTCCCACAGTATTCTGTTTGCAGAGTGAAATATGAGTTGGCGAGGAAGATTAACATGTAGATCAAGACAATATTTACAGCCTGTTCAGCCGATTGGGCCTCTGCTTGTGAATGTCTTACCATTCGATGTTTTCTATTTGCAGAAAGTTATTTTTCTGATAGTGTTGTTGGACTCGTATAGATACACTGATAAAGGCCTCCCATGTTGATAAAAAATGATTGTGGCATCTCATGAAGGAAAGACTAACCCAAGAAGACTAAGTACTGGTTTTGCGTGGATTTTGCTGATGATTCCTTCCTCATGCTTATCCATAGCACATTACATACATTCAATCCAAGGTAAATTAAAATGGCTTCCAAAGCCATTGAGGATAACTGCCTTAGAGTAACCTCTCTATGGGAAGAGTAACTTTATGAAGAATAAGTATGTGGAATAGTGTGGGGATAGTGTTGGAGCATGTCTTTCGACATGCTTATGATCAGAAGTACCTATGTAATCTGTATATTCATATTATTGACATGTATTGATAAAACTTTGCACACACACAGACACACACACACACACACCTCGTCCCAGGAGCCCAGTGTGCCAGAGCCTTAACAAGAGGAACCACAAGCTGAAAGTCAGAATGGTACACCTGGTCAGAAGACAGAAGAAGATCAGGGTGCAGCTGAGATTCGAGGTGGTGGGAAGGGAAAGAAAGAATGTCTATGGGGGGAAGGAGGCCTGTATGTGCATCATGCCCTATGCCATGACCAGTAACAGGAGGAAAGAAAACATTAGGAAAGGATCTAAAACATTTGCTGAGAGTTGGCTGGAAACGTGACAGGCATAGTTTGCAGCTTCTTGCAGTCCCTGGATATGATGATTCTTCTCTTTTTCTTCGAGATGCATTTTGTAGGCTTGAAAATACAGTTCTTCCTAAATCAGATGAAACTGTTTAATTGGTTGTATAAAAATGTACATTATTTCACTCATTTAATTTGATCTTCTTAGGATGTTGCAGTGTGACCTCCTCAGCCATGCTGTCCACAGTGTTGTAAGCACCCTTTAATAACATGTGGAGTGTCAAGTCACCCTACCTTTTAACATCCTGAATAAAGACCATTTGCAAAGGGATGTTAGCCCCATTTTATCAATAAGAAACCTGAGACTTGGAGATAGAGGTTTTCCAAGACCACTTGACTCATGGAGAAGGAATTCATATTTTGTTCCAAGGTTTGCATTCTTTCTACCATCTATGTTGTTAGAAAATATGAATGATTTTGCTTACGAATGTTTAATACTCGGATGTCTCTGTACTATAAGATACTTCAATATTGGCTCAGGACAAAACACAGTTCAGTGAAGCAGGATAGCAACCCCAGAAAAGAGCTCAGTGAATGAAAGCCACTGTTGCGTTTTCCTCTGTATTTTTGACAGTATGTTTGGTAAAAGCTGGCTAATTCAGGACACTAGCATACAGGTAGCTATATTAGTAGGATTTTGAAAGGGCTTTTAAAAGTTGTTTAAATACTTTTGTAATTAGAAACCCCAAAGTACGATAAGATTATCATGAAACAGAAATAATTTCCTCAATGGATAACATTTTAAAACTAAACATAGACCGAATTTGGGCCATGTATTATTTTAGCAATTCACTGTTGAGGGATTTCCAGAATATGAGTCAACAATGCCCATTAATTTCTTTGCACTTCAGTTCCAGTACTCTCACTGGAAGACAGTGATTTTGCTATTATATTCTGTACTGTTTCTTAATGGCAATCATGTATGGAAAGTCACATAGAGGGCCTTTGGACCTAAGCATCGCTTTAATTAAGTTTAACTCCAACATTTTCAAGGTACCTCAACACGGGAGGAGTGTCAGGAGTGTAAGATTTGTCATAGGGCCACCAATACATTGATCTAATTCTTCAGAAAATTACATTTAAGGTATGATTTAATTGCTTTCCATGGGGCAGTCTTCAGAATTCCCAGATAGCAGATACTCACTGTTTATAATACACAAGGTTAAAGTATAGGAAACAGAGGTGTGGTGTGATTTATCCTCAGATTGTCATTTAAGATAAGGTATCATAATACAGGAAAACAAAGGCGTGGCATCTTTGCATCACATTTATAACCACAGTTGCCTACAGGCTTTTATTGCGTAACACTGAGGAAAAGAATATTATCATTTCCTTAGTTATCTCCTTTGCCTGCTTTAATTAATAACCTTTGTGTTTTTCAGCGCCTGACCTGGCAGCTGATTTCCAGGAGCTGTCTCAGTCAAAGACTGGGGTAAAGGCAGAGATGGTCCTGATGTCCAGGGGAAGATTCTGCCAAAATCAGAGCAATTTAAAATCTCATAAGGAGGTATGTTATCCATTAAGATTCAGAATTATATGCTTTCTGTTTTCCATAAAATTATATTTTTGATAATAAAAAGAGAGAACATCACTGCCTCTTTAAACAGAGTTCAAATGCAGACCTTTCTTGGAAGGTAGTTCAGACCCAACATGCCTGACTGCAAGACTGAAACACTATCAGATACAGAAACAAACAGGCTCAAAGCCATATTGAATCATCAAATAGGAAAGCATTTTCTTACTTCTGAGTATATCCAACAGCTAACAATTTTCATATTATTTTCTAATTTCTGCTTTTCATGAATGCATAATACATTTGTAATGCCATCTTATATGAAATATGCTGATCCCTGAAGGAGATCCTAGTACCAGCTCTAACATAATTTGTGAGATTCTGGACAAATCACATAAATCCTACACCCATTTTTGCTTTTATTGAAAGTAGTGAATGCACATCAGATAGACTAAAATCCATTTCAATGCTGATTTCTGCATGCTCTGGTTCTGTTGGAGAGAAAACAAAGATACTCTGATTTTCATGATTTGTTTTTCGTAACAATCATCTTCAGTTCAATTGTAATATCTGAGTTGAGATTTCATTGCTCCTAAGAAAATGAGTGGGGACTCTGCTTGATCTTTGTTTTTGTGAATGGAGACTTTCATGAGTGTTCTTGGATTTTGTCAGATTCTGAATTCTCAGGCTCTTAAACAATGATTGCATTTTAAATCTTTCCCGCAGTGAAGGCTCGAATGACTGAATAATAACATGGCAAGAGACAGTCAGGTTTCTGTGGCCGATAAGTAGGGAGCATGCATGTAGGTCAGTGATGCTCAAGGTGGGTGTAAGATGCCTGTGCTAAGCATGATCCCTGCCCTCCAGTCCCTTCATGAGCTACTGTGTGTAATTAGATTGAAGACACATATGATAGGATCACCTCTAACCATGGTTTCTGCCTTCAGTCATCAGATGATACGATGTAAAGTTCAAAGACTGTAATGTACCAATTCCTGTGTAGTAGACATAAATCTCTTTTACACACATTTTCAAAATTGCTGACTTAATTAGAAGAACTTCTGAATTTAAAGGAAGCATTGCATGTTCAAGGGAGAAATTACCTAAATGTTTTTACTCTACACTGCAGAACCCTTCCATTCGACTATTTATATTAAAAGATAGTTTTTCAGATGATTTTCAGGAGCCTATTGAAAAGGCATCAGTTGAATTCTTCAGAGAGTCATAGCCTTAAATGCACATCTTATTAAAATAGATAGCAAATTACACGATACAAGAAAATAATACCAAGAAATAAAAAAATTATAAAAGAGTCACAGAATGAACTTAAGGAAGAAGGAAGCAGGCAGTAAATAAAAGGTACAAATCATTAACAAAAGGAAAACTAATCTAAAATTAATAAATTTAATAGATTGTTCTTTTGAGAAATAGCTGTGAAGAGAGCATCTAGTAGTTTACACAATCTTGAAGAAAATGGATAAAGCACAGCACGGAATATGAGCAAGACACAGATATTGAGTGTAGGGCATAATTGAAAGTGAATACACTCTTGAATACTAATATTTTCAGAGTATGGATGAAATATTTGGCATGCTAGGAATGCCTACATTATTCAATCTATCCTTTTAATACCTGAATATCTGAACATCACAAAGACTCTGTATGAGCTTGTGAAATTTGGCAGTTGTCCCTCACAACAATTACTTTTAGAAGCAAATATTTAGCTTTCCCAGTTGTCTTTCTCTCCTTTTTCATTTCCCTCTCCATTTCTTTTTTTTGCCACACTGTTTACGATGCGTACCTCTTTCATAGTGTAATATCAATAATGACAGTGACAGCTTAAAACTTGTATGACCATTTAATTAATTATACAAAGAGGAATACTTTCTGGTGAAAAAACTATCATTATTCATATTAACATGAGGTCTGCAGGTGAAAACTAGATGCAAATGGTTACTGTATGTTAAAACACACACACACACACACACATACACAGAGAGAGAGAGAGAGAGAGAGAGAGAAGAGTAAACTAGCCCAAAGCAATATTTTTACACTTCTGCATAATAGAGAAAAAACAAATGCAATACTGGCCTTTCTATTCATTTCACTTATGTATTTCCTAATGTAACATTAACTATTTTCTCAAAACATAGTTTTCTGACTATTTGCAGGAGCCCATTGGATATCCAGACCATAGTTTCAAGCCAAAACATTAAATTATACATTTTTCACAAATTCCTTCTGTTTCTTAGGTTTTTTGTGTTCTGGTTTTATTTTGAGTAAAACCCTACACAATGTTTACTATCTAATTTAACCTCTTTTAATAGGTTCACTGGATTTAATGTATTCTGACCTCGGACTGTCTTTTGGTTTCCTTCTAGCACCAAAAGCAGGTTGTGTTTAAAACATGTTGCTAATGTATATGCTTGGAAGTCTATCTTCAAAGTCTCTACAGAGATCTAGTTGAATGCTAGCCATAGGGTGACTTTTAGGCTTCTGGTTTTAGTCCACTGTATAAAACTAAAACTTTGGTGTCCTTTGTATACCTTTCATTTCATCTGAATACAGTTCTGCTAGTAATGTTCCCTCCTGTTATATTTTTGTTGCAGGTAAAGGGCAACCACAGGTTTAAACGAAAACAAGCTGAAAGAATGCAAGCTGAATTTTTCTGAGATATTTGGCTTTAAAAAAATCTCAATAAAGCTTCACAGCTTTCTCCAAAGAAGTCTTGCACATCTTTTGTTCATTTATTCTCACATATTAGACGCTAATGAAAATTGTGGCTGGGTGCAGTGGCTCACACCTGTAATCCCAGCCCTTTGGGAAGCTGAGGCAGCAGGATTGCTTGAGCTTGGGAGACTGAGATGTGCCTGGGCAACATGGGAAAATACCCTCTCTGCAAAAATAAATGAATGAATGCATGAATGTATTCATGTATGGATGTAGCTGTAGTCCCAGCTACTCTGGAGGCTGAGGTGGGAGGATCCCTGGAGCCCAGCAGGTCGAGGATGCAGGTAGTCACGTTCATGCCACTACAACTCCAGCCTGGGTGACTGAGACTCTGTTTGAATAAAAAATAGTACAATTTTTCAAACTTTGCATTCTCATTGATCTGGTATCCACAGGTGTGGTATTGTGAAATATATATTTGGTCCCACACCCCACTTACTGATATACAACTCCTACAATATTTAGAATCTCCACATAGTGATGCCAGTGAGTTGCCTGAAGGCTAGCAGTTCCTAGGTAGCTCTAGGATGGGGGATTAGAGCATTGGGACTTTCAGCCCCATCCCCAACATTCAGGGCAGGGAGAGGGGCTGAAGGTTAAGTTGATTGCCAATGGTTGGCCAACGGGTTAATCAATTATGCCTATATAATGAAAACCTCCGTCAAAACCCAAAGTATAGGGTTCAGAGAGCTTTAGGCTAGCTGAACACATGGAGGGTAGCATGCCCATAGAGGGCATGGAAGCTCCCTTCCCCTTCCTTCATTCCTTCCCCTATGTAGGTCTTTATATGCACCCTTTGTTAGGGTATCCTATTTGCCACAAAATATGTGAGCATTCCCTAGGCCATATAGCTGGATGAAAGAATTAGGGCCTAGGTAGAAGAAAGGGGAAAGCAACTAGGGCAACTTCCTGAAGCAAAATTACTTCGGTCCTACCTACACTGTCTCTTATAAGTTATGATAGCCATGGGTTTCTATCCTGCTTCTCACACACTGGCCTTGACATGGTGGGCAAGACACATCCTGTGGGACTGTTTACCCATTTCTGAAGTTGAAATTACAATATTTACACTAAACAGTTGCTATGAAGAATAAATGAAATAACATAGGAAGCAGGTATTACATAGCACATAAATTTATTAGTTATATTTCCTTAATCCCTTTAAAATTTTAAATAATGTTCTTTCATTTTGCATTATAATTACATCTCTAGTATGTTACCGATGCTTTGGAATTTCAAGTAGGAATATCAATCTACCTTCTTAAATGCATTTGACTTCACAAGCATATTTTATTTAAATATGTAAATAAAATAGCAATGTAGCTGGTATCAGACATGACATTGATTCTGAAGCTGATTTGTAAATAACTGAGGTGTGACAAGGCCAACCCTATGGCAGCAGTTTGGGCCAAAAAATTTCTTTGTTGTGTGTGATGCCATGAAGAATAAGTCAATATTCTGGTCAGGTAACACCACATAACTCAAAACAATAGTGTGTCAGTTGCTCAAGCAGTCCCTAAGCAGCCCTGTGGTGGCTAATGGGGCCACAAGGATCACCAGTGCAGTTGCTTTTGGCTTGTCATATATTCATAGATTTGCTGGGTAAAAAGACAATGAACTCAAATTGATCCAAGTGGTTGAACACTTGCAGACGCAGCTAATGCAGATCGACACTGTCTCAGCACTGTGTCCCTAGCCCCGCAATACCACACTGAATCAGAGATACTCAGTGATAGCATAGATGTTGGGTCTCTCTGCCTGGGAGTAGCCCACAGTCATACCCTAAGGCCAAATTGGAAACCACACTGAATCCTGAACCCAAGATCACCCCTGACAGAACTGCGACTATGGGACAGCAGGGGTGACCCAGCTCCCAAACATCCCACACAGAACACTTAGTGATGTCATCCACGCTTGTGAAGAGGAGAAACTGGTGTCAATGAGTACCCTGAACTTACTGCCTTCTAACAGTTTGCCTAAATCAAAGACCCAAATGAATTGTTTGGACTGGAAGAGGAACCCTAAAGGGAAAGGTCCCTCAGTGGGAGGCCACACTGGAGGCCTTGGCCAGCTCCTGCCTGATGAATGTATGACCTGCTGGGGGTGCCCTAACAAGAGTAGATTCTTGGTGCCCAGGAGTACCACCTATGCCCTCTGGGATTGTTTTTACGTGTGTGCACTCACTATCCATCACTGCCTTATCCCTGGAAGGCATTCACATCAGCTTCATCTTCCTGGCCAGAGTTGTGCTGAGCCTGAAATGGTGGCTCACGCTGGACAAAAATGGTTAACACAGAATCTTAGGAAGGAGGTCCCCTGCCTTTCTAAGATAGACCTTCATCATTAATAGGATTTGTATAAGACGGCTATTATGGGAAATCTGATGTGTCAACTGTGTTATGCCATAAAGCACAAAAAATGTTCACTTTGACCATGGTAGATGTCTCTGTGAAAAGTTTTCTCCACATAAGAACTAACATGTACATTGGCAGACTTTGGGTATACCTAATTGCCCTCTATAATGTCGGTGGGCCTCATCCAGTCACTTGAAGGCCTTCAGAGAAAAAGACTGGGGTCCTTTCAAGATGAAGAATTTCTGCCTCCACACTGCTCTTGGATTTGAGCTCTCATATCAGCTCTTCCCCAGGTCTGCAGCCTGACATCCTGCTCTGCAAGATTTGGACTTGCCAGCCCACATAGTTGCATGACCCAGTACCTCAAAATCAATGTCTCTCCTCAAAATCAATGTCTCTCTCTCTGTCTGTCTCTCTACACGCATGCAAACACACACACACACACTCACATGAACACAGAGTAACTCTAACCAATAGGCTGCTTACATCTGGGACCCTTAAGGGGCATAACTGAGATCACTACTGCAGGTTGGTCTCACTCTGCTGCATGGCTCCTAAGGCAGAGGCCTGTGGCATTCCCCTCACATCCTCTGCAGACTGACATCCAAATGGCTTATCACTGTGAGTCTGGGTTTGGTTATCCAACCATGTAGAGATCACTACAATTCCACAGGTGTTCCCTGCCCTCCTTCTGCCTGTGAGTTCTTCTGTTCTATCCTGAGGACACACAGATCTACTGGGTATGTTTCCAAACTTCCAGGAAGGACCTGGGAGCCTGGTGAGGGAGATACACCTGCGAAGGGAACTTCAGTGCAGTAACAGCAATGGGCATAACCGGTGTGTTCACCAAATCACGAGAGATCACACTACCAACATCGCCCACTTGATTTTCCCCATCAACTAACAGCTTATCTTGGAAACGATAGTTTTGGTAGCTAAGTTAGACTCCCCTTATTCTGTTTTCCACAGGAATCCACAGATTCAAAGCAAACTGATACTGAAATGTTGTGTCAAATTGGAATGCAAGAATGGAATGCCCTGTAGTGGTATGATTTCTGAAGCAGTCAATAAGTCTTTATAAGTTCCCAGATGAAGCAACATACAAGCATTCCTCAGTTTACAGGGAGTGACATGTTTGGAAAATCCAGTTACAAGCTTAATTTTTTTTTAACTATAGACTCCATTTTTTAAAAAATTTAGTATAATTTTCGAAATTTTGTATTCTGACTCAGCTGGTATGCACAGTTATGATATTATGAAATACATATTTGGTCCTAGACCATGCTTCCTGGTATAGAACTCCTACAATTTTTAGGATCTCTACGAAGTGGTGTCTTTTTGTATGCTAGTGAGTTGACTGATGGCTGGCAGCACCTAAGTAGCTCTAGGCTGGGGAATAAGAGGGTTGGGACTTTCAGCCTCACCCCCAAACATCAGGGAAGGGAGAGGGGCTGAAGGTTAAGTTGACCACCTGTGGCGGGCCAACGGTTTAATCAATCACGCCTACAAAATGAAAACCTCCATGAAAACCCAAAAGGACAGGATTCAGAGAGGCTCCAGCCTAGATGAACACATGGAAGGAAGCATACCTGTAGAGGGCATGGAAGCTCCCTGCCCCTTTCCCCAGACCTCACCCTATGTGTCTCCTTATCTGCTTCCTTTCTTAGGGTATCCCATTTGCCACAAAACATGTAAGAAGTCCCTAAGCTACAGAACTGGATGAAAGAATTAGGGCCTAGGTAGAAGAAAGGGGCAAGCAACCAGGGCAACTTGCTGAAGCAAGATGACTTGGGTCCTACCTACACTCTCTCTTTACAGGTTATGGCATGAAATAGTCATGGGTTTCCATCCTGCCTCTCACATACTGGCCTTGAGATGGTGGGCAATATGCTTACATCCTTTGGGACTGTTTCCCTTCTTCCAAAGTAGAAATTACAATATTTACACTAAATACTTGCTATGAAGAATGAAGGAAATAACATACCAAGTAGGCATTACATTGCAGATAAATTTGGATTACTACTTAGATTTCCTTTTTCCCTTTAGATTTCAAACATTTTCATTTCATTTTTCCTTATAACTGCATCTCTAGTATGTGATAAGTGCTTTTGAATTTCAATTTGGAATGTCAAGTTACTTTTAATCTGCATTTGACTTCAGAAAATTATTTGATTTAAATAAACGTATTAGTGAAATAGCAGTGTAGCTGGTGTCAGACATGTTATTGATTCTGAAGTTGATTGGAAAATAACCGAGGTGTGATAAAGCCAACCCCAAGTCAGTACTATGTACCGAAAACCTGTTTGCTATGTGTGATGCCAAGAAGAATAAGTCAATATTCTGGCCATTCAGCACCACACAACTCAATACAGTAGTGTGTCAAGTGCTCAAGCCATCCGTAAGCAGCCCTGTCGTGGCTAACAGGGCCACAAGGATCACCACTGCAGTTATTAGTTTACCTTGTCACATATTCATAGATTTGGCCAATAAGGAGATCATGAGCCCAAATGGATCCAAGTGGTTGATTGCTTGCAGACACAGCAAAAGCAAGATCAGCATTGCTTTGGCACCATGTTCCTAGTCCCATAGAATGACAGTGAATTGGGGGTTCTCAGTGACAGCAAAGATGGTTGGTCTCTCCACCTGTGAGGAGCCCACAGCCGTACCTTAAGGCAGTGGGCACTTTTATACTCCATAACTGTACCCTAAGATGAGGAAAGGTCTGTGCTTACCTGAAACTAGGGAGATGGATGAAGAATGGCCTTGTTTCAGCCTCCAACCAGATAGGGAACTGGTGAGAAATAACCTGTAGCAGTTCCCCCACCATGCTTCCTATCTCCCCTTGCTCCAAGGGCATTCAATGTATTCTGCCAAGACTCAGGTTAGACTGGAATCTAGTTTTGCATATGTGCCCTATGTGGTGACCTGTTAGAGCTCCAGGGCACCGTGGCAGATGCATTACCCTAGAGTGTCCAGCACAAAATCAAGGATCATATGTAAGGTGCCTGGAAACATATCATCTACAATAATGTCTCCTAAACAGAGGCGATGCTTTTCTGTTAGGATCATTACAGAAGATAGATTATTCAATTCAGTAGACATGCACTGATGGCCTGCCATGTTACAGGAAATATCTGGGGTGCTGGAAATTGGAAGACCAACCAACAACACGTGGTACTTTCCGTGGGGGCTATCACACTGTGGTGGGGTGGAGAGATCCTTAAACAGAAGAGCAGCTGAAGTGCAAAGGAGAAACACAGGGAAGGGAGCCATGGGAATAAAAAACAATGAATGTAGTGGCCAAAGGGAAGGAAGAATACATCCTTAAGGTATGTGCCTTCTATGCCGATTTTGCTGAGGGATTTAATCATAAAGCGATGCCGGATTTTGTCAAATGCACTTTCTGCATCTGTTGAGATGATCATGTGACTTTTGTTTCTAATTCTGTTTATGTGGTGTATCACATTTATTGACTTACGTATGTTAAACCATCCCTGCATTCCCGGTATGAAACCCACTTGATCATAGTGGATTGTTTTTTTGATATGCTGTTGGATTCAGTTTCCTAGTATTTTATTGAGGATTTTTGCATCTATGTTCATCACGTAACATAAACCTATAATGTTTAATCAATTCTCCAAAGGAAAGAATAAAGAGATAAGCCAAGGAATACATGAAAACTGACAGAGAGAAGCAAGTACAACAAAATAGAGTAATGTAAATCCAGAAAGACAACTAAAGTACAATGGCATCCCCCAAATAAACACATAGACCGAGGGAAAAAAATGCAGAGCCCAGAAATAAATCCATGCACTTATAATCAAATGAATTTGACAAAGGTGTCAAGCACACACAGTGAGGGACGGACAGCCTTCAATAAATGGTAATGGCAAAATGGTATATCCACATGCAGAGGAATGAAATTCAACCCTCATCTCTCACCATATAAAAAAGTCAACTTAAAGTAAATTAAAACCTTATAATGTAAGACCCGAATCTATGAAATTACTAGAAGAAAACATAGGGAAGAAGCTCCATGACATTGGTCTGGGCAATGATTTTTTTGGGATATGATTCTAAAAGCACAGGGAACAACAACAAAAGTAAACAAATAAAATTATCTCAAACTCAAAAACTTCTGCACAGCAAAATAAACAATCAACAGTGTGCAAAGACACTTTGTCTCCTCCTCCTTAATGCCTCCTCCTTAATGCCTCCTCCTTAAGGCCTCCTCCTTAATGCCGTGTTATTTCCTTTGTACTGACCACAATATTTCTATTCTTTTGATGTAAATAAGAAGTGTGACTATACTTCTTTTCAATCATAAACTTGTGGTTAATAGCCAGAATATCATCGCCTACTTTGGGATATTTTCGACATTTCCAAGTGCAGCTGTGGTTGTTGGAATGATTGGTAGGGGCTACTGGCATTTGGGGACTCAGTGTCGCAGGGAGGCAAACATCTTTTGCCAGAGTCTTCAATAAACCGGATTTTCCATACATGTCACTTCACTGTAAACTGAGGGAGGCTGGTATGTTGCTTCATCTGGGAAGTTATGAAAGACTTACTGACTCCATTGGAAGATCACATCACTTCAGGCCATTCCATTCTTGGATCCCACTCTGACACAACATGCCAGTATCAGTTTGCTTTGTAGCTCTGCATGCCCGAGGGAAACAATGAAGGGAATCCATCTTACCTACCAACAGGATCTTTTCCAGGATAAGCTTCACCACACACCCCAGCTGGCCCCAAACCACTTGTTATTGTTGTTTCAGAAAGGGTCTGTTGCTCTGCCTGGAGTGCAGTGGAGAAACCATGGCTCACTGCAGCCTTGACCTCCCAGGCTCAAGTGATCCTTCCATCTCAGCCTCCCAAGTAGCTGGGAAAACACACAGGTTCCACCACCCCTGGCCATTTTTTTATTTTTTTGTAGAGGTGGGGTATCCTTATGTTGCCCAGGTTGATCTCAAACTCCTGGATTCAAGCAATACTTATGCCTCAACCTCCCAATGTGCTGCAGTTAGGGGCATGAGCCACCTCACCTATCCCTGAACCACTTTTTTTTTTTTTAATCACAGAAACCAAGATAGAGGAAGAAGGAGCCTGCAAGCCCTCCTGGGGAAAATTGTGTCCTTCTTCATGCTACCCTGCTATTTCCTCTGCACCAACTCCAACATTCCTATTTTTTGATGTAAATAAGAAGCTTGAGGATACTTTGTTTCAATCATAAACTTGTGGTTTATTGCCCCAATATCTTTGCCCACTTTGGGTCATTTTGGAAATTTTTGAGGGCAGCTGCAGTTGTTGGAATGATTGGCAGGGGCTACTGGCATTTGGGGACTGAGTGTTACAGGGAAGCAAACGTCTTTTTCCAGAGTCTTCACTAAACTGGATTTTCCATACATGTCACTCCCTTTAAACCGAGGGGGGCCTGTATGTTGCTTCATCTGGGAACTTATAAAGACTTATTGACTGCTTGAGAAATCACATCACTGCAGCGCATTCCACTCTTGGATTCTACTCCGACACAACATTCCGGTATCAGTTTGCTTTGTATGCGTCCATTCCTGGAGAAAATAGAAAAAGGGGAATGCAACTTACCTATGAACGTGACCATTTCCAGGATAAGCTGTTAGCTGATGGGGAAACTTAAGTGGGAGATGTTGGTAATGTGATCTCTCATGAGTTGGTGAACACACTGGCTATGCCTGTTGCTGTAACTGATGTTGCATATGTATGTCCCTCACCAGGCTCCCAGTGCCTTCCTGAAGGCTGGAAACATACCCTATAGATCTCTGTATCCTCAGGATGGAACAGAGGACCTCACATACAGAAGGAGAGCAGGGAACACTTGTGGAATGGTAGTGATCTGTACATGGTTGGGTGACCAAACCCTGAGTCACAGTGATGAGCCCCATGGAGGTCAGTCTGCAGAGGGTGGGAGGAGAATGCCATGCAGCAGAGTGAGACGAACCTGCAGTACTAATCTCAGTTACGCCCTTTAAGCATCCCAGATGTAAGCAGCCTATTGGTTAGGGTTCCCGTGTGTGTGTGTGTGTGTGTGTGTGTGTGTGTGTGTGTGTGTGTGTGTGTGTGTAGAGATTGAGAGAGAGAGAGAGAGATTGAGTTTGAAGACCTAGCTCATGCAACTGTTGTGAATGGCAAGTCCAAATCTCACAGAGCTGGATGTCAGGCTGGAGAGCCTGGGCAGAGGTGATATGAGAGCTCAAATCCAAGGGCAGGGTGGAGGCAGAATTTCTTCATCTTGAGGAGGACCCCAGTCTTCTTCTCTGAAGGCCTTCAAGTGACTGATTGAGGCCCACCCACATTGGGGAGGTTTACCCAAAGTCTGCTGATTTGAATGCTACTTCTCTTGTAAAGAAAACCCTCCACGGAGACATCTACCCTGGTCAAAGTGAACATTTCTCATGCATTGTGACCTAGCAAAGTTGACACATCAGATTTCCCATCATAGCCATCTTATACAAATCCTATTAATGATGAAGGTGTATCTGACAAAGGCAGGGGACTTCCTAAGATTCTGTATTAACCATTTTTATCCAGCCCAAGCCAGCATTTCTGGCTCAGCACAACTCCGGCCAGGAAGCTGAAGCTGATGTGAATGCCTTCCAGCAATAAGGGAGTGATGGGCTAGTCAGGGCACACAGGCAATCCCAGAGGGCACAGGTGGTACCCCTGGACAACAAGAGTTTACCCTTGTTAGGGCACCCCCAGCAGGACATACAGTCATCAGGCAGGAGCTGGCCAAGGCCTCCATTGTGGCATCCCACAAAGAAACCTTTCCCTCTAGGGTTCCCCGTTCAGTCTAAAAAATTGATTTGCATCTTTGGTGACTCTCAGTCCATTCTGGAAGGTGGGAAGAGAGCCAGCCAGCAGCATTAAAGCCCTACTGTGTGGCAGGGAAGAAGCTAGGGAAAGTCCCTCATTTTCTGTCAGTTAGCCATGGCATCAACCAGGACAGATTATCATTCCCACTTCCCAGATCCAGCACACAGGAAGCGGCTCCAGCTGAATGGCAGAGATGCCTAGCTGAGTACTGCCAGAATTCCCTTTTTATCTTTTCCTAGGCCTTCAATGATACTGCCAAATACTTCTCTGAGAAAGAATGGGAAAAGATGAAAGCCTCAGAGAAAATCATCCATGTGTATATGAAGAGAAAGTATGAGGCCATGACTAAACAGGGTAACTGAAAGTTCTAGGTACAGACAAGTCTGGGGACACATGAGCATCCCTTTTCCTGCTTTGGCTACTTCTTAGGCTGCAGAAAGTACCCCACATTTTCCTTTTGTGCAGGGAAAAATCGCAAGGCAGCTTCTGGGTGCTCTGCTCTTCTGTATTCTGTCAGGGCTGAGGGCAGGGACTGGCCACAGTGGAGCTCATACCTGGATCCTGCACGTTTCTCTCCCTTAGGAGTCTGTTGTGATGAGCCCAACTGTCTCTGTGGCATCCCAGGCCTCCCCCACCCCGCCACCGCCCCCAACACACCCACCCTACCTTCCTTCTCTCGGCTTGTCTCTCTCTCTCTCTCTCTGTCTTTTTTTTTTTTTTTTGAGTCTGAGTCTCACTCTGTCACCTAGGATAGAGTACAGTAGTGCAATCATAGCTCACTACAGCCTTGAATTCATGGCCTCAAGCAATCCTCCAGCCTTAGCCTCCCAAAGTGCTGGTACTACAGACATGAGCCACCATGGCAGGCCTAAGCGTGTCTCTTAAGGAATAAATATTTTGCTTCTTACTAGGTTTCACGGCTACCATCCCAACTTTCATGGATGACAAAGGGGCCGCAGACTGCCAGGGGAATGATTTTGATAATGACCATAACTGCGGGAATCAGGGTGAGTAGATGGGAAGGGGCTGGAAAGGGTCTCCTCAAGCCCAACTGCTTTTCAGCTCAGCTACCTGGGAAAGAGCCTCAGGCATTTGTTCCCTCATACACATCAGGGCTGAGTGAAAAAAAAATTGCATGCAGAAAGTTAACTACAGAGGCCATTCATATAAAATTTTAAAACATGCAAAACAAGAATATATATTTTTATGGATAATAAGTAAATGGTAAATGTATACAAACATGAATGTGAATAAAAAGCCATCAAATTAAGGTGACTGGCTGTAAGTGGAGGAGGGAGGGAGAGCAGGGATTGCTGAGTGCTGCACACACAGCTTCAGCTGTGACTTGTCGATAGTGTGTTTTGTTTGCTTTTGTTTTTGAGATGGAGTTTCACTCTTGTTGCCCAGGCTGGAGTGCAATAAGGCAATCTCAGCTCACTCTGACTTTCACCTCCTGGGTTCAAGTGATTCTCCTGTCTCAGCCTCCAGAGTAGCTGGGGTTACAGGTGCCCGCCCCCACACCCAGCTCATTTTTTAATGTTTGGTAGAGACGGGGTTTCACCATGTAGGCCAGGCTGGTCTCAAACTTCCTGACCTCAGGTGATCCACCCGCCTCAGCCTCCCAAAGTGCTGGGATTACAAGTATGAGCTACCACGCTCAGCCTGTTTGCAGTATTTCTAATATTCTGAATAAATAAATCAGACCTAACATAGCTGGGGGTAATGTTGAGATCCGACCAGACTCAATATTATTCCCCATACTTTTCTGTTTGAAATATTTCTTTTTAAAGGACATGTTGTTCTTCCTAAGCACTGTTAATGAATCAAAGGACAGTTAAGAAAATGTTAAAAGTGACAAAAAAAGAAAGAAACTGTTAAAACTGTGGATCCGCCAAAAACTTCAAGAGGTTGTTTCATTAACAGCAAGTAGGTATTGGATAGGTATCTTAGGAGTGAGGGTGATGAACACATTATGTAATAAAGATCGCTGTTTTTCTGTATCTTATCAAAACCAAATACTCTTCTCATTCCCAAACAACCCCAATTCTCCGTGATGAGCTTGGAAGAGAGTTTGAAAGAGTGATCCCTCATCCAACACAGAGAGAGCTTTCCCACTTGTCAGTGAGCAGAGATAACATGGGGTGAAAAAAAGAAAGGTTCTTGGCTAGACATCTTTGTACATTTCAGGAATATAAAGGGGACATATGTGTTTACTGGCTCTTCTGCTCTGACAACACAAATATACGACAAGGTCAGAATGTCCAAACCGTCTCCAATAGACCGATAACTCCCCAACTAAACAGGCCAGATTCTTTCAACTCCCACAATCACTATAAGAGATCTGAAATCAGGTAGCGTGATGCCTCCAGCTTTGTTCTTTTGGCTTAGGATTGACTTGGCGATACGGGCTCTTTTTTGGTTCCATATGAACTTTAAAGTAGTTTTTTCCAATTCTGTGAAGAAAGTCATTGGTAGCTTGATGGGGATGGCATTGAATCTATAAATTACCTTGGGCAGTATGGCCATTTTCATGATATTGATTCTTCCTACCCATGAGCATGGAATGTTCTTCCATTTGTTTGTATCCTCTTTTATTTCACTGAGCAGTGGTTTGTAGTTCTCCTTGAAGAGGTCCTTCACGTCCCTTGTAAGTTGGATTCCTAGGTATTTTATTCCGTTTGAAGCTATTGTGAATGGGAGTTCACTCATGATTTGGCTCTCTGTTTGTCTGTTATTGGTGTATAAGAATGCTTGTGATTTTTGCACATTGATTTTGTATCCTGAGACTTTGCTGAAGTTGCTTATCAGCTTAAGGAGATTTTGGGCTGCGACGATAGGGTTTTCTAGATATACAATCATGTCATCTGCAAACAGGGACAATTTGACTTCCTCTTTTCCTAATTGAATACACTTTATTTCCTTCTCCTGCCTAATTGCCCTGGCCAGAACTTCCAACACTATATTGAATAGGAGTGGTGAGAGAGGGCATCCCTGTCTTGTGCCAGTTTTCAAAGGGAATGCTTCTAGTTTTTGCCAATTCAGTAGGATATTGGCTGTGGGTTTGTCATAGATAGCTCTTATTATTTTGAGATATGTCCCATCAATGATACTGGTACCAAAACAGAGATATACATCAATGGAACAGAACAGAGCCCTCAGAAATAACGCCGCATATCTACAACTATCTGATCTTTGACAAACTGACAAAAACAAGAAATGGGGAAAGGATTCCCTATTTAATAAATGGTGCTGGGAAAACTGGCTAGCCATATGTAGAAAGCTGAAACTGGATCCCTTCCTTACACCTTATACAAAAATTAATTCAAGATGGATTAAAGACTTACGTGTTAGACCTAAAAACACAAAAACCCTAGAAGAAAACCTAGGCAATACCATTCAGGACATAGGCATGGGCAAGGACTTCATGTCTAAAACACCAAAAGCAATGGCAACAAAAGCCAAAACTGACAAATGGGATCTAATTAAACTCAAGAGCTTCTGCACAGCAAAAGAAACTACCATCAGAGTGAACAGGCAACCTACAAAATGGGAGAAAATTTTCGCAACCTACTCATCTGACAAAGGGCTAGTATCCAGAATCTACAATGAACTCAAACAAATTTACAAGAAAAAAACAAACAACCCCATCAAAAAATGGGTGAAGGACATGAACAGACACTTCTCAAAAGAAGACATTTATGCAGCCAAAAAACACATGAAAAAATGCTCACCATCACTGGCCATCAGAGAAATGCAAATCAAAACCACAATGAGATACCATCTAACACCAGTTAGAATGGCAATCATTAAAAAGTCAGGAAACAACAGGTGCTGGAGAGGATGTGGAGAAATAGGAACACTTTTACACTGTTGGTGGGACTGGAAACTAGTTCAACCCTTGTGGAAGTCAGTGTGGCGATTCCTCAGGGATCTAGAACTTGAAATACCATTTGACCCACCCATCCCATTACTGGGTATATACCCAAAGGATTATAAATCATGCTGTTATAAAGACACATGCACAAGTATGTTTATTGCAGCACTATTCACAATAGCAAAGACTTGGAACCAACCCAAATGTCCAACAATGATAGACTGGATTAAGAAAATGTGGCACATATACACCATGGAATACTATGCAGCCATAAAAAATGATGAGTTCATGTCCTTTGTAGGGACATGGATGAAATTGGAAATCATCATTCTCGGTAAACTATCACAAGAACAAAAAACCAAACACCGCATATTCTCACTCATAGGTGGGAATTGAACATTGAGAACCCACGGACACAGGAAGGGGAACATCACACTCTGGGGACTGTTGTGGGGTGGGGGGAAGAGGGAGGGATAGCTTTAGGAGATATACCTAATGCTAAATGACGAGTTAATGGGTGCATCACACCAGCATGGCACGTGTATACATATGTAACTAACCTGCACATTGTGCACATGTACCCTAAAACTTAAAGTATAATAATAATAAAATAAAATAAAAGAGATCTGAAAATCCAGTGCTTGAATATCTGCCAAGTTTTTGACAATAAAGGAGTGTCTTTATACTGAAAATATTTCAGAGCCACTGGACTAAATCATCCATGGTTCATCACACATTTAACAGCTTAATTCACATACCACAGTATTCACCCATTTTAAGTGTACAATGATTTTTAGTTGTTGTACATTTGAGTGAATATAGTTCAGATTCCCAACCAATCAATTTAATTATTTGGGTAAAAGTAAAACATATGTAATGGAATAAGATGAGACTGTGATGGGGTTTAGTCCAATGTGATGAACCATGAGATGGAAAATTCTGAATTGATGCCACCGATAAATGAACCAACCATGACTAAACATAATTCAGAAGCGAATCTCCAATAACTCCTCAACAATGAGTGGACTCATAACCCTCTGCTGCAGAATGCCCTCATGCAATAGAAGTCTCTCTAGAGTTTGGAAATCTTTACCAACAAAGAAAAATTCTGATGTATTCTCTTTCAGTTGAACGTCCTCAGATGACTTTCAGCAGGCTCCAGACTTCGTGATCTGCACACCTCGGCCTCCCAAAGTGCTGGCTTTACAGGCATGAGTCACCGTGCCCGGGTGATTTCCCATGCTCTTTCTACTCCCTGTCCTGTATATCTAAGGGATCCTCCCTACCCAGGATGCTGTGGGCTCCCAAACCCCAGGTCAGCCCTGATATGCGGGCCACACCTTCCTCTAGCCTAGAAATTGATAACCCAGGCGAGGAAGTCACTTTGACATGAGCAGATGGTTCACTTCGAGGAACCATGGAAGGCGTGTGCAGGTCCTGAGGTAGGACAGAATCGGAGTGTGCCGGGTCTGCAGGTCAGGAGGAGTTGAGATTGAGTTATCAGGCAGTGGGAACTCATGCCACTTACTTTCCTTATCTCCTCTTGCCTCAGCCTCGGGGATATGACACATGCCCATGATGAGAAACAGAACATGGTCACCATTCACGAACGTGGGCATGTCTGCGGACCCCTCGTCATCAGGTGCATAGCAAGTGAAAGCAAGTGTTCACAACAGTGAAAAGTTGAGCGTCATTTTTCTTAGTGTGCCAAGAGTTTGATGTTAGCGTCTCCATTGTATTTTCTTACAGTGTGCTGTTCTGTTAGATATTATCCTTTTCATTGATGAGCAAGGCATACTTAATGCATATTTCGGTTTGTGTATCCATGCACCTACCTTAGAAAACAGGTATTATCAGGTATTCTCTGCATAGAACAGTACTACCCTCCTCTCTCCCCAGATGTGACTACTGAGGGCAGTTCTGAGTGTTTAATTTCAGACTTTTTCCTCTGCATTTACATACCACACCACACACACACACACACACACACACACACACCAAGTACCACTATAAGCATCTCACATCTGCTTTTCTCCATTGCCATGTGTCCTGGTCAAGCCCAGCTCACTCTGTTTCCTGTTCAGCATGTACTCCCCTCATCAGATTCCCCTGTATCAGTCACTGACGTTTAAGAAACCTTTGCAACATTGCATCCAGTTTTTCACATTCGCTGGCTTACAGAGGCTGACAGCTTAGACCCACACCAATACAGGCCAAATGCCAATGAAAGTTTTAGCTTCTGGCTCCTTCCGCTGTCAGGTTTAGATTCCCAACCTCTTCACTTAAGGGAACATTCACCTATACCTCCTTTCATTCAGCATGTATTTAAGGGCACACAGGCATACCTTGTTTTATTGCACCTCATTTTTATAGTGCCTCACAGATACCGCAATTTTGTTTTTGAAATTCTCACCAATTTTACACTTTTCCATTATTATTATATCTGGTATGGTGATCTGTCATCAGTGAGCTTTGATATTGTGATTGCAATTGTTTTGTTGTTCTTTAGTGTTTTAAATCTTGGTTTTTTATTTTTGTGGGTACATGGTAGGTGTATATTCTTATGGGGTACATGAGATGCTTTGATACAGGCATGCAATGCGTAATACTCACATCATGGAAAACAGGGTATCCATACCCTCAACCATCTATCCTTGTGTTACAAACAATCCACTTACACTCTTTATTTTTTTTAAATGTACAATTAAGTTATTATTGACTATAATCACCCAGTTGTGTGTCATGGTTTTGGGGGTAACAGGAACTGCGCCCATAGGAGATGACGAACTTAATCGACCAATGTTGTGTGTGTTCTGACTGCTCCATCGATGAGCGCTTCCCTGCCTCTCTTCCTTTTCTTGGGCCTTCCTAATTCCTGACACACAGCAACACTGAAATTAGGATGACTAAGAACCCTACAATGGCCGCTAAGTGTTCAAATGAAACGAACAGTCACATGTCTCTCACATTAAATCGGAAGCTAGAAATGGCTAAGCTTAGTGAGGAAGCATGCTGAAAGCCAAGGTAGGCTGAAAGCTAGGCCTCTTGCACCAAACAGCCAAGCTGTGAATGCAAAGGAATAGTTCTTGAAGGAAATAATAGTATATAATGCAAAGGGAAAGTTCTTGAAGGAAATAATAATACTAATACTCCAGTGAACACACTAATAAGAAAGCAAAATTGCCTTACTGCTGAAATAGAGAAAGTTTAGGTGGTCAGGATAGAAGATGAAACCAGCCACAACATTCCCTTAAGCCAAAGTCTAATTCAGAGCAACACCCAAACTCTCTTCAAGTCCATGAAAGCTGAGAGAGGTGAAGAAGCTGCAGAAGAAACGTGTGAAGCTAGCAGAGGTTGGTTCATAAGGTTTAAGGAAAGAAGCCGTCTCCATAAAATAAAAGTGCAAGGTGAAGCAGCAAACCCTGATGGAGAAGCTGCAGCAAGTTATCCAGAAGATCTAGCTAAGATCACTGTTGAAGGTGGCTACAGTAAGCAACAGATTTTCAATATGGATAAACTCGCCTTCTAATGGAAGGAGATGCCATCTAAGACTTTCATAGCTAGAGAGGATTGACTCCAACTTTGAAAGAAGTTCTACTGTGGGTAAAATGCTGTCCAATAGCACCACATACTACAGAGATATGCTTCACGAAAGGGAGAGCTAATCGATGTGGCAAATTTCACTGTGTTCTTTTAAGAACTGCCACGGCCACTCCAGCCTTCAGCAACCATCACCTTGATCCACCAGCAGCCATCAACACCGGGACAAGACCCTCCACCAGGAAAAAGAGTGTGACTCACTGAAGGCTCAGAAGATTGTTAGCATTTTTAACAATGAATTATTTTAAAATTAAGTTATGTACATTTTTAGACATAATGCTATTGCACACTTAGTAGACTACAGGATGGTGTAAACGTGTTTTTACGCACTACGAATTCAAAAAAGAAAAATGTGTGTGACTCTCTTTATTGCAGTGGTCTGGAACCGAACCTGCAATATCTCTGAAGTACACCCGTATTGGGTATCAGGCATTGAGCTGAGTAAGAAATGATCCCAGGTAATCACCGATAGAATTGCTTGAGCACCTTCCATATCATCAGACCTTCTAGATTTAATTTAATACCTCCAAACGATTTATGAACTATGATTCTTTATTTCCATCTTATGGACTAGGAATCTGGAGCTGAGAAAATTTGGAAGACTTGCCCCAAATCATGTGGTTTTTTATATGGATGACAACTCCAGTCTGTGTTTCTGGAAGTCACGTTAGACATGGCTTCATCTGGAGCTGGGCAAGCTCCTCTGCCCAGCCTGGACCCAGGCTTGTCTGGGATCAATGCCACACACCCAGTCCACACACCTGAAAATAGCCAGAAAAGCCAGAGGGGTTGTTCCCGAATTCTTTCTTCTTACCAGATCTCTTGTGAATCTTCTCAGAAGTATTTGCTCTTCTTGGGGGGCGCAGCTGTTTCCCATCGTTTTGTGGGCCAGATGCTTCTGGCACTCCCTTCGAATCATTTCCTTCCTCTGCTGTCTTCTTGGGCATGATCATTATAATGTGAAGGTCACAGATAAACAGTATCAGTGACATTTCTATAGTGTTTCAGAGCTTACAAAGTGTCTTCACATGCATTACCTTAATCAATGTTCTCAATAACGCTGGGAGAGTTACACTTGCCTAAATTAGGAGAAACCTGGGAGGTCAGAAGGGAAAGGAACGGCCCAAATGAATGGGGTTTCCAGGGCTAGAATGCTTATCTTCACACTCTTTTAAGACTGACATTCTTGCAAACAGCAAAAATCTCCATGTAGTTGAGAGTTTGTTATACAGGAGATTTGGAGAAAAATAGCATTCTAAGAATTCACAAGTTCTACAAGGGGAAGAGGTTCTATAAAATACAAGGGATCCCATATAAGCTTGTAGACAGCTGCTGGGAGAGTAAATGTAAAGACATAGAGAGGGGACAAAACACTGCTGGGAAAGATGGTGTGGGGAGATTAATACAGGGAAGGGAGAGGGAAAGAAATGGTTTGCTGAAATTAATCTAGGCAGCAAACAAAGCAGTATCACATATGGCATACCACCCTACCGAGGCACCAACATTGAATGTGGAATTAAGTGAGGTGGTTCCCATAACAATTCTGGTTGCTTTGGGATGTGTCACTGACAAAGCTATTTTTTTTTTTTTTTGACGCAGTCTTGCTCTGTCGCCAGGCTGGAGTGCACTGGCGCAATCTCAGCTCACTGAAACATGCAACTCCCGCGTTCAAGCGATTCTCCTGCCTCAGCCTCCCTAGTGTCTGGGACTACAGGCAGGTGCTATCACGCCCCACTAAGTTTTGTATTTTTAGTAGAGATGAGGTTTCACCATGTTGGACAGGTTGGTTTTGATCTCTTGACCTCGTGAACTGCCCGCCTCGGCCTCCGAAATTGCTGGGATTACAGTCGTGAGCCACTGCACCCGGTCATTAAGCTACTTTTTATTCAGCTCCCTCACTTATGAAATAGTGAACAATACATGTAAAATAGGCTAAGGGAAAGTCCTCTCTGAGCTTGTAAACACGGTTTAAATGTAGTAATAATAACAATTAATACCTTTCTGAATCCTTCTTTGAATTCGGTCTCCATACTGGTAACCCAACTCCTAGATCCCTTTACCCTCTAAACAAGAGTTGAATCTGCAGTTGTGGGGTCACTCATTCAGGGGCCTCCGAGGTATCCCCTGGGCTGGGACGGGGGATTCCCGGATGTCCCAGCTGCAGGCAAAGCCCTCAAGGAGCTCACAGTAGGGAGGGGCCAACAGTCAAAGCGATTCTTAAGCCATGCCAGTGGCCCCAGTAACAGAGCTGAGGCCAGCTGGTCCTTCCTGTTGTGAGAGTGGATGTCTCAATGGAAGCACCAGCAGGCCCTATGGGGTAAAGCCCTAGTGAGCAACATCTGAACTTCATAACAAATGCAAACGTGAATGAACTTTAAATGGCTTGGAGCTCTGGATTAGACTACCACTGCCACTGCGCCTCAGGAAAATTCTTTAACATCTCTGTACCCCGATAGCCTCATTTTATTATTATGTTGCTGATAGCTATGATCTAAAACATGAACTGTGATTCTTTACTTCCATTTCATGGACCAGGAATCTGGAGCTCAGAGAACTTAGAAGATTTGCACCAAGTCACATGACTTTTATATGGATGAAAACTCAACTGTGTGACTCGTTATTATTTGGAGATAATAACAGACACAACGTCACAGAGGTCTTCTTAGGGATTAAATAAATTCATCCATGTGAACTGCTTAAAATAGTATCTGGCATCACTATGAAGACAAAAGAAGTAATAAGGATCACAACTGTTAGTATTATCAAACCGTTGGTGCTACACCAGGTTTTGTGATAGATATGGGGAGAAGGAGGCAATGAGGGCATTTTTGATATTCTCCCACTCTTACCAGTGTTCACATCCATGAAGGGACAAAGGTTCTCTGGTCCATTAGATTTGAGAGATACTCACCTTCGGGAAGATTCTCTGGAGCCTGCTGAAAGTCATCTGAGGACATTCAACTGAAAGAGAATACATCAGAATTTTTCTTTGTTGGTAAAGATTTCCAAACTCTAGAGAGACTTCTGTCGCATCAGGGTATTCTGCAGCAGAGGGTTATGAGTCCACTCATTATTGAGAAGTTATTGGAGATTCGCTTCTGAATTATGTTTAGTCATGGTTTCCATCTCATAGTTTATCAAATGGGGACTAAACCCCATCACAGTCTCATCTTATTCCATTAAATATCTTTTACTTTTTCCCAAATAATTAAATTGATTGGTTAGGAATCTGAACTGTATCCACTCAAGATGGGCAACAACTGAAAATCATTGGGTGATTTTCAAATGGGTGAATACTGTGGTATGGATGAATACTGTGGTAAATGGGTGAATACTGTGGTATGTGAATTAAGCTGTTAAATGTGTGATGAACCATGGATGATTTAGTCCAGTGGCTCTGAAATATTTTCGGTATGAAGACACTCCTTTAATGTCAAAAACTTGGCAGATACTCAAGCACTGGATTTTCAGATCTCTTATAGTGATTGTGGGAGATGGTAGAATCTGGCCTGTTTAGTTGGGGAGTAATAGGTCTATTGGAGACAGTTTGGACAGTTTGACCTTGTCTTGTAATTGTGTTGTCAGAGCAGAAGAGCCAGTAAACACATATGTCCCCTTTTTATTCCTGAAATGTACAAAGATCTCTACCGAAGAACGTGTCTTTTTTTCACTCCATGTTATCTCTGCTCACTGACAAGTGGGAAAGCTCTCTCTGTGTTGGATGAGGGATCACTCTTTCAGACTCACTCCCGAGCTCATCACAGAGAATCAGGGTTCTTTGGGAATGAGAAGACTATTTGGTTTTGATAAAATACAGAGAAACAGCGATGCTTATTACATAATGTGTTCATCACCCTCACTCCTAAGATACTTATCCAATACCTACATGCTGTTAATGAAACAAACTCTGGAAGTTTTTGGCGGATCCATAGTTTTAACAGTTTCTTTCTTTTTTTGTCACTTTTCACATTTCTTAACTGTCTTTTGATTCATTAACAGTGCTTAGGAAGAGCAACATGTCCTTTAAAAAGAAATATTTCAAACACACAGAAAAGTATGGGGAATAATATTGAGTCCAGTCAGATCTCAACATTACCCCACAGCTGTGTTAGGTCTCATTTTTTCATTCAGAATATTAGAAATACTGCAAACAGGCTGAGCGTGGTAGCTCATACTTGTAATCCCAGCACTTTGGGAGGCTGAAGCGGGTGGATCACCTGAGGTCAGGAAGTTTGAGACCAGCCTGGCCTACATGGTGAAACCCCGTCTCTACCAAAAATAAAAAAATGAGCTGGGTGTGGGGGCGGGCACCCATAACCCCAGCTACTCCGGAGGCTGAGGCAGGAGAATCACTTGAACCCGGGAGTTGAAAGTTGGAGTGAGCTGAGATTGCCTTATTGCACTCCACCCTGGCCGAGAAGAGTGAAACTCCATCTCAAAAACAAAAGCAAACAAAACACACTATCGACAAGTCACAGCTGAAGCTGTGTGTGCAGCACTCAGCAATCCCTGCTCTCCCTCCCTCCTCCACTTACAGCCAGTCACCTTAATTTGATGGCTTTTTATTCACATTCATGTTTGCATATATTTACCATTTACTAATTATCCATAAAAATATATATTCTTGTTTTGCATGTTTTAAAATTTTATATGAATGGCCTCTGTAGTTAACTTTCTGCACGCAATTTTTTTTCACTCAGCCCTGATGTGTATGAGGGAACAAATGCCTGAGGATCTTTCCCAGGTAGCTGAGCTGAAAAGCAACTGGGCTTGAGGAGACCCTTTCCAGCCCCTTCCCATCTACTCACCCTGATTCCTGTGGTTACGGTCATTATCAAAATCATTCCCCTGGAAATCTGCGGCCCGTTTATTATGCATGAAAGGTGAGAGGGTAACCTTGAAACCTAGAAAGAAGCAAAATGTTTATTCCCTAAGAGAGAAGCTTAGGCCTGGCACTGTGGCTCACGTCTATAGTACCAGCGCTTTGGGAGACTGAGGTGGGAGGATTGTTTGAGGCCAGGAACTCGAGGCTGCAGTAAGCTATGATTGCACTACTGCACTCTAGGCTAGGTGACATGGTGAGAGTCTGACTCAAAAGAGAGAAAAGCCAAGAGAAGGAAGGTAGTGTCGGTGGGGGGTTGCCAGGATGCCACAGAGACAGTTGGACTCATCAGAACAGAGGCCTAATGGAGAGAAACGTGCAGGATCCAGGTATGAGCTCCACTGTGGCCAGTCCCTGCCCTCAGCCCTGACAGGATACAGAAGAGCAGAACACCCAGAAGCTGCCTTGCGATTTTTCCCTGCACAAAAGGAAAATGTGGGGTACTTTCTGCAGCCTAAGAAGTAGCCAAAGCAGGGAAAGGGATGCTCATGTGTCCCCAGACTTGTCTGTACCTAGAATTTTCTGTTACCTAGTTTAGTCATGGCCTCATACTTTCTCTTCATATACACATAGATGATTTTCTCCGAGGCTTTCATCTTTCCCACTCTTTCTTAGAGAAGTATTTGGCAATATCATTGAAGGCCTAGAAGAAAAAAAAAAGGAATTCTGGCAGTACTCAGCTAGGCATGTCTGCCATTCAGCTGGAGCCGCTTCCTGTGTGCTAGATCTGGGAACTGGGGATGATAATTCTTCCTGGTTGATGCCATGGCTAACTGACAGAACAAGGGGCACCTACCCTAGCTTCTCCCCTGCCACACAGTAGGGCTTTAATGCTGCTGGCTGGCTCTCTTCCCACCTTCCAGAATGGACTGAGATTCACCAAATGAAGTGCACAGTCATAGACTTGTCTCCAGAGATGCTAGGTGATGACAGAGCGAGGGTGGGAAGTTCCCAAGGATCCAGATCTCCCCCGAGACCCTGCTCCTTGTCTCCAGTGTCTCTGTCCTCCCCTCCTCAGAAACCAGGTCACCCCACACTGTCCCCTGGGCCACTACTATGCCCCCTCCAGGTCACCTCAGCTTTTGTATCTTCTCTGGTATTTGAGCATCATCCCTAGCTCTCTTTGCACAGTCGTTGTCTCCGTTCATGGCACCGGGACTAGTCTGACCTGCAAGAGAAACAGAATGAGACTTTCCAGCCACAGGACCTTTGGTCTTGTGGAGGGAGAAATCAGTGAAGGCCGGCCACACTCAGTCACCTGGAATCAGGTGCTGCATTTCTCCATCCGGGGCTTATCTGTTCCTGAGTAAGGCCATGGGGAGAAGTCAGATGAAAACAGGAAACCAGGGATCTCTGGGAGAAGTATTGATTGGGGATAACAGGTTTCCTATGGGCAAAGCAGCCTTGAGTCTTTAGGAGGGGGTTGGCTACTCTTGTTAGTAGTTTCCCTGGAGCTAGCCTTGCCCTGAAAGATGTACAGACCCTTGTTGGGGAGGCAAGGACATGACTATGTAATTGTATTGGGTGAGGGCGTGCTGAAATATGGGGTATTTCAAGATGCAGCAATCAGCCAGGAGCAGTGGTTCACGCCAGTAATCCCAGCACATTGGCCAATCCTCCCGCCTCGATCTTGGGACTACAGTACAGGCATGCACCACCCAGCCCCTACTAATATTTTTATTTTTGTTTTTTTTAGTGGAGAGGGTTTTGCTATGTTGACCAAGTTGGTCTCGCCCTCTTGGGCTCAAGCGATACTCCCGCCTCAGCTTAGGGACTACAGGCATGCACCACCCTGCCTTTTGCTATGTTTCCAGGCTGGTCTTGACCTCCTGGGCTCACTCAATGACTTGAACCTGGGAAGCAGAGGTTGCATTGAGCCAACATCACACCACTGCACTCCAGCTTGGGCGACAGTGCAAGATTGTCAAATAAATAGATAAATAAATACATAAGAAAGAAAGAAAGACCAGCTGAATCTCCATAAGAATAGTAGTAAGCTTTGTGGTATTTTTACTTACCCTCATCCCATCTCATGCTCCCAGCTTGGTTCTGTTCATTGCTGATGAAATACAGATAGGATTGGCCAGAACTGGTAGAGGGCTGGCTGTTGATCATGAAAATGTCAGACCTGATATAGTCCTCCTTGGAAAGGCCCTTTCTAGGGGCTGATACTCTGTGTCAGTGGTGCTGTGAGACAATGACATAATGCTGACCATTAAGCCAGGGGAACGTGGGTCCACATACGGTGGCAATCCACTAGGCTGCTGAGTGACCATCGCAGCCCTTGAGGTTTTAGAAGAAGAAAACCTTGCTGAAAATGCAGAAAAAAAATGGGTATTCTCTTGAGAAATGAACCCATGAAGCTACCTTCTGATGTTGTGACTGCCGTAAGAGGAAAATGATTGTTTTATTTATTCATTTAGTTATTTTATTGAGTCAGAGATTCACTCCGGTTGCCCAGGCTGGAGTGCAATGCCACGATTTTGGCTCACTGCAACCTCTGCCTCCTGGGTTAAAGGGATTCTCCTGCCTCAGCCTCCTGAGTAGCTGGGATTACAGGGATGTGCCCCTATGCCCGGCTAATTTTTGTATTTTTAGTAGAGATGGGGTTTCGCCTTGTTGGCCAAGCTGGTATTGATCTCCTGACCTCAGGTGATGCACCTGCCTCGGCCTCCCAAAATGTTGGGGTTACAGGCGTGAGCCACTCTCCCTAGGAGGAAAAGAATTATTAAATGCTATTGTTATTCAAGACAACAAAGACTGTGATGCTTGGAAGGTGTATCTACAACTTCGAGATTATGGATTTCTGGCCCAGCCAATCCATGGTGACATCATCAGTTTTTGCCTCTGCTAGTGGTCAAGGAGGATGAGATTCGAGAGTCCAGTGAAATCAATAACAAGACCATCTTGTCGTTCTGAGTGTAGCAGCCATTTTCAGTGGTCCCTGGGAGCCGACTAGAGACAGGTGGTCCTGTAAAAGCTCTGCTCTTAATGTGGGCACATTCCACTCCCATGTGTCTTCAAAACCTTTTTCTGGAATATATTTTTTTTTCAGTTGATACATAATAGAATAGTGTTTATGAAGCTGCCTTTTGCTTTGTAACATAAGTAAGAGAATGTAATGGCATCTATATTCAGTGAAAGTGTTTTGATGTGCAGAACATGGCGAGGTGCAGTGGTTCATGCGTGTAATTCCAGGATTTTGGGAGGCAAGGTGGGCAGATTACTTGAGGTCAGGAGTTTGAGACCAGCCTGGCCAACACAGAGAAACCCCATCTCTACTAAAAATACAAAAATTAGCTAGGTGAGGTGGTGGGTGCCTGTAGTCCTAGCTACATGGGAGACTGAGACAGGAGAACCCCTTGAACCCAAGAGGCAGATGTTGCAGTGAGCCAAGATCATGCCACTGCACTCAAGCCTAGATCACAGAGTGAGAATCCCTTTGGAAAAAAAAAAGGTACACAACACTTCCATCACCACAATGCTATTCCTTGTGCTACTCATTTTTAGTAATACTCACTCTCCTCCCACCCACCATTCCTAACCCCTGGCAACCACTAATCTGTTTTCCACTTCTACAATTTTGTCTTTTCTAGAATGCTGTACAAATGAAATCTTATAGTATATCACGTTTTAAGGGCTTATTCCACTCAGCATAATTCCCTGGAGATTCATCCAAACTATTAATATCTGTGTATCAATAGTTCATTGTTGCTGTTGTTGTTGAGACAGAGTCTCACTCTGTCACTCAGGCTGCAGTGCAGTGGAATGATCTTGGCTCACTGCAACGTCCGCCTCCCTGGTTCAAGTGATTTTCCTACCTCAGCCTCCTGAGTAGCTGTGACTACACGTGCATGCCACCACACCCTGGTAATTTTTGTATTAGTCATAGAGACGGGGTTTCAACATATTGGCAAGGCTGGTCTTGAACTCTTGACATCATGATCTGCCTGCCTCAACCTCCCAAAGTGCTGCGATAACAAGGTAAGCCACTGTGCCTGGCCAATAGTTCATTTTTATTACTGAGTAGTATTCCATAGGATGGATGTTCCACAGTTTGACCATTCACTTATTGTAGGACATATTGATTATTTCCAGCTACTGGCTATTACAAATAAAGCTGCTATGAACAATTATGTACAAGTTTCTGGATAGGCATACATTTTAACTTCTCTGAAGTGTAATTGTTGAAATGTATGGTCATTGCATGTTTAGTTTTGTCAGAAACTACCAAACTGCTTTCCAGAGTGGCTGTAAGATTTTACCTTCCCAACAGCACTTAATGAGGTGTCCAGTTTCTCTGCATCCTCGTCACCATTTGGTGTTGTCACTATGTGCTTTATTTCATCTATTGTAATAAGTGTGTAGTGATACCTCACCATGGTCTTAACTTGCATCTAGTGAAGGAAATGAGGGTTGAACATCTTTTCATGTGCCTATTTGCTTATTTCCTCTTCAGTGAAGTATATGTTCACATCTTTTCATGATTTTCTAATTGGATTATTTGTTTGTATTTTTTACCATTGAGGTTTATTATTATTATTACTATTATTATTATTATTATTATTGAGACAGAGTCTCACTCTGTTACCCAGACTGCAGTGCAGTGGCACGATCTTGGTTCACTCCAATTTCTGCCTCCCAGGTTCTAGCGATTCTCATGTCTCAGCCTCCTGAGTAGCTGGGATTACGGGCACGCATCATCATGCCTGTCTAATTTTTGTATTTTTAGTAGAGATGGGCTTTTGCCATGTTGCCCAGACTGGTCTTGAACTCCAGGCCTCAAGGGATCTGCCCTCCATCCACCTCGACCTCTCAAAGTGCTGGGATTACAAGCGTGAGCCACCACACTCAGCATACCATTGAGTTTTGAGAGTACTATACATATCCATTATATATTCTGGATGTGAGTCCTTTCTTGGATATGTGGTTTGCAAACATTTTCTCCTAGTCAAGACCCAGTTTTTTCATCCTTTTAACAGGGTCTCTTGCAGAGCACAAGTTTTAAATTGGATGAAATCTAATTTACTTGTTTTCTTTATGGATTATGCTTTTTGAACCATTCACTATACCCTAGATCTCAGACGTTTGTCCCATGCTTTCTTGTAAAAGATTTTTTTTTAGTTTTATATTTTAGATTTAAATCTATGATCCACTTGAGTTATTTTTTGTATAAAAATATGAAGATTAGGTCTTTTTTTTTTTTTTTTTAGCCTATGGCTCTGCAACTGCTCCAGCACCATTTGTCAAGCAGATGACCCTTCCTTCTTTTTGTCCCTGTAAAAAATCATTGTGGGGCTATTTCTAGGTTCTCTATTTTGTTCCAGTGATCTATGTGTCTATTCTTCTCCCAGTACTACACAGACTTGATTCCTGTAGCTATATAAGAAATATTGAAATATGGTAGAGCCATTCCTCCCACCTTATTCTTCCTTTCCAAAAATTGTCTTAGCTACATATATATATATTGAGATGCAGTCTGACTTGTGTTGCCCAAGCTGGAGCGCACTGGGGTGATCTCGGCTCACTGCAACCTCCACCTCCAGGGTTCAAGTGATTCTCCTGTCTCAGCTTCCTGAGTAGCTGGGATTACAGGCATGCGCCACCACACACGGCTAATTTTTTTATTTTTAGTAGAGAGGGGGTTTCGCCATGTTGACCAGGCTGGTCTTGAACTCCTGACCTCAAGTGATCCGCCTGTCTTGGCCTCCCAAAGTGCTGGGATTACAGGCCTGAGCCACTGCGCCCAGTGTTGTCTAAGCTATTGGAAACTTGTTACAGCAGCAATCAAAAATGAAAACACATGGAAACATTTATTAGTGAAACAAAATAGAAAGTCAAAAAACAGACTGATCTATATGCAAACTTCAGCATGCATTTCCAAACAGTGGGCAACAGATGATGGGTTGTATAATAAATGATTGCTTGACAAGTGTCTATCCATTTCAAAAACTAAAGATGAAATCCTTACTTTGAAGCATATAAAATAATAAATTCTAAAAATTCAGTGACTTAAATGTGAAAACGTGAAATCATAAAGAACTAGATGAAAATTTAGGAAAATATTACAGTGTAAGACATCCTGAGTTGGCATAGGAACTTCCTGACATTACTCCAAGGCTATAAACAATGAATCTGACATAAAGATGCAAAAATTAAAGTATCATCTAATTCAAAAGACACCATAAACAACTGTTTAAAAAGGCAAATGTTGGGGAAATTGGTGAAGCATCCCCAATAAACTAACAGTAACTATCTCTAATATACAACAAAGCTTTTGCATATCAATAAGAGAAACTGGAACAACTCAATGAAAAAATGTGTTCAGGCATGGCACTACTTCACTGTATAGCACAAAAGGATTATGAAATAGAAAGTATAAAAGAAAAATAATAAAGGAAATGGAGAATAGATCCCAGAAGTTTCAAAGTTCATCCAACAGAAGTTCCAGAGATAGGCCAGGCACGGTGGCTCAAGCCTGTAATCCCAGCATTTTGGGAGGCCGAGGTGGGCGGATCAACTGAGGTCACAAGTTTGAGACCAGCCTGGCCAACATGGTGAAACCCTGTCTGTACTAAAAATACAAAAATTAGCTGGGCATGGTGGCACGTGCCTGTAATCCTAGCTGCTAGCCGTGCTGAGGCAGGAGGATCACTTGGACCTGGGAGGCAGAGGTTGCAGTGAGCCGAGATTGTGCCACTGCACTCCAACCTGGGCAACAGAGCAAGACTCCGTCTTAAAAAAAAAAAAAAAAGTTCCAGAGGTAGAGAATAGAAAGACTGGGCCGGGCGCCATGGCTCATGCCTGTAATCCCAGCATTTTGGGAGGCCGAGGCAGGCAAATCACCTGAGGTCAGGAGTTTGAGACCAGCCTGATTAACAGGGTGAAACCCCGTCTCTACTAGGGTTTGGTGGTGGGCGCCTGAAATCCCAGCTATTTGGGAGTTCAGAACAGTTCCCAGTAACAAAACCCTTGATGGTTTGGCCCCACTGGGGAGTGAGATGTCTTCGAGTGGGAAAAGGTCAGAGGCCACAGATGGAGGATCAGCCCAGTTGGAGCTTTCTAAGTTACATTCTTTTTTTCTCCTTGTTTTCTCGATGGCTTATTACCTGTTCTGTAAACATACAGAGCAGACACTTGGCAGGGCTGGCCCAGTGGCAGCCGAAAGTGGCCTGATAACATTAAGGAATAGGGGGCTTGGAAAGCTCCTAGAGAAAGTGCAGACTCATCAAAGCTGGCCAGTAACTGAGCATTCCTTTCCTACCTCTTTCTCTGCCCTCTGAGCTAGGCAATTACAACCAATATCACCCATCCATAGACTCCCTCCACACTGTAAGGCAGAAATCCTATAAGCGTCTCTGGGGGCTCATAGGCTAGGGACTGGAAAGAAGAATTGGCTCAGCTCAGCTCTAGAGGCTCTATATCCTACGACCTATCAATCCAGAAACCCTGAAACTCATATGGAGTGTCTGGGCTGACACATCTTCCCAGGAACAAAGAGTTATACAGAAAAACTATCGGATAGGCCTGGCATGGTGGCTCATGCCTGTAATCCCAGTATTTTGGAAGACCAAGGTGGGACGATCACCTGAGGTCAGGAGTTTGAGACCAGCCTGGCCAAGATGGCGAAACCCCATCTCTACTAAAAATACAAAATTAGCTGTGTGTGGTGGTGCACGCCTGTAATCCCAGTTACTCAGGAGGTTGGGGCAGGAGAATCACTTGAACCTGGGAAGCAGAGGTTGCAGTGAGGCGAGACCACACCATTGCACTTCAGCCTGGGCAACAATAGTGAAACTGTCTTAACAACAACAACAAAAAAAGGCCGGGCATGGTGGCTCACGCGTGTAATTCTAGCACCTTGGGAGGCTGAGGCGGGCGACTCACCTGAGGTCAGGAGTTCAAGACCAGCCTGGCCAACATAGTGAAACCCTGTCTCTACTAAAAAGACAAAAATTAGCTGGGCGTGGTGGTGGGCACCTGTAATCCCAGCTACTCAGGAGGCTGAAGCACAAGAATCACTTGAACCTGGGAGGTGGAGGTTGCAGTAAGCAACCTTGCTTACTACAGTGGCTGGATCCCACCACTGCACTCCAACCTGGGCGACAGAGGAAGACTCCATCTCAGAAAACAAAAACAAAAACCTAATAAATGCAGTTAGGAAACTATCTTAAAACACAAAATCCCCGTTTTTTTAGACTGATTGTTTAAAAGATAAAGAAAAACAGATCAACATGTTAAGAAAACCTATTTCAAAACGAGAGGAGTAGACTCACCCTGCTGCAGTGCACCCTTGACACTAATGGTCGATTTTTAGATAAACGGATAAACAATTTCTTTTCAATCACAACCAATCTGATCATATATAAGACTCCCTTCCCAAGGCTCATCCTTCATAAACCCTCAGCAACTTGCCTAGAAAGTCCATCATTTTTTATGCCCAGTCTTAGTCCCATAATTTTTCATTTTTATATTGGACTCCAATTCAAGTTCTAGTAAAATGTTAGAGGAAAAGGATAAACTGAGGAAAGGACTGTTAAGCAAAAAGGATCCAGGGAAATTCTCAGCCTATCAAGATTGCAAAAGACACTAAAATTAGGAGAGGCACTGTCAGGAAGGTATGCTCTAGAGAGAAAGTCAAGAATGTGGCCATGTTTGCTAGTGCTGAAGAGATCAGGCACGTGACTCAAGGAGCTCTTCCACTATGCTCAGCCATAGCTGGTAATAGAAATGATATTATCTTGGAAGCTACACAAAGGACCTGCTGGCCTAAAGGTGTGAATCACTATGACATACATTCTGAGAGGAGGGCTATGGGACCAGAGGGGAGAGCTTCAAGCTACAGAGGATTATTCTGAGTACTTGAAACCAAATGGAATTTGTCCTGCTAGATTTCAAAATGGTTGGAAGCGGTGACTCCTTTCTTCCAGTTTCTCCCATTTGAAATGGAAGTATCTGTAACTATTATCCTACACCTGTCTCGCCACTTTATTTTTGGAACAGATAACTTGTTTTCTAGTGTCACAAATTCACAGCAGGAGAATTTTGCCCCAGGATGTTTCATAACCAGAGTCTCACCCATATCTGTTTTAGATGAGGAGATTTGGTAATTTTGAGCTGATCTTATATGGATAAAATGTTGGACTTCAGCTAATGTTGCATGGTTTGAGACATTTGAGGATTTGGGGATGGGGTGCATGTATTTTGCATGTGGGAGAGATGTGAATCCTTGGGGGCCAGAGGGCAGGTTGTGGTAGACTGAACAATGCCCCTCCAAAAGATAGTGACATAGTAACCCCTGGAACCTGTGAGTGCTAGCTTACAACAAAAAAAGTGATTATGTTGGCCAGGTATGGTGGCTCACGCCTATAATCCCAGCACTTTGGGAGGCTGAGGCGGATGGGTCACGAGGTCAGGAGTTCAAGACCAGCCTGGCCAAGATGGTGAAACCCCGTCTCTACTAAAAAAAATATATAAAAATTAGCTGGGTATGGTGGCGGGCACCTGTAATCCCAGCTACCCAGGAGCCTGGGGCAAAGAATTGCTTGACCTGGGAGGCAGAGGTTGCAGTGAGCTGAGATCACGCCACTGCACTCTAGCCTGGGTGACAGAGTGAGACTCCGTCTCGAAAAAAAAAAAAGTAATTATGTTAAAGCTCTTGAGATGGGGAGATTCTCCTGGATTATCTGGGTGGCCCCTAAATGTAATAATGAGTGTCCTTATCACATTGAGGCAGGGAGATCTGACACAGACAGAAGAGAAGACGGCAGTATGCCTGCCATGGTTTGAACGTCCCCACCAAAACTTGTGTTGAAATTTAATTGCCATTGTAACAATATTAAGATGTGCGGCTGTTAGGAAGTGATTAATGCCATTATCATAAGAGTGGATTAGTTATCATGAGACTGGGTTTGTTATAAAAGGGAGCTTAGCCACATTTTCTCTGTCTGTCTCCTGCACTTGCTTTTGCCTTTCATCCTTCCATCATGACACAACCCTCACCAGATGCCAGCGCCATGTTCTTGGACTCCTAGCCTCTAGAACTGTATACGTAATAAACTTCTATCCTTTATAAATTACCCAGTTTGTGGTATTCCATTATAGCAACAGAAAACAAACGAAGGCAATGACCATGGAGATAGAGATTAGAGTGATGCAGCCATGTATTAGTCCGTTCTCACACTGTTATAAAGAACTGCCCGAGACTGGGTAATTTATAAAGGAAAGAGATTTAACTGACTCACAGTTCCGCATGGCTGGGGAGGCCTCAGGAAACAATCATGGCCAAAGGTGAAGAGGAAGCAAAGACTTTCCTCACATGGTAGCAGGAGACAGAAGTGCAAGCAGGGGAAATGCCAGACGCTTATAAAACCATCAGACCTCATGAGAACTCACTGTCACAAAAACAGCATGGGGAAAACCCGCCCCCCCCGTGGGGATTTGTAATCTGTGGGGATTACAATTGGAGATGAGATTTGGGTGGGGACACAGAGCCAACCCATGTCAAGCCACAAGCCAAGAAATGCTGGCAATCACCGGAAGCTGGAAGAGGCAAGGAACAGATTCTCTCCCAGAGCCTCTGGAGGACTACAGCCCCGCTGACAACTTGATTTCAACTCAGTGAAACTGATTTCAGATTTCTGGGCTCCAGAATTGTGAGAGAATAAATTGATGTTGTTTATGCCACAAAGTTTGTGGTAATTTGTTACAGCAGCCAGAGGGAATTTGGGGTGATTGTAAGGAGTTATGTAAATTATGTTAAAGAACCATTGCAGTTGTAAGATGCATTCATTCATTCAACAAATAGTCGAGGCAATATAGAAGAGTAATTAAAAGCACTGACTTTGAGGCCGGGTGTGGGGTGGTTCACTCCTGTAATCCCAATGTTTTGGGAAGCCAAGGCAGGAGGATTGCTTGAGGCCAGCAGTTCCTTCCAGATCAGCGGGGGCAACATAGCAAGACCCCATCTCTAAAAAATATTATTTTAATTAAAAATAAATAAATACATAAATAAAAGCACAGACTTTGGACTCAATTCATCTTGGGGGTGAATCCCAGCTCTGTCACCCACTGACTATGTGAACTTGAGCACACTGCTTAATTCTCTGAGCCTCAGTCTCAACATCTGCACACTGGGGATGATAATAGTATTTAACTCAAGAGAAGATTGTGAAAATCAATGGGAAGATGCACATAAAGGGCTTTGTGCTGGGCTCAAGGGCCATTGCCCTGTCCCTGCCCTAACAGAGCTTGCTGTCATCCTGGGAGGATCTTAGAGAGATCAGGGCTGTAGATGGAAAGCCCAGAGAGGAAAGGGGACTTGTTGGAGGTACTAGGGATGGGGGTAGGGGAAACTTCTTAGACAAATTGACTTATGAGCTCCCTGATGAACACAGTGGGCCTTAATTACATACTCTTTTTAAAACTATTATTATAAATATTTTTAATATCAATGGGTAAAATATATTTCTGCTTCTTTGGTCTTTTAGAAAAAAACATACATAGAAGTGTAGAAGTGGTTTTTTTGTTTAAATTTCTTTTTTAAAAATTTTTTTATAGAGACGGGGGTCTCACTATGTATCCCAGATTGTTCCAGAACTCCTGGCCTCAAGTGATCCTTCCACCTCCTGCCTCAGCCTCTCAAAAAGTGTTGGGATTACAGGCATGAGCCACTGGGACTGGCTCACTGAAATTTTTCTTTCTTTCTCTCTCTCTCTCTCTCTTTTTAAAGACAAGATCTCGCTCTGTGGCCCAGGTAGGCAGCAGTAGCCAGATCATGGCTCACTGCAACCTCGTACTCCTGGGCTCAAGCTATCCTCCTACCTCAGCCTCCTGAGTAACGGACTACAGGCACACCACCCCACCTCGCTAATTTTATTTATTTTATTTTTTTGTAGAGAAAAGAGACAGGGTATTGCTGTGTTGCCCAGGCTGGGGTGCAGTGGCATGATCGTGGCTCACTGCAACCTCTGAGTCCCAGGTTCAAGAGATCCTCCAGCTGTGGCCTCCCAAAGTGCTGGGATTACAAGCGTGAGCCACCGCTCAGGCCCAAATTTCTTACGTCACTACAGAGTTCCTAGGAAAAATTCCATACCTGAAAAAGTTAGGAACTGACAGGAAGGATTTGAGATGATGACCTGCTTCATATACACTCCTTATTAAAACTGAACAACAATCCACCACTGGGGGGGTAAGGGAGATAGGAAAAATGGAAAGAGAAAATCAGCGCATGCGTACTCTGATTTTGGAAGAATCTAAAGAGAAAATCAGAGCATGCGTACTCTGAACTTGGAGTAGCCAATCCCAGGGGATGCTTTAGGCGGGAAAATCAGAGTCTCTGCCTCCATTTTGAGAAGGTTCTGTCCCTGGAGCCTGGACTGATAGACCCCACATCAGCTTGGCTTTTCCCACCTACTGTTCTGACTTCTGATTGGCCAGATGGAGTTCACTAACTGCCCTGATTGGTCCATCATCCTGGAGCAGTGACATTGCAGGATATTTTCTCCTCCTCCAGCCACACTTTGTCACCAACTGCTGCCAACTCGCCACCACTGCTGCCGACCTCGCCACCACTGCTTTGTCTCTGAAGTAGGTTCTCTTTAAGGGACACCCTAGATGGGCTAATCGGGGCAGATAGAAAAGGAGGAAGCTTCTGTAGGGCCGTCAAGTGCTTGGGGTTCCGAAAATCTTGAGGACTGAAAGACAACTAATGCCTTTCAGGACGATCATCATGGAGGATTCTCCCGCCTTGGCCTTGGGTGTACAGGCCTGTATCATCCCACCCCTGGTATTTTTGGGGGGGGGTATTTTAGTAGAGACAGGGATTCGTTATGTTGGCCAGGCTGGCCTCAACCGCCTGGGCTCAAGCAATCCTCCCGCCTTGGCCTCGGGACTGCAGGCACGCACCACCCCACCCTCACTAGTATTTTTTTATTTATTTATTTATTTTAGTACAGATGGTTTCGCTATGTTGGCCAGGCTGACCTCGACCGCCTGGGCTTAAGCAATCCTTCCGCCTCGGCCCCAGGACTACAGAAGTGCACCATCCTGCCCACGCTTTTCTTTTTTTTTTTTTTTTAGTAGAAACCGTGTTTCACTATGTTGGCCAGGCTGGCCTCAACCTCCTGGGCTCAAGCGATCCTCGTACCTTGGCCTCAGGACTACAGATGTGTGCCATTCTGCCCCTGCTAGTTTTGTTGTTGTTCTTTTTACTAGAGACAGGGTTTCGCTATGTTGGCCGGACTGGGCTTGACCTCCTCAGCTCAAGTGATCCTCCCACCTCAGCCTCGGAACTACAGGCAAGAACCACCTCGCTGATGTTATTTTTTTGTTGTTATTACTAGTAGTAGAAATGGGGTTTTGCTATGTTGGCCAGGCTGGCCTCGACCTTCTGGGCTCAAGAGATCCTCTTGCCTCGGCCTCCGGACTACAGGCGAGCACCACCCCGCCCCCACTAATACTTTTTATTTTATTTTATTTTATTTTTTTTAGTAGAGGGTTTCGCTAGGTTGGCTAGGCTGGTACCGACCTCGTGGGCTCAAGCAATCCGCCCCCCTTGACCAAAGTGCTGAGATGCTACAGGCCTGTGCCACTGCCCCCAGCTAAATTTTGTGATTTTTTTTTTTTTTTGTAGAAATGAGGGGTTTGCTATGTTTCCCAGGCTGGTCTCATCCTCCTGGGCTCAAGAGATCTGCATGCCTCGGCCTCCCAAAATGCTGGGATTACAGGCATGAGCCACTGTGCCTAGCTGATTGCTGCAAATTGAAACACCCCACATTTTCTGTAAGTGATGGCAGGCTCATCTAGTCTCAGAGATTCTAGCTCTCTTCCTTCTAATAATTTACAAATCACCGAGTAATAGCCTCTAAATCTGTTCATATTAGTGAAGGTCATTTCTCTTCAACAGAACAGAACCCCTCAACCCTCTGCCTGATCAGATCCATCACCAGAGAGACCAGGTTATGTCTGGGACTCACTTCCCTCCCTTTATTTATTGAGTGGGGGTGTCAGAACGCCCCCACTGAATAGTTACACAGTCACGTCCCTGCCTCCCCAACAAGGGTCTGTACATCTTTCAGGGTAAGCCTAGCCCCAGGGAAACTACTAACAACACTAGCCAACCCCCTCCCAAAGACTCAAGGCTGCTAGGAAACCTGTCATCCCCAAGCAATACTTCTCCCAGAGACTCCAGGCTCCCTGTTTTCGTCTGACTTCTCCCCATGTCCTTACTCAGGGACAGATAAGCCCCGAATGCAGACATGCAACCCCTAATTCCAGGTGACTGAGTGTGGCCGGGCTTCACTGATTTCTCCCTCCATAGGACCAAGGGTCCTGTAGCTAGAAAGTCTCAGGCTGTTTCTCTCGCAGGTGAGAGTGCTCCTGGTGCCATGAACGGAGACGACGCCTTTGCAAAGAGACCCAGGGATGATGATAAAGCATCAGAGAAGAGAAGCAAGGTGAGGTGACCTGGAGGGGGCAGAGCAGTGGTCCAGGGGACAGAGTAGGGTGACCAGGTTTCTGAGGAGGGGAGGACAGAGGTACTGGGGACAAGGAGCAGGGTCTCCGGGGAGATCTGGACCCTTGGGAGCCTCCCACCCTCGCTCTGTCATCACCTAGCATCCCTGGAGACAAGTCTGTGACCTTGCACTATATTTGGTAACTCTCAGTGCATTCTGGAAGGTGGGAAGAGAGCCAGACAGCAGCATTAAAGCCCTAATGTGTGCCACGGGAGAAGCTAGGGTAGGTCCCCCATGGTCTCTCAGTTAGCCATGGCATCAACCAGGACGGATTATCATCCTCACTTCCCAGATCCAGCACACAGGAAGCGGCTCCAGCTGAATGGCAGACATACCTAGCTGAGTCGCCGCCAAAATTTCTTTTTTTTTTTTTAGGCCTTCAATGATATTGCCACATACTTCTCTAAGAAAGAGTGGGAAAAGATGAAATACTCGGAGAAAATCAGCTATGTGTATATGAAGAGAAACTATGAGGCCATGACTAAACTAGGTAACAGAAAGTTCTAGGAACAGACAAGTCTGGGGATACATGAGCATCCCTTTTCCTGCTTTGGCTACTTCTTAGGCTGCAGAAAGTACCCCACATTTTCCTTTTGTGCAGGGAAAAATCACAAGGCAGCTTCTGGGTGTTCTGCTCTTCTGTATCCTGTCAGAGCTGAGGGCAGGGACTGGCCATAGTGGAGCTTGTACCTGGACCCTGCACTTTTCTCTCCCTTAGGCATCTGTTCTGATGAGCCCAACGGTCTCTGTGGCATTGCAGCACACCTCCCACCCTACCTTCCTTCTCTCGGCTTGTCTTTTTCTCTCTCTCTCCCTTTTTTTTTTTTTTTTTTTTTTTTGAGTCAGAGTCTCACTCTGTCACCTAGGCTAGAGTGTAGTAGTGCAATCATAGCTCAATGCAGCCTCGAACTCCTGGGCTCAAGCAATCCTTCTGCCCAGCCAATGGAATAGCTGAGGCTACAGGCACATGCCACCATGCCCAACTAATTTTATTTTATATTTTGTAGATATGGGGGTCTCTCTATGTTACACAGTCTCATCTTGAACTCCTGGCCTCAAACAATCCTCCTGCCTCAGCCTCCCAAAGTGCTGGTACGACAGACATGAGCCACCGTGCCAGGCCTAAGTTTGTCCCTTAAGGAATAAACATTTTGCTTCTTTCTAGGTTTCAATGTCACCCTCCCACCTTTCATGTGTAATAAACAGGCCACAGACTTCCAGGGGAATTATTTTGATAATGACCGTAACCGCAGGATTCAGGGTGAGTAGATGGGAAGTGGCTGGAAAGGTCTCCTGAAACCCAGTTGCTTTTCAGCTCAGCTACCTGGGAAAGATCCTCTGACATTTGTTCTCTCATACACATCAGGGTTGAGTGAAAAAAAAATTGCATACAGAAAGTTAACTACAGAGGCTATTCATAAAATTCTAAAACATGCAAAACAGTAATATGTATTTTCATGGATAATAAGTAAATGGTAAATGCATGAAAACATGAATGCGAATAAAAAGGCATCAAATTGAGGAGACTGGCTGTAAATGGAGAAGGGCCGGGGGCAGGGATTGGTGAGTGCTGCACAGACAGCTTCAGTCATGACTTGTTGATAGTGTGTTTTGTTTTGTTTTTGTTTTTGTTTTTGTTTTTGTTTTTGTTTTTGTTTTGAACTGGAGATTTGCTCTTGTCGCCCAGGCTGGAGTGCAATGGCACAGTCTCAGCCCACTACAACCTCTGCCTACCGGGTTCAAGGGATTCTCCTGCCTCAGCCTCCTGAGTAGATAGGATTACAGGCACCCGCCACCATGTACACCTAATTTTTGTATTTTTAGTAGAAACGGGGTTTCACCATGTTGGCCAGGCTGGTCTCAAACTCCTGACCTCAGGTGATCCACCCACCTCAGCCTCCAAAGTGCTGGGATTACAGGTGTGAGCTACTGCACCCAGGCCGTTTCTAGTGTTTCTAACATTCTAAATAAATAAATCAGATCTAACATAGTCATGGGGTAATGTTGAGATGCGACTGAACTCGATATTATTCCCCATACTTTTCTGTGTGTTTCAAACATTTCTTTTTTAAACGACATGTTGTTCTTGCTACACACTGTTAATGAATGAAAGGACAGTTAAGACAATTTTAAAAGTGAAAAAAAGGAAAATGTTAAAAGTGTAGATCAGCCAAAAACTTCCAGAGATTGTTTCATTAACAGCATGTAGATATTGGATAAATATCTTAAGAGAGAGGGTGATGAACACATTAGGTAATAAAGATCGCTGTTTCTCTGTACTTTATTAAAACCAAATAGTCTTCTCATTCCCAAACAACCCCAATTCTCCATGATGAGCTTGGAAGTGAGTTTGAAAGAGTGCTCCCTCATCTAACACACAGAGAGCTTTCCCAATTGTCAGTGAGCAGAGATAACATAGGATGAAAAAAAGACAGGTTCTTCGGTAGAGATCTTTGTGCATTTCAGGAATATAAAGGGGACATATGTGTTTACCTGCTCTTCTGCTCTGACAATACAATCATAAGACAAGGTCGGAGTGTCTAAACTGTCCTCAATATACCTATTACTCCCCAACTAAACAGGCCAGAATCAACCATCTCCCGCAATCACTATAAGAGACCTGAAAAGCCAGTGCTTGAGTGTCTGCCAAGTTTTGACATTAAAGGAGTGTCTTTTTACTGAAAATATTTCAGAGCCACTGGACTAAATTATCCACGGTTCATCACACATTTAACAGCTTAATTCACATACCATAAGATCCACCCATTTGAAGTGTACAGTGATTTTTAGTTGTTCACATCTTGAGTGGATACAGTTCAGATTCCCAACCAATGAATTTAATTATTTGGGAAAAAGTAAAAGATATGTAATGGAATAAGATGAGACTGTGATGGGATTTAACCCCCATTTGACAAACCATGAGATGTAAAATTCTGAATTGATGCCACAGATAAATGCACCAACCATTACTAAACATAATTCAGAAGCAAATCTCAAATAACTCCTCAACAATGAGTGGACTCATACCCCTTTGCTGCAGAATGCCCTCATGCGACAGAAGTCTCTCTAGAGTTTGGAAATCTTTACCAACAAAGAAAAATTCTGATGTATTCTCTTCCAGTTGAACGTCCTCAGATGACTTTTGGCAGGCTCCAGAGAATCATCCCGAAGGTGAGTACCTCTCAAATCTAAAGGACCAGAGAACCTTTTTCCCTTCATGGATGTGAACACTGATAAGAGTGGGAGAATATCAAAAATGCCCTCATTGCCTCTTTCTCCCCATGTCTATCACAACAACTTATGTAGCACCGACGGCTTGATAATACTAACAGTTGTGATCCTTAATACTTCTTTTGTTTTCATAGTGATGCCAGATACTATTTTAAGGAGTTCACATGGATTAATTAATTTAATCCATAAGAAGACCTCTATGATGTTGTTTCTTTTATTATCTCCAAATAGTAATGAGTCACACACTTCGGTTGTCATCCATATAAAAGCCATGTGACTTGGCACAAATCTTCTAAGTTATTGGAGCTCCAGATTCCTAGTCCATGAAGTGGAAGTAAAGAATAATAGTTCATGTTATAGACCATAATTATCAGCAATATAACAATAAAATGAGGCTATCATGGTACAGAGATGTTAAAGAATTTTCCTGGGGCGCAGTGGCAGTGGTAGTCTAATCCAGAGCTTCAAGCCATTTAAAGCTCATTCACGTTTGTATTTGTTTATGAAGTTCAGATGTTGCTCACTAGGGCTTCACCCCATAGGGCCTGATGGTGCTTCCATTGAGACACCCACTCTCTCAACAGGAAGGACCAGCTGGCCTCTCTTCTGTTACCGGGGCCACTCCCATGGCTTAGGAATCGCTTTGACTGTTGGCCCCTCCTTGAGCTCCTTAAGGGTTTTGTCTGCACCTGGGGCATCCGAGAAGCCCCAGTCCCAGCCCAGGGGATCCCTCAGAGGCCCCTGAATGAGTGATTCTGGAAGTGCAGATTCAGCTCTGGTTTAGAAGGTAAAGGGATCTGGGAGTTGGGTTGCCAGTATGGAGAACGAATTCAAAGAAGGATCCAGAAAGGTATTCATTGTTATTATTATTACATTTGAACAACGTTTACAAGCTCAGAGAGGACTTTCCCTTAGTCTATTTTACATGTATTATTCACTATTTCATAAGTGAGGAAGTTGAGTAAAAAGTAGTTTAAGGGCCGGGCGCGGTGGCTCATGACTGTAATCCCAGCAATTTAGGAGGTCAAGGCGGGCAGATCACGAGGTCAAGAGATCGAGACCGTCCTGGCCAACATGGTGAAACCTCGTCTCTACTAAAAATACAAAATTTAGTGGGGCCTGGTAGCACCTGCCTGTAGTCCCAGCTACTTGGGAGGCTGAGGCAGGGGAATCACTTGAACCGGGGAGGAGGGGAGGAGGAGATTGCAGTGAGCCGATATCGCGCCACTGCACTCTAGCCTGGTGACAGAGCGAGACTTTGTCAAAAAAAAAAAAAAGTAGCTTAATATTGTTGGTCAGTGACATATCTCAATGCAACCAGAATTGGTATGGGCACCACCTCACTGAATTCCACATTCAATGTTGGTGCCTCGGTAGGGTGGTATGCCATATCTGTTACTGCTTTCTTTGCTGCCTAGATAAATTTCAGCAAACCATTTCTTTCCCTCTCCCTTCCCTGTATTCATCTCCCCACACCATCTTTCCCAGCAGTGTTTTGTCCCCTCTCTATGTTTTTACATTTACTCTCTGAGCAGCTGTCTACAAGCTTATATGGGATCCCTTGTATTTTATAGAAGTTCTTCCTTTTTTAGACGTTGTGAATTCTTAGAATGCTGTTTTTCTCCAAATCTTCTGTGTACCGCACTCTCAATCACATGGAGATTTCTGCTGTTTGCACGAATGTCAGTCTTAAAAAAGTGTGAAGATAAGCATTCTAATCCTGGAAACCCCATTCATTTAGGCCATTCCTTTTGCTTCTAATCTCCCAGGTTTCTCTTATTTAGGCAAGTGTAACTCTCCCAGCATTGTTGAGAACATTGATTAAGGTAATGCATGTGAAGATGCTTTGTAAGCTCTAAAGCACTATAGAAATGTCACTGATTCTGTTTATCTGTGACCTTCACATTATAAAGATCATGCCCAAGAAGCCAGCAGAGGAAGGAAATGATTCGAAGGGAGTGTCAGAAGCATCTGGCCCACAGAACGATGGGAAACAGCTGCGCCGCCCCGGGAAAAGCAAATACTTCTGAGAAGATTAATAAGAGATCTGGTAAGAGGAATCAATTTGGGAACAACTCCTCTGGCTTTTCTGGCTATGTTCAGGTGTGTGGACTGGGTGTGTGGCATGGATCCCAGACAAGTCTGGGTCCAGGCTGGGCTGAGGAGCTCGCCCAGCTCCAGATGAGATGTTAGACATGACTTCCAGAGACACAGACTGGAGTTGTCACCCATATAAAAAACCACGTGACTTGGGGCAAGTCTTTCAAATTTTCTCAGCTCCAGACTCCTAGTCCATAAGATGGAAATAAAGAATCATAGTTCATAAATTGTTTGGAGACATTAAATTTAATCTAGAAGGCCTGATGACATGAAAGGTGCTCAAGCGATTCTATCAGTGATAACCTGGGATCATATCTTACTCAGCTCAATGCCTGATACCCAATGCAGGTGTACTTCAGAGATATTGCAGATTCGGTTCCAGACCACTGCAATAAAGTGAGTCACACACATTGTTTTTCGATTGTTTTGCAGTGCATAAAAACATTATGTTTACACTATAGTGTACTCTACTAAGTGTGCAATAGCATTATGTCTAAAAATGTACATACCTTAATTTTAAAATAATTCATTGTTAAAAAATGCTAACAATCTTCTGAGCCTTCAGTGAGTCACACTCTTCTTGTTGGTGTGGGGTCTTGCCTCAGTGTTGATGGCTGCTGGCTGATCAAGGTGGTGGTTGCTGAAGGGTGAAGTGGCTGTGGCAGTTCCTTAAAAGAACACAACAGTGAAATTTGCCACATGGATTAGCTCTCCCTTTCATGAAAGATTTCTCTGTAGTATGTGATGCTATTCGATAGCATTTAGCCACTTTAGAACTTCTTTCAAAGTTGAAGTGAATCCTCTCTAGCTGTGAAAGTTTTAGATGACATCTACTTCCAATAAAAGGCTATTTTATCTTTATTGAAAATCTGTTGTTTAGTGTAGCCACCTTCATCAGTGATCTTAGCTAGATCTTCTGGATAACTTGCTGCAGCTTCTCCAACAGGGTTTGCTGCTACACCTTGCACTTTTATGTTATGAAGATGACTTCCTTCCTTAAACCTCATGAGCCAACCTCTGCTAGCTTCACACGTTTCTTCTGCAGTTTCCTCACCTCTCTCAGCTTTCATGGACTTGAAGAGAGTTCGGGTCTTGCTCTGAATTAGACTTTGGCTTAAAGGAATGTTGTGGCTGGTTTCATGTTCTATCCTGATCACTCAAACTTTCTCTATTTCAACAGTAAGACTGTTTTGCTTTCTTATTCGTGTGTTCACTGGGTATTAGTATTATTATTTCCTTGAAGAACTTTTCCTTTGCATTATATACTATTCTTTCCTTCAAGAACTTTTCTTTGCATGCACAGCTTGGCTATTTGGTGCAAGAGGCCTAGCTTTCAGCCTATCTTGGCTTTCAGCATGCCCTCCTCACTAAGCTTAGCCATTTCTAGATTCTGATTTAGTGTGAGAGAATGCAAGTCTTCCTTTCATTTGAACTGTTAGCGGCCATTGTAGGATTGCTAATTGTCCTAATTTCAGTATTGCTGTGTCTCAGGGAATAGGTAGGCCCAAGAAAAGGAAAAGAGTCGGGAAGCGCTCATCGGTGGAGCAGTCAGAACACACACAACATTGATCAATTACGTTCGTCATCTTCTCTGGGTGGAGTTCCTGTTACGCCCAAAACATTTACAAACAACAGGGTGACTATAGTCAATAATACCTTAGTCATACATTTAAAAATAACTAAAAGAGTGTAATTGGATTGTTTGTAACACAAGGATAAATGCTTGACCGGATGGATACCCTATTTTCCATGATGTGATTATTACGCATTGCATACATGTATCAAAACATCTCACATACCCCATAAGTATGTACACCTACTGTATATCCACAAAAATAAAAAAAATTATTTTAAAGACTAAAAAACAACAAAAACAATTGCAATAATAACATCAAAGCTCACTGATCACAGATCACCATAACAGATACACTAATAACAGAAAAGTGTAACATTGGTGAGAATTCCCCTCAAAAAATTACAGTATCTGCAAAGCACTATAAAAATGAGGTGCCATAAAACAAGGTATGCCTCTGTGCCCTTAACAAATATGTGCAGCATGAAAGGAGGTATGGGTGAATGTTCCTGTAAATGAAGACGTTGGGAATCTAAACCTGACAACGGAAGGAGCCAGAAGCTAAAACTTTAATTGGTATTTGTCGTGTATTGGTGTGGATCTAAGGTCTCAGCCTCTTTAAGCCAGAGAATGTGAAAAACTGGATAAAGAAGGCCCATGGGCACTTGGGAGGGGGGAGGCATCTCCTTTTTTTGAGAAAACAGAGCCTAACATTCTTCAACCTACCCAGTCCTCATCTTCCAACTCTTCTTCATCATAGGACCCAAAAGGGGGAGACATGCCTGGACCCACAGACTGCGTGAGAGAAACCAGCTGGTGATTTATGAAGAGATCAGAGACCCTGAGGAAGATGATGAGTAACTCCGTAAGTGAACCTTTGGCTCATCCCCCACATCCCTGCAGATGTGCTATTCTGTTATGGTACTGGTATCCCATCTTGTCATTTGTTTCCCAAATCATTCCTTTCTCATAATTTTCTAGTGTACAGCATTGAGGCTGAATGATGAGATTTCCCATGCTCTTTCTACTCCCTGCCCTGTATATCCAGGGATCCTCCCTACCCAGGATGCTGTGGCTTCCCAAACCCCAGGTCAGCCCTGATATGTGGCCACACCTTCCTCTAGCCTAGGAATGGATAACCCAGGCGAGGAAGTCACTGTGGCATGAGCAGATGGTTCACTTCGAGGAACCATGGAAGGCGTGTCCAGGTCCTGAGGTAGGGCAGAATCAGAGTGTGCAGGGTCTGCAGGTCTGGAGAAGTTGAGATTGAGTTATTGGGCAGTGGGAACTCGCTGTCACTTACTTTCCTTCTCTCTTCTCGCCTCAGCCTGGGGGATATGACACATGCCCATGATGAGAAGCAGAACATGGTGACCTTTCACGAACATGGGCATGGCTGCGGACCCTCGTCATCAGGTGCATAGCAAGTGAAAGCAAGTGTTCACAACAGTGAAAAGTTGAGCGTCATTTTTCTTAGTGTGCCAAGAGTTCGATGTTAGTGTTTCCATTGTATTTTCTTACACTGTGCCATTCTGTTAGATACTATCCTTTTCAATGATGAGCAAGACATACTTAATGCATATTTCGGTTTGTGTATCCATGCACCTACGTCAGAAAACAAGTATTGTCATGTATTCTCTGCATAGAACAGCACTATCCTCATCTCTCCCCAGATGTGACTACTGAGGGCAGTCCTGAGTGTTTAATTTCAGACTTCTTCCTCTGCATTTACACACCACACAACACACACACACACACACACACACCAAGTACCATTATAAGCATCTCCCATCTGCTTTTCCCATTGCCGTGCATCCTGGTCAAGCCCCCCTCACTCTGTTTCCTGTTCAGCATGTACTCCCCTCATCCGATTCCCCTCTATCAGTCACTGACAGTTAACAAACCTTTGCAAACATTCCCCAGTTGTTTGTTCCTCTCATTATTGTACACACAGCTCTGTGCACATGTGTGAATATTTCTTTAGAAAGATTCTTAGAAGTGGAATTGATGTGTCAAAGGAGTCATTTATTCAACAAAACCCTAATGAGTGTGTCCTCGGGCTGAGCGCTATTCTAGGTGCTGGAGAGACATCAGGGAACAGGGCAGACAGATGTTTCTGACCACCATTCTAGAGGAGGATGTTTCCAGTTGTTCGTTTTCTTGATTTGTTTGTTTGTTTCTTCTAGAGATGGGGTCTTGCTCTGTCCAGGCTGGAGTGCAGTGGCATGATTATAGTTCAATGCAGCCTTGAACACCTGGGCTCAAGCAATCCTCCCACCTTGGCCTCCTGAAGTACTAGGATTACAGGCATGAGCCACCGCACCTGGCCTCCAGTTTTTATTTTGATAGAGACTATACACTTCAGTCCTGGAGCAGGATTCTGTAGCAGGTGGTTGGGCAATTTGGCCTTCGCTCTCTGAACAATTTTCGGGTTCTAGGGCTGTGATGGTCCATTTGGGAGTATGTGGGAGGAGACACAGATGAAATCGTCATCTGGGGAACGTGGAGGAATGAGGAAGATGCATGCACTGTAGACCCTGTGATGGCCAGGGAATAGAAGAGTCCACTTAGTCTCCATGCAGGGGATCAGCAGTGGGAAAGTCCCCTGGACAGAAGCATGAGACTGCCCATCAAGGGTCTCACCAACCAAGGTCCTGGGGGCTGGGGTGGAGATGATGATTTGGGAATGGGACAGTTCTTTCTCACAGGTACCATTGCAAGGTGCAGAGAGGAAACAGTTGTGGGGAAGGGAAGGGCAGAGGGGAGTCTATTTTAGAACGAACCATTGTGTGTCAATGGAGACATTAAGGTTCCATTTACACACAGCGGACTTGAAACACCAGCCCCAGGTGGAGGCAGGATTGGAGCTGTTTTGACCATCCGTAACCCATCACCTTGGCCTCCTGGTTCTCCCCAGCCTTAGAAGGAGGACACTATCATCATTATGCCTATGTAATAGATGAGAGACAGAGTCCCAGAGAGATGGTAGGTGTCTTGTCACAGGTCCTACAGCTGGCAGGTGCAGGAGGGGCTGAGTTTGGAGTTCACTGACTCTAGAAACATTAAGGAGGACAAGCGTGTGTGGTGGAGGGAGGGAGAAGTGAACAAGCCCCGGGTTCTGTCCCCAGTCACAAGGTAGATATTGTGGGTTCATTTACCCAAGACAAGGAGCCCTAGGACAGAGAGAGTGCGGGGAGGGAGAGGCAATCACGGATATAGTGGGGACAGTGGGAGACAGAGATATTCAGGGTGGGCAGAAGAGGGGCAGGCAAAGAAGCAGGGGATACCCAAGACCAAGTGTGGGCTGTCACAGCCACCAGAGGGAGAGGATGCCAGGAAGGAGGTTGTGGGGCTCCAGGAGCAACAGAGGTTCCCCAGATCTCTGAGCATGCCCTGCCTGGCACTGCAGGAAGAGGTGGCTGCCACCCAGGTCAGTGTGGACGTGCCTCTACCTGTGTCTCAGAGGAAACACATTCTGTTTTATCCCAATATCATTCTGTATTACACAAATGTAACATTCAGCTACTAGATATTGGGTGCCTTATCCTCCATGCAAGTAGAGGAGAGGATACCCTAAAAGAGATACTAAAGGATTTGATTTTTCTTTCTCCCTGGGATGATGGGATCCGTAAGTTGGGTCCCCCAGCCCACAAGACAGGTGCAAGGAAGGGTGGCTGGAAGATTGTGAGTCATGACAGGGAACATTTTTCGTTAGGTTCCATGGGTATATAAAGCTCCCGACTATCTGTCTATCATGAATAGATAAAGAGTGAACATGGTCCCCTCTCCACAAATGTGTTTCTCTCCTTCATTATTACAGTGAAGGTCTGAAGTTCCGTCAAGTTCTGATACATTACTTTTTTTTTTTTTTTTGAGACAGAGTCTCACTCTGTCATCCAGGCTGGAGTGCAGTGGCGAGATGTCGGCTCACTGCAACCTCTGCCTGCCAGGGTCAAGCGATTCTCCTGCCTCAGTCTCCAGAGTCGCTGGGAACACAGGCGCGTGCCACCATTCCCAGCTAATTTTTTGTATTTTTAGTAGAAACAGGCTTTCACTGTGCCAGCCAGGTTGATCTTCTGACCTCGTGATGTGATGGCCTCAGCATCCCAAAGTGCTGGGATTACATGCGTGAGGTACCGCGCCCAGTGATGCATTACTTTTTTTTAAATTTTTTTTGAGACAGAATCGCAGTCTGTTGCTGAGGCTGGAGTGCAGTGATGCAAGTACAGCTCACTGCAGCCTCAATCTCCCAGGCTCAAGGGATTCTCCCACTTCAGCTTACGAACTACCTGGGACTACAGGCACATGCCACCACACCCAGCTAATTTTTGTATTTTCTGTAGAGACAGGATCCCACTATGTTGCCCAGTCTGGTCTCAACTTCCTGGCCGCAGGCAATCCTCCTGCCTCAGCCTCCCAAAGTGCTGAGATGACAAGTGTGAGCCACCTCACCAGGCCTTCACTTTCTTCAATGAACAATTATCAGAGTTTCATCTTAGAGGCAAAAGTGACTATTGCCAGCCAATCTGAGTGTGGTGTTGGAGGGGAATCTGGCTGATTCAGACATTTCAAATGAACTTTTAAATTAACCTACCTGATGATTATCCTAAGGCCCTTTCTTGCTCCATGTTTTTTTGATTCTGGGTTTGGAGTTTTTCAGAAGCTTTCCTACAAAGAGCATCTCCTGGTCGGGCACAGTGACTCATGCTCTAGTGCCAGCACTTTGGGAGGCCAAGACAGGCAGATCACTTGAGGTCAGGAGTTTGAGACCAGCCTGGCCTACATTGCAAAAACTCTGCCTCTACTAAAAATACAAAAATTAGCCAGCTGTGGTGGTGGGCACTGGTGACTTCCAGTTCTTGCGGGGGCTGAGGCACGAGAATCACTTGGACCCGGGAGACACACCGTGCAGTGAGCCGAGATCACGCCACTGCACTCCAGCGTGGGCGACAGAGTAAGTCTCTGTCTCAAAAAACAAACAGCATCTCTCGCCTACACTCATTTGAGCTGTGGTCTTGTCTCCTCGGGTTTCTCTGTCAGTCTGATCCCATCTACTCTATCTACCAGGAATGCCTCAATATTTCTGGTGGACCACTGACACGTCTTCCTATTTTCCTCTACTGTCAAGGATTGACTCTTGAAAACATTTTCTTCCTACTTTGATGGAATGTTGAGTGGGGCACGGGATCTAGCTGCCATCTTGTTCCAATCACCTGTTATTAGATATTTCATGTATTTTTGTCACAATATAAGTGTAATTTTTCTCAATTTGGTTTTCTAAATGGCTATTATTAGCATGTAGAAACCCTATCTATTATTGTTAATAATATTTTGTTACCTGTCTGGGTACAGCTTCCCATGCATTTTGGCACAAGACTCAATCTATTTTATTCTTCAAAACAAAACTGACAGGCTGAGTGTGGTGGCTCACACCTGTAATCCCAGCACGTAGGGAGGCCGAGGCATGTGGATCAACTGAGGTCAGGATTTCGAGACCAGCCTGGCCAAGACGGTAAAACCCCATCTCTACTAAAAATACAAAAAAAAAAAAAAAAGAAAGAAAGAAAAATTAGCCGGGCATTGGTGGTGCACGCCTGTAGTCCCAGCTACTAGGGCAGCTGAGGCGGGAGGATCATTTGAACTCGGGAGGCGGAGATCGCAGTGAGCCAAGGTGGCACCACTGCACTCCAGCCTCGTGGACAGAAACTCTATCTCTAAATAAAAAGAAAAAGAATAAAAGAAAATTCACTTCACCGGCAATAGATAGTTATAAAAGGATAATTTATGGAAGATTTCATAGGGGAGACTGATGGAAAGAAAGGAAGTATACATTTTACAGAGCTGAGCAGAACTCACTGCAAAAATCACCAGAACTGCCTTTTTCTCCAAAAGTGCTACCCATAAGCTATTCTACTACTGGTTCTTCTAGTCCTTTTCTCTATTCCAAATCCTCAAATTGTCCATTTCCTTATTGGGGTAATTTTCCTCTGCCCAGATCTGGGTCCCCCACCACACTTAACACTGTCTGTGAGGGTGTGAATTCCCATTATTTTAGCTCAGGTTCCCAAGGAAACAGGCTTTGGGCCATACAGGACACATCTAGACAGACTATACTGAGAAGCCATGCTTGGAACGGTGCATGGGGAGAGGAGAGGGAATTTATGTACCTGGCTCTCACTCATGGTTTTTTTTTTTTTTAATTGGTCAAAATTTACCACATAGGCATGAACTCCCCCACACTTCTAGATTGCATCATCTGCCCCTTTCACAGCTATCTGGGAAGCCAGATCCCACACTTTGAAGTGTAGTGTTTCATACAATCCAAAAGTGGTCATAGAGGCCAGGTGTTGTGGCTTACGCCTGCAATCCCATCACTTTGGGATGCCAAGGCAGGCAGATCATGAGGTCAGGAGTTTGAGTCTAGCCTGGCAAGCATGGTGAAACCCAGTCTGTACTAAAAATACAAAAATTAGCCCGGCATGGTGGCACACACCTGTAATCTCAGCTACTCGGGAGGCTGAGGCAGGAGAATCGCTTGACCCTGGGAGGCAGAGGTTGCAGTGAGCTGAGATTGCACCACGGCACTTCAGCCTGGGCGACAGAGCAAGACTCCATCTGAAAAACAAAACAAAACAAAACAAACAATCAAAAAAGTGGTAGCAGAAACCAGAAAGTCCACGTAGGTAGCTAATTGCTTTGGTTGTATAGCAGCAGCCAAGGGTGAAAACTAAATACTCCCAGGCAAGTCCTGAGTTCACCAAGGAATTGGAGTACCCATCTGTGCTAGTTAATTGCCTTTATCTGAAGGAAAAATAAAACTCGTATCTCTATGACAAGCAGGTGCTTACAGCTTGGAGCAAGGCACCTAGGCAAACTCCCCTGGTGACAGGGAGACTGGGACGTCATCTTCCTCCATGTTCACATTTCAAAGAGATGGCTCAAGGCCCTGAAGAAAGACCTTTCTAGGGACTGGACATGGTGGCTCACACCTGTAATCCCAACACTTTGGGAGGCTGAGGCTGGAGGATCACTTGAGGCCTGGAGTTCAAGTCCAAGACATTCCCGGGATATACAGGGCCAGAGGCTTACATATCAAAGAAAGAATTTACCAACACAAATTTTCTGAAGGAAATGCTCTAGGGAAAGGAAAATGGGAAAAGGTATCTTCTTCCCTTTTGGCAACAGGAAAATCTAAATTTTATGTGTAGTTAACCTTACAATTTCCCCCTTTTGTTATTTTATAGAAACATTACAATTTTCTAATTATCTCCACTGCTGTTTCTATCTTTCTCTGGGTAGCGTACAGCCACATAGATATCCAACAAGTCCATAGTAAGATGCAAAGCAAAGCAATTATCAGAATTATAATAGAATGACTTTTTTTTTCGGGACAGAGTTTCGCTCTCGTTGCCCAGACTGGAGTGCAATGGTGCGATCTTGGCTCACTGCAACCTCTGTCTCCTGAGTTCAAGGGATTTTCCTTCCTCAGCCTCCCAAGTAGCTGGGATTACAGGCGTGTACCATCATGCCCAACTAATTTCTGTATTTTTAGTAGAGACAGGGTTTCATCATGCTGGCCGGATGGTCTCCAACTCCTGACCTCATGATCTGCCTGCCTTGGCCTCCCACAGTGCTGGGATTACAGGCGTGAGCCACCACGCCTGGCCTCTGCTAACACTTTTGGATTGTATGAAACACTACACTTCAAAGTGTGGGATCTGGCTTCCTAGACAGCTGTCAAAGGGGCAGTTGATGCAATCTAGAAGTGTAGGGGAGTTTGCACCTGTGGGGTAAATTTTGACCAATAAGAAAAGGAACCAGGAGTGAGAGTCAGGTACGTAATTCCCTCTCCTCTCCTCTCCTCTCCCCATGCACCATTCCAGGCATTGTTTCTCAGTATAGTCTGTCTAGAGGTGTCCTGTATGGCCCAAAGCCTGTTTCCTTGGGAATCTGAGCTAAAGCAATGGGCATTCAAACACTCGAAGACAGTGTTAAGTGTTGTGGAGGACCCAGATCTGGGCAGAGGAAAATTATCCCAATAAGAAAATGGACAATTTGAGGATGTGGAATAGAGGGAAGGACTAGAAGAACCAGTAGTAGTATAGCTTAGGGGTACTATTTTTGGAGAAAAAGGCAGTTCTGGTGATTGTTCCAGTGAATTGCTCAGCTCTGTTTTATATATATAAATATACATAAAGGATATATATATATAAATATATATGTGTGTGTATATATATGTGTGTATATATATGTGTATATATATGTGTGTATATATATGTGTATATATATGTGTGTGTGTGTGTGTGTATATATATATATATATATATACATCATTCTTTCCATCATTCTCCCCTATGAAATCGTCCATAAAGTATCCTTTTATAACTACCTATTGCCTGGGAAGTGAATTTTCTTTATCTTTTTTCTTTAGAGATAGAGTCTCTGTCGCCTGGGCTGGAGTGCTGTGGCACGATCTCGACTCACTGCAATCTCCACCTCCCGAGCTCAAATGATCCTCCCACCTCAGCTGCCCTAGTAGCTGGGACTACAGGTGCGCACCACCAATGCCAGGCTAATTTTTTAATTTTATTGTATTTTTAGTACAGAAGGGGGTTCACCAGCTTGGCCAGGCTGGTCTCGAACTCAATTGATCCACCAGCATCAGTCTCCCAAAGTGCTGGGATAAGAGGCGTGAGCCACCGCACCCAGCCTGTCACTTTCTTTTTGGAGAATAAAACATATTGAGTCTTGTGCCAAAATGCAGGGGAAGCTGCACCCAGAAAGGTAACAAAATATTATATATATAGATAGATAGGTTTTCTACATACCAATATTAACCATTTAGAAAACCAAATTGAGAAAAAATACACTTATATAGTGACAAATATACATAAAATATCTAAAACCAGATGATTGGAGCAAGATGGCAGATAGATCCCATGCCCCACTCAACATTCCATTGAACTGGGAAGAAAATGTTTTCAAGGGTCAATTCTCAAGAGTAGAGGAAAATAAGAAAACGTGTCAGTGGTCCACCAGAAATATTAAGGCATTCCTGGGAGATAGAGTAGATGGGATCAGACTGATAGAGAAACCCAAGGAGACAAGACCACAGGTCAAATCACTGTAGGCGAGAGATGCTGTTTGAGACAGAGACTTACTCCATCGCCCAGGCTGGAGTGCAGTGGCGTGATCTCGGCTCACTGCACACTCTATCTCCCAGGTTCAAGGGATTCTCCTGCTTCACTCCCCACTGTAACTGGAATTCATAGAGGCCTGCCACCATGGCCAGCTGATTTTTGTACTTTTAGTAGAGATGGAGGTTTCACCCTGTTGGCCAGGCTAGTCTCAAACTCATGACCTCAACTGATCTGCCTGCCTCGGCCTCCCAAAGTGCTGATATTACCCAGCGTGGGACGCCGCCCAGGTGATGATCTTTGTAACAAAGCCTCTGAAAAACTCCAAACCCTGAATCAAAAAAACACAGAGCCGGAAAGGGCCTTAGGATAATCATCAGGTAGGTTAATTTAAAAGTTCATTAGAAACATCTGAATCAGCCAGATTCCCCTCCAACACCACACTCAGATTGGCTGGCAGTAGCCACTTTTGCCTCTAAGATGAAACTCTGATAATTGTTCATTAAAGAAAGTGAAGGCCTGGCGAGGTGGCTCACACTTGTCATCCCAGCACTTTGGGAGGCTGAGGCAGGAGGATTGCCTGAGGCCAGGGGATCCAGACCAGCCTGGGCAACAAAGTGGATGCCGTCTCTACAAAAAAAATACAAAAACTAGCTGGGTGTGGTGGCGTGTGCCTGTAGTTCCAGCTAGATTGGAAGCTGAAGTGCGAGAATCCCTTGAGCCTGGGAGATCGAGGCTGCAGTGAGCTGTACTTGCATCACTGCACTCCAGCCTGGTCCACAGAGTGCGATCATGTCAAAAAAAAACACACACACACACACACACACACACACAAAAGTAACATATCAGAACTTGGTGTAACTTCAGCCCTTCACAAGGAGAGAAACACATTTGTGGAGAAGGGACCATGTTCACTCTTTATCTATCCATGATAGACAGATAGTCCGGAGCTTTATATACCCATGGAACCTATGGAAAAATGTTGCCTGTCATAACTCACAATCTTCCAGCCACCCTTCCTTGTATCTGTCTTGTGGGCTGGGGGAACCAACTTATGGATCCCATCATCCCAGGGAGAAAGAAAAATCAAATCCTTCATTATCTCTTTTGGGGTATGCTCTCCTCTATTTGCATGGAGGTTAAGGCACTCAATATCTAGTAGCCGAATGTTACATTTGTGTAATACAGAACTATATTGGTATAAAATCGAATTTGTTTCCTCTGAGACACAGGTAGAGGTACGTCCACACTGACCTGGGTGGCAGCCATCTCTTCCTGCAGTGCCAGGCAGGGCATGCTCACAGATCTGGGGAACCTCTTGCTCCTTGAGCCCCACAACCTCCTTCCTGGCACCCTCTCCCTCTGGTGGCTGTGACAGCCCACACTTGGCCTTGGGTCTCCCCTGCTTCTTTGCCTGCCCCTCTTCTGCCCACCCTGCATATCTCTGTCTCCCACTGTCCCTGCTGTGACCACGACTGCCTCTCCCTCCCCGCACTCTCTCTCTCCTAGGGCTCCTTGTCTTCGGTAAATGAACCCACAGCCTTTACATTGTGACTGGGGACAGAGCCCGGGGCTTGTTCAGTTCTCCCTCCTTCCATCACACACCTGTCCTCCTTAATGTTTCTGAAGTCAGTGAGATCCAAACTCAGCCCCTCCTGCACCTGCCAGCTGTAGGACCTGTGACAAGACGCCTGCCATCTGTCTGGGTCTCCGTCTCTCATCTGTCACATAGGCATAATGATGATAGTGTCCTCCTTCTCAGGCTGGAGAGAACCAGGAGGCCAAGGTGATGGGCCACGAACGGGCAAAACAGCTCCAATCCTGCCTCCACCTGGGGCTGGTGTTTCAAGTCCATTGTGTGTGAATGGAGCTTTGATGTCTCCATTGACACAGAATAGTTTGTTCTAAAATAGACTCCCCTCTGCCCTTCCTTCCCCACAACTCTTTCACCTCTGCACTGTGCAGTGGTATATGTGAGAAAGAACAGTCCCATTCCCAAATCATCATCCCCACCCCAACTCCCAGGCCCTTGATTGGTGAGACCCTTGATGGGCGTTCTCATGCTTCTGTCCAGGGGACTTTCCCACCAATTGCTCCCCTGCATGGAGACTAAGTGGACTCTTCTATTCCCTGTCCATCACAGGATCTACAGTGCACGCATCTGCCTGATTCCTCCACATTCCCCAGATGACGATTTCATCTGTGTCTCCTCCCACATCCACCCAAATGGACCGTCCCAGACCTTGAAACCGAAAATCATTCAGAGAGCGAAGGCCAAGATGCCCAACCACCTGCTGCAGAATCCTGCTCCAGGACTGAAGTGTATAGTGTATATCAAAATAAAAACTGGAGGCCAGGTGCTGGGGCTCACACCTGTAATCCCAACACTTTAGGAGACCAAGGTGGGAGGATCGCTTTGGCACAGGAATTTAAGAACAGCCTGGGTAACATAGACAGACTTTCTTGACAAAATCTTAAAAAAATTAGTGGGTCATGATGGTGCATGCCTGTAGTCACAGCTTCTCTGCAGGCTAAGGTGGGAGGATCACTTGAGCCCACGAGTTCAAGGCTGCATTGAACTATGATCATGCCACTGCACTCTAGCCTGGGCAGTGCAAGACCCCTTCTCTAGAAAAAAGAAACAAACAAAGAAACCCAACAACTGGAAACATCCTCCTCTGGAATGGTGGTCAGGAACATCTGCCTGCCTTGTTCACTGATGTCTCTCCAGCACCTAGAACAACGCCCAGCACGAGAACACACTCATTAGTGTTTTGTTGAATAAATGACTCCTTTGACACAGCAATTCAACTTCTAAGAATCTTTCCTAAAGAAATATTCACACAGGTGCAGAGACCTGTGCGCACATTAATGAGAGGAGCAAACAACTGGGGAACGTTTGCAAAGGTGTATTAACTGTCAGTGACTGATACGGGGAATCAGAGGAGGGGAGTACATGCTGAACAGGAAACAAATTGAAGGGGGGCTTGACCAGGACTCATGGCAATGGGGAAAAGCATATGGGAGATGCTTATACTGGTACTTGGTGTGTCTGTGTGTGTGTGTGTCTGTGTGTGTGTGTTTGTGTGTCTGGTGTGTAAATGCAGAGGGGAAAATCGGAAATTAAACACTCAGATCTGCCCTCAGTAGTCACATCTGGGGAGAGAGGAGGGTAGTGCTGTTCTATGGAGAGAATACCTGACTATACTTGCTTTCTGAGGTAGGTGCATGGATACACAAACCGAAATACACATTAAGCATGTCTTGCTCATCAATGAAAACGCTAATATCTAACAGAATGGCACACTGTAAGAAAATACAATGGAAACACTAACATCGAACTCTTGTCACACTAAGAAAAACGACGCTCAACTTTTCACTGTTGTGAACACTTGCTTTCACTTGCTATGCACCTGATGACGAGGGGTCCGCAGCCATGCCCATGTTCGTGAAAGGTCACCACGTTCTGCTTCTCATCATGGGCATATGTCGTATCCCCGAGGCTGAGGCAAGAAGAGAGAAGGAAAGTAAGTGGCAGTGAGTTCCCACCACGTGACAACTCAATCTCAACTCCTCCTGACCTGCAGACCCTGCACACTCTGATTCTGCCCTACCCCAGGACCTGCACACGCCTTCCATGGTTCCTTGAAGTGAACCATCCGCTCATGCCACAGTGACTTCTTCGCCTGGGTTATCCATTCCTAGGCTAGAGGAAGGTGTGGCCCACATACAGGGCTGATCTGGAGTTCGGGAACCCACAGCATCCTGGGTAGGGAGCATTCCTGGATATACAGGGCAGGGAGTAAAAAGAGCTTACGAAGGCCAGGCGCGGTGGTTCACGCCTGTAATCCCAGAACTTTGGGAGGCCGAGGCGGGCGGATCACGAGGTCAGGAGACCGAGACCATCCTGGCTAACACGGTGAAACCCCGTCTCTACCAAAAATACAAAAAAAATTACCCGGGCGTGGTGGCGGGCACTTGTAGTCCCAGCTACTGGAGAGGCTGAGGCAGGAGAATGGCGTGAACCCGTGAGGCGGAGCTTGCAGTAAGCGGAGATCATGCTGCTGCACTGCAGCCTGGGCCACAAAGGGCGAATCCGTCAAAAAAAAAAAAAAAACGTGGGAAATCTCTCATCATTCGGCCTCAATGCTGTACCCTAGAAAATTATGAGACGGGAATGATTTGGGGAGCAAGTGACAGATGGGATACCAGTATCATAACAGAATACCACATCTGCAGGGATGTGGGGGATGAGCCGAAGGTTCACTTACGGAGTTACTCGTCGTCTTCTTCAGGGTCGCTGATCTCTTCATAAATCACCAGCTGCTTTCTCTCACGCAGTCTGTGGGTCCAGGCATGTTTCCCCCTTTTGGGTCCTGTGATGGAGAATAGTTGGAAAGTGAGGGTTGGGTAGGTTGGAGAGTGTTAGGCTCTGTTTTCTCAAAAAAAGGAGATGCCTCCCCCCTCCCAAGTGCCCATGGGCCTTCTTTATCCAGTTTTTCACATTCTCTGGCTTAGAGAGGCTGAGACCTTAGACCCACACCAATACAGGCCAAATGCCAATTAAAGTTTTAGCTTCTGGCTCCTTCTGTTGTGGGGTTTAGATTCCCAACCTTTTCACTTACGGGAACATCCACCCTTACCTCCTTTCATTCAGCACGTGTTTTTATTGAGGGCACCGAGGCATACTTTTTTTTATTGCACAACATTTTCATAGTGCTTCACAGATGCTGCAATGTTTTTTTTTGGAAACTCTCATCAATTTTACACCTTTCCGTTATTATTATATCTGTTATAGTGATCTGTGATCAGTGAGCTTTGATATTATTACTGAAATTGTTTTTGTTGTTTTTTAGTCTTTTAAAATAATTTTAATTTTTTAATTTTTAATTTTTATTTTATTTTATTTTGTTTGAGATGAAGTCTCGCTCTGTCGCCCAGACTGGAGTGCAGTGGAGCAATCTCAGCTCACTGCAACCTCTGCCTCTCCAGTTCAAGCGATTCTCCTGCCTCAGCCTCCCGAGTAGCTGGGACTACAGGAGCATGTCACCACGCCTGGCTAATATTTTGTATTTTTAGTAGAGACGGGGTTTCACCGTATTAGCCAGGATGGTCTCGATCTCCCGACTTCGTGATCTGCCTGCCTCGGCCTCCCAAAGTGCTGGGATCACAGGCGTGAGCCACGGCGCCCGTCCGTGTTTTTTATTTTTGTGCATACACAGTAGGTGTATATACTTATGGGGTACGTGAGATGTTTTGATACACGCATGCCATGCGTAATAATCACATCATGGAAAATAGGGTATCCATCCCTTCAACCACTTATCCTTGTGTTATAAACAATCCAATTACACTCTTCTAGTTTTTTTAAAATGTACAATTAAGTTATTATTGACAATAATCACCCTGTTCTGTGTAATTGTTTGGGGGGTGGGTACCAGGAACTGCACCCATAGAAGATGACAAACTTAATCGATTAATGTTGTGTGTCTTCTGACTGCTCCACCGATGAGCTATTCCCCATCTCTCCTCCTTTTCTTGGACCTCCCTATTTCTTGAGACACACCTATATTGAAATTAGGATGATTGACAACCCTATAATGGCCGCTAAGTATTCAAATGAAAGGAAGAGTCGCGTGTCTCACACTGTACATCAGAAGCTAGAAATGGCTAAGCTTAGTGAGGAAGGCATGCTGAAAGCCAAGACAGGCTGAAAGCTCGGCCTCTTGCACCAAACAGCCAAGCTGTGAATGCAAAGGAAAAGTTCTTGAAGGAAATAATAGTATATAATGCAAAGGGAAAGTCCTTGAAGGAAATAATAATATTAACACTCCAGTGAACACACGAATAAGAAAGCAAAACTGCCTTACTGCTCAAATAGAGAAAGTTTGAGTGGTCAGGATATTTGATGAAACCAGCCACAACATTCCCTTAAGCCAAAGTCTAATTCAGAGCAAGACCAGAACTCTCTTCCAGTCCATGAAAGCTGAGAGAGGTGAAGAAGCTGCAGGAGAAATGTGTGAAGCTAGCAGAGGTTGGTTCATGAAGTTTAAGGAAAGAAGCCATCTCCATAACTTAAAAGTGCAAGGTGAAGCAGCAAACCCTGATGGAGAAGCTGCAGCAAGTTATCCAGAAGATCTAGCTAAGATCACTGTTGAAGGTGGCTACACTAAACAACAGATTTTCAATGTAGATAAAATAGCCTTCTATTGGAAGGAGATGCCTTCTAGGACTTTCATAGCTAGAGAGAATTGACTCGAACTTTGAAAGAAGTTCTACTGTGGGTAAAATGCTGTCCATAGCATCACATACTACAGAGAAATCCTTCATGAAGCAGAGAGTTAATCAATGTGGCAAATTTCATTGTTGTGTTCTTTTAAGAAACTGCCACAGCCACTCCACCCTTCAGCAACCACCACCTTGATCAGCCAGCAGCCATCAACACCGAGGCAAGACCCTCCACCAGCAAAAAGAGTGAGTCACTGAAGACTCAGAAGATTATTAGCATTTTTGACAATGAATTATTTTAAAATAAAGGTATGTACATTTTTAGACATAATGCTATTGCACTCTTAGTAGACTGCAGTATAGTGTAAACATAATGTTTTTATGCACTGCTAAACCAAAAAAACAATGTGTGTGACTCACATTATTGCAGTGGTCTGGAACCGAATCTGCAATATCTCTGAAGTACAACTTTATTGGGTATCAGGCATTGAGCTGAGTAAGATATTATCCCAGGTTATCAAAGATAGAATCGCTTGAGCACCTTTCATGTCATCAGGCCTTCTAGATTAAATTTAATGTCTCCAAACAATTTATGAACTATGATTCTTTATTTCCATCTTATGGACTAGGAATCTGGAACTGAGAAAATTTGGAAGACTAGCCCCAAGTCACGTGGTTTGTATATGGGTGACAACTCCAGTCTGTATCTCTGGAAGTCCAGTCAAACATCTCATCTGGAGCTGGGCGAGCTCCTCAGCCCAGCCTGGACCCAGGCTTGTCTGGGGTCCATGCCACACACCCAGTCCACACACCTGAACATAGCCACGGAAGCCAGAGGGTTTGTTCCCGAATTCTTTCCTCTTACCGGATGTCTTGTTAATCTTCTCAGAGGTACTTGGTTTTCCTGGAGGGCACAGGTGTTTCCCATCGTTCTGTGAGCCAGATGCTTCTGGCACTCCCTTCGAATCATTTCCTTCCTCTGCTGGCTTCTTGGGCATGATCTTTATAATGTGAAGGTCACAGATAAACAGAATCAGTGACATTTCTATAGTGCTTTAGAGCTTACAAAGCGTCTTCACATGCATTACCTTAATCAATGTTCTCAACAATGCTGGGAGAGTTACACATGCCTAAATTAGGAGAAACCTGGGAAGTTAGACGGGAAAGGAATGGCCTATGTGAATATCGTTTCCAGGGCTAGAATGCTTATCTTCACACTCTTTAAGACTGACATTCTTGCAAACAGTAAAAATCTCCATGCAATTGAGAGTTTGGTATACAAAAGATTGGAAGAAGGATAGCATTTTTAAAATTCACAAGGTCTACAAAAGGAAGAGCTTCTATGAAATACAAGGGATCTCATATAAGCTCTTAGCTGCTGGGAGAGTAAATGTAAAAACATAGAGAGGGGACAAAACACTGCTGGGAAAGATGGTGTGGGGAGATTAATACAGGGAAGGGAGAGGTAAAGAAATGGTTTGCTAAAATTAATCTAGGCAGCGAAGAAAGCAGTACCAGATCTGGCATACCACCCTACCGAGGCACCAACACTGAATGTGGAATTCAGTGAGGTGGTACCCATACCAATTCTGGTTGCATTGGGATGTGTCACTGACCAACAATCTTAAGCTACTTTTTTTTTTGTTGTTTTGTTTTGAGACAGAGTCTCACTCTGTCACCAGGCTGCAGTGCAGTGGCACGATCTCAGCTCACTGCAACATCCAACTCCTGTGTTTAAGTGACTCATGCAACAGCCTCCAGAGTATCTGGGACTGCAGGCAGGCGCTACCACGCCCCGCTAAGTTTTGTATTTTTAATAGAGATGAGGTTTTACCATGTTGGGCAGGATGGTCTTGACCTCTTGACCTAGTGATCCATCCACCTCAGCCTCCCAAAGTGCTGGGATTACAGTCGCTAGCCACCGTGCCCCGCTCTTAATCTACTTTTTATTCAGCTTCCTTGCTTATGAGATAGTGAACAATACATGTAAAATAGTCTACGGGAAAGTCCTCTCTGAGCTTGTAAACACTGTTTAAATGCAGTAATAATAACAATTAATACCTTTCATGATCCTTCCTTCAATTCGGTCTCCACACTAGCAACCCAACTCCCAGATCCCTTTACCCTCTAAACCAGAGTTGAATCTGCACTTGTGGGGTCACTCATTCAGGGGCCTCCGAGGGATCCCCTGGGCTGGGATGGGGGCTTCTGGGATGCCCCAGGTGCAGACAAGGTCCTCAAGGAGCTCACAGTAGGGAGGGGCCAACAGTCAAAACGATTCCTAAGCCATGCAAGTGGTCCCAGTAACAGAGCAGAGGCCAGCTGGTCTTTCCTATTGCGAGAATGGGTGTCTCAATGGAAGCACCAGCAGGCCCTATGGGGTGAAGCCCTAGTGAGCAACATCTGAACTTCATAAACAAATGCAAACGTGAATGAGCTTTAAATGGCTTGGAGCTCTGGATTAGACTACCACTGCCACTGTGCCCCAGGAAAATTATTTAACATATCTATACCCCAATAGCCTCATTTTATTATTATGTTGCTGATAACTACGATTCTTTACTTCCATTTCATGGACCAGGAATCTGGAGCTCAGAGAACTTAGAAGACTTGTGCCAAGTCACATGGCTTTTATATGGACGACAACCGAAGTGTGTGACTCATTATTATTTGGAGATAATAATAGAAACAAAGTCATACAGGTCTTCTTAAGGATTAAATACATTAATCCATGTGAACTGCTTAAAATAGTATCTGGCATCACTATGAAAACAAAAGATGTATTAAGGATCACAACTGTTAGTATTATTAAGCTGTTGGTGCTACATCAGGTGTTGTGATAGACATGGGGAGAAGGAGGCAGTGAGGGCATTTTTTATATTCTCCCACTCTTACCAGTGTTTGCATCCATGGAGGGACAAAGGTTCTCTGGTCCTTTAGATCTGAGAGACACTCACCTTCGGGAAGATTCTCTGGAGCCTGCAAAAAGTCATCTGAGGACGTTCAACTGAAAGAGAATATATCAGAATTTTTCTTTGTTGGTAAAGATTTCCAAACTCTAGAGACTTCTGTAGCATCAGGGTATTCTGCAGCAGAGTGTTATGAGTCCACTCATTGTTGAGGAGTTATTTCAGTTTTGCTTCTGAATTATGTTTAGTCATGGTTGATTCATTTATCTGTGGCATCAATTCAGAATTTTCCATCTCATGGTTTATCAAATGGGGACTAAACCCCATCACAGTCTCATCTTATTCCTTTACATATCTTTTATTTTTTTCCAAATAATTAAATTGATTGGTTAGGAATCTGAACTGTATCCACTCAAGATGTGCAACAACTGAAAATCATTGCACACTTCAAATGGGTGAATCTTATGGTATGTGAATTAAGCTGTTAAATGTGTGATGAACCATGGATGATTTAGTCCAGTGGCTCTGAGATATTTTCAGTATAAAGACAGTCCTTTAATGTCAAAATCTTGGCAGACACCCAAGCACTGGATTTTCAGATCTCTTACAGTGATCGTGGGAGATTTTAGAATCTGGCCTTTTTAGTTGGGGAGTAATAGGTCTATTGGAGACAGTTTGGACGTTCTGACCTTGTCTTATAATTGTGTTGTCAGAGCAGAAGAGCAAGGAAACACATATGTGACCCCTTTATATTCCCAAAACGTACAAAGATCTCTACCGAAGAACCTGTCTTTTTTTCACCCTATGTTATCTCTGCTCTCTGGCAAGTGGGAAAGCTCTCTCTGTGTGTTGGATGAGGGATCACTCTTTCAAACTCTCTTCCAAGCTCATCACGGAGAATCAGGGTTCTTTGGGAATGAAAAGACTATTTGGCTCTGATAAAATACAGAGAAACAGCGATCTTTATTACATAATGTGTTCATCATCCTCACTCCTAAGATACCTATCCAATACCTACATGCTGTTAATGAGACAAACTCTGGAAGTTTTTGGCGAATCTACAGTTGTAACATTTTCTTTCTTCTTTTTTTCTCTTGTAACATTTTTTTAGCAGTCCTTTGATTCATTAATGGTGCTTAGGAAGAACAACATGTCATCTAAAAAAGAAATATTTCAAACACACAGAAAAGTATGAGGAATAATATTGAGTCCAGTCGGATCTCAACATTACCCCACAGCTATGCTAGGTTTGATTTATTTATTCACAATATTAGAAAAACTACAAACAGGCCGGGCATGGTAGCTCACACTTGTAATCCCAGCACTTTGGGAGGCTGAGGCAGGTGGATCACCTGAGGTCAGGAAGTTTGAGACCAGCCTGGTCAACATGGTAAAACCCCGTCTCTACCAAAAATAAAAAATGAGCTGGGTGTGGGGGCGGGCACCCGTAACCCCAGCTACTCCGGAGGCTGAGGCAGGAGAATCACTTGAACCCAGGAGGTGAAAGTTGGAGTGAGCTGAGATTGCCTTATTGCACTCTACCCTGGCCGAGAAGAGTGAAACTCCATCTCAAAAACAAAAACAAACAAAACACACTATCAACAAGTCACAGCTGAAGCTGTCTGTGCAGCACTCAGCAATCCCTGCCCGCCCTCCCTCCTCCACTTACAGCCAGTCACCTCAATTTGATGGCTTTTTATTCACATTCATGTTTGTATACATTTACCATTTACTTATTATCTATAAAAATATATATTCTTGTTTTTCGTGTTTTAAAATTTTATATGAATGGCCTCTGTAGTTAACTTTCTGCATGCAATTTTTTTTTTTTTCACTCAGCCCTGATGTGTATGAGGGAACAAATGCCTGAGGATCTTTCCCAAGTAGCTGAGCTGAAAAGCAGCTGGGCTTGAGGAGACCCTTTCCAGCCCCTTCCCGTCTACTCACCCTGATTCCCTTGGTTACGGTCATTATCAAAATCATTCCCCTGGAGGTCTGTGGCCCCTGTATTATGCATGAAAGGTGGGAGGGTGGCCTTGAAGCCTAGAAAGAAGCAAAATGTTTATTCCTTAAGAGACAAGCTTTGACCTGTCACGGTGGCTCATATCTGTAGTACCAGTGCTTTGGGAGGCTGAGGCTGGAGTATTGCTTGAGGCCAGGAGTTCAAGGCTGCAGTGAGCTATGACTGCACTACTGCAAACTAGCCTAGGTGACAGACTGAGACTCAGACTCAAAAAAAAAGAAAGAAAGAAAGATACAAGCCGAGAGAAGGAAGGTAGGGACGGTGTGGGGGTGCCGGGATGCCACAGAGACACTTGGACTCATCAGAACAGAAGCCTAAGGGAGAGAAACGTGCAGGATCCAGGTATGAGCTCCACTGTGGCCAGTCCCTGCCCTCAGCCCTGACAGGATACAGAAGAGGAGAACACCCAGAAGCTGCCTTGCGATTTTTCCCTGCACAAAAGGAAAATGTGGGGTACTTTCTGCAGCCTAAGAAGTAGCCAAAGCAGGAATAGGGATGCTCATGTGTCCCCAGACTTGTCTGTACCTAGAACTTTCTGTTACCTAGTTTAGTCATGGCCTCATACTTTCTCTTCATATACACATAGCTGATTTTCTCCAAGGATTTCATCTTTTCCCACTCTTTCTTAGAGAAGTATTTGGCAATATCATCGAAGGACTAGGAAAAGATAAAAAAGGAATTTTGTCAGTGACTCAGCTAGACATGTCTGCCATTCAGCTGGAGCCCCTTCCTGTGTGCTGGATCTGGGAAGTGGGGATGATGCCATGGCTAACCGACAACATGAGCGACCTTTCCTAGCTTCACCCCTGCCACACAGTAGGGCTTTAATGCTGCTGACTGACTCTCTTCCCACTTTCCAGAATGGACTGAGATTCACCAAATGTAGTGCACGGTCACAGACTTGTCTCCAAGGATGCTAGTTGATGACAGAGCGAGGATGGGAGGCTCTCAAGGATCCAGATCTCCCCCAAGACCCTGGTCCTTGTCTCCAGTATCTCTGTCCTCCCCTCCTCAGAAACTTGGCCACCCCACACTGTCCCCTGGGCCACTACTCTGCTCCCTCCAGGTCACCTCACCTTTTGGATCTTCTCTGGTATTTGAGCACCAGCCCTAGGTCTCCTTGCAAAGGCGTCGTCTCCGTTCATGGCACCAGGAGCAGTCTGACCTGCAAGAGAAATAGCCTGAGTCTTTCCAGCCACAGCAGCTTTGGTCTTGTGGAGGGAGAAATCAGTGAAGGCCGGCCACCCTCAGTCACCTGGAATCAGGTGCTTCATTTCTCCATCTGGGGCTTATCTGTCCCTGAGTAATGACATGGGGCGAAGTCAGATGAAAATAGGGAACCAGGGGTCTCTGGGAGAAGTATTGATTTGGGATGACAGGCTTCCTGTGGGCAAAGCAGCCTTGAGTCTTTGGGAGGGGGTTGGCTAATGTTGTTAGTAGTTTCCCTGGGGCTAGCCTTACTCTGAAAGATGTACAGACCCTTGTTGGGAAGGCAGAGATGTGACTGTGTAATTTTATTCAGTGGGGGCATGCTGACACCCCGACTCAATAAATAATGGAAGGGAAATGAGTCCCAGAGATAACATCGTCTCTCTGGTGATGGATCTGATCAGGCAGAGGGATAGGGGGTTCTGTTCTGTTGAAGAGAAATGAGCATGGCTAATATGAACGGATTTAGAGGCTATTACTGGGTGATTTGTAAATTATTAGAAGAAGAGAGCTAGAATTTCTGAGACTACAAGAGCCCGCCATCACTTAGAGAGAATGTAGGGAGTTTCAAGGTGCAGCAATCAGCCAGGCGCAGTGGCTCACGCCTGTAATCCCAGCACTTTGGGAGGCCAAGGAGGGCGGATCGCTTGAGCCCATGAGCTTGAGACCAGCCTGGCCAACATACCGAAACCATCTCTACTAAAACAACAACAACAACAAAACACACACACACACACACACATTAACAGAAGCGGAGTGGTGTGCACCTCTAGTCCCAAGGCCTACGCGAGAGGATCACTTGATCCCAGGAGGAAAGATTTGAGTGAGTTTTTTTTTTTTTTTTTTTTTGAGTCATGGTCTCTCTCTGCTGCCCAGGCTGGGATGCAGTGGTGTGATCATGGCTCACTGCAACCTCCGCCTCCTGGGTTCAAGTGATCCACCAGCTGTGGCCTCCAAAACTGCTGGAATTACAAGCGTGAGCCACCGTACCCGGCCCAAATTTGTTAAGTTACTAGAGTTCCCAGGAAAAATCCCATACCTGAAAAAGTTAGAAACTGACAGGAAGGATTTGAGATGGCGACCTGCCTCACATACACTCCTTATTAAAACTAGATAACAAATGCACCACAGAGGAGGGGAGGGGTAGTAAGAATGGAAAAAGAAAATCAGCGCATGCTTACTCTGATTTTGGAAGAATCAAAAGAGAAAATCAGACCGTGCGTACTCTGAGTATGGAAGAATCGAGAGAGAAAGTCAGAGCATGCATACTCTGAACTTAAAGTAGCCAATCCCAGGGGATGCTTTAGGCGGGAAAATCAGAGTCTCCACCCCCACTTTGAGAAGGTTCTGTCCCTGGAGCCTGGACTGATAGAAGCCACATCAGCTTCGCTTATCACGCTACTGTTCTGACTTCTGATTGGCCAGATGGAGTTCACTAACTGCCCTGATTGGTCCATCATCCCTGCATAGTGACATTGCACAATATTGTCTCCTCCTCCAGCAACACTTTGTTGCCACTGCGACAAAGTGGGTGGTCCTCAGGCGCCGTCAGGAGATTTTGAACTCTCTGAAGACCGTCCCTGGATCTTGGGTTAAAAATCTGTTTTCTAGTCTGAACAGCGAGAAGAAAAAAATAGTCGGATCTGTGATTTTTCTACTTGAAAGACACAATGTTTTCCAGACTAGCACATTTGCAGAGCTTTGCTGTACTTAGTAGTGGCTTTCATTCTTCAGTGGCTTCTATATCTGTTGCTACTGAAAAAACAGTCCAAGGCCCTCCAACCTCTGATTACATTTTTGAAAGGGAATCTAAGTGTGGTGTGCACAATTACCATCCTTTACCTGTAGCCCTGGAGAGAGGAAAATGTATTTACTTATGGGATGTGATTGTGGTATTGGTTACATCCGCCTTGGCCAATCTTCCCGCCTCGGTCTCGCGACTACAGGTGGGAACCACCCCACCCCCACTAATATTTTTTGTTTTTGGATTTTTTAAAAGAGACGGTTTCGCTATGTTGGCCAGGCTGGCCTCAACCTCCTGGGCTCAAGGGATCCTTCCACCACGGCCTCAGGACTACTGCCATTCTGCCCTGCTCATTTTTATTTTATTTTATTTTATTTTATTTTATTTATTTATTTATTTATTTATTTATTTATTTATTTATTTACTTATAGGAAAGACAGGCTTTCGCTACGTTGGCCAGGCTGGTATTGACCTCCTGGGCTCAAGCAGTCCTCCCACCTTGGCCTCGGAACTACAGGAGTGAGCCATCCCACCCACGCAATTTTTTTGTTGTTCTTGTTGTTAGTAGAAATGGGGTTTCGCTATGTTGGCCAGGCTGGCCTCTACCTCCCGGGCTCAAACAATCCTCCCGCCTCAGCCTGGTGACTACAGGCTCACACCACCCCACCACCACTAATATTTTTAATTTTTCTAGCAGAGACAGTTTTGCTATGTTGTCCTGGCTGGTCCCTACCTCCTGGGCTCAAGCGATCCTCCTGCTTCAGCCTTGGGACTACAGGCATGCACCGCCCTGCCTTTTGCTATTTTTCCCCGGCTGCTTTTGACTTTCTGGGCTCGCTCAATGATTTGAACCTGGGAAGCGGACGTTGCATTGAGCTGAGATCACACCACTGCACTCCAGCTTGGGCGACAGAGCAAGACTGTCAAATAAATAAATACATCCATACTTGAAAGAAAGAAGAAAGAAAAGAAAGGAAGGAAGGAAGGAAGGAAGGAAGGAAGGAAGGAAGGAAGGAAGGAAGGAACGAACGAACCAGCTGAAACTCTGTAAAAACAGTAAGCTTTGTGGTATATTAACTTACCCTCATCCCATCTCGTGCTCCCAGCTTGGTTCTGTTCATTGCTGCTGAAATACAGATAGGATTGGCCAGAACTGGTAGATGGCTGGCTGTTGATCATGAAAATGTCAGACCTGATATAGTCCTCCTCGGAAAGGCCTTTTCTGGGGGCTGATACTCTATGTCTGCAGTGCTGTGGGACGATGACATAATGCTGAGCATTAAGCCAGGCGACCATGGGTCCACATACGGTGGCAATCCACTAGGCTGCCGAGTGGCCATCGCAGCCCTTGAGGTTTTAGAAGAAGAAAACCTTGCTGAAAATACAGAAAACAATAGGTATTCTCTTGAGAAATGAACCCATGAAGCTACCTTCTGATGCTGTAACTGCTGTAAGAGGAAGAGAATTATTGTGTGTATGTGTGTATGTATGTATGTATTTAGAGTCAGAGGTTCACTCTGGTTGCCCAGTATGCAATGGTGCGATCTTGGCTCACTGCAACCTCTGCCTGCTGAGTTCTAGCGAATCTCCTTGCCTCGGCCTCCTGAGTAGCTGGGATTACAGGCATGTGCCACTATGCCCAGCTAATTTTCATATTTTTAGTAGAGACTAGGTTTCACCATGTTGGCCACGCTGGTCTTGAACTCCTGACCTCAGGTGATGCACCCACCTCGGCCTCCGAAAATGTTGGGATTACAGGCGTGAGCCACTGTGCCTGGGAGGAAAAGAATTATTAATTTCTATTGTTATTAAAGAAAGCAAAGATTGTGATGCTTGGAAGGTGTGTCTACGACTTCAAGATTATCCACTTCTGGCCAAGCCAACCCATGGCGACATCATCAGGTTTCGCCTCCGCTGGTGGTGAAGGGGGATGAGATTCAAGTCCAGTGAAATCATTAACAAGACCATCTTGTCGTTCTGAGGGTAGCAGCTGTTTTCAGTGGTCCCTGGGAGCCGGCTGGAGACAGGTGGTCTTGTAAAAGCTCTGCTCTTAATGCGGGCACATTCCACTCCATGTGTCTTCAAAATCTTTTTGTGGAGTATCTATTTTTTTCAGTTAATACATAGCAGAACAACGTTTATGAAGCTGCTGTTTGCTTTGTAACGTAAGTAAGAGCATGCAATGGCATCTATATTCTGTGAAAGTGTTTTGATGTGTACTTTCTAAGGTTAAACGTATCTACATATACAGACAGTGTTTAAATTACATCCTTCAGTATACTTTATATATGTTTTTATAATTTCCTTGCTGGTATAAATGCTTTGCATTTGAAAAAGTTATCTCTAGGGAATTACATAAAAGACTTCACCTTATAAAGTCAAATCATTGTTATCATTGAATTTTAGGAAGGATGAATGGTTAAGTATGTATAAAATACTAATATTAAGTAAACTTCCTGTTGGCCAACACCAGGATGTATTCTATGGATGTCATTATTTTCAATTAAGAATTAGTGTTTAACATTCCTAAATTGTTTTGAGTGCTTGATTATAATTTGTTAAAAAATGTTTATTTTTAATATTTCTTTAAATTTAGTATAAAGCTTATATTTCAGAAAAAAAAAAGATACAGAACATGCCTGGGTGCAGTGGTTCACGCTTGTAATCCCAGCACTTTGGGAGGGCGAGGTGGGCAGATTACTTGAGATCAGGAGTTCGAGACCAGCCTGGCCAACATGGAGAAACCCTGTCTCTACTACAAAAATACAAAAAATACAAAAATACAAAAATTAGCCAGGCATGGTGGCACACGCCTGTATTCCCAGCTACATGGGAGGCTGAGACAAGAGAATCGCTTGAACCCGGGAGGCAGAGGTTGCAGTGAGCCAAGATCATGCCACTGCACTACAGCTTAGGTGACAGAGTGAGAATCCCTCTCAGAAAAAAAAAAAAAGGTACAGAACATTTCCATCATCATAATGCTATCCCTTGTGCTACTCATTTTTAGTAATACTCACTCTCATCCCATCCACCATCCCTAACCCCTGGCAACCACTAATCTGTTTTTCATTTCTATAATTTTCTCTTTTCTACAATGCTGTACAAATGAAATCTTATAGTATATAACGTTTTAGGGGTTTATTTCACTCAGCATAATTCCATGGAGATTCCTCCAAGATATTGATATTTGTGTATCAATAGTTCATTGTTGTTGTTGTTGTTGAGACGGAGTCTCACTCTGTCGCCCAGGCTGGAGTGCAGTGTCTCAGCTCACTGCAACCTCTGCCACCCAGGTTCAAGCAGTTTTCTAGCCTCAGCCTCCCAGGTAGCTGTGACTACAGGTGCATGCCACCACACCTGGGTAATTTTTATATTAGTAATAGAGATGGGGTTTCAACATACTGGCAAGGCTGGTCTTGAACTCCTGACGTCATGATCCACCCGCCTCGGCCTCCCAAAGTGCTAGGGTAACAGGGTGAGCCACTGTGCCCTGACGATAGTTCATTTTTATTGCTGAGTAGCATTCCAGGGGATGGATATACCACAGTTTGACCATTCACTTATTTTAGGACATATTGATTATTTCCAGCTATTGGCTATTACAAGTAAAGCTGCTATGAACAATTATGTACAAGTTTCTGGATGGGCATACATTTTAATTTCTCTGAAGTGTAATTGTTGAATTGTATGGTCACTGCATTGTTTAGTTTTATAAGAAACTACCAAACTGCTTTCCAGAGTGGCTGTAAGATTTTACCTTCCCAGCAGCACTTAATGAGGTGTCCAGTTTCTCTGCATCCTTGTCACCATGTTGTCACTATGTCTTTTATTTTAGCTATTGTAATAAGTGTGTAGTGATACCTCATCGTGGTGTTATTCTGCATCTAGTGAAGCAAATGAGTGTTGAACATCTTTTCATGTGCTTATTTGCTTATTTCCTCTTCAGTGAAATGTATGTTCATATCTTTTCATGATTTTCTAATTGGATTATTTGTTTGCATTTTTTACCATTGAGGTTTCTTTTATTATTATTATTTTTCTTGAGACAGAGTCTCTCTCTGTTACCCAGGCTGGAGTGCAGTGGCATGATCTTGGCTCACTCCAACCTCCGCCTTCCAGGTTCAAGCGATTCTCGTGCCTTAGCCTCCCGAGTAGCTGGGATTACAGGCACGCATCATCATGCCTGTCTAATTTGTGTATTTCAGCAGAGATGTGTTTTTTGCCATGTTGCCCAGGCTGGTCTCGAACTCCTAGCCTCAAGGGATCTGCCCCCGCCCCCCCGACCTCGACCTTTCTAAGTGCTGGGATTACAAGTGTGAGCCACCATGCTCAGCCTACCATTGAGTTTTGAGAGTAGTATGTATATCCATTATATATTCTGGATGTGAGTCCTTTCTTGGATATGTGGTTTGCAAGCACTCTCTCCCAGGTCATAACCTGTTTTTTCATCCTTTTAAAAAGATTTCTTGCAGAGCACAAGTTTTAAATTGGATGAAATCTAATTTATTTTTTTCCTTATGGATTATGCTTTTTGAACCGTTCACTATGCCCTAGATCTCAGATGTTTCTCCTATATTTTATTGTAAAAGTTTTCTTTTAGTTTTATATTTTAGATTTAAATCTATGATCCACTTGAGTTACTTTCTTGTATAAAGGTATGAAAATTAGGTCTTTTTTTTTTGGCCTATGTCTACAACATCTTCAGCACCATTTGTTCAGCAGACAATCCTTCCTTCTTTTTGTCTCTTGGTAAAAAATCAGTGTGGGGCTATTTCTAGGTTCTCTATTTTGTTCCAGTGATCTATGCGTCTATTCTTCTCCCAGTACTACACAGTCTTGATTCCTATAGCTATATAAAAAGTATTGAAATATGAAAGAGCCATTCCTCCCACCTTATTCTTCTTTTTCAAAAATTGTCTTAGCTATATAAATATTTTTTGAGATGGAGTCTCACTTGTGTCACCCAAGCTGGAGATCAGTGGAGTGATCTTGGCTCGCTGCAGCCTCCACCTCCCATGTTCAAGTGATTCTCCTGCCTCAGCCCCCCGAGTAGCTGGGATTTCAGGCACTCACCACCACACCCAGTTAATTTTTGTATTTTTATTAGAGACGGTGTTTTGTCATGTTGGCCAGGCTGGTCTTGAACTCCTGACCTGAAGCGATCTGCCCATCTCGGCCTTCCAAAGTGCTGGTATTACAGGCGTGAGCCACCACTCCCAGCGTTGTCTTAGCTATTGACAATTTGTTACAGCAACAATCAAAAATGAATATACGTAGAAACAGATTAGTGTAACTAAATAGAAAGTCAAGAAACAGACTAATTTATATACCAACTTCAGCATGCATTTCCAAACAAACAGTGGGCAAAAGATGGGTTGTATAATAAAGGATTGGTGACAAGTGTCTATCCATTTGAAAAAATGAAGATTAAATCCTTACTCTGAACCACATAAAATAATAAATTCTAAATGTTCAGAGACATAAATGTGAAAATGTGAAGTCATAAAGAACTAGATGAAAATTCAGGAAAATATTACAGTGTAAGACATCTTGAATTGGCATAAGCAATTCCTGACATTACACCAAGGCTATAAACAATTAATCTGACATAGTTAAAGATGTAAAAATTAAAGTATCATCTAAGTCAAAAGACACCATAAACAACCGTTTAAAAAGGCAAATTTTAGGCGGGGCGGGGTGGCTCACGCCTATAATCCCAGCACTTTAGGGGGCTGAGGAGGGCGGATCATGAGGTCAGGGGATCAACACCATCCTGGCTACCACGACGAAACCTCGTCTCTAATAAAAATACAAAAAATTAGCCAGGCACGGTAGCACGCGCCTGTAGTCTCAGCTACTCAGGAACCTGAGGCAGGAGAATCGCTTGAACACGGGAGGCAGAGGTTGTAAATTTAAGAGGAAGGAGAAGATTTCAATAAGCAATGGTGAGGAGAAAAATACTAGAATTTATTGAAAAGTGTAAAGTTTAGATTGTAAATTAAAAAAATTATAGTCTTGAACTAAATTTGCAGGTATTATAAACATGGAAGATGGGAGGAGGGACAGAAAAGAAAAGAGAAGTTATTTTGGTGTTCAAGGAATGCATACAGATACTAATGAATGATAGAATGGTAGAATGGTTAAAAACACGAGCATTTTATTTTGTTTTATTTTAGACAGGGCCTCACTCTGGTGCCCAGGCTAGAGTTCCATAGCACAATCGTGGCTCAATGAAGCCCCAGCCTCCTCAGCTCAAGTGATCCTCCTGCCTCAGCCTCCCATGTGGCTGGGACTTCAGGTATGAACCACCACCCCTGGCTAATTAATTTTTTTTTGGTAGAGACAGGGTCTTGCTATGTTGCCCAGGCTGACCTTGAACTCTTGTCCTCAAGCAATCCTCCCAACTCTGCCTCTCAAAGTGGTGGGATTATAGGAGTGAGTCACTGTGCCCACTTAACACTAGTATTTTAGAGTACAAACTCTGGAACCAGACAGCTTGGGTTCAGTTTCTGGCTTCCCAACTTATTAAGCTATGTGACCTTGTGTAAGTCATATAACCTTTCCGTGTTTCAGGCTACTCCAGAGTAAACTGGGGATAACCACACTATCTAGCTCATTTGATTGCTATGATTAAATGGGCAAGTACGTGTAAAGCACTTAGAATAGTGCCTGTCGTGTGGTTAAGTTAGTATATATCTTTTACTTGTTGTTAGTAATGACTTCAAATTACTTTTAAAATGTAAAGGCATATCTGGTTCAAGAAGAAGATGGTGAACCAGGAATAGCTGCTGGCTTCCTTCCCAAACCCAACCCTGCAGATGCCACAGAAGAGGTGGGAAGTGGTTGGAGTTCAGAACAGTTCCTGTAACAAAACCCTTGATGGTTTGGCCCCACTGGGGGATGAGACGGCTTAGAGTGGGAAAAGGTCAGAGGCCACAGATGGAGGATCAGCCCAGGTGGAGCTTTCTAAGTTGCATTCTTGTTTTCTCCTTGTTTTCTGGAAGGCTTATTACCTGTTCTGTAAACATATAGAGCAGACATTTGGCAGGGCTGGCCTAGTGCTAGCCCAAAGTGGCGTGATAACATTAAGGAATAGGGGGCTTGGAAAGCTCCTAGAAAAAGTGCAGACTCATCAAAGCTGGCCAGTAACTGAGCATTCCTTTCCTACCTCTTCCTCTGCCCTCTGAGCTAGGCAATTACAACCAATATCACCCACCCGTAGACTCCCTCCACTCTGTAAGGCAGAAATCCTGTAAGCATCTCTGGGGGCTAATAGGCTAGGAACTGGAAAGAATTGGCTCAGCTCAGCTCAGCTCTAGAGGCTGTGTATCCTATGACCTATCAATCCAGAAACCCTGAAACTCACATGTAGTTTCTGGGGTGACACATTTTTCCCAGGGACAAAGAGTTATATAGAAAAACTATCAGATAGGCCAGGCGCGGTGGCTCATGCCTGTAATCCCAGCACTTTGGAAGGCCTGAGGTCAGGAGTTCGAGAACAGCCTGGCCAACACGGGAAACTCTGTCTCTTCTAAAAGTACAAAAATTAGCTCGGTGTGGTGGTGTGCAACGGTAGCCCCAGCTACTCGGGAGGCTGAGGCAGTAGAATCGCTTGAACCCGAGAGTCGGAGGTTATAGTGAGCCAGGATTATGCCACTGCACCCCAGCCTGAGTGACAAAGTGAGACTCTGTCTCAAAAAAAAAAAAATTCCTTTCTTTCAACACTTTGGAGTTATTACACCATTGTATCCTTGCCTCCAGTGTGGTGTTTGAGAGACCCAATATCAGTTTAATTATTTTTCCTCTGTAAGTAACCTGCTATTTCTCTCTGATCGTTTTAAAACTACTTTTTCTTCCTTTCACAATTTTACATTTCACTGATCCTGTGTGTGTGTGTACTTATAAATACCTTTAAATCTTAAGTCATTTTTCTAAATCTGAGAAATTCTCTTTCATTACTTATTTCAGTACACTCTCTTGTTTAATGACTATATTCTCTTCTTATAAGGCTACTATTAGATGTGTTTTGACATTTATTCTTTTATCCTCCCTATTAATTAACTTTTCTTTCATTTACTTCATCTGTATCCATTACCGATTAGTTTTATGAATTCTTTAGACTCATTTCCTCAGGTCAGCCTTTGCCTTTTCAACTATATCCGTTTTAATATCCAACCTATTTCACTGAATTATTTATTTGAGCATTTAATGTTTTCATATCCAATCTATCCAATAGGTTATTTTTTATTTATTTATTTATGATGGAGTCTCGCTCTGTCACCCAGGCTGGAGTGCAGTGGCGTGATCTTGGCTCAATGCACCTCGCCTCCCGAGTCCGAGCAGTTCTCCTGTCTCAGTAGATAATTAAAAAAAAAAAAAAAGCTGCATTTGGTGGTGTGTACCTGTAGTCCCAGCCACTCAGGAGGCTGGTGCAGGAAGATTGCTTGGGCCCTGGAGTTTGAGGCTGCAGTGAGCTAGGATTGGGTCACCGCACTCTAGCCTGAGTGACAAAATGAGACTTTGTCTCTGAAAATTAAAAAAAAAAAAAAAGATCGTAGGCACGATTTTACTCAGAAGGGGGAGTAATATGAGATGTACACGGGCCACTGCAATGGGTTTTTGTGGTAGGAGAGATATTGGGATCGACTTGGACTCCACCAAGGACAAGTGGGGATTTATAGTCAAGAGCAGGGTGGTGGGGAGCAGGGTCAGAAGATGGGAAATTACTTGGAGGAGACATCAGGTGCAGGGGGATTCTGGCTAAACAGAGTTGACAGGAATTTTGCTGAAACAGGCTTAATGGGCAGAGTCCCTGGATGGGGAGGTGTGAGCCACCTCACCTGGCCAACAGGCTATGTTTAATATGTCAGTTTTCATAAGTAATCTAGGTATAATTGTTAAAAATGAATAAACGAGGTAAATGTGAGATACATGTTTATAAATGAACTTTTCATGTAATTGGAAATCTTTTTTCTCTTGCTCTTATCATAGGAAGATGAAATATTAAAGTTATGTTGTGTTAGATTAAGTAATAGGTACTCATTAAATGTCGGGATCTTTCCAACTAAGAAAACAGCTGAAACAAATCGCTAAACATAAATACAAGTTTGTTCTTGGCCCTTAAGTTTTATAAAACACAAAAGATACTTGGATCCATTAATAAAATGCCCTGTTCTACATTGAAAATTGTTCTGGCTGGGTGTGGTGGCTCACGCCTGTAATCCCAGCACTTTGGGAGGCTGAGGCGGGTGGGTCACGAGGTCAAGAGATCAAGACCATCCTGGCCAACGTGGTGAAACCCCGTCTCTACTAAAAATACAAAAATTAGCCGGGCACGGTGGCGGGCGCCTGTAGTCCCAGCTACTTGGGAGGCTGAGTCAGGAGAATCATTGGAACCTGGGAAGTGGAGGTTGCAGTGAGCCAAGATTGTGCCACTATACTCCAGCCCGGGCAACAGAGCAAGACTTGGTCTCAAAAAAAAAAAAATTAAGGTTACTAAAAATTAAAAGTTCTTAGTATATGTAGTTCCATATACAAAATATACAGAAAACAATTTTTATATCAAAAAATTTTGTGTGGTCTGAGTGATAAATATATTTTTATCCTAAAACAAAATGATTGGTTGCCTTAGCATAAAAAAAAATAGTTTAGCCCAGGTGCAGTGGCTCAGGCCTGTAATCTCAGCACTTTGTGAGGCAGAGGTGGGCAGTTCCTGATGTCAAGAGATCGAGACCATCCTGAACAACATGGTGGAATTCTGACTCTACTAAAAATACAAAAATGAGCTGGGCATGGTGACTCTTGCCTGTAGTTCCAGCTATTTGGGAGGCTGAGGCAGGAGAATTGCTTGAACCCAGGAGGCGGAGGTTGCAGCGAGTTGAGATTGCGCCACTGCACTCCAGCCTGGCAACAGACAGAGTGAGACTATGTCTCAAAAAAAAAAAAAAACAGTCTATGGCCATACCACCTGAATATGCCAAATCTTGTCTGATCTCAGAAGTTAAACAGAGTCAGGCTTGGTTAGTACTTGGACTGAAGTCCAATATAAAAATGAAAAATTATAGGACTAAGACTGGGGGTAAAAACACGATGGAATGTCTACGCACGTTGTTGACGTTTATGAAGGATGGGCCTTGGGAAGGAAGTCTTATATATGATCAGATTGGTTGGGATTGAAAAGAAATGATTTATCAATTTTTCTAAAAATCGAACATTAGTGTCAAGGGTGAACTGAAGCAGGGTGAGTCTGCTCCTCTAAGTTTGAAATAGGTTTTCTTAACAGGTTGATCTATTTTTCTTTATCTTTTAAATAATTAGTCTAAAAAAACGGGGATTTTCTTTTAAGATAGTTTCTTAACTGCATTTATTAGGCTTTTGTTTTTGTTTTGTTTTCTGAGACGGAGTCTCGCTCTGTCGCCCAGGCTGGAGTGCAGTGGTGCGATCCACCCACTGCAGTGAGCAAGGTTGCTCCATCTCCCAGGTTCAAGTGATTCTACTGCCTCAGCCTCCTGAGTAGCTTGGATTACAGGTGCCCACCACTACGCCCAGCTAATTTTTGTATTTTTAGTACAGACAGGGTTTCACCATGTTGGCTGGGCTGGTCTCGAATTCCTGACCTCAAGTGATCTGCCTGCCTTGGCATCCCAAAGTCGGGATTACAGGCCTAAGCCACTGCACTCAGCTATAATTAGCAATTGTATAATAAATTTAGTTTGTACAATGGTTTTGAACGAGGATCCCAAGCCTAGGGGCCACCAGCTAAACAAATCTAAAAACTGTGGGGCAATTGAAAGAGACCTCTTATAGTCTTTGAGTAGCATTTGAGGACTGGGTTGAATTATAGCAGAGTGCCAACTCTATGAAAGGGACCACTAGGTGAAGGAAAGGATTTGGAGGCCAGGTTCTGTCAATTGAAAAATGCAGACATTCGGGGGGTAAGAGTCTCATTGTGATATGAAGACTTATTCTGGCATCTTGGGAAAAACTGTCGACAGTGTGGAAACATCAACTTCTCATCCTGATTTGTCGTTCGAATGTCTCTGGTTATGGCACTGGACAGTTTGGTGGACTTTTTGTGTGGTCCATACATCAAGCACAAGACTTGTTCTTTAAAATTTATGCAGTTTTACCTTATAGGACTTGTAAATCAAAAATAAAATCCTAAGCTCCCTGCCCCCAACCATCTGAATAGACGTCCTCCTAAGCCAGGGCTCTTTTAAAATTTAACTGGAGAGACGGTTTCAGGCCATGACACGAAGTGGGGGTCAGGCATGCCTCATTATACCTCTCTGGCATCAACATCAACACAGACTTGAAGTGTGATAAGAAACATGTTGGCCGGGCATGGTGGCTCACCCCTGTAATCCCAGCACTTTAGGGGGCCGAGGAGGGCAGATCACGAGGTCAGGAGATCAACACCATCCTGGCTAACACAGTGAAACCCCGTCTCTACTAAAAATACAAAAAATTAGCTGGGCGTAGTGGCACGTGCCTGTAGTCTCAGCAACTCAGGAGGCTCAGGCAGGAGAATTGCTTGAACCCAGGAGCCGGAGGTTGAAGTGAGCGGAGAAGGAGCCACTGCACTCTAGCCTGGCAACATAGCGAGACTCCACCTCAAAAAAAAAAAAAAAAAAAAAGGTACAACCTGTTCTCTCTGAAGCGTAGTACCTGAAGGCTTCCTCTGCAAATAAGAACTTAAAAAAAACTAAGAACGACTCACTTCACATAATCAATTTTTACAATGATTAAAGCAGAGTCCTGCTTAGCAATGCACAAAAATTCTCCTTTGTGATCCATTCATTTTACTGCTGTTGACTTTCTTGCTTATGCTTTCAGACAGAGTCACTCTCCTTTGACCAAACTTGAGTTGGGCTCCTCTGAGTCCTGTTTCTGACTAGGTCCCAACCTTGGGCTCTGTCCTTCATCCAGGAACTCTGCTCATTTAGCCTGTTTCAGCAAAAATCCTGTCAGGTCAGTTTATCCAGAATCCCCCTGCACACCTGAGTTTTCCTCCAAGTAATTTCCCATCTTCTGACCCCCGGCTCCTACTCCCTGACTACAAATCCCCACTTGTCCTTGGTGGAGTTGAAGTCGATCCTAATATCACTCTCCCACCGCAAGACCCCATTGCAGTGGTCCCTGTGCCTATCACAGTAGTCCCCTCTCTGAGTAAAATCGTCCTTACGATCTTTATTTCACTTTCAGAGACAAAGTCTCACTTTGTCACTCCGGCTGGAGTGCAGTGACCCAATCCTAGCTCACTGCAGCCTCAAATTCCAGAGCCCAAGCAATCTTCCTGCCCCAGCCTCCCGAGTAGCTGGGACTACACGTACACACCACCACACCCAGGTATATATTTTTTTAATTATCTACAGAACCAGGAACTTGATACGTCCGTCTAATTTTTGTATTTTTTGTAGAGAGGGGGTTTTGCCACGTTGTCCAGGTTGGTCTTGAATTCCTGGGCTCAACCAATCCTCTTGCCTTGGGCTCCCAACATGCTGGGATTACAGGCATGAGCCACTGCAGCTGGCCCTACCTTACAGTCTTTAATAAGTGCAATAAATACTTGTTTGCTTTAACATTTCCCTGTGTCTTCAATCTCCTGAAATGTTATATGCCTGACATTGCCTTACTCCACGAAATATAAAAATTCCTTCCTTTCACTGGGTGCTGGGGCTTACCCTTATAATCCCAGCACTTTGGGAGGCCAAGGCGGGCAGATCACTTCAGGTCAGGAGTTCAAGATCAGCCTGGCAAACATGGTGAAACCCCATCTCTACTAAAACTACAAAAATTAGCCGGGTGTGGTGGTGTGCGCCTGTAGCTCCAGCTACTCAGAAGGCTGAGGAGGATAATCGCTTGTAACTGGGAGGCAGATCATGCCACTGCACTCCAGCCTGAGTGACAAAGCGAGACTCTGTCTCAAAAAAAAGAAAATCCTTTCGTTCAACACTTTGGAGTTATTACACTATTGTATCCTTGCCTCCAGTGTGGTGTTTGAGAGACCCGATGAAGGTTTAAATATTTTTCCTTTGTAAGTGACCTGCTATTTCTCTCAGATCATTTTTAAAATATTTTTTCTTTGTCTTTCACAATTTTTTATTTCACTGTTCCTGTGTGTGTATGTGCGTGTGTACGATGACCCCTTTAAATCTTAAGACATTTGTCTAAATCTGAGAAATTCTCATTCATTACTTTTTTAAGTACACTCTCCTTTTTAATGACTATATTCTGTTTTCATAAGGCTACTATTAGATGTGTTTCAACATTTATTCTTCTATCCTCCCTATTAATTAACTTTCCTTTCATTTACTTCATCTATATCCATTACCGATTACTTTTATGAATTCTTTAGACTCACTTTCTCAGCTCAGTAATTGCTTTTTCAACTATATCCATTTTAATATCCAACCTATTTCACTGAATTATTTATTCGAGCAATTAATGTTTTCATATCCAATCTATCCAATAGGTTTTCTTTTTATTTATTTATTTGAAATGGAGTCTTGTTCTTTCACCCAGGCTGGAGTGCAGTGACTCCATCTTGGCTCACTGCAGCTCTGTCTCCTGAGTCCAAGCAATTCTCCTGCCTTAGTCCCTTGAGTAGCTGGGACCACAGGCGTGTGACACTATGCCAGGTGAATTTTGCATTTTTAGTAGAGACGGGGTTTCACCATGTTGACCAGGCTGGTCTCGAAATCCTGACCTCAGGTGAGCCGCCCGCCTCAGCCTCTCAAAATGCTGGGATTACAGGTGTGAGCCACTGTGCCCGGCCTTTTTTTTTTTTCTCTTACAGTTTCACTATTGTTGCCCAGGCTGAAGTGCAATGGTGTGGTCTCACCTCACTGCAACCTCCGCCTCCCAGGTTCAGGTGATTCTCCTGCCCCAGCCTCCTGAGTAGCTGGGGTTACAGGCATGCACCACATCACACAGCTAATTTTAGTTGAGATGGGGTTTCGCCATCTTAGCCAGGCTGGTCTCAAACTCCTGACCTCAGGTTATCCTCCCACCTCTGCCTTCCAAAGTACTGGGATTACAGGGGTGAGCCACCACACCCAGCCTATCCGATAGTTTTTCTGTATAACTCTTTGTTCCTGGGAAGGTGTGTCAGTCCAGACACTCCACATGAGTTTCAGGGTTTCTGGATTGATAGGTCGTAGGATACGGAGCCTCTAGAGCTGAGCTGAGCCAATTCTTCTTCCAGTCCCTAGCCTATGAGCCCCCAGAGACCCTTACAGGATTTCTGCCTTACAGTGTGGAGGGAGTCTACAGGTGGATGATATTGGTTGTAATCGCCCAGCTCAGAGGGCAGAGGGAGAGGTAGGAAAGAAATGTTCAGTTACTGGCCAGCTTTGATGAGTCTGCACTTTTTCTAGGAGCTTGCCAAGCCCCTTATTCTTTAATGTTATCAGGCCACTTTGGGCTAGCACTGGGCCAGCCCTGCCAAGTGTCTGCTCTATATGTTTACAGAACAGATAATAAGCCTTCTAGAAAACAAGGAGAAAACAAGAATGCAACTTAGAAAGCTCCGCCTGGGCTGATCCTCCATCTGTGGCCTCTGACCTTTTCCCACTCGAAGCCATCTCATCCCCCAGTGGGGCCAAACCATCAAGGGTTTTGTTACAGGAACTGTTCTGAACTCCAACCACTTCCCACCTCGTCTGTGGCATCTGCAAGATTTGGTTTGGGAAGGAAACCAGCAGCTATTCCTGGTTCACCATCTTCTTCTTGAACCAGATATGCCTTTACATTTTAAAAGTAATTTGAAGTCATTACTAACAACAAGTAGAAGATATATACTAACTTAACCACATGACAGGCACTATTCTAAGTGCTTTACAGGTACTTGCCCATTTAATCATAGCAATCAAATGAGCTAGATAGTGTGGTTATCCCCAGTTTACTCTTGAGTAGCCTGAAACACGGAAAGGTTATATGACTTACGCAAGGTCACATAGCTTAATAAGTTGAGAAGCCAGAAACTGAACCCAAGCTGTCTGGTTCCAGAGTTTGTACTCTAAAATACTAGCGTTAAGTGGGCACAGTGACTCACTCCTATAATCCCACCACTTTGAGAGGCTGATGTGGGAGGATTGCTCGAGGTCCAGAGTTCAAGGTCAGCCTGGGCAACATAGCAAGACCCTGTCTCTACCAAAAAAAAATTTTTTTTAGTTACCCAGGCATGGTGGTGCACACTGTAGTCCCAGCTACATGGGAGGCTGAGGCAGGAGGGTCACTTGAGCTGAGGAGGCTGGGGTTGCAGTGAGCCATGATTGTGCTATGGAACTCTAGCCTGGGCACCAGAGTGAGGCCCTGTCTAAAATAAAACAAAATTTAATGCTAGTGCCTTTTACCATTCTACCGTTCTATCATTCATAAACATCTGTATACATTCCCTGAACACCGAAATAACTTCTCTTTTTTTTCCTGTCCCTCCTCCCATCTTCCATGTTTATAATACCTGGAATTTTATTTCAAGACTATAATTTTTTAAGTTTACAATCAAAAGTTTACACTTTTTAATAAATTTTACTGGTTTTCTTCTCATCATTGCTTGTTAAAATCACCTCCTTCCTCTTAAATTTACTTTTCTCTTCTCATAGACCTGTATACCAACAATGATTTCTGAAGGGTATATGTGTCATGAATTTTCTGAAATATTTTCTCCCTCATTCTGGATTATCCTGGCTGTATATAGATATCTAGGTTCAACTTTTTTGTTTGTTTTTGTCTTGTTTTGTTTTAATTTTTGAGACAGTGTCTGGCTCTGTCACCCAGGCTGGAATGCAGTGGCACCATCTCGGCTCACAGCAATTTCCACCTCCCGGACTCAAGTGATTCTCCTGTCTCAGCCTCCCAAGTAGCTGGGACTACAGGCACGTGGCACCACACCTGGCTACTTGTTGTATTTTTTGTAGAGATGGGTTTTGCCTTGTTGGCCAGGCTGGTCTCAATTTCCTGAGTTCAAGCTGTCCTCCCATCTTGGCCTACCAAAGTGCTGGGACTACAGGCGTGAGCCACTGTGCCTGGCCCAAAGTTATTTTTAATCAGCTCCTTGAAAAACGTCTCCATTGCATTCTCTTTTCTCTCTTTCTCTCTGGGGCCTTTCAGGATTTTATCTTTATCCTAGAAATTTTACCCCTAGGGAGTGTGTGCGTATATGTGTGAGTGTGTGTGTGTGTGTGTGTGCGCGCGCCTGTGTGTTAATCAGGTTCAGAACTAGGTGACTTTTTTCAGTTTGAAGATTCATGTGTTTGTTCAGTTGAGAAAATTCTAGAACATTATTTCTTCAAGTACCGCCTTCTCTACAGTCTTTCTATTCTTTTTTTTTTTTTTTTTTTCCTTTTCGAGTCGGAGTTTTGCTCTGTCATCCAGGCTGGAGTGCAGTGGCACAATCTCAGCTCACTGCAACCTCTGCCTCCCGGGTTCAAGTGATTCTCCTGCCTCAGGCTTCCACATAGTTGGGATTTCAGGCGCCCACCACCACACCGGGCTAATTTTTGTATTTTCAGTAGAGACGGGGTTTCGCCATGTTGGCCAGTCTGGTCTCAAACTCCTGACCTTAGGTGATGGGCCTGCCTCAGCCTCCAAAGGGCTGGGATTACAAGCGTGAGCCACGGCGCCTGGTCCAGTCTTTCTGTTCTCTACCTCTGCAACTTCTATTGGATGAACGTTGAAACCTCTGGGCTCTATCCTCCATTTCCTTTATTATTTTCATTTCATACTTTCTATTTCATAATCCTTTTCTGCTATACGGTGAAGTAGTGCCATGCCTGAACACATTTTTTCATTGGGTTGTTCCAGTTTCTCTTACTGATATGCAAAAGCTTTGTTGTATATTAGAGATGGTTACTGTTAATTTATTGAGGATGCTTCACCAATTTCCCCAACATTTGCCTTTTTAAACAGTTTTGTGGTGTTTTTTGAATTAGATGATACTTTAATTTTTACATCGTTATGTCAGATTCATTGTTCATAGCCTTAGTGTAATATCAGGAAGTGCCTATGACACCTCCAGATGTCTTACACTGTAATATTTTCCTAAATTTTCATCTAGTTCTTTATGACTTCACATTTTCACGTTTAAGTAACTGATTTTTTAGAATTTATTATTTTATGTGGTTTAAAGTAAGGATTTAATCTTTATTTTTTCAAATAGATAGACACTTGTCAAGCAATAATTTATTATACAACCCATCATCTTTTGCCCACTGTTTGAAAATGCATGCTGAAATTTGCGTATAGATTAGTCTGTTTCTTGACTTTCTATTTTGTTTCACTAATAAATGTTTCTATGTGCATTCATTTTTTATTGCAGCTGTAACAAATTTTCAATAGCTTAGACAACGCTGGGCGCAGTGGCTCAGGCCTGTAATCCCAGCACTTTTTGGAAATCTTTACCAACAAAGAAAAATTCTGATGTATTCTCTTTCAGTTGAATGTCCTCAGATGACTTTCGGCAGACTCTAGAGAATCTTCCCGAAGGTGAGTATCTCTCAAATCTAAATGACCAGAGAACCTTTGTCCCTCCATGGATGCGAAAACTGGTAAGAGTGGGAGAATATCAAAAATGCCCTCACTGCCTCCTTTTTCCCATGTCTATCACAACACCTGATGTAGCATTGACGGCTTGATAACACTGACAGTTGTAATCCTTAACACTTCTTTTGTTTTCATAGTGATGCCAGATATTCTAAGCAGGTTACATGGATTAATTTATTTAATCCTTAAGAATACGTCTATGACGTTGTTTCTATTATTATCTCCAAATAATGTCTCATACATTTCAGTTGTCATCCACACAAAAGCCATGTGACTTGGCGCAAATCTTCTAAGTTCTCTGAGCTCCAGACTCCTGGGCCATGAAATGGAAGTAAAGAATCATAGTTCATGTTTTAGATCATAGTTATCAGCAAAATAATAATAACATGAGACTATCGTGGTACAGAGATGTTAGAGAATTTTCCTGAGGTGCAGTGGCAGTGGTAGTCTGATCCAGAGCTCCAAGCCATTTAAAGCTCATTCACGTTTGCATTTGTTTATGAAGTTCAGATGTTGCTCACTAGGGCTTTACCCCATAGGGCCTGCTGGTGCTTCCAAGGAGACACCCACTCTCGCAACAGGAAGGACCAGCTGGCTTCTGATCCGTTACTGGGGCCACTCGCATGGCTTAGGAATAGGTTTGACTGTGGGCCCCTCCCTACTGTGAGCTCCTTGAGGGCTTTCTCTACACCTGGTGCATCCGAGAAACCCCAGTCCCAGCCCAGGGGTTTCCTTGGAGGCCCCTGAACGAGTGACTCCACAACTACATATTCAATTCCGGTTTAGAGGGTAAAGGGATCTGGGATTGGGTTGCCAGTATGGAGGACAAATTCAAAGAAGGATCATGAAAGGTATTAATTGTTATTATTACTACATTTAAACAGTGTTTATAAGCTCAGAGAGGACTTTCCCTTAGCCTATTTTACATGTATTGTTCACTATTTCATAAGTGAGGAAGCTGAATAAATGTAGCTTAAGACTGTTGGTCAGTGACCCATCCCAGTGCAACCAGAATTGATATGGGTACCACCTCACTGAATTCCACATTCAATGTTGGTGCCTCGGTAGGCTGGTATGCCAGATCTGGTACTGCTTTCTTTGCTGCCTGGATTAATTTCAGCAAACCATTTCTTTCCCTCTCCCTTCCCTGTATTCCTCTCCCCACACCATCTTTCCCAGCAGTGTTTCGTCCCCTCCCTATGTTTTTACATTTACCCTCCCAGCAGCTGTCTACGAGCTTATATGGGATCCCTTGTATTTTATAGAAGCTCTTCCTTTTGCAGACCTGTGAATTCTTAGAATGCTATGCTCCAAATCTTCTGTATATCACACTCTCAATTACATGGAGATTTTTGCTGTTTGCAAGAATGTCAGTCCTAAAAGAGTGGGAAGATAAGCATTCTATCCCTGGAAACCCCATTCATGTAGGCCAATCCTTTCCCTTCTAACCTCCCCTCCCAGGTTTCTCCTAATTTAGGCAAGTGTAACTCTCCCAGCTTTGTTGAGAACATTGATTAAGGTAATGCATGCGAAGACGCTTTGTAAGCTCTAAAGCACTATAGAAATGGCACTGATTCTGTTTATCTGTGACCTTCACATTATAAAGATCATGCCCAAGAAGCCAGCAGAGGAAGGAAATGATTAGAAGGGAGTGCCAGAAGCATCTGCCCCACAAAACGATCCGAAGCAGCTGTGCCCACCCAGGAAAAGCAAATACCTCTAGAAGATTCACAAGAGATCTGGTAAGAGGAAACAATTCGGGAACAAACCCTCTGGCTTTCCTGGCTATGTTCAGGTGTGTGGATTGGGTGTGTGGCACGGACCCCAGACAAGCCTGGGTCCCGGCTGAGCTGAGGAGCTTGCCCAGCGCCAGAAGAGATGTTAGACATGACTTCCAGAGACACAGAGTGGAGTTGTCATCCATATACAACCACGTGACTTGGGGCAAGTCTTCCAAATTTTCTCAGCTCCAGATTCCCAGTCCATACGATGGAAGTAAAGAATCATAGTTCACAAATTGTTTGGAGACATTATATTTAGTCTAGAAGGCCTGATGACATGAAAGGTGCTCAAGCAATTCTATCTGTAATTAATTACCTGGGATCATGTCTTACGCAGCTCAATGCCTGATACCCAATCAGTTGTACTTCAGAGATATTGCAGGTTCGGTTCCAGACCACTGCAATAAAGTGAGTCACACATTTTTTTTGTTATTGTCGTTTCGCAGTGCATAAAAACATTACGTTTTCACTATAGTGTACTCTACTAAGTGTGCAATAGCATTGTCTAAAAATGTACATACCTTAATTTTAAAATAATTCATTGATAAAAAATGCTAACAATCTTCTGAGCCTTCAGTGAGTCACACTCTTTTTGCTGGTGGAGGGTCTTGCCTTGGTGTTAATGGCTGCTGGCTGATCAAGGTGGTGGTTGCTGAAGATTGGAGTGGCTGTGGCAGTTTCTTAAAAGAACACAACGGTGAAATTTGCCACATTGATTAGCTCTCCCTTTCATGAAAGATTTCCCTGTAGTGTGTGATGCTACTGGATAGCATTTTACCCACAGTAGAACTTCTTTCAAAGTTGGAGTCAATCCTCTCTAGCTATGAAAGTCCTAGATGGCATCTCCTTCCAATAGAAGGCTATTTTATCTACATTGAAAATCTGTTGTTTAGTGTAGCCACCTTCATCAGTGATCTTAGCTAGATCTCCTGGATAACTTGCTGCAGCTTCTCCATCAGGGTTTGCTGCTTCACCTTGCACTTTTATGTTATGGAGATGGCTTCTTTCCTTAAACCTCACGAACCAACTTCTACTAGCTTCACGTGTTTCTCCTGCAGCTTCTTCACCTCTCTCAGCTTTCATGGACGTGAAGAGAGTTCAGGTCTTTCTCTGAATTAGACTTTGGCTTAAGGGAATGTTGTGGCTGGTTTCATGTTCTGTCCTGACCACGCAATCTTCCTCTATTTCAGCAGTAAGGCTGCTTTACTTTCTTATTTGTGTGTTCACTGGAGTATTAGTATTATTATTTCCTTCAAGACCTTTCCTTTGCATTATATACTATTATTTCCTTCAAGAACTTTTCCTTTGCAATCACAGCTTGGCTGTTTGGTGGAAGAGGCCGAGCTTTCAGCCTGTCTTGGCTTTCAGCGTGCCTTCCTCACTAAGCTTAGCCATTTCTAGCTTGTGATTTAGAGTGAGAGACATGCGACTCTTCCCTTCCTTTGAACACTTAGTGGCCATTGTAGGGTTGTTCATTGTCCTAATTTCAGTATTGCTGTGTCTCAAGAAATAGGGAGGCCCAAGAAAAGGAAGGTAGGCAAGGAAGAGCTCATCGGTGGAGCAGTCAGAACACACACAACATTGATCAATTAAGTTTGTCATCTTCTGTGGGTGCAGTTCCTGTTACCCCTAAAACAATTACCCACAACAGGGTGATTATTGTCAGTAATAACCTAATTGCACATTTAAAAAAACTAACACAGTGTAAATGGATTGTTTGTAACACAAGGATAAATGGTTGAGGGGACGGATACCCTATTTGCCATGATGTGATTATTATGCATTGCATGCATGTATCAAAACATCTCACGTACCCCATAAGTATATAGACCTACTGCGTACCCACAAAAATAAAAAAAATTATTTTAAAAGACTAAAGAACAACAAAACAATCGCAATCATAATATCAAAGCTCACTGATCACAGATCACTATAACAGATATAATAATAATGGAAAAGTGTAAAATTGGTGAGAATTTCAAAAAAAAATTGCAGTATCTGCGAAGCAGGATAAAAATGAGGTGCCATAAAACAAGGTTTGCCTTGTGCCCTTAACAAATACGTGCAGCATGAAAGGAGGTATGGGTGAGTGTTCCCATAAGTGAAGAGGCTGGGAATCTAAACCTGACAACGGAAGGAGCCAGAAGCTAAAACTTTAATTGGTATTTGTGGTGTATTGGTGTGGATCTAAGGCCTCAGCCTCTCTAAGCCAGAGAATGTGAAAAACTGGATAAAGAAGGCCCATGGGCACTTGGTGGTGGGGAGGCATCTCCTTTTTTGAGAAAACAGAGCCTAACACTCTCCAACCCACCCAACCCTCACTTTCCAACTATTCTCCATCATAGGACCCAAAAGGGGGAAACATGCCTGGACCCACAGACTGCGTGAGAGAAAGCAGCTGGTGATTTATGAAGAGATCAGCGACCCTGAGGAAGATGACGAGTAACTCCGTAAGTGAACCTTCCGCTCATCCCCCACATCCCTGCAGATGTGCTATTCTGTTATGATACTGGTATCCCATCTGTCACTTGCTCCCCAAATCATTCCCTTTTCTAGGGTACAGCATTGAGGCTGAATGATGAGATTTCCCATTCTCTTTCTTTCTTTCTTTCTTTCTTTCTTTCTTTTTTTTTTTGGAGGGATTCTTGCTCTGTCGCCCAGGCTGGATGTGGTGGCCCGATTTCGCCTCACTGCAACTTCCGCATCCCGGTTCAAGCAATTTTCTTGCCTCAGCAACCTGAGTAGCTGGGATTACACGTGTGCACCCCACACACCCGGCTAATTTTTGTATTTTTAGTAGAGATGAACTTTCACCATGTTGGTCAGGCTGGTCTCGAACTCCTGACCTCGGGATCCACCTGCCTCGGTCTCCCAAAGTGCTGGGTTTACAGGCGTGAGCCACCGCACCCGGCCGATTTCCCATGCTCTTTCTACTCTCTACCCTGTATATCCAGGGATGCTCCCTACCCAGGATGCTGTGGGTTCCCAAACCCCAGGTCAGCCCTGATATGCGGGCCACACCTTCCTCTAGCCTAGGAATGGATCACCCAGGCGAAGAAGTCACTGTGGCATGAACAGATGGTTCACTTCGAGGAACCGTGGAAGGCGTGTGCAGGTCCTGAGGTAGGACAGAATCAGAGTGTGCAGGGTCTGCAGGTCAGGAGGAGTTGAGGTTGAGTTGTCACGTGGTGGGAACTCACTGCCACTTACTTTCCTTCTCTCTTCTTGCCTCAGCCTCGGGGATACGACACATGCCCATGATGAGAAGCAGAACGTGGTGACCTTTCATGAACACGGGCATGGCTGTGGACCCCTCGTCATCAGGTGCATAGCAAGTGAAAGCAAGTGTTCACAACAGTGAAAAGTTGAGCGTCATTTTTCTTAGTGTGCCAAGAGTTCGATGTTAGAGTTTACGTTGTACTTTCTTACAGTGTGCCATTCTGTTAGATATTAACATTTTCACTGATCAGCAAGACATACTTAATGCATATTTCGGTTTGTGTATCCATGCACCTACCTTAGAAAACAAGTATAGTCAGGTATTCTCTCCATAGAACAGCACTACCCTCCTCTCTCCCCAGATGTGACTGCTGAGGGGAGGTCTGAGTGTTTAATTTCAGATTTTTTCCTCTGCATTTACACCACACACACACACACACACACACACACACACACAAACACCAAGTAACACTATAAGCATCTCCCATCTGCTTGTACTCCCCTCATCCGATTCCCCTCTATCAGTCACTGACAGTTAATAAACATTTGCAAACGTTCCCCAGTTGTTTGCTCCTCTCATTATTGTGCACACAGCTCTCTGCATGTGTATGAATATTTCTTTAGGAAAGATTCTTAGAAGTGGAATTGCTGTGTCAAACGAGTCACTTATTCAACAAAAAACTAATGAGTGCATACTCATGCTGAGCGCTGTTCTAGGTGCTGGAGAGACACCAGGGAACAAGGCAGACAGATGTTTCTGACCCCCATTCTAGAGGAAGATGTTTCCCGTTGTTGGGTTTCTTGGTTTGTTTGTTTGTTTCTTCTAGAGATGGGGTCTTGCTCTATCCAGGCTAGAGTGCAGTGGCATGATCATAGCTCAATGCAGCCTTGAACTCCTGGGCTCAAGTGATCCTCCCACAGCAGCCTCCAGAGTAGCTGTGACTACAGGCATGCGCCATCACGCCCCACTGATTTTTTTAGGTTTTGTCTAGAGAGTCTCACTATGTTACCCAGGCTGGTCTCCACCTCCTGGGTTCAGGCAATCCTCTCACCTTGGCCTCCTAATATATTGGGATTACAGGCGTAAGCCACCGCACCTGGCCTCCAGTTTTTATTTTGATAGAGACTATACACTTCAGTCCTGGAGCAGGATTCTGCAGCAGGTGTTTGGGCATCTTGGCCTTCGCTCTCTGAACCATTTTCGGGTTCTAGGGCTGGGACGGTCCATTTGGGAGTATGTAGGAGGAGACACAGATGAAATCGTCATCTGGGGAACGCAGAGGGATGAGGAAGATGCGTGCACTGTAGACCCTGTGATGCACAGGGAATAGAAGAGTCCACTTAGTCTCCATGCAAAGGAGCAACGGTGGGAAAGTCTCCTGGACAGGAGCGTGAGACTGCCCATCAAGGATCTCACCAACCAAGGGCCTGGGGGCTGGGGTGGGGACGATGATTTGGGAATGGGACAGTTCTTTCTCACATATACCACTGCACGGTGCGGAGGTGGAACAGTTGTGGGGAAGGAAGGGCAGAGGGGAGTATGTTTTAGAACAAACCAGTGTGTGTGAATGAAGACATTAAACCTCCATTCACACACAACAGACTTGAAACACCAGCCCCGGGTGGAGGCAGGACTGGAGCTCTTTTGACCATTCATACCCCATCACCTTGGCCTCCTGGTTCTCCCCAGCCTTGGAAGGAGGACACTATCATCATTATGCCTATATGATAGATGAGAGAGGGAGTCCCAGACAGATGGTAGGCATCTTGTCACAGGTCCTACAGCTGGCAGGTGCAGGAGGGGCTGAGTTTGGAGTTCATTGACTCTAGAAATATTAAGGAGGAAAGGTGTGTGTGGTGGAGGGAGGGAGAATTGAACAAACTCCAGGTTCTGTCCCCAGTCGCAAGGTAGAGGTTGTGGGTTCATTTTCCAAGACAGGGAGCCCTTAGAGATGGAGAGTGCAGGGAGGAAGAGGCAATCGTGGACATAGTGGGGACAGTGGGAGACAGAGATGTGCAGCCTGGGCAGAAGAGAGGCAGGCAAAGAAGCAGGGGATACCCAAGACCAAGTGTGGGCTGTCACAGCCACCAGAGGGAGAGGGTGCCAGGAAGGAGGTTGTGGGCCTCCAGGAGCAAGAGGTTCCCTAGATCTGTGAGCATGCCCTGCCTGGCACTGCAGGAAGAGATGGCTGCCACCCAGGTCAGTGTGGACATACCTCTACCTGTGTCTCAGAGGAAACAAATTCTATTTTATCCCAATATAGTTCTGTATTACACAAATGTAACATTCCAATACTAGATATTGAGTGCCTTACCCTCCATGCAAATAGAGGAGAGGATACCCTAAAGGAGATACCGAAGGATTTGATTTTTCTTTCTCCCTGGGAAGATGGGATCCATAAGTTGAGTCCCCCAGCCCACAAGACAGGTGCAAAGAAGGGTGGCTGGAAGATTGTGAGTCATGACAGGGAACATTTTTCGTTAGGTTCCATGGGTATATAAAACTCCCGACTATCTGTCTATCAGGGATAAAGAGTGAACATGGTCCCCTCTCCACAAATGTGTTTCTCTCCTTCACTATTACAGTGAAGGTCTGAAGTTCCGTCAAGTTCTGATACATTACTTTTATTATTATTATTTGTTTTTTTCTTTCCTTTTTTTTTTGAGACAGAATGTCACTCTGTCACCCAGGCTGGAGCGCAGTGGCGAGATCTCCCACTGCACTTCCAAGTTCGAAGGAATGTTGGGTAGGGTACGGGATCTATCTGCCATCTTGCTTCAATCATCTGGTTTTAGATATTTTATGTACTTTTGTCACTATATATGTGTAATTTTTCTCAATTTGGATTTCTAAATGGTTATTATTGGTATGTAGAAAAGCTATCTATTACTGTATATAATAATTTGTTACCTGTCTGGGTGCAGCTTCCCCTGCATTTTGGCACAAGACTCAATCTGTTTTATTCTCAAAAAAAAAAAAAAAACAAACAAAAACAAAACAAAACAAAACAAAACCTGATAGCCTGGGTGCGGTGGCTCATGCCTGTCATCCCAGCACTTTGGTAGGCCGAGGTGTGTAGATCACCTGAGGTCAGGAGTTCGAGACCAGGGTGGCCAAGATGGTGAAACCGCATCTCTTCTAAAAATACAAAATAAAAAAAAAATTAGCCACGCCTGGTGGCGCACGCCTGTATTCCCAGCTACTAGGGCAGCTGAGACGGGAGGATCACTTGAACTCGGGAGGCAGAGATTGCAGTGAGCCAAGGTGGCACCACTGCACTCCAGGCTGGGCGACAGAGTTTCTATCTCTAAACAAAAAGAAAAAGAAAAAAAGAAAAATCACTTCACAGGCAATAGAGAGTTATAAAAGGATACTTTATGGAAGATTTCATAGAGAAGACTGATGGAAAGAAAGAAGTGTATATTTTACAGAGCTGAGCAGTTCACAGCAAAAATCACCAGAACTGCCTTTTTCTCCAAAATTATTACCCCTAAGCTATTCTACTACTGGTTCTTCTAGTCCTTCCCTCTATTCCAAATCCTCAAATTGTCCATTTTCTTATTGCAATAATTTTCCTCTGCCCAGATCTAGGTCCTCCACAACACTTAGCACTCTCTTCGAGTGTTTGCATGCCCATTGTTTTAGCTCAGGTTCCCAAGGAAACAGAATTTGGGCCATTCCGGACACCTCTAGACAGACTATACCGAGAAACCATGCCTGGAACGGTGCAGGGGGAGAGGAGAGGAGAGGGAATTTACATACCTGGCTCTCACTCCTGGTTCCTTTTCTTAACGGTCAAAATTTATCCCACAGGCACGAGCTCCCCTACACTTCTAGATTGCATCATCTGCCCCCTTGGCAGCTGTCTGGGAAGCCAGATCCCACACTTGGAAGTGTAGTTTTTTCATACAATCCAAAAGTGGTAGCAGAGGCCAGGTGTGGTGGCTCACGCCTGTAATTCCAGCACTTTGGGAGGCCGATGCAGGCAGATCGTGAGGTCAGGAGCTCGAGACCAGCCTCGATAGCATGGTGAAACCCCGTCTATACTAAAAGTACAGATTTAGCTGGGCATGGTGACGTGCACCCGTAATCCCAGATACTCCGGAGGCAGAGGTGGGAGAATCGCTTGACCTCGAGAGGCAGAGGTTGCACTGAGCTGAGATCTCACCATTATACTCCAGCCTGGAGGACAGAGCGAGACTCAATCTCAAAAACAAAACAAAACAAACAAACAAACAAACAAACACAAAAGTGGTAGCAGAAGTCAGAAAGTCCAGGTATGTAGCTACTTTGCCTAGTTGTAAAGCAGCAGCCAAGGGTGAAAACTGAATACTCCCAGGCAAGTCCTAAGTTCACCGAGTAACTGGAGTACCCATCTGTGTTAGTTAATTGCCTTTATCTGAAGGAAAAGTAAAACTCATGTCTCTGTGACAACCAGGTGCTTACAGCTTGGAGCGAGGCACCTAGGCTAAACTCCTCTGGTGACAGGGAGACAAGGACATCATCTTCCTCAATGTTCACATTTCAAAGAGATGGCTCCAAGGCCCTGAAGAAAGACATTCCTAGGGGATGGGCGTGGTGGCTCACGCCTGTAATCCCAACACTTTGGGAGGCTGAGGCTGGAGGATCACTTGAGGCCTGGAGTTCAAGTTCAAGACATTCCTGGGTTCTAGGATGGCCAGAGGCTTACAGATCAAAGGAAGAATTTACAAATACAAATTTTCTCAAGAAAATGCTCTAAGGAAAGTGAAATGGGGAAAGGTCTCTTCTTCCCTTTTGGCAACAGGAAAAATTCAATTTTATGTTTAGTTACCCTTACAATATCCCCCTTTTGTTATTGTTTTATAGGAACACTGCAATTTTCTAATTATCTCCACTGCTGTTTCTATCTTTCTCTGTGTGGTTTACAGCCACCTAGATATCCAACAAGTCCATAGTAAGATGCAAAGCAAAGCAATTATCAGGATTATAATAGAATGATTTTTTTTTTCAGGACAGAGTTTCGCTCTTGTTGCCCAGGCTGGAGTGCAGTGGTGCGATGTCGGCTCACTGCAACCTCTGTCTCCTGAGTTCAAGCGATTCTCCTGCCTCAGCCTCCCGAGTAGCTGGGATTACAGGCATGTGCCACCACGCCCAGCTAATTTGGTATTTTTTGTAGATATGCGGTTTCACCATTTTAGCCAGGCTGGTCTTGAACTCCTTACCCCAGGTGATCCGCCCACCTCGGCCTCCCAAAGTATTAGGATTACAAACGTGAGCCACCATGCCCTGCCTAGAAAGAATTCTTAAATTCAGTATAATACTCCCCTTGTTTGGGCGGCGGGACCTTTAAACACATCATACTGGTTAATTGTGTCAAAGTCAAAATAAATTATAGAGACAAATCCCTAAATCAAATGCTGTATTTGGGAATCACAAAATTGCAATCCAGGGCATATACAAGGACTAGGGTGGTCTTCAGTGTGTCCAACGAACAAACAGAAGTTGGAAATTTTATTAGAAAGAAAAATGTTACATATTGTTTTGAAATGAGGCTCATTGGCCCTGGAGAAGCTGGTTCATTCGCACAATCAGCTTTCACATTCCCTCTTTTGATCAACATCTTTGTTTGAAAACCTCACTGATTAGCCATCTTAAAGTGAGGCTTCACTGTCACTCCATGCCAGGATGGACGTGGGCCGGTTGTCTTTGTCCCATGTCAAGGGAAAGGTAAGGGAGTCTAGATCAGGGACATGGGCCATATTTGAGCCACAAAGAGGCCAGAAGGAAAAAAAAAAATTCAGGCAGGTTTGTCTGGAGTTCAGCATCAAATTCCATCTTGTTAGTCCCATCTATATTAGCATTCATCTTGAAGCACTAGGCCAACATTTTCCTGTTGGTAGAACTGGCTTAACAAATATTAGACAGGCAACAAGAATGGAGCTCAAAGATCATAATACAAAAGTAATTAGCTATCGTTATTTTATTTTATTATTTTATTTTATTTTATTTTATTGCAACGCGGTCTTGCTCTGTCACCCAGGCTGGAGTGCAGTGGCGTGATCCCGGCTCACTGCAACCTCCACCTCCTGGGTTCAAGCGAATCTCCTGCCTCAGCCTCTCGAGTAGCTTGGATTACAAGTGCTCACCACCACGCCCGGCTAATTTCTGTCTTTTCAGTAGAGACGGGGTTTCATCATGTTGGCCAGGCTGGTCTCGAACTCCTGACCTCAAGTGATCCGCCCTCCTTGGCATCCCAAAGTGCTGGGACGGTAGGCGCGAGCCACCGCACCCAGCTATAATTAGCAATAGTAGAATAAATTTAGTTTGTACAATGATTTTGAACTAAGATCCCAAGCCTAAGGGCCACCAGCTAAACAAATCAAAAGACTATGGGGGAATTGAATGAGACCTCTTATAGTCTTTGAGTAGCATTTGAGGACTGGGTTGAATTAAAGCAGAGTGCCAACTCTATAAAAGGGACCACTCTATAAAAAGGATTCACTAGGTGAATCAAAGGATTTGGGAGTCATGGTCTGCCAAGTGAAAAATGTAGACATTAAGGGGATAAGAGTCTCATTATGATATGAAGACTTATTCTGATATCTTGGGAAAAGCTGTCTACAATGTGGAATCGTCAGCTTCTCATCCTGATTTGTCGTTCGAATGTCTCTGGTTATGGCATTCGACAGTTTGGTGAACTTTTTGTGTGGTCCATGCATCAGACACGAGACTTGTTCCTTAAAATGTATGCAGTTTGGCTAGGTGCAGTGGTTCATGCCTGTAATCCCAGCATTTTGGGAGGCTGAGGTGGGCAGATCACAAGGTCAGGAGATAGAGACCATCCTGGGTAACTCGGTGAAACCCCGCCTCTACTAAAAATACAAAAAATTAGCCGGGGATGTTGTCACGTGCCTGTAGTCCCAGCTACTCGAGAGGTTTGGGCAGGAGAATCTCTTGAACCCGGGAAGCGGAGGTTGCAGTGAGCCGAGATCTCACCACTGCACTCCAGCCTTGGCAACAGTGTGAGACTCCATCTCAAAAAAAAAAAAAATTATGCAGTTTTTGTCTTAGAGTATTTGTAAACCAAAAATAGCATCCTAAGCACCCCCACCCTTAACCATCTGAATGGACGTCCTCCTCAGCCAGAGCTCTTTTAAAATTAAGCTGGGAGACTGTTTTAGGCCATGACAGGACTTGTGGGTCAGACATGCCTCATTATACCTCTCTGGCATCAATATCAACACAGACTTAAATCTCATAAGAAACATGTTACAACCTAGTCTCTCTGAAGTCTAGTACCTGAAGGTTTCCTCTGCAAATAAGAACTTGGGTCACCACAATCCTTTATCTCAACCCAGGCATTCCTTTCTGTTGATCCTAGGCATTTTTGTTTGTTTGTTTGTTTGTTTGTTTTTGCTTTGAGACAGAGTCTAGATCTGTTGCCCAGGCTGGAGTATAATGGTGCATTCTCTGCCAACTGTAACCTCTGCCACCCGGATTCAAGCAATTCTCCTGTCTCAGTCTACCCAGTAGTTGGGGTTACAGGCACCCGCCATCACATCCAGCTAATTTTTTTGTATTTTTAGTAGAGACGGGGTTTCACCATGTTGGCCAGGCTGGTCTCCATCTCCTCACCTCAGGTGATTCATCTGCCTCAGCCTCCCAAAGTGCTGGGATTATAGGCACGAGCCACCAGGCCTGGCCGATCCTAGGTTTTTAGAAAACCCAACCAATTGTCAACTAGAAAATTTTTTAATCTACCTGTAAGCTGGAAGCCCCTGCTTCGAGTTGTCCTGCCTTTCTGGACCAAACCAATGTATTTCTTAAATGTATTTGATTGAGTCTCCATAAAATCTGTAAAACCAAGCTGCACCCCAACCTCCTTGGGCAACTCAGGACCTCCTGAGGCTGTGTCATGGGCCATGGTCGCTCCTATTTGGCTCAGAATAAGTCTCTTCAAGTGTTTTCCAGAGTTTGACTCTTTTCATCAGCAGGCTTCAGGAACAGAGCAGTTTCTGTTTTTAGTAATTTTATGGGAAAAAGTTGGATCTAGTCTAGTCTGTATGTAGATAACAAGAACTCGGCCAGGCGCAGTGGCTCAGGCCTGTATTCCCACCACTTTGGGAGGCCGAGGCGGGCGGATCACGCGGTCAAGAGATTGAGACCATCCTGGCCAACATGGTGAAACACCGTCTCTACTGAAAATACAAAAATTAGCCGGGCGTGGTGGCATGCACCTGTAGTCCCAGCTACTCGGGAGGCTGAGGCAGGAGAATCGCTTGAATGCGGGAGGCAGAGGTTGCAGTGAGCCGAGATCCCGCCACTGCACTCCAGCCTGGTGACAGAGCGAGACTCTGTCTCAAAAACAACAACAACAACACAAAAAGAAAAAAAACACAAGAACTCGAAAAAATGCAGAGAGCTACAATCTAATAACTGGTCTATTAGAGCTTTTCTTTAGCAACATAATTTTTCTCTATACATTGATCACTTAGGAATCTCAGATTTAAAAACCTCTTGAGCATAGAAAGTCAAACCAAGGCCGACTTTAGATTTCACCTACCTTCTTAAGGTTCCTGGGCCTGACAGAAAGTGACCGTTTTTATTCACCCACTCTAAAGCTAAAAACACTTGAAGTCAGGCATTCCATGCATTTTGATGAAAGCCTTGGTAATATAACCAATTTTTTTTTCTTTTTGAGACAGTCTTGCTCTGTCACCCAGACTGCTGAGATCTCAGCTCGCTGCAGCCTCCACCTCCTGGTTTCAAGCAATTCTCCTGCTTCAGCCTCCTGAGTAGCTAGGATTACACATGTACACCACCATGCCCTACTACATTTTTTCTTTATAATTTTTAGTAGAGATGTGGTTTCCCCATGTTGGCCAGGCTGGTCTCAAACTCCCGATCTCAGGTGATCCACCCACCTCAGCCTCCCAAAGTGCTGGGATTACAGGTGTGAGTCACCATGCCCGGCCTTATAACCAATGTTTTTAATTGTATCTGTCTATAAAGAGAGAGCAGATTTTTTTGTGTGTGTTTAGAAAAAAGGTGGGTCAGGTGCAATGGCTCACACCTAAAATCCCAGAGCTTTGGGAGGCCACTTGAGCCCAGAAGTTCAAGATCAACCTGGGCAACATAACTAGACCCCCATTGCTAAAAAAAAAAAAAAAAAAAAAAAAAAAAAAAAAAAAGAAAAAGAAAAAAAAAAGGAAAGATGGAAAAGAGAAAAGAAGTATGGTTTTATAACTACCTGCAGGTAGGGCCTGCATGAGGTGGTGGGTGTACTTGAGAGAAGAGAAGAGGAACGGAGGAGAGGAGAGGGGAGGGGAGGAAAGGGGGGGAGAAGGGCGAGGGGAGGGGGAGGAAGGGGACAGGGGAGGGGGAGCGGTGGAGCGGCACGGAGGCGGGAATGGTTTTATTACTACCTGCAGGCAGGGCCTGCATGAGGTGGTGGGTGTGCTGGGCCCAGGGTACGTGTGGGCTGTGAGGAGATGGTGATGGTGAGGCTGGAAGGAAAGGGGGTGGCTTGGAAACCAGGCCCAGGGGATCCTCAGATCCGCTTCTTGGAATGGGCAGCCTTGAGAAAAGAGTCATGGTAAGCCACAGTCATGCCATCCATCAGATGCAGACATTCTTGGAAATCCAGCTGCCCATCACTAGTGAGGTCCAGTTTCTTCATCATGTGGTCAAAGACACTGGGGGCCTCTGGTTCTTCATGAAGGCATCCAGTTCTGTATTCATGAAGCTTGGGAACTCCATCTTGGAGTGAATGCTATCGTAACCATCCTTTCCAGCCTATTTCTGGAAAATAGCAATCAGGGACTCTCTGTAGGGCTGGAGACTTTTGCCATGTTGGAGTTGAATGAGGCACCAAGAGCAGGTTTTTACTGGACCTGTGTAAATAACCATATTGCCATAGGAATATTTACAAATAGTTTTCAAATTCTGGAGGAATTGAGTAGTAAGAAAAAGCAAACATTTCCATCTCAGTTTACAAAAGTATACTTCACAAAATTATTATAAACTATAGATAGTTTAACAGAGAAAATTTTCTCTTTTTTTTTTCATTTTTTTGAGAAAGGATTGCGCCCCGTCGCCCAGGCTGGAGTGCAGTGGTGCAAACACGGCTCCCTGCAACCTCTGCGTCCCGACTCAAGTGATCCTCCCACCTCGGCCTTGCAAGTAGCTGGGACCACAGGTGCGTGCCACCATGCCCAGCTAATCTTCTTATTTTTGTTTTTGTTTTTGTAGAGACAGGGTTTTGCCATGTTGCCCAATCGGGTCTGGAACTCCTGGGCTCAAGCGATCCTCCTGCCTTGGCTTCCAAAGTGAGCCACCACATCCCACCAGAAAATTTTCTTAAATGTGGAAAACAAAACATTTAGGTAAAAAACAAATAAAGTTTTATTTTCTTAATTTCTTTCAGAAACCAGGTCTCCTATATTTCCCAGGTTGGTCTTGAACTCCTGCACTCAAGGGATCCTCCTGTTCCAGCCTCCAAAAGTGCTGGGATCAGAGGTGTGAGCCACTGCACCCAGCCCAAGAATAAATAAAGTTTTAAATAAAGGTCACAAAAACATTATTGGTTATTTAGCCTCATATAATTAATGTTTGTTCTGCTTGATCTTGATAATCAGTTGCATGAACCCATCAGTTTTCGTTAGAGTTTTCAAAAATAATTCATTTCGTTCATTGATCTGAAAGTTATTACAAATCTATATTCAACAGTACTTGTTAAAATATTTTTTATGAATCTGATTCTGGATGCCTTTAGAGAAGAATCAGCACTGTAGATGATAAAGCTTAGAATAGTAACGATTAAAATCCGATGAAAGTTCAATAATTGACAAGGAAATTCAGTTATTTCTATTATAGAGAGAATTTTAAGATAACAACCAGAATCATGACTAACAGCATCACACCAGGACCATCAGACCTCTGTAAATTTTATATGATCTTCTGAACATTAACATCAATAATATATCTATATAAATGTAAACACCAATTAGTATTTTTTATTATCTGACATTGTTTTTCATATAATGTGACATATCAAATAAGCCTAATGAGAGACACATTCTTTGAGGCTCTCCAGGGGCCTCACTGGTAAATCTCAAAGTCAATTTTAGGTTAAAAAGACTTAAATTAGAATTTGATTAGTTTGTTCAACAGCAATAGATAAATTAAAAAAGAATTGCATTTTGGGGAAGTTTGTCAAAGATGTTAAAAGGCTCAAAACACTTGTGCAAAACAGGATCACGGGTCACTGTGAAATAATAGTCACTCATTTAACCAGAGTGATAGTCCACAGACTTCAAAAGCAATACAGAAAGTTACATGGACTTAAAAACTTACCCTTTCAAAGCTCAGTTTTCCTAAGCAAGAAGAAACCTAATCAGTAGGCTGGGCGTGTTGGCTCACGCCTGGAATCCCAGCACCTTGGGAGGCCGAGGCGGACAGATCACTTGAGGCCAGGAGTTCAAGACCAGGCTGAGCGACATGGCAAAACCCCTTTTCTACTAAAAGGACAAAATATTAGCTGGGTGTCGTGGCCCACGCCTGTGGTCCCAGCTACAGGAGGCAAAAGAATTGCTTGAACCTGGGAGACAAAGGTTGCAGTGAGCCAAGATCCCGCCCATTGCATTCCAGCCTGGGCGACAGAGAGAGACTCCATCTCAAAACAAAACCCTAGGATCAACAGAAAGGAATGCCTGGGTTAAGATAAAGGATTGTGGAGACCCAAGTTCTTATTTGCAGAGGAAGCCTTCAGGTACTAGGCTTCAGAGAGACTAGGTTGTAACATGTTTCTTATTAGACTGAAAGTCTGTGTTGATGTTGATGCCAGAGAGGTATAATGAGGCATGCCTGACCCCCACTTCCTGTCATGGCCTGAAACCATCTCTCAGGTTAAATTTTAAAAGAGCCCTGGCTGAGGAAGAAGTCCATTCAAATGGTTGCGGGTTGGCGGGGGATAGGATTTTATTTTTGATCTACAAGTTCTGTAAGATAACAGTGCATACATTTTAAGGAACAAGTCTGCTGCCTGATGTATGGACCACACAAAAAGTTCACCAAACTGTCCAATGCCATAACCGGAGACATTCGAACGACAAATCAGGATGAGAAGTTGACGTTTCCACACTATAGACAGCTTTTCCCAAGACGTCAGAATAAGTCTTCATATCGTAATGAGACTCTTACCCCCTGAATGTCTACATTTTTCACTTGACAGAACCCGACGCCCAAATCCTTTACCTCACCTAGTGGTCCCTTTAGAGTTGGCACTCTGCTTTAATTCGACCCAGTCCTCAAATGCTACTCAAAGACTACAAGAGGTCTCATTCAATTCCCCCATAGCTTTTTGATTTGTTTAGCTGGTGGCCCTTAGGCTTGGGATCTTGGTTCAAAACCATTGTACAAACTAAATTTATTCTACTGTTGCTAATTATAGCTGGGTGTGGTGGCTCACGCCTGTAATCCCAGCACTTTGGGATGCCAAGGAGGGGGGATCATTTGAGGTCAGGAGTTCGAGACCAGCCTGGCCAACATGGTGAAACCCCATCTCTACTGAAAAGACAAAAATAAGCCAGTCATGTTGATGGGCACCTGTAATCCCAGCTACTGGGGAGGCTGAGGCAGGAGAATCGCTTGAACCCGGGAGATGTAGGTTACAGTGAGCCGGGATCACGCCACTGCACTTCAGCCTGGGCGACAGAGCAAGAATCCATTGCAATAAAATAAAATAAAATAAAGTAAAATAATAAAATAAATAAAATAAAATAAACAATTGCTAATTATTTTAGAATTATGATCTTTGAGCTCCATACTTGTTGCCTAATATTTGTTAAGCCAGTTCTCCCAAGAAAATAATGTTAGCCCAGTGCGTCAAGATGTTTGCTAATATAGATGCGACTAACAAGATGGAACTTGATGCTGAACTCCAGGCAAACCTGCCTGAAATTTTTTTTCCTTCTGTCCTCTTTGTTGCTCAAATATGGCCCATGTCCCTGATCTAGACTCCCTTACCTTTCCCTTGGCATGGGATAAAGACAACCGGCACAGGTCCATCCTGGCATGGAGTGACAATGAAGCCTCACTTTAAGATGGCTGATCGGTGAGGTTTTGAAAGAAAGATGTTGATCAAAAGAGGGAATGTGAAAGCTGATTGTGCGAATGAACCAGCTTCTCCAGGGCCAATGAGCCTCATTTCAAAACAATATGTAACATTTTTCTTTCTAATAAAGCTTCCAACTTCTGTTTGCTCGTTGGACATACTGAAGACCACCCTAGTCTGTGTGTATGCCCTGAATTGCAATTTTGTGATTCCCAAATACAGCATTTGATTTAGGGATTTGTCTCTATAATTTATTTTGACTTTGACACAATTAACCAGTATGATGTGCTTAAAGGTTGCCCCACCCCCTGACAGGGTGAGTATTATACTGAATTTAAAAATTCTTTCTAGGCAGGGCATGGTGGCTCACATCTGTAATCCTAACACTTTGGGAAGCCGAGGTGGGTGGATCACCTAGGGTGAGGAGTTGAAGACCAGCCTGGCTAAAATGGTGAAATCCCATCTCTAAAAAAATACCAAATTAGCTGGGCGTGGTGGCACATGCCTGTAATCCCAGCTACTCGGGAGGCTGAGGCGGGAGAATCACTTGAACTTAGGAGACAGAGGTTACAGTGAGCCGACATCGCACCATTGCACTCCAGCCTGGGCAACAAGAGCGAAACTCCATCCCGAAAAAAAAAATCATTCTATTACAATCTTGATAACTGCTTTGCTTTGCATCTTACTATGGACTTGTTGGATATCTAGGTGGCTGTAAACTACGCAGAGAAAGATAGAAACAGCAGTGGAGATAATTAGAAAATTGTAGTGTTCCTATAAAACAATTAACAAAAGGGGGAAATTGTAAGGGTAACTAAACATAAAACTGAATTTTTCCTGTTGCCAAGAGGGAAGAAGAAACCTGTCTCCATTTCACTTTCCTTAGAGCATTTCCTTGAGAAAATTTGTATTTGTAAATTCTTCCTTTGATCTGTAAGCCTCTGGCCATCCTAGAACCCAGGAATGTCTTGAACTTGAACTCCAGGCCTCAAGTGATCCTCCAGCCTCAGCCTCCCAAAGTGTTGGTCTTACAGGCGTGAGCCACCACGCCCTGCCCCCGAAATGTCTTTCTTCAGGGCCTTGGCGCCATCTCTTCGAAATGTGAACACTGAGGAAGATGATGTCCTTGTCTCCCTGTCACCAGGGGAGTTTAGCCTAGATGCCTTGCTCTAAGCTGTAAGCAGCTGGTTGTCGTAGAGACATGAGTTTTATTTTTCCTTCAGATAAAGGCAATTAACTAACACAGATGGGTACTCCAGTTACCTGATGAACTTAGGACTTGCCTGGGAGCATTTAGTGTTCACCCTTGGCTGCTGCCATACAGCCAGGCCAATTACCTACATATCTGGACTTTCTGATTTCTGCTACCACTTTTTATTGTTTGTTTGTTTTGCTTTTTTTTTTTTTTTTTTTTTTAGGCGGAGTCGCCCTCTGTTGCCCAGGCTGGAGTGCAGTGGTGTGATCTCAGCTCATTGAAACCTCTGCCTCCCAGATTCAAGCGATTCTCCTACCTCAGCCTCCCGAGTAGCTGGGATTACAGGCGTGTACCACCATGCCCAACTAATTGCTGTTATTTTTAGTAGAGACGGGGTTTCTCCATTCTGGCCAGGCTGATCTCCAACTCCTGACCTCATGATCCGCCTGCCTTGGCCTCCCAAAGTGCTGGGATTACAGGTGTGAGCCACCACGCCTGGCCTCTGCTACCACTTTTGGATTGTATGAAACACTACACTTCCAAGTGTGGGATCTGGCTTCCCAGACAGCTGCCAAAGGGGCGGGTGATGCAATCTAGAAGTGTAGGGGAGTTCGTGCCTGTGGGATATCTACTGCCTGTGAAGTGAATTTTCTTTTTATTTCTTTTTCTTTTTTATTTAGAGACAGAGTCTCTGTCGCCCGGGCTGGAGTGCAGTGGCCCGATCTCGGCTCACTGCAATCTCTGCCTCCTGAGTTTATGTAATCCTCCCTCCTCAGCTGCCCTGGTAGCTGGCACTACAGGCATGCAACACCAATGCCTGGCTAATTTTTTCATTTGTGTGTTTAGTAGAGAAGGGGGTTCACCATCTTGGCCAGGCTGGTCTCGAACTCCTGACCTCAGGTGTTCCACCTGCCTCAGTCTCCCAAAGTGCTGGGATTACAGGCGTGAGCCACCGTACCCGGCCTGTCACATTTACTTTGGAGAATAAAACAAGTTGAGTCTTGTGCCAAAATGCAGGGGAAGCTGCACCCAGACAGGTAACAAAATATTATATACAATCATAGATAGGTTTACTACATACCGATAATAACCATTTAGAAAACCAAATTGAGAAAAATTACACTTTCATAGTGACAAAAGTACATAAAATATCTAAAACCAGATGATTGGAGCAAGATGGCAGACAGATCCCGTGCCCCACTCAATCAACATTCCATTGAACTGAGAAGAAAATGTTTTCAAGGGTCAACTCTTAACAGTAGAGGAAAATAAGAAAACGTGTCAGTGGTCCGCCAGAAATATTGAGGCATTCCTGGGAGATAGAGTAGATGGGATCAGACTGATAGAGAAACCCGAGGAGACAAGACCACAGCTCAAATCACTGTAGTAAAGAGATGCTGTTTGCTTTTTGAGACAGACTTACTCTGTGAGACAGACTTACTCTGTTGCCCAGGCTGGAGTGCAGTGGCGTGATCTCGGCTCACTGCACCCTCCGTCTCTCAGGTTCAAGGGATTCTCCCGCCTCACTCCCCGCAGTAATTGGAATTCACAGAGGCCTGCCACCACTACCGGCTAATTTTTGTATTTTTAGTAGAGACGGGGGTTGCACCCTGTTGGCCAGGCTGGTCTCAAACTCCTGACCTCAAGTGATCTGCCTGCCTCGGCTTCCCAAAGTGCTGATATTACAGAGTGGGTCACCGCGCCCACCCAGGAGATTCTCTTTGTAACAAAGCCTCTGAAAATCTCCAAACCCTGAATCAAAAAAAACACGGAGCTGGAAAGGGCCTTAGGATAATCACATCATGTAGGTTAATTTAAAAGTTCATTAGAGGAACCAACCCAAATGTCCAACAATGATAGACTGGATTAAGAAAATGTGGCACATATACACCATGGAATACTATGCAGCCATCAAAAACGATGAGTTCACGTCCTTTGCAGGGACATGGATGAAGCTGGAAACCATCATTCTCAGCAAACTATCGCAAGGACAAAAAACCAAACACCACATGTTGTCACTCATAGGCGGGAATTGAACAATGAGAACACATGGACACAGGAAGGGGAACGTCACACACCGGGGCCTGTTGTGGGGTGGGGGGAGGGGGGAGGGATAGCATTAGGAGATATACCTCATGGTAAATGACGAGTTAATGGGTGCAGCACACCAACATGGCACATGTATACATATGTAACAAACCTGCACGTTGGGCACATGTACCCTAAAACTTAAAGTATAATGAAAATAAAAAGTTCATTAGAAACATCTGAATCAGCCAGATTCCCCTCCAACACCACAGACAGATTGGCTGGCAGTAGCCACTTTTGCCTCTAAGATGAAACTCTGATAATTGTTCATTAAAGAAAGTGAAGGCCTGGCGAGGTGGCTCACACTTGTCATCCCAGCACTTTGGGAGGCTGAGGCAGGAGGATTGCCTGAGGCCAGGGGATCCAGACCAGCCTGGGCAACATAGTGGATGCCGTCTCTATAAAAAAATACAAAAACTAGCTGGGTGTGGTGGCGTGTGCCTGTAGTTCCAGCTAGATCAGAAGCTGAAGTGGGAGAATCCCTTGAGCCTGGGAGATCCAGGCTGCAGTGAGCTGTACTTGCATCACTGCACTCCAGACTCAGCGACAGACTGCGATACTGTCTCAAAAAAACAAACAAACAAACAAACAAACAAAAAAACAAAAACAAAAAACCACGAAAAAGTAATGTATCAGGACTTGGTGTAACTTCAGCCCTTTACAGTAATAATCAAGGAGAGAAACACATTTGTGGAGAAGGGACCATGTTCACTCTTTATCTATCCATGATAGACAGATAGTCCGGAGCTTTATATACCCATGTAACCTAAGGAAAAATGTTCCCTGTCATAACTCACAATCTTCCTGCCACACTACGTTGCACCTGTCTTGTGGGCTGGGGGACCCAACTTATGGATCCCATTGTCCCAGGGAGAAAGAAAAATCAAATGCTTCGGTATCTCTTTTAGGGTATCCTCTCCTCTATTTGCATGGAGGACATGGCACTCAATATCTAGTAGCCGAATGTTACATTTGTGTAATACAGAACTATATTGGGATAAAATAGAATTTGTTCCCTCTGAGACACAGGTAGAGGTACGTCCACACTGACCTGGGTGGCAGCCATCTCTTCCTGCACTGCCAGGCAGGGCATGCTCACAGATCTGGGGAACCTCTGTTGCTCCTGGAGCTCCACAATCTCCTTCCAGGCACCCTCTCCCTCTGGTGGCTGTGACAGCCCACATGTGGCTTTGTCTCCCCTGCTTCTTTGCCTGCCCCTCTTCTGCCCACCCTTCGTATCTCTGTCTCCCACTGTCCCTGCTGTGACCACAACTGCCTCTCCCTCCCTGCACTCTCTCTCTCCTAGGGCTCCTTGTCTTCGGTAAATGAACCCACAGCCTTTACATTTTGATTGGGGACAGAGCCCGGGGCTTGTTCAATTCCCCCTCCCTCCACCACACACACCTGTCCTCCTTAAAGTTTCTGAAGTCAGTGAGCTCCAAACTCAGCCCCTCCTGCACCTGCCAGCTGTAGGACCTCTGACAAGACACCTACCATCTCTCTGGGACTCCGTCTCTCATCTATTATATTGGCATAATGATGATAGTGTCCTCCTTCGAAGGCTGGGGAGAACCAGGAGGCCAAGGTGATGGGCCACGAACGGGCAAAACAGCTCCAATCCTGCCTCCACCTGGGGCTGGTGTTTCAAGTCCATTGTGTGTGAATGGAGCTTTGATGTCTCCATTGACACGCAATGGTTTGTTCTAAAATAGACTCCCCTCTGCCCTTCCCTTCCCCACAACTGTTTCACCTCTGTACCGTGCAATGGTACCTGTGAGAAAGAACTGTCCCATTCCCAAATCATCATCCCCACCCCAGCCCCCAGGCCTTTGGTTGGTGAGACCCTTGATGGGCGCTCTCATGCTTCTGTCCAGGAGACTTTCCCACCAATTGCTCCCCTGCATGGAGACTAAGTGGACTCTTCTATTCCCTGTCCATCACAGGGTCTACATTGCACGCATCTGCCTTATTCTTCCACGTTCCCCAGATGACGATTTCATCTGTGTCTCCTCCCACATCCACCCAAATGGACCGTCCCAGACCTTGAAACCGAAAATCATTCAGAGAGCAAAGGCCAAGATGCCCAACCACCTGCTACAGAATCCTGCTCCAGGACTGAAGTGTATAGTCTGTATCAAAATAAAAACTGGAGGACAGGTGCTGCGGCTCACGCCTGTAATCCCAACACTTTAGGAGACCAAGGTGGGAGGATTGCTTTGGCCCAGGAGTTTAAGTCCAGCCTGGGTAACATAGAGAGACTTTCTTGACAAAACCTTAAAAAACTTAGTGGATCATGATGGTGCACGCCTGTAGTCACAGCTTCTCTGGAGGCTGAGGACGGAGGATTGCTTGAGCCCAGGAGTTCAAGGCTGCACTGAGCTATGATCATGCCACTGCACTCTAGCCTGGACAGAGCAAGACCACCATCTCTAGAAGAAACAAACAAACAAAACCCAACAACTGGAAACATCCTCCTCTAGAACGGGGGTCAGGAACTCCTGTCTGCCTTGTTCCCTGACGTCGCTCCAGCACCTAGAACAGCGCTCAGCACGAGGACGCACTCATTAGTGTTTTGTTGAATAAATGACTCCTTTGACACAGCAATTCCACTTCTAAGAATCTTTCCTAAAGAAATATGCACACACGTGCACAGAGCTGTGTGCACAATAATGGCACGAGCAAACAACTGGGGAACGTTTGCAAAGGTTTATTAACTGTCAGTGACTGCTACAGGGGAATCGGATGAGGGGAGTACATGCTGACCAGGAAACAGAGTGAGGGGAGCTTGACCAGGACGCATGGCAATGGGAAAAGCAGATGGCAGATGCTTATACTGGTACTTGGTGTGTGTGTGTGTGTGTGTGTGTGTGTGTGTGTGTGTGTGTGGTGTGGTTTGTGTGCGTGTGTGTGTAAATGCAGAGGAAAAAATCTGAAATTAAACACTCAGAACTGCCCTCAGTAGTCACATCTGGGGAGAGAGGAGGGTAATGCTGTTCCATGCAGAGGTAACCGACAATACTTGTTTTCTAAGGTAGGTGCATGGATACACAAACCAAAATATGCATTAAGTATGTCTTGCTCATCAATGAAAATGTTAGTATCTAACAGAATGACACAGTGTAAGAAAATACAACGTAAACGCTAACATCGAACTCTTGGCACACTAAGAAAAATGACGCTCAACTTTTCACTGTTGTGAACACTTGCTTTCACTTGCTATGCACCTGATGACGAGGGGTCCGCAGCCATGCCCATGTTCGTGAAAGGTCACCACGTTCTGCTTCTCATCATGGGCATGTGTCGTATCCCTGAGGCTGAGGCAAGAAGAGAGAAGGAAATAAGTGGCAGTGAGTTCCCACCACGTGGCAACGCAATCTCAACTCCTCCTGACCTGCAGACCCTGCACACTCCGATTCTGCCCTATCTCAGGACCTGCACACGCCTTCCACGGTTCCTCGAAGTGAACCATCTGTTCATGCCACAGTGACTTCCTCGCCTGGGTTATCAATTCCTAGGCTAGAGAAAGGTGTGGCCCGCATATCAGGGCTTACTTGGGGTTTGGGACCCCACAGCATCCTGGGTAGGGAGGATCCCCGGATATATACAGGGCAGGGAGTAGAAAGAGCATGGGAAATCTCTCATCGTTCAGCCTCAATGCTGTACAGTAGAAAATTGTAAGAAGGGAATGATTTGGGGAGCAAGTGACAGATGGGATACCAGTATCATAACAGAATAGCACGTCTGCAGGGATGTGGGGGATGAGTGGAAGGTTCTCTTACGGAGTTACTCGTCATCTTCCTCAGGGTCGCTGATCTCTTCATAAATCACCAGCTGTTTTCTCTCACGCAGTCTGTGGGTCCAGGCATGTTCCCCCCTTTTGGGTCCTGTGATGGAGAATAGTTGGAAAGTGAGGGTTGGGTAGGTTGGAGAGTGTTAGGCTCTGTTTACTCAAAAAAAGGAGATGCCTGCTTCCTCCCAAGTGCCCATGGGCCTTCTTCATCCAGTTTTTCACATTCTCTGGCTTAGAGAGGCTGAGACCTTAGATCCACACCAACATAGGCCAAATGCCAATTAAAGTTTTAGCTTCTGGCTCCTTCCCTTCTCAGGCTTAGATTCCCAACCTCTTCACTTACGGGAACATTCCCCCATACCTCCTTTCATCCAGCACGTATTTGTTAAGGCCACACAGGCGTACCTTGTTTTGTTGCACCTCATGTTCATACTGCTTCGCAGATGCTGCAATTTTTTTTTTTAATTCTCACCAATTTTACACTTTTCCATTATTATTATATCTGCTATAGTGATCTGTGATCGGTGAGCTTTGATATTATTACTGCAATTGATTTTATTGTTTTTTAGTGTTTTAAAATAATTTTTGTTCTTTATTTTGTGGGTACGCAGCAGGTGTATATTCTTATGGGGTACATGAGATGCTTTGATACAGGCATGCAATGGGTAATAATCACATCATGGAAAATAGGGTATCCATCCTCAAGCATTTATCCTTGTGTTACAAACAATCCATTTACACTTTTAGTTTTTTTTTTAATGTACAATTAAGTTATTATTGACTATAATCACCCTGTTGTGTGTAATTGTTTTGGGGGTACCATGAACTGCACCCATAGAAGTTGACAAACTGAATCGACCAATGTTGTGTGTGTTCTGACTGCTCCACCGATGAGCTGTTCCGCGTCTCTCTTCCTTTTCTTGGGCCTCCCTATTTCCTGAGACACAGCAATACTGAAATGAGGATTATTAACAACCTTACAATGGCCGCTAAGTGTTCAAATGAAAGGAAGAGTCGCATGTCTCTCACTCTAAATCACAAGCTAGAAATGGCTAAGCTTAGTGAGGAAGCATGCTGAAAGCCAAGACAGGCTGAAAGCTAGGCCTATTGCGCCAAACAGCCAAGCTGTGAATGCAAAGGAAAAGTTCTTGAAGGAAATAATAATACTAATACTCCAGTGAACACACGAATAAGAAAGCAAAACTGCCTTACTGCTCAAATAGAGGAAGTCTGAGTGGTCAGGATAGAAGACGAAACCAGTCACAACATTCCCTTAAGCCAAAGTCTAATTCAGAGCAAGACCAGAACTCTCTTCAAGTCCATGAATGCTGAGAGAGGTGAAGAAGCTGCAGGAGAAACATGTGAAGCTAGCAGAGGTTGGTTCATGAGGTTTAAGGAATGAAGCCGTTTCCATAACATAAAAGTGCAAGGTGAAGCAGCAAACCCTGATGGAGAAGCTGCAGCAAGTTATCCAGAAGATCTAGCTAAGATCACTGTTGAAGGTGGCTACATGAAACAACAGATTTTCAATGTAGATAAAATAGCCTTCTATTGGAAGGAGATGCCTTCTAGGACTTTCATAGCTAGAGAGGATTGATTTCAACTTTGAAAGAAGTTCTACTGTGGGTAAAATGCTATCCAATAGCATCACATACTACAGAGAAATCCTTCATGAAACGGAGAGCTAATCGATGTGGCAAATTTCACTGTTGTGTTCTTTTAAGAAACTGCCACAGCCACTCCACCCTTCAGCAACCACCACCTTGATCAGCCAGCAGCCATCAACACCGAGGCAAGACCCTCCACCAGCAAAAAGAGTGTGACTCACTGAAGGCTCAGAAGATTGTTAGCATTTTTAACAAAGAATTATTTTTAAATTAAGGTATATACATTTTTAGACACAACGCTATCGCACACTTAGTAGACTACACTATAGTATAAACATAATGTTTTTATGCGCTGCCAAACCAAAAAACAACGTGTGTGACTCACTTTATTGCAGTGGTCTGGAACTGAACCTGCAGTATCTCTGAAGTACACCTGTATTGGGTAACAGGCATGGCATTGAGCTGAGTCTTAATCAGGTAATGATCCCAGGTAATCACAGATAGAATTGCTTGAGCACCTTTCATGTCATCAGGCCTTCTAGATTAAATTTAATGTCTCCAAACAATTTATGAACTATGATTCCTTATTTCCATCTTACGGACTAGGAATCTGGAGCTGAGAAAATCTGAAAGACTTGCCCCAAGTCACATGGTTTTTTCTATGGGTGACAAATCAAGTCTATCTCTGGAAGTCATGTCTAACATCTCATCTGGAGCTGGGCGAGCTCCTCAGCCCAGTCTGGACCCAGGGTTATCTGGGATCCATGCCACACACCCAGTCCATATACCTGAACATCGCCAGGGAAGCCAGAGGGATTGTTCCTGAATTGCTTCCTCTTACCAGATCTCTCGTGAATCTTCTCAGAGGTAGTTGGTTTTCCCGGGGGGCACAGCTCTTTCCCATCATTTTGTGGGCCAGATGCTTCTGGCACTTCCTCCGAATCATTTCCTTCCTCTGCTGGCTTCTTGGGCATGATCTTTATAATGTGAAGATCACAGATAAATAGTATCAGTGACATATCTATAGTGCTTTTGAGCTTACAAAGGGTCTTCACATGCATTAGCTTATTCAATGTTCTCAACAACACTGGGAGAGTTACACAGGCCTAAATTAGGAGAAACCTGGGAGGGGAGGTTAGAAGGGAAAGGAATGGCCTAAGTGAATATGGTTTCCAGGGATAGAATGCTTATCTTCCCACTCTTTTAGGACTGACATTCTTGCAAACAGCAAAAATCTCCATGTAATTGAGAGTGTGATATACAGATGATTTGGAGAAGAGTAGCATTCTAAGAATTCACAAGGTCTACAAAGGGAAGAGGTTCTGTAAAATACAAGGGATCCCATATAAGCTTCTAGACAGCTGCTGGGAGAGTAAATGTAAAAACATAGGGAGGCGACAAAACACTGCTGGGAAAGATGGTGTGGGGAGATGAATACAGGGAAGGGAGAGGGAAAGAAATGGTTTGCCGAAATTAATCTAGGCAGCAAACAAAGCAGTACCAGATATGACATACTACCCTACTGGGGCACCGACATTCAATGTGGAATTCAGTGAGGTGGTACCCATACCAATTCTGGTTGCATTGGGATGTGTCACTGACCAACAATCTTAAGCTACTTTTTTTTTTCTTTCTTTCTTTCTTTTTTTTTTTTTTTTTTTTTTTTTTTGAGACGGAGTCTCACTGTGTCGCCAGACTGGGGTGCCGTGGCATGATATCGGCTCAAGGCAACATCCGACTCCCGCGTTTAAGCGATTCTCCTTCCTTAGCCTCCAGAGTATCTGGGACTACAGGCAGGCACTACCACGCCCCGCTAAGTTTTGTATTTTTAGTAGAGACACGGTTTCACCATGTTGGGCAGGATGGTCTCGATCTCTTGACCTCGTGATCTGCCCGCCTCAGCCTCCCAAAGTGCTGGGATTACAGTCGTGAGCCACCGCGCCCGGCTCTTAAGCTACTTTTCATTCAGCTTCCTCCCTTATGAAATAGTGAACCATACATGTCAAATAGCCTACAGTAAAGTCCTCTCTGAGCTTGTAAACACTGTTTAAATGTCGTAATAATAACAATTAATACCTTTCACAATCCTTCTTTGAATTCAGTCTCCACACTGGCAACCCAACTCCCAGATCCCTTTACCCTCCAAACCAGAGTTGAATCTGCACTTGTGGGATCACTCATTCAGGGGCCTCCGAGGGATCCCCTGGGCTGGGACTGGGCCTTCCCAGATGCCCCAGGTGCAGACAAGGCACTCAAGGAGCTCACAGTAGGGAGGGGCCAACAATCAAAGTGATTCCTAAGCCATGCAAGTGGCCCCAGCAACACAGCAGAGACCAGATGGTCCTTCCTGTTGAGAGAGTGGGTGTCTCATTGGAAGCACCAGCAGGCCCTATGGGGTGAAGCCCTAGTGAGCAACATCTGAACTTCATAGACAAATGCAAATGTGAATGAGCTTTAAATGGCTTGGAGCTCTGGATTAGACTACCACTGCCACTGCGCCCCAGGAAAATTCTTTAACATCTCTGTACCACGATAGCCTCATTTTATTATTATGTTGCTGATAACTATGATCTAAAACATGAACTATAATTCTTTACTTCCATTTCATGGACCAGGAATCTGGAGCTCAGAGAACTTAGAAGATTTGTGTCAAGTCACATGGCTTTCATATGGATGAAAACTGAAGTGTGTGACTCATTATTATTTGGAGATAATAGAAACAATGTCTTCTTAAGGATTAAATAAATTAATCCATGTGAACTGCTTGAAATAGTATCTGGCATCACTATGAAAACAAAAGAAGTATTAACAATCGCAACTGTTGGTACTATCAAGCCGTCGGTGCGACATCAGGTGTTGTGATAGACATGGGGAGAAGAAGGCAGTGAGGGCATTTTTGATATTCTCCCACTCTTACCAGTGTTCGCATCCGTGGAGGGACAAAGGTTCTCTGGTCCTTTAGATCTGAGAGACACTCACCTTCGGGGAGATTCCCTGGAGCCTGCCGAAAGTCATCTGAGGACGTTCAACTGAAAGAGAATACATCAGAATTTTTCTTTGTTGGTAAAGGTTTCCAAACTCTAGAGAGACTTCTGTCGCATCAGGGTATTCTGCAGCAGAGGGTTATGAGTCCACTCATTGTTGAGGAGTTATTTCAGATTTGCTTCTGAATTATGTTTAGTCATGGTTGGTGCATTTATCTGTGGCATCAATTCAGAATTTTCCATCTCATGGTTTATCACATGGGGACTACACCCCATCACAGTCTCATCTTATTCCATTACATATCTTTTACTTTTTCCCAAATAATTAAATTGATTGGTTAGGAATCTGAACTGTATCCACTCAAGATGTGCAACAACTGAAAATCATTGTACACTTCAAATGGGTGAATCTTATGGTATGTGAATTAAGCTGTTAAATGTGTGATGAACCATGGATGATTTGGTCCAGTGGCTCTGAAATATTTTCAGTATAAAGACACTCCTTTACTGTCAAAACTTGGCAGATACTCAAGCACTGGCTTTTCAGGTCTCTTATAGTGATTGCGGGAGATTGTAGAATCTGGCCTGTTTAGTTGGCGAGTAATAGGTCTATTGGAGACGGTTTGGACATTCTGACCTTGTCTTATAATTATGTTGTCAGAGTAGAAGAGCAAGTAAATACATATGTCCCCTTTATATTCCTGAAATGTACAAAGCTCTCTACCCAAGAACCTATCTTTTTTTCACCCTATGTTATCTCTGCTCTCTGACAAGTGGGAAAGCTCTCTGTGTGTTGGATAAGGGATCACTCCTTCAAACTCTCTTCCAAGCTCATTACGGAGAATCAGGGTTCTTTGGGAATGAGAAGACTATTTGGTTTTGATAAACCAATACAGAGAAACAGCGATCTTTATTACATAATGTGTTCATCACCCTCACTCCTAAGATACCTATCCAATACCTACATGCTGTTAATGAAACAAACTCTGGAAGTTTTTGGCGGATCTACAGTTTTAACACTTTCTTTCTTTCTTTCTTTTTTTTTTTTCACTTGTAGCATTTTTTTAGCAGTCCTTTGATTCATTAACGGTGCTTAGGAAGAACAACATGTCGTTTAAAAAAGAAATATTTCAAACACACAGAAAAGTATGGGGAATAATATTGAGTCCAGTCGGATCTCAACATTACCCCACAGCTATGTTAGGTCTGATTTATTTATTCAGAATATTAGAAAAACTGCAAATAGGCCGGGCGTGGTAGCTCACAGTTGTAATCCCAGCACTTTGGAAGGCTGAGGCGGGTGGATCACCTGAGGTCAGGAAGTTTGAGACCAGCCTGGCCAACATGGTGAAACCCCGTCTCTACCATAAATTAAAAAATGAGCTGGGTGTGGGGGCACGTGCCTGTAACCCCAGCTACTCGGGAGGCTGAGGCAGGAGAATCACTTGAACCCAGGAGGTGAAAGTTGGAGTGAGCTGAGATTGCCTTATTGCACTCTACCCTGGCCGAGAAGAGTGAAACTCCATCTCAAAAACAAAAACAAACAAAACACACTATCAACAAGTCACAGCTGAAGCTGTCTGTGCCGCACTCAGTAATCCCTGCCCGCCCTCCCTCCCTCCTCCACTTACAGCCAGTCACCTTAATTTGATGGCTTTTTATTCACATTCATGTTTGTATACATTTACCATTTACTTATTATCCATAAAATATATATTCTTCTTTTGCATGTTTTAAAATTTTATATGAATGGCCTCTGTAGTTAACTTTCTGCATGCAATTTTTTTTTTTTTTTTCACTCAGCCCTGATGTGTATGAGGGAACAAATGCCTGAGGATCTTTCTCAGGTAGCTGAGCTGAAAAGCAGCTGGGCTTGAGGAGACCCTTTCCAGCCCCTTCCCATCTACTCACCCTGATTCCCACGGTTAGGGTCATTATCCAAATCATTCCCCTGGAAGTCTTCGGCCCGTTTATTACACATGAAAGGTGGGAGGGTGGCCTTGAAACCTAGAAAGAAGCAAAATGTTTATTCCTTAAGAGACAAGCTTGGGCCTGGTATGGTGGCTCATGTCTGTAGTACCAACACTTTGGGAGGCTAAGGCTGGAGAATTGCTTGAGGCCAGGAATTCAAGGCTGCAGTAAGCTATGATTGCACTACTGCCCTCTAGCCTAGGTGACAGACTGAGACTGACTCAAAAAAAAAAAAAAAAAAGGAAGAGACAAGCCGAGAGAAGGTAGGGTGGGTGTGTGTGGGGTGGGGGTAGGGGGGTTGCCGGGATGCCACAGAGACAGTTGGGCTCATCAGAACAGAAGCCTAAGGGAGAGAAACGTGCAGGATCCAGGTATAAGCTCCACTGTGGCCAGTCCCTGCCCTCAGCCCTGACAGGATACAGAAGAGCAGAACACCCAGAAGCTGCCTTGCGATTTTTCCCTGCACAAAAGGAAAATGTGAGGTACTTTCTGCAGCCTAAGAAGTAGCCAAAGCAGGAAAAGGGATGCTCATGTGTCCCCAGACTTGTCTGTTCCCAGAACTTTCTGTTACCTAGTTTAGTCATAGCCTCATACTTTCTCTTCATATACACATAGAAGATTTTCTCCGAGGCTTTCATCTTTTCCCACTCTTCCTTAGAGAAGTATTTGGCAATATCATCGAAGGCCTACAAAAAAAAAAAAAAGGAATTATGGCAGGGACTCAGCTAGGCATGTCTGCCATTCAGCTGGAGCCGCTTCCTGTGTGCTAGATCTGGGAACTGGGGATGATAATCCTTCCTGGTTGATGCCATGGCTAACTGACAGAACACGAGGGACCTTCCCTAGCTTCACCCCTGCCACACAGTAGGGCTTTAATGCTGCTGGCTGGCTCTCTTCCCACCTTCCAGAATGGACTGAGAGTCACCAGATGTAGTGCAAGGTCACAGACTTGTCTCCAGGGATGCTAGGTGATGACAGAGCGAGGGTGGGAGGCTCCCAAGGGTCCAGATCTCCCCCGAGACCCTGCTCCTTGTCTCCAGTATCTCTGTCCTCCCCTCCTCAGAAACCGGGTCACCCCACACTGTCCCCTGGGCCACTACTCTGCTCCCTCCAGGTCACCTCACCTTTTGGATCTTCTCTGGTATTTGAGCACCAACCGTGGGTCTCCTTGCAAAGGCGTCGTCTCCGTTCATGGCACCGGGAGCAGTCTGACCTGCAAGAGAAATAGCCTGAGTCTTTCCAGCCACAGCAGCTTTGATCCTGTGGAGGGAGAAGTCAGTGAAGGCCGGCCACCCTCAGTCACCTGGAATCAGCTGCTGCATTTCTCCATCCGGGGCTTATCTGTCCCTGAGTAAGGATATGGGGAGAAATCAGATGAAAACAGGGAACCAGGGGTCTCTGGGAGAAGTATTGATAGGGAATGACAGGTTTCCTATGGGCAAAGCAGCCTTGAGTCTTTGGGAGGGGGTTGGCTAATGTTGTTAGTAGTTTCCCTGGAGCTAGGCTTACCCTGAAAGATGTACGGACCCTTTTTGGGGAGGCAGGGACATGACTGTGTAATTTTATTCAGTGGGGGCATGCTGACACCCCCACTCAATAAATAAAGGAAGGGAAGTTAGTCCCAGAGATAACATGGTCTCTTTGGCGATGGATCTGATCAGGCAGAGGGATGGGGGGTTCTGTTCTGTTGAAGAGAAATGAGCATCGCTAATATGAACGTGTTCAGAGGCTATTACTCGGTGATTTGTAAATTATTAGAAGGAAGAGAGCTAGAATTTCTGAGACTACAAGAGCCCGCCATCACTTAGAGAGAATGTGGGGCATTTCAAGATGCAGCAATCAGCCAGGCGCCGTGGCTCACGCCTGTAATCCCAGCACTTTGGGAGGCCGAGGCGTGCAGGCCGCTTGAGCCCAGGAGGTCGAGACCCGGCTGGGAAACACAGCAAAACCCCCGTCTACAAAATACACAAAAAGTTAGCTGGGGTTGGTGGAGCAGGCCTGTACCATCCCAGCACTTTGGAAGGCCAAGGTGGGCGGATCGCCTTAGCCCAGGAGCTTGAGACCAGGCTCGCAAACGTAGCAAAACCATCTCTACTAAAAAAAACAAACAAAATTTAGCAGAAGCGGGGTGGTGCGCGCCTGTAGCCCCAAGGCCTAGGCGAGAGGCTCACTTGAGCCCAGGAGGAAAGATTTGAGTGAGCTTTTTTGGTTTTTGTTTTTTCAGACAGGGTCTCGCTCTGTTGCCCAGTCGGGAGTGCACTGGCGTGATCATGGCTCACTGCAACCTCCGCCTCTTAGGTTCAGGCGATCCACCAGCTGTGGCTTCCAAAAGTGCAGGGATTACAAGTGTAAGCCACCACGCCCGGCCCAAATTTCTTAAGTTACTACAGAGTTCCTAGGAAAAATCCCGTACCTGAAAAAGTTAGAAACTGACAGGAAAGATTCGAGATGGCGGCCTGCCTCATATACACTCCTTATTAAAACTAGATAGCAAATGCACCGCGGAGGAGGGGAGGGGTAGGAAGAATGGAAAAAGAAAATCGGCGTATGCTTACTCTGATTTTGGAAGAATCCAAAGAGAAAATCAGACCGTGCGTACTCTGAGTATGGAAGAATCGAAAGAGAGAGAAAGTCAGAGCATGCGTACTCTGAACTTAAAGTAGCCAATCCCAGGGGATGCTTTAGGCGGGAAAATTAGAGTCTCCACCCCCACTTTGAGAAGGTTCCGTCCCTGGAGCCGGGACTGATAGAAGCCACATCCGCTTCGCTTGTTCCGCCTACTGTTCTGACTTCTAATTGGCCAGATGGAGTTCACTAACTGCCCTGATTGGTCCATCATCCTTGGGCAGTGACATAGCAGAATAATGTCTCCTCCTCCAGCCACACTTTGTTGCCACTGCGAAAAAGTGGGTGGTCCTCAGGCGCCGTCAGATTTTGAACTCTCTGAAGACCGTTCCTGGATCTTGGGTTAAAAATCTGGATTCTAGTCTGAACTGTGGGAAGAAAAAAATAGTCAATCTGTGATTTTTCTACTTGAAAGACACGATGTTTTCCAAACTAGCACATTTGCGGAGGTTTGCTATACTTAGTCGTGGCTTTCATTCTTCAGTGGCTTCTATGTCTGTTGCCACTGAAAAAACAGTCCAAGGCCCCGCAACCTCTGCTTACATTTTTGAAAGGGAATCTTAAGTATGGTGCGCACAATTACCATCCTTTACCTGTAGCCCTGAAGAGAGGAAAATGTATTTACTTATGGGATGTGATTGTGGTATTGGTTACATCTGCCTTGGCCAATCCTCCAGCCTCCGTCTTGGGACTACAGGCGCGAACCACCCTACCCCCACTAATATTTTTTATTTTTTGATTTTTTAATAGAGAAGGTTTCGCTGTGTTGGCCAGGCTGGTCTTGACGTCGTGGGCTCAAGCGATCCTCCCACCTCGGCCTCGGGACTACAGGCATTCACCACCCAGCCCACGCTTTTTTTTTTTTTTTTTTTTAAGTAGAAACCAGGTTTTGCTATGTTGGCCAGGCTGGTCTCATCGTCCTGGGCTCAAGGGATCCTTCCGCCATGGCCTCGAGACGACAGGCATGCACCACCCTGCCCACGCTTTTTTTTTTTTTTTTTTTTTTAGTAGAAACCGTGTTTCCCTATGTTGGCCAGGCCGGCATCAAGCTCCTGGACTCAAGGGATCCTCCCATCTCAGGACTACAGCCATGCACCACCCTGCCCAAGCTATTTTTTGTTTTGTTTTGTTTCGTTTTAGTGGAAACCGGGTTTCGATATGTTGCCCAGGCTGGCCTCAACCTCTCAGGCTCAGATGATGCTTCCACCTCGGCCTCAGAACTATAGGCGTGTGCCATTCTACCCCGCTCATTTTTATTTATTTATTTATTTATTTATTTTTTAGGAGAGGCAGGCTTTCGCTTTGTTGGCCAGGCTGGTATCAAACTCCTGGGCTCAAGCAATGCTCCCACCTTGGCCTCAAAACTACAGGAGTGAGCCACCCCGCCCACGCTATTTTTCTGTTGTTCTTGTTGTTAGCAGAAATGGGGTTTCGCTATGTTGGCCAGGCTGGCCTCGACCTCCTAGGCTCAAGCAATCCTCCCGCCTCGGCCTCGGGACTATGGGCTCACACCACCCCGCCCCCACTAATATTTTTAATTTTTCTATTAGAGACAGTTTCGCTATGTTGTCCAGGCTGGGCTCTACCTCTGGGACTCAAGTGATTCTCCCGCCTCGGCCTTGGGACTACAGGCATGCACCACCCTGCCTTTTGCTATGTTTCCCAGGTTGGTCTTGACCTCCTGGGCTCACTCAATGATTTGAACCCGGGAAGTGGAGGTTGCATTGAGCTGAGATCACACCACTGCACTCCAGCTTGGGCGACAGAGCAAGACTGAAAAAGAAAGAAAGAAAGAAAGAAAGAGCGAGAGAGAGACCAGCTGAATCTCCGTAAGAACAGTGAGCTTTGTGGTATTTTTACTTGCCCTCGTCCCATCTCATGCTCCCAGCTTGGTTCTGTTCATTGTTGATGAAATACAGATAGGATTGGCCAGAACTGGTAGATGGCTGGCTGTTGATCATGAAAATGTCAGTCCTGATATAGTCCTCCTTGGAAAGGCCCTTTCTGGAGGTTGATACTCTGTGTCTGCAGTGCTGTGGGACGATGGCATAATGCTGACCATTAAGCCAGGGGAACATGGGTCCACATACGGTGGCAATCCACTAGGCTGCTGAGTGACCATCGCAGCCCTTGAGGTTTTAGAACAAGAAAATCTTGCTGAAAATGCAGAAAAAAAAATGGGTATTATCGTGAGAAGTGAACCCATGAAGCTACCTTTTGATGTTGTAACTGCCATAAGAGGAACAGAATTATTATTATTGCTATTATTTTGAGTCAGAGGTTCATTCTGGTTGCCCAGGTTGGAGTGCAATGGCGCGATCTTGGCTCACTGCAACCTCTGCCTGCTGGGTTCTAGCGATTCTCCTGCCTCAGCCTCCTGAGTAGCTGGGATTACAGGCACGCGCCACTATGCCCGGCTAATTTTTGTATTTTTAGTAGAGACGGGGTTTCGCCATGTTGGCCAGGCTGGTCTCGAACTCCTGACCTCAGGCGATCCACCCGCCTCAGCCTCCCAAAGTGTTGGGATTACAGGCGTGAGCCACTGTGCCCGGGAGGAAAATAATTATTAAATGCTATTGTTATTAAAGAAACCATAGACTGTAATGCTTGGGAGGTGTGTCTATGACTTTGAGATTATGGACTTCTGGCCAAGCCCACCCATGGTGACATCATCAGGTTTCACCTCTGCTGGTGATCAAGGAGGATGAGATTCGAGAGTCCAGTGAAATCATTAACAAGACCATCTTGTCGTTCTGAGGGTAGCAGCTGTTTTCAGTGGTCCCTGGGAGCCGGCTGGAGACAGGTGGTCCTGTAAAAGCTCTGCTCTAAATGTAGGCACATTCCACTCCCATGTGCCGTCAAAATCTTTTTGTGTATATATGTTTTTTTCAGTTGATACACAATGGAACAATGTTCATGAACCTGACATTTGCTTTGTAGTGTTAAGAGAATGTAATGGCATCTATATTCAGTGAAAGCGTTTTGATGTGCACGTGTACTTTATAAGGTGAAATGCATCTGTATATACAGACAGCCTTTAAATCACATCCTTCAGTATACTTTATATATGCTTTTATAATTTCCTTGCTGGTATAAAGGTTTTGTATTTGAAAAAGTATCTCTAGCGTATTACATAAAAGGCTGCACCTTATAAAGTCAAATCATTGTTTTCATTGAATTTTAGGAAGGATCAATGGTTAAGCATATAAAAAATACTAGTTCTTTTGTTTTCTTTTGTTTTTTGTTTTTGTTTTTGTTTTGAGACGGAGTCTCGCTCTGTCGCCCAGGCTGGAGTGCAGTGGCTCGATCTCCGCTCACTGCAAGCTCCGCCTCCTGGGTTCACGCCATTCTCCTGCCTCAGCCTCCCGAGTGGCTGGGACTACAGGTGCCCACCAAAACGCCTGGCTAATTTTTTGTATTCTTAGTAGAGACGGGGTTTCATCGTGTTAGCCAGGATGGTCTCGATCTCCTGACCTCGTGATCCGCCCGCCTCGACCTCCCAAAGTGTTGGGATTACAGGTGTGAGCCACTGAGCCTGGCCTATAAATTACTAATATTAAGTAAACTTTATGTTGACCAACACCAGGATATATTCTATGGATGTCATTATTTTGAATTAAGAATTAGTGTTTAACATCCCTAAATTGTTTTGAGTGCTTGATTATAATTTGTAAAAAAAAGTTTATTTTTAATATTTCTTTACATTTTAAACAAAGCTTATATTTCAGAAAAAAAAAAAAAGAGACAGAACATGGCCGGGTGCAGTGGTTCACGCTTGTAATCCCAGCACTTTGGGAGGCCGAGGTGGGCAGATCACTTGAGGTCAGGAGTTTGAGACCAGCCTGGCCAACATGGAGAAACCCCGTCTCTACTAAAAGTACAAAAATTAGCCAGGCATGGTGGCACCCGCCTGTAGTCCCAGCTACATGGGAGGCTGAGACAGAATAGCTCGAACCCGGGAGGCAGAGGCTGCAGTGAGCTCGAGAGTGTGCCACTGCACTACAGCCTAGGAGACAGAGTGAGAATCCCTCTTGAAAAAAAAAATGTACAGTACATTTTCATCACCGCAATGCTATCCCTTGTGCTACTCATTTTTAGTAATACTCTCCTCCCATCCGCCATCCCTAATCCCTGGCAACCACAAATCTGTTTTTCGTTTCCACAATTTTGTCTTTTCTACAATGCTGTACAAGTGAAATCTTACAGTATATAACGTTTTACGGGCTTATTTCACTCAGCGTAATTCCATGGAGATTCCTCCAAGATATTGATATTTGTGTATCAATAGTTCATTGTTGTTGTTGTTGTTGTTGAGACAGAGTCTCACTCTGTCACCCAGGCTAGAGTGCAGTGTCTCGGCTCACTGCAACTGTCTGCCTCCCGGGTTCAAGCAATTTTCCAGCCTCAGCCTCCCGAGTAGCTCTGACTACAGGTGCGCGCCACCACACCCGGGTAATTTTTGTATCAGTAGTAAAGATGGGGTTTCAACATACTGGCAAGGCTGGTCTTGAACTCCTGACATCATCATCCACCCGCCTCGACCTCCCAAAGTGCTGTGATAACAGGGTGAGCCACTGTGCCCTGACGATAGTTCATTTTTATTGCTGAGTAGCATTCCAGGGGATGGATATACCACAGTTTGACCATTCACTTATTTTAGGACATATTGATTATTTCCAGCTATTGGCTATTACAAGTAAAGCTGCTATGAACAATTATGTACAAGTTTCTGGATGGGCATACATTTTAATTTCTCTGAAGTGTAATTGTTGAATTGTATGGTCACTGCATTGTTTAGTTTTATAAGAAACTACCAAACTGCTTTCCAGAGTGGCTGTAAGATTTTACCTTCCCAGCAGCACTTAATGAGGTGTCCAGTTTCTCTGCATCCTTGTCACCATTTGGTGTTGTCACTATGTCTTTTATTTTAGCTATTGTAATAAGTGTGTAGTGATACCTCATCGTGGTGTTATTCTGCATCTAGTGAAGCAAATGAGTGTTGAACATCTTTTCATGTGCTTATTTGCTTATTTCCTCTTCAGTGAAATGTATGTTCATATCTTTTCATGATTTTCTAATTGGATTATTTGTTTGTATTTTTTACCATTGAGGTTTTTATTATTTTTTTTTTTCTTGAGACAGAGTCTTGCTCTGTTACCCAGGCTGGAGTGCAGTGGCACGATCTTGGCTCGCTCCGACCTCCACCTCCGAGGTTCAAGTGATTCTCGTGCCTCAGCCTCCAGAGTAGCTGGGATTACAGGCATGCATCATCATGCTTGTCTAATTTTTGTATTTTTAGTAGAGATGGGTTTTTTGCCATGTTGCCCAGGCTGGTCTTGAACTCCTGGCCTCAAGGGATCTGCCCTCCGTCCACCTCGACCTTTCAAAGTGCTGGGATTACAAGCGTGAGCCACCACGCTCAGCCTACTGTTGAGTTTTGAGAGTACTATACGTATCCATTGTATATTCTGGATGTGAGTCCTTTCTTGGATATGTGGTTTGCAAACATTTTCTTTCAGATCGTACCCTATTTTTTCATCCTTTTAACAAGATTTCTTGCAGAGCAAAAGTTTTAAATTGGATAAAATCTAATTTATTTTTTTCTTATGTATTATGCTTTTTGAACCATTCACTATGCCCTAGATCTCAGACGTTTCTCCTATATTTTCTTGTAAAACTTTGTTTTTAGTTCATTTGTTTGTTTGTTTGTTTGTTTGTTTTTTGAGATGCAGTCTCGCTCTGTTGCCCAGGATGGAGTGCAGTGGCACGATCTCGGCTCACTGCAAGCTCCACCTCCCAGGTTCACCCCATTCTCCTGCCTCAGCCTCCCGAGTAGCTGGGACTACAGGCGCCTGCCACCACGCCCAGCTAACTTGTTTGTATTTTTAGTAGAGACAGGGTTTCACTGTGTTAGCCAGGATGGTCTCGATCTCCTGACCTCGTGATCCGCCCACCTCGGCCTCCCAAAGTGCTGGGATTACAGGCGTGAGCCACCGTGCCCGGCCTTTTTTAGTTTTATATTTTAGATTTAAATCTATGATCCACTTGACTTACTTTTTTGTATAAAGGTATGAAGACTAGGCCTTATTATTATTATTTTTTTTTTTTTGGCCTATGGCTCTGCAACTGCCCCAGCACCATTTGTTAAGCAGATGATCTTTCCCTATTTTTGTCTCTTGGTAAAAAATCAGTGTGGGCTATTTCTAGGTTTTCTATTTTGTTACAGCGATCTATGTGTCTATTTTTCTCCCAATGGTATATAGTCTTGATTCCTGTAGCTATATAAGAAGTATTGAAATATGGTAGAGCAATTCCTCCCACCTTATTCTTCTTCTTTTTCAAAAATTGTCTTAGCTATATAAATATTTTTTGAGATGGAGTCTCACTTTTGTCGCCCAAGCTGGAGGGCAGTGGGGTGATCTTGGCTCACTGCAACTTCTGTCTACTGTGTTCAAGCGGTTCTCCTGTCTCAGCTTCCCGAGTAGCTGGGATTTCAGGTGCACGCCACCACACCCGGCTAATTTTTGTATTTTTAGTAGAGACAGGGTTTCGCCATGTTGGCCAGGCTGGTCTCAAACTCCTTACCTCAAGCGATCTGCCCCTCTCAGCCTCCCAAAGTGCTGGGAATACAGGCGTGAGACACGGGGCCCAGTGTTGTCTTAGCTGTTGACAATTTGTTACAGCAGCAATCAAAAATGAATACACATAGAAATAGATTAATTAGTGAAACAAAATAAAAAGTCAAGAAACAGACTAATTTATATACAAACTTCAGCATGCATTTCCAAACAGTGGGCAAAAGATGGGGTGTATAATAAAGGATTGTATAATAAAGGATTGTTGTCTATCCATTTGGAAAAATAAACATTAAATCCTTACTTTCAACCACATAAAATAATAAATTCTAAAAATTCAGAGACTTAAATGTGAAAACGTGAAGTCATAAAGAACTAGATGAAATTTTAGGAAAATATTACAGCGTAAGACATCTTGAGTTGGCATAGGCACTTCCTGACATTACACCAAGGCTATAAACAATGAATCTGACATATTTAAAGATGTAAAAAGTAAAGTATCATCTAAGTCAAAAGACACCATAAAAAAACTGTTTAAAAAGGCAAATATTAGGCCAGGCACAGTGGCTCATGCCTGTAATCTCAGTACTTTGGGAGGCCAAGGCGGGCAGATCACGAGGTCAGCAGATCGAGACCATCCTGGCTACCACGGTGAAACCCTGTCTCTACTAAAAGTACAAAAAATTAGCCGGGTGTGGTGGTGGGTGCCTGTAGTCCCAGCTGCTCGGGAGGCTGAGGCAGGAGAATGGTATGAACCCGGCAGGAGAATGGCGTGAACCTGGGAGGCGGAGCTTGCAGTGAGCCGAGATTGCACCACTGCACTCCATCCTGGGCAATAGAGTGAGACTCCGTCTCAAAAAAAAAAAAAAAAAAAAAGGCAAATTTTGGGGAAAATGAAGCATCCCCAATAAATTAACAGTAACCATCTCTAATATGTAACAAAGCTTTTCCATATCAATAAGAGAAACTGGAACAACCAAATGAAAAAATGTGTTCAGGCATGGCACTACTTTATCGTATAGCAGAAAAGAATTACAGAATAGAAATTATGAAAGGAAAATAGTAAAGGAAATGGAGAAGAGATCCAAGAACTTTCAACGTTCATCCAGTAGAAGATCCAGAGGTAGAGAATAGAAAGACTGGGACGGGCGCGGTGGCTCACGCCTGTTATTCCAACACTTTGGGAGGCCAAGGCAGGCAGATTACATGAGGTCAGGAGTTCGAGACCAGCCTGTCCAACATGGTGAAACCCTGTCTCTACTAAAAATACAAAAATTAGCCCAGTGTGGTGGTGGGCGCCTGAAATCCCAGCTACTTGGGAGGCTGAGGCAGGGGAATCACTTGAACCCGGGAAACAGATGTTGCAGTGAGCTGAGGTCCTGCCACAGCACTCCAACCTCGGTGTCAGAGCAAAACTCCATCTCAAAAATGAAAAAAAAAAAAAAAAAAAAAAGACTGGAGAGAAGGCACTACTTGAAGAAATAATGTTCTAGAATTTTCCCAGTTGAACAAAGACATGAATCTTCAACCTGAAAAGAGCCACCTAGTTCTGAGCCTGATTAACACACATGTGCACACACACCTGCGCACGCAGGAGCGCACACACACACACACCCCCTCGGGGTAAAATTTCTAGGATAAAGATAAAATCCTGAAAGGTCCCAGAGAGAAAAAGAGAAGAGAGAATGCAATGGAGAGGTTTTTCAAGGAGCTGATTTAAAATAACTTTGGGCCAGGCGCAGTGGCTCATGCCTGTAGTCCCAGCACTTTCGGCGCCAAGACCAGATGCTCACTTGAGCTCAGGAGTTTGAGACCAGCCTGGCCAACAAGGCGAAACCCACTTCTACAAAAAATACAAGTAACCAGGTGTGGTGCCACATGCCTGTAGTCCCAGCTACTTGGGAGGCTGAGGCAGGAGAATTGCTTGAGTCCGGGAGGTGGAGATTGCAGTGAGCCGAGATTGTGCCATTGCATTCCAGCCTGGGTGACAGAGCCAGGCACTGTCTCAAAAAAACAAAACAAGAACAAACAATAAAAAAGTTGAACCTAGATATCTATATACAGCCAGAATAATCCAGAATGAGGGGAAAAATATTTCAGAAAATTCATGACGCATATACCCTTCAGAAATAATTATTGGTATCCAGTCCTGTGAGAAGGGAAAACTAAATTTAGGAGGAAGGAGGTGATTTCAGTAAGCAATGGCGAGCAGAAAAATAGTAAAATTTATTGAAAAGTGTAAGCTTTAGATTGAAAAATTTTAAAATTACAGTCTTGAACTAAAATTCCCAGTATTATAAACTTGGAAGACGGGAGCAGGGACAGGAAAGAAAAGATAAGTTTTTTTGGTGTTCAAGGAAGGGATACAGATGCTAATGAATGATAGAATGCGGTGGTGCACGCCTGTAACCTGAGCTATTCAGGAGGCTGGGGCAGGAGAATCACTTGAACCTGGGAGGTGGAGGTTGCATTGAGGTGAGATCACACCATTGCACTCCAGCCTGGGAAACAAGAGTGAAACTCTGGAAAAAGAAAAAAAAAAAAAGGCCAGGCACAGTGGCTCAAGCCTGTAATCCCAGCACTTTGGGAGGCCGAGACAGGTGGATCCCTTGAGTTCAGGAGTTCGAGACCAGTCTGGCCAACAAGGTGAAACTCCATCTCTACTAAAAATTCAAAAATTAGCCTGGCACAGTGTCACATGCCTGTGGTTCCAGCTACTCAAGAGGCTGAGGCAGGAGAATTGCTTGGACTCGGGAGGCAGAGGTTCAGTGAGCCAAGATCGTGCCACTGTGCTCCAACCTGGGCGACAGAGGAAGACTCTGTCTCAGATAAATAAATAAATAAATAAATAAATAAATAAATAAATAAATAAATAGAAAACCTATTGGATAGATTGGATATGAAAACATTAACTGCTCAAATAAATAATTCAGCGGAATAGATTGGATGTTAAAACCGATATAGTTGAAAAAGCAATTACTGAGCTGAGGAAATGCGTCTAAAGAATTCATAAAAGTAATCAGTAATGGATAGAGAAGAAGTAAATGAAAGAAAAGTTAATTAATAGAGAGGATAGAAGAATAAATGTCAAAACACATCTAATAGTAGCCTTATAAGAAGAGAATACAGTTATTAAAAAGGAGAGTGTACTTAAATAAGCAATCAATGAGAATTCCTCAGATTTAAAAAAATGACTTAAGGTTTAAAGGTATTATAGTACACACATACACACAGGAAAAGTGAAATGTAAAATTGTGAAAGACAAAGAAAAAATATTTTAAAAACGATCAGAGAGAAATAGCAGGTTACTTACGGAGGAAAAATAAACTGACACCGGATCTCTCAAATACCACACTGGAGGCAAGGATACAATGGTGTAATAACTCCAAGCTGTTGAAAAAAATGATTTTTTTTTTGAGACAGAGTCTCGCTTTCTCACCCAGGCTGGAGTGCAGTGGCATGATCTCAGCTCACTGCAACCTCTGCCTCCTGGGTTCAAGCAAATCTCCTGCCTCAGCCTCCTGAGTAGCTGGGGCTACAGGCGCACACCACCACACCCGGCTAATTTTTGTACTTTTAGTAGAGATGGGGTCTTGCCATGTTGGCCAAGCTGGTCTGGAACTCCTGACCTCAGGTTATCTGCCTGCCTCGGCCTCCCAAAGCGCTGGGATTACAGGCGTAAGCCACTGCACCCGACGAAAGAAAGGAATTTTTATACCGGGTGGAGTAAAGACAATGTCAGCCACATGACTTCAGGAGATTGAAGACACAGGGAAATGTTAAAGCAAACAAGTATTTACTGCACTTATTAGAGACTGTAAGGAAGGGCCAGCTGCAGTGGCTCGTGCCTGTAATCCCAGCACTTTGGGAGCCTGAGGCAAGAGGATTGATTGAGCCCGGGAGTTCAAGACCAGCCTGGGCAACATGGCAAAACGCCGTCTCTACAAAAAATTCAAAAATTAGACGGGCATATCAAGTTCCTGGGTCTGTAGAGAATTAAAAAAAAAAAAAAATATATGTATATATATATATATATATATGGTTGGATTTGGTGGTGCGTACCTGTAGTCCCAGCTATTCGGGAGGCTGGGGCAGGAAGATTGCTTGGGCCCTGGAGTTTGAGGCTGCAGTGAGCTAGGATTGGGTCACTGCACTCCAGCCTGAGTTACAGAGTGAGACTTTGTCTCTGAAAAAAAAAAAAAAAAAAAAAAAAGATCGTAAGGACGATTTTACTCAGAGGGGGGACTACTGTGATAGGTACAGGGACCACCGTAATGGGGTCTTGCGGTGGGAGAGTGATATTGGGATCGACTTCAACTCCACAAGGACAAGTGGGGATTTGTAGTCAAGGAGTAGGGTCGGGGGGTCAGAAGATGGGAAATTACTTGGAGGAAACCTCAGGTGCAGGGGAATTCTGGCTAAACTGACTTGACAGGATTTTTGCTGAAACAGGCTAAATGGGCAGAGTCCCTGGATGAAGGACAGAGCCCGAGGTTGGGACCTAGTCAGAAACAGGACTCAGAGGAGCCCGATTCAAGTTTGGTCAAAGGAGAGTGTCTCTGTCTGAAAGCAAAAGCAAGAAAGCCAACAGCAGTAAAATGAATGGGTCACAAAGGAGAATTTTTGTGCATTGCTAAACAGGACTCTGCTTTAAACATTGTGAAAGTTGATTATGTGAAGTGAGTCACTCTTAGTTGTTTTTTTTGTTTGTTTTGTTTTGTTTTTTGTTTGTTTTTTTGTTTTTTTTTTTGTTTTTTTTTTTGTTTTTGAGATGAAGTCTCTCTGTGTCACCCAGGCTGGAGTGCCATGCGTGATCTCGGCTCACTGAAACCTCAGCTTCCTGGGTTGAAGCGATTCTCCCGCCTCAGCCTCCCGAGCAGCTGGGACTACAGCCACGTGCCACCACACCCGACTAATTTTGTATTTTTACCGGAGACAGGGTTTTGCCATGTTGACCAGGCTGGTCTCAAACTCCTGACCTCAAGCCATCTGTCCGCCTTGGCCTCCCAAAGTGCTGTGATTACAGGCGTGCTCCACCGCAACCCACTGAATTGACTCATTCTTGACATACACAACTATGTCAGAGTTGTGTGGCCAGGGGAAAAAGCACTCAGGGCACATTGCACCTGCTCTAAGAATTGAATTTTCCACAAGGCTGGTGGCTGAAATGGCCTGCTGCCACCCTAAGAGCACTTTTACCTAGTAACTGCTGAAACAACCTGCAATGACTCTAAGGCTTGTTTTACCTATTGTCCACACTCACCAATCAGAGCTTCCAGCTCCTGAAAGCTTCTCTGGTGCCAATGGACTTGCTTTAAAAACTATAGGTAACATTTCTGTTTCTAATAAAACTCTCAACTTTCTCTTTGTTCTTTGGACATACCAAAGACCAGCCAGTTTGGGTGTATGCCTCACATCACAATTCTGTGATTCTCAAGTAAAATGTTTAGAGATTCATGGCCTGGCGTGGTGGCTCACCCTGTAATCCCAGCCCTGTGGGAGGCTGAGGCCGGTGGATCGCTTGAGCCCAGGGGTTCGTGACCTGCCTGGACAACGTGGTGAAACCCTGTCACCACAAAAAAATACAAAAATTAGCTGGATGTGGTGGTGCATGCCTGTAATCCCAGCTATTCCAGAGGCTGAGTCGGGGAGGCAGAGGTTGCAGTGAGCCGAGATTGTGCCACTGCACTCCGGGGTGGGCGACAGAGTGAGACCCGGTCTCAAAACAAAAAACAAAAACAAAAACATAATATAACATCCTTAATATTGTAGTTAAAAAAAGAGACTCGTCTCCATAGGTTTTGACTTTGATATTTGTGGTGTCAGAAGTGGGGTCCGAAGCTGACTCACCTTGGAGATATCAATGACCTCTGGAACTATGGCGTGAGGTCTGCACACTTGGTCCCCTTGAGCTTTTGCTTTTCTGGTTGCCTCTTTCCCCCCTGGTGAGTCTTTCTTGGATCAAACTGCCATTTGCTGAGGAGTTGAGTTCAGTTTTATTTGGGAATTTGTTAGGAAGGGTCTTTCTCTCTCTCCTGGTTATGAAACCTCCTCTTTTCTTTTCCTTTCTTTTCTTGTCTTGTCTTTTTTATCTTGTCTTTCTCTTTTCTTCTTTTTTTGAGACAGTGTTTCGCTCTGTCGCCCAGGCTGCAGTGCAGTGGTGTGATCTGGGCTCACTGCAACCTTCACCTCCCAGGCTCAACTGATTCTCGTGCATCGTCCTCCCGAGTAACTGGGATTACAGGTGTGCGCCACTACGCCTGGATAATTTTTGTGTTTTTTAGTAGACATGTGGTTTCACCCTGTTAGCCAGGCTGGTCTTGAAGTCCTGAGCTCGAGTGATCTGCCCGCCTCGGCCTCCCAAAGTGCTGGGATTACAGGCATGAGCCACTACACCCAGCCAGAGACGGCCTGTTTAAGAGGGATTTTCTCCCTCCTGGTTATGAGGCCTGGTTACAGAGATTTTTCTGTTAGAGAAGGCTTCTCATGCTTCCTGGTAAGTTTGTACTTTATTTTCTGAATCGTTTGCATGCTTAGAGTTTAATTTGGCTTTTGTGTATTAGGCATTAAACCGAATCACCTAGATTAATTTATTTACACACAGGCTCTCAAAGTTCAAAGGCATGCCAACATAGTTCCCTCTTTCTGGGACGCCAGCTGGTAATATGTGCCAACATTATGGGGATCATTCACGCAGTCTGTTTTCCTCAAACTGAACTAAAATAATACAGTCCAAATGGGACTCCTATCTCAGTTGGTATCTTGAGGCTCCAGAACACATTCAAGACTCAAAGGCTGCCTCACTGCAAGATACTGTCTAAAGCTAGCTGAGATTTTCTTCTCCAAAGCCTTCCCCTCTCCTTTGTTTACCTCTTCCTCTTTATCCTTCTTTAAGCAAAACTCTTTTTCCAAAACTCCTCAGCTACTCTGACATACTGACTATTAAAATAAAGACAGTTGAAAGACATCAGATACAAATAAAATAAAATCACTGACCTTTGTAGTGTTTCTTAAAAGCAAAAGATGAAATTCCCATGTAAAAGATCTCCTTCCTATACTAAAAGGGAAGACAACACTCTTATCTTCAAGGATGAGGAATTGAGACCAAGAGAACACTATACAAAGCTTATTGGAATACCACTTATCTTTTGGGCCTTCTCACATAATTCAGTCACATTTTTACAGTTAACAATTCTTTGTCTAATTCAACATGTTGGTAACTGACTCAAACTGCTTTACCCAAAATTTGGGTCACCACCTTCATAGGATTACCTATTGAGGAGAAAAATCTTAAATAAAGTTTAGCCTTCTTCCATTTTGTCAGAAATATAATTTAGATCCAACGTCTTTTATAAATTGGTGAGTTTGTATGTTTTACTGTCCCATAATCAAAATTCTAAAATGAAAGTTATCTTTGTTTATGTACGTATCTGTGTTTGGGCGTATTCATACGTATGTACATGTGTTATGTTAAATGTGTCTACGTGGTAAAATCTGGAATCGTTGGCAAACAATTATTTAAAGAATCCTATTCAGATTGGCTTAACTAGGTACTCATATAAATACACAGTAATTAACTAAAACGCATTTAGTTCATGCAACTTAATTAAGTAGTTGAAAAATAAGCTGGTTTTAAAATTGTTGGTAAAATAAAATGAGAAATGTTTTCAAAATTGTGACCACACATTTTTGGCTGGGTTTACTGGTTCTATATTTGTCTCTGTTGGATGTTTTAAGGTTATGAAACATAAACCTAACCTAAAAACAGAATGGTCTTTTATGTGCAATTCTTTGATAAGTAAGACTAATTTAATATTGTGGGTGTAATAAAACAGCTGTATTTTCTGAGTTATTGGCAAAATACTCATATATTTAAGGTTTTTGCTCAGGTGGATACCTGACATTTACAGGCTATAAAAATGTTTTAATAGGAAAATAACTCCAAATGACTAGCTTTATTTATTTATTTATTTATTTATTTATTTATTTATTTAGAGCAGAGTCTCCCTCTGTCGCCCAGGCTGGAGTGCAGTGGTGCTATCTCGGCTCGCTGCAGCCTCTGCCTCCCAGGTTCAAGAGATTGTCCTGTCTCAGCCTCCCAAGTAGCTGGGACTCTAGGCGTGCGCCCCCATGCCTGGATAATTTTTGTATTTTTGGTAGAGATGGGGTTTCACCTTGTTGGCCAGGCTGGTCTTGAACTCCTGACCTCAAGTGATCTGCCCTTCTTGGCCTCCCTAAGTGCTGGGATTACAGGCGTGAGCCACCGACCCCGGCCGACTGGCTTTGTTTAATATGTCAGTTTTCATAAGTAATCTAGGTATAATAGTTAAAATGAATAAATGAGGTAACTGTGAGATACATGTTTATAAGTGAACTTTTCATGTAATTTGAAATGTTTTTTTCTCTTGCTCTTACCATATGGAGATGAAATATTAAAGTTGTGTTATGTTAGATTAAGTAATAGGTACTCACTAAATGCCAGGATCATGTCCAACTAAGAAAACAATGGATCACCTGCCTAGGCCTTCCAAAATGCTGGGATTACAGGTGTGAGCCACCATGCCCAGTGAGGAAAAGAAGTATTAAACGCTATTGTTATTAAAGAAACCAAAGATCGTGATGCTTGGAAGGTGATTCTAAGACTCGAGATAATGGACTTCTGGCCAAGCCAACCCATGGTGACATCGTCAGGTTTGCGCCTCCACTGGTGATCAAGGAGGATGAGATTCGAGAGTCCAGTGAAATCATTAACAAGACCATCTTGTCTTTCTGAGGGTAGCAGCTGTTTTCAGTGGTCCCTGGGAGCCGGCTGGAGACAGGTGGTCCTGTAAAAGCTCTGCTCTAAATGTAGGCACATTCTACTCCCATGTGTCTTCAAAGCCTTTGTGTGGAATATCCATTATTTTCAGTTGATACACAATAGAACAACGTTTATGAACCTGCCTTTTGCTTCGTAACGTAAGTAAGAGAATGTAGTGGCATCTATATTCAGTGAAAGTGTTTTGATGTGCATCTGTACTTTCTAAGGTAAAACATATCTATGTATACAGAACAGCCTTTAAATCACGTCCTTCAGTATACTTTATATATGTTTTTATAATTTCCTTGCTGGTAAAAATTTTTTGTATTTGAAAAAGTTATCTCTGGGGTATTGCATAAAAGGCTTCATCTTGTAAAGTCAAATCACTGCTATCATTAAATTTTAGGAAGGGCGAATGGTTAGTCATATGTAAAATACTAATATTAAGTAAACTTCATATTGGCAAACACCAGAATGTATTCTATGGTTGTCATTATTTTGAATTAAGAATTAGTGATTAAAATTCCTAAATTGTTTTGAGTGCTTGATTATAATTTGTAAAAAAAGTTTATTTTTAATATTTCTTTAAATTTAAAATAAGGCTTATATTTCAGGAAAAAACAAAAAAAAGATACAGAACATGGCCAGGTGCAGTGGTTCACGCCTGTAATCCCAGCGCATTGGTAGGCCAAGGTAGGCAGATCACTTGAGGTCAGGAGTTCGAGACCAGCCTGTCAAGATGGTGAAACCCCCTCTCTACTAAAAATACAAAAATTAGCCAGGCGTGGTGGCACGTGCCTGTATACCCAGATCCATGGGAGTGTGAGACAGGTGAATGGCTCAAACCTGGGAGGCAGAGGTTGCAGTGAGCCGAGAGATCCTGCCACTGCATTCCAGCCTGGGTGACAAAGTGAGACTCAATCTTGGAATTTAAAAAAAAAAATGGTACAGACCATTTCCATCACCACAGTGCCATCCCTTGTGCTACTCATTTTTAGTAATACTCACTCTCCTCCCATCCGCCATCCCTAACCCCTGACAACCACTAATCTATTTTTCATTTCTACTATTTTATATTTTCTACAATGCTATACGAATGAAATCTCATGGTATATAACATTTTAGAGGCTTATTTCTACTCAGCATAATTCCCTGGAGATTCATCCAAGCTATTAATATTTGTGTATCAATAGTTCATATTTTTGTTGTTGTTGTTGTTGAGATGGAGTCTCACTATGTCACCCAGGCTGGAGCGCAGTGGCGCGGTTTTGGCTCACTGCAACCTCTGCCTCCCGGGTTTAAGCGATTCTCGTGCCTCAGCCTCCCAAGTAGCTGGGACTACAGGTGCACGCCGCCACGCCCAGTTAATTTTTGTATTATTAGTAGAGACAGGGTTTCACCATATTAGCCAGGCTGGTCTCAAACTCCTGATCTCATGATCTACTTGCCTCCTGACCTCATGATCTGCCTGCCTCGGCTTCCCAAAATACCGGGATTACAAGTGTGAGCCACCGCGCACGGCCAATGGTTCATTTTTATTACTGAGTAGTATTACATGGTATGGATGTACCACAGTTTCACCATTCACCTATTGTTGGACATATTGATTATATCCGGCTATTTGGCTATTACAAGTAAAGTTGCTATGAACAATTATGTACAAGTTTCTGGATAGGCATACATTTTAATTTCTCTGAAGTGTAATTGATGAATTGTATGGTCACTGCATGTTTAGTTTTATAAGAAACTACCAAACTGCTTTCCAGAGTGGCTGTAAGATTTTACCTTCCCAGTAGCATTTTATTAGATGTCCAGTTTCTCTGCATCCTTTCCAGCATTTCGTATTGTCACTATGTCTTTTATTTTAGCTGTTGTAATAAGTGTGTAGTGCTGCCTCATCGTGGTCTTAATTTGCATCTAGTGAAGCAAGTAAGTGTTGAACAGCCTCTCATGTGCTTATTTGCTTATTTCCTCTTCAGTGAAATGTATGTTCATATATCTTCATAATTTTCTAATTGAATTATTTGTTTGTTTTTTTTTACCGTTGTTTTGTTTTGTTTTTGAGACAGAGTCTCGCTCTGTTACCAAGGCTGGAATACAGTGGCATGATCTTGGCTCACTCCAACCTCTGCCTCCCAGGTTCAAGCGATTCTCGTGCCTCAGCCTCCGGTGTAGCTGGGATTACAGGTGCGAACCATCATGCCTGTCTAATTTTTGTATGTTTAGTAGAGATGGGTTTTGCCATGTTGCCCAGGCTGGTCTCGAGCTCCTGGCCTCAAGGGATCTACCCTCCATCCACCTCGACCTCCCAAAGTGCTGGGATTACAAGCGTGAGCCACCACGCCTGGCATACCGTTGAGTTTTGAGAGTACTATACGTATCCGTTATATATTCTGGATGTGAGTCCTTTCTTGGATACGTGGTTTGCAAACATTTTCTCCCAGTTTACACCCTGTTTTTTCATCCTTTTAACACGGTTTCTACAGAGCAAAAGTTTTAAATTGGATGAAATCTAATTTATTTTTTTCCTTATGGATTATGTTTTTTGAACCATTCACCATGCCTAGATCTCAGACGTTTCTCCTACGCTTTCTTGTAAAAGTTTTTTTAGTGTTATATTTTAGATTTAAATCTATGATCCACTTGAGTTTTATATATATATATATATACACATATATAGTATATATATACACATATATGTATATATATACACGTAAATATTACACACATATACACGTATACATATACATATATATGTACGTGTATATATACACATATGTATATATGTGTATATATACACGTACATATATACATATGTATATATGTGTGTGTATACGTATATACACATATGTGTATATACGTATATACACATATATACACATATGTGTATATATACACATATATATATACGTATATATATATGAAGATTAGGTGTTTTTTTTTGTTGTTGTTGTTTGTTTTTTGTTGTTGTTGTTTCTTGTCTATGGATATGCAACTGCTCCAGCACTATTTGTTAAGCAGACGATCCTTCCTTCTTTTTGTCTCTTGGGGAAAATCAGTGTGGGACTATTTCCAGGTTCTCTGTTTTGTTCCAGTGATCTATGTGTCTATTCTTCTCCCAATACTACACAGTCTTGATTCCTGTAGCTATACAAGAAGTATTGAAATATGGTAGAGCCATTCCTCCCACCTTATTCTTCTTTTTCAAAAATTGTCTTAGCTACATATACATTTTTTGAGAAGGAGTCTCACTTTTGTCGCCCAAGCTGGAGGGCAGTGGGGTGATCTCGGCTCACTGCTGTCTCTGCCTCCCATGTTCAAGCGATTCTCCTGTCTCAGCTTCCCAAGTAGCTGGAATTTCAGGTACCCGTCACCACACCCAGCTAATTTTTGTATTTTTAGTAGAGACGGTGTTTCTCCATGTTAGCCAGGCTCGTCTCAAACTCCTGACCTCAAGCGATCCACCCATCTCGGCCTCCCAAAGTGTCTTTGTTCAGTTCAGAAAATTCTAGAACATTATTTCTTCAAGTACTGCCTTCTCCCCAGTCTTAATATTCTTTTTTTTATGTTTTTCATTTTTGTGACGTAGTTTTGCTCTGCCACCCAGGGTGTAGTGCAGTGGCAAGACCTCAGCTCACTGCAACCTCCGCTTCCCAGGTTCAACTGATTCTCCTGCCTCAGCCGCCCAAGTAGCTGGGATTTCAGATGCCCACCACCACACCGGGCTAATTTTTGTATTTTTAGTAGAGACAGGGTTTTGCCATGTTGGACAGGCTGGTCTCGAACTCCTGATCTCAGGTAATCTGCCTGCCTCGGCCTCCCAAAGTGCTGGGATGACAAGTGTGAGCCACCTCGCCAGGCCTTCACTTTCTTTAATGAACAATTATCAGAGTTTCATCTTAGAGGCAAAAGTGGCTACTGCCAGCCAATCTGTCTGTGGTGTTGGAGGGGAATCTGGCTGATTCAGACGTTTCAAATGAACTTTTAAATTAACCTACATGATGATTATCCTAAGGCCGTTTCCTCCTCCGTGTTTTTTTGATTCAGGGTTTGGAGTTTTTCAGAGGCTTTGTTACAAAGAGCATCTCCTGGTCGGGCACAGTGACTCACGCTGTAGTGCCAGCACTTTGGGAGGCCGAGGCAGGCAGATCACTTGACGTCAGGAGTTTGAGACCAGCCTGGCCAACAGGGTGAAACCCCCGTCTCTACTAAAAATACAAAAATTAGCCAGCCGTGGTGGCGGGCTCCTGTGAATTCCAGTTACTGCAGGGGCTGAGGCAGGAGAATCCCTTGAACCTGGGAGACGGAGGGTGCAGTGAGCCGAGATCACGCCACTGCACTCCAGCCTGGGCGACAGCAATTCTATCTCTTTAAAAAAAAAAAAAAAGAAACGAAAAAGAAAAAAAGAAAATTCACATCACAGGCAATAGATAGCTATAAAAGGATACTTTATGAAAGATTTCACAGGAGAGACTGATGGAAAGAAAGAAGTATATATCTTACAGAGCTAAGCAGTTCACTGCAAAAATCAACGGAACTGCCTTTTTCTCCAAAAATAGTACCCCTAAGCTATATTACTACTGGTTCTTCTAGTCCTTCCCCCTATCCCAAATCCTCAAATTGTCCATTTCCTTATTGGGATAATTTTCCTCTGCCCAGATCTGGGTCCTCCACAACACTTAACCCTGTCTTCGGGTGTTTGAATGCCCATTGTTTTAGCTCAGGTTCCCAAGGAAACAGGCTTTGGGCCATACAGGACACATCTAGGCAGACTATACTGAGAAACCATGCCTGGAACGGTGCAGGGGGAGAGGAGAGGAGAGGCAATTTACGTACCTGACTCTCACTCCTGGTTCCTATTCTTATTGGTCAAAATTTACCGCACAGGCACGAGCTCCCCCACACTTCTAGATTGCATTAGCTGCCCCTTTGGCAGCTGTCTGGGAGCCCAGATCCCACACTTTGAAGTGTAGTGTTTCATACAATCCAAAAGTGGTAGCAGAGGCCAGGCATGGTGCCTTACTCTGTAATTCAATGCCATCCCCATCAAGCTACAAATGACTTTCTTCACAGAATTGGAAAAAACTACTTTAAAGTTCATATGGAACCAAAAAAGAGCCCACATTGCCAAGTCAATCCTAAGCCAAAAGAACAAAGCCAGAGGCATCATGCTACCTGACTTCAAACTATACTACAAGGCTACAGTAACCAAAACAGCATGGTACTGGTACCAAAACAGAGATATAGATCAATGGAACAGAACAGAGCCCTTAGAAATAATGCCACATATCTACAACCATCTGATCTTTGACAAACCTGACAAAAACAGGCAAAGGGGAAAGGATTCCCTATTTAATAAATGGTGCTGGGAAAACTGGCTAGCCATATGTAGAAAGCTGAAACTGGATCCCTTCCTTACACCTTATACAAAAATTAATTCAAGATGGATGAAAGACTTAAATGTTAGACCTAAAACCATAAAAACCCTAGAAGAAAACCTAGGCAATACCATTCAGGACATAGCATGGGCAAGGACTTCATGTCTGAAACACCAAAAGCAACGACAACAAAAGCCATAATTGACAAATGGGATCTAATTAAACTCAAGAGCTTCTGCACAGCAAAAGAAACTACCATCAGAGTGAACAGGCAGCCTACAGAATGGGAGAAAATTTTCGCAACCTACTCATCTGACAAAGGGCTAATATCCAGAATCTACAATGAACTCAAATAAATTTACAAGAAAAAAACAAACAACCCCATCAAAAAGTCGGCAAAGGATATGAACAGACACTTCTCAAAAGAAGACATTTATGCAGCCAGAAGACACATGAAAAAATGCTCATCATCACTGGCCATCAGAGAAATGCAAATCAAAACCACAATGAGATACCATCTCACACCAGTTAGAATGGCAATCATTAAAAAGTCAGGAAACAACAGGTGCTGGAGAGGATGTGGAGAAATAGGAACACTTTTACACTGTTGGTGGGACTGGAAACTAGTTCAACCATTGTGGAAGTCAGTGCGGCAGTTCCTCAGGGATCTAGAACTAGAAATACCGTTTGACCCAGCCATCCCATTACTGGGTATATACCCAAAGGATTATAAATCATGCTGCTATAAAGACACATGCACACGTATGTTTATTGTGGCACTATTCACAATAGCAAAGAGTTGGAACCAACCCAAATGTCCAACAATGATAGACTGGATTAAGAAAATGTGGCATATATACACCATGGAATACTATGCAGCCATAAAAAATGATGAGTTCATGTCCTTTGTAGGGACATGGATGACACTGGAAACCATCATTCTCAGTAAGCTATCACAAGGACAAAAAACCAAGCACCGCATGTTCTCACTCATAGGTGGGAAGTGAACAATGAGAACACATGGACACAGGAAGGAGAACATCACATTCCGGGGACTGTTATGGGGTGCGGGGAGGGCGCAGGGGGGAGGGATAGCATTAGGAGATATACTTAATGAGAAATGACAAGTTAATGGGTGCAGCACACCAACATGGCACATGTATACATATGTAACAAACCTGCACATTGTACACATGTACCCTAAAACTTAAAGTACAATAATAATAAAATTTAAAAAAATGTTTTCAAGGATCAATTCTTAACAGTAGAGGAAAATAGGAAAGCGTGTCAGTGGTCCACCAGAAATATTGAGGCATTCCTGGGAGATAGAGTAGATGGGGTCAGACTGATAGAGAAACCCAAGGAGACAAGACCACAGCTCAAATCACTGTAGGCGAGAGATGCTGTTTGTTTTTTGAGACGGAGACTTACTCTGTCGCCCAGGCTGAGTAAGTTTTAGGGGATCCTCTAGAGACGACGGGCATGCATGCACCCCATACCAGTCCCCGGAATGTGATGTCTTCCTTCCTGTGTCCATGTGTTCTCATTGTTCACTTCCCACCTATGAGTGAGAACATGCGGTGCTTGGTTTTTTGTCTTTGTGATAGCTTACTGAGAATGATGGTTTCCAGTGTCATCCATGTCCCTACAAAGGACATGAACTCATCATTTTTTATGGCTGCATAGTATTCCATGGTGTATATATGCCACATTTTCTTAATCCAGTCTATCATTGTTGGACATTTGGGTTGGTTCCAACTCTTTGCTATTGTGAATAGTGCCACAATAAACATACGTGTGCATGTGTCTTTATAGCAGCATGATTTATAATCCTTTGGGTATATACCCAGTAATGGGATGGCTGGGTCAAACGGTATTTCTAGTTCTAGATCCCTGAGGAACTGCCGCACTGACTTCCACAATGGTTGAACTAGTTTCCAGTCCCACCAACAGTGTAAAAGTGTTCCTATTTCTCCACATCCTCTCCAGCACCTGTTGTTTCCTGACTTTTTAATGATTGCCATTCTAACTGGTGTGAGATGGTATCTCATTGTGGTTTTGATTTGCATTTCTCTGATGGCCAGTGATGATGAGCATTTTTTCATGTGTCTTCTGGCTGCATAAATGTCTTCTTTTGAGAAGTGTCTGTTCATATCCTTTGCCGACTTTTTGATGGGGTTGTTTGTTTTTTTCTTGTAAATTTATTTGAGTTCATTGTAGATTCTGGATATTAGCCCTTTGTCAGATGAGTAGGTTGCGAAAATTTTCTCCCATTCTGTAGGCTGCCTGTTCACTCTGATGGTAGTTTCTTTTGCTGTGCAGAAGCTCTTGAGTTTAATTAGATCCCATTTGTCAATTATGGCTTTTGTTGTCGTTGCTTTTGGTGTTTCAGACATGAAGTCCTTGCCCATGCTATGTCCTGAATGGTATTGCCTAGGTTTTCTTCTAGGGATTTTATGGTTTTAGGTCTAACATTTAAGTCTTTCATCCATCTTGAATTAATTTTTGTATAAGGTGTAAGGAAGGGATCCAGTTTCAGCTTTCTACATATGGCTAGCCAGTTTTCCCAGCACCATTTATTAAATAGGGAATCCTTTCCCCTTTGCCTGTTTTTGTCAGGTTTGTCAAAGATCAGATGGTTGTAGATATGTGGCATTATTTCTAAGGGCTCTGTTCTGTTCCATTGATCTATATCTCTGTTTTGGTACCAGTACCATGCTGTTTTGGTTACTGTAGCCTTGTAGTATAGTTTGAAGTCAGGTAGCATGATGCCTCTGGCTTTGTTCTTTTGGCTTAGGATTGACTTGGCAATGTGGGCTCTTTTTTGGTTCCATATGAACTTTAAAGTAGTTTTTTCCAATTCTGTGAAGAAAGTCATTTGTAGCTTGATGGGGATGGCATTGAATTACAGAGTAAGGCACCATGCCTGGCCTCTGCTACCACTTTTGGATTGTATGAAACACTACACTTCAAAGTGTGGGATCTGGGCTCCCAGACAGCTGCCAAAGGGGCAGCTAATGCAATCTAGAAGTGTGGGGGAGCTCGTGCCTGTGCGGTAAATTTTGACCAATAAGAATAGGAACCAGGAGTGAGAGTCAGGTACGTAAATTGCCTCTCCTCTCCTCTCCCCCTGCACCGTTCCAGGCATGGTTTCTCAGTATAGTCTGCCTAGATGTGTCCTGTATGGCCCAAAGCCTGTTTCCTTGGGAACCTGAGCTAAAACAATGGGCATTCAAACACCCGAAGACAGGGTTAAGTGTTGTGGAGGACCCAGATCTGGGCAGAGGAAAATTATCCCAATAAGGAAATGGACAATTTGAGGATTTGGGATAGGGGGAAGGACTAGAAGAACCAGTAGTAATATAGCTTAGGGGTACTATTTTTGGAGAAAAAGGCAGTTCCGTTGATTTTTGCAGTGAACTGCTTAGCTCTGTAAGATATATACTTCTTTCTTTCCATCAGTCTCTCCTGTGAAATCTTTCATAAAGTATCCTTTTATAGCTATCTATTGCCTGTGATGTGAATTTTCTTTTTTTCTTTTTCGTTTCTTTTTTTTTTTTTTTAAAGAGATAGAATTGCTGTCGCCCAGGCTGGAGTGCAGTGGCGTGATCTCGGCTCACTGCACCCTCCGTCTCCCAGGTTCAAGGGATTCTCCTGCCTCAGCCCCTGCAGTAACTGGAATTCACAGGAGCCCGCCACCACGGCTGGCTAATTTTTGTATTTTTAGTAGAGACGGGGGTTTCACCCTGTTGGCCAGGCTGGTCTCAAACTCCTGACGTCAAGTGATCTGCCTGCCTCGGCCTCCCAAAGTGCTGGCACTACAGCGTGAGTCACTGTGCCCGACCAGGAGATGCTCTTTGTAACAAAGCCTCTGAAAAACTCCAAACCCTGAATCAAAAAAACACGGAGGAGGAAACGGCCTTAGGATAATCATCATGTAGGTTAATTTAAAAGTTCATTTGAAACGTCTGAATCAGCCAGATTCCCCTCCAACACCACAGACAGATTGGCTGGCAGTAGCCACTTTTGCCTCTAAGATGAAACTCTGATAATTGTTCATTAAAGAAAGTGAAGGCCTGGCGAGGTGGCTCACACTTGTCATCCCAGCACTTTGGGAGGCCGAGGCAGGCAGATTACCTGAGATCAGGAGTTCGAGACCAGCCTGTCCAACATGGCAAAACCCTGTCTCTACTAAAAATACAAAAATTAGCCCGGTGTGGTGGTGGGCATCTGAAATCCCAGCTACTTGGGCGGCTGAGGCAGGAGAATCAGTTGAACCTGGGAAGCGGAGGTTGCAGTGAGCTGAGGTCTTGCCACTGCACTACACCCTGGGTGGCAGAGCAAAACTACGTCACAAAAATGAAAAACATAAAAAAAAGAATATTAAGACTGGGGAGAAGGCAGTACTTGAAGAAATAATGTTCTAGAATTTTCTGAACTGAACAAAGACACTTTGGGAGGCCGAGATGGGTGGATCGCTTGAGGTCAGGAGTTTGAGACGAGCCTGGCTAACATGGAGAAACACCGTCTCTACTAAAAATACAAAAATTAGCTGGGTGTGGTGACGGGTACCTGAAATTCCAGCTACTTGGGAAGCTGAGACAGGAGAATCGCTTGAACATGGGAGGCAGAGACAGCAGTGAGCCGAGATCACCCCACTGCCCTCCAGCTTGGGCGACAAAAGTGAGACTCCTTCTCAAAAAATGTATATGTAGCTAAGACAATTTTTGAAAAAGAAGAATAAGGTGGGAGGAATGGCTCTACCATATTTCAATACTTCTTGTATAGCTACAGGAATCAAGACTGTGTAGTATTGGGAGAAGAATAGACACATAGATCACTGGAACAAAACAGAGAACCTGGAAATAGTCCCACACTGATTTTCCCCAAGAGACAAAAAGAAGGAAGGATCGTCTGCTTAACAAATAGTGCTGGAGCAGTTGCATATCCATAGACAAGAAACAACAACAACAAAAAACAAACAACAACAACAAAAAAAAACACCTAATCTTCATATATATATACGTATATATATATGTGTATATATACACATATGTGTATATATGTGTATATACGTATATACACATATGTGTATATACGTATACACACACATATATACATATGTATATATGTACGTGTATATATACACATATATACATATGTGTATATATACACGTACATATATATGTATATGTATACGTGTATATGTGTGTAATATTTACGTGTATATATATACATATATGTGTATATATATACTATATATGTGTATATATATATATATATAAAACTCAAGTGGATCATAGATTTAAATCTAAAATATAACACTAAAAAAACTTTTACAAGAAAGCGTAGGAGAAACGTCTGAGATCTAGGCATGGTGAATGGTTCAAAAAACATAATCCATAAGGAAAAAAATAAATTAGATTTCATCCAATTTAAAACTTTTGCTCTGTAGAAACCGTGTTAAAAGGATGAAAAAACAGGGTGTAAACTGGGAGAAAATGTTTGCAAACCACGTATCCAAGAAAGGACTCACATCCAGAATATATAACGGATACGTATAGTACTCTCAAAACTCAACGGTATGCCAGGCGTGGTGGCTCACGCTTGTAATCCCAGCACTTTGGGAGGTCGAGGTGGATGGAGGGTAGATCCCTTGAGGCCAGGAGCTCGAGACCAGCCTGGGCAACATGGCAAAACCCATCTCTACTAAACATACAAAAATTAGACAGGCATGATGGTTCGCACCTGTAATCCCAGCTACACCGGAGGCTGAGGCACGAGAATCGCTTGAACCTGGGAGGCAGAGGTTGGAGTGAGCCAAGATCATGCCACTGTATTCCAGCCTTGGTAACAGAGCGAGACTCTGTCTCAAAAACAAAACAAAACAACGGTAAAAAAAAACAAACAAATAATTCAATTAGAAAATTATGAAGATATATGAACATACATTTCACTGAAGAGGAAATAAGCAAATAAGCACATGAGAGGCTGTTCAACACTTACTTGCTTCACTAGATGCAAATTAAGACCACGATGAGGCAGCACTACACACTTATTACAACAGCTAAAATAAAAGACATAGTGACAATACGAAATGCTGGAAAGGATGCAGAGAAACTGGACATCTAATAAAATGCTACTGGGAAGGTAAAATCTTACAGCCACTCTGGAAAGCAGTTTGGTAGTTTCTTATAAAACTAAACATGCAGTGACCATACAATTCATCAATTACACTTCAGAGAAATTAAAATGTATGCCTATCCAGAAACTTGTACATAATTGTTCATAGCAACTTTACTTGTAATAGCCAAATAGCCGGATATAATCAATATGTCCAACAATAGGTGAATGGTGAAACTGTGGTACATCCATACCATGTAATACTACTCAGTAATAAAAATGAACCATTGGCCGTGCGCGGTGGCTCACACTTGTAATCCCGGTATTTTGGGAAGCCGAGGCAGGCAGATCATGAGGTCAGGAGGCAAGTAGATCATGAGATCAGGAGTTTGAGACCAGCCTGGCTAATATGGTGAAACCCTGTCTCTACTAATAATACAAAAATTAACTGGGCGTGGCGGCGTGCACCTGTAGTCCCAGCTACTTGGGAGGCTGAGGCACGAGAATCGCTTAAACCCGGGAGGCAGAGGTTGCAGTGAGCCAAAACCGCGCCACTGCGCTCCAGCCTGGGTGACATAGTGAGACTCCATCTCAACAACAACAACAACAAAAATATGAACTATTGATACACAAATATTAATAGCTTGGATGAATCTCCAGGGAATTATGCTGAGTAGAAATAAGCCTCTAAAATGTTATATACCATGAGATTTCATTCGTATAGCATTGTAGAAAATATAAAATAGTAGAAATGAAAAATAGATTAGTGGTTGTCAGGGGTTAGGGATGGCGGATGGGAGGAGAGTGAGTATTACTAAAAATGAGTAGCACAAGGGATGGCACTGTGGTGATGGAAATGGTCTGTACCATTTTTTTTTTTAAATTCCAAGATTGAGTCTCACTTTGTCACCCAGGCTGGAATGCAGTGGCAGGATCTCTCGGCTCACTGCAACCTCTGCCTCCCAGGTTTGAGCCATTCACCTGTCTCACACTCCCATGGATCTGGGTATACAGGCACGTGCCACCACGCCTGGCTAATTTTTGTATTTTTAGTAGAGAGGGGGTTTCACCATCTTGACAGGCTGGTCTCGAACTCCTGACCTCAAGTGATCTGCCTACCTTGGCCTACCAATGCGCTGGGATTACAGGCGTGAACCACTGCACCTGGCCATGTTCTGTATCTTTTTTTTGTTTTTTCCTGAAATATAAGCCTTATTTTAAATTTAAAGAAATATTAAAAATAAACTTTTTTTACAAATTATAATCAAGCACTCAAAACAATTTAGGAATTTTAATCACTAATTCTTAATTCAAAATAATGACAACCATAGAATACATTCTGGTGTTTGCCAATATGAAGTTTACTTAATATTAGTATTTTACATATGACTAACCATTCGCCCTTCCTAAAATTTAATGATAGCAGTGATTTGACTTTACAAGATGAAGCCTTTTATGCAATACCCCAGAGATAACTTTTTCAAATACAAAAAATTTTTACCAGCAAGGAAATTATAAAAACATATATAAAGTATACTGAAGGACGTGATTTAAAGGCTGTTCTGTATACATAGATATGTTTTACCTTAGAAAGTACAGATGCACATCAAAACACTTTCACTGAATATAGATGCCACTACATTCTCTTACTTACGTTACGAAGCAAAAGGCAGGTTCATAAACGTTGTTCTATTGTGTATCAACTGAAAATAATGGATATTCCACACAAAGGCTTTGAAGACACATGGGAGTAGAATGTGCCTACATTTAGAGCAGAGCTTTTACAGGACCACCTGTCTCCAGCCGGCTCCCAGGGACCACTGAAAACAGCTGCTACCCTCAGAAAGACAAGATGGTCTTGTTAATGATTTCACTGGACTCTCGAATCTCATCCTCCTTGATCACCAGTGGAGGCGCAAACCTGACGATGTCACCATGGGTTGGCTTGGCCAGAAGTCCATTATCTCGAGTCTTAGAATCACCTTCCAAGCATCACGATCTTTGGTTTCTTTAATAACAATAGCGTTTAATACTTCTTTTCCTCACTGGGCATGGTGGCTCACACCTGTAATCCCAGCATTTTGGAAGGCCTAGGCAGGTGATCCATTGTTTTCTTAGTTGGACATGATCCTGGCATTTAGTGAGTACCTATTACTTAATCTAACATAACACAACTTTAATATTTCATCTCCATATGGTAAGAGCAAGAGAAAAAAACATTTCAAATTACATGAAAAGTTCACTTATAAACATGTATCTCACAGTTACCTCATTTATTCATTTTAACTATTATACCTAGATTACTTATGAAAACTGACATATTAAACAAAGCCAGTCGGCCGGGGTCGGTGGCTCACGCCTGTAATCCCAGCACTTAGGGAGGCCAAGAAGGGCAGATCACTTGAGGTCAGGAGTTCAAGACCAGCCTGGCCAACAAGGTGAAACCCCATCTCTACCAAAAATACAAAAATTATCCAGGCATGGGGGCGCACGCCTAGAGTCCCAGCTACTTGGGAGGCTGAGACAGGACAATCTCTTGAACCTGGGAGGCAGAGGCTGCAGCGAGCCGAGATAGCACCACTGCACTCCAGCCTGGGCGACAGAGGGAGACTCTGCTCTAAATAAATAAATAAATAAATAAATAAATAAATAAATAAAGCTAGTCATTTGGAGTTATTTTCCTATTAAAACATTTTTATAGCCTGTAAATGTCAGGTATCCACCTGAGCAAAAACCTTAAATATATGAGTATTTTGCCAATAACTCAGAAAATACAGCTGTTTTATTACACCCACAATATTAAATTAGTCTTACTTATCAAAGAATTGCACATAAAAGACCATTCTGTTTTTAGGTTAGGTTTATGTTTCATAACCTTAAAACATCCAACAGAGACAAATATAGAACCAGTAAACCCAGCCAAAAATGTGTGGTCACAATTTTGAAAACATTTCTCATTTTATTTTACCAACAATTTTAAAACCAGCTTATTTTTCAACTACTTAATTAAGTTGCATGAACTAAATGCGTTTTAGTTAATTACTGTGTATTTATATGAGTACCTAGTTAAGCCAATCTGAATAGGATTCTTTAAATAATTGTTTGCCAACGATTCCAGATTTTACCACGTAGACACATTTAACATAACACATGTACATACGTATGAATACGCCCAAACACAGATACGTACATAAACAAAGATAACTTTCATTTTAGAATTTTGATTATGGGACAGTAAAACATACAAACTCACCAATTTATAAAAGACGTTGGATCTAAATTATATTTCTGACAAAATGGAAGAAGGCTAAACTTTATTTAAGATTTTTCTCCTCAATAGGTAATCCTATGAAGGTGGTGACCCAAATTTTGGGTAAAGCAGTTTGAGTCAGTTACCAACATGTTGAATTAGACAAAGAATTGTTAACTGTAAAAATGTGACTGAATTATGTGAGAAGGCCCAAAAGATAAGTGGTATTCCAATAAGCTTTGTATAGTGTTCTCTTGGTCTCAATTCCTCATCCTTGAAGATAAGAGTGTTGTCTTCCCTTTTAGTATAGGAAGGAGATCTTTTACATGGGAATTTCATCTTTTGCTTTTAAGAAACACTACAAAGGTCAGTGATTTTATTTTATTTGTATCTGATGTCTTTCAACTGTCTTTATTTTAATAGTCAGTATGTCAGAGTAGCTGAGGAGTTTTGGAAAAAGAGTTTTGCTTAAAGAAGGATAAAGAGGAAGAGGTAAACAAAGGAGAGGGGAAGGCTTTGGAGAAGAAAATCTCAGCTAGCTTTAGACAGTATCTTGCAGTGAGGCAGCCTTTGAGTCTTGAATGTGTTCTGGAGCCTCAAGATACCAACTGAGATAGGAGTCCCATTTGGACTGTATTATTTTAGTTCAGTTTGAGGAAAACAGACTGCGTGAATGATCCCCATAATGTTGGCACATATTACCAGCTGGCGTCCCAGAAAGAGGGAACTATGTTGGCATGCCTTTGAACTTTGAGAGCCTGTGTGTAAATAAATTAATCTAGGTGATTCGGTTTAATGCCTAATACACAAAAGCCAAATTAAACTCTAAGCATGCAAACGATTCAGAAAATAAAGTACAAACTTACCAGGAAGCATGAGAAGCCTTCTCTAACAGAAAAATCTCTGTAACCAGGCCTCATAACCAGGAGGGAGAAAATCCCTCTTAAACAGGCCGTCTCTGGCTGGGTGTAGTGGCTCATGCCTGTAATCCCAGCACTTTGGGAGGCCGAGGCGGGCAGATCACTCGAGCTCAGGACTTCAAGACCAGCCTGGCTAACAGGGTGAAACCACATGTCTACTAAAAAACACAAAAATTATCCAGGCGTAGTGGCGCACACCTGTAATCCCAGTTACTCGGGAGGACGATGCACGAGAATCAGTTGAGCCTGGGAGGTGAAGGTTGCAGTGAGCCCAGATCACACCACTGCACTGCAGCCTGGGCGACAGAGCGAAACACTGTCTCAAAAAAAGAAGAAAAGAGAAAGACAAGATAAAAAAGACAAGACAAGAAAAGAAAGGAAAAGAAAAGAGGAGGTTTCATAACCAGGAGAGAGAGAAAGACCCTTCCTAACAAATTCCCAAATAAAACTGAACTCAACTCCTCAGCAAATGGCAGTTTGATCCAAGAAAGACTCACCAGGGGGGAAAGAGGCAACCAGAAAAGCAAAAGCTCAAGGGGACCAAGTGTGCAGACCTCACGCCATAGTTCCAGAGGTCATTGATATCTCCAAGGTGAGTCAGCTTCGGACCCCACTTCTGACACCACAAATATCAAAGTCAAAACCTATGGAGACGAGTCTCTTTTTTTAACTACAATATTAAGGATGTTATATTATGTTTTTGTTTTTGTTTTTTGTTTTGAGACCGGGTCTCACTCTGTCGCCCACCCCGGAGTGCAGTGGCACAATCTCGGCTCACTGCAACCTCTGCCTCCCCGACTCAGCCTCTGGAATAGCTGGGATTACAGGCATGCACCACCACATCCAGCTAATTTTTGTATTTTTTTGTGGTGACAGGGTTTCACCACGTTGTCCAGGCAGGTCACGAACCCCTGGGCTCAAGCGATCCACCGGCCTCAGCCTCCCACAGGGCTGGGATTACAGGGTGAGCCACCACGCCAGGCCATGAATCTCTAAACATTTTACTTGAGAATCACAGAATTGTGATGTGAGGCATACACCCAAACTGGCTGGTCTTTGGTATGTCCAAAGAACAAAGAGAAAGTTGAGAGTTTTATTAGAAACAGAAATGTTACCTATAGTTTTTAAAGCAAGTCCATTGGCACCAGAGAAGCTTTCAGGAGCTGGAAGCTCTGATTGGTGAGTGTGGACAATAGGTAAAACAAGCCTTAGAGTCATTGCAGGTTGTTTCAGCAGTTACTAGGTAAAAGTGCTCTTAGGGTGGCAGCAGGCCATTTCAGCCACCAGCCTTGTGGAAAATTCAATTCTTAGAGCAGGTGCAATGTGCCCTGAGTGCTTTTTCCCCTGGCCACACAACTCTGACATAGTTGTGTATGTCAAGAATGAGTCAATTCAGTGGGTTGCGGTGGAGCACGCCTGTAATCACAGCACTTTGGGAGGCCAAGGCGGACAGATGGCTTGAGGTCAGGAGTTTGAGACCAGCCTGGTCAACATGGCAAAACCCTGTCTCCGGTAAAAATACAAAATTAGTCGGGTGTGGTGGCACGTGGCTGTAGTCCCAGCTGCTCGGGAGGCTGAGGCGGGAGAATCGCTTCAACCCAGGAAGCTGAGGTTTCAGTGAGCCGAGATCACGCATGGCACTCCAGCCTGGGTGACACAGAGAGACTTCATCTCAAAAACAAAAAAAAAAACAAAAAAAAAAACAAAAAAACAAACAAAAAACAAAACAAAACAAACAAAAAAAACAACTAAGAGTGACTCACTTCACATAATCAACTTTCACAATGTTTAAAGCAGAGTCCTGTTTAGCAATGCACAAAAATTCTCCTTTGTGACCCATTCATTTTACTGCTGTTGGCTTTCTTGCTTTTGCTTTCAGACAGAGACACTCTCCTTTGACCAAACTTGAATCGGGCTCCTCTGAGTCCTGTTTCTGACTAGGTCCCAACCTCGGGCTCTGTCCTTCATCCAGGGACTCTGCCCATTTAGCCTGTTTCAGCAAAAATCCTGTCAAGTCAGTTTAGCCAGAATTCCCCTGCACCTGAGGTTTCCTCCAAGTAATTTCCCATCTTCTGACCCCCCGACCCTACTCCTTGACTACAAATCCCCACTTGTCCTTGTGGAGTTGAAGTCGATCCCAATATCACTCTCCCACCGCAAGACCCCATTACGGTGGTCCCTGTACCTATCACAGTAGTCCCCCCTCTGAGTAAAATCGTCCTTACGATCTTTTTTTTTTTTTTTTTTTTTTTTCAGAGACAAAGTCTCACTCTGTAACTCAGGCTGGAGTGCAGTGACCCAATCCTAGCTCACTGCAGCCTCAAACTCCAGGGCCCAAGCAATCTTCCTGCCCCAGCCTCCCGAATAGCTGGGACTACAGGTACGCACCACCAAATCCAACCATATATATATATATATATACACATATATTTTTTTTTTTTTTTAATTCTCTACAGACCCAGGAACTTGATATGCCCGTCTAATTTTTGAATTTTTTGTAGAGACGGCGTTTTGCCATGTTGCCCAGGCTGGTCTTGAACTCCCGGGCTCAATCAATCCTCTTGCCTCAGGCTCCCAAAGTGCTGGGATTACAGGCACGAGCCACTGCAGCTGGCCCTTCCTTACAGTCTCTAATAAGTGCAGTAAATACTTGTTTGCTTTAACATTTCCCTGTGTCTTCAATCTCCTGAAGTCATGTGGCTGACATTGTCTTTACTCCACCCGGTATAAAAATTCCTTTCTTTCGTCGGGTGCAGTGGCTTACGCCTGTAATCCCAGCGCTTTGGGAGGCCGAGGCAGGCAGATAACCTGAGGTCAGGAGTTCCAGACCAGCTTGGCCAACATGGCAAGACCCCATCTCTACTAAAAGTACAAAAATTAGCCGGGTGTGGTGGTGTGCGCCTGTAGCCCCAGCTACTCAGGAGGCTGAGGCAGGAGATTTGCTTGAACCCAGGAGGCAGAGGTTGCAGTGAGCTGAGATCATGCCACTGCACTCCAGCCTGGGTGAGAAAGCGAGACTCTGTCTCAAAAAAAAAATCATTTTTTTCAACAGCTTGGAGTTATTACACCATTGTATCCTTGCCTCCAGTGTGGTATTTGAGAGATCCGGTGTCAGTTTATTTTTCCTCCGTAAGTAACCTGCTATTTCTCTCTGATCGTTTTTAAAATATTTTTTCTTTGTCTTTCACAATTTTACATTTCACTTTTCCTGTGTGTATGTGTGTACTATAATACCTTTAAACCTTAAGTCATTTTTTTAAATCTGAGGAATTCTCATTGATTGCTTATTTAAGTACACTCTCCTTTTTAATAACTGTATTCTCTTCTTATAAGGCTACTATTAGATGTGTTTTGACATTTATTCTTCTATCCTCTCTATTAATTAACTTTTCTTTCATTTACTTCTTCTCTATCCATTACTGATTACTTTTATGAATTCTTTAGACGCATTTCCTCAGCTCAGTAATTGCTTTTTCAACTATATCGGTTTTAACATCCAATCTATTCCGCTGAATTATTTATTTGAGCAGTTAATGTTTTCATATCCAATCTATCCAATAGGTTTTCTATTTATTTATTTATTTATTTATTTATTTATTTATTTATTTATTTATCTGAGACAGAGTCTTCCTCTGTCGCCCAGGTTGGAGCACAGTGGCACGATCTTGGCTCACTGAACCTCTGCCTCCCGAGTCCAAGCAATTCTCCTGCCTCAGCCTCTTGAGTAGCTGGAACCACAGGCATGTGACACTGTGCCAGGCTAATTTTTGAATTTTTAGTAGAGATGGAGTTTCACCTTGTTGGCCAGACTGGTCTCGAACTCCTGAACTCAAGGGATCCACCTGTCTCGGCCTCCCAAAGTGCTGGGATTACAGGCTTGAGCCACTGTGCCTGGCCTTTTTTTTTTTTTCTTTTTCCAGAGTTTCACTCTTGTTTCCCAGGCTGGAGTGCAATGGTGTGATCTCACCTCAATGCAACCTCCACCTCCCAGGTTCAAGTGATTCTCCTGCCCCAGCCTCCTGAATAGCTCAGGTTACAGGCGTGCACCACCGCATTCTATCATTCATTAGCATCTGTATCCCTTCCTTGAACACCAAAAAAACTTATCTTTTCTTTCCTGTCCCTGCTCCCGTCTTCCAAGTTTATAATACTGGGAATTTTAGTTCAAGACTGTAATTTTAAAATTTTTCAATCTAAAGCTTACACTTTTCAATAAATTTTACTATTTTTCTGCTCGCCATTGCTTACTGAAATCACCTCCTTCCTCCTAAATTTAGTTTTCCCTTCTCACAGGACTGGATACCAATAATTATTTCTGAAGGGTATATGCGTCATGAATTTTCTGAAATATTTTTCCCCTCATTCTGGATTATTCTGGCTGTATATAGATATCTAGGTTCAACTTTTTTATTGTTTGTTCTTGTTTTGTTTTTTTGAGACAGTGCCTGGCTCTGTCACCCAGGCTGGAATGCAATGGCACAATCTCGGCTCACTGCAATCTCCACCTCCCGGACTCAAGCAATTCTCCTGCCTCAGCCTCCCAAGTAGCTGGGACTACAGGCATGTGGCACCACACCTGGTTACTTGTATTTTTTGTAGAAGTGGGTTTCGCCTTGTTGGCCAGGCTGGTCTCAAACTCCTGAGCTCAAGTGAGCATCTGGTCTTGGCGCCGAAAGTGCTGGGACTACAGGCATGAGCCACTGCGCCTGGCCCAAAGTTATTTTAAATCAGCTCCTTGAAAAACCTCTCCATTGCATTCTCTCTTCTCTTTTTCTCTCTGGGACCTTTCAGGATTTTATCTTTATCCTAGAAATTTTACCCCGAGGGGGTGTGTGTGTGTGTGCGCTCCTGCGTGCGCAGGTGTGTGTGCACATGTGTGTTAATCAGGCTCAGAACTAGGTGGCTCTTTTCAGGTTGAAGATTCATGTCTTTGTTCAACTGGGAAAATTCTAGAACATTATTTCTTCAAGTAGTGCCTTCTCTCCAGTCTTTTTTTTTTTTTTTTTTTTTTCATTTTTGAGATGGAGTTTTGCTCTGACACCGAGGTTGGAGTGCTGTGGCAGGACCTCAGCTCACTGCAACATCTGTTTCCCGGGTTCAAGTGATTCCCCTGCCTCAGCCTCCCAAGTAGCTGGGATTTCAGGCGCCCACCACCACACTGGGCTAATTTTTGTATTTTTAGTAGAGACAGGGTTTCACCATGTTGGACAGGCTGGTCTCGAACTCCTGACCTCATGTAATCTGCCTGCCTTGGCCTCCCAAAGTGTTGGAATAACAGGCGTGAGCCACCGCGCCCGTCCCAGTCTTTCTATTCTCTACCTCTGGATCTTCTACTGGATGAACGTTGAAAGTTCTTGGATCTCTTCTCCATTTCCTTTACTATTTTCCTTTCATAATTTCTATTCTGTAATTCTTTTCTGCTATACGATAAAGTAGTGCCATGCCTGAACACATTTTTTCATTTGGTTGTTCCAGTTTCTCTTATTGATATGGAAAAGCTTTGTTACATATTAGAGATGGTTACTGTTAATTTATTGGGGATGCTTCATTTTCCCCAAAATTTGCCTTTTTTTTTTTTTTTTTTTTTGAGACGGAGTCTCACTCTATTGCCCAGGATGGAGTGCAGTGGTGCAATCTCGGCTCACTGCAAGCTCCGCCTCCCAGGTTCACGCCATTCTCCTGCCGGGTTCATACCATTCTCCTGCCTCAGCCTCCCGAGCAGCTGGGACTACAGGCACCCACCACCACACCCGGCTAATTTTTTGTACTTTTAGTAGAGACAGGGTTTCACCGTGGTAGCCAGGATGGTCTCGATCTGCTGACCTCGTGATCTGCCCGCCTTGGCCTCCCAAAGTACTGAGATTACAGGCATGAGCCACTGTGCCTGGCCTAATATTTGCCTTTTTAAACAGTTTTTTTATGGTGTCTTTTGACTTAGATGATACTTTACTTTTTACATCTTTAAATATGTCAGATTCATTGTTTATAGCCTTGGTGTAATGTCAGGAAGTGCCTATGCCAACTCAAGATGTCTTACGCTGTAATATTTTCCTAAAATTTCATCTAGTTCTTTATGACTTCACGTTTTCACATTTAAGTCTCTGAATTTTTAGAATTTATTATTTTATGTGGTTGAAAGTAAGGATTTAATGTTTATTTTTCCAAATGGATAGACAACAATCCTTTATTATACAATCCTTTATTATACACCCCATCTTTTGCCCACTGTTTGGAAATGCATGCTGAAGTTTGTATATAAATTAGTCTGTTTCTTGACTTTTTATTTTGTTTCACTAATTAATCTATTTCTATGTGTATTCATTTTTGATTGCTGCTGTAACAAATTGTCAACAGCTAAGACAACACTGGGCCCCGTGTCTCACGCCTGTATTCCCAGCACTTTGGGAGGCTGAGAGGGGCAGATCGCTTGAGGTAAGGAGTTTGAGACCAGCCTGGCCAACATGGCGAAACCCTGTCTCTACTAAAAATACAAAAATTAGCCGGGTGTGGTGGCGTGCACCTGAAATCCCAGCTACTCGGGAAGCTGAGACAGGAGAACCGCTTGAACACAGTAGACAGAAGTTGCAGTGAGCCAAGATCACCCCACTGCCCTCCAGCTTGGGCGACAAAAGTGAGACTCCATCTCAAAAAATATTTATATAGCTAAGACAATTTTTGAAAAAGAAGAAGAATAAGGTGGGAGGAATTGCTCTACCATATTTCAATACTTCTTATATAGCTACAGGAATCAAGACTATATACCATTGGGAGAAAAATAGACACATAGATCGCTGTAACAAAATAGAAAACCTAGAAATAGCCCACACTGATTTTTTACCAAGAGACAAAAATAGGGAAAGATCATCTGCTTAACAAATGGTGCTGGGGCAGTTGCAGAGCCATAGGCCAAAAAAAAAAAAATAATAATAATAAGGCCTAGTCTTCATACCTTTATACAAAAAAGTAAGTCAAGTGGATCATAGATTTAAATCTAAAATATAAAACTAAAAAAGGCCGGGCACGGTGGCTCACGCCTGTAATCCCAGCACTTTGGGAGGCCGAGGTGGGCGGATCACGAGGTCAGGAGATCGAGACCATCCTGGCTAACACAGTGAAACCCTGTCTCTACTAAAAATACAAACAAGTTAGCTGGGCGTGGTGGCAGGCGCCTGTAGTCCCAGCTACTCGGGAGGCTGAGGCAGGAGAATGGGGTGAACCTGGGAGGTGGAGCTTGCAGTGAGCCGAGATCGTGCCACTGCACTCCATCCTGGGCAACAGAGCGAGACTGCATCTCAAAAAACAAACAAACAAACAAACAAACAAATGAACTAAAAACAAAGTTTTACAAGAAAATATAGGAGAAACGTCTGAGATCTAGGGCATAGTGAATGGTTCAAAAAGCATAATACATAAGAAAAAAATAAATTAGATTTTATCCAATTTAAAACTTTTGCTCTGCAAGAAATCTTGTTAAAAGGATGAAAAAATAGGGTACGATCTGAAAGAAAATGTTTGCAAACCACATATCCAAGAAAGGACTCACATCCAGAATATACAATGGATACGTATAGTACTCTCAAAACTCAACAGTAGGCTGAGCGTGGTGGCTCACGCTTGTAATCCCAGCACTTTGAAAGGTCGAGGTGGACGGAGGGCAGATCCCTTGAGGCCAGGAGTTCAAGACCAGCCTGGGCAACATGGCAAAAAACCCATCTCTACTAAAAATACAAAAATTAGACAAGCATGATGATGCATGCCTGTAATCCCAGCTACTCTGGAGGCTGAGGCACGAGAATCACTTGAACCTCGGAGGTGGAGGTCGGAGCGAGCCAAGATCGTGCCACTGCACTCCAGCCTGGGTAACAGAGCAAGACTCTGTCTCAAGAAAAAAAAAAATAATAAAAACCTCAATGGTAAAAAATACAAACAAATAATCCAATTAGAAAATCATGAAAAGATATGAACATACATTTCACTGAAGAGGAAATAAGCAAATAAGCACATGAAAAGATGTTCAACACTCATTTGCTTCACTAGATGCAGAATAACACCACGATGAGGTATCACTACACACTTATTACAATAGCTAAAATAAAAGACATAGTGACAACACCAAATGGTGACAAGGATGCAGAGAAACTGGACACCTCATTAAGTGCTGCTGGGAAGGTAAAATCTTACAGCCACTCTGGAAAGCAGTTTGGTAGTTTCTTATAAAACTAAACAATGCAGTGACCATACAATTCAACAATTACACTTCAGAGAAATTAAAATGTATGCCCATCCAGAAACTTGTACATAATTGTTCATAGCAGCTTTACTTGTAATAGCCAATAGCTGGAAATAATCAATATGTCCTAAAATAAGTGAATGGTCAAACTGTGGTATATCCATCCCCTGGAATGCTACTCAGCAATAAAAATGAACTATCGTCAGGGCACAGTGGCTCACCCTGTTATCACAGCACTTTGGGAGGTCGAGGCGGGTGGATGATGATGTCAGGAGTTCAAGACCAGCCTTGCCAGTATGTTGAAACCCCATCTTTACTACTGATACAAAAATTACCCGGGTGTGGTGGCGCGCACCTGTAGTCAGAGCTACTCGGGAGGCTGAGGCTGGAAAATTGCTTGAACCCGGGAGGCAGACAGTTGCAGTGAGCCGAGACACTGCACTCTAGCCTGGGTGACAGAGTGAGACTCTGTCTCAACAACAACAACAACAACAATGAACTATTGATACACAAATATCAATATCTTGGAGGAATCTCCATGGAATTACGCTGAGTGAAATAAGCCCGTAAAACGTTATATACTGTAAGATTTCACTTGTACAGCATTGTAGAAAAGACAAAATTGTGGAAACGAAAAACAGATTTGTGGTTGCCAGGGATTAGGGATGGCGGATGGGAGGAGAGTATTACTAAAAATGAGTAGCACAAGGGATAGCATTGCGGTGATGAAAATGTACTGTACATTTTTTTTTTCAAGAGGGATTCTCACTCTGTCTCCTAGGCTGTAGTGCAGTGGCACACTCTCGAGCTCACTGCAGCCTCTGCCTCCCGGGTTCGAGCTATTCTGTCTCAGCCTCCCATGTAGCTGGGACTACAGGCGGGTGCCACCATGCCTGGCTAATTTTTGTACTTTTAGTAGAGACGGGGTTTCTCCATGTTGGCCAGGCTGGTCTCAAACTCCTGACCTCAAGTGATCTGCCCACCTCGACCCTCCCAAAAGTGCTGGGATTACAAGCGTGAACCACTGCACCCGGCCCATGTTCTGTCTCTTTTTTTTTTTTTTCTGAAATATAAGCTTTGTTTAAAATGTAAAGAAATATTAAAAATAAACTTTTTTTTACAAATTATAATCAAGCACTCAAAACAATTTAGGGATGTTAAACACTAATTCTTAATTCAAAATAATGACATCCATAGAATATATCCTGGTGTTGGTCAACATAAAGTTTACTTAATATTAGTAATTTATAGGCCAGGCTCAGTGGCTCACACCTGTAATCCCAACACTTTGGGAGGTCGAGGCGGGCGGATCACGAGGTCAGGAGATCGAGACCATCCTGGCTAACACGATGAAACCCCGTCTCTACTAAGAATACAAAAAATTAGCCAGGCGTTTTGGTGGGCACCTGTAGTCCCAGCCACTCGGGAGGCTGAGGCAGGAGAATGGCGTGAACCCAGGAGGCGGAGCTTGCAGTGAGCGGAGATCGAGCCACTGCACTCCAGCCTGGGCGACAGAGCGAGACTCCGTCTCAAAACAAAAACAAAAACAAAAAACAAAAGAAAACAAAAGAACTAGTATTTTTTATATGCTTAACCATTGATCCTTCCTAAAATTCAATGAAAACAATGATTTGACTTTATAAGGTGCAGCCTTTTATGTAATACGCTAGAGATACTTTTTCAAATACAAAACCTTTATACCAGCAAGGAAATTATAAAAGCATATATAAAGTATACTGAAGGATGTGATTTAAAGGCTGTCTGTATATACAGATGCATTTCACCTTATAAAGTACACGTGCACATCAAAACGCTTTCACTGAATATAGATGCCATTACATTCTCTTAACACTACAAAGCAAATGTCAGGTTCATGAACATTGTTCCATTGTGTATCAACTGAAAAAAACATATATACACAAAAAGATTTTGACGGCACATGGGAGTGGAATGTGCCTACATTTAGAGCAGAGCTTTTACAGGACCACCTGTCTCCAGCCGGCTCCCAGGGACCACTGAAAACAGCTGCTACCCTCAGAACGACAAGATGGTCTTGTTAATGATTTCACTGGACTCTCGAATCTCATCCTCCTTGATCACCAGCAGAGGTGAAACCTGATGATGTCACCATGGGTGGGCTTGGCCAGAAGTCCATAATCTCAAAGTCATAGACACACCTCCCAAGCATTACAGTCTATGGTTTCTTTAATAACAATAGCATTTAATAATTATTTTCCTCCCGGGCACAGTGGCTCACGCCTGTAATCCCAACACTTTGGGAGGCTGAGGCGGGTGGATCGCCTGAGGTCAGGAGTTCGAGACCAGCCTGGCCAACATGGCGAAACCCCGTCTCTACTAAAAATACAAAAATTAGCCGGGCATAGTGGCGCGTGCCTGTAATCCCAGCTACTCAGGAGGCTGAGGCAGGAGAATCGCTAGAACCCAGCAGGCAGAGGTTGCAGTGAGCCAAGATCGCGCCATTGCACTCCAACCTGGGCAACCAGAATGAACCTCTGACTCAAAATAATAGCAATAATAATAATTCTGTTCCTCTTATGGCAGTTACAACATCAAAAGGTAGCTTCATGGGTTCACTTCTCACGATAATACCCATTTTTTTTTCTGCATTTTCAGCAAGATTTTCTTGTTCTAAAACCTCAAGGGCTGCGATGGTCACTCAGCAGCCTAGTGGATTGCCACCGTATGTGGACCCATGTTCCCCTGGCTTAATGGTCAGCATTATGCCATCGTCCCACAGCACTGCAGACACAGAGTATCAACCTCCAGAAAGGGCCTTTCCAAGGAGGACTATATCAGGACTGACATTTTCATGATCAACAGCCAGCCATCTACCAGTTCTGGCCAATCCTATCTGTATTTCATCAACAATGAACAGAACCAAGCTGGGAGCATGAGATGGGACGAGGGCAAGTAAAAATACCACAAAGCTCACTGTTCTTACGGAGATTCAGCTGGTCTCTCTCTCGCTCTTTCTTTCTTTCTTTCTTTCTTTTTCAGTCTTGCTCTGTCGCCCAAGCTGGAGTGCAGTGGTGTGATCTCAGCTCAATGCAACCTCCACTTCCCGGGTTCAAATCATTGAGTGAGCCCAGGAGGTCAAGACCAACCTGGGAAACATAGCAAAAGGCAGGGTGGTGCATGCCTGTAGTCCCAAGGCCGAGGCGGGAGAATCACTTGAGTCCCAGAGGTAGAGCCCAGCCTGGACAACATAGCGAAACTGTCTCTAATAGAAAAATTAAAAATATTAGTGGGGGCGGGGTGGTGTGAGCCCATAGTCCCGAGGCCGAGGCGGGAGGATTGCTTGAGCCTAGGAGGTCGAGGCCAGCCTGGCCAACATAGCGAAACCCCATTTCTGCTAACAACAAGAACAACAGAAAAATAGCGTGGGCGGGGTGGCTCACTCCTGTAGTTTTGAGGCCAAGGTGGGAGCATTGCTTGAGCCCAGGAGTTTGATACCAGCCTGGCCAACAAAGCGAAAGCCTGCCTCTCCTAAAAAATAAATAAATAAATAAATAAATAAAAATGAGCGGGGTAGAATGGCACACGCCTATAGTTCTGAGGCCGAGGTGGAAGCATCATCTGAGCCTGAGAGGTTGAGGCCAGCCTGGGCAACATATCGAAACCCGGTTTCCACTAAAACGAAACAAAACAAAACAAAAAATAGCTTGGGCAGGGTGGTGCATGGCTGTAGTCCTGAGATGGGAGGATCCCTTGAGTCCAGGAGCTTGATGCCGGCCTGGCCAACATAGGGAAACACGGTTTCTACTAAAAAAAAAAAAAAAAAAAAAAGCGTGGGCAGGGTGGTGCATGCCTGTCGTCTCGAGGCCATGGCGGAAGGATCCCTTGAGCCCAGGACGATGAGACCAGCCTGGCCAACATAGCAAAACCTGGTTTCTACTTAAAAAAAAAAAAAAAAAAAAGCGTGGGCTGGGTGGTGAATGCCTGTAGTCCCGAGGCCGAGGTGGGAGGATCGCTTGAGCCCACGACGTCAAGACCAGCCTGGCCAACACAGCGAAACCTTCTCTATTAAAAAATCAAAAAATAAAAAATATTAGTGGGGGTAGGGTGGTTCGCGCCTGTAGTCCCAAGACGGAGGCTGGAGGATTGGCCAAGGCAGATGTAACCAATACCACAATCACATCCCATAAGTAAATACATTTTCCTCTCTTCAGGGCTACAGGTAAAGGATGGTAATTGTGCGCACCATACTTAAGATTCCCTTTCAAAAATGTAAGCAGAGGTTGCGGGGCCTTGGACTGTTTTTTCAGTGGCAACAGACATAGAAGCCACTGAAGAATGAAAGCCACGACTAAGTATAGCAAACCTCCGCAAATGTGCTAGTTTGGAAAACATCGTGTCTTTCAAGTAGAAAAATCACAGATTGACTATTTTTTTCTTCCCACAGTTCAGACTAGAATCCAGATTTTTAACCCAAGATCCAGGAACGGTCTTCAGAGAGTTCAAAATCTGACGGCGCCTGAGGACCACCCACTTTTTCGCAGTGGCAACAAAGTGTGGCTGGAGGAGGAGACATTATTCTGCTATGTCACTGCCCAAGGATGATGGACCAATCAGGGCAGTTAGTGAACTCCATCTGGCCAATTAGAAGTCAGAACAGTAGGCGGAACAAGCGAAGCGGATGTGGCTTCTATCAGTCCCGGCTCCAGGGACGGAACCTTCTCAAAGTGGGGGTGGAGACTCTAATTTTCCCGCCTAAAGCATCCCCTGGGATTGGCTACTTTAAGTTCAGAGTACGCATGCTCTGACTTTCTCTCTCTTTCGATTCTTCCATACTCAGAGTACGCACGGTCTGATTTTCTCTTTGGATTCTTCCAAAATCAGAGTAAGCATACGCCGATTTTCTTTTTCCATTCTTCCTACCCCTCCCCTCCTCCGCGGTGCATTTGCTATCTAGTTTTAATAAGGAGTGTATATGAGGCAGGCCGCCATCTCGAATCTTTCCTGTCAGTTTCTAACTTTTTCAGGTACGGGATTTTTCCTAGGAACTCTGTAGTAACTTAAGAAATTTGGGCCGGGCGTGGTGGCTTACACTTGTAATCCCTGCACTTTTGGAAGCCACAGCTGGTGGATCGCCTGAACCTAAGAGGCGGAGGTTGCAGTGAGCCATGATCACGCCAGTGCACTCCCGACTGGGCAACAGAGCGAGACCCTGTCTGAAAAAACAAAAACCAAAAAAGCTCACTCAAATCTTTCCTCCTGGGCTCAAGTGAGCCTCTCGCCTAGGCCTTGGGGCTACAGGCGCGCACCACCCCGCTTCTGCTAAATTTTGTTTGTTTTTTTTAGTAGAGATGGTTTTGCTACGTTTGCGAGCCTGGTCTCAAGCTCCTGGGCTAAGGCGATCCGCCCACCTTGGCCTTCCAAAGTGCTGGGATGGTACAGGCCTGCTCCACCAACCCCAGCTAACTTTTTGTGTATTTTGTAGACGGGGGTTTTGCTGTGTTTCCCAGCCGGGTCTCGACCTCCTGGGCTCAAGCGGCCTGCACGCCTCGGCCTCCCAAAGTGCTGGGATTACAGGCGTGAGCCACGGCGCCTGGCTGATTGCTGCATCTTGAAATGCCCCACATTCTCTCTAAGTGATGGCGGGCTCTTGTAGTCTCAGAAATTCTAGCTCTCTTCCTTCTAATAATTTACAAATCACCGAGTAATAGCCTCTGAACACGTTCATATTAGCGATGCTCATTTCTCTTCAACAGAACAGAACCCCCCATCCCTCTGCCTGATCAGATCCATCGCCAAAGAGACCATGTTATCTCTGGGACTAACTTCCCTTCCTTTATTTATTGAGTGGGGGTGTCAGCATGCCCCCACTGAATAAAATTACACAGTCATGTCCCTGCCTCCCCAAAAAGGGTCCGTACATCTTTCAGGGTAAGCCTAGCTCCAGGGAAACTACTAACAACATTAGCCAACCCCCTCCCAAAGACTCAAGGCTGCTTTGCCCATAGGAAACCTGTCATTCCCTATCAATACTTCTCCCAGAGACCCCTGGTTCCCTGTTTTCATCTGATTTCTCCCCATATCCTTACTCAGGGACAGATAAGCCCCGGATGGAGAAATGCAGCAGCTGATTCCAGGTGACTGAGGGTGGCCGGCCTTCACTGACTTCTCCCTCCACAGGATCAAAGCTGCTGTGGCTGGAAAGACTCAGGCTATTTCTCTTGCAGGTCAGACTGCTCCCGGTGCCATGAACGGAGACGACGCCTTTGCAAGGAGACCCACGGTTGGTGCTCAAATACCAGAGAAGATCCAAAAGGTGAGGTGACCTGGAGGGAGCAGAGTAGTGGCCCAGGGGACAGTGTGGGGTGACCCGGTTTCTGAGGAGGGGAGGACAGAGATACTGGAGACAAGGAGCAGGGTCTCGGGGGAGATCTGGACCCTTGGGAGCCTCCCACCCTCGCTCTGTCATCACCTAGCATCCCTGGAGACAAGTCTGTGACCTTGCACTACATCTGGTGACTCTCAGTCCATTCTGGAAGGTGGGAAGAGAGCCAGCCAGCAGCATTAAAGCCCTACTGTGTGGCAGGGGTGAAGCTAGGGAAGGTCCCTCGTGTTCTGTCAGTTAGCCATGGCATCAACCAGGAAGGATTATCATCCCCAGTTCCCAGATCTAGCACACAGGAAGCGGCTCCAGCTGAATGGCAGACATGCCTAGCTGAGTCCCTGCCATAATTCCTTTTTTTTTTTTTTGTAGGCCTTCGATGATATTGCCAAATACTTCTCTAAGGAAGAGTGGGAAAAGATGAAAGCCTCGGAGAAAATCTTCTATGTGTATATGAAGAGAAAGTATGAGGCTATGACTAAACTAGGTAACAGAAAGTTCTGGGAACAGACAAGTCTGGGGACACATGAGCATCCCTTTTCCTGCTTTGGCTACTTCTTAGGCTGCAGAAAGTACCTCACATTTTCCTTTTGTGCAGGGAAAAATCGCAAGGCAGCTTCTGGGTGTTCTGCTCTTCTGTATCCTGTCAGGGCTGAGGGCAGGGACTGGCCACAGTGGAGCTTATACCTGGATCCTGCACGTTTCTCTCCCTTAGGCTTCTGTTCTGATGAGCCCAACTGTCTCTGTGGCATCCCGGCAACCCCCCTACCCCCACCCCACACACACCCACCCTACCTTCTCTCGGCTTGTCTCTTCCTTTTTTTTTTTTTTTTTTGAGTCAGTCTCAGTCTGTCACCTAGGCTAGAGGGCAGTAGTGCAATCATAGCTTACTGCAGCCTTGAATTCCTGGCCTCAAGCAATTCTCCAGCCTTAGCCTCCCAAAGTGTTGGTACTACAGACATGAGCCACCATACCAGGCCCAAGCTTGTCTCTTAAGGAATAAACATTTTGCTTCTTTCTAGGTTTCAAGGCCACCCTCCCACCTTTCATGTGTAATAAACGGGCCGAAGACTTCCAGGGGAATGATTTGGATAATGACCCTAACCGTGGGAATCAGGGTGAGTAGATGGGAAGGGGCTGGAAAGGGTCTCCTCAAGCCCAGCTGCTTTTCAGCTCAGCTACCTGAGAAAGATCCTCAGGCATTTGTTCCCTCATACACATCAGGGCTGAGTGAAAAAAAAAAAAAAAATTGCATGCAGAAAGTTAACTACAGAGGCCATTCATATAAAATTTTAAAACATGCAAAAGAAGAATATATATTTTATGGATAATAAGTAAATGGTAAATGTATACAAACATGAATGTGAATAAAAAGCCATCAAATTAAGGTGACTGGCTGTAAGTGGAGGAGGGAGGGAGGGCGGGCAGGGATTACTGAGTGCGGCACAGACAGCTTCAGCTGTGACTTGTTGATAGTGTGTTTTGTTTGTTTTTGTTTTTGAGATGGAGTTTCACTCTTCTCGGCCAGGGTAGAGTGCAATAAGGCAATCTCAGCTCACTCCAACTTTCACCTCCTGGGTTCAAGTGATTCTCCTGCCTCAGCCTCCCGAGTAGCTGGGGTTACAGGCACGTGCCCCCACACCCAGCTCATTTTTTAATTTATGGTAGAGACGGGGTTTCACCATGTTGGCCAGGCTGGTCTCAAACTTCCTGACCTCAGGTGATCCACCCGCCTCAGCCTTCCAAAGTGCTGGGATTACAACTGTGAGCTACCACGCCCGGCCTATTTGCAGTTTTTCTAATATTCTGAATAAATAAATCAGACCTAACATAGCTGTGGGGTAATGTTGAGATCCGACTGGACTCAATATTATTCCCCATACTTTTCTGTGTGTTTGAAATATTTCTTTTTTAAACGACATGTTGTTCTTCCTAAGCACCGTTAATGAATCAAAGGACTGCTAAAAAAATGCTACAAGTGAAAAAAAAAAAAGAAAGAAAGAAAGAAAGTGTTAAAACTGTAGATCCGCCAAAAACTTCCAGAGTTTGTTTCATTAACAGCATGTAGGTATTGGATAGGTATCTTAGGAGTGAGGGTGATGAACACATTATGTAATAAAGATCGCTGTTTCTCTGTATTGGTTTATCAAAACCAAATAGTCTTCTCATTCCCAAAGAACCCTGATTCTCCGTAATGAGCTTGGAAGAGAGTTTGAAGGAGTGATCCCTTATCCAACACACAGAGAGCTTTCCCACTTGTCAGAGAGCAGAGATAACATAGGGTGAAAAAAAGATAGGTTCTTGGGTAGAGAGCTTTGTACATTTCAGGAATATAAAGGGGACATATGTATTTACTTGCTCTTCTACTCTGACAACATAATTATAAGACAAGGTCAGAATGTCCAAACCGTCTCCAATAGACCTATTACTCGCCAACTAAACAGGCCAGATTCTACAATCTCCCGCAATCACTATAAGAGACCTGAAAAGCCAGTGCTTGAGTATCTGCCAAGTTTTGACAGTAAAGGAGTGTCTTTATACTGAAAATATTTCAGAGCCACTGGACCAAATCATCCATGGTTCATCACACATTTAACAGCTTAATTCACATACCATAAGATTCACCCATTTGAAGTGTACAATGATTTTCAGTTGTTGCACATCTTGAGTGGATACAGTTCAGATTCCTAACCAATCAATTTAATTATTTGGGAAAAAGTAAAAGATATGTAATGGAATAAGATGAGACTGTGATGGGGTGTAGTCCCCATGTGATAAACCATGAGATGGAAAATTCTGAATTGATGCCACAGATAAATGCACCAACCATGACTAAACATAATTCAGAAGCAAATCTGAAATAACTCCTCAACAATGAGTGGACTCATAACCCTCTGCTGCAGAATACCCTGATGCGACAGAAGTCTCTCTAGAGTTTGGAAACCTTTACCAACAAAGAAAAATTCTGATGTATTCTCTTTCAGTTGAACGTCCTCAGATGACTTTCGGCAGGCTCCAGGGAATCTCCCCGAAGGTGAGTGTCTCTCAGATCTAAAGGACCAGAGAACCTTTGTCCCTCCACGGATGCGAACACTGGTAAGAGTGGGAGAATATCAAAAATGCCCTCACTGCCTTCTTCTCCCCATGTCTATCACAACACCTGATGTCGCACCGACGGCTTGATAGTACCAACAGTTGCGATTGTTAATACTTCTTTTGTTTTCATAGTGATGCCAGATACTATTTCAAGCAGTTCACATGGATTAATTTATTTAATCCTTAAGAAGACATTGTTTCTATTATCTCCAAATAATAATGAGTCACACACTTCAGTTTTCATCCATATGAAAGCCATGTGACTTGACACAAATCTTCTAAGTTCTCTGAGCTCCAGATTCCTGGTCCATGAAATGGAAGTAAAGAATTATAGTTCATGTTTTAGATCATAGTTATCAGCAACATAATAATAAAATGAGGCTATCGTGGTACAGAGATGTTAAAGAATTTTCCTGGGGCGCAGTGGCAGTGGTAGTCTAATCCAGAGCTCCAAGCCATTTAAAGCTCATTCACATTTGCATTTGTCTATGAAGTTCAGATGTTGCTCACTAGGGCTTCACCCCATAGGGCCTGCTGGTGCTTCCAATGAGACACCCACTCTCTCAACAGGAAGGACCATCTGGTCTCTGCTGTGTTGCTGGGGCCACTTGCATGGCTTAGGAATCACTTTGATTGTTGGCCCCTCCCTACTGTGAGCTCCTTGAGTGCCTTGTCTGCACCTGGGGCATCTGGGAAGGCCCAGTCCCAGCCCAGGGGATCCCTCGGAGGCCCCTGAATGAGTGATCCCACAAGTGCAGATTCAACTCTGGTTTGGAGGGTAAAGGGATCTGGGAGTTGGGTTGCCAGTGTGGAGACTGAATTCAAAGAAGGATTGTGAAAGGTATTAATTGTTATTATTACGACATTTAAACAGTGTTTACAAGCTCAGAGAGGACTTTACTGTAGGCTATTTGACATGTATGGTTCACTATTTCATAAGGGAGGAAGCTGAATGAAAAGTAGCTTAAGAGCCGGGCGCGGTGGCTCACGACTGTAATCCCAGCACTTTGGGAGGCTGAGGCGGGCAGATCACGAGGTCAAGAGATCGAGACCATCCTGCCCAACATGGTGAAACCGTGTCTCTACTAAAAATACAAAACTTAGCGGGGCGTGGTAGTGCCTGCCTGTAGTCCCAGATACTCTGGAGGCTAAGGAAGGAGAATCGCTTAAACGCGGGAGTCGGATGTTGCCTTGAGCCGATATCATGCCACGGCACCCCAGTCTGGCGACACAGTGAGACTCCGTCTCAAAAAAAAAAAAAAAAAAAAAAAAAAAAAGAAAGAAAGAAAGAAAAAAAAAAGTAGCTTAAGATTGTTGGTCAGTGACACATCCCAATGCAACCAGAATTGGTATGGGTACCACCTCACTGAATTCCACATTGAATGTCGGTGCCCCAGTAGGGTAGTATGTCATATCTGGTACTGCTTTGTTTGCTGCCTAGATTAATTTCGGCAAACCATTTCTTTCCCTCTCCCTTCCCTGTATTCATCTCCCCACACCATCTTTCCCAGCAGTGTTTTGTCGCCTCCCTATGTTTTTACATTTACTCTCCCAGCAGCTGTCTAGAAGCTTATATGGGATCCCTTGTATTTTACAGAACCTCTTCCCTTTGTAGACCTTGTGAATTCTTAGAATGCTACTCTTCTCCAAATCATCTGTATATCACACTCTCAATTACATGGAGATTTTTGCTGTTTGCAAGAATGTCAGTCCTAAAAGAGTGGGAAGATAAGCATTCTATCCCTGGAAACCATATTCACTTAGGCCATTCCTTTCCCTTCTAACCTCCCCTCCCAGGTTTCTCCTAATTTAGGCCTGTGTAACTCTCCCAGTGTTGTTGAGAACATTGAATAAGCTAATGCATGTGAAGACCCTTTGTAAGCTCAAAAGCACTATAGATATGTCACTGATACTATTTATCTGTGATCTTCACATTATAAAGATCATGCCCAAGAAGCCAGCAGAGGAAGGAAATGATTCGGAGGAAGTGCCAGAAGCATCTGGCCCACAAAATGATGGGAAAGAGCTGTGCCCCCCGGGAAAACCAACTACCTCTGAGAAGATTCACGAGAGATCTGGTAAGAGGAAGCAATTCAGGAACAATCCCTCTGGCTTCCCTGGCGATGTTCAGGTATATGGACTGGGTGTGTGGCATGGATCCCAGATAACCCTGGGTCCAGACTGGGCTGAGGAGCTCGCCCAGCTCCAGATGAGATGTTAGACATGACTTCCAGAGATAGACTTGATTTGTCACCCATAGAAAAAACCATGTGACTTGGGGCAAGTCTTTCAGATTTTCTCAGCTCCAGATTCCTAGTCCGTAAGATGGAAATAAGGAATCATAGTTCATAAATTGTTTGGAGACATTAAATTTAATCTAGAAGGCCTGATGACATGAAAGGTGCTCAAGCAATTCTATCTGTGATTACCTGGGATCATTACCTGATTAAGACTCAGCTCAATGCCATGCCTGTTACCCAATACAGGTGTACTTCAGAGATACTGCAGGTTCAGTTCCAGACCACTGCAATAAAGTGAGTCACACACGTTGTTTTTTGGTTTGGCAGCGCATAAAAACATTATGTTTATACTATAGTGTAGTCTACTAAGTGTGCGATAGCGTTGTGTCTAAAAATGTATATACCTTAATTTAAAAATAATTCTTTGTTAAAAATGCTAACAATCTTCTGAGCCTTCAGTGAGTCACACTCTTTTTGCTGGTGGAGGGTCTTGCCTCGGTGTTGATGGCTGCTGGCTGATCAAGGTGGTGGTTGCTGAAGGGTGGAGTGGCTGTGGCAGTTTCTTAAAAGAACACAACAGTGAAATTTGCCACATCGATTAGCTCTCCGTTTCATGAAGGATTTCTCTGTAGTATGTGATGCTATTGGATAGCATTTTACCCACAGTAGAACTTCTTTCAAAGTTGAAATCAATCCTCTCTAGCTATGAAAGTCCTAGAAGGCATCTCCTTCCAATAGAAGGCTATTTTATCTACATTGAAAATCTGTTGTTTCATGTAGCCACCTTCAACAGTGATCTTAGCTAGATCTTCTGGATAACTTGCTGCAGCTTCTCCATCAGGGTTTGCTGCTTCACCTTGCACTTTTATGTTATGGAAACGGCTTCATTCCTTAAACCTCATGAACCAACCTCTGCTAGCTTCACATGTTTCTCCTGCAGCTTCTTCACCTCTCTCAGCATTCATGGACTTGAAGAGAGTTCTGGTCTTGCTCTGAATTAGACTTTGGCTTAAGGGAATGTTGTGACTGGTTTCGTCTTCTATCCTGACCACTCAGACTTCCTCTATTTGAGCAGTAAGGCAGTTTTGCTTTCTTATTCGTGTGTTCACTGGAGTATTAGTATTATTATTTCCTTCAAGAACTTTTCCTTTGCATTCACAGCTTGGCTGTTTGGCGCAATAGGCCTAGCTTTCAGCCTGTCTTGGCTTTCAGCATGCTTCCTCACTAAGCTTAGCCATTTCTAGCTTGTGATTTAGAGTGAGAGACATGCGACTCTTCCTTTCATTTGAACACTTAGCGGCCATTGTAAGGTTGTTAATAATCCTCATTTCAGTATTGCTGTGTCTCAGGAAATAGGGAGGCCCAAGAAAAGGAAGAGAGACGCGGAACAGCTCATCGGTGGAGCAGTCAGAACACACACAACATTGGTCGATTCAGTTTGTCAACTTCTATGGGTGCAGTTCATGGTACCCCCAAAACAATTACACACAACAGGGTGATTATAGTCAATAATAACTTAATTGTACATTAAAAAAAAAACTAAAAGTGTAAATGGATTGTTTGTAACACAAGGATAAATGCTTGAGGATGGATACCCTATTTTCCATGATGTGATTATTACCCATTGCATGCCTGTATCAAAGCATCTCATGTACCCCATAAGAATATACACCTGCTGCGTACCCACAAAATAAAGAACAAAAATTATTTTAAAACACTAAAAAACAATAAAATCAATTGCAGTAATAATATCAAAGCTCACCGATCACAGATCACTATAGCAGATATAATAATAATGGAAAAGTGTAAAATTGGTGAGAATTAAAAAAAAAAATTGCAGCATCTGCGAAGCAGTATGAACATGAGGTGCAACAAAACAAGGTACGCCTGTGTGGCCTTAACAAATACGTGCTGGATGAAAGGAGGTATGGGGGAATGTTCCCGTAAGTGAAGAGGTTGGGAATCTAAGCCTGAGAAGGGAAGGAGCCAGAAGCTAAAACTTTAATTGGCATTTGGCCTATGTTGGTGTGGATCTAAGGTCTCAGCCTCTCTAAGCCAGAGAATGTGAAAAACTGGATGAAGAAGGCCCATGGGCACTTGGGAGGAAGCAGGCATCTCCTTTTTTTGAGTAAACAGAGCCTAACACTCTCCAACCTTCCCAACCCTCACTTTCCAACTATTCTCCATCACAGGACCCAAAAGGGGGGAACATGCCTGGACCCACAGACTGCGTGAGAGAAAACAGCTGGTGATTTATGAAGAGATCAGCGACCCTGAGGAAGATGACGAGTAACTCCGTAAGAGAACCTTCCACTCATCCCCCACATCCCTGCAGACGTGCTATTCTGTTATGATACTGGTATCCCATCTGTCACTTGCTCCCCAAATCATTCCCTTCTTACAATTTTCTACTGTACAGCATTGAGGCTGAACGATGAGAGATTTCCCATGCTCTTTCTACTCCCTGCCCTGTATATATCCGGGGATCCTCCCTACCCAGGATGCTGTGGGGTCCCAAACCCCAAGTAAGCCCTGATATGCGGGCCACACCTTTCTCTAGCCTAGGAATTGATAACCCAGGCGAGGAAGTCACTGTGGCATGAACAGATGGTTCACTTCGAGGAACCGTGGAAGGCGTGTGCAGGTCCTGAGATAGGGCAGAATCGGAGTGTGCAGGGTCTGCAGGTCAGGAGGAGTTGAGATTGCGTTGCCACGTGGTGGGAACTCACTGCCACTTATTTCCTTCTCTCTTCTTGCCTCAGCCTCAGGGATACGACACATGCCCATGATGAGAAGCAGAACGTGGTGACCTTTCACGAACATGGGCATGGCTGCGGACCCCTCGTCATCAGGTGCATAGCAAGTGAAAGCAAGTGTTCACAACAGTGAAAAGTTGAGCGTCATTTTTCTTAGTGTGCCAAGAGTTCGATGTTAGCGTTTACGTTGTATTTTCTTACACTGTGTCATTCTGTTAGATACTAACATTTTCATTGATGAGCAAGACATACTTAATGCATATTTTGGTTTGTGTATCCATGCACCTACCTTAGAAAACAAGTATTGTCGGTTACCTCTGCATGGAACAGCATTACCCTCCTCTCTCCCCAGATGTGACTACTGAGGGCAGTTCTGAGTGTTTAATTTCAGATTTTTTCCTCTGCATTTACACACACACGCACACAAACCACACCACACACACACACACACACACACACACACACACACACACACACCAAGTACCAGTATAAGCATCTGCCATCTGCTTTTCCCATTGCCATGCGTCCTGGTCAAGCTCCCCTCACTCTGTTTCCTGGTCAGCATGTACTCCCCTCATCCGATTCCCCTGTAGCAGTCACTGACAGTTAATAAACCTTTGCAAACGTTCCCCAGTTGTTTGCTCGTGCCATTATTGTGCACACAGCTCTGTGCACGTGTGTGCATATTTCTTTAGGAAAGATTCTTAGAAGTGGAATTGCTGTGTCAAAGGAGTCATTTATTCAACAAAACACTAATGAGTGCGTCCTCGTGCTGAGCGCTGTTCTAGGTGCTGGAGCGACGTCAGGGAACAAGGCAGACAGGAGTTCCTGACCCCCGTTCTAGAGGAGGATGTTTCCAGTTGTTGGGTTTTGTTTGTTTGTTTCTTCTAGAGATGGTGGTCTTGCTCTGTCCAGGCTAGAGTGCAGTGGCATGATCATAGCTCAGTGCAGCCTTGAACTCCTGGGCTCAAGCAATCCTCCGTCCTCAGCCTCCAGAGAAGCTGTGACTACAGGCGTGCACCATCATGATCCACTAAGTTTTTTAAGGTTTTGTCAAGAAAGTCTCTCTATGTTACCCAGGCTGGACTTAAACTCCTGGGCCAAAGCAATCCTCCCACCTTGGTCTCCTAAAGTGTTGGGATTACAGGCGTGAGCCGCAGCACCTGTCCTCCAGTTTTTATTTTGATACAGACTATACACTTCAGTCCTGGAGCAGGATTCTGTAGCAGGTGGTTGGGCATCTTGGCCTTTGCTCTCTGAATGATTTTCGGTTTCAAGGTCTGGGACGGTCCATTTGGGTGGATGTGGGAGGAGACACAGATGAAATCGTCATCTGGGGAACGTGGAAGAATAAGGCAGATGCGTGCAATGTAGACCCTGTGATGGACAGGGAATAGAAGAGTCCACTTAGTCTCCATGCAGGGGAGCAATTGGTGGGAAAGTCTCCTGGACAGAAGCATGAGAGCGCCCATCAAGGGTCTCACCAACCAAAGGCCTGGGGGCTGGGGTGGGGATGATGATTTGGGAATGGGACAGTTCTTTCTCACAGGTACCATTGCACGGTACAGAGGTGAAACAGTTGTGGGGAAGGGAAGGGCAGAGGGGAGTCTATTTTAGAACAAACCATTGCGTGTCAATGGAGACATCAAAGCTCCATTCACACACAATGGACTTGAAACACCAGCCCCAGGTGGAGGCAGGATTGGAGCTGTTTTGCCCGTTCGTGGCCCATCACCTTGGCCTCCTGGTTCTCCCCAGCCTTCGAAGGAGGACACTATCATCATTATGCCAATATAATAGATGAGAGACGGAGTCCCAGAGAGATGGTAGGTGTCTTGTCAGAGGTCCTACAGCTGGCAGGTGCAGGAGGGGCTGAGTTTGGAGCTCACTGACTTCAGAAACTTTAAGGAGGACAGGTGTGTGTGGTGGAGGGAGGGGGAATTGAACAAGCCCCGGGCTCTGTCCCCAATCAAAATGTAAAGGCTGTGGGTTCATTTACCGAAGACAAGGAGCCCTAGGAGAGAGAGAGTGCAGGGAGGGAGAGGCAGTTGTGGTCACAGCAGGGACAGTGGGAGACAGAGATACGAAGGGTGGGCAGAAGAGGGGCAGGCAAAGAAGCAGGGGAGACAAAGCCACATGTGGGCTGTCACAGCCACCAGAGGGAGAGGGTGCCTGGAAGGAGATTGTGGAGCTCCAGGAGCAACAGAGGTTCCCCAGATCTGTGAGCATGCCCTGCCTGGCAGTGCAGGAAGAGATGGCTGCCACCCAGGTCAGTGTGGACGTACCTCTACCTGTGTCTCAGAGGGAACAAATTCTATTTTATCCCAATATAGTTCTGTATTACACAAATGTAACATTCGGCTACTAGATATTGAGTGCCATGTCCTCCATGCAAATAGAGGAGAGGATACCCTAAAAGAGATACCGAAGCATTTGATTTTTCTTTCTCCCTGGGACAATGGGATCCATAAGTTGGGTCCCCCAGCCCACAAGACAGGTGCAACGTAGTGTGGCAGGAAGATTGTGAGTTATGACAGGGAACATTTTTCCTTAGGTTACATGGGTATATAAAGCTCCGGACTATCTGTCTATCATGGATAGATAAAGAGTGAACATGGTCCCTTCTCCACAAATGTGTTTCTCTCCTTGATTATTACTGTAAAGGGCTGAAGTTACACCAAGTCCTGATACATTACTTTTTCGTGGTTTTTTGTTTTTGTTTTTTTGTTTGTTTGTTTGTTTGTTTGTTTTTTTGAGACAGTATCGCAGTCTGTCGCTGAGTCTGGAGTGCAGTGATGCAAGTACAGCTCACTGCAGCCTGGATCTCCCAGGCTCAAGGGATTCTCCCACTTCAGCTTCTGATCTAGCTGGAACTACAGGCACACGCCACCACACCCAGCTAGTTTTTGTATTTTTTTATAGAGACGGCATCCACTATGTTGCCCAGGCTGGTCTGGATCCCCTGGCCTCAGGCAATCCTCCTGCCTCAGCCTCCCAAAGTGCTGGGATGACAAGTGTGAGCCACCTCGCCAGGCCTTCACTTTCTTTAATGAACAATTATCAGAGTTTCATCTTAGAGGCAAAAGTGGCTACTGCCAGCCAATCTGTCTGTGGTGTTGGAGGGGAATCTGGCTGATTCAGATGTTTCTAATGAACTTTTTATTTTCATTATACTTTAAGTTTTAGGGTACATGTGCCCAACGTGCAGGTTTGTTACATATGTATACATGTGCCATGTTGGTGTGCTGCACCCATTAACTCGTCATTTACCATGAGGTATATCTCCTAATGCTATCCCTCCCCCCTCCCCCCACCCCACAACAGGCCCCGGTGTGTGACGTTCCCCTTCCTGTGTCCATGTGTTCTCATTGTTCAATTCCCGCCTATGAGTGACAACATGTGGTGTTTGGTTTTTTGTCCTTGCGATAGTTTGCTGAGAATGATGGTTTCCAGCTTCATCCATGTCCCTGCAAAGGACGTGAACTCATCGTTTTTGATGGCTGCATAGTATTCCATGGTGTATATGTGCCACATTTTCTTAATCCAGTCTATCATTGTTGGACATTTGGGTTGGTTCCTCTAATGAACTTTTAAATTAACCTACATGATGTGATTATCCTAAGGCCCTTTCCAGCTCCGTGTTTTTTTTGATTCAGGGTTTGGAGATTTTCAGAGGCTTTGTTACAAAGAGAATCTCCTGGGTGGGCGGGTGGGCGCGGTGACCCACTCTGTAATATCAGCACTTTGGGAAGCCGAGGCAGGCAGATCACTTGAGGTCAGGAGTTTGAGACCAGCCTGGCCAACAGGGTGCAACCCCCGTCTCTACTAAAAATACAAAAATTAGCCGGTAGTGGTGGCAGGCCTCTGTGAATTCCAATTACTGCGGGGAGTGAGGCGGGAGAATCCCTTGAACCTGAGAGACGGAGGGTGCAGTGAGCCGAGATCACGCCACTGCACTCCAGCCTGGGCAACAGAGTAAGTCTGTCTCACAGAGTAAGTCTGTCTCAAAAAGCAAACAGCATCTCTTTACTACAGTGATTTGAGCTGTGGTCTTGTCTCCTCGGGTTTCTCTATCAGTCTGATCCCATCTACTCTATCTCCCAGGAATGCCTCAATATTTCTGGCGGACCACTGACACGTTTTCTTATTTTCCTCTACTGTTAAGAGTTGACCCTTGAAAACATTTTCTTCTCAGTTCAATGGAATGTTGATTGAGTGGGGCACGGGATCTGTCTGCCATCTTGCTCCAATCGTCTGGTTTTAGATATTTTATGTACTTTTGTCACTATGAAAGTGTAATTTTTCTCAATTTGGTTTTCTAAATGGTTATTATCGGTATGTAGTAAACCTATCTATGATTGTATATAATATTTTGTTACCTGTCTGGGTGCAGCTTCCCCTGCATTTTGGCACAAGACTCAACTTGTTTTATTCTCCAAAGTAAATGTGACAGGCCGGGTACGGTGGCTCACGCCTGTAATCCCAGCACTTTGGGAGACTGAGGCAGGTGGAACACCTGAGGTCAGGAGTTCGAGACCAGCCTGGCCAAGATGGTGAACCCCCTTCTCTACTAAACACACAAATGAAAAAATTAGCCAGGCATTGGTGTTGCATGCCTGTAGTGCCAGCTACCAGGGCAGCTGAGGAGGGAGGATTACATAAACTCAGGAGGCAGAGATTGCAGTGAGCCGAGATCGGGCCACTGCACTCCAGCCCGGGCGACAGAGACTCTGTCTCTAAATAAAAAAGAAAAAGAAATAAAAAGAAAATTCACTTCACAGGCAGTAGATATCCCACAGGCACGAACTCCCCTACACTTCTAGATTGCATCACCCGCCCCTTTGGCAGCTGTCTGGGAAGCCAGATCCCACACTTGGAAGTGTAGTGTTTCATACAATCCAAAAGTGGTAGCAGAGGCCAGGCGTGGTGGCTCACACCTGTAATCCCAGCACTTTGGGAGGCCAAGGCAGGCGGATCATGAGGTCAGGAGTTGGAGATCAGCCTGGCCAGAATGGAGAAACCCCGTCTCTACTAAAAATAACAGCAATTAGTTGGGCATGGTGGTACGCGCCTGTAATCCCAGCTACTCGGGAGGCTGAGGTAGGAGAATCGCTTGAATCTGGGAGGCAGAGGTTTCAATGAGCTGAGATCACACCACTGCACTCCAGCCTGGGCAACAGAGGGCGACTCCGCCTAAAAAAAAAAAAAAAAAAAAAAAGCAAAACAAACAAACAATAAAAAGTGGTAGCAGAAATCAGAAAGTCCAGATATGTAGGTAATTGGCCTGGCTGTATGGCAGCAGCCAAGGGTGAACACTAAATGCTCCCAGGCAAGTCCTAAGTTCATCAGGTAACTGGAGTACCCATCTGTGTTAGTTAATTGCCTTTATCTGAAGGAAAAATAAAACTCATGTCTCTACGACAACCAGCTGCTTACAGCTTAGAGCAAGGCATCTAGGCTAAACTCCCCTGGTGACAGGGAGACAAGGACATCATCTTCCTCAGTGTTCACATTTCGAAGAGATGGCTCCAAGGCCCTGAAGAAAGACATTTCGGGGGCAGGGCGTGGTGGCTCACGCCTGTAAGACCAACACTTTGGGAGGCTGAGGCTGGAGGATCACTTGAGGCCTGGAGTTCAAGTTCAAGACATTCCTGGGTTCTAGGATGGCCAGAGGCTTACAGATCAAAGGAAGAATTTACAAATACAAATTTTCTCAAGGAAATGCTCTAAGGAAAGTGAAATGGAGACAGGTTTCTTCTTCCCTCTTGGCAACAGGAAAAATTCAGTTTTATGTTTAGTTACCCTTACAATTTCCCCCTTTTGTTAATTGTTTTATAGGAACACTACAATTTTCTAATTATCTCCACTGCTGTTTCTATCTTTCTCTGCGTAGTTTACAGCCACCTAGATATCCAACAAGTCCATAGTAAGATGCAAAGCAAAGCAGTTATCAAGATTGTAATAGAATGATTTTTTTTTTCGGGATGGAGTTTCGCTCTTGTTGCCCAGGCTGGAGTGCAATGGTGCGATGTCGGCTCACTGTAACCTCTGTCTCCTAAGTTCAAGTGATTCTCCCGCCTCAGCCTCCCGAGTAGCTGGGATTACAGGCATGTGCCACCACGCCCAGCTAATTTGGTATTTTTTTAGAGATGGGATTTCACCATTTTAGCCAGGCTGGTCTTCAACTCCTCACCCTAGGTGATCCACCCACCTCGGCTTCCCAAAGTGTTAGGATTACAGATGTGAGCCACCATGCCCTGCCTAGAAAGAATTTTTAAATTCAGTATAATACTCACCCTGTCAGGGGGTGGGGCAACCTTTAAGCACATCATACTGGTTAATTGTGTCAAAGTCAAAATAAATTATAGAGACAAATCCCTAAATCAAATGCTGTATTTGGGAATCACAAAATTGCAATTCAGGGCATACACACAGACTAGGGTGGTCTTCAGTATGTCCAACGAGCAAACAGAAGTTGGAAGCTTTATTAGAAAGAAAAATGTTACATATTGTTTTGAAATGAGGCTCATTGGCCCTGGAGAAGCTGGTTCATTCGCACAATCAGCTTTCACATTCCCTCTTTTGATCAACATCTTTCTTTCAAAACCTCACCGATCAGCCATCTTAAAGTGAGGCTTCATTGTCACTCCATGCCAGGATGGACCTGTGCCGGTTGTCTTTATCCCATGCCAAGGGAAAGGTAAGGGAGTCTAGATCAGGGACATGGGCCATATTTGAGCAACAAAGAGGACAGAAGGAAAAAAAATTTCAGGCAGGTTTGCCTGGAGTTCAGCATCAAGTTCCATCTTGTTAGTCGCATCTATATTAGCAAACATCTTGACGCACTGGGCTAACATTATTTTCTTGGGAGAACTGGCTTAACAAATATTAGGCAACAAGTATGGAGCTCAAAGATCATAATTCTAAAATAATTAGCAATTGTTTATTTTATTTTATTTATTTTATTATTTTACTTTATTTTATTTTATTTTATTGCAATGGATTCTTGCTCTGTCGCCCAGGCTGAAGTGCAGTGGCGTGATCCCGGCTCACTGTAACCTACATCTCCCGGGTTCAAGCGATTCTCCTGCCTCAGCCTCCCCAGTAGCTGGGATTACAGGTGCCCATCAACATGACTGGCTTATTTTTGTCTTTTCAGTAGAGATGGGGTTTCACCATGTTGGCCAGGCTGGTCTCGAACTCCTGACCTCAAATGATCCCCCCTCCTTGGCATCCCAAAGTGCTGGGATTACAGGCGTGAGCCACCACACCCAGCTATAATTAGCAACAGTAGAATAAATTTAGTTTGTACAATGGTTTTGAACCAAGATCCCAAGCCTAAGGGCCACCAGCTAAACAAATCAAAAAGCTATGGGGGAATTGAATGAGACCTCTTGTAGTCTTTGAGTAGCATTTGAGGACTGGGTCGAATTAAAGCAGAGTGCCAACTCTAAAGGGACCACTAGGTGAGGTAAAGGATTTGGGCGTCGGGTTCTGTCAAGTGAAAAATGTAGACATTCAGGGGGTAAGAGTCTCATTACGATATGAAGACTTATTCTGACGTCTTGGGAAAAGCTGTCTATAGTGTGGAAACGTCAACTTCTCATCCTGATTTGTCGTTCGAATGTCTCCGGTTATGGCATTGGACAGTTTGGTGAACTTTTTGTGTGGTCCATACATCAGGCAGCAGACTTGTTCCTTAAAATGTATGCACTGTTATCTTACAGAACTTGTAGATCAAAAATAAAATCCTATCCCCCGCCAACCCGCAACCATTTGAATGGACTTCTTCCTCAGCCAGGGCTCTTTTAAAATTTAACCTGAGAGATGGTTTCAGGCCATGACAGGAAGTGGGGGTCAGGCATGCCTCATTATACCTCTCTGGCATCAACATCAACACAGACTTTCAGTCTAATAAGAAACATGTTACAACCTAGTCTCTCTGAAGCCTAGTACCTGAAGGCTTCCTCTGCAAATAAGAACTTGGGTCTCCACAATCCTTTATCTTAACCCAGGCATTCCTTTCTGTTGATCCTAGGGTTTTGTTTTGAGATGGAGTCTCTCTCTGTCGCCCAGGCTGGAATGCAATGGGCGGGATCTTGGCTCACTGCAACCTTTGTCTCCCAGGTTCAAGCAATTCTTTTGCCTCCTGTAGCTGGGACCACAGGCGTGGGCCACGACACCCAGCTAATATTTTGTCCTTTTAGTAGAAAAGGGGTTTTGCCATGTCGCTCAGCCTGGTCTTGAACTCCTGGCCTCAAGTGATCTGTCCGCCTCGGCCTCCCAAGGTGCTGGGATTCCAGGCGTGAGCCAACACGCCCAGCCTACTGATTAGGTTTCTTCTTGCTTAGGAAAACTGAGCTTTGAAAGGGTAAGTTTTTAAGTCCATGTAACTTTCTGTATTGCTTTTGAAGTCTGTGGACTATCACTCTGGTTAAATGAGTGACTATTATTTCACAGTGACCCGTGATCCTGTTTTGCACAAGTGTTTTGAGCCTTTTAACATCTTTGACAAACTTCCCCAAAATGCAATTCTTTTTTAATTTATCTATTGCTGTTGAACAAACTAATCAAATTCTAATTTAAGTCTTTTTAACCTAAAATTGACTTTGAGATTTACCAGTGAGGCCCCTGGAGAGCCTCAAAGAATGTGTCTCTCATTAGGCTTATTTGATATGTCACATTATATGAAAAACAATGTCAGATAATAAAAAATACTAATTGGTGTTTACATTTATATAGATATATTATTGATGTTAATGTTCAGAAGATCATATAAAATTTACAGAGGTCTGATGGTCCTGGTGTGATGCTGTTAGTCATGATTCTGGTTGTTATCTTAAAATTCTCTCTATAATAGAAATAACTGAATTTCCTTGTCAATTATTGAACTTTCATCGGATTTTAATCGTTACTATTCTAAGCTTTATCATCTACAGTGCTGATTCTTCTCTAAAGGCATCCAGAATCAGATTCATAAAAAATATTTTAACAAGTACTGTTGAATATAGATTTGTAATAACTTTCAGATCAATGAACGAAATGAATTATTTTTGAAAACTCTAACGAAAACTGATGGGTTCATGCAACTGATTATCAAGATCAAGCAGAACAAACATTAATTATATGAGGCTAAATAACCAATAATGTTTTTGTGACCTTTATTTAAAACTTTATTTATTCTTGGGCTGGGTGCAGTGGCTCACACCTCTGATCCCAGCACTTTTGGAGGCTGGAACAGGAGGATCCCTTGAGTGCAGGAGTTCAAGACCAACCTGGGAAATATAGGAGACCTGGTTTCTGAAAGAAATTAAGAAAATAAAACTTTATTTGTTTTTTACCTAAATGTTTTGTTTTCCACATTTAAGAAAATTTTCTGGTGGGATGTGGTGGCTCACTTTGGAAGCCAAGGCAGGAGGATCGCTTGAGCCCAGGAGTTCCAGACCCGATTGGGCAACATGGCAAAACCCTGTCTCTACAAAAACAAAAACAAAAATAAGAAGATTAGCTGGGCATGGTGGCACGCACCTGTGGTCCCAGCTACTTGCAAGGCCGAGGTGGGAGGATCACTTGAGTCGGGACGCAGAGGTTGCAGGGAGCCGTGTTTGCACCACTGCACTCCAGCCTGGGCGACGGGGCGCAATCCTTTCTCAAAAAAATGAAAAAAAAAAGAGAAAATTTTCTCTGTTAAACTATCTATAGTTTATAATAATTTTGTGAAGTATACTTTTGTAAACTGAGATGGAAATGTTTGCTTTTTCTTACTACTCAATTCCTCCAGAATTTGAAAACTATTTGTAAATATTCCTATGGCAATATGGTTATTTACACAGGTCCAGTAAAAACCTGCTCTTGGTGCCTCATTCAACTCCAACATGGCAAAAGTCTCCAGCCCTACAGAGAGTCCCTGATTGCTATTTTCCAGAAATAGGCTGGAAAGGATGGTTACGATAGCATTCACTCCAAGATGGAGTTCCCAAGCTTCATGAATACAGAACTGGATGCCTTCATGAAGAACCAGAGGCCCCCAGTGTCTTTGACCACATGATGAAGAAACTGGACCTCACTAGTGATGGGCAGCTGGATTTCCAAGAATGTCTGCATCTGATGGATGGCATGACTGTGGCTTACCATGACTCTTTTCTCAAGGCTGCCCATTCCAAGAAGCGGATCTGAGGATCCCCTGGGCCTGGTTTCCAAGCCACCCCCTTTCCTTCCAGCCTCACCATCACCATCTCCTCACAGCCCACACGTACCCTGGGCCCAGCACACCCACCACCTCATGCAGGCCCTGCCTGCAGGTAGTAATAAAACCATTCCCGCCTCCGTGCCGCTCCACCGCTCCCCCTCCCCTGTCCCCTTCCTCCCCCTCCCCTCGCCCTTCTCCCCCCCTTTCCTCCCCTCCCCTCTCCTCTCCTCCGTTCCTCTTCTCTTCTCTCAAGTACACCCACCACCTCATGCAGGCCCTACCTGCAGGTAGTTATAAAACCATACTTCTTTTCTCTTTTCCATCTTTCCTTTTTTTTTTCTTTTTCTTTTTTTTTTTTTTTTTTTTTTTTTTTTTTTTTTTAGCAATGGGGGTCTAGTTATGTTGCCCAGGTTGATCTTGAACTTCTGGGCTCAAGTGGCCTCCCAAAGCTCTGGGATTTTAGGTGTGAGCCATTGCACCTGACCCACCTTTTTTCTAAACACACACAAAAAAATCTGCTCTCTCTTTATAGACAGATACAATTAAAAACATTGGTTATAAGGCCGGGCATGGTGACTCACACCTGTAATCCCAGCACTTTGGGAGGCTGAGGTGGGTGGATCACCTGAGATCGGGAGTTTGAGACCAGCCTGGCCAACATGGGGAAACCACATCTCTACTAAAAATTATAAAGAAAAAATGTAGTAGGGCATGGTGGTGTACATGTGTAATCCTAGCTACTCAGGAGGCTGAAGCAGGAGAATTGCTTGAAACCAGGAGGTGGAGGCTGCAGCGAGCTGAGATCTCAGCAGTCTGGGTGACAGAGCAAGACTGTCTCAAAAAGAAAAAAAAATTGGTTATATTACCAAGGCTTTCATCAAAATGCATGGAATGCCTGACTTCAAGTGTTTTTAGCTTTAGAGTGGGTGAATAAAAACGGTCACTTTCTGTCAGGCCCAGGAACCTTAAGAAGGTAGGTGAAATCTAAAGTCGGCCTTGGTTTGACTTTCTATGCTCAAGAGGTTTTTAAATCTGAGATTCCTAAGTGATCAATGTATAGAGAAAAATTATGTTGCTAAAGAAAAGCTCTAATAGACCAGTTATTAGATTGTAGCTCTCTGCATTTTTTCGAGTTCTTGTGTTTTTTTTCTTTTTGTGTTGTTGTTGTTGTTTTTGAGACAGAGTCTCGCTCTGTCACCAGGCTGGAGTGCAGTGGCGGGATCTCGGCTCACTGCAACCTCTGCCTCCCGCATTCAAGCGATTCTCCTGCCTCAGCCTCCCGAGTAGCTGGGACTACAGGTGCATGCCACCACGCCCGGCTAATTTTTGTATTTTCAGTAGAGACGGTGTTTCACCATGTTGGCCAGGATGGTCTCAATCTCTTGACCGCGTGATCCGCCCGCCTCGGCCTCCCAAAGTGGTGGGAATACAGGCCTGAGCCACTGCGCCTGGCCGAGTTCTTGTTATCTACATACAGACTAGACTAGATCCAACTTTTTCCCATAAAATTACTAAAAACAGAAACTGCTCTGTTCCTGAAGCCTGCTGATGAAAAGAGTCAAACTCTGGAAAACACTTGAAGAGACTTATTCTGAGCCAAATAGGAGCGACCATGGCCCATGACACAGCCTCAGGAGGTCCTGAGTTGCCCAAGGAGGTTGGGGTGCAGCTTGGTTTTACAGATTTTATGGAGACTCAATCAAATACATTTAAGAAATACATTGGTTTGGTCCAGAAAGGCAGGACAACTCGAAGCAGGGGCTTCCAGCTTACAGGTAGATTAAAAAATTTTCTAGTTGACAATTGGTTGGGTTTTCTAAAAACCTAGGATCGGCCAGGCCTGGTGGCTCGTGCCTATAATCCCAGCACTTTGGGAGGCTGAGGCAGATGAATCACCTGAGGTGAGGAGATGGAGACCAGCCTGGCCAACATGGTGAAACCCCGTCTCTACTAAAAATACAAAAAAATTAGCTGGATGTGATGGCGGGTGCCTGTAACCCCAACTACTGGGTAGACTGAGACAGGAGAATTGCTTGAATCCGGGTGGCAGAGGTTACAGTTGGCAGAGAATGCACCATTATACTCCAGCCTGGGCAACAGATCTAGACTCTGTCTCAAAGCAAAAACAAACAAACAAACAAACAAACAAACAAAAATGCCTAGGATCAACAGAAAGGAATGCCTGGGTTGAGATAAAGGATTGTGGTGACCCAAGTTCTTATTTGCAGAGGAAACCTTCAGGTACTAGACTTCAGAGAGACTAGGTTGTAACATGTTTCTTATGAGATTTAAGTCTGTGTTGATATTGATGCCAGAGAGGTATAATGAGGCATGTCTGACCCACAAGTCCTGTCATGGCCTAAAACAGTCTCCCAGCTTAATTTTAAAAGAGCTCTGGCTGAGGAGGACGTCCATTCAGATGGTTAAGGGTGGGGGTGCTTAGGATGCTATTTTTGGTTTACAAATACTCTAAGACAAAAACTGCATAATTTTTTTTTTTTTTGAGATGGAGTCTCACACTGTTGCCAAGGCTGGAGTGCAGTGGTGAGATCTCGGCTCACTGCAACCTCCGCTTCCCGGGTTCAAGCGATTCTCCTGCCCAAACCTCTCGAGTAGCTGGGACTACAGGCACGTGACAACATCCCCGGCTAATTTTTTGTATTTTTAGTAGAGGCGGGGTTTCACCGAGTTACCCAGGATGGTCTCTATCTCCTGACCTCGTGATCTGCCCACCTCAGCCTCCCAAAATGCTGGGATTACAGGCATGAACCACTGCACCTAGCCAAACTGCATACATTTTAAGGAACAAGTCTCGTGTCTGATGCATGGACCACACAAAAAGTTCACCAAACTGTCGAATGCCATAACCAGAGACATTCGAACGACAAATCAGGATGAGAAGCTGACGATTCCACATTGTAGACAGCTTTTCCCAAGATATCAGAATAAGTCTTCATATCATAATGAGACTCTTATCCCCTTAATGTCTACATTTTTCACTTGGCAGACCATGACTCCCAAATCCTTTGATTCACCTAGTGAATCCTTTTTATAGAGTGGTCCCTTTTATAGAGTTGGCACTCTGCTTTAATTCAACCCAGTCCTCAAATGCTACTCAAAGACTATAAGAGGTCTCATTCAATTCCCCCATAGTCTTTTGATTTGTTTAGCTGGTGGCCCTTAGGCTTGGGATCTTAGTTCAAAATCATTGTACAAACTAAATTTATTCTACTATTGCTAATTATAGCTGGGTGCGGTGGCTCGCGCCTACCGTCCCAGCACTTTGGGATGCCAAGGAGGGCGGATCACTTGAGGTCAGGAGTTCGAGACCAGCCTGGCCAACATGATGAAACCCCGTCTCTACTGAAAAGACAGAAATTAGCCGGGCGTGGTGGTGAGCACTTGTAATCCAAGCTACTCGAGAGGCTGAGGCAGGAGATTCGCTTGAACCCAGGAGGTGGAGGTTGCAGTGAGCCGGGATCACGCCACTGCACTCCAGCCTGGGTGACAGAGCAAGACCGCGTTGCAATAAAATAAAATAAAATAAAATAATAAAATAAAATAACGATAGCTAATTACTTTTGTATTATGATCTTTGAGCTCCATTCTTGTTGCCTGTCTAATATTTGTTAAGCCAGTTCTACCAACAGGAAAATGTTGGCCTAGTGCTTCAAGATGAATGCTAATATAGATGGGACTAACAAGATGGAATTTGATGCTGAACTCCAGACAAACCTGCCTGAATTTTTTTTTTTCCTTCTGGCCTCTTTGTGGCTCAAATATGGCCCATGTCCCTGATCTAGACTCCCTTACCTTTCCCTTGACATGGGACAAAGACAACCGGCCCACGTCCATCCTGGCATGGAGTGACAGTGAAGCCTCACTTTAAGATGGCTAATCAGTGAGGTTTTCAAACAAAGATGTTGATCAAAAGAGGGAATGTGAAAGCTGATTGTGCGAATGAACCAGCTTCTCCAGGGCCAATGAGCCTCATTTCAAAACAATATGTAACATTTTTCTTTCTAATAAAATTTCCAACTTCTGTTTGTTCGTTGGACACACTGAAGACCACCCTAGTCCTTGTATATGCCCTGGATTGCAATTTTGTGATTCCCAAATACAGCATTTGATTTAGGGATTTGTCTCTATAATTTATTTTGACTTTGACACAATTAACCAGTATGATGTGTTTAAAGGTCCCGCCGCCCAAACAAGGGGAGTATTATACTGAATTTAAGAATTCTTTCTAGGCAGGGCATGGTGGCTCACGTTTGTAATCCTAATACTTTGGGAGGCCGAGGTGGGCGGATCACCTGGGGTAAGGAGTTCAAGACCAGCCTGGCTAAAATGGTGAAACCGCATATCTACAAAAAATACCAAATTAGCTGGGCGTGGTGGCACATGCCTGTAATCCCAGCTACTCGGGAGGCTGAGGCAGGAGAATCGCTTGAACTCAGGAGACAGAGGTTGCAGTGAGCCGACATCGCACCACTGCACTCCAGCCTGGGCAACAAGAGCGAAACTCTGTCCTGAAAAAAAAAATCATTCTATTATAATCCTGATAATTGCTTTGCTTTGCATCTTACTATGGACTTGTTGGATATCTAGGTGGCTGTAAACCACACAGAGAAAGATAGAAACAGCAGTGGAGATAATTAGAAAATTGCAGTGTTCCTATAAAACAATAACAAAAGGGGGATATTGTAAGGGTAACTAAACATAAAATTGAATTTTTCCTGTTGCCAAAAGGGAAGAAGAGACCTTTCCCCATTTCACTTTCCTTAGAGCATTTTCTTGAGAAAATTTGTATTTGTAAATTCTTCCTTTGATCTGTAAGCCTCTGGCCATCCTAGAACCCAGGAATGTCTTGAACTTGAACTCCAGGCCTCAAGTGATCCTCCAGCCTCAGCCTCCCAAAGTGTTGGGATTACAGGCGTGAGCCACCACGCCCATCCCCTAGGAATGTCTTTCTTCAGGGCCTTGGAGCCATCTCTTTGAAATGTGAACATTGAGGAAGATGATGTCCTTGTCTCCCTGTCACCAGAGGAGTTTAGCCTAGGTGCCTCGCTCCAAGCTGTAAGCACCTGGTTGTCACAGAGACATGAGTTTTACTTTTCCTTCAGATAAAGGCAATTAACTAACACAGATGGGTACTCCAGTTACTCGGTGAACTTAGGACTTGCCTGGGAGTATTCAGTTTTCACCCTTGGCTGCTGCTTTACAACTAGGCAAAGTAGCTACATACCTGGACTTTCTGACTTCTGCTACCACTTTTGTGTTTGTTTGTTTGTTTGTTTGTTTTGTTTTGTTTTTGAGATTGAGTCTCGCTCTGTCCTCCAGGCTGGAGTATAATGGTGAGATCTCAGCTCAGTGCAACCTCTGCCTCTCGAGGTCAAGCGATTCTCCCACCTCTGCCTCCGGAGTATCTGGGATTACGGGTGCACGTCACCATGCCCAGCTAAATCTGTACTTTTAGTATAGACGGGGTTTCACCATGCTATCGAGGCTGGTCTCGAGCTCCTGACCTCACGATCTGCCTGCATCGGCCTCCCAAAGTGCTGGAATTACAGGCGTGAGCCACCACACCTGGCCTCTGCTACCACTTTTGGATTGTATGAAAAAACTACACTTCCAAGTGTGGGATCTGGCTTCCCAGACAGCTGCCAAGGGGGCAGATGATGCAATCTAGAAGTGTAGGGGAGCTCGTGCCTGTGGGATAAATTTTGACCGTTAAGAAAAGGAACCAGGAGTGAGAGCCAGGTATGTAAATTCCCTCTCCTCTCCTCTCCCCCTGCACCGTTCCAGGCATGGTTTCTCGGTATAGTCTGTCTAGAGGTGTCCGGAATGGCCCAAATTCTGTTTCCTTGGGAACCTGAGCTAAAACAATGGGCATGCAAACACTCGAAGAGAGTGCTAAGTGTTGTGGAGGACCTAGATCTGGGCAGAGGAAAATTATTGCAATAAGAAAATGGACAATTTGAGGATTTGGAATAGAGGGAAGGACTAGAAGAACCAGTAGTAGAATAGCTTAGGGGTAATAATTTTGGAGAAAAAGGCAGTTCTGGTGATTTTTGCTGTGAACTGCTCAGCTCTGTAAAATATACACTTCTTTCTTTCCATCAGTCTTCTCTATGAAATCTTCCATAAAGTATCCTTTTATAACTCTCTATTGCCTGTGAAGTGATTTTTCTTTTTTTCTTTTTCTTTTTGTTTAGAGATAGAAACTCTGTCGCCCAGCCTGGAGTGCAGTGGTGCCACCTTGGCTCACTGCAATCTCTGCCTCCCGAGTTCAAGTGATCCTCCCGTCTCAGCTGCCCTAGTAGCTGGGAATACAGGCGTGCGCCACCAGGCGTGGCTAATTTTTTTTTTATTTTGTATTTTTAGAAGAGATGCGGTTTCACCATCTTGGCCACCCTGGTCTCGAACTCCTGACCTCAGGTGATCTACACACCTCGGCCTACCAAAGTGCTGGGATGACAGGCATGAGCCACCGCACCCAGGCTATCAGGTTTTGTTTTGTTTTGTTTTGTTTTTGTTTGTTTTTTTTTTTTTTTTGAGAATAAAACAGATTGAGTCTTGTGCCAAAATGCAGGGGAAGCTGCACCCAGACAGGTAACAAATTATTATATACAGTAATAGATAGCTTTTCTACATACCAATAATAACCATTTAGAAATCCAAATTGAGAAAAATTACACATATATAGTGACAAAAGTACATAAAATATCTAAAACCAGATGATTGAAGCAAGATGGCAGATAGATCCCGTACCCTACCCAACATTCCTTCGAACTTGGAAGTGCAGTGGGAGATCTCGCCACTGCGCTCCAGCCTGGGTGACAGAGTGACATTCTGTCTCAAAAAAAAAAGGAAAGAAAAAAACAAATAATAATAATAAAAGTAATGTATCAGAACTTGACGGAACTTCAGACCTTCACTGTAATAGTGAAGGAGAGAAACACATTTGTGGAGAGGGGACCATGTTCACTCTTTATCCCTGATAGACAGATAGTCGGGAGTTTTATATACCCATGGAACCTAACGAAAAATGTTCCCTGTCATGACTCACAATCTTCCAGCCACCCTTCTTTGCACCTGTCTTGTGGGCTGGGGGACTCAACTTATGGATCCCATCTTCCCAGGGAGAAAGAAAAATCAAATCCTTCGGTATCTCCTTTAGGGTATCCTCTCCTCTATTTGCATGGAGGGTAAGGCACTCAATATCTAGTATTGGAATGTTACATTTGTGTAATACAGAACTATATTGGGATAAAATAGAATTTGTTTCCTCTGAGACACAGGTAGAGGTATGTCCACACTGACCTGGGTGGCAGCCATCTCTTCCTGCAGTGCCAGGCAGGGCATGCTCACAGATCTAGGGAACCTCTTGCTCCTGGAGGCCCACAACCTCCTTCCTGGCACCCTCTCCCTCTGGTGGCTGTGACAGCCCACACTTGGTCTTGGGTATCCCCTGCTTCTTTGCCTGCCTCTCTTCTGCCCAGGCTGCACATCTCTGTCTCCCACTGTCCCCACTATGTCCACGATTGCCTCTTCCTCCCTGCACTCTCCATCTCTAAGGGCTCCCTGTCTTGGAAAATGAACCCACAACCTCTACCTTGCGACTGGGGACAGAACCTGGAGTTTGTTCAATTCTCCCTCCCTCCACCACACACACCTTTCCTCCTTAATATTTCTAGAGTCAATGAACTCCAAACTCAGCCCCTCCTGCACCTGCCAGCTGTAGGACCTGTGACAAGATGCCTACCATCTGTCTGGGACTCCCTCTCTCATCTATCATATAGGCATAATGATGATAGTGTCCTCCTTCCAAGGCTGGGGAGAACCAGGAGGCCAAGGTGATGGGGTATGAATGGTCAAAAGAGCTCCAGTCCTGCCTCCACCCGGGGCTGGTGTTTCAAGTCTGTTGTGTGTGAATGGAGGTTTAATGTCTTCATTCACACACACTGGTTTGTTCTAAAACGGACTCCCCTCTGCCCTTCCTTCCCCACAACTGTTCCACCTCCGCACCGTGCAGTGGTATATGTGAGAAAGAACTGTCCCATTCCCAAATCATCGTCCCCACCCCAGCCCCCAGGCCCTTGGTTGGTGAGATCCTTGATGGGCAGTCTCACGCTCCTGTCCAGGAGACTTTCCCACCGTTGCTCCTTTGCATGGAGACTAAGTGGACTCTTCTATTCCCTGTGCATCACAGGGTCTACAGTGCACGCATCTTCCTCATCCCTCTGCGTTCCCCAGATGACGATTTCATCTGTGTCTCCTCCTACATACTCCCAAATGGACCGTCCCAGCCCTAGAACCCGAAAATGGTTCAGAGAGCGAAGGCCAAGATGCCCAAACACCTGCTGCAGAATCCTGCTCCAGGACTGAAGTGTATAGTCTCTATCAAAATAAAAACTGGAGGCCAGGTGCGGTGGCTTACGCCTGTAATCCCAATATATTAGGAGGCCAAGGTGAGAGGATTGCCTGAACCCAGGAGGTGGAGACCAGCCTGGGTAACATAGTGAGACTCTCTAGACAAAACCTAAAAAAATCAGTGGGGCGTGATGGCGCATGCCTGTAGTCACAGCTACTCTGGAGGCTGCTGTGGGAGGATCACTTGAGCCCAGGAGTTCAAGGCTGCATTGAGCTATGATCATGCCACTGCACTCTAGCCTGGATAGAGCAAGACCCCATCTCTAGAAGAAACAAACAAACAAACCAAGAAACCCAACAACGGGAAACATCTTCCTCTAGAATGGGGGTCAGAAACATCTGTCTGCCTTGTTCCCTGGTGTCTCTCCAGCACCTAGAACAGCGCTCAGCATGAGTATGCACTCATTAGTTTTTTGTTGAATAAGTGACTCGTTTGACACAGCAATTCCACTTCTAAGAATCTTTCCTAAAGAAATATTCATACACATGCAGAGAGCTGTGTGCACAATAATGAGAGGAGCAAACAACTGGGGAACGTTTGCAAATGTTTATTAACTGTCAGTGACTGATAGAGGGGAATCGGATGAGGGGAGTACAAGCAGATGGGAGATGCTTATAGTGTTACTTGGTGTTTGTGTGTGTGTGTGTGTGTGTGTGTGTGTGTGTGGTGTAAATGCAGAGGAAAAAATCTGAAATTAAACACTCAGACCTCCCCTCAGCAGTCACATCTGGGGAGAGAGGAGGGTAGTGCTGTTCTATGGAGAGAATACCTGACTATACTTGTTTTCTAAGGTAGGTGCATGGATACACAAACCGAAATATGCATTAAGTATGTCTTGCTGATCAGTGAAAATGTTAATATCTAACAGAATGGCACACTGTAAGAAAGTACAACGTAAACTCTAACATCGAACTCTTGGCACACTAAGAAAAATGACGCTCAACTTTTCACTGTTGTGAACACTTGCTTTCACTTGCTATGCACCTGATGACGAGGGGTCCACAGCCATGCCCGTGTTCATGAAAGGTCACCACGTTCTGCTTCTCATCATGGGCATGTGTCGTATCCCCGAGGCTGAGGCAAGAAGAGAGAAGGAAAGTAAGTGGCAGTGAGTTCCCACCACGTGACAACTCAACCTCAACTCCTCCTGACCTGCAGACCCTGCACACTCTGATTCTGTCCTACCTCAGGACCTGCACACGCCTTCCACGGTTCCTCGAAGTGAACCATCTGTTCATGCCACAGTGACTTCTTCGCCTGGGTGATCCATTCCTAGGCTAGAGGAAGGTGTGGCCCGCATATCAGGGCTGACCTGGGGTTTGGGAACCCACAGCATCCTGGGTAGGGAGCATCCCTGGATATACAGGGTAGAGAGTAGAAAGAGCATGGGAAATCGGCCGGGTGCGGTGGCTCACGCCTGTAAACCCAGCACTTTGGGAGACCGAGGCAGGTGGATCCCGAGGTCAGGAGTTCGAGACCAGCCTGACCAACATGGTGAAAGTTCATCTCTACTAAAAATACAAAAATTAGCCGGGTGTGTGGGGTGCACACGTGTAATCCCAGCTACTCAGGTTGCTGAGGCAAGAAAATTGCTTGAACCGGGATGCGGAAGTTGCAGTGAGGCGAAATCGGGCCACCACATCCAGCCTGGGCGACAGAGCAAGAATCCCTCCAAAAAAAAAAAAGAAAGAAAGAAAAAGAAAGAAAGAAAGAAAGAAAGAAAGAAAGAAAGAAAGAAAGAAAGAAAGAAAGAAAGAAAGAAAGAAAGAAAGAGAATGGGAAATCTCATCATTCAGCCTCAATGCTGTACCCTAGAAAAGGGAATGATTTGGGGAGCAAGTGACAGATGGGATACCAGTATCATAACAGAATAGCACATCTGCAGGGATGTGGGGGATGAGCGGAAGGTTCACTTACGGAGTTACTCGTCATCTTCCTCAGGGTCGCTGATCTCTTCATAAATCACCAGCTGCTTTCTCTCACGCAGTCTGTGGGTCCAGGCATGTTTCCCCCTTTTGGGTCCTATGATGGAGAATAGTTGGAAAGTGAGGGTTGGGTGGGTTGGAGAGTGTTAGGCTCTGTTTTCTCAAAAAAGGAGATGCCTCCCCACCACCAAGTGCCCATGGGCCTTCTTTATCCAGTTTTTCACATTCTCTGGCTTAGAGAGGCTGAGGCCTTAGATCCACACCAATACACCACAAATACCAATTAAAGTTTTAGCTTCTGGCTCCTTCCGTTGTCAGGTTTAGATTCCCAGCCTCTTCACTTATGGGAACACTCACCCATACCTCCTTTCATGCTGCACGTATTTGTTAAGGGCACAAGGCAAACCTTGTTTTATGGCACCTCATTTTTATCCTGCTTCGCAGATACTGCAATTTTTTTTTGAAATTCTCACCAATTTTACACTTTTCCATTATTATTATATCTGTTATAGTGATCTGTGATCAGTGAGCTTTGATATTATGATTGCGATTGTTTTGTTGTTCTTTAGTCTTTTAAAATAATTTTTTTTTATTTTTGTGGGTACGCAGTAGGTCTATATACTTATGGGGTACGTGAGATGTTTTGATACATGCATGCAATGCATAATAATCACATCATGGCAAATAGGGTATCCGTCCCCTCAACCATTTATCCTTGTGTTACAAACAATCCATTTACACTGTGTTAGTTTTTTTAAATGTGCAATTAGGTTATTACTGACAATAATCACCCTGTTGTGGGTAATTGTTTTAGGGGTAACAGGAACTGCACCCACAGAAGATGACAAACTTAATTGATCAATGTTGTGTGTGTTCTGACTGCTCCACCGATGAGCTCTTCCTTGCCTACCTTCCTTTTCTTGGGCCTCCCTATTTCTTGAGACACAGCAATACTGAAATTAGGACAATGAACAACCCTACAATGGCCACTAAGTGTTCAAAGGAAGGGAAGAGTCGCATGTCTCTCACTCTAAATCACAAGCTAGAAATGGCTAAGCTTAGTGAGGAAGGCACGCTGAAAGCCAAGACAGGCTGAAAGCTCGGCCTCTTCCACCAAACAGCCAAGCTGTGATTGCAAAGGAAAAGTTCTTGAAGGAAATAATAGTATATAATGCAAAGGAAAGGTCTTGAAGGAAATAATAATACTAATACTCCAGTGAACACACAAATAAGAAAGTAAAGCAGCCTTACTGCTGAAATAGAGGAAGATTGCGTGGTCAGGACAGAACATGAAACCAGCCACAACATTCCCTTAAGCCAAAGTCTAATTCAGAGAAAGACCTGAACTCTCTTCACGTCCATGAAAGCTGAGAGAGGTGAAGAAGCTGCAGGAGAAACACGTGAAGCTAGTAGAAGTTGGTTCGTGAGGTTTAAGGAAAGAAGCCATCTCCATAACATAAAAGTGCAAGGTGAAGCAGCAAACCCTGATGGAGAAGCTGCAGCAAGTTATCCAGGAGATCTAGCTAAGATCACTGATGAAGGTGGCTACACTAAACAACAGATTTTCAATGTAGATAAAATAGCCTTCTATTGGAAGGAGATGCCATCTAGGACTTTCATAGCTAGAGAGGATTGACTCCAACTTTGAAAGAAGTTCTACTGTGGGTAAAATGCTATCCAGTAGCATCACACACTACAGGGAAATCTTTCATGAAAGGGAGAGCTAATCAATGTGGCAAATTTCACCGTTGTGTTCTTTTAAGAAACTGCCACAGCCACTCCAATCTTCAGCAACCACCACCTTGATCAGCCAGCAGCCATTAACACCAAGGCAAGACCCTCCACCAGCAAAAAGAGTGTGACTCACTGAAGGCTCAGAAGATTGTTAGCATTTTTTATCAATGAATTATTTTAAAATTAAGGTATGTACATTTTTAGACAATGCTATTGCACACTTAGTAGAGTACACTATAGTGAAAACGTAATGTTTTTATGCACTGCGAAACGACAATAACAAAAAAAATGTGTGACTCACTTTATTGCAGTGGTCTGGAACCGAACCTGCAATATCTCTGAAGTACAACTGATTGGGTATCAGGCATTGAGCTGCGTAAGACATGATCCCAGGTAATTAATTACAGATAGAATTGCTTGAGCACCTTTCATGTCATCAGGCCTTCTAGACTAAATATAATGTCTCCAAACAATTTGTGAACTATGATTCTTTACTTCCATCGTATGGACTGGGAATCTGGAGCTGAGAAAATTTGGAAGACTTGCCCCAAGTCACGTGGTTGTATATGGATGACAACTCCACTCTGTGTCTCTGGAAGTCATGTCTAACATCTCTTCTGGCGCTGGGCAAGCTCCTCAGCTCAGCCGGGACCCAGGCTTGTCTGGGGTCCGTGCCACACACCCAATCCACACACCTGAACATAGCCAGGAAAGCCAGAGGGTTTGTTCCCGAATTGTTTCCTCTTACCAGATCTCTTGTGAATCTTCTAGAGGTATTTGCTTTTCCTGGGTGGGCACAGCTGCTTCGGATCGTTTTGTGGGGCAGATGCTTCTGGCACTCCCTTCTAATCATTTCCTTCCTCTGCTGGCTTCTTGGGCATGATCTTTATAATGTGAAGGTCACAGATAAACAGAATCAGTGCCATTTCTATAGTGCTTTAGAGCTTACAAAGCGTCTTCGCATGCATTACCTTAATCAATGTTCTCAACAAAGCTGGGAGAGTTACACTTGCCTAAATTAGGAGAAACCTGGGAGGGGAGGTTAGAAGGGAAAGGATTGGCCTACATGAATGGGGTTTCCAGGGATAGAATGCTTATCTTCCCACTCTTTTAGGACTGACATTCTTGCAAACAGCAAAAATCTCCATGTAATTGAGAGTGTGATATACAGAAGATTTGGAGCATAGCATTCTAAGAATTCACAGGTCTGCAAAAGGAAGAGCTTCTATAAAATACAAGGGATCCCATATAAGCTCGTAGACAGCTGCTGGGAGGGTAAATGTAAAAACATAGGGAGGGGACGAAACACTGCTGGGAAAGATGGTGTGGGGAGAGGAATACAGGGAAGGGAGAGGGAAAGAAATGGTTTGCTGAAATTAATCCAGGCAGCAAAGAAAGCAGTACCAGATCTGGCATACCAGCCTACCGAGGCACCAACATTGAATGTGGAATTCAGTGAGGTGGTACCCATATCAATTCTGGTTGCACTGGGATGGGTCACTGACCAACAGTCTTAAGCTACATTTATTCAGCTTCCTCACTTATGAAATAGTGAACAATACATGTAAAATAGGCTAAGGGAAAGTCCTCTCTGAGCTTATAAACACTGTTTAAATGTAGTAATAATAACAATTAATACCTTTCATGATCCTTCTTTGAATTTGTCCTCCATACTGGCAACCCAATCCCAGATCCCTTTACCCTCTAAACCGGAATTGAATATGTAGTTGTGGAGTCACTCGTTCAGGGGCCTCCAAGGAAACCCCTGGGCTGGGACTGGGGTTTCTCGGATGCACCAGGTGTAGAGAAAGCCCTCAAGGAGCTCACAGTAGGGAGGGGCCCACAGTCAAACCTATTCCTAAGCCATGCGAGTGGCCCCAGTAACGGATCAGAAGCCAGCTGGTCCTTCCTGTTGCGAGAGTGGGTGTCTCCTTGGAAGCACCAGCAGGCCCTATGGGGTAAAGCCCTAGTGAGCAACATCTGAACTTCATAAACAAATGCAAACGTGAATGAGCTTTAAATGGCTTGGAGCTCTGGATCAGACTACCACTGCCACTGCACCTCAGGAAAATTCTCTAACATCTCTGTACCACGATAGTCTCATGTTATTATTATTTTGCTGATAACTATGATCTAAAACATGAACTATGATTCTTTACTTCCATTTCATGGCCCAGGAGTCTGGAGCTCAGAGAACTTAGAAGATTTGCGCCAAGTCACATGGCTTTTGTGTGGATGACAACTGAAATGTATGAGACATTATTTGGAGATAATAATAGAAACAACGTCATAGACGTATTCTTAAGGATTAAATAAATTAATCCATGTAACCTGCTTAGAATATCTGGCATCACTATGAAAACAAAAGAAGTGTTAAGGATTACAACTGTCAGTGTTATCAAGCCGTCAATGCTACATCAGGTGTTGTGATAGACATGGGAAAAAGGAGGCAGTGAGGGCATTTTTGATATTCTCCCACTCTTACCAGTTTTCGCATCCATGGAGGGACAAAGGTTCTCTGGTCATTTAGATTTGAGAGATACTCACCTTCGGGAAGATTCTCTAGAGTCTGCCGAAAGTCATCTGAGGACATTCAACTGAAAGAGAATACATCAGAATTTTTCTTTGTTGGTAAAGATTTCCAAAAAGTGCTGGGATTACAGGCCTGAGCCACTGCGCCCAGCGTTGTCTAAGCTATTGAAAATTTGTTACAGCTGCAATAAAAAATGAATGCACATAGAAACATTTATTAGTGAAACAAAATAGAAAGTCAAGAAACAGACTAATCTATACGCAAATTTCAGCATGCATTTTCAAACAGTGGGCAAAAGATGATGGGTTGTATAATAAATTATTGCTTGACAAGTGTCTATCTATTTGAAAAAATAAAGAGTAAATCCTTACTTTAAACCACATAAAATAATAAATTCTAAAAAATCAGTTACTTAAACGTGAAAATGTGAAGTCATAAAGAACTAGATGAAAATTTAGGAAAATATTACAGTGTAAGACATCTGGAGGTGTCATAGGCACTTCCTGATATTACACTAAGGCTATGAACAATGAATCTGACATAACGATGTAAAAATTAAAGTATCATCTAATTCAAAAAACACCACAAAACTGTTTAAAAAGGCAAATGTTGGGGAAATTGGTGAAGCATCCTCAATAAATTAACAGTAACCATCTCTAATATACAACAAAGCTTTTGCATATCAGTAAGAGAAACTGGAACAACCCAATGAAAAAATGTGTTCAGGCATGGCACTACTTCACCGTATAGCAGAAAAGGATTATGAAATAGAAAGTATGAAATGAAAATAATAAAGGAAATGGAGGATAGAGCCCAGAGGTTTCAACGTTCATCCAATAGAAGTTGCAGAGGTAGAGAACAGAAAGACTGGACCAGGCGCCGTGGCTCACGCTTGTAATCCCAGCCCTTTGGAGGCTGAGGCAGGCCCATCACCTAAGGTCAGGAGTTTGAGACCAGACTGGCCAACATGGCGAAACCCCGTCTCTACTGAAAATACAAAAATTAGCCCGGTGTGGTGGTGGGCGCCTGAAATCCCAACTATGTGGAAGCCTGAGGCAGGAGAATCACTTGAACCCGGGAGGCAGAGGTTGCAGTGAGCTGAGATTGTGCCACTGCACTCCAGCCTGGATGACAGAGCAAAACTCCGACTCGAAAAGGAAAAAAAAAAAAAAAAAAAGAATAGAAAGACTGTAGAGAAGGCGGTACTTGAAGAAATAATGTTCTAGAATTTTCTCAACTGAACAAACACATGAATCTTCAAACTGAAAAAAGTCACCTAGTTCTGAACCTGATTAACACACAGGCGCGCGCACACACACACACACACACACTCACACATATACGCACACACTCCCTAGGGGTAAAATTTCTAGGATAAAGATAAAATCCTGAAAGGCCCCAGAGAGAAAGAGAGAAAAGAGAATGCAATGGAGACGTTTTTCAAGGAGCTGATTAAAAATAACTTTGGGCCAGGCACAGTGGCTCACGCCTGTAGTCCCAGCACTTTGGTAGGCCAAGATGGGAGGACAGCTTGAACTCAGGAAATTGAGACCAGCCTGGCCAACAAGGCAAAACCCATCTCTACAAAAAATACAACAAGTAGCCAGGTGTGGTGCCACGTGCCTGTAGTCCCAGCTACTTGGGAGGCTGAGACAGGAGAATCACTTGAGTCCGGGAGGTGGAAATTGCTGTGAGCCGAGATGGTGCCACTGCATTCCAGCCTGGGTGACAGAGCCAGACACTGTCTCAAAAATTAAAACAAAACAAGACAAAAACAAACAAAAAAGTTGAACCTAGATATCTATATACAGCCAGGATAATCCAGAATGAGGGAGAAAATATTTCAGAAAATTCATGACACATATACCCTTCAGAAATCATTGTTGGTATACAGGTCTATGAGAAGAGAAAAGTAAATTTAAGAGGAAGGAGGTGATTTTAACAAGCAATGATGAGAAGAAAACCAGTAAAATTTATTAAAAAGTGTAAACTTTTGATTGTAAACTTAAAAAATTATAGTCTTGAAATAAAATTCCAGGTATTATAAACATGGAAGATGGGAGGAGGGACAGGAAAAAAAAGAGAAGTTATTTCGGTGTTCAGGGAATGTATACAGATGTTTATGAATGATAGAACGGTAGAATGGTAAAAGGCACTAGCATTAAATTTTGTTTTATTTTAGACAGGGCCTCACTCTGGTGCCCAGGCTAGAGTTCCATAGCACAATCATGGCTCACTGCAACCCCAGCCTCCTCAGCTCAAGTGACCCTCCTGCCTCAGCCTCCCATGTAGCTGGGACTACAGGTGTGCACCACCATGCCTGGGTAACTAAAAAAAATTTTTTTTTGGTAGAGACAGGGTCTTGCTATGTTGCCCAGGCTGACCTTGAACTCTGGACCTCGAGCAATCCTCCCACATCAGCCTCTCAAAGTGGTGGGATTATAGGAGTGAGTCACTGTGCCCACTTAACGCTAGTATTTTTGAGTACAAACTATGGAACCAGACAGCTTGGGTTCAGTTTCTGGCTTCTCAACTTATTAAGCTATGTGACCTTGCGTAAGTCATATAACCTTTCCGTGTTTCAGGCTACTCAAGAGTAAACTGGGGATAACCACACTATCTAGCCCATTTGATTGCTATGATTAAATGGGCAAGTACCTGTAAAGCACTTAGAATAGTGCCTGTCATGTGGTTAAGTTAGTATATATCTTTTACTTGTTGTTAGTAATGACTTCAAATTACTTTTAAAATGTAAAGGCATATCTGGTTCAAGAAGAAGATGGTGAACCAGGAATAGCTGCTGGCTTCCTTCCCAAACCAAACCCTGCAGATGCCACAGAAGAGGTGGGAAGTGGTTGGAGTTCAGAACAGTTCCTGTAACAAAACCCTTGATGGTTTGGCCCCACTGGGGGATGAGACGGCTTAGAGTGGGAAAAGGTCAGAGGCCACAGATGGAGGATCAGCCCAGGTGGAGCTTTCTAAGTTGCATTCTTGTTTTCTCCTTGTTTTCTGGAAGGCTTATTACCTGTTCTGTAAACATATAGAGCAGACACTTGGCAGGGCTGGCCCAGTGCTAGCCCAAAGTGGCCTGATAACATTAAAGAATAAGGGGCCTGGCAAGCTCCTAGAAAAAGTGCAGACTCATCAAAGCTGGCCAGTAACTGAACATTTCTTTCCTACCTCTCCCTCTGCCCTCTGAGCTGGGCGATTACAACCAATATCATCCACCTGTAGACTCCCTCCACACTGTAAGGCAGAAATCCTGTAAGGGTCTCCAGGGGCTCATAGGCTAGGGACTGGAAGAAGAATTGGCTCAGCTCAGCTCTAGAGGCTCCGTATCCTACGACCTATCAATCCAGAAACCCTGAAACTCATGTGGAGTGTCTGGACTGACACACCTTCCCAGGAACAAAGAGTTATACAGAAAAATTATCGGATAGGCTGGGCGTGGTGGCTCACACCTGTAATCCCAGTACTTTGGAAGGCAGAGGTGGGAGGATAACCTGAGGTCAGGAGTTCGAGAACAGCCAGGTATTTTTGGTAGAGACGGGGTTTCACCATGTTAGCCAGGATGGTCTCGGTCTCCTGACCTCGTGATCCACCCGCCTCGGCCTCCCAAAGTGCTGGGATTACAGGCGTGAGCCACCACGCCTGGCCTTCCCAAGCTCTTTTTACCCCTGCCCTGTATATCCAGGGATCCTCCCTACTCAGGATGCTGTGGGTTCCCAAACTCCAGGTCAGCCCTGTATGTGGGCCACACCTTTCTCTAGCCTAGGAATGGATAACCCAGCCAAAGAAGTCACTGTGGCATGAGCAGATGGTTCACTTCAAGGAACCATGGAAGGCGTGTGCAGGTCCTGGGGTAGGGCAGAATCAGAGTGTGCAGGGTCTGCAGGTCAGGAGGAGTTGAGATTGAGTTATCAGGCAGTGGGAACTCACTGACACTTACTTTCCTTCTCTCTTCTTGCCTCAGCCTCGGGGATACGTCACATGCCCATGATGAGAAGTAGAACGTGGTGACCTTTCACGAACATAGGCATGGCTGCGGACCCCTCGTCATCAGGTGCATAGCAAGTGAAAGCAAGTGTTCACAACAGTGAAAAGTTGAGCGTCGTTTTTCTTAGTGTGACAAGAGTTCGATGTTAGTGTTTCCATTGTATTTTCTTACAGTGTGCCATTCTGTTAGATATTAGCGTTTTCATTGATGAGCAAGACATGCTTAATGTGTATTTCGGTTTGTGTATCCATGCACCTACCTCAGAAAGCAAGTATAGTCAGGTATTCTCTCCATAGAACAGCACTACCCTCCTCTCTCCCCAGATGTGACTACTGAGGGCAGATCTGAGTGTTTAATTTCCGATTTTCCCCTCTGCATTTACACACCAGACACACAAACACACACACACAGACACACACACACACAGACACACCAAGTACCAGTATAAGCATCTCCCATATGCTTTTCCCCATTGCCATGAGTCCTGGTCAAGCCCCCCTTCAATTTGTTTCCTGTTCAGCATGTACTCCCCTCCTCTGATTCCCCGTATCAGTCACTGACAGTTAATACACCTTTGCAAACGTTCCCCAGTTGTTTGCTCCTCTCATTAATGTGCGCACAGGTCTCTGCACCTGTGTGAATATTTCTTTAGGAAAGATTCTTAGAAGTTGAATTGCTGTGTCAAAGGAGTCATTTATTCAACAAAACACTAATGAGTGTGTTCTCGTGCTGGGCGTTGTTCTAGGTGCTGGAGAGACATCAGTGAACAAGGCAGGCAGATGTTCCTGACCACCATTACAGAGGAGGATGTTTCCAGTTGTTGGGTTTCTTTGTTTGTTTCTTTTTTCTAGAGAAGGGGTCTTGCACTGCCCAGGCTAGAGTGCAGTGGCATGATCATAGTTCAATGCAGCCTTGAACTCGTGGGCTCAAGTGATCCTCCCACCTTAGCCTCCAGAGAAGCTGTGACTACAGGAATGCACCATCATGACCCACTAAGTTTTTTAAGGTTTTGTCAAGAAAGTCTCTCTATGTTACCCAGGCTGGACTTAAACTCCTGGGCCAAAGCAATCCTCCCACCTTGGTCTCCTAAAGTGTTGGGATTACAGGCGTGAGCCGCAGCACCTGTCCTCCAGTTTTTATTTTGATACAGACTATACACTTCAGTCCTGGAGCAGGATTCTGTAGCAGGTGGTTGGGCATCTTGGCCTTTGCTCTCTGAATGATTTTCGGTTTCAAGGTCTGGGACGGTCCATTTGGGTGGATGTGGGAGGAGACACAGATGAAATCGTCATCTGGGGAACGTGGAAGAATAAGGCAGATGCGTGCAATGTAGACCCTGTGATGGACAGGGAATAGAAGAGTCCACTTAGTCTCCATGCAGGGGAGCAATTGGTGGGAAAGTCTCCTGGACAGAAGCATGAGAGCGCCCATCAAGGGTCTCACCAACCAAAGGCCTGGGGGCTGGGGTGGGGATGATGATTTGGGAATGGGACAGTTCTTTCTCACAGGTACCATTGCACGGTACAGAGGTGAAACAGTTGTGGGGAAGGGAAGGGCAGAGGGGAGTCTATTTTAGAACAAACCATTGCGTGTCAATGGAGACATCAAAGCTCCATTCACACACAATGGACTTGAAACACCAGCCCCAGGTGGAGGCAGGATTGGAGCTGTTTTGCCCGTTCGTGGACCATCACCTTGGCCTCCTGGTTCTCTCCAGCCTGAGAAGGAGGACACTATCATCATTATGCCTATATGATAGATGAGAGACAGAGTCCCAGATAGATGGTAGGCGTCTTGTCACAGGTCCTACACCTGGCAGGTGCAGGAGGAGCTGAGTTTGGAGCTCACTGACTTCAGAAACATTAAGGCGGACAGGTGTGTGATGGAAGGAGGGAGAACTGAACAAGCCCCAGGCTCTGTTTCCAATCACAATGTAAAGGCTGTGGGTTCATTTACCGAAGACAAGGAGCCCTAGGAGAGAGAGAGTGTAGGGAGGGCAGGCAGTCGTGGTCACAGCAGGGACAGTGGGAGACAGAGATATGCAGGGTGGGCAGAAGAGGGGCAGGCAAAGAAGCAGGGGAGACCCAAGGCCAAGTGTGGGCTGTCACAGCCACCAGAGGGAGAGGATGCCAGGAAGGAGGTTGTGGGGCTCCAGGAGCAAGAGGTTCCCCAGATCTGTGAGCATGCCCTGCCTGGCACTGCAGGAAGAGGTGGCTGCCACCCAGGTCAGTGTGGACGTACCTCTACCTGTGTCTCAGAGGAAACAAATTCGATTTTATCCCAATATAGTTCTGTATTACCCAAATGTAACATTCGGCTACTAGATATTGAATACCGTATCCTCCATGCAAATAGAGGAGAGCATACCCTAAAAAAGATAATGAAGGATTTGATTTTTCTTTCTCCCTGGGACGATGGGATCCATAAGTTGGTTCCCCAAGCCCACAAGACAGATACAAGGAAGGGTGGCTGGAAGATTGTGAGTTATGACAGGCAACATTTTTCCTTAGGTTCCATGGGTATATAAAGCTCCGGACTATCTGTCTATCATGGATAGATAAAGAGTGAACATGGTCCCCTCTCCACAAATGTGTTTCTCTCCTTGTGAAGGGCTGAAGTTACACCAAGTTCTGATACGTTACATTTGTGTGTGTGTGTGTGTGTGTGTGTGTGTGTGTGTTGTTGTTGTTGTTGTTGTTGTTGTTGTTTTCTTTCTTTCTTTTTTTTCTTTTTTGACATGATCACACTCTGTCGCCCAGGCTGGAGTGCGGTGATGCAAGTACAGCTCACTGCAGCCTGGATCTCCCAGGCTCAAGGGATTCTCCCACTTCAGCTTCCGATCTAGTTGGGACTACAGGCACACGCCACCACACCCAGCTAGTTTTTTATTTTTGGTAGAGACAGCATCCACTATGTTGCCCAGGCTGGTCTCGATCTCCTGGCCTCAGGCAATCCTCCTGCCTCAGCCTCCCAAAGTGCTGGGATGACAAGTGTGAGCCACCTCGCCAGGCCTTCACTTTCTTTAATGAACAATTATCAGAGTTTCATCTTAGAGGCAAAAGTGGCTACTGCCAGCCAATCTGAGGATGGTGTTGGAGGGGACTCTGGCCGATTCAGATGTTTCTAATGAACTTTTAAATTAACCTACCTGATGATTATCCTAAGGCCCTTTCCAGCTCCGTGTTTTTTTGATTCAGGGTTTGGAGTTTTTCAGAGGCTTTGTTACAAAGATCATCTCCTGGGCAGGCACGGTGTCCCATGCTGTAATGTCAGCACTTTGGGAGGCCGAGGCAGGCAGATCACTTGAGGTCAGGAGTTGGAGACTAGCCTGGCCAACAGGGTGAAACCCCCGTCTCTACTAAAAATACAAAAATCAGCTGGCCGTGGTGGCAGGCCTCTGTGAATTCCAGTTACAGTGGGGAGTGAAGCAGGAGAATCCCTTGAACCTGGGAGATAGAGTGTGCAGTGAGCTGAGATCACGCCACTGCACTCCAGCCTGGGCGACGGAGTAAGTCTTTGTCTCAAACAGCATCTCTCGTCTACAGTGATGCTCTTGTCTCCTTGGGTTTCTCTACCAGTCTGATCACATCTACTCTATCTCCCAGGAATGCCTCAATATTTCTGGTGAACCACTGACACGTTTTCTTATTTTCCTCTACTCTTGAGAATTGACCCTTGAAAACATTTTCTTCCCAGTTCAATGGAATGTTGAGTGGGGCACGGGATCTATCTGCCATCTTGCTCCAATCATCTGGTTTTAGATATTTTATGTATATTTGTCACTATATAAGTGTAATTTTTCTCAATTTGGTTTTCTAAATCGTTAATATTGGTATGTAGAAAAAACCTATCTATATATATATAATATTTTGTTACCTGTCTGGGTGCAGCTTCCCCTGCATTTTGGCACAAGACTCAATATGTTTTATTCTCCAAAAGGAAAGTGACAGGCTGGGCGCGGTGGCTCACGCCAGTAATCCCAGCACTTTAGGAGACTGAGGCGGGTGGATCACCTGAGGTCAGGGGTTCAAGACCAGCCTGGCCAAGATGGTGAACCCCTTTCTCTACTAAAAATACAATAAAATAAAAAAAATTAGCAAGGCATTGGTGGTGCGCACCTGTAGTCCCAGCTACTAGGGCAGCTGAGGCGGGAGGATCATTTGAACTCGGGAGGCGGAGATTGCAGTGAGTCGAGATCGCACCACTGCACTCCAGCCCGGGCAACAGAGACTCTATCTCTAAATAAAAAAGATAAAGAAAAAAAGAAAATTCACTTCACAGGCAATAGAGAGTTATAAAAGGATACTTTATGGATGATTTCATAGGGGAGAATGATGGAAAGAAAGGATATAAACATATATATATATATAACAGAGCTGAGCAATTCACTGGAACAATCACCAGAACTGCCTTTTTCTCCAAAAATAGTACCCCTAAGCTATACTACTACTGGTTCTTCTAGTCCTTCCCTCTATTCCACATCCTCAAATTGTCCATTTTCTTATTGGGATAATTTTCCTCTGCCCAGATCTGGGTCCTCCACAACACTTAACACTGTCTTCGAGTGTTTGAATGCCCATTGCTTTAGCTCAGATTCCCAAGGAAACAGGCTTTGGGCCATACAGGACACCTCTAGACAGACTATACTGAGAAACAATGCCTGGAATGGTACATGGGGAGAGGAGAGGAGAGGAGAGGGAATTACGTACCTGACTCTCACTCCTGGTTCCTTTTCTTATTGGTCAAAATTTACCCCACAGGTGCGAACTCCCCTACACTTCTAGATTGCATCAACTGCCCCTTTGACAGCTGTCTAGGAAGCCAGATCCCACACTTTGAAGTGTAGTGTTTCATACAATCCAAAAGTGGTAGCAGAGGCCAGGCGTGGTGGCTCACGCCTGTAATCCCAGCACTGTGGGAGGCCAAGGCAGGCGGATCATGAGGTCAGGAGATCGAGACCATCCTGGCCAGCATGGTGAAACCCCGTCTCTACTAAAAATACAGAAATTAGCTGGGCATGATGGTGCACGCCTGTAATCCCAGCTACTCGGGAGGCTGAGGAAGGAGAATCGCTGGACCCTGGGCGGCAGAGGTTGCAATGAGCTGAGATTGCACCATTGCACTCCAGCCTGGGCAACAGAGGGCGATTCCACCTCAAAAACAAACAAACAAAAACAAAACAAAAAATAAAAAGTGGTAGCAGAAATCAGAAAGTCCAGATATGTAGGTAATTGGCCTTGTTGTACAGCAGCAGCCAAGGGTGAACACTAAATGCTCCCAGGCAAGTCCTAAGTTCATCGAGTAACTGGAGTACCCATCTGTGTTAGTTAATTGCCTTTATCTGAAGGAAAAATAAAACTCATATCTCTATGACAAGCAGGTGCTTACGGCTTGGAGCAAGGCACCTAAGTTAAACTCCCCTGGTGACAGGGAGACAAAGACATCATCTTCCTCAACGTTCACCTTTCAAAGAGATGCTCCATGGCCCTGAAGAAAGACATTCCTGGTGGCGGTGTTTGGTAGCTCACACCTGTAATCCCAACACTTTGGGAGGCTGAGGCTGGAGGATCACTTGAGGCCTGGAGTTCAAGTTCAAGACATTCCTGGGTTATAGGGTGGCCAGAGGCTTACATATCAAAGGAAGAATTTATAAATACAAATTTTCTCAAGGAAATGCTCTAAGGAAAGTGAAATGGGGAAGGTCTCTTCTTGCTCTTTTGGCAACAGGAAAATCTCAATTTTATGTTTAGTTACCCTTACAATTTCCCCCTTTTGTTATTCTTTTATAGTAACAGTACAATTTTCTAGTTATCTCCACTGCTTTGAAATGAGGCTCATTGGCACTGGAGAAGCTGGTTCATTCACACAGTCAGCTTCACATTCCCTCTTTTGATCAAGATCTTTCTTTGAAAACCTCACAAACCTGAGGTGATCCACCCACCTCAGCCTCCCAAACTGCTGGGATTACAGGCGCAAGCCACTGTGCCCGGCCCTATAACCAATGTTTTTAATTGTATCCCTCTAGAGAGAGTGAGCAGAGGTGTCTGTGTATGTCTGTATTGTGCTTTGTGTTTTACAGAACATTAACTCTTTATAAAGCATATATTTCTAACCTAGGAAAATATCAAATGGAAAAGGGATGGGAATACCTTTGATATGTACATTCAGCAGAACTATGTGCTGCCGGGTACAGTTGCATGAACATATACACATCTCCACTTCCTGTGGGAGGAAATTTTAAGAAGAAAATTTTCTTTAGGAATCAGTGCTCCCCCAGGCCTTATTTACAATGTCTGGCTTACTGTCAACCTGTGAGTCTGTCCACCAACCCTACAGGACCTCATATCCCTCCCTTCTCAAATGCCTACCTCTTCCCTTCCCTTCTCCCCCACCATCAGAAAACAGGCATAGATATATGCAGCCATCAGCTTCTCAAACTTGATTTTATTGTAATCATCACCGTTGGTGGTGAGGATTTGTCCAATTTGGTTTCTCCATGTTTAATTAGTCTTCCTCACCCTCCTCTGACGATCCTTCAGATGAGTCTGGGTCTTCTTCCTCCATCAAAGATCCTTCAGATGAGTCTAGGTCTTCATCCTCTTGTGAAGATCCTTCAGATAACCCTAGGTCTTCATCCTCCTGTGAAGATCCTTCAGGTAATTGTAGGTCTTCATCCTGCTTTGAAGATTCTGCAGATGAGTCTAGGTCTTCGTCCTCCTGTGAGGATCCTTCGTCCTCCTCCTCTTGGACTGGATTGATGGAGTTCTCTCAGGACTGGTCATTCTCGAGTTGATTTGAATGTATTTTCTTAGTCTTCCTGTAGCACAACACTAATACTGTTGAATATTCTGATGTTTTCATCTTTTTCAAACTCGGTTCGAGGACTAAGTCCCTGTTTGGTGTCTCCTGCATCTGTTAAGAAAACAGGGAGAGGCCAGAAAGACATTATTTTGGGTGAATAGGATAGAGACTGGATAGCAAGGGGGGCTTTATGAGAAGGAATGCAGGTTGAGGAAGGGGTTCGATCCAGAGAAGAACAAGGTTGACTCACAGGGTAGGGATCTATGGGGAAGAAGAGGAGCATGGGTAGGGTCATCTGTTAGTCCAAACTGCACCATTTTGTAAGTTCTTTGCTATTTTGCAGACCTTGGTCAAAGTGAAACATCCCATGGGGGTTCAGGCCGTGAGAAACATCCTGCCTAACCACCTGTCCACAAGGCAGACAAAGGCCCAACTAAAGAAACATCCCTATCATATCTTGCTTGGCAAAGTTCTAAGGAACACCACAACGATATTCCACCAGAAAAAGGGCCAAACCACCTGATCATAAGAACATCTTATCAATATCCTGCTGGGCAGCAAGCCATGCTGCCCAGATCCCTCCCACCCATACCTGTAAGTACCCCAGGCTGTAAGCGGTGGTGGGATCTGGCATTAAGCTGGTCCCCCACTTCCACAAGCGTCTGCAGTATTCCTGTGTTGCTGTTTGAGCTGCCCCCTCTCTGTGTGTCTTTCTTTCACCCTCGCCTTCACTTCAAAACCTAACAATCTTACCTCATCATTTTTGCTGTTGGAGTCACAGGGGCTCTTCCTCTTCTCCCCATTGGTGCTTGAAGTGGGCTTTTCCATGATTCTGGTTGGTTGTTGAATGTCTACAGCAGGATCTTGTAGAGTCCAGACTTCCACAGCTATATTGAAGCTTCCCAGTGGCCCAGAGCTCTTGCCCTCCCTATATATACCCTCCTGGTGACAAGGCAAAGCCACACCCTTGAGCTTTGTTTGATCATACAGGCAGTGTCCCAGCCAATGGCAGTCCAAGGGTGGCTTAGACATCACAAAGCACCACTGCTGACCACTCCCTGGGCTTGTGGGGGAGGGGTGACAGGGGTGTAGAGGAAACCAAATGCTGCTGTTGTTTCAGCATCCCCTGAAGACGCATCCCAAACTGATCTGCTGCCGCTCCTCATTTCTCCATGTTTAATGTTCATGGTTCACATGGAAGTGAGAGGTTGATTCTGTCAAGCCCTTCCCCACAGCCATTCCTATTAAGTGATTCATTCTTTTGTCTTCCAGCCCTCACCATGACTTAGTATTTTAGATGTCTCACCTCAAATCCCCCAAGCTAGTGTGGCTACATTTAATTATTGGTGGAGATGTGAATTATCCCATTTCCCTCTTACAGTTCCTTCATATGCACCTTGAAGACCATTTACTCTTGGGCTACTGCCAGGCAAATTTCAACCCATGTTCTTTTACCCAATGTCCATGTAGTTCTTTTAAGTTTCCTATTTCCAATCTGAAACAATGGCCTCAGTCTGTCAAAACTTTAGTGAATTAACATTCTTTACCTTGCATCCTAGTCTTGTTTCAAATCAGGGGTGTATGTTCATAGTAAATGTAGTATCCCAACATGAATTCTACCAGTATGTGGGGTGGGGGAAGGAGTAAATATTCAAGTGCTGGAAGTTGTCCTGAGTATTTACCTGCAGGATACTGCAATCTAAGACTAATATGTGCAAGAATGTGGGCATAGCTAAGCTTTGCACTGGAGATTGTGTCCAGTGACAAAAAAAAATGCATTCAGATTGGAAGGGAGAAGTAAAAGTATCTTTTGTCAAAGACTACATGAGAGTGTATGTAGAAAATCAATCTAAAAAAAATGCTTCTACAATAATTGAGGTTAGCAAGATTGCAGAGTAAGCGATCAACATATAAATCAATTGTATGTTTATCTAGTAGAAGTTATATATTAGAAATTTGCATCCAGTTTTCACCTATAGTCATCATGTCAATATGAATAATGACACATTTTTCACCGGAAAGTATTCCCATTTGTATAATTAATTAAATGGTAATATAAGTTTTAAGGTATCACTATCATTATTGGCATTAAGACGTGAAAGAGTTATACATCATAAGCAGTGAGGCAAAGAAAAAGACATGGAGAGGGAAACAAAATCGGAGAGTAACACATCTGGAAAGCTAAATATTTGCTTCTAAAAGTGACTGTTTTTGGCTGGGCGCAGTGGCTCACGCCTGTAATCCCAGCACTTTGGGAGGCCGAGGCAGGCAGATCACCAGGTCAAGAGATCAAGACCATCCTGGCTAACACGATGAAACCCCGTCTCTACTAAAAATACAAAAAATTAGCCAGGCGTGGTGGCTGGTGCCTATAGTCCCAGTTGCTCGGGAGGCTGAGGCAGGAGAATGGCATGAACCCGGGAGGCGGGGCTTGCAGTGAGCCAAGATTGTGCCACTGCACTGCAGCCTGGGCAACAGAGAGAGACTCCATCTCAAAAAAAAAAAAAAGGTGACTGTGTTTTGAGGTACAACTGGCAAATTTCACGTCCTTCCACAGTCTTTGTGATGTTCAGATATTCAGGTATTTCAGGGATATATTAAATAGTGTAGGCATTCTGAGCATATCAACCATATCATCCACACTCTGAAAACATTAGTGTTCAAGAATGTATTCCCTTTCAATTATGCCCTACATTCAATATCTGTGTCTTGTTCATATTCTGTGTTGTGCCTTTTCCATTTTCTTCAAGATTGTTTAATCTACTGGATGCTCTTCCTAGCTATTTCTCAAAAGAACATTCTATTAAATTTATTAATATCAAATTAGTTTTCCTTTTGTTAATGATGCATACCTTTCATTTACTGCCTTTTTCCCTTAAGTTTATTCTGTGACTCTTATTATTTTGCTCTTTCTTAATATTATTTTCTTGTGTCATGGAATTTGCTATCTATTTTAATAAGATATACATTTAATGCTATGACTGTCCTAAGAATACAACTGAGGCTTGTTCAGTAGCCTCCTGGAAATCATCTGAAAACAATCTTTTAATGTTAATAGCCTAATGGAGTGGTTCAGAAGTGTGGAGTAAAAACATTTAGGTAATTTCTCCCCTAAACATGCAGTGCTTCCTTTAAATTCAGAAGTTCTTCTAATTAAGTCAGCAATTTGGAAAACATGTGTAAAAGATACTTACGTGGACTACTCAGGACTTAGTATGTTATAGTCTTTGAACTTTAAATCGTATCTTCTGATGACTCAAGGCAGAAACCTGTAATATATAACCTCTGATATGGTTAGAGGTTACCATATGTGTCTTCAATCTAATTATACACAGTAGCTCATGAAGACTGACAGGAGGGCAGGGAGCATGCTTAGCCCAGGCATCTTACAAACACCTTGAGCATCACTGACCTACATGCATGCTCCCTACTTCTTGGGTCACAAAAACTTGACTGTCTCTTTCCATTTTATTATTCAGTCATTCAAGGTCTCACTGCGGGAAGACTTTAAAATGCAATCACTGGGTCCAGCAAGGGAGGTGGCTCATGCCCTATAATCCCAGCACTTTGGGAGGCTGAGGCAGGTGGATCACTTGAGATCAGGAGTTCGAGCCCAGCCTGGCCAACATGGTGAAACTCTGTCTCTACTAGAAATACAAAAATTAGTCCGGCGTGGTGGCACACACCTGTATTCCCAGCTACACAGGAGTCTGAGGCATGAGAATCCCTTGAAACCGGGAGGTGGAGGTCACAGTGAACCAAGATCAGACCACTGCACTCCAGCCCGGGCGACAGAGTGAGACCCCTACTGAAAAAAAAAAAAGCAATCATTGTTTAAGAGCCTGAGAGAATTCAGGATTTGACAAAATCCAAGAACACTCATGAAGGTCTCCATACAGGAAAACAAACATCAAGTAGAGTGCCAGCTCATTTACTTAGGAGCAATGAAATCTCAACTCGGATATTATAATTGGACTGAAGCTGATGGTTATGATAAACAAATCACGAAAATGAAATTATCTTTGTATTTTCTCCAACAGAACCGAAACATGCAGAAATCAGCAATGAAATGATTTTAATCTATCTGATGTGCATTCACTACTTTCAATAAAAGCAAAAACCGGTGCAGGATTTATGTGTTTTGTCCAGAATCTCACAAATTATCTTAGAGCTGGTATTAGAATCTTCTTCAGGGTCAGCATATTTCATACGAAGTGGTATTACAAATGTATTATGTATTTGTGAAAAGCAGAAAGTAGAAAATAATCTACAAATTTTTAGCTGTTGGTTATACTCAGAAGTAAGAAAGTGCTTTTCTTTTCTTTTCTTTTCTTTTCTTTTCTTTTCTTTTCTTTTTTCTTTTCCTTTCTTTTTTTTCCCCCCGAGATCGGAGTTTCACTCTGTTGCCCAGGCTGGAGTACAGTGGCATGATCTCGGCTCACTGCAACCTCCACCTCCTGGGTTCAAGCAGTTCCTCTGCCTCACCATCCCGAGTAGATGGGATTACAGGTGCCTGCCATGAAGCCCGGCTAATTTTTTGTATTTTTAGTAGAGACTGGGTTTCACCATTTGCCCTGGCTGGTCTCGAACTCCTGACCTCAAATTATCCACCCGCCTCGGCCTCCCAAAGTGCTAGGATGACAGGCGTGAGCCCCCGCTTCTATTTGATGATTCAATATGGCTTTGACCCAGTTTGTGTCTGTATCTGATAGTCTTTCAGTTTTGCAGTCAGGCTTCTGGGGTCTCGACTACCTTCCCGAGAAAGTCTGCATTTGGACTCTGTTTTTAAAGGGGCAGTAATGTTCTCTCTTTTCATTATCAAAAGTGTAATATTATGGAATACAGAAAGCACGTAATTTTGAATCTTAATGGATAACATACCTCCTTCTGGCATTTTAAATTGCTCTCATTTTGTCAGAATCTTCCCCCTGGACACCAGGGCCAACTCCACATTCATCCCCAGTCTTTGACTGAGACAGCTTCTGGAGATCAGCTTCCAGGTCAGGTACTAAAAAATACCAAGGATATCGACTGGAGCAGCCAAACCAGAATGATAAATAAGGAAATGATCCTATTCTTTTCCTCAGTGTGATGCAATAAAAGCCTGTAGGCTACTGTGGTAATAAATGTGATGCAAAGATGTCCCCGTTTGTTTTCCTGTATTATGATATCTTAACTAACAATCTGAGGATAAATCACACCACACCTACATTTCCCATACTTTTTAACATTGTGTGTTATAAACACTCAGCTACCTAGGAAATCTGAAGTATCTCAGCTACCTAGGAAATCTGAAGACTGCCCCGTGGATAGCATTTTAATCATACCTTAAATATAATGTTCTGAATGATTAGATCAATGTACTGGTCTGCTTATGACAAATCTTATAGTCCTGACACTAATTCCCTGTTCAGGTACCCTGAAAGTGTTGGGGTTAAACTTAATTAATGTTTAGGTCCAAAGGCCCTATATGTCATTAAGAAAAAGTACCCGATACAACAGCAAAACCACTGTCTTCCAATGAGAGTACGGGAACTGAAGTGCAGAGAAATTAATGGGCATTGTTGACAGTCATATTCTGGAAACCCCTTAACAGTGAATTGCTAAAATAATCCATGGCCCAAATTCTGTCTATCTTTAGTTCGAAAGTGCTATCTATTCGTTGAGGAAACAATTTCTGTTTCATGATAATCTTATTGTACTTGGAGTTTTCTAATTATAAAAATATTGAAACAACTTTTAAAAGCCCCTTCAAAGTCCTACTGATATAGTTATCTGTATTCCAGTGTCCTGAATTATCCACCTTTTACCAAACATACTGTCAAAAATAGGCATCAGAGGAAACAGTGGCTGTCATTTATTGGCCTCTTTTCTGGAGACGCTATCCTACTTCACTGAACTGCGTTTTGTCCTGAGTCAATGCTGAGTACCTTACAGTGCAGACATATTTGAGTATTAAGCATTTTTAAGCAAAATCATTCACATTTTCTGACATGGATGGTGGGAAGAATGCAAACCTTGGAACAAAATATGAATTCCTCCTCCATGAGTCAAGTGTTCTTGGTAAGTCTCAATCTCTGAGCCTCATTTTTCTGTTATTTATTTATTTATTTATTTATTTATTGACACAGAGTTTCATTCTTTTTGCCCAGGCTGGAGTGCAATGGTGCAGTCCCGGCTCACCGCAACCTCCACCTCCTGGATTCAAGCAGTTTCTCTGCCTCAGCCTCCCGAGTAGCTGGGATTGCAGGCATGTGCCACCACGCCCGGCTAATTTTTGTATTTTTAGTAGAGACGGGGTTTCGCCATGTTGCCCAGGCTCGTCTCGAACTCCTGAACTCAGGTGATCCACCCACCTTGGCCTCCCAAAGTGCTGGGATTACAGATGTGAGCCACTATGCCTTGTGCAGCAAGGGGCATGCACACTGAGTCAGGCACATGCAGGGCCGGCCAGGGTTTTCCTGCTATCCCCACACCCTTATCCCAGGTAGTTTGTAGTAGGAAGAAAGGGACGTGAGAGATTTTTTAAATTTTTTTTGTCTCTTGCCCAGCCATTCTCAGGCATCCAGAAACATTGAGAACAGAGAGTCCCATGTCACCCTTAGTGGAGGGTGTGTCTCAGAAAGACCTTTTGTGACAGAAATAAAGAATTTTATGTCTATATTTACACATACTGTTTTCTCAGGGTGTTTTTCTGTTGTCCAGGGTGGAGGGCAGTGGCATGACCATGGCTCACTGCAGCCTCCATCTCTTGGGCTCAAGCAATCCTCCTCACACAGCAACCTCCCCTGTAGCTGGGACTGCAGTTGGCCGCCACCACGCCCTCCTAATGTATTTAATTATTATTATATTTTAGATGCGGGGTGTCACTGAGTTGCTCAGGCTGCTTTCAAACACATGGCCTCAAGTGATCCTCCCATGCCTGCCAATTTTTATACATGCTTTTTATACATGCTGTAGACAATCAATTCACACCTGTACTTTTTTTTAAGGTTGTGTTATTGCACTTTTATACCTCTTGACTGGTAGCTGATTTCCTTGAATACCTGTAAGGTAATCACTGGCTCACCAATGAATGTGGTTTTAACAATGGCTCACAGTGGCTTGGAAAGCCCTCATGGGAAGTATTTCTGAGGAAAAGTGGAGAGTGTGCAGGAATAGTTTTGAAAAACAGAGACAACCGATGTCCTCCTTCCCTCCCTTGCCTCTCCTCATGTGCCAGGTTTTCTGTTTTCTCCACTATTACAGAATCACCATGTTGTATCCTGTGATGAAAAGTTTTTATCTCTTTAATCATCCCATTTCGTCCTCCAGACCTTTTTTTTTCTGGAAGGGTTGTAAGCAGAAGGGACGAAACATCTTCAGAAAAACACATTATGATATAAACTTAGTGAAAAGATTCATCATATTTAAGAAATGGACAGGATGAAATCCTGAATTCATAAAAATTTTAAAAATCAGTTTACATAACATCCATCCCTTTTGTCTCTATCCCTTATCCAGTGAGAAGTGTAGAAAAGATGAATTCCTCACTTGTGGCAACTGCATTAAGTAGTCAAACTGCTGGACCCTCTCCGTCAGTATCACACATCCAGATGTAATAGCCACAAAACACAAAGACATTTTACAACTGTACCTTTTTTTTATCTCATTGTAATTTCCATCAAAACCCTAGCACTGAACTCAACATTCACAGAGTTATGATACCATGGCCAAGAGAAATCCTGCCTCAAATGTTGGGAGGAGGCTGCAGCACTGGCAGTCCAGCTGAAGACAAGGCTGAAATGTGTCTTCACACACCCCACTCCCTTTTTGAGACAGGGTTTCTCTCTGTCATCCAGGCTGGAATACACTGGAGGACTTAGAGCTCACCACAACCTAGGAGTCCTAGGCTCAAGCAATCCTCCTGTGTTACCTTCCTGAGTAGATGGGACTACAGACATGTGCCATGATACCCAGCTAATTTTAAAAATTGTGTAGAGCAGGGGTCTCACTATGTTGCCCAGGCTGGTCTTGAACTCCTGGCTTCAAGTGATTCTCCTCCCTCAGCCTCTCAAAATACTGGGATTACAGGTGTGAGCCGCTGCATGTGGCCTTTTTTTCTCTCACTTTTTTTCCTTTATCTAAGACTTAAGTTTTATCTAAGGCTTTGCTTTAGCCCAGGAAACTGATTTTTTCCCTCCCACTTAGAGGAAAGAGCAATTCAAACCTTCAGGATTTTTGGCCTACTGAAAGTTCATTGGCAACAATTGTATCCTGTCTCTACCTGCCTGCAGGAGAAAACAAAAATTAAAGTCAGCACCAGACTGCGATTTTCCTCCGTACATTATCCTGCACAGAACAGCGGTCGAGGGATCCAGTCAGCCAGTTCTCTCACAGTTGGAGGGATTATTGTTAATGCTGTGAGTACATGTATTCTTCATAAAAGACAACAGCTCAGCTGCTGCTTCATACTATGGGGAAATCCATAGTCTCCCAGGAGTGACAGCTTCCTCATCTCTACCCCTTCGCTCTTCCTTTACTCAAAGAAAGTTTCACCATATTGTAGTGAGTCAGGGTCCTGCTGGTGAATCACACGGTTGCTGACAGTGTGTCAGGAACCCCCAAGGCCACCCTCACCTTCAGTGATTCATGGACATTCTCTGCTGCCCTTCTGCATACAATACTCCTAACTGAAGCCAGCCCCCTCACCTCAGGTCAGTATACCATGCCTCCCACCTTGTCATGGGCTTTGCTCCTACAGTGATCACTCCTCTCTCCTGAAGCATCGACTGCTCCCTCTACATTGGATCATTCCCCAAGCTACGGGAAAACTCACCCTCTTCCCCCATGTCCTTCTCTAGCTATGAACACATTTAATTCCTGCCCTGCAAAGGAAAACTGCATGAACTTATGCAACACACTTCACTGGAGTCCATTTTCAAAATTATCTACATAGGAAAATGAACCAGAATATCCAAAGCAATTCTGAAGTTTAACTTTGGGGAATTCACCCTACAGGAGGTCAAGATTCACATTAATTCTATTATATTTATTGATTGATTATGTTATCAGTGCATTGGAAGAAGGTGACTTCCCCCTTGGCTTGGGGATTGATCCAATATAGAGGGAGCTGTTGATGGTTCAGGAGAGAAGAGAGATCAGTGCAGGAGCAGAGCCCCTGAGAAGGTGGGAGGCATGGGATCCTCAGCTGAGGTGAGGGTGCTGCCTTGAGTTAGGAAGCATTGCATGAAGTTGTTGATTATGATTCTTAATCATCCAGCCCCATATGGCAATTGTGTTACTTCTCCAGTATTCAAGACAGTATGGTATTGGAGAAAAATCAACAGGTCAAAATAGAGCCAGCAATAGGCTCACAAACCTAATAAGTTGATTTTCAGAAAAGTGGCAAAGGCAATGGACAAAGATTATCTTTTTAAAATATTGTGTTGTTTTCTCCTGTCTCGTGGCCACTACATTAATTGATTTTTATTCCTCTGGTTCCCTTCCCTGTGTTTCTCCTTTGCACTTCAACTGCTGTTTTGTTTGTCTGTCTTCCCCACCACAGTGCAATATTTCCCACAGCAAGGACCACGTGTCTTTGTGATATTTGAGATGTCCAACCCGTCAATGAGAAACCGAATCAAGAAAATGCGGTACATGTACACCATGGAATACCATGCAGCCATAAAAAGAATGAGATCATGTCCTTGGCAGAGACATGGATGGTGGCGGCAGCCACTATCCTTAGCAAACTAATGCAGGAACAGAAAACCAAATACCAGATGTCCTCACTTTTAAGTGAGAGCTAAATGATTAAAACACATGGACACATGGGAGAAGCATCACACACTGGGCCTACTGGACTGCGGGGGTGGGAGGAGGGAGAGGGTCAGGAAGAATAGCTCGTGGATGCTGGGCTTAATACCAGGGTGATGTGATGATGTGTGCAGTAAATCACCGTGGCACATATTTACCTATGTAAGAAACCTGCACATCCTGCACATGTACCCCTAAGCTTAAAGTAAATTTTGGAAATAAAAAATGTCAATATTTCAGAATCCTTCTTTCCATGTGTTGGTCATTGTGTCATTTATCTAAGCATTATGGTGACATGAAAGCTGAGGCATAATAACAATTAGTATGATCAGCAATTTTCCAGGATTATGCCCCAGTATGATCTAACATCAACTACTAATATTGAATTGCATTTGACTCCTGGAAGTACTTAAGGAAAGTTGGTAAGAAAAAATACTCATCCTTGAAAATATTTTTAAAATTTGTATAAATTGGATCAACACTGAATACCACAGATGTCACTGTCACTGGATACTAATGAAGTACATAATGGACCCATAAGACACAATCAATAATAAAGGGGGAAATAAAAGGGAACATATCAAAGCACTGTCAGACGAGTGCAGAAGCACACACATGGTCACACCTGCAGCTGCAGAAAGACATGGTAGGAAGTAAAGCCCCACAACTCATCAGCCTTCCTTCTCACCAGCTCATGAGTTCACAAATGAGTTTGCTGAGGGTCAAATGCCCACAGTAAAACTGACCAATTTAAACATCACTGAGTGCCATTTCAAGCATTATGTAGAAAGCTACAGAGAACAGTGAACTTATTCTGAGCAAATCTTAATCCATCATCTTCACAGATGGCTATAGAAATGGCCTGTAAACATTTTATCTGATAACCACTAAAGTAATGACGTTCAAACTCTTTTATGACAACGTGTGAGAAATACACAGTTTATATATAGTCAACTAGGCAAATAAATATATGTATGTACATGGAGATGTGTAGTGTATTTGTATATTCTATATACAGTGAACGCTATTTAGTAATTTATCTCCATTCTTTAAAATGCTGTTTGTGGCTGACAACATTCATCTTATGATCCACTATGAATTAAAAACCAGTTTAGAAATGATTACAGCTTTTTCAGAGAACATCCCCCATGGTTGATAAATGTTGCTATAGAATATATGCAAATATACATGAGAACCCAATTTTGTCCACCTCCTTTGCAATTCAGTGTTTTTAGACAAAAATGTCATCTTTGATATGGGCCACAAAGGCTACTACAAAATATACAATTACTGATGAAATGTGTGCTTCATCTGCAGATATCAGCGTCTGTTTTGCACAGGTGAAGTCTTACTTGGAGAAGTGGGAACTCACAGGCAAAAGGAACAGAAAGTACATGTGACTTCTTGTCCTCTTGATATCATGTGGAGGCTTTGCTTGGGCTGCAGCATAGCTGAATGTCATGCATTGCATGCATTCACAGGGAGGTCCCTGTGTGACCTCCATTCCCCTATGGTGCTCCCATTTTATGAAGCAAGTGGGAGAGCTACACTGAAAATGGTAGGTAGTAAATAATTTGGCCTCAACCACCAAGCAATCTGAGCTCACGTGACAGCGTTTACTCTGGTACCCTGAAACTTGCCAGCTGCTCAGAATCTGTAGACTTTGTCCCACCCACCCACCATCCTGTGGAAATCTATGTTTGGTCATAGATTCCCGTGTATGGAGGATGGGAAGCTCTGGTCATGTGGGAAATTGAGCCCTCCCACAGGTAGACCGGCTGTGTTGCTCCCAGCTCTGTTTCCTCCCTTAGCAGCTAGAGAGTTGCTAGGGTCATGTATCAGGCAACTCTTCTTGTCTCTACAGTGTCTTTCATACTTTCCGCTGCTTCCTGTTTGTCACAAGGACTCTTTCACAACTTTCCCAATCCCAATCCTAATATGATCCTTTGAACTCATCCAGCAGGTCTGGAGTTATGGCCCACAGGAATGGCAGCGGGAAGTTCAAATTTGGCAAGAAATTCAAGCCTGCTCTTTGAGGCTGGAGTGAGGCCACTCAGGAATCATTAAAGTCCAGGTCTGCATGTGATGGTTAATATTAAGTGTCAACTTGATTGGATCGAAGGATGCAAAGTATTGTTCCTGGGTGTGTCTGAGAGTGTGCTGTCAAAGGAGATTAATATTTGAGTCAGTGAACTGGGAGAGGTAGACCCACCCTCAGTCTGTGTGGGCACCATCTAATAATCAATTGCCAGCGCCACTAGAACAAACCAGGCAGAAGAACATGGAAAACTAGACTTGCTGAGTCTTCCAGCCTCCAACTATCTCCGGTGCTGCATGCCTCCTGCCCTCGAACAACAGACTCCAGGTTCTTCAGCTTTTGGACTCTTGAACTTACACCAGTGATCTGCCAGGGGCTCTCGGGACTTTGGACATAGACTAAAGGCTGCAATGTTGGCTTCAATACTTTTGAGGTTTTGGAACTCGGACTGCCTTCCTTGCTTCTCAGGTTGCTGATGGCCTATTGTGGGACTTCACCTTGTCACCATGTGAGTCAATACTCCTTAATAAACCTTACTTCATATATACATCTGTCCTATTAGTTCTGTCCTTCTACAGATCCCTAACTAATACAGCATGAAACACTACCATCCAGCCATCTGATGGCATGGCCATTTGCTAAATAGTTGCTCACAAAACGTCTGAGTCCAGAAATCACTATCTCCCATTCTGTGAGCACTTCTGAGTGCACTATATTAAAAACTGGAGTTAATAAGAAGCAAAAGAAAGTAAAATTTAATAATGATAGTGTCCATGCCAAGAAAGAATAAAAAATATAAAAGGTAAATTAAATAAGAGATTATGATTATAACTGCTCTCGCTTTTAAAAAAAAATATTTAAAACACCATGATTCCTACTCAAGTTGCTTTTGAGAGACAGAGAGAGACTGAGCAACCTTTCTTTTCCAGCTCAAGGTATTTCCCTAAAAGAAGCCCAGCTGCATGAAATATATAGGCGTCATTTTAGCAATATATCTTAATTTATTTATAAAGGGCTACATTCTGATCAGGACACCCTTCCTATCCTTCCCTTCCATATAATATTTCCCACATTAAACTGCTAAAGAATACAAAAGTAATAAGAACAGGAATCATGCGCACAGCTTGCTGTCTACATGGAGAGTTTATACTCCACTGGCTTCATCAACATAACTTTACTAATACAGCAATCTCTTGCCTAGGAAAATAAAAGTTTCAAAGAACTTTACTGTTCATTTCAGCAACTGCCTGAAAGATCCATCAACTCTTCAGTCAAAAGTGTCAAATGACATTTTTCAATCCCAAAACTCATTGAACTGTTGCCTAAAAATCTTTGTCTTCTTGGCTCCACCAACCCTAAATCATTATGATTCCTACCTAACTCTAACCAAACAATCCCCCACTTTAAAAGACCCACTGTACACCAGATTTCAAAATCAGAATAAATATACTGAAATCCCTTCAACGTCTGATGTGCTAGTGCCTCAGTCGAGGTAGTGCTCTCCCTTACAGCATTATGCAAATAATGTCAGCCCTGTCATATGAACAGGCTATTTGGCTGATATTTGGAGAGTACAGTATATGATCCATTTAGTCACCACTGCTTTGCATCATGTCACAGTAGACTGCGCCTAGATCTTGTCATCAATATGTATGTATATTTCTGAATCAAAATACATGATCTGAATGACCTACAGGTATATTCAGGCAAATCAGTCACTAGCCCAGAGATTTAAATGTGCAATAACACATCCTCCGAAAAAAAACTAAGCATGTGTGAATATATTTAGTCTGCAGAAGAGTTTATTCCATTACATTCATTAGAAGCATGGCAGAAAACTGAGAACCAGAGGGAAAAAGTGACTAATCAAAGCATTTATAAAAATTGGTCAAGGTGGGATGATAGCTTGAGCCCAGGAATTCAAGACCAGCATGGCATCAGACTGAAACAACGTTCTAAAAAATAAATTAATTGCTCAGGTGTGGTGTTCGCACCTGTAGTACCATCCACTTGAGAGGCTTCAGCATGAGGATTATTTGAGCCCAAGAGACCCAGACTTCAGTGAGGTATGGTCATGCCACTGCCATCCAGCCTGGGCGAGAAAGCCATACCCCGTCTGAAAAAAAAATTTATAAATAAAGATATAAAAATAGTTTATTTCTTTCACAACAGGCTTTTCTGAGACACATCTTCCATTAAGGGTGACATAGGACTGTGTGTTCCCAACGTTTCTCAATGCATGAGATTGTTTGGGCAAAAAAAAAACAAATGCTCTCTTAAGTCCCTTTATTTCCACTACAAACACCCTGTGGATGCGAGTACGAGAACAGCAGGAAAACCACGGTCAGCCTGCAAGTGGCAGACTCAATGGGCATGCTCCCTGCTAAGCAAGTTCCGGCTGCCCATGTGCCTTGCTGTCTGTCTTCTATCCCTGCAGAGCTGTGGAAGGAAACGTCATGACTTCTTTCTTGCCAACTATGACACAGCAGGTAGGTCAGCAGACCAGTCCTCCCAGAAGTTGAAGTGTCTGAGTGTGAGGGAAAGCAGAAAGGCTTCCCGTGGTTTGGACCACTCGGTCCATGGCCTCATATAGGTTGTCATCCTTCTACTAAAAGGCAGCGACATCACCATGGCCTTGCTGTTGTGGGGTCCTGGGCAGGGGAGGAAGTAAGGGCATAGAGGGGAGGAGGGTCAGATGAACACGGAATGAGTTGAAGGGTGACATTATTTGCAGTATTTCAGTCTCAGAGGCATAAAAAAACCACACAGAGAGGATGGATTCCAAAGTCCTTAGTGGGGGACCTTGGAAGGAGCAGAGAACAGGGCACGGGGGGACACTGAAGGGGCAGTGCAGCTCTTAAGGCAAGAGGCGACCTCACTGCGCATGCTCCTTGGGTGCCTCCTTAGTGCGCATGTTCATTGGGCACCTTGCCATTGGCCCTTCGCCCACCCGGGAGCTGTGATCCTGCACTTCGGGTCCCTGAGGTCTGGATTCTTTCTCCCCTACTGAGACGCAGCCAGTAGGTCCACAGGCCGATCCAACTGGGAGTTGAAGTGTGAGTGAGAGTGCGGAGGAGCCAGCGGGCTTCCGGAGGGTCGGGGCGCGTGATTGGTGACTCCGAGTGAGAAGGGCCTTGATGTCGTCGTCCTTCTCGTGCGGCCCCGCAGCTATGGGCCTTCTTGTCTTGTAGGGGTCAGGACGAAGGAAGAAGGAGGGCTTCGGAGTGCGACGGGGGTTAGGTGAAGCTGGGGCAATGCTGGGGTGCTGTTGGTGGTATTCCAGTCCCAGAAACGCCTGGAACTCCCAACAGAGGACAAATTCCAGACTCCTCAAGGGACATCAAGGCTGGAATGTCGTGGACGGTAAGGAAGGGGCCTAGAAAGTGGGAACACTCCGGACTGGTGACCGCCACCCCAAGGTTTGTATAACGAACCGCAGAGGTGCCCGCCCGGTGAGGACTGCCCAGTGCTATGTGGCAACTTCTCAACCCCATCTTGGAAGTTCGAATGGGTGGAAGGGGCTATGCATTCCAACAAAACTCGATTTTAGGGGGGAAACGGGCCTAGCAAATGGGTGTGTGACAAAAGCCATGGGCACTTTAATTTTAATTCTCAAGCTGTATTTTCCTAAATGTCTCACGATGGAGAGTCCAATTGCGAAACCAAACCTCATTGGAAATACCGTGTGTCTCTTGCCATAAGCCCTAAGGATTGCTCAGCTAGCTTGACGAACATAAGTGGCTGTACAAGTATTCGATTCAGAAGGCATACACACTTATACATGCCCTCTGACTTACTTTTCAATGTCTTACCAAATTTTTAAAAATTGCAAGTTAGCATTTGGCCATGGAAGTGCTCAAGTGTGGTATACACTCAGGTGCATTTTTCCAATCACAATATTCTGGTTTTTGCTTTGGTTTGGTTTGGCTTTTTTGAGACAGAGTTTTGCTCTTGTTGCCCAGGCTGGAGTGCAATGGTGCAATCTCGGCTGGCTGCAACATTCGCCCCCCGGTTCAAGTGGTTCTCCTGCCTCAACTTCCCGAGTAGCTGGGATTACAGGTGCTCGCTACCACACCCAGCTACGTTTTTGTATTTTTAGTAGAGACGGGGTTTCACCATTTTGGCCAAGCTGGCCTCGAGCTTCTGACCTCAGGTGATCCATCCCCCTCAGCCTCCCAAAGTGCACACTATTCTGTTTGCAGACTGAAATATGAGTTGGCGAGGAAGAAGATATAGACCAAGACGATGTTTACGACTTGCTCAGCTGGTTGGGCCTATGCTTGTGAGTGACTTCACATTCGATTTTTTTCTACTAGCAGAAATTTTTTTGTGTGGTAGTTATTGTTGAACTAGTATAGATACACTGATAAAGGTCTCCCATGTTGATAAAAAATGATCATGGCATCTCATGAAGGAAAGAGTAACCCAAGAAGACTACATACTGTTTTTGCCTGGATGTGTGAACTTGTGTTCCTCGATTTCACTGGTGATTTCCTCTTCATGCTTATTCATAGCACATTACACCCATTCAACCCAACATAAATTAAAATGGCTTCCAACGCCATTGAGGGTAACGGTCTCAGAGTAACCTCTCTATGGGAACAGTAACTTAATGAAGAATAAGTATGTGGAATCGTTTTGGGATAGTGTAGGAGCATGTCTTTAAACATGCATATGATCAGAAGTATCTGTGTAATCTGTATATTCATATTATTGACATGCATTGATAAGAAAAATTTTTTATCTCCACACACACACACCACCACCCCCGCCCTTGTCCCAGGAGCCCAGTGTGCCAGAGCCTCAACAAGAAGAACCACCAACTGAAAGTCAGGATCATACACCTGGTCAGAAGAGAGAAGATGATCAGGGTGCAGCTGAGATTCAAGGTGCTGGGAAGGGAAAGAAGGAATGTCTATGGGGGGAGGAGGCCTGTGTGTGCATCACGCCTTATGCCATGACCAGTAACAGGAGGAAAGAAAGCAATAGGAAAGGATCTCAAACATTTGCTGAGAGTTTTGCAAGAGGCTGGAAATGTGATGGGTATAGTTTGCAGCTTCCTGCAGTCCCTGGATATGATGAATCTTCTCTTTTTCTTTGAGATGCATTTTGTATGCTTGAAAATATAGTCCTTCCTAAATCAGATGAAACCGTTTAATTGGTTGTATAAAATGTACATTATTTCACCAGTTTAACTTGATATTCTTAGGATGTTGCAGTGAGATCCTCTCAGCCATGGTGTTCACAGTGTTGTAAGCACCCTTTGATAGCATGTGGAGTGCCAAGTCACCCTACCATATAACATCCCAAATAAAGCCCATTTGCAAAGGGATGTTAACCTCATTTTATAAATAAGAAAACTGAGGCCGGGCGTGGTGCCTCACCCCTGTAATCCCTGCACTTTGGGAGGCCGAGGTGGGCGGATCACTTGAGGTCAGGAATTCGAGACCACTGTGGCCAATGTGGTGAAATCCTGTCTCTACTAAAAATATACGAATTAGTTGGGCATGGTGGCACTCACCTGTAATCTCAGCTACTAAGTAGGCTGAGGCAGGAGAATTTCTTGAGCCCGTGCGGCGGAGGCTGCAGTGAGCCAAGATCGCGCCACTGCACTCCAGCCTTGGTGACACAGCGAGACTCCATCTCAAAAAATGAAAATAAATAAATAAGAAAACTGAGGCTCAGAGATAGAGGCTTACCAAGAAAACTTGACTCATGGAGAAGGAATTCATATTTTGTTCCAAGGTGTGCATTCTTCCTGCCATCTATTTTAGAAAATGTGAATGATTTTGCTTAAAAATGCTTAATACTCAAATGTGTCTGTACTATAAGGTACTTCGATATTGGCTCAGGACAAAACGCAGTTCAGTGAAACAGGATAGCAACTCCAGAAAAGAGGTCAATGAATGACAGCCACTGTTTCCTTTGATGTACATTTTTGACAGCATGTTTCGTAAAAGGTGGATAATTCAGGATGTTGGCGTGCAGGTAACTGTGTTAATAGGATATGGAAGGGGCTTTTAAAAGTTGTTTCAATATTTTTATAATTAGAAAACTCCAAGTAGAATAAGATTATCGTGAAACAGAAATTGTTTTCACAACGGATAGCATTTTCAAACTAATCAGAGACAGAATTTGGGCCATGGATTATTTTAGCAATTCACTGTTAAGGGGTTTCCAGAATATGACTGTCAACAATGCTCATTAATTTCTTTGCACTTCAGTTCCCATACTCTCACTGGAAGACAGTGATTTTGCTGTTATATTTCGTACTTTTTTTCTTAATGACATTCATGTATGGAAAGTCACATATAGGGCCTTTCAACCTAAGAATTACTTTAATAAAGTTTAACCCCAACATTTTCAAGATACCTCAACAGGGGATGAGTGTCAGGACCATAAGATTTGTCATAAGCTCACCAATACATTGATCTAATCCTTCAGAAAATTACATTTAAGTTATGATTAAAATGCTATCCGTGAGGCCGTCTTCAGTTTTCCTAGGTAGCTGTGTGTTTATAATACACATTAGTAAAGTATGGGAAATGTAGGTGTGCTGAGACTTATCCTCAGATTGTCATTTAAGATAAGATATCATAATACAGGAAAACAAACATTTATTACCACAGTAGCCTCTAGGCTTTTATTGCACAACACTGAGGAAAAGAATAGGATCATCTCCTTATTTATCATTCTGGTTTGGCTGCTCCAGTCCATATCCTTGGTATTTTTCAGTGCCTAACCTGGAAGCTGATCTCCAGGAGCTGTCTCAGTCAAAGACTGGGGATGAATGCGGAGATAGTCCTGATGTCCAGGGGAAGATTCTGCCAAAATCAGAGCAATTTAAAATGCCAGAAGGAGGTATGTTATCCATTAAGATTAAAAATTATGTGCTTTCTGTATTACACAATATTATACTTTTGATAATAAAAGGAGAGAATATTACTGCCCCTTTAGAAATAGAGTTCAAATGCAGACTTTCTTTGGAAGGTAATTCAGACCCCAGAAGCCTGACTGCAAAGCTGAAACACTATCAGATACAGACACAAATTGGGTGAAAGCCATATTGAACCATCAAATAGGAAAGCATTTTCTTACTTCTGATTATAACCAACAGCTAACAATTTTCAGATTATTTTGTAATTTCTGCTTTTCACAAATATATAATACACTCGTAATACCTCTTTGTGTGAAATATGCTGATCCCTGAAGAAGATTCTAGTACCAGCTCTAACATAATTTGTGAGATTCTGGACAAATCACATAAATCCAACACCCATTTTTGCTTTTATTGAAAGTAGTGAATGCACATCAGATAGATTAAAATCCATTTCATTGCTGATTTCTACATGCTCTGGTTCTGTTGGAGAGAATACAAAGATATTCGGATTTTCATGATTTGTTTATCATAACGATCAGCTTCAGTCCAATTGTAATATCTGAGTTGAGATTTCATTGCTCCTAAGAAAACGAGCAGGCACTCTGCTTGATGTTTGTTTTTCCATAAGGAGACCTTCATGAGTGTTCTTGGATTTTGTCAAATCCTGAATTCTCTCAGGCTCTTAAACAACTATTGTTTTATTTATTTTTGTTTGTTTTTGTTTTGTTTTTTTCGGACGAGGTCTCGCTCTGCCGCCCAGGATGGGGTCCAATCTTGGTTCACTGTGACCTCCGCCTCCCGGGTTCAAGCGATTCTCATGCCTTAGCCTCACATGTATTTGGGATTACAGGTGCGTGCCACCACGCCCAACTAACTTTTGTATTTTTAATAGAGACGGGGTTTCACCATGTTGGCCAGTCTGGGCTCGAACTCCTGACCTCAAGTGATCCACCTGCCTTGACCTCCCAAAATGCTGGGATTACAGGTGTGAACCACCTCCCTCACCGGACCCAATGATTGCATTTGCAGGAACCTACTGGACATTCAGACCATACATTCAGACCATTCCCGCAGTGAAGCCTTGAATGACTGAATAATAAAATGGAAAGAGACAGTCAAGTTTTTGTGGCCCATGAAGTAGGGAACATGCATGTAGGTCAGTGATGCTCAAAATGGTTGGAAGATGCCTGCGCTAAGCATGCTCCCTACCCTTCTGTCAATCGTCATGAGCTACTGTGTGTAATTAGATTGAAGACACATATGGTAACCTCTAAACATATCAGAGGTTATATATTACAGGTTTCTGCCTTGAGTCATCAGATGATATGATTTAAAGGTCAAAGACTATAACGTACTAAGTCCTGAGTAGTCCACAGAAGTATCTTTTACACATGTTTTCCAAATTCCTGACTTAATTAGAACTTCTGAATTTAAAGGATGCACTGCATTTTTAGGGGAGAAATTATCTAAATGTTTTACTCCACACTTCTGAACCACTCCATTAGACTAATTACATCAATAGATAGTTTGTAGACGATTTCCAGGAGCCTACTGAACAAGCCTCAGTTGTATTCTTAGGACAGTCATAGCGTTAAATGCATATCTTATTAAAATAGATAACAAATTACATGATACAAGAAAATAATACTAAGACATAAAAAATAATAAAAGAGTCACAGAATAAACTTAAGGGAAAAGGAAGCAGGCAGTAAATGAAAGGTATGAATCATTAACAAAAGGAAAACTAATCCAAAAGTAATACATTTAATAGATCGTTCTTTTGAGAAATAGGTAGGAAGACAGCATCCAGTAGATTAAACAATCTTGAAAAAAATGGAAAAAGCACAACATGGAATATGAACAAGACCCAGATATTGAATGTAAGGCATAATTGAAAGTGAATACATTCTTAAACACTAATATTTTCAGAGTATGGATGAAATGGTTGACATGCTAGGGATGCCTACATTATTTAATATGTCCCTGCAATACCTGAATATCTGAACGCCACAAAGACTGTGCATGAACTTGTGAAATTTGCTAGTCGTCCCTCAAAAACAGTTACTTTTAGAAGCAAATATTTAGCTTTTCCAGATGTCTTACTCTCCGTTTTCATTTCCCTCTCCATCCATTTCTTCTTTTTTTTCCACACTGGTTATGATATATAACTCTTTCACATTTTAATATCAATCATGATCTTGATACCTTAAAACTTATATGACCATTTAATTAATTGTACAAACGGGAATAGTTTCCAGTGAAAAAAGTGTCATTATTCATATTGACATGAGGACTATAGGTGAAAACTGGATGCAAATGGTTAGTGTATGTTAAAAAAGAACAAAGAAGGGTAAACTAGCTCAAAGCAATATCACAGCACTTCTTCACGATAGAGAAAAAACAAATGCAATACTGGTCTTTCTATTCATTCCACTTATGTATTTCCTAATGTGACATTAACTGTTTTCTCAAAAGATGGTTTTCAGACTATTTGTAGGAACCTATTGGACATTCAGACCATACTCTCAAGCCAAAACTTTAAATTATGCATTTTTTCTGGAGGAATTTTTTTTTCAGAAATTCCTTCTGTTTCTTAGGTTTTTTGTGTTCTCGTTGTATTTTGAGTAAACTCTACACAATGTTTGCCATCTACTTTAAGCCCCTTTTGATAGATGCACTTGATTTAATGTGATCTGACCTCAGACTGTCTTTTGGTTTCCTTCTAGCACTAAAAGCAGGGTGTGTTTTAAAAATGTTGCTAATGTATATGTTTGGAAGTGTATCCTCAAAGTCTCTACAGAGGTCTAGTTGAATATTAGCCGTAGGGAGACTCTTCAGATTCTGGTTTTAGTCCACTGTATAAAACTAAACCTTTGGTGTCCTTTGCATACCTTTAATTTCATCTGAATACAGTTCTGCTAGTAATGTTCCCTCCTGTTATGTTTCTATTGCAGGGGAAGGGAAACCACAGCTTTAAACGAAGACAACCAAAAGAATGCAAACTGGATTTATCCGAGATATTTGACTTTTAAAAATCTCAATAAAGTTTTCCAGTTTTCTCCAAAGAAGTATCACACATCTTTTGTTCATTTATTCTCGCATATTAGACCCTATTGGAAATTTTGGCCAGGTGCAGTGGCTCATGCCTGTAATCCAAGCACATTGGGATGCTGAGGCAGGAGGATTGCTTGAGCTTGGGAGATTGAGACATGCTTGGGCAACATGGCAAAACCCGCTCTCTACAAAAATAAATGAATGAATGCATGAATATATGCATATATGTATGTAGGTGTAGTCCCAGCTACTCTGGAGGCTGAGGTGGGAGTATCCCTTGAGCCTAGGAGGTCAAGGATGCAGGTAGTCATGTTCATGCCACTGCAACTCCAGCCTGGGTGAATGAGACTCTGTCTGTATAAAAAATCGTATCATTTTTGCAACTTTGTATTCTGATTGAGCTGGTATACACGTGTGATATTGTGAAATATATATATTTGGTCCTGGACCCTGCTTACTGTCATACAACTCCTACAGGTTTTAGAATCGCCTCATAGTGACGTCTTTTTGTATGCTAGTGAGTTGACCATTGACTGGCAGCTCCTAGGTAGCTCTAGGATAGGGGATTAGAGGGTTGGCACTTTCAGCCACATCCCCAACCTTCAGGACAGGGAGAGGGGCTGAAGGTTAAGTTGATTGCCAATGGCGGGCCAACAGTTTAGTCAGTCATGCCTATATAATGAAAACCTCCATCAAAACCCAAAAGGACAGGGTTCATAGAGCTTCTGCCTAGCAGAACACATGGAGGGTAGCATGCCCGTAGAGGCCATGGAAGCCCCCTGCCTCTTCCTTCTATTCCTTCCCCTATGTATCTCTTTATCTGCATCCTTTGTTAGGATATCCTACTTTCCACAAAATATGTGAGAATTCCCCAGGCTGTAGAGCTGGATGAAAGAACTACAGCCTAGGCAGAAGAAAGGGGAAAGCAACTAGGGCAACTTGCTGAAGCAAAATTACTTGGATCCTACCTACACTGTCTCCTTACAGGCGATGGCATGACATAGCCATGGGTGTAAGAGCCATCCTGCCTCTCAAACACTGGCCTTGAGATGGTGGGCAGGATACTTACATCCTGTGGGACTGTTTCCCCATTTTAAAGTTGAAATTAGAATATTTAGACTAAATACTTGCTATGAAGAATAAATGAAATAACATACAATGCAGGCATTACATTGCAGATAAATTTACTAGTTATCTTTCCTTAATCCCTTTAAAATTTCAAATGTTTTCATTCCATTTTTCTTTACAACTACACCTCTAGTATGTGATAACTGCTTTGGAATTGCAAGTAGGAATATCAGTCTACCTTTTTAAATGCATTTGACTTCAGAAACTGATTTGATGTAAATATGTAAATTAAATAGCAGTGTAGCTGGCATCAGACATGGCATTGATTCTGAAGTTGATTTGTAAATAACCGAGGTGTGACAAGGCCAACCCTATGTCAGTACTATGTGCTGAAAACTTGTTTGGTGTGTGTGAAGCCATGAAGAATAAGTCTATTCCGGTCAGTCAACACCACAGAACTCAATATCATCGTGTGTCAAGAGCTCAGGCAGTCCCTAAGCAGCCCTGTGGTGGCTAATGGGGCCACAAGGATCACCAGTGCAGTTGTAATTTTGTCTTGTCATATATTCATAGATTTGGTGGGTAAAAGACAATGAGCCCAAATGGATCAAAGTGGTTGATTACTTGCAGACTCAGCAAAAGCAAGATTAACATCGTGTCAGCACTGTGTCCCTAGTCCTACAGTACCACACTGAATCGGAGTTACTCAGTGACAGCACAGATGGTGGGTCTCTCTGCCTGTGAGGAGCCCACAGTCATAGCATAAGGCCAATTTTGAAACCACACTGAATCCTGAACCCCAGATCACACCTGACCAAGTTGCAACTATGGGACAGCAGGGGTGACCCAGCTCCCGAACATCTCACACAGAACACCTTAGGGATGTCATCCATGCTTGTGAGGAGGAGGAACCTGTGTCAATGACTACCCTGAACTGGCTGCCTGCTGACAGCTCCCGTAAACCAAAGATGCAAATCAGTTGTTTGGACTGGACAAGGAACCCTAGAGGGAAAGGTCCCTTAATGGGAGGCCACATTGGGGGCCTTGGCCAGCTCCTACCTGACGAATGTATGTCCTGCTGCGGGTGCCCTAACAAGGGTAAAGTCTTGTTGTCCAGGGGTATCACCTGTGCCCTCTGGGATTGTTCTTACCTATATGCCCTGACTATCCCATCACTGCCTCATCCCTGGAAGGCATTCACATCAGCTTCAGCTTCCTGTCCATAGTTGCGCTGAGCCTGAAATGCTGGCTTGGGCTGGATAAAAATGGTTAATACAGAATCTTAGTTAGGAAGTCACCTGCCTTTGTCAGATGGACCTTCAGCATTAATAGGATTCGTATAAGATGGATGTGATGGGAAATTTGATGTGTCAACTTTGCTACGCCACGATGCCTGAGAAATGTTCACTTTGACCACAGTAGATGTATCCATGAAGTGTTTTCTTTACATGAAAACTAGCATTTAAATCAGCAGACTTTGGGTAAACCTAATTGCCCTACCCAATGTGGGTGGGCCTCCTCCAGTTCCTTGAAGGCCTTCAGAGAAGAAGACAGGGGTCCTCCACAAGATGAAGAAATTCTGCCTCCACACTGCCCTCGATTTGAGCTCTCATATCACCTCTTCCCCGAGTCTCCAGCCTGACATCCTGCTCTGTGAGATTTGGACTTGCCAGTCACAACACTTCCATGGGCTAGGTCTTCAAACTCAGTCTCTCTCTCTCTCTCTCTCTCCACCCACCCACCCACACGTGCACACACACACACACACACACACACACGCGCGTGCACGCGCAATGAGGAACCCTAACCAATAGGCTGCATATGTCTGGGACCCTTAAAGGGCATAACTGAGATCAGTACTGCAGGTTGGTCTCACTCTGCTGCATGGCTCCTAAAGCAGAGGCCTGTGGCATTCCCCTCCCGCCCTCTGCAGACTGACATCCACGTGACTTAGGGTTTGGTCATCCAACCATGTAGAGATCACTACAATTCCACAAGTGTTCCCTGCCCTCCTTCTGCATGTGAGGTCCTCTGAGATATTTTTAAGTCAAATGTCTAATACAAAACCAGTTTGCGTTCTTTCAGCTTGTATTCATTTAAACCTGTAGTTGCCTTTCACCTATGATAGAACAACATTACTAGCAGAACTGTATTTAGGTGACATTAAAGGTATGCAAAGGACGCCAACGTTTTAGTTTCATACAATAGACCAAAACCAGAAGCCTATGAGTCACCCATTGGCTTACATGCAGTTAGACCTCTGTAGAGATTTTGAAGATAGATTTCCAAGCATATACATTATCAATACTTTTTAAACACACCCTGGTTTCTAGTGCTACAAGGAAACCAAAAGACAGTTAGAGGTCAGAACACTTTAAATCAGGTGAACCTATTAAAAAGTGGTTCAAAGTAGAAAGCAAACATTGTGTATACTTTTGCTAAAAATATAACCAACACACAAAAAAAGTTAAGAAACAAAAGGAATTTACAAAAAAATGTTTAATGCTTTAGCTTGAAACTACGTTCTGGATGTCCAATAGGCTCCTGGAAATAGTCTGAAAACTATCTTTTAAGAAAACAGTTTATTGCATTTGTTTTTTCTCTATTGTGCAGAAGTGCAAAAGTGTTTCTTTGGGCTAGTTTACCCTTCTGTGGTTTTTAAGGTACAGTAATCATTTTCCCCAATTTTCACTTAAAGTGCTAATGTCAATATGAATACTGCCTTTTTACACTTGAAAGTATTCCCGTTTGTATAATTAATTATATGGTCACATTAGTTTTAAGCTATCACTATCATTCCTGATGTCAAAACGTGAAACCGTTATATATCATGAACAGTGTGGCCAAAAAAAAAAGGAAATAGAGGGATAGGAAAATGGAAAGGACAGTAAGACATCTGGAGAAGCCAACCATTTGTTTCTAAAAGTAAGAGTTTTTGAGGGACAACTAGCAAATTTCAGTTCTTCCAGTCTTCGTGATGTTTAGGTATTCACATATTATAGGGATATATTAAATAATGTATATGTGCCTAGCATATCAACCATTTCATCCATACACTGAAAATATTAGAGTTCAAGAATGTATTCACTTTCAGTTATAACCTAAATTCAATATCTGTGTCTTGTTCATGTTCCGTGTTGACCTTTTTCCATTTTCTCCGAGTGTGTAAACTACTGGATACTCTATTCATAACTATTTCCCCCAAAAAAATCTTTTGAATTTGTTACTTTTGGATTCGTTTTCCTTTTACTAGTGATTCGTATCTGTCTTTTATTCATTTCCTCTTTCCTTTCCCCTTAGGTTTATTCTATTGCTCTTTTTTTTTTATTTTTTATTCTTCTCCTTTATCATGTAATGTGTTATCTATTTTAATAAGATGTGCATTTAGGACTATAATCTTCCTAAGCATACAGTTGAGGCTTCTTCAATAGGCTCCTGGAAATAGACTGAAAACTGTCTTTCTTTTTTTTTTTTTTTTTGAGACGGAGTCTCGCTCTGTAGCCCAGGCTGGAGTGAGTGCAGTGGCGCGATCTCGGCTCACTGCAAGCTCCGCCTCCCGGGTTCACGCCATTCTCCTGCCTCAGCCTCCCGAGTAGCTGGGACTACAGGCGCCCGCCACCACACCTTGCTAATTTTTTGTGTTTTGTTTAGTAGAGACGGGGTTTCACTGTGTTAGGCAGGATGGTCTCAATCTCTTGACCTCGTGATCTGCCCGCCTCGGCCTCCCAAAGAAAACTGTCTTTGTATGTAAATGGTCTAATGGAATGGTTCAGCAGTGTAGAGTCCAAACTTTTAGGTAATTTCTTCCCTAAATATGGAGTGCTCCCTTGAAATTCAGAAGCTCTTCTATTAACAGTCAGCAATTTGGAAAATATGTGTAAAAGATACTTATGTCGACTACTCACGAATTAGGACGTTATAGTCTTTGAACTGTAAGTCGTATCATCCGATGTCTCAAGGCAGAAACCTGTAATATGTAACCTCTGATATGGTTAGAGGTGATTCTATCATATGTGTCTTCAATCTAATCACACACAGTAGCTCATGAAGACTGACAGAAGGGCAGGGAGCATGCTTAGCACAGGCATCTTACACCCACTTTGAGCGTCACTGACCTACATGCATGCTCCCTACTACATCGGCCACAGAAACCTGACTGTCTCTTGCCATTTTATTATTCAGTCATTCAAGGGTTCACTGCGGGAAGGATTTAAAATACAATTATTCCTTAAGAACCAGAGAATTCAAAATTTAACAAAATCCAAGAACAGTCATTTAGGTCTCCATACAGGAAAACAAACATCAAGCAGGGTGCCCACTCTTTTTCTTAGGAACCATGAAATCTCAAATCAGATATTATAACTGGAGTGAAACTGTTATGAGAAACAAATAATATCTTTGTATTCTATCCAACAGAACATGAAAATACAGAAATCAATCTTGAAACAGATTTTAATATATCTGATTTGCATTTACTATTTTCAATAGAAAAAGATGGATGTAGAATTTTTGGAATTCATCCAAAATCTCACAAATTATGTTAGATCTTGTACTAGAACCTCCTTCAGTACTCAGCATATTTCACACAAAGTGGTATTACAAATGCATTATGTATTTGTTTAAAGCAGAAATTAGAAAATCTGAAAATTGTTGGCTATTGGCTATAGTCACAAGTAAGAAAATGCTTTCATATTTGATGATTCAGTATGGCTTTGACCCAATTTGTTTCTGTATCTGATAGTGTTTAAGTCTTCCAGTCAGGCATTTGGGGTCTGAACAACTTTTCAAAGAAAGCCTGCATTTGAATTGTGTTTTTAAAGGGGCAGTAATGTTCTCTCTTTTTATTATCAAAAGTATAATATTGTGAAAAACAGAAAGCACATAATTTTGCATCTTAATGGGTAGCATACCTCCTTCTGGCATTTTAAATTGCTCTGATTTTGGCAGAATTGTCCCCTGAACATCAGGACCATCTCCGCATTCATCCCCAGTCTTTGACTGAGACAGCTCTGGAGATCAGCTTCCAGGTCAGGCACTGAAAAATACAGAGGTTCTTGATTGAAGCAGGCAAACAAGAAAGACAAATAAGGAAATGATAATACTATTTTCCTCAGTGTTATGAAATAAAAGCCTGTAGACTACTGTGGTAATAAATGTGATGTAAAGATGTCACATTTTTGTTTTCCTATATTATGGAATCTTATCTTAAATGATAATCTGAGGATAAATCACACCACACCTACATTTCCCATACTTTACCATTGTGAATTATGAACAGTGAATATCGACTAAGAAATCTGAAGTCTGCCACATGGATAGAATTTTAATCCTAAATGAAATGCAGTTTTCTGAAGGATTAGATCAACGTATTGGCCTGCCTATGAGACATCTTACAATTGTGACACCCATCCCTTGTTGAGGTAACTTGAAAATTATTTAGATAAATTAACATTATGCTTAGGTCTAAGGGCCCCATATGTAACTTTACATAAATGAATCACATTTAGAATAATGTACCAAAAATAACAGGAAAATCACTATCTTCCAGTAAGGGTACAGGAGGTTGAGTGCAAATAAATTAGTGGTCATTGTTGACAGTCATATTCTGGAAACCTCTTAACAGTGAATTGCTAAAATAATCCATGGCCCAAATTCTGCCAGTGTTTAACGCAAAAATGCTATCTACTGAGTAAACAACTTCTGATTCAGGATAAACTTATGGTACTTTGAGTTTTCTAATTATGAAAGTGCTTCTACAACTTTTAAAAGCCCCTTCGAAATCATACTAATATAGCTACCTGTATGCCAGTGTCCTGAATTACCCACCTTTTGCCAAACATCCTGAAAAAATACAGAAGGATACCAATCAAAGAGTGGCTGTCATTTATTGAGCTCTTTTCTGGAGTTGCTATTCTGCTTCACTGAACTGTGTTTCGTCCTGAGCCAATACTGAAGTACTTTACAGTACACACACATTCGAATAGTAAGTATCTTAAGCAAAACCACTGACCTTTTCTTATTACAACATGGATAACACAAACCTTGGGACAAAATATGAATTCTGTCTCCATGAGTACAAAGGTTCTTGGTAAACCTCCATTTCAGAGCCTCAGTTTGCTTATTTATAAAATGGGGCTACCATCCTTACGCAAATGGGCTTTATTCAGGGTGTTATAAGGTAGGATGACTTGGCACTCCACATGCTGTTAAAGGGTGCTTACAGCACTGTTGACACAATGGCTTAGAAGATTATACAACAACATTCTAAGAAGAACAAATTAAACTAATGGCACACTGCATATTTATGCATAAAATTAAACTGCTTCATCTGATTTAGCAAGGACTGTATTTTCAAGTACACAAAATATATTTCTTTTTTTTTATGTTTCCAAAATTTATTAATTAAATTTAGGTTTATTTTAGTAATAAAGTGTAAATAGCAAATGGCATTCCTTTTCATTATTGGGTTAGTAGATACTACGTTCAGTATCTTTTTCTTACACACATCTAATGAAAGATGTGAAAACAAAAACTTTCACAGTGAAGAGTATACTCATGCACCATTAATTCATCATGTCCCATAGCTTAAAAAATTCCCAAGAAGTGTATCCATCTCTTTTTTACTGGCGCTACAATTTCTTCACTTTTGCCATCCTCATGGAACTGTCAGCCAGCACACTGGAAGGATTCTCTGAAAACAAAGGCATCATCAAGTTCTCTGGGTTTTGGTAGAGATTGAAGGCCAACAGACCTCAGACTCATTTAGAAATATTTAGTTGAGGAATAACCCTTCATAAGCAGTCGCTTGACAGGCGACATTTTATTTTTTTTTTTAATTTATTTTTTTATTGATAATTCTTGGGTGTTTCTCACAGAGGGGGATTTGGCAGGGTCATGGGACAATAGTGGAGGGAAGGTCAGCAGATAAACAAGTGAACAAAGGTCTCTGGTTTTCCTAGGCAGAGGACCCTGCGGCCTTCCGCAGTGTTTGTGTCCCTGATTACTTGAGATTAGGGATTGGTGATGACTCTTAACGAGCATGCTGCCTTCAAGCATCTGTTTAACAAAGCACATCTTGCACCGCCCTTAATCCATTTAACCCTGAGTGGACACAGCACATGTTTCAGAGAGCACAGGGTTGGGGGTAAGGTCACAGATCAACAGGATCCCAAGGCAGAAGAATTTTTCTTAGTGCAGAACAAAATGAAAAGTCTCCCATGTCTACTTCTTTCTACACAGACACGGCAACCATCCGATTTCTCAATCTTTTCCCCACCTTTCCCGCCTTTCTATTCCACAAAACCACCATTGTCATCATGGCCCGTTCTCAATGAGCTGTTGGGTACACCTCCCAGACGGGGTGGTGGCCGGGCAGAGGGGCTCCTCACTTCCCAGTAGGGGAGGCCGGGCAGAGGCGCCCCTCACCTCCCGGACGGGGCGGCTGGCCGGGCGGGGGGCTGACCCCCCCACCTCCCTCCCGGACGGGGCGGCTGGCCAGGCGGGGGGGCTGACCCCCCCACCTCCCTCCCGGACGGGGCGGCTGGCCGGGCGGGGGGCTGACCCCCCCACCTCCCTCCCGGACGGGGCGGCTGGCCGGGCGGGGGGTGGACCCCCCCCCACCTCCCTCCCGGACGGGGTGGCTGCCGGGCGGAGACGCTCCTCACTTCCCAGATGGGGTGGCTGCCGGGCGGAGAGGCTCCTCACTTCTCAGACGGGGCAGCTGCCAGGCAGAGGGTCTCCTCACTTCTCAGATGGGGCGGCCAGGCAGAGACGCTCCTCACCTCCCAGATGGGGCGGCGGGGCAGAGGCGCTCCCCACATCTCAGACGATGGGCGGCCGGGCAGAGACGCTCCTCACTTCCTAGATGTGATGGCGGCTGGGAAGAGGCGCTCCTCACTTCCTAGATGGGATGGCGGCCGGGCAGAGACGCTCCTCACTTTCCAGACTGGGCAGCCAGGCAGAGGGGCTCCTCACATCCCAGACGATGGGCGGCCAGGCAGAGACGCTCCTCACTTCCCAGACGGGGTGGCGGCCGGGCAGAGGCTGCAATCTCGGCACTTTGGGAGGCCAAGGCAGGCGGCTGGGAGGTGTAGGTTGTAGCAAGCCGAGATCACGCCACTGCACTCCAGCCTGGGCACCATTGAGCACTGAGTGAACGAGACTCCGTCTGCAATCCCAGCACCTCGGGAGGCCGAGGCTGGCGGATCACTCGCGGTTAGAGGCTGGAGACCAGCCCGGCCAACACAGCGAAACGCCGTCTCCACCAAAACCAGTCAGGCGTGGCGGCGCGTGCCTGCAATCGCAGGCACTCGGCAGGCTGAGGCAGGAGAATCAGGCAGGGAGGTTGCAGTGAGCCGAGATGGCAGCAGTACAGTCCAGCTTCGGCTCCGCATGAGAGGGAGACCGTGGAAAGAGAGGGAGACCGTGGGGAGAGGGAGAGGGAGATGGAGAGGGAGAGGGAGAGGGAGGCACAAAATATATTTCAAAGTTAGGAGAAGATTCCTTATATCCAGGGACTGCATGAAGCTGTAAACTGTACTCTTCACTTTTCCAGCCAACTTTCAGCAAATGTTTGCGATCCTTTCCTAATGTTTTCTTTCCTCCTGTTACCGGTCATGGCATAATGCATGATGCACACATAGGCCTCCTCCCCCCATAGACGTTCTTTCTTTCCCTTCCCACCACCTTGAATATCAGCTGCACCCTGATCTTCCCTCTTCTGACCAGGTGTAGGATCCCGACTTTCAGTTGGTGGTTCCTCTCGAGGCTCCTCATCACTGGGCTCCTGGGACTGTGGTTGTGTGTGTATAAATAAAAAGTTTTGGCCGGGCGCAGTGGTTCATGCCCAGCACTTTGGGAAGCCAAGGCAAGCAGATCACGAGGTCAAGAGTTCGAGACCAGCCTAGCAAACACAGTGAAACCTTGTCTCTACTAAGAATACAAAAATTACCCGGGCGTGGTGGCGCATGCCTGTAATCCCAGCTACTTGGGAGGCTGAGGCAGGAGAATCGCTTGAACACGGGAAGCGGAGGTTGCAGTGAGCCGAGATCACACCACTGCACTCCAGCCTGGGTGACAGAGCAAGACTCTATCTCGGGAAAAAAAAAAAAAGTTTTGTTATAAATACATGTCAATAATGCAAATATACAGAATACATAGATATTTCTGATCATAAGTCTAAAGACATTTCTCCAACACTATTCCACATACTTATTATTCATAAAGTTATTCTTCCCACAGAGAGGTTACTCTAAGACAGTTACACTCAAGGGCTTTGGAAGGCAGTTTAATCTATGTTGGGATGGATGTGTGCAATCTGTTATGAATAAGCATACGGAGGAAGTCATGGGCAAAATCTGGGGAATCCATCCAGGCAAAATCAGAATGTAGGCTGGGCACAGTGGCTCAGGCCTGTAATCCCAGCACTTTGGGAGGCTGAGGCAGGCGGATTGCCTGAGCTCAGGGGTTCAAGACCAGCCTGGGCAACATGATGAAACTCCGTCTCTATTAAAATACAAAAAGAAATTAGCTGGGCGAGGCGGCGTGCACCTGTAGTCCCAGCTACTCGGGAGGCTGAGGCAGCAGAATTGCTTGAGCCCAGGAGACGGAGGTTGCAGTGAGCCGAGCCTGGGTGACAGAGCAAGACTCCGTCTCCAAAAAAAACACACACAACGTAATCCTCTTGGACCAGTCTTTCCTTCATGAGATGCCATGATCATTTTTTATCAGCTCGGAAGACCTTTAACAGTGTATGCATACTAGTTCAATGACACTATCACAAAAAAAAATAATTTCTGCTAATAGAAAACAACGAATGTTAAAGCACTCACGCATACTCCCAATCAGCTCAGGAGGTTGTAAACTTCGTCTTGGTCTAGGCCTACATGTTGATCTTCCTCGCCAAATTATATTTCACTCTGCAAAGAGAATACAGAACACTGTGATTGGGAAATGGCACTTGAGAGGATAGCTATATTTGAGCACTTCCATGGCCAAATGTTAACGTGTCACTTTTTTAAAGTTTGGAAATACTTTGAAGGTAAGTCCCAGGGCAAGTATAAGTTTGTGTGTCTTCTGAATAGAATGCTTGCACAATCACTTAAGGTGGTCAAGCTATCAATGTCTTAAGGCTCCTGGCAAGAGATACTGGATATCTCTGATGTGGTTTGGTTTCACAGCTGGAATTTCCATCATGGAGACATGTAGGAAAATAGAACTAGAGAATTAAACTGGGAGTGACCACAGTGTTTGTCACATACCCATTTCCTGGTCCCAGTTCCTCCCTAAAATCAAGTTTTGCTCGACCACAAAGCCCCGTCCATTCAAACCTCATGGAGTTGAGAAGTTGCAACACAGCACTGGGTGCTCCTCACTGGACACCTGTGCCTGGCATTCTACAGACCTCGGGGCTGAAGTCACCAACCCGCAGCCTTCCCAGTTCCCAGGCCCCTTCCTTGCCACCCACGCCGTCCCTGCCTGGGTCCCCCCTGGGGAGTCTACAATCTGTCCTCTTTTGGGGGCTTGAGGCATTTCTGGGACTCAGATACCTCCAACAGCTCCCCCAGTATGCACCCCATCATAACCCAGTCCCCCCCATGCCGAGGCCCTCCTTCCTCCCCAGTTGTGGCCCCGACAAAAAAGAAGGCCCATGGCTGCAGTGCCACATATAAAGAATGAAGACCTCGAGGCCCTTCTCCCTCTGAGTCTCCCTCCCACCGGTGACCCTCCAGAAGCCCACTGGCTCCTCCTCACCCTCACTCACACTTCAACTCCCAGTTGGATTGGCCTGTGGACCTACCTGCTGCATCTCAGTAGGAGAGAAAGAATCTAGACCTTAGGAACTTGGCCTCACAGCTCCAAGGCATTCACCACGAGGGCGAAGGGGTAGAGTAGAAGACGCCCAGTGAACATGTGCACTGAGGTGGGCGCCCAAATAGCATGCGCAGTGAGATGTGCGCTAGCCTTAAGGGCTGTGGTGTCCCTCCTTCTCCCCCCTCCCCCTGCTCTTTCCTCCATCCCTTCCTAGGACCCCACTAAGGACTTTGGAATCCATCCTCCCTGTGTGTTTTTTTATGCCTCTGAGACTCAAATACCCCAATATCACCATTCAAAACTCACTCCGTGTTCACCTGACCCTCCTCCCCTCTATGGCCCTTGTTCCTCCCTTTTCCAGGCCCCTCAAGGGAGCAAGTGCATGGTGGTGTCGCTGACTTCTAGTAGGAGGATGAGGCTCTCTGTCAGGCCACGGACCAAGTGGCCCAACCCATGGGAAGTCTGCCCACTTTCCCTCACACTCACTCACACTTCAACTTCTGGGAGGACTGATCTGTGGACCCACCTGATGTGTCATAGTCAGCAAGAAAGAAGTCACAACATTTCCTCCCACAGCTCTGCAGGGACAGAAGGCAGACAGCAAGACCCACAGGCAGCAGGAACTTGCATAGGAAGGAACATGCACATTGAGCCAGGGACTTTCAGGGACAGCCAGAGTTTCCTCACTGTCACCATGATAGCAGCAGCTGCTGCCATCACACTGGCTGCAGCAGGGAGGCCCAGCCAGGGCTGCACGCTCTGTGGAGGCAGCAGGAGCCAGGGACAAGTGGGATCCCCATCTTTTACGAGTTGGGGAGGGAGCTCCTGGGTGCACCTGCAGCTGCCCAAACAGCAGCTGTAGACCCAGACCTCTAGCTCCATGGAGCAGGCATATTGTGGCTACAGATCCAAGCCTCCCTGTCCTCTTGGGGGGACTGTGAGCAGGCAGGATCCCTGCCCTCCTGGGTGCAGCTGCAGCCAAGCGATCTATGGCTGCAGACCCAGGAGCTGGGGACAGGTGGGAGCCCCACCCCTTCAGAGTTGGTGGGTTGGGAGCTCCCCAGGAGCAGCTGCAACTGCCCTCCCAGGTGCAAGACCCAGGCGTGTCTGCAGCCTGCACTCTCTGAAGCCCAGGAAGGCCCCCACTGTCCCTGCAGACTTGGAAGTGTCAGCACCCACTGCCTGATCTCTCCCTGCTCTCAGCACCCACTCTGATTTCAGAGCAGGTTGGGAGCTGAGCCCCTGCACTGTCACAGCTCAGCCAAGTGTGCACATGGCCAGGCCAGCACTGGCATGCCAGCCCCCTGCCACCTCAGACACTCCAGCATTTGATTTTTGAGGAACATGAGAGGGGAAGCCAAGGAGGTGCTGAGGGCAGCTGGGCGGAGGCCTGCAGGTGCCCCTTGGTGTGAGCAGCCTGGGCACCATAGACTGCAGTGGGAGGCAGACCGGCTCCAGAGCAGAAGGGGGCAGTCCCTGGTAAGGACCCACCTTCAGACCAGGGACTGGCCAGGCAGCCAATCCCAGAGACCAGAGTGTGGACTTGTGGTGCCTTTTCTGGGCCGATCCATGGCCACCCATGGACCAATGTACATGCACTTTCTCCCCTCCGAGGTCCGTAAATGCCTGGGACTCAGCCAGAGCAGGGCAAAGGATGGAGAGACAATGGGACGACCAGCTGCAGAGAGGAGCTACCCTCTCCAGTGCCTCCTCCCTGCTAAGAGCTGCAGACATTGGAAAGACCTGCCTGCAAAGAGGAGCCACACTCTTCAGGGCCTCCTCTCTGCTGAGAGCTGAACACTTGAGTGAACAACCTGCCTACAGAGGAACTACCCACTGCGGATCTCCTCTGAGCTGTTCTAACACTCAATAAAGCTCCTCTATGTCTTGTTTTTTTAAAAAGTGAACATACAATTTACTTAACATTCAAACTTCGTTAAGACATGTGCAATATGGCAATTTTACTGGGGATTAAACCCTACCTAGGATGATTGCTTGCCGGAGCTTAGCAACAGGGTCCAGTTCACACTTAGCACTAATTAAATATTTTACTGAATAAATATAATACCAAACAAAATGCATTCAAATGCTTCCTAAAAAAAATTTTAAAGTCCTTTCTACTCAGGCTAATGACAAACACAATAAAGGCAGATATGCTAGTTTAACATAATTGGCTGATTTTATACAGCACTTATATCTTTTAGTCCACAAGTATATTATTAAATCATGGAGAACATCAAATACAACCATTTCTACAGAACTAGGAAATAAATTTCTAAGAAAGAAAGATTTTACAGACCCCATCTTTTATACCCACCCCAACAGTCTAACTCTAAAGAGGATGAAGCCAATGACTTTCCTCACAAGAGCTCAAGACTAATGTAGCTTTGCTATCAAAATCTATATTTCTGATCCATTATGAGCATTGAGACAAGATCCAAATAGTCCCAAAGAAAGAACCACAATGCATATTGTCATTGCCTATTCAGCAACAGCAAACACTGCATCCAAAACTCTCATCCCAGAAATTAAATAAGGTCAGCCACATTCATGGGCATCTCCTTTACTGTAGTATTGTAGAAAGTCTCAATGTCATGAAGAATCCTCTTGTCTTCTTCAGTAACAAAGTTTGTAGCCACACCTTTCCTCCCAAATAGACCCCCTCTGCCAATTCTGTGAATATAGTTTCACGATTGGTAGGTAGATCATAATTTATAACCAAAGACAGTTGTTGCACATCAATCCCACGAGCCAACAAGTCACTAGTGATCAGAACACGGCTTGACCCTGATCAGAATTCCCTCATGATAACATCTCTCTCCTTCTGGTCCATGTCACCATGCAGAGCAGAAACTGAAGTCTCTGGCATGCATTTTCTCAGTCAGCCAGTCCACTTTGGGCCTTGAGAAAAATAACAGCCTGCGTAATGGTCGGTGTCTCATACAAGTCACAAAGTGTATCCAACTTCCATTCTTCTCTCTCAACATTAATATAAAACTGTTTGATTCCTTCAAGGGTCAATTATTCCTTTTTCACCAGAATTCAAATTGGATCTCTCATGAATTTTTTGGTCACTTCCAACACATCAGTTGGCATTGTGGCAGAAAGCAACACAACCTGAATACTTGTATTTAGTTTTTGGAAAATCTCATAGATTTCATCCTTAAACCCATGGCTCAACATTTCATCTGCTTCATCCAAAACAAGCATTTTGATCCATTTTGGAAAAAGATATCTTCTGTTTAACATATCAAACACTCTCCCAAGTGTACCAACAACAATATGTGGTGCTTCAGCCTGCAGTTTTTGCATTTCAGTTTGAACATTTGTTCCACCAATGCAGGCATGACAAGTTGCTCCCATATAGTCTCCAAGTGCCAGAATTACCTTTTGGATCTGTGGAGCCAGTTCTCTGGTGGGGGCCAGCATTAGTGCTTGGGTCTCCAACTGTTGCAGGATGGAAATAGCAAATGTGGCTGTCTTGCCAGTACCTGACTGAGCTTGAGCAATCACATCATACCCTTTCATACAGGTAATAATAGCTCTCTGCTGAATAGCAGAAGACTTCTCAAAATCGTAAGCATAGATGCCCCAAAGAAGAGACTCCTTTAAATTCATATCATCAAAGTTATCAACGATCTCATTACAGTTGCTCTCAATGGCACCATCAGGGTCCATTCCCTCTGGGCTGCCACGTTCTCTGTTATAATCCATGGAGCCACCAGACATGATCCAAAAAACCACTCAGTGCCCGACTGAAAAGTCCTCTTTGTCTTGTTTACCCTCCACTTGTCTGTGTACCTTATACTTCCTGGATGCAGGACAAGAACTTGAACAAAGGTGCCACCAGCCACAGAGGTTTCCAGCCAGAAAATCGACACCCCAAAGATCCCATAACACCTGTATCCGCATCCACAGGGCATTTTTTAGTAAAAAGAAAGGGACTTAAGAGAGCTTTTGTTTCTTTGCCCAAACAATCTCCTGCATCAAGAAACACTGGAAACACACAGTCCCATGTCACCCTTAGTGGAGGATGTATTTCTTTTGTGACAGAAATAAGGAATTTTATGTCTGTATTTATACGTGCTTTTTCCTAAGGATGTTGTTCTGTTGCCAAGGCTGGAGGGCAGTGGCACAACTCCTGGGCTCAAACAATCCTCATCCTGCAGCCTCCCAAGTGGGTGGTACTACAGGTGTGGACACAACACCTGAGCAATTGATTCATTTATTTTTTAGAGAGTGGTCTCACTATGTTGTTCATGCTGGTCTCAAATTCTTGGGCTCAAGTGATCTTCCCACCTTGGCCAATTTTTATACATGCTTTGATTAATCACTTTTTTCTGTGATTCTGGGTTTTATGCCATGCTTCCAGTGAATGTAACAATAAAAGATCTTACAGGGCAATAATCCTACTGCACTTCTAGTCAGACTAACAATTATTACACTTCAGCTTTTACGTCACCATTATGCTTAAATGACATATTGACCAAGACATAGAATGAAAGATTCTGAGATTTTGACATTATTAACAAATCAACTTGAGAAATACACAATTGTGGACTACCAGGAAAATTATTGCCTTGAAACTCATGTAGGATAGGCGAGCCCCAAAGTTGGAGCTTATTCCAGGGGGGTTCTTGGCTTTGCCTCGGAGAGAATTTAAGCATGAGCTGGTGGTGTTAGACAGCAATACTTTTATAGAACAGTACGGCTCCTTTCTGAACAGGGCTAACCTACAGGCAGTGCGCCAGGAGGCAGCAACCTATGGGCTCTTGACAACTGTATTTATACTCATTTATACCCACTTTCAGTTCCATGTAAATGAAGGGGTAGGTTAATGCAAATTGAAGGGCGAGTTATTTAGAACTGTCTAGTAATGCAGGGGGGCAGGGGAGGGTGAACTTCTGGTTCATTGCCATGGCGGTTGTAAACTGTCATGGTGCTGGTGACAGTGTCATGTGCTAGTGAACAATGAAGTCAGCTAGAGATTCCTCAATCATCCACGGTCATCTCTGTCTGCGGGTTCATGAGGGTTTCTTCACTCTATCCTGTGAGGACCGTGAATTAAGTCCTGTCAGGACCTGGAACTAAGTGCTGTGTGTCTTCTACTTAAAAACTACAAGAGAATGCAGGGTTTTCTTTCTTATTAAAATCAGGTGTCCCTTTAATCATTCCAAGCATATTTTTTATTGCATGCAGCCATTCAAAGTTTGCTTTTTCACAAATATTTGGCCTAAATTTTCTATTCAGCTTCAGTTTCAGCTTAGGATATTTAGGAAGACAAAGTAGCCAAATTCTATGCCAACAAGATTTCTGGCATCCCTATACTACTTTGTGATCCTGATAATTCTTATGTGACCATCATATCTAACCAATAATACATCATCAGTACTATAAACAAACCATAACATTTAGAGTTATGGTTATCATGTTATCCCAATTACTTTCAGATGAGTAATTGGGAAATAGATTGAGAGTTCAATTAAAAAAAGAGCATACATAAGTTAGAAAATATCCTGAAGAATGTTATATTCTTCTTGATTAGACCCATGTTTATATAAATGTATACATTATAACATAAATATGTCTTTATATTGATACAAATTCTTGGTAAACATAGTGAAAAACATTCATTTGTATCATGTTTTTAATTTTGCTTGTTGAAAAATCACAAAACACATTGGTAACTTGATGGGGATGGCATGGAATCTATAAATTACCTTGGGCAGTATGGCCATTTTCACGATATTGATTCTTCCTACCCATGAGCATGGAATGTTCTTCCATTTGTTTGTATCCTCTTTTATTTCATTGAGCAGTGGTTTGTAGTTCTCCTTGAAGAGGTTCTTCATGTCCCTTGTAAGTTGGATTCCTAGATATTTTATTCTCTTTGAAGCTATTGTGAATGGGAGTTCACTCATGATTTGGCTCTCTGTTTGTCTATTATTGGTGTATAAGAATGCTTGTGATTTTTGCACATTGATTTTGTATCCTGAGACTTTGCTGAAGTTGCCTATCAGATTAAGGAGATTTTGGGCTGAGACGTTGGGGTTTTCCAGATATACAATCATGTCATCTGCAAACAGGGACAATTTGACTTCCTCTTTTCCTAATTGAATACCCTTTATTTCTTTCTCCTGCCTGATTGCCCTGGCCAGAACTTCCAACACTATGTTGAATAGGAGTGGTGAGAGAGGGCATCCCTGTCTTGTGCCAGTTTTCAAAGGGAATGCTTCCAGGTTTTGCCCATTCAGTATGATATTGGCTGTGGGTTTGTCATAAATAGCTCTTATTGTTTTGAGATACGTGCCATCAATACCTAATTTATTGAGAGTTTTTAGCATGAAGGGTTGCTGAATTTTGTCAAAGGCCTTTTCTTTTTTTTTTTTTTTTTTTTTTGAGACGGAGTCTCACTCTGTCGCCCAGGCTGGAGTGCAGTGGCGCGATCTCTGCTCACTGCAAGCTCCGCCTCCCGGGTTCACGCCATTCTCCTGCCTCAGCCTCCTGAGTAGCTGGGACTACAGGCGCCCGCCACCACGCCCAGCTATTTTTTTTTGTATTTTTAGTAGAGACGGGGTTTCACCGTGTTAGCCAGGATGGTCTCGATCTCCTAACCTTGTGATCCACCCGCCTCGGCCACCCAAAGTGCTGGGATTACAGGCGTGAGCCACCGCACCCGGCCAAAGGCCTTTTCTACATCTATTGAGATAATCATGTGATTTTTGTCGTTGGTTCTGTTTATATGCTGGATTACGTTTATTGATTTGCATATGTTGAACCAGCCTTGCATCCCAGGGATGAAGCCCACTTGATCATGGTGGATAAGCTTTTTGATGTGCTGCTGGATTCGGTTACCAATGACTTTCTTCACAGAATTGGAAAAAACTACTTTAAAGTTCATATGGAACCAAAAAAGAGCCCACACCTCCAAGTCAATCCTAAGCCAAAAGAACAAAGCTGGAGGCATCACGCTACCTGACTTCAAACTATACTACAAAGCTACAGTAACCAAAACAGCATGGTACTGGTACCAAAACAGAGATATAGACCAATGGAACAGAACAGAGCCCTCAGAAATAATGCTGCACATCTACAGCTATCTGATCTTTCACAAACCTGACAAAAACAAGCAATGGGGAAAGGATTCCCTATTTAATAAATGGTGCTGGGAAAACTGGCTAGCCATATGCAGAAAGCTGAAACTGGATCCCTTCCTTACACCTTATACAAAAATTAATTCAAGATGGATTAAAGACTTACATGTTAGATCTAAAACCATAAAAACCCTACAAGAAAACCTAGGCAATACCATTCAGAACATTGGCATGGGCAAGGACTTCATGTCTAAAACACCAAAAGCAATGGCAACAAAAGCCAAAATTGACAAATGGGATCTAATTAAACTCAAGAGCTTCTGCACAGCAAAAGAAACTACCGTCAGAGTGAACAGGCAAACCTACAGAATGGGAGAAAATTTTTGCAATCTACTCATCTGACAAAGGGCTAATATCCAGAATCTACAATGAACTCAAACAAATTTACAAGAAAAAAACAAACAACCCCATCAACAAGTGGTCAAAGGATATGAACAGACACTTCTCAAAAGAAGACATTTATGCAGCCAAAAGACACATGAAAAAATGCTCATCATTGCTAGCCATCAGAGAAATGCAAATCAAAACCACAATGAGATACCATCTCACACCAGTTAGAATGGCGATCATTAAAAAGTCAGGAAACACATCCCATTCCTGGGTATATACCCAAAGGATTAAAAACATGCTGCTATAAAGACACATGCACAGGTTTGTTTATTGCAACACTATTCACAATAGCAAAGACTTGGAACCAACCCAAATGTCCAACAATGATAGACTGGATTAAGAAAATGTGGCACATATACACCATGGAATACTATGCAGCCATAAAAAATGATGAGTTCATGTCCTTTGTAGGGACATGGATGAAGCTGGAAACCATCATTCTCCGCAAACTATCGCAAGGACAAAAAAACAAACACCGCATGTTCTCACTCATAGGTGGGAATTGAACAATGAGAACACATGGACACAGGAAGGGGAACATCTCACACCAGGGCCTGTTGTGGGGTGGAGGGAGTGGGGAGGGATAGCATTAGGAGATATACCTAATGTTAAATGATGAGTTAATGGGTGCAGCACACCAACATGGCACATGAATACATATGTAACAAAACTGCACGTTGGGCACGTGTACCCTAAAACTTAAAGTATAATAAAAAAATTAAAAAAAGAAAAATTACAAAACACAGAAAATCATAAACAAAAATCTCAGCAATGGGAGATTTATAATAGTGCCCATTTAACTGCAGCATTATGAAGAATATCCATGGGTATTCGTTGTTTATTCAAAAATAAGTGTTTTCTAATTTGATGGAGAAAGTTTCCATTTAAATTTTGCTTTATTTTTCATTCCAAAATTACTAGAAGGTGCATAAGTGTTTCTATATCTTTATAATTTGAACTGTTTTGGTGCTAATTTTCCATTTTATTCTTATTTTTATTTATCATGTTATATCCATACTGTTTTAATTTTTTTCATCTCAAGGGTTTTTGTTTGTGTGTACAAAGAGTATTAACTCTGTCACGTTATACAAAGAATAACTTTTCTGTTGATATATTGTTTCAAAATTGTTGATGATTTTTATTATTTTTTCTTCTTTAAAAATGTTTACTTAACAACTAATAATTATATATATTTATGGTGTACAATTTGATGATTTGATATATGTATACAATTTAAGATATGAGTGAGTTATAAAAGGGATTGGATAGAAGTGCAACAAATGTTTACCTCACACTGTGAAATTTTGGCTGTTTTTATTCTGCTATTCCATATTTTACAATTTTCTGTAAAAATCATCTACTACTTTTTAATCAGAAAAGAAATAATATCTTACATCAAGAAAATTAATATTAAATTCCTTTAGAGAGAATATACAACCACAAATCCTTAATCAAATAAATAGCAATATGCTATTTACTTTATTATGGTAAACTTCTGGTTCATTGCCATGGCATTTATAAACTGTCATGATGCTGGTGGGAAGGTCCCATGCTAATAAGCAATGAGGGCAGCCAGAAATCACCCTCACGGCCACCTGCTGGTTTCTGCCAGTTTCACTATCTTATCCTGTTTGGATCAGATCCTGTTTTGGTCAGTAGGGTTATGACTAGAAAACAAGTCCTGCTGGTCTCCTACCTCACATACATGTTTGTGTATTCACATGAGCCTTGGGCCAAGTTCCCCCGACTGAAACCATGGTATCATAAAGCTGGATGATTTATGGAAGGGATACAGTAAGATCAGAAAGTAATCCATAATTTTCAATCTGTAGGTAAATAAATTAAGCAATGGGTGAAAAAATGTATACAATAATGCAAAGCAGAATAATATGTATTAAATTAATATGAGGTCAGCAAATTTTTCTTTAACAGGCCCTACAATAAGTATTTCAGTCTTGGTAGGCCATGTAGTTTCTGTGTCATATTGTTGTGTTTTTTAGAAATAATACTTTAAAATGTAAAAAAAAAATACTTATCTCAAAAGATGTGCAAAAATAAGCCATAGACTGGATTTAGCTTTCAAGCCATAGACAGCTAGCCCCTGGATTATCTTTTAATTCAAATATTTGAATACTGTATTTTTGTACCAGTAGTCAAAATATTAACAAATGAGAGTTCTAACTTCAGATAAGATTTTGAAAGCCTCAAGAGAAAGTCACTCTAGCCCTGAAAATCAGCAATATCCTGATAATCTATAAAATTATAGGGGATTTACATGCTACTATAAAGACACATGCACACGTATGCTTATTGCGGCACTATTCACAATAGCAAAGACTTGGAACCAACCCAAATGCCCATCAATGATAGACTGGATTAAGAAAATGTGGCACATATACACCATGGAATACTGTGTAGCCATAAAAAAGGATGACTTCATGTCCTTCGCAGGGACATGGATGAAGCTGGAAACCATCATTCTGAGCAAACTATCACAAGGACAGAAAACCAAACACTGCATGTTCTCACTCATAGGTGGGAACTGAACAATGAGAACACTTGGACACAGGAAGGGGAACATCACACCTTGGTGGGGTGGTGGACAGGGAGAGGGATAGCATTAGGAGAAATACCTAATGTAAATGATGAGTTAATGGGTGCAGCACACCAACATGGCACATGTATACCTATGTAACAAACCTGCAGGTTGTGAACATGTACCCTAGAACTTAAAGTATAATAATAAAAAAAATTATAGGGGATTTATTAGATCATGATCTAAAAAAGATCATCAAGGTAACAAGGCAGCCATGGGAACTGATACAAAAGGGCGACTAGTCCCTCTAAGGAGAGATGAGACACACAAACTGCATCACTTCTGGCAGAGCACATGTGGAGGCAGTGACAGTCATAAAAGTGAGTAAGAAGGAAACAACTGAAAATGTAACAAATTCATAAAGGCCAAACATACGCAATTGAGAGAGCTGGAATCCCTGGAAGTCTCAGAGACAAGTGGAATTCACATCCACAGACAGAGTGAGATCCTGTCTCAAAAAAAAATTGTCTGAGTTTATAATACTAGATAAAAAGGTAAGAACGAAAATAACAGATGCTGGTGAGTTTGTGCAGAAAAAGCAACACTGGCACCCTGTTGGTTGGAGTATAAAAATTAGTTCAACCATTGTGGAAAGGAGCGTGGAGATTCCTCAAAGACCTAAAAATAGAAATACCATTTTGACACAGCAATCCCATTGCTGGGAATATACCCAAAGGAATACAAATCTTTTTATTATAAAGACATGCACATGTATGGTCATTGCAGCACTATTCACAATAAGAAACACATGGAATTAACCTAAATGCCCATCAATAGTAGACTGGATAAAGAAAATGTGGTACATATACACCATTGAATACTATGTGCCCATTTTAAAAAGCGAGATCATATCATTTGCAGGAACATGAATAGAGCTGGAGGCCATTATCCTTAGCAAACTAATGCAAGAAATGAAAACTAAATACCACAAGATCTCACTTATAAGTGGGAACTAAATGATGAGAACACACGGACACATAGAGGGGAACAACACCCACTGGAGCCTGTTGGAGGGTGGAGGGTGGGAGGAGGGAGAAGGTCAGAAAAATACCTAATGGGTACTGGGTTTAATACCTGGGTGATGAAATAATCTGTACAACAAACCCCTATGACACAAGTTTACCTAGGTAACAAACCTGCACATGTACCCCTCAACCCAAAATAAAAGTTTCAAAAAAACGCACAAAAATTGTGAAATATTCTGATCTTTCTACTGAGAAAAAAAATCAGTTCATTTCTTTTTATTAAAAAGGGAAGGGAGGAAGGGAGGAAGGAAGGAAGGGAGGAAGGAAGGAAGGGAGGAAGGGAGGAAGGAAGGGAGGGAGGTAGGTAGGTAGGGAGGGAGGGAGGGGATAAGGAGAGAAGGAGAAGAAAACAGAAAACAAAAACAGGGCTGAACAAATGTGTCTGTCTCTACCCAAACAGCTCTTGATGAGAAGGCACTTTGAGCAACTTGAGTGTCAAGTAACATAAATCAGAGGGTCATAATCATCTCCATTTACAGCCTTTCAAAAGTTATTCTGGCTAGTTTTTTTTATTACACTTTAAGTTTTAGGGTACATGTGCACAACGTACAGGTTTGTTACATATGTATACATATGCCATGTTGGTGTGCTGCACCCATTAACTCGTCATTTAGCATTAGGTATATCTCCTAATGCTATTCATCCCCCCTCCCCAGTTTTTCTGAGCGATTCAATCCTGCCTTGGGCTCCATTGAATCCAGTGTATTCTCCTGAAGGGCACCTCTTCCCTGGATTAACAGCCCAACTGAGGACCAAAAGAGACTGGTTAGTTTAGGGAAAAAAGGAAAAGAAAAATATAAAAGACCAACATTTCCTCCCCCATGATAATGTTCTCCTTTTTACGTTTCCCACTCAATCTACAGGAGGATATTTGAACTCCAAAATGTCAAAGCTAAGAGAGCTCTGAGAGATCATCTGATATAGCCATTTTTCAAAGAACTTTTAGCACCATAACACTTCTGTAAAATGAAATTTTATCCAAAACCCTACTGCAGAAAGTGGTGGGATAAAATAATATTTTTAGACAAATATATCACTTTAGTTTCAAGTTATCTTTCCATAAAGGCTGTAAAATGGTTTGATTTAGGTTCTTTTGAAGAACCTTACAAATTATTCTGTGGATTTCTTCATAACACTTCAGTTTTATATTAACTTCTGCATCTAATTTTTTGGTATTTTTATTGTGGCGCAGCTGCAAGAAGATCTTGATTTTCACAATACATTTATCAGTAATCCGTATCTTGAAAAAACCCACGTTAAAAATAAATAAGTTACAAGCAAAGGATAGAAGAAGATATAACCCCACAAATACGAATCAAATAAAAACTGGAGGGATTAATACCTCACAAAGCACACTTTATAGTGGAGATTATTACAAGGGACAAAGTGGGACATTACATAATAATCATAGAAAGGTGCATTGATTCAGGAGACAGAAACACCATGAGTATGTATGCACCTTCAAAATACATGAGGCAAAATCGATACATCAGAAAGAAGAAATAGACACACATGCAGTTATAGTAGAACTCTTCAACACTCCTGCCAGCAATTGGTAGAAAGAGTGTACAAAAACACCAGGATATATACATGCAGAAGGCTTAAACATCACTATTAAACAACTTGGCCTAATTGATATTCATAGAGCAAAGCAGAATGCATATTCGTCTCAAGTGCTCATGGAATGTTCACCAAGATAAACCATATTATAGGCCGAAAAACAAATATCAACAAATTCAAAAGGAATGAAAACTTATAAAACATGTTTTGTGACCACAAAAGAATTCAAATAGAAATTACTTGTAGAAAGATATCTAGAATCCATGAAATAGCAGAAATTAAACAAAACTTTTAAGTAATGCAGGGATGAAAGAAGAAATTGTAGGGAAAATTTTATTTTTATTTTTATTTTTTTTTATACTTTAAGTTTTAGGGTACATGTTCACAACATGCAGATTAGTTACACATGCATACATGTGCCATGTTGGTGTGCTGCACCCATTAACTAGTCATTTAACATTAGGTATATCTCCTAATGCTATCCCTCCCCCCTCCCCCCCACAACAGGCCCCGGTGTGTGATGTTCCCCTTCCTGTGTCCATGTGTTCTCATTGTTCAATTCCCACCTATGAGTATATTTTTATTTTTTATTATACTTTAAGTTCTACTTTAAGTTCAAATGTGCACAACAAGCAGGTTTGTTACATAGGTATACATGTGCCATGTTGGTTTGCTGCACCCTTTAACTCGTCATTTACATTAGGTATTTCTCCTGATGCTATCCCTTACCCTGTCCCCCAGCCCACGACAGGCCCCAGTGTGTGATGCTCCCCGCCCTGTGTCCAAATGTTCTCATTGTTCAATTCCCACCTACAAATAAGAGCATGAGGTGTTTGGTTTTCTGTCCTTGTGATACTTTGCTCAGAATGATGGTTTCCAGCTTCATCCATGTCCCCACAAAGGACATAGCCTCATCCTTTTTTATGGCTGCATAGTATTCCATGGTGTATATGTGCCACATTTTCTTAATCCAGTCTATCTTTGACGGACATTTGGGTTGGTTCCAAGTCTTTGCTATTGTGAATAGTGCTTCAAAAAACATACATGTGCATGGGTCTTTATAGTAGCATGATTTATAATTCTTTGGGTATATACCCAGTAATGGGATCACTGGATCAAATGGTATTTCTAGTTCTAGATCCTTGAGGAATCACCGCACTGTCTTCCACAATGGTTGAATTAGTTTACACTCCCACCAACAGTGTAAAAGCGTTCCTATTTCTACACATCCTCTCCAGCACCTGTTGTTTCCTGACTTTTTAATGATCACCATTCTAACTAGTGTGAGATGGTATCTCATTGTGGTTTTGATTTGCATTTCTCTGATGACCAGTGATGATGGGCATTTTTTCATGTGCCTGTTGGCTGCATAAATGTCTTCTTTTGAAAAGTGTCTGTTCATATCCTTTGTCCACTTTTTGATGGGGTTGTTTGATTTTTTTCTTGTAAATTTGTTTAAGTTCTTTGTAGATTCTGGATATTAGCCCTTTGTCAGATGAGTAGATTGCAAAAATTTTCTCCCTTTCTCTAGGTTGCCTTTTCGCTCTGATGATAGTTTCTTTTCCTGTGCAGAAGCTCTTGAGTTTAATTAGATCCCTTTTGTCAATTTTGGCTTTTGTTGTCATTGCTTTTGGTGTTTTAGTCATGAGGTCCTTGCCCATGCCAATGTCCTGAATGGTATTGCCTAGATTTTCTTCTAGGGTTTTTATGGTTTTAGGTCTACAATTTAAGTGTTTAATCCAGCTTGAATTAATTTCTGTATAAGGTGTAAGGAAGGGATCCAGTCTCAGCTTTCTACATATGGCTAACCAGTTTTCCCAGCACCATTTATTAAATAGGGAATCCTTTCCCCATTGCTTGTTTTTGTCAGGTTTGTCAAAGATCAGATAGTTGTGGATGTGTAGTGTTATTACTAAGGGCTCTGTTCTGTTTCATTGGTCTATATCTCTGTTTTGGTACCAGTACCATACTGTTTTGGTTACTTTATCCTTGTAGCATAGTTTGAAGTCAGGTAGCCTGATTTCTCCAGCTTTGTTCCTTCTCCTTAGGATTGTCTTGGCAAGGCAGGCTCTTTTTTGGTTCCATATGAACTTTAAAGTAGTTTCTTCCAATTCTGTGAAGGAAGTCATTGGGAGCTTGATGGGGATGGCATTGAATCTAAAAATTGCCTTGGGCAGTATGGCCATTTTCACAATATTGATTCTTCCTATCCATGAGCATGGAATGTGCTTCTATTTGTTTGTGTCCTTTTTTACTTCGTTGAGCAGTGGTTTGTAGCTCCCCTTGAAGAGGTCCTTCACATCCCTTGTAAGTTGGATTCCTAGATATTTTATTCTCTTTGTAGCAATTGTGAATGGGAGTTCACTCATGATTTGGCTCTCTGTTTGTCTGTTATTGGTGTGTAAGAATGCTTGTGATTTTTGCACATTGATTTTATATCCTGAGACTTTGCTGAAGTTGCTTACCAGCTTAAGGAGATTTTGGGCTGAGATGATGGGGTTTTCTAGATATACAATTATGTCATCTGTAAACAGGGACAATTTGACTTCCTCTTTTCCTAATTGAATACCCTTTATTTCTTTCTCCTGCCTGATTGCCCTGGCCAGAACTTCCAACACTATGTTGAATAGGAGTGGTGAGAGAGGGCATCCCTCTCTTGTGCCAGTTTTCAAAGAAAATGCTTCCAGCTTTTGCCCATTCAGTATGATATTGGCTGTGGGTTTGTCATAAATAGCTCTTATTGTTTTGAGATATGTCCCATCAATACCTAATTTATTGAGAGTTTTTAGCATGAAGGGCTGCTGAATTTTGTCAAAGGCCTTTTCTACATCTACTGAGATAATCATGTGGTTTTTGTCCTTGGTTCTGTTTATATGCTGGATTACGTTTATTGATTTGTGTATGTTGAACCAGCCTTGCATCCCAGGGATGAAGCCCACTTGATCATGGTGGATAAGCTTTTTGATGTGCTGCTGGATTCGGTTTGCCAGTATTTTATTGAGGACTTTTGCATCGATGTTCATCAGGGATATTGGTCTAAAATTCTCTTTTTTTGTTGTGTCTCTGCCAGGCTTTGTTATCAGGATGATGCTGGACTCATAAAATGAGTTAGGGAGGATTCTCTCTTTTTCTATTGATTAGAGTAGTTTCAGAAGGAATGGTACCAGCTCCTCCTTGTACCTCTGGTAGAATTCAGCTGTGAATCCATCTGGTCCTGAACTTTTCTTGGTTGGTAAGCTATTAATTATTGCCTCAATTTCAGAGTCTGTTATTGGTCTATTCAGAGATTCAACTTCTTCCTGGTTTAGTCTTGGGAGGGTGTATGTGTCCAGGAATTTATCCGTTTCTTCTAGATTTTCTATGCAAATAAGCATAGAGGTGTTTATAGTATTCTCTGATGGTAGTTTGTATTTCTGTGGGATTGGTGGTGATATCCCCTTTATCATTTTTTATTGCGTCTATTTGATTCTTCTCTCTTTTCTTCTTTATTAGTCTTGCTAGCAGTCTATCGATTTTGTTGATCTTTAAAAAAAAAACCAGCTCCTGGATTCACAGATTTTTTGAAGGGTTTTTTGCGTCTCTATCTCCTTCAGTTCTGCTTTGATCTTGTTATTTCTTGCCTTCGGCTAGCTTTTGAATGTGTTTGCTCTTGCTTCTCTAGTTCTTTTAATTGTGATGTTAGGGTGTCAATTTTAGATCTTTTCTGCTTTCACTTGTGGGCATTTAGTGCTGTACTTTTCCCTCTACACACTGCTTTAAATGTGTCCCAGAGATTCTGGTATGTTGTGTCTTTGTTCTCATTGGTTTCAAAGAACATCTTTATTTCTGCCTTCATTTCGTTATTTACCCCGTAGTCATTCAGGAGTAAGTTGTTCAGTTTCCATGTAGTTGTGTGGTTTTGAGTGAGTTTCATAATCCTGAGTTCTAATTTCATTGCACTGTGGTCTGACAGACAGTTTGTTATCATTTCTGTTCTTTTGCATTTGCTGAGGAGTGCTTCACTTCCACCTATGTGGTCAATTTTGGAATAAGTGCGATGTGGTGCTGAGAAGAATGTACATTCTGTTGATTTGGGGTGAAGAGTTCTGTAGATGTCTATTAGGTCTGCTTGTTGCAGAGCTGAGTTCAGTTCCTGGATATCCTTGTTAACCTTCTGTCTCGTTGATCTGTCTAATGTTGACAGTGGGGTGTTAAAGTCTTCCATTATCATTGTGTGGGAGTCTAAGTGTCTTTGCAGGTCTCTAAGGGCTTGCTTTATGAATCTGGGTGCTCCTGTATTGGATGCATGTATATTTAGGATAGTTAGCTCTTCTTGTTGAATTGATCCCTTTACCATTATGTAATAGCCTTCTTTATCTCTTTTGATCTGTGTTGGTTTAAAGTCTGTTTTATCAGAGACTAGGATTGCAACCCCTGTTTTTTGTTTGTTTGTTTGTTGTTTGTTTTGTTTTGTTTTTTTGTTTTTTTGCTTTCCATTTGCTTGGTAGATCTTCCTCCATCCCTTTATTTTGAGCCTATGTGTGTGTCTCTGCACGTGAGATGGGTCTCCTGAATACAGCACAGCAATGGGTCTTGACTCTTTATCCAATTTGCCAGTCTCTGTCTTTTAATTGGGGCATTTAGCCCATTTACATTTAAGGTTAATATTGTTATGTGTGAATTTGATCCTGTCATTATGATGTTAGCTGGTTATTTTGCCTGTTAGTTAATGCAGTTTCTTCCTAGCATTGATGGTCTTTACAAATTGGCATGTTTTTGCAGTGGCTGTTACCAGTTGTTCCTTTCCATGTTTAGTGCTTCCTTCAGGAGCTCTTGTAAGGCAGGCCTGGTGGTGACAAAATCTCTCAGCATTTGCTTGTCTGCAAAGGATTTTATTTCTCCTTCACTTATGAAGCTTAGTTTGGCTGGATATGAAATCCTGGGTTGAAAATTCTTTTCTTTAAGAATGTTGAATATTGGCCCCCACTCTCTTCTGACTTGCAGCGTTTCTGCTGAGATATCCACTGTTAGTCTAATGGGCTTGCCTTTGTGGGTAACCTGACCTTTCTCTCTGGGTGCCCTTAACATTTTTTCCTTCATTTCAACCTCGGTGAATCTGACAATTATGTGTCTTGGGGTTGCTCTTCTCGAGGAGTATCATTGTGGTGTTCTCTGTATTTCCTGAATTTGAATGCTGGCCTGCCTTGCTAGGTTGGGGAAGTTTTCCTGGAAAATATCCTGAAGAGTGTTTTCCAGCTTGGTTCCATTCTCCCCGTCACTTTCAGGTACACCAATCAGACGTAGATTTGGTCTTTTCACATAGTCCCATATTTCTTGGAGGCTTTGTTTGTTTCTTTTTACTCTTTTTTCTCTAAACTTCTCTTCTTGCTTCATTTCATTAATTTGATCTTCAATCACCATTACCCTTTCTTCCACTTGATCGAATCGGCTACTGAAGCTTGTGCATGTGTCACGTAGTTCTTGTGCCATGGTTTTCAGCTCCATCAGGTCATTTAAGGTCTTCTGTACAGTGTTTATTCTAGTTAGCCATTCATCTAATCTTTTCAAAGGTTTTTAGCTTCCTTGCAATGGGTTCAAACATCCTCCTTTAACTTGGAGAAGTTTGTTATTACCAATCTTCTGAACCCTACTTCTGTCAACTCGTCAAAGTCATTCTCCGTCCAGCTTTATTCTGTTGCTGGTGAGGAGCTGCAGTCCTTTGGAGGAGAAGAGGTATTCTGGTTTTTAGAATTTTCAGCTTCTCTACTCCGGTTTCTCCCCATATTTGTGGTTTTATCTACCTTTGGTCTTTGATGATGGTGACCCACAGATGGGGTTTTGGTGTGGATGTCCTTTTTGTTAATGTTGATGCTATTCCTTTCTGTTTGTTAGTTTTCCTTCTAACAGTCAGATCCCTCAGCCTCAGGTCTGTTGGAGTTTGCTGGAGGTGCACTCCAGATCCTGTTTGCCTGGGTATCACCAGCAGAGGCTGCAGAACAGCAAATTTTGCAGAATAGCAAATATTGCTGCCTGATCCTTCCTCTGGAAGCTTTGTCTCAGAGGGGCACCCATCTGTATGAGATGTCAGTTGGCCCCTACTAGGAAGTGTCTCCCAGTTAGTCTACACGGAGGTCAGGGACTCACTTGAGGAGGCAGTCTGTCCATTCTCAGAGCTCAAACACCTTGCTGGGAGAACCACTGCTCTCTTCAGAGCTGTCCAACAGGGATGTTTAAAGACGTTTAAGTTTGCAGAAGTTTCTGCTGCCTTTTATTCAGCTATGCCCTGCCCCCAGAGGTTAAGTCTACAGAGGCAGACAGGCCTCGTTGAGCTGCAGTGGGTCCCACCCAGTTCAAGCTTCGCTTCGTTTACCTACTCAAGCCTTAGCAATGGCAGATGCCCCTCCCCCAGCCAGGCTGCAGCCTCGCAATTCGATCTCGGACTGCTGTGCTAGCAGTGAGCAAGGCTCTGTGGGCATGGGACCTGCTGATCCAGGTACGGGATATAATTTCCTGGTGTGCCATTTGCTACAACCATTGGAAAAGCACAGTATTTAGGTGGCGGTGCCCCAATATTCCCGGTACAGTCTGTCACATCTTCTCTTGGCTAGGAAAGGGAAATCCCTTGATCCCTTGCACTTCTCATGTGAGGCGACGCCCCGCCCTGCTTCAGCTCGCCCTCTGTGGGCTGCACCCACAGTCCAACCAGTCCCAATAAGATGAACCATGGAAATGCAGAAAGCACCCGTCTTCTGCGTCGGTCACACTGGGAGCTGCAGACTGGAGCAGTTCCTCTTCAGAACCGGACCTCACAGAGAAAATTTTAAAATAAAAATGCAACATATCAAACTTTGCAAGATGAAACTAAAGCATAGAGGGAAATGTATACCATTCAATACTCGCATCAGAAAGGAAGAAAAGTCTTAAATTGGCCAGGCATGGTCAGGCGAGGTGGCTCACGCCTGTAATCCCAGCACTTTGGGAGGCTGAGATGAGAGGATTGCTTGAGACCAGGAGTTCAAGAACAGCCTGGTCAACATAGGGAGGCTCTATTTCTAATTTTTTTAAAAAAATGCATCATAGAACTAAATGTAAAAGCTAATGTTACAACACTTGTAGAAGAAAATGTATGAGGATGTCTGACATCATGTTAGACAAAGACAGGATACAAAAAGCACAGACTATGAAATAAAAAATTCATAAACTGTTTTTAAGTTTATATACCTATGTCCTATCATTATCCAGTGACTACTTACTTTTCAAAGCATTATACAAATCACATGAAGAGGTCACTAGAGGTCTAATTGCCTAGAGAAATGTAAATTTTTCCTAGAAGTTCATGATGACTAAATCCCACCATTTCATTTAGTTTCCACAATACCCTTTAAGGAGAGCTGAATATTCATTATGCTAAAAAAAAAAAACTATGCCCTCTCCCAAGCCCCGCAGACTCAGTCTTTGAGTCCCTGAAGAGCTGAAGAGATAACCCAAAGATCAGCCAAGGTGTCAAAGTAGTCTTGACTTTGTATCTCTGGAACATGCTCCAGGAAAATGTGGGAAGAGCAACAATATTCACAGCAAAAATGTCACTGCTAGAATTAATTGGAAACTTACTATATGCAAGGAACTGTCTTGACAACTGTACTTGTTTACACAGTCAGTGCTCTAAACTGCCTGCAAGAAGTAGATGACTTTACAAGTACTATTTCCAAAGAACTAATGGAGAAAGGAGGCACAGAGATGTTAAGTAACTTTCTCAATGTCACCCAGCAGTAAGCAGTGGAGCATGGGTCAGAGGCATCATGAAAACATCTACTGTGCTACATATTTGTGCAATCAAGGGCAAGACCCAAAAGCTACTGCAAAATATTTATAATTTTACAGCATGGGACTGTACAATGAATGGAAATTTGATTTCTTCAGAAATCATTTAGAGACGGAGGCTTGAAAGGATTGGTCTGGGTATCATTTGGAGAAGGTGCCCTGAGTGTGTCATTACCATACCAGGCAGCATGTCAGTGTCAGCCCCGTAACCTGAAGGTCTTGAGTTTGTACATCAGAGAACACTCCAAACCTATCCCTTTTATACATTCACAAAGGAGAAAGCTGTGTGGCTGGGAAAGACTACTTCCCTGCTCTAGTAGTCCTCAAACAAGTTTCCATGAAAGTTGGAACCCAGAATCTTTTAAAAATGCAGACTCCAGGATTCACACCCAATGAATCTCATGTAGTGCGGCCACAATGGTGCCCTAGGATCTGGGAATTTACTGCCTAGCCTAGGGAACTTTCAGAAACCTTATTAAATCCCTTAGGTAGCAAGACTGTGTGCAATATACCCACTCTTCCCAGCACAGACAGGACGTTTAGAAGAGCGACCTCAGAGTACACGGGAACAGAAGACATGATGAACACAGTGTGAAAGTCACCACAAGGGTAAGACGATGAGTCTTATGAGAAGACCTTGCAACTCCTACTGGCCTTTCTCCCTGAAGGACTCAGTTTATCTCAAATCTCTTATCCTCATGGGTAGTGGATGGAGGGGTGCCAGGAAACGACCTTTTAGATCACAAAAGGGCATAGGCTTTTCTCAGGGACCATTGAACACATTAGATGGGAGGTGATGCAAGCTATTGTCCCCCTCCCACCAGCCTTGGTTTCTTTCTTCGTGTCCCTCCACGGGAACCTAGAGCAATGTCAGGATGTAGGGCCAATGTCCCCTTCACTAACAGACTCCACACCCTCACCTGAGGAGTTCGTCTCCCCTCTCCTCCCTTAAGCTGTCCTTCTCCTGATCTCGTCTGTGATCCCACAGCAGACAGCTGTCCCTGGCAGCCCGACAACCTAGCCTGGCCCCTTCCTCCTGTGTCCCAGCCTAGAGAGGGCTGTCCTCACCAAGGAGAAGGACATCTGTCCCAGGATCCCAGAGCCATGACTACCACAGAACCATCCTGAGCATCAGTGTCCCATGGCAGTGGTTGACCTATGAAATGAAGCTTCACCACACACCCCAGATGGCTCTGAAATACTTTCTTTTCTTTTTGTCTTATTTCAGACAGGGTCTCATTGTTGCTCAGCCTGGAGTGCAGTGGGGAAATCATGGCTCACCGTAGCCTTCACCACCCAGGCTCAAGCCATCCTCCCATCTCAGCCTCCCACGTAGCTGGGACTACATGCACACTCCACCACATCTGGGGTTGTTTTTTTGTTTGTTTGTTTGTTTGTTTGTTTTTGTAAAGACGAGGTATCCCTATGTTCCGCAGGCTGATCGCAAACTCCTGGGCTCAAGCAATACTTGTGCCTCGACGTCCCAACATGCTGGGATTAGAGGGCTGAGCCACCTCGCTTGGTCCTGAAAAACTTTCCTATCACAGAAAGCAAGACAGAGGAGGAAGGTGCCTTAACCCCTCCTAGGAAACGTGTCCTTTTCCACACTAGAGAGCTATTTCCTCTGTACTGACCACAACATTCCTATTCTTTTTATGTAAATAAGAAGACTGAGGGTAATTTCAATCCTAAACTTGTAATTTATAGCAAGAAAATCATTGCACATTTTGGGACATTTAGGACATTCTGAGGGCAGCTTTGGTTGCTGGAGTGATTGGCAGGGGCTACTGGCATTTGGGGACTGAGGGTTACAGGGAAGGCAATTGACTTTTTCTAGAGTCTTAAATAAACTGGATTTTCCATACATGTCACTCCTTGTAAACTGAGAGATGCTTGTAATGTTGCTTCATCTGAGAACTTACAAAGACTTATTGACTGCTTTGGCAATCACATCACTACAGAGCATTCCATTCTTGGATTGCACTCTGACACAACATACCAGTATCAATTTGCTTTGTAACTCCGCATGCCCCAGGGGAAACAATGAGGGGAATCCAACTTACCTACCAAAGGGATAATTTCCATGATAAGCTGTTAGTTGATGCGGAAAATCAAGTGGGAGATGTTGGTAGTGTGATCTCTCATTAGTTGGTGAACACACCGGCTATGCCCGTTGCTGTTACTGCACTGAAGTTCTCTTTGCAGGTGTATTTCCCTCACCAGGCTCTGTGGTCTCTCCTGGAAAGCTGGAAACATACCCAGTAGATCTCTGTGTCCTCAGGATGGGACAGAGGACCTCACAGACAGAAGGAGGGCAGGGAACACTTGTGGAATGGTAGTGATCTCTACATGGTTGGATGACCAAACCCTGAGTCACAGTGATGAGCCACATGGATGGCAGTCTGCAGAGGGTGGGAGGGGAATGCCACAGGCCTCTGCCTTAGGAGCCATGCAGCTGCAGCAGAGTGAGACCAACCTGCAGTACTGATCTCAGTTATGCCCTTTAAGGGTCCCAGATGTATGCAGCCTATTGGTTAAGGTTCCTCTGTGTGTGTGTGTGTGTGTGTGTGTGTGTGTGTGTGTGCACGCAGAGAGAGACAGAGAGAAATTGATTTTGAGGAAGTGGATCATGCAAATGTGGGGGCTGGAAGTACAAACCTTGCAGAGCAGGATGTCAGGCTGGAGTCCCATGGCAGAGGTGATGTGATCTCTCAAATTTAAGGGCAGCGTAGAGGCAGAATTTCTTCATCTTGAGGAGAACTTCAGTCTTCTTCTCTGAAAGCCTTCAAGTGACCGGATGAGGCCCACCCACATTGTGGAGGGCAATTAAGTTTACCCAGTGTCTGTTTATTTAACTGTTAGTCTCAGCTGAAAAACACCCTCAGAGAGACACCTACCCTGGACAAAGTGAACAATTTTGTCTCGATCGTGACTGAGCCAAGTTGACACACCAGATTTCCCATCATAGCCATCTTATACAAATCCTATTAATTATGAAGGTCTATCTGACAAAGGCAGGTGACTTCCTAACTAAGATTCTGTATTAACCTTTTTTGTCCAGCCCAAGCCTCCATTTCAGGCTTGGTATGATACTGGCCAGGAAACTGAGGCTGATGTAAATGCCTTCCAGGGCTCAGGCAGGGTCAGGATAGTCAGGGCGCACATGCAAGTACAATCCCAGAGGGCACAAGTGATACCCGTGGACTCTAAGAGTTTATACCCTTGTTAGGGTACCCCCAGCAGGACATACATTAGTTAGGCAGGAGCTGGCCAAGGCTCCCAATGTGGCCTCCCACTGCGTGACCTTTCCCTCTGGGGTTCTTATCCAGTCCAAACAATTCATTTGCATCTTTGGCTTAAGGGAACTGTCAGAAGGCAGTCAGTTCACGGTAGTCATTGACACCAGTTCCTCCAATTCAAAAGCATGGATACATCCCCAGGTGTTGTGCCTGGGATGTTCAGGAGCTGGGTCGCCCCTGCTGTTCCATAGTCGCAGCTGTGTCAGGTGTGATCTTGGGTTCAGTATTCGGTGTAGTTTCAACCTTGGCTACAGGATATGACTGTGGGCTCCTCACAAGCAGAGAGACCCACCATCTGTGCTGTCACAGAGTACCTCCAATTCAGTGTCATACTGTAAGACTAGGGACACAGTGCTGACACAATGCTGATCTTGCTTTTGCTGTCTACGCAAGCAATCAACCACTTGGATCCATTTGGGCTCATTTTCTTCTTACCGGCTAAATCTATGGATATGTGACAAGGTAAACTAACAACTATACTGGTGAACCTTGTAGCCCTGTTAGCCACAACAGGGCTGTTTAGGAACTGCTTGAGCAATTGACACACTATTGTACTGAATTGTGTGTAGTGTTGCCTGGCCAGAACATTGACTAATTCCTCCTGGCATCACACGGAGCAAGAAGCACAGTTTTTAGCACATACCACTGACTTAGGATTGGCCTTGTCACCGTTGGGTATTTACAAACAGACTTTAGAATTCATTCCATGTCTGACACAATTAATTAACATATTTATTTAAATCAAATAAGTTTTGGAAGTCAAATGCATTTTTAAAGATAACTTGGTATTTTTACTTGCATTTCAAAAGCAGTTATCACTTACTATAGATGTAGTTGTAAAGGTAAATTGAATGAAAAAAATAAATTTTGAAGAAAAAACAGAAATGTAACTAGTAAACCAAATTTGTCTGCAATGTCATGCCTGCTTCCTATATTATTTCATTTATTCTTCATAGCAAGTATTTAGTGTAAATATTCTAATTTCTACTTTAGAAATGGGGAAACCGTCCCATAGGATATAAGTATCTTGCCCACCATCTCAAGGCCAGCGCGTGAGAGGCGGAATAGAAACCCATGGTTATTTCATGTCATAGCCTATAAAGAGACAGTGTAGCTAGGACCCAAGTCATCTCTCATCAGCAAGTTGCCCTGGTTACTTTCCCCTGTCTTTGACCTAGGCCTTAATTCTTTCATCCCAGCTCTATGGCCTAGGCAAATGGGATCCCCTACACTTAGTCTCACTTTTTATTTGAATCCTGGCTTTTCAGTCCTTTTGGATAAGAAAATACTTTATAATCTCTGTAATAGGGAGAAATAATTGCTGATTATAATCTCCTTCCCCTCCTTAAGCAGTATGGATTCTGAGTAGGGCCTTTGCTGCAGAATTCTCTTTGTGGGTATGAGGATACAAATGGAGCCCAGAGTTGAAATTCCTGTATTATGTTTAGTAAGAGGGATATAAGGCTGGATCCAGGAAGCTTCAGGGGCTTCTGAATGAGATGTGGTGACTGTCAGACTGATGGAGTTTTTATGTAGATGAAAAATGAGGCTTGTATGAAATACTATGCAGCCATAAAAAAGAATGAGATCGTGTCCTTTGCAGGGACATGGATGAAGCTGGAAGCCATCATCCTCAGCAAACTAATACAGGAACAGAGAACATTCTCTCACTCATAAGTGGGAGTTGAATGATGAGAACACATGGACACAGGGAGGGGGAACAACACACACTGGGTGGGGGGGTCGGGGGCAAGGAGAGGGAGAGCATTAGGACAAATACCTAATGCATGCAGAGCTTAAAACCTAGATGACAGGTTGGTAGGTGTAGCAAACCACATGGCACATGTACACCTACATAACAAATCTGCACATTCTGCACATGTATCCCAGAACTTAAAGTAAAATTTAAAAAAAATGATTTAAAGAGGGAAGCACAATTTCTTTTAGAAATGTAGAAGAGGAAGCTTAGCAGTTTAAGTACATTAAAGAAGGCTTCATAGAGAAGGTAACACCTGAGCAGAATAAGGGAGAGTAAATGGGAGTTACTCAAGTAAAAAAAGAGGGGTAAGCACATTCCGGGCAGAGAAGACAATATATATACAGACAGGGAGGAATAAAATAGCATTGTGTGTGGATGAGAAGTATGAGCAGTCCTTGACAATAGAATGTAAAATGAAAGGTGGAAAGCGGTGGTGATTGAAACTAGAAAGATCATAGGAGGATGGGAAAGAGAGGAAATTTTGTATGTCATGTTGAAAAGCTTGGAACATATCATACAGAGATATAAAACCAGTGGTAACTTTTGAGGATGGGGTTCAGGACACACTACCCCAGAATATGGGGCTATTTAGAAAACAGCAGAAGCAGGAAGATAGCTCTCACCTTCCCCCAACCCTTCTCCCCTGAAGCAGGTCATAAAACCCTCATTTGACAGGTGCTGTCTCTATACCCAGAGGAAATGGACATCTGTATGTCTCCAAAAACACAAGATCACTGACAGCAATCTGAACAAACAGGCATAACTGAGTTCTCCCCAATTAACTACCATTAGATCATGCGTTTTTATCCAACATACTTTTCCATCACTATCCACTTCTCCATCAAACCTAGAATAAATATACACAAGTTTTCCTGTTTCTTTGTGTTTTCCTTTCCCTATGTAAAACTTATATTAAATAAATGTGTGTGCTTTTCTAAAAAAAAAATGAGGTTTGGTGCTTCTCCCTCCCTGGCTCTTAATAACTTTTAAAGAAAGGTCAAATGTGTTTGCAGGAGATGTTGTGGCATTTTCCATAGGGATTGAGGCATCAGTTCTTCTCTCCGTGTTCCCACAAACTATTCCAAATGACTTTAGTATTCCAGTTATATTGTTCTGTAGCACAGTAAAATAGGTATGTTATCATTACTTTTTTAAATGTTTTTGTACCAATGGTTTCATCTCGGAACGCCTGTTAGCTCTATGTGCCATATTTTGGGAAACCCCTCCTTCAAGAAAAGAATAAAGCCTTTTATCTTGAACTATGAAAAAATATATATTTTATATATTACCACAGATTTATATGAAAAATGAGATTACCACTGAAGTCAATATATACAACACCAGTTCTACATTCAATGCTGTCAGAAGCATTTGCTTCGAGAAAATGCAGACTGTGAACTTAGAACTTGAATCCCCATATCTGCTTCTTACTAGAGTCATTTATTGCAAAGTTTACGAAAACTCTGACTCACCTTTTTAAAGGATTAAATGAGGTCAGAAACAATGAAACATAGCTCAGAGAAGTGGCTAATGGATAACACATACTCTTTAAATGTGAGTTATTATTATTCCTGTTTTTCTTAACTCAATAAATGGAGCTATTGTCCTAACTATAAACACCTTTGGTTAGTCAACCCATTCACAACCACATACCACAGATCAAAATCATGTAGGCAGGCCCGGCATGGTGGCTCTCACCTGTTATCCCAGGACGTTTGGAGGCCAAGGAGGGAGGATCACTTGAGCCCAGGAGTTCAAGATCAGCCTGGGCAACATAGCAAGAACCCATCTCTTAAAAAACTTATGTAAGCACATTAATAGAATGGCAACTTTTAACTTTCTGTGTACAGGGGTTAATATCAGTACAAAAAAAAAGGAGCAGGTAGTTTTCAGAGTGACAGCATCATTAGAGGGATCATTGGAGGAAAGACGGCCACCTTATAAAGTTCAAAGGCATAGGAACCTAAAGCTGCCCCTTCTGTCTTTCTTTTAAGTAAGGTCCAAAGGTAAAAAGGAGATTCAATCTAGAAACAAAAGAACATGACAAAGCCTATCCCTAAGTTATTCAGTCTTGCAGAGATTTCAGTTCTAGAGAATAGAAAGAGGACTTATACCCAGGAGGCGGATCTTGCAGTGAGCCGAGATTGCACCACTGCATTCCAGCCTGGGCGACAGAGCTAGACTCCGTCTCAAAAAAAAAAAAAAAAAAGAAAGAAAGAAAGAAAGAAAGAGGACTTATATCCCAATTCATTTCATGAAGCTAGTGTAACCTAGATACCAAAGGCCAACAAAGAGAATACAGATGGCCCCAACTTATGATGCTTCCACTTAAAATTATTTGGCTTTATGATGGCAGATAAAAGAAATGTGTTCAGTGGAAACAGTACTTCGAATAGCCATATAACCATTATATTTTTCACTTCCAGGACAGTATTCAATAAATTACATGAGATATTCCAAGTTATGATAAAATAGACTTTGTGTTAGATGATTTTGCACAACCGTAGGCTAATGTAACCATGCTGGGCACGTTTAAGGGAGCCTAAGCTAAGCTATGATGTTTGCTAAGTTAGGTGTACTGAATGCATTTTCAACTTACAAAATTTTCAATATATGATCGATTTATTAGGACATAATTCTATGATAACTTGAGGAGCATCTCTACATAAAATAAAAATATAGGCTAATGTCGCTTCTGAGAACACACATACAAATCCTAAACAAATTAGTAATACATAGATTATTCAAAAAGGATAATGTGTCATGACCAAATGTTTCCCCCTAGGAATGCAACGTTGGTTTAAACATAGCAACTTACCAATGTAATTCACAATGTTAACAGATTAATAAAGGAAAAAGTCCTGTAATCATCTACGTGGATGCATTACAAGTGCTTCATGAAAGTCAATATATATTCAAGATAAATAGTCTTAACAAATGGAAAATAGAATGGAACTTCCTATTCTAATAAAATAGATCTATTTTAAAAAGCACAGCAAACTTAAGATATTTATCAAAAAATTCCCATTCTTATACACCAATAACAGACAAACAGAGAGCCAAATCATGAGTGAACTCCCATTCACAATTGCTTTGAAGAGAATAAAATACCTAGGAATCCAACTTACAAGGGACATGAAGGACCTCTTCAAGGAGAACTACAAACCACTGCTCAATGAAATAAAAGAGGATACAAACAAATGGAAGAACACTCCACACTCATGGGTAGGAACAATCAATATTGTGAAAATGGCCATACTGCCCAAGGTAATTTATAGATTCAATGCCATCCCCATCAAGCTACCAATGACTTTCTTCACAGAATTGGAAAAAACTACTTTAAAGTTCATATGGAACCAAAAAAGAGCCCACATCGCCAAGTCAATCCTAAGCCAAAAGAACAAAGCTAGAGACATCAAGCTACCTGACTTCAAACTATACTACAAGGATACAGTAACCAAAACAGCATGGTACTGGTACCAAAACAGAGCTATAGATCAAGGGAACAGAACAGAGCCCTCAGAAATAATGCCGCATATCTATAACCATCTGATCTTTGACAAACCTGACAAAAACAAGCAATGGGGAAAGGATTCCCTATTTAATAAATGGTGCTTGGAAAACTGGCTAGCCATATGCAGAAAGCTGAAACTGGAACCCTTCCTTCCACCTTATACAAAAATTAATTCAAGCTGGATTAAAGACTTAAATGTTAGACCTGAAAACATAAAAACTCTGGAAGAAAACCTAGGCAATACCATTCAGGACATAGGCATGGGCAAGGACTTCATGTCTAAAACACTAAAAGCAATGGCAACAAAAGCCAAAATTGACAAATGGGATCTAATTAAACTCAAGAGCTTCTGCACAGCAAAAGAAACTACCATCAGAGTGAACAGGCAGCCTACAGAATGGGAGAAAATTTTTGCAATCTACTCATCTGACAAAGGGCTAATATCCAGAATCTACAATGAACTCCATCAAATTTACAAGAAAAAAACAACCCCATCAAAAAGTGGGCAAAGGATATGAACAGACACTTCTCAAAAGAAGACACTTAGGCAGCCAAAAGACACATGAAAAAATGCTCATCATCACTGGCCATCAGAGAAATGCAAATCAAAACCACAATGAGATACCATCTCACACCAGTTAGAATGGCGATCATTAAAAAGTCAGGAAACAACAGGTGCTGGAGAGGATGTGGAGAAATAGGAACACTTTTACACTGTTGGTGGGACTGGAAACTAGTTCAACCATTGTGGAAGTGAGTGTGGTGATTCCTCAGGGATCTAGAACTAGAAATACCATTTGACTCAGCCATCCCATTACTGGGTATATACCCAAAGGATTATAAATCATGCTGCTATAAAGACACATGCACATGTATGTTTCTTGCGGCACTATTCACAATAGCAAAGACTTGGAACCAACCCAAATTTTGAGAAGTGTCTGTTCATATCCTTTGCCCACCAACCAATCCAACAATAATAGCCTGGATTAAGAAAATGTGGCACATATACACCATGGAATACTATGCAGCCATAAAAAATGATGAGCTCACGTCCTTTGTAGGGACATGGATGAAATTAGAAATCATCATTCTCAGTAAGCTATCGCAAGGACAAAATACCAAACACTGCATGTTCTCACTCATAGATGGGAATTGAACGATGAGAACACATGGACACAGGAAGGGGAACATCGCACTCTGGGGACTGTTGTGGGGTGGGGGGAGTGGGGAGGGTTAGCATTAGGAGATATACCTAATGCTATATGACAAGTTAATGGGTGCAGCACACCAGCATGGCACATGTATACATATGTAACTTACCTGCACATTGTGCACATGTACCCTAAAACTTAAAGTATAATAATAATAAAAAAAAGAAAATGTGGCACATATACACTATGGAATACTAAGCAGCCATAAAAAATGATGAGTTCATGTCCTTTATAGGGACATGGATGAAGCTGGAAACCATCATTCTCAGCAAACTATCACAAGGACAAAAAACCAAACACCACATGTTGTCACTCATAGGTGGGAATTGAACAGTGAGAACACATGGAAACAGGAAGGGGAACATCACACACCAGGGCCTGTTGTGGGGTGGGGGGAGTGGGGAGGGATAGCATTAGAAGATATACCTAATGTTAAATGACGAGTTAATGGGTGCAGCACACCAACATGGCACATGTGTACATATGTAACTAACCTGCACATTGTGCACATGTACCTTAAAACTTAAAGTATAACAAAAAATATAAAACAAAAAATTTCCAGTGCCTAGTACGCATAAGAGAAGGATGGCCACAATTACTGGTTCTAATCAGCATTGTATTGGGTGAGTCCGTCTGATGTTGTGAAATAGGAAAAAGGAAAAAGTACAGTGTTTGAAATGTCAGAAACAAGCTGTTGTTATTCAAAGACGATATGATTGTGTATGTTGAAAATCCGAAAGGATCTAGAGATAAATTTGGAATGAGGATATTTAGCAAGTTTACTGCATAGAAAAACAATATACAAACATGATACCTGTTGGTTGAATGGAAGAAAAAAGTGTTTTCTCTGTTCTTGCCCTACTACCAGTAACATCAAAGACTTCTGTGACCAAATATGTGGGGGCTTTTCTCAACACACCAAGCAAGCAATCAGTTTTGCAGCATACGCGAGCTGGGTATCCTCCCATTCAACTCCAATAGGATCTACCTGGAGATAGCATCAGATTGCACAGATTGAGGGCTCAGTCCCACAAGAGGACCCTGCCAATTGCTTCAAGCCCTAGGTTGTTTTACTGTGTTTCTGACACACCAGCTATAAATTGAATTTCCCATGACTCCTACTCGAGTTCAATTAATTTACTAAAGCATCTCACGACTCAGTGAAACATATACATTTATGGGTTGATTTAAACAGGATATTAGAAAGGATCCAGTTAAAGAGATGCATAGGGTAAGGAATGAGTTAAGGGGCAGGGAGCATCCATGCCCTCTGTGGAAATGCTATCCTCCATGTGTGCAGCTATCCAGAAGCTCTCTGAACCCTGTCCTTTTCGGTTTTCATGGAGGTTTCCATTATGCAGGTGTGATCGATTAAACCACTGGCTGGCCATTGGTGATCAACTTAACCTTCAACTCTTCTCCCTTCCCTGAAGGTTTGGGGTGGGGCTGAAAGTCCCAGCCCACTAATCCCCCATCCCAAAGCTACCTAGGGGCTGCTAGGCATCAGTCCAACTCATTAGCATACAAAAAGACATCACTTTGTGGAGATTCTAAAAATATTAAGAGTTGTATGCCAGTATACAGGGTAGAGGACCAAATATATATTTATATATTTCATAATATCACAAGTGTGTGTACCAGTGTAATCAGAATAGAAAATTTCAAAAATGATACTTTTCCTTTTCTTTTTTTAAACAGAGTCTCACTCTGTCACCCAGGCTGGAGTTGCAGTGGCCTGAACATAACTACCTACATCCTCGACCTCCTGAGTTCAAGGGATCCTCTCAACATAGCCTCAGGAGTAGCTGGGACTAAGGCTACATATATACATGCATACATTCATGCATTCATGCAGTCATTCATTTATTTTGCAGTGAGGGGGTCTCACTATGTTGCCCAAGCTGGTGTCAGTTTCCTGAGCTCAAGAAATCCTCCTGTCTCCGCATCCCAAAGTGCTGGGATTACAGGCTTGAGCCACCACACCTGGCCACCATTTTCAATAGTACCAAATATTTGGGAATAAAATGAACAAAAAATGTGCAAGACTTCTTTGGAGAAAGCTGCAAAAGTTTATTTCGATATTTTTAAGTCAAATATCTTAGATAAAAACAGTTTTGTGTTGTTTCAGCTTGTCTTCATTTAAACCTGTGGTTGCCTGTCACCTATAATAGAAATATAACAGGAGGGAACATTAGTAGCAGAACTGTATTCAGATGACATTAAAGGTAGGCAAAGGACACCAAAGTTTTGGTTTTATACCGTGGATTAAACCAGAAGCCTAAGAGTAACCTGATGGCTAACATTCAGTTAGACCTCTGTAGAGACTTTGAAGATAGGCTTCCAAGTATATACATTAGCAACATTTTTAAAACATCCTGCCTTCTGTAGTTCAAGGAAACCAAAAACTGTCTAACTTCAGAGCACTTTAAATCAAGTGAACCTATTAAAAGGTGGCTCAAAGTGAAAAGCAAACATTGTGTATTGTTTTAATAAAAATATGACCAACACACAACAAACCTAAGAAACAAAAGGAATTTACAAACAATGTATCATGTAATGCAATGTTTTGCCTTGAAATAATAGTCTGGATGTTCAACAAGCTCCTGGGAAACAATTTATGTCACATTAGGGACTGCAAAAGTGCAGTGAATTGAAAGGTCAGTACTGCATTTGTTTTTTCTCTTTGCACAGAAGTCCAAAAATATTGCTTGGGGCTAGTTCATCCTTCTGTGGTCTTTAAGGTACGGTAACCATTTGTCCAAGATTTTCACCTATCATCCTGATGTCAATATGAAGAGTCCCTCTTTTTACACTTGAAAGTATTCCCATTGGTAAAATAAATTACATGGTCACATTTGGTTTAATCTATCACTATTATTTTTGACATCAAAATGAGAAAGAGGCATATATCATGAATAGTCGGGCAAAAAAAGAAATGGAGGGAGAGGAAAATAGAAAAGGACAGTAAGACATCTGGAAAAGCCAAATAATTGTTTCTAAAAGTTAAGTGTTTTTGAGGGATAAGTGGGAACTTTCAGAAGTTTTCCCACACTCTTTGTGATGCTTAGATGTTCAGGTATTACTGGAATAAATTAACTAATGTATGTGTTCCTAGCATATCAATCATTTCATTCATACTTCGAAAATACTAGAGTTCAAGAATGTATTCACTTTCGATTATACCATATATTCAGTATCTGTTAGGGTCTTGTTCATATTCCATGTTGAGCTTTTTCCATTTTCTTCAAGAGTGTGTAAACTATTACTCTATTCATAGCTATTTTTCAAAAGAACAATCTTTTAAATGTATTACTTTTGGATTACATTTCCTTTTACTAATGACTCATATCTGTCTCTTATTAAGGACCTCTTTCCTTTTCCCTTAGATTTATTCTATTGCTCTTTATAATTTTCATTAATATTTTCCTTTCTCGTGTAATTTTCTATCTATTTTAACAAGATACTCACTTAAGACTATCTTCCTAAGAATACAATTGAGGATTGCTCAATGGGCTCCTGGAAATAATTGAAAACTATCTTTCATGTAAATAGTCTAATGGAATGGTTCAGCAGTATAGAGTAAAACCATTTAGGCAATTTCTTCCATAAATATGGAATGCTTCCTATAAATTCAGAAGCTCTTCTGATTAACAGTCATCAATTTGGAAAATATGTGGAAAAGATACTTTCATGAAGCAAGTTGCCCACTCATTTTCTTAGGAACCATGAAATCTCAACTCAGATATTATAACTGGAGCGAAACTGATTGTTATGAAAAACAAATCATATCTTTGTATTCTATCCAACAGAACATGAGGATACAGAAATCAATTTTGAAACAGATGTTAATACATCTGATATGCATTTACTATTTTCAATAACAGCAAAAGATGGTTGTAGAATTTATGGAATTCATCCAGAATCTCACAAATAATGTTAGAGCTGTTATTAGAATCTGCTTAAGGTGCTCAGGATATTTCACACAAAGTGGTATTACAAATGCATTATGTATTTGTTAAAAGCAGAAATTGAAAAATATCTGAAAATTGTTAGTTGTTGGGTATAATCAGAAGTAAGAATATGCTTTCATATTTGATGATTCAATGTGGGTTTGACCCAATTTGTGTCTGTAGCTGATAGTGTTTAAGTCTTACAGTCAGGCAATTGGGGTCTGAACAACCTTTCAAAAAAAGTCTGCATTTGAACTCTGATTTTAAAGGGATAGTAATGTTCTCTTTTATTATCAAAAGTATAATATTGTGGAAAACAGAAAGCACATAATAATGGATAGCATACCTCCTTCTGGCATTTTAAATTGTTCTGATTTTGGCAGAATCTTCCCCTGGTCATCAGGACCATTTCCACATTCACCCCCAGTCTTTGACTGAGACAGCTCCTGGAGATCAGCTTCCAGGTCAGGCACTAAAAAATACAAAGGTTGTCGATTGAAGCAGGCAAACAAGAAAGATAAAGAAGGAAATGATAATATTCTTTTCCTCAATGTTATGAAATAAAAGGCTGCAGGCGACTGTGGTAATAAATGTGATGCAAAGATGTCCCACCTTTGTTTTCCTGTACTATGAAATCTTATCTTAAATGACAATCTGAGGAAAAATCAGACCACACTTACATTTCCTATACTTTACCATTGTGTACTATAAACAGTGAGTGTCAGCTATCTAGGAAACCTAAAGACTGCCCAATGGATAGCATTTTAATAATAACTTAAATGTAATTTTCTGAAAGATTAGATGAATATATTGGTGAGCCTATGACAAATCTTACAGTCCTGACACTCATCACCTGTTGAGGTAACTTGAAAATTTTTTGGTTAAAATTAAACAAACTTAGGTCCAAAGGCCCTATATGTAACTTTCCATAAATGAATCCCATTCACAAAAAAATACCGAATATAACAGCAAAATCGCTGTCTTCCACAAGAGTACAGAAACTTGAGTGAAAAAAAAATTAATGGGCATTGTTGACAGTCATATTCTGGAAACCCCTTAACAGTGAATTGCTAAAGTAACCCATGACCCAAATTCTGTCAATGTTTAACTTCAAAATGCTCTCTGTTGAGGAAATAATTTCTGTTTCATGATAATCTTATCGTACTTCGAGTTTTCTAATTATAAAAGTATATAAACAACTCTTTAAAAGCCCCTTAAAATCATACTAATATAGCTACCTGTATGCCAATGTCCTGAATTATCCAGATTTTACCAAACATACTTTCAAAAATACAAAGCAAAGGAAAGAGTGGCTGTCATTCATTGAGCTCTTTTCTGGCGTTGCTATCCTGCTTCACTGAACTTTGTTTTGTCCTGAGCCAATACTGAAGTACTTACAGTACAGACACATTTGAGTATTAACATTTCAAGCAAAATCATTCACGTTTTCTAATGTGAATGGTAGGGAGAACACAAACCTTGGAATGAAATATGAATTCCTTCTCCATGACTCAACTGTTCTTGGTAAGCCTCCATTTCAGAGCCTCAGTTTTCTTATTTATAAAATGGGGCTAACATCCTTATGCAAATGGGCTTTATTCAGTGTATTCAGGTAGGGTGACTTGGCATTCTACATGCTATTAAAGGGTGCATACAATACTGTGGACACCTTGGCTGAGAAGATCAGACAACAACATTCTAAGAAGATCAAAGTAAACTAGTGAAATAATGTATATTTTTGTACATCAAATTAAACAGTTTCATCTGATTTAGCAAGGACTGTATTTTCAAGCATACGAAATATATTTCAAAGGTAAGAGAAGATTCATTATATCCATGAAGCTGCAAACTATACTCTTCACTTTTCCAGCCAACTCTCAGCAAATGTTTGAGATCCTTTCCTAATGTTTTCTTTCCTCCTGTTACTGGTCATGGCATAAGGCATGATGCACACATAGGCCTCCTCCCCTCCCCATAGACATTCTTTCTTTCCCTTCCCAGCACCTTGAGTCTCAGCTGCACCCTGATCTTCTTCTCTCTCCTGACCAGGTGCAGGATCCCGACTTTCAGTTGGTGGTTCCTCTTGCTGAGGCTCCTCATCACCGGGCTCCTGGAACCAGGGGTGTGTGTGTGTGTGTGTGTGTGTGCAGATAAAAAGTTTTGTTATCGATACATTTCAATAATACAAATATACAGAATACATAGATATTTCTGATCATAAGTCTAAAGACATTTCTCCAACACGATTCCACATACTTATTTTTCATAAAGTTACTCTTCCCACAGAGAGGTTACTCTAAGACAGTTGCCCTCAAGGGCTTTGGAAGCTGTTTTAATCTAAGCTGGGATGAATGTGTGTAATCTTTTGCAAATAAGCATGAGAAGGAAATCATGGGCAAAATCTGGGGAACACAAGATCATCCATCCAGACAACAGAAGAACTTAATCCTCTTGGACTAGTCTTTCCTTCATGAGATGCCATGATTATTTTTCTCAGCATGGGAGACCTTTATTGGTATATCTATACTGGTTCAACAACAATTACAAAACATAGTTTTGCAACAACAACAAGTTACAAAAATAACTTTCTGCTAATAGAAAACATCAAAGGTTAAGGCACTCACCAGCATAGGCCCAATCAGCTCAGGAGGTGGTACACTTCTCCTCGGCCTAGGCCTATATGTTGATCTTCCTCGCCAAATCATATTTCACACTGCAAACAGAATACTGTGAATTGGTAAATGCACTTGAAAAGACAGCTATATTTGACCACTTCCATGACCAAATATTAACTTGTCATTTTTTAAAAGTTTGTAAATACTTTCGAACTAAGTCTCAGGGCAAGTGTAAGTATGTGTGCCTTCTGAATGCTTGGGAAGCCATTAAGTTGGTCAAGCTAGCTGAGCAATTTCTTAAGGCTCCTGGCAAAAGACAGGATATTTCCGATGAGGTTTGGTTTCACAACTGAACTCTCCTCCGTGGAGACATTTGGGAAAATACAGCCAGAGAATTAAAACTGCAGTGACCACGGCTTTTGTCACACACCCATTTGCTGGGCCCATTTCCCCCCTAAAATCAAGTTTTGTTGGAATGCAGAGCCCCGCCCATTCAAACCTCCACAGTGGAGTTGAGAAGTTGCCACACAGCTCTGGGCCCTCCTCACTGTACACCTCTGCCAGGCGCTTTACAGACCTCAGGGCCACAGTCACCAACCCGCAGCGTTCCCAGTTCCCTTCCTTAATGCCCACCCTGCTCCTTCCCGGGTCGACACGGAGGAGTCTGGAATCCGTCCTCGGTCGAGGGTTCCAGGGACTCGGATACCTGCCCCAGCACCCCCAGCACTCGCCCCATTTTCACCTGACCCCTCTCAACTACGCGGCCCACCTTCTTCCCTCATTCTGACTTCACCACAACAAGGCCCATGGCAGTGCCACCTCACGAGGAGAAGGACGATCACCTTGAGACCCTTCGGCCTCTGAGGCCACGGGCTATGCTTTCCCACGCTCCGGACAGCCACTGGCTCCTCCTCACACGCACTCACACTTCAACCCTTGGGAGGACTGGCCTGCGGACCTACCAGCTGCGTCTCAGTGGGACAGAAAAAGTCCAGACAGCAGGAACGCGACCCTCACACCCTCACAACTCCAGGGCATTCACCACGTGGGAAAAGGGGCCGAGGGGAAGACACCCAGTGGACATGCGCAGTGAGGTCGGTGCCTGCCTAGTGGGCTGTGGCGCCTCTCCTAGCCCCACCCCATGCCGCGCCGCGCAGTTCTCTACCCTCTCCCAGGTTCCCACTGAAGACTTCGGAATGTGTCTTCTGTGGGCGGTTTCATATGCCTCCGGGACTCAAATACCACAAATAGTTTCCCCCTTCAAAACTCACTCCATGTTCACTAGGTCCTCCTCCCCTCTATGGCCCTCCTTCCTCCCCTGTCTGGGACCCCCACGACAGCAAGGCCATGGCTGTGTCACCACCTGTTAGGAGAAGGACAGGAACCTCAAGGACCTCCCCGTCGGAGGCCATAGACCGCGCCGCGGGCTCCTCCTCACAGTCTCTCCCACTTCAACTCTGGGAAGACTGATCTTCGGACTTACTGGCTGACTCCTAGTCAGCAGCACAGAAGGAAGTCATGATGTCTCCTTGCACAGCTCTGCAGGGACAGAAGGCGGACAGCAAGGCACATGGACAAGGGACTTGGGCAGCAAGGGACGTGCACACTGAGTCAGGCACATGCAAGGCCACCCGGGGTTTTCCCTCTCTCCCCAGGCTCGCATCCCTAAGGTGTTTGTAGTAGAAGGAAAGGGACTAAGAGGCTTCGTTCTCTCTCTTGCCCTACCATTCTCATGCATCCAGAAACACTGGGGACAGTCCCATGTCACCATGAGTGGAGGATGTGTCTCAGACCTTTTGTGACAGAAATAAATTATTTTATTATATATATTCATACATACTTCTTTCTCATTTATATATGCATGGGTGTCTGCCATGTTGCAGGAAATATCTGGGATGCTGGAAATGTGAAGACCAAGGAACCACACGTGGTATGTCCCATGGAGGCTACCACACTGTGGTGGGGCAGACAGACAGTTAAACAGAAGAGCAGTTGAACTGCAAAGGAGAAACACGGGGAACGGACCCAGGGGAGTAAAGAACAATGAATGTCGTGGCCAAGAAGCAAGGGAGAAAACAACACAATTTCTCAAGAAGATAATATTTCTCCATTGCCTTTGCACCTTTTTTGAAAATGAGTTTATCATGTCTGTGAACCTATTGCTGGACTCCATTCTGATCTGTTGATTTTTCCCCAGTACCACATTCCCTGGATTACTATAGAATTAACATGACTCTTGAAATTAGGTAGTGTGATTTCCCCAAAGTTATAGTTCAGAATCGTTTTGGTTTTTCTCGTTCATTTTCCTTTCCATATAATTTTGAAAAAATGACTCCAATGAAGTGGGTTGTATAAGTTCATGCAGTTTCGCTTTGAAAGGCAGCAGATAAATGTGTTAGTAGCTATAGGAGGACATGGGGGAAGAAGGGGAGTTCCCCCCTTAGCTTGGAGAATGATCCCATTTAGAGGGAAGAGTTGGTGGTTCAGGAGAGAGGAATGATCATTGCAGGAGCAAAGCTCCTGAAAAGGTGGGAGGCATGGGATCCTGAGCTGAGGTGAGGGGCTGGCTTTAGTTAGGAGCATTGTATGCAGAAGGGCGGCAGAGAATGCCAGGGCAAGCACAGGTAGACTGGGTTTTAGAAGCTCTAAGAGTTCCCAGCAGATCGCTTCTCTCCTCTAAATGAATCATTATGGGAGGTCATTCAAATGGAGGAGAGTTTCTAGCATTGTGTGGGTGTTTATATAACTATAGAGAAAGTTTCTGTCATCTTAGAGAATACATCAATCATCATGAACAGAATATTCCTAGAAATATGAATGTTGAAGGTGAGCTCTCAGACAGGAATGGGGAACACGGTGTTGGAAACATGTGGACACACAATCCCTGTAAGAAAGTAGCAGAGAATTTGGCTAGAATGCATTCTCTTAGATGCAGAGTAGAACTTGTAAGTGATGAAATTGTATATGTAGCTAAGAACATTTCTAAGCAAAGTATTGAAGTTGTGGCCTGGTTTCTCCTCGCTGTTGGTTGCAAAATGTAAGGGAGGAGAAATAAAACAACAACAGAATTGCTGAGCAAAAAGGAATCAGCCCTTGATTATTTAGAAGATTCTCAGCCTAACCAGATAGCAAGCTCTGGAAATAGGGCCAAGGGTGTAGCAGGACAACTGATTGCTAAGGATATGAGCTATGTGAGTCATGGATCCAGTCAACCATCTCAGCAGAATGCAGGGAAGGAGATGCATTTATCCAGGAAAGATCTAGGGAGGATTCAGGGTCTGTTGGCATGGATGCCATGAATTGCATCAGAGGCCAACATGTTTTTGAGGATTTTATACCAAAAGAAGCACAGCCAGCCTGAAATGAAAGGGACAGAAATGGGACAAAATAAAGGAAGAGTGACTTTGAGGGGAGAGCTACAGATGCAGAGGCTGGCAAGCTGCCACTGCCTCTATAGGCCCAGACAGCAATGACCTGGGGAACAGGAATCCAGACGCCTCTTCCTGAGCTCCAGATGGCAGAGCCACCTCCTCAATTTCAGAAAACAGGGCTTCTGCCCAGGGGTGAGGGAGCAGGGCTAACATTCAGGGCCAAGAGGGCAGAGCTGCCACCCTACTAGGCCCAGAGGACACATCATCAAGCCAAAGAGGACCATTCTGAAGCCTTAAAATCTCTTAAAGTCTGAAACCTTGCTTGGACCCCATGACTCCTTTTCTCCTTCCATCTTCTCCATTTTGGAATAGGAATGTTTCTACTATGCCTGCACCTTCATGCTGTTTTGGAAGCAGATAACATCTTGTCTGGTTTCACAAGTTCACAGATGAAAATAATTTTGCCCCAGAATACAACATACTCTGACTCTCACCCTTTCCTGATTTTGATGACATTTGAATGAGATTTGGGATTTAGAGTTGATGCTGAAAAGAATTAAGAGTTTTGAGGATGTTGAGATGAGATGAATGTATTTTAGATGTGAGAGAACATGAATTTGAGGTGCCAGATGGTGGACTTTTACATATTAAATCATGTCCCCTTCAGAAATTTATGCAGGCATAAATCATAGATATTGCATGTACTGTTCCAGAACACCACAATAAAGCAAGTCTCACACATTTTTTTATTTCCTAGTGCATATAAGAGTGATGTTTATAGTATGTTCTCACTCATAAGTGGGAACTAAGCTATGTGGATGCAAAGGCATAAGAATGATACAATGGACTTTGAGGACTCAGGGGAAAGGGTGGGAGGGGGGTGAGGGATGAAAGACTACAAATTGGTTTCAGTATATACTGCTCAGGTGATGGGTGCATCAAAATCTCACAGATCACCACTAAAGAACTTACTCATGTAACCAAATACCACCTGTTCCCCCAAAAACCTATTGAAATAAAAAATTTTAAAAATGATAATAAAATAAAATAAAAGTGATGTTTATACTACACTACAATCTGTTAACTGTGCAATAGTATTATGTCAAAAAATGTACATAACTTAATTGGAAAATACTGTATTGCTAAAAGATGCTAAAGATCATCTGAGCCTTCAGTGCGTTGTAACTTTTGGGCTGGTAGAGAGTCTTGCCTGGATGTACATGGCTGCTGACTGATCAGGGTGCTGGTTGCTGAAAGTTGGGTGGCTGTGGCAATTTATTTTCTTTTTTTATTTACTTTTTAACAAGCTAATACTACATGGAGGGCTGTGGCAATTTCTTAAAGTAAGACAACAGTGAAATTTGCTCCATTGATGTACTCTTCCTTTCACGAAAGATTTCTCCATAACAGGCAATGCTGCTTGATAGCATTTTACCTACAGTAGAACTCCTTTATAAATTGGAGTCAGATCTCTCAAATCCTGCCATTACCTAATCAACTCATCCTTTGCTGTCATTTCCACAGTGTTCACAGCATCTTCACCGGGAGTAGATTTCATTGCAAGAAACTACTCTCTTTATTCATCCATAAGAAGCAACTCCTTACAGGTTAAAGTTTTATCATGAGATGGCAGCAGTTGAGTCACCTCTTCACGCTCCACCCTTGTTCTCTTGCTGTTTCCACCATGTCGGCAGGTACTTCATCCACTGGAGCCATGAACCCCTCAAAACCACCCATGAGGGAATACACGGTCTGCTGTCGTTATGAGGAGCTTTCTTTACATGTCACTTAGATCCAATTAGTCCATGGTGCCATTCAGTTCATCTATATGTTGCTGACTTTTTTCCATTGGTTCTGTCTGATTTGATTATGCATTTTAAAGCTTTGTAGTTGAGTTCTGTGCAAAAAAGAGGTAATATAGCAGGTCTGAAACTACTATCCTTAGAAAGGCCAGCTTGCAAGACTGGCCCTTGCCTGGCATCTCTGAACTTGATTTCAGGAGGTTTCCCACCATTCTCCATCTGATAAGAGTGGTTTACTCCTCCGAAACTGTTCAAGCAATATGTTCTATGCTGAACACCAGCTTCCCTTCTGGGAATCTGAAATGTTGTTGCCTGTTAGGCAGAGAGTGCCTATGTGACCAGTCCCCAGTAAAAACCTGGGGCACTGAGTTTCTAATGAGCTTCCCTGGTAGACAACATTTTACACATGTTGTCACGATTCATTGCTGGAGAGACAAATTGTGTGACTCCATTGGGAAGGGACTCTTAGAAGCTTTTGCTGGTTCCCGCCGGACTTTGCCCAGTGGACTTTCCCCATTACTGATTTAGCTCAGTATTCTTTTGCTGTAAGAAATCTTAGCCACGAGCACAACTATACATTGGGTCCTCATAGGCAATTACTGGAAGTGAGGGTGGTCTTGAGGATCCCTGACACAGTGGCAGCAACAGTGTGATTCTCCAGCAAGACCCTGACTCACTAAAATATGATGAAAGACTTCTTTGAATAAAGAATGAAGAAGCAGGCATGACGAAGCTGTAACACCTGGGAGACTGTGGATTTGCCCATAATAGGAAGCAGCAGCTGAGCTCTTGTCTGTTGTGAAAAATATATGTACTCACAGCATTTCACAGTAATCCCTCCAATGGCAAGAGAGTTGGCCCACTGGATCCCTGAGTCGCTGTTCTATGCTGAATAATGCAGGGTGCAGGGGGAAGGTGCAGCCAGGTGCTGACTTTGGCTTTTGTTTTCTCCTCCAGGCAGGAGGAGAAAGGACTCAAATGTTGCCAAAGGTGAGCTTTGAGGAGGCAAAAATCCTGAAAGTTTGGTTGCTCTTTCCTCCAAGTGGGTGAGAAAAAAATCAGTTTTCTGGGCTGGAGCAAAGACTTAGATAAAGGGAAAAAAAGGAGGGGGCAAACAGACCAGGTGCAGTGGCTCACACCTGTAATCCCAGCACTTTGGGAGTCTGAGGCAGGACAATCACTTGAAGCAAGGAGTTTGAGACCAGCCTGGACAACATAGCAAGAACTCACATCTACAAAATTTTAAAAATTAGCTGGGCATGGTGGCACCCATATGTAGTCCCAGCTACTCAGGAGGCTGAGGTGGGAGGATCACTGGACTGCAGAAGGTCGAGGCTGCAGTGAGCCATTATCATGCCACTACACTCCAGCCTGGGTGAGAAAGCGAGACTTTGTCTCAAAAAAATAAATTCATTGGTGACTTAATAAAAGACCAATGATACTACTGTTTTCTGAGCGAAATCATGAGAAGATGGTATCAATTTACTCAGATCCAGAGTCAGAGGAAATGGGCAATGGGGAAAGCGAGTGGAGTGTGGAGGGGAGGTGAAGGTGTGTGGGGGCAGGGAGAGAGATCTGGGGCAGACAGGGGCAAGGAATAATGGGGAAGAGCAGAAAGCAGAAGATCAGAGATGTGAGAATAGAAGCTCAAACTTCTGGATACTTACTCTAGGCCAGATGCTTTTACTTTACAGATACTTTTACTTTACAGATTTTACTTTACAGATGCTTTTACTTTACAGCTTTTTTTTTTACTTTACACATGCTTTTACTTTACAGCTTTTACTTTACAGATGCTTTTACTTTACAGATACTTTTACTTTACAGATTTTACTTTACAGATGCTTTTACTTTACAGATTTTACTTTACAGATGCTTTTACTTTACAGCTTTTTTTTTTTTACTTTACAGATGCTTTTACTTTACAGCTTTTACTTTACAGATGCTTTTACTTTACAGATGCTTTTACTTTACAGATACTTTTACTTTACAGATACTTACTCTAGGCCAGATGCTTTTAGCGCACTCTTCTCTCTCTCTCTCTCCCCACATATATATATATATGTATATATATGTGTGTATATATGTATGTATATATGTATATATACGTGTATAAATATATATGTGTGTATATATGTATGTATATATGTATATATGTATGTATATATGTATATATGTATGTGTATATGTGTATGTATGTGTGTATATGTATGTATATATGTATGTATATGTATGTATATATGTATATATATGTATGTATATATATGTATATATATGTATGTATATATATATGGGGAGAGAGAGAGACTATATTTTTAAATTTTATATATATATGTATATATAACAACAGTCACTTAGTGCTCATAGCAACACTGTCATGGGTGTGTTATTAATGTTATCACCTCTTATTATAGAATAGGAAACTGAGACACATTAAGAGACTAAGGAACTTGCCCAAAGTCACCTCGCCAGCAAGGGCAGAGTCAGATTGGTACCCAGGCTAGACAGGGGTGTACAGACACATGCAATCTGACCCTGACACTCTAGAATGCACTGCAATGTGGAATGGTCCTCCAGATAAGAAGACAAGTGAAAGTGTCCAGCAGCATTCATGAGATGACATTATCTGCGTGTGGATTCAACATGAGGTCTCTTGAGTGCATTCGATAATACGGGGTGATGAGTCAATACCAGGAAAGCACAAAGGCGGTCTGTGGTCCATATCAAGCTTTCTGTATGTGTTTGCTACCATGGATGCTAGCAGCAACATCTCTGTCACTGTCATTATGGGAAATAGCTTTGGTATAATATTAAACAAAACAACATATGCAGTATTGTAAACACACTACTTATTCTCCAATCTCATAATTTTTTTAAAAATGCATAGAAAAAAGCCTGGAAGGGAACGCGCCACATATGAGGTGTTGTTCTCTATGTGGGAAACTCTCAATTATTTTGAAACAACATTCCTTTCACTGTTTTACTTGCATTTTCTTTGCTATTATTACTCAGCCACTGTTGCTATAATAATTTTTAAGATAGATGTTCTGAAGACTCATTCTTTTAGGTATCTTGAGAATCCTCAAAGGGATAAAAGGTGTTTTGATATCCTTATCAGGAGGAAAATCAGTCAGTGACCCTCAGGGCAGCACGTAAACAGAAGGAAGGTTTGGGGTAGGGTAGAGAGGGGCAGTGGGGGAGGCAGGGTGGTGTGGATGGAAGGTTAGCTGAAGACCCCAGGCATCCTGAAAAATGCCACAGTGGGTACATGTTGAAAGAAACCAAAACACCCGCATGTCCATAAGAGGAGGCTGCTGTGCTATCGAGATGGAGATCTTTATGACGTCTCCTTAGACCTTTCCTCTCCTTCGGCTCCAGTGGCACAATTTGGCAGCACATGGCCCTAGCAAGGCGCTGCTGCTGGTGAGCTGTGCTGAGGTCAAGGCCCGGCCCACCTGCAGCATCATCACTTCAGAGACTGGCCTGGGGCTCCTGTCTTGGTATCTGGAAGCCTACAGTTTCAGATCAGGGAAACGGAGAAAACACATAGTGCAATAGTTAGACTCAACGCTCCCCCAGTGACGCCATCAGTGCAAAGCGAGAGGCACATATAGGTTGCTGTGGTCATTAGTTTGGGATGAGCAGGGCTGGGTTGGATTGGTCCCTGAAAGAATAATTGGGGGAGTGAATGCCAATGCAATCTATAACATTACTAGCGCACAAGTGGCTAAGCTTATGTTTCCTAGGTTTGTTTTTCTGCTAAGATGATGGAGTGCTCCATTACTGTGGTGAGAAGCCTCCCTGGCCTTAGGCATGTCAGGCAATGATTGTATCTAGTGATGAGTATTCTGAAGATTCGCCAAAAGCTGTGACAAGGGGGCACTGAATGCATAAATTATATTGCTGTAGTTATTTTCAACATAACACAATACTTCTGATTCAGGGTACAAGATACCAGTATGATGGTATGAAGATCCCCAGGCCCTTACCACCCACACACCCAGAAAGCTCTTCAGCCCGGCTGCGTGTCATGCCATGACACCTTCAGGAAGCTTCGAAGCCAACATCGAGCTAAAGTTCCAGTGCCCTTCAGCCTCCTAATGCAGGTCAGGTGGCTGCACAGAAGCTGCCCACTGATCTGAATCAGTGCCAAGGGAATGTGTGCGTGTGTGTGTGTGTGTGTGTATGTGTTTAACAGAGAGGGAGGGCACACCTGAAATAGTGAGAGAAATCGACCAGGGCTTGCTCTGTCTTGCTTCTGACCTGAGGAGCTAACTGCCTTTGCTCATTCCCACACGTAGGCCAAGCTAACTATGGGAGGAATTTAGTGTAGGGTTTAACTTCAAAGCAAAGATGATAATAGTCCCTTTCGGAACCCAGCCCCGAGGAGATGAGAAGGGTGTACACACAAGCAGCAATGTTGTGTGAAAGGTTTATGGGAGCACTGTGAACTGACCAAGGACAAAGATGTTTTGCCACCTCCCCGGGCTCCCGTTGACACCTAGATGTCTGTGGTCACCATTCTCCTCCTGACCTCACCCTTTCCTGATTCTCCCTTGCCTGTAAAAAGAAGCTTGAGATTCATGCCCCTTAAGATGGCTCCACAGGACACTAGTCCATCATCGTCTCAGCTTGGTGGCTCTCTGAAATAAAGTCACTTTTCTCTCCCCGGGAGGTGGAGGTTGCAGTGAGCCATGATCAGGGCACTGCACTCCAGCCTGGGCAATATAGTGAGACCCTATCAGAAAAAAAAAAAAAAACTTCATTTGTTGAACAGTCATTTGCCAAATCCCAACTATATTCTCTGTACTGAGCTGAGTGTCTGGGGCATATGATAAAAAAAGACACATCCCCGCCCCCATGGAGTTTATGTCAAATTGTAGGATAATGGTCAATCTACTGATCCACACAAAAAGTGCAAAAATTCCTGCCAGACTTCAAGTAATATCCTACCACTTCATGTACACTGTAAGACTCTTACAGCTGTATTCTTCCATTTCCTTTCTCCCCAGCTTTCTGCTATTATTGTCTTACATTATATTTCTACCTATGTCAGAACCCCACAATACATTGTTACTATTTGACAGTCAATTTTCTTTTTTTTTTTTTAGACGGAGTCTTGCTCTGTCACCAGGCTGGAGTGCAGTGGCGCAATCTCAGCTCACTGCAACCTCTGCCTCCCAGGTTCAAGTGATTCCCCTGCCTCAGTCTCCCAAGTAGCTGGGATTACAGGCACGCACCAACACACCAGCTAAATTTTGTATTTTAGTAGAGATGGGGTTTCACCACGTTGCCAAGATGGTCTCAATCTCCTGACCTTGTGATCCGCCTGCCTCAGCCTCCCAAAGTGCTGGGATTACAGGCGTGAGCCACCGTACCTGGCCCAATTTTCTTTTAAAGAGATTAGCTACAAGAAAAAGTCTTCACTGAGCATGATGGCTCACACCTGTAATCTCAGCACTTTGGGAGGTTGCAACAGGAGGATTGCTTGAGCCCAGAGGTTTGAGAGAAGCCTGGGCAACATAGGGAGATCTTTTCTCTAAAAAAATGACAGGATCAAATTCACACATAACAATACTAACCTTAAATGTAAATGGGCTAAATGCTCCAATTAAAAGACACAGACTGACAAACTGGATAAAGAGTCAAGACGTATCAGTGTGCTGTATTCAGGAAACCCATCTCACGTGCAGAGACATACATAGGCTCAAAATAAAGGGATGGAGGAAGATCCACCAAGAAAATGGAAAACAAAAAAGGGCAGGGGTTGCAATCCTACTCTCCAATAAAACAGACTTTAAACCAACAAAGATCAAAAGAGACAAAAAGGCCATTACATAATGGTAAAGGGATCAATTCAACAAGAAGAGCTAACTATCCTAAATATATATGCACCCAATACAGGAGCACCCAGATTCATAAAGCAAGTTCTTAGAGACCTAGAAAGAGACTTAGACTTCCACACAATAATAATGGGAGACTTTAACACCCCACTGTCAACATTAGACAGATCAATGAGACAGAAAGTTAACAAGGATATCCAGGAACTGAACTCAGCTCTGCACCAAGCGGACCTAATAGACATCTACAGAACTCTCCACCCCAAATCAACACAATATACATTCTTCTCAGCACCACACTGTACTTACTCCAAAATTTAACACATAGTTGGAAGTAAAGCACTCCTCAGCAAATGTAAAAGAATAGAAATTATGACAAACTGTCTCTCAGACCACAGTGCAAAGAAACTAGAACTCAGGATTAAGAAATTCACTCAAAACCGCTCAACTACATGGAAACTGAACAATCTGCTCCTGAAAGACTACTGGGTACATAACAAAATGAAGGCAGAAATAAAGATGTTCTTTGAAACCAACGAGAACAAAGACACAACATACCAGAATCTATGGGACACATTCAAAGCAGTGTGTAGAGGGAAATTGATAGCACTAAATGCCCACAAGAGAAAGCAGGAAAGATCTAAAATTGACACCCTAACATCACAATTAAAAGAACTAGAGAAGCAAGAGCAAACACATTCAAAAGCTAGCAGAAGGCAAGAAATAACTAAAATCAGAGCAGAACTGAAGGAAATAGAGACACAAAAAACCCTTCAAAAAATCAATGAATCCAGGAGCTGGTTTTTTGAAAAGATCAACAAAATTGATAGACCGCTAGCAAGAATAATAAAGAAGAAAAGAGAGAAGAATCAAATAGACGCAATAAAAAATGATAAAGGGGATATCACCATCGATCCCACAGAAATACAAACTACCATCAGAGAATACTATAAACACCTCTATGCAAATAAACTAGAAAACCTAGAAGAAATGGATAAATTCCTCGACACATACACCCTCGCAAGACTAAACCAGGAAGAAGTTGAATCTCTGAATAGACCAATAACAGGCCCTGAAATTGAGGCAATAATTAATAGCTTACCGACCAAAAAAAGTCCAGGACCAGATGGATTCACAGCTGAATTCTACCAGAGGCATAAGGAGGAGCTGCTACCATTCCTTCTGAAACTATTCCAATCAATAGAAAAAGAGAGAACCCTCCCTAACGCATTTTGTGAGGCCAGCATCATCCTGATGCTGATACCAAAAGCCTGGCAGAGACACAACAAAAAAAAAGAGAATTTTAGACCAATATCCCTGATGAACATCGATGCAAAAGTCCTCAATAAAATACTGGCAAACCGAATCCAGCAGCACATCCAAAAGCTTATCCACCATGATCAAGTGGGCTTCATCCCTGGGATGCAAGGCTGGTTCAACATACACAAATCAATAAACGTAATCCAGCATATAAACAGAACCAAACACAAAAACCATATGATTATCTCGATAGATGTAGAAAAGGCCTTTGACGAAATTCACCAGCCCTTCATGCTAAAAACTCTCAATTAATTAGGTATTGACGGGACGTATCTCAAAATAATAAGAGCTATTTATGACAAACCCACAGCCAATATCATACTGAATGGGCAAAACCTGGAAGCATTCCCTTTGAAAACTGGCACAAGACAGGGATGCCCTCTCTCACCACTCCTATTCAACATAGTGTTGGAAGTTCTGGCCAGGGCAACCAGGCAGGAGAAAGAAATAAAGGGTATTCAATTAGGAAAAGAGGAAGTCAAATTGTCCCTATTTGCAGATGACATGATTGTATATTTAGAAAACCCCATCGTCTCAGCCCAAAATCTCCTTAAGCTGATAAGCAACATCAGCAAAGTCTCAGGATACAAAAATCAATGTGCAAAAATCACAAGCTTTCTTATACACCAATAGCAGACAGACAGAGAGCCAAATCATGAGTGAACTCCCATCCACAATTGCTTCAAAGAGAATAAAATATCTAGGAATCCAACTTACAAGGGATGTGAAGGACCTCTTCAAGGAGAACTACAAACCACTGCTCAACGAAATAAAAGAGGACACAAACAAATGGAAGAACATTCCATGCTCATGGATAGGAAGAGTCAATATCGTGAAAATGGCCATACTGCCCAAGGTAATTTATAGAATCAATGCCATCCCCATCAAGCTACCAATGACTTTCTTCACAGAATTGGAAAAAACTACTTTAAAGTTCATATGGAACCAAAAAAGAGCCCGCATTGCCAAGTTAATCCTAAGCCAAAAGAACAAAGCTGGAGGCATCACGCTACCTGACTTCAAACTATATATACTACAAGGCTGCAGTAACCAAAACAGCATGGTACTGGTACCAAAACAACGATATAGACCAATGGAACAGAACAGAGCCCTCAGAAATAATGCCGCATATTTACAACCATCTGATCTTTGACAAACCTGACAAAAACAAGAAATGGGGAAAGGATTCCCTATTGAATAAATGGTGCTGGGAAAACTGGCTAGCCATATGCAGAAAGCTGAAACTGGATCCCTTCCTTACACCTTATACAAAAATTAATTCAAGCTGGATTAAACACTTAAATTGTAGACCTAAAACCATAAAAACCCTAGAAGAAAACCTAGGCAATACCATTCAGGACATAGGCATGGGCAAGGACTTCATGTCTAAAACACCAAAAGCAATGGCAACAAAAGCCAAAATTGACAAATGGGATCTAATTAAACTCAAGATCTTCTGCACAGCAAAAGAAACTACCATCAGAGTGAACAGGCAGCCTACAGAATGGGAGAAAATTTTTGCAATCTACTCATCTGACAAAGGGCTAATATCCAGAATCTACAATGAACTCCATCAAATTTACAAGAAAAAAACAAACAACCCCATCAAAAAGTGGGCGAAGGATATGAACAGACACTTCTCAAAAGAAGACATTTATGCAGCCAAAAGACACATGAAAAAATGCTCATCATCACTGGCCATCAGAGAAATGCAAATCAAAACCACAATGAGATACCATCTCACACCAGTTAGAATGGCAATCATTAAAAAGTCAGGAAACAACAGGTGCTGGAGAGGATGTGGAGAAATAGGAACACTTTTACACTGTTGGTGGGACTGGAAACTAGTTCAACCATTGTGGAAGTCAGTGTGGCGATTCCTCAGGGATCTAGAACTAGAAATACCATTTGACTCAGCCATCCCATTACTGGGTATATACCCAAAGGATTATAAATCATGCTGCTATAAAGACACATGCACATGTATGTTTATTGAGGCACTATTCACAATAGCAAAGACTTGGAACCAACTCAAATGTTCAACAATGATAGACTGGATTAAGAAAATGTGGCACATATACACCATGGAATACTATGGAGCCATAAAAAAGGATGAGTCCATGTCCTTTGTAGGGACATGGATGAAGCTGGAAACCATCTTTCTTAGCAAACTATCGCAAGGACAAAAAACCAAACACCACATGTTCTCACTCATAGGTGGGAACTGAACAATGAGAACACATGGACACAGGAAGGGGAACATCACACACCAGGGCCTGTTGTGGGGTGGGGGGAGCGGGGAGGGATAGCATTTGGAGATATACCTAATGTTAAATGACGAGTTAATGGGTGCAGCACACCACCATGGCACATGCATACATATGTAACTAACCTGCACATTGTGCACATGTACTCTAAAACTTAAAGTATAATAAAAAAAAAAAGAAACCTAAAATTTTTTTAAAACAATCAGCTGGGCCTGGTGGCTCATGCCTGTAATCCCAGCACTTTGGGAGGCCAAGGCAGGTGGATTGCCTGAGCTCAGGAGTTCATGACCAGCCTGGGCAACATGGTGAAACCCCGTCTCTATTAAAATACAAAAAAATTTGCCTGGCATGGCAGCGTGCACCTGTAGTCACAGCTACTTGGGAGGCTGAGGCAGGAGAATCGCTTGAACCCAGGAGGCGGAGGTTGCAGTGAGCAGAGATCGTGCCACTGCACTCCAGCCTGGGTGACAGAGGGAAACTCTATCTCCAAAAAACAAAAAATCTTGCACTTGCCCACAATTGTTCTGTGTTCAGCACGGTGAAGTTCTGTGTGTAGTTCCAAATTTCCTTCTATTTTCCTTCTGACCCAAGAACTTCCTTTAACATGTTTTGTAGGACAAATCTGTTGACAGTGACTTTTCTCCCCATTTTTGTTTGTTTACCTGTTTGTGTAAACATGTTTATGTCACATTCATTAAAAAAAATTGTGCTGATTAGAAAGTTCTGGGTTGCACAGATTCTGATGAGAAGTCTGATGGATGACTTTAAATTTGTTCCTCTGTATGTAGTGTGTCTTCCTTTCTTTTTCTGCCAGAGCATTGATGTTGGGGTTTGAATCAATCTTTTCAGTAGCTGAACTGGACTTCAGTTGTGTTTTTGCTGTAGTTATTTTCTCTCTTTTTTTTTGCAGCAGCTATAAATGTGAATTTATTTTTTTTTTAATTTTTTAATTTTTATTTATTATACTTTAAGTTCTAGGGTACATGTGCACAACATGCAGGTTTGTTACATAGGTATACATGCACCATGTTGGTGTGCTGCATCCATTAACTCGTCATTTACATTAGGTGTATCTCCTAATGCTATCCCTCCCTCCTCCCTCCCACCCCATGACAGGCCCCGGTGTGTGATGATCCCCTTCCTGTGTCCAAGTGTTCTCATTGTTCAATTCCTACCTATGAGTGAGAACATGCGGTGTTTGGTTTTTTGTCCTTGTGATAGTTTGCGGAGAATGATGGTTTCCAGCTTCATCCATGTCCCTACAAAGGACATGAACTCATCCTTTTTTATGGCTGCATAGTATTCCATGGTGTATATGTGCCACATTTTCTTAATCCAATCTATCATTGATGGACATTTTGGTTGGTTCCAAGTCTTTGCTATTGTGAATAGTGCCGCAATAAACATACATGTGCATGTGTCTTTATAGCAGCATGATTTATAATCCTTTGGGTATATACCCAGTAATGGGATGGCTGGGTCAAATGGTATTTCTAGTTGTAGATCCTTGAGGAATCGCCACACTGTCTTCCACAATGGTTGAACTAGTTTCCAGTCCCACCAACAGTGTAAAAGTGTTCCTATTTCTCCACATCCTCTCCAGCACCTGTTGTTTCCTGACTTTTTAATGATTGCCATTCTAACTGGTGTGAGATGGTATCTCATTGTGGTTTTGATTTGCATTTCTCTGATGGCTGCCTAAATGTCTTCTTTTGAGAAGACTTTTTGAGAAGTCTTTTGAGAAGACTTTGCCCACTTTTTGATGGGGTTGTTTGTTTTTTTCTTGTAAATTTGTTTGAGTTCTTTGTAGATTCTGGATATTAGCCCTTTGTCAGATGAGTAGATTGCAAAAATTTTCTCCCATTCTGTAGGCTGCCTATTCACGCTGATGGTAGTTTCTTTTGCTGTGCAGAAGCTCTTGAGTTTAATTAGATCCCATTTGTCAATTTTGGCTTTTGTTGCCATTGCTTTTGGTGTTTTAGACATGAAGTCCTTGCCCATGCCTATGTCCTGAAAGGTATTGCCTAGGTTTTCTTCTAGGGTTTTAATGGTTTTAGGTCTAACATTTAAGTCTTTAATCCATCTTGAATTAATTTTTGTATAAGGTGTAAGGAAGGGATCCAGTTTCAGCTTTCTGCATATGGCTAGCCAGTTTTCCCAGCACCATTTATTCAATAGGGAATCCTTTCCCCATTTCTTGTTTTTGTCAGGTTTGTCAAAGATCAGATGGTTGTAGATGTGTGGTATTATTTCTGAGGGCTCTGTTCTGTTCCATTGGTCTATATCTCTGTTTTGGTACCAGTACCATGCTGTTTTGGTTACTATAGCCTTGTAGTATATATAGTTTGAAGTCAGGTAGCGTGATGCCTCCAGATTTGTTCTTTTGGCTTAGGGTTGTCTTGGCAATGCAGGCCCTTTTTTGGTTCCATATGAACTTTAAAGTAGTTTTTTCCAATTCTGTGAAGAAAGTCATTGGTAGCTTGATGGGGATGGCATTGATTCTATAAATTACCTTGGGCAGTATGGCCATTTTCACGATATTGACTCTTCCTATCCATGAGCATGGAATGTTCTTCCATTTGTTTGTGTCCTCTTTTATTTCGTTGAGCAGTGGTTTGTAGTTCTCCTTGAAGAGGTCCTTCACATCCCTTGTAAGTTGGATTCCTAGATATTTTATTCTCTTTGAAGCAATTGTGGATGGGAGTTCACTCATGATTTGGCTCTCTGTCTGTCTGCTATTGGTGTATAAGAATGCTTGTGATTTTTGCACATTGATTTTTGTATCCTGAGACTTTGCTGATGTTGCTTATCAGCTTAAGGAGATTTTGGGCTGAGACGATGGGGTTTTCTAAATATACAATCATGTCATCTGCAAATAGGGACAATTTGACTTCCTCTTTTCCTAATTGAATACCCTTTATTTCTTTCTCCTGCCTGGTTGCCCTGGCCAGAACTTCCGACACTATGTTGAATAGGAGTGGTGAGAGAGGGCATCCCTGTCTTGTGCCAGTTTTCAAAGGGAATGCTTCCAGGTTTTGCCCATTCAGTATGATATTGGCTGTGGGTTTGTCATAAATAGCTCTTATTATTTTGAGATACGTCCCGTCAATACCTAATTTATTGAGAGTTTTTAGCATGAAGGCTGTTGAATTTTGTCAAAGGCCTTTTCTGCATCTATTGAGATAATCATGTGGTTTTTGTGTTTGGTTCTGTTTATATGCTGGATTACATTTATTGACTTTCGTATGTTAAACCAGCCTTGCATCCCAGGGATGAAGCCCACTTGATCGTGGTGGATAAGCTTTTTGATGTGCTGCTGGATTCGGTTTGCCAGTATTTTACTGAGGATTTTTGCATCAATGTTCATCAGGGATATTGGTCTAAAAGCTGTAGATATTTTCAATATAACACAATACCTCAGATTCAGGGTACAAGATATCAGTATGCAAAAATCAATTGTATTACTTCTTTGTTTTTATTTGATAAATTGGCATAATAATTGTACATATACATGGGGCAAGTAGTGATATTTCCATACATATGATGTATGGTGATCAAAGCAGAGTAATTAGCATATGGATTGTCTCAAACATTCATCATTTCTTTGTGTTGGGAATATTCAATGTCCTCCTAACTATTTGAAACTATATAATATATTATTTGTTTACTTTTTCAAAACAGAGTCTCACTCTGTCACCCAGGCTGGAGTGCAGTGGCACGATCTCAGCTCACTGCAACCTCCGCTTCCCAAGCTCAAGCGGTTCTCCTGTCTCAGGATCCCGAGTAGCTGGGATTACAGGCAACCACCACCACGCCTGGCTAATTTTTGTATTTTTAGTAGAGACGGTGTTTTGCCATGTCGACCAGGCTGGTCTCAAACTCCTGACCTCAGATGATCCGCCCGCCTCAGTCTCCCTAAGTGCTGGGATTACAGGTGTGAGCCACCATGCCCGGCCTATATAATATATTATCGTTCATTATAGTTATCCCACAATGCTGTGGAACACTATAACTTACTTCTCCTATCAAACTGTAATTTTGTATCCTTTAACAAATCTCTCTCTATCTCCACCACCCCTTACCCTTTCCAGCCTCTAGTATCCTCTGTTCTACTTTTTATTTCTATGAGATTAGCATTTTTTAGCTTCCACATATGAATGACAACATGTGGTGTTTAAGTCTCTGTTCCTGGCTTATTTCACTTAACATAAAGTCCTCCACTTCCACCCAAGATTGCTCAGAATGACAGAATTTCATTCCTTTTTAGGGCTGAAAAGTATTGCATTGTGTACGTGTACCACATTTTCTTCATCCGTTCATCTAGACTGATTCCATAGCATGGCTATTGTGCATAGTGCTATAATCAATGTGGGAGTGCAGATGTCTCTTTGATATGCTGATTTCCTATCCCTTGAATAAATGCCCAGTAGTGGGATTGCTGGATCATATGGTGGTTCTATTGTAGTTTTTGGAGGAACCTCCCTTCTGTTCTCCATAGTGTCTCTACTAGTTTAAATTCTCACCAATAGGGTATGACAGTTCCCTTTTCTCTGCATCCTTGCCAGTGTTTGTTATTTTTCGTCTTTTTGAGAATAGGCATTCTAGCTGAGTGAGATTGCCAGCATTTGTTTGTTTGTTTGTTTGTTTTGTCTTTTTGATAACAGGTATTGTAACTGTGTGAGACGATAACTCATTGTGGTTTTACTGTTATTTCTTTTCTTTTCTGGAGACAGGGTCTCACTATGTTGCCCAGGCTGGTCTTGAAGTCCTGAGCTCAAGCAGTCCTCCTCCCTTGGCTTCCTAAGTAGCTGGGACTACAGGCCTGCTCCATCCCAGCCAGCTCTCATTGTGGTTTTGATTTGCATTTCCCTGATGATTAGCGATGCTGAACATTTTTTCATACATTTCTTGGCCATTTGTAGGTCTTCCTTTGAGAAACATCTATTCAGATAATTTCCCTATTTGAGCTTGGATGGGTTTTTTGGCTGTTGAGATGTTTGACTTCCTTGTATATCATGGTTATTAACACCCTGTCTAATGAATAGTTTGCAAATCTTTTCAATCTTTTGTAAATAAACAAATACGGGATTTTATTTTTTTAATTATATTTTTTTGAGACAGGATTGTGCTCTGTCACCCAGGTTGGAGTGCGGTGGCGCGATCAAGGCTCACTGCAGCCTCAACCTCCCAGGCCCAAACCTTCCTCCCACCTCAGCCTCCTGAGTACCTGGGATTCCAGGTGCTCACAACCCTGCCCAGCTCATTTTTAATTTTTTTTTGTAAAGACAGGGTCTCGCTATGTTGCCCAGACTGGTCTTGAACTCCTGGCCTCAACTGATCCTCCCACTTCAGCCTCTGAAGAGCTGGGATTACAGGAGTGAGCCATCGTGCCCAGCCTAAATATGGGATTTTAGGCATTAAGCAGGGACAGGTGTTTGGGTGAGCGTAGCTAAGAGCTGGGTTCTTCAGTCAGAGAGCATCCCACCAGGCATTGATTAAGCCCGGACTGTGTTCAGAGCGCTGGAGGAAATGCTGAAGATGCGACACTGGGCTCCTGTGGTCCTGCGGGAGTGCACGTCCACCAGGGAATCAGAGATGGGCCACTGAGTGTGTCCGCCAGGAGGATCAGGCCTACCGGCCAGGCCCACCTGGGCCTCAGTCCCCGAATTCCACAGCCTTACAGCTGTTTTCATCCATGAGCAAATAGCCCTGCCCTAGGGCTGGTCTAGAGGAGATGGGGCAGGGAGATGTCTGGGCTCCTTCCGTTTGCACAAAGCCCTGCAAGAAGCATGGATACCCTCGTGTGCTGTCTCTTGTAAAGCAGAATCAGGCATTTAGAGGTAGGGAGTGGGGTCGGGGGGACGGGTCTCTCATGGCACAGGGAGGATAACTGGGGAGGGACAGCAGCACCCCTCAGTGTCAGCTCTTGGTCTGTGCCACGGATCCTCAGCACAGCACGGCCAGCTACTTCAGGCTCCACTTTAGCTGCCTCTGCTTCACTCCCTTGCGAAAGATCTGCAGGTGCCCTTCTGTTCAGGGCCACAGAGGGCAGAGAGAAGCCAGGTGGCCGCCGTGCCTCCTGAGTGCACTTGCCCAGGAGGCTGAAGCAGACTTGCTCAGGGCGGATGAAGAGGGTGTGGACAAGCAGTCCCAAGGTTGGGGGAAGCTTCCAGCACTTTCGTAAGCAGCACAGGTTCATGCTCTTATTCCACCGGGGCAGAGACACCCCTTCCCCACACCAGGACAGCAGCACCTCAGCAGGAGGGCAGCTGGGGCCTTAGGGGCACAGGGTTCCACCTCATGATGGCATGAACCCTCCAAACCTAGAATGGATCCCCATTTTGATGGGTAAAGGGCTCCCCTGTGTGCCTGGGCCAGCTCCTGCCCTCCTGGATGTGGCCTAGGCCCAGAAACAGCCTCTGAGGGCAGAAACCGGGGTCTCCCTTCGCCTGGAAAACAAAAGGTTACTCGGCTGCCTGGGCCCGGGTCCTGAGATCGAGGCTAACTCCGTGAGGACAGAAGGTGTCCAGAAATGCTCTCCCTAATCCTCAATCCCTCCCCCACCTCATTGCTCCCTTTGACTCTGTCTGTCTCTGTCTCCCTGTGTCTCCATGTCTGCCTCATGAGCCTGGGTGATCTCTTGCTGTGACTGCATCTGACACGTGTCCTGTACCAAGTGACTTTTTAGGTGTCTCCAACGCAAGATGTCATTCTGCTGAGCTTTTTCAGGCTCTGTGCCCAGATTCTGAGGCCTCTGACCAATTTGGAGGGTAGCGTCCCAGGTCGGCAGGTCTCTGAGCTGTGGAGGGCTTGTGTCTGGGGTGACAGTCCTCTGGGCTGATCAGGGTTCTCTCCCAGCATGTGAGGTGTCTGATCTGCTTTAGGTATTGTGTCTAGAATGCAAGGCATGGGAGCAGTTCTGATTTCAGGAAGTAGGGTTTGAGCTCTCCCGAGTGTCTGTGTCAATGATAGGACACAATAGCGCCCCTTGGGGCTCCATATCCTAGGTTGTGAGAACACTGAGGTTATTCCAAACTCACGAAAGGTGTCTGATCCTTTTGGGGTCCTGCGTCCTGAGTGTGTCCTCCCTACCCGGTTATGAGTCTGCACCGCAGGGGTTGAGGCTGCTGACATGTTGAGGAGTTGCTGTGTCTCAGGTTGTAAACTCTGTGCTGTGTGGGAATGGTGTGTCCCACACTCTGAGGTCTCCTAGGTGTTTGTTGCAGGGAACATTGTGCCCAAGGCCTCTGTGTTCCCTGTCCCGGTCCCCTCAACTGTTTCTGTGTCCGCATCTCAGGGTGTGCGCACTGTGGTTTTGTGGGCTTCTGGGTCCGGGCTGTGAGGTCCGTGAGGTAATCCGTTTTCTACATCACAGGTTCTAAAGTTGCTCACACGCACGTGGGTCTGAATTTTAGAATCTGATGTCTCTGAGCAGGTTTAGTGTCTGTGTCCTCCTTCACTGAGTTCTTGGAGGGGTCTGAGTTCTGCGAACTGTTCAGTGTTGTGTGTCCAGGGTTGAGGTCTCTGAGCTGCTTGTTCCTGGGTTGTTGTCTGGGTTTTCTATGTCACTGGGGTCTCTTGGGCTTTGTGACCCAGCCTGTGAGGTCCCTGAGGTATCTGAGAGTGTGTGTGTCCAGGATAGGACGTTTCAGAGCTGGTAGGAGATGTATGTTTTGGAGGGAGGCCTGTTCTGTCTTTGGTTCCGTGTTCCAGGGATTGAAACGTCTGAGCTCTTTGGGAGATCATCTCAAGCATGAGAGACACTGTCACATAGCAAAGTTCAGACATGAGTTGTTTGTGACCTTCTCCTGATATTTGGGTCTCACCCTGTACAGTCAGTGAGAGGTTGTCTTGAGTTGACTTTCCCAGACTCGTCCACTCCAGCCTGCCACAGCCACGCTTACTTATCTAGACCCCTGAGTTTACACGGCCAGCTTCCTTCACAGCTGCCCCTGGGGTTGGAGTCATGCGACTGCTTTGAGAGTCACAGGTCCCCCTCAGCACCACTTGTGGAGATCTCACTGTGCGGAGGAGTTTCTTCTGTGTCTCTGATAAAAGACACAGAGCAGGGACCCTCTCTCTCAGCGATGAACAGGACCTGCCCATGTGTTCCTGGGTCGTGTGGTCTGTCTCCTGCAAGATGTCACTGACACCCAGAAAATAACCTGGACACAACATCCCTCTTGCAGCTCTCCCAGAACACATGCATCAAACCCGGGATCCCCTGTGCCCTGGTGGGATGGCAGGAGTCTCTAGCTGTTTGGATCATCTTCCCAAACCTTAACTTCACCTTTACATGATGAGGATCTACAGAGCGGCATCTCAGCCCTTTCCTGCAAACGCACGGTGCTTCTGAATGCAGAATTCGGGGCTAGGGAAGGGAGGGGACACAGGTAGATGCCATCTGTGGTCAGGGGGAGGTGTGGGCCCGAGACCGTCTCAGCTGAAATGTAGGAGTAATGGGCACAGACCATTCAAGAGAAATGTGTGTTGGGCTGAAGAAAGTAGAAACTACCTCCAGAGTATCTCCTCCATCTCTAAGACATGCACGGTTTAATTCTGTTATTTTGTGAGGCTCTTTGCACCATGACACAAGCATGCATAGAGGGCTCCATCATACAGGGGAGAACGAGACCCTGAATGGTCTCACAGTCTAGTGGGGGAGGCATATGTGTTCCTTCAGGCAACAAATATGTATGAAAGTCTTCTACGTGCCAGGCACTGCTTGAGGTGTAGGGATACCTCAGGGAAGCAAATCAACAGAAATCCCTGCCCTGGATCTGACATTCCCCGAAGAGGACGTGGTAGGTGGCAGACAGCAAACCCTCCACAAGGGAATCTAGGAAACGTTAGAAGTTATGAACCAAAACGTACCCGAGACAGGTCTCAATCAATTTAGAAGTTTATTTTGCCAAGGTTAAGGACGTGCCCCTGACACAACCTCAGGAGGTCCTGACGAAACATCCCCAAGGTCGTCAGGGTACAGCTTCGCTTTATACACTTTAGGGAGACATAAGACATCAATCAATGCATGTACGACATACATTGATTCCTTCTGAAAAGGCGGGACAACTACAAGTTGGCGGGCGGTGGAGGGGCGGTGGGGTCTTACAGGTCATAAGTGGATTCAAAGATTTTCTGATTGGCAATTGCTTGAGTTTATCTAAAGACCTCCAATCCATAGGAGGGAGTGTCTGGGTTAAGATAAGGGGTTGTGGAGATCAAGGTTCTTATTATGCCAATGAAGTCCCGAGGCAGCCGGCTTCAGAGAGAATAGACTGTAAATATTTCTTATCAGACCTTAAAAGTTGCTGGACTCTTGGGAACTAATTCTCTCCTAGACCAGGAAAAAGACCTGGAAAGGGAAAGGGATTCTCTACAGAATGTAGACTTCCTCACAAGAGATGGCTTTGTAGGCCTATTTCAAAATGTGTCAAAGAAATGTATTGTTGGATGAAACACTTTGACTTCTTTCAGGGCCTATTTGTTATGTGATGCTATACTAGTCAGGCTGGAACTTGGTGTCTTATTGCCACAGTCTTAAGATCTCTCCCTTAACATAAATGCTGGTCAGTTGTGCCTGAATTCCATAGGGAGAAGGGTGTAATGACGCATGTCTGACCCACCCTTCCCATCATGGCCTGAACTACTTTTTCAGGCTAACTTTGGAAAAGCTTTGGCCGAGAGGAAGGGTCCATTCAGATGGTTGGGGAGTGGGGCTTAGAATTTTATTTTTAGTTTACAAAGATGATGGGGGCTGTGTTAAAAAGAAAAAATATACAGATCACAGTACAGGGATTGGGAATTGGGGGAGGCACTGGGTTAGCTGCAGGTAAATTATAACAGAGTGACTAGGGTAGGCTGGGTTGAGAAGGTGACAATTTGACAAAGATGTGAAGGGGGAGGAGTCAGTCAAGCAGATATCTGTGGTGAAGGCCTTCCAGACAGAGGGAGCAGTTGGAAAAAAGTCAGAGGCTGAGTCGTTCCAACATGGCGCAGATGCCACAAGGACACTAGCACACCAGCAGGAAGCTGAACAGAAGGCTGGAGGTGCCACGGTGACAAGGACGGGATCCTGTCAGGCCAGGTAAGCTTCTGCTCTGCCAGTGACACGGAAAGGGACAATGAAGGGCCACAGATACAGAAAGCATGTCTGTGCAGCCTGCAGAGTTCAGGTGAAGGAGGGACCCAGGCAGGAGCAGTCAGAACCAGGAGGGCTTAGGCAAGAGACAGGACAGGCAAAGGCACTGATGCAGCCCACCCAGACTTGACAGACGCGTTCATCCAGGTGTTCATGTCCTTGTCACTGTGGACATCTGTGTTGCAGCCACAGAACCACATACTCGATTAGGACGCCTGAACCCAATCAATAGTCGTTTTTCCCTACAGACCCTGGGGGAGGCCCACATGCACTTGCCCTAGGGTACTCTGACATTTTGGCACTGCAGTCCCACTGGGAGGCCACATGGAGTAACATACTGGCCAAGACATATTTAAAAATTCTGGCAGGGTGCGGTGGCTCACACCTGTAATCCCAGGACTTGGGGAGGGCAAGGCAGGCAGATCACTTGAGGTCAGGAGTTCAAGAACAGCCTGGCCAATATGGTGAAGCCCCATTTCTACTAAAAATCCAAAAAAAAAAATAATCCCGGGTGCAGTGACGCACACCTGTAATCCCAGCTACTTGGGTGGCTGAGGCACAAGAATCACTTGATCCCAGGAGGTGGAGGATGCAGTGAGCTGAGATTGTGCCACTGCACTCCAGCCTGGGTGACAGAGCTAGTCTCTATCTAAAATAAACAAATAATTTTGTAGCCTCTTTTACTAGGAGTTCTGGAATTAGGGAAGAGAGGAAAGGTACAACCCTCCTCCCGAACTCCAGGGGAGGAGAATCTCATTGCACAGATGTCCTCTGTTCACTCGATTCTCCTGGAGCATTTCTAAGGCACACAGAGCTGCTACCATCATAGCCATTACTGACCAAGTACTCTGGGTGAAATTCCTTTATTAACTGAATAAACTTGTTCTGAAGTGCTGACCGGACACTCTGGGGACAGGGGGAGGTTTCGGCTGTATCCTTGCTGGCAGATGACCCCCACACTTGGGGGGTAAGGAGAGCCATGGCAGAATTCAACCCACGGTCCCCTAGGAGTACACAGGAGACCACCCTACCCTCACCTGAGGGATGTGTGTGTGCAAGGGTTGGGTCAGGGCAGACTCTTCAGAAGAGGGGAGGTTTGTGCGGCAGGCACTTTGATTCTGCACAGCTTACAGTCCAGAGAGCCGAAGAACAAGAGGAACTAGATTCCCATTCTCAGTCTGTTGATTTCCACACCACATTTGGAGTCTGATCAACTCCACAGCTGTGTTGCAGCCGCTAACGCTGCCTCTGCTCTGTTTGCCTCTAGATTCTTCTTATCTGTTAAATAAAGTGAGGCTGATGGAGATGTAATTTAGGGCGGGGGTGGATTGCAAGTGTCTCTGTGATAGGGCAAAGCGCCTCCCGGTGGAGGCGCAGAAGCTAAACTCGACTGGTAGCTGTGAGGCAAGGGACGCCAGGGCAGCTCCTGTGGACTGTGTTAGAACTTTTCAGGGTGGCTTTGCCCTGCCAGGGGCCTGGATCTCACAGGGGGACGTCGTGTTAGGACCAAGCTGACTGTCCCATCACAGAATAATATCTGCAGCTCAGCATGGGGAGCATAAGCAAAGTACGTTGTCGTGAGTTTAAAGAGGCCTGGCTTTGGAGTCTGACAGAACCCGCGTGTGAGTCCCAGATCCAGCCTTTTCTGCCTCAGTGCCCTGACCTCTTTCAGCTTGGTTCCTTATCTGTAGATGGGAGTTTGATACTTACCTCTCTGGGTCTTTGGGAAATCAACACTGTACATGAGTAGCACACAGTAGGTCCTCAACAACCAGGCTCCAGGGAGAGAGAGCCATTCACACTGTGCCATGTTAGAGGCACATCAGTGTGCAGGCCAGCGTGCCAGGACAGTGGGAGTCCAGTCTACCCTCCAGCCAGGGTTTGGGCTTGGGCTGATGGTGGCAGGACCAGGGCCATTTCCATCTTTTCTCTTTTATTGTCCATATGTCCAAAGCAGACACTTCCATTCATATTCAGGTGTGCAATGCTAGGAGCTGAAATAACAGGCTGTAGTGAATGAAGCGAAGCCTCACAGTTCACTCTATGGCAGGAAGAACCAGCTGTGAGGCAGGTCCTCAGCCCACATCACTTCATGGTACTGAACCTGGGGCCACAGTTCCAAACTCCATGTTCACACATGATGAGTCTATAGGAATGAAGGAGAGATCTATGTTGTGTATCTTTATTATTATGTTTTATTGTATATATTTAAGGTATAAAACATGTTGTTATACACACACACACACACACACACAGTGAAATAATTGCTACAGTCAGGCAAATGAACCTGTCACCTTCCTCAGTTACCTTCCTGCATCCTATTTTTGCAAGTAAACTTTTCCTAAAAACCCTACTCTCACGTGACATTCCAGTTGGTTGGCCCATTGGGGGAATTTTCATGAATCTCCATCATGTGCTATTCAGTAAAAATATCAAACCCACTAAGCATGCCTTTTCATCCAGTTGCTCCCTAGGTAAAGTATAATTTGCTCTCCTTCACTTGAGAGCTGAAGGTAAGGAGCAATCAGGCAGCGGTTGATGGAGCAAGTGCAGGCCAGACAGAGGGAAGGGCGGTTGTGAGGCGGCAGACACGAGAGAGAGACAGCGAGAGAGCGAGCGTGCACGCTAGACAGAGAGAGGCCTGGTAGTAGCTGGGGCCTGATACCCCTAATCCAGGAGGCTGGACTTTATCCTAAGGGCAGCAGGCAGCCCTAGTAGAATTTGAAAAGGTTTGACATGACCAGATTAGCAGTCAAGAAAGGTGCCCCACTCACTGGGACAGAGAATGCGTGGGAAGGGGTCAAGACTGGCAGCAAGATGAGCTATGAATTGTTGGTGGTCATCGAGGAGGGAGATGAGGGTGACTGGACTAGGGAACTTCCTGTGGTGATGGAGAGGAGTCAGTGTCAAGGTCTCACTTAGAAAAACTTGGGAGGTCTAACTGGCCAGGCTCGGTCAACTGTGGGGGTGGTAAGAGGCAGCAATCAAGGATGGCTTTCAAGATCTTTGGCCCAAGCTGCTGGGTAGAGGGTGGTGCCTGTCACTGAGTCAGGCAGCACAGGAGGAGGGGCAGGCGTGCTGAGTGGGGATGGGTGCGTTCACTTTGGGACATGCTGAGCAGTACTTGCTATGGGACTCAACGACTTATGACTTGAAGACTTCGCAGAGCTGACCTAACCTCCCTGTGCTTACCGTGCCTCATCTGTAATAGGAGAATAAGAATAATTAGAAAAAATAACTAATTAGTTTCATTTGTTGAGTCTAGGAGAATGTTCTCCTTTTATACTGCAGAGTGGTATTTTCTTGTCAGGTCTTCCCAAGTAAAATGGGAATGTCTCGACTTGCCCATACAGTGGCTTGATTTTACCTGTCTGCTTTGGGTATCACCACCATTCGGCATGTATTGCCAATACTAAACAAATAAGTAAATACATAAATTCAAAGTAACAGGTGTTTATTATCACGTGTGTGCTGTAATAGCCCATCAGCCTGTCCCTCAGACAAATAAACTCTCTTTAAATCTTCTAAACTTCCTCTTGAAGCCCACCTCTCCCTCCAGGGGCTGGACAGGGCATTTGGGACCCAGGATCTCTAACACTCTCTTCTCTGGGAAGCCATCTCCCACTGCCCAGGATGCTGGATGGGAGGTGAGTGCAACGGGCCTGTGGGGTTGTCAGTTGGCGGAAGAAATCTGTAGATCCAGGGAGAGAATCGAGCCACATGTGTGGATTTGGAAATGACAGTGTATGGCTGCACAGCACGAAGGGGATGAAGTCACAGACACCTGGATTTAAATCGAGACTCCACCATTTATTTCTTGTACGACTTTGGGGAGGTTACTTAATCTCTTTGTGGCTCAGTTACTTCATTTGTAAAATGAAATGATAATATTCTGGGAGAATGGTTCATGTTTCCTTCCTTCATAAACTGCTGTTCACGAGGCGGCTTCTTCCAGGGTTAAAAAGGAATCTACTATCCATGTATCTGCTAGGACAGACATTGTTGCGTGTCACTTGACTCCTGAAATACGCCACGGTAAAGAAATCTCTGTACACTTTCGTGTTCTGGGAAGTCACTGACCACACAGGACCAATTATTCTCCATGAGACTTAGATAAGGGATGCTGTCTTCCCACTCTGTGCCGTGACTCCCAGATGGCAGACACCACCAGTCCTTGTTCTTTTGTCTCATGAATGTGTTGTAACCAAGCGAGTTATAGAGAAACGCCACACTTTTGAGACAAATTAAGGGGACCTTTATTAGCTGGCGACCTACAGGCAGCTAACGCTCAAAATTCTCTCGGCCCCAAGGAAGGGGCTAGTTTTGTTTTTATACCGTGGTCTAAACAGGGGAGGGGGGAGTTTAGCTGAAGCAATTTTACAGAAGCAGAATAGGCAAAAAGTTAAAAAAAATTAATTGGTTATAGAAGCAGTTACAAAAAATAAACAGTTCCAGGTGCAGGGGCTTAAACTATGATTAAGAGATAAATGCAGGGGCTTTTAGGTACCTTCCACCGAGCACATTCCCGAGCTGTTGGTACAGCCTGCCTCAATATCTTACCAGCAGGTGTATTCTTGGATGTGCTTGGACTCAGCTTGCACTAGTTATTCCCTTAAGGGGGATAAAGGGGGCTGCAAGTGAAGAAACTAAAATGGAGTCTGTCCGGCTCTCTCTGCTAGGAAAGAGTCACTCAGGTTAAAACAAGGTAGGGTATCACAAATGATTCACTTAGACGGGAAGTCTGTCCTCCTAAAAGTAGCTAGGCACAGAGAGAAACATTCCCTGTTCAGCTGGCTGAGACTTCCGCTGATTAAAAAAAAAACAAAAAACCCTGCCCCATAAATCTCCCCACTGAAACCGGTGTACTCCTTCCTATGAAAGTAAAAGACACCCCCGCCCCGCCCCGGTTACCCCAACAGTGTGATTTCCACTTCTGGGGCGCTCTCCCTAAGGCAGTAGCCTGAATAATTTCAATGTATTGGATTGTTTGGTTTCTGTCTTTACCAAGGTGCATTTATCATTCATGCAAAAACAGTAAAAAAAAAAAAAAAAAAAAAAAAAAAAATGAAACAGCACGTGTCGGTTCTCAGCGGCGCGCCCTAGCTCAAAACTCCAGCCAATCACAGGAGAAGTCGGCCGCCTCCCAACCCTCCAGCCCAGTTCCCACGTCCCTCGCCCGGGAAGTCACGTCCGCTACAGGGAGTGTCTTCCCATGGCCTCCGGAAGCATTCGGCAGTCCACAAGCCACGCTTCAGAGAAGCCGCTCCGGGAACGCCGCGGCGCACCTCCGGAAGGGATGACCTCCACGCCTTCTCCCCTCGCAGTCCACCCGAGCGGCGTGGGTCGCGAGAAGCCACCCAACCGCTCCGTCTTCCGGCTCCGGCGGTCCGCGGCAGCCAATCAAAGGTTCAGTTTCTCAGCGGCGTCGCATCCCTGTGACGTGAGCACATCCTCGCCGGCGCCCCCTTCCGCGCTGCGGCGCCTCTAGCCCGCCGGAGGGCGGCTCCTCTCGATGGTCTTAACCCTTCAATTACGAGCGGGCGGCGCTGCGTTTCCAGGGCAGAGGAAACGAGGCGCCGCGTTGGCGCTTGGACGGCGGGAACCGGCTCCGGAGCGAGAACGCGCGTGAGAGAGCCCGAGAGAGACGGAGAGCGAGCGAGCGCGCGGGAGAGACTGAGAGCGGGGGGGTGGGAGAGAGACTTCCAGAGAGACAGAGCGAGAGGCCGAGACGGAGGCTGTCCCTAGCACAGGCCAGGGTGTCTTGGGACTCGAATCCCTGGGTTGGGCTGGCCGGGAGTGGGGCTTTCGAAGGAAGCGGGTGATTTTCCACGTCGTCCATATCTCCCCGGTGTGGGAATGGCGGTCGTGCACTCTGGGGGTGGCGTTGTTCTCGTTCCCTACTTGGGGGTGGCCTTTTTCAGCGGAGAAAGAGGATGCCGCGGGCATTGGTAGCCGGCGGGACTACACTTGGGCTAGGATCAGTGTTCAGCGGGTTCAGAAATCACCGTGTCCTTGGCATCACCTCCCTCCCCACCTCCTCTCCCATCGCACAGCAGGAGACAGTGACTGGAGGGTTTTCAAGGAGGACTGCATTGCCCCTATTGAAACAAACCGTCCGACAAACCCTTTCTCCGACGTGTGACAGAGGGACGGTCGTAATGTGAAATACGACTAGACATGCGTTTAATGGGCGGTGTGATTGCTGCATTCGTGCGCAATGAATGGTCCAGGCCATTTGTGTCCAGTAGCCGCACAAGCTGCAGGGTCTCATGTTTAGAGAGGGAGGGCCTCTCCGCCGTCCACCTTGCTGGAGTACAGGCGACCCTGGGCGGTAGCCCTCTCCGCCATCAGAAATGTGGTGCTCTGAGTAGCCACAGATTCCCATCTGCATCTCCAATACCATTTCCCTCTACTCACTGACCCGTTGGGTGCGTTGGATTTGTGCGTGGGTGTGAGGGTAGTTTGGTGTGTTTGCTTGCAAATGGAAAAGCGAATGGCCTTGGTTGGCTGAGCTTATCAGGGCACTAGCAGTGGAGAGAGAAAGGACTACTGTATTCTTAGGAGCAGAATCTCAACAACTTCCTATAAAACGGGCAGTGTGTCTTACCTGGAATGCTTTGGCATTTAATAAAATGTCCTGTGAATACTTTTCATAGGGAAGCACTTTGTTTTTACTGTTTCTGGTTGGACAGTGGTTACATTTCAAATCGTAGTTCAGAATTCGTGAAATACCCAAATTAAATCTCTACGTGGCAGTAATCCATTTTCTTTCCTTGGTGTGTGGTTGGAAGATTAATTTGAGATAAGTGTTCAGTTCTGGGCTGGGCAGTCGTGCCGGGCACGGGAAATTCAGGTTCTTTAAGGGAAAGGCCTGATGTGCTAAGACGAAATCTATACCGTGTGTAGCCGCTTATGAGAATATGAAACTAAGGAGAGCCACAGGTAAGTATACGTCTATGAATGCGAATTAAAACGGGTGACAATATAAAGAGAGATTGGTGTCACAAATGGTGGAGTGACTTTTGTATTTCAGCAGACCTCAGTGAGAAATGGTCACCACCACTCCCTAGATGTGTGACCTTGAGTGAGTTGCTTAACCTCTCTGATCCTGTTACCTCATCTGCAACTGGGGATGAGAATATATATCATAGCATGCCCTGGGAGAAGCTGTTCCTGACCACCTGGGCTATGGTGATTTTGACTTCCTCTGTGTCAGAAGTACCCCCGTCTCATGCCTGCCATAGTTGTCTTTTTGTTTTGTTTTGTGATTTCAGATGGACTCACCCTGTCACCCAGGTTGGACTGCACTGGCCTCAACCTCCTGAGTTCAAGTGATCGTCCCACCTCAGCCTCCCCAGTAGCTGGGACCATAGCTGTGCAGCATCATGCCTGGCTAATTTTTTAAGTTTTTTGTTGAGATGGTGGTCTCGCCCTGTTGCTCAGGCTGGCCTCAAACTCCTGGGCTGAAGCAGTCCTCCCACCTCAGCCTCCCAAAGTGCTTGGATTAGAGGCGTGAGCCACCATTCCTGGCTCCTTGGACAATATTTTATTCCTCAGATTAAGACACGTCCTTGGGATGGGGCTGCATTGGATAATTCACCGAAGGCACCGCTGAATGGAGTGGGCCCTCAGTAAATACCTGGAGGAATGTGACCTGGCCAGTGAGGTTATTTTCTTTTGTAGGTGAAAGGTGTAGCAGTCACTCGGCCTACACCCACAGCATCGACCTTGTGAACCCAGCGACCTGACTGCCTTGGGTGAGTCTAGGCAAGCTCCATTCTCGCCAGAGCGGACTTGCTCCTTGTCTTCCTCTTGCTGCTCTGGCCACTCTTCTTGGTCCCTCCCCTGTTCCCTCCCCGGACTCCCGGTTGTACTCCCGCTGCTTTTCTGTGTACTCACCTGCTGGGAGACCCCTGATGCCAGCACCACGCTTCACTGCTGTCTTCATTTTCTTCTTTCTTTCTTGAAAGTGGGCATTGCTGGCTTTACTGACTACCTGTTCTTTTGTTACAAAGCTGCTAAAAATTGTATCTCTTCCGCTCCAGACCCAGTAGGATAGAGATGATCTGTGTAGGCATCAAAAATGTAGAACATCTGCAAGTCATGTGTAGGACAGACTCTTTCCTCAATCTGTGTGGCGTTGCGTGGCTAGGAGTTAGATTCCTTTGCCATGACATGGCACAAGACTAGGAGCACGGTTTTCAGCACCCAGAGAACTTGCACAGACCTTAGACATTTTGCTGTAGGATTTTGCCACTTCTAGAAAAAAGTCCATGTGGCCGGGCGTGGTGGCTCACGCCTGTAATCTCAGCACTTTGGGAAGCCGACGTGGGCAGATCACAAGGTCAGGAGTTCGCGGCCAGCCTGGCCACCGTGGTGAAACCCTGTCTCTACTAAAAATACAAATGTGAGCCGGGTGTGGTGGCGGGTGCTTGTAATCCCAGCTACTCCGGAGGCTGAGGCAGGAGAATTGCTTTAAACCAGGAGACGGAGGTTGCAGTGAGCTGAGATCATGCCACTGCACTCCAGCCTGGGCGACACAGTGAGACTGTCTCAAAAAAAAAAAAAAAAGTCCATATTTAATTGGGATTATTAAATGAAATCTGTATCTTTAAACTGAAATAAATGCATTTTATTATCTCATATTATTGTGGAAGATTGAAAAAAGCATCACATGGGACTGGCTTAATTTTGAAAAGAAACACAAAGCTCTTCCTGGCGCTCATCTGCAGGGTGTCGTCTGGATTCACTTGCTTAGCTGTTCTCTTTCTCCTTCCGCACAGGAGAATTGAAGCGAATGAGAGTGGGGAGTGTGAGAGGTGCGTTTGGTGCAGCATTTCTGGCATGGGAACAGAACTGGCCAGGAGGAAGTGACGGTAAGGATTCGCAGCATTGCACCCGATCCCCGGGCAGCTGTGGACATGCGGGTCAGCCCCTAGGACTCTGCTGTCTGAACTCTTCCCTCAGGATTACTTTCTCGCTTAGGTATCAGGGGAGGCTGAACACCCAGAGAGGCAATGCCACCAGGGGTGTGTTCATCTGCAGTCAGGGAGACCTGGGAGGGAATTCTGTCCCTGAGTGGTTGTGTGATCTGAGGGAAGTTACTTGACCTCTCCATGCAGGAATTTCTGCCTTTGCAACGTGGGAAAATATGGATTCTGCAGGGTTGACTTGACATTCTCAGTGAGATGTTTATCACGGGCCCCACATCCTTCTTGTTTCATTTGATAGATATTTGTGAATGTCCACTGGGCTCAAGGCTCTGTGATGGGTGAACAAGACAAAGTCCCTGGCCTCTGTCAGCTCCTGGGCTAGTGGGTTGACAGAGAAATAACCATCTGTTGACAGCTGAGTGGGATTGGGGCTGGGACAGGGGAAATACAGGGCGTTTTAGGAGCTTGGAGAAGGCTTCCTGGGAGAAGTGCTATCTCAGCTGAGTCATGCAGGGTGAATGAGAGGTGAAAGTCTTGCCAAGGGCCATGGCAGTCCCAAACTACAGGCACCCATCACTATACCCGGCTAATTTTTATTTTTAGTAGAGATGGGGTTTCACCCCGGTGGCCAGGCTGCTCTCGAACTGCTGACCTCAAGTGATCCACCCGCCTCAGCCTCCCGAAGCAGGGATTACAGGCGTGAGCCACTGTGCCCAGCGTGATTGTAAATGTTAATCATGTCCACAAATACCTTCCCAGCAACAACTAGAGTAGCATTTGACCAAAAGGGACCAGGCACCAAGCCTGGCCGAGTTGACCGATAAAACCATCACAGTGAGGGATTGGTACCCAGAGACATCACCTCTCATGCTGAAGGTCTGACCGGTAAACTGTCTGGGTTCCCTGTCTCCAGTAGTCCTTCTCTCTCTTCGGTAGCTGCATGACATGATGCAGGAAACTTGAGGCTGTGGTGTTTCATGCAGAGATTTTTGATACAAGGTCTTTTACCTGGGGGCAAGTGCCTGTTGAAGAAATGACATTGGTGAGATGATGAAGGAAGGGAAGTCACATGTATTGCTGCAGCTGCTCCCCTCCGCACACACAACGGACTTCTCTAGGCCTCACTGTCCTTAATGCCTCTGTCAGGGATCATGAGCAACTCCATGGGTGTGGTTTGAGAATCTCTGGATGAACCTACACATAGGACGGTAAAATGTTTCATTTCACAAAATTGCTGGAGGGAGAAAGAGAGAAAAGAGAGCGATGACTATGCAGGCCGGTTGTCAGTTGATGTCTCCAGAATCTTCCTATTTCTTTTTTTTCTTTTTCTTTTTTTTTTTTTTTTTTTTTTTTTTTTTGAGACAGAGTCTTGCTCCGTTGCCCAGACTGGAGTGCAGTGGTGCAATCTCGGCTTACTGCAACCTCCGCCTCCTGGGTTCAAGTGATTCTCCTGCCTCAACCTCTCTATTACCTGGGATTACAGGTGCCCACCACCACACCCAGCTAATTTTTTTGTATTTTCCGTAGAGATGGCGTTTCGCCATGTTGGCCAGGCTGGTCTCAAACCCCTGACCTCAGGTGATCTGCCTGCCTCGGCCTTCCAAAGTGCTGGGATTGCAGGCATGAGCCACCACACCCGGCTCACATTTCTTCTCATAAAAGTGTTTCTGGCTGGGAACAGTGGCTCACGCCTATAATCCCAGCACTCTGGGAGGCTGAGGCATGCAGATCATGTGGAGCTCAGGAGTTCCAGACCAGCCTAGGCAACATGGCAAAACCCCGTCTCTACAAAAAATACAAAAATTAGCCGGGCATGGTGGCTCACGCCTGTAGTGCAAGCTGCTCAGGCGTCTGAGACTGGAGGATCCCTTGAGCCCAGGAAGCAGAGGTTTCAATGAGCCGAGGTTTTGCCACTGCACACCAGACTAGGTAACAGAGCGAGTCCCTGCCTCAAACAAACAAACAAAACAGCAAAAGAAACGTGGGGGGTGGGGGTCGTAAGGTCTTTTCTCTCTCTGAGAATTGGCTTTCTACATGTAGAAATAGATCCTGAGAGAGTCCTTGTGACACATGAGAATTGGCTGGGAGATAATTGGGTTAAGATCATTTTCCAAACGTTTCACACATTAACTGTTTGTGTCAGATAGTGGTGGCCCAAAGGATGTCAGGGAACTAACTCGTAGGAAAGATAGATTGCAATTTCTGAAAAGTTAAGAACTCTTTCTGGGATGTGTGTGTGTGTGTGTTTATATATGTTTGTGTTCAGTACATATTCAAACTGTTCCTGTTACGGTTCTGTCTTTCTTGCCCCAGTGTGGGCTGATAGCCACGATTTGGTGAATAAACATTCAGAGGACCAGTATCCTCTGAAGAAAACTAGTGAATTCTTGGTTTCCACGTTTGTCAAAAGAATAGAGCCTGGGAGGCTGATCTAAAGTTTCCATTTAGCATTTAATGTCAATTTTTGGTTGCACTCATCCAAGATGTATTTATCAAAACAGTACAGAGAGATACCCTTATCGCAAAATATGCCGTTGGGTTTTTCCACTTAACCTACAGCAAGATTGACTTTTTTCCCTCAGGAGTACAGTTCTGTGAGCTTTGACACGGGCATACATTCTTGTCACCACCACCACAGTCGGGATCCAGAACAGTCCCATCACCGCAGGACACTCCCTGGAACTGCCCCATTGCGGTTACCCCTTCTTCATCCATCATCCCTGGTGTAAAGTGATCTGTTTCCTTCCCTCTAGTTTTGTCTTGGGGAGAGTGTTATGTCAATGACACCATACAGTTTGTGGCCTTGTGAGGCGGGCTTCCTTCTTTTGGCCCGATGAACATCTCGGATGAGTGTCAGATGCCTCTGTCACAGGCTGTTGTTTTTTCATGAAGGCAGTTTCACGGTGTGGAAGACCACAGGTGTTCAGCCATCCTTCTACTGAATGACATTTTCCTCTGTCCAGTGTGGGGCAGTTTCGCATCGAGCTGCTTTTACAATTCAGTGCGGGCTTTTTTGTGAACCTAAGTTTTCATTTCTCTAGGGTAGATACCCAGGAGTGGGATGGCTGGGTCCTATGGTAAACATCTGTTTGACTTACAAGAAACTGCCAAACTGCTTCTCAAAGTTGCTGTGCTATTTCGCCCTCCCAGCTGCAAAGTGTGAGAGTTCCAGTCACCCAACATGTTCTCGCTTGGCCTTGCCAGTCTCCATGGTGTTAATTTGCATTCCCCTAATGCTGAATGATGTTAAATATGGTTTCTTGCGCTCCCATTCAAGTCTTTCCCCCATTTTCTAGTTGGGGTGTTGATTTTCTTATTGTGGAGTTTTGAAAACGCGCCATGTGTTTTGGATATAAGATCTGTCAGGTTGGTGATTCTCAAACATTTCCTCCTAGTGGTGCAGCTTTGATTTTCATTCTCTGAACACACTGGCTCTTACACAGCCAAAGTTGTGTTGTATTGTATTGTGTTGTATTGTGTTGTATTGTATTGTATTGTATCGTATCGTATCGTATAGTATCGTATAGTATCGTATCGTATCCTATTCTATTCTATCTATCCTATTCTATTCTGTTCTATTCTGTTCTATTTATTTATTTAGAGACAGGGGCTCGCTATGTCGCCCAGACTGGAGGGCAGTGGCTCGATCTCGGCTCACTGCAGCCTCTGCCTCCTGGGTCGAGCAATTCTCCTGCCTCAGCCTCCCCAGTAGCTGGGGACTACAGGTATGTCCCACCATGCCAGGTAATTTTTGTATTTTTTGGTAGAGACAGGGTTTCACCATGTTGGCCAGGCTGGTCTCGAACAACTGAACTCTAGTGATCTGCCCACCTTGGCCTCCCGAAGTGTTGGGATTACAGGCAGGAGCCACCACGCCCGGCCAGAGCCAGAGTTTTAAATTTTGCCAAACTCCTATCCATCCATCTTTCCTTTCCATGGATCATGCATCTCAGGTCATGTCCTAGCCTCCCCTCACAAAGATGTCCTCCTACGGTTTCTACCAAAAGTCATAGTATTGAACTTTGGCGTGTAGGTCTCTGAACCCTTTTTCCTTAATTGCGTGTAAAGGTTGAGGTTGAGGTGCATCTTTTTGCGTAAGGATAGGCCACCTCATGTATTGAAAAGCTTATCCCTTCTCCATTGGATTCCCTCTCACACCCATGTCAAAACTCACTGGACACATTTCTATGGATGGATTCATGGACTCTATTTTATTCCATGGATCTACTCGTCTACCCCTGTAAGCCAGCAATCTCGATTATTACAGCTTTAGAGCAAATCTGAAAATCTGATAATATCATCTCTCTAAAATACCTTCTGCTTTTTGAAACATCAGATATTCCACGTGAATTGTAGAATCTGCTTGTTTATGCATGCAAATGTCCCTCAAGGATTCTGATTGGCAGGCACTGCATTCATTCTACAGATCAAGTTGGGGACAATGGACTGTTAACTTTTTTGGGTCTTTAAATATGGGAACACATTGTTTCTCTCCATTTAACTAAATCTTCTTTGATTTTTTCATTACCGTTTAATAGTTTTGGGCATACAGACCCCGTCCACGTATTTTAGCTTTATACATAACCATTGCATTGTGTTTGTAGCTTTTGTAAAACAGTATTATTTCTTAAATTTAGGTTTCCAGTTACGCATAGGATTGTTTTCCGTGTGTTGAGTTTCTCTCCTGTATTGCTGCTAAGCTCTCATTAATGAGCACTAAGCTCTTATTAGCTCTGAGAGTCTGGGGGAGATACACTGGTTGTTTCATGTAGACGATCACAGGACCCATGAAAAGGAGTACTTTGGTTTCTTGCTTTCTCCGGTGTGTGCCGTGATTCTTCTGGCATTATAGCACTGACTGGGCCTCAGCGTGACGTTGAATAGCTGTGGTGAGAGTGGACGTCCTTGCCTGGTTCGCATCCTTAGGCAGAAAGCATCCAGTCGTTGACCATTAAGTGGCTTGTTAGTTGTAGGTTTGACTGTACACGCCCTTTTTCAGGTTGAGGAAGTTGTCTTGTGTTCCTAGTGTGCTAGAGCTTTTATATCACCAGTGGACTTTGAATCTTATCAAAGGGTTTTTCTGCATAGCTTGATGTGATCCTGTCATTTTTGTTCTTCATCTGATCTCTCAATCTGTGGGTTACATTGATTGATTTTCAGGTGTGGGAAGAACAACCCTTGCATTCCCGCTATAAAACCCACTTGATCGTGGCTTATTATTCTTCTCACATATTGCTCAATTCAAACTGCAAGGTTTTGTTGAATACTTTGGTGCCTGTACTAGGAAAGAATACTGGTCTGTCCTTTTCTTGGTATCCCTGTGGTGCTGGCCTCATAAAATCAGTGGGGCGCATTCCCTCTGCTTTGTTTCCTAGAAGAAGTTGTGTAAGTTGGTGATATTTCTTCATTAAACGTTTGGTAGACTTGGCCAGTGAAACTGTCTTGGCCCAGAGATCTTTTTGCAAATGTGTTTGCCTGTGAATTCAACTTCTTTAAAACATATAGGACTGTGCACACAGTTCAGTGTTTGAAATCCATCCTGTGTGAGTTTCCGTAGCTTGTGGTTTTCAAGTATGTGCTACATTTCCTCTGACCTGTGGAATGTGAATCTGTAGAGTTGCGTGTATTCTTACCATATTGACCCTTTTATGTTTTCTGGGTCTGGAGTGAAATCTCTTCTTGCATTCCTGATATTGGTAACTTGTTTCTTTGCCCTCTTTTTTCCCAGCCAGTCCTGCCACGGGTGTATCAATTTCATTGATCACTTCAAAGAACCAGCTTTTTTTTTTTTTTTTTTCCTGGATTAATTGAATTCATCTATGTGTTTTTCTGTTTGAAGTCTCCTGGGGGTTTATGCTTCTGTTGTTTAGCAAAATAAATTCTTATCCACACTAGGAATTTGGAAACGATTTCCATAGGCATGAGCAGCCTTTTCGACTAGATGCAAACCCAGTGGTCAGGAAGGCGAACATACAAAAGGGTGTGTCCCCATGGTGCAAACGCTTACAGTTGAGTAAAAGTCTCCCTTGTGAGTGGATGAAAATGAACGCTCATGGGCAGAGCACCTGTGAGTCACACATTGATTATTCTACAAATGATGCTTGGGAAGGGGTTGGAAAATGTCAGCAGGGAATTGACATCGTCGAACTGCATTGCATCCTTTTGCACCCCGTGTCACGTGGATGCATTAATTGGTATCATTTGTAAATCCTTTATTAGATGGCATTAATATTCTAAGCTGGTGAGATGTATGATCTCACGTCATCCTCAGAAGAAGCCTAGGACAGGGTCTCTCTATAATCCCCATTCTACACACAGGAAGTGGAGGGACAGAGAGGTTGAGTAAGATGAATAATTCTGTGTTTTCTTGTCTTATCACCTTGCGTTGCAGTCTGGGTTCTGCCCGCACACATTCCTCGCCACCTTCTTGGTGTCTGAGAACCTCCAGCTTCACCTCCTTTTCTGGACCCGAGGGCCTGGCGGAGCTTCCAGCTGGGACCAGACCTCCATGGATCCACTCCAGAAACGGAATCCAGCATCGCCTTCCAAATCTTCCCCGATGACAGCTGCAGAGACTTCCCAGGAAGGTCCAGCGCCCTCTCAGCCTTCGTACTCAGAACAGCCGATGATGGGCCTCAGTAACCTGAGCCCCGGTCCTGGCCCCAGCCAGGCCGTGCCTCTCCCAGAGGGGCTGCTCCGCCAGCGGTACAGAGAGGAGAAGACCCTGGAAGAGCGGCGGTGGGAGAGGCTGGAGTTCCTTCAGAGGAAGAAAGCATTCCTGCGGCATGTGAGGAGGAGACACCGCGATCACATGGCCCCCTATGCTGTTGGGAGGGAAGCCAGAATCTCCCCATTAGGTGACAGAAGTCAGAATCGATTCCGATGTGAATGTCGATACTGCCAGAGCCACAGGCCGAATCTTTCTGGGATCCCTGGGGAGAGTAACAGGGCCCCACATCCCTCCTCCTGGGAGACGCTGGTGCAGGGCCTCAGTGGCTTGACTCTCAGCCTAGGCACCAACCAGCCCGGGCCTCTGCCTGAAGCGGCACTCCAGCCACAGGAGACAGAGGAGAAGCGCCAGCGAGAGAGGCAGCAGGAGAGCAAAATAATGTTTCAGAGGCTGCTCAAGCAGTGGTTAGAGGAAAACTGAGACGTGCACCCCCATGGGATGGAGACCCGAAGGGACTCAGACGGAGCCGCCGTGTTGGCAGCGCCTGGGTGTGGGCCCATTTTGGGGACCAAACAGCAAGCTGTGGTCGGATGAGTGCCAGGACCTGTGTACCGGGACACGTGGGAGTCCTCCCAGCATGATGCTTGACTGACCCGAGGAAGGTCCTCATGTTTCGTGCCTGTCATTCTCGGATGGCTGTGAGGCATTCCTTGGCAAGGGACGCTGCGTACCAGCGGTCCTCACCGCATCTCACATGGCTCCTGTGATGCATGTTGTCGCTTTCCCACCCGGGATCTCCATCTCTCTTCCCTTCCTGCTGTCAGTAAGAGATCACATGTCTGTGTAGTGTGAATGCCTTGTCGCTGTCCTGTGCTTTTGCACCATTGAGTTGACTGCCTCTGAGAAGCAGCACTAGGCCTGTTGAAATGCAATGTGCTGCCCTGAGATCCAGTTTCAAGAATGGGCAGGTAAACGCAGTGTGGGAAAGGAATGTGGAATGAGAACTTGGTGGTTCACCGCTGTACTATTTGTGTAAATGTTTACGTATGTGATAAGCTACATGTATGTAAATGTTGCAATACCCCTAACAGTCGAGTAGTAGTCTCCCTTACAGGAATTTTTGACGGGGTTCCTCATCATCAATACCAAATAAATATATGTAGGAATGGAAAATGGGTGTAGAATTCAGGTTTGTTCCTCAGTATTGGTTTGTTTCTCATTAGATCTGAGCTGGTTACCTTGAAATCTCCCAGCAGGGGATCCGGGTTTATTGAGGGAAGCTCTGTGCTGTGGAGACTGGGAACGGGGGAGGGAGGGCACCAGAGAACACAGCCCAGTCACTGTTTGAGCCCTGCAGCGGGACCAGCATCGAGACCAGCGAGGCAGGGCCATGGCTTTGAAGAGAGGCTTCCTGTGCACAGGAGACGTGGAAGCAGAGTCCGCCGCCCACGGTGAGAGCCCTGCGTGTTGGTGCTGGTGCCCTGGCTTAGGGGCTGCGGCGCCATTGCTTGTTGTGTGGTGGGCCCGGGTGGGTGAAACTGAGCAGCAGTTTGCACCTGCTTTGTGAGAACCAGAGCATCCTTGGGTTCTTCCAACATCTTATTGGGATTTAGACATGTGTGTCTTTTAATTTCAGGAGGCACAAATGACTAAATCTACCTTTTTTTTTAACCTCTGCAGAATCCTGAGATGTGAACCCAGCCAGTACCCATGTGACTCCTCTGAACTGAAAACAAATTCTGCTTTGTGTCAGTCTGTTTTAGGTAGTCCCCAGAGCTGTCTTGCTGCAAAAGTCTACACATCTCCTGCCGACAGAAGTGGCTTGAAAACAGGTAAGTGTCTTGGATTCTGATGCTGAGATCTCATGAGAGAGTCGACAGTTGAACTGACCTAGCTCCAGGGGAGAAGGGAAAAAAAAGCAGGGCTATTCCTTCTTGAAACACAAAGGCCTAAATGGAGACCAGTGAATCCGGGAGGGTTTCAAAGGGGTTCGAGGCGTTGCCCTTTGGCTGATGTTTCCTAGGGTTCTGATGGTATTTTCCCCATTTCCATATGTCAGCTGCCTTCCTCCACTCCCACACACCCATCCTCTAGCAACATTTTCAGTTCCGCTTTATGAATTTCGAAAGCAGAACACCAGAGAAGTTAGGGAACTAGCCCACGGTGGCACAGGCAGTAAGAGGTAGAACTAGCACCCGAACCTAGGTAGGCTGGGATCGGAGCTGGCCCCCCTTCAGCAGTTCACCTCTGTGAAGGCTGTGGGTGAAGTGCCTAGAGCCGGGCTTTGGTGCTCATTTCATAGCTGGTAGCACCAAGTCTTGGTGAGATCCATTGCTGAATCCTCCACACAGTGCCGTGGGCCAGGTACAACCATCCCCACCTTGTGGAGAGTTTGTGCAGGTCCTAAAGTGGTGGCCAGAGATGCATGCCTTTGTCTCACTCCCCAACCACTCAGATGCTCTCTGCGGACCTTCTCAGTCAGCGCAGCAAGCACACCAGGTCCATGCTGCCAGTGACAGTCATCATTTCAGCAATCATCAGGGTTTCCATTTTCTCACCTTGCCTGTCTCCCTTCTGGGCTACGTCGACTGTCGTGGTGGGGAGGTGAGGAGGAGTTGCAGAGGTAGCCCCGCTCCGGGGGATTGAGCGATTCATCAGGGAGAGAGATCCGACCCCATCTTAGTCTGTGTCCTTCCACTATATCATGAAATACAACAGGTTGGGTGCTCTGGACTGGATATGGTGTGTTTATCCCCACCAAGAGTCAGGTTGAAGTTGAATCCTCAGTGCTGCAGTGTTGGGAGGTGGGTCCTAGTGGGAGGTGTTTGGGTCGTGGTGGGGATCCCTCATGAATGAGTCAGTGTCCTGTGATGCCATCCTGCTGGGCTGAGTTCTTACTCTCACAGGTATGGATTAGTTCGCAGGAGAGTGGATTGTTCACAAGATTCTGGCCTCCCTCGATTCTCTCTCCCTTCCTTCTTTCCATGTGATCTCGTTGCACACGCCGGCTCCCCTTCCACTTTCCACCATGAGTTGAAGCAGCCCGAGGCCCTCACCAGATGCAGTTGCCCAAAAATGAATGTTTCAGCCACCAGAATTGTGAGCCAGATAGACCAACTTTTTCTTTTTAAAAGATTTATTTATTTTAATTTTTTTTAAGAGACCGGGTGATGCTCTGTTGCCGACGAGAGTGGAGTGGCACGATCATGGCTCACTACAGCCTTGAACTCAGGTGGGATCCTCCCACCTGAGCTTCCCAAGTAGCTCAAGGATGTACTGCCATGCCAGGCTGATTTTTAAATGTTTTGTAGAGATAGCGTCTGGCCGTGTTGCCCAGGCAGATCTCGAACTTCAGGCCTGAAGGTGTTCCTCCTACCTTGGCCTCCCAGAATGCTGGGATTAACAGGCATGAGCCACCGTGCCTGGCCTCCCATTTTCTTTAGAAATTACTGAGTCTCAGGTATTCTGTTATAGCAAAGCAAAATGGACCAAGACAGCTGGCAATTTGTAATGGAAACAAATTTATTTCTCGCGACCCTGGATGCTGAGAAGTCCAAAACAAAGGTACCAGTATCTGGTATCTGGCAAGAGTCTTCCTGGTATTTCCTCACGTGGCAAAAGGTGGAAGGACAAGCCGGGGAGAATGTTATGTCCTCACATAGCAGAAGAGGAAAAGAGAGAGCAAACCCACTTCTGCAAGCTCTTTTCATAGCAGCATTCATTCACTCACGAGGGCTCTGCCGTGATGGCCTAAACACCTGCTGTTATTCCACACCTCCCAACACTGTTGCAGTGGGGATTCATTTCACTGTGAGTTTTGGAGGGAACACAAATATTGAAATGCTAGCAGATACGCATCGTTGTGTCAGAGAACAGGTGGTTGATCCCATGTGGTCCCAGTCTCAGGAGATGAAAGGAGTGAGAAGGATCTCAGTTGGAAAAAGCAGGCATCAGGGGCTTGCTCAGGGAAGTCACAGATGCACAGTGCCACAGGGTCTCCAGGAACAGACATGGAAGGTGGGTGGGTGGAGGTAACTGAGGCACTCGGCACACCCTCCACATCCTCACCTCCAGGTCTTTGTCCCTGTACCTGTGTATGGGGGGTGGATGGGACTTGGGGGTCATGTCTGAGACACCATACTATCCCAAGTTACAGACTAGGATCTGCAGTCCTGTGATGTCCACAGGTGTCCAGCATGCGACATTCTAGAGTAGAGACCAAACCAAAGGCACCAGCAGGCGAGAGAGGATTGGGACAGAGAAAGGTGCAAATGCAGTGATCACATGGGACATCTGAGTAGACCCGGAGAATGTAAGGAAATAGAAAGACTACATTAAAAATCTTCCCACTAGGGACAGTCTAGGCTCCACTGCCTCATTGGTGAAGGCTATCCAACATTTACAAAATACATAATGCCAACCCTTCACAGATTCTTTTAGACTATAGAGGAGGGAACATTTCCCAACTTATCCTTTGAAAATTGTATTACCCTGCTACTAAAGGCAGATAGAGGCTGGGCGTGGTGGCTCACGCCTGTAATCCCAACGTGTTGGGAGTCTGAGGTGGGCGGACCACCTGAGGTCAGGAGTTTGTGACCAGCCTGGCCAACATGGTGAAACCCCGACTCTGCTAAAAATACAAAAATTAGCTGAGTATACTGGTGGGCACCTGTATTCCCAGCTACTCGGGAGGCGGAGGCAGGAGAATTGCATGAACCTGGGAGGCAGAAGTTGCAGTGAGCCCAGAGCGCACCACTGCACTCCAGCCTGGGTGACAGAGCAAGACTTGTCTCAAAAACAATAATAAAATAATAATAATAATAATAGTGCCAGAGACAGCAGAAGAATACCATAAACCAATATCCATCATGAATATGCGTGCAAAAATCCCCAACAAAACATTAACAAACCCCAATCCAGCGACACATACAGTGGGTTATGCAACATGACCAAGTGACATTTATTCTAGGAATGCAAGATTGGCTTAACATTCAAATTTCAGTCAAGGTAATCCACCCTGTTAATATAATAGAGGACAGGAACTATATCATCATCTTCATAGACAGAGAAAAGTATTTGACAATATCTGACACCCATTAGTGATAAAATCATGTCTACACAAAGACATGTGCTCAGATGTTCACTGCAGCATTTTGCAGGAAGGCCCCAGGGTGGAAACAAGCCAAATGTCTACCAATCAGTAAAGGGATAAAGAAGTGGTATATCCGTACAGCCGAATGTTACTGAGCCGTGACAAAGAACACACTACTGATGCACGTTTGAGCCTCCAAGACATTATGCTCATTGACAGATGTCAGACACAGAAGACCACTTATTGCACAAGTCAGTTTATAGGAAATGCCCAGAGAGGCAGCTCTAAAGAGAGAGAAAGGAGCTTGCTAGTTGCCTGGGTGGGCCTGGAGGTAAAGTAATGGGGATTCACTGCTGCTAGTGGGTACCAGCGATCTTTCTGGGGTGATGGAAGTATTCTGAAACTGGATAGTGGTGAGGGCTGCAAAACTGTGTAAATTTACTAAAACTCACTGTGTTATTCCCTTTAGGTACGTGAAGTTTGTGGCAAGCAAATTATACCTTAGTAAAGCCATTTAAAAAATGTAGTGCAAGTGTGACCGTAAGTCACGGAGGAAGGGGTATGCAGTCATTTTTTTCTACAACAGTAAGCAACATCCCCTCTCTTTCCCTGTTCCGCATCCTGCCTACATGTCCTGCCTGGTCGCCTGGCTCCTCCACGTGCACTTGATGCTCCAGCCAGATAGACTGTGCACACCTGGGCAGAGGGAGTGCTGGTGAGTGCACATGTCTACGTGTGTGTCTGTGTGCGGTGTGCACGCGTTCCTGCGCAGGCACCCTGTGGGTGCATGCACTAGTGACTGTCAATCCTCTGTCTGTGGGCTGGCTCCCATAATCCATGCTACGTCCTGAATTCCACTGCCGGTTTTTCTGTTCACCAATCTCAAGGACCTGGCTTCAGTTTCTCTGGTAACCAACCTCAGCCCTTAGCTTCAACCTCTGAGCACAGGAAGACAGCCAGAGTGGGGAGGGGTGTTGTCTCACCCACAGGGCCCCTGCCGGAGCTGAGCACCCCAATGGGATGAGTGGCAGCACGGTTACCAAGACAACAGAACTCTCGACCCCTTTCCACCTGCAAGGCTCTTCTCCCTCTCCTGGGCCTGCCGAGCATCAGGTCGGAAAGGTAAAGCTGTGGCATAACCACCCTCCTAAGTCCTTGAAATTGCTCTAGACGTGGCTGTAGAATAAATATGTCAAAAGATGCTCTTGAAAGAGAAGGCAACCCCTACTTTTTTTTTCCCAATTCATTAACTACAAACAAGGCTATGAAGTCCAAGGTTATATTTAAAAATCAGGGCAGGCGAAAGGGAGTGTGTGCTTATGTCTCTCAACGTCAGCTGTGCATCAGGTCTCTCGTGGAGCATTTGTCCAAGAGCAAATGCCGGACCCCATCCCCAGAGAGTCTGACTTAGCAGGTCTGGAATGTGGCCCCAGCATGAGTATCATTTTATAACTCCTCTTATGAAAGACGAGGTGGCAGCTGCAGAAACGGAACCATCCTCATAGGAAGTAAAGCATATCTGAAACACAAGGTCCCTCGCCAAAGGGAAAGCAGGACGTCTTTGCTCCCTGCTGTGCTGGCGGTTTCTAGGGCTAATAGATTTCCCGGGCTAAGGAAAGGTCAAAAACATTCAAAGTAATGTGAGTGCGTGTTTTACAGCTGACACTGTGCTCGCCTTCCTCTATATTCCTGAAATCAAAATTTTCACGTTAACATGCTGCATTTGCCAGTGAAATTTATTGTTGTTTCTGGTGAGGGTCTCCTATGCTCGAGTTCTTTTCTTTTTTTTTTTTTTTAACTTTCCACATACCCTCTTTTTTATTACTATTATTATTATTATTATTAATATTATTCTTATTTTGTGTGTGTGTGTGTGTGTGTGTGTGTGTGTGTGTGTGTGTGTGATAAGAACACTTAGCCAAAAATCTACTCTTTTAGTAAATTTGAAGTATACAATACAGTGTTTTTAGCTATAGGCATTATGCTATGTAGTAGATCTCTAGAACTTCTTTATCTTACATAACTGAAACTTTGCAACTTTGACCATCAACCCTCCATTCCCTGCCCCAACCAGCCCCTGGCAACCACCATTCTACTCTCTGTTTATATAAGTTTAACTATTTTAGATTCCACATATAAGTGAGGTCGCACAGTATGTGTCTGGCATATTCACTTAGCATAATGTTCTCAGGGTCCATCCATGTTGTCACAAATGTCAGAATTTCCTTCTTTTTAAGGCTGAATAATATTCCATTGTATGTATATACCACATTTTCTTTATTCATCCATCAATGAACACTTAGGTTGTTCTTATATCTTGCTTATTATGAATAGTGCTGCAAAGAACATGGGGAGTATCTGGACTATCAATACCCAGAAGTGAGATTACTGGATCATATGGTAGTTATTTTCAAGGTGAGTAAAACACTGCATAGATACGTTCACGAGACATTGCACAATCATTCCTTGAATCTAGAGATGGCTCAGATTTGTATTAGCTGATGTGGATGAATCAGCTCCCAGGCTTACTTATTGTGTTGAGATGTATTTTTCACATGTTATTATAATTAGTGATATCAGATTAATCCTTCCGCTTAAAGGGCCATATAGGACTAGGAAATGTACGATGAAAAATACAATTCAGCAGTCCCTTGTTTCATGTGGTGCACCCGTGGAGACCCACCTCCGCAAACTTCTCTTTTTTTTCTTCAGCTATTTCTTCTGAATATTAACCTCTGTGTCTCTAAATGATGGGCTCCTACTGCTATGTCCCGATTTAGGGATTTGGAGGTTATCTGCTGAGTTCTCGGAGGAGATGAGCATTTCGGTCTCTGAGATACATTACAGGGCCCGGGTCTGCTCTTTGGCCTTCCCTGTGGGGGCCACCCAAGCCAGGGTCTGGGCCTCCACTCGGATGCCTGTAGAGAGTCTCTGCCAATACAAAGCCTTCACGGGAGACTCTTTGCTCATCTGTGGCAATGTGGAGGTCATGGTTGGCTTTTTCCAGAGGCTTGCAGCAGAGTCACGGGGTGATCTGCAGCCAACCTGGCAGTATTCCTAGGTTCTGGGGTTCAGGAACTGAGTGGATGGCGGTGCCAACCCATGAGACAAGGGACACAGTTGGGGGTCATCCGCTGATTTGTTGGGCTTGTGGGATATCTGAGTGGACATGCTCCTGAAACCATGCCCTGTGGGGGCTCTGGGGCTCAGCTGGGATTTTCCTGGTGGAGTTCGTGATGCAGGAATCCATCAGCACACAAGCGGAGAAGGACGGAACCAAGTCTGGGTGGCCATGTGGGCACCCAGGGTCACCTACAGAATGAGGAGTGTCCAGGGCAAAGGTCGCAAGAGGGAGGAGGAGTCCTGCTGGGGGAGCACAGAGCAGTCTTGTGATGAGAGTGGTGGACCTATGGGGCTTGGAGTTGGGGTGATGGAAGGGGCTGGGTACATGGGGGCACTTGGTCTGGAGATTCACACCGAATGCCTGGTGTGAGGAGGTTTCTTTGCTTGGGACCATAGAAGCACGAGGAGCCATCAGAAGCCAGAAGAGGTTGTTCGTGTCTGTGGCCCTGGCCAGGATGGATTTCCAGCCTCTGTAAACCTAAGCCCTATCGTGAGAGTGGCCTCAAAGTGTTATCCCTCGTGGTGAGGAGGCTGTGCTTTTGGGCCCTTCAAGGGAGGATCAGAGAGACTTAGCCACAGGGTGACACAACAGAACTCCCCTGGGAGTTCTCCATGGGAACTGCGAGGGGCCCCGTGTTCCAGTATTCTTTGCAAATGCAAGGAGAGCCCCGAGTCTGGAGGTTCAGATATCTTGCAGCGAGCCACCTGTACCAGGCCGCCATAAATAATGGTGGGGTATGTTCCCCAGTGAAGGAGCAGGTGCGATGCAAGAAAGATTCCAGCCACCACTACCTGGCCACAGCCCAGGTGCCGTCGGGAACTGAAGGTCTTTGTCAAGGAAACTCGTCATTGCAAAGCTCCTTAAACTCTCTTTGGGCGGTGGGGGGGGGGCAGTCTCCGGGTGTCTACCTGGGTGGTACCCCCTATAAGAAAAGGGGACCACATGAGGCATGAATGTGACAAGAGGAGAAGCACGCCCTTCCTCCAAATTGACCCCTTTAGAGATCTCAGGATGAGACACAAGGGCCCCGGGAGCCTCTCTGGGTCTGGTTCCTGGTGTGCATTTGCCAGACTCTTCGGCCTCAGAGCGCTGCTGGGGCGTGAAGAAGTGCTGTGGAAGTCATGATTTTCTCAGCGTCAAGAGCCCAATCAGGATCTGGAAGTGGTGGAGTGGCCTCGGAGTTCCAGGTACTCGAGAGGCTGAGGTGGGAGGATGGCTTGAGCCGAGTTCAAGGCTGTAGTGATGTATGTTTGCACGACTGCACTCCAGCCTGGGTGACAGAGCAAGACCTTATATCAAAAAAAAACAAAACCGAATCAGGCAATGCGTATATAAATGTTTTCTAAATCTTACAGCTCCACGTGAAGTAAGAGTGCTATTACTGATTTTGTTTTTGCTGTCTAACTGTGGCGGCTGCTTCTATTAGTAACCGAGTTCTATTATTAAATGAAAACACTCAATGGGGCCCAAGACAGCTGACTCGCCCCGGGGTGGAGAAGCGAGACCTGCCCAAAGGGCCATGCCAGTGCACTAGGGCGCATGGCGTCTGTGAGAAATGAGGAGGTTCTGCCTTGGAGAATGAGTTTCTGCCAGGATACAACAATGGGAGACAATTCTTGGGTCTGTCAGGAGCCACTGAAGTTCTCCCCTGTACCTTTCAACTCTTGGGAGGAAACTGGCATTATGTACATTTGAAAGAAATAGGAAGGAAAAAAGCCCTCCTTCTTTTAATAAGAAATTTTGGCTTGCTGCATTTGCTCCAGGCGTCATTCTCTGTCTGTAGAAACATTGTTTCACTCCACCCTCCAGGGCTCAGGTCCTGGGAAGTGGGGTCTATCTTAATAAAGAACACTGGAGCCCGGCATGGCTGGGGATGTCAATGATGGCCCTGAAGGAGGCCCTGCTCACCTCGGTGACACGCTCATTGGCTGCTCCACTCTCTGTGTGTGTCTGGTTTTCTCCTCTTTCTGTGCTCTGTTTGGGGAGGGTCTATTTATGGGGAGTTAATATCATCTCAGATGATTAAAGAAGAGGTGGCAGCCATGCACACTGGTACACACCAGTAATCCCAATCATTTGGGAGGCTGAGGCTGGAGGATGCTTGAGCCCAGGAGTTTGAGACCAGCCTGGGCAACATAATGAGACCTCATCTCTACAAAGAATAAAAACATTAGCCGGCTGTGGTCGTGCAAGATTGTACTCCCAGCTACTGGGGTGGTTGAGGTGGGAGGATCTCTTGAGCCCAGGAGTTTGACGCTGCAGTGAGCTACAATCATGCTACTGTACTCCATCCTAGGTGACAGAAAAAAAAAGAGAAAGAAAAGAAGGGGGAAAAAAACCCTTCTTTTTATGAGAATCTTTGGCTTACTGCTTTTTCTCTAGACATCCTTTCCTGGCTCTCGACACATGTTTTGACTCCAAGCTCCATGGCTCAGGCCCTGGGAAATGGGGTCTGTCTTAATAAAGGACAGTAGAGCCTGGCCTTGCATGGGGAGGGGAACGACAGCTTCTCTCTTCTGTGTGTCTGTCAGATTCTTTGCTCTTTCTGTGTCCTGTTTTGGGAGTCTGCTTATGAGGGGTTAAAATTGTCCTGGGTTACAGTAGGGAAGACAAGTACGTCCCATTCCCTTGCTACTGTGGACTGATAAGACGGTGTGCAGAGGAGGAGTCGCAGGGAATGGTATGCAGAGAGCAACAAACTCACTCAAGCCCCTCACACCCCACAAGCACGCTGGCTTATTTATTCTCTCTGACTGATTTGACATTTGTCTTGCTTGTCCACCCTCTGGACTGGATAGTAAGGGGAAACAAACGCACTGGATTTTCGTCTAATCTGGTGTCATCTGATGCTGTCATGTAACCGATCCATTTGTATAAATGCTCAATCTGTTTTGGCGAAAATGATCAGTCTCTTGGATTGCCACCCCACCTCCCTACTCTTGTCCAAGATGGGGAAGGGGCATATATGGCTTTTGAGTCTCCATGGTGATGTGGGAAGGGGCCTATGACATTGTATGTTGGCTGCAGTGTCCTCGGTGGGTTCTGAGGGAAGGCTCACTCTTGTCCCCAGGTCCTGCTGTCGACGCTGCCCTGCTCACCCATGCGTGAGGCTGGCGTAACTTGCATTTTTGTCTCTCTCTCTCATCTTGATCAGGACCTTGTGCTCCCTGGCTGACTTGACCTCAGCCCACCTGTGCTGGCATCTAGCCGACCCTTCTGAGTCAGGGCCTCATGCTCTCCCCGACCCCTGACCAGTGCTGTCCACTCCACAGCCTCAGCTGCAGGGTCTCCTAGCTCCTATCTGGCTTATGCTTGCTTCATGGTAGCACCGCTGGGTTTTGAATCAGCCACTTCCACATTCCCCTCTCAGAGAATGTAGAGCGCTGAGGTCTCCCAAAACAGCAGGAACCAAGATCAGCTCTACAAAGTGAAATTCCTCAACTCCAGACATCCCTCTGCCCAAAGAGGCTACTGGGCCATTCTGCAAAACGAGCTCCAAATTTGCATGAGGTAAAACCCTCTTTTACTCGAAGCTTCTCTCCACTCCCTTGTCACACCTTCCTCCTCTGAGATGTCTGACTCTGTCACTGCCTCTGGGGACCTCCTACCCCCTGTGACCAGAACAGGACACCTTCTTTGGCTTGTCTTTCATGTTCACCTCAGACTTGCCCTGTTATATCCAGGTCAAGAAGGTCACAGTTGGGAATTTGTACTTGGTTCAGAACAACAGTAGAATATGTTTCCAAGGGCCTGAGCCATGGAGCTTGGATTCAAAAAAATGTGTCCAGAGCCAGGAAAGGACGCCTAGGGAAAAAGCAGTAAGCCAAAGGTTTACTGCTTCTTACTTATAAGAAGAAGGGGAGATTTTTCCCTCTTGTTTCTCTCTCTTTTTTTTTTTTTTTTTTTTTGAGACACCCTCTCGTTCTGTCACCAAGGCTGGACTATAGTGGCACAATCATAGCTCACTGCAGCCTCAAAATCCTGGTTTCAAGAGATCCTCCCACCTCAGCCACCCCAAAATACAGATTAGGGACAAAAGCCCTATTGAAGGGAGTTGAGGAGGCCGTGGCCTCAGAACTCCAGGCAGTTTTTGTTGAAGGGCAGCACATTCTGTGCCAGCAGCTGCTGAAGGACATGTGGGGAGAGGGTGGGTTTTTCCTCCTTTGCTTGTGGAGTGCTCCAACGTAGAGGGGGCAGTTGATGACTTTGAAGGGAGGAGGGATCATTGCAGGAGCAAAGCCCCTGAGAAGGTGGGAGGTATGGGATCCTGAGCTGAGGTGAGGAGCTGGCTTCAGTTAGGAGCACTGTATGCAGAAGGGCGGCAGAGAATGCCAGGGCAGGCACGGGTAGACCGGGCTTGGGAAGCCCTAAGAGTTCCCAGTGGATTGCTTCTGTCTTCTCGATGAATCCTTAGGGTAGGCCACTGAAATGGAAGAGGGTTCCTAGCATTGTTGGGGGGTATGTTAGCAATGGAGGTAGGATGACAGTGAAAGAGAGAAGCAATCTCTCTTGGTCATGGAGAAAGGTACAATAATAAGTAAGGCATTTTTTCTCATCAGTGCTCAGCTCCTGAGAGGCAGGGCGCCCATCCTTTACTGCACATCGTGGAGGGGCGCAGTCTTTCCTGAGGCCAAGGGCATGAAGGTGGGCAGGAGGAGACCCCTGAAGACATAGGGGTTCTGGCAGTAGCCTGGTCAGCCCCGGGGGTGGGCGTTGAGATCGCCAGAGAGGATTTATAGAGTAAGGGCTGCGAGGGTACAGGGGGTGTGTCACGTGGGAAGCGTGTGCAAAGGCTGGCTTGGGCACTTTGGGAGGCTGAGGCGGGGGGATCACACGGTTAGGAGTTCGACACCAGCCTGGCCAATATGGTGAAACCCCGCCTCTACTAAAAATACAAAAATTAGCCGGGCATGGTGGCGGGTGCCTGTAGTCCCAGCTATGCGTGAGGCTGAGGCAAGAGAATCGCCTAAGCCTGGGAGGCGGAGGTTGCAGTGAGCCGAGATCGCGCCACTGCACACCAGCCTGGGGGGACAGAGCGAGACTCCGTCTCAAAAAAAAAAAAAAAAGCGCCTGGCTTGGTAGGAGGAGAATGGCCTGGTGACTGACACAAGTCTCGAACGTGGCGCGGCTGGGGCAGTCGCGTCCCTCAGCCGTCAGCTCCCAACAGCAAGGAAGGAAGCCCTGGCGGACCCCGTGAAGGATACAGGAGCCGATCTCCCCGGGCTCCGAAGCGTAGTCCCAGAGCCCGTCAATCCTACGCCAGCAACGCCCCACGGGTTGCGTTTTCCGGCGCTACAGGAACTTCCTGCGCGGTTGCTGTGGTTGCGAGGGCGTGACAAGTGGGGGTTACCGACGCCGTAAGCACTTCCTGCTCGGCTGCTGTGGTTGCGGGAACGGGACTAGCGCGGTTGCTATGGTTGCGAGGCCGTGACTGGGGGGGGGGGGGTTCCGGCGCCGCAGGAACTTCCTGCGCGGTTGCTGTGATTGAGAGGGCGGGATTAGAAGTTTTGTGCAGTGGTGGGTCCCTCTTCCCTGTTCGCCGGAGCCATTGCGTCCCGTACCATTCCCTTCTCGGGTCGTAGTTCTCCTCCCGCTAGCCTGCCCCAGTCGGGCTCGGGGCCGAAAAGCAGAGGAGAAGATGGAATTTCCTCTGCAGTTGGCGGCGTTCGGTTTTTGCGGCCGGCAGGTGGCAATGTTGCACCATGGAGCCACCCTGCTCGCCTCCCGCCCCGCCCTTCGCGAGCGAAAAAAGGCCGCCGAACCTTTTCCGAGAGAAGAGGCTTTTTTTTTTTCCCTTCCCTGGGGTCTGCGCCGGTAGGTCCCGGAGGCTGAGATTCCGCCCTCTGAGGGGCCCCCTCGCTAAAACTCACAGCCTGTGGACAAAGCCTTTTTGGTTTTCAAATCGGCCTGTTTCCCGCGAGGCTGCCTTCTTCCTTTAGCAACCCTCATTCTGCTGCGCTGAATGCTCTCGTCTTTTTTTTTTGGAGACAGAGTCTCGCTCTGTCGCCCACGCTGCAGTGCAGTGGCGCGATCTCCGCGCACTGCAAGCTCCGCCTCCCGGGTTCACGCCATTCTCCTGCCTCAGCCTCCCGAATAGCTGGGACTACAGGCGACCGCCACCACACCTTGCTAATTTTTTGTGTTTTGTTTAGTAGAGACGGGGTTTCACCTGTTAGCCAGGATGGTCTCGATCTTCTGACCTCGTGATCCACCCGCCTCGGCCTCCCAAAGTGCTAGGATTACAGGCGTGAGCCACCGGGCCCGGCCTGGTCTCATCCTTCTTTTCCCCCCACGCCGTCCTGGCGCCTGTGGACCTTCATCAACGTTTTTTTTTTTTTTTTTGAGACGGAGTCTCGCTTTGTTGCCCAGGTTGGGGTGCAGTGTTGCGAGGCTCACTGCAACCTCCGCCTCCTGGGTTCAAGGGATTCTCCTGCCTCAGCCTCTTGAGTAGCTGAAATTATAGGCAGGCGCCACCACACCCGGCTAATTTTTGTATTTTTAGTACAGACGAGGTTTCACCATGTTGGCCAGTCCAGTCTCGAACTCCTGACCTCAGGTGATCCGCCCGCCTCAGCCTCCTAAAGTGCTGGGATTACAAGCGTGAGCCACCGCCCGGCCCATCAATGTATTCTTTCATTAGGGACTGCGTTCAGCCTCACTGGAGAACGTTGGGAGGCGAGATAACGCAGAATAAAGAAAACGAATCTTAGCCACCGTCCCATCACGCAGCGGTGGCCATTCATTATGCTTTGTGATATTTCCTTAAGAAGGTTTTTCAACCATAAAGGTGCATTTTCCACATACTGAGATTCCTACTTCCGTCGCGACTTCAACATCCTTCTTTTTAACTCGGTTTCACATTTTTGAAAAATTCTTTTTGTAACTTTAATGGTTTTGATTGAAATAATAATGCAAACGTTTTCTGGAACGTTGAAAGTTCCTGTAAAACTTGAGTGCACAATTCATTAACTCGATATCCAAAGACAGCCGTCACTGTGTTATGAGGGTAGGAGCTGTGGTATGTGTGTGTTCCAGTCTTTTGTCCTCAGCACCTGGAAGACTACTTAGAATTTACTAGGTGCCTAATAAACATTGTGAATTAAACTGATATTTACATTTCCAGTCAATTTTCCTTATATATGCAGAGTTAATCTTTTCATAACCCTGGATTATAATATAGCACCGGTTTTCTACATGATTTTTTCGTTTCACATTTTGTAGTGAGCATTTGCCTTTGTCGTTAACATTTCTTAAATGTTTGTCTTGCATCGGTCAGGTCAATTCACTTACAAAAGATAATTTTACTTGTTTATGATATTCAGGAAAGAATTCAGGGCTTTGCATGTAAAACACTCTCCATAATTCCATAAAAATCTCACTGAAGCCGGCCAGCGCAGTGGCTCACGCCTGTAATCCCAGCACTTTGGGAGGCCAAGGTGGGCAGATCACCTGAGGTCGGGAGTTTGAGACCAGCCTGGCTAACATGTTGAAACCCCGTCTCTACTAAAAATACAAAATTAGCTGGGCGTGGAGGTGTGCGCCTGTAATCCCAGCTACTCGGGGGGCTGAGGCAGGAGAATCGCTTGAACCCAGGAGGTGGAGGTTGCAGTGAGCCAAGATCACACCACTGCACTCCTGCCTGGGCAAGAGTGAGACTCCGTCTCCAAAAATAATAATCTCACTGAAGCTTAACTAAGTTGTAGCCTAGAATTGCCTTGATAGAGACGGATCTTTTATTCTGTGTTTTAATCAGCTTTCAATATATTGGCTGTCTTCCACAGGACACTGCCCTAGATCAAGACAATTCACAGAACTGAGATTCTGGATGGCATGCTAAGGTTATCTGGCCCAGTGGTAAGAAGCTACAGTCAGCTTAGCTTGCTGCATTGATATAGTCATGTAATGACGTACTGGGGGCATAAAGAAAAATGCACTAAATATGAACTTAGGGGCCTAATTCCCAACGTGTCATTGGAGTCAGGGACACCATCACTTGACTGGAAGCACCATATGTGAGCCAAGGCTCATCTGACTGCAGTGGTCTTTCTCCATGTCTAGCTAATACTTGTGAAGCTGCTTTAGGCATGCCTCAAATAACTGAAAAAAATCACATACTTCTTTCCAAAAAGGGGGAGGGGGCTCACCGTAAACAGTACTGTACACAAATAATCGGAGTTAATTTATGCAGACAGCTTCTTTACCCTAAAGCTGCGGTTTGATTTGGACAAGAAGTTCTTCACTAATATTCACTTCCTCTCACAGGGCCTCATGCAGGGCCTTGGGCCAGGCCTCAAGAGAAGTCCCTTTCTATTAATAGTTCCTGCCCTGCCAGCCTTACCTATTTGACTGAGTCACTTTGCTTCTCTGGGCTTGCAGCAGCATCCAGGGAGGGGTGTGGTGAGAGTGCCCCTGTTCCCAGCCCAACAGCTCCTCTTTTTTCTCTTATGCATTGGATTTTTTTTTCAAGAAACATGCTTTTACTTTAACAAAAACTGAAATCCACTGGTCTACGTGATTTCTAAGATTTCCTATGTGCTTAGTCACCCACAGATGAAGGAAGATTGGACAGCAATGAAGTTATGAAAATGAGTAAGTACAGCTATCCATAGGAGTAGCGGCTACTACCAAGCAATCGCTCTGCTTAGGTCTCCAGCACTGTCAAGTTACTCTACTGGCCCTTGGCTTAATCAAGACTATTTGAAGATAAACTTTTATCTTTTGTTAAAGCTAATATATTTTTGCTGCCTCATTAAATAGATTAGCCTGTTTCCTAACTAAATAGTTATATAAGGGCCGGGCACGGTGGCTCACGCCTGTAATCCTAGCAATTTGGGAGGCCGAGGCAGGTGGATCACATGGTCAGGAGTTCAAGACCAGCGTGGCTAAGATGGTGAAACCCCGTCTCAACTAAAACTACAAATAATTAGCCAGGCGCTGTGGCAGGCATCTGTAATCCCAGCTACTTGGGAGGCTGAGGCAGGAGAATCGCTTGAACTCGGGCGGCAGAGGTTGCAGTGAACCGAGATCGCACCACTGCACTCCAGCCTGGGTGACAGAGATTCTGTCTCAAAATAGTAGTAGTAATAATAATAATAATAATAATAATAATAATAATAGGCATATAAGAGCATAGACTGTAGCATCACTGAAAACTAAACTCTATAGAAATTTCAGTCCTTTTTTTCAATTTAGTGAGTTTTTCAATATCTTTTCCAAACAGCAAAACACAGTTTTTCCTATATTTGTTTCCCAGTGGCATCTTAGGTTGTATTATTTTGGCACAGACACCCTTCGTTTGTATTTTAAAGATGTAGGGACCCCGTCTCTACAAAAAATTTTTTTAAAATTAGCCAGGTGTGGTTCCAGCTACTCGAGGCTGAAGTGGCAGGATTGCTTGAGCCCAGTAGTTTAAGGCTACAGTGAGCTGTGATCACACCATGGCACTCCAGCTTGGGCAACAGAGTGAGACCTTGTCTCGAAAAAAAGGATGTAAAGAAAGTCTTTACTCTCCCTAAAATTATGATTCCAGAGACTGTATTCTTATCTATTTCAAATCATGTGGATAAGATTTATTGAGCATATACTATGTGTTGGGTACTATACTGAGTCCTTTACATGTACTATTAGTCTCATTGATCATAGAAACCTTTGGAGTTTGTTATTGGTTACTATAATTATTCCTGTTTAACAGATGAGAAAACTGCTACTTAAAGAGACATCAATGCTCAGGTGTGTGATGCTAAAGATGTTTGTATAATGTAAACCCTATGATGACTCAAGGGACAGATTTCCTCATATTATTTTTTTCTTTTTCTTGAGACGGAGTCTCACTCCATCACCCAGGCTGGAGTGCAGTGGGGTGATCTCAGCTTACTGCAACCTCCGCCTCCTGGGTTCAAGCATTTCTCCTGCCTCAACCTCCCGAGTAGCTGGGATTACAGGCACACGCTACCACGCCCAGCTAATCTTTTGTATTTTAGTAGAGACGGGGGGCATGAGCCACTGTACATGCCGTTTTTTTTTTTTTTTTTTTTTGAGACAGGGTCTCTATCACCCAGGCTGGAGTGCAGTGGTGCAATAATGGTTCACTGCAGCCTCGACCTCCTGAGCTCAAGAGATCCTCCCACCTCAGCCTCCCAAGTAGCTGGAATCATACCTGGCTTTTTTTTTTTTTTTTTTTTTTGAGACGGAGTCTCGCTCTGTCACCAGGCTGCAGTGCAGTGACACGATCTCGGCTCACTGCAATCTCCGCCTCCCAGGTTCAAGCGATTCTACTCCGTCAGCCTCCTGAGTAGCTAGGATTACAGGTGCGTGCCACCACACCCAGCTCATTTTTTCGTATTTTTAGTAGAGACAGGTTTTCACCATATTGGCCAGGATAGTCTCCATCTCCTAACCTCGTGATCCACCTGCCTCAGCCTCCCAAAGTGCTGGGATTACAGGTGAGAGCCACCACGCCTGGCAAAACCTGGCTAATTTTTAAAAATTAAAAACAAATCCCAGCACTTTGGGAGGCCAAGGTGGGAGGATCACTTGAGATCAGGAGTTCGAGACCAGCTGGGCCAACATGGTGAAACCCCGTATCTACTAAAAATACAAAAATTGGCCAGGCGTGGTGGCCCGTGCCTGTAGTCCCAGCTACTGTGGAGGCTGAGGCACAAGAATCGCTTGAACCCAGGAGACAGAGGTTGCAGTGAGCCGAGATTGCACCACTGCACTCCAGCCTGGGCAACAGAGTGAGACCCTATCTCAAAATAAATTATTTTTCCAGTCCCTCCTCTTAGACAAGATGAACTCCTTTCATTGCCAGCATATTCTTTTTTGGAGAGAAAACAAAATTATAAGGATATATCATATTCAGGAATTGAGCCAAGAAGGCCTCCATAATGGATCTGAGGAGCAGTTTGTTATTTGGTCTTCTGTTCCTTAGTCGTAACATGGGTCATCCATTTGGACAGGAGAGTGCTGCTGGTCTTAACTAGATGTGACTGGATAGACTTCATGAGGAGTATTCCTATGAGAATAAAAAGAAAAATTATCACTATATCTTGGAAAAGCAGTGCATCCCCAGGACTGTATCCCTGTTGGGAATATTCAAGGGAAAAGGTCATATTCTCAGCCACCCAATGATAACCCAGAGGTCCCAGAGATCAGGACTAGGTGGCAATTCATCAAAAAGACATCAGAAAGGTGTTGGGGGATATATGTACAGCAGTCGTCATTGACAACTGCACAAGTGCATCCATCTCCTAGATCTGCCCGGATGATGGCTAATGCCAGTTGATGATGGACAACAGCCTCTGGAGTTCTTGCATTTCTTGAGTGATTGTGTTAATATTTTTCGTGACATCACTGGTGACTTGGTTGGCTTCATGAATGAGAGCATGGAAAACTCAGGAATTGGGTTGAGCTTCTTCAGTAACCCACAGAGCTGGATTGCCAGAAAAGCCTGCAACCTGAGACCTGTCCCTGTTGGGGGCGAACACATCTAAAACCATTCCAAGTCTTTTAGCTTCTTCAGACAGTTCCTGTTGTTTTCCTGGAGAGAATGGCTGTTTTGCAGAGGGATGTTCTCACTCCTGACAATGGATTGTTCTGTCTAGGAGTGAGAGTTTTACTCTACTTCTGAAAAGGTGGTAAGTTGTCATAACTCTATGCAAATGTATAATCAGAAAGGGAGAAAGAGATGGGTAAGATAACATGACTATCCAATTGGCTGGTTAAAAAAAAAAAGGCAGTGAACCCACAACAAAGTATGAATTGCTTTGGTATTCTCCGGGGGGGAAAAAAACAATTGTCACAATTTATCATGTAACTTTCCTAGGTGCGGCTGGTGTTGGGGCTAAACCCAAGTTACCCACTGCCTTCATTTGGGCTAATAACCTGGCCAGTTTCCTTTGCAGTAGCTTAGGCTCACAAATTTATGATTACAAACAAACACTTCCTTTGGATAAAAACAAGTTCATCTCCTTTGGTGCGTATCCTGGGTAGGGTGTGTTCCTTTTTTAGAGTCGTCAGAGGTCCAGTTTGTATGGGAATATGCCTCAAATGGCAGCCGTACTGGTGGAGAGATTTCTTCCAGGGTAGGAAATGGAGGAGTTGTAAAATACAATTGACAGGAAAAGGTGAGCAGAGCCAATAGGTGACATTAGCTTCATAAGCCTGAGCAAGAAAATGAGAAAGATTTGAGGTATTGAGTAAGGGCAGAGGAGAAAGGGAGAAGGAAATGGGGAGAACAAGGAGAGGAAACAGAAATAGCAGAGTGAGAATACAAGTTGGTAGCGATAGTATAATTTTTGGCTAACAGGAAACACCTTACAAAGTTTCTTAATTATAATTTCAGTAAAATGAGTAAGTAGAGATTCCCCAGATAGGAAGTACAAATTCTAATGTTCTTAAAAGTCATAGTAAGAGCTGTTGCCTTAGAGCAAGGGAATTAAGGAAATTAAACGTTTTGTGATGCAGGGAGTTATATAAAGTCCATCTGTAAATCTTCAAAAGGTCCCTGGAGCTGTGGTTCCTGTCCATGTCCCACATTTACAGTTTGTCCAGGATTATAAAATATTGCAGGTGGAACATACCCTGGGGACATCATCTGCTACTCAAATAAAATTCCCCACCAGTGTTGGCCCAGAGGAGTTTTCAAGGTTTACTGTGATGGATCATAGCCTAGAAATTTTTCATCAAGCTCCAATTCAGACTGGAGAGGCCAAACAGCAGTCTTGGTATCTCCATTGCCCATCTGATAGGAGGGAACATTGGGTTTCTTCCAATATCTTATTTTACTGTGGTAAAATATACATAACATAAAATTTACTATTTTAACCATTTTTAAGTATACAGTTCAGTTCCATTGAATACATTCATATTGTTCTGCAGGCACCACCACCATCCATCTCCAGAACTCTTTTCATCTTGCAAAACTGAAACTCTGTCCACACTGAACCATAGCTCCATATTCCCCCCTCCTTCCAGCCCCTGGCAACTACCATTCTACTCCCTGTCTCTATGAATGTGACTACTCTAAATACCTCATATAAGTGAAATTATATAATGTTTGTCTTTGTGACTGTCTTATTTCAGTTAGTATGTCTTCAAGGTTTTTTAATGTTGTAGCATGTGTCAGAATGTCATTCCTTTTTTAAGGCTGAATAATACTCCATTGTATTTATATACCACATTTTGTGTATCTATTCATCTGTCAATGGACACTTGGGTTGCTTCCACATTTTGGCTATTGAGAATAATGCTGCTATGAAAATGGGTGTACAAATATCTGGTCATGTCCCTGACTGCAGTTCTTTTGGGTATATACCAAGAACTGGGATTGCTGGATTATATGGTAATTCTATGTTTAATTTTTTGAGGAACTGCCATTCTCCCTTATCTCTTTTATAGAATCGAATGCTTGTGACTGCAGTTTTCCCAAGGTTTCATAGAAGTGGTCTGGAGGCTCTTCAAGGAGAACTACAAACCACTGCTGAAGGAAATAAGAGAGGACACAAACAAATGGAAAAACATTCCATGCTCATGGATAGGAAGAATCAATATCGTGAAAATGGCCTTACTGCCCAAAGTAATTTATAGATTCAATGCTATCCTCATCAAGCTACCACTGACTTTCTTCACAGAATTGGAAAAAAACTACTTTCAACTTCATATGGAATCAAAACAGAGCCCGCATTAGCCAAGACAATCCTGGGCAAGAAGAACAAAGCTGGAGGCATCACGCTACCTGACTTGAAACTTTACTACAAGGCTACAGTAACCAAAACAGCATGCTACTGGTACCAGAACAGAGATATAGACCAATGGAACAGAACGGAGGCCTCAGAAATACTACCACACATCTACCACCTCTGATCTTTGACAAACCTGACACACACAAGCAATGGGGAAAACATTCCCTGTTTAATAAATTATGTTGGGAAAACTGGCTAGCCATATGCAGAAAACTGAAACTGGACCCCTTCCTTACACCTTATACAAAAATTAACACAAGATGGATCAAAGACTTAAACGTAAGACCTAGGACCATAAAAATCCTAGAAGAAAACCTGGGCAATACCATTTAGGATGTAGGCATGGGCAAAGACTTCATGACTAAAACATCAAAAGCAATGGCAACAGAAGCCAAAATTGACAAATGGGATCTAATTAAAATAAAGAGCTTCTGCACAGCAAAAGAAACTATCATCAGAGTGAACAGGCAACCTACAGAATGGGACAAAATTTTTGCAATCTACCCATCTGACAAAGGGCTAATATCCAGAATCTACAAAGAACTTAAACAAATTTACAAGAAAAAAACAACCCCATAAAAAAATGGTCAAAGGGTATGAACTGACACTTCTCAAAAGAAGACATTTATGCAGCCAACAGACATATGAAAAAATGCTCATCATCACTGGTCATTAGAGAAATGCAAATCAAAACCACAATGGGACACCATCTCACGCCAGTTAGAATAGCGATCATTAAAAAGTCAGGAAACAACAGATGCTGGAGAGGATGTGGAGAAATAGGAACACTTTTACACTGTTGGTGGGAGTGTAAATTAGTTCAACCATTGTGGAAGACAGTGTGGCTATTCTTCAAGGATCTAGAACTAGAAATACCATTTGACCCAGCAATCCCATTACTGGGCATATACCCGAAGGATTATAAATCATTCTGCTATAAAGACACGTGCACACGTATGTTTATTGCGGCACTATACACAATAGCAAAGACTTGGAACAACCCAAATGTCCATCAATGATAGTCTTGATTAAGAAAACGTGGCTCATATACACCATGGAATACTATGCAGCCATAAAAAAGGATGAGTTTGTGTCCTTTGCAGGGACATGGATGAAGCTGGAAACCATCATTCTCAGCAAACCATCACAAGATCAGAAAACCAAACACCGCATATTCTCACTCATAAGTGGGAGCTGAAGAATGAGAACACATGGACACAGGGAGGGGAACATCACACACCAGGGCCTGTGGTGGGTGGGGGGATAGAGGAGGGATAACATTAGGAGAAATACCTAATGTAGGTGATGGGTTGATGGGTGCAGCAAACCACCATAGCATGTGTATACCTATGTAACAAAACTGCACGTTCTGCACATGTAACCCAGAACTTAAATTATAATAAATAAATAAATAAGTGGTCTGGAGGAACCAGACCATCATTAGTTTGCTGAATATGAATGAGAGCGAATTGTTTAGCATACCAGTCAAGGACTTTCCTTTTGTTTCACAGGTTTATTTCCCAGTAGGAGCTTTGACCACACTTACAGCCAATTCCTGGAGCAAGGTTTCTAGTAAAGCTCGACCTTGTCACCATACTTAATGTAAGTACCAGCAGCAGGTAGGAAACCCTATTGTTTCCGTAGAATACCAAAATTATAAACCACAGCATCGGCACACATGCTTGTCTAGCTGTGTTGTATTTGTAGAGGCCCTTGTGTTTCCCTTAGGTGAAGTTGAGGGCCATAAGACTGTGCATGCAGTTTTCTCCTCATTTATCATACTTTCTTCAAAATACTGAGCTAAGTGTTGTAACTCATGGATGGGTATGACTTGCCCACCTATTTTCTGCTTCTGAACAGCAGCTGATATTTCAGGCTTAGGGCCATTAACAAAAAAGGTGGAGAACTCCCTGGCGGCATCAGCATTAATGCCCAACCTCTAGCATTCCTGATAGTAGTATCTAATTGGTCTCTATAGTTAGAGACAGATTCATCCTACCTTTGTCAACAGGATTGGATTGTTCTCTAGTAATTGTGAGGGGGTAAACTTCAGGGATAGCCTTTAAAAGACACTATCCTATTTCTGGGGCTTCTACATATGCAGAGCAGGTGTTATTTCTAGGAGCGTTACCTAAATCCTCATTTATGGTGGCCTTGTCAAACCAGGCTCAGGGATCTCCTGGTCTTACTGAAAGGTGTGCTAAATGATACAGGTCAAGGAGCTCAGGCAAATCAAGGAGCTCAGGGTGGCCAGGTGCAGTGGCTCACGCCTGTAATCCCAGCACTTTGGGAGGCCGAGGCAGGCAGATCACCTGAGGTCAGGAGTTTGAGACCAGCCTGGCCAACATGGTAAAATCCTGTCTCTACTAAAAATACAAAAATTAGCTGGGCGTGGTGGTGGGCACCTGTAATCCCAGGTACTCGGGAGGCTGAGGCAGGAGAATTGCTTGAACCCAGGAGGCAGAGGTTGCAGTGAGCCGAGATGGCGCCATTGCACTCCAGCCTGGGCAACAAGAGCAAAACTCCATAAATAATAATAATAATAATCATCATCATCATCATCATCAGAGATAGTGAAAAATATATATGTACAAAAATATTCTTTACATTTTATGGAGGGAATATCTTTGAGGAATGTATCAATATGCTTTCCTCCTACACATTTCCTTGCATGAATTTCCCTAGTGATTAGTAGAGTGCATTTTCTACCAGAAGGCAAAAATGGAAAATGAAAGAACACATAGCAGCTATAACTAAATTTCTTTTTTTTTTTTTTTTTTTTTTTGAGAGGAGTCTCGCTCTGTCGCCCAGGCCGGACTGCGGACTGCAGTGGCGCAATCTCGGCTCACTGCAAGCTCCGCTTCCCGGGTTCACGCCATTCTCCTGCCTCAGCCTCCCGAGTAGCTGGGACTACAGGCGCCCGCCACCGCGCCCGGCTAATTTTTTTGTATTTTTAGTAGAGACGGGGTTTCACCGTGTTAGCCAGGATGGTCTCGATCTCTTGACCTCATGATCCACCCGCCTCGGCCTCCCAAAGTGCTGAGATTACAGGCGTGAGCCACCGCGCCCGGCCACTAAATTTCAAGACTAGATTTTACTACATGCACTCTAAAAAAAATCTGGCTTAAAAATCCGGTTGGGCGCCATGGCTCACGCCTGTAATCCTAACACTTTGGGAGGTTGAGGCAGGTGGATCGTTTGACGCCAGAAGTTCGAGACCAGCCTGGTCAACATTGTGAAACCCTGTCTCTATTAAAAAGACAAAAATCAGCCAGGCGTGGTGGCCCATGCCTGTAATCCCAGCTACTCAGGAGGGTGAGGCACAAGAATCGCTTGAACCTGGGAGGCAGAGGTGCAGTGAGCCGAGATCGTGCCACTGCACTCCAGGCTGGGAGACAGAGCGAGACTCCGTCTCAAAAAAAAAAAAAAAAAACTGTACCTACTACACACGTAATAGAAAATATTAGACACAACAACAGTAGTATGACATCTACAACCGCCAGGACCCAAGCCAAGAACCTGTTGGGCTGTTTATGATGAACACCACCCCCTGAAGGAGATGCTGTTACCACCCTTAATCTATACTTGTGGAAACAGGCACACAGATGTGGAGTCAGTTGTCCCTGGTCTGTCAGACTCTATATTACACACTGGCTTGCAGAATGCTTTCCTGCCCCCAGTATAAGAATAAAAGACACACTGGGGAAGTGTGTAAAAGAGCCAGCAAAACTTTTTAAAAAATCATGGAAGTCACTGCTCACAGAAATAGTGCAAAATGGAAAGAAAAAATAAACCATGAAGGAAATTGTTCAAAGAGTAGGATCTAAGTATTATGAAATGATCTTTTTTTTTTTTTTTTTTGAGACAAGGCCCAGGTTGGAGTACAGTGGTACAATCAAGGCTCACTGCAGCCTTGACCTCCTGGGCTCAAGCGACCCTCCCACTTCAGCCCCCTGTGGCTCCCAAAAGCTGAGACTATAGGTACACACCACCACAGCCTGCCAATTTTATTGTTTATGTTTTGTAGAGACAGGATCTCACTATGTTGCCCAGGCTGGCCTCCAACTTGATCCTGGGATCAAGCAATCCTCCTGCCTTGGCCTCCCAAAGTGCTGGGATTACAGGCCTAAGCCATGACGCCTGGCCTATTTTTTTTTTACTCACCTGGAAGAAATTAGACACTTGTATTTGTATTCAACAAATGTCTATATTGACAAGACAAAGCTAGGCACTGTTCTGGTAATGTGCTGAAAATACATTGGTGAGCAAAAACAAAGCAAAACAAATATAGTTTCTGTCCTTATAATGATCACTTTCTGATATTAACCTTTGAAATAGGGAGTCAGGGGTTATTTCTGTTGTACAGCTTAATTGTTAATTTTTTTTTTGCTCTTCTATACTACATATTGTATTAGCAAAAGACATGAATAAAAAATTTTCGAGTCTTTTTGAAATAATTTGTGGGACACCTTAATGCTAAATAGAATAGTTTAAAAATTTTCGAAAGAAATGATGCAAACATCAATCTCAGTATGTTTAAAATGTACCTTTATAGATGGAAAACCGCTAAGGAAATAAAAAAATATGATTAGTGATGATGGCATGTTGATGGAACTGTGGATAGTTTTCTTCACTATATTTTATCTCTCAGTGCTATGAAAAGATTGTTTCTACACGTATAAAGAAAAATGACGGGAAATATAAATACTTTATTTCACAATGTTTATTAGGCACCCAGTAAATTCTAAGTGTCCTTGCAGGTACTGAGGACAAAAGACTGAAACACACACACACAGACCACAGCTCCTGCCCTCATAAGAGAACACGGTGACAGCTGTCTTTGGATCACGAGTTAATGAATTGTGCACTGGAGTTTTACAGGAACACAGAACATTCCAGAAAACGTTTGCATTATTTCAATCAAAACGACGAAAATCACAAAAACCGTTTTTCAAAAATGTGAAACCGAGTTTTAAAATAAGGATGTTGAAGTCGTGACGCAAGTAGGAATGTCAGTATGTGGAAAATGCACCGTTATGGATGAAAAACCCTCTTAAGGAAGAAATTTCACAAAGCATAATGAATGGCCACCGCTGTGTGATAGGACGGTGGCTAAGATTCGTTTTCTTTATTCTGCGTTATTTCGCCTCGCATGTTCTCCAGCAAGGCTGAACGCCCTACCTAATGAAAGAATACAGTGATGAAGGCCAACGGATTCCAGGACGACGTGGGGGAAAGACCATTCAGAGCAGCAGAATAAGGGTTACTAAGGGACGCAGGCAGGTCCGCGGGAGACAGGCCGATTTGAAAAGCAAAAAGGCTTTGTCCACCAGTGCTGAGTTTCAGCGAGGGACCCCCCCCCCTCGCCCGCCAGAAGGTGGCAACTCAGGCTCCAGGACCAGCCGGTTCACACGCCAGGGAAGGAGGAAAAAAAAAAACCGACCTCTTCCATCGGAAAACGATGGGCAGCGTTTTTTCGCTCGCGAAGGGAGGGGCGGAAGGCGAGCAGGGCCACTCCACAGTGCAACACTGCCACCTGCCGGCGAAATAAACCGAAAGCCACCAACCACAGAGGAAATTCCATCTTCTCCACTACTTTTCGGCACCAAGCCCTGAGAGATCCACTGGGGCAGGAAAGGAGAGCGACGAACAGAGAAGGGACTGGAACGGGCCGCGATGGCTCCGGCGAACAGGGAAGAGGGACTCACCCCTGCACAAAAGCCTCCCCTAGTCCCGCCCTCGCAACCACAGCAACTGCGCAATAAGTTCCTGCGGCGCCAGACACCCCCACTAGTTCCGCCCTCGGAACCATAGCATCCGGACAGAAAGTTCCTGCGCCGCCGGAAATACGCAGTCCGGAGGGCGGGGCTGGCCTAGGATTGACGAGCTCTGGGCCTGCGCGTCGGAGCCCGGGGAGGTCGGCTCGTCTCATCGGGGTTCGCCGCAGGCTTCCTTCCCTGCGGTTAGGAGCTGACGGCTGAGGGACACGACTGCCCAGCCGCCCCGCGTTCGAGACCTGTGCCAGTCCCAGAGCCATTCTCCTCCCATCCAGCCAGCCTTTGAACACGCTTCCCACGTGGCACACCCCGTCTTCCCCGCAGCCCTTAATCCGCCGATCCTCCCTGGCGATCTCAGCGCCCCCAGGGGCTGACCAGGCCACCGCCAGAACCTCTCCGTCCTCACGGGTCTCCTCCTGCCCACCTAAGTCTCTTCTGCCAGCGGTCATGCCCTGGGCCTCAGGAAAGACCGCACCCCTCCACGATGTGAAGGAATGCACGGGCGTCATGCCTGTCTGAGCACTGATGAGAAAAACCTTAACAAGCCTTACAAATTATTGTACCTTTCTCCATGACCAAGAGAGATTGCTTCTCTCTTTCACTGTCATCCTACCTCCATTGCTAACATACCCCCCAACAATGCTAGGAACCCTCTTCCATTTCAGTGGCCTACCCTAAGGATTCATCGAGAAGACAGAAGCAATCCACTGGGAACTCTTAGGGCTTCCCAAGCCCGGTCTACCCGTGCCTGCCCTGGCATTCTCTGCCGCCCTTCTGCATACAGTGCTCCTAACTGAAGCCAGCTCCTCACCTCAGCTCAGGATCCCATACCTCCCACCTTCTCAGGGGCTTTGCTCCTGCAATGATCCCTCCTCCCTTCAAAGTCATCAACTGCCCCCTCTACGTTGGAGCACTCCACAAGCAAAGGAGGAAAAACCCACCCTCTCCCCACATGTCCTTCAGCAGCTGCTGGCACAGAATGTGCTGCCCTTCAACAAAAACTGCCTGGAGTTCTGAGGCCACGGCCTCCTCAACTCCCTTCAATAGGGCTTTTGTCCCTAATCTGTATTTTGGGGTGGCTGAGGTGGGAGGATCTCTTGAAACCAGGATTTTGAGGCTGCAGTGAGCTATGATTGTGCCACTATAGTCCAGCCTTGGTGACAGAACGAGAGGGTGTCTCAAAAAAAAAAAAAAAAAAAAAGAGAGAGAAACAAGAGGGAAAAATCTCCCCTTCTTCTTATAAGTAAGAAGCAGTAAACCTTTGGCTTACTGCTTTTTCCCTAGGCGTCCTTTCCTGGCTCTGGACACATTTTTTTGAATCCAAGCTCCATGGCTCAGGCCCTTGGAAACATATTCTACTGTTGTTCTGAACCAAGTACAAATTCCCAACTGTGACCTTCTTGACCTGGATATAACAGGGCAAGTCTGAGGTGAACATGAAAGACAAGCCAAAGAAGGTGTCCTGTTCTGGTCACAGGGGGTAGGAGGTCCCCAGAGGCAGTGACAGAGTCAGACATCTCAGAGGAGGAAGGTGTGACAAGGGAGTGGAGAGAAGCTTCGAGTAAAAGAGGGTTTTACCTCATGCAAATTTGGAGCTCGTTTTGCAGAATGGCCCAGTAGCCTCTTTGGGCAGAGGGATGTCTGGAGTTGAGGAATTTCACTTTGTAGAGCTGATCTTGGTTCCTGCTGTTTTGGGAGACCTCAGCGCTCTACATTCTCTGAGAGGGGAATGTGGAAGTGGCTGATTCAAAACCCAGCGGTGCTACCATGAAGCAAGCATAAGCCAGATAGGAGCTAGGAGACCCTGCAGCTGAGGCTGTGGAGTGGACAGCACTGGTCAGGGGTCGGGGAGAGCATGAGGCCCTGACTCAGAAGGGTCGGCTAGATGCCAGCACAGGTGGGCTGAGGTCAAGTCAGCCAGGGAGCACAAGGTCCTGATCAAGATGAGAGAGAGAGACAAAAATGCAAGTTACGCCAGCCTCACGCATGGGTGAGCAGGGCAGCGTCGACAGCAGGACCTGGGGACAAGAGTGAGCCTTCCCTCAGAACCCACCGAGGACACTGCAGCCAACATACAATGTCATAGGCCCCTTCCCACATCACCATGGAGACTCAAAAGCCATATATGCCCCTTCCCCATCTTGGACAAGAGTAGGGAGGTGGGGTGGCAATCCAAGAGACTGATCATTTTCGCCAAAACAGATTGAGCATTTATACAAATGGATCGGTTACATGACAGCATCAGATGACACCAGATTAGACGAAAATCCAGTGCGTTTGTTTCCCCTTACTATCCAGTCCAGAGGGTGGACAAGCAAGACAAATGTCAAATCAGTCAGAGAGAATAAATAAGCCAGCGTGCTTGTGGGGTGTGAGGGGCTTGAGTGAGTTTGTTGCTCTCTGCATACCATTCCCTGCGACTCCTCCTCTGCACACCGTCTTATCAGTCCACAGTAGCAAGGGAATGGGACGTACTTGTCTTCCCTACTGTAACCCAGGACAATTTTAACCCCTCATAAGCAGACTCCCAAAACAGGACACAGAAAGAGCAAAGAATCTGACAGACACACAGAAGAGAGAAGCTGTCGTTCCCCTCCCCATGCAAGGCCAGGCTCTACTGTCCTTTATTAAGACAGACCCCATTTCCCAGGGCCTGAGCCATGGAGCTTGGAGTCAAAACATGTGTCGAGAGCCAGGAAAGGATGTCTAGAGAAAAAGCAGTAAGCCAAAGATTCTCATAAAAAGAAGGGTTTTTTTCCCCCTTCTTTTCTTTCTCTTTTTTTTTCTGTCACCTAGGATGGAGTACAGTAGCATGATTGTAGCTCACTGCAGCGTCAAACTCCTGGGCTCAAGAGATCCTCCCACCTCAACCACCCCAGTAGCTGGGAGTACAATCTTGCACGACCACAGCCGGCTAATGTTTTTATTCTTTGTAGAGATGAGGTCTCATTATGTTGCCCAGGCTGGTCTCAAACTCCTGGGCTCAAGCATCCTCCAGCCTCAGCCTCCCAAATGATTGGGATTACTGGTGTGTACCAGTGTGCATGGCTGCCACCTCTTCTTTAATCATCTGAGATGATATTAACTCCCCATAAATAGACCCTCCCCAAACAGAGCACAGAAAGAGGAGAAAACCAGACACACACAGAGAGTGGAGCAGCCAATGAGCGTGTCACCGAGGTGAGCAGGGCCTCCTTCAGGGCCATCATTGACATCCCCAGCCATGCCGGGCTCCAGTGTTCTTTATTAAGATAGACCCCACTTCCCAGGACCTGAGCCCTGGAGGGTGGAGTGAAACAATGTTTCTACAGACAGAGAATGACGCCTGGAGCAAATGCAGCAAGCCAAAATTTCTTATTAAAAGAAGGAGGGCTTTTTTCCTTCCTATTTCTTTCAAATGTACATAATGCCAGTTTCCTCCCAAGAGTTGAAAGGTACAGGGGAGAACTTCAGTGGCTCCTGACAGACCCAAGAATTGTCTCCCATTGTTGTATCCTGGCAGAAACTCATTCTCCAAGGCAGAACCTCCTCATTTCTCACAGACGCCATGCGCCCTAGTGCACTGGCATGGCCCTTTGGGCAGGTCTCGCTTCTCCACCCCGGGGCGAGTCAGCTGTCTTGGGCCCCATTGAGTGTTTTCATTTAATAATAGAACTCGGTTACTAATAGAAGCAGCCGCCACAGTTAGACAGCAAAAACAAAATCAGTAATAGCACTCTTACTTCACGTGGAGCTGTAAGATTTAGAAAACATTTATATACGCATTGCCTGATTCGGTTTTGTTTTTTTTTGATATAAGGTCTTGCTCTGTCACCCAGGCTGGAGTGCAGTCGTGCAAACATACATCACTACAGCCTTGAACTCGGCTCAAGCCATCCTCCCACCTCAGCCTCTCGAGTACCTGGAACTCCGAGGCCACTCCACCACTTCCAGATCCTGATTGGGCTCTTGACGCTGAGAAAATCATGACTTCCACAGCACTTCTTCACGCCCCAGCAGCGCTCTGAGGCCGAAGAGTCTGGCAAATGCACACCAGGAACCAGACCCAGAGAGGCTCCCGGGGCCCTTGTGTCTCATCCTGAGATCTCTAAAGGGGTCAATTTGGAGGAAGGGCGTGCTTCTCCTCTTGTCACATTCATGCCTCATGTGGTCCCCTTTTCTTATAGGGGGTACCACCCAGGTAGACACCCGGAGACTGCCCCCCCCCCACCGCCCAAAGAGAGTTTAAGGAGCTTTGCAATGACGAGTTTCCTTGACAAAGACCTTCAGTTCCCGACGGCACCTGGGCTGTGGCCAGGTAGTGGTGGCTGGAATCTTTCTTGCATCGCACCTGCTCCTTCACTGGGGAACATACCCCACCATTATTTATGGCGGCCTGGTACAGGTGGCTCGCTGCAAGATATCTGAACCTCCAGACTCGGGGCTCTCCTTGCATTTGCAAAGAATACTGGAACACGGGGCCCCTCGCAGTTCCCATGGAGAACTCCCAGGGGAGTTCTGTTGTGTCACCCTGTGGCTAAGTCTCTCTGATCCTCCCTTGAAGGGCCCAAAAGCACAGCCTCCTCACCACGAGGGATAACACTTTGAGGCCACTCTCACGATAGGGCTTAGGTTTACAGAGGCTGGAAATCCATCCTGGCCAGGGCCACAGACACGAACAACCTCTTCTGGCTTCTGATGGCTCCTCGTGCTTCTATGGTCCCAAGCAAAGAAACCTCCTCACACCAGGCATTCGGTGTGAATCTCCAGACCAAGTGCCCCCATGTACCCAGCCCCTTCCATCACCCCAACTCCAAGCCCCATAGGTCCACCACTCTCATCACAAGACTGCTCTGTGCTCCCCCAGCAGGACTCCTCCTCCCTCTTGCGACCTTTGCCCTGGACACTCCTCATTCTGTAGGTGACCCTGGGTGCCCACATGGCCACCCAGACTTGGTTCCGTCCTTCTCCGCTTGTGTGCTGATGGATTCCTGCATCACGAACTCCACCAGGAAAATCCCAGCTGAGCCCCAGAGCCCCCACAGGGCATGGTTTCAGGAGCATGTCCACTCAGATATCCCACAAGCCCAACAAATCAGCGGATGACCCCCAACTGTGTCCCTTGTCTCATGGGTTGGCACCGCCATCCACTCAGTTCCTGAACCCCAGAACCTAGGAATACTGCCAGGTTGGCTGCAGATCACCCCGTGACTCTGCTGCAAGCCTCTGGAAAAAGCCAACCATGACCTCCACATTGCCACAGATGAGCAAAGAGTCTCCCGTGAAGGCTTTGTATTGGCAGAGACTCTCTACAGGCATCCGAGTGGAGGCCCAGACCCTGGCTTGGGTGGCCCCCACAGGGAAGGCCAAAGAGCAGACCCGGGCCCTGTAATGTATCTCAGAGACCGAAATGCTCATCTCCTCCGAGAACTCAGCAGATAACCTCCAAATCCCTAAATCGGGACATAGCAGTAGGAGCCCATCATTTAGAGACACAGAGGTTAATATTCAGAAGAAATAGCTGAAGAAAAAAAAGAGAAGTTTGCGGAGGTGGGTCTCCACGGGTGCACCACATGAAACAAGGGACTGCTGAATTGTATTTTTCATCGTACATTTCCTAGTCCTATATGGCCCTTTAAGCGGAAGGATTAATCTGATATCACTAATTATAATAACATGTGAAAAATACATCTCAACACAATAAGTAAGCCTGGGAGCTGATTCATCCACATCAGCTAATACAAATCTGAGCCATCTCTAGATTCAAGGAATGATTGTGCAATGTCTCGTGAACGTATCTATGCAGTGTTTTACTCACCTTGAAAATAACTACCATATGATCCAGTAATCTCACTTCTGGGTATTGATAGTCCAGATACTCCCCATGTTCTTTGCAGCACTATTCATAATAAGCAAGATATAAGAACAACCTAAGTGTTCATTGATGGATGAATAAAGAAAATGTGGTATATACATACAATGGAATATTATTCAGCCTTAAAAAGAAGGAAATTCTGACATTTGTGACAACATGGATGGACCCTGAGAACATTATGCTAAGTGAATATGCCAGACACATACTGTGCGACCTCACTTATATGTGGAATCTAAAATAGTTAAACTTATATAAACAGAGAGTAGAATGGTGGTTGCCAGGGGCTGGTTGGGGCAGGGAATGGAGGGTTGATGGTCAAAGTTGCAAAGTTTCAGTTATGTAAGATAAAGAAGTTCTAGAGATCTACTACATAGCATAATGCCTATAGCTAAAAACACTGTATTGTATACTTCAAATTTACTAAAAGAGTAGATTTTTGGCTAAGTGTTCTTATCACACACACACACACACACACACACACACACACACACACACACAAAATAAGAATAATATTAATAATAATAATAATAATAGTAATAAAAAAGAGGGTATGTGGAAAGTTAAAAAAAAAAAAAAAGAAAAGAACTCGAGCATAGGAGACCCTCACCAGAAACAACAATAAATTTCACTGGCAAATGCAGCATGTTAACGTGAAAATTTTGATTTCAGGAATATAGAGGAAGGCGAGCACAGTGTCAGCTGTAAAACACGCACTCACATTACTTTGAATGTTTTTGACCTTTCCTTAGCCCGGGAAATCTATTAGCCCTAGAAACCGCCAGCACAGCAGGGAGCAAAGACGTCCTGCTTTCCCTTTGGCGAGGGACCTTGTGTTTCAGATATGCTTTACTTCCTATGAGGATGGTTCCGTTTCTGCAGCTGCCACCTCGTCTTTCATAAGAGGAGTTATAAAATGATACTCATGCTGGGGCCACATTCCAGACCTGCTAAGTCAGACTCTCTGGGGATGGGGTCCGGCATTTGCTCTTGGACAAATGCTCCACGAGAGACCTGATGCACAGCTGACGTTGAGAGACATAAGCACACACTCCCTTTCGCCTGCCCTGATTTTTAAATATAACCTTGGACTTCATAGCCTTGTTTGTAGTTAATGAATTGGGAAAAAAAAAGTAGGGGTTGCCTTCTCTTTCAAGAGCATCTTTTGACATATTTATTCTACAGCCACGTCTAGAGCAATTTCAAGGACTTAGGAGGGTGGTTATGCCACAGCTTTACCTTTCCGACCTGATGCTCGGCAGGCCCAGGAGAGGGAGAAGAGCCTTGCAGGTGGAAAGGGGTCGAGAGTTCTGTTGTCTTGGTAACCGTGCTGCCACTCATCCCATTGGGGTGCTCAGCTCCGGCAGGGGCCCTGTGGGTGAGACAACACCCCTCCCCACTCTGGCTGTCTTCCTGTGCTCAGAGGTTGAAGCTAAGGGCTGAGGTTGGTTACCAGAGAAACTGAAGCCAGGTCCTTGAGATTGGTGAACAGAAAAACCGGCAGTGGAATTCAGGACGTAGCATGGATTATGGGAGCCAGCCCACAGACAGAGGATTGACAGTCACTAGTGCATGCACCCACAGGGTGCCTGCGCAGGAACGCGTGCACACCGCACACAGACACACACGTAGACATGTGCACTCACCAGCACTCCCTCTGCCCAGGTGTGCACAGTCTATCTGGCTGGAGCATCAAGTGCACGTGGAGGAGCCAGGCGACCAGGCAGGACATGTAGGCAGGATGCGGAACAGGGAAAGAGAGGGGATGTTGCTTACTGTTGTAGAAAAAAATGACTGCATACCCCTTCCTCCGTGACTTACGGTCACACTTGCACTACATTTTTTAAATGGCTTTACTAAGGTATAATTTGCTTGCCACAAACTTCACGTACCTAAAGGGAATAACACAGTGAGTTTTAGTAAATTTACACAGTTTTGCAGCCCTCACCACTATCCAGTTTCAGAATACTTCCATCACCCCAGAAAGATCGCTGGTACCCACTAGCAGCAGTGAATCCCCATTACTTTACCTCCAGGCCCACCCAGGCAACTAGCAAGCTCCTTTCTCTCTCTTTAGAGCTGCCTCTCTGGGCATTTCCTATAAACTGACTTGTGCAATAAGTGGTCTTCTGTGTCTGACATCTGTCAATGAGCATAATGTCTTGGAGGCTCAAACGTGCATCAGTAGTGTGTTCTTTGTCACGGCTCAGTAACATTCGGCTGTACGGATATACCACTTCTTTATCCCTTTACTGATTGGTAGACATTTGGCTTGTTTCCACCCTGGGGCCTTCCTGCAAAATGCTGCAGTGAACATCTGAGCACATGTCTTTGTGTAGACATGATTTTATCACTAATGGGTGTCAGATATTGTCAAATACTTTTCTCTGTCTATGAAGATGATGATATAGTTCCTGTCCTCTATTATATTAACAGGGTGGATTACCTTGACTGAAATTTGAATGTTAAGCCAATCTTGCATTCCTAGAATAAATGTCACTTGGTCATGTTGCATAACCCACTGTATGTGTCGCTGGATTGGGGTTTGTTAATGTTTTGTTGGGGATTTTTGCACGCATATTCATGATGGATATTGGTTTATGGTATTCTTCTGCTGTCTCTGGCACTATTATTATTATTATTATTTTATTATTGTTTTTGAGACAAGTCTTGCTCTGTCACCCAGGCTGGAGTGCAGTGGTGCGCTCTGGGCTCACTGCAACTTCTGCCTCCCAGGTTCATGCAATTCTCCTGCCTCCGCCTCCCGAGTAGCTGGGAATACAGGTGCCCACCAGTATACTCAGCTAATTTTTGTATTTTTAGCAGAGTCGGGGTTTCACCATGTTGGCCAGGCTGGTCACAAACTCCTGACCTCAGGTGGTCCGCCCACCTCAGACTCCCAACACGTTGGGATTACAGGCGTGAGCCACCACGCCCAGCCTCTATCTGCCTTTAGTAGCAGGGTAATACAATTTTCAAAGGATAAGTTGGGAAATGTTCCCTCCTCTATAGTCTAAAAGAATCTGTGAAGGGTTGGCATTATGTATTTTGTAAATGTTGGATAGCCTTCACCAATGAGGCAGTGGAGCCTAGACTGTCCCTAGTGGGAAGATTTTTAATGTAGTCTTTCTATTTCCTTACATTCTCCGGGTCTACTCAGATGTCCCATGTGATCACTGCATTTGCACCTTTCTCTGTCCCAATCCTCTCTCGCCTGCTGGTGCCTTTGGTTTGGTCTCTACTCTAGAATGTCGCATGCTGGACACCTGTGGACATCACAGGACTGCAGATCCTAGTCTGTAACTTGGGATAGTATGGTGTCTCAGACATGACCCCCAAGTCCCATCCACCCCCCATACACAGGTACAGGGACAAAGACCTGGAGGTGAGGATGTGGAGGGTGTGCCGAGTGCCTCAGTTACCTCCACCCACCCACCTTCCATGTCTGTTCCTGGAGACCCTGTGGCACTGTGCATCTGTGACTTCCCTGAGCAAGCCCCTGATGCCTGCTTTTTCCAACTGAGATCCTTCTCACTCCTTTCATCTCCTGAGACTGGGACCACATGGGATCAACCACCTGTTCTCTGACACAACGATGCGTATCTGCTAGCATTTCAATATTTGTGTTCCCTCCAAAACTCACAGTGAAATGAATCCCCACTGCAACAGTGTTGGGAGGTGTGGAATAACAGCAGGTGTTTAGGCCATCACGGCAGAGCCCTCGTGAGTGAATGAATGCTGCTATGAAAAGAGCTTGCAGAAGTGGGTTTGCTCTCTCTTTTCCTCTTCTGCTATGTGAGGACATAACATTCTCCCCGGCTTGTCCTTCCACCTTTTGCCACGTGAGGAAATACCAGGAAGACTCTTGCCAGATACCAGATACTGGTACCTTTGTTTTGGACTTCTCAGCATCCAGGGTCGCGAGAAATAAATTTGTTTCCATTACAAATTGCCAGCTGTCTTGGTCCATTTTGCTTTGCTATAACAGAATACCTGAGACTCAGTAATTTCTAAAGAAAATGGGAGGCCAGGCACGGTGGCTCATGCCTGTTAATCCCAGCATTCTGGGAGGCCAAGGTAGGAGGAACACCTTCAGGCCTGAAGTTCGAGATCTGCCTGGGCAACACGGCCAGACGCTATCTCTACAAAACATTTAAAAATCAGCCTGGCATGGCAGTACATCCTTGAGCTACTTGGGAAGCTCAGGTGGGAGGATCCCACCTGAGTTCAAGGCTGTAGTGAGCCATGATCGTGCCACTCCACTCTCGTCGGCAACAGAGCATCACCCGGTCTCTTAAAAAAAATTAAAATAAATAAATCTTTTAAAAAGAAAAAGTTGGTCTATCTGGCTCACAATTCTGGTGGCTGAAACATTCATTTTTGGGCAACTGCATCTGGTGAGGGCCTCGGGCTGCTTCAACTCATGGTGGAAAGTGGAAGGGGAGCCGGCGTGTGCAACGAGATCACATGGAAAGAAGGAAGGGAGAGAGAATCGAGGGAGGCCAGAATCTTGTGAACAATCCACTCTCCTGCGAACTAATCCATACCTGTGAGAGTAAGAACTCAGCCCAGCAGGATGGCATCACAGGACACTGACTCATTCATGAGGGATCCCCACCACGACCCAAACACCTCCCACTAGGACCCACCTCCCAACACTGCAGCACTGAGGATTCAACTTCAACCTGACTCTTGGTGGGGATAAACACACCATATCCAGTCCAGAGCACCCAACCTGTTGTATTTCATGATATAGTGGAAGGACACAGACTAAGATGGGGTCGGATCTCTCTCCCTGATGAATCGCTCAATCCCCCGGAGCGGGGCTACCTCTGCAACTCCTCCTCACCTCCCCACCACGACAGTCGACGTAGCCCAGAAGGGAGACAGGCAAGGTGAGAAAATGGAAACCCTGATGATTGCTGAAATGATGACTGTCACTGGCAGCATGGACCTGGTGTGCTTGCTGCGCTGACTGAGAAGGTCCGCAGAGAGCATCTGAGTGGTTGGGGAGTGAGACAAAGGCATGCATCTCTGGCCACCACTTTAGGACCTGCACAAACTCTCCACAAGGTGGGGATGGTTGTACCTGGCCCACGGCACTGTGTGGAGGATTCAGCAATGGATCTCACCAAGACTTGGTGCTACCAGCTATGAAATGAGCACCAAAGCCCGGCTCTAGGCACTTCACCCACAGCCTTCACAGAGGTGAACTGCTGAAGGGGGGCCAGCTCCGATCCCAGCCTACCTAGGTTCGGGTGCTAGTTCTACCTCTTACTGCCTGTGCCACCGTGGGCTAGTTCCCTAACTTCTCTGGTGTTCTGCTTTCGAAATTCATAAAGCGGAACTGAAAATGTTGCTAGAGGATGGGTGTGTGGGAGTGGAGGAAGGCAGCTGACATATGGAAATGGGGAAAATACCATCAGAACCCTAGGAAACATCAGCCAAAGGGCAACGCCTCGAACCCCTTTGAAACCCTCCCGGATTCACTGGTCTCCATTTAGGCCTTTGTGTTTCAAGAAGGAATAGCCCTGCTTTTTTTTCCCTTCTCCCCTGGAGCTAGGTCAGTTCAACTGTCGACTCTCTCATGAGATCTCAGCATCAGAATCCAAGACACTTACCTGTTTTCAAGCCACTTCTGTCGGCAGGAGATGTGTAGACTTTTGCAGCAAGACAGCTCTGGGGACTACCTAAAACAGACTGACACAAAGCAGAATTTGTTTTCAGTTCAGAGGAGTCACATGGGTACTGGCTGGGTTCACATCTCAGGATTCTGCAGAGGTTAAAAAAAAAGGTAGATTTAGTCATTTGTGCCTCCTGAAATTAAAAGACACACATGTCTAAATCCCAATAAGATGTTGGAAGAACCCAAGGATGCTCTGGTTCTCACAAAGCAGGTGCAAACTGCTGCTCAGTTTCACCCACCCGGGCCCACCACACAACAAGCAATGGCGCCGCAGCCCCTAAGCCAGGGCACCAGCACCAACACGCAGGGCTCTCACCGTGGGCGGCGGACTCTGCTTCCACGTCTCCTGTGCACAGGAAGCCTCTCTTCAAAGCCATGGCCCTGCCTCGCTGGTCTCGATGCTGGTCCCGCTGCAGGGCTCAAACAGTGACTGGGCTGTGTTCTCTGGTGCCCTCCCTCCCCCGTTCCCAGTCTCCACAGCACAGAGCTTCCCTCAATAAACCCGGATCCCCTGCTGGGAGATTTCAAGGTAACCAGCTCAGATCTAATGAGAAACAAACCAATACTGAGGAACAAACCTGAATTCTACACCCATTTTCCATTCCTACATATATTTATTTGGTATTGATGATGAGGAACCCCGTCAAAAATTCCTGTAAGGGAGACTACTACTCGACTGTTAGGGGTATTGCAACATTTACATACATGTAGCTTATCACATACGTAAACATTTACACAAATAGTACAGCGGTGAACCACCAAGTTCTCATTCCACATTCCTTTCCCACACTGCGTTTACCTGCCCATTCTTGAAACTGGATCTCAGGGCAGCACATTGCATTTCAACAGGCCTAGTGCTGCTTCTCAGAGGCAGTCAACTCAATGGTGCAAAAGCACAGGACAGCGACAAGGCATTCACACTACACAGACATGTGATCTCTTACTGACAGCAGGAAGGGAAGAGAGATGGAGATCCCGGGTGGGAAAGCGACAACATGCATCACAGGAGCCATGTGAGATGCGGTGAGGACCGCTGGTACGCAGCGTCCCTTGCCAAGGAATGCCTCACAGCCATCCGAGAATGACAGGCACGAAACATGAGGACCTTCCTCGGGTCAGTCAAGCATCATGCTGGGAGGACTCCCACGTGTCCCGGTACACAGGTCCTGGCACTCATCCGACCACAGCTTGCTGTTTGGTCCCCAAAATGGGCCCACACCCAGGCGCTGCCAACACGGCGGCTCCGTCTGAGTCCCTTCGGGTCTCCATCCCATGGGGGTGCACGTCTCAGTTTTCCTCTAACCACTGCTTGAGCAGCCTCTGAAACATTATTTTGCTCTCCTGCTGCCTCTCTCGCTGGCGCTTCTCCTCTGTCTCCTGTGGCTGGAGTGCCGCTTCAGGCAGAGGCCCGGGCTGGTTGGTGCCTAGGCTGAGAGTCAAGCCACTGAGGCCCTGCACCAGCGTCTCCCAGGAGGAGGGATGTGGGGCCCTGTTACTCTCCCCAGGGATCCCAGAAAGATTCGGCCTGTGGCTCTGGCAGTATCGACATTCACATCGGAATCGATTCTGACTTCTGTCACCTAATGGGGAGATTCTGGCTTCCCTCCCAACAGCATAGGGGGCCATGTGATCGCGGTGTCTCCTCCTCACATGCCGCAGGAATGCTTTCTTCCTCTGAAGGAACTCCAGCCTCTCCCACCGCCGCTCTTCCAGGGTCTTCTCCTCTCTGTACCGCTGGCGGAGCAGCCCCTCTGGGAGAGGCACGGCCTGGCTGGGGCCAGGACCGGGGCTCAGGTTACTGAGGCCCATCATCGGCTGTTCTGAGTACGAAGGCTGAGAGGGCGCTGGACCTTCCTGGGAAGTCTCTGCAGCTGTCATCGGGGAAGATTTGGAAGGCGATGCTGGATTCCGTTTCTGGAGTGGATCCATGGAGGTCTGGTCCCAGCTGGAAGCTCCGCCAGGCCCTCGGGTCCAGAAAAGGAGGTGAAGCTGGAGGTTCTCAGACACCAAGAAGGTGGCGAGGAATGTGTGCGGGCAGAACCCAGACTGCAACGCAAGGTGATAAGACAAGAAAACACAGAATTATTCATCTTACTCAACCTCTCTGTCCCTCCACTTCCTGTGTGTAGAATGGGGATTATAGAGAGACCCTGTCCTAGGCTTCTTCTGAGGATGACGTGAGATCATACATCTCACCAGCTTAGAATATTAATGCCATCTAATAAAGGATTTACAAATGATACCAATTAATGCATCCACGTGACACGGGGTGCAAAAGGATGCAATGCAGTTCGACGATGTCAATTCCCTGCTGACATTTTCCAACCCCTTCCCAAGCATCATTTGTAGAATAATCAATGTGTGACTCACAGGTGCTCTGCCCATGAGCGTTCATTTTCATCCACTCACAAGGGAGACTTTTACTCAACTGTAAGCGTTTGCACCATGGGGACACACCCTTTTGTATGTTCGCCTTCCTGACCACTGGGTTTGCATCTAGTCGAAAAGGCTGCTCATGCCTATGGAAATCGTTTCCAAATTCCTAGTGTGGATAAGAATTTATTTTGCTAAACAACAGAAGCATAAACCCCCAGGAGACTTCAAACAGAAAAACACATAGATGAATTCAATTAATCCAGGAAAAAAAAAAAAAAAAAAGCTGGTTCTTTGAAGTGATCAATGAAATTGATACACCCGTGGCAGGACTGGCTGGGAAAAAAGAGGGCAAAGAAACAAGTTACCAATATCAGGAATGCAAGAAGAGATTTCACTCCAGACCCAGAAAACATAAAAGGGTCAATATGGTAAGAATACACGCAACTCTACAGATTCACATTCCACAGGTCAGAGGAAATGTAGCACATACTTGAAAACCACAAGCTACGGAAACTCACACAGGATGGATTTCAAACACTGAACTGTGTGCACAGTCCTATATGTTTTAAAGAAGTTGAATTCACAGGCAAACACATTTGCAAAAAGATCTCTGGGCCAAGACAGTTTCACTGGCCAAGTCTACCAAACGTTTAATGAAGAAATATCACCAACTTACACAACTTCTTCTAGGAAACAAAGCAGAGGGAATGCGCCCCACTGATTTTATGAGGCCAGCACCACAGGGATACCAAGAAAAGGACAGACCAGTATTCTTTCCTAGTACAGGCACCAAAGTATTCAACAAAACCTTGCAGTTTGAATTGAGCAATATGTGAGAAGAATAATAAGCCACGATCAAGTGGGTTTTATAGCGGGAATGCAAGGGTTGTTCTTCCCACACCTGAAAATCAATCAATGTAACCCACAGATTGAGAGATCAGATGAAGAACAAAAATGACAGGATCACATCAAGCTATGCAGAAAAACCCTTTGATAAGATTCAAAGTCCACTGGTGATATAAAAGCTCTAGCACACTAGGAACACAAGACAACTTCCTCAACCTGAAAAAGGGCGTGTACAGTCAAACCTACAACTAACAAGCCACTTAATGGTCAACGACTGGATGCTTTCTGCCTAAGGATGCGAACCAGGCAAGGACGTCCACTCTCACCACAGCTATTCAACGTCACGCTGAGGCCCAGTCAGTGCTATAATGCCAGAAGAATCACGGCACACACCGGAGAAAGCAAGAAACCAAAGTACTCCTTTTCATGGGTCCTGTGATCGTCTACATGAAACAACCAGTGTATCTCCCCCAGACTCTCAGAGCTAATAAGAGCTTAGTGCTCATTAATGAGAGCTTAGCAGCAATACAGGAGAGAAACTCAACACACGGAAAACAATCCTATGCGTAACTGGAAACCTAAATTTAAGAAATAATACTGTTTTACAAAAGCTACAAACACAATGCAATGGTTATGTATAAAGCTAAAATACGTGGACGGGGTCTGTATGCCCAAAACTATTAAACGGTAATGAAAAAATCAAAGAAGATTTAGTTAAATGGAGAGAAACAATGTGTTCCCATATTTAAAGACCCAAAAAAGTTAACAGTCCATTGTCCCCAACTTGATCTGTAGAATGAATGCAGTGCCTGCCAATCAGAATCCTTGAGGGACATTTGCATGCATAAACAAGCAGATTCTACAATTCACGTGGAATATCTGATGTTTCAAAAAGCAGAAGGTATTTTAGAGAGATGATATTATCAGATTTTCAGATTTGCTCTAAAGCTGTAATAATCGAGATTGCTGGCTTACAGGGGTAGACGAGTAGATCCATGGAATAAAATAGAGTCCATGAATCCATCCATAGAAATGTGTCCAGTGAGTTTTGACATGGGTGTGAGAGGGAATCCAATGGAGAAGGGATAAGCTTTTCAATACATGAGGTGGCCTATCCTTACGCAAAAAGATGCACCTCAACCTCAACCTTTACACGCAATTAAGGAAAAAGGGTTCAGAGACCTACACGCCAAAGTTCAATACTATGACTTTTGGTAGAAACCGTAGGAGGACATCTTTGTGAGGGGAGGCTAGGACATGACCTGAGATGCATGATCCATGGAAAGGAAAGATGGATGGATAGGAGTTTGGCAAAATTTAAAACTCTGGCTCTGGCCGGGCGTGGTGGCTCCTGCCTGTAATCCCAACACTTCGGGAGGCCAAGGTGGGCAGATCACTAGAGTTCAGTTGTTCGAGACCAGCCTGGCCAACATGGTGAAACCCTGTCTCTACCAAAAAATACAAAAATTACCTGGCATGGTGGGACATACCTGTAGTCCCCAGCTACTGGGGAGGCTGAGGCAGGAGAATTGCTCGACCCAGGAGGCAGAGGCTGCAGTGAGCCGAGATCGAGCCACTGCCCTCCAGTCTGGGCGACATAGCGAGCCCCTGTCTCTAAATAAATAAATAGAACAGAATAGAACAGAATAGAATAGGATAGATAGAATAGAATAGGATACGATACGATACTATACGATAATATACGATACGATACGATACAATACAATACAATACAACACAATACAACACAATACAATACAACACAACTTTGGCTGTGTAAGAGCCAGTGTGTTCAGAGAATGAAAATCAAAGCTGCACCACTAGGAGGAAATGTTTGAGAATCACCAACCTGACAGATCTTATATCCAAAACACATGGCGCGTTTTCAAAACTCCACAATAAGAAAATCAACACCCCAACTAGAAAATGGGGGAAAGACTTGAATGGGAGCGCAAGAAACCATATTTAACATCATTCAGCATTAGGGGAATGCAAATTAACACCATGGAGACTGGCAAGGCCAAGCGAGAACATGTTGGGTGACTGGAACTCTCACACTTTGCAGCTGGGAGGGCGAAATAGCACAGCAACTTTGAGAAGCAGTTTGGCAGTTTCTTGTAAGTCAAACAGATGTTTACCATAGGACCCAGCCATCCCACTCCTGGGTATCTACCCTAGAGAAATGAAAACTTAGGTTCACAAAAAAGCCCGCACTGAATTGTAAAAGCAGCTCGATGCGAAACTGCCCCACACTGGACAGAGGAAAATGTCATTCAGTAGAAGGATGGCTGAACACCTGTGGTCTTCCACACCGTGAAACTGCCTTCATGAAAAAACAACAGCCTGTGACAGAGGCATCTGACACTCATCCGAGATGTTCATCGGGCCAAAAGAAGGAAGCCCGCCTCACAAGGCCACAAACTGTATGGTGTCATTGACATAACACTCTCCCCAAGACAAAACTAGAGGGAAGGAAACAGATCACTTTACACCAGGGATGATGGATGAAGAAGGGGTAACCGCAATGGGGCAGTTCCAGGGAGTGTCCTGCGGTGATGGGACTGTTCTGGATCCCGACTGTGGTGGTGGTGACAAGAATGTATGCCCGTGTCAAAGCTCACAGAACTGTACTCCTGAGGGAAAAAAGTCAATCTTGCTGTAGGTTAAGTGGAAAAACCCAACGGCATATTTTGCGATAAGGGTATCTCTCTGTACTGTTTTGATAAATACATCTTGGATGAGTGCAACCAAAAATTGACATTAAATGCTAAATGGAAACTTTAGATCAGCCTCCCAGGCTCTATTCTTTTGACAAACGTGGAAACCAAGAATTCACTAGTTTTCTTCAGAGGATACTGGTCCTCTGAATGTTTATTCACCAAATCGTGGCTATCAGCCCACACTGGGGCAAGAAAGACAGAACCGTAACAGGAACAGTTTGAATATGTACTGAACACAAACATATATAAACACACACACACACACATCCCAGAAAGAGTTCTTAACTTTTCAGAAATTGCAATCTATCTTTCCTACGAGTTAGTTCCCTGACATCCTTTGGGCCACCACTATCTGACACAAACAGTTAATGTGTGAAACGTTTGGAAAATGATCTTAACCCAATTATCTCCCAGCCAATTCTCATGTGTCACAAGGACTCTCTCAGGATCTATTTCTACATGTAGAAAGCCAATTCTCAGAGAGAGAAAAGACCTTACGACCCCCACCCCCCACGTTTCTTTTGCTGTTTTGTTTGTTTGTTTGAGGCAGGGACTCGCTCTGTTACCTAGTCTGGTGTGCAGTGGCAAAACCTCGGCTCATTGAAACCTCTGCTTCCTGGGCTCAAGGGATCCTCCAGTCTCAGACGCCTGAGCAGCTTGCACTACAGGCGTGAGCCACCATGCCCGGCTAATTTTTGTATTTTTTGTAGAGACGGGGTTTTGCCATGTTGCCTAGGCTGGTCTGGAACTCCTGAGCTCCACATGATCTGCATGCCTCAGCCTCCCAGAGTGCTGGGATTATAGGCGTGAGCCACTGTTCCCAGCCAGAAACACTTTTATGAGAAGAAATGTGAGCCGGGTGTGGTGGCTCATGCCTGCAATCCCAGCACTTTGGAAGGCCGAGGCAGGCAGATCACCTGAGGTCAGGGGTTTGAGACCAGCCTGGCCAACATGGCGAAACGCCATCTCTACGGAAAATACAAAAAAATTAGCTGGGTGTGGTGGTGGGCACCTGTAATCCCAGGTAATAGAGAGGTTGAGGCAGGAGAATCACTTGAACCCAGGAGGCGGAGGTTGCAGTAAGCCGAGATTGCACCACTGCACTCCAGTCTGGGCAACGGAGCAAGACTCTGTCTCAAAAAAAAAAAAAAAAAAAAAAAAAAAAAGAAAAAGAAAAAAAAGAAATAGGAAGATTCTGGAGACATCAACTGACAACCGGCCTGCATAGTCATCGCTCTCTTTTCTCTCTTTCTCCCTCCAGCAATTTTGTGAAATGAAACATTTTACCGTCCTATGTGTAGGTTCATCCAGAGATTCTCAAACCACACCCATGGAGTTGCTCATGATCCCTGACAGAGGCATTAAGGACAGTGAGGCCTAGAGAAGTCCGTTGTGTGTGCGGAGGGGAGCAGCTGCAGCAATACATGTGACTTCCCTTCCTTCATCATCTCACCAATGTCATTTCTTCAACAGGCACTTGCCCCCAGGTAAAAGACCTTGTATCAAAAATCTCTGCATGAAACACCACAGCCTCAAGTTTCCTGCATCATGTCATGCAGCTACCGAAGAGAGAGAAGGACTACTGGAGACAGGGAACCCAGACAGTTTACCGGTCAGACCTTCAGCATGAGAGGTGATGTCTCTGGGTACCAATCCCTCACTGTGATGGTTTTATCGGTCAACTCGGCCAGGCTTGGTGCCTGGTCCCTTTTGGTCAAATGCTACTCTAGTTGTTGCTGGGAAGGTATTTGTGGACATGATTAACATTTACAATCACGCTGGGCACAGTGGCTCACGCCTGTAATCCCTGCTTCGGGAGGCTGAGGCGGGTGGATCACTTGAGGTCAGCAGTTCGAGAGCAGCCTGGCCACCGGGGTGAAACCCCATCTCTACTAAAAATAAAAATTAGCCGGGTATAGTGATGGGTGCCTGTAGTTTGGGACTGCCATGGCCCTTGGCAAGACTTTCACCTCTCATTCACCCTGCATGACTCAGCTGAGATAGCACTTCTCCCAGGAAGCCTTCTCCAAGCTCCTAAAACGCCCTGTATTTCCCCTGTCCCAGCCCCAATCCCACTCAGCTGTCAACAGATGGTTATTTCTCTGTCAACCCACTAGCCCAGGAGCTGACAGAGGCCAGGGACTTTGTCTTGTTCACCCATCACAGAGCCTTGAGCCCAGTGGACATTCACAAATATCTATCAAATGAAACAAGAAGGATGTGGGGCCCGTGATAAACATCTCACTGAGAATGTCAAGTCAACCCTGCAGAATCCATATTTTCCCACGTTGCAAAGGCAGAAATTCCTGCATGGAGAGGTCAAGTAACTTCCCTCAGATCACACAACCACTCAGGGACAGAATTCCCTCCCAGGTCTCCCTGACTGCAGATGAACACACCCCTGGTGGCATTGCCTCTCTGGGTGTTCAGCCTCCCCTGATACCTAAGCGAGAAAGTAATCCTGAGGGAAGAGTTCAGACAGCAGAGTCCTAGGGGCTGACCCGCATGTCCACAGCTGCCCGGGGATCGGGTGCAATGCTGCGAATCCTTACCGTCACTTCCTCCTGGCCAGTTCTGTTCCCATGCCAGAAATGCTGCACCAAACGCACCTCTCACACTCCCCACTCTCATTCGCTTCAATTCTCCTGTGCGGAAGGAGAAAGAGAACAGCTAAGCAAGTGAATCCAGACGACACCCTGCAGATGAGCGCCAGGAAGAGCTTTGTGTTTCTTTTCAAAATTAAGCCAGTCCCATGTGATGCTTTTTTCAATCTTCCACAATAATATGAGATAATAAAATGCATTTATTTCAGTTTAAAGATACAGATTTCATTTAATAATCCCAATTAAATATGGACTTTTTTTTTTTTTTTTGAGACAGTCTCACTGTGTCGCCCAGGCTGGAGTGCAGTGGCATGATCTCAGCTCACTGCAACCTCCGTCTCCTGGTTTAAAGCAATTCTCCTGCCTCAGCCTCCGGAGTAGCTGGGATTACAAGCACCCGCCACCACACCCGGCTCACATTTGTATTTTTAGTAGAGACAGGGTTTCACCACGGTGGCCAGGCTGGCCGCGAACTCCTGACCTTGTGATCTGCCCACGTCGGCTTCCCAAAGTGCTGAGATTACAGGCGTGAGCCACCACGCCCGGCCACATGGACTTTTTTCTAGAAGTGGCAAAATCCTACAGCAAAATGTCTAAGGTCTGTGCAAGTTCTCTGGGTGCTGAAAACCGTGCTCCTAGTCTTGTGCCATGTCATGGCAAAGGAATCTAACTCCTAGCCACGCAACGCCACACAGATTGAGGAAAGAGTCTGTCCTACACATGACTTGCAGATGTTCTACATTTTTGATGCCTACACAGATCATCTCTATCCTACTGGGTCTGGAGCGGAAGAGATACAATTTTTAGCAGCTTTGTAACAAAAGAACAGGTAGTCAGTAAAGCCAGCAATGCCCACTTTCAAGAAAGAAAGAAGAAAATGAAGACAGCAGTGAAGCGTGGTGCTGGCATCAGGGGTCTCCCAGCAGGTGAGTACACAGAAAAGCAGCGGGAGTACAACCGGGAGTCCGGGGAGGGAACAGGGGAGGGACCAAGAAGAGTGGCCAGAGCAGCAAGAGGAAGACAAGGAGCAAGTCCGCTCTGGCGAGAATGGAGCTTGCCTAGACTCACCCAAGGCAGTCAGGTCGCTGGGTTCACAAGGTCGATGCTGTGGGTGTAGGCCGAGTGACTGCTACACCTTTCACCTACAAAAGAAAATAACCTCACTGGCCAGGTCACATTCCTCCAGGTATTTACTGAGGGCCCACTCCATTCAGCGGTGCCTTCGGTGAATTATCCAATGCAGCCCCATCCCAAGGACGTGTCTTAATCTGAGGAATAAAATATTGTCCAAGGAGCCAGGAATGGTGGCTCACGCCTCTAATCCAAGCACTTTGGGAGGCTGAGGTGGGAGGACTGCTTCAGCCCAGGAGTTTGAGGCCAGCCTGAGCAACAGGGCGAGACCACCATCTCAACAAAAAACTTAAAAAATTAGCCAGGCATGATGCTGCACAGCTATGGTCCCAGCTACTGGGGAGGCTGAGGTGGGACGATCACTTGAACTCAGGAGGTTGAGGCCAGTGCAGTCCAACCTGGGTGACAGGGTGAGTCCATCTGAAATCACAAAACAAAACAAAAAGACAACTATGGCAGGCATGAGACGGGGGTACTTCTGACACAGAGGAAGTCAAAATCACCATAGCCCAGGTGGTCAGGAACAGCTTCTCCCAGGGCATGCTATGATATATATTCTCATCCCCAGTTGCAGATGAGGTAACAGGATCAGAGAGGTTAAGCAACTCACTCAAGGTCACACATCTAGGGAGTGGTGGTGACCATTTCTCACTGAGGTCTGCTGAAATACAAAAGTCACTCCACCATTTGTGACACCAATCTCTCTTTATATTGTCACCCGTTTTAATTCGCATTCATAGACGTATACTTACCTGTGGCTCTCCTTAGTTTCATATTCTCATAAGCGGCTACACACGGTATAGATTTCGTCTTAGCACATCAGGCCTTTCCCTTAAAGAACCTGAATTTCCCGTGCCCGGCACGACTGCCCAGCCCAGAACTGAACACTTATCTCAAATTAATCTTCCAACCACACACCAAGGAAAGAAAATGGATTACTGCCACGTAGAGATTTAATTTGGGTATTTCACGAATTCTGAACTACGATTTGAAATGTAACCACTGTCCAACCAGAAACAGTAAAAACAAAGTGCTTCCCTATGAAAAGTATTCACAGGACATTTTATTAAATGCCAAAGCATTCCAGGTAAGACACACTGCCCGTTTTATAGGAAGTTGTTGAGATTCTGCTCCTAAGAATACAGTAGTCCTTTCTCTCTCCACTGCTAGTGCCCTGATAAGCTCAGCCAACCAAGGCCATTCGCTTTTCCATTTGCAAGCAAACACACCAAACTACCCTCACACCCACGCACAAATCCAACGCACCCAACGGGTCAGTGAGTAGAGGGAAATGGTATTGGAGATGCAGATGGGAATCTGTGGCTACTCAGAGCACCACATTTCTGATGGCGGAGAGGGCTACCGCCCAGGGTCGCCTGTACTCCAGCAAGGTGGACGGCGGAGAGGCCCTCCCTCTCTAAACATGAGACCCTGCAGCTTGTGCGGCTACTGGACACAAATGGCCTGGACCATTCATTGCGCACGAATGCAGCAATCACACCGCCCATTAAACGCATGTCTAGTCGTATTTCACATTACGACCGTCCCTCTGTCACACGTCGGAGAAAGGGTTTGTCGGACGGTTTGTTTCAATAGGGGCAATGCAGTCCTCCTTGAAAACCCTCCAGTCACTGTCTCCTGCTGTGCGATGGGAGAGGAGGTGGGGAGGGAGGTGATGCCAAGGACACGGTGATTTCTGAACCCGCTGAACACTGATCCTAGCCCAAGTGTAGTCCCGCCGGCTACCAATGCCCGCGGCATCCTCTTTCTCCGCTGAAAAAGGCCACCCCCAAGTAGGGAACGAGAACAACGCCACCCCCAGAGTGCACGACCGCCATTCCCACACCGGGGAGATATGGACGACGTGGAAAATCACCCGCTTCCTTCGAAAGCCCCACTCCCGGCCAGCCCAACCCAGGGATTCGAGTCCCAAGACACCCTGGCCTGTGCTAGGGACAGCCTCCGTCTCGGCCTCTCGCTCTGTCTCTCTGGAAGTCTCTCTCCCACCCCCCCGCTCTCAGTCTCTCCCGCGCGCTCGCTCGCTCTCCGTCTCTCTCGGGCTCTCTCACGCGCGTTCTCGCTCCGGAGCCGGTTCCCGCCGTCCAAGCGCCAACGCGGCGCCTCGTTTCCTCTGCCCTGGAAACGCAGCGCCGCCCGCTCGTAATTGAAGGGTTAAGACCATCGAGAGGAGCCGCCCTCCGGCGGGCTAGAGGCGCCGCAGCGCGGAAGGGGGCGCCGGCGAGGATGTGCTCACGTCACAGGGATGCGACGCCGCTGAGAAACTGAACCTTTGATTGGCTGCCGCGGACCGCCGGAGCCGGAAGACGGAGCGGTTGGGTGGCTTCTCGCGACCCACGCCGCTCGGGTGGACTGCGAGGGGAGAAGGCGTGGAGGTCATCCCTTCCGGAGGTGCGCCGCGGCGTTCCCGGAGCGGCTTCTCTGAAGCGTGGCTTGTGGACTGCCGAATGCTTCCGGAGGCCATGGGAAGACACTCCCTGTAGCGGACGTGACTTCCCGGGCGAGGGACGTGGGAACTGGGCTGGAGGGTTGGGAGGCGGCCGACTTCTCCTGTGATTGGCTGGAGTTTTGAGCTAGGGCGCGCCGCTGAGAACCGACACGTGCTGTTTCATTTTTTTTTTTTTTTTTTTTTTTTTTTTTACTGTTTTTGCATGAATGATAAATGCACCTTGGTAAAGACAGAAACCAAACAATCCAATACATTGAAATTATTCAGGCTACTGCCTTAGGGAGAGCGCCCCAGAAGTGGAAATCACACTGTTGGGGTAACCGGGGCGGGGCGGGGGTGTCTTTTACTTTCATAGGAAGGAGTACACCGGTTTCAGTGGGGAGATTTATGGGGCAGGGTTTTTTGTTTTTTTTTTAATCAGCGGAAGTCTCAGCCAGCTGAACAGGGAATGTTTCTCTCTGTGCCTAGCTACTTTTAGGAGGACAGACTTCCCGTCTAAGTGAATCATTTGTGATACCCTACCTTGTTTTAACCTGAGTGACTCTTTCCTAGCAGAGAGAGCCGGACAGACTCCATTTTAGTTTCTTCACTTGCAGCCCCCTTTATCCCCCTTAAGGGAATAACTAGTGCAAGCTGAGTCCAAGCACATCCAAGAATACACCTGCTGGTAAGATATTGAGGCAGGCTGTACCAACAGCTCGGGAATGTGCTCGGTGGAAGGTACCTAAAAGCCCCTGCATTTATCTCTTAATCATAGTTTAAGCCCCTGCACCTGGAACTGTTTATTTTTTGTAACTGCTTCTATAACCAATTAATTTTTTTTAACTTTTTGCCTATTCTGCTTCTGTAAAATTGCTTCAGCTAAACTCCCCCCTCCCCTGTTTAGACCACGGTATAAAAACAAAACTAGCCCCTTCCTTGGGGCCGAGAGAATTTTGAGCGTTAGCTGCCTGTAGGTCGCCAGCTAATAAAGGTCCCCTTAATTTGTCTCAAAAGTGTGGCGTTTCTCTATAACTCGCTTGGTTACAACACATTCATGAGACAAAAGAACAAGGACTGGTGGTGTCTGCCATCTGGGAGTCACGGCACAGAGTGGGAAGACAGCATCCCTTATCTAAGTCTCATGGAGAATAATTGGTCCTGTGTGGTCAGTGACTTCCCAGAACACGAAAGTGTACAGAGATTTCTTTACCGTGGCGTATTTCAGGAGTCAAGTGACACGCAACAATGTCTGTCCTAGCAGATACATGGATAGTAGATTCCTTTTTAACCCTGGAAGAAGCCGCCTCGTGAACAGCAGTTTATGAAGGAAGGAAACATGAACCATTCTCCCAGAATATTATCATTTCATTTTACAAATGAAGTAACTGAGCCACAAAGAGATTAAGTAACCTCCCCAAAGTCGTACAAGAAATAAATGGTGGAGTCTCGATTTAAATCCAGGTGTCTGTGACTTCATCCCCTTCGTGCTGTGCAGCCATACACTGTCATTTCCAAATCCACACATGTGGCTCGATTCTCTCCCTGGATCTACAGATTTCTTCCGCCAACTGACAACCCCACAGGCCCGTTGCACTCACCTCCCATCCAGCATCCTGGGCAGTGGGAGATGGCTTCCCAGAGAAGAGAGTGTTAGAGATCCTGGGTCCCAAATGCCCTGTCCAGCCCCTGGAGGGAGAGGTGGGCTTCAAGAGGAAGTTTAGAAGATTTAAAGAGAGTTTATTTGTCTGAGGGACAGGCTGATGGGCTATTACAGCACACACGTGATAATAAACACCTGTTACTTTGAATTTATGTATTTACTTATTTGTTTAGTATTGGCAATACATGCCGAATGGTGGTGATACCCAAAGCAGACAGGTAAAATCAAGCCACTGTATGGGCAAGTCGAGACATTCCCATTTTACTTGGGAAGACCTGACAAGAAAATACCACTCTGCAGTATAAAAGGAGAACATTCTCCTAGACTCAACAAATGAAACTAATTAGTTATTTTTTCTAATTATTCTTATTCTCCTATTACAGATGAGGCACGGTAAGCACAGGGAGGTTAGGTCAGCTCTGCGAAGTCTTCAAGTCATAAGTCGTTGAGTCCCATAGCAAGTACTGCTCAGCATGTCCCAAAGTGAACGCACCCATCCCCACTCAGCACGCCTGCCCCTCCTCCTGTGCTGCCTGACTCAGTGACAGGCACCACCCTCTACCCAGCAGCTTGGGCCAAAGATCTTGAAAGCCATCCTTGATTGCTGCCTCTTACCACCCCCACAGTTGACCGAGCCTGGCCAGTTAGACCTCCCAAGTTTTTCTAAGTGAGACCTTGACACTGACTCCTCTCCATCACCACAGGAAGTTCCCTAGTCCAGTCACCCTCATCTCCCTCCTCGATGACCACCAACAATTCATAGCTCATCTTGCTGCCAGTCTTGACCCCTTCCCACGCATTCTCTGTCCCAGTGAGTGGGGCACCTTTCTTGACTGCTAATCTGGTCATGTCAAACCTTTTCAAATTCTACTAGGGCTGCCTGCTGCCCTTAGGATAAAGTCCAGCCTCCTGGATTAGGGGTATCAGGCCCCAGCTACTACCAGGCCTCTCTCTGTCTAGCGTGCACGCTCGCTCTCTCGCTGTCTCTCTCTCGTGTCTGCCGCCTCACAACCGCCCTTCCCTCTGTCTGGCCTGCACTTGCTCCATCAACCGCTGCCTGATTGCTCCTTACCTTCAGCTCTCAAGTGAAGGAGAGCAAATTATACTTTACCTAGGGAGCAACTGGATGAAAAGGCATGCTTAGTGGGTTTGATATTTTTACTGAATAGCACATGATGGAGATTCATGAAAATTCCCCCAATGGGCCAACCAACTGGAATGTCACGTGAGAGTAGGGTTTTTAGGAAAAGTTTACTTGCAAAAATAGGATGCAGGAAGGTAACTGAGGAAGGTGACAGGTTCATTTGCCTGACTGTAGCAATTATTTCACTGTGTGTGTGTGTGTGTGTGTGTATAACAACATGTTTTATACCTTAAATATATACAATAAAACATAATAATAAAGATACACAACATAGATCTCTCCTTCATTCCTATAGACTCATCATGTGTGAACATGGAGTTTGGAACTGTGGCCCCAGGTTCAGTACCATGAAGTGATGTGGGCTGAGGACCTGCCTCACAGCTGGTTCTTCCTGCCATAGAGTGAACTGTGAGGCTTCGCTTCATTCACTACAGCCTGTTATTTCAGCTCCTAGCATTGCACACCTGAATATGAATGGAAGTGTCTGCTTTGGACATATGGACAATAAAAGAGAAAAGATGGAAATGGCCCTGGTCCTGCCACCATCAGCCCAAGCCCAAACCCTGGCTGGAGGGTAGACTGGACTCCCACTGTCCTGGCACGCTGGCCTGCACACTGATGTGCCTCTAACATGGCACAGTGTGAATGGCTCTCTCTCCCTGGAGCCTGGTTGTTGAGGACCTACTGTGTGCTACTCATGTACAGTGTTGATTTCCCAAAGACCCAGAGAGGTAAGTATCAAACTCCCATCTACAGATAAGGAACCAAGCTGAAAGAGGTCAGGGCACTGAGGCAGAAAAGGCTGGATCTGGGACTCACACGCGGGTTCTGTCAGACTCCAAAGCCAGGCCTCTTTAAACTCACGACAACGTACTTTGCTTATGCTCCCCATGCTGAGCTGCAGATATTATTCTGTGATGGGACAGTCAGCTTGGTCCTAACACGACGTCCCCCTGTGAGATCCAGGCCCCTGGCAGGGCAAAGCCACCCTGAAAAGTTCTAACACAGTCCACAGGAGCTGCCCTGGCGTCCCTTGCCTCACAGCTACCAGTCGAGTTTAGCTTCTGCGCCTCCACCGGGAGGCGCTTTGCCCTATCACAGAGACACTTGCAATCCACCCCTGCCCTAAATTACATCTCCATCAGCCTCACTTTATTTAACAGATAAGAAGAATCTAGAGGCAAACAGAGCAGAGGCAGCGTTAGCGGCTGCAACACAGCTGTGGAGTTGATCAGACTCCAAATGTGGTGTGGAAATCAACAGACTGAGAATGGGAATCTAGTTCCTCTTGTTCTTCGGCTCTCTGGACTGTAAGCTGTGCAGAATCAAAGTGCCTGCCGCACAAACCTCCCCTCTTCTGAAGAGTCTGCCCTGACCCAACCCTTGCACACACACATCCCTCAGGTGAGGGTAGGGTGGTCTCCTGTGTACTCCTAGGGGACCGTGGGTTGAATTCTGCCATGGCTCTCCTTACCCCCCAAGTGTGGGGGTCATCTGCCAGCAAGGATACAGCCGAAACCTCCCCCTGTCCCCAGAGTGTCCGGTCAGCACTTCAGAACAAGTTTATTCAGTTAATAAAGGAATTTCACCCAGAGTACTTGGTCAGTAATGGCTATGATGGTAGCAGCTCTGTGTGCCTTAGAAATGCTCCAGGAGAATCGAGTGAACAGAGGACATCTGTGCAATGAGATTCTCCTCCCCTGGAGTTCGGGAGGAGGGTTGTACCTTTCCTCTCTTCCCTAATTCCAGAACTCCTAGTAAAAGAGGCTACAAAATTATTTGTTTATTTTAGATAGAGACTAGCTCTGTCACCCAGGCTGGAGTGCAGTGGCACAATCTCAGCTCACTGCATCCTCCACCTCCTGGGATCAAGTGATTCTTGTGCCTCAGCCACCCAAGTAGCTGGGATTACAGGTGTGCGTCACTGCACCCGGGATTATTTTTTTTTTTGGATTTTTAGTAGAAATGGGGCTTCACCATATTGGCCAGGCTGTTCTTGAACTCCTGACCTCAAGTGATCTGCCTGCCTTGCCCTCCCCAAGTCCTGGGATTACAGGTGTGAGCCACCGCACCCTGCCAGAATTTTTAAATATGTCTTGGCCAGTATGTTACTCCATGTGGCCTCCCAGTGGGACTGCAGTGCCAAAATGTCAGAGTACCCTAGGGCAAGTGCATGTGGGCCTCCCCCAGGGTCTGTAGGGAAAAACGACTATTGATTGGGTTCAGGCGTCCTAATCGAGTATGTGGTTCTGTGGCTGCAACACAGATGTCCACAGTGACAAGGACATGAACACCTGGATGAACGCGTCTGTCAAGTCTGGGTGGGCTGCATCAGTGCCTTTGCCTGTCCTGTCTCTTGCCTAAGCCCTCCTGGTTCTGACTGCTCCTGCCTGGGTCCCTCCTTCACCTGAACTCTGCAGGCTGCACAGACATGCTTTCTGTATCTGTGGCCCTTCATTGTCCCTTTCCGTGTCACTGGCAGAGCAGAAGCTTACCTGGCCTGACAGGATCCCGTCCTTGTCACCGTGGCACCTCCAGCCTTCTGTTCAGCTTCCTGCTGGTGTGCTAGTGTCCTTGTGGCATCTGCGCCATGTTGGAACGACTCAGCCTCTGACTTTTTTCCAACTGCTCCCTCTGTCTGGAAGGCCTTCACCACAGATATCTGCTTGACTGACTCCTCCCCCTTCACATCTTTGTCAAATTGTCACCTTCTCAACCCAGCCTACCCTAGTCACTCTGTTATAATTTACCTGCAGCTAACCCAGTGCCTCCCCCAATTCCCAATCCCTGTACTGTGATCTGTATATTTTTTCTTTTTAACACAGCCCCCATCATCTTTGTAAACTAAAAATAAAATTCTAAGCCCCACTCCCCAACCATCTGAATGGACCCTTCCTCTCGGCCAAAGCTTTTCCAAAGTTAGCCTGAAAAAGTAGTTCAGGCCATGATGGGAAGGGTGGGTCAGACATGCGTCATTACACCCTTCTCCCTATGGAATTCAGGCACAACTGACCAGCATTTATGTTAAGGGAGAGATCTTAAGACTGTGGCAATAAGACACCAAGTTCCAGCCTGACTAGTATAGCATCACATAACAAATAGGCCCTGAAAGAAGTCAAAGTGTTTCATCCAACAATACATTTCTTTGACACATTTTGAAATAGGCCTACAAAGCCATCTCTTGTGAGGAAGTCTACATTCTGTAGAGAATCCCTTTCCCTTTCCAGGTCTTTTTCCTGGTCTAGGAGAGAATTAGTTCCCAAGAGTCCAGCAACTTTTAAGGTCTGATAAGAAATATTTACAGTCTATTCTCTCTGAAGCCGGCTGCCTCGGGACTTCATTGGCATAATAAGAACCTTGATCTCCACAACCCCTTATCTTAACCCAGACACTCCCTCCTATGGATTGGAGGTCTTTAGATAAACTCAAGCAATTGCCAATCAGAAAATCTTTGAATCCACTTATGACCTGTAAGACCCCACCGCCCCTCCACCGCCCGCCAACTTGTAGTTGTCCCGCCTTTTCAGAAGGAATCAATGTATGTCGTACATGCATTGATTGATGTCTTATGTCTCCCTAAAGTGTATAAAGCGAAGCTGTACCCTGACGACCTTGGGGATGTTTCGTCAGGACCTCCTGAGGTTGTGTCAGGGGCACGTCCTTAACCTTGGCAAAATAAACTTCTAAATTGATTGAGACCTGTCTCGGGTACGTTTTGGTTCATAACTTCTAACGTTTCCTAGATTCCCTTGTGGAGGGTTTGCTGTCTGCCACCTACCACGTCCTCTTCGGGGAATGTCAGATCCAGGGCAGGGATTTCTGTTGATTTGCTTCCCTGAGGTATCCCTACACCTCAAGCAGTGCCTGGCACGTAGAAGACTTTCATACATATTTGTTGCCTGAAGGAACACATATGCCTCCCCCACTAGACTGTGAGACCATTCAGGGTCTCGTTCTCCCCTGTATGATGGAGCCCTCTATGCATGCTTGTGTCATGGTGCAAAGAGCCTCACAAAATAACAGAATTAAACCGTGCATGTCTTAGAGATGGAGGAGATACTCTGGAGGTAGTTTCTACTTTCTTCAGCCCAACACACATTTCTCTTGAATGGTCTGTGCCCATTACTCCTACATTTCAGCTGAGACGGTCTCGGGCCCACACCTCCCCCTGACCACAGATGGCATCTACCTGTGTCCCCTCCCTTCCCTAGCCCCGAATTCTGCATTCAGAAGCACCGTGCGTTTGCAGGAAAGGGCTGAGATGCCGCTCTGTAGATCCTCATCATGTAAAGGTGAAGTTAAGGTTTGGGAAGATGATCCAAACAGCTAGAGACTCCTGCCATCCCACCAGGGCACAGGGGATCCCGGGTTTGATGCATGTGTTCTGGGAGAGCTGCAAGAGGGATGTTGTGTCCAGGTTATTTTCTGGGTGTCAGTGACATCTTGCAGGAGACAGACCACACGACCCAGGAACACATGGGCAGGTCCTGTTCATCGCTGAGAGAGAGGGTCCCTGCTCTGTGTCTTTTATCAGAGACACAGAAGAAACTCCTCCGCACAGTGAGATCTCCACAAGTGGTGCTGAGGGGGACCTGTGACTCTCAAAGCAGTCGCATGACTCCAACCCCAGGGGCAGCTGTGAAGGAAGCTGGCCGTGTAAACTCAGGGGTCTAGATAAGTAAGCGTGGCTGTGGCAGGCTGGAGTGGACGAGTCTGGGAAAGTCAACTCAAGACAACCTCTCACTGACTGTACAGGGTGAGACCCAAATATCAGGAGAAGGTCACAAACAACTCATGTCTGAACTTTGCTATGTGACAGTGTCTCTCATGCTTGAGATGATCTCCCAAAGAGCTCAGACGTTTCAATCCCTGGAACACGGAACCAAAGACAGAACAGGCCTCCCTCCAAAACATACATCTCCTACCAGCTCTGAAACGTCCTATCCTGGACACACACACTCTCAGATACCTCAGGGACCTCACAGGCTGGGTCACAAAGCCCAAGAGACCCCAGTGACATAGAAAACCCAGACAACAACCCAGGAACAAGCAGCTCAGAGACCTCAACCCTGGACACACAACACTGAACAGTTCGCAGAACTCAGACCCCTCCAAGAACTCAGTGAAGGAGGACACAGACACTAAACCTGCTCAGAGACATCAGATTCTAAAATTCAGACCCACGTGCGTGTGAGCAACTTTAGAACCTGTGATGTAGAAAACGGATTACCTCACGGACCTCACAGCCCGGACCCAGAAGCCCACAAAACCACAGTGCGCACACCCTGAGATGCGGACACAGAAACAGTTGAGGGGACCGGGACAGGGAACACAGAGGCCTTGGGCACAATGTTCCCTGCAACAAACACCTAGGAGACCTCAGAGTGTGGGACACACCATTCCCACACAGCACAGAGTTTACAACCTGAGACACAGCAACTCCTCAACATGTCAGCAGCCTCAACCCCTGCGGTGCAGACTCATAACCGGGTAGGGAGGACACACTCAGGACGCAGGACCCCAAAAGGATCAGACACCTTTCGTGAGTTTGGAATAACCTCAGTGTTCTCACAACCTAGGATATGGAGCCCCAAGGGGCGCTATTGTGTCCTATCATTGACACAGACACTCGGGAGAGCTCAAACCCTACTTCCTGAAATCAGAACTGCTCCCATGCCTTGCATTCTAGACACAATACCTAAAGCAGATCAGACACCTCACATGCTGGGAGAGAACCCTGATCAGCCCAGAGGACTGTCACCCCAGACACAAGCCCTCCACAGCTCAGAGACCTGCCGACCTGGGACGCTACCCTCCAAATTGGTCAGAGGCCTCAGAATCTGGGCACAGAGCCTGAAAAAGCTCAGCAGAATGACATCTTGCGTTGGAGACACCTAAAAAGTCACTTGGTACAGGACACGTGTCAGATGCAGTCACAGCAAGAGATCACCCAGGCTCATGAGGCAGACATGGAGACACAGGGAGACAGAGACAGACAGAGTCAAAGGGAGCAATGAGGTGGGGGAGGGATTGAGGATTAGGGAGAGCATTTCTGGACACCTTCTGTCCTCACGGAGTTAGCCTCGATCTCAGGACCCGGGCCCAGGCAGCCGAGTAACCTTTTGTTTTCCAGGCGAAGGGAGACCCCGGTTTCTGCCCTCAGAGGCTGTTTCTGGGCCTAGGCCACATCCAGGAGGGCAGGAGCTGGCCCAGGCACACAGGGGAGCCCTTTACCCATCAAAATGGGGATCCATTCTAGGTTTGGAGGGTTCATGCCATCATGAGGTGGAACCCTGTGCCCCTAAGGCCCCAGCTGCCCTCCTGCTGAGGTGCTGCTGTCCTGGTGTGGGGAAGGGGTGTCTCTGCCCCGGTGGAATAAGAGCATGAACCTGTGCTGCTTACGAAAGTGCTGGAAGCTTCCCCCAACCTTGGGACTGCTTGTCCACACCCTCTTCATCCGCCCTGAGCAAGTCTGCTTCAGCCTCCTGGGCAAGTGCACTCAGGAGGCACGGCGGCCACCTGGCTTCTCTCTGCCCTCTGTGGCCCTGAACAGAAGGGCACCTGCAGATCTTTCGCAAGGGAGTGAAGCAGAGGCAGCTAAAGTGGAGCCTGAAGTAGCTGGCCGTGCTGTGCTGAGGATCCGTGGCACAGACCAAGAGCTGACACTGAGGGGTGCTGCTGTCCCTCCCCAGTTATCCTCCCTGTGCCATGAGAGACCCGTCCCCCCGACCCCACTCCCTACCTCTAAATGCCTGATTCTGCTTTACAAGAGACAGCACACGAGGGTATCCATGCTTCTTGCAGGGCTTTGTGCAAACGGAAGGAGCCCAGACATCTCCCTGCCCCATCTCCTCTAGACCAGCCCTAGGGCAGGGCTATTTGCTCATGGATGAAAACAGCTGTAAGGCTGTGGAATTCGGGGACTGAGGCCCAGGTGGGCCTGGCCGGTAGGCCTGATCCTCCTGGCGGACACACTCAGTGGCCCATCTCTGATTCCCTGGTGGACGTGCACTCCCGCAGGACCACAGGAGCCCAGTGTCGCATCTTCAGCATTTCCTCCAGCGCTCTGAACACAGTCCGGGCTTAATCAATGCCTGGTGGGATGCTCTCTGACTGAAGAACCCAGCTCTTAGCTACGCTCACCCAAACACCTGTCCCTGCTTAATGCCTAAAATCCCATATTTAGGCTGGGCACGATGGCTCACTCCTGTAATCCCAGCTCTTCAGAGGCTGAAGTGGGAGGATCAGTTGAGGCCAGGAGTTCAAGACCAGTCTGGGCAACATAGCGAGACCCTGTCTTTACAAAAAAAAATTAAAAATGAGCTGGGCAGGGTTGTGAGCACCTGGAATCCCAGGTACTCAGGAGGCTGAGGTGGGAGGAAGGTTTGGGCCTGGGAGGTTGAGGCTGCAGTGAGCCTTGATCGCGCCACCGCACTCCAACCTGGGTGACAGAGCACAATCCTGTCTCAAAAAAATATAATTAAAAAAATAAAATCCCGTATTTGTTTATTTACAAAAGATTGAAAAGATTTGCAAACTATTCATTAGACAGGGTGTTAATAACCATGATATACAAGGAAGTCAAACATCTCAACAGCCAAAAAACCCATCCAAGCTCAAATAGGGAAATTATCTGAATAGATGTTTCTCAAAGGAAGACCTACAAATGGCCAAGAAATGTATGAAAAAATGTTCAGCATCGCTAATCATCAGGGAAATGCAAATCAAAACCACAATGAGAGCTGGCTGGGATGGAGCAGGCCTGTAGTCCCAGCTACTTAGGAAGCCAAGGGAGGAGGACTGCTTGAGCTCAGGACTTCAAGACCAGCCTGGGCAACATAGTGAGACCCTGTCTCCAGAAAAGAAAAGAAATAACAGTAAAACCACAATGAGTTATCGTCTCACACAGTTACAATACCTGTTATCAAAAAGACAAAACAAACAAACAAACAAACAAATGCTGGCAATCTCACTCAGCTAGAATGCCTATTCTCAAAAAGACGAAAAATAACAAACACTGGCAAGGATGCAGAGAAAAGGGAACTGTCATACCCTATTGGTGAGAATTTAAACTAGTAGAGACACTATGGAGAACAGAAGGGAGGTTCCTCCAAAAACTACAATAGAACCACCATATGATCCAGCAATCCCACTACTGGGCATTTATTCAAGGGATAGGAAATCAGCATATCAAAGAGACATCTGCACTCCCACATTGATTATAGCACTATGCACAATAGCCATGCTATGGAATCAGTCTAGATGAACGGATGAAGAAAATGTGGTACACGTACACAATGCAATACTTTTCAGCCCTAAAAAGGAATGAAATTCTGTCATTCTGAGCAATCTTGGGTGGAAGTGGAGGACTTTATGTTAAGTGAAATAAGCCAGGAACAGAGACTTAAACACCACATGTTGTCATTCATATGTGGAAGCTAAAAAATGCTAATCTCATAGAAATAAAAAGTAGAACAGAGGATACTAGAGGCTGGAAAGGGTAAGGGGTGGTGGAGATAGAGAGAGATTTGTTAAAGGATACAAAATTACAGTTTGATAGGAGAAGTAAGTTATAGTGTTCCACAGCATTGTGGGATAACTATAATGAACGATAATATATTATATAGGCCGGGCATGGTGGCTCACACCTGTAATCCCAGCACTTAGGGAGACTGAGGCGGGCGGATCATCTGAGGTCAGGAGTTTGAGACCAGCCTGGTCGACATGGCAAAACACCGTCTCTACTAAAAATACAAAAATTAGCCAGGCGTGGTGGTGGTTGCCTGTAATCCCAGCTACTCGGGATCCTGAGACAGGAGAACCGCTTGAGCTTGGGAAGCGGAGGTTGCAGTGAGCTGAGATCGTGCCACTGCACTCCAGCCTGGGTGACAGAGTGAGACTCTGTTTTGAAAAAGTAAACAAATAATATATTATATAGTTTCAAATAGTTAGGAGGACATTGAATATTCCCAACACAAAGAAATGATGAATGTTTGAGACAATCCATATGCTAATTACTCTGCTTTGATCACCATACATCATATGTATGGAAATATCACTACTTGCCCCATGTATATGTACAATTATTATGCCAATTTATCAAATAAAAACAAAGAAGTAATACAATTGATTTTTGCATACTGATATCTTGTACCCTGAATCTGAGGTATTGTGTTATATTGAAAATATCTACAGCTTTTAGACCAATATCCCTGATGAACATTGATGCAAAAATCCTCAGTAAAATACTGGCAAACCGAATCCAGCAGCACATCAAAAAGCTTATCCACCACGATCAAGTGGGCTTCATCCCTGGGATGCAAGGCTGGTTTAACATACGAAAGTCAATAAATGTAATCCAGCATATAAACAGAACCAAACACAAAAACCACATGATTATCTCAATAGATGCAGAAAAGGCCTTTGACAAAATTCAACAGCCTTCATGCTAAAAACTCTCAATAAATTAGGTATTGACGGGACGTATCTCAAAATAATAAGAGCTATTTATGACAAACCCACAGCCAATATCATACTGAATGGGCAAAACCTGGAAGCATTCCCTTTGAAAACTGGCACAAGACAGGGATGCCCTCTCTCACCACTCCTATTCAACATAGTGTCGGAAGTTCTGGCCAGGGCAACCAGGCAGGAGAAAGAAATAAAGGGTATTCAATTAGGAAAAGAGGAAGTCAAATTGTCCCTATTTGCAGATGACATGATTGTATATTTAGAAAACCCCATCGTCTCAGCCCAAAATCTCCTTAAGCTGATAAGCAACATCAGCAAAGTCTCAGGATACAAAAATCAATGTGCAAAAATCACAAGCATTCTTATACACCAATAGCAGACAGACAGAGAGCCAAATCATGAGTGAACTCCCATCCACAATTGCTTCAAAGAGAATAAAATATCTAGGAATCCAACTTACAAGGGATGTGAAGGACCTCTTCAAGGAGAACTACAAACCACTGCTCAACGAAATAAAAGAGGACACAAACAAATGGAAGAACATTCCATGCTCATGGATAGGAAGAGTCAATATCGTGAAAATGGCCATACTGCCCAAGGTAATTTATAGAATCAATGCCATCCCCATCAAGCTACCAATGACTTTCTTCACAGAATTGGAAAAAACTACTTTAAAGTTCATATGGAACCAAAAAAGGGCCTGCATTGCCAAGACAACCCTAAGCCAAAAGAACAAATCTGGAGGCATCACGCTACCTGACTTCAAACTATATATACTACAAGGCTATAGTAACCAAAACAGCATGGTACTGGTACCAAAACAGAGATATAGACCAATGGAACAGAACAGAGCCCTCAGAAATAATACCACACATCTACAACCATCTGATCTTTGACAAACCTGACAAAAACAAGAAATGGGGAAAGGATTCCCTATTGAATAAATGGTGCTGGGAAAACTGGCTAGCCATATGCAGAAAGCTGAAACTGGATCCCTTCCTTACACCTTATACAAAAATTAATTCAAGATGGATTAAAGACTTAAATGTTAGACCTAAAACCATTAAAACCCTAGAAGAAAACCTAGGCAATACCTTTCAGGACATAGGCATGGGCAAGGACTTCATGTCTAAAACACCAAAAGCAATGGCAACAAAAGCCAAAATTGACAAATGGGATCTAATTAAACTCAAGAGCTTCTGCACAGCAAAAGAAACTACCATCAGCGTGAATAGGCAGCCTACAGAATGGGAGAAAATTTTTGCAATCTACTCATCTGACAAAGGGCTAATATCCAGAATCTACAAAGAACTCAAACAAATTTACAAGAAAAAAACAAACAACCCCATCAAAAAGTGGGCAAAGTCTTCTCAAAAGACTTCTCAAAAAGTCTTCTCAAAAGAAGACATTTAGGCAGCCATCAGAGAAATGCAAATCAAAACCACAATGAGATACCATCTCACACCAGTTAGAATGGCAATCATTAAAAAGTCAGGAAACAACAGGTGCTGGAGAGGATGTGGAGAAATAGGAACACTTTTACACTGTTGGTGGGACTGGAAACTAGTTCAACCATTGTGGAAGACAGTGTGGTGATTCCTCAAGGATCTACAACTAGAAATACCATTTGACCCAGCCATCCCATTACTGGGTATATACCCAAAGGATTATAAATCATGCTGCTATAAAGACACATGCACATGTATGTTTATTGCGGCACTATTCACAATAGCAAAGACTTGGAACCAACCAAAATGTCCATCAATGATAGATTGGATTAAGAAAATGTGGCACATATACACCATGGAATACTATGCAGCCATAAAAAAGGATGAGTTCATGTCCTTTGTAGGGACATGGATGAAGCTGGAAACCATCATTCTCCGCAAACTATCACAAGGACAAAAAACCAAACACCGCATGTTCTCACTCATAGGTAGGAATTGAACAATGAGAACACTTGGACACAGGAAGGGGATCATCACACACCGGGGCCTGTCATGGGGTGGGAGGGAGGAGGGAGGGATAGCATTAGGAGATACACCTAATGTAAATGACGAGTTAATGGATGCAGCACACCAACATGGTGCATGTATACCTATGTAACAAACCTGCATGTTGTGCACATGTACCCTAGAACTTAAAGTATAATAAATAAAAATTAAAAAATTAAAAAAAAATAAATTCACATTTATAGCTGCTGCAAAAAAAAAGAGAGAAAATAACTACAGCAACAACACAACTGAAGTCCAGTTCAGCTACTGAAAAGATTGATTCAAACCCCAACACCAATGCTCTGGCAGAAAAAGAAAGGAAGACACACTACATACAGAGGAACAAATTTAAAGTCATCCATCAGACTTCTCATCAGAATCTGTGCAACCCAGAACTTTCTAATCAGCACAATTTTTTTTAATGAATGTGACATAAACATGTTTACACAAACAGGTAAACAAACAAAAATGGGGAGAAAAGTCACTGTCAACAGATTTGTCCTACAAACCATGTTAAAGGAAGTTCTTGGGTCAGAAGGAAAATAGAAGGAAATTTGGATCTACACACAGAACTTCACAGTACTGGACACGGAACAATTGTGGGAAAGTACAAGATTTTATTTTTTGGAGACGGAGTTTCCGTCTGTCGCCCAGGCTGGAGTGCAGTGGCACGATCTCTGCTCACTGCAACCTCCGCCTTCCAGGTTCAAGGGATTCTCCTGCCTCAGCCTCCTAAGTAGCTGTGACTACAGGTGCACGCCGCCACGCCTGGCTAATTTTTTTGTGTTTTAGTAGAGACGGGGTTTCACCATGTTGCCCAGCCTGGTCATGAACTCCTGAGCTCAGGCAAACCACCCACCTCGACCTCCCAAACTGCTGGGATTATAGGCATGAGCCACGGGGCCCGGCTGATTTTTTAAAAACTTTTAAAGTTTCTTATTTAGAAAAAAGGTCTCCCTATGTTGCCCAGGCTTCTCTCAAACCTCTGGGCTCAAGCAATCCTCCTGCCTCAGCCTCCCAAAGTGCCAGGATTACAGGCATGAGCCGCCATGCTCAGTCAAGACTTTTTTCTTGTAGCTAATCTCTTTAAAAGAAAATTGACTGTCAAATAGTAACAATGTATTGTGGGGCTCTGACATAGGTAGACATATAATGTAAGACAACAATAGCAGAAGGCTGGGGAGAAAGGAAATGGAAGTATACAGCTGTAAGAGTCTCACAGTGTACATGAAGTGGTAGGACATTACTTGAAGTCTGGCAGGAATTTTTGCATTTTTTGTGTGGGATCAGTAGATTGACCATTATCCTACAATTTGACATAAACTCCATGAGGGCGGGGATGTGTCTTTTTTTATTGTATGTCCCAGACACTCAGCACAGTACCTAGAACATAGTTGAGGCTTGGCAAATGACTGTTCAACAAATTAAGTTTTTTTTTGAGACAGGGTCTCACTATATTGCCCAGGCTGGAGTGCAGTGCCCTGATCATGGCTCACTGCAACCTCCACCTCCTGGGCAGAGAAAAGTGACTTTATTTCAGACAGCCAGCAAGCCAAGACGATGATGGACTAATGACCTATGGAGCCATCTTAAGGGGCATGAATCTCAAGCTTCTTTTTACAGGCAAGGGAGAATCAGGAAAGGGTGAGGTCAGGAGGAGAATGGTGACCACAGACATCTAGGTGTCAACGGGAGCCCAGGGAGGTTGCAAAACATCTTTGTCCTTGGTCAGGTCACAGTGCTCCCATAAACCTTTCACACAACATTGCTGCTTGTGTGTACACCCTTCTCATCTCCTCGGGGCTGGGTTCCGAAAGGGACTATTATCGTCTTTGCTTTGAAGTTAAACCCTACACTAAATTCCTCCCATAGTTAGCTTGGCCTACGTGCGGGAATGAGCAAAGGCAGTTAGCTCCTCAGGTCAGAAGCAAGACAGAGCAAGCCCTGGTCGATTTCTCTCACTATTTCAGGTGCGCCCTCCCTCTCTGTTAAACACATACACACACACACACACACACACACACACACACACACACACACATTCCCTTGGCACTGATTCAGATCAGTGGGCAGCTTCTGGGAAGCCACCTGACCTGCATTAGGAGGCTGAAGGGCACCAGAACTTTAGCTCGAGGGTGGCCTCAAAGCTTCCCGTGGCCTCAAAGATGCCACGGCATGATGCACAGCCAGGCTGAAGAGCTTTCTGGGTCTGTGGGTGCTAAGAGCCAGGGGCCTTCATAGCTTTATGCGGGCAGTGCCCCCTTGTCACAGCTTTTGGCGAATCTTCAGAATGCTCATCAGTAGGTGCAGTCATTCCCGCACACACCTCAGGCCAGGGCAGCTTCTCACCACAGTAACGGAGCACGCCATTGTCTTAGCAGAAAAACAAACTTAGGAAACAGAAGCTTAGCCACTTGTGCACTAGTAATGTAATAGATCACACTGGCATTCACTCCCCCAATTCCTCTTTCAGGGAATGACCCAACCCAGCCCTGCTCATCCCAAACTAATGACCACAACAACCTATATGTGCCTCTCGCTTTGCACTGATGGCGTCACTGGGGGAGCGTTGAGTCTAACTATTGCACTATGTGTTTTCTCCGTTTCCCTGATCTGAAACTGTAGGCTTCCAGATACCAAGACAGGTGCCCCAGGCCAGTCTCTGAAGTGATGATGCTGCAGGTGGGCCGGGCCTTGACCTCAGCACAGCTCACCAGCAGCAGCGCCTTGCCAGGGCCATGTGCTGCCAAATTGCGCCACTGGAGCCGAAGGAGAGGAAAGGTCTAAGGAGACGTCATAAAGATCTCCATCTCGATAGCACAGCAGCCTCCTCTTATGGACATGCGGGTGTTTTGGTTTCTTTCAACATGTACCCACTGTGGCATTTTTCAGGATGCCTGGGGGTCTTCAGCTAACTTTCCATCCACACCACCCTGCCTCCCCCACTGCCCCTCTCTACCCTACCCCAAACCTTCCTTCTGTTTTAAATGCTGCCCCCGAGGGTCACTGACTGGTTTGCCTCCTGATAAGGATATCAAAACACCTTTTACCCCTAATCCTCAAGATACCTAAAAGAATGAGTCTTCAGAACATCTATTTTAAAAATTATTGGCCAGGTGCGGTGGCTCACGCCTGTAATCCCAGCACTTTGGGAGGCTGAGTCGGGCGGATCATGAGGTCAGGAGTTCGAGACAAACCTGGCCAACATGGTGAAACCTGGTCTCTACTAAAAATACAAAAATTAGCCAGGCATAGTGGTGCATACCTGTAATGCCAGCTACTCGGGAGGCTGAGGCAGGAAAACTGCTTGAACCTGGGAAGCAGAGGTTACAGTGAAACAAGATCGTGCCACTGCACTCCAGCCCGGGCGACAGATCAGGACTCCATCTCAAAAAAAAAAATTATTAGAGAAACAGTGGCTGAGTAATAATAAGGAAGAAAACGCAAGTAAAACAGTGAAAGGAATGTTATTTCAAAATGATTGAGTTTCCCACTTAGAGAGCAACACTTCAAATGTGGTGCATTCCCTTACAGGCTTTTTTCTATGCATGTTTTTTAAAATTATGAGATTGGAGAACAAGTAGTGTGTTTATAATACTGCATCTGTTGTTTTGTTTAATATTATACCAAAGCTATTTCCCATAATGACAGTGACAAGGATGTTGCTGCTAACATCCATGGTAGCAAACACATACAGAAAGCTTGATATGGAACAGAGACCATCTTTGTGCTTTCCTGGTATTGACTCATCACCCTGTATTATCGAAATATGACTATATTTTTACATTATATAAATATGTATATATAATAACAGTCACTTAGTGTGTTGCTAATGTTATCATCCCTTATTACAGAATAGGAAACTGAGACACATAGGTTAAGAGACTAAGGAACTTGCCAAAAGTCACATTGCCTGCAAGGGCAGGGACAGTAGAGTTTTCACGATGCCTGTGGCACTATACATATATATATATATACACACACACATATATATATACACACACATATATACATATACATATATACATATATATACACACACACACACACACATATATATATATATATATATATCTTGATACGTATATATATAAATGAAGAGAGAGAGTGCACTAAAAACATCTGGCCCAGAGTAAGTATCCAGAAGTATGAGTTTTTATTCTCACATCTCTGAACTTCTGCTTTCTGCTCTTCCCCATTATTCCTTGCCCCTGTCTGCCCTAGACCTCTCTCCCTGCCCCGCACACCTTCACTTCCCCTCCACACTCCACTCTCTTCCCCCATTGCCCATTTCCTCTGACTCTGGATCTGAATAAATTGATACCATCTTCTCATGATTTAGCTCAGAAAACATTAGTACCATAAGTCTTTCCTTAGATCAAAAATGAATTTACTTTTTTGAGACAGGGTCTCACTCCCATTGCCCAGGCCAGAGTGTAGTGGTATGATCATGGTTCACTGCAGCCTTGACTTCCTGGGCTCAAGTAATCCTCCCACCTCAGACCCCTGAGTAGCTGGGAATACAGGCATGAACCACCATGCCCAGCTTATTTTTTTATTCTTGTAGAGACAAGGTCTCACTACATTGCCCAGGATGATCTCGAACTCCTGGGCCCAAGCAATCCTCCTGCCTTGGCCTCCTAAGATTCTAGGATTATAGGTGTGAGCCATCATGCCTAGCCAACAATAAACATTAATGGTAGAAGTAATCAACACAAGATACAACAGACGAGGTGAATACTATACAAAAAATAAAATACCACTAATAAAAATTCAACTGCTAACAGCTTCATATCTCCATCAGATTCAGATCTTCACAATTTGATGGAGGAGAGTTGGACTTAATAGAACTAATAGCAATAGAATAATCCATATGATAATAATTTTTGACCTTTAAATTTCACTCTTTAAATTATTTCTAAAAATTTATATGCTTTTGTGCTATCATTATCCAGTGACCACTTGCTTGTCCAAGCATTATACAAGTTACATGAAGAGGTCACTAGAGTTCTAATTTCCTAGAGAAATTTCCATTCAAATTTTCCATACAAGCTCATGATGATGAAACTCCAGCATTGCATTTAGGCTCCACGATACCCTGTAAGGAAAGCTGAATATTCATTATGCTAATAAAATGTGCCCTCCCCCTGCCCCACAGACTCAGACCTTGAGTCCCAGAAGAGCTGAAGAGATAATCTAAACATCATCCAAGGGGTCAAAAGTAGACTTGACATCTGTCTCTCCAGAACATGCCCCAGGGAAATGCGGGAACAGCAACAATAACAGCTTAGAATTTATTGGAAACTGACCATATGCCAGGGACTGTCCAGACAACTGTACATGTCTTCACACAGTCAGTGCTCTAAACTGCCCCAAGAAGTAGATGACATTACTAGTAGTATTTCCATGGTACTAATGGAGAAAGGAAGCACAGAGATGTTAAGGAACTTTCTCAGGGTCACCCAGCAGTGAGTGCTGGAACCAAGAGCCACGGGCATCGCGAAAACTCTACTGTGCTGCATATTAGTGCAATCAAGAGTAAGATCCAAAAGCTACTGCAAAATATTTAGAATTTTATAGCATGGGACTGCACAGGCAATAGATATTTGATTTCTTCAGAAATCTTTAAGAGATGGAGACTTGAAAGGACTGGTCTGGGTATCATTTGGAGATGGTGCCCTGAGTGTGTCATTACCATAACAGGCAGCACGTCAGTGTCGGTCTCCTCAGCTGAAGGTCTTGGGTTTGTACATCAGAGAACACATCAAACCTATCCCTTCCATACCTTCACAAAGGAGAAAGAAGCTGTGTCACTGGGAAAGGAGACTATTCTCCTGCTCTAGTATTGCTCAGACACGTTTCCATGAAAGTTAGAACCTAGGATCTTTTAAAAGTGCAGATTCCAGAACTCACACCCAGTGAGTCTCATGTAGTCCAAGGGAACTTTGCTGGCCAGCCTAGGGAACTTTCAGAAACCTTATTAAATCCCTTTGGTAGCAAGACTGTCTGCAATATACCCAGAAAAATATTCCCAGGACAGACATGAGGTTCAGAAGAGCAACCTCAGAGCAAAGTAACACAGGACAAGATGAGCGCAGTGTGAGACTCACCGTAAGGGTAGGGCAGAGGGACTTTTGAGAAGGCCTCACAACTCCTACTGGCCTTTCTCCTTGAAGGCCTCAGTTTATCTCAAATCCCTTCTCTTCATGGGCAGTGAATGAAGGGGTCCCAGGAAATGACCTTTTAGATCCCAAAATGGTATGGGCTCCTCTCAGGGACCACTGAACACATAGGATGGGAGGAGATGCAAGCTGTTGTCCCCCTCCCACCAGCCTTGGTTTCCTTCTTGCACCGTCATTTCCTTCAACGGGAGCCTAGAGCAATGTCAGGACTTAGGACCAATGTCTTCCCTTCACCAACAGACACCTGCCCCTCACCTAAGGAGTTCGTCTCCCCTCTCCTCCCTCCAGCTGTCCTTCTCCTTCTCCCACAGCACACACCTGTCCCTGGCAGCCTGACGACCTAGCCTGGCCTGTTCCTCCTATGTCACAGCCTGGAGAGGGCTGTCCTCACTGAGAAGAAGGACACCAGTCCCAGGATCCCAGAGCCATGACTACCACAGAACCATCCTGAGCATCAATGTCCCATGGCAGTGGTTGACCTTTGAAATGAAGCTTCACCACACACCCCAGCTGGCACTGAAACACTTTCTTATCACAAGAAAGCAACACAGAGGAACAAGGTTCCCGCAACCCCTCCTGGGGAACATTGTGTCCTTCTCCATGTTACTGTGCTGTTTCCTCTGTACCGACTGCAACATTCCTAAACTTTTGATGTTATTAAGAAGTTCTAGGATTCTTCTTTTAAATCCTAAACTTGTGGTTTGTAGTCAGAATATCATCGCCCATTTTGGGGCATTTTGGAAATTTCCAAGGGCAGCTTTGGGTGTTCAAATTATTGGAAGCGGCTACTGGCATTTGTGGAGTGAAGGTTACAGGGAGGCAAACAACTTTTTCCAGAGTCTTAAATAAACTGGATTTTTTTCCATATATATCACTTCCCTGTAAACTGGGTGGCGGGGGCCGGGGCTTGTATGTTGCTTCACCTGGAAACTTACAAAGACTTATTGACTGCTTTAGAAATCACATCACTGCAGGGCATTCCATTCTTGGATTCCACTCTGACACAACATACCAGTATCAATTTGCTTTGTAGTGCTGCATGCCTGGGGGAAACAATGAGGGGAATCCAACTTACCTACCAAAGGGATCATTTCCATGATAAGCTGTTAGTTGATGGGGAAAATCAAGCGGGAGATGTTGGTAGTGTGATCTCTCATTAGTTGGTGAACACACCGGCTATGCCCATTGCTGTTACTAAACTGAACTTCTCTTTGCAGGTGTATTTCCCTCACCAGGCTCTGTGGTCTCTCCTGGAAGGTTGGAAACATGCCCAGTAGATCCCTGAGTCCTCAGGATGGGATAGAGGACCTCACAGACAGAAAGAGGGCAGGGAACACTTATGGAATTGTAGTGATCTCTACATGGTTGGATGACCAAACGCTGAGTCACAGTGATGAGCCCCATGGCTGGCAGTCTGCAGAGGGTGGGAGGAGAATGCCAGAGGCCTCTGCCTTAGGAGCCATGCAACAGAGTGAGACCAAAGTACTGATCTCAGCTATGCCCTTTAAGGGTCCCAGATGTAAGCAGCCTTTTGGTTAGGGTTCCTCTGTGTGTGTGTGTGTGTGTGTGTGTGTGTGTGTGTGTGTGTGTGTGTGTGTGTGTGTGTGTGTGTGTGTAGAGGGAGAGAGAGAGAGAGAGGCTGTGGGGGCTGGCAAGTCTAAATTGTGCAGAGCAGAATGTCAGGCTGGAGACCCAGGGAAGAGGTAATGTAGCTCGAATCCAAGGGCAGTCTCGAGGCAGAATTTTTTCTTCATGGGGGGATCCCAGTCTTTTTTTTTTTCTTTAAGACTTTCAAGTGATTGAATGAGGCCCAGCCACATCATGGAGTATAATTTGCATTACTCAAAGTCTACTGATTTTAATGTTAGTCTCATCTTAAAAAACACCTTCACAGAGACACCTAGTCTGGTGTTTCAACAAATACCTGTGTACTGTGGCCAAGCCAAGTTGACACATCAAGTTTACCATCACAGCCAACTAATACAAATCCCAGTAACCATGAAGGTCTATCTTAGAAAGGCAGGTGACTTCCTAACTAAGATTGTGTATGAACCTTTTTTTGTCCAGCCCAAGTCTCCATTTCAGGCTCAGCACCAATCTGGACAGGAAACTGAAGCTGACATGAATGCCTTCCAGGGATGAGGCAGTGATGGAATAGTCAGGGCGCACATGCAAGTACAATCCCAGAAGGCACACGTGGTACCCCTGGACACCAAGACTTTACCCTTGTTAGGGCACCCCCAGCAGGACATACATTAGTCAGGCAGGAGCTGGCCAAGGCCCCCAGTGTGGCTTCCCACTGTGGGACTTTTCCCTCTAGGGTTCCTCGTCCATCCAAACAACTCATTTGTGTTCTTGGTTTCTGAGGGACTGACAGAAGGCAGTCAGTCCAGGTTCTGTTAACCATTGACACCAGTTCCTCCTCTTCACAAGCATGGATGACATCTGTAGATGTTCTGCATGGGATGCTCAGGAGCTGGGTTGCCCCTACTGTCCCCTAGTTGCAGCTCTGTCAGGTGTAATTGTGCACTCGGCAGTCAGTATGATTTCAACATACTCACAGAAATTTAGGAAGGCTGAATGAGGAGCTTTTTTTTTTTTTCAGGAAAAGGGGAAGGTTTTCATGAACCATTTGAAAACCAGAGATCACTAATGTCCCCTCTCTCTGGCTTGACTCTTTCCACATGTCAGGTTTTGTGTTTTCTTCATTGTTAGAAAACCAGTGTGTACTAATCTGAAATCAAAACTTTCCACTTCTTACAAATCAAAACTACAATGAGATATCATCTCAGTGGATCATGCCTGTAATCCCAGCACTTTGGAAGGCCTAGGAAGGAGGACTGCTTGAGGCCAAGAGTTCAAGACCAACCTGGCCAACATAGCAGAACCCATCTCAAAAAATAAATAAAATTTTTAAAAACTTATATTTTTTAAAAGGCTGGGCGTGGTGGCTCATGCCTGTAATCTCAGCACTTTGGAAGGCCAAGGTGGGTGGATCACTTGATGTCAGGAGTTCAAGACCAGCCTGGCCAACATGGTGAAACCCCATGTCTACTAAAAATACAAAAATTAGCTGGGCATGGTGATGAGCACCTGTAATCCCAGCTACTCGAGAGGCTGAGGTGGGAGAATCGCTTGAGCCTGGAAGGCGGAGGTTATAGTGAACCAAGATCAAGCCACTGCACTCCAGACTGGGTGATAGAGTGAGACTCCATCTCAAAAATAAATAAATAAATAATTTTAAAAAAGAAAGTCAATTAATGTAAGTAACGATATATTAATCAGTTAAAGTAAAAAATAATAATCTCAATAGATACTATAAAGACACTCAATGTAATTCAATATATACTTTAAATAAAACCAAGTATCTCTTAAAAAAAAAAGACCTTCCCATTTCTTTACTTATCATCTACCGTCCTCTAGATCTTTTCTCTGAAATGGTCATATGCAAGAGGGAAAAAAGAATTTTCAGAGAAAAAAATTTTAATAAATCAACCAATAATACACATCATGTTCAGAAACTGATCAGGATGAAATTCCAGATTTAAAAATAAATTTATGTAGGTTTGCATAACTTCTTATCCCTTTTGTCTCTATCATTTATTTCACGAGCAGGCTGGAAAAGTTCAATGCTTTGCTGGTGACAGCTCTGCATTGAATGGTCAAAGTGCCTTACCAAGGTGTGTACACCAGGAGAAAAGTTAGGGAAGCAAAGCCAGGCTATTAGTCCTTTGTTGTGTAGGAGCTGAGGGCTTTGGCCCTTTACAGGTTCACTGGAAATGACTAACATAAGGCAGATTGAGCCCAGGAATTAAAGACCAGCCTAGACAACACAGAGAAACTCCATCTCTACAAAAAGATAAGAAAATTAGCCTGGCATCCTGGCACATGCCTGTGATCTCAGGTACTCGTGAGGCTGAGATGGGAGGATTGCTTGAACCCAGAAGGTCGAGGCTACAGTGAGCCATGATTGCACCACTGCACTGCAGCCTAGGCAACAGAGTGAGACCGTCTCAAAATAAAAAAGAAAAAATATTTCCCCTCCAGCCTTCCCTGAAGGGGATGGTCCCTCTAGCATTTATTACATTATAAGTATATAGCATTTCACATCAATTTTATCATACATCCAGATGCAGCAGCCATAAAACAAAAAAAAAAGCTATTTTTAATTCCTTTTTTTGGCTTTCATTGCAATTATAGGGTTAACATCATAGCTGCCAGGGGAGATTCTGTCTGGAAGGCTGGGAGGGGCTGCAGTAGCAGCAGCAAAGCTGAAGAAAAGGCTGGAGAAATTTTTCTTTTTGTTCCCTTTGGTTTATCTAAGCTTTGCTCCAGCCCAGAGAACTGATATAATTTTTTCCCTCCCACCTGGAGGAGAGAGAAACCCAAATTTTTAACATTTTTCATCCACCCCAGCATTACTTTTGTGAATTCCCAGTCCCTTTCTTTTGTTTGGAAGAGAGGACAAAAACCAAAATTTGACCTGGCTGTGCTCCCACCCCACAATCTCCGGCATGGCAAAAGACGCCAAGGAATGCAGTGATCCAAGTCTCCAAGAGTTGGATGTGTTCTTTTTAAATTCTGTAAGTAACATTTACCTCTCACAAGAGACAACAGCTAGCTGCTGTTTCACAGCGTGTGTGAGGCCATAATCGCCCGAGCACAAAAGGTTCATCACCCATTACTCCTTCATCCTTTCTTTACTTAAACAAGGCTTTCACCATATTTTAGTGAGTCAGGCTCATTCTGGCAAATCCCACCACTGTCACAACTGTGTCAGGGGTCCCCAAGACCACTCCCATTTTCGATTATTTGCTGGGAGGACGCACAGGACTCACAGTCAGCATATAGCTGGACTCATGTTGGTGAAGATTCATTACAATGGAAGTATACGGCAATATCAGCACAAAAAAAAAAGTGTATGGGGCAATGTCCCGAGGAAACCAGCCCAAGTTTCCAGGAGTCCTTTTTTAGGAAAGTCACAGAATTCGTTCCTCCAGAAATCAATTGTGACATGTGTGATGTGACATATTTTCTACCAGAGCAGCTCACTAGAGATTCAGTGTTGAAGACTTTTACTGGGGGCTGGTCACACAGGCACCCTCTGCCTAGCATGTGCCAAGATTCCAGACTTCCAGAATGAAAGCACCTATGCAGCATAAACTATATTTTGTACAAACAGTTTAGGCAGAGTAAGGGAATCATGGGAATCCTTCCCAAATCCAAGTTCCCTGATGCCTGGCAAGGGCCAACATGGTAAGCAGGCCCTTCTAAGGGAAGTCTCAGGCTTCCTATATTATTAACCCTTTTCTGCCAGCACCGAACAACAGACCTTCGAAACACAAAAGCAGGCTGGGCACAGTGGTTCGCGCCTGTAATCCCAGAACTTTGGGAGGCCGAGGCAGGTGGATCACCTGAGGTCAGGAGTTTGAGACCAGCCTGGCCAACAGGATGAAACCCCATCTGTACTAAAAAATACAAAAATTAGCCAGGTGTGGTGGCACATGCCTGTAATCCCAGCTACTCAGGAGGCTGAGGCAGGAGAATCGCTTGAACCTGGGAGGCGGAGGTTGCAGTGAGCTGAGATTGCACCACTGCACTCCAGCCTGGGTGACAGAGTGAGACTCTGTCTCAAAAAACAAAAAACAAAAACAAAAAAAAAAACACAAAAGCAAAATCACACATAGAGGAAAAGATGAACAAATTTATAATTATAGTTGGAGATTTCAATTCTCTCTCAGTAATATATAGAAATAGTTGAAAGAAAATTAGCAAGGATATAGAAGAACTGAATGACACCATTTACCCACTGAATTGTATTTACATTTACAGAACCATCTACATAACAACATGAGGATATACATTCTTTTCTAGTACATATGGACACTTCACCAAAATAGCCCATATCTTGGGTCACAAAATAAATCTTCCCAAATGTAAAATAATTGAAATCATACAGAGCATGTTCTCTGATCAAAATAGGAAAAAAAAAAAACAAGGAATAAGAGAAAGTAAACAGGAAAATCTCCAAACTTAGAAATTAAACAATCCATATACTTCTAAGTAATCCATGGGTCAAGGAGCAATACAAGGGAAATTAGAAAATATTTTAAACTGAATGAAGATGAAAATACAACATATTAAAATTTGCAGGATGCAGCTAAATCAGTGCTAGGGAGTAAATTTATACCATTACATTATCATATTGGAAAAAATAAAGGACCCAAACCCATTATGAAACTTTCCACCTTAAGAAACTAGAAAAAGAAAATAAAAATAAACCCAAAGTAAGCAGAATGAGGGAAATAAAGATTGGAGCTGAAATCGATAAGACTGAAAACAAAAAAAAGAACAGACAAAATCAATGGCCCAAAAGCTCGTTCTTTGAAAACTTTAATACAAGTTAGAGACCCCACAAAAATGAAAAGGATACTATGAATAACTAATGAATACTAATTCACAAATATATGAATGCATATACATTAAGCAACTTAGATGAAAATGGAACAATTGTTTGAAAGACACAAACCACCAAAACTTACTCAAAAATAGATCATTGGCCAGCTGTGGTGGCTCATGCCTGTAATCCCAGCACCTTGGGAAGCCAAGGTGGGTGGATCACTTGAGGTCAGGAGTTCAAGACCAGCCTGTACAACATGGCAAAACTCTGTCTCTACTAAAAAAAAATAATAATAATAATAAAATAAACCAATAATAAAATAAACCAATCATCTAAATAGATTCCATCTATTAAAAGATGGAATTTTCTTAATCCAGTCTATCATTGTTGGACATTTGGGTTGGTTCCAAGTCTTTGCTATTGTGAATAGTGCCACAACAAACATACATGTGCATGTGTCTTTGTAGCAGCATGATTTATAATCCTTTGGGTATATACCCAGTAATGGGATGGCTGGGTCAAATGGTATTTCTAGTTCTAGATCCCTGAGGAATCGCCACACTGACTTCCCTAAACTTAAAGTATAATAATAATAAAATTAAAAAAATAAAATAAAAAAATAAAATCACTGCAGAAAAAAAAAACATGGAATTGATGGTTGAAATATTTACCAAATCATGTTATAAGATCAGCATTACACTGACACCAAAATCAGACAAAGACAGCATTAAGAAAAAACCAACTATAGTGTAATCTCCCTCATGAACATAGATTCAGAAAATTCTCAACAAAATATTATCAAGAAAACATTTGGTTAATATTAAATCCAATAATATATAAAAAGGATAATGCACCAAGACCAAGTGGGATTTATCTTGGGAATGCAAAGCTGGTTCAATATTCAAAAATGTGTCAATGCAATCTACCATATTAATATACCGAAAAAAAACTGCAAACTCCAACCACATGGTCACAACAGTTGATACAGATAAAGCCTTTGACAAAATTCAACAGTCATTCATAATTAAAGAAAAAAAAAACAGCAAACCAGAATTAGAAGGAGGCTTGCTTAACTTGATATGGAGCAACTAAAAAAATCCTACACCTTATATTATACTTAATAAAGACTAACTGCTTTCTCCATAACATCAGGAACCAAACAAGGTTGCTCATTCTCACCCCTGTTATTCAATATTGTACTGAAAGTTCCAACCAGCTTAAAAAGGAAAGAAAAAGAAATAAATGGCTTACAGATTGGAAAGGAGGGACTACAACTACTCCAACTCACAGACATTATTATAATCTACATAGAAAATCTTGTCAGATTTATAAAAAATACTTCTCGAATGAACAAGGGAGTTAAGCAACATTATAGGATATATGTTCAACAACAACAAAAAGCAAAGCACTTCTATAGACTAGCAATGAACTGCTTGGAACATTTTTAAAAATATACAATACCATTTACAATAGCTGCCCCTGAAAACCTAACAAAACATGTGCAGGAGCCGTATGCTAAAAACCATCAGAAGCTAATGAAAGAAATAAAGGAACAATTAAATAAAGAGAGGGACGTACTGTACTCATGGATTACAGACTCATTATAGGAATGATGTCCCCAAATTGATGTACAGATTTCATGCAATTCCAATGAAATTCCCAGCAGGATCTTTTATAGATACAAACTGATTCTAAAATTTATGTGGAAAGGGAAAGGAGCTACAACAGTCAAAATGACTTTGAACTTTGGGAAGCCGAGGCAGGATGGCTTGAGCCCAGAAGGTCGAGGCTGCAGTGAGTCATGATCATGCCACTGCACTCCAGCCTGAGTGACAGAGTGAGACCCCATCTCTGCAAAAAATAAGAAAACTTAGCCGAGTGTGCTGGTGTACACCTGTAGTCCCAGCTACTCAGGAGGCTGAGGATTGCTTGAGCCTGAGAGGCCAAGGGTGCAGCAAACCGTGATTGTGGCACTGCACTCTAGCCTGGGTGAGAGAGTAAGACCCTGTCTCAAAAAAAAAAAAAAAAATCTATTTGCCTTATTTTTGTGGATAGTTCAACAGAAAGAGAACAGTCTTTTCAACAAATGGTGTTGGAAACATTGGACATCCAGGATATTTATCCTAGAAGAAGGAAAATTTATGTTTACACAAAAATCCATGCACAAATGTTTATGGCAGCTCTATTCATAATTGTACCAAACTAGAAATGACCCAAATGTCCTTCAATGGGTGCATGGATAAACAAGATCTGCTACACACATACAATGGAATATTATTCAGAAAAAAAGAAGGAACTATTGATATATTCAACGATTTGAATGAAACTCAAGGGGTCGAGCGCAGTGGCTCATGCCTATAATCCCAGCACTTTGGGAGGCCGAGGCGGGCGGATCAGAAGTTCGAGACAACCCTGGCCAACATGGTGAAACCCCGTCTCTACTAAAAATACAAATATTGGCAAGGCATGGTGGTGCGTGCCTGTAATCCCAGCTACTCAGGAGGCTGAGGCAGGAGAATAGAATCGCTTGAACCCGGGAGATGGAGGTTGCAGTGAGCCGAGATCACGCCACTGCACTCCAGCCTGGGCAACAGAGCAAGACTCTGTCTCAAAAAAAAAAAAGAAAAGAAAAGAAAAGAAAGGAAAAGAAAAGAAAAGAGACTATGCTGAGTGAAGAAGCCAGTCTCAAAAGACTACAGGCTGTATTATTCCATTTCTATGATATCCTGGAAAAGACAATAGTATAGTGATAAGAGAACAGATCCGTGGGTGCCAGCGCTTAGGGGTGGGAGAAGGAAGTGACTATACAAGGGCAGCACAAGGAACCCAGGAAGTTCTTTGGGGTGATGCATATGTTCTGGATACTGACTGTGATGGTGGTTATATCTATCTATACAGGTGTTCAAATTCACAGAACTATACCTCAAGTGTCCATTTTACTGTATAATTTCAAAAATTAAGAAAATTTGCCCACCAGACAGGTTAGAATCCTTGCTTTCTGTAAAACTGTTATAATACAGACATATGTATGCCTAAACACTATTGTTATTTGCTTTTGAGCCATGTAGAAAGGGAATCACATAGCATATCCTCTTTTATATCTGGCTTCAGTCACCTAATGTTATGTCTCTGTATGGTCTAGCTCATTCCTTCTCATAGCTGTGCAGTAATTCATAGTGTGAATCTGGCAGAATTTATTTATGCAACTTCTTATTGGTGTGTAGTTGGGTTGTTTCCAGTTTTTAGCTATTACAAGTAGGGTTACTCTATGAACATCATTGCATGTACAAGAATTCTCATCACAGGTCTGGATGGTCAAAAAGTAAATCAAACACTAATTAACGATCCAATAGGAGAATGACTGAATAAACTATGGCTACAATAAATGATGGCATATAATCCAAATCAGGTCAGAACAGGTGAGTCATTATTTGGATAAATTACCCAAGTGTTAACCTGGTGGCTGTTGTGATGATGACGCATGGCTCTAATGACTGCATGTGGGTCGCAGTAACTCACAGTGAGCTCACTGGGCTCGTCTCGGGGCACCCATAGGCAGAGATGACGACAACAGGAAGGAACAGTGACAAAGCAGGTGGCCACCCCAGAACACTATAGAGAAAATCTCACCTGGTCCCCAGACCATGGTTCTGCTCACAACCTCAGAACTTCCCTCGCCTGACTGTCCTGAGCACTTCCAGGAAGGCAGCCCCTGGCTGTCCCTGAGGTGGCCGCATCTGTCCTTCCCCACCAACCCTGACCCACTCCTCCTCCTCTTGGGCCAAATCTGCTTTATTAACGCCTCAGCTCCCCTCCATTCATGAGCATCCCCTGCATGTTGGGGGTATAATGATGCTCACTGCGCAGGTGAGGAGACTGAGTGTCGTAGAGGGCAGCAGCTGGGCCTGCAGCTGCACAGCAGGTCAGTGGGCCTGTGCTGGGTGGGCCGTGCCTCACCCCACAGCTGTGCACCCCCTCAAGCTGTATGGAGATTGTCTGCTGCCTCCTCTTCTGAGGGATCCTCCTGGTCCCTGTCTCCCCAAACCACCAGGCCTGGAGCTTCTAGACCCAGAGTTCAGGCCCTGGGAGAGGACAGGGTGGAGGCGGAGCCGGCAGCTGGCCAGGATCTGGCTGGGGGGTTGGTGGCCTTTTCCTGAGCCCCAGGCTCTGTTGGAGCCTGCCCCCAGTATCTTCAGGATCCAGGCTGGTGCCCTCAGGACTCGCCAACCTATAGCCTGACCTGCCTCAGAGCCAGTGCATCTTGTAGAAGAAAGCATATAATGCAATCATTAAATAAGAAAAGGAAGACAAAATTATATGAGAATTTTCCTTTAGCCATGGAAATGAGCTTCTGGTACAAGGAGAAGAAGTAGGAAGGAGTGAAAAGCCATCTGCAGATGACCCCAACAGCACTAAAACCTGGCCCTAGGCTGCCCCTACCTGTCCACATGCAGAGAGGGAGGCTCCAAGAGACACCCAGCCTGGAGCTCATGCACCCTGAGGCCTCTGACCCCACCAGGAGTGAATGTTTAAGACTGTTCCTCTGTCTTCTCTGAGGCTTTCCCGGTCTTGGAGATGAGATGCCCCCTGCTGGCAAAGGTGGATATCACTGCAACGTGGCTGCACTGTGCCTGGAGACACCAAGACCTCACCGTGGGACCACAGGCTTCAGTCAGGCTTCCCTGACTGAAAGGAAAAGGTCACTTTGACTTAGCAGGAAGCTCAGGTTTGGACTTGGTCCCACCCTGGACAACAGACACGGAGAAGAGGAAGTGGAGGGGTTGTAGGATGTGGGTGGGTGACAGCAGGGCTGAGGGCTGAGGACAGAATGAGCAGGGGCCACTGTGAGACTAAGATGCTAGCTCTGGCCAGGTACGGTGGCTCATGCCTGTAATCCCAGCATTTTGGGAGGCCAAGGCGGGTGGATCACTTGAGGTCAGGAGTTCAAGTCCAGCCCGGCCATCATGGCAAAACCCCATCTCTACTAAAAATACAAAAATTAGCCATGCATGTTGGCGTGCACCTGTAATCCCAGCTACTCTGGAGACTGAGGCAGGAGAATCGCTTGAACCTGGGAGGTGCAGGTTGCAGTGAGCCGAGATCGCTCCACTGCACTCCAGAGTGGGCGATAGAGTGAGACTGTCAAGAAAAGAAAAGAAAAGAAAGAAAAGAAAAGAAAAGAAAAGAAAAGAAAAGAAAAGAAAAGAAAAGAAAAGAAAAGATGCTGGCCCTGGTCAGAAGGAGGAGGAGGAAGAGGAGGACCAGGAAGGCCTCGGCAAAGGACTGTGCTCGGAGCTGGGGCTGATGAGAATACAGAAGGCCCTCACCTGTGAATGGGTGATAGAAGTAGAGTTGACAGTCACGGAGTTGGGTGAGAAAAGCATGATTCATGTTAGGTGGTCAGCCAGTGTCTGGTACAGAATCACGGTGAGGTGAATACCGATAGTATTGGTATGAATGGTTGTATTAGTCAGGGTTCTCCCAAGAAACAGAACCAAAGAGGGGACTTGTTATGGGAATTGGCTCATGTGACTGTGGGGGCTGAGAAGTCCTGCCATCTCCATCTGCAAGCTGGAGAGCCAGGGAGGTGGATGGTGTGATTCAGTTTGAGTCCAAAGGCCTGAGAACCAGCAGAGCCAGAGGCATAATTCATGGAGTCTGAAGGCTTGAAAACCCGGAGTTCTTATGTCCAAAGGCAGGAGAAGACGGGGTGTCCCAACTCCAGAAGACAGCAAATTCCCCTTTCCTCCGCCTTCTTGTTGTACCTGTGCCCTCGAGGGATCGGACAATGCCCACCCACGCCAATCTTCCTCCATCGGTTCACTGATTCAAAGGCCAGAAACACCCTCACAGACACACCCAGAGATAATGGTTTGCCAGCTATTTGGGTTTTTCTTAACCCCATCAAGCAGACACCTAAAACTAACCATCACAATAGTGATATAAAAGGCATCACTCTGTGAACTGCCTGCGACATGCTGTTCTCCTCTACAGGGTGGGCACTCACTCTCTTGGAGGCTAAGGTCCATCTGTCTACCTCTGTGGCCCCAGTATGGGGACAATGACAGTTACCATCAAGGCTTGCCAAGGAAGAGGGTAAGTGGTAGGCAGAATAGTGGCCCCCCAAACACATCCATGTCATTATTGCTAGAACCTATTCCAGCCAGGGAGATGACAGTGGGCCTGTACTCAGCCTTGCCCTGTGCCCGGCACTGCTCTCGGTGACTGACCAGTTGTCTCACCTCTCCTTCACATAACCCTGTGAGGAGGGAAAGTTAGTACCCTGATGACAGACGAGCAAAGGGAGGCAGAGAGAGCTGAAGCCACTTGCCCACCGTCTGATCCGGGGCAATTTAGTCCCTGCCAATGTCACTCCAGCCCCTGCTCCTACCCTGCCTCAACTACTAGACCCATCTAACATGGGCTCGGGAGGAGGGCAGTACACATGTTTTCCCCAAAACCTGCACCTACCCTGCTTGGCGGGCATTAGCCTCCTTTATGAATGGGGAACTGAGGCTGGTCAAGGACAGGTGACTTGCCCAAAGTCACACCACCAGGGCTTGGGGTTCCAGGCTTCTATGAAGCCTGCCAGGCCCCAAAGCCCACATGTCCTGGGCTATTGTGGGTGTAAATGAGGCCTGAGGGGAGATGGACCCCAACATCTGAGGACAAAATGGGCAGATCCTGTCTATCCCCTGAGAGGTGGTGTTCCTGCTCCATGGCTGGCGTCAGGAGCACAGGATAGAGGATTTCCCACCAGACAATCTCCACAAACAGGCCTGAGGGAGCCTCTGGAGCCTCCAGGATAGAAGGCAAGACCTGGAGCCCAGGGGAGGTTCTGCAGGAAGGAGGCCGCCTATGCTGTGTGGTCCACACCAGCAGGCCAGGGCACTGCGAGCCTGTGTGCAGGAGTCAGGGACACTCACGCGACTCCCACTTCCCACAGCACTCTGCTTCACTTGTGAGTCTTTTTTTTTTTTTTTGCCTGAGAGTGTATAAAACGTTAAGTGTATGTTTTAATGACAAGCAATAAGCTGCACGTTCATGTAACAACCATATAGTTCAAGGTCGATCACCATCCCAGAAGTCCCCAGGGTCCCTTCTCAATCAGTGTGTTTTTCCTCACTGTCCCCCACCTTCCCCTTCTGCCTCTCTCTTCCATCCCAGTTCCTTTCTCATTCCTAAAGTCCTGCCTTCCCACTGGAAGTAGAAATGTCATGCTGGCCATGGTTCCTGTATTATCATAAATAATTTCTACTGGCTGGCTGGCTGACTTTCAGTGTGGATGGCACCTTCCCTCCAGCTGTGGGCTCAAGCCCTGTGTCTCCCGTGGCACAATAGGAGGTCATCCCTCTTTTAGGAATTTCAGGTGTGAGCAGGAGAGCAGGCTCAGGGCACTTCTCTGAGCCTCAGGTCCTTCATCTGTGACATGGGAGAACCCCATCTCCCTCTCAGGTTGTGGGAGAAATAGAGATGGGGACACCAGGCACCTGTCAATGAGTGCCACATGTCAAAACCTTGGATGAGCCTTTCTTTACCATCACACATCCTTGAGATCCCAGACCCACCAGGTGCTTCCCCTGCTCCAGGGCTGTTGCACTTGCTGTTCCTTCTGCCTGGAATGCTCTTCCCTCAGGTAATTGCAAGGCCTGCTCCTCACTGCCTCCAGGTCTCTGCTCAGTCATCACCTCTCCAGGGATGCCTTCCCCACACACCCTGAATAAAATAACATCCTGCCCACTTACCCATTTACCTGACCCTGTCTTAACTTTCTTTTTTTTTTTTTTTTTTTTTTTTGAGACAAAATCTCACTCTGTCACCCAGGCTGGAGTGCAGTGGCGCGATTTTGGCTCACTGCAAACTCCGCCTCCCGGGTTCAAGCAATTCTCATGCCTCAGCCTCCCAAGTAGCTGGGATTATAGGTGTCTGCCACCACGCCTGGCTAATTTTTGTATTTTCAGTAGAGACGGGGTTTCATCATGTTGGCCAGGCTGGTTTCGAACTCCCAACCCCAGGTGATCTGCCCGCCTCGGCCTACCAAAGTGCTGGGATTACAGGCATGAGCCACTGCGTCAGCCACTGTCTTAACTTTCTACGTAGCACTTACCACACTGTGATGTGCTATATATTTACTGACCAACTCTATGCTATCAGGGATGTTGTTGGTTTTGGTCTCTGTTGTATCTGCAGAACCTAGAACAGTACTCAAATATACAGCAGACGCTCAGGAAATTCTTGTTGAAGGATGGCTGGAGTGGGGCCCTTTACACACATTGCTAAGATGCACAGATGCCCTCCAAGATGGATATTGGCCCCATTTTACTGATTATGATACATACTGAGGTTCAAGGAGACAAGTGACTTGCCCAATGTCACACAATCAAGACTTGGGGGCTCCAGGCTTTGAAATCATGTCTGCCAGCCTCCAAAACCCATAGTTCCTGGACCGAGACCTCACAGCCAAAAAGGTAAGAAATTTCACTCCTGAGACACAGACTCCCAAACAGCTCAGATACTCAAAGACATCAAAAAGAGCTCACTAATCTCACAACCTGAAACAGACTCCAAAATCCCTGCACAGAGACCCCACAACTTGACACAGACCCCCAAACAGAACAGAGACCACACATGCTGTGACAAAGACCCCCACACACAACAGACCAAAGTTCTCACTCCTGGGAAACAAATTAAAACCATTCAGATATCTCACACCCTAGACAGAGACCCCCCCCAAACCACTCAGACACCTCCCAACCTAATACAAAACAGAAACAGAAGTTCAAGTAGCTCAGAAACATCACATAATCTTAAGATAAAGTCCCCAGACAAATCAGAGAACCTACATTCTGGGCAGAGACCCCTCCCTCCTCCAAACAGCTCAGATACTTTATACCTTAAGCAAAATTGTCCTCACCAACACCAGCTGGGAAACATCACAACTTGGGACCCAGAATTGCAAACAGCTCAGAGACTTCACATCCTGGGGTGCAGACACCTACATAGAGCTCTCACACCCAGGGACACAAATGTCCAAAAAGCTCAGAAGATGCACACCCAGGCCAGGCGTGGTGGCTCATGTCTGTAATCCCAGCACTTTGGGAGACCGAGGTGGGAGGATCACTTGAGGCCAGGAGTTCAAAAACAGCCTGATCAACATAGCGAGACTCCATATCTACAAAATAAAAAATAAAAAACTTAGCCGGGCATGGTGGTGAGCACCTATAGTCGCAGCTACTCGGGAGGCTGAGGCGGGAGGATAGCTTGAGCCTAGGAGTATGAGGCTGCAGTGAGCCATGATCAGCCACTGCACTCCAGCCTGGGCGACAGAGTGAGACTCTGAAAACAAACAAGAGAAAAGAAAAGAAGGCATATCCAGACACATAGGCACACAAAATCCACTGAGATAAAATATCCCATTCAGACACAATCTGGACCCCAAACGGCCCAGAGTGATCAAATACACCCAAACAGCATCTGAGATGTCATGCCTAAAGATACACATCCCCGAAACTGCTTCACCCGCATTACTTCCTAGGCAAACACCAAACAAGCTCAGAGACCGCTCCCTGGACATTAATTGAGTGTAGCGGGAGGAACGATGGTGCCGTGCCAAAAGCGCCAGACTAGGCTTGTCACCGAGTTAAGGATAAACAAGACTGAAAGAGCTCACGTGAAGCAAATGACTAGGGCGAACTTTGCCGGGGTGGCATCTCCAGCCCCTTTGGGACTGTCAGTTGGTGAGTAGGCCAAAGAACTCTACTGTATCAAAAGCCACACACCCTCCTCGCTCCCGCTGCCTGAACTTCAGCTCCGCAATCGTCGTGCCTGTCACAAACTGAAGGCCAATGGGAACCAGAGATGCGAAGAGGGAGGCAGGGGCTAGCCGGTCCATCCGGAGCCACTCCGCGCCCCGGAAAAGCTTAGTCGGGGCACTCTCGCAGTAACCAATCACCTCCCGGGACGGCCCTCGACCCCGCCCTTCACATCTTGGAGCCAATCGCTTGCCCCTTTGCGGTCCCCAGCGGGATTTGACTATGTAGAAACGAGGGGGTGGAGGTAAAGTGAAAATGATGCCTCGAACAGGCTGGGAGAACCGAGTGGTGCGAGTAGGGACGGACCTAACGGGGCAGGAACTGTGGCGGATGCTACACGTGGGTTTAAAGAGACCCTTAGTGCTGTCGCACACAAGGGATTATTCCAAAATGGACAGGCGGAGTGGACTGTCCTTCCTCTGCGCCCCTCAGTGGTACATCCCAGGATAGAACTGTTCCATCCCGCGCGCCCCTTGGTGGTGCAAACAAGGAACAGCTAGTGGATGCAGATACCCATGGACCATTCCGGGCTGGTCCCCAGAGGGTGAGAGGGCAAAGTCAGGACAAAAACTGACTGTATACTCACTGCAATCTTGAACAGGAGAAAAGTGTTCCTAAGCAGCAGACTTCCATTACCTTCCTGCAGCGTCCACCATCAAACGTTTACCACGTGCTGGGCATTGTGCTCACTTGTCCCTCCCTGGGTAATGCAGAATAGATCTAATGGGGGGCCTGCTGGCCTGGGAACCCAGCCACAGTCCCCCAAGGGGCAGGAGGGATGGAACTCCTGACTGGGCTCAGAAGGCCTGATGCGGGCCAGGTGTCTGTCCTTGACTGTCAGTAATGGGTGAGAGGGACAGCAGGACCTTCAAGCTCTGTTAGGGAAAGGGCCATCTCTCAGGGGCCCCCAAGGAGAATGAGTAGGCCAAATAAATCCTGTCACACCTGAATATGTGCCCTAGCAGAATCCTCAACCTGTCTAGCTATATCTCTCACCAGAATTTTGCATTGGTTTATTCATTTGCTAATTTATTCATTCTGTCCAAAGTATGTGCCAGGCACTGTTATAGGTGTTAGGAATACAGCTGTGTGGAAAGAGACAAAAACTCCTGCCCTCGTGGAGCTTACATTCTATTGGGATCATATGGCACAAAAATGTAAGCATGTAATTTGTCAGGTGGTGGTAATTGCTGTAATGAAAAGTCAGGGTAGTGAAATAGAAGAGGGGAGGATCCTATCTAGAAAGAGTAGCCAAGGAAGATCTTTCTGAGAACGTGAAATTGACATTTCAATAGGAGATGAATATCTGAGAGAAGCATTCTGGGCAGAGATAAGAACCAGTGCAAAAGTGTTGAGGTGGAACTCTGCCTAGCATGTGTGAGGCACAGTGAGGAGGCCAGTGTTGCTGGAAGAGGTGGGAGATGAGCTCAGAAAGGTAATGAGGACCAGATTATACAGGACCTTCTGGGCCATGGCAAGGACTTTGACTTACTCTGAGCGAGCCATGGGAAAGTTTTTAGCAGAGAAGCTCCTATGCTTCTTTCAGAGGCCAGAGGCCCAGGTCACTCAAAGTATAGGGAAGAGCTCCTGGTTTTGCCGAGGGACTCCTCCAGCCCCTCTGCAGCCAAATATGCCTTTCCTGGACAATCCCTTAGACTCAGAAGGTATCCTCCCAACTGCTCCCCAGAAAAATCCATGTCAGAGGATGATACCCTTAGAAGAAGCTGATCAAGGGCCCTGATAGCATGAGTGAGGTCACACCTAGCCCCATGTCTGAGAGAGAAAGTAACAGACACAGAGAAGATAGAGGGAAAGAAAGAGAGTAATAGAGAGACAAGGGCAGAGAGACTACTTCTGGCAGCTGGCTGTCCCTGCTGAATTAGATCCACAGCTCCGGACCCCTATGCATGCTACTAGGTGCTGTGCCTGTGTCTGCAGAGGAAAGGAAGCCTCTCCCCAGAAACTGTGTCTAGGGACTGACTCACCTGCCCTTGGCCTGGGCCTCAGTCATGAGGGAAGACCCGCCCCACTTCCTTGACACACATTGGGACCCTCTACCCATCAGGATAAGGACACGTTCCAGTTATGGGGAGGCTCATGCTGTATACAGAATCCCCCATACCCCCTCCAGCCCTTGACTGCCGTCCTGCTGACTCTCAGTGCTGAAAAAATTCTTTTTTTTTTTTTTTTTTTTTGAGACAGAGTCTTGCTCTGTCACCCAGGCTGTAGTGCAGTGGCACAATCACGGCTCACCGCAGCCTCAACCTCCTGGGCTCAAGCAATCCTCCTACCTCAGCCTCCCAAGTAGCTGGGACTATAGGTGCACGCCACCATGCCCAGCTGATTTTTTTGTTTTGGTTTTGGTTTCTTTGAGACAGAGTTTCCCTCTGTCACCGAGGCTGAGTGCAGTGGTGTGATCTCGGCTCACTGCAACCTCCACCTCCTGGGCTCAAGCGATTCTCATGCCTCAGCCTCCCGAGTAGCTGGGATTACAGGCATGCACCACCATGCCCGGCTAATTTTTGTATTTTTAGTAGAGACAGGGTTTCGCCAGGTTGGACAGGCTGGTCTCAAACTCCTAGCCTCAAGTGATCCACCTGCCTTGGCCTCTCAAAGTGCTGGGATTACAGGCATGAGCCACCATGCCCGGCCTGATTTTTTTTTATATGTTTTGTAAAGACAGGGTTTTGCCATGTTGCCCAAGCTGGTTTTGAACTCCTGGGCTCAAGCCATCTGCCTGCCTCGGCCTCCCAAAAGTGCTGGGATTACAGGCGTGAGCCACCATGCCTGGCCTGAAAAAAATTCTTTCAAGGGGGAAGAAGAGGTAGGAATCTCTACATTTGCTGGTGGACCTCATGCCAATGGATGAATCTGTGGTATTTCCCCACTCTTTACCTCATGCCACCACTTCCACAGGTAACGTGAGGATTGCATTCTCAACATCCATTACCAAGCAGGGTGTGCGACAGAGAGACAGAGAGGCAGACCTCCCACCAGTGAGTCAGTGATGGGGCCCTTGAGGCCCTGGGCAAACCTCTTCCTTTCCCCTTTCCTTGTCATCTCCCATTGACCCCGGCTGTGCCTGAGCCTTTCCCTGTCTCCTCCAGTGAGTCCAAGTTACAGCCAGTTCCTCCCTCTTCATGAGGACTGTGTGAGCACAGGCCCTACCCTCACTTGGCTTCAGCCTCCTCATCTGCAAATGGTGAGCTCCTCATTGGCAATTTGGCAGATTGAGTTAACATGGGTTACATGGGTTTGTCACAGGGGTCGGCCCTGAGCAAGGATGGGGTTAATGTCTGCAGACATTGTCATTAGTATTTGTACCACTGGCTCCTACATGCTACACTGAGGACTTGCCCTCCCTAAGGATAAGGATCCTATGTTTTCATCTCTCTGATACCAGGGCACCTTGTTCTACCCCTGTGAGAGAAAGGACCATCCTGCCTTCCTCACAAAAATATCCTGATATATGAGCAGCTCGGAGACCTAACCTTCTGGACAAAGACCTCCCACAAAAATGTTCAAAGATCTCATGCCTTAGGACAGTGCCCACAAGCAGTTCAGAGACCTCTCACCCTAGACACCAACCACCAAACAGCTCAAAGATGCCACACCTCAGGACACAGACCCCCAACCAGCTCAGAGAATTCCTACCTCAAGGTAACAGCTCACAATAACTCAAGGACCTCACACACCAACCCACAAAGAGCTTACCAGCTACACCCTGGTACACATACCCACAAAGAATCAGCTCAGGGCTGCTGTGTGATGCTGAATCTCTGTGCCATCCAACACTGTTATGGGGAGGCCTTGGATCTTGTAGTTCCCCACAGTCTGCAGTCACCACCGTTGTTGTCATGAGGAAGGCAGGTTCACACCAGGGATGGGGAAGGACCCTCTGGGACTGAGGGGATCAGAGAGTAAGCTCTCATATCTGGCTCCCAGGAATGGCCATCGTCTGACCAACCCTGATCACCTTTGGTCCTGGTGACTTTTGTATCTTGCCCCATGGGGGCTTCAGGGTAAATCCCAGAACACAGTAGGAGACCCCTAGACCCCGTTATCTTTGCCATCTCTCAGCACCCACTGTGGGGAACTGGATCTTGGAGAGAGAGTAGAGGTCCTCCCTTCACACTGCCAATGGCAACCCCCATTATGGCCCTTCTGAGCATTCTGGTCCTTTCTCCCAAACTTCCTCTCCAATTGGCAGCTGCCACACCTCCTCTCTCTCCCCAGCTCCCCACCCTTGTGAGCCACCAGGGCTCCCCTTCCACCACGGACCTCTACCTCCCTACCCCAGCCCTAGTCATGGGGCCTCAGTTATACCCTCTCACGCCCACTTCGGTCCTCTCACCCGGCACCTAGGCCTACCTCAGAGGACCCCCTCAGGACCCTCCCTGCACTTCCTGAAAGTGCAGACCATTTTGCAGGACAGATATCTCTCCTGCCCCCACACAGGTTTCTGTCACAACATCCCTGTTAGGGCAGAACTGGAAATGTCTCCCAGATCCAGATGAAACTCCAGACCCAGACTGAGAGTCCAGGGCAATTCGCCTAGGGCTGGAGGGGGCGGGGTGGGATTCCTGAAGGAGGCGCTGGGGTGAGTGTCACCTCAGGAGATGGGAGGACACTGCCCAGCTGGGTCTGTGAGGACAGAGAAGGGACCCTGGGAGGGACAGGGGCAGCATGAGCGCTGGGAGTGTCCCAACTGCGGTCCTCCGGGAATTGTCATCTGGCCCCAGCTCTGCCCCACCCTGGTTGGAGGGCCCCAGCCAGGGATCTGCCTTCTTGGCGCTCCAGTGTCCTCATCAGCGACAGAGGTGACAGGGCTTTCTTCCAAAGGTGCTAGTGGGGATTAAATGAGATGGCACATAAGAAAGAAGTGCTTGGGACACTGCAAGTCAGATCTGTGATGACCTAAAACTTAGAGCCCTGCGCACTGAGCGCCAGATGACCCCTTGCGAGTGGTCTCACTTAAGCCCTGCCTGTGACTTGGGAAGCATCTTTAGCCTCATACTGAACAACAGTCCAAGTCTTGAAGACTGGATCCCACTGGTCATCCAGTCCTTAAAGCCCAGGCTCCGCTTTACGAACTTCCGCCCATCAGCCACTGTGCCTGACCGTGCGCGAGCGCGAAGACCCAGGGACCCGGCTCTACGAGTGCATCCCGCTGTACTCTGTAAGAGCCGCACTCTCTAGGTGAGCTTCCCAGAGCGGTCCTTGATGCCTTCCTGCCTTGATCGTCCCACAACCGATCGACTGCCCCTTTGCAGGTTCCTAATTTATTCAGATCTGTAGAACGGAGACGGGCGTGGCCAAAAATGGGACTAGAGGGGTCTCCGAGAAGTCGGAGAATGGGTGTCAGCTTGGGCCTGGGTGGAAACCAGGAGGACGGATTGCCGCCTGGGGCGCTCGCCGCCGCGCCCGCCCTACTGTCGAAAGGTGGGGCTGATTTCGTTGGTGGGCGGGGGTGGGCTTTATTGTCCCTCCACACACAGCATTTGTATTCTTACAAAATAGAAGCTCCCTTCCCCTATGGTATCTCGCATAATGGTGTGTTCATTTCCGGTACCCGCAATGGTATGTTACATCCTCCACGCCTCATCCCCAGCTGCACACTCACAGGAGGTGAGATCCAAGAGGGGCCAGCTATTTCATACTTAGGTCCTGTGGATTACTCTAATGGTTCTCAAACTTTAGTGTGCATCAAGAATCACCTAGAGAGCTTGTTAAAACACAGATTGCTGGGCCTCACCTTTCAGAGTTTCTGATTCAGTGGGTCTGGGGAGGGGCCCAAGACTTTCATTTCTTTTTTTTCTTCTTCTTCTTTCTTTCTGTTTTTGCTTTTGAGATGGAGTCTCGCTCTGTTGCCCAGGCTGCAGTGCAGTGGCCGAACTCGGCTCACTGCAACCTCCACCTCCCAGGTCAAGTGATTCTCATGCCCCAGCCTCCGGAGTAGCTGAGACTACAGGCGCACACCACCACACCCGGCTAATTTTTGTATTTTTAGTATTTTTAGTAGGGACGGGGTTTTACCATGTTGGCCAGGCTGGTCTAGAACTCCTGACCTCAGGTGATCCGCCCGCCTCAGCCTCCCAAAGTGCTGGGATTACAGGCATGAGCCACTGCACTCGGCCAAGACTGCATTTCTAACTGTGCCCAGCCACTCTTCCACACAGCTAAGTAGACTTTTATTCCCACCTTCCTCCACTGTATTACTAGTAGACCAGCCCTTCCCCATCTTTTTCTCCCTCTCTCCCCAACAACACACCCAGATAAAGTCTTATCACCAGACCCTGAAGATCTTAAAGGGAGCAAAGGTCTAAGCATCGAGTCCACTGCCACAGAGCTCCTGCCCCATGAGTGGTGTGACTATGCCAGTCAACAAACTTTTCTTCTCCTGCACCACTGATGAATAACATCAGAGCAGCATCTATCAAAATGAAAAATCCTTATATGTAAGCCCTTAGAATGTTACATCCATGAGGGCAGGGGCATTTTCCTATCCAGTTTCCTCAGTCTCTCCAGTGCCCACCACACAGCAGGCACTCACTGCATGGTTGTTGAATGGCTGAACTCTTTTTCCCTAGCAATTCCACTTAAAAGAATGTATAATGAAGAAACATACACATAGCACAGAGCTTAGTATACAAGGAAGATAGTAGCAAACAATCAGGGAAAACCTCTAAATGTCCATTCATAGTCAGTGATCACTGGATGGTAAATGAACAATGAGAGACTTGTATTATATCAGGGAGCAGTCACTGGCCACGGAACAGAATGAGGGGACCAGACTATACTGGTCAAAGGAATCTTCTTCAGGACACGCTCTTAATGGGGGAATGTGGAAAAGTTCATAGTGGGACCTGGGGTGTGTGTGTGTGTGTGTGTGTGTGTGTTTAAACACAGAGAAATGTATTTGAAGAAAACAAGCAAACACCCAGATCCTCACCCCAGTGGTAAGCTGGGAAGGGAGAGAATGTGGAGGAAGGGGATGGCCTATGTAGTCCGTGTACTGATGTACTAATGGAGTCTTTTATTCTTCTTTTTTTGAGACAGGCTCTCACTGTGTCACCCAGGCTGAGTGCAGTGGTGTGATCACAGCTCACTGCAGCCTCAATCTCCTGGGCTCTAGGGATCCTCCCACCACAGCCTCCCAAGTAGCTGGGGCTACAGGCGTGTGCCACCACACCTGGCCATTTTTTAGTTTTTTGTAGAGACAGGGTCTCACTATGTTGCCCAAGCTGGTCTTAACTCCTGAGCTCAAGTGATCCTCCCACCTTGGCCTCCCAAAGTTCTGGGATTACAGGTATGAGCCACTGTGCCCAGCCTAATGGAGTCTTTTACACCAGGCCCATATTCGAGTATTATTTGAGTAACTATAAAGCAAAGTCATGTGATGAAAGCAATCCCTACACCACAGAGGAGTTTTGTGTGAGGGTATCTGGAGGGTGTCCAGGAATAGGGTTATCAAAGTTACATGCCCGAGGGGCTAGACAATGTGCATAAGAGAACCCAGCTCATCTCAATGTAAGGAAGATCAGCGCAATGAGTATGCTAAATGTTCCCTGCCAATCAGCCTCTGGAGTGAATACAAACAGAGAAATTGGAGCTGGTGCAGATCCCAGCTTCTCCTCCTCTTATTAGCTGTGTGACTGGGGATCATTCCCTTGCCTTCTGTGTGTCTCAGTCTTCTCCACTGTGAAACAGAGTCAATCCCCATAGATTGTAGTGAAGAGTAAATAAGGTGATCCCAGTAAGAGTTATATTGGCTGTGAAGTGAGTCCTTGGTTAAAATATATACACACACACACACACACACACACACACACGAGTTCTCTCAAGACCTGGCACAGAATAAATGTGAGATAAACATTAGCCAGTACTATTGTTTTTGTCTTTCGGAGTCTCCCTCTATTGTTCAAGCTGGACTGCAGTGGCGTGATCTCGGCTCACTGCAACCTCTGCCTCCTGGGTTCAAGCGATTCTCCTGCTTCAGCACCCCCCACCCCCACCCTGAGTAGTTGGAACCACAGGCGTCTGCCACCACACCCAGCTAATTTTTGTATTTTTAGTAGAGACAGGGTTTCACCATGTTGGCCAGGCTGGCCTTGAACTCTTGACTTCAAGTGATTTGCCAGCCTCAGCCTCCCAAAATGCCGAGATTACAGGCATGAGCCACTGCACCCGGCTGCTTTTGTCATTATTTTTTCCAGAGATGCTCTATTTTAATGGTCAGTTAACTCCTTTAATACTGATAACATCCCTGGGTGGTTGTTATTATTATTAATCACTGTTTTACAGATGAGTAAACTGAGGCACTGTTCATCAGCTGACTTAAGCTTACCAGGGCCAGAGGATAAAAGCTAGTACTTATGCCCAGGTCTAGTCTGGCCCCAGAGCTCCTGCCCATATGCCTGGCTGTGCCTTATTCCATAGCAATATCAGTGACAGTGGTAGCCACTGTCATAAAGGTCATAAAGGTAGCCAAAGCTGAGCAAAGACCCCTGAAAGAAATTCGATCCTCACAACATGCTGAAGAAAGACTAGACATTTGAAGTACTCTCAGTCTCAGTGAGTCACTCCTCCCTGTGCATGTCCTGGGAGCTGGGAGAATCCATCCTATGGGTTCTGTCTTCAAGGGACATCCCAGCTACCTACAGGATCATGTCCAAAGCTGACCTGAGCAACACCCATCTCTTTCTGCACCGCTGGGCAGGGCATGCTGATGGCATCTGTTCTAGGGACTTTCTACCCCTGGGCCCAGCTGACCCATCATGACCTCCTTCCTGGCACTCTCCGCTTCGAGTGGCTGCAACAGCCCACATTCACCCCTGCTTCTATTAATAGACCAGTGAATAAGGAGACCTAGATACAAAGGGGTTAGACAGCTTGTCCAGGATCCCACCAAAGCCTGGATTTACACACTGCGCTTTCTGATGCTAGGTGTCCTGTCCTAAAACAACATTCTATTCTGCCTCTAGTAGCAGGTGCTCTTTAAATGATGACCTCATGTCGTGTACTTTACACACGATACATCCTCATCATCATAAATGGTAACTGTCATGATAGCAACAGCTGTTAAATTTTTACACTGACAGAACGTGGGGAGTTTCCTTCAACCTCTTCATCACAGGTCACACACATACATGTCATATGAGAAAGATTGCCAACCCTCTGAACACAGCATTCCAAGCCTAATTCAAGACTTACCTAGGAATCACTTCTGGCTTGCTACTCCATGATAAAGTAATGGGGTCTAAATTTATCTTCCCACTCTAAATAACTAAAAAAATTGGAAGAAGCAGTTTTAGGATATGGTACAACAGGCAGTGCAGGCATTGATACATGAGAGAAGGGGGGAAATGAGGTAAGTACTAAAATTGTTCCCAATTTACTGCCTGGAGAGTTTCCAGACATCAGTGCAGGGAAAGGGAACCCAAACAGAGGCCAGCATTCTCCCAGAGTTGAGGAAACAGAGCTGATTATTCTCGGAGGCCAAGACAGCTAGAATTCACAGAGCAGAGGTCCTGAGAAAGAGAGCTGCATGGAGAGGAGAGAGCTGCAGAGACAGAGAGAGAGAGTTCTGGAAATCTGCCAAGGGTCCCGTTGAGTCTTCAGCTGAATTTTGATCAGCATAAGTGTGTGAGGAAACTACCCAAGCCTGGAAAAACAGTCGCGGAAAAGGAGTGGGTGGAACAACCCCAGAACTCACAAAGGGATGGAAATAGTTTATCTCCTCACCTGCCAGAGTGGGAAAAACTTCATAACATGCAGGCTTCTGGGTAGAGTACTCAAAAAGATACTACCTCATGTGTTAAGCCATTCTTGTATTGCTGTAAAGAAATACCTGAGGCTGGGGAAAAGAGGTTTAATTGGCTCACAGTTCTGCAGGCTTCACAGGAAACATTGTGATGGCATCAGTTTCTGGTGACGCCTCAGGAAAGCTTTCAATCATGGCAGAAGGCAACGGGGAGCCAGCATGTCACATGGTGAGAGTGGGAGCAAGAGAGAGAGGGGGGAGGTGCCACACACTTTTAAATGACCAGATATCTTGGGAACTAGCTGAACAAGAACTCACTTATCACCAAGGGAATGTTGCTAAACCATTCATGAGGGATCCACCCCATGATCTAACCACCTCCCATCAGGCTCCACTTCCAACATTGTGAATCACATGTCGTCATGAGATTTGGAGGGCACAAACATCCAAACCATATTATTCTGCCCCTGGCCCCCCAAATCTCATGTCTTTCTCACACTTCAAAATACAATTATGCCTTTGCAATAATTTCCTAAACTCTTAACTTGTTTCAGCATTAAATCACGTCTCAAGTCTCATCTGAGACTCAACTCCTTCCACCTATAAACCTGTAAAATCAAGTTATTTACCTCCAAGATACAATGGTGGTACGGGCATTGGGTAAACATTCCCATTCCAAAAGGGAGAAATCAACCAAAAGAAAAGGGCAACAGGGGCTGGGCATGGTAGTAGATGCCTGTAGTCCCAGCTACTCAGGAGGCTGAGGCAGGAGAATCGCTTGAGCCCAGGAGTTTGAGGCTGCAGTGAGCCATGATTGTGCCACTATACTTCAGCCTGGGCAACAGAGTAAGATCCTGCCTAAAAAAATTAAATTAAATTAAAATAAAGGGGCAGTAGGCCCCAAGCAAGTCCAAAACCCAGCAGGGCAGTTATTAACCCTTAAATCTCCAACATAATCTTTGACTCTATGTCCTGCATCCAGGCACACTGGTGTGAGGGGTGGGCTTCCAAGGCTATGGGCAGCCCTGCCCCTATAGCTTTGCAGGATACAGCCCCTGTGGCTGCTGTCACAGGTCGAAGTTGAGTGCCTGCAACTTTTCCAGGCTCAGGGTACAAGCTGCCCATGGCTGTGCCATTCTGGGGTCTGGATGACAGTTACCCATTCTCACAGCTCCACTAGGCAGTGGCCCAGTGGAGACTCTATGTGGGGGCGCCTCTTATGTGGGGGGCTCTAAACTCACATTTCCCCTCTGCACTGACCTAGCAGAGGTTCTCTGTGAGGGCTCTGCCCCAGGCTTTCTCATATATCCTTTAAAATCTAGAGAGAAGCTGCCAAGCTTCCTTACTCTCACATTCCATGCACCTACAGACTTAACATTATATAGAAACCACCAAGGCTTATGGCTTGCACCCTTTGAAGCAGCAACACAAGCTGCACTGGGAGCCCCTTGAGACACAGCTGGATCTAGAGCTGGAGCAGCAGGGATGCAGGTAGTAGTATCCCAAGGCTGCATAGGGCAGCAGGGCCCTGGACCTGGCCCCCCAAACCCTTTCCTTCTAGGCCTCTGGATCTGTGATGGGATAGGCTGCCACAAAGATCTCTGAAATGCCTTCAAGGTCTTTTTCCCATAGCCTTAGATATTAATACTTGGCTCCCCTTTTGTCATGCCAAGTCTCTCTAGCAAATGGTTACTCCACAGCCCTCTTATAGTCCTCTACTGAGAAAACTTTTTCTTTGTCTGCCACATGGCTAGGCTGCAAATTTTCCAAACTTTTACACTCTGCTTCCCTTTTAAATATAAGTTCCAACTTTAACTCATTCCTTTGCTCCCATATCTGATCACACATTGCTAGAAGCAGCTAGGCTGATTTTTGAATGCTTTACTGCTTAGAAATTTCTTCTGCCAGCACCTGTAGTCCCAGCTACTTGGGAGGCTGAGGCAGGAGAATCACTTGAACCCAGGAGGCGGAGGTTGCAGTGAGCCAAGATCACGCCACTGCACTCCAGCCTGGCGACAGAGCAAGATTCTGTCTCAAAAAAAAAAAAAGAAAGAAAGAAATTTCTTCTGCCAGATACCCTAAGTCATCACTCTTAAGTTCAACCTTCCACAGATACCTAGGACATGGACACCATGCAGCCAAGCTCTTTGCTAGGGCATAACGCAGGTGACCTTTACTCCAGTTCCCAATAACATCCTTCATTTCCAACTGAGACCTCTTCAACCTGGCCTTCACTGTCTACATTTCTTTCTTTCTTTTCTTTCTCTTTCTTTCTTTTCTTTCTCTTTCTTTCTTTCTTTTTCTTTCTTTCTTTCTTTTTTTGAGACAGGGTCTTGCTATGTTGTCCAGGCTGCTCTTGAACTCCTGACCTCAAGCAGTCCTCCCACCTCAGCCTCCTAACGTGCTAGGATTATAGGTATGAGCCACTGTGCCTGACCTGTCCATATTTCTGTCAGCATTTTGGACATGACTACTTAACAAGTCTTTAAGAAGTTCCAAGCTTTCCTTCATCTTCCTGTCTTCTTCTAAGCCATCCAAACTCTTCCAACCTGTGCCTGTTACCCAGTTCCAGAGTCATTTTCACATCTTCGGGTATCTTTCTAACAATGCCCCACTCTTTGGTACCAATTTTCTGCGTAAAGCCATACTTACATTGCTATAAAGAAACATCTGAGGCTGAGTGATTTACACAGAAAAGAGGTTTAACTGGCTCATGGTTATGCCAACTGTACAGGAAGTATGGTGCTGGCATCTGCTTCTGGTGAGGCCTCAGGAAGCTTACAATCATGGCAGAAGGCAACAGGTAGCCAGCATGTCATATGGTGAGAATGGGAGCAAGAGAGAGGGAGAAGGTGCCACACACTTTTCGGCAACCAGCTCTTGTGTGAACTAACTGAGCAAGAACTCACTTATCACCAAGGGGATAAACCATTCATGAGGAATCTTCCCCCATGATTCAACCACCTCCCACCAGGTCCCACTTCCAACACTGGGAATCACGTTTCAACATGCGATTTGAAGGGAACAAACATCCAAACCATATCACCTCATAGTGAGGCAAATTGTCACTAAATACTGCTCTTGTTCCATCTAACAATGCTTGAAAGCAAGGCTCAGAAGGATTAAACTGTTTCTAAGTAGTTTAACTGCATCTGAGGACAAAGCCCAAAATCATGTAAATGAATGATTATTATTTAAAAAGATTTTTTTTGGAGACAGGATCTCATTCTGTCACTCAGGCTGGAGTGCAGTGGCACATGCATAGCTCACTGTAACCTTGAGCTCCTTGGGCTCTGCTTTGGCTCAAGTGGTCTTCCCACCTTATCCTCCCAAGGAGGCCATTTGGTGAAGGCTAAAGGAGGATCCCTTTAGCCCAGAAGTTCAAAGCTGAAGTGAGCTATGGTCATGCCATTGCACTCCAGGACTACAGGCATATCCCACCATGCCCAGCTAATTAAAAAAAAAAAATTCTTTTTAGAGACAGGATCTCACTATATTGTCAAGTCTAGTCTCAAACTCCTAGTCTCAAGCAATCCTCCCACCTCAACCTCCTAAAGCACTAGGATTACAGGTGCAAGCTACCATGCCCAAAACCCAACAAGGTAAATGTCACAATGTCTGGCATTCAATAAAAAATTATTAGGCATACACACAAGGAGGAAAATACAGCCAATAACAAGGAGAAAAATCAATCAATAGAAACAGACACAGAACTAGCACAGGTGGTAAAGTTAACTGACAAGGACATTAAAACAGCTATTATATTGTTGTACATTATATTGTTGTACAATACATAGATGTATTCTATGTATTGAAGAAGATAAAGGAATGAGTTAGCATGTTAAGAAGAGACACAAAATTATAAAAAAGGACCAAATTGGACTTTTAGGGATGGAAAATACATGGTCTGAAATGAAAAATGCACTGGATAAGATTAACAGCAGATTAGACATCACAGAAGAAAAGCTTAGTGAACTGGAAGACATAATGAAAAATTTTAAGTATTCTAAATGAAATTTACAAAGTGGAACAAAAGCTGATAGAAATTGAATGACGTAATGATGTGATGAACTGTAGGACAACTTCCAGCAGCCTAACATACATATTATTGGAATTGCTGAAGAGAGGTGGACACAAAAAATATTTCTGGAAATAATAGCTGAAATTTTTCCAAATTTGAGGCAAAGCATAAACTCACATGTCCAAGAAGCTCAATGAATCCCAAGCACAAGAAACAAAGTAAAGCACCTGTTGGACATGGTGGCTCATGCCTGTAATCCCAGTAATTTGGGAGGCCAAGGTGGGAGGATTGCTTGAGGCCAGGAATTCAAGACCAGCTTGGGCAACATAGCAAGACCCCATCTCTATAAAAAATAAAAAAATTATCTGGGCACGGTGGAACACGCCTATACTCCTAGCCACTTGGAAGACTGAGGCAGGAGGATCCCTTTAGCCCAGAAGTTCAAAGCTGAAGTGAGCGATGATAGTGCCATTGCACTCCAGCTAGATGGCAGAGTGAGATCCTATCTCTAATTTAAAAAGAAAAGAAAAACACACCAAGTCACATTATAATCAAAATGTTTGAAAGCAGTAAAAAAGAGGAAATCTTAAAAGCAGCCAGATTTTTAAAAACCTCATTATATAAAGTAGAACAAAAATTAAAATGACAGCACATGTCTCTTCAGAAACAACAGAAACCAGAAAACAGTGGAGCAACATCACTAATGTAGTGAAAGAAAGGAATTGTCAAACTAAAATTGAAAACAGAGATAAAATAATTTTCAATAATGAAGACAAAATGGTGACTTTTTTAGCGTTATAAAGCTAAAAGAATTTATCAGCAAAACTGCACCATTAAAAAAATGATTTAAAAAGTCTGTCAGCTAGAGTGAAAATGATATTGTATCAGATGGAAATTAGGGCATGCAAAAAGAAATAAAAAGTGCCAGAAATGAGGCTGGGCATGGTGGCTCATGCCTGTAATCCCAGCACTTTGGGAGGCCGATGCAGGCAGATTGCTTGAGGTCAGGCATTCAAGACCAGCCTGGCCAACATGGTGAAACCCTGTCTCTACTAAAGAATACAAAAATTAGCTGGGGGTGGTGGTGCAGCTACTTGGGAGGCCGAGGCAGGAGGATTGCCTGAACCCTGGAGGTAGAGGTTGCAGTGAGCTGAGATCATGCCACTGCACTCCAGCCTGGGCAATGGAGAGAGACTCCGTCTCTCTCTGTCTCTCTCTCTCTCTGTCTCTCTCTCTCTCTGTCTCTCTCTCTCTCTCTGTCTCTCTCTCTCTCTCTCTCTCTCTCTCTCTCTATATATATATATATATATATATATACCAGAAATGATGAATATGTGTGTAAATATAAAACACCCATTTTCTTATTTTTAAAATAAATTTTAAATTAATTTAATTTAATTAACATTTTGAGGCAAAAAAATAATATATTGTGGAGTTTATAACATAAGTAAAAGTAAAATGTATTCCAACGAAGGCAAAAACCTGGAAGAAGTGAAATAAAATTATACACTTATAAATTTCTTATACTCTATTTGAAGTGGTATACTATTACTTAAGAGTGATAAATTGTAAATGTATAGTATAAACCCTGAATCAACTACTCAAACATAAAAGTACAGCAAATAAGCCAACAAATCAGCAATGGAGATAAAATAGAATTATAAAAATACTACATTAATCCAAAACAAAGAATAAAAAGAAGATAATAGGAACAAAGAGCAGATGGGACAAATAGAAAACAAATAACAAAATGGAATATGTAAATCAAAATATATCAATAATCACATTAAATGTAAAGGTTCTAAATGCCCCCATTAATAGACAAAGATTGCCAGATGGGTTTAAAGAGCAAAATTCAACTACAGTATATGCTGCCTAGAAGAAACCCAATTTGAATATAAAGACACAGATAGGTTAAAGTAAAAAGATGGACCACTCAGGGAATTCTGCTTGCAGGATGGCAATGCAAAGAGCTCTGTGGACCTGTTCACCAGTGAAACTAGTAAAAAGTATTTTCTTTCTTTTTTTTTTTTTTTTTTTTTTGAGACGGAGTCTTGCTCTGTGGCCCAGGCGGGAGTGCAGTGGCGCAATCTCAGCTCACTGCAAGCTCCGCCTCCCGGGTTCACGCCATTCTCCTGCCTCAGCCTCCCGAGTAGCTGGGACTACAGGCGCCTGCCACCACGCCCAGCTAAATTTTTTTGTATTTTTAGTAGAGACGGGGTTTCACCATGTTAGCCAGGATGGTCTCGATCTCCTGACCTCGTGATCCGCCCGCCTCGGCCTCCCAAAGTGCTGGGATTACAAGCGTGAGCCACCGCGCCCGGCCTCTTTTTTTTTCTTCTTTCTTTTTTTTTTTTTTAACAGAGTCTCGCTCTGTCGCCCAGGCTGGAGTGCAATGGCGTGATCTCGGCTCACTGCAAGCTCCGCCTCCCAGGTTCATGCCATTCTCCTGCCTCAGCCTCCCAAGTAGCTAGGACTACAGGTGCCCACCATCATGCCTGGCTAATTTTTTGTATTTTTAGTAGAGACGGGGTTTCGCCGTGTTAGCCAGGATGGTCTTGATCTCCTGACCTCGTGATCCACCCGCCTTGGCTTCCCAAAGTGCTGGGATTGCAGGCGTTGAGCCACCACGCCTGGCCTAAAAATATTTTCTTAGAAAATAAAACATTTAAAGTTTACAGAAGATGTCCTAAGGACACATAATAAATAAACATGTGTTCAAGGAAATCTACTAAATCTCAGTAAAAGCAGTGACAGTCTGTGGCATTTAAGCCATGACCCACTCTCCCAGCTCAGCTAGATGGAAGCTCCACTCTAGGAGGATGTGATTAAAAATATCAGTCTCCCTCTCCCTTCAGCTCTCAATCTAGAGATACAGTATCTCACTGGAAGAGACAGGACACCAGCATTTCTTATCCCACCCAAATCCAAATTGCAGAGACTAAATTCCTTGTGAGGGTATCTGAGGGCTCAGGAGCTGCCTTCCTCCACACAACCCCCATTCGTAAAGTGGAAGCCTTACCCCAGGCCTAACAGGCTGAGAATACTAGAGCACTAACAGCCTTTGCCCCAGGTCACTCTAAAGAGGTGGTTTCAGTTGAGAAAAGCAGAGGCTACTACCCCCACCCAGTGTTTGGAGCAGATAGATCAGAGATTTTGCCCAGGGAGTGAGGCAGTGCATAGGAAGATAAAACTCTAAAGTTATCTTCAAAGGAATCAACTTTATTTGAAACAGTGTGAGAGAGTTCAAACTTAAGAGAACTCTAAAAAACTATAGATTTTGCTAGTAAACAACTAAAAAGAGGATGGTAACTCTATGAGACCAACAAACAAAACTGACTGGGAGTTCCAGACAGAGCAATTAGGCAAGAAAAAAGAAATAAAAGCTATCTAGATTGGAAAAGAAGAATCAAAATGACTTCTAATTGCAAATAGCATGCTCTTATAAATAGAAAGTCCTAAGGACGCCACTAAAAAACTATTAGAGCTTACAAATAACTTCAGAAAGTTTGTAGGATAAAAGGTCAACATACCAAAATGAAGTGTTATTTCTATATACTAACAATAAACAACCCCAAAATTAAATCAAAGAAACAATTCAATTTACAATAGCATTAAAAATACTTAGGAGTAAATTTAACAAAATAATTGCAAGACCATACACTGAAAACTACAGAATATTATTGAAAAAAAAATTAAAGAAGACCTAAATAAATGGAAAGACATTCCATGTTCATGGAACAGAAGATTTAATGCTGTTGAAATGGAAATACTCCCCAAACTGATCTATTATTTCAATGCAATCTCTTTCAAAAATTTAACTGCATTTTTTGGTAGAAATTGTCAAAATGATTATAAAATTCATATGAAGTTGAAAGGGAACTAGAATAACCAAAACCATCTTTAAAAAGGTGAACACAGTCAAAGGATTCACACTTTTTGTTATCAAAACTTATTATGAAGAAACAATAATCAGGAGAGTGTGGTACTGTTAGCAGTGGCGAATCTGTATGGGTCTGCAGCAACCTCAGTTCTTGCCTCCTCAGAAGCAAGAATTTGACCAAGGGGCATAAGGCAGAGTGAGAGACTGAAGCAAGTTTTAGAGCAGGAGTTAAAGTTTATTAAAAAGTTTTAGAGCAGGAATGAAAGAAAGTAAAGTACACTTGGAAGGAGGCCAAGCAGGTGACTTGAGAAATTAAAGTGCACTGTTTGGCCTTTGACTTGGGGCTTTATATGTTGGCATGCTTCTGGGGTAGGGCAGGGTGTTGCATCCCTTCTCCCCTGATTCTTCCCTTGGAGTGGGCTGTCCACATGTGCAGTGGCCTGCCAGCACTTGGGAGGGGCCGTATGTGTTTACTGAAGTTGTATGCATGCTCACTTGAGGCATTTTTTCCTTACCAGTCCAGTGGTCCTAGAGGAAGGTCATATACCAGTTAAACTCTGCCATTTTGCCTCTTAGTGTGCATGCTTGAGCCCGCTCATCCAACTCCTGAGAGCTTATTGGGAAGCTGCTGATCACCAGTTTCAGGTATTTTCTGTCTATTGGGAGATTGCTTTTCCCTGGCACTGGCTGCAACTAATTATTATTTTAGAGAGACAGTTTAACAACTCCCTGACCATCACCTTGATGGTCACCTGAAATTCCTGGTTATGGGGGAGGGGGGCGGTCTCCTGCTCATGTCTACCTGACTGCCTACTGTAACAATATTGGCATAAGGGTAGATATGGAATAGAACTAAAAATCCAAAAATAAACACTCACGTTTCTGGTCAACTGATTTTGGACAAGGAGGCCAAAACAATTCAATGGCAAAGAATATTCTTTTCAACAAATGGTGCTGGGACAACTGGATATCCACATGCAAAACAATGAAGTTAGACCTCTATCTCACACCTGTGGAGGCCAAGGCCCTTGGTCCCCTAAAAGCTCACTGAAAAAAAAAATCACTGACATGAGGCAGATTAACTAAAAGGAGAAGAGGCATACACATTTATTTAATGTGTATATACAGGAGCCTTCAGAATGAAGACCTAACCTCCCAATGAGGTTCAGAAATTTATATACCATCTTCAGATTCCAGAAAGAATGCAGGCTCAGAGCATGGCCAAAAACAGATTTTACTGGCAAAACAGGTTATGAAAAGGAGAAAGGAAGAGGCCTGGCTAGCAAAGGGAATCTTGTTATGTAAATGAAACCTCACAGTAGTCCTCAGAGAGAATAGATGGTGAATGTCTCTTTTAAGACCTTTAGGCCAGGTGTGGTGGCTCATGCCTGTAATCCCAGCATTTTGGGAGGCTGAAACGGGCAGATTGCTTGAGCCCAGGAGTTCAGGACCAGCCTGGGCAATATAGTGAGACCTTGTCTCTACAAAAAATACAAAAAATTAACTGGGCGTAGTGGTGCACGTCTGTAGTTCCAGCTACTCGGGAAGCTGAGGTAGGAGAACCACCTGAGCCAGGGAAGTCAAGGCTGCAGTGAGACAAGATCACGCTGATGCACTCCAACCTGAACGATGGAGTGAGACCTTGCCAAAAAAAAAAAAAAGGAAAGAAAGAAGGAAGGAAGGAAGGAAGAAAGGAAGAAAGGAAGAACCTTTAAAGGTGTCAGACCCTCAGTTAATCGCTCCTACATCCAAGAAAAGCCTACAAAGGGAAGGCCTGTTAATGGGGATTCTCTACAGATATAAATTTCTCACACAAAAGACTGCTTTGCAAGGCCATTTCAGTCCGTGGCAGCCACTTCAAATTATGCCAAAGAAATATAATTTTTGGGTAAAATATTTTTATTTCCTTCACACCATATACAAAAATTGGCTCAAAATGGATCAAAGATTAAAGAGCTAAAACTCTTAGAAGAAAACATAGGCATGAAACTTTGTGACCATGGCTGATCATGATGTAATTACACGTCTATAATCCCAGCTCTTTGGGAGGCCAAGGCGGGAGAATCACTTGAGGCCAGGAGTTCAAGACTAGCCTGGGCAACATAGTGAGACCTCATTTCTAAAAAAAAAAAAAAAAAAAAAAAAAAAAAAAAAAAAAAAAATAGCTGGGTGTGGTGGCACTCACCCACGGTCCTAGCTACTCAGGAGGCTGAAGTAGGAGGATCACTTGAGCCCAGGAATTTGAGGCTGCAGTGAACTATGATAGTGCCTCTACACTCCAGCCTGGGTAACAGAGATAGACCCTGTCTCAAACAAACAAGGTCACAAAAAACCTTTGTGACCATGGATTAGGCAATGGTCCCTTAAATGTGATAGCAAAAAGCCTAAGTAATAAAAGGAAAAAAATAGATAGATTGGTTGTCATCAAAATTAAAAGGACACCATCATGGACGTGAAGAAGCAACACAGAATAGGAATTTTTTGCAAATTGTATACAGATGCTCCTTGACTTGCAATAAGGTTACATCTCAATACATCCATTAAAAGTCAAAAATATCATAAGTTGGAAATGCATTTAATTCACCTAACCTACTGAACATCGTAGCTTAGCCTTGTCCACCTTAAACATGCTCAGAACACTTACGTTAGCCTATAGTTGGACAAAATCATCTAACACACAAAGCCTATTTTATAATAAAGTGTTGAATATCTCATGTAATTTATGGAATACTGCACTGAAAGTAAAAAACAGAATGATTGTATTCTACTGAACATGTATTGATTTTCCATAATTGTAAAATCAAAAAATCATAAGTTGAACCATTTTAAGTCGGGGACCGTTCTGTACCTGATATCTGTATTATAGAGAAAACACAACTCAATAATAAAAAGATAAATGACCTCATTTAAAAGTGGGCAAAATATATTAATAGACATTTCTCTAAAGAAAATATACAATGACCAATATGCACATGAAAAGATGCTCAACATCAACAGTCATCAAGGAAATGCAATAAAAACCACATGAGGCTGGGAGTGGTGGCTCACGCCTGTAATCCCAACATTTTGGAAGGCCGAGGTGGGCAAATCACCTGAGGTCAGGAGTTTGAGACCAGCCTGGCCAACATGGCAAAACCCCGTCTGTACTAAAAATATTTTAAAAATTAGCCAGGCGTGGTGGCGTGTGCCTGTAATCCCAGCTACTCAGGAGGCTGAGGCACGAGAATCACTTGAACTCAGGAGGCGGAAGTTGCAGTGAGCCAAAATTGTGCCACTGCACTCCAGCCTGGGTGACAGAGTGAGACTCTGTCTCAAAAAAACAAAAACAAACACCACATGAATTACCACTTCATGCCCACTAGAATGACGATAATCCAAAGAGAGATTAAAAACCAGCAATGGCAAGGGTGTGGAGAAATTGGAACATTCATATACTGCTGGTGAGAATGTAAAATGGTATAGTTGTGCTATGATATGAATGTTTGTGTCCCCCCAAAATTTATATGTTGAAAACCTAATCCCAAAGGTGATGATGCTATTAGGAGGGGGGTCTTTGGGAGGTGATTAGATCCTAAGGGTGGAGCCCTCATGAATGGGATTTGTGCCCCTATAAAAGAAGCTCCAGAGAGCTGTCTTCCCCCTTCCACCACGTGAGGACAGATAGAAGATAATCATCTATAAACCAGAAAGTGAAACTTCATCAGACCCAAATCTGCTGGCAACTTGATCTTGGACTTCCCAGCACCTAGGGCTATGAGAAATAAATTCTTTGTTTATAAGTGATTTAGTTTGGGTATTTGTCCCTCCAAATCTCGTATTGAAATGTAATCCCCATTGTTGGAGGTGGGGCCTGGAGGGAAGTGATTGAATCATGGGGGCAGATTTCTCAGGAATGGTTTAGCACCATCCCCGTGGTGCTGTCCTGATAATAACGAGTGAGTTTTCATGAGATTTGGTTATTTAAGAGTGTGTAGCACCTCCCCTCCTCTCTCTTCCTTGCTTCCACTCTCGCCATATGAAATGTCTGCTCCCTCTTCACCTTCCACCATGATTGTAAGCTTCCTGAGACCTCCCCAGAAGCTGAGCAGATGCCAGCACCATGCTTCCTGTAAAGTCTGCAGAACCGTGAGCCATTAAACCTTTTTTCTTTAAAAATTATCCAGCCTCAGGTATTTCTTTATAGCAATGCAAGAATGGTCTAATACAATAAACTACCTAGTTTATAATATTTTGTTATAGCAGCCCAAAAAGACTAAGATAAGATGCTTTGGAAAACAGACTGGCAAGTCCTCAAATCCTAAGTAAAAAGTCACCATAAGACCCAGCAATACCCAAGAGAATTGAAAACATACGTATGTATATATACACATATGTATGTGTATATATATGTTTGTGTGTGTATATATATACACGTGTATATATGTATGTGTGTGTATATTTATACACATGCATATATATATATTATGAGTGTGTATATATATACATGCATATGTATGTATGTGTGTATATATATACACATGCATATATATGTATGTATGTGTGTATATATATACACATGCATATATATGTATGTATGTGTGTATATACGTATGTGTGTATGTGTATATATGTATATATATACTTGCATACAAATGTTTATAGAAGCATTACTTTTATTATTTTTTTCTTTCTTTAAGAGACAGGATCTCACTATGTTGCCCAGGCTGATCTCGAACCCCCGGACTCAAGAGATCCTCCCACCTCCACCTCCCAAGTAGCCAAGATTACAGGCATGTTCCACCAAACTCAACTTAGCATTATTTTTAATAGCCAAAAAGTGGAAACAACCCTAATGTTTATTAACTGATAAATGAATAATATGTTATATATCCACTTAATGGAATACTACTTGGCAATAAAAAGGAATGAGGTACCGATACATGCTACAACATGGAGGAACCTGAAAACATTATCCTAACTGAAATAACAAAAGCAACCAGTCAAATCAATGACCTCAGCTTCTGACATAATAAACCAGAAAAAGAAGAGCAAATAAGATCCACAGTAAACAGAAGAAAGGAAATTATAAAAATAAGATCAGAATTCATTGAATAAAGAAAAAATAATAGAGAAAAATCAATGACATTAAGAGTTGGTTCCTCTAGAAGATTATTAAAATTGATAAACTCTTTGGCAGCATGATCAGGAAAAATGATCAGGGAAAAGAGAGAAGACACACATTACCAATATCAAGAATGACTACAGATGCCACAGATTTGAGAAAATAACCAGGAATATTATTGTGTTACTGTGATGTATATATTTGGTTTTGTTCGTGATTCCTGGCTTTCACCTTCTGAAAGCCTTATTGTTTCCCAAGTAATTAGAGTGATAAGAATATCTTTTGTTAAAGTATTGTATTTGGTCTTTTGTCTTTGGTTGCTGAAGTAGCACCTGAACTTAAAAATGAAAGACACTTTTTTGTTATTTACAGCAAGCCCTTCAAACACACCTGGACTTACGTGAATGAGACAGTTTTTGGAAAGCCTTTGGATACCATAGGATGGGGGCGTTGGTTGCCAGGGAAACTACCCAGGTGCTCAGAGGGTTGGAACTTTTAGTCTCATCCCCCAGCCCTCAGGGAAGGGGCAGGGGCTAAAGGTTAAATTGATGCCAATGGCTAGCGGTTTAATCAATCATGCCTATGTCATAAAGCTTCTATAAAAACCCAAAAAGGACAGGGTTCAGAGAACTTGCAGATAGACGAACACTTGGGGGCACTCCAACTCCAAAGGGACAGAAACTCCTGCAATTGGGACCCTTCCAGACCTTACCTTATGTATCTCTTCATCTGGCTGTTTATTTGTGTCTTTTAAAATATCCTTTGTAATAAACTGGTAAACGTAAGTAAATGTTTTTGTGAGTTCTGTGAGCCGCTCTAGCAAATTAATCAAACCCAAGGAGCGGAAACTGTGGGAACCCCGATTTATAGCCAGTTGATGAGAAGCACAGGTAAAATAACCCGGGGACTCAGTTTTGTGGGATTGCGTCCTCAACCTGTATGATCTGATGCTAGCTCCAGGTAGATACTGTCAGAATGGAATTGAATTAGAGGACACCCAGCTGGTGTCCACTGCAAAATTGAATTCTTGCTTGCTGGCGGGAGAAATCCCCACAAATCTGGCATCAGAAGTGTGCTGTGAGAGTACGGTGGGAGAAACTGAGTTTAGTTTTTTTCCTATTCATTTGGTGTCAGTGAAGAGGGATTTGCTAGAAAGGCCCTGGTTCACAGAAACATTTGGTTTAGGAAGAGAAAGGATGAAAGGGTGGGGGATAAGAAACCTTCCATCCCTGGATAGCTACCTAGTCAGTCACCCATGGTATGAAACTGCAGCTAAAAAGTTACCAGTGGAATTTAGAGATGGATCCAACTCCCAGGGAGTTGGTTCACTGGACACATAAGGAAGTGCAAACTAATAAGAAAAAAAGCAAAATATTCAATCCCTTGGTTATTAATATCTGTAATAGCTAAAACGAAGTGAAAAGCCTGGGCATGGTGGCTCACATCTGTAATCCCAGCACTTTGGGAGGCCAAGGTGGGTGGATTGCTTGAGCCCAGGAGTTCGAAACCAGCCTGGGCAACAAGGCGAAACCTCGTATCTACAGAAAATACAAAAATTAGCCAGGCATGGTGGCACACACCTGTGGTCCCAGCCACTTGAGAGGCTCAGGTGGGAGGATCACTTGAGCCCAGGAGTTCAAAGCTCCAGTGAGCTGTGATTGCACCATTGCACTACAGCCTGGGTGACAGAGCAAAACCCTGTCTCCAAAAAAAATAGAAGAAGAAGAAGAAGAAGAGGAAGAGGAAGAGGAAGAAGAAAAGGAGGAGGAAGAGGAGGAGGAAAAAGAGAGTGCTGAGTTGGACCTTGATGCTGGAATAAGACTAGATTTCAGTAAGCCTGAGCTTCAGCCACTAGCCTGAAAACTGACCTCCATGGTAAAAATTGTGCAGGGACAACAGAATGTACCTCTGAGACCTGTGGTTGCCAAGAAGGTAGTCAATGTGGGAGAAACCCAAGAAATTATTGAAACTAAAGGATGGTGTAAAGGAAATGTTTAATTTTGTAGATGGTATCATGAGCTTGCTGAGCAGCTTTTACTAAAATGAATTCTGAGAGTAACAAATTTAGGAGCAGTATCTTTGGTTTTAAATGCTGCAGGGTGAAAGAACATGTTTGAGTTGATGCAAGAACCACAGCTCACTGTTGAACAATCGTAGATAGCTATATGTGATCCAGACATGCAGGAGGCTATTCCTGAGAGCCACCCAGCATGGTGGACTGGATAAAAGCCACTGTAAAGTATGTTTACCCTTTACAGATAGCCCCCATGAGATAGGCCCCATAAGAAGGGGGACTATGTGACTCCCTCTATTATAAATGCCAAGTGGAACATCCCAGGCGAAGCAGCTGACATACTTCATATGCAAGCTATGTGGGACTGGTTTATGATGCCTGGGATATTAACCTACTGAATATGCACATTACCCAGGTCATGGCAGATGCTGTGATTAAAGGGGGTACCTAAAGTATGGGCACCCCATGTGATGTTACTCCTGCAAAACTGAACAACAGTTGGAGAAACCTCATCTGATTTGCTGGCTCGACTTCCCCATACAGATCTCACTGATACCAAGGACATTAAAGTAGGGATTATATTTCCCACATAAAGGGAATGTGGGGAAAGACAGAGGGAAGAGTCAGGGAACTCACTCCAGCAGGGTAGAAATCTTTAGATGGTTTAGATGGGATCAATTTGGCAGACAATAGATGGTGCTAAAACAAATGGGACACCCCCCATCTCCCATCCCTCACTGCTGGTCCCCCAACTTTAAAAGGCTCCAAGCAAGTCCTCTACATTTATTCCAGTTTGGAGGAATTTTTAAAGCTGGAAGGCAAAGATTACATGAGGTATCCCATTTGGAATCACCTAGGGCAATGGTTAGATTAATTGGGGTGATGATTGACTAAGAGACTTAGACTTGGCTGGGTACCTGAAGTCATTTGCATACATATGGGTAAAATGTCCAGATTGGGGAGAAGAAACCTTCTGGGGACTCCTTGACACAGGAGCCCAATGCATTGTGATTCCAAAGCCTTTTGGGATTTTTTTTTTTTTTTTTTTTTTTTGAGACAGAGTTTCACTCTTGTCGCCCAGGCTGGAGTGCAATGGCGTGATCTCAGCTCACTGCAATCTCCACCTCCTGGGTTCAAGTGATTCTCCTGCCTCAGCCGCCTGAGCAGCTGAGATTTCAGGCTTCTGCCACCACACCCGGCTAACTTTTGTATTTTTTAGTAGAGACGGGGTTTCGTCATGTTGGCCAGGCTGATCTCAAACTCCTGACCGCAGGTGATCCGCCCACCTTGGCCTCCCAAAGTGCTGAGATTACAGGCGTGAGCCACCGCACCCAGCCACCTTTTGGTGAAATCTTATAAAGGGGAGCTAAGCTTAAATTGGGAAGGTATGGAGAGGGAACAGTTTGGATGAAACAGTTTGGATACAAGTTTGGATGAAAAGTGCGATTATAATTGAAAAGCAGGTTAATTGCTTACCTCATGCAGAGTCCAATTAACAAGAGCAAGATCTGATACTAAGGAAGGAGACCACTACTACTCCTACTGCCCTCCTCCCCCCACCTTGCCTAGTTCACAAGACAGGAGGAGAGAAAAAGCAAAACGTTGGAAAAAAAACAAAAGTAAGATAAATAGCCAGATAACCTTGGCACCACCACCCGGCCCTAGGAGTTAAAAAAGTAATAATAATAACATCAACCCCTGACCTAAACTACTTGTGTTATCTGTAAATTCCAGACACTGTATGAAAAAAGCATTGTAAAACTTTTTTGTTCTGTTAGCTGATGCATGTAGCCCCCAGTCACGTTTCCCAAGCTTGCTTGATGTATCACGACCCTTTCACGTGGACCCCTTAAAGTTGTAAGCCTTTAAAAAGGCCAAGAATTTCTTTTTCGGGGAGCTCGGCTCTTAAGACACGAGTCTGCCGGCCCAATAAAAACCTCTTCCTTCTTTAATCCGGTGTCTGAGGAGTTTTGTCTGCGGCTCGTCCTGCTACAATGCAAAACAAGTGAATTAATTCTGAAGCTAGCTTAGGGGAAGGGGCACAAAGCGTCCTGTGTTTAAATGTGCCACTTCCCCTTTGGAGCAGAAAGCGGCCATTTTTTCAAGGTGGGAGAACGTGAACAAGGGCAGGGGTCCCCCTGCTAGTTTGGTGTCTTATCTATGGGACAGGTGAATTGGCACCTTCCTGGGCAGAAGTTAAGTCATAAAAGTGGCTAAGCCGGCATGCTTTCAATAAGCCCTCCTCGTGGATAAAAGTTCCAAGGCAATCCCTGGAAGATGGAAGTTCCAAGGCTACCCCCTGGAGGTGAAAGTTCATGGCGGGGGTATGCTTTGGTCTGCAAATTGACTGTCACGTCTCAAGGAGAGATCTGTCTTGGAGCACACAGTTAGAAGAATTTGCCCTGCAGGGAGTGTCTGGTGAGAGGGATGTGAAAGGTTATATTCTGAAGGGCTAAGTAGGAAACAGGGAACAGGGGAAAAGGGGAGAGGAGAAGTGAAGAGACGTTTTTTTTTTTTTTTGAGACGGAGTCTCGTTCTGTCGCCCAGGCTGGAGTGCAGTGGCGCGATCTCGGCTCACTGCAAGCTCCGCCTCCCGGGTTCACGCCATTCTCCTGCCTCAGCCTCCCAAGTAGCTGGGGCTACAGGCGCCCGCCACCGCGCCCGGCTAATTTTTTGTATTTTTAGTAGAGACGGGGTTTCACCGTGTTAGCCAGGATGGTCTCGATCTCCTGACCTCGTGATCCGCCCGCCTCGGCCTCCCAAAGTGCTGGGATTACAGGCGTGAGCCACCGTGCCCAGCAAAAATAATTTTTAGAATAATAGTAATTCATTCCCTTTTTTTTAGAAAAAAATGGAGGCACTCAGATACAGGATTTTTTCTTTTTTGAGACGGAGTCTCACTCTGTCGCCCAGGCTGGAGTGCAGTGGTGCAATCTCGGCTTATTGCAAACTTCGCCTCCCGGGTTCAAGCGATTCTCCTGCCTCAGTCTCCTGAGTACCTGGGATTACAGGCATGCACCACCCGGCTAATTTTTGTATTTTTAGTGGAGACGGGATTTCACCATGTTGGCCAGGCTGGTCTCGAACTCCTGACCTCAGATGATTCACCCGCCTTGGCCTCCCAAAGTGCTGGGATTACAGGTGTGAGCCACCATGCCCGGCCTTGGATACAGGATTTTTGAACAACCTTTTATATGAGGTGGTCACGTCTCCTTTACCTGAGTATATTATTGGGATAGATATTATGTCTGACTGAGGATTGTTTCCCCTACCTAATATTTGTTTTTTTATTTTGTTTTGCTTTGAGATAGGGTCTAGCTCTGTCACCCAGGCTGGAGTACAGTGGCACAATCATGGCTCACTGCAGCCTCGACCTCCTGGACTCAAGTGATCACCTAAGCCTCCTGAGTAGCTGGGACCACAAGCGTGTGCCACCACACCTGGCTAATTTTTTTTTTTTTTTTTTTTTGTAGAGACAAAGGTCTCCCTATGTTACCCAGGCTAGTCTTGAACTCCTGGCCTCAAGTGATCATCCCGTCTTGGCCTCCCAATGTTCTGGGATTACAGGGGTGAACCACAGCGCCCAGCCTCTACCTAATATTATAAAAACAGAAGGCATGTAAGTGATACCGACAGGAGGCAGCCAAATGCCTAGGCAGATGGGGCGGGTCCCCGGTGAAACCCAACCTCCAAGCTGAAGCCAGTCTAAAACCTGAAAGCCAAGCTATAAGTTAAATCTATGAACTGTACTGAGAACTTGTTTTTCCATTTGATGCACTTTCCTCTGATTAATCCTCACCCTTCACCTATTTTACATATACCTGCCCTTTCCTAATTGGCTTCCCACACTGTCATGCCCACCTTTGAGTGGTGTCTTCGCTTTAACCTTTTTCCACACTCATAAACCAATCAGCACGCCCTCCCCATTCTGAGTCCATAAAAGGCCCCAGACCCAGCCGCATGGGGAGAAAAACCACCTGACTGTTGGGGTGGGGGACTGCTCCCCTCCCCCGCTCCCCGCTCTACTGAGAGCTGTTCCATTACTCAATAAAACTCCCCACCTTGCTCACTCTTCGATTGTCAGCGCATCCTCATTCTTCTTGGCATGGGACATGAACTCAGGAACTGGTGCACGAGCCAGACTCGGCCAAGGTGGGACAAGTAGGCAGGCCATCTCCTGCAGCGGGTAGTGTAGCCAAGTGAGGCCCGAGTAGCTTGCAAAGTGACTGAGAAAAAATCCTGTGTCATAAGTCAACCTTCAGGCCAGTCTTGATTAGGCATGCTAAATGGGAACCACTAAAACTGCCTGAACCCACACCAGTGGTTAATTTAAAACAATATAGGCCGGGTGCGGTGGCTCATGCCTGTAATCCCAGCACTTTGGGAGGCCGAGGTGGGTGGATCACGAGGTCAGGAGATGGAGACCATCCTGGCTAACACAGTGAAACCCTGTCTGTACTAAAAATACAAAAAATTAGCTGGGCGTGGTGGCAGGCACCTGTAGTTCCAGCTACTTGGGAGGCTGAGGCAGGAGAATGGCATGAAAACCCGGGAGGCGGAGCTTGCAGTGAGCCAAGATTGTGCTATTGCACTCCAGCCTGGGCAACACAGCAAGACTCCGTCTCAAAAAAAAAAAAAAAAAAATATATATATATATATATAGAATATATATATAGAATATATATATAGAATATATATATATATAGAATATATATATAGAATATATATATAGAATATATATATATAGAATATATATATATAGAATATATATATATAGAATATATATATATAGAATATATATATATAGAATATATATATATAGAATATATATATAGAATATATATATATATAGAATATATATATAGAATATATATATATAATATATATATATAGAATATATATATATAATATATATATATAGAATATATATATATAGAATATATATATATAGAATATATATATATAGAATATATATATATAGAATATATATATAGAATATATATATAGAATATATATATAGAATATATATATAGAATATATATATATAGAATATATATATAGAATATATATATATAGAATATATATATAGAATATATATATATAGAATATATATATAGAATATATATATATAGAATATATATATAGAATATATATATATAGAATATATATATAGAATATATATATATAGAATATATATATAGAATATATATATATAGAATATATATATAGAATATATATATATAGAATATATATATAGAATATATATAGAATATATATATAGAATATATATATAGAATATATATAGAATATATATATAGAATATATATATAGAATATATATATAGAATATATATATAGAATATATATATAGAATATATATAGAATATATATAGAATATATATAGAATATATATATAGAATATATATAGAATATATATATAGAATATATATATAGAATATATAGAGAATATATATATAGAATATATATAGAATACATATATAGAATACATATATATAGAATACATATATAGAATACATATATAGAATACATATATAGAATACATATATAGAATACATATATAGAATACATATATAGAATATATATATAGAATGCATATATAGAATATATATATAGAATGCATATATAGAATATATATATAGAATGCATATATAGAATATATATATAGAATATATATATATAGAATATATATATATAGAATATATATATAGAATATATATATATAGAATATATATATATAGAATATATATATAGAATATATATATATAGAATATATATATAGAATATATATATATAGAATATATATATATAGAATATATATATAGAATATATATATATAGAATATATATATAGAATATATATATAGAATATATATATAGAATATATATATATAGAATATATATATAGAATATATATATATAGAATATATATATAGAATATATATATATAGAATATATATATAGAATATATATATATAGAATATATATATAGAATATATATATATAGAATATATATATAGAATATATATATAGAATATATATATAGAATAGCTGCTGGGCAGAAAGAGATTACTCTATAATCAATGACATGCTAGAAGATTATACCAACAAACTCTGTACAGTAGCCCTGCAAGGCCCATGAAAATGGTGGATGGCTCATGGAGACTAACAGTAGGCTATCCAGGCTTAAACAAAGTTGTACCACCCATGGACTCAGCAGTCCTGGACATGATTTTGACCATACAGAAAATACAACAGGCTAAAGGAGAACAGTACTCAGAGGTTGATCTTGCAAATGCCCTTCTTCTCTATCTCAATTTCAGAAAAGAGACAACTGCAGTTTGCCTTCATGTAGGAAGGATCAGTTTATATTTACTGTGCTCCCACAGGGTTACCTGAATTCACCAACTTACTGTCATAATTTGGTCAGGAGGGATTTGGACTTGATGTTGGTCTCAAGTGTAATAATACACTATATTGAGGATGCTATGTTAATATCAGAAACTGAAGAGCAGTCTAGGACTGATTTGAATGCAATGGTGGCTCACATGACCAACCAAGGCTGGTTAATAAATCCAGCAAAGATTTAAGGGCCTTCCCAAACTGTAAAATTCTTAGGAATAACCTGAGCAGGAGCTATCCAGGATATTCCACAAGTAACTAAAAATAAGTTGATGTTGCTCCCCACCCCTAGGATGAAACAAGAAGCCCGGCATTTGGTTGGTTTGCTTGGATTTTGGAGAATGCATATACAACATCTGGGAATATTGCCAGCTCCTATCTATAAGACCATCTGAAGGAAAGCCCTGTTTGAATGGGGACCTGAACAAGGGCAGGTCATGACTAAATGACAAAAAGCAGTAGCCCTCTCAGCACTTTGGGGCCCATATAATCCTCACTGAGATATGATTTTGTAAGTGTCTGCCATCCACACTCATGTGGACTAGAGCTTGTGGCAAAAGCCCATGAACGCCCCTCAGCCTCAACCATTGGGATTTTGGACCAGAAAATTTTCAGATGCTCCCACCAGGTACATACATACCTTTTGAGAAACAACTACTAGCTTATTATTGGGCATTTATTAAGAGTGCCTCAATGACTGAAGGACATAATCATGAAAACTAATACCTGTAATGTTTTGGGTGATAAGAGAGACATTCAAATAAGGAAGGCAGTGCCCAGAAGAGTTCCATAATAAAATGAAAATGGTTTATATTGGAGCATGCGACCAGAGAGATGCAAGGAAGCACCCACAGTATCCGTGAGCTGGTAGCCTCTTTTCTTTTAGGACCGACTTTAGAACCATCTGAGGAGCTACTGGAACCAATTGCCCTATGGGCAGTGCCCGATGAACAGCTCTCAATTGACCAACAAGGAGCTGCTTGGTTTACAGATGGCAGTTCCCAGGGGAATGGAAACTGCCTTGTTTGGAAAGCTGCTGCATTAAAACCAGGACACGGAAAGATGGATTGAAGAAGGTAAGAATAAATCAGCTCAATGGGCTGAGTTGCATGCTGTTTTCCTATCAGTTAGCAGTGATAAAAGCCACTGTGTTTGAGCTGGGTGCAGTGGCTCATGCCTGTATTCCCAGAACTTTGGAAGGCTGAGGTGGGAGGATTGCTTGAGCCCGTGAGTTTGAGGCTGCAGTGAGCTATGATCACACCACTGCACACCAACCTGGGCAACAGGGTGAGACCCTGTCTCTAAAAAATAAACATTAAAATAGCCACTGTATTCGGGTTTTTACTATTTATGGGTAGTAGCCAATAGCCTGGTCATATGGTCAGTTAGACAGACAATGGAGAACTGGACTATTAAAGGAATTTCTGTATGGGGCACAGCCCACTAGGAAATCACTCTAGGAATTTAAGGGGCACATTAAAGTAGGACGTGTCAATGCCTATCAGAAGAACCCTCTTCCAGGCTCAGAAGGTGATTGGAACTATAAAGTGAACTTTTTGGTGAGCTCCTTTGAGGTGGCCACCTGGGTCCATGAAATGAGTGAACCTTTAAGTCAGAATTCCTAAGGGCCTGATAGGGTGGGTTGTACTTTCACCCCATATGGCAAAGTTAAGGCTAACAGTATGTGCCATTATGTTGCCCAGTGGTTGAGGTAGCCCACTAGTTCTGTACTTATGTAATCCTACCTTATGTGAATGGGAATAGACTGAGTGGGAGGGATTAGTTAGAATGGTATTGCTGCTAGCAATCTGGACCAGCACAGTGGCCAAACCTAATGTCCCTTCCAACGGTAAAAAAGTTTGGGTAAAAATAAATGCAAATGGATCTCAGCACTTTGGGAGGCCAGGCGGGAGGATCGCTTGAGACCAGGAGTTCTAGACCAGCCTGGGCAACGTTGCAAAGACCCCATCTCTACCAAAAAAAAGAATTTTTTTAAAATTCCTCAGCCATGGTGGTGCATGCCTGTAGTCCTAGCTACTCGGGAGGCTGAGGCAGGAGGATCACTTGAGCTGAGGAGTTCAAGGCTGCAGTGAACTATGATCACACCACTGCACTCTAGCCTAGATGACAAAGCAAGACCCTGTCTCCAAAAAAACTTTTTTTTTAAATGACAAATGGAGAGAAGGAGAAACAATAGCTGAGGGTAGAAGAATGAGTAAGTGGATGATGCAATGAGGGAAATCCAATATTGTATTAATACATCAAGAGAGGCTCAGAGCAAGAGAATAATGTTATCTCTTAGCACAACAATTACCAGATGCCCAGAAATGTGAAGCTATATGCTTTCCAAGACCACTCCTGCTTTTGGAAACTGACCAGGTTGAATGGCAACCTGCAAACTTGAGTGACAGTTTCCTGGGAGATGTTCTGGGAGATGTTCTGGGAGATGTTGATTAACTGGACCAAATGTTAATGACTAAATGAAACACTTGTAATGTGCTGGCATCTTTTGAATTCTATTTTTCAGGCAACCCCTTCTACGAAGAATATAATTTGAGAATGAATTTCCAAGAACTGTTTTCCCACTTCAAACTGTGTGGTGTATGTACAGCTTCCAGCAGACTGGTCGCTGTGTACCTGTAAACCTTGATGATTGAATGCTTACAAAGGCCCTTGATTAAAAAGGACAAAGTGTAGTGTAGCCCAACATGTCACAATGTGCTGTGCACAAGCACAAATTGCCCTTGTTCTTGTGGATGGAAAGCTATTAAGCATAACAGGAACAAACAGTGGATTCCTGATGGCATTAAAGCTGTGGGCATCATTTGGTGGATCCAGAGTCCCTCAGGGAATGGGCCCACCCTGAGACAAAGGAGGATTTGTAAGGCCTTACGGCACACTCAAACTAAATTACATCTAGGTGTGGCCACCACTCTTGTAACCCTAGTATGGGGACCCAATTTTTTTGGGTGCAAAACATGTATCCCAACTGTACTCAGGCCATTAGTACACAGTGGCAAAAACATGCATGGTGGATTAAACAACACTGGCCCACCAGACAGAAAAGGCGCAAAGGGGAGATAGGTGCAGGTCCAGGAATCCCAGAACAAGCTGAGTTTGCTTTCAATGAGGAAAAACGTTCAGAGGAAAAAGATTTATTAACTAGAATAGGCAGGTTAGACAGAATTCTCTTCTAGGAGGAAGGCCAAGGATGGGAGTTAGCCTGGAAAGATGATAAGGCTTTAGCAAAATGGGTCAGGCAAACTCAACAAATGATGCTGTATGATGCTAAAACCCACTGTAGGGGAAAGGGCCTGCACCCGGACCCAACAGGGCCTCTTGACAATTTTAATACAAATAGAGGCTAAAGTGTCCATGAGGCAGTGGCCCTCTGTCCTGGCTGCTCAGGCTCAAGGGGCACACCTATGGGAATCTTATGGCCCTCCAAACTCATGGAAGTTCTGTGGGGCACTTGTACTTTACATCGATATAATATGACTGCCCTCTCCTCCAGAACAGGCCAAAATAAAACATATGCTATGGTACAGTAAGTAAGAATATGAGCTGTTCTAAATACCACATATGTCCTCCCTGTAGGAGGGAGGTGGGCCCTGCTATATAATAACACACAGTGGGCCGGGCAAGGTGGTTCATGCCTATAATCCCAGCACTTTGGGAGGCTGAGGTGGGAGGATCACTTGAGCCCAGGAGTTCCAGACTAGCCTGGGCAACATAGCAAGACCCCATCTCTACATTACAAAAAATAGCAGGGCATGGTGGCACGTGCCTATAGTCCCACCTACTTGGGGGTCTAAGGCAGGAGGATTGCTTGAGCCTGGGAGATTGAGGCTGCAGTGAGCCGTTATTGTGCTACTGCACTCCAGCCTAGGAGACAGAGTGAGACCCTGTCTTAAAAAATAAAAACAACACACAGTGGAAACCAGTCAAGACCGTGAGATGAGACACAGTGATTGGCTTTGTCCCCATCTAACTTGGAATTCAGAAATAACCGAGTCATGGTCCATTACAACAACACCTGTCCTTAATAATATGTGGTATATGGGCAAGGGTAGATCTGCTGGGAAGACAAAGCAAATACCTCCATAATTCTTACTGATCTCTTCTGTAATGAAACTGAATCATACCATGATCATACTGCAATATGATGAAATACTGGTGTTGCTGGTAAGATTCAACTCCCTCATGTAAGTAAATCAGTCTTTTTTTTTTTTTTTTTTTTGGAGACAGGTTCTCACTCTGTCTCTCAGGTTGGAGTGCAGCCTTGACCTCTGGGCTGAAGCGATACTCCCACCTCAGCCTCCCAAGCGGCTGAGACTACAGGTGCACACCACCACTCTCAGTTAATTTTTAAAATTTTTATTATTTATTTGGCCAGGTGTGGTGGCTCACGCCTGTAATCCCAGCACTTTGGGAAGCCGAGGTGGGTGGATCACTTGAGGTCAGGAGTTTGAGACCAGCCTGGCCAACATGCTGAAATCCCATGTCTACTAAAAATACAAAAATTAGCCAGGTGCGGGGGCGCGCGCCTATGGTCCCAGCTACTCAGGAGGCTGAGGCAGGGGAATTGCTTTAACCCAGCAGGCGGAGGTTGCAGTGAGCTGAGATTGCGCCACTGCACTCGAGCCTGGGCGACAGAGCAAGACTCTGTTAAAAAAAAAAAAAAAAGAAAAGGGGGAAGGTTGTTATTTCCTAAGTGATTAGAGCAATAAAAATATCTTGTGTTAAAGTATTTGGCCTTTTGTCTTTGGTTACTGAAGTAGCACCCGAGCTTAAAAGTGAAAGACAATCTTTTGTTATTTGCAGCAAGCCCTTCAAACACACCTGGGTTTATGTTAATGAGGTAATTTTTGGGAAGCCCTTGGATACCATAGGATGCAGTGGGAGGGTTGGTTGCCAGGAAAACCAGCCAGATGCTCAGAGGGTTGGAACTTTCAGTCTCAACCCCCAACGCTCGGGGAGGGCAGAGGGGCTAAAGGTTAAGTTGATGCCAATGGCTAGCAGTTTAATCAATCATGCCTATGTCATGAAGCTTCTATAAAAATCCAAAAGGGACAGGGTTCAGAGAACTTGCAGATACACGAACACTTTGGGGCACCCCAACTCCAAGGGGACAGAAGCTCCTGCACTCAGCACCCTTCCAGACTTTGCCCTATGTATCTCTTCATCTGGCTGTTTATTTGTGTCTTTTAAAATATCCTTTGTAGTAAACTGGTAAACGTAAGTAAATGTTTCCCTGAGTTCTGTGAGCCACTCTCGCAAATTAATCAAACCCAAGGAGTGGAGGCTGCGATTTATAGCCAGTTGATCAGAAGCACAAGTAAAATAACCCAGGGACTCAGTTTGGTGGGATTGCATCTTCAACCTGTGTGATCTGATGCTAGCTCCAGGTAGATACTGTCAGAATGGAATTGAATTAGAGAACACCCAGCTGGTGTCCACTGCAAAATTGATTGCTTGCTTGCTGGAGAGAGAAATCCCCGTACGTCTGGCATCAGGAGCGTGCTGTGAGAGTATGGTGGGAGAAACTGAGTTTGTTTTTCCTACTCAATTATGGACAGTATTATGCCTGTAAATTTGACAACTTAGATGAAATGCACATATTCTTTGAAATATGTAATCTACCAAAGCTCACTCAAAAAGAAAGAAAAAATCTGAACAGACGAATAGCAATTAAATAAATTGAATTTGTATTTAAAACCCTCCCATAATGAAAACTCTAGTCCAGTTGGATTCACTAATGAATTCTACCAAATATTTAAGGAAAAAAATATCATTTCTACATAATCTCTTTGGGAAAATTGACAAGGAAAGAACATTGCAAAGCCCATTCTATGAGGCCAGAAGTAAACTAATAACAAAATCGGAAAAATAATTTACAAGTAAAGAAAGCTATAGACCAATAGACCAATATCTCCCATGAACATATACACAAAAAGTTTTAATGATGATTTAGCAACTAAAATTCAAAAACATATAACTAGATCCTTTAAAAACAAGTGAGGTTTTACCCCAGGAGTGTAAGTTTGGTTTACTATTTCAAAATCAATGTAAATTCACCATATTAGCAGAATTTTAAAAGACAATCTATATGACCATGTGAATAGAGGCAGAAAACCACTTGAAAAAAATTAAATGCCATTTATGCTGAAAACTCACCAAACTAGGTGAAGAAAATTTTCTCAATCTGATAATGAGCATCTGTGAACAACCTACAGCTAACACTCACTGGGGGAAAGACTGAGTGCTTCTTCTTTTAAGACAAGCAACAAGGCAAGGATGTCTGATTTCTCCACCCACTTCTATTCAACATTATACTGGAGGTTCTAGCCCTTGAAATATGGTAAGAAAATGAAATGAAATGTACCCAGATTGTAAAGGAAGAAGTAAAGTTGTCTTTTTCACATATGACATTATTGTCTATAGAAAATCCTAAGAAAAGGCCACGCATGATGGCTCACACCTGTAATCCCAGCACTTTGGGAGGCTGAGGCAGGTGGATCACGAAGTCAAGAGATGGAGACCATCCTGGCCAACATGGTGAAACCCCATCTCTACTAAAAATACAAAAATTAGCTGGGCATGGTGGCGCACGCCTGTAGTCCCAGCTACTAGGGAGGTTGAGGCAGGAGAATTGCTTGAACCTGGGAGGCAGAGATTGCAGTGAGCTGAAATCATGCCACTGCACTCCAGCCTGAGCGACAGAATGAGACTCCATCTAAAAAAAAAAAAGAAAAAAAATCCTAAGAAATCTACAAAAGAATCTATCAAATGAGTGTAGCAAGGTTGCAAGATAAAAGGTCAACATACAAAATCAACTGTATTATTATATACTGGCAATTAATGATCAGAATTTGAAATTTAAAATACCATTTACAATAGCATCACGATATATAAAATAGTTAGAGATAAATTTGACAAAAGATGTGCAAGACCTGTGTACTGAAAATTATAAAGCATTGTTGAGAGCAATTAAAGAAAATATCCTAGCCAGACGTGGTGGCTCACGCCTGTAATCCCAACACTTTGGGAGGCCAAGGTGGGCGCATCACTTGAGGTCAAGAGTTTGAGACCAGCCTGGACAAAGTGGTGGAACTCCATCACTACTAAAAACACAAAAATTAGCCAGGTGTGGTGGCACGTGCCTGTAGTCCCAGCTACTGTGGAGGCTGAAGCACAAAAATCACCTAAACCTGGGAGGAGGAGGTTGAAGTGAGCCAAGATTGTGCCACTGCACTCCAGCCTGGGCAACAGAGTGAGGCTCCATCAAAGAGAGAAAAAGAGAAAGAGAAAGAAAAGAAAGAAAGAAAGAAAGAAAGAAAGAAAGAAAGAAAGAAAGAAAGAAAGAAAGAAAGAAAGAAAGAAGGAAGGAAGGAAGGAAGGAAGGAAGGAAGGAAGGAAGGAAGGAAGGAAAGAAAGAGAAAGAAAGAAAGAAGAGGGAGGGAGCGAGGGAGGGAGGGAGGGGGGAAGGAAGGAAGGAAGGAAGATCCTATATTCACAGAAGAAAAGAGTCAGTATTGTGAAGATTCACAAATGACAAGCTGATTCTAAAATTTATATGGAAATGAGAAGGACCTAGAACCAAAACAATTTTGAAAAAGAACAAAGTTAGAGACTTACTCTACCCAGTTTTTATCTACAGTAATCAACATGGTGAGATGTTGGTGTAAAGATGAATGAAAAAGAAGAGAGTCAAGAAATAGGCCTACACATATATGATCAGTTGATTTTCAACAAAGATTTAAATGCCACTCAATGGGGGAAAGAATGTTTTCAATAAATGGTGCTGGAACAATTGAATAGCCATATTAAAAAAAGATTTAACTTTGACAGTTACCCAGTTACCTCACAACATATACAAAAATTACTGCAAGATGAATCATAGACCTAAATGCAAAACCTAAAACTTTGAAAAAAAATTACTGAAGAAAACATAGGAGGAAATTTTACTCACCTTCAGTTTGGCAAAGATTTCCTAAGGGGGATACAAAAGCATGGATGTAAAAGAAACATTAGCCAGGCTCATGCCTGTAAAACCAGCACTTTAGGAGACTGAGATGGGAGGGTTGCTTGAGGCCAGGAGTTCCAGACCAGCCTGGGCAACATAGCAAGACCCTGTCTCTACAAAATAAAAATTAAAAAATTAGCTGATCATGGTGATGCATCCCTGTGGTCCCAGATACTCAGGAAGCTAAGGTGGGAGGATCTCTTGAGCCCAAGAATTTGAGGCTGCAGTGAGCTATAATCATGCCACTGTACTCCAGCCTGAGCAATAGAGCAAGACTCTGTCACAAAAAAATAATGGTAAAGGCCGGGCGCGGTGGCTCAAGCCTGTAACCCCAGAACTTTAGGAGGCCGAGGCAGGCAGATCACGAGGTCAGGAGTTCAAGACCAGCCTGGCCAACATGATGAAACCCCGTCTCTACCAAAAATATGTAAAAAATTAGCCAGGTGTGGTGGCATGCACCTGTAATCCCAGCTACTCAGGAAGCTGAGGCAGGAGAATTGCTTGAACCTGGGAGGCGGAGGTTGCAGTGAGCCGAGGTCACACCACTGCACTCCAGCCTGGGCAACAGAGCGAGACTCCATCTCAAATAATAATAATAATAATAATAACAGGAAAAAAAGAATAAGAATATGGCCTGAGCAACCAAAAGAATGGAGTAACCAACATGATAGGGAAAGACTGTGGGAGGAGTGGGCTTTAGGGGTAAGGCTGGAGTTCAGTTTTGGAAGTGAGGATTTGAAAATGCCTATGAGACATACAAGTGGGGATGTTGAGTAGAAAGCTGGACATGAGAGCCTGGAGATCAGGAGAGAGAACTGGGCTGGAGACACAAATTTGGGAGCCTGACTCCAAGACTTCCACTCTTAACCCCCAATATTTATCACTCCTGAATGTTACTGTGGTTTCCTTACAGGTCTCCATTCTTCCTGTTTTTACCCCTCCAGTTCATCTTCCCTGCTTTCCCTGCTGGAGAGATCCTTCTGAACTGTAAAATAAGTCACACGATGCTTTAAAAATAAAAAGAAGGAAGAGGAGGGAAACAATCTCAGTAGTGCCCCAATCTCTTAAGCGATAAAGTCCCATCTTCTTAATCCAGTACCTTAGAATTTTTTTGACATATCCTTTGTTTCACCAACCTACCCTGCAACCTCAATTCTCCCCTCCATCTCTAAATGCAGCTCTCTCTGATCCAATCTTCCCAAAATGCTAGCAGTTCCTCGTGTTCTTCCTCTGCCTGGAATCTCTCTCTTTCTCCCTCACCCATATCCTCCTAGAGAGATCCTATCTTCTCATCCTTTAAAACTGAGCCCATGACTCCACACGTATAACTCTCATGGTGAACTTATTTTGCAACTTTCTGCCTCATCTGTCTGTCTCACCTGTGGGACTATGATCTTCAGGTTACTTTTTCCTTCTTTTGCAAGCTATGTATGTAGGACTCAGGCTCCCAACAATGCCAGTGATAATGGATACAAAATCGTGGTGAAGTCAGACAACAGAATGCTCTTCAGCAAGAACAGTGAACTACCTGTTCAGCCAACAGAGTGGATCTCACAAATATAAAATTAATCAAAAGAAGTATATACTTTTAGTTTTCCATTCATATAAAGTACAAACCCAGGCAAAACTAAACCATGCCCTTAGAAGTCAGAAAAATGGCTACCCTGGACAGCGACTGGGAAGGGACACAGGTGGGCCTTCCGGTCAGGATCGGTTTCTTTACTTGTTCAGGATCTGTTTCTTTACCTGGATATGTTCAGTTTGTGAAAATTCAAGTTTTCCATAATTTTAGTGCACTTTCATGTGTGTGTGTTATACTCGAATAAAGGCAAAACTAAACTAAGTTGGTAGACCATCAAAAGAAGCAAGCAAGGAAATAAATACCATATGATTCAGGATGATGGTTACCTCTGGAGGAGAGAGAGGGAGGTATGATTGACAGAAGTCAGTAGGGTACTGACAATGTTCTATTTTTTAACCTGTTTAGTGGTTATACAGGTGTTTGATTTATATGTTCATATTATTTAAAAGTGAATATATGGTTTATATACTTTTATATATGTATGTTATATTTTACCATAAAAATCTTTTTATGGCCAGGTGCAGTGGCTCACGCCTGTAATCCCAGCACTTTGGGAGGCTGAGGCGGGCGGATCACGAGGTCAGGAGATTGAGACCATCCTGCCCAACATGGTGAAACCCCGTCTCTACTAAAAATACAAAAATCAGCTGGTTGTGGTGGTGCACGCCTGTAGTCCCAGCTATTCGGGAGGCTGAGGCAGGAGAATTACTTGAACCTGGGGGGCAGAGGTTGTAGTGAGCCAAGATTGCGCCACTGCACTCCAGCCTGGGCAACAGAGAGAGACTCTGTCTCAAAAAAAACAAAAAATCAAAAATCTTTTTATAAGTACATGCATTTCCAGGATACAGTTGTCAAGCAAATAGTGCAAAAGAAAAAGCAAAGTGTAATAGAATATCTCAGTATACTATCTTGTGTGAAAGAAAGAGAACCAAGAAATATATATTGTTCATTTGTGCAAAAAACAAACAAACAAAAACCAAGAAGGGTATACCAGAAACTAGTGAGATTTATTACCTACAGGGGATGTGTAGGAATGAGGTGAAAAGGATGAGAGGAGGGCCAGATGTGGTGGTTCACGCCTGTAATCCCAGCACTTTGGGAGTCCGAGGCAGGTGGATCACGAGGTCAGGAATTTGAGACCAGCCTGGCCAATATGGTGAAATCCCCTCTCTACTAAAAATACAAAAATTAGCCGAGTGTGGTGGCACGCACCTGTAGTCCCAGCTACTCAGGAGGCTGAGGCAGGAGAATTGCTTGAACCCTGGAGGCAGAGGTTGCAGTGAGCCAAGATCGCGCCATTGACTCCAGCCTGGGTGACAGAGCAAGACTCCGTCTAAAAGAAAAAGAGAGAGAGAGAGAAAGAAAGAAAGAGAGAGAAAGAAAGAAAGAAAGAAAGAAAGAAAGAAAGAAAGAAAGAAAGAAAGAAAGAAAGAGAAAGAAGAAAGAAAGAAAAAGAAAGAAAGAAAGAAAGAGAAAGAAAGAAAAGAAAAGAAGGATGAGAGGATAGAATGGGGTACAGGGGATGGGAAGTGACACTTCTCTGGGTATAATTTTTTGCATAGTCTTGACTTTAAAAGGCACGTTAATGTTTCACATTGTCAATCAATTAACAATGATGGTGGTGGAGGATGGAATACAAACAGCAACAGATGAGCCTATTTCAATGGAATAAAGTGACTATACTAAAAGGGGAAAACAAAAAGAATTGTAACCTAATATTAAACCTTAATCAGTAGCTTTATTTTTCACAGTGTGGGTTGACAATTCTGAAACTACTGAATGTGTATCCTAGGATTGAACAAACAAGTAAATATTGTGAATGACGGGAAGTGAGGTTCTCGCTGTTAGAGAAGGGAGTTAGAAATATGGAAAGTAGAAAGACTGGAATGAACTCTGTGGCTTGGGATTGGGGTTAGAGTATCAGTACGAGCTTATGGTTTTTTTGAGACAGCATCTCACTCTGTTCCCCAGGCTGGAGGGCAGTGACACGATCATGGCTCACTGTAGCCTTGAACTCCTGGGCTCAAGTGATTTTCCCACCTCAGCCTCCTGAGTAGCTGAGATCACAGGCATACTCCACCACGCCCAGCTAATTTAAAAAAATTTTTTATAGAGACAAGGTCTCACTATGTTGCCCAGGCTGGTCTCAAACTCCTGAGCTAAAGCAATCCTCCCACCTTGGCCTCCCAAGGTGCTGGAATTACAGGCATGAGCCACCATGCCTGGCCTGCTCCTGGTTTTTAAGATGATACAGAGATTAGATAGATTAGATTAGATTAAATTAGACAGACATATGATAGATAGATAGATAGAGATAAATAGATTAGATAGATAGATGATAGATGATAGATTAGATAGATAGATAGATAGATAGATAGATAGATAGATAGATAGATGTATTCCTACACATATGTATACATATGTATCCTAGCTCTGTCCACTAAGGTGGCCTAGAAACAATGATCCCCTAGTAGCAAGAACACACCTTATGCCCATAACTTGTTATCTCTATCGAAAGGAATGAAGCCTGGATTTTTGGAGAGCTGGTTCCAGGGCTGTGTCAGGAAAAGTACAAGATGAGCCGGAAGCATCTTGCTCTTCTAGGAAGTGAGGAAATCCTCAAAGAATGATGGAGCATGAGAAGGACACAGAAACAAGGACACAAATCAAAAGGACACAAAAAACAAGCTTGAAAAGGCTCCCCTGTCAAATTCTGGAACAATTTGGGCATCAAAATTAATAATAAATGTAGCAGTTTATAACCCATTGAATAAACTGAGAATCCGCAAAGCCATGATAAAACTAGCTAACTGAATGAATAAATAAATGGAGGCAAAAGGAAAATTATTCCTTATTGTAAAGTGTGAACCAATAAATGTAGAATGAATAATGGAATTAGAAAATCACCATCTGGCAACCACCAAGGTAATAATTGTTTCTAGCAAGTGCAGTGAGATTGGGTGAGGGCGAGGGAAAATCATGGCTTTTTCTTCCATACACTCCTGTGTTGTTCAAGCATCTCACGATGTGCATGTTCTCATGCATTACTTTTGTAATTAAAAATATGTATATTCTTTTGACATGCTGAGGGACAAGTGCTTGTCACTGTCAGTGCTCTCTGCAAGATAGTGGAGATAAATAAGTTGTACTGAAGCGGCACCCGGGAGCACTGTCTTCTGAGAGACAGAGATAAGAGCAGCAGCCCTAATTAACTGTAATACCGAAAAATATACTGGAACATGGTGATAAGTAGGATCACTCTTGCCTGACTACCTCAGTACAGTGCTGAGAACATAATAAGGACTCAATAGATGCTTGCAGAAGGTGTAAAATAGTGAATCCAGTCTGCTACCTTTGCATGAGAAAGAAGGGAAAAAGCAAAGTATAAGTATTATATATAAGTATATATAGATGTATATATATAAGTATTATATATATAGATACTTATATTTGCAAAAAGGAACACTAGAAGGATAAACTAAAAATTAATAAAAAAGAGTAACCAACAAGGGAGGGGGTATAACAGGGTATAGGGACATGATGGAAGTGAGATTTCTCTGAATAAGCCTTGTTACAGAGTTGAGACTTTGGAAACATAAAAACATTTTACATATTCAAAATTAAAATTCAATTAAAAATTTAAAAATCAATCTTTAAAAATAGAAAACAAACTGGAATGAATAAACCTAACTATATCACATTGGTAACATAGCTTCCAAAGATAATATACTATTTCCAGCAACTTTAGAACACAGTTTTTGAATGCATATCCTTACTGGAATATATTCCAAGAACAAATAGAACTACTAAGAAATCCTAGACTTCTTTCAGGAGTCTAATTGATTGTAGAAATATTGGTTTGATTAGTTTAATGCAGGGACGCAAATATATAAATGTTGTTAGGAGCCAAAATTTTCAGTATAAAAATGCCATCTATGAAGTATAAACTTTGTATTTATTTATTTATTTATTTATTTATTATTTTATTTTATTTTATTTTGAGATGGAGTTTCGCTCGTCGCCCAGGCTAGAGTGCAATGGCGCGCTCTCGACTCACCGCAACCTCCGCCTCCCGGGTTCAAGTGATTCTCCTACCTCAGCCTCCTGAGTAGCTGGGATTACAGGCATGTGCCACCATGCCCAGCTAATTTTTTATTTTTAGTAGAGACAGGGGTTTCTCCATGTTGGTCAGGCTGGTCTTGAATTCCCGACCTCAGGTGATCCGCCCGCCTCAGCCTCCCAAAGTGCTGGAATTACAGGAATGAGCCACCATGCCCGGCCTGAAGTATAAACTTTTAAAAAGTACATAAACACCTTGGAATATTAACTTTGAACTGGAAATATCAATATGATACAACAACATTTTTGCTTCTTTCAAAAAAAATTTTTCCCTGCCTTGTTCATTGGAAATACCCAGAAGCAGTGACACCTAGTATCAATGAACATCCCTAGCACCTGTATCTTGGTGTCTGAATACATCCCAACTAAAACGAACCAGGGCTCCTTGGAGAAATGGCTAATTTCAGGTCTGGAGCAGGAAATGTCCAACATGAGCCTGAGACATCTTTTCCTACCAGAAACCAAGAAAACTATCAAAGACTGCTAGTGTCATGTTAAAAAGGCACAGAAACAAACTTGAAAGGGCTCCCACTGGCCAAATATGGGGTAATTTGAACATCAAACAGAATGATAATTGCAATGGATTGAAACACACTGAATATTTTTTTAAATGAGTTCATAATGGCACTAAAAACAAGCAGCAAAAACAAAAAACATAAAAACCTCATTTGAACCATTGGAAATAACTAGGACATCAAGTCCTTCCTCTGAAAATTGGCATTTATAATGACAAAATTATATATTTATTTTGTCTTTCCTATGTAAATTCTATCTTGGGGTAACTCCAATGGCCCAAGTTGATGAAGGGAAGTTTTTGTTTTTGTATTTTTCTGAGACAGAGTCTCCTTCTGTTGCTTGAGCTAGAATGCAATGGTACGATCATAACTCATTGCAGCCTCAAATTCCTGGGCTCACGCCATCCTCCAACTTCACCCTTCCAAGTAGCTGGGATTATAGGCACATGCCACTGGGCCCCCTTAATTTTTTAATGTTTGTAGAGATAGGGTGTCACTATTTTGCCCAGGCTGGTCTCAAATTCCTGGCTTCAAGCGATCCTACCTCTTCAGCCTCCCAAAGTGTTTAGATTACAGGCATGAGCCACCACGTCTGGCCAGAAATATTTTACTTGTAGAGAAGGCTGGTTAATAAATGTAGAAAAATGACAGAATTAGAAAGATCACCACTTGCAAGTCCTAATAAAACAACTGATTCAGGCAACAATCATCAATAGATGAAACCATTAGATGAAAGGTTAATGGGGAAATTTACCATGGAGAGATGAGGCTTTTACCACCTTAACCCACCGATAAATCTTAACATCACTAACAGCAGGACCACCAGACATTATGTGCCACTTGATGTGTTGAAATAGAAATCTCACAGCACCACCTCTAAAGTGTTGCAACTAATAATAATAATAATAGTTATAGTAATAATAATAAATAATAATGATAAATAACCTGAATGCAACAGAGTCTTAAGAGCTAACTTCCAACTCCAGGAAAAAATAGAGTGGTGGGGGGCAGATAAAGAACATGTTAAATGACACCACAAGGGAGCAAACAGAGAAATCCAAAAGATAGGTCCTTCTACAGGACAACTGCAACAAGTCGGTGGCATGAAATGAAAAGTGGGAAGGCAGGACCTGCTCTAGGATTAAGGGACCCTCAAGAGACATGTCAAATCATTCAGTGTGTTCTGGTTTGAACAAGCTGGGTGTAAAAAGACATTTAATTATGAAGACAATTGGGTAACTGTGGACTTGCTATTATGAGACATCACCAAGGAATTGTCACTATCCTTCAGTGTAATAATGGTATAGTGGTTTTAAGATATTCCTATTTTTTAGAATTGCATACTGAAGTATATAGGGATGTGATACAATGTCTGAGATTTGATTTGAAATACTTCAACAAAAGAAAAAATAGAGTAGATGAAATAAATACAGTAGAATCTTATTCATTGTCCAATCTGAGTAGTGCATGTATGTGTATTCATGGTAGTATCCTCTGCATGTTTGAAATGTTCATAATTTTAAAAATTAAAGTTTTTTGAGACAATGAAAGGGGATCTTGACTCTAAGAAAATGTTCAGAGTAAGTTGCAAAGGAGCATTTTTATTCAAGCCTTGTTTAGATTCAGTAACTAGGACAGTTTAAATGGGTGAGAAATGAATCAAACCACTCCCAGCTATTTATACACTATGTAAAAAAAATTCCTTATGATAGGAATGTGTTTTTATTTTTTAAAATGAAATAATCATTAATGCTGGAGGCTTCTGGATACCATTAATGTTCTATTTCTTGAGCTGAGCAGTGGTTAAGTGGGTGTTCATTTTATAACTATTTCTTCATCTACAAGACTTATGCACATTTCTATCTGTACATTATATTTCACAATTTAAAAAGTTGAATTTTTGAAAAGTATAATTGAAATAGTAGAACATGACACTTTTTCTCCCAATTCAGTGTAGCCTCACTGACTGGTTAAGGAGACCGTCGCAGCCCCATGAAGGTGCTTTCGCCCACCAGATGGTGGAGTACTGTCATTTTAGAGATAGAAACAAGAGCAAATATGGAAGGAGTTCTTAAATCTTCCAAAACCTGCTTATCTCCCTGCCTGCTCAGGGTGATAAACAGAGGGGCACAGGCAGAAAGGAATCAGGTCTCTTCCATTCCTGCAGTGTTGGAGTTGATTCAAAATGGGGGACTGTGGGCCGGGCGCAGTGGCTCACGCCTGTAATCCCAGCACTTTGGGAGGCCGAGATGGGCGGATCACCTGAGGTCAGGAGTTCGAGATCAGCCTGGCCAACATGGCAAAACCCCGTCTCTACTAAAAATACAAAAATTAGCCGGGTGTGGTGGCAGGAGCCTGTAATCCCAGCTACTCGGGAGGCTGAGGCAGGAGAATCACTTGAACCCGGGAGGCAGAGTTTGCAGTGAGCCAAGACCACGCCATTGCACTCCAGCCCAGGTGACAGAGTGAGATTCTGTCTCAAAAAAGAAAAGCAGGGGGACTGTGGCTACAAGTGCATGACTCAGTTTCCCTTGTTCCCCCTGTCTTCTCTCCCTACAACTCTGCCTGATGATTTCTGTGTGCTCATCTCATAAAGACAGGTCTTTCTGGAGAACCCTCTCCTCCCACTGCAAAGGGAGGAAAGCTGCTTCAGAGTGGATAGTGAGTGTGTGGGGGGGCGTTCAGTCCAGCTGGCCCCTCCCACCCTCCTTCGCAAGGCATTCCTTCCCCATCACTGTTCCTCACCATCGCCAACAACAGAACAATCCTTTCTCTTGACGGCCTTGGAAGGTCATGAGTGAAGGCTAACTGAGGGCAAACTGAGATAGCAGGAGTCCAGGTCAAGATCCCTGTCTTGAGATAAAGTCTGAGATCCTTAGGCTGGCATTCAGGGTCTCATCCCTGCCTCCTGAGCATCCCTCATCAGGCAACATCAAATTGCTTCCAGCATGCTCCAAACACACTACCCTCTGGGACCCCCCAAGCCTTTGTACAGGCTGTTTCACTCACCTAGTCACCTTTTTAAATGGAATTAAGAGGTATATGGTACTGATTATGTCTTGACACTGTTCCGAACACTTCACAGATATTACCTCATTTATCCTCACAACCCTATTGTAAGCACTATTATCACCCCATTTAACAGATAAGGAACTTGAGGCACAAGGAGGGTAAGAGGCATGGATTCAAACCCAAGCAGTCTGGTGCCCGAGTCAGTGCTCTTAGCCACTGCACTATGCTGCCTCTTAAACTTCCGACTCACTTCCACTTCTTCCACACTGACCTTGGGTGTCAACACTTCTCCCCACCCCGCCCCTGACATTTTTGGGCTCCCACAGCTCTCAGTTCCCACCTTCACTTCACACTGTAATGAAACAATCTGATTGCCTCTTTTACTTTTTCATTTTTAAAAACTTTGTATTGAAGTAGTATAACACATAAAGTACTCATTTTCTCTCTCCTGCCACCATGTGAAGAAGGTCCTTGCTTCCCCTTCATCTTCCACCACGCTTGTAAGTTTCCTGAGGCCTCCCAGCCACGCAGAACTTTACAGGGCTTTGACACTTGGGTACACGTATCTCATCTAAAGAAGGCACTGACTTCTGCCAGTATCTGACACCAAGCTCAAGCTAACCAAAGCCTCATCTTTAGGCCTGGGCAAAGTTTATATCTTCCAGGTTACAGCAGTTCCATGTAAAGATGATGATCATGCAAGGATTCCAGCCAATTCTTGTCTCGGAATCGGACTCACCTGCTGATGCACCCTGGGGACCCTTAGACCAGGCATCCAGAGATTTCCAATCCCTGGACAGGCAAGGCCAGCACCCTTAAATTAGCAAGAAGAAGATACAGATGACTGGCCTCCTCCCTCATCAACCCTTAAGAATAAGGGATGGAAATCTCTGAAGGGTGAATGAATTAGGAAGAGCACTGGGTGGTTACAGGAGGATGAAAAAACTCAAACAACAGCTAAAACAAGAACTAGGCAAAGAAACAATGGGATAACAGAAAATCTGAAATAAGGGGGAGAAAATGGCCAGAATCCCAGCCAGGGTGACATGTCCATGACTCTTCTGGGAAAACCCAAATAAGGGAGAAAAGGGGTGGTAACCAGAGTGGGGGAGCTGAAATCCCCTCCTTTTCTAGAACATCTAATGATTATTCCACCCCCTAATTAAAGAAACACCCATAAAATTAGAAACCCAAACTCCCTTCTGTGCAACTCGTTCTCACAAACACGCCCGCACTTCTCTCTCTTAAGTGTTTACTTTTGCCTTGCAATAAAAGCTTCTTGCCTTTCCCTTCAAAAGAGAAGAGAAAAGTACTTGAAGTCAGGAGCAGTGGCTCATGCCTGTAATCCCAGCACTTTGGGAAGCAGGAGGACTGCTTGAGCCCAGGAGTTCAAGACCAGCCTGAGCAACATAGTGGGTCTCTGTCTCAATAAAAAGAAACAAAATAAAAGAAAAGCACTCGAGACATATAAATGAACACTCTCGATGAACTGTTACTAAGCCACCTGAGTAATCAGCTCCAAAATCAAGAACCAGAACATTCCCAGCACTCTAAAAAGTCTCTTTGGCCTGGCGCGGTGGCTCATGCCTGTAATCCCAGCACTTTGGAAGGCAGAGGTGGGCAGATCACCCGAGGTCAGGAGTTCGAATCCAGCCTCTACTGGCCAACATGGTGAAACTCCGCCTCTACTAAAAATACAAAAATTAGCCACACATGGTGGTGGCCGCCTGTAATCCCAGCTATTCAGGAGGCTGAGGCAGGAGAATTGCTTGAATCCGGAAAACAGAGGTTGCAGTGAGCCCAGATGGTGCCTCTGCACTCCACCCTGGGCGACAGAGTGAGACTCCATCTCAAAAAAAAAAATAATAAAAATAAAGAAAAGAAAAAAGAAAGAAAGAATGTCTCTTTAGGCCTCCTACTCAGACCCCAATGGTAATCACTATTCTGACTTCTATCACAATACATTGGTTTTGCCTGGTTTTGAACTTTATATGTATGGAATCATACAGTATTCTTTTGTCTGGTTTATTCTGCTCAGTGTAATGTTTGTGGGATTCATCCATATTGTAGTTGTAAGTCATTTCTTCTCATTGATGTATACTATTCCAATGTGCAAATATACCACAATTTATTTTTCATTCTCCTATTGATGGTATTTGGGTTGTTTCCAGTTTGCACTGTTACAAATAGTGCTTTTATGAACATTACCACAATGTCTTTTGGTAAACATATATATGCATTTTGGATGGGCACATACCTAAAAGTAGAACTGCTGGGTTATGAAGTATGCACGTGGTCGCCTTAGTAGATATTGCTAAACAGTTTCCAAAGTGGCTATATCAATTTATACTCTCATCAATACTGTATGAGAGCTCTTATCACTCCACATTCTCACCAATATTCGGTATTGTCTTTTTCTTTTTAGTCAATCTAGTGAGCATGGTTTCATTTTGTATTTTCTTGACTACCAATGAGGTTTAGCACATTTTCCTAAGTTTTTGGCCAGTTGGCTATCCTCTTTTGCAAGGTCCCTGTTCAAGTATCTTGTCTGTTATTCTTTTGGGTTATCTGTCTTTTTCTTATTGGTTGGTAAAAGTTATTTGTATATTCTGGATATGAGCCTTTTACTGGATATATACTTTGCAAATATTTTATCTAATTCTATGACTTATCTTTTCACTATTTTAATGGTATCTTTTGATAACCAGAAGTTTTAAATTTTAATGCTGTTCAATGTATCACTCCTTTCCTTTATGGTAATTACTTCTTGTCTTGTTTAATTCCTTCCTTACCCCAAAGTTATAAAGATATTCTCTTACATCATATTTTAGAAGACTTATTGTTTTGCCATTTTTTTTTTTTTGAGACAGAGTCTTGCTCTGTCGCCCAGGCTGGAGTGGAGTGGTACGATCTCGGCTCACTGCAGCCTCGACCTCCTGGGCTTAAGCAATCCTCCTACCTCAGTCTCTGGAGTAGCTGGGACCACAGGTGCGCACCACCACGTTCTGCCAATTTTTGTATTTTTAGTAGAGACAGGGTTTTGTCATGTTGGCCAGGCTTTTCTCAAACTCCTGAGCTCAAGCAATCTGCCTGCCTTGGCCTCACAAAGTTCTGGCATTACAGGCGTGAGCCCGTGCCCAGCCCGTTTTGCCTTTTTTTGTTTGTTTTTCGAGACAGAGTCTTGCTCTGTTGCCCAGGCTGGAGTGCAGTGGTGAGAACACAGCTCACTGCAGCATCCTGGGCTCAAGTGATCCTCCCACCTCAGCCTCCCAAGTAACTGGGACTACAGGCGCACACCACCATGTCCAGATAAGGTTTAAATTTTTTATAAAGACGGGGTCTCAATATGTTGTCCCGGGTGGTCTCAAACTCCTGAACTCAAGCAATCCTCCTGCCTTGGCCTCCGAAAGTGCTGGGATTACAGGTATGATCCACTACACCCGGCCTCCAAAACATTTTCTAATTTTCCATGGATTTTTCTCCCTCCCCAAAGCATGTGGGCATAAAAATGACCACCGGAGGGCCTTGTCAAAAGGCAGGTTTTGAAGCCCCATCTGAAAACCTCCTAGATTAGTATTTCTGGGAGGTAGGCTTGGGTATCTACACTTTACAAGTTCTCCAGGGGATTCAGATGCAAGTGGGTTCCAGGTCCACAGTCTGGTAGCAGAGCCTGCATTTCCTAAGGGCAGAGAGCATAGGTCTGAGTCACCCGGTACTGTTAGTGCCCAGCACTGGGCCTAACATAAAACCATTTGTCATAAATGAAGGAACCAATGGATGAAGGAAGAAAGGAAATAAAACACAATTTCTTATATCAAGATAATTTGAATTCTTGAATGCTGTAACTTAGGGGAACCACTGAAGCATCATTTGGTCCCAATTTAATCATATTTGAAACAAATATTTTTTTCCTTGTCTTCATATCTCTGCCTACCAAGCGTTCTCCTCACCTCTCCTATTCTGTTGTCCTGGGACATGGCTTTAAGTATGGGTTCTGCCTGTCTGCTGGCCCCGAGAAAGTGGGGATGGCACAGGAGATATCCTGAGAGGGGCTGTTCAGAGTTGGGCAGCGCTCCTTTCCCACCCCAACCCCCCAGCCAACCTCCAGGCCTTGCAGGGAAAATGCCCATAGAACCCCATTCTAAATCAGTTTATGAATCCCACCTCTCCGGGCCCTAAGCATGCCTCCCAGCCCAAAGCTTTTGAGAAACTTTCGCCGGACCTTTGTCCCGACCCAGATCCTAGCGTCCTCTATGCCCTGCCTCCTCTGCACTTGTAGCCCATGTGAGTTGCTCTCTCAGCAGCCTCTTGGCCATCTCTCCCCACCTCCACTCATGCCTCTCTCGAGCATCTCAGAAAGGCCCGAGCCTGACTTCCCCAGCCAGCTATTGTCCTGGCAGCACAGCCGCCACGCCAGCGTCCCCACCCAGTCAGCCAGCCGGCTGCTCCCTGGCCTCGCCAGCACCCCCCGCCCCCCCCCCCGCTCCCCGCCCCGCCCCAGGGAGGACCAGGCTGGCAGCTGGGAGTCTCCCTGCCTGCTCAGCCTTCCTCCTTCCCTCCCTCTCCCTCCCTGCCTCCCTCCTCCTCCGCCCGCCCCTGAGGCAGGGACCGTGCAAATCGAGGAGAGGGGGGACGGACAGGCCTGATGGGGTCCAGCTTAGGGCCCCGGACTCCCCACTGATGCTCTATCCAGGCTGGGTGTCCCCAGCATCGTGGGACCTGGATTTGTGTGCACCGGGGTGGTTCCCAGGCCAGGAGGGTCCCTCTGGCAGGCCCTTGGTGCCCTCGTTTTGCATGAGGACCCCCCTCGGATGCTCTGAGCCACCCTCCTCAACCCGGATCTAAAACCCGGGACACGGCTATCAGGCCAGCCTCTCTCTCCACCCCACCCCCTCTTTCTGGCGTCCATCCCCTCCCCAACACCACCTCTGCTGCTGCCTCTGGCTGTGGACCTGCACCTCTTCCCCATCCCCGCCAGGCCCGGGGAGCGGGGTGAGCCTGGATGAGAGCCCCCCCAACCTGGGGCTCTCCCAGGCCATGGCCCGTGTGCTCCCAGGGAGGAGCCCCGGACCCTGAGCATCTGCTGGAGGCTTGGCAGAGGCCCCGCGGGGACCGTGTCTTCTGAGGACAAAAGGCGGCGGCCAGCAGGCAGACGGAGGGGGGGGGTGGGGGGTGGGGGGGGTAGGGGGACCGGCAGCCAGGCAGGCAGACGGGTAGCAGGGGCCAGCACTGGCCCCCCTCCCAGCTTGGCAGTGGCATGAAGATGGGAGTGGGAGTGTATAGTGGAGGAAGCACCTGCCGGGACCCCCACCTGCCAGCTAGTTGGACACCCCAAGGCTGTGTGCTGCCCACCTGGTGTTCCCCAACACCCCCAGCCCTACCCAGTGCACCCCTCCGGTGCCTGCTTTCCCTGATGCCTGCGATTTAGACCAGCCCGGCTGTATCCACGGCAACAGAAGCAGGAGTGTCACTGGCCGCCAGATCACTGAGGGTCCCACAATGTGGCCCGGGCTGTGATTTACCTGGGTGAGACAGCTTGAGCCCCATCGTGGATTCCAAGACATCCCTGCTGAGAGAGCCAAGGTAAGCAGTCAGCATCCCTCCACCAAGGATGGGGGGCTGGGACTTCTGTTCTGTCTCCCCACACATACTTCAGAGTCTCCATCACTGCCATGCTCTCTGTCTCTGTCTGACTCTGTTAGTCTCTTTCTGCTCCATCAAGGGGCTCCTTGGTACCCAAGCCTGGGGACTCCTCATCTTCCCCCCATCTTCCCCAATCCCAAATGTCCCATGAGAAAGGGAACCACCACCTGTTTCCCCTCACAGGGTCTGTTTTTATCATCATGGTTGCGTTTGGGCATGAGGCTGTGTTAATCTTTCCTTGTGTGCTGGCTGTGGAAGGGATGCCTGGGAGCCCGGCGGCCGTGTTCCCTTCACAATGCCTGCACCCTGGGCAGGCTCAGCCTCTTGCGGCTGCTCCTCTCCCTCTCCCTCCTCCTCCACTCTCCTCCAGGATCCCTGGCCTGCTGGCCGGGTGTGTGTGTGTGTGTGTGTGTGTGTGTGTGTGTGTGTGTGCACCTGGGTAGCAAGCAGGTGGGTAGACATGACAGAGAAGCTGCTCCCAGCCCAGACCATCCCCCACTCCTTCTTTCCTCCTTTCCTTCCTTCCTTCCTTCCACCCTCCCCACCTCCCCATCTCTCCCTACAGGTAGCAGAGTTTTGCTCACTCACCACTGAAGATGTTGCCGATTCCCAGCTAGGGGGAGGAAGTCACTGTAGGGCTAAAGGACAGTGAAGTGGTGGTGGGGAGCACTTCCAGGCCCTAGGCTGCCTGATGGTTCTGTGGGGGCAAAGACCAATCCCATGACAACCTGCAGGGGCCAGGAACAACATGGTTGTCCCTACAGTGTGGGACCCAGCCTCCACCACAAGGCTCTCTGTCTCTGTTTCAGATGTCCATGTTGTGTCTGAGACCCCCCGGATCTTGTGGCCTTGTGCCCAGTAGCCGGAGGTCCATATATCTGGAAGGGCAGGAAAGCCTGGTACATGGAGAACATGGATCCTCCCAGGGACACTTCCCCCAACTACTAGCTCTGCAACTTTAGTGGAAGCATGCCACTTACCGAACCTCAGTTTTCCCATCTGTCAAAGAGACTGGTAACCCTTCCCTGATGGGTGTGTGTAGGGATTGAATGAGTTGGTGCATGTAAGTAAGAGATGTGCATCGAGGTGGCACTGAAGCAATGTCAGCAAAGCTCACAGTCAATATTGTTGCTGATTATTCATGATTAATAGTGTTATCGATTACTTGGAGGAGGGACAGGTCCTTCTTCTCCAGGGTCTCAGCAGAGATCTGGGGAGGGCAGCAAGTGGGCAAATGGAGGGTAGTGGAAGGGAGGCAGGAGAAGCCCTGTGTTAATACTTCTCATTTGTAGAGAATGATAAGTGGTTATGGGCAGAGCCTCCCTCCCCCACCCCACTCCAGTCTTCTTTCCCTGCACTTGTCCCTGTTTGTGCGCACACACACACACAGAACCTTGAGCCCCCATGAGCCAGCAGAGGCCTGGCTTGCAGCCTGCAGCCTTTCTGGCCCTGGTGATGTATGTGTCTCCCTGTTGAGGGGAGACTTGGCAAGAGTTTGGCCTGTGGTCAGTGGTTGGCAGGGCCTGGAGATGAGGCTGAAGCTCCTGAGATCACGGGGCTTCGGGTAGAGCTGGGGTGTGGCCCATGCAGCAGCCAGACCTGTGAGGGACGCGTCCCAGGGAGCTGCTCACCTAGAGCCTGGGGTGGGGGAAGAACGGGGTCTGCTGGCTGATTTCAGGGCATGGAGATGTGATGGGACACAGAGTGTGGGGTCGGTGGCCAAGGGAAGAGGAGGAATGGGGAAAGACTGAGGCCCAGAAGACCATCTCTGTGGGGGCAGGGAGGGGGGCTTTGAGGCATAAAGTAGACTTTTCTGAAGAAGCATTTGGTGTGGGAGAGGACCTGGTCTGTGGTCTGGAGGCCTCTGGGCCCGAGCGTGGTTGTATATATGCTACTGAAAATGTGTGGCTGAGTGTGTAGTCTGTGTGTGCATGTCTGTTCATGGGCAGTGTGGCTGTGTATGAACCTGTGTGTGTAAGCAGGCCGTGTGATGGCATGTGTGTGAGTGTGTGGGTATCTGGGTAGGCTTGTGTGTGTACTGTGGGGTGGGCATGACTTTGCATGTCTGTCTGGGTGATCAAATGGACATGTTTGATTTTGAGCCTGAGTGTGGGTGTGTTTTCTCTGAGCCATCAGGCCTGTTGAATGTCTAGTTGTATATGTGTGTGGCATCAGTTTTTCTTTGAGTGTACGTGTCTGGTTGTATGTGTATGAGTGTGTGGGTTTCAGAATGCCTGGGTGTGCATGCCCAATTAGATGAATGCCTAGTTGTATCTGCTTGTGCATATTGGTGTGTGCTCATGAGTGTAGGTGCATCTAAAGGGTGTGCTTGTGAGTGTTAAGGGCATATATGTGCATGTCCATGCATGTATGAGAGGGTGTATATGTGTGTGTGTATATATGAGTGTATCTGTCCTGCATTTGTGTAAGCAGGCTTTTGACTTTCTGTGAATGTCTGTATGTGGGTTCTCCAGCATTTTAAATTATATAGATGTCCGTGTGTGCATGTTCCAGTGTATATCACCTGTAGACAAACCTTTATGTCCACATCCGATTAGAGAAATGTTAATATAGGTGGGCACACTAATATAAGGAGAACTAATTTTATGGGTAGGGGAGAGTGTGTGAATGAAAATCTATTTTGTGGGTATGCCTACATGTGCACATTTGATTATGTATGTGAGTATGGCTGTGTGTGGGGGTGTATGCCTGTCTGCACACAAAAACACACACACACGCAAAATGCTGTGTGCATAGGTGAAATGATGCATTGTCTATATGTCTAATTGTGTTTGTGTGTACACTGTTATGTGTGAGTACATGTCTGTGGCGTGCATGAGTAGGTACTTGGGTGTGCATGTCTCATTATGTGTTTTGTCTGAATTTCTGAGTATGTGAGTGTGAATGTGTATTTGAATATGCCTGTGATTGTGAGTGTATATGTGGGTGTATATGCTAGTAGGTGTGAACATCTGGCTGTGTGTGTTTCATTGAACATGTCTGTATATGCCTGCCTGTCCATACACATATGTCCACACACATCTGTCCACACACACACGTGTGTGTGTGTGTGTGTGTGTGTGTGTGTGAATATGCCTGTGTGTATGCCTGTACATTCAGACAGGCATACACAGAGGTATATTCATATGTGTGAATGTGCCAGTTTGTACAGTTCTAATTATTTGCATGTATGTGTTTGTGTTTATGCATCTTTGTTCTGGAGCATATGTTGTAGAACACAATGTAAGGTAACGTCCATGCATGTCACTCTCAGCCTACAAGTGTGTTTAAGTGTGTGTGTGTGAGGATGTGTGTGAGGATGTGTGTGTGTCTGTGATGAGTGTGGATCAGTCCTTCTTGTATGGATGTACAGTTGTGTGCATGTGAGTGTACTTCCATGTGTACATGTGTGTGAATATACCTTTGTGTCCAAGTCCATCTGTGAGAATGTAGGTGTAAATGATTCCTCTTTATTGTGTAGCTTCTCATATGGGTGTATGAACTTGTAGGAATGTACATGGTGTACATATCTGGCTGTGATAGTGTGGGCATGTTTTGTGAGTACATTTGTATTTCCATGTCTGAGTGTAAGCATATGGGAATGAATTAATGAACAAGTCTATGTGCATGTGAACATGCCCAGTTGTGTGTACAAGTCTGTGTTAGGAATGTCTGCATATCTATACTTCATGTCATTTACAAGCATGTGCATATCTAGGTGTTTATGTGTGTGAGTGTGTAAATATATGTGGTCATGTCTGGGTGTGTGTGTGCACACATTTGGGAGCTTCCCTGTCTGTGTCCATGTTTGTTCATCATCTCCTTGGGTGTGATACAAAGTCTGTCTGTCTGTGGACATGTGAAGGTATGCCTGTATGTACCCCTGTGTTTGTGAGTGAATGTACGTCATTCATGGGCATTATGTCATGTGAATGTATGTCACGCATGCGTGCCTATGTTTAAGAGTAAATGGATGTACACGTATGACTAAGTACAGTGTGAGTGTGTCCATGTGTAAGGATGAGTGTAGGTATTTGTGCATGTGTCTGTCAGTCGATGTGAGAGAGAGATACTTGGCCTTGGGCCTGTGCGGATTGGGCCTTATTGACAAGGGGATGGAAAGGGAGAATACTTACAAGTCTGTGTACCTCAGTATGTATTTGTGTGTATGACTGAGAGTCAGTGGTGCCCTGCGAGACTATGTCTGTCTGTAAGTGTGTAGACATCCTGCAGATTGGCAAACTATGACACCTGATGCCTGTGACCCCCATTCTGGGGCTTCTCTGGCCTTGACCATGTACTGGGCTTTTGTGGGGGTCTCAGGATAATTCCTGTCATTATTCACACTCAAGAAGTGGGCACCAATCATGGCTGATGTCCTACTGGGGAAAAGAGGCCTATTTAGAAAAAGATTCCTTGAAACACAAAGACCTCCCTTCTCATCCCCCCAACCATCAAAGGCCCAGAGTAGAGTGGCATTGTATGATATCTAGGGTTGGTAAATAGTTTTCACTGAGAGGACCCAAATTATGCCATCCAGGCAGAAATCTAGATGTGAGTGTGTATATATAAAAGTGAAAGTATCTTAATAGAGTGTGTGTGTATGTGTGTGTGTGTGTGTGTAGACTGGTATATCTGGTGAGAGAGAAAGGATGTGGTCTGCATGTGTGTAAGAGAGAGCATGGGCCGGGTGCGGTGGCTCATGCCTGTAATCCCAGCACTTTGGGAGGCCAAGGCGGGTGGATCTCCTAAGGTCAGGAGTTTGAGACCAGCCTGACCAGTATGGTGAAACCCCATCTCTACTAAAAATACAACTGGGCGTGGTGGTGCATGCCTGTAGTCCCAGCTACTTGGGAGGCTGAGACAGGAGAATTGCTTGAACCCAGGAGGTGGAGGTTGCAGTGAGCCCAGATCATGCCACTGCACTCCAGCCTGGGCGACAGAGCGAGACTCCATCTAAAAAAAAAAAAAAGAGAGAGAGAGCACATGGGTGTATGGGTGTTTCTGGGTAGGGTGTGCGTGTGAGGCATTTGGGTGTGTTTGGGATTGGGGGGGTGAGTGTGGTTGTATGTAAAGTGGCCTGTGTGTGTGGAGGATGGTATGAGTGAGAGTTGGGTTGGGGATATGGGTGAGGATGTGTGTATTTGAGGGGTGTGTGAGTATGGGTTTATCTGGATGGTGAGATAGGGTGGGGGATACCTGGGTGGCGTATGTGTTTGCTGGTGTGGCTGTGTCTGTACTGTGTGTGTAAGAGAGTGTGGGTGTTTCCTGGGTGGAGTATGTATATGAGGGAGTATGGGTATATTGGGGTCAGGGAGATCCAAGTGTGGTTATATGTGGATGATATGTCAGTAGGTGAGAGCACAAGTGTATCTAGGCAATGGAAGTGTGTGATAGGGTGTATTGTGATGGTGTGCATGAGAAAGAGAATTTGGGCACATCTGGGTGAGGGTGGGGGTGTATATAATTGGGGGTGTCTATGGAGTGTGTGTATGGGTGGTGTGTGTGAGACAGTATGGATGTATCTGCATTGTGTGTGTGCAGTGTGAGTAGATCTGGCTGATGGTGATTAAGAGAGAATTGGGGGTCGAGATTGTGTTTGTGTGTGAGAGTGGGGGTGTTTCTGAGTGTGGTAGGGGTGTGAGCACGCATGTCTCCTGTGGGAAGAGCATGTATGTGTATCTGGATGAGGTGTGAGAGTTTGGGTTTAACTGGGTTGGAGGAGAGTGTGGATGTATCCAGATGGTGTGTGAAAGAGAAAGTGTGTAGGTACGTTTGGGCTGTGTGTGAGACAGTGTGTGGATGTATTGGGGGTGGAGTGGGTTTGAATGTGGGTGTATCTGGATGGTAGGTGAGTGAGAGCACGGATATATTTGGGTGATGGAGTGTGTAGTAAGGTATGTCTGGATGGCGTGTGGTGAGAGCTTTGGTTGTATCTGGGTGGAGAGTGCAGGCGTATACGTACTTGGGTGTGGATGTGAATGTGTATAACTGGATGGGTTGTGTAAAAGAGAGTTGGGGGCACAGCTGAGTGGGAAGTGTGTGTATGGAGTGTGGGTGCTTGTGGGTGGTGTGGAGGAGATGAGAGCATGGGTGGATCTGGGGAGTGGGGCGTGTGCAGAGGTGCACTGGATGGCATGTGTGAGAGTTGGATATGTCCAGGTGGGTTGTGTGTGGATGTAGTTATACCTGGGTGGTGCATGTGGCTTTGAGTGGATCTCCATGGTCTATATGGGATGAATCTGGATGATGATATATGAGAGGGTGGATGTGTCTGCATGGGGCTGTGAGAGTGGGGCTGTATTTGGAGTGTGCGTGTGCTGTAAGAGTGGGGCTGTATTTGGAGTGTGTGTGTGTGTGTGTGTGTGTGTATGGGTATGAGAATGATGTGTGTGTCTGTGTGTGTGGATGTATTTGGCTTGGGAATTTGTGAGTGTGAGTAATTGGATGGGGTGTGGGTAAGTGTAGTGCCTTTGGAAGGTATGTGTGTCATTGTGGGTGTGTCTTAATACTGTGTGTGAGAGAGAGAGAGATTGTAGGTGTGCCTGGTTCAGGTATGAGGGCTCTGAGTTGGGGTGGGGTACAAGTTTGAATGTATCTGTGTGATGTTTGTGAGAGTGTGGGTGTACTGAATTGGGAGTTTGCATAAGTGTGGAGGGCCTGTGCGTGTAAGTGCATTTGAGATGCGTGTATATGAGAACGGGAGTATTTAGATGGGATTTGTGTGAGAGGGTGTGGGTGTATCAGTGTTGGGTATATGTATGAAAGTAGGTGTATTTGAGGAGAATGTGGGCACATCTGAGTTGGAGTATGTGAGAGCGTGGGGTATATCTAAGACCGCGAAGACCTATAGGATGTGAGCAGGGCTCAGCCTATGTCTGAACGTCTACATGGCTATGAATCAGGATGTGTATATCTAAATAGGATGTGTCATCTCTGGGTGGTGTGAGAGTGTGTGGGTGTGTGTGTGAGTGTGAGTGAATCTGGGGGGTGTGCATGTGGCTGCATCCGGCCACATGTGTGAGTATGTGGCCAGCATGTGAGTATGAGGATAGCATGTGTGAGTATTTGGGTGAGGAATATATCTGAGAATGTGAGTGTATCTGTGTGTGAGTGTGTAGGTGGTATATCTGGAGGTTTTGTGTGTTCAATAATGTGGTTTTTTCTGGGTAGGGTGTGTGATTGTGGGCATGTGTATGAATGTGTATATATTTCCCGGGGCATATATATCTCTGCTGGAATGTCTGTAAATGTGAACGTGTCCATGTTTGTTTATGTATGTGACTAGGTGCGTGTGGCCATTTATACCTTAGTGTATCAGCTGGATTGGGTGTGCACATACTTGTGCTAAAGTGGTATGTATCTGTACTTGTGCATGAGGTGAGTGTATTTCTACATGTAAGTTGGATCTGCAAGGTCTCTGGAGGCAGCCTTTGTGTTCGAATCCTAGTTCTGCCATTTATTAGCTGTATGGCTTTGGGCAAGTCACCTAAGCTCAACAAAGCCCCATTGTCTTATCTGTAAAAGTGGGAGTACTATTACCTATCTCATAGGATGAGGATTGGGTGAGTTATATGAAAAGCACTTAGAGGCTGGACGCGTTGGCTCACGCCTGTAATCTCAGCACTTTGGGAGGCTGAGGCAGGCAGATCACTTGAGGTCAGGAGTTCGAGACCAGCCTGACCAATGTGGTGAAACCCTGTCTCTACTAAAAATACAAAAATTAGCCGGGTATGGTGGCACACGCCTGTAATCCCAGCTACTCGGGAGGCTGAGGCAGGAGAATCACTTGAACCCGGGAGGTGGAGGTTGCAGTGAGCTGAGATCATGCCATTGCACTCCAGCCTAGGCAACAAGAGTGAAACTCCATCTCAAAAAAAAAAAAAAAGAAAGAAAGAAAAAGAAAAAAAGTGGCTGGGCATGGTGGCTCACACCTGTAATCCCAGCACTTTGGGAGCCGAGGTGGGCGGATCACCTGAGTTCGGGAGTTCGAGACCAGCCTGACCAACATGGAGAAACCCCATCTCTACTAAAAAAAAAAAAAAACCACACACACAAAATTAGCCAGGCGTGGTGGCGCATGCCTGTAATACCAGCTACTCAGGAAGCTGAGGCAGGAGTGTCACTTGAACCCGGGAGGTGGAGGTTGCAGTGAGCTGAGATCGTGCCATTGCACTCCAGCCTGGGCAACAAGAGTGAAACTCCGTCTCAAAAAAGAGAAAAAGAAAAGAAAAGAAAAAGAAACAGAAGGAAAAGAAAGAAAGAGAAAAGAAAAGAAAAGCACTTCAAACAGTGCCTGGCATGTAATGAGTCCTCTGCACCATATAAGCCATTACGTACTACCATAATTATTAGCCATGCCAGTGTGTAATAGTATGTGTCCATCTGCAAGTGTGAATGGGGTTTCTATGTGCATATTTGCCCTGTTATCTGTATCTATACGTCTGTGTGACAGAATGAGCATATCCTATGTGTATCTATGTTTGTACATGAAAGTGGGTTTGTACTTCTGTGTATCCCAGTGTGCATATAAAACCACGAGCATGTGAGAAAGGAAGCATGTGTCCCGGGCGTGAATGGAGGGGGTTGGCCCCGTGTGTATATTTACCAGTGCACACACATCTGGGTGTATGAGTGCACATGCCTGTATCTGTGGTAGTGTAATGTCTGTGAGTGTGGGTGTGACCTGCACTGCTGGTGTGTCTGCACATGTGAGCATGCTTCTATCTGGGTGTGTGCATGCCAGTGTATTTTTATCTGCCTATGTAAACAGGTTTGTAGGGGTCAATATGTAAACGTATGTATGTGAATCTCTGTTGTGAGAGCCTATAAATGTCAAAAGGTTGGTATCCAGGTTTATATGCGATGATCCAGGTGCACGTGTGTGTGTGTGTGTGTGTGTGTGTGTGTGTGTGTATGTAAAGGGCTAGTGTGCATCTGAGGGTCTCTCTGTATTTATAAACCTCAGTGGCTATGTGGGTGTGTATGATTGAGTCTGCATTGCTCTACATGCCTGCTTGCCTTTGTGTGTGTGTAGCAGTGAGGCTGAGCCATGTGCTTGTATGCGTGAGCAGGTCTGTACTATGTGTATATGGATGTGTTCCAGGGCAGATTTGTGAGAGTGGCTTTGTATAATAATAGAGTGGGTTTTAATCTCTTAGTGTAAGAACCAGTGGGGTGGGGCACGGGAGGGCCTGGATCTATATAGGATGTGAGCAGGACTTGACCTATGTCTTCTTATGTCTGCGCATGTAACACTGTATCTGTAAGTGTGTAGGTTCATGTAGTTTGGTTCATATGTATGTATGTATGTAAGTGCCTATGTAAATGGCGAACGCATTTCGCCTAGACCTGTATTCCTTTTTTTTTTTTCGTAGAAGAAAGACTATTAAGAAGGCTTTGAAGTTAAAAAATAAAACTCTAGGCCGAGCGCGGTGGCTGACGCCTGTAATCCCAGCACTTTGGGAGGCCGAGGCGGGCGGATCACGAGGTCAGGAGATCAAGACCATCCTGGCTAACATGGTGAAACCCCGTCTCTACTAAAAATACAACAAATTAGCCGGGCGTGGTGGCAGGCGCCTGTAGTCCCAGCTACTCGGGAGGCTAAGGCAGGAGAATGGCGTGAACCTGGGAGGCAGAGCTTGCAGTGAGCTGAGATCGCGCAACTGCACTCCAGCCTGGGCAACAGAGCAAGACTCCGTCTCAAAAAATAAAAAATAAAATAAAATAAAATAAAAATAAAACTCTCAATACAATTTTTGTGTGTGACACAGGGTCTCACTCTGTCGCCCAGGCTGGAGTGCAGTGGCCCGGTCTCAGCTCACTGCAACCTCCGCCTCCATGCCGGGCTAATTTTTGTTAAATACAATTTTTTAACCTTAAATCAGCTCAACAAATATATAATCAGCAATTTAGCTGTATAAGATTAAAGATCCATTACTTTATCTTAAATAAAATATGTTTTAGGCCAGGTGTGGTGACTCACACCTGTAATCCTAGCACTTTGGGAGGTCAAGGTGGGCGGATTGCTTGAGCCCAGGAGTTTGAGACCAGCCTGAGCAACATGGCGAAACCCCACCTCTACAAAAAATATAAAAATTAGCCAGGTGTAGTGGTGTGCACCTATAGTCCCAGCTACTCAGGAGGCTGAGGTGGGAGGATCACTGGAGCCCAGGAGTTCGAGGCTGCAGTGAGCCATGATCATGGCACTATAATCCAGCCTGGGTGACAGAGTGAGACCATGTCTCAAAAAAAAAAAAAAAACCCAGAACCTGTCTCTACAAAAAATAGAAAAATTAGCCGGGCATGGTGGCACATGCCTGTAGTCCCAGCGACTTGGGAGGCTGAGGTGAGAGGATCCCTTGAGCCCGGAGTTCAAGGCTGCAGAGAACCAAGATCTCGCCATCGCACTCCAGCCTGGGCGACAGAGCGAGACCCTGTCTCAAAAAAAAAACAAAACAAAGTGTATATTATATATATATATATATACACACACACACATACACACACGCACACACACATATATATATATAGTTCTTAAAATTTATTCCATAAAGTACACATTTCCCTGTAAACTCTCTACATATACACAAGAGGTAAAAAGTGAAACAAAAAAATTTTTTGAGACACAGCCTTGCTCTTGTCGCCCAGGCTGGAGTGCAGCGGCACCATCTTACCTCACTGCAACCTCTGCCTCCCGGGTTCAAGCGATTCTCGTGCCTCAACCAAAAAAAAATTTAATTAAAAAAATGACGGCCGGTCGCAGTGGCTCATGCCTGTAATCCTAGCACTTTGGGAGGCCGAGGCGGGTGAATCACCTGAGGCCAGGAGTTCGAGATCAGCCTGGCCAACATGGAGAAATCCCGTCTCTACTAAAAATACAAAAATTAGCCAGGCATGGTGGCGGGTGCCTGTAATCCCAGCTACTCGGGAGGCTGAGGTAGGAGAATTTCTTGAACCCAGGAGGCAGAGGATGCAGTGAGCCAAGGTCGCACCATTGCAATCCAGCCTGAGCAACAAGAGCGAGACTCCGTCTCAAAAAAAAAAAAAAAAGACAACAGAAACCACAGTGGGAAGGGGATTAATTATTAACAAAAAGTTAGAAATTTCTTGTTGGGGCACCCCTACAGCCCTTCACCCCTGCCCCGCGCCCCTTACCCGTCTCTGGTTGTGCATAGCTGATGTACAAAATGGTATACGGTTAGCCTCAAAAAGGGAGTAAAAATGTCACCATCCTCCTCTGGAAGTGTCTGTACATTCTGAGACTGTAGGCCTGTATTTCTATAGAAAGGCAGTTATACAGGCCTGTATTTCTATAGAAAGGCAGTTATACAGGCCTGTATTTCTATAGAAAGGCAGTTATACAGGCCTACAGTCTCAGACTGTACAGACACTTCCAGAGGAGGATGGTGACATTTTTACTCCCTTTTTGAGGCTAACTGTATACCATTTTGTACATCAGGTCAGGAGATCGAGACCATCCTGGCTAACATGGTGAAACCCTGTCTCTACTAAAAAACACAACAAAAATTAGCCGGGCGTGATGGCAGGTGCCTGTAGTCCCAGCTACTGGGGAGGCTGAGGCAGGAGAATGGCGTGGACCCAGGAGGCAGAGTTTGTAGTGAGCCGAGATTGCGCCACTGCACTCCAGCCTGGGTGACAGAGCGAGACTCCATCTCAAAAAAAAAAAAAGAAAGAAAGGCAGTTATATAGTTATATCTGTATATTGTATGCGTGTGTATCTTTGAGCTATTTGCTGGTGTGTGGGTATCTACATGCATGCCTAGCTGCTTCTGTGCAGTTAACGGGGAATGTTTGTGTGTCTGTATATGAGTGTCTCATTGTGCTTATCGGCTGGTCTGAATGTGAGTGCAAATTTGAATTTCCATGTACACATGTCCCCGTGTGCACATATCTGTCTGTATGTGCTAGTGTTTCTATGTAATGTGACTAGATGTAAATGTGTTAGGGCATTCACAACCTGGGACACAGAGAAAGTGAAATATTTTATGGCACACTGGAGTAAACTGAAGAGGGTTAGGGGTACTAGAGTTGAGTGAAAAGGAATTTCTTACATTTTCCTCATATTATACAATTATGGGAAGAAAATTAAAATGCAGAATTTTAGGGGAGTTATTAAATATTGAATTTGTGTACAACTTTCAAATGAAATCTTTTCAGTTTTTTATGACACACTTGAGCTCACTTCTAGAAACATGTCTTAGTCTGTTTTGTGCTGCTCTAACAGAATACTTGAGACTGGGTAATTTTTAACAAGCAGAGATTTCTTTCTTACAGTTCTGGAGGCTAGGAAGTCCAAGGTTGAGGGGCATGCATCTAGCAAGGGCCTCCTTCCTGCGTCATCCCATAGTGAAGGGCAGAAAGGCAAGAGAACACGCTTTTGCATGAGAGAGAGAAAGAGAGAGAAGAGAAGGGAAGGGAAGAGAAAGAAGAGAAGAGAAGAGAAGAGAAGAGAAGAAAAGGGAGCCAAACTCATCTATTTATCAGGAACCCTTCTTATGATAGAAACCCACTCCCATGAAAACAGGATTAATCTGTTTATGAGGACAGAGTCCTCATTACCTCATCACTTCTTAAAGGTCTCACTTCTCAGTACTGCTGCATTGGGGATTAGGTTTCCAACACATGAACTTCGGAGGACACATTCAAGCCGTAGCATTCTTCCTTGACTCCCAAAATCCATGTCCTTCTCATGTCTAAAATAGATTAATTCCATCCCAATAGCCCCAAAGTCTTGACTCGTTCCAGCACCAACTCAAAATTCCAAAGTCCAGAGTCCCATTTGAATCAGACAGGAGAGACTCCAGGTGCAATTCATCCTGAGGCAAATTTCTCTCCAGATGTTAGCCTATGAAAATAGCAAATTACTTTCTTCCAAAATACAATGGTGGGACAGGCATAGGATAGACATTCCCATTCCAAAAGGGAGAAATAAGCAAGAAGAAAGGGGTAACTGGTCCCAAGTAAGTCCAAAATCCAACAGAAAAAAAAAAAACATTGTCTTCTTCTTTTTTTTTTTTTTTTTTTTTTTTTTGAGTTAAGGTCTCCCTCTCTGTCACCCAGGCTGGAGTACAGTGATGGGATCACAGTGTCACAGCTCACTGCAGCTTCAACCTCCTGGGCTCAAGCGATCCTCTCACCTCAGCTCCCCGAGTTTTTGTAGAGATGGGATTTGGCCATGTTGCCCAGGCTGGTCTTGAACTCCTGGGCTCAAGCGATCCACCCACCTCAGCCTCTCGAACTGCTGGGATTACCGTGCCCAGCCAACATTAAGTCTTAAAGCTGGAGAATGATCTTTGACTCTGCGTCCTGCATCTTGGGCACACTAGAGCTGGGCTGGGCCCCCAAGGTCTTGAGCAGCCCTGCCCCTATGGCTTTGCTGGGCTCAGTCCACCCAGCAGCTCTCATGGGTTGAAGTCTCATGCCTCCAGCCTTCGCAGGCTGGAGTTGCACATTCGTGGTCCTGTAGTTCTGTGGTCTTGGGACAGCCCCACTCCCACAGTTCCACTAAGTGTTGCCTTAGTGGGAGCCCTCTGCAGTGGCTCCATCCCTATGACAAGTCTCTGCTTGGTTCCCCAGGCTGTCCATGAAATTCTTTGAAATCTAGACAAAGGAAGCCATGGTTCCACAACTCGTGCATTCTGTGTGCCTACAGAATTAGCACCATGTGGACACCATCAAGGTTTACAGGTTATACTTTCTGGAGCAGCAAGTCGAGCTGCACTTGGGCCTGCTTGAGCCACAGCAGGGGCAGCCAAGGGGTACTGCTCCAGAATTGAAGGAGCAGAGTCCCAAGGTGGCACAGGGCAGCAAATGCTCAAGTCCTAGGGGTACCTCTCTAGAAACCTTGCCCTCAAGATCCTAGCTTGCCTCAAAGGCCTCTGAATAGAATCTGGCTTCCTTCTACCCATATTAGTCTCTTTAGCAGTCTCTTGGTCACACCCTTAGTATTCTCTCCCCAACATGCTTTTGTATTTTTTACATGGTCAAGCTGAGAGTTTTCCAAATCTTTCTGTTCTGCTTCTCTTTTAATTATAAATTCTGTCTTTAAATCGTTTTTCTCTCATTTTGCTGTACATAGCCAAAAGTAGTCATGTGGCATCTCAAACATTTTGCTGCTTAGATATTTTTTCTGCTATATATGCTAGTTTATGACTCTTAAATTCTGCCTTCCACTAAGTCCTAGGACATGAACACGATTCTGCCAAATCTTTGCACGCATATAACAAAGGTGGCTTTTATTCCAGTTTCCAATACCTTATTTCTCATTTCCATCGGAGACCTCATCAAAATGGCCTTTACCATCCATATTTCTGATCATGGGATTAGAAACAAAGCTAAGGAGCCTAAATCTCCTTAGGGATTACTTAAGTGGTCATGATCAGAACCACTTGGCAATTACATTTTTAACACATGAAATCAGAACTGATCATGGCCACTTAAGTAATCCCTAAGGAGGTTTAGGCTCTCCCTATAGCACTTGTCTTCTTCTGAGGCCTCACACAAAATCACCCTTAACCCTCTATTTATGGCTTTACAGGCTTTTTCTAGCCTGCTCCTCCATATTCTTTCAACCTCTACCCATTACCCAGTTCCAAAGCCACTTCCACATTTTCAGGCATTATAGCAACAACCCCATTCTTGGCACCAATCTTCTTAGTCCATTTCGCGCTACTATAACAATATTTGAGACTGGGTAATTTGTAAAGAACAGAGATTTTAGGCTAGGCGCAGTGGCTCACACATGTAATCCCAGCGCTTTGGTAGGCCAAGGCGGGAGGATTGCTTGAGGTCAGGAGTTCAAGACTAGCCTGGCCAACATGGTGAAACTGCATCTCTACTAAAAATACAAAAATTAGCTGGGCATCCTGGTGGCAGGCCCCTGTAGTCCCAGCTACTTGGGAGGCTGAGGCACAAAAATCACTTGAAACCGGGAGGCAGAGGTTGCAGCAAGCCTAGATCATGCCACTGCACTCCAGCCTGGGTGACAGAGCAAGACTCTGTCTCAAAAAAAAAAAGGAACAGAGATTTTATTTTATTTCTTATCATTCTGGAGGCTGGGCTGTCCAAGATCATGTGGCTACATCTGGTGAGAGCCTTCTTGCTGCATCATCCCATGGTGGAAGGCAAAAGGGCAAGAGAGCATGTGCACGTGACAAAGAGAGAAGGGAAGTGGGTAGAACTCATCCTTTTATCAGGAACCCGTTTCTGTGATAACCAACCCACTCCTGTGATAACAGCATTAATCCATTTATGAGGGAAGAGTCCTCATAACCTCATTACCTCTTAAAGGTCCCACCTGTCAACACTGTTGCATTGGGGATTAAGTTTTTAACACATGAACTTTAGGGGACACATTCAAACCATAGCAGACCATAACTTTTAAATTCACTAATGTGAATTTGTAGTGGTCAACATCCATGCCCACTTCTGATCAAGTCATAAGTGGTTTGATTTATTTTATGGTCCTTTGATTCATTTATGGTCATTTTAATCTTGACTTGGCAAATCCACTGGTGCTGAGCATAGATCTTCTACATCAAGTTATTGTGTTTCTTGGTAAAAGCTCAAACAAAGGAAATGAAGTAAATAACAATTGGTAGTTTTGACACAGATATAAACTTCTATTGTGGCCTGCCAGTTTTTGATCTTGGAAAGCATGTTGTTGAAGGTAAGACACATTCCATGGAGATTGCTCACACACAACCCAATGTTTGACCTAATGCCCTCAGTAATTAGCTTGAATGTATGAAATGTAGCTGCATGATTCTACAGGTCAGCAGAGCTGACCTCAAAAACACAAGCTTTGGGGTCATCAGATAACATTTTGGTTTCTCAGAAGCATCAGGTGCAGTTACTAGTGTTGAGTATGGCTGGTGCTTTCACACCATACCCACCTTTCTTAAGAAATGGAACAACTGCTTATTCGTGCCTTCCTTTTCCACCTCCCTTTTATAATTCTCTTGTTCTTGTCATGGCCAGGCAGAGACTAAGGTTTTGTGCTTGAAATAGCTGCGTGATCTTTTCTATCTTTTGGTAGTCACCATCAACAGGAAATTGCTAGCCTAAGTAAGTTGCAGCAAATGGTCAAAGAGTATTTTTTAGTGGGTTAAAACTCGTTTCTCGACAAATATTCAGAATTTGGATAATTTGTAGTGTTTGAATTTTGTGCTTCAAAGGGAGGATTCTTTTTTAAATGTAGCATCTCTTTCTTTTCTTTCAATCAAATATGAAATTTCTTGTAACAAATGCAGGCCAGGTGCGGTGGCTCATGCCTGTAATACCAGCACTTTGGGAAGCTGAGGTGGGAGGATTGCTTGAGCCCAGGAGTTTGAGACCAACCTGGGCAACGTGACGAAACCCTGTCTCTACCAAAAATACAAAAATTAGCCGGGCATGGTGGCGCGTGCCTGTGATCCCAGCTATTCAGGAGGCTGAGGTGGGAGGATTGCTTGAGCCTGGGAGGTTGAGGCTGCAGTGAGCCATGATCACCTCACTGCACTCCAGCCTGGGTGACAGAGTGAGACCCTGTTTCCAAAATAAATAAATAAATAAATGCTCACAAATTGAATGCAACAGAAAATTTTCATTTTGTGTATCTTAAAATAATGATGAAGCTTTTCCCCTAAGTGAATGCAGACATTGCTCTACTTACCCTAATAAGTCTTCTTTAGTATTCAAATTGCAACACCAAGTAAACATCACCCAGGGAACCATACTTGACTTCACATTTCCTAAGTTGAAGTTTTGCTTCGAATCCATAAACTCTGTCAGTAGTCTTCACGCTATTCTTTAGTGTCTTTAACATTTTTTATGTAACTTTATTCGTGTGCAAAAAAAGCCATTTGTTGAAGCCAGTAAACATAAAATCTGTGCCTGAGCTCAGAAGTTCGAAATCAGCCTGGGCAACATGGTAAAACCCCGTCTCTACTAAAAATACAAAAAAAAGAAAAATTAGCTGGGCATGGCAGTGTGCGCCTGTAGTCCCAGCTACTTGGGAGGCAGAGGCAGGAGAATCGCTTGAACCCAGGAGGCGGAGGTTGCAGTGAGCTGAGATTGCACTACTGCACTCCAGCCTGGGCAACAGCGAGACTCAAAAAAAAAAAATCTGAAAAATGAGAAGCATTCACAAAGAAATGTTGCCATGTTTCTTTTACCTCATTATTATTATTATTACTATTATTTTTACCAAATCTCTACACATTTGGGTTTAAAACAACACGGAAGGGTGTACTGATCCCAGTTCCTTACAGAAAGCTGAAAGGCAGGTGGGAAATGTCTTGGATTTAATTACATTCATCTGGCATAATTTACTGTGGAAATGAGACCTATAGACAAACTTACAGGTGAGGGCTCCTCAGTAAATGAATCTCAGAGTTTTCCAAACAAACTGCTGTTGTAAACAGCAGCATCTGTCCACAGACTTATGGAGTTTCCACAGTATTTCAAAGTATTCATGTATCACTTTGAATATTTCAAACTTAGTTTATGTTGGTGCTTCTTGTACTTCTCTTCAAGTTTCTAACTAGTACTGTAAACTATGCAATGTCAACACCCATAGATGCATGGGTAGAAAATGAAAACCTTTCTGATTGAACATCTAAGTTAGTGTCATCTCAATGCCCTTTGACCTGTCACCAGTGTATCTCCTAACAGCAATAATTGAACATGGCCCCTTTCCTATTCCCTTTACCTCATTGGTCTTAAAAATAGTGTACACAATTTCCCTGCACACCGCTAACCTGTGAGATTCTACTGGGAGGGGCATCTTAGCTTTACTTGTTAATCATACAACCCTGTCACTAGCCGGTTGAGCTCCAGCTAAAAATATTCTAACCCATCTCATAAAAGATCCCAGTTTCTCAATTTGCACTGCCAGATGCTTTAAAAATTCCAAATCTTTCTATTGAAGGGGTCAGCAGACCTCTGTGAGTTCTGAAAACTGATTTTTCTCTGCATTCTTAAGAAAGCAACACTCTGGCGGGGCGCGGTGGCTCACGCCTGTAATCCCAGCACTTTGGGAGGTCGAGGCGGGCGGATCACGAGGTCAGGAGATCAAGACCATCCTGGCTAACACAGTGAAACCCCGTCTCTACTAAAATACAAAAAATTAGCCGGGCATGGTGGCAGGTGCCTGTAGTCCCAGCTACTCGGGAGGCTGAGGCAGGAGAATGGCGTGAACCTGGGAGGCAGAGCTTGCAGTGAGCCGAGATCGTGCCACTGCACTCCCGCCTGGGCGACAGAGCGAGACTCCATCTCAAAAAAAAAAAAAAAAAGAAAGCAGCACTCTGAAACAAAGTCATAAAGCAACTCAATTAAACTATTGTTGGGCTTCATTCATTTATTGACAAATATTTTTATGTAAAAACAAAAGATAGTAAGTATGAAATCCCACCAGGAATCAGATTTGGTTAATTTTTAGTATCAAATACCAATCACAAGTAAATCAATCAATAAACCAAGAAATGATAAAAATGATATTGTCGTAATATTTTTAAAAGAGTCTTGACCTTTTAGGAGTAGATACTGAAATACTTAAGGATGAAATGATATAACAGATATGCTTCAGAATACTGGGAGTGAGGGAAGTGGGTAGGGTTATAGGCAGAATGAGACTAGCTATGAGTTGGTAATTGGTAAGTCTGGGCAATGGATCCACTGAGATTCATTACAGTATTCTCTTTACTTTTTAATGTTTGAAATACTCTATAATAAAACTTTTTTATAAAAAAGTAACAATCAGAAAAATAAAATAATACTGTTCTCTTTAGAAACACCTAATACTATACTATATAATAGTCCACATAGCAACAATCATACAATGCTTCTATTTTTTCTCTGTTTCTTGGTGATAAGACAGCCCTCCTATTTTTGTAGAAGAAAGAAACTTGAGGAAAAATAAGAAGAAAATCAAATTAAAAGAAAAATAGGCGGGGTGCAATAGTTCATGCCTGTAATCCCAAGACTTTGGGAGGCTGAGGCAGGAGGACTTCTTGAGCCCAAGAATTTGAGACTAGCCTGGGCAACATAGTGAGACTGCATCTCTACCAAAAAAAAACCTTAAAAAATTAGCCAGGCATGGTGGCACATCCCTGTAGTCCCAGCTACTCTGAAGGCTGAGGTAGGAGGATTGCTTGAGCCTAGGAGGTTGAGGTTCATGCCACTGCACTCCAGCCTGGGTAACAGAGCGAGACCCTGTATAAATAAATAAATAAATAAATAAATATTTTTCATAAATGAAGGCTAGGCGTGATGGCTCAGGCTTGTAATCCCAGCATCTTCGGGGCCTGAGGCAGAAGGATTGTTCGAGCTCAGGAGTTTGAGGCTGCAGTGAGCTATGATTACACCACCGCACTCCAGCCTGGGTGACTGAGCGAGACCTTGTCTCTTTTTTTTTTTTTTTTTTTTTGAGACAGAGTCTCACTCTGTCACCCAAGCTGGAGTGCAGTGGCATGATCTCAGCTCACTCACTGCAATCTCCACCTCTCAGGTTCAAGCGAGTCTCCTGCCTCAGCCTCCGGAGTAGCTGGGATTACAGGCATGCACCACTACGCCCAGCTAATTTTTGTATTTTTACTAGAGACAGGGTTTCACCATGTTAGCCGGGCTGGTCTCCAACTCCTGGCCTCAAGTGATCATCCCGCCTCAGCCTCCCACAGTGTTAGGATTACAGGCGTGAGCCACCGTGCCCAGCCGACCTTTTCTCTTAAAAAAAAAAAAAAACAGAAAAGAAAACAAAAACAAACATTGTCCACATAGGTATAGGCCAAACTCCAAAACCTCACTGATGATAAACTAGCAAAGTAATAATCATACTATCTGGAATGTTTCAACGGGAAGTGATGAAAACAGTTACCACCTCTCTTTGCACATGGTTGCTCTGGAGCCATTCTTGCTCTAGCCCTCTGCTGTGGTAGGAGCCTACCAGCTGGGCAGCTCTGCTCGTTTGTCCACTTACAAGTGCAAGAGTTAGCTGGTCTCTGCACATGAGCAGGTTTGGCTCCAGCGGTATACCTGTTGCAGGATGTGTATGTCAGTTAAGTGTATCTGTGTGTGAGCAAGTTTATATGTGTACACATGTTTGCCCATGTGTACTTGTCTTTGTGTGTGTCTGTATATGTACAATATGCAATTTTTATCTTTGTGTTTGTTTGCGTATTGCTAAAGTGTATGAGTGTGCCTTTGTGTGTGTGTGTTGGAGCTGTTATAAGTCTGTTCATGGGTGGGAGTGTATATGTGAATGGGTGTGTGTGTGTACATATACCAGGATATACATATTTGTGTTGGTGAGCACACCTAATCTATGTGAGAGAGTTTGAATCTGTCTCTTTGTGTTAGAGCATGTGTGTGTATATGTGGGCAGTTTTTTACTTGCCTGCTTTTTTCTGGGTGCATATATATCTATAGGTCTCTGAGGGGGATTCTATGTACTATACCTGTGTGTGTATGTGTGTGTGTATACACACACATGGTAGGGTTCAAGTGCGTGTCAGCCTGCTGGCATATGTAAGTAACTTTGAGTGTTAATATCGTGACAGTGTTTATCTATGTGACAATATTAATATACAACTTTGTGTATATCTGTGTTGTGTCTGAATATGTGGGAGGATTTGAATCATCAGCTATATTGGGTCAATGAGTATATATATGTCTGTGTGAATGAAAGTATATGTGGGTAAGTTTGCTTGTGTGTACCTATCTGTCAGTGTTTGAGATCTCGTTCATCCATGTGTGTGTTAGGGGAGTTACAAAGGTGGTTTTGTGGACCATTGCATGTGTGTGAGTGTGTATCTGAGTGTGTCTGTGTATGTGAACAATTCTCAGCCCTCTCATATCCAGTGCCCTCTTGTACATAACAGATATTTTGTAACACCCCTTTACTGTCTGGAAATGAAGTTCTTAGGAATATAATCTCTCTGCATATGTAATTTTTTTTTGAGATGGAGTTTCACTCTTGTTACCCAGGCTGGAGTGCAATGGCACTATCTCGGCTCACTGCAACCTCCACCTTCTGGGTTCAAGTGATTCTCCTGCCTCAGCCTCCCGAGTAGCTGGGATTACAGGTTCGTGCCACCACGCCCAGCTAATTTTGTATTTTTAGTAGAGACAGAGTTTCACCATGTTGGCCAGGCTGGTCTCAAACCCCTGACCTCAGGCGATCCACCCGCCTCAGTCTTCCAAAGTGCTGGGATTACTGGTGTGAGCCACCACGCCTGGCCCTCTGCACATGTAATTTAAAAAGAAAATCCATATTTTATACAATATCCATTTTGTATTAACTATAATACAAATAAGAAATAAAAGAAAAATGATTTATAAGAAAACGATTTGTATTTCAATATGTAAATGCTTGGGCATGACACTCCCCAGGAGATTCAAGGAAGTGATTAGAGGCTCCCAATGTCTTTTTTTTTTTTTTTTAGATGGAGTTTCGCTCTTGTTGTCCAGGCTGGAGTGCAATGGCGCAATCTCAGCTCACCACAACCTCCACCTCCCGGGTTCAAGTGATTCTCCTGCCTCAGCCTCCCCAGTAGCTGGGATTACAGGCATGTGCCACCACGCCCTGTTAATTTTGTATTTTTTTATTTTTAGTGGAGACGGGGTTTCTCCATGTTGGTCAGGCTGGTCTCGAACTCCGTGCCTCAGGTGATCCGCCCACCTCCGCTTCTGAAAGTGCTGGGATTACAGGCGTGAGCCACTGTGCCCGGCCCCCAATGTCTTATACTGGGTAACTATGGATTTAGGAGAAGGGGAAACATCAGAGGCAGGACGTGCAGGAAAATGACAGGCACAGGCCTTGGAGGTGAGATTTTCTAAAATAGTCAACAACTCTAAGGAAAGCTCATCCCAAACCAAAGTGCAGCCTCCTCTTTACTTACATGACAGCCACGTTCCTGGATAATTCGGGGTATGTTAAAATCAAGAGAAAAAAAATGGTGTTTATCTGTGAAATAGATTCTAAGTTCACTTACTTAAAAGTCCAAAGTCCTAGAGGATGCGGGACATGTTGGCTGCGTGGGACTCTCCCCCATATTACTGGATGGCCAACATCCTCCCCGACTCCTAAATGTCAGAAGGACACCCTACACCCCAGCACTGTGGCCATCAAAAATGCTCCTACACAAATTTCCAAAATGTCCCCTAGAGGGCAGTAACGCCTTTGTTGAGGACGAAGCGCTGGCGCTCGGAGAGGGTACACTGTGTACCTGTGTGAACACGGCAGAGTACAAGATGTACCTCTGCCTCCGTGTGCGTGTGTGCATATGTGTGTGAGTGCGTGTGCGTATGTGTGAGTGTGTGTGTGTATGTGTGTTGCATGCGTGCGCACGCGTTCCTCATGCAAGAGCGGGTTGCTGTCTGAGGGTGTCCACAGCAGTAGACCGTTTATGGGGGGATGGGGTGTGCACGTGTCTGGGCTCGAGCAGGTGTGCGTGTGTTCTGTGTTTGCACGCGTCTTGAGCCTCAGCTGGGCCCGGGCTGCAGCTGCCAGTCTGCGGAGGAAAACCCTCTCCTCACTTGTTTGTAAAATGTCCCGAGCTTTCCCAGGGTTGTGTTTGTTTGCTGCTATTGTTTGGGGGGGATGTGGGGGGTTTTGTTTTATCTTTAGCTTTTGTTTTCACTGAGACTCAGGGCTACGCATTATCCACCTTCTCGGTCTTAGCGTGGCTCTCCGTGTCTCCCTCTCTATCTCCATCTTTATTTCTGTCTCTCTCTCTATCTCTCTCCAGCTACCCTCTCTTATCTCTGCCCCACCCCACCCCGTCTCTATTTTTCTTTCTTTCCTGGCGTTAGCCCTCTCCCTCTCCCTGCTCTCCTTTTCTCTCTCTTGCTCTCTCTCTCTCTCTCTCTCTCTATTTCTCTCCCTTCTCTGTCTGGCATGCTGGTTTCTGTGTGTGCCTCTGTCTCTTTTTTCTCACTCTCATTTTCACCCTTCTTCCCCTTTTTGTCTCTCTCTTCCTCTCTGTATGTAAGGATCTCTCTCCCCTTTCTCTGTTTCTCTCTCTGTCTCTTTCTCCCTCCTGTGTCTCCGTCTGTCTCTGTCACACACACCTCTCTCTCCTTCTCTCTCTCTGTGTCTCTCTGGCCTCTCTCTTACATTCAGTCTCTGTCTGTCTCTATCCCTTTCCCTCTGCCTCCCCTCAAGGTAAAGGAGAGAGAAAGAGAAAGAGAGAGAGAGAAAGAGAGTAAGTGTGTGTGTGTTTACATTCACCCAGCTGCGGGCTGTTCCACAGTCTGAGGGGGCTGTCAGGCCTTGAAGGGCTGAAAGGGAGCCCACCAACCCCATTTCTGCTCAGCCCCTGCCCTAGCACTTTCTAAGTACTAGTTTGGCCTCCTGTCATGGGCTCTGAGATTTCAGGGTGCCATTAAAAAGCCTGGCTCGGGCGCAGTGGCTCATACCTGTAATCCCAACAATTTGGGAGGCCAAGGCGGGCGAATCATTTGAGGTTACAAGTTGGAGACCAGCCTGGCTAGCATCACAAAACCCTGTCTCTACTAAAAATACAAAAATTAGCCGGGTGTGGTGGTGCGTGTGCTTGTAATTCCGGCTACTCGGGAGGCTGAGGCACAAGAATCACTTGAATCCGGTAGCCGGAGGTTGCAGTGAGCTGAGATTCTGCCACTGCACTCCAGCCTGGGCAACAGAGGGAGACTGTCTAAAAAAAAAAAAAAAAGGCCGGGCACCAGGTGGCTGTGGCAGGCCAGGCTGGATTGAGCTGGAAAACCATGCAGAGGGGAGACTTTTCCTGGGAGGGAGGGAGTAGGAAGACATCCACTCAAGTTCCACCCCCTAATCCCAGCCCAGCCCCAACAATCATCCTGAGTTTCCCCAGTTTCTGCCCAATTGCCTCACTGCCTTCCCTCTGGGACCTGTGCTGTTACCTGGTCACATCCCCACACTCCCGGAGCTCTCCTCTTTCCTGCAGCTTTGCTGCGCTGCTCTCACCACCAGATGTACCCCCCAGGCTGCTGTTGTAGCTAATCCTGCCTGGATGTCTCCAGGGCACCCTCTCTGACCCACAGCCCCAGCCCATTTAATCCCTCAATCAATTCATTTGATATATTGTCACTGAGAGCCTACCATGATGTGCTATGTAGTGTTCTTTCAGAGGAGAGTCAGTGAGTCTTTAACTCCTGCCTTTGTGGAGCTTTCATTCTGACAGGACAAGGCAGGCAATAAACTAAAATTTAAAAGTAAATTATATATATAAAATTATATATATATAATTTTTATATATTTAAAAAATTTTATATATATAAAAAAGTTTGTATATATAATTTTATATATATAAATTTATATATTTTATATATAATTATATATATATTTATATTTATTTATATATATATAAATATATATTTATATATAAATATAAATATATATTTATGTATATTTATATATAAATATATATTTATATTTATATATAAATATACATAAATATATATTATACATAAATATATATTTATATATAAATATATAAATATAAATATATATTTATAAATATATAAATATACATGTATATTTATTTATATATAAATATATAAATATACATTTATATAAATATATATAAATATACATGTATATTTATTCATATAGAAATATATATAAATATACATGTATATTTATTCATATAGAAATATATATAAATATACATTTATATTTATTCATATAGAAATATATATAAATATACATTTATATTTATTCATATATAAATATACATTTACATATAAATATATATAAATATACATTCATATATATTTATATATAAATGTATATTTATATATATTTATATATATTTATATTTATTTATAAATAAATATATAAATATATATAAATATATATTTATATTTATATATAAATAACTATATAGATTTATATATATTTATTTATAAATAACTATAAATATAGATTTATATATATTTATTTATAAATAACTATAAATATAGATTTATATATATTTATTTATAAATAACTATAAATATAGATTTATATATATTTATTTATAAATAACTATAAATATAGATTTATATATATTTATTTATAAATAACTATAAATATAGATTTATATATATTTATTTATAAATAACTATAAATATAGATTTATATATATTTATTTATAAATATTATAAATAAATATATAAATATATATTTATATTTATTTATTTGTATTTATATATAAATATAATTATATATAAATATATATAATTTATATATAAATTTTTATATTATAAAATTATATATATATAAATATATAGTGTGTTAGAAGAGAGAAATTCTAGGAGGCAAAATAGGGAGAGTGGCATGGAGGGGGCATTATCTGTCACCTGGATTGCTGCAGGGGCCTCTGAGTAGTCTCCCTACTTTTAATACACCCCACATGACCCCTGCTCTTCACAACGGCAAGCGGGATTCTGTTCCATCCTAGATCATACCACATCTGGCCTCTGCTCAGAATCCTCCCGTGACTCCCATCTCATTCAGAGGAAAAAGTTCTCGCCACGGCCTCCCTGATCTGACCTCACCACCTTTCTGACCTCACCTGCCACCACATTCCCCTGACTCACTGTGTTCCACCCACAGTGGCTTCCTTGCTCTTCCTCAAATATGCCATGTAGAGTCCCACCTCAGGGCCTTTGCTCTGGCCGTTCCCCCTGCCTGGACTTCTCTTCCCCGAGATATCCGCATGACTCACTCTCTCACCTCCCTTAGGTCTGTGCTCAGATGACACTTCCTCCGTGAAGCCTCCCCTGTCCACCTCATCTAAAACTGCAGCATCTTCCCCACCCCTAGCACTTCCTATCTTCCTTCCCTCCTTTATGTTTATTCTTAGGAACTTGTCATCATCTGACATACTATACTTCACCCGTGTCTCTTCTTTGTTATCTAGAATGTCGGTTCCACAAGGGCCGGGATCTTTATCTGTGTAGTTCACAGCTGTATCCCCAATACCTAGAACAGTGCCTGGCACACAGATGCTTGATAAATATTTTTTCAGTGTATGAATGAATATGCACAAGCATCCCTACATGTTTATATTCACACATACTTGCCTCCTCACCTAAAATAAAAACCAAAGTCCTCATCGTGGCCCACAACCCTACACAATCTGGCCCCAAGGCATCTCTGCGACTTCACCTTCCACCACTGTCTCCCTTGCTCTCACCGTTCCTGCCTCACTCGTCTTCCTGCTGTTCCTCAAGCACACTAAACACATTCCTCATCATGAATAAAGAAATCTATTAAGTGAGTGGTACCAGCATTTTAAGAACACATGAAAGAGAATAAAAATGAATGGGGTACATTGCATACAGGTTCAGTACTGTTTTGTGAAACTTTTGGTTGAGCTGTGTGTGTGCGTGCATGTATGTGTAGCGGGTTGTGATGTAAAATGTATTTTTTTACTGTGGGTGGCAGTAAAAAAAAGTCTGAACACAACCTTAGAGCTTTGCAAAAGGGGAGAAGAGCTGCACCAACATCCCTGCCCCACAGATCCACCAGTGGAGGAAACAGGTAACCAAAGACATCCAAAGAAATGCAGCATCCTCACCTGACAAGGAGCGGGTAGGAGCAGGAGTGGCCCAGGGGCAGGGCCTGGCACCAGCCAGGGCATAATTGGGGAGGGCTCGTAGACACACTAACCCTACCCTTTCTGTTTCTTCCTCATCTTTCCTTTCCATCTGTTTCTCATGGTCTCCTGTCTGTCTCTCTCTCTCTCCCCTCTTTCTCTCTCCTCGCTCTTTCTCATCCCCTCCATTTCTGTGTCAATCTCAATCCATTTATATCGGTGGCCACTTTTCTATCTCTTTGTTCTATCTCTCTCTCTCTCTCTTTCCCACTTTGTCTCTGCACGCCTGTTGTGTTTTTCTGCCTGTCTCTCTCTTGCCCTCATCTCTCTGTCTCTCTCTTGCCCTCATCTCTCTGTCTCTCTGTGTCTGTGTCTCCCCCGCTCATTCCCATTTGCAGGTGCAATGTAGCAGGACAACTCATGGAGCCCCCCCGGGCCCATCGAGTACCGGACTGGCTGACCCCCTAGGGTTGGCAGTAGCCCCTGACCCTCAGTATGGCCAACACTACCGGAGAGCCTGAGGAGGTGAGCGGCGCTCTGTCCCCACCGTCCGCATCAGCTTATGTGAAGCTGGTACTGCTGGGACTGATTATGTGCGTGAGCCTGGCGGGTAACGCCATCTTGTCCCTGCTGGTGCTCAAGGAGCGTGCCCTGCACAAGGCTCCTTACTACTTCCTGCTGGACCTGTGCCTGGCCGATGGCATACGCTCTGCCGTCTGCTTCCCCTTTGTGCTGGCTTCTGTGCGCCACGGCTCTTCATGGACCTTCAGTGCACTCAGCTGCAAGATTGTGGCCTTTATGGCCGTGCTCTTTTGCTTCCATGCGGCCTTCATGCTGTTCTGCATCAGCGTCACCCGCTACATGGCCATCGCCCACCACCGCTTCTACGCCAAGCGCATGACACTCTGGACATGCGCGGCTGTCATCTGCATGGCCTGGACCCTGTCTGTGGCCATGGCCTTCCCACCTGTCTTTGACGTGGGCACCTACAAGTTTATTCGGGAGGAGGACCAGTGCATCTTTGAGCATCGCTACTTCAAGGCCAATGACACGCTGGGCTTCATGCTTATGTTGGCTGTGCTCATGGCAGCTACCCATGCTGTCTACGGCAAGCTGCTCCTCTTCGAGTATCGTCACCGCAAGATGAAGCCAGTGCAGATGGTGCCAGCCATCAGCCAGAACTGGACATTCCATGGTCCCGGGGCCACCGGCCAGGCTGCTGCCAACTGGATCGCCGGCTTTGGCCGTGGGCCCATGCCACCAACCCTGCTGGGTATCCGGCAGAATGGGCATGCAGCCAGCCGGCGGCTACTGGGCATGGACGAGGTCAAGGGTGAAAAGCAGCTGGGCCGCATGTTCTACGCGATCACACTGCTCTTTCTGCTCCTCTGGTCACCCTACATCGTGGCCTGCTACTGGCGAGTGTTTGTGAAAGCCTGTGCTGTGCCCCACCGCTACCTGGCCACTGCTGTTTGGATGAGCTTCGCCCAGGCTGCCGTCAACCCAATTGTCTGCTTCCTGCTCAACAAGGACCTCAAGAAGTGCCTGAGGACTCACGCCCCCTGCTGGGGCACAGGAGGTGCCCCGGCTCCCAGAGAACCCTACTGTGTCATGTGAAGCAGGCTGGTAGGCAGACAGGCAGAGAGAAGGTCATGGCCACCGTGATGGGGCCAACAGCAAGGGAGGGGTAGGGGCCCATACAGGAGTCCTCCTTTCTGAGCTCCAGCCCCAGCCCCTCGAACCACCTGTAATCTAGGCACCTTTGCCAACACCTCCCAAGGATGGAGGACTGGGCGAGGGACTGGGAAAGAGGCATATTTAGTTTTGTGGGGCCTGTCTCCGCTGCCTCCTTCTCCACTTCTACAATCTCATTCTCTCTCTCTCTCTCTCTGTCTCTCTCTCTCTCTCTCTCTCTCTCTCAGAAGTGACAATTCAGAAAAAGAAAAGAACACTGAGAATGCAGGTTTTTCTACTAACAGCTGAGGAGACAGGCTTTCTTACTTTAATGTCTCTCCTTCTGACACTGTCCAGAAGGGGGAATTTGTCCTGTAAAATAGACTTCCAGAGCTCTTTTGCCCCCTCTGCTCCCATGCACCCTCCCCTTCCAAGTCCTTTAGCAAGGCCTGGATGTTTAGGGAGAAAGTGGTCCAAGGCTGCTGACAAGAGGGACCAAAGGGGGTGCTGGGTTCCCAGGGAGCAGGGATGTTTAATTACTATGTCATGTGCAATGTTGTTTTAGGCCAACCCTTGCCCCAAGCCCAGTCTCTTCTCCCTCCCCACCATGTCCAGACCTCCCAAATGGTTCTTGTGCATCTGTTGGAGAAGTCAAGGGAGTAGGGAGAAGGGCCCCAAGGATGGGCCCAGGTTAGGTGAAGAGTAAGATGTGAGCTGAACTCCTCGAACTGAAGAGACCCACACTTGGTCACATTCTCTCACGCTGCCTTCAGGATCCCCAGCCCCCAACTCTTCTTCCTGAGGATGGAAATCCACTCCAGCCCCACTAGGACTGATGTGGGTGCCATACAGGCAGGAGCAGCCCACCAGGAAAGTGTAAGGAGGGAGCTGAACTCCCCAGAGTAGCTGGACCACAGAGACTTGGGTCAGAGCTGATTTCAACCCCAGAATTGTCTCTCGGGTTCACCCTACTCTTCTGAAGATGAAAATTTGTTTGGGGCCTTGGTAACCGATAGCGGTACAAACTCCAAGGCACTGTGGACTTGAGTCCATTCCTATCTGACCTCTTTTTGTCCCCCTCAAGCCTCAGGGGCCTCAAGCCCCTCCTTAGTAGCCCTTGGCTGACTGGGCCCTGAGCCCCAAGCATCCTTCTTTCCCAACAACCCTCCTTCCCCATCCTTCCCCCACCCTTACCTACACCCAAAGTGGAGCACACTGCAGTCAGATTCTCCAGGAGGGAGATCCAAGCCTCCTCCCAGGGGTGGAGTCCACTCTGGGCTTACTTTGAGGCCTGTTCTGTGGATTGGTGAGCCAAGCTGGCACTCCTTGCCCTGGTCTTACCCAGGCTCTCTGTCCCCCTCTCACTTCCTGTGGGGCCGGAATCTGTATTTATCCATCCCCCTTTCCCTTCTTTATAGAAGTCCCTGTCCTAAACTCCCTCCCTAGCCCAAGAGAGCCCCAGAACTGGGGAAGCCTGACCCATACAGAATGGGGAGGGCACTCTAGGCAGGAGAGACATTAATGAGCCTGGCTGCAGAGTGGCCCTGGAAAGGCAGGCCAGAGTGGCTGAGAGGCTGGGAGTAGGGGAGCCTGTTCTCTCAGCGATAGTGATGGGGGTGCCTTTCCGAGGGGGTGGGGTGGGAAGACCAAGGGGGTGGGGGGTAGATAGGGTACATTTAGGAGGGTTTTCCTCCATTTCTTTTTTCTAACTGCCTGGATTCACCATTGGATTTTGTAAATGGAAAAACTGAAATGAACAATGCTATACTGGATGTTTTCTCTTTCTGACTGTGTGTGTGTGTGTGCGTGCGTGCGTGCATGTGCCCTGTCTGACCACATGTGGAGAGACATGATTGAGTGATAGTGTGTGTCTGTGTGACTTTGTGTGGGGAGGCACTCCTGAAGAAAACTTGCCCGGTGCACACACGTAAAATGCCTGTATATGGGGACAGATACAGCACGTGCATGCATACACACACACACACACACACCACAGTTGAGAGGAGACAAACTAGAGTATGTGCCCGTGGTAGGAAGTCGAGTGGTCAAGAGATGGATCTTGGAAACTACATAGGTCGGTAGCAAGAGGGTAGACTCCCATCTCACAAGATGGGCCTCCCTTGGCCCAGGCCCTGAGCACGGGAGGGCTGGGGCCGCCAGGGAACTTGAAAACCTCATCTCCTCACAAAGCCTGTAGCCCCATCTCAACCCCGTCTCAGTCTCCTTCCCAAACTCAAACAAGGTGTTCCTAAAATTGGACCACCATGGAGAATGGGGACTGGGAATTGAGGATCAAATGTGAGGGAAACTGATGAGGTTAGGAAATGCCCCCCACAAAGTAATGGCTTCTGGAGGGACTGCTCAGTCTGGGATGGGAGCCCTTCCTAGGGGCCACTGTATGCAGCTGGGACTTTGGTCAGCTTTGACCAAATTTAGAGGGAGGGATGTCATGGGGAAAAAAAACCCAAGCCCAGGAGTCTACCCAGCCAGCCTGCTCCCTAGACAGTTAATTTACTATCTGGTTATTCTCTCAGGTGCACAGAATTGAGTTGACCATACTCCTCAGTTCTTGGCACACTATATCATCATTGGTCCATGTGAGGCCCTTTTATTTTTTTTTCTTCAGTTTTGTCCCCTTCATCACCCATTCCTGATCCCATCCTCCCCGCCCCCTACACAGGCACCCACTCTCGTGTATTTAACGTACGTCCTTCCAATCCACCGTTCATGTGTTTATTTACATATATGTGTATCTGTGAAAAATGTATGGTATTGCTGTGTGTTTTAATTTACATAAACAGTATTGTACTATAAATCTTGTTGTTTCTTTTTTCACTCAACATTCTGTCTTTGAGAGATCCAGCCATGTTGCCGTATATAGATCTAATTCATTCTAGTGGTCCATCTAAAACATATATCACATTTTTCTTATCCACTCCCCTGATGATGGATCCCTAGGTCTCCTCTCTGCTCCGCGACAAGGCTGCAATGGGCAGTTACCTACACCTCTCTTGAGGGATGCCTAATTTAGGGGAGAGAAAACTGAAGCTCAGAGAGGGGCAGTGATTTGGTTAAGGTTACAAAATGAGGGGCACACCCATGATGTGAATCCCAGCACCAAAGCCAGCCCTCCACCACCATGCCTCACAAAAGACCATCCATCTCTGGTTTAAAAAGAAAAATCTTAAAATACAGCATACACTGGGGAAAGGGAGAGGAAAGGATGGAAAGGGGGAGAAATGAAGAGACAGAAAGTGCTAGAAAATTCTAGCAGATGAGCTGAATCACAATCATTTTTATGACGCAGAGGAAGTTACTTTTTTGTGTGTGTGATTATTATTTGTAGAGCCATTTTGCGGAGATGGAAAACGCCACGTCAAAACCTGGCCCCCAAACCAAACACCCTGGGTGCCTAAATTGCAGGCGCAGGCGGTAGGGCAGCCCGAGCCCCCGAGGAGCTACAGCAGAGTTCACCCAGGGGGCAAACGTGGGGGGTGGGGGAAGGGGCAGAAGTGGAAGGTAGGAAAAGAGGCAGAAGCGGGGGGGCGGGGGGCAGGGGTTGTGTGAGGGAAGGGGCAGAAGTTGGGGGATAGGGGAAGGGCAGAAGCGGAGGGCGGGAGGGTGAGGGAAGGGGCAGAAGTGGGGTTGGGGGGTGAAGGAAGGGGCAGAAGTTGGGGGATAGGGGAAGGGGCAGAAGTGGGGGTGAGGGAAGAGACAGTTGGGGGATGGGGGTCAGAAGCAGGGAATGCGGGAAGGGGCAGAAGGGGGGGTGAGGGAAGGGGCAGAAGCGGGGGAGGAAGGGGCAGAAGCGGGGGGTGAAGGGGCAGAAGCGGGGGTGGGGTGGGGGAAGGGGCCGAAGCGGGGGATGGGGGAAGGGGCAGAAACGGGGGGTGGGGGAAGGGACAGAAACGGGGAGTGGAGGAAGGGGCAGAAGCGGGGATGGAAAAAGGGGCAGCAGTGGGGGATGGGAGAAGGGGCAGAAGCGGGGGTGGGAGAAGGGGCAGGAGCTGGGATGGGGGAAGGGGCAGGACCCGGGATGGGGGAAGGGGCAGAAGCGGGGGTGGGGGAAGGAGCTGAAGGAAATGGGGGAAGGGGCAGATTTTAAAAGTGCGTAGTTGCTGAGGGGAGGGGGGCGGGGGGAACGATAACGAGGCTCTTCCAATTTCATGTGAGCACATCCTGCTCAGCGCCTGCGTTTGTTTTTCGTCTCGTTTTTTGGTCTTCAGAACCACTGGTACTTTTCCCATTGGATAAAACGCTGAGAGGGTGAGGGAGAGGGGCTTCTTCCCCAGCTTTCCTCGCAGCCAATCGCCCTGCAGTTTCCCTCCCGTCGCTGAGGGAGTCAGCCCGTTGATTGGCGGGCCCGAGGGGAGCCAATCGGAAACTGATGATGTGTGGTGTTGGCAAGCGGATTGCGTGAGAGCGGGCAGGGGTCGCGGGAGCGCGATCGCCGCCGCGGCGGCCGGCAGCCAATGGCCAGGCCGAGCGGACCCCTGCGTCAGGAGTGGGCGGGGCTTCGGCGATTGGCGCGGAGGGAGTAGAGCGGGCGCTGTGGGAGGGAACGCCAGAGCGAGGTGGTGAGGAGAGCTGGTTGCGTGAGTCTCCTCAGCTCTGCTTACCGGTGCGACTAGCGGCAGCGACGCGGCTAAAAGCGAAGGGGCGAGTGCGAGTCCCCTGAGCTGTACGAACGCGGTCGCCATGGACCGCCCAGATGAGGGGCCTCCGGCCAAGACCCGCCGCCTGAGCAGCTCCGAGTCTCCACAGCGCGACCCGCCCCCGCCGCCGCCGCCGCCGCCGCTCCTCCGACTGCCGCTGCCTCCACCCCAGCAGCGCCCGAGGCTCCAGGAGGAAACGGAGGCGGCACAGGTGCTGGCCGATATGAGGGGGGTGGGACTGGGCCCCGCGCTGCCCCCGCCGCCTCCCTATGTCATTCTCGAGGAGGGGGGGATCCGCGCATACTTCACGCTCGGTGCTGAGTGTCCCGGCTGGGATTCTACCATCGAGTCGGGGTATGGGGAGGCGCCCCCGCCCACGGAGAGCCTGGAAGCACTCCCCACTCCTGAGGCCTCGGGGGGGAGCCTGGAAATCGATTTTCAGGTTGTACAGTCGAGCAGTTTTGGTGGAGAGGGGGCCCTAGAAACCTGTAGCGCAGTGGGGTGGGCGCCCCAGAGGTTAGTTGACCCGAAGAGCAAGGAAGAGGCGATCATCATAGTGGAGGATGAGGATGAGGATGAGCGGGAGAGTATGAGGAGCAGCAGGAGGCGGCGGCGGCGGCGGAGGAGGAAGCAGAGGAAGGTGAAGAGGGAAAGCAGAGAGAGAAATGCCGAGAGGATGGAGAGCATCCTGCAGGCACTGGAGGATATTCAGCTGGATCTGGAGGCAGTGAACATCAAGGCAGGCAAAGCCTTCCTGCGTCTCAAGCGCAAGTTCATCCAGATGCGAAGACCCTTCCTGGAGCGCAGAGACCTCATCATCCAGCATATCCCAGGCTTCTGGGTCAAAGCAGTATCCTTCTAATCGATACTCCGTAGGTCAGAAGCCCGTGACAGGAAAGGGGAAGGTGGGGGAGGGACAGAAAAGGTAAAGCGGGTGGAGGAGAGCCAGAGGTGGGCATGATCCCCCTATCGGAAGACGGACTAGACTGGGTGGAAGAGGGATGGAAGGAGGAGGGCAAAACAGCAGAGAAGCTGGACTGGAGATGATGAAGGGTGGTGGAGGGGGGGCGGACATAAAAACTGGACCACAGATGGGAAAGGGGGAAGAGGAGGAACATAGCATTAAAAAAAGGATCACAGATGATAAAAAGGGGGAGGGTAGTAAAGGGGCACACAGCAAAAAAATTGGACCAGAGATGGTGAAAGGAGGAGGGGAGGGGCACGTAGAAGATGAACTGACTCAGAGACCTTGAAGAGGGAGGGGAATGGCACACAGCAGAGAAACTGCCCAGAAAGGGTGCTTGAGCCATACAAGGCTCTGTAAACCTAGATTTTTGCTTAAGATACTAGGAGACCCCAATCCTGGCTGGAGTGCCTTGCATTGGAGGGAGGGGGGCTGGAGCCCCTGAAAGATCAAGAGAGGGAGTGTCTAGGTATAGAGAAAAAGGAGTTAAATGAAGGAAAGGGGAGAGTAGACACATACACATACATGTAACATGTTAGGAACATGAGTCGAACATCCTAATAGAATTATGTGGATACAGACCCTTAGCCCTCATATGAAACAGCACATGGTAAGAGGCCCTTAGCACCCAGGCATACAATATCATTTAGACATAGGACCTCAGCTCCTAGACACAGTATTATGTGACCACAGGTCCTCAGCATGTAGACACATGGCATAACTTGACCACAAGCCATCAGAGCCATTCACACATCATGTGGACATGGACCTTCAACACCCATACATACAATAACGTGACCACAGGCCCTCAGCAATCAGTTACAGCATCACTTGGACATGGCCCTTAAGCCCCCAGACGTGCATTTTGTGAACACAAGCTTTCAGCACCCAGTGACATATACCACATGCACATGGATTGTCGACACCCTGTAGGGCCACCTAACATAGAGGTTTATCATGGGAATAAGTATGGGTTATGTCCCATGACTCACTTGCTTTATACACACCACATAAGCACAGAAGGAATCCTCATGCTCCAGCCTCTCTTACTGTGCCCTTCCTGGCCTTCCCTCCCTCCCTTTCACGGAATAGTCAATCCTTGACCTAAACTGCTCCACTCATCAGTTCCTCAACCACCCCAGAATTTCAATTTTGATCAACCGACGTGATGAAGACATTTTCCGCTACTTGACCAATCTGCAGGTCAGGCCAGAGAGACATTTTTTAGTAGGATCGGGCACGAATCTGGTTCTTGGAGGTGACGGGAGGTGGGTGGGAAGGGCCGTGGTGTGTTGGGGGGGGGACAGATTCCACCATCACCCCCACCTGGAGCAGGTACAGGATCTCAGACATATCTCCATGGGCTACAAAATGAAGCTGTACTTCCAGACTAACCCCTACTTCACAAACATGGTGATTGTCAAGGAGTTCCAGCGCAACCGCTCAGGTAAGTGGCAGTACCAGAGTAAATCCATGTTCCCCCCCTCAATCTGTCCTTGTTTTGTCCCATCTCCATAGCCTTCTCTCTCCCTAGGCCGGCTGGTGTCTCACTCAACCCCAATCCGCTGGCACCGGGGCCAGGAACCCCAGGCCCGTCGTCACGGGAACCAGGATGCGAGCCACAGCTTTTTCAGCTGGTTCTCAAACCATAGCCTCCCAGAGGCTGACAGGATTGCTGAGGTGGGGCCCTTCCTGGCATCACCAGAGAAGGCCTTGCTAGGCTTGTTCCTGGGTGCGTGGGGAATTAAGAGGAGGATCTGGAGCTTGTACTAATGGCTGTCTTATTCCTTCTCCCCTTTTTCAACAGATTATCAAGAATGATCTGTGGGTTAACCCTCTACGCTACTACCTGAGAGAAAGGGGCTCCAGGATAAAGAGAAAGAAGCAAGAAATGAAGAAACGGTAATGGGAGTTTGGTCGCTGAGAGGTGGTTTGTTGGGGATGGGGAAAAGACTAGTGTAACACAGGATTTATGGAGCCAAAAAGGGACCTTTGAGATAATCCCAGTGGAATATGTTTTACAAGTGGGAAATCATGCCCAGAAATGGCTTGAGGTTACACAGTCAGGGGCAGAAGTGGGACTTTACCCACCCTAGCCCCATTCCTGGGATCCCTTATAGCCTACTGCTTCCCCAGTTACTTCCCACCTTTGAGTGCTATGAGTACACCACCTCCCACCAACCCTATACTCAGCCACAGCCTTCCTTACAGTAAAACCAGGGGCAGATGTGAGGTGGTGATCATGGAAGACGCCCCTGACTATTATGCAGTGGAAGACATTTTCAGCGAGATCTCAGACATTGATGAGACAATTCATGACATCAAGATCTCTGACTTCATGGAGACCACCGACTACTTCGAGACCACTGACAATGAGATAACTGACATCAATGAGAACATCTGCGACAGCGAGAATCCTGACCACAATGAGGTCCCCAACAACGAGACCACTGATAACAACGAGAGTGCTGATGACCACGAAACCACTGACAACAATGAGAGTGCAGATGACAACAACGAGAATCCTGAAGACAATAACAAGAACACTGATGACAACGAAGAGAACCCTAACAACAACGAGAACACTTACGGCAACAACTTCTTCAAAGGTGGCTTCTGGGGCAGCCATGGCAACAACCAGGACAGCAGCGACAGTGACAATGAAGCAGATGAGGCCAGTGATGATGAAGATAATGATGGCAACGAAGGTGACAATGAGGGCAGTGATGATGATGGCAATGAAGGTGACAATGAAGGCAGCGATGATGACGACAGAGACATTGAGTACTATGAGAAAGTTATTGAAGACTTTGACAAGGATCAGGCTGACTACGAGGACGTGATAGAGATCATCTCAGACGAATCAGTGGAAGAAGAGGGCATTGAGGAAGGTGAGCTAATCCCCCCCCACCCTTGTCTTCCCTCTTTTCTTTTCTCAGAGCAAGCCTGGCCAAGGACAGGGTATCAAGGCATGAACACAATCTGCTTTTATGGAGGAAAGAAAAAGCATTCTGAGCAACTTTTTAAACAAAGGAAGTCCAGTGAACATTTAACTTAAAAATGTAACAAAACCCCAAAAAATCATTTTAGTTCTAGGTGATGGATAGATGGTTGTAACAGCAGAAGATGAAGAGTACACAGAGATAGGAGACAGTGGGTGGAAAACTGAAAAGGACACTTCACATCGAGGTGGGGGAGTGGCAAAACACAGTGCATTTCAGCACAGTCTGTACCCGGCCTTGGCCTTTGGCGCATTTCCAGGCTTGTGTTGGGAGCAGAGCATGAAGTGAACAGTGTGCTCTCTGAGTCCAGAAAAGGGTGCAGCCAGTTCTACCTCAAGAATCGGGGTGGGGGGGGTGGCGGGGGAAGAGCTAGAGGAAAAAGGTGACATTTGAACTGGAGGATGCATTCACACTGAGGAGCTTTATGGAGCATTCTCCGTGGAGTGGATCATCTGAACAAGGACCTGGAAGGGTGAAAATGCATCGTAGGTTGGGCAGGGTTTCCAAAATTATGTCCTGAGGATCACTCACCAGATCTGAAAGCTGCTTCCCACAAAAGGTTTCAGTGGTCGTATATGTTGGACAAGTACTGCATATAGTAATACCCTCTTGTAGAGTCACATTAGCACCTTAAAGGCTCTGAGAATAACACGAGAATTATAAAGGTGCTGAGAAGTACTCAGATGGGAGGTGGAAGGGGCAGGAAAATCAACTACTCTTCGGGTTTTTTTGGCTATGGGGTCCCTGGCAAACTTCCATTGAGGGCAAGGCCAGGGCACTAAGGGAAGAGGAATGAATGTGGAGCCTCAATCTAGACATGTTCAGGTAGGAGAGAGAAACAGGGATTCTCAGTTCTCTTCCCCTCCCACCTGATGGCATCTCTTTTCTCAGAAGGGGAGGCAGAGCTATCTGCCCAGCCCTGAGGGTGGGAGTGGGGGTGGGGAATTGGGTTGCAGAACACAAACTAGGGCCTCTTTGGATCAGACTGGGGGAGAAAGCGAGGAAGCTGCCTGGAGATGAATAGGTTTATTCAGCTGAGGTCAGAGCTCAGGAAGAGACACACATTGAGGAGTACAAGGGGGAGAAAAAGCTACTATCAGAGATGTATCAGTTTTGACAGAGGCAGGGATCCCACACTGCCTTCCTGCCTCCCTCCATCTCCCTCTCATTCTGTGGGCTTGCTTGAGTACACCCACACACACTCTTGGCTGTTTGTTCCAAGCAGAGGCGCTGACAAGTTGTCCCAGGCCGCTAAAAACCCTGGCTATGGTCTCTGTTCCCTTTTAGAGTGACACCTATCTGCTCATCTAACTGCCTTCCTCCATTTCCCCTTCCTTGCTTCTCCCCTATGCAGGCATCCAGCAAGATGAGGACATCTATGAGGAAGGAAACTATGAGGAGGAAGGAAGTGAAGATGTCTGGGAAGAAGGGGAAGATTCGGACGACTCTGACCTAGAGGATGTGCTTCAGGTCCCAAACGGTTGGGCCAATCCGGGGAAGAGGGGGAAAACCGGATAAGGGTTTTCCCCTTTTGGGGATCACCTCTCTGTATCCCCCACCCACTATCCCATTTGCCCTCCTCCTCAGCTAGGGCCACGCGGCCCCACATTGCACTTCTGGGGGGTGACCGACTTCGTACACGGGTTTAAAGTTTATTTTTATGGTTTAGTCATTGCAGAGTTCTTATTTTGGGGGGAGGGAAAGGGGGCTAGTCCCCTTCTTTTGGCCCTCCGCCCCCGCAGGCTTCTGTGTGCTGCTAACTGTATTTATTGTGATGCCTTGGTCAGGGCCCCTCTACCCACTTCTCCCAGTCAGTTGTGGCCCCAGCCCCTCTCCCTGTGCTGTGTGGAGTGGACACCCTGACCCCCGAAGCGGGGAGGGCCGCTGTGGCCTTCGTCACAGCCGCGCAGTGCCCATGGAGGCGCTGCTGCCACCTTCCTCTCCCAAGTTCTTTCTCCATCCCTCTCCTCTTCCCGCCGCGCCGCTAGCCCGCCTCGGTGTCTATGCAAGGCCGCTTCGCCATTGCGGTATTCTTTGCGGTATTCTTGTCCCCGTCCCCCAGAAGGCTCGCCTCTCCCCGTGGACCCTGTTAATCCCAATAAAATTCTGAGCAAGTTCAGAGTGCCGCTTCGAGTCTTTTGTTTAGCCTGGTGCCCCGGCCCCAGCGGTCAGTTTCCCCCAGGCCCACACGTAGCCGCCTGGCCTACGCAGTATCCTGCAACATGCTAGTTGCGGGGGTTTGGCGGGTGGGGGGCGAGCTCCGCCAGGCCGCAGAGGCGTTGCGTCAGACCAATGCGGATCATCCTGGCCAATGGCAGTGCGAGGCTGAGGAAGCCCCTCCTTCTCCTGGCGCCCGCAGCGGACCCAGCCAGGTAGCGAAGGGCTTCCCACGCCTTCCCCTCTGGCGCATGCGTGTAGAGACATCCTGCGTCCTAGAACATCCATTTATCAGTGATTCATCTTTTAATTTATAGTGCGTCAAACCTTTCCTCGGGCCTAGAGTGAGCGGGGCGTGGGGAGCCAAAGGAATTCATTTTCCTCATTCGCATTTAGTAAAAATAAAACACGACTTCGGTCCGGATATCACAACCCAATTATGCAGGAGCGCTCTCTTGCCTTTGGGAAGGGGTGCAGAGTCCCTAGAGCTGGGCTTGGGGGAGAAGGCAGAAAAGATAGCTCAAGCAGAGAAGTATCCGTAGAGATAAAGGAAAAACAAAGGGGAATTAACTATGTAACTGTGCGAAGGGGTGGAAACGTAGGGAGTTGGACATCTGAAAAACAGGCTTTATCCGGGAGACCTTGGAAAGGCTGAGTTATATTAAATTTAGATACATAAATTTTATCTCGGTGGGCGCCAGGAATATTTCCCAGATTTGTTCTGGATCACAATAACTTTTATTCAGACATCCGAGTCGGTCTTTTATAACATATCTCCCGAACTTTCCATCCAACGCCTTTATTTTGCTGGAAGGCTTCAGATATGGTTAGATTTGCGTTTTAGAGAATGCCCTCTGCTGGCTGCCAGGAGAACTGACTGGAAGGAAGGACAGCAGTAAGGAAATAGACGCTAGACCTCAGGTGGGATTGGCAAGATGGGGGCGGATATGAGAGGTTTTTAAAATAAACTTAATTTCAGAACAGTTTTAAATTTACAGAATTATTGTGAAGATAACAGAGAAGTCCCGTATGTCCCACAGCCAGTTTTCCTTATTAACAGTTTACATTTCTGTGATACATTCGTCACAATTAATGAACCAATATCAGTACATTATTATTAACTAAGGTCCATACTTTATTCCAGTTTCCTTAGTTTTAACTTAATGTCCTTTTTCTGTTCCAGGATTCCATCCAGAATAGCACACTACATTTAGTCATCTTGTGTCCTTAAGCTCCTCTTGGCTATGACACTCTCTCAGGCTTTCCTTGTTTTTGATGACCTGGAGTCATTTGAGGAGTACTGGTCAGATATTTTATAGAATGTCCCTTAATCAGGATTTGTCTGATGTTTTCTCTCATGATTAAACTGAGGATATGAGTTTGGGGAAGGAAGACCACAGAAGACAAATGTCATTCTCACTAGATCATATCAAGGGCATGTACTATCAATGTGATTTATCACTGTTGATGTTAACTTTGATCACCTGGCTGAGGTAGTGTCTGTCAGGTTTCTCCACTGTAAAGCTACTCCTCTTTCTCTTTTTCCATGCTGTACTCTTTGGAAGGAAGCCAAGTAAGCGCAGCCCGTGCTTAGGGAATGAGGAGTTATGCTCCATTTCCTTGAGAGGGAAGTATGTACATAAATTAATTGGAATTCTTCTGCAAGAGCAATTTGTCTATTCTATGAGAGCTTTTAAGATGTTGGACTCCACAGGCTTTAGATATGGAAGGAGAGGGATTCAGAGGAGTCAAGATGACTGCCAGGTTGGTGTGAGACCTTTGGCAAGGCCCCTTCCCTCTCTGGGCCTCCTCTGTGAGATGGTTGGAATACCAGATCCTTGACATGTCTCTCCAATGATTCTGATAAATGTTTTGGGGGGGACAGGATGGAGGCTTTGATGTGCTGTCAGAGGTGGGCAGGGAGGACTGAGGCCCAGAAAGGGGAATGTCTTGCCCAAAGTAACACAATACCTCGAGGCCAGAGCTGAGAGTGCAGGATCCCAGAGAAAAGAGACATCTACATGCAATATCTGGAGCCAACCCCAATGAGTATGCGGTGAAGAGGAGGGGAGGGGAAAGCAGCAGGGGCAAAGGCAATGGAGTAGGCCGGAGTAGGCCAGAAAGAGGTCAGCCTGCCAAAGGATCCCAGCCAATCAGAGCCAGAGTAGCCAGTCTGGTTACTCTTGCCTCAGTCTGCCCTACCTCACAACATGACTCTCCTTGTCCTCTCTAGAGGGCCTCAGTTTTCCTATCTATAAACTGAGGCTTATCGTGCAGGGGGATCAGTCCAGGAGAAGCAACCTGCCTAAGGTCTCAAGACAGAGTCTAGCCTTGAAGCAGGTCTCTGAAGTCTGGCCTTCACTGTGCTCTTCCCTGATTCCTCTCTGTCCCCCCAATCAAATCCCCAGCCCCTCATCCTGGCATTTGAGACTCTTCTTCACCCACCCTGTTAGAGAGGGCCTCTGGTCTTCATCTTCAGTGATGCTCTTAAGAGTCAATCATAGTATTCTAGTATAGTTGGCCAGGGTGCTCATGTCCTCGGCTGAGCCATGTGAGGACAGGATGTTCTTTGCCCAGAGTAACATCTTGTTCCCTGTGCCCTCACTCTTCAGTCTGGACCTCCGAAAGAGAGGGCTGTTCTAGGTCTTTAAGGTCACATCTAGCTCCAAGATACTGTCTTCGCTGAAGGCCAGAGAAGACAGGCCCCATTGGCTGAGACCTTAAACAGAAACCAGGAGGATGAAGAGTCATGGGCCCAATGTGCCCTAGGGCCTGTTCCCATGTTGAAACTACTTGTCTTCATATGCTTCCTAGCTTGCCCTCGCTCCTTTGCAGCAGAGGGCCCTGCTCCTGGGTGGGAGGTTCCTGGGATTTCCTGGGACCAGACCTTTAAAGTGCCACCTACTTCTGTGAGTAGAATCGGATTGGCAGGGACAAAACTAGATTCAAGAATGTCCCTCCTTAGGTGACCCAAAGGGCTGGCACTGGCTCCCCCAGTTGGGGGTGTGCAGGATGGTTGGGAAGGAATCCTATTATTCATTCAGTAAACACTTATGAGTACTTACTGTGTGCCTGAAGTACTGAACTGGGTGATAGGGATACAGCAGGGAAACAAGATAGAGCAAGTCTTTTTTTTTTTTTCTTTGTTGCCCAGCCTGGAGTGCAGTGGCACAATCTCCGCTCACTGCAAGCTCCGCCTGCCGGGTTCACGCCATTCTCCTGCCTCAGCCTCCCGAGTAGCTGGGACTACAGGCGCCTGCCACCACGCCCGGCTAATTTTTTGTATTTTTAATAGAGACGGGGTTTCACCATGTTAGCCAGGATGGTCTCGATCTCCTGACCTCATGATCAGCCCGCCTCGGCCTCCCAAAGTCCTGGGATTACAGGCGTGAGCCACCGCACCCAGCCAATAGAGCAAGTCTTTTTCCTCCTGGAGCCTAGAGTTCAAGACAAATATTCTTAATATTTTTTGTGCCATGGACCCCTTTGGTGATCTAGTGAAGCCTAATGGGACCTTTCTTTTTCTTTTCTTTTCTTTTTTTTTTTTTTTTTTAGATGGAGTCTCACTCTTGTTGCTCAGGCTGGAGTGCAATGGTGCGATCTCGGCTCACTGCAACCTCCACCTCCTGGGTTCAAGCAATTCTCCTGCCTCAGCCTCCCGAGTAGCTGGGATTACAGGCGCCCGCCACCACGCCCGGCTAATTTTTGTATTTTTAGTAGAGACAGGGTTTCACCATGTTGGCCAGGCTGGTCGGGAACTCCTGACCTCAGGTGATTCACCCGCCTCCGACCTCCCAAAGTTCTGGGATTACAGGCATGAGCCACCATGCCCCACCAGACCTTTTCTCAGAAAAAAAAAATTGTTTAAATTCATAAAATAAAATATCTAGAATTACAAAAGAAATTGATTACATTGAAATATAGTTATTAAAATATGGAAAAAGCAAATATGTGCTATAGTATAATCGTATATGTACTCCCCATTAATCCATTAAATCATAAGATTTAATGGAGGGTCTAATGACTATCATGATTTTAAAATAATGATTGAAATTATATGATTTTCAAGAGATCTGCAACATCTATAATGTGATATGAAAATCTCTGATTTCTATTAGTGACAATCAGTACTGCTACTACTGCTGCTACTATGCCTAGTTACATTCTTTATTGAAAAATGCTAAATTTCAGTTAGAGGAGAGGGAAAATAAAGATGTAATTTTGTTTTATTTTTTTGAGACGGAGTTTCAATCTTGTTGCCCAGGCTGGAGTGCAATGGTACGATCTCAGCTCACGGCAACCTTCGCCTCCCAGGTTCAAGCGATTCTCCTGCCTCAGCCTCCCTAGTAGCTGGGATTACAGGCATGTGCCACCACGCCCGGCTAATTTTGTATTTTTAGTAGAGATGGGGTTTCTCCATGTTGGTCAGGCTGGTCTCGAACTCCGACCTCAGGTGATCCGCCCGCCTCGGCCTCCCAAAGTGCTGGGATTACAGGCATGAGTCACTGCGCCCGGCCATAAAGGTGTAAATTTGTTCCCATCCAAATTCATGGACCTCTCCAAACCCTGTCCCCAGCCTCGATTAGAGGTCTGCAGAATACAAATTAAGAACCCTTGCAAATAGGAGGGTCCTTCCCATCTCTCCTTCCTTCTTAAACAGTTTTCCTTTGGAAGCCTGGGTTTTATTCTGGGTCTTACTGCGCCGACTGCCGGCGGTGTACGGTAAGAAGACGCAAAGACGGGGCGGTGGTGGGGAGTGGTAGCGGGAAGAGGCAGGGCCGGAGCGCGCGAGGGGTGGGGCCTGGCTGTGTGACTTCAAGCCAGTCAGTTTGCCTCTCTGGGCCATAAGTTCTGTCCGCCTGAATACTGGGAAAGAATTGGGAGGAGAGAACTTAATTATTTATGCCCCAGGCAACTGATCTATATTTGCCCTCTCATTTAATCCTCACACATTGTGAGGAAAATTTTAAAACATCTTTCCATTTCCAGATGGTTAAACTGAGGCTCCTAGCGAGGTTGTCACTTGACCAATGTCTCAGCAGGTATCAGGGACTGGTAGGTGACACGCCACATCCCCATAGCCACCTCATCCTCCATGCATGGAATAAGGAACTCTGCTCACTTTGAGCGAGAGAAACCTGGCTTAGGAATCTCTGCAGGTGGGTGTGGAACTGTGAGAAACTAGGGGCAGAATCGCGTCTCTTAGCAGAGCGGTGGCAGTGCAAGGTGGCTTATGGAGAGTAAAACGTCAAAGAAGCCAGGCATCTCGATTGTGCAGTGACTCGGCGCCTGGCGTGGCTTCCGGCTTCCCGCCTGCGTATTCCCAAGTAGCCGCCTGAAGACCTGTCGAATAGACAGGCAAAGGGCCATGACAAGCACTCCTTTCCTGGCCAATCCTATTAAAGGGTGGGCTTGGCTCTTTAACCAATCAAAGTCCCCCGAAGGGGCGGAGTTTTCCTCGGTTTGGCTCTAAGCCTCGGGGGTAAAAATAAAATGTTTCCATCCCCAGCCAATCCCTGGAAAGGCAGAAGGGCACTCCTCCAATGGGAGCCGGGGAGCCGTCGGTAGCGGCGTAGGCCCGTGCCCCTGCTCGCGCTGCAGCCCGTGGAAGGGTTCCGTCCAGCGTATCCTTCAGATCTTGCTGTAGGCCTCTGGTGTCTGTGCGCGCGCGGCAGGGGCGGCGGCGGCGACGGCCGGAGGTGTACGGTGAGAAGCCATAAAGACGGGGCGGTGGGGGGAGTGGCAGCGGGAAGAGGCCGGCCGAAGCGCGCGAGGGGTGGGGCCTGCGCGAGCTTTTACTGGGGCGGCCTCTCAACCCTAGGTCAGCGGGTTGCGGAGGATCGTGCGGGTCGCAAAGGGAAGCCGAGTGCTCCTGCGGCTCCCAGACTGCAACCAGGTGAGTACCCTGCGGAGCGGTCGGTGCCCGTTGCTGCCCTCCCGCGGCCCCACCTCCCACCCTCAGTGTCTTTCGAAACGGTTCCATGCAGGTCTGCCGCTCACGTGATCGTCTGCGTGCGTGTCTGTCTTTGCATCCCCTCTCCCATCTCTGTCTCTGTCCCACTTTTTGAGACGTAGTAGATATAAGATGCTGAATCCTGACCAGTTTAAACTAGCTATGAAACCTTGAGCTATCTCCTTCACCAGCCTGGGCCTCAGTTTCCTCATCTGCCAAATGGGGGTCTGATAATGTGTACCTGAGACAATGCATGTGCATTACTTTGCCCTGCACCCGGTCCTTAGAAAATTTTCAATAAATAATGACTATCTTGACTGAAAAGAATATTGTCTCTCTTGGTTTCTGTCTTTTCTCTGTCTCTGACCCTTCCTCCATTGGATCTTTCTGAATGCTTCTGTCTTTCTCTGTTACTGTTTTTCCTCTTTTTACCCGTCTCTTTCTCAACCCTAAAGAGGTTAGAGGTGCATAGTTTATAGCAATAAGTTTTACCCCCGAGGACATGAGCTTAGCCTGGGGCTCCGACCTGTTCTGTGGGTAAAAAATGGAGCCTGGCTTTGGGTTGCTTCTGGTGTCATTGAAGAGAGAACTCTCTTTGCTCCCCAGCCTACTCTGTTAAACAGGTAGAGACACCCAAAGTTGGGAGCAACTTAGATTAAAAACCACTTTTTAATAGCCCCTTATCCTATATAATGTTAGTCACCACAGGAAGCCCACAGATCTCCTGGTTATGTCTCCATACAGCCCTGGACATCCTATTTTCTATTTCCATCCTGAAATCCTTTGACCAGGCCTTAAGGAACTCACCTTCAGTTATCAGCAAAATTCCCTCCATTCTCATCCTGGCTTCTGAATACTCCCTTTATTTTCTTGCTATGCTTTGGTCGTTCTCATACCTGTTGGACCCAACATTGCTTTTTTTTTTTAATAAGGTGTATTTTGAAATGCTTCACTATTCTAAAATGAAATGGATAGAAAATAGAATCTGTCTACACCCATAATTCCCTGAAAACCAATATAATGCCCTAATTGTAATATAGAGAGTAGTAAAGGAAGAGTAATATATAATATTATATTATACATATATCGCACATATATATGCAAAGACTGGGATATGACTCCATTAGAAGACATGATGAAATGGTCTTACACTTAATGATAGTGACAGCTACATGTGTGTTGATTGGTGATTCAGAAGCCACAGGTAGAGTGACACAGTTTTCCTAAATAATGAACAATTCTTCACAAAGTTCTAAACAAAACAATGTGGAAGAGTTTCTCAGTTTATATGGTCGTTAAATTTCTGGAAAAATCAGTATATATTAATATCCATGATGAGACCCTCTTAATCTCCCTGACCTTATCTCCCACCACTCTCCCCCCTTGCTCACTCTATCTACCCATGCTGGCCACCTTACTATTACTTGAACACCTTAGGCACACTTCCGCCTCAGGGGTTTTGCATTCCGTGTATCTGGAATGCTCTTTCCTCAAATACCCACAAGGCTCAGGCCCTTGCTTCCTTCAGGCCTCTACTCAGCTGTCACTTTCTCAGAGGGCCCCCCAACCATCCTGTTTAAAATTGCAGCTCTCCCCTAATATGCCCCTGCTCTGTCTGTTCCATGGTATTCTACACCTTTTTCACAGTGTAGCATTAACTGCTTAGTATGTTTGCTGTTTATTGTCTGACTCTCCCACTCAATTATAAGCTCCAGAAGGGCAGGGATTTTTGTCTTTTTTGTTCTATGATACATTCCTATTACCTAAAATAGTGCTTGACACCTAGTAGACTTTCTCAATGAATGTTTGTTGAATGAATAAAAGAACAAATGAACAGGTTTTTCACCTACATTACTGGTGAGATATTCTAAAGTTGTATGGAATGTGGTATGATTCTTTGTGGTGTGGAGCTGTCCTGTACACTGCAGAGGGCTGAGCATCCCTGGTCCATAGCTAGGGTTGTCACTGATGATCTCCAATTATTGTCACAGTCAAAAATGCCCCCCAAACAGGGCCGGGTGTGATGGCTCACGCCTGTAATCCCAGCACTTTGGGAGGCCAAGGTGGGCAGATCGCTTGAGTCCAGGAGTTCGAGACCAGCCTGGCCAACATGATGAAACCCCGTCTCTACAAAAAATACAAAAATTAGCCGGGTGTTGTGGTGCACGCCTGTGGTCCCAGCTACTTAGGAGGCTGAGATGGGAGGATTGCTTGAGCCCAGGAGGCAGAGGTTACAGTGAGCCAGGATTGCACCACTGCACTCCAGCCTGGGTGACAGCGAGACCCTGTCTCAAAAAAAAAAGCAGTAAAAAATGGGTCGGGCACTGTGGCTCACACCTGTAATCCCAGCACTTTGGGAGGCCGAGGTGGGTGGATCACCTGAGGTCAGGAGTTCAAGACCAGCCTGGCCAACATGGTAAAACCCCGTCTCTACTAATAATACAAAAATTAGCCAGGCCCACATGGTGGCACATGCCTGTAATCCCAGCTACTCGGAAGGCTGAGGCAGGAGAATCGCTTGAACCCAGGAGGCAGGGGTTGCAGTGAGCCAGCCTGGGCAACAAGAGCGAAACTTCGTCTCAAAAAAAAGAAAAAATGCCCTGAAACACCCTTTAATTGTCCAGCCCCCACCTCTCAGTGAGAACCATTGCTTAAGTAGCAGCCTGGCTTTCCCTGAACACTCTGTCCTCCCGGCAGCCCTCTCATACCCCTCTTACCGGGAAACTGGGTGGTGAGGGTGAGGGTGGGTATGCTTGCTCCTAGTTACCCTTTCCAGACATTCTTCCTCCTCAAACAACCCTTTTTTCATTTGTTTTAAGTTTTTTTTTTTTTTTTTTTTGAGACAGAATCTCACTCTGTCACCCAGGCTAGAATGCAGTGGCACAGTCTTGGCTCACTGAAGCCTCCGCCTCCCAGGTTCAAGTGATTCTCCTGCCTCAGCTTCCAGAGTAGCTGGGACTACAGGCATGCACCACCACGCCTGGCTAATTTTTGTATTTTTAGCAGAGACAGGGTTTCACCATGTTGGCCAGGCTGGTCTTGAACTCCTAACCTCAAGTGATCCACCCGCCTTGGCCTCCCAAAGTGCTGGGATTACAGGTGTGAGCCACCAGGCCCAGCCAAGAATTTTTAAACTTAAAATAATTTCAAACTTTTAAAAAGCTTCAAAAATTATACAAGAATTCTCATATATTCTTCACTTAGATTCCCCACATGTTAAGAAATTATATAATTACAGACTGGGCGCAGTGGCTCACGCCTGTAATCCCAGCACTTTGGGAGGCCAAGGTGGGCAGATCACCTGAGGTCGGGAGTTCGAGACCAGCCTGGGCAACATAGTGAAACCCTGTCTCTACTAAAAATACAAAAATTAGCTGGGTGTGGTGGCTTGTGCCTGTAGTCCCAGCTACTTGGGAGGCTGAGGCAGGAGAATTGCTTGAACACAGGAGGCAGACGTTGCAGTGAGCTGAGATCATGCCACTGCACTCCATCCTGGGTGACACAGCGAGACTCTGTCTCAAAAAAAAAAAAAAAAAAAAGAAAGAAAGAAATTATATAATTACAGTGTAACTATCAAAACTAGAAAATTAACATTGATACATACAGGCATATCACAGGTTCAGTTCCAGACCAACACAATAAAGCAAGTCAGATGAATTTTTTGGTTTCCCAGTGCATATAAAAGTTATGTTTACACTGTACCATAGTCTATTAAGTGTACAATAGCATTGTATCAAAAAAAGTATTTACCTTAATTTAAAAATACTATATTGCTAAAAAATGCTAAAGATCATCCCAGCCTTCAGCAAGTTGTAATTTTTTGCTGGTGGAGGGTCTTACCTCGATGTTGATGGTTGCTGACTGAGCAGGGTGGTAGTTGCTGGTTGGGGTGGCTGTGGCAAATTCTTAAAATAAGATATCAATGAAGTTTGGCACGTCGACTCTTCCTTTCACAAAGGGTTTCTCTGTAGCATGTGATGCTGTTTAATAGCATTTTACCCGCAGTAGAACTTGTTTCAAAACTGGAGTCAGTTCTCTCAAACCCTGCTACTACTTTGTTAACTAAGTTTATGTAATATTCTAAATCCTTTGTTGTTGTTTCCAGTGTTCACAGCATCTTCACCAGGAGTAGATTTCATCCCAGGAAATCACTATTTTGCTCATCCATAAGAAGTAACTCCTCATCCACTAACTTTTTTTCTTTTTTTTTCTGAGACAGGGTCTTGCTCTGTCACCCAGGCTAGAGTGTAGTGGCGCGATCACGGCTCACTGCGGCCTCGACCTCCCAGGCTCAAGCAATCTTCCCACCTCAGCCTCCCAAGTAGCTGGGACTATAGGTGCATGCCACCACGCCCAGCCAATTTTTAAAATTTTGCAAAGGTGGGGTCTTGTTGTGTTGTCCAGGCTAGTCTCAAACTCCTGGCCTCAAGTAATCCTCCTGCCTCAGCCTCCGGAGTAGCTGGGACCACAGGCATGTGCCACCATGCCCAGCTATTTTTTTTTTTAATTTTTGTGGAGACAGGGTCTCACTTTGTTGCCCAGGCTCCATTAAAGGAGGGCCTGGCACAGTGGCTTATGCCTGTAATCCCAGCACTTTGGGAAGCCAAGGCGGGTGAATTGCCTAAGGTCAGGAGTTTGAGACCAGCCTGGCCAGCATGGTGAAACCTTGTCTCTACTAAATATACAGAAAAATTAGCCAGGCATGGTGGCGGACACCTGTAGTCCCAGCTATTCAGGAGACTGAGGCAGGAGAATCCCTTGAACCTGGGAGACGGAGGTTGCAGTGAGCTGAGCTCGCGCCACTGCACTCCAGCCTGAGCAACAGAGCGAGACTCCATCTCAAAAAAAAAAAGTTTGATCATGAGATGGCAGCAATTCAGTCACTTCTTCAGCCTCACATTCTAATTCTGATTCTCTCGTTATTTCTGCCATCTCTGCAGTTGCTTCCTCTACTGAAGTCTTGAAACCCCTGAAAGTCATCCCTGAGGTTTGAAGTTAACTTCTTCTACACCCTGTTAATGTTGATATTTTGACCTCCTTCCATGAATCACAAATGTTCTTAATGGCATCTAGAATGGTGAGTCCTTTCCAGAAGATTTTCAATTTACTTTTCCCGGATCCATCAGAGGAATCACTGTCTATGGCGGCTATAGCCTTATGAAATGTATTTCCTAAATAATAAGACCTGAAAGTCAATATTACTCCTTGATCCATGGGCTGCAGAATGGATGTTGTGTTAGCAGGCATGAAAACAGCATGAATCTCCTTGTACATCTCCATCAGAGCTCTTAGGTGATCAGGTGCATTTTCAATGAGCAGTAATATTTTGAATGGAATCTTTTTATCTGAGTAGCAGGTCTCAACAGTGGGCTTAAAATATTTAATAAACTATGCTATAAACAGATTTGCTATCATCCAGGCTTTGTTGCTCCATTTATAGAGCACAGAGTATATTTAGCATAGTTCTTAAGGATCCTAGGATTTTCAGAATGGTAAAATGAACACTGGCTTCAAGTTAAAAGTCACCAGCTGCCTGAGCCTCTAACAAGAGAGTCATCCTGTCTTTTGAAGCTTTGAAGCCAGGCATTGACTTCTTTCTAGCTATAAAAGTCCTAGATGGCATCTTCTCCCCATATAACGCTGTTTCAGCTACACTGAAAATCTGTTGGCCAGGTGCGGTGGCTCACGCCTGTAATCTCAGCACTTTGGGAGGCTGAGGCGGACGGATCACCTGAGGTTGGGAGTTCGAGACCAGGCTGACCAACATGGAGAAACCCTGCCTCTACTAAAAATACAAAATTGGCTGGGTGTAGTGGCGCATGCCTATAACCCCAGCTACTCGGGAGGCTGAGGCAGGAGAATCACTTGAACCTGGGAGGCAGAGGTTGCAGTGAGCTGAGATGATGCCATTGCATTCCAGCCTGGGCAATAAGAGTGAAACTCCGTCTCAAAAAAAAAAAAGAAAAGAAAAAAAAGAAAATCTGTTGGCCGGGTGCGGTGGCTCACGCCTGTAATCCCAGCACTTTGGGAGGCAGAGGCGGGCGGGTCACAAGGTCAGGAGTTTGAGACCAGTCTGGCCAACATAGTGAAACCCCGTCTCTACTAAAAGTACAAAAATTGGCTGGGCGTGGTGGCGGGCACCTGTAATCCCAGCTACTCAAGAGGCTGAGTCAGGAGAATCGGTTGAAACCCAAAGGCAGAGGTTGCAGTGAGCCGAGATCGCACCACTGCATTCCAGCCTGGGCAACAAGAGCAAAACTCCATCTCAAAAAACAAAAAGAAAAAGAAAATCTGTTGTTCACCAACTATCTTATGTAGATTTTTCTAGATAACTTCCTTGCAGCTTCTACATCAGCACTTGCAGTTTCACCTTGCACTTTTATGTTACGGAGATGGCTTCTTTCCTTAAACCTCATGAACCGACTTTTGCTAGCTTCCAACTTTTCTTCTGCAGCTTCCTCACCTTTCTCAGCCTTCATAGAATTGAAGAGAGTTAGGGCCTTGCTCTGAATTAGGCTTTGGCTTAAGGAAATGTTGTGGCTGATTTGATTGTCTAGCCAGACCACCCAAACTTTCTCCATATCCACAATAACACTGTTTCACTGTCTTATCACTCATGTGTTCGCTGGAGTAGCACTTTTAATTTCCTTCAAAAACTTTTCCTTTGCATTCACAACTTGGCTAACTGTTCGGCGCAAGAAGCCTAGCCTTCGGCCTCTCTCACCTTTCAACATGCCTTCCTCACAAAGCTTAATCATTTCCAGCCTTTGATTTAAAGTGAGAGATGTTGAAGGCCGGGCGCAATGGCCCACGACTGTAATCCCAGCACTTTGGGAGGCTGAGGCGGGAGGACTGTGTGAGCCGAGGAGTTTGAGACCAGCCTGGGCAACATGGCAAGACCCTGTCTCCAAAAAAATAAAAATAAAAAATAAAGTGATAGATGTTGAGATACTTCCTTTGACTCGAATACTTAGAAGCCATTGTGGGGTTATTAATTGGCCTAATTTCAATTTGTTATGTCTTGGATAGGGAGGCCTGAGGAGAGGGAGAGAGACAGAGGAATAGCCAGTCAGTCGAGCAGTCAGAACATACATATTTGTCAGTTCAGTTTGCCATCTTACATGGGTACAGTTCATGGTGCCCTAAAACAATTACAAATAGTTACACCAAAGATCACTGATCTAGGCGGGGTGCGGTAGCTCACGCCTGTAATCCCAGCACTTTGGGAGGCCGAGGTGGGTGGATTGCTTGACCTCAGGAGTTCAAGACCAGCGTGGGCAAGATGGTGAAACTCCATCTCTACAAAAAATACAAAAATTAAGCTGGGTGCTGTGGCGTGCGCCGCTAGTCCCAGCTACTCAGGGAGGCTGAGGCAGGAGAATCGCTTGAGCCCAGGAGGCAAAGGCTGCAGTGAGCTGAGATCACGCCACTGCACTCTAGCCTGGGTGACAGGAGTGAAACCCTGTCTCAAAAAAAAAAAAAAAAAGATCACTGATCACAGATCACCATAACAGATATAAGAAAAGTTTTGAAATGTGAAAATTACCAAAATGTAAGACAGAGACACTAAGTGAGCACATACTGTTGGAAAAATGGCACTAATAGATTTACTCAATACAACTTTGCCACAAACCTTCAATTAGTAAAAGACACAGTATCTGTGAAGTGCAGTAAAGTGCAGCACAATAAAATGAGGTATTGCCTGTACTCTTAACGAAACTACAGGGTTTATTTAGATTACATCAGTTTTTCACTAGTGCCACTTTTCTTTTCAAGGATTCAGTTCAGGCTCCCACATTACATTTAGTTATCATGCCTCCTTAGGCTCTTCCAATATGGAACAGTTCTTGAGTCTTTCTTTGTCTTTTATGATTTTGATCATTTAGAAGACTCCTGGACAGTTATTTCATAGAATTTGGGTTTGTCTCAAGTTTCACTGTGATTATATTCAAGTTATGTAATTTTGGTGAGAATACCGCAGAAGAGAAGTTATGTCTTCAGTGCTTCCTATCAGGAGGCATGTGATGTCATTTTGTCCTGATACCAGTTTTGTTGACTTTGATTCCTTGTTTAAGGTGGTGTCTGTCAGGTTTTTCCACTATAGTTCCCCTTTTTTCTTTCATGAAATATGTTGGGATTATATAAATATCAACAACCTTGTTGTAAATCTCATATCATCAGAATATACCATCAGCTACCACTCTGTATCATCATATACAGACATACACCCATATCTGCCCATCATTACCATTTCTAAATGAATTTAGCTGTGATCTCACTGTCATTCTCTTTAACACTGGTCCAGTCCTAATTCTTGGTGATTTTAATATCTTTGTAGCTGATCCTTCCAATATTTTCATCTGTCAGTTCTGTGATTTGCCACCCTACAATGATCCTGCCTTTTAACCCCACCTCAGCTACCTACTCCAATAGTCTGACCCTTGTTTTGTTTGTTTTTTTTTTTTTTTTTTGAGATGGAGTCTTACTCTGTCACCCAGGCTGGAGTGCAGTGGTGCGATCTCAGCTCACTGCAGCCTCCGCCTCCTGGGTTCAAGTGATTTTCCTGCCTCAGCCTCCAGAGTAGCTGAGATTACAGGCGCCTGCCACCACGCTCAGCTAATTTTTGTAGAGACAGCGTTTCACCATGTTGGCCAGGCTGGTCTCGAACTCCTGACCTCAAGTGATCTACCCGCCTGGGCCTCCCAAAGTGCTGGGATTACAGGTGTGACCCACTGTGCCAAGCCTGACCCTTGTCCTTGTCAGTACCTGTGACTGCATTGTTTTCATATTCTCAGTTTCAGGCATCCTGTTCTCTAGCCAGTACCTCCTATTTTTCTAGCTCACGCCTACTAGTACTCCAACTCCAGCAATCCCTCAATCCCACTGGGACTGAACATTTTCACTCCCTTTCACTTCCCCCATGCTCCTATGTCCCTCCTTTAATCAGCTTAGATTCCATGACCCACTGTTACAATCATTCCTGGGCGGACAGTCTCACTTCCCTTCGCCCTCTGCCACTTCAGCGTACTTACCATCCACTTTATCGGGCACTGCCTCAGCCCAGTTAAATCCAGCTCTCTACTTGCTCCATTGCATTTTCTATCCTACCCTCCTAGATGATGATTGTTTCCTACTTCTCTCCTGAAATCCTCAACATTTCCTCCCCTGTCCTTACACTCAGGCTTCCTACTTGACTGAAAAAATGGAAACCATTGGAATAAAACATCTGCAGATTCCCACCACCACATCCAACCACCACACAGCATCTGTATCCACATACTCTGCCTTCTTCTCTGTACTACATAAGGTGCTCCTACTGTCGTCAAAATCCAGTCTCTCCCCTTTGGCACTCCATCCCATCCTCTCTCACCTACTTGAGGACATGGTTCCACCAGTTTTCCCCTCTCTCTACAAGATCATTCTTATTAGCACACAGACATTCTATTACTTCTTCCATCTTTTCGTTGCAACTTCATTGAGATGCATGTCGCATACCATCTAATTCACCTTTTATTTATTTATTTTTGAGACAGGGTCTTACTGTATTGCCCAGGCTGGACTTGAACTCCTGGGCTCAAGTGATCCTCTGGCCTCAACTTTCTGAGTAAATTCACCCTTTTAAAGGGTACTGTTAAAATAATAATAAATATTATTATAAATAAATAAATAAAAGTATACTGTTCAGTAGTTTTATTTATTTATCTTTATTTTTTGAGACAGCCTCTCGCTCTGTCACCCAAGCTGGAGTGCAGTGGTACAATCTCGGCTCACTGCAACTTCTGTCTCCCGGGTTCAAGTGATTCTCCTGCCTCAGCCTCCCGAGTAACTGGGATTACAGGCGCACACCACCATGCCTGACTAATTTTTGTATTTTTAGTAGAGACGGGGTTTTGCCATGTTGGCCAGGGTGGTCTCAAACTCCTGACCTCAAGTGATCCACCCGCCTCGGCCTCCCAAACATGATCAATTTTAGAACATTTTCACCCCCCGACCCCCACCAAAGAAGCTTCATACTCATTAGCAGTCACTTCCCATTAGTATTCTCCCCAGTCCTAGCCACCCACTAATATACTTTCTGTATCTAGAGATTTGTCTATTCTAGATATTCCATATAAATTAGATCGTACAAGATACTGGTCTTGCTGGCTGGCTTCTTTCGCTGAGCATAATGTTTTGAGGTCCATCCATGCTGTTGCACGTATCATTCCTTCCTATTGTCAAATAATATTCTGTCATATGGATCTACCTCCGTTCCTCAGTTGGTCAGTTCAGTTGCTTTCATGTTGGCCAATATGACTAATATTTCTCTGAACGTGGAGTGGAATTGCTGTCATATGGTGGCTCTATGTTTAACTTTTTTTTTTTCTTTTTGAGACAGGGTCTCACTCTGTCACCCAGACTGGAATGCAGTGTCCCAATCTTGGCTCACTGCAACCTCCACCTCCTGGGCTCAAGTGGTCCTCCCCCTTCAGCCTCCTGAGTGGCTGGGACCATGGGCATGTGCCACCACACCTGGCTAATTTTTGTATTTTTTGTAGAGATGGGGTTTTGCCATGTTGCCCAGGCTGGTCTTGAACTCCTGGGCTCAAGAGATCTGCCCTCCTCGCCTCCCAAAGTGCTGAGATGATAGGTATGAGCCATGGTGCCCCGCCTTATGTTTTGAGGAGCTATCAAACTGTTTGCAAAAGTGGCTATGCCATTTTACAGTCCTATCAGCAGTGTATGAAGGTTCCAGTTTCTCCATATCCTCATCAACACTTTTCGTTTGTCTTTTTTATTATAGCCATCCTAGTGAGTATGAAAGTGGTGTCTCATTGTAGTTTTGATTTTCATTTCCCTAATAACTCATGATATTGAATGTCCTTTTATATGCTTGTATATCTTTGGAGAAATGTCTATTCAAATTCTTAGCCCATTTTTAATTGGATTATGTGTCTTTTTATTATTGAGTTGCAGGACTTCTTTTTTTTTTTTTGGAGACGGAGTCTCACTCTGTCATCCAGGGTGGAGTGCAGTGGTGTGATCTTGGCTTACTTCAACCTCTGCCTCCTGGGTTCAAGCAATTCTCCTGCCTCAGCCTCCTGAATAGCTGGGACTACAGGCACACAACGACACACCTGGTTAATTTTTTTTTTTTTTTTTGTATTTTAGTAGAGATGGGGTTTCCTGTGTTGCCCAGGCTGATCTCGAACTCCTGAGCTCAGGCAGTCCACCTGCCTCGGCCTCCCAAAGTGCTAAGATTACAGGCATGAGCCCCTGCACCTGGCCAGAACTTCTTTATGTATCTGGATATAAGTCCTTTGTCAGATAATATGTTTTTTTCTTTTTTTTTTTTTTTTTTTTTGAGACAGAGTCTCGCTCTGTCGCCCAGGGTGGAGTGCAGTGGCGCGATCTCGGCTCACTGCAAGCTCCGCCTCCTGGGTTCACGCCATTCTCCTGCCTCAGCCTCCCAAGTAGCTGGGACTACAGGCGCCCGCCACCATGCCCAGCTAATTTTTTGTATTTTTAGTAGAGACGGGGTTTCACCGTGTTAGCCAGGATGGTCTCGATCTCCTGACCTCGTGATCCACCCGCCTCGGCCTCCCAAAGTGCTGGGATTACAGGCGTGAGCCACCGCGCCTGGCCAGATAATATGAATTATAAATATTTTCTCCCATTCTGTGGGTTCTTTTCATTTTATTGATGGTATCTTTTAATGTACAGTAGGTTTTAATTTCAGTGATGTCCAGCTTACCTATTTTGTTGTCACTTGGGCATTTGGTGTTATATCCAATAAATCATCGCCTAAATCAGGGTGACAAAGATTTATTCCTATGTTTTCTTCTAGGAATTTTATCGTTTTAGCTCTTACATTTAGGACAGTGATCCATTTTGAGTTATTTTTGTTTCAAGACAGGGTCTCGTTCTGTCACCCAGGCTGGAGTGCAGTGGCACCATCACAGCTCACTGCAGCCTTGACCTCTTAGGCTCAAGTGATCCCCCCACCTCAGCCTCCTGAGTAGCTGACACTACAAGTGTGAGCCATCACACCCAGCTAATTTTTATATTTTTGTAGAGATGAGGTCTCTGTGTATTGCCCATGCTGGTCTCGAACTCCTGGGCTCAAGTGATCCTCTCACCTCAGCCTCCCAAAGTGCTGGGATTACAGACATACTGTACCCAGCCCATTTTGAGTTAATATTTGTGTATAGCGTGAGAGTAGGGGTACAGGTTTATTCTTCTGACATGGATATCTAGTTTTCTGAGCACCTTTTGTTGAAAAATATTCTTTTTACCATTGGATTGTCTTGACGACCTTGTCATAGACCAGGCATAGTGACACCCATCTGTAGTCCCAGCTACTAGAGAGGCTGAAGCAGGAGGATCACTTTAGCCCAGGAGTTCAGGGCCAACCTGGGCAACATAGTGACACCCCATCTCTGAAAAAAATAATTGACCATAAAACATAAACATAAAGGTTAACTTCTGGACTCTTAATTCTATTCCATTGATTTGCAGGTCTGTCACTATGCTAGACCACACTGTCTTAATTACTGTAGTTGTAGTAAGTTTTGAAGTCAAGAAGTGAGAGTCTTCCAACTTTGTTCTTTTTCAAGATTGTTTTGGCTATCCTTGCATTTTCATAGGAATTTTAGGATCAGCTTTCCAATTTCTTTCTTTTTTTTTTTCTTTTACAGATAGGATCTTTCTCTGTTGCTCAGGCTGGAGTGCAATGGTGTGATCATACTTCACTGCAGCCTTGAATTCCTGGGCTCAAGTGATCCTCTTTGCTTTTTTTTTTTTTTTTTTTTTGTAGAGACAGGGTCTTGCTTTGTAGCCCAGGCTGATATCAAATTCCTGGCTTCAACCAATCCTCCTGCCTCGTCCTCCCAAAGTGCTGGGATTACAGGCATGATCTACCAAACTCAGCAGTTTATCAATTTCTTTAAAAAAAAAAACAGCTGAAATTCTCATAGAGATTATGTTGAATCTATATATCAACTTGGGGAGTATTGCCATTTAACAATATTGTCTTCTAGTCTGTGAACTTGGGATTTATTTAGATGTTTAATTTCTTTCAGGAGTGTTTTATAGTTTTCAGTATACAAGTCTTGCAGTTCCTTTGTTAAATTTATTCCTAGGCATTTTATTCTTTTTGATACTACTTTAAAATGGGATGTTTTTTAATTTTTAAAAATTTTTAAATTAAAATAATTTTTAATTTCCTCATGCTTTTATCTCAGAGTCAGGGGTTTGTTTTCTAGAGACAAGGTCTTGCTCTGTTGCTCAAACTAGAGTGCAATGGCTCCATCATAGCCCACAGCAGCCTTGAACTCATGGGATTACAGGTGTGAACCACTGCACCTAGCTGGACTTTTTCTTTTTTTCTTTTTTCTGAGACGGAGTCTCACTCTGTCACCCAGGCTGGAGTGCAGTGGGGCGCTCTTGGCTCATTGCAACCTCCGCCTCCTGGGTTCAAGCGATTCTCCTGCCTCAGCCTCCAGAGTAGCTGGGATTATAGGCACCAGCCACTACACCCAGCTAATTTTTTGTATTTTTAGTAGAGACGGGGTTGCACCATGTTGGCCAGGCTGGTCTCAAACTCCTGACCTCATGATCTGCCCGCCTCGGCCTCCCAAAGTGCTAGGATTACAGGCGTGAGCCACCGTGCCTGGCCTTCAAATTTTTTCTTAATTTTTTTTTTTTTTGAGACAGAGTCCCACTCTGTCACCCAGGCTGGAGTGCAGTGGCGTGATCTCAGCTCACTGCAACCTCCACCTCCCGGGTTCAAGCAATTCTTGTGCCTCAGCCTCCCAAGCAGCTGGGACTACAGGTGCATACTACCACACCCAGCTAATTTTTGTATTTTTAGTAGCCATGGGGTTTTGCCATGTTGGCCAGGCTGGTCTCGAACTCCTGGCCTCAAGTAATCCACCCGACCTCAGCCTCCCAAAGTGCTGGGATTATAGGCATGAACCACTGCACCCAGCCCTTAATTTCATTTTTTGATTGTTCATTGCTAGTGCATAGAAATACAATAGATTTTTGTTTATTGATCCTCTATCATATGACATTGCTGAACTTGTTTATTAGTTCAAATAGTTTTTTGGTGGATTCCTTGGGATTTTTAAATATACAAGATCATGTTATCTCTAAATAGAGATAGTTTCACTTTTTTCTTTCCTGTCTGAATGCCTTTTTTTTTTTGAGGCAGGGTCTCGCTCTGTAACCCAGGCTGCAGCGCAGCGGTGTGATCATAGCTCACTGCAACCTCGAACTCTCGGGCTCAAGCAGTCCTCCCATCTCAGCCTCCAAAGTATGTAGGACTACAGGTGCACACCACCACACCCAGCTGATTTTTAATTTTTTTGTGGAGACAAGGGTCTCACTATGTTGTCCAGGCTGGTCTCAAACTCCTAGATTCGAGCAGTCCTTTCACTTCAGCCTCCCAAAGTGCTGGGATTACCAGCTTTGTTCTTTTTGCTCCAGATTACTTTGGCTATTTGGTGTCTTTTGTGGTTTATACAAATTTTAGTATTTTTCTGTAAAAAATGACATGGAACTTTTATAGAGATTGCATTAAATTTGTAGATCACTTTGAGTAGTGTGGACATTTAAACAATACTAATTTTTCCAATTCATGACCACAGGGTATCTTTCCATGTATTTGTATCATCTTCAGTTTCATTCATCAATGTCTTACTGTTTTCAGGGTACACGTCTTTTACCTCCTTGGTTAAATTTATTCCTAAGTTTGTTTTTTGTTGTTTTGTTTTTGTTTTTGTTTTGAGATGGAGTTTCGCTCTTGTTGCCCAGGCTGGAGTATGCAGTGGCGCGATCTCATCTCACTGCAACCTCCGCCTCCCAGTTTCAAACGATTCTCCTGCCTCAGCCTCCCGAGTAGCTGGGATTACAGATGTGTGCCACCACACCCTGCTAATTTTGTATTTTTAGTAGAGATGGGGTTTCGCCATGTTGGCCAGCCTGGCTTCAAACCCCTGACCTCAGGTGATCCACCCGCCTCGGCCTCCCAAAGTGCTGGGATTACAGGCGTGAGCCACTACACCCGGTTATTCCTAAGTATTTTACTTTTTTTCTGTAGCTATTGTAAATGGGATTGCTTTCTTGATTTCTTTTTCAGATACTTTGTTGTTAGTGTATAGAAGTGCTACTGATTTTTGTATGTTGATTTTGTATCCTGTAACTTTACTGAATTTATTTGTTCTAACGGTTTTCTTTTTTCTTTCTTTTTTTTTTTTTGGAGACAGAGTCTCACTGTATTGCCCAAGCGGGAGTGCAGTGGCATGTTCTCAGCTCACTGCACCCCCGTCTCCTGGGTTCAAGCAATTCTCATGCCTCAGCCTCCCGAGTAGCTGGGACTATAGGCATGTGCCACCATGCCTGGCTAAGTTTTATATTTTTTAGTAGAGATGGGGTTTCACCATGTTGGCCAGGGTGGTCTCGAACTCCTGGCCTCAAGCCATCTGCCAGCCCCGGCCTCCCAAAGTGCTGGGATTACAGGCATGAGCCACTGCACGCAGGCTTGTTCTAACAGTTTTTTGGTGGAGTCTTTAGTATTTTCTATATATAAGATTGTGTCGTCTGCAAATGGGAACAATTTTACTTCTTCCTGTCCAATTTGGGTGCCTTTTATTTCTTTCTCTTGACTTATTCCTCTGGCTGGAACTTCTAGTATCCTGTAGAATAGAGTTCCTCATCTTAAAGGAAAGGCTTTCAACTTTTCACCATTGAGTATGATGGTAGCTGTGGGTTTGTTATATATGGTATTTATTACGTTGAGGTACATTTCTCCTATGTCTAGTTTTTTGAGTTTTTATCATGAAGGGATGTTGAATTTTGCCAAATGCTTTTTCTGCATCTATTGACATATGGTTTTTGTCCTTCATTCTGCTAATTTGCATGTGTTGAACCAACCTTGCATCCTTGTGATAAATCCTACTCGATCATAGTAAATGATCCATTTAATGTACTGTTAAATATGGTTTCCAGTACTTTGTTGAGGATTTTTGCTTCTCTGTTCATCAGGGATATTGGCTTGTAATTTTCTTTTCCTCTAGTGTCATTGTCTGGCTTTGGTATCGGGGTAATGCTGGCCTCATAAAGAGTTTGGGGCCGGGCGCCGTGGCTCACGCCTGTAATCCCAGCACTTTGGGAGGCCAAGGCAGGTGGATCACAAGGTCAGGAGTTTGAGACCAGCCTGACCAACATGGTGAAACCCCATCTCTACTAAAAATACAAAAATTAGCCGGGCGTGGTGGCATGCACCTGTAATCCCAGCTACTCAGGAGGCTGAGGCAGGAGAATTGCTTGAATCCAGGAGGCGGAGATTGCAATGAGCCGAGATTGCGCCACTGCACTCCAGCCTGAGTGACAGAGCGAGACTCTGTCTCAAAAAAAAAAAGAGTTTGGAAGTATGCCTTCTTCTTCAGTTTTTTGGAAGAGTTTGAGAATGACTGATATTACTTCTTTATTTTATAAATTTTATTTATTTATTTATTTTTGAGACAGAGTCTTGCTCTGTCACCTAGGCTGGAGTGCAGTGGTGCAATCACAGCCCACCGCCTCAACCTCCTGGGCTTAAGCAGTCCTACCACCTCAGCCTCCTGAATAGCTGCAACTAGAGGCATGCAACGACCACACCCGGCTAAGTTTAAAATTTTTTTTTGTAGAGATGGGGTCTTGCTATGTTGCCCAGGCTGGTCTCAAACTCCTGCCTTGAACTCAAGCAGTCCTCCTGCCTCGGCCTCCTAAAGTGCTAGGAGTACAGGCCTGAGCCACCACACCCAGCCTAAAACATCTTGTAACTGGCTATTTTAAGCTGGTAACAACTTAACTTTGAGTGCATTAAAAAACTCTACACTTTGGCTCCACCCCCTCACCACATTTTATGGTTTTGATGGTATAATTTATTTCTTTTTATAATGTGTTATCTGTTAACAAATTATTGTAGATATTATTTTAATAATTTTACCTCTTAACCTTTATACTACATGTATAAGCAATCTACACACCACCATTACAGTATTATAGTATTCTGAATTTGACTGTATACTTACTTTTACCAGTGAGTTTTATACTTTCATATGTTTTCGTGTTACTAATTAGCATTCTTTTCTTGCAGCTTGAAAAACTCTCTTTAGCACAGAGGTGTCCAAGGGAACGAATACAGTCATGAGTTCTTAGTTTCTGTTTCTGGTTGAGCCAGTTAAGCCCCTTCCTCATCCCTCTTTTCTGCTTATCACTAGATACAGAAACTAAAAACCGTGGCTTCAGGCTGCTAAAAACTTAAAACAAAACAGAACAACAACAACAAAATAAGGCGGGTTAGACAAGCTAACTTCAGCATTTCTTGTAAGACAGATCTGGTGGCAATGAACTCCCTCAGCTTTTGTTTGTCTTGGAAAGTCTCTTGTCTCTCCTTCATTTCTTGTTTTTTAATTATTTTTTTTTAATTTCAGTTGGTTTTTGGGGAACAGGTGGTGGTTGGTTACATGGGTAAATTCTTTAGTGGTGAATTCTGAGATTTTGGTGTACCCATCACCCAAGCAGTATACACTATACCCAATGTGTAGTCTTTTATCCCTCACCCCCTCCCACCCGTTCCCCCAAGTCCCCAAAGTCCATTGTGTCATTCTTATTGCCTTTGCATCCTCATAGCTTAGCTCCCACTTATGATTGAGAACATACAATGTTTGGTTTTCCATTCCTGAGTTACTTCACTTAAAATAATGGTCTCCGATTCCATCCAGGTTGCTGCGAATGCCATTATTTCATTCCTTTTTATGGCTGAGTAGTATTCCATGGTGTATATATTACCACAGTTTCCTTATCCACTCGTTAACTGATGGGCATTTGGGCTGGTGCCATGTTTTTGCAGGTGTGAATTGTGCTGCTATAAACATGCGTGTGCAAGTGTCTTTTTCGTATAATGACTTTTCCTCTCCATTTCTAAAGGGCAGCTTTGCTGGTACAGTCTTTTTGATTGGAAGGTTTTTTCCTTCAGCACACTGAATAGATCATTTCACTTTTTCATGGCCTGTAAGGTCTCTGCTGAGAAATCTGCTGCTAGCCTTATTAGAACTCCTGTACCTGTTATTTGCTTCTTTTCTCTTCCTGCTTTCAAGGATCCTCTGCTTGTCCTTGATTTTTGACAGTTTGATTCTATGTTTCTGTATAGTCTTGTTTGCATTCAATTTGATTGGAGAACTTTGACCTATGCCTGGATATTTTGTATCTTTCTCCAAACTTGGAAAGCTTTCTGCTATTACTTTTTAAAGTAAGCTTTCTGTTCCTTTGTCTTTTTCTTCTCCTTCATGAACTCTGTAATTCAAAAATTTGCTCTTTTGAAGCTATCCTGTAAATCCCATAAGCTGTCTTATTTCTTTTTCATTTTTCCCCCTATGACTGTATATTTTCAAATCTGTCTTCAGGTTCACAGATTCTTTTTTCTGCTTGATCAGTTCTGAGTGGGATATCCCACTCAGGGGATATCAACAGAGTACCTTGTGAGCATGAGATGATTATAATTATGAACTTTAACAAGACTTTATCTTTGACCTTTTGGCGATCTTCTTCTTGCCCATGGGCAGCTGTCATTTGCGGGGATAGCAGTCAATTCCAGCCATCAGAGCGTGGCTGTAGGGGAAGATTGAGGTGCCCTTATCAACGTTCTTCATGGTGACAGCTTTGTGTCCAGAGTAGCATTCAGCCAGGACCAGCACCACTTTCCCAGGTTTCATGAACTTGCCCAAGCCTATAGCAACCAACCAAGCCTATAGCAGAAAACACACACACAAAAAAAAACCCTAATTTTTAAAATAATTTCAATCTCTCTGTTAAATGTTTCATTTTATTCATTTTTTCATGATATCATTGAATTGTCCCTGCATATTTTCTTGAAGTTCTGAGCTTCCTTTATATAATTACTTTGAATTCTTTGTAAGCCACTTCATACGTCTCTTCTTTGTAGGGTCAGTTACTGGTGCTTTCTTTTGTTCCTTTGGTGGTGGTGTGTTTCCCTTTCCCTGATTGTTCTTTTTTTTTTTTTTTTTTTTTTGAGGTGGAGTCTCGCTCTGTCACCCACCCACTCCAGGCTGGAGTGCAGTGGCGCGATCTCGGCTCACTGCAACCTCTGGCTCCTGGGTTGAAGCTATTCTCATGCCTCAGCCTCCCGAGTAGCTGGGATTACAGGCGCATGCCACCATGCCCAGCTAATTTTTGTATTTTTAGTAGAGATGGGGGTTTCACCATGTTGATCAGGCTGGTCTCGAACTCCTGACCTCAAGTGATCTGCCTGCCTCAGCCTCCCAAAGTGCTGGGATTACAGATGTGAGCCACTGCACCCAGTCGATTGTACTTTTTAAAAACAAAACAAAATTTATTTTGAGACAGAGTCTCACTCTGTCACCCAGGCTGGAGTGCAGTGGCATGATCTCAGCTCACTGCAACCTCTGCCTCCCAGTCTCAAGTGACCCTCCTGCCTCAGCCTTCCAAGTAACTGGGACCACAGACATGTGCCACTACATCCAGCTAATTTTTTTGTATTTTTTGTAGAGACGGGGTTTCGCCATGTTGCCCAGGCTGGTCTCAAACTCCTGAGCTCAAGCAATCCACCTGCCTGCCTCGGCCTCCCAAGGTGTTGGGATTACAGGCGTGAGCCACCGCACCAGGTTAAAAAAATTTTTTCCTTAAAAAATAGAGACAGGGTCTGGCTATGTTGCCCAGGCTGTTCTCAAACTCCTCGGCTCAAGCAGTCTGCCCGCCTCGGCCTCCCAGAGTGCTCGGGATTATAGGCCTGAGCCACCGTGCTTGGCCTCCCTGATTGTTCTTGATCCTTGTGGCTGTGCATTGGTGTCTGCACATCTGAAGACGTGAAAACTCATTCTAGTCTTTGCAGACTGCCTTTGTCTGGGAAAGCCCCTCACCAGTCAGCCTGTCCAGAGATTCTGGACTGGCCATCTGGCATGTTCTGTGGGCAGGCTTGCTGCTGGAGTCCTCAGGCAGGCTGGTCTGGTGTCTGGGTCAGCAGGTAGGTGGACCCGATGTCTGGGTCCATGGGGTTTGGCCTGGAGCCTGGATCCAAACAGATGGGCCTGTTGATTGGGTATGTGAAGGTGGGCCTGGAGCCTGGGTCCACAAAAGCACAGCTGGTTCCTGGATCTGCGGGAGCCAACTTCATGTCTGGGTCTACAGGGGCTGACATGGTGCTGAGGTGGACCTGAAGCCTAAATCTGCATGTCAAGCCTGGGTTCTGGGTCCATGGGGGCTGGCCTGGATCCTGGGTCTGCAAGGGTGGTCCTGGAGCCTCAGTCCACAGGAGTTGGTTTGGCACCAAAGCTTACTAGGGTGGGCCTGAACCCTGGGTCAGCTAGAGCCTTTGGCCATGAGGACCACCCTGGAGCCTGGGAACTGTGTGGTGCTGGGGCCGGTGTGGAGCCTGGATTCTCTAGGCCCAGCCCAGTACTGGGATCTACTGGGATGGGCCTGGACCCTGGGTCTGTTGGAGCATGGGGCTGCAGGGACCAGCCTGAAGGGTGGGGCCACAGAGATCAGCCCACCACTGGGCAGGCCTAGAGTCTGTGTCTGTGTGTGCCAGCCTGGTACTTGAATCTAGAAGTGCTCTCCTGGTGTCGGGGCAGGCCTGCGGCCTAGGGCTGTGTAGGTCAACCTGGTTCTGGGCTGGGCTGGAACCTAAGGTGGGCCTGGAGCCTGGGACCACATGGCCTGGCCTGGCACTGGGTGGGCCTGGAGCCTGTGTCCACAAGGTCTTGCTGGATGCTGGTCTGCAGGTGCTGGCCTAATGACTAGTGCTGTGGAGGCTGGCCTGGTGCTGGGGTGGGCCTGAAACCTGGGGCCGGGGGGGCCAGCCCCATGCTGGGGATGGTCTGGGACCCACGGCCACCTGGGCTGGCCTGGCCCTGGAACAAGCCTGGTACCTGAGTCTATGGGGGCTAGCCTGGCACTGGGGTGGGTCTGGAGACTGAGACTGCCAGGCAGGCCTGGAGTGCGAGGCAGTGGAATCTGGTCTGGTGCTGGGGCAGGCCTGGAGGCTCGGTCTGCAGGTACCAGCCTAGAGGCTTGGGCTGTGGGTGCCTGCCCAGTGCTGGGTTTGACTGGGGCAGCCCTAGTGTTGGAGTCCAAGGGAAAGCCCAGTGCTTACTTCCTTTCTCTTCCCTGAAAAAAGTATCTCTTTTCCCACTGCACTGCCTGGGGTTGGGGGAGGGGTGGCATGGATAGTGTGTAACTTTTTTTCCTACCCTCTTCAATGTATCTTTTCTTATTTCCGTGCTACACCCAGGTGCTGTCAACTCTCACCTGGTTTCCTTAGCTCTGGTGAAGTATTTTCGTGTATGGATTGTTTTTCAAATTGATGTTTCTGTTGGGGAATGAGCACTGGAAAGTCCTGCTCTGCCATCTTGCTGCCATCTGGACTCCCAAGGTTTGTTGTTGGTCTGTTTTTGTTTTTGTTGCTGTCATAGTTCTTTTTCTTGTTGCTGTTTGTTTGTTCAGTGACTTTTCTGAACTCATTTTGTGGATTTGGTCTCCCCCTGCATTATGTGGCCTCTGAGTTCCTGCTAGCAGCCTTTTTTCTTTTCAGTTCTTGTTTTTCTTTTTAAGCCTGGATTCCTAGGGGTCACACCTGGTGAATAAATATAATTTGGTGGTCAGCCAGTGATTGGTCAGAATGTATCCTTAAATGCCTTGCCTGTACATCTTCCAACCCTTGCCAAGAGGATCTGCGTAAGAAAGCATTGCCTTCAAAGTCCAGCCAGTGTATGAGACAGCCTTTGCTTTCACTTTGTACTTGCACAGGGCCTCGCAGTCAGCCAGAAGTGAGTGGCTTGGATCCTCTCCTATCCCAGCTCTTTCCTTGGCGTGCATATAGCCTTGAGTATATGCACAGCCCTTTAGATCCCTAGGAATATGTCAGAGCTTTTCAAAGTTTCCTATGGTTGTCTCATTCTCTAGGATTTCCTGTAAAATTCTCTAAGTGGTCAGATTTCTCTGTTGTCTGGAATTTGGTCACCTTTTGGATCCTGTACCACGGAGATAGGGAGGGTTAGGGAGGGAGGATGGGGATCACCACAAGTGAAATGTCGTAGACCTCACTGTCTTGCCAACATTCAGTAGTTTCTTTGGATGATGATTTTCACTTCATTCTGTGGCTTTGGTTAATTGCCAGAGTTCTAAAATGGTTGATTTGAGTTGGTTTGACCATCTTTTCATTGTTTTAGAGGGAAAGTGAGTTCATCAAAGTCCTCGCTCTGCCATTCCATCTATCTACTATTACTCCTGTCTTTGAAAAAAACTTTAAATCCTCTTCATCTCACATGCCTTTGCAGTTATGACTTCATTTCTCAATTCCCCTAACAGCAAAACTCTTCAAAGAGTTTTCCTTCCTCACGTTCTCTACTCTTCTCCTATATGCTGTTCATATAACATATATTAGATATATGATAAAAGAATAGGCTGGGCGCGGCGGCTCACACCTGTAATCCCAGCACTTTGGGAGGCTGAGGCGGGTGAATCACTTGAGGTCAGGAGTTGAAGACCAGCCTGGCCAACATGGTGAAATCCCGTCTCTACTAAAAATATAAAAATTAGCTGGGTGTGACGGCATGTGCCTGTAATCCCAGCTACTTGGAAGGCTGAGGTAGGAGAATCGCTTGAACCCAAGAGGAGGTTGCAGGGAGCCAAGGTCACGCCACTGCACTCCAGCTTGGGGGACAGAGCGAGATTCCATCTCAAAAAACAAACAAACAAAAAAACAATATATACATTATATACACAAGTTATAAGTATAATAATATGAAAACCCAAGAACTCACAACCCCACCCAAGAACATTAATGATATCATCTACCTGTGTGTCATTTTCTATCCCATTCCTCACCCTCCCCACCACTCCACTCCTGAAATTCCTGCTCTGCTAAGTCTTGTGCTTAACATTCACTTGCCCTTTTTGATATATGGGATTTTTTTTCATATTTGTGGGGATGCTTAACCAATACATTGTTTATTTGACTCAGTTGTGAGCCTTGTAAAAATAGTATCATACTGTGTGTGTGTGTGTGTGTGTTTTTTTTTTTTTTTTTTTTTTTTTGAGACGGAGTTTCACTTGTCGCCCAGGCTGTAGTGCAGTGCAATGGTGTGATCTCGGCTCACTGTAACCTCCGCCTCCTGGGTTCAAGTGATTCTTCTGCCTCAGCCTCCCGAGTAGCTGGGATTACAGGTGTGCACCACCACACCCAGCTAATTTTGTATTTTTAGTAGAGTTGGGGTTTCACCGTGTTGGCCAGGCTGGTCTTGAACTCCTGACCTCAGGTGATCCACCTGCTTCGGCCTCCCAAAGTGCTGGGATTACAGGCGTGAGCCACCATGCCCGGCCCTGTGTGGTCTTCTGAGACTTAACTTTTTTCATTCAATATTATGTTTCTAAGATTCACCTATGTTGTTACATGTAGCTAGAGTTTGTTTACAATATTCCCTTGGGTGACCATAAGACAAATTATCCATTCATCCGTTGTTGGACATTTGGGTCATTTCCAGCTTTTTGCTCTTATGGACAGTGCTACCATGAGCATTCTTAGGTGTATCTCCTGGAACATATGCACACCCATTTTTCTAAGGTATATAGACCTAGGAATGTGATTGTTGATTAATAGGTCATCCAAAAGTTCGGCTTGACAGGATTATGCCAAACTGGTGGTAACCAATTTACACTACTTTCAGAAATGTATGAGATCCCGTTGATCCACATCCTCATACACTTGATATTGTCCTCCTTCTTATTTTTTGTTATTACACTGAGTGTAAAATGGTATTTCACTGGGGACATATTAGCATTTTCTTAGTCATTAATGTGATCAAGCATCTTTTCATGGTCCTTAGCCACATGTTTCCTCTTCTGTGAAAGGACTGTTAATATCTTTAGCCCATTAAAATTTTTCTGGGTACAATGGCTCATGCCTGTAATCTCAGCACTTAGGGAGGCCAAGGAAGGCAGATCACTTGAGCCCAGGAGTTCGAGACCAGACTGGGCAACATGATGAAACCGCATCTCTACAAAAAATACAAAAATTACCCGGGTGTGGTGGTGCATGCCTGTGGCCCCAGCTACTTGGGAGGCTGAGGTGGGAGGATGGCTTGAGCCTGGGAGGCGGTGGCTACAGTGAGCTGAGATCACACTACTGCATTTGAGCCTAGGCGGCAGAACTAGACTCTGTCTCAAAAAAAAAAAAAAAAGATCTTTTTTGTTTAGATGGGTTCTCACTACGTTGTCAAGACTGGTCGTGAACTCCTGTGCTCAAAGGATCCTCCTACCTCCATTTCCCAAGTAGCTAGAATTATAGATGTGCATCACCATGCCTGGCTAAATCATTTTTTATTGATTTGTAGGTGTTCTTTATGTGGATCCTCATCATTGGTCAGTTGTATGTGTTGAATAGCTTCTGTAATTTTGAAGCTTTTTTAATGGTATCTTTGCATGAGTAGAAATTCTTATTTTTCTTTCTTTTTTTTTTTTTTTTTTGTGAGACGGGGTCTCACTCTTTCACCCAGGCTGGAGTGCAGTGGTGGGATCACAGCTCACTGCAGCCTTGACCTCCCTGGGCTCAGGTGATCCTCCCACCTCAGCTTACTGAGTAGCTGGGACTACAGGCGTGTGCCATGCCTGTAAATTAGCCATACCTGGCTAATTGTTATTTTTTATTTTTTGTAGAGACAGGGTCTCCCTGTTGCCCAGGCTAGTCTTATTTTTGAGTTGAACAAATCCATCTTTTCTGTATTATAGCCAGCAATTTTTTGTCTTGTCTTCTCTAACCTATAGTTATAAACATTTTCTTTATTTTCTTCCAATAAAAGTTTTAAAAGTTTACCTTTCACATTTAAGTCCAAATGGAATTGGTTTTTGTGTGGTATAAGGTAGGGAGCTGGTTTCATTATTTTCCATATGAATAACATAATAATCTGAGAAACCACCTCTGGCTGGAGCATCAACATTCCATATCCATATAGATCTGTTTCTGGCCTCTCTTTGCTGTTGGTTAGCTTTTTGTCCCTGAACCAGTACTACACTGCCTTAATTACCTTGCCTTCATAATAAATCTTGATATTTGATAAAGCAAAATCTTCCCATCTTATTTTTCTTCAGAAGTATCATGTATTTTTAGCCCTTTGTTATTTTATTTATTTATTTATTTATTTTGAGATAGGTTCTTGCTCTGTCACCCAGGCTGGAGTGCAGTGGTGTGATCTTGGCTCATAGCAGCCTTGACCTTCTGGGCTCAAGCGGTCCTCCCACCTCAGCTTCCTGGGTAGCTGAGACTACCATCATGCCATAATGCCCAGCTAATTTTTGTATTTTTTGTAGAGACAGGGTTCCCCCCATGTTAACCAGGCTGTTCTCGAACGCCTGCGCTCAAGCAATCCACCCACCTTGGCCTCCCAAAGTGCTGAGATGACAGGCATGAGCTACCTTGACCAGCCCCCCTTTGTTATTTTATTGTATTAATTTAGTTATTTGAGACAGGGTCTTGCTGTGTCATGCAGGCTGGAGTGCAGTGGTACAGTAAGTTCACTGCAGCCTCAACCTCCAGGGCTCAAGCAGTTCTCCCACCTCAGCCTTTCAAGTAGCTGGGACTACAGGGGCATGCCACCACACCCAGCTAATGTTGGTATTTTTTTGTAGAGACAGGGTTTCGCCATGTTCCCCCAGCTGGTCTCGAACTCTTGGCCTCAAGTGATCCTCCTGCCTTGGCCTCCCAAAGTGCTGGGATTACAGGTGGGGGTTACCACGCTCGGCCCCCCTTTGTGTTTTTTTAAACACATTTCAGAATCAGCTTGTCATGTTCTGTAAAAATGTTGGAATTGCAGTGAATCTGTAGATCATTTTGAAGAGAATTGATGTTTATGGTGTTGAGCCTCCCTCCCTAAGAGCCTGACATAGCTCTCTATTGTAAATAAATTATTGAATGTCTTCTGGCAGAGCTTTATGTTTTTCTGCATAAGGTCTACATATCTTGTGTTCGATTTATTTATTGGTACTTTATGGGTTTTCTGCTATTATAAGTGGGATCTTTTATTGTATTTTTTATCTCTTTTGCAGGTATATAGAAATGAAGTTGGCTTTTGTATATTAGTATTATAACCATTTGCCTTATTACACTTTTTATTATTTATTTTATTTATTTATTATTTATTTATTTTTGAGTTCGCATCTCGCTCAGTTGCCCAGGCTGGAGTGCAGTGGCGTGATCTCGGCTCACTGCAACCTCCGCCTCCCAGGTTCAAGCAATTCTCCTACTCAGCCTTCCCAGTAGCTGGGATTACAAGCGTGTGCCACCACGCTCAGCTAATTTTTTGTATTTTTAGTAGAGATGGGGTTTCACCATGTTGGCCAGGCTGATCTTGAACTCCTGACCTCAAATGATCCACCCGCTTCAGCCTCCCAAGGTGTTGTTTTTTTTTGTTTGTTTTTGTTTTTTGAGATGGAGTCTCGCTCTGTCTCCTAGTCTGGAGTGCAGTGGCGCCATCTCGGCTCACTGCCACCCCCACCTCCCAGGTTCAAGCAATTCTCCTGCCTCAGCCTCCTGAGTAGTTGGGATTACAGGCTCCCACCACCATGCCCAGGTAGTTTTTGTATTTTTAGTAAAGACGGGGTTTCACCATGTTGGCCAGGCTGGTCTCTCGAACTCCTGACCTCAGGTGATCTGCCTGCCTCGGCCTCCCAAAGTGCTGGGATTATAGGAGTGAGCCACCATGCCCGGCCCTAAACTTATTTTTAAATAGGTTTTTATTCTGGAATAGTTTTAGATTTACAGAAAAGTTAGTTAAGAGATAGTACAGAGAGTTTCTGTATATTCCTCACTGTAGTACATTTATCAAAAATAAGAAAGCAACATTGCTATATTACTACTACCTAAACATCAGACTTTACATGGCTTTATCAGTTTTTTTCACTGGTGTCCTTTTTTTGTTCCAGGATCCAATTCAAAATATCGCATTTCATTCAGTTGTCGTGTCTCCATAGTGTCCTCTGGTCTATGACAGTTTCTCAGTCTGTTCTTGTTTTTTTTTTTTGTTTGTTTGTTTTTGGTTTTTTTTTCCCAGAAGTCCATTAAGCCGAGAATGACCTTGTTTTTTATGACCTAACAGTTTTAAGGAATACTGTTGAATGTTCCTCAGTTTGTATTTGTCTGAAGTTTTGCTTATATTTAGAGTGGAGTTGTTTTTGGAAAGAACACCAGAGTTTAAATGCCTTTCTTATCAGATCATATCAGAGGTACCTGGTATCCATTGGCATCCCTGGTTTTGTGAACCTTCATCCCTTGGTTAAGGTGATGTTTGCCAGGTTTTCCCCCTGGCAAGTTGCTGCCTTTCCCTTTTCATAGTCTGTTCTTTGGAAGACTCTAGCCCACCCTCAAGTAGGTGGGAAGAATTGAGCTATAGCTCCTGGAAGGAGAGGGTGTATCTCTGTATATCATTTGAAATTCTTCTGTAAAGATTTGTCTCTTATCCCTTATTTATTTATTCAGTCACTTATATCAGTATGAACTCATGCATTTTTATTTAATAATTTGAGTTATAAATCTAATACTGTGTTCTTTGTTTTGTTGGTCAAATCAGTCCAGTTTTGGCCACTGGGGACTCTTGCCAGTTGGCTCCTGTGTCCCTTTCACATGCTCCCATCCTTTGGTTTTGAGCACTGCTTTACTTGCCAGCACTAGGAAATGCTCCAGACTCGTCTTGTATTTTCCTCTCTTAGTCCTGGAATCAGCCATTTCTCCAAGGAACCCTGGTTCCTTTTAAGGTGTCTGTATATTCTTTTATGTTTTCTATGGTGACAACCATATCAGCTATAAATAATGACAGTTTTGTCTTTTCCTTTCCAATCTTTATGCCTTTATTTTTCTTGTCGTACTGAGATGACCAGGACATCTAGTACAATGATGACAGCATGCATCTGTGTCTTGTTGTGTATTTTAGAGGAAACACCACTAACTTTTCCCTATTAAGAATGATACTGTATTTGCTATAGATTTCCTACGGGTTTTATCAGGTTAAGCAAGTTCCATCCTATTACTCTATACTAAGAGGCTTTTATTTTTTTAATAATGAAAGGGTGTTGAATTTTTACCAAATGCCTTTTCTGTTTCTTATGATAATTATATGTTTTTTCTCCAATAATCTGATATGTGGTAAATGACATTTATAGATTTTCCTCATGTTAGACCATCTTTGCATTTCTTGTATAAACACAACTTGGTCATGGTCTTTCATTTTTTATACAGGTTGGTGAACAAAAGTTTGGAATTTTGCAACTGTGTCCATGAGTAAAATTGGTCTTTTCCTTTCTCAGGCTGTTCTTATTGGCTTTTGGCAGTAAGGTTCTGCTGGTATAGAATGACTCAGAGTGTTCCCTCTTTTATAATATTCTGGAAGATGCTGTATAAGTTTGGAATGATTGGTTTGGTAGAACTTCTGCAAAACCATCTTGTCTAGTGTTTTCCTTTTTAATATTGAATTAGTGTTAAACTTATAAATTAAAATATTTTCAAAATTGTAAATAAGAAGGTTGAAATTTGCTTCCATGTTTATTTTATAAGCTTTATGCTTGAAATGGCTACACACAAATCCTGAGCAAGACTTTTTTTTTTTTTTCTGAGCAAGACTTTTTAATGATGCATTCTTCAAATTCTTAACAGTCGCCATCCATAAATGTCTTTTTTTGTACAAGTAGGTGATAAAATATTTAAAGCCAATTTTTAAATGTTTCAAAGATATTTAACAATTGGAATTATATCTAACAGCTTTTCTTTTTGTTTCACTGACAAGTATATTGTTAAAACTTCTCATGATGATGTGAGTAGATTTCAAATCCAGTTGAACGCTTTCATATTAACAATTTCAAAATAATGATGAAGCTCTTATTTGCAGAACATGCATCATTATTAGAACCATCACCCTGCAGCTAGCTTGGATACCATTAAAAGGGCTCATCAGCTGCAAACGGATTAAAGTATCTGATACTCGGGAAGACAGAGTTTCAGGGTTTCTACCTGGAGCTACACCCTCAGGAAGCCCCTCCTTGGCCTCCCTGCACCCAGTCCCATCCCAACCAGTCACATCTTGGGCTGTGCGTGGTGTTTCTTGGAAACTGGAACACAGACTCCTCCAGCAGCTCCACAGGTCCCTTGTCCTCAATGAGCAGAAGACTACAGGAGCTGGCTACTGAAGAGGCTGTCCAAGTAATAGAGCACCTTCTTGGCCCTGCTTAGCACATTTACTGCAGAGCTGGATGCTACTTATTTGTGCTCACCACCTTCAGGGACTGCAGAGAGATTTGTCAGACCCTACTTCACTAAGGGCCACCCTCTAAGGATCTCCAGAAGAGGCTGCCCATAGAGAGAAGTGGCCTGCCTAGGGTCTCCACTTCCTCAGGTCCTACCCGGACACCTCTAGGGCTGAGGGGATCAGTATCTCTTCACCTGCCTGTAATCCACATACCAAGTGGAAGAATCTGCCTGCTATTTTTTGTTTGTTTGTTTGTTTTGGCGGGAAGAGTTTTAACTACTGCTGTAACTCCTTTAGTAGCTATGGAACTGTTGAGGATTTCTTTTTCTTCTTGAGTCGATTTTGGTAAGATAACAGTTTTCTAGGAGTTGGTCCATTTTGTCTGCATTTTCAAATTCATTGGCATAAAGTTTCCTTTTTATTCTGTGCTGTGTATGAACTGTAACAATGTCTCCTTTTTCATTACTGATATTGGTTATTTGTGCCTTCTCACTTTTTTTCTTGATCAATCTCACCAGAGGTTTATCTATTTTATTAGTCTTTTCAAAGAACCAACTTTTGGCTTTGTTGCTCCTCTCTATTGTATCTTTGTTTTCTATTTCTTTAATTTCTGCTCTTATCTTTTTTGATCTCCTTCCTTCCACATTTTTTGGGTTTATTCTGTTGTTCTTTTTCTAATTTAACTGGACATTGAGCTCATTAGTTTTCATTCTTTCCCATTTTCTAATTTGTGCATTTAAGGATATAATTTCCCTCTAACTCCTGCTTCTCCATAAGTTTAGATATGTAGTATTTTCATTATTGCTCAGTTATAAGTACTTCATTTCTATCAAGGTTACTTCTTTGACCTGTAAGTTATATAGAAATGTGTTTTTAGATTTCCAAATGTTTGGGGATTTAAAATTTTATCTCTTTGTTATTGAAATCTGTCTTAATTGCATTATGGTCAGAGGATGTGGTTTGTGTGACAACAACTCTGAAATTTTTTAGACTTGTTTTATGGCTTAGTATGTGACCAATATTTTTGAATGCTTCCTGTGTGCTAATTTATAAGAATGTGTGTTCTCTAATTGTTGAATACAGAGATCTACATATGTCTATTATCAAGTTTGTGAACTATTGTTCAATTTTTACTTACCTATACTGATTTTTTTGGTCATTATCTACTGATAATTGAAAGAGGTGCGTTAATGTTCAACTGTAATGGTGGATTTGGCAATTTCTCCTTGTAATTCTATCTCGTTTCTTGCTTTATATATTTTGAGGGTGTTCATTAGGAATATTCAAATTAAAAATTGTTATATATTCCTGATAAATATGTAATGACCCTCTCTATTCCTGATAATGCATTTTTCTTTGAAACCTATTTTATCTTATATTAATGTAGTAACACAAACTTTTCTTGTTGGGATTTGTGTGGTATATAATTTTCCATCCTTTTACTTTTGAGCATTTTCATGCCATTATGTTTAATTATATCTCTTGGAAACAACATATAACTGGACCTTTTAAAAAATCTAATCTGATTATCTCTTTTGGTTGGCAAGTTTAGTCTGTTTACATTTACTGTGATGTATTTGGGCTTGTTTCTACCATCATACTTTTTTATTTCTGTTTACCATCACTACCTTTTCTGTGCTTCATTTTCTCTTTTCTCGCCTGCTTTTTTAGTTTTGAGATTTGTTTTCTTATTCAATTTTTTTCCTCCCTATTTTTAAATTTTTTTCTATTCTTTCTGTGGTTATCCTTGATGTTTTCCATATGTGTTTAACTTATAAAGTCTAAAGTTAAACAATATTTTAGCCCCCTTCTTAAAGAATGCAGGAAGCTTAGAAACCTTCAACTCTAGTCATTCCTCTCCTGATCACATACTGTTGTTTTCAAATATGTTAGTTTGTTCCTTTTTATAAACCTCACAATTTTACATCATTGTCAGTGTTATTTTATATAGACAGTGTTTGTTTGGACTTACATGCATACATTCTTGTATCACACATCATCCTTTGGGATCATTTTCTTTCATTATGAATATAGTGTTTAAGTGAGTTTTTTTTTTTTTTAGTACAGGTCTCTTGATGTTAAATTCTTCCAGTCTTTCTTATATGTAAATGTCTTTATTTTATCCTCATTCTTAAAAGATAGTTTGTTACAGGTATTTTTACTCAACACTTAGAATATATGGTTCCATTCTCTTTTGGCTTTGAGATGTCTGTTGCTATTAAGAAGTCGACTATCAGACTAATTGCTGGTTTTGTGTGTGTGTGTAGTAGTAGTAGTAGTAGTGGTAGTAGTGGTAGTAGTAGTAGTGGAATGTGCAGGGGGTCCTGCAGTTTTACTCTAACATGTTTACATATGTATTTTTTTTTAATTCTACTTTGGGAATGTCATGCTTCGTGGCTCAGTGAATTCATGCTTTTCATAATTTCTGGGAAATTCTCAACCATTATCTCTTCAAATATTGCCTTTCATTTTTTCTAGTTTTTCTTTCTTGGAATACAGTTAGTCATATTTTGGACCTCCTCATTCTATCTTCCGTATCTCATAACATCTCTGAGATTTTCTATCTCCTTGTCTTTCTGCACTTCATTCTGGATAATTTCTTTAGGTATATCTTTCAGCTTACTGATTCTCTTTTCAACTATGTTTAATCTGCTCTAATCTGCCCATTGAGTTTTTTATTTCAAAAGTTATATTTTTCATTTGTACAAACCTCATATATTTTACTTGCTAATCTGCCTAGTCATCCCTAATAGTCTCTTATTGCTTGGTCATCTTAGTGATTACATCTGTTATTACTTCTTTAAAACATTTTATATAATTTTTGTTCAACCAGTAGTCACTGTTTGCATGAGTATGACATTGTAAATATTGTTCACATCAAAACTACATAGTATATTCTGATTACATATCCTTCGTTGTATACCCTTTCGTTTTCCTTGGAGCTAATAATTGTGTATTTTGTTTTCTTTTGCTTAGTGTTCTAGTACCTATACTATTCTTCTCTGAAATTCTTTATACAATCCAAATCAGATCATGTCCTTCCACTATTCAGAATTCTCCCATGGCTCCCACCTCCCTCAACAAAAGCCAAAGCCCTCACCATGGCCCAAAGTCCCTACATAATCTGGTTCCCTTTACCTCTCTTACCTTGTCTCCTATCACTCTCAATATCACTCACTCTTCTCCAGCTACACTGGCCTCCTTGCTGTTCCCCAAGTGTGCTAGATACCCTTCCTTTTCAGGGCCTTTGTACTTGTTCTTCTCACTGCCTGAAACACCCTTCCTCCTAAATAATCTGATGAGTTGCCCTAGTACTTCCAGTGTGCTCAAATGTCACCTCCCTAGAGAAGTGTTTCCTGATCAACATATCTAAAATCGCCCCATCACATGCATTTTATATCCCTTTATCCTATTTTATGTATGTTTTTCTACAAAGCACTGATCACCACCTGGTATATTTTATATTTATTTATTGTGGTTAGTGTTCGTCTCTCTTCAGTAGACTGTAAGCTCCATAAAGCAGGGACTTCTGTTTTGTTCACTGCTGTATCCCCAGTGCCAAAAACAACAGTGCATAGTAGATACTCAATAAATATTTGTGGAATAAACTGAATGAATGGATGAATGACTTAATTGATTAATGTGGAGGATAGAGAAATAAAGGCCTTGAGGAGTAGGCTAGGCACAAAGGCCTTTAATGCCATGCTAAGGAACTTGGATATCATTTTTCATAAGGGTGGGGGCTGTGAAGAAGCAGTGAGGATAGCTCCTGGGTTCTTTTGGGAAGCAAGTTCTCAGTTGGTAGGGTTGTGGCAAAGCCCCATATTTTCTGACTGGCTGTACGCCCTAGGGCTCCTGAAGGCAGGCCTGCCTCTTACTCAAATAGCCCTCAAACTGCTGTGTTGTCGTGCTGCCTGTTACCTGGTGAAAAACAAAACCCCAACTCTCATTGGGCTTTCTGATCCCAGCTATCATCCCCCTTTCTCTTGCACGGTGAGGAACTGTTTCCTGGTCCCCAGGCCAAGCAGACCACTCTCATTATACTTTACCTGTGGTACTTGGTGGTGGTAGGGGGGCTGCAGGGGATAGCGTGGAAGCTGGCATGATGCTGGGCTCATAGTAAGTGTTATTATAATGGGAGATACCCATAGGAGGGTAAGTTACAGCTCAAAAAGAGTTTATTTCATTGTCAAAGTGAGAACAGGCTGTGTGGGGTTTTAGTCCTGACTTTGCCCCTAACCCTACTGGGGCCTAGTCTGGCTCCAGTGTTTCTGCCTGCCCATGACTCCGGATACTAATTCTGTTGTCTAATGTGTGACCTACTCTCCTGTTTTGGTCACCCACTAATTTCATCAGCATGCCATCAGAATTATACAGAATGCCATCTATAAGTTCAGTTGAGCAAAATTTGACCACTTACTGTGTGTCAGGCCTCCTGCTGTACACTGAAGACACAGAGATGAACGAGGTGTGTTCCTAGACACAGAACCGTAATTTCAGGGCAGTGTGGTCAGTGCAGTAACACTGGTAGGAAGAATAGACTGTGAGAGCCCCTAAGGAATACACAACCCAGCTCAGGGGACCAAGGAAGCTTTCTTGGAAGAGATGGCATATGAACTAAATCTTAAAAGATTTAGTTTAACTTTCTAATGTTAAACTGCTCTTGCATTTCTGGGATTAAACTCAACATTTTTGTGTTGTATTAAATCTTACTCATTCTGGATGTGGTTTGCTAATAAACTGTTTAGGATTTTTGCATCTTTAGCCATCTGTATTTGTCTGGTTAAGGTTATAGTGATCTTATCCAATAAATAAATCAGTTTTCTAGGAATTGGTCCAATTCATGTAAGTTTTCAAATTAATTATATTCTCTTATTTTTAAATTTTTACTATATCTTTTATGTTGTTCATATTATTTGTGCCTTTTCTATTTTTTCTTGTTAGTCTCTCCAAAGATTTTTTTTTAGCGATTGGCCTTGAAAGCTTACCATACATATTTAACCTAAAGTCCAAAGTTAAACATACTCCCCACCCAAAGAATTCAGACTTTATAAATCTTTAATGTCTCCCAATTTACATGTTATTATGTCTACTATTTTTGTTCCTCCCTTATTAAGGATGACACTAACAATATCATTTTATGCAAACATTGTTTGCTTAAATACTCATTTACCTTTTATTTGCCCATCTTTCTTCTTTTACCTCAGATGTCGTTTTTGGGATGATTTTTCTTCTTCTTCTTTTTTTTTTTTTTTTTTTTGAGATGGAGTCTCACTCTGTCACCCAGGCTGGAGTGCAGTGGCGCTATCTGGGCTCACTGCAAGCTCTGCCTCCTGGGTTCACACCATTCTCCTGCCTCCGCCTCCCAAGTAGCTGGGACTACAGGCGCCTGTCACCATGCCTGGCTATTTGTGTGTGTGTGTGTGTGTGTGTGTGTGTGTGTTTAGTAGAGACGGGGTTTCACTGTGTTAGCCAGGATGGTCTCGATCTCCTGACCTCGTGATCCGCCTGCCTTGACCTCCCAAAGTGCTGGGATAACAGGCATGAGCCACTGCGCCCAGCCTGATTTTTCTTCTTCTTGAAATACATACAGAACTTTAGAAAATCCTTTAGCATAGATCACTTAATTGGAAACTCTTAGTCTGTGTTTATCTATAAATGCCTTTTTTTCCCTTTATTCTTCTTAAAAGATAGGTTTGCTAGGTACCTACTTCTAAATTGCCTTTTTTAGAAGGATATTAAACACTGACACTAAGAGGACATTAGGACACTCGTCTGGTTTCTATTATTACTGTTGCAAAGTCTACTGTCACTCTAATTTTTTTCGTAGGTGTTCTTTTTCTCTGGCTGCTTTGAAGGTCCTTTAATTATTGCTTGACTCTATAAGATCTTTTTAGTTGGTGTTGTCTTGCAAATGTTCCTTTTTATAGCTTCCTAATCTTTCCCTATGAATGCAGTGTTTTCTTCTTGTCGCTCTGATGACATTAAATAATAATGTCTTTTTAAAAAGTGTTCTCCTTACAAATTTATTTATTTATTTATTTATTTATTTATTTACTGAGACAGAGGCTCACTCTGTCACCCAGGCTGGAGTGCAGTGGCGCGATCTCATCTCACTTCAACCTTCGCCTCCTGGGTTTAAGTGATTCTTCTGCCTCAGCCTCCCAAGTAGCTGGGATTACAGGTGCCCACCGTCACACACGGATAATTTTTGTATTTTTAGTAGAGACAGGATTTCACCATGTCGGTCAGGCTGGTCTCAAGCTCCGGGCCTGAAGTGATCCATACACCTTGGCCTCCCAAAGTGCTGGGATTACAGGCGTGAGCCACCGCGCCTGACCCTACATAATTTTTGTTTCCAAACATATATATTTCGTTGTCAGCAGTAGTGAGAAACTCACTGACACCAGATTTGGCCAAAGGCACCACAGATAACACAGGCATGACATATTCTGAAGCCTTAGAAAGAATTTGTATGAATAGTGGGCCAGGGGGGCCCTCTACTGTGTGCAAACATGGGTCAGTGCCACAGTTCTGTCACTTGCGAGTATGGTAGTGCAGTGGACTTGAGACAGACTGCCTGGATTCAAATCCCAGAGCTGGTCAAGTCACTTGACCTCAATTTTCTGTAGTTTCTTCGTAAAAATGGGGATAGTAGTGTTACAGCTGTTTTAGAATTTGTCTAGCAGGCATTCTGGTTTTTGCTGAAAGCCCCCTTAAAAATAAATAAAACAAAACTGGGGATAGTAGTAATATGCACTTCATAGGATTATTGAGGGTATTAAATGAGTTAATCTACATAAAGTATTTAGAATAATACATGGCATGTAGTAAGCACTGTATATGTGTTTGCTGTTACTACCATTATTACTTTTGCGACGAGGGGATTGAAGGAAGAAGAGCTTCTATGCTGCAATGGGGAAAGGAGTATATCCTGCCCTGTGTGTTCCCCTAATATCTTGGATATAAAAGCCATCCACAAAAAACACAGGGTCAGGAATTTGAAGGTGTTATTTGGGCATCTTAGAGTGTGGGATATCAAGTAGGCAGTCAGAATGGGATAGAATTCTTCAGTGGGAAGTATTGGATATTTCCTTTTTGGAGCAGAGCAGTACCATATGGGGGAACAGTGACAGAGGGATAATCTAGGGTCAGGGGATTTCTTAAGCAGTTAATAATGCTTTTTCTCTTAGGAACTAACCTGTCAGGTACTGAGAGGCTTTGAAGATGGCTCTTCAGGTTGGGGACACACCTTTATTAAGGGGCAAGACTGCTGCCAGGAGTTGATTCACATACTCAGAGGTAGGATTGACCACACAAAAAAAATGCTTTCAAGTCTTTGTTCTAAATTTTCTTTGACCCTCCGTAAGTTTGGGGAAAGTCCCAGCCTCAGTAACCACCTCAGTAACCATCCCAGACACAGTCTAGAGGATATGAACAGGCAGAGTGGGTCATGTGGAAAACAGGCGCGTGGTGGGGAGGCCAATTTGAGGAGCCATTAGTATTAAAATGGAAAGTTCAAGAGATACAAAAATTATAAACAAAACTTTATCAAATCAAATCCAATAATGTATTAAAAGGATAATGAATCATAACAAAATGGATTTTATCCCAGGAATGCAGGATTGGCTTGGCATTAGAAAATCAATCATGCAGTTCAACATATTAACAAACCAAAAAGGAAAACCCATATGATTATTGCAATAAATGCAGAAAAAGCATTTGACAACATCTAACATCCATTCCTGAGTTTAAAAAACAAAAACCTCTTGGCAAACTAGAAGTAGAAGGGAACTTCTTCAACCTGATATAGGGCATCTGCAAAATAACCCACAGCTAACATTATATTTAGTGGTGAAAACTGAGTGCTTTCCCCCACAAGATCAGAAATCAAACAGAGATGTCCACTCTCACCACTTCTATTCAGCATTATACTGAAGGTTCTAGGCAGTGCAGTCAGGCAAGAAAAAGAAGCAAAAGGCATCCAAATTGGAAAGGAAGAAGTAAAACTGTATTTACAGAAAATGTGATCATCTATATAGAAAATCCAACTGAGTCCACCAAAAATAAAACCCTACTAGAACTAATAAGTGAGTCTAACAAGTTGCAGGTTATAAGATCAATATACAAAAATTAGTTGTATATCTATATACTAGCAATGAACAATTGGATACAGAAAGTTTTAAAATACCATTTACAATAACATCTAAAAATATGACTTAGGAATAAATCTGACAAAAGATGTGGAAGACCTATACACTTGTATTGCTGAGAGAAAGAGGAGCCAAATCAATGAAAAACATTCATAGGTTGGAAAACTTAGTATTGTTATGATGTCAATTCTCCCCAAATTGATCCATAGATTAAATGTAATTCCTATAAAAATCTCAGCAGGCTTTTTGCCGAAATTTACAAACTGATCCTAAAATTCATATGGAAAGGCACTACAGAGCCTGGTACAGTGTGTAGAAACCCTGGGTAGGGTTCAGCTTTCCCACAGGATTAGGACTATCAGTGGAGCACATGTAGAGAGGAAAAACAGTGACAGGGCCTCCAGTTGCAAACAGGTCTACAAAGAATATGAACAAGCAATTTCCTGAAGTGGAAAACCCAAAAAGCTAACAGGCCTAATAAAAGATGTTCAGATGTATTAACAGAAAAGTCTAAAATAAAACTACAGTGAGATTTTACTTTAGGTTTCACAAACAGACAAAATTTTAAAAAGCTGGATCATGCCAAGTCCTTTAGTGGGGATATGGGGGCATAGGGACCCTCTTGCATTGGGATTGGGGACTTTGGCCGCCATCCCAGAGATGAATGTGGCACTATCCCCATGGGCCCTCCAAAGAAATTCTCATACAGGTCCATAAAGGGTCATGTAGAAGAATGTGCATTATGGTGTAGTTTGCAACAGTGGGAAGTTGAAGGCATGCTGGGTGTCCATCACCAGGGGCATACACAGGGAAATAGTGATGGGTGCACTCCACAGAGGACCTCTTAACCTTTAGACCAGTGAGTTAGATGTACACAGGGCAACACGATGATCTTCAACACGTAGCACTGAGTGAAAAAGAATGAACTGTATAACAATACTACTCACAAGTTACAAATATATGCACATATACACCAAATACACACCTTACAGAAATGCACACAAAAGGATGTAAGTTAAACACATTTGAAAAATGCCTGTGTCGGGGAGTCGGGAGGAATGGGAGCATGGATGACAGGGAATACATAAAACAAGAAAGCGGTGGAATTGCCAGTCACGGTGGCTCACACCTGTAATCCCAGCACTTCGAAAGGCCGAGGCGGGAAGATTGCTTGAGCCTAGGAGTTCAGTTCCAGCCCGAGCAACATAGTGAGTCCTCATCTCTACAAGAAATACAAAATTAGCCAAATGTGGTGGTGTGTGCCTGTGGTCCCAGCTACCAGAGAGGCTGAGGTGGGAGGATTGCTTGAGCCCAGGAGTCTGAGACTGCAGTGAACCGAGATTGTACCGCTGCACTCCAGCCTGGGTGACAGAGTGAGACCTTGTCAAAAAAAAAAAAGAAAGAAAGGGGGAGGAGAAAAAACAAGCAGAAAGTGTCTGTTCCCTTGGCCTAGTCACCCACTCCCCATGGCATCATCCTTTAGAGTCTGCTCTTCACTGAGGAGGAAACAGCCACACCTACACTCTGCTAACCTGAGGCCAGAATGCCCAGGTGAGCCTGGCGCAGACGGTCTGTACTTGGCTGGTTTTGAGTATGTGCTGGTGCGGCTCCTGCACACCCTCTCACCAGCACTGCAGCTGCCTGGAGCAGGTGTGGACATGCATTTCACCACACAGAAGTTGCCTGCTGTGATCTACTATTGAGGGTGGGGGCTGGTCACAGAGTTTGGAAGTGAAGAGTTAGAGCGGCCCATTCCCTGTCAAACCATATGGTAACCAGACCATATGGTAACTAATTTCTGGTCCACATAACAGCCCTGCCAGTGCCCTGACTATGCTGAGACATGGGTGTATTTTCCTGGCCTCATTTATAACCGTACCCTCTGACTTCCCCAGAAGCAGCTCTTGTAAACTCTTAGGGAAACTGAAGCCAGACTCACTATGACTGAGAGATTCTCTCCAGCTTATCCTCTCCTGGAACTCTTCACCTAATTGTAGCAATACTGCTCCTTCCATAACCAGCTTAGCTTCCATAACCAGCAAAACAAAACAATACCTTGTTCAGTGATACATACATGGGAGGTGAAATTTTCTCAAAAGCAGGCCAGGCACAGTGACTCACGCCTATAATCCCAGCACTTTGGGAGGCCGAGGTGAGTGGATCACCTGAGGTCAGGAGTTCGAGACCAGCCTGGCCAACATGGAGAAATCCCGTATCTACTAAAAATACAAAAATTAGCCGGACGTGGTGGCATGTGCCTGTAATGTCAGCTGCTCGGGAGACTGAGGCAGGAGAATCACTTGAACCCAGGAGGTGGGGGTTGCAATGAGCTGAGATCGTGCCACTGCACTCCAGCCTGGGCAACAAAAGTGAAACTCTGTCTCAAAAAAAAAAAAAATTTTTCCGCAAAAATCGAGGAAATGAGAACATAAAGGTCAAGGTAGTGGTTTCTTCTGGGCAGGGGAAGGAGATGAGGGATCCACAGTTGGCTTCTCAAACTCTATAATGTTCTAGTTCTTAAGCCAGCTGGTGGGTAGATGGGTGTCTTCTTACATGTCTTTCAACTGTACATGGAAGTTTTCAAAACTTTTCTCTATGTTGAATACATTTAAAAGTTTGAAAGGAACACAAAGAGATTTCAAACCCGATAACATTTGCATTTATCAGAACACATAGAATAAAAGAGAATGACAATAATCACATTGGAATATCTGCCTATGAGGGGGTGGGTGTTGGAAACGGGAGTGAGGAATGAAGGTAAAGTGGAGTCAATAAATGAATAAGTAAATAAAAAGGTAAGCATTTTACTGATCAAAGATAATAATGTAACATGACCAGTGGAGTATAGCTTCCTCCACCTGCACCTGAGATTCAAAGGAAAAATAAATACTGAGCGTGATCAAGAAACTGGTCCCTAATAAATCTGATTGATCCAAACCAACAGGTACAAACTTAAATCACCTGAGTACTCAAAAGATTATTATAATCAAGTAAATCATTGCAACAGAGAGTTTTCTGAGGTGAAGGATTTTGAAAGCTCCTTCAAAAGTTGGTCATTTCTCCAAAGTTTTGTCGGGATTGCTTCCCAGCATTCCTAAAGGATTCAGATGCATCCCTCGGTTCATTAGCCCATTTCACAGTAAAACTCAAAAGCTAGTGGAGAAAGCAGGGGGCTGAACTCATGTCCCTACAAGAGCAAAAGACCAAACCTTCATACCTTGGAAGTACAGTCCCATGTTGAACCATGTCTTGGAAATTGCCTCTGTAGCTTCAACACAAACAAAAACCTGGCTGTTGGAAAAATGTGTGCTTGATTTAACCTCAGCCATCCTTAGACTAGAAAAGAATCGTGGGGGTTATATTGAGTCTGCTTGGATCACCCCTAGCCACACTCTCCCTCCTTTTGTCCCCCAGTCCTAGTGTCCCTATCTCCACTGATGGACAAATGGACATTTCCCCTCAACACTGAGGTCACGAATTCTGCCTTGTCTCTGCACTCAGGTTGCCTTGCCAGATCTGCTGTGGGCTGCAGTTTTAGTTGAGATCATGTTAGTTAGCTCTTATTGTATGAAATGGCTTTCTGTTACCATAGGATGCTTCATTGAGGTATGTGCCTTCCTGCCTAACCTTGTACGTCTACTGACATATCAGGTAGACATGTTCCTTGCAAACTAAACATAGTAATGCGCTGCAGGCCAGTTGGAGTATAACCAGACCTCCCCATGCCATTTGTATCACCTGGGTCTGACCCACAATAACTGTCTTTATGAGTTGAGCCCTTGCAGAAGTCCCAGCCAACTTGTGGACAGCTGACTTTAACAAGGGAGGGCAGCTGCTTAGGATGCTCCCATTAAAATCAAAATCACACAGCACCTGTTGCCATCTTCTAGCCCTAGTGTCCACTTTCCATACTGGCAGAAGAGGGAAATGAGCCTATCATCAATGTCCTCCTCAAACTGGGTGTCTTAATGCCAACCACAGTCTATACAACAGCCCTATCCTCCTGGTAAGAAAGTCAGCAAAATTTATGTCTGAGAGCAGATGGGTCTGTCATCATGATCAGGACCCACACCACATTAGCGAACATATGTCACCCCTGTTCATCCCAGACTTCTGAATCCACCATCATCCTCTCTGTGAATCCAGTTCAGGCTTCTTTGGGGTTGACCTAACCAACACTATTTCTCTGTCTCAGGACATCCCAATTCCCTAAAACTCTGTTTTCACCCACCATCAGCAACAGAGAGTTTGTTTCTTTTTGTTTGTTTGTTTGTTTGAGACGGAGTCTTTGCTCTTGTCGCCCAGGCTGGAGTGCAATGATGCGATCTCAGCTCACTGCAACCTCCACCTCCTGGGTTCAAGCGGTTCTCCTGCCTCAGCCTCCCGAGTAGCTAGGACTACAGGTGTAAACTACCACGCCTGGCTGATTTTGTATTTTTACTAGAGATGGGGTTTCACCATGTTGGCCAGGCTGGTCTTGAACTCCTCACCTCAGGTGACCTGCCTGCCTCGGCCTCCCAAAGTGCTGGGATTACAGGCGTGAACCACCGTTCCCGGCTTTTTTTTTTTTTTTTCATTTTTAGGCAGGGTCTCACTCTGTCACTCAGGCTGGAGTGCAGTGGCGTGATCATGGCTCACTGCAGCCTCAGACTCCTGGGCTTGAGGCTCAGCCTCCCGAGTAGCTGGGATTACAGGCAAGATCTACCACGCCCGGCATATATATATATATATATATATATATATATATATATATTTTGTTTGTTTGTTTGTTTGTTTGTCTTTGAGATGGAGTTTTGCTCTTGTTGCCCAGGCTGGAGTGCAATGGCACAATCTCGGCTTACCGCAACCTCCCTCTCCTAGGTTCAAACAATTCTCCTGGCTCAGCCTCCCGAGTAGCTAGGATTACAGGCATGTGCCACCACACCCGGCTAATTTTGTATTTTTAGTAGAGACATCTCACTATGTTGCCCAGGCTGGTCTCAAACTCCTGGGCTCCAGCAATCCTCCTGCTTCAGCCTTCCAAATTGTTGGGATTATAAACATGAGCCACTGCACCTGGCCACATTAGTATACTGTTGATGTTGAACCATAACATTCTAAGTGGCCCTAGGATTTTCTTTTCTTGGGTTCTCCCATCCAGTTTTATAATTTAGGTTATACTAACCTCAAAAAGTGGAATAAATAGGTTTTACTTTTGTTATTGTGCATATGATTGGAATTAACTATACCTTGAAGGTTTGCTGCAGCTCACCTACAAAACCCACTGGGGTTTTGAGAGAGAACAGTTCTTTGACTACCATTTTTACTTCTTTAATACTTACTGGACTATTCAAGGCCTTTCTATTTGTGCCATTTTTAGCATGGTGTATTTTTCTAAGAATGTATCATTTATTTTCATCTAGGTTTTTTAATTCATTGGCATGTCATTCATAATTCTTCACTGTTAAAAAATCTATTTTTCTGGTCAGGCTCAGTGGCTCACGCCTGTAATCCCAGCACTTTGGGAGGCTGATCAGTGGCTCACGCCTGTAATCCCGGCACTTTGGGAGGCTGAGGCGAGCAGATCACCCGAGGCTGGGAGTTCGAGACCAGCCTAACCAACATGGAGAAAGCCCGTCTCTACTAAAAAAAAAATACAAAATTAGCCAGACATGGTGGCACATGCCTGTAATCCCAGCTACTCGGGAGGCTGAGGCAGGAGAATCACTTGAACCCTGGAGGCGGAGGTTGCGGTGAGCTGAGATCGTGCCATTGCACTCCAGCCTGGGCAACAAGAGCGAAACTCCATCTCAAAAAAAAAAAAAAAATCTGTTTTTCCCTAGTTATTGCCCCCCTTATCATTCTATATCTTGTTTTTTGTTTTGTTTTTTTGTTTTTTTGTTTTGACAGAGTTTCGCCACCGTGCCTGGCCTATATCTTGGTTTTTTAATTTTCTTTTTGTTTTTTTCTTGATCACTGGTCAGAAGTCTGTCTCTTTTATTGGTCTTTTCAAAGAATCTGCTTTGGTTTGCTTAATTTTCACTGTTATCTTTTGTTCTCTATTTTATTTATTTCTGCCTTATTTCTTTCTTGTTTCTTTGAATTTATTTTTATTTATTTATTTTTTTGAGATGGAGTTTCACTCTTGTTGCCCAGGCTTTAGTTCAACAGCGTGATCTCGGCTAACCACAACCTCCGCCTCCCAGGTTCAAGTGATTCTCCTGCCTCAGCCTCCCGAGTAGCTGGGATTACAGGCATGCGCCACGACGCACAGCTAATTTTGTATTTTTAGTAGAGACAAGGTTTCTCCACGTTGGTCAGGCTGGTCTTGAAATCCCGACCTCAGGTGATCCGCCCGCCTCAGCCTCCCAACAGGCGCGAGTCACCACGCCCGGCCTTTGTTTCTTTGAATTTAGAAATATAGGCTGGGCGCTGTGGTTCACGCCTGTAATCCCAGCACTTTGGGAGGCTGAGGCGGGTGGATCACCTGAGGTCGAGAGTTCAAGACCAGCCTGACCAACATGGAGAAACCCCATCTCTACTAAAAATACAGAATTAGCTGGGCGTGGTGGCACATGCCTGTATTAAAAGTACAAAATTAGCTGGGTGTGGTGGCGCATGCCTGTAATCCCAGCTCCTCGGGAGGCTGAGGCAGGAGAATCGCTTGAACCCAGGAGGTGGAGGTTGCGGTGAGCTAAGATTGCGCCATTGCACTCCAGCTTGGGCAACAAGAGCGAAATTCTGTCTTAAAAAAAAAAAAAAGAAATATAAACAATGTGTCATTGGCACAGAAACAGACAAGTAGACCAATACAACAGCATAGATACAGACACCTGTATATAAAAACCTATTGTATAACAAATCAAGGGAGAAAGGACAGTTGCTTAGTTAAAGGTGTTGAGAAAACTGGCTCATGACAGAGAACAATAAAACTGGATCCCTTCCTCATGACATGTACAAAAATGGATTCTAGGGGCCAGGCACAGTGTCTCAACGCCTGTAATCTCAGCGCTTTGGGAGGTTGTGGTGGGCGGATCACTTGAGGTCAGGAGTTCAAGACTGGCCTGGTCAACCAGACATGGTGAAACACCATGTCTACTAAAAATACAAAAAATTAGCCGGGTGTGGTGGTGTGTGCCTGTAGTCCCAGCTACTCAGGAGGCTGAGGCAGAAGAATCGCTTGAACTCGGAAGGCAGAGGTTGCAGTGAGCCAAGATGGTGCCACTGCTCTCCAGCCTGGGTGACAGAGCGAGACTCCGTCTCAAAAAAAAAAAAAAAAAAAAAAGGAATTCTAGGTAGATTGAGGACCTAAATGTGAAAATAAAACTGTAATGTTAATAGAAATTGTAGGGAGATGTCTGTGACCTAGGGGCTTGGACAAAACTTCAAGACTATAATCCATATGCTGAAGAGATGATTGGATTATAGCAAAATTAAGGATTTGTGCTCAATGAAAGACACTATGGACAAAAGTAAGAGATAATGTGCAGATTGGGAGAGGATATTTGCAATGCATAAACCAACAAGGGATTTGATACCTAGAATATAAAAAGATTTCCTGTGAATCATCAAGAAGAGAGGTTGGGTGTAGTGATTTATACCTGTAATCCCAGTACTTTGGGAGGCTGAAGCAGGAGGATTGCTTGAGGCCAGGAGTTTGAGACCAGCCAGACAATACAACATGACCCTGTCTCTAGAAAAAATAATTTTTTTTTAAATTACCTGGTTGTGGTGGCACATGCCAGTCATCCTAGCTACTTTGGGAGGCTAAGGTGGGAGGATCACATGAGCCCAGTAGTTTGAGGTTACAGTGAGCTGTGGTCATGCCACTGCACTGCAGCCTGGGTGACAAGCAAGACCCTGTTTTTAAAAACAAAACAAAAGAAGGAGGAGGAGGCAGGAGGAAGGGGGAGGAGGAAGGGGAAGGACAAAAGAAGAAGGAAGAAAGAAAAAGAAGACAGCAACGCCAATAGAAAATTAGCCAAAGCATACAATAGTCAATTTGCAGAGGAAGAAATTTGAAAAGCCAGCAGTATATGATGAGGTGTTCAAGATCATTGCAAGTATGAGGAATTAAAATAACAGTGAGATACCAGTTTATCAGCCCGACAAATTTAAGAAGCAGGATAATGCCAAGTGGCGGTGGGGGTGTAAGGACCTACAAACCCTCCTGCATGGCTGATGGGAGTGTGGACTAGGGCAGCTGTTCCGAAGAGCTGTCTGGAAGTACCTTGTCAAATTAGATATGCATTTACTGGGCCAGGTGCGGTGGCTCACGCCTGCAATCCCAGCACTTTGGAAGGCCGAGGCAAGTGGAGCACCTGAGGTCACTCAGGAGTTCCAGACCAGCCTGGCCATCATGGCGAAACCCCGTCCCTACCAAAAATGCAAAACTTAGCTGGATGTGGTGGTGGACTTCTGTAATCCCAGCTACTCAGGAGGCTGAGGCAGGAGAATCGCTTGAACCCAGGAGGCAGAGGTTGCAGTGAGCCAAGATCACACTACTGCCCTCCAGCCTGGGTAACGGAGTGAGACTCTGTCTCAAAAAAAAAAAAAAAAAAAAAGTATATGCATTTACTGTATGACCCAACAATTCTGTTCCTGGGTACAATAAATCCCAGGGAAGTACACAGATATATAAGGGGCCATATGCAAGGGTGTTCATCACACATTAAGCACAAAAAGGCCAAAAACAAAATGTATGTCCCTCCAAATTAGAAGTTTCCAAGGGCAAAAAAAGTGCAAGCCTTCTCTCATTAAAGTAGAGATTCCTAGTCTGTGTGCCCAGGTACCTGACAGTGCTGCATTTCAGTTCCAGGGGTGAGAGTTATCAATAGTTATAATTTTTAAAATAATGATAAATGTTTTTAAAGTATCTCTAACATTTGTAACTGTGTTTTTCTAGTTTAAAATTATTTTGAAGGCCAGGCGTGGTGGCTCACGCCTGTAATCCCAGTGCTTTGGGAGGCTGAGGCAGGTGGATCACTTGAGGTTAGGAGTTCGAGACCAGCCTGACCAACATGATGAAGCCCCGTCTCTACTAAAAATACGAAATTAGCCAGATGTGGTAGTGCATGCCTATAATCCTAGCTACTCAGGAAGCTGAGGCAGGAGAATCACTCGAACCCAGGAGCCAGAGGTTGCAGTGAGCCGAGATCGTGCCATTGCACTCTAGCCTGGGCAACAAAAGCGAAACTCCATCTCAAAATAAGTAAAATAAAATTATTTTGAAATTATATTTGAACAGTGTGGTGTTTCACACAGTTCCCTCTTTGAACGTCTTGGTCCAGTGCAAGATCTAGTGCATGGCTCCTACTACCAGAGAGGGGCTGTGTGGGGGCTGCAGTATACAGCACTTCTCTGACCTTCTGTGGGAATCATTCGACTTAACCTGATTTTTGCCTTCCTCCTGCTCATCATGATACTTTGTTGGTGTGCATATGTGTAGTATTTAAATACTTTATTAGATTCAATCTGCTCTTTTCACAATTTTTTCTGGTAACATGGAAGCTATATCTTTTATTATCAGAATCAGCATCTATTATTAGGTGCTGCTTTAAAGGAACATAACTGATTTCATTTTCTTAGTTGTTATTCCCCCATTGTTTTACCTTCCCTCCCTCCCTTCCTCTTTCCTTTTTTCTTTCTCTCTGTCCCTCATTCTTTCTTGCTCTCACTCTCCCTCTCCAGTTGCTCCTTCTCCCACTCTCTATTATTGGATTTTTTTTTAACGGCAGCACTTTTATTTTTCCTTACACAATGACGTGTTGCTGGGGCCTAATGTTCTCACATGACGGTAGAAAACCAAAATTTGTTGTCATCTCTTTAAAGAATTTAGAATTATGTAGAAAAAAACCTTACATAAATTAAAAGGATGAATATATTTACAGGTGTAAATCCAAACCGCTTCCAACTCAAGGCAAGTAACAGCCCACGGTGTTCTGGCAGGAAAACATCAGCTAAGAAAGGAAACTGGGTCCTATGGCTTGGACTTTCCAACTCTGACAGACCGGCAGGACAGAAACAACTGGTTCAGGAGCCCTTGCCAGCCTCTAGAGAAATCCCAGAACACTCAGCCCTGATGACACATTAATACCCTGCACATATTGGAGACTGCTGACCACGCATACTCACCAAGCCACAGACTTGTCTTCCACAAGCACGTTCTTACCTCAGCCACAAAGTGCCCAAGCCACATGTACTAAAGGTTGAAATCAGAGACATGTACAGGGTATTAAACAGATACCAAGGGGAACAGTTAACTTGAATATAGCTTGAATAGAAAGTCAAAATCAGCAACAAGTCTACAATCCAGTGCTGATATCAGATACAAGCTTCAAGGACAACTTTCTGTGTATGTTTTTTTTTTTTTTTTTGAGACGTAGTCTCGCCCTGTTGCCCAGGCTGGAGTGCAGTGGTGCAATCTCGGCTCACCACAACCTCTGCCTCCCAGGTTCAAGTGATTCTCCTGCCTCAGCCTCCCCAGTAGCTGGGATTATAGGCGAATGCCACCATGCCTGGCTAATTTTTGTATTTTTAGTAGAGACGGGGTTTCAGCATGTTGGCCAGGCCGGTCTCAAACTCCTGACCTTGTGATCCACCCGTCTCGGCCTCCCAAAGTGCTGGGATTATAGGCGTGAGCCACCACTTCTGGCCACAAATTTCTTTTTGAAGGCTTATTCCAGTTTTGTGAGGCTAGCATGAGGTGTATGCATTTGCCAGGGGCAAATTTATACTGCTGAATTAACCCATGCAACAAATGCTGCACATCTGCTCGCAGTCCATTTAGAGGCATTTGCGGTAGACAATGGAGGGGCCAGACTCATCATACATACCTGATGGCTAACCCACATGCTTGCAGTCCATTTAGAGGCATTTGCAGTGGATGATGGAGGGGCCACATACCTAATTGCTAATCCACATCTGCTGGAAGGTGGACAGTGAGGCCAGGATGGAACCACCAATCCACACCGAGTACTTGTGCTCTGGGGGCATGATGAACTTGATCTTCATGGTGCTGGATGCCAGCGTGGTGATGCCAGGGCACATGGTGGTGCTGCTGGACAGCACTGTGTTGGCGTACAGGTCTTTGCGGATGTCCACGTCACACTTCATGATGGAGTTGAAGGTGGTCTTGTGGATGCCGCAGGATTCCATGCCCAAGAAGGAAGGCTGGAACAGCACCTGCAGACACCAGAACCACTTGTTGCCGATGGTGATGACCTGACCTGGCCATCAGGCAGCTCATAGCTCTTCTCCAGGGAGGAGGAGGATGTGGCAGTGGCCATCTCCTGCTCGAAGTCCAGGGCGATGTAGCACACCTTCTCGTTGATGTCGCGCACAATCTCCTGCTTGGCCGTGATGGTGAAGCTTGGTGAGGATCTTCATGAGGTAGTTGGTCAGGTCCTGGCCAGCCAGGTCCAGACGCAGGATGGCGTGGTGGGAGGGCATGGCCCTCGTAGATGGGTACCATGTAGGTGGCCCTGTCTCCAGAGTCCATGACAGTGCCAGTGATGCGCCCAGAGGCTTAGAGGGACAACACGGCCTGGATGGCCACATACATGGCTGGGGTGTTGAAGGTCTCAAACATGATCTGAGTCATCTTTTCTCTGTTGGCCTTGGGGTTCGAGGGGCCTCGGCCAACAGCACCGGGTGCTTCTCTGGGGTCATGCACAGCTCGTTGTAGAAGGTGTGGTGCCAGATCTTCTCCATGTCATCCCAGATGGTGATGATGCCATGCTCGATAGGGTACTTCAGGGTCAGGATGTCGTGCTTGCTCTGGGCCTCATGGCCCATGTAGGAGTCCTTCTGGCCCATGCCCACCATCACACCCTGGTGCCGGGGTCACCTGATGATGGAGGGGAACACAGCTCAGGGGCCATCCATCCCCAGCAAAGCCAGCTTTGCACATGCCAGAGCCATTGTCAATGATGAGCGCGGCGATCTCTATTTCCATTGCAACCTGTGGAAGAGCAGGGCGGTGGAGCCATGGGAAGACACGGTGTGGGGGCTGGTGGCAGCAAGTGACTGTATTACTGGATTTTGAAGTTAACAATTAGCCAAATACTGATTTTTGATGGAAATTTATTCTTAATTATTTTCTTTTAGAAAAAAATAGGAAAACATATAACAATAGAATTACTTAATTAAATTGATTCCTTGGCTGGGTGGCTACGCCTGTAATCCTAGCACTTTATGAGGCCGAGGAGGGTGGATTAGTTGAGGCCAGGAGTTCGAGACCAGCTTGGGAAACATGGCGAAACCCCATTTCTACTAAAAATTCAAAAATCAGCCAAGCATGGTGGTGCGTGCCTGTAGTCCCAGCTACCCAGGAGGCTGAGGCATGAGAATTGCCTGAGCTTAGGAGGCAGAGATTGCAGTGAGCCGAGATTGTGCCACTGCACTCCAGCCTGGCAGTAGAACCAGACCCTGTCTCAAAAACAAAAAATCTGTCTAGGCTGGGCATGGTGGCTCACGCTTGTAATCCCAGCACTTTGGGAGGCTGAGGCAAGTGGATCACCAGAGGTCAGGAGTTTGAGACCAACCTGGCCAACATGGTGAAACCCCGTCTCTCCTAAAAATACAAAAATTAGCCGGGCATGGTGGTACATGCCTATAATCCCAGCTACTTGGGAGGCTGAGGCAGGAGAGTGGCTTGAACCTGAGAGGCGGAGGTCGCAGTCAGCTTAGATTGCACCACTGTAAAGAAAAGAAAAAAAAAAGTCCATACATGAGTGTAGGGAATACTTTGTGAATTTTTAGACTTTTTATTAACCACCAGAGAATATTTACTACACCTGGGTGTTTTTTAAAGAATACTGTTCTTATTCTGAAATAAGTAGACCGTTTTGCATATGATCAGCCAGTGTCCCTTACACAATTTATTTCATGTAATTTTCATCTTTCCCATGTAAATCTCAGTTCAGCCACTTAGTGGATCCAAGTCTCCAGGCAGCTGCCTTAGTCGTTCTGTGTCTCAAGTACTTTTAATCCATATTGTACAGTAAGGTGAATTTATAGATTTCAAGATCTATAAATTCTATAGATCTATAGGTGAATTTGGGGTGGAGCCAAGATGGCCGAATAGGAACAGCTCCAGTCTGCAGCTCCCAGCATGAGCGATGCAGAAGACGGGTGATTTCTGAACTTCCAACTGAGGTACCAGGTTCATCTCACTGGGGAGTGTCTGACAGTGGGTGCAGGACAGTGGGTACAGTGCACTGAGCGTGAGCCAAAGCAGGGCGAGGCATTGCCTCACTCGGGAAGCACAAGGGGTCAGGGAATTCCCTTTCCTAGTCAAAGAAAGGGGTGACAGATGGCATCTGGAAAATCGGGTCACTCCCACCCTAATACTGCGCTTTTCCAACAGTCTTAGCAAATAGCTCACCAGGAGATTATATCCCGCCCCTGGCTCGGAGGGTCCTACGCCCACAGATTCTCGCTCATTGCTAGCACAGCAGTCTGAGCTCAAACTGCAAGGTGGCAGCGAGGCTGGGGGAGGGGCACCCGCCATTGCTGAGGCTTGAGTAGGTAAAGCGGCCCGGAAGCTCGAACTGGGTGGAGCCCACTGCAGCTCAAGGAGGCCTGCCTGTCTCTGTAGACTCCACCTCTGGGGGCAGGGCATTGCCAAACAAAAGGCAGCAGAATCCTCTGCAGACTTAAATGTCCCTGTCTGACAGCTTTGAAGAGAGTAGTGGTTCTCCCAGCACGCAGCTGGAGATCTGAGAATGGACAGACTGCCTCCTCAAGTGGGTCCCTGACCCCCGAGTAGCCTAACTGGGAGGCACCCCCCAGTAGGGGCAGACAGACACCTCACACGGCCGGGTACTTCTCTGAGACAAAACTTCCAGAGGAATGATCAGGCAGCAACATTTGCTGTTCACCAATATCTGCTGTTCTGCAGCCTCTGCTGCTGATACCCAGGCAAACAGGGTCTGGAGTGGACCTCCAGCAAACTCCAACATTCCTACAGCTGAGGGTCCTGATTGTTAGAAGGAAAACTAACAAACAGAAAGGACATCCACACCAAAACCCCATCTGTATGTCACCATCATCAAAGACCAAAGGTAGATAAAACCACAAAGATGGGGAAAAAACAGAGCAGAAAAAACGGAAATTCTAAAAATCAGAGTGCCTATCCTCCTCCAAAGGAACACAGCTCCTCACCAGCAATGGAACAAAGCTGGATGGAGAATGACGAGTTGAGAGAAGAAGGCTTCAGACAATCAAACTACTCCAAGCTAAAGGAGGAAGTTCGAACCAATGGCAAAGAAGTTAAAAACCTTGAAAAAAGATTAGACAAATCACTAACTAGAATAACCAATGCAGAGAAGTCCTTAAAGGACCTGATGGAGCTGAAAACCACAGCACAAGAACTATCTGATGAATGCACAAGCCTCAGTAGCCGATTCGATCAACTGGAAGAAAGGGTATCAGTGATGGAAGATCAAATGAATGAAATGAAGCGAGAAGAGAAGTTTAGAGAAAAAAGAATAAAAAGAAACAAAGCCTCCAAGAAATATGGGACTATGTGAAAAGACCAAATCTACGTCTGATTGGTGTACCTGAAAGTGACGGGGAGAATGGAACCAAGTTGGAAAACACTCTGCAGGATATTATCCAGGAGAACTTCCCCAATCTAGCAAGGCAGGCCAACATTCAAACACCACAAAGGTACTCCTCGAGAAGAGCAACTCCAAGACACATAATTGTCAGATTCACCAAAGTTGAAATGAAGGAAAAGATGTTAAGGGCAGCCAGAGAGAAAGGTCGGGTTACCCACAAAGGGAAGCCCATCAGACTAACAGCTGATCTCTTGGCAGAAACTCTACAAGCCAGAAGAGAGTGGGGGCCAACATTCAACATTCTTAAAAGAATTTTCAACCCAGAATTTCATATTCAGCCAAACTAAGCTTCAGAAGTGAAGGAGAAATAAAATCCTTTACAGACAAGCAAATGCTGAGAGATTTTGTCACCACCAAGCCTGCCCTAAAAGAGCTCCTGAAGGAAGCACTAAACATGGAAAGGAACAACTGGTACCAGCCACTGCAAAAACATGCCAAATTGTAAAGACCATTGAGGCTAGGAAGAACCTGCATCAACCAACGAGCAAAATAACCAGCTAACATCATAATGACAGGATCGAATTCACACATAACAATACTAACCTTAAATGTAACTGGGCTAAATGCTCCAATTAAAAGACACAGACTGGCAAATTGGATAAAGAGTCAAGACCCATCAGTGTGCTGTATTCAGGAAACCCATCTCACCTGCAGAGACACACATAGGCTCAAAATAAAGGGATGGAGGAAGACCTACGAAGCAAATGGAAAACAAAAAAAGGCAGGGGTTGCAATCCTAGTCTCATATAAAACAGACTTTAAACGAACAAAGATCAAAGGAGACAAAGAAGGCCATTACATAATGGTGAAGGGATCAGTTCAACAAGAAGAGCTAACTATCCTAAATATATATGCACCCAATACAAGAGCACCTAGATTCATAAAGCAAGTCCTTAGAGACCTACAAAGAGACTTAGACTCCCACACAATAATAATGGGAGACTTTAACACCCCACTGTCAACATTAGACAGATCAACGAGACAGAAGTTAACAAGGATATCCAGGAATTGAACTCAGCTCTGCACCAAGTGTACCTAATAGACATCTACAGAACTCTCCACCCCAAATCAACAGAATATACATTCTTTTCAGCACCACACCACACCTATTCCAAAATTGACCACATAGTTGGAAGTAAAGCACTCCTCAGCAAATGTAAAAGAACAGAAATTATAACAAACTGTCTCTCAGACCACAGTGCAATCAAACTAGAACTCAGGATTAAGAAACTCACTCAAAACCGCTCAACTACATGGAAACTGAACAACTGGCTCCTGAAAGACTACTGGGTACATAACGAAATGAAGGCAGAAATAAAGATGTTCTTTGAAACCAACGAGAACAAAGACATAACATACCAGAATCTCTGGGACACATTCAAAGCAGTGTGTAGAGGGAAATTTATAGCACTAAATGCCCACAAGAGAAAGCAGGAAAGTTCTAAAATTGACACCCTAACATCACAATGAAAAGAACTAGAGAAGCAAGAGCAAACACATTCAAAAGCTATCAGAAGGCAAGAAATAACTAAGATCAGAGCAGAACTGAAGGAAATAGAGACACAAAAAACCCTTCAAAAAATCAATGAATCCAGGAGCTGGTTTTTTGAAAAGATCAACAAAATTGATAGACCGCTAGCAAGACTAATAAAGAAGAAAAGAGAGAAGAATCAAATAGACGCAATAAAAAATGATAAAGGGGATATCACCACCGATCCCACAGAAATACAAACTACCATCAGAGAATACTATAAACACCTCTATGCAAATAAACTAGAAAATCGAGAAGAAATGGATGAATTCCTCGACACATACACTCTCCCAAGACTAAACCAGGAAGAAGTTGAATTTCTGAATAGACCAATAACAGGCTCTGAAATTGAGGCAATAATTAAATGCAGGATGACGCTTCAAAGAGAATAAAATACCTAGGAATCCAACTTACAAGGGATGTGAAGGACCTCTTCAAGGAGAACTACAAACCACTGCTCAACAAAATAAAAGAGGATGCAAACAAATGGAAGAACATTCCATGCTCATGGATAGGAAGAGTCAATATCGTGAAAATGCCATACTGCCCAAGGTAATTTATAGATTCAATGCCATCCCCATCAAGCTACCAATGACTTTCTTCACAGAATTGGAAAAAACTTCTTTAAAGTTCATATGGAACCAAAAAAGAGCCTGCATGGCCAAGTCAATCCTAAGCCAAAAGAACAAAGCTGGAGGCATCACGCTACCTGACTTCAAACTATACTACAAGGCTATAGTAACCAAAACAGCATGGTACTGGTACCAAAACAGAGATATAGACCAATGGAACAGAACAGAGCCCTCAGAAATAATGCCACGTATCTACAACCATCTGATCTTTGACAAACCTGAGAAAAACAAGCAATGAGGAAAGGATTCCCTATTGAATAAATGGTGCTGGGAAAACTGGCTAGCCATATGCAGAAAGCTGAAACTGGATCCCTTCCTTACACCTTATACAAAAATTAATTCAAGATGGATGAAAGACTTAAATGTTAGACCTAAAACCATAAAAACCCTAGAAGAAAACCTAGGCAATACCATTCAGGACATAGGCATGGGCAAGGACTTCATGTCTAAAACACCAAAAGCAATGGCAACAAAAGCCAAAATTGACAAATGGGATCTAATTAAACTAAAGAGCTTCTGCACAGCAAAAGAAACTACCATCAGAGTGAACAGGAAACCTACAGAATGGGAGACAATTTTCACAATCTACTCATCTGATAAAGGGCTAATATCCAGAATCTACAAGGAACTCCAACAAATTTACAAGAAAAAAACAACCCCATCAAAAAGTGGGCAAAGGATATGAACAGACACTTCTCAAAAGAAGACATTTATGCAGCCAAAAGACACATGAAAAAATGCTCATCATCACTGGCCATCAGAGAAATGCAAATCAAAACCACAATGAGATACCATCTCACACCAGTTAGAACGGCGATCATGAAAAAGTCAGGAAACAACAGGTGTTGGAGAGGATGTGGAGAAATAGGAACACTTTTACACTGTTGGTGGGACTGTAAACTAGTTCAACCATTGTGGAAGTCAGTGTGGCGATTCCTCAGGGATCTAGAAGTAGAAATACCATTTGACCCAGCAATCCCATTACTGGGTATATATATACCCAAAGGATTATATAAATCATGCTGCTATAAAGACACATGCACACATATGTTTATTGCAGCACTATTCACAATAGCAAAGACTTGGAACCAAGCCAAATGTCCAACAATGATAGACTGGATTAAGAAAATGTGGCACATATACACCATGGAATATTATGCAGCCATAAAAAATGATGAGTTCATGTCCTTTGTAGGGACATGGATGAAGCTGGAAACCATCATTCTCAGCAAACTATCACAAGGACAAAAAACCAAACACCGCATGTTCTCACTCATAGGTGGGAACTGAACAATGAGAACACATGGACACAGGAAGGGGAACATCACACACCGGGGCCTGTTGTGGGGTGGGGGGAGGTGGGAGGGATAGCATTAGGAGATATACCTAATGTTAAATGACGAGTTAATGGGTGCAGCACACCAGCATGGCACATGTATACATACGTAACTAACCTGCACATTGTGCACATGTACCCTAAAACTTAAAGTATAATTTTTAAAAAAGTGAAAAAAAAAAGATCTATAGGTGAATTTATAGATTTCAGGATTACACCTGGGTTTTTTTTTAATGTTTCAGTGCAATTTATTTTAAAGCACTCTTAATGCATTTAAATTTTATTTTTAAATGCATTAAAATTTAAATTTTTTAACATTTAAAACATTAATTTTTTAACAATTAAAATTAATTTTTCTGTTTGGTAGATACTGTGTCTATGTTGCCAGAGCTAGTCTTGAACTCCTGGCCTCAAGAGATCCTCCCGCCTCAGCCTCCCAAAGTGCTGGGATACAGGCACAAGCCACTATGCCTGGCCAAAATTAATTTTTGAGCCCAACACAGTGGCCCACACCTGTAGTCCCAGTTACTCAGGAGGCTGAGGCAAGAGGATTGCTTGAGCCCAGGAGTTTGAGTTTGTGGCATACGATGATTGTGCCTATGAATAGCCATTGTACTCAAGCCCGGGCAATATAACTAGACCCCATCTCTAAGTAATAATAATTTTTTAGAACCTAACATGTAAATAGATTTAATTTATACAAATATTTATTTTCAAATCTGTATTAGGTTTCTCCAGGGAAACAGAATCAATAGGATATATATGAGACAGAGAGCAAGAAAGACAAAGATTCATTGTAGGGAGTCGGCTCACATGATTGTGTAGGTTGACAAGTCTTAATATCTGCTAGTTGAGTTGTCAGGAGGAAGACCCAGGAGTACCAATGGTGTAGTTCCAGTTTAAAGGCTGGCAGACTCAAGACCCAGGAAGAGCTGATGTTTCCGTTTAAGTCTGAAGGGAAGAAAAAGCTGATGTTCTAGTTTGAAGGCAGTCAGGCAGGATAATTCACTCTTACTTCGGGGAGGGTAATCCTTTTTGTTCTATTCAGGCCTTCAACTGATTGGGTGAGGCCTACCCACATCAGGAAGGGCAATCTGCTTTACTCAGTCTACCAATTTCAATGTTCCTGCCACCCAGGAACACCCCCAAAGAAACCCCAGAATAATGTTTGACTAAATATCTGGGTACCCCAAGACCCAGTCAAGTTGACACAATTAACCATCACAAATCCATGCCTTGTGAACTTGGCACCCATATACACCTCCTTAAACCACATTTAATCTTCAAATGAAGACCATAACAAGGTCATAATTCCATCTAACATGATACAACTGTTCTACCTACAACCGAAAACGCACTAACCTTTTCCCCAGAAAAAGAGGTAAAGTCCTTCACTGATGTTAACTCTTTTCTTTGATATCCTGTAACTTAAATACTATGATGTAAAGTTAACAATTCTTAAATACTATTATTTAAAGCCAATACATCTTATGTTACATGATAAGGGGATAAGAGAGGGAAGAAAACAAAAGTATTTGATACATACAAACAAATATATTCATAACAAAATAAGCAGGAAATATGACAATTACAGCCCTTGTTTCTCTAACTGGTCACATGATAACTGATATTTATAACTACCTTCTTCCACTACCCATTCCATATTCTGTTTGCCTTCAGCAAGCAACTCAACTAGTCATAGTTCTTTACTGGTAGGGTAACCCAAAGCTTCATTGTTGTAGAATCTGGGCCATTAGTAGTCCTGCCTGGGTTGGGTTGTTGTCGTTTTCCATTGACCTTAATCATAAGGGATGGTAACACTAAGAGATTCTCTAGAGTATTTCCTGTATTCTAGAATACTCTTCCTTCCCTCCATTGTAGAGTAGTATTCCAGTTTCCTCTTGGTAGACAGGATCAATCACTCCAACCAACACCACAACTCCCTTCTTTGCCTTAACTTCTAGCTCAATGGAATCGTTGTGTCTCCTGGCGGAAGCATTCCTCCCTTTGGAACTGAAACCTCTAGGCTAGCAGACCAAAAGATCTCTGTAACAGGAGGAGAAATTTTGCTAGTGGGTCACTAGGGTTGATAGGGACCCATTGATTTCCACCCATTGATTCATGGATCTGTGAATCCTGGCTGTGGGAGAAACAGCACCATATATTAGATACAGATTCAGAGTATATACAGACTCCTGGAGAATCTTACCCTAGCCCTGCAAGGTATTGTAACCTAGTTGGCACTGTAACTGAATCTTCCAAAGGCCATTCCACCATTCTTTCAAGCCAGCTATTTCAGGGTGGTGGGGAACATGGTGAGAGCAGTGAATTCCATGAGCATGGGCCCATTGCTGCACTTCTTTGGCTGTAACGTTAGTTCCTTAACCAGAAGCAATGCTATATGGAATATTATGATGGTGGATAAGGAATTCTGTAAGACCATGGATGGTAGTTTAGGCGGAAGCTTTGTGTGCATGGAAGCCAGACCAGTATCTAGAGTGTCTGTTCCAGTAAGGACAAAACATTGCTTCTTCCCTGATGGAAGCAATCCAGAGTAATCAACCAGATAACTGATCTCCCCGGGAATGATGCCATATTGGAAACTCAGTGATAGTCTCTGCTGGTTGTAGATTAGACACTCGGCAGTGGTCATAGTCAGGTTGGCTTTTGTGAGTGGGGGTGCATGTTGCTGTTCCCATGCATAACCTCCATCCCTGGTACCATGGCCACTTTGTTCATGAACCCATTGGGCAATGAGAGGATAGCTGGGGAAAGAGGCTAACTGGTATCCACAGAAACTATTATTCTGTCCACTTGACTATTAAAATCCTCCTCTGCTGAGGTCACCTTTGGTGAGGATTCACACAGGACATAAATGTCTTCACTTTTTTTGACCCACATAAGGAAGTCTATCCATCTACCTTTTCCTCAAATTTCCTTGTCACTAGTTTTCTAACATGTTCCTCCCAAGTTCCTGACCATCTAACCAAACCATTCATCACACCCCACAAATCAGTATATGATTGCATATCTATCCATTTCTCCTCCCAAGCAAAGTGAACAACTAGGTGCACTGCTTGGGAGTTCTACCCACTGGGAGGATTTCCTTTCACTGTCCTTCAGGGATGTCCTAGGAAGAGGTGATAGTGCTGCAGCTGTCCACTTTGGGGTGGTGCCTACATACCATGCAGAACCATCTGTAAACCAGGCCCAAGTCTTCTCTTCCTCTGTCAGCTGACTGTAGGGAACTCCCCATGAGGCCACAGGTGCAGACTGGGAGAGAGAAGACTGTGTATCAGGAGTGGAGACCATGAGCATTTGGGCCACTTCTTCATGTAGCTTGTGCCTTCAGGGCCTGCTCAGGCCCCATCACATATTTACCACTTCCATTTGGTGATGGAGCACTGGTGTGCACACCCAACTTTATGGCTTGGTGGGTCAGATAACACCCAGATCATGATGGGCAGCTCAGGTCAAATGGTAACTTGGTGGCCTATGGTCAAGTGTTGTTTCTACTAAAACCCAGTAGCAGATCAAGAGCTGTTCTCAATAGGAGAGTGGTTATCTGCAGGAGATGGCAAGTCTTTGCTCTAAAATCCTAAGGGCCTGAGCTGTGGTTCACCTATGGGAGCCTGCCAAGAGCTCCAAACAACATCCCTAAATGCCACTGTCATTTCAAGCACCACTGTCATTGGATCTGCTGGATCATATGCCCCAAGTGGCAGAGCAGCTTGCAGAGCAGCCTGGAGCTGTTGCAGAGCATTTTCTTATTCTGGACCCCACTCAAAACTAGCAGCTTCTCAGGTCGCTTCATAAATAGGCCAGAGTAACAAAGCCATATGAGGAATATGTTGCCTCCAAAATCCAAGGAGGTCCTATGTATTAGTCTGTTCTCACACTGCTAATGAAGATATACCTGAGACTGGGTAATTTATAAAGAAAAGAGATTTAATTGACTCCCAGTTCCACATGGCTGGGGAGGCCTCACAATCACAGTGAAAGGAGAATGAGGAGCAAAGTCACATCTTACATAGTGGCAGGCAAGAGAGCTTCTGCAGGAGAACTCCCATTGATAAAACCATCAGATCTCGTGAGACTTATTTGCTACCACAGAACAGTATGGGGGAAACTGCCCCCATGATTCAGTTAGCTCCACCTAGCCCCATCCTTTACACGTGGGGATGATTACAATTCAAAGTGAGATTTGGATGGGGACACAGCCAAACCATGTTACCCTACTAGGTGTTGTGCCTCATTTTTTGGTTTTAGGAGGGCCCAGATGCAACAACTTACCCTTCATTTTAGAGGGAATATCTCTGGCCAGGCACAGTGGTTCATGCCGGTAATCTTAGCACTTTGGGAGGCCAAGTCAGGCAGATCACTTGACCTTAAGAGTTTGAGACCAGCCTGCACAACATACTGAGACTCTGTCTCAAAAAAATTAAAAATTGAGGCTGGGCATGGTGGCTCATGCCTGTAATCCCAGCACTTTGGGAGGCCGAGGCAGGCAGATCACTTGAGGTCAGGAGTTCGAGATCAGCCTGACCAACATGGTGAAACCCTGTCTCTACTAAAAATACAAAAATTATCTGGGCAATGGTGGTATGCACCTGTAGTTCCAGCTACTTGGGAGGCTGAGGCAGGAGAATCACTTGAACCCGAGAGGCAGAGGTTGCAGTGAGCCTAGATTGTGCCACTGCACTCCAGCCTGGGCGACAAGAGTGAGACTCCATCTCAAAAAAAGCAAACAACAAAAAAAATATCAAATAGAAGGAGTATCTCAATATGCCCTAGAAATTTCACTGAGGTAGAAGGCCCCTGGAGTTTTTTTCGGATTTATTCTCCACTTTCTGTCATGCAACTATCTTACCAATGTCTACAGTAGGTACTATTTCTCTCTCACTAAATCCAATCACCATAATCTCATTGATGTCATGGACCAGTGTGATATCTCTTGAAAGGGAAAAATGATCAAGATCCCACTGGGTGCAGTGGCTCATGCCTGTAATCCCAGCACTTTGGGAGGCCAGTGCGGGAGGATTGCTTGAGCCCAGGAGTTTAAAACCAGCCTGGGTAATGTATTGAGACCCTGTTTCTACAAAAAAATTTTTAAAAATTAGCCACATGTGGTGATACATGCCTGGAGTCCTAGCTACTCGGGAAGCTGAAGTGGGAAGATTGTTTGAGCGTGGGACGTTGGGGCTGCAATGTGCTCTGATCGTGCCACTGCACTTCAGCCTGGGCAAGAGAATGAGACCCTGTCTCAAAAAAAAAAAAAAAAAAAAAAAAAAAAAAAAAAAAAAAAAGATCCCTGTGAACTAAATTATGACATAGTGTTGGAGAGTTGATGTACCCCTAATGTAGGCAGGGATGGTGTATTTCTGGCCTTTCCAAATGAAAGCAAACTACTTCTGATGGGTTTTATGGACAGGGATGGAGAAAAAGGCATTTGCCGGATCAATAGCTGTATACCAACAGCTCAAGCAGTGAAACCACATCTGGCACAATGTCTGCAATTAGAGACACCACCAGGTTAAACTTAATCTAGTGTCATCCTCCAAGATCCATCTGTCTTCCGCACAGGACAAACAGGATGGTTCAATGGGGATGTGGTGGGAATCCCCAATGTAAGAGTTAAAGAGGAAAGAAACACAAAATGTGGCTTAACAGTTAAAGACAGATTTATTGTAGAGAAAATAAACCTGAGAGGGGCTTCTGGCCGATTTCAGTCAGGAGCACTTTCTCTTACAGACTAAGAGTATATATTGGTTTTAGGGTGAAGGGGCTTATTACAAGCTTGGAATGTTTCTTTGTGGGGGAGAAGTTTTACGGTGGAGTTAAAATGTCTCTGGGCAGAGGGGAGGTTATCTTGGGGCTGACATCTTTCCGGCCAGAAGAGGTTTATCTCGAGGCTGGCATCTTCCCACCCAGAGGGGGTTTATCTCAGGGCTAGCATGTCTCTGGTTGAGGAGGAGTTCGGGATGTTTCTGGTTGGAGATGTTGTTTGTGGTTTACAGTCGTGCTGCCTTAGCCATTACACTGATGCCCTTTGGATTTAGGCAGTTTTTTATTAAGGTGAATTTAAAAATGACAGTAGTTGTTCAAGATGGCAGTACTCTTGCTCTGTCAACCACCCCTGTATCTTTGAAGTCCTTAATGTTGGTACTAATTTCTGCAGTCCCCTAGGAACATGGTATTGCTTTTGATATATGATTTTCCTAGGTAGAGGCAGTTCTATTGACTTCCACTTGGCCTTTCTCACCACAATAGCCCTCACTCCACAGGTCAGAGAACCAGTGTGGGATTCTGTCAGCTGCTGAGTATATCGATTTCAATTACACAATTTAGAACTGGGGAAATAACCACAGCATGGGCTTGGGTATCCACTTGGTCCACTGTGAAATGGACATGACCTAAATTTCCATTGATTCTGTGACCTCCATAAGCCACTATTCTGACATGATCACAGTGATATTTTGGGTCTCCTGGAGTAAATGTCAAAGCCCGTGTCCAGTAATTCCCAAAAGGTCTATATTTCCTTTTCCTCAATGCAGTTATTCTAGTTAAAGGCTGTAGGTCCCTATGGTGAAGGCTGAAAGATACAGTATAGATTTTAGATAGTTTTCTGAAGTTCTTAAGGAAGACTCAGTCTCCCCTTCATTCAAGGTGTTATAGGTCTCTAAACTGGCTCAAGCCTGGAAATAGTTTTTTTAATAGAACATCAAATACCAAACTAAATTTATTTTGCTAAGAGAAATTGATGAACTAAAAGAGAAATAAGTACAGTCTAAATTTTTAGATATATGGGGAAAAACCCTGAGATTACTAATTGTGTATCACAGTCCTCTTATGTATATCCTGAAAATGATGGTATCAATATAATACGTACAGTGGATTTACATTTTAAACTTGATCTATTACTTTTGAATATTTGTCTTACACTGAAAATAAATTCTGACATCTTCAGGAAACCAATATGAATAAGCTAAATATTGACTTAAAATAGTTAAACCCCTTAATAACTTCCTTCAAATAATTTCTATTATTTCACTGCTTAAGTTCAGCATTTGAATAACAAAGGTAACATAAGTACTTAAGATCTCAAAGGCCCATTACATTCTATTAATAATGACAAAACAACATATTTACTGAAAATAGTCTTTTTTCTTTGCCTTCCAGTTTTACACTTTTTAAAAAACACAAAATTGGACAAGATCAAATAACTAGGTGGTAAAACACTGACTTTAAAAAATTACATCTTTAAACCCATGAGAATCATAATTCTAAGTATGGCCATTGGGGGCAACTTATAAACCTTTGACCCTTTCTTAACACTATGTGACTGATTTTTCACAAAGAAAACACAAATGCCATTAAGAAAGTGTATTTTTCCTTGACACACTCTGCAATCTTGGTTAACAGACTCTGAGGCTCCAAACATGTAAACAATTTATCCTGTATTATGAAAGAGCAAAGTTGTGATAGCAATATAATGAACAATAAAGTATAGCTTCTCCCAAGAAAGAGCTAAAGATTAAGAAGTGCTGCATTCTTGAAGTCGGTTCAGTTTTACCCAAGCTTATTTTAGGTAATCAAAACCTAGAGCAATTAGCTTAGGTAAAACTTAATTAAGGAATACTGAAAGCTAGATTTATTTGCTGCATTTATCTTCATTGTGGACAACACGATTAGAAATCCCGGAATCACAGATGAAAGCATAGTTTTTCCTGAGATTTGATACTATGCTGGAACCCCACCCCCATCCCCTTGAAAACCAATATATCCCATTTCAGCCTTCATAGGTAGACTAATAAAAAAGTCTCATAATTCAGGCACACACTTTGGCCAAGTTTAGCTTTATCACATCTAAAAAAAATTCATGTATAAAACAAATATCAGTTCAAAAGTATAGATTACTTTTTAAGAAGAACCTGCAGTTTCTTTCTGCAGTTTATATTTCTATAAAAATAATTAAATCTGGTAGAAAGGAACCTGCCTGAAATTGAGGAGGCCGAGGCAGGCAGATCATTTGAGCTAAAGAGACCAGCCTGCCTAATGTACATTAGGTACAGCTGTTCTCCAGGCAGCTTGTTTTACTGTTTAGACTGAGGTACTCAACACAGATTTCCTAATTCATGTTACTAAGAGGCACCCTTAAAGTGCTCCATTTCCATAGCTTGGTACTCCAAAAAACCATCCTGGTCCCACTGCCCTGTCCTTTCAAAGAAGCATAATGGCCAGCTATTCTGGACGAAGAGAGAGATCTTTGGAGATTTTTTCTTCTAGAAGATTAAGAAATCTTTAAGACTTATAGGTTCAGACTCATTACAGCAGTCTAGATTGCTTCAAAATATGAAATGAGGCCGGGCACGGAGGCTCACGTCTGTAATCCCACCACTTTGGCAGGTCGAAGCGGGTGGATCACGAGGTCAGGAGATCAAGACTATCCTGGCTAACACGGTGAAACCCCGTCTCTACTAAAAATACAAAAAATTAGCCGGGCATGGTGGCAGGCGCCTGTAGTGCCAGCTACTCAGGAGGCTGAGGCAGGAGAATGGCGTGAACCTGGGAGGCAGAGCTTGCAGTGAGCTGAGATCGTTCCACTGCACTCCAGCCTGGGCGACAGGGCAAGACTCCGTCTCAAAAAATATATATACATATATATATGAAACGAAGCTGAAATTTTTACATTTAATTTTATACCTTAAATTTCTATATCACTAAGATGCCAATGTTTTAATGAAAAAGAAAATAGAGTATAAAATTCAGTAGCACCTATTTGTCTCAACTACAAGTACAGTGAGTATTAAACAACAATGATAATATAGGAACGAAAACAGAACTTGTAGATTTGCCCAAATTAACTCTGTTTCTCCAAATTTGAGGTGTATGGCAAGTTGAACGTTTGTTCTCTCTGCAATTGTTAGTTACATTATCAGCTTAACACTTTCAAACACTGCGGGAGGCATTTCTCTGTTCACACAGACTTAAGCACATATATACTGAGCTATAAATAGTTTGCCTTCCACGTTTGGATTGAACAAAGGGGGGCGAACGCAGGAATAAAAGACAAGAGGCAAAAGAGTATATTTGGAAGAAGGGGTCAGGGGGAACCTTGCCTCTAGTGGACAAGGGCCCTGGTTTACACAGCCCTCCATATTTATTAGGCAAAAGAGATAGCGAAAAAGCGGGGTTGGGGGCGGTGATTGTCGGGTAATTGTCAGTCAGCTGTTTGGTTCACAGCAGGCTTTGAACTACATGCTTTGAACAATAGGCGCTAATTTTCTCCGTAGATAACTTCAAGGAGCCATCAGGGAATGATGTCCCTCAGCAAACGTTTTGGTGGCAGGACAATGTGAGTTTGCCCACATCCTGCATTCATGATAAACAGTTTGCTGTTTGATCATATAGCCTCCAGCGAAATGCTGAGCTGGTCACGTCCCACGGGCCTTCGGCTCCCTGCATATCCCCCTTTTTGTTTTATGTATTAATTGAAAGAATGTAAGTCCAGGCTGGGCAGCTCTTACTATCCAATTGGTGGTCCATCGAATTTTACAGAAAATGTAGCATTAGAGCTGTGTCGTGACTCCTATCGGCCCTCTCTCCATCTTTGCACTCAGGCTCAGCTGGCTCATGGCTCGTACCGGAGGGACCGGGCTCATGGTTGGCCACCATAGGTTCCTCCAGTCTCCCGTTCCATGGTCGCACGCACAGTTTGTCCATCTCCTGTAAACACACAAGCATACCATCTTCCCCATATCAGTAAGTCCACCACACCTTTCCATTGTCCTTCTTTTGGGGATTTCCATAACACTTTCGGATAAACTTTCCTCTTTTCCTCTAACGCTTGCCAGTGTCTTTTTGCTGGAGTCTTAACCATTCATACCAGGAGTCAAAAAATTTACAGTAAATAAGGCTAAATGTAGTTTTGATTGAGGTGGTAGTTGGCCTCGTATACCCCCTTTTGTCTTTTCAACATGTGTTGTAATGTTTGATGTGCCTGCTCTATAATGCCTTGTCCTCTAGGATTATAAGGAATTCCTGTTTTATGGGTTATAGCCCAAAGCTGTAAGAAATTTTGAAAAGCATGACGAGTATAAGCGGGTCCACTGTTAGTTTTTAATTGTTTAGGTATCCCCATATGAGCAAATGATGACAGACAATGTTGCTGTACATGACCAGCTGTCTCACCTATTTGGCATGTAGCATGCAGCATATGAGAATAAGTGTCTATAGTCACATGAACATAGCTAAGCTTGCTAAAGGTTGCTATGTGTGTAACATCCATTTGCCAAATTTCATTTGGAGCCAAACCTCATGGGTTACAGCCTTCTACAGGTGTGGCTCCAGGGACATGCTGGCAAATAGGACAGGCTTGTATTATAGCCCTAGCTTGTCGGCAAGATAAATGGAACATGCGAGTAAGGGCGGAAGTATTTTGGTACAGAAGTGCATGAGACACTTGAGCTTGCTGAAACACAGAACCAATTAGTTTTTCTGCTTTCTCATTACTTAGAGATAGTGGCCCAGGAAGTTGTGTATGAGAGCGAATATGAGAAACATGAAAAGGAGCTGTATGAGCGCAAATAACTTATTGAAGTCTTAAAAATAAATTAAGCAGTTCTGGGTCTAGTGTACTTTTAATTGTAGCAGTTTTTATGCAACTGGCTACATTTATAACCCAAGCTGAATCACAGTGTTGATAGGATCTGAAGCTATGAGCTGTAAAACCTGAATGACTGCAATTAGCTTTAAGCTTTGAGCTGAAACCCCAGAGGTCATTATTGTTTTTGGACCTTTTTGGAATAACAAATACCGGTGAATTTCAGGGGATAACTGACTTTTCTATATGTTCTGCATTTAATTGCTCTTTTACCAACAGATGAAGTTGATCTAGCTTCTTATGTGTTAGGGGCCATTGATCCACCCACACAGGTTTGTCACTAAGCGATTCTAATGGTAAGGCAGTGGGTGGAGGAGAAATATCATGACCCCCGTCAGAAATCCTGACGTTCTAGCCCTTCTTTATTTGTTTTTCCAGTTACTGATATCAGGTTAGGATTTCATTGTAGAAATTTTCTTAAACCTTTTTCCCTTTGATATCCCATGTCTTTCAACATTTTAAATCCTGGATTATTAAAGTTTTCATTTGTATGTCTCATATCCCATGCTGTAAGTCTCGACCCCATAAATTGATAGCTATATTTGCAACATAAGGCTGAAAAGTATATGACTGTCCATCCGGACCAATACAAGATAAAATCTCAGCGCTTTGTTGAACACTTTGAGCTGTTTACTCCCACTAGGGACGTAGAAGTTAATTGTAAGGGCCAGGATAGGGGCCAGTTGTCTTTAGATATTACTGATACATCAGCTTTCGTATTCATAAGCCCATAAAATTTCTTTTCTTTAATTTGTACTACACAGGTGGGTCTATTAGAGGCAATGGGTCAGGATAGATCGATTTCCCATATAGTTGTGCTCCCAAACCCTTTATTTCCTCGTTTCTCCTTTTGTTGAGAAGGGTGTAATTTGCAGGGAATAAGCAATAATTGAGAAATATATTCTCCTGGTTCAAAACCCCAAAGATTTTGTGACATTAAAACTACTTGAATTTCTACTTCATAATAGGAGTCAGTCACTTCTGGGACTATAGTGATGCCTTGCAAATTAAGACGGCTTTTGCCTAAAATTAGTCCCATGTATCCTGTTGGTAAAGGTCCCCAAATACCAGTGGTAACTTTGATAGGTTTGTCTCCACCAACTAACATGATTTTTTCTCTGGTGGGTAGATTTAATTCTGCACTTCCTGGTGTTTCTGGGGTGAGGGAATCAATGGGCCTCCGGGAACCCATCCCTGAAACGGGGTTGAGGTCTGTACTGGGAAGGCCCTCATTGTTTGTGGGGCCCGGGTTCAGGCCCCCGTCTCACTTCCCGGCAGGGGGGTGCCATTTTGATGAAATTTTGAGCAGCACTGATTAGTCCAGTGATTTCCTTTGTTACAGCAAGGACAAAGTCCTGGCGTTTTTTCCGCTGGAGTCTGTTGGGGGGGCGGTGGACAGCATTGTAAGGTCCTTTCTGTCCTGAGATCTGGCAGCATTGCTTTTTAAAATGTCCAGTTTTTCCACAATTATAACATTTTCCCATTTTAGGGTTTGACCCTTGGCTTCTTTTAGATTTGTCAACTGCTAAATTAGCCATTGCTTGCGCTAACATTGCAGAGCGATGAAGCTCAGTTCCTACATCCTGACAAGCTCTTGAGAAAATTTCCCAAGTTTTTTGTACACCTCACCGGTGCCAGTGCACATTTGCATTCCCAAAAGCTAGAGTTAAGGTTTTTGCCAATTTAAATTCCATGTCAGATATACACTCACAGACAAGCAAGTTCGCACCAAGTGTTTCACATCAAAGGGCAAAAAATGCATAGCACCAAACACAGATTCTAGCAATCCTAAGGTGAATGGGCTTTGTACGCCATTATTTACCACACTCACTTTTAATTCCTTTAACAACTTAAACTCTAGTGTGTGTTCATGAATAACCTGCTGTGGATTATTTGGATCAGGCCTTACAGAAATAGGAAAAGCGCAAGGTCCTAAGGGCTCTCCAGCTATGGCAGCAGAGTGTAAAATTCTTTGTATTGGGGTTTGTATTTCTGCTACTGAAGGAGGTGGTACAGATGTTTCTGCAATTGGAGGAAGTGGTATAGGCCAATTTTTATCTCCCTCTCCTGTTTTTTATTTTCAGTTGGAGCTGTGGGTGGGACAACAGATTCTTTCAGATTTTTAGACTTAGCCTGCTGTCCAGCAGAATAATGAGGAGATAATGGCACAAGTACAGTATGAACTAAACTCCAAGTGGAGAAAACAGAAGAATCAACTTTAAGACCTTTTGGATGAGCCTGTTTTAATCCTTCTCCTGCCCTATCCCAATTTTCCACATCGAGAGTGCCTGCCTGTGGAAACCGTGGGTTATGTGTAATAACCTTTTGTGGCTTCTGCAGGAGGTTAGTGTCTGCGAATTAACCTGAGCTCTAGATTGTCTCAGCAGAACTTTAAGCAACTGCACATAATGTTTTTCTTTAATAGACGAATTCTTCCCCTTGTTACCCTGATTCAGAAAACTTCCCGTTCCCAGTACTTCTTTAAAGCACTGCTCCCATTACCTCTTTAGGGCACCGACCTTATATCCACTGCCGGCAGACTCGTCCTGGGGTCCCCGTTTGCCTTGTCAAATTCAGTTCCTCTGCTCCAGCAGACCTTCGTTCACGTCCTCGAAGTCCCTGTTCTGGGGCGCCACTATGCCGCTGACCTATTGGACTGAACAAAGGGGGGCAAACACGGGAATAAGACAAGAGACAAAAGAGTATATTTGGAAGAAGGGGTCCGGGGTACCTTGCCTCTAGTGGACAAGGGCTCTGAGCTTTACACAACCCTCTGTATTTATTAGGCAAAAGAGATAGCGAGAAATGGGGGTGGGGGGGTGATTTTCAGGTAATTGTCCATCGGCTGTTTGGTTCACAGCAGGCTTTCAAGACTGCATCCTTTGAACAATAGGCGCTGATTTTCTCAGTAGGTAACTTCAAGGAGCCCAACGCCGGGGAGTGATGTCCCTCAGCAAACCTTTTGGTGGCAGGGCAGTGTGAGTTTGCCCACATCCTGCATTCATGATAAACTGTTTTTTGATCATATAGCCTCCAGCAGAATGCTGAGTTGGTCACATCCCACAGGCCTTCGGCTCCCTGCAATTGTATACCTTAAATTTCTGTATCACTAAGATGCCAATGTTTTAGTGAAAAAGAAAATAGAGTGTAAAATTCAATATCACCTATTTGTCTCAACTACAAGTACAGTGAGTATTAAACAACAATGACAATATAGAAACAAAAACAGAACTTGTAGATTTGCCCAAATTAACTCTCTTTCTCCAAATTTGAGGTGTATGGCAAGTTGAATGTTTGTTCTTTCAGCAATTGTTAGTTGCATTATCAGCTTAACACTTTCAAACAGTGCAGGAGGCATTTCTCCGTTCACATAGACTTAAGTACATATATACTGGGCTGTAAATAGTTTGCCTTCCATGTTTGGTCTCTAAGCACTAAATAGGTAGACTTCAAATCAGTCTATGTGACCCAGTGGCCCTCTCTTCAGAGGCATCAGTAATGCATTTGGCAAATGTCTTGAAACATGAATTGTAAATTGACATAGGTACAACCTTGATAATAAGAGTCCCAAATACGTAGTTTTTAAAATGTTAACCTTAGGGGGAAAAAATTATAATGATCATCAGCCCTATTTCCTGAAAATTCAGTTGAGGTAACCTCTGCAAGTCACAGCTCCACATTTACATACAGTTCTGACCCTCTTTTTGGCTGGGCTGTGGTCAATAGAATCTGAAGATACATCTCCAGAACCTTTCATTTGATAATCAAAAGTCAGCTCTTCTCCAGCATTTTTGGTTCTCGTGGAAAACATTGCTATTCAGGGAAGACGAGTATTGTTGTAGGAGTTATTAAGAAATTATTTTAGGCAGATAGAGAGGAAAAGGGGTCCTTGGGAAGTTTTCATTTTTTAAAGCATCTCCGGAAAAGTTTCTTGTAAAGCCCCAGCTCTTAGAGCCAGGCTGTGAACCTGACTCCTCCCAAAGTTGGTTCAGCCTACGCCCAGTGATTGGCAAGGACAGCTTGTGAGCTGGAAACAAAATGAAGTTGTTTGGGTTGGATCTTTTTCACGGTCTCAGTCACAATTTTGCAATGACAGTTTCAAAAGCTACCTATCACTCCTTTGAAAATACCTTGTACACTGGCGGTTAAGTCATAACCTAATTAAGGCTCGTTGGTTTCACCTGTGAGGTTACTCTTTGTAAAGTTCAAAAGCCAAAAATCTTAACTGCTTGGCGTGGCTGAAGTCAAGTAACAAGGGATTTAAAAAGAATTTCTTAAAGAGCGCTCAGCTTAATTAAAAGTGAATATTCAAGTTTTAGGTATATTTAAAAGGCCTTTATGTTTTTCTTTTCTTGGATCTTGTTTTCTGGAAAAAGGTTCTTCTCAGTCGGCTGAATTATTTTCTTCCATTTTTTTTTTTTTTTTGTCTTGCCACTCTTAGTGCATGCATGAAAGGCCCTGAGATAACTTCTGGTAGCATGGGACTCCTTGGGAAAAATAGAGGAGGTGCCACAGACCCTGTTTTGGGGAAAAACCTGTTTTCCTCATGAAACCCCAGAAATTAAAAGCAAATAGTTCCCTCTCAAAATCAAAGGCTCTGTTCTGTTTTGCATTATCTGATGGTTTTGAGTTTTGCGGTATCAGAAATTACTCCGCATTGTAAGAGAGCTTTGGTGTATAATAACTAGGTAAAAAATACCCTGTAAGGGGTGGCTAATAATAGTTATAAATCAGAAAAGCATGCTCTTGGCCACCTGAAAAATAAGGAAACATCCCCACCCCACACTGGGAGATGAGACTCCCGTCAGAGATGGGCTAATTACAAAATAAGCCAGTTGGCTTTGGGTTGCCTTGCAATGAAATGCATGGTAGAAGCACTATACTGTCTTCTCCTCTAGTATCTATATGGTCTTTTCATAAATTAAGCATTGAAATAAAAGCATAGCAAGGAGGTCTTAAAACACTACTCTGCCTTTTAGTAAAAGGGTTATAAAAAGTTTGTAGAAATTTCACTTCATGGTCAAGTTGGTTAGGATTAGATGGAATAATCTATAAGGTTTTATTTAAACAAATTAGGGTTAACATTAACAAACTAATACAAGGGTAAAATTTGGTTTTAAACAGGATTTCCATGTCATAGTAAAGGCTAATAAAAGGTTTTTGACTTTTAAGTCATCATTTGGGCAAAATAATCTATGGCAGTCTGGGAACTGTCCTTCCTAATTGGCTTTTTGGATGGTTCATAGGGCCCCTGAAACATTTAAAAAAGAGATAAACAGGATTATTTGACATGTTTAGTCACATGAGATTGCCAAAATGATGTCCAATCTTCTTTAAGTTATATTTTGGTGAATAATACTAATATATGTTCAAAAATTGTATGGGATTTCTAAAATTCTAATGTCTAAGTATATGCTCTCAGTCATAATTAAAGGTAAAGTTATCGTAGACCATGGATATACACAAACTTCTTTGTCAGTCATGTTTTTAATTGTAACTACCCAGGAAATGTTGCCATTCGCAGACAAGTGTTTTGTTCCTTCTCAAAAGACGGTTTGTAATCAAGCTATATTAAGAACTTTAACAGGTGTTCTCAAATGCAGGTTTTAATAGCTTTACAGATTGTAACATTGGAACAGAGAAAGAACATAGAAAACTTTTAAAGAACTGACATGTTCACAAATATCAAGCAAAACAAGAGTTAACTAAATGAGTTGCACTCAGAAAGTTAAAGCAAGTCTTTTATCTTTTGCTTGGAATACTGCTGATCCTTGTTTTGTTTTTCAGAGTCAAGGAGAAACTTATTTTAAACTATTGATGGCCTTTAATAATTGAGTAAGGTATATTCCTATGAACAAAATTTAGAGCATGTTTATTTCTCTGCCTGGTTCCTCTGGAATTTGGGAACTATCTGTGAATACTCTTAACTTATGGCAATATAGTTGTTTGCATCGGTGCAATAAGAATCCATTTTTCTTTGTCAGCGGGACACAATTGGAAAAACTGGTTATTTTACCAAGGCTTTAACTGAAAGGGTGTGTTTCTCTTTAAGGAATCAAGCTTGACATGCAGAGCCAATAAAAGCCCCTTGGGGAGAACTGGCCTCATACCTTGTCTACACAGTCCCTGCACAGGGTTCCTAACCTGTGGTTAGTAAAGAATGTCACTTTCTAACAGGTCTGGAAGCTCCGAGTTTATCTTGGGAACTCAAGAGGAGAGGATCACCCAGTTCACAGGTATTTGAGGATACAAACCCATTGCTGGGCTCGGCTTTAAAAGTCTTATCTGAAATTCCTTGTGAAACAGAGTTTCATCAAAGCCAATCCAAAAGGCCTATGTAAAAATAACCATTCTTGCTGCACTTTATGCAAATAATCAGGCCAAATATAAGACTACAGTTTATTTACAATTTGTTTTTACCAAAAATGAGGACTAGAGAGAAAAATGGTGCTCCAAAGCTTATCATACATTTGTCATTAAGTCCTAGTCTCATTAATTGTTTTCAAGCTTTTCGCCTACATTTTAGACTAACCCTGCTTATTCCTGTGAATCAAGTAGTGGTCTCCTGCAGCTTGGAAGAAAAAATAAGGGATGGGTAATGTAAAAATCTGGATCAATATACTGGTTCTGGGCAATTATCCTGCAAATTCTGCCAGGTAATAAAAGTGAGTAGGGTGCCCATAATCCGGAAGTTTCTTTGTTTAGGAAAATAAAAACAAGGAACTTCATAGACCCCCCCCAAAGGGGAATTCTATATCTTGACAAGTAAAATTTTAGATGGAAATTATCTACAACACCACACTTACGGAAATTGCTATCCTCACTCTATTATTTGCAAAAGGGTTATACACAGTAGCACCTTCTAACTGAAGTATTAAACAGAGTTTCCATTGCTGTCGTATTTTGCTTAATTATTATCCTTATAGCAGGGATAATAGTTACTAACAAAAAGGAAGCATGAAAGTTTTACTATCACTGAGCCTGGTAGGACTTTTTATTGGGTTTAGTGATGCAGTTTTAAATGAAACATGCCGCTTTTGGATTAATACCTCTAGTAAAGGAAAATTTACAGATACTTAAAAATCAAATCAAAATTATTGATAGGCTCAGGAAAAATGCCAGCTTCAGCCCTGAGTGGCTACAAACCCTCTTTAATAAATTCCAGTCTTCTTTATGGAATTGGTTAACGCCTTTATTAAGCCCTCTCTTGCTTATATGTCTTGTATTGATATTTGGACTCTGTATATACAATACTATAACTCGAATTGTTTCTTCTCGCCTAGAAGCAATCAAACTCCAAATGGTGCTGTAAACTGAACCACACATGGACAGGCCATTCTTCCGAGGACCCTTAGATTGATCCCAGGGGGAGCCCTAGCTGCTATTCCCCATTCAACGCCCCTTTTCAGCAGGAAGTAGCCAGAAGGAGTCGCCGCCCAAAATCCCCTAACAGCAGTTAGTGTGGCATCTCCACAGGAAGTAATGTTGTAGGAGTTACTAAGAAATTATTTTAGGCAGATAGAGAGGAAAAGGGGTCCTTGGGAAGTTTTCATTTTTTAAAGCATCTCTGGAAAAGTTTCTTGTAAAGCCCCGGCTCTTAGAGCCAGGCTGGCAACCTTTGATATGCAAATGTAAGCCATTAGAAACCAGGTCCACCCAGGCCAGGTGTGGTGGCTCACGCCTGTAATCCCAACACTTTGGGAAGCCTAGGCAGGTGGATCACCTGAGGTCAGGAGTTCGAGACCAGCCTGGCCAACATGGTGAAACCCCGCCTCTAATAAAAACACAAAAAACTAGCCAGGTGTGCTGCTGTGTGTCTGTAATTCCAGCTACTTGGGAGGCTGAGGCAGGAGAACTGCTTGAACCCAGGAGGCAGAGGTTGCAGTGAGCTGAGATTGCATCATTGCACTCCAGCCTGGGCGACAGCAAGACTCTGTAAAAAAAAAAAAAAAAAAAAAAAAAAACAGCCAGGCGTGGTAGCACGCCTGTAGTCCCAGCTACTTGGGAGGCTGAGATGGGAGGATCACCCTCGACTGGGGAAGTTGAGGCTGCAGTGAGCTGAAATCGCACCACTGCACTCCAGCCTGGGTGACAGACTGAGACCCTGTCAAATAAATAATGTATGTATGTATATATGTATGTATGTATGTTAACCTCATCCCAAAACATCCTCACAGAACATCCAGAATAATGTTTGACCAAATATCTGGGCACCAATGGCACATTCAAGTTGACACATAAAATTAACCCTCACAATACCGTACTGTACAACTTTTGGAGTGAAGCTGGAATGTCATCGCATTTCCAAGACTAACTCAGTGTCCACAAATGATGCTTAAGTCATGAGGATCATCTCGGATTTGGATTTGGATGCCTGTCAAGCCCTCACTCTTCAGACTAAATGTCTGATTTGCATGGAGAATTATCAAGAGAAGCAACAATGCCAAGCAGACTATTCCAGGTCAAAATAGTCAAATTAATAATTCATAAATTATTATATGTTTTGAAGGTATTGCAAAATTAAAGTTGCAAGAACAGTACAGATAACTTTTTTCCTGAACCATTTGAGAGTAGGTTGCAGACCTGGTGCCCCATCATTTCTGAATATTTTAGTGTGCATTTTCTACAAACAAGGACATTTTCCAGCATAACCACAATGCACCCATCAATGTCGTGAAATTAATGTTGGTACATTACTACCACCTAGTCCTCAGACCCTATTCAAATTATACCAGTTATCATAATAGTTTCTTATAATTTATAGCAAAATGATCCAAACCAGGAGCATGCATTGCATTTTTATGAATTTTTAAAACAATTAAGTCTGTGTAGTGAGTGAAGCCACAGTGATAGGAATATATAAAGGCTTTGCATCTAGAATTTGTTCTGAAAACCCTGAGATTCAAGTAGTACATTATTTCATTTACTATTTTACACAGAGAAGCCCTCATTTTTAAGAGTTTGCCTTTCTGATTTCCACCGGAAATGATACTATCAGTATCATACTCAGAATCTTAATTACATACAAGGCACTAACCTCTCACCTGTTTTCAGCTTTGTGTAAAGACAAGGGATCAAAACATCCCTTTCTGCTATTTCATACTTAAGTGTGGGAGCTGATCCAAAGGAAGAATAGTTTCAAAAGTTTGTAGCAAAAAAAATTTAAAAGGTGAAGATTTTTTCCTTGAATGATTCTCACCTGGCAGATCTATGGAAAGATTAGCTGACTCTTTGGATCCCTGAATATAGTTAATAGAAATTTGGAAGGACCATGTCAAAATTAACTAATGTGAACTGACAAAGATTTGGTGTTCAAAGCAAAAATTAAACTTTGGAAAAGTGAGCAAGTACTTAATCAGAAACAAAAAAAAAAAAAAGAAAGGAAAAGTTAGGTGAAAATGGTTTCCAGGTGTTGTTGCTGTTATAGTTTGAATCATAAAAGTTGTTAAAAGTCTGCTGTAACAAACCATCATAGACTGGGTGACTTATAAAGAACAAAAATGTATTTCTCACAGTTCCAGAGGCTGGGAAGTCTAAGATCAAGGCATCAGCAGATTCAGTGTCTGGTGAGGGCCCACTTTCTGGTTCATAGATGGCACCTTCTCACTGTCTCCCCACGTGATGGAAGGGGCAAGAGGTCTCTCTTGGTACTCTTTTATTAAGGGCACTAATCCCATCCATGGGGCTCCACCTTCATGACCTATTCATCTCCCAGAGGCCCTACCTGCAGATACCATCGTATGGGGGATTTGATTTCAGCCTGTGAATTTGGGGGAAGCGGGACAAACATTCGTTTTGTAGCAAAAGGAGTAGAGTAATATCTGCCAATAACTGGAGGAAAGAATTGTTCTTTTAAAACTATTAAATTGTTTAATGGGATTTAAATGATTTCAGGAATGAAATGGAAATCCTGGTAATGGGTAGAAACATAGGTAAATTCTCCTTTTCCACTTACCACCACCTGTGTGAACAACAATCATTTCTCATTAATAGTCAAGAATTTGAAGAGATCATGAGTAAAAAGTCTTGATCAGAAATTGTGTATAGCTGTTTCCAGCATAAAACCTTATATAAAATGCATATTCATAGAAGATGCTCAAGTATGTCATGAAAAATATGAAGTTTATTTAAATATTTATACAAATTAAAGATTTACTGTATTCTCTAACAGCGCGTATTTTCTTTTTTGTAATAACTATATGAAATAAATACAAAGTAACACGTTTTTACCAAGCCCCCTTCCCATCCTTCTCATCACCCTCAAACTCCCTCCAAATAGAGTCAGAGAAACAGCCAGAGGGATGTCTCCACTGAGACACAGGGAGGTCTTGCACCCAGGCAGTTCAGCAGTTCCTGGGCGGGTGGCCCTTCCCATCTGAGTACCCCTCAATGTGCCTGCTCCTCCTGGGATCCTTTCTGCTCCCTTGGGCCTCTGTTTTTGGTCTGCAATGGTTGGTTATGTAGAGGGATCAGTATTGGGGTTGTCCCAAGCCAGGCTACAGGTTGAGCAGGTAGCCACATAGGCCACATAGCAGGACGGGCCCAGCTGGGGACTCTGATGTCTGCAATTAGGGGTGGCAGGAAGTAATGGATGCACAGGCGCTGACTTGGCCTGGCCTTAAGCCTTAGTCTAGCGGAAAGGTCTGGCTGTTTACCTGCCTTCCTATTTGGAGCTGATCCCAGGACCAAACGGGATGCCATCGTACCAAGGGCAGGGAGATGAAGGGAGGCCCTCAGAAGAGAATGAGGCCTAAATGCCAGGTAAAGGGCAGGAAGGGGTTCAATCCCAGCAGCACCTCCTGGTGGTAGTTGGGGAAATAAAATGGCCAGAGAGGAGACTGGCCCTGAAGGCATCTCCAGAGCTTGAGTCCCTCAGTAGCCAACCTGAGCTCCTAAACCCCTCTGGACTAGGTCCCCTTCTCCACTTAACCTGCCTCCTCAAGAAAGACAGGATGGGGCCGGGCACAGTGTGGCTCGCGCCTGTAATCCTAGCATTTTGGGAGGCCGAGGCAGGTGGATCACCTGAGGTCAGGAGTTCGAGACCAGCCTGGCCAACGTGGTGAAACCCCGTCTCTACTAAAAATTTAAAAATTAGCCGGGCATGGTGGTGGGCGTCTGTAATCCCAGCTACTTGGGAGGCTGAGGCAGGAGAATCACTTGAACCTGGGAGGTGGAGGTTGCAGTGAGCCAAGATTGTGCCACTGCACTCCAGCCTGGGCAACAGAGTGAGACTCGGTCTCAAAAAGAAAGAGAGAGGAAGAGAGAAAAGAAAGGAAAGAAGAAAGAAAAGAAAAAGAAATAAAAAGAAGAAATAGAAGAAAAGAAGAAAGAAAAAAGAAAAAGAGGAAAGAAAGAAAAGAGAGGAAGAAGAGGGAGGGAGGGAGGGTGGGAGGGAGGACCTTCTGGCAGGTGCCCTGGGGAAAGGGGGATGGAGCTGGAGCATGATGTGGTGGTGGGGGCGGGTGGGTCTCTTCACCTCAGAGGACTGGGTGACCAACACTGCCTTGAAGCTGCCGTCTTTCTGGAGGCCATCACAGTCTGCGGGGGTCGCAAGTCAGGGTACCCCCAGTGACCCTGGCCCTATAAAGCCTTGCATTTCTCCACCTGATCTCCCTCCCATCTTACTTCCAGTGCCCCAGCCGTTCCCAGCAGGACAAGCTGGGCCCCACCGTCTGGTTTCTAGGCCTTAGCTACTGCTGAGGTGGATTCTCCTCCTTCTCACAACCTGAGAAACCCCTACTCATCTCTCCAGACAGTTCATCACCACCTTCTCTGGGGTCTTCCTTCACCTTCCTTCAGACACAGAAAAGTGAAAATATTAGCTATGAAAAATATATAGTTGAAAGAAAGAACACAATAGATGGGACAAATAGCAGGTTGACCACAGATGAAGAATGAATAAGTGAATTGGGAGATCAGATTGAGGACCTCTCCCAGAAAGCAGCAGGAAAGAATAAAAATATAGAAAACAATAATTTAAAAAACAAGAGAAATGGAGAAATGTCCGCATTTTGATAATAGCCTTAGAGTATAATCATAAATAAATAAAGAAAATATTTGAAGAATGGAGGTAAATATCCCAGGAATAAAGTTTGCTGAATACAAAATCAGCTTACGAAATTCTATTGTATTTCTATATAAAAACAAATACAGCTGAAAAACAAAAAATTAAATTATTTAAATAGCATTAAAAAATCACTTACCTAGAAATCCCAGGAATAAATCTAACAGACAATGTGTAAATCCTTTCTGGAGAAAACTATAGCACTTGCAAAAGAGAGATTAAGGAAGATGACCAATGCCGGGCATGGTGGCTCACTCCCGTAATCCCAGTAATTTGGGAGGCCGAGGCAGGAGGATCACCTGAGGTCAGGAGTTTGAGACCAGCCTGGCCAACATGGTGAAACCCCGTCTCTACTAAAAATACAAAAATCAGTTGGGCGTGGTGGTGTGCACCTATAATCCCAGCTACTCGGGAGGCTGAGAGAAAAGAATCACTTGAATCCGGGAGGCAGAGGTTGCAGTGAGCCAGGATCGAGCCATTGCACTCCATCCTGGGCGACAAGAGTGAAACTTCATCTCAAAAAAAAAAGACCACCCTGGGCAACATGGTGAAGCCCTGTCTCTGCAAAAAATACAAAAATTAGCCAGGTATGGTGGTGTATGCTTGTAGTCCCAACTACTTGGGAAGCTGTGGCAGGAGGATCACTTGAGCCTGGGAGGCGGAGGTTGTAGTGAGCTAAGATCGCACTATTGCACTCTAACCTAGGTGACAGAGTAAGACACTGTCTCAAAAAAAGAAAAAGAAAAAAAAAAGAGTAAATAACGCCTGTAATCCCAGCACTTTGGGAGGCCAACGCGGGAGGATCACTTGAGCCCAGGAGTTCAACATTAGCCTCGGCAACAGAGTGAGACCTTGTCTCTACAAATTTTTTTTTAATTAGCTGGGTGTGGTGTCACGCACCTATAGTCCCAGCTACTTGGGAGGCTAAGGTGGGATCACTTGAGCCTGGGAGGTCAAGGCTGCAGTGAGACATGATCACACCACTGCACTCCAGCCTGGGTGACAGAGTGAGACTCTGTCTCAAAAAAAAAAAAAAAGATGTAAATAAATGAAGTGAGATACCATATTCACATGCATAAGCTGCTGAACTCAGTATTACAAGAATGCCAGTTCTCCCCAAGTAGCTCTACAGATTCAATGTGATTCCAATTAAACCCTGATGGGTGGGTTGGTTGGTTTGTTTCTTTTGGTGGAACTTGACTGATTCTAAAATGTATATATTAATAGAAATGAAAAAGTTAAGAATAGCCATGACTCCTGAAGAAGAACTATGATGGAGGACTTGATCTCTCAGATGTTAAGGGTTTTTTAAAAAAATAAAGCTATAGTAATTAAGAGTGTAGTACTGGCAGCCGGGCATGGTGGCTCACGCCTGTAATCCCAGCACTTTAGGAGGCCAAGGCAGGAGGATGACTTGAGGTCAGGAGTTCGAGACCAGCCTGGCAAACATGGTGAAACTCCGACTCTACTAATCCGACTGTACTAAAAATACAAAAATTAGCCAGGTGTGATGGCAGGTGCCTGTAATCCCAGCTACTTGGGAGGCTGAGGCAGAAGAATTGCTTGAACCCGGGAGGCGGAGGTTGCAGTGAGCTGAGATTGTGCCACTGCACTCCAGCCTGGGTGACAGAGCGAGACTCCATCAAAAAAAAAGAAAAAAGAAAAGAAGGATGAATCCATGCATATTCGCATACTTGATTTATCAAAAATGTGTCTCTGTAGAGCCATGGGAGCAGGGCAGTCTTTTCAACAAATGGTGCTGGGACAATTGGGTGCCCAGTTAAAAAAATAATAATAAATAACTAAAGCTAAATTGGGTATTTACGTCACATTATATATTTTTTAAAACTCAAATGATTCCCAGGTAGATTATAGACCTAAGTGTGAAAAGCAAAGAAAGTAACAAATGGGGTATATTCTTGACATTAGAATAGTAAAGTATTTATTTTTTAAAAAATAGAGATGGGAGGTCTTGCTACATTGCCCAGGCTGGTCTCAAACTCCTGGCCTCAAGTGATCCTCCCACCTTGGCCTCCCAAAGTCTTGGGATTACAGGCATGAGCCACCGCGCTGGGCCTGGGATGGTAAAAGATTTCTTAAACAAGACACCAAAAGTACAAACCATGAAAAGAAAGGACTGATAAAATTGACTCCGTCAAAAATAATAACTTCTTCACCCAGAGACACCATAAATGGTACAAAGGAAAACCACAAAATGGGAAAATTTGTTTGCATCACTTAAAATCAGATTCCATATCCAGATCGTAAGATGAAGTTCTACAATTCAACAAGAGAAAGATAGATAATCAATAGAAAAATATGTGAAAGAGTTGAACAGTTTTACAAGAGAGTACTTGAATGGCCAGTAAAAAAATATGAAAAGGTAGGCCTGGTGTGCTGGCTCATGCCTGCAATCCCAGCAACTTGGGAAGCCCAGGTGGGAGGATCAGTTGAGACCAGGAGTTGAAGACCAGCCTGGGCAACATAGTGAGACCATCTCTACAAATTTTTTTTTTAATATCCAGGCATGATGGTGGCATGCCTGTAGTCCCAGCTGCTTAGGAGCCTGAGGCAGGAGGACTGCCTGAGCCCAGCCCTGTAGTTCAAGGCTGCAGTGAGCTGTGATCATGCTACTGCACTCCAGCCTGGGCAACAGAGCAAGACCCTGTCTCTAAAAAGAAAAAAATATTAAAGGTGCTCAACTTCATTAATTATCAGGAAAATGCCTGTTTAACACACATGAGATACCATTTTACAATCCTCAGCTTGGCAAAAATTTAAAATTGACTGTTCCAAGGGTTGGGAAATATGTGGAATAATAGGACCTTTCATACTCTGCTGGTTGGAATATACATTAGTAAAACTACTTCTTCAGAAAAGTTTGACACTAGCTAGAAAAGTTAAAGATGTGCATACCTTTTGTCCCAATAAGTCATACACCCTACGGAAATGTATGCTTAGGGCCGGGTGCGGTGGCTCATGCCTGTAATCCCAGCACTTTGGGAGGCCAAGGTGGGCAAATCACCTGAGGTCAGGAGTTCGAGACCAGCCTGGTCAACATGGTGAAACCCCATCTCTACTACAAATACAAAAATTAGCTGGGTGTGGTGGTGCACACCTGTAGTCCCAGCTACTCGGGAGGCTGAGGCAGGAGAATGGCTTGAACCTGGGAGGTGGAGGTTGCAGTGAGCTGAGATTGCACCACTGTACTCCAGCCTGGGCGACAGAGCAAGACTCTGTCTTAAAACAAAACAAAAAAAAGTCTGCTTATGTATACCAGGAAATATGTACAAAAATGTTCTTGCAGCATTGTTTATACAGTTAAATATCAGAATGTTCCAAATGCCTTTCAAAAGTAGAGTTGACAGATTATGGTAGATTCATAAAATGAAATACTGTTGCCGAACACCAGGGGTTCAGCCTAGGCCTGGTTGCTTGCCGCACAGAAAGCCAATCACTGAGATGAATATTGCCAGGGAAGAACAGCTTTAATGCCAGTAATGTCAGCCAGGAGATGGGAGACCAGTCTCAAATCCATCTCTCCAATTGACTAAAGTTAGGGGTTTATATAGTAGGGAAGGAACGTAAAACAAGAATTAGGGAGGAGTAAGGAAGAGGAGTTGGTCAACGGGCAGCAGGTGGTTGGATGAGGGGTCTGGTGTCTCACCGTAACCATATGCAGGAAAACAGAAATTCGGGAGGTATAAAGAAGAGGAGTTTGTCAACAGGCAGCAGCCATGTCTCATTGTCTGGATGTGGTGATATGGGAGATTTCAGTTCCTCGATTCTCTCTGGGAGGCCTGATGGTTGGTTTCCTGAGAAAGGAACTCAGATAAAAACAAATATAAGTTTCTCAATTTTCAGTTTAGTGCAAAAACTGGGTTGATTTCAATACTATACAGGCAAGAAGATAAAGCACAGCTATATGTTAAAACGTGGATCAATCTTAAAAGCATAATGTTGAATGAAAGAAACCAAACACAAGAGAATACATACTGTACGACTCTATGATGTTAATAAAAACAGGCAAAACTAAACTACACAAATAGGAAGTCATGCTTAAGTGGTAAAATGTTAAAGAAAAGTAAGGAAGTGGTGACCATAAAAGTCAATGTTTGGATCCTGAATCAAACAATCTAACTATTAAAAGATATATTTTGGTCGGGTGTGGTGGCTCACACCTGTAATCCCAGCACTTTGTGAGGCCAAGATGGAAGGATCACTTGAGGCTGGAAGTTAGAGACCAGACTGGGCAACAGAGCAAAACTCTATCTCTACAAAAAAAATTCAAATTAGGTGCACTTGGTTTCTCAAGTCACCCACTTAGCCCTCTTCCAAGTTGTACTTTCCTTCTTTTCTTTCCTTTCCTTACTGTTCTAAAGCTTTTAAATAAACTTTCACTCCTGCTTTGAAAAAAATAAAAATTAGCCAGGTGTGGTGGTGTATGCCTGTAGGCCCAGCTACTCGGGAGGCTGAAGCTGGAGGATCACTGGAGCCCAGAAGCTTGAGGTTACAGTTTGAGCTATGATTGTGCTGCACTCCAGCCTGGATGACAGAACAAGACCCTGCATTTTAAAAAAATGTTTTTTATTTGTAAATAATTTTTCAAATATGTTTTTAGTTAAATTGGGAACATCTGAATATAATGACATTCATTTGACTATGATGACAGTAAGGAATGATTGTGAATTGTGTTAGGTGTACTAATCGTTTTGTAATTACATAAGGAAATGTCTTCATGTCATGTTTCACGATTTTAAAAGGCAAATAAAACAGGAAACAATGTTTGTATGAATGCCCTCTAATTGTAACAGGAATGATCCTTCAGGTAAATAATGTCCTTGCATCTGTGAAACTTCTACCTACAGACACTAAGAAACAACAGATTCCTGTTTGGAGTAATAATCAGTTATATCATTTGATTTAAACTGACTCAGCTTAATGTTTAATAAGTAAATTGTTAAATGTTTGAGAAGGAAACAGGTCTACTTGTACACGTCTTTCTGGTCTGTTCTAATGTACTCTTTGCTTTGGCTCAGATCAAAATGTTTGAAGAAAAAAACCCTTTATTTTCAGGGTCTCACTCTGTCACCAAGGCTGGAGTACAGTGGCGTGATCACGGCTCACTGCAGTCTCCACCTCCCGGGCTCAAGCAATCCTCCCACCTCAGCCTCCAAAGTAGCTGGGACTATAGGTGCACGCTACTCTGCTCAGCCAATATTTTATTTTTTGTTGAGACAGGGTCTCACTATGTTGTCCAGGCTGGCTTGAACTCCTGGGCTCAAGCGATTCTCCTGCCTCAGCCTCCGAAAGTGTTGGGATTATAGGCCTAAGCCACCATGCCTGGCCAGAAAAGAACTTTATTCTTGCTATTTCAGTGCATTTTTTAAATGCCTGAAATGTGTTCAATATGTCTATATCTTAGAACCTCTGCAACTCAATGTTTTCTGCTTTCAAAGCAAAGTTAAATTGGGAACTTTTAAATGGAGAACATTTGCCTGTATTGGACATGAGGGTATATGTGTATATATGGGTGTTTTAAAGTATACACATGACTGGCCTTTTCATTCTTTGTCTCTATGTGATGCTGTATTTGAGAAGTTATACCTTGTTTTAGTCTAATAATAGGTAGCATATTTTGACCATTTATGAACAACAATAAATACATATTGCTGACATAATTAAGAAAAAACTTTTTAAAAGGCAAGATCATGGTTGTAAACTTTTAGTTCAAGGCATGGTCAGACACTGGGGAGCTTCTTTCACTGCCCTCAAAAAAGAAATCTCCTTTACACCCTTCAAAAAATTAACTCAAAGTGGATCATACACCTAAATGTAAAATGCAAAACTATAAAACCCCTAGAAGATAACATAGGAGAACATGTAAGTGCCCTTGGGTATGGCAATAACTTTTTAGGTACAACGCCAAAGGCATGATCCATGAAAGAAATGATTGATAAGCTTGACTTCATTCAGATTAAAAACTTCTGCTCTGCAAAAGATACTGTCACCCGGGTGTGATGGCTCATCCTGTAATCCCAGCACTTTGGGTGGCTGAGGTGAGTGGATCAGCTGAGGTCAGGAGTTTGAGACCAGCCTGGCCAACATGGTGAAACCCCATCTCTACTAAAAACACAAAAATTAAATCCGGGGGTGGTGGCTCACGCCTGTAATCCCAGCACTTTGTAAGGCTGAGGTGGGTGGATCACCCGAGGTCAGGAGTTCAAGGCCAGCCTGGCCAACACGGTGAAACCTTGTCTCTACCAAAATACAAAAATTAGCCAGGCATGGTGGCAGGTGCCTATAGTCCCATCTACTTGGGAGGCTGAGGCGGGAGAATCGCTTTAATCCTGGAGGCGGAGGTTGCAGTGAGCCAAGATCGTGCCATTGCACTCCAGTCTGGGTGACAAGAGCAAAACTCCGTCTCAAAAAAAAAAAAAAAATTCAAAAATTAGCTGCAGTGAGCCGAGATCGTGCCATTGCACTCCAGCCTAGGTGACAGAGAGAGACTCCCTCTCCAAAAAAAAAACAAGACACTGTCAAGAGAATGAGAAAACAAACTATAGACTGGTATAAAGTATTTGCAAAAGACATATCTGATAAAGGATCTTTAAGACACATAAATAACTCTTAAAACTCAACAATAAGAAAAGGAACATCCCGATTTAAAAACAGGCAAAAGAAGCCTGGCATGGTGGCACATGCATGTAGTCCCAGCTACTTGAGGGCTGAGGCAGGAGGATCATTTGACTGAGGAGTTTGAGATGAGCCTGGGCAACACAGCAATACCCCACCTCATAATAAGAAAAAGGGAAAAGACCTGAACAGACACCTCACCAAAAAAGATATACAGATGGCAAATAAGCATGTTAAAAGATGCTCCACATCATATGTCATTAGGGTTTGCAAATTAATACAGGGAGATACCACCACATACCTATTAGTATGGCCAAAATCCAGGACACCGACAATACCAAATGCTGATGAGGATATGGAGCAACGGGAACTCTCATTCATTGCTGATGGGAATGCAAAATGGTTCAGCCACTTTGGAAGACAGTTTGGTAGGTTCTTACAAAACTAAACATATTCTTACCTTACCATTCAGCAATCACACTCTTTTGTATTTGCCCAAGTGATTTGAAAATTTACAACTACATAAAAACCTGCAATGGATATTTATAGCCGATTTATTCACAACTGCCCAAACTTGGAAGCAACCAAGATGCCCTTCAGTAAGTAAATAGATAAAATGTGGTACATCCAGACAACAGAATGTTATTCAGCAATAAAGATAAATGAGCTATCAAGCCACCAAGAGACATGGAAGAATCTTAAATGCATATTAATAAGTGAAAGAAGGCAATCTGAAAAGGCTATATACTATATGATTCCTAAATAATAACATTCTGGAATAGGTAAAACTATGGAGACAGTAAAAAAAATCAGAGGTTGCTAGGAGTTATGGGAGGGAAGTATGAATAGGTGGAACACAGAGGATTTTTAGGGCAATGAAACTACTCTGTATGATACTATAATGGTGGATACATGTCATTATACATTTGTCAAAGCCCATAGAGTGTACAACACCAAGAGTGAACCTTAATGTAAGCTATGTACTTGACCAATTATGTGCCAGTGTATTGACTATAACGAATGTACCACTCTGCTGGGGATGTTGATAGTGGGGGAAGCTGTGCCTGTGTAGGAGCAGGGGGTATATGGGATACATACTTTCCACTCAATTTTGCTGTGGACCTAAAACTGCTCAAAGAAATAGAGTCTCATTCTGTCACCCAGGCTTAAGGGCAGTGGTGTGATTTCGGCTCACTGCAAACTCTGCCTCCGGGGTTCAAGCGATTATCTTGCCTCAGCCACCCGAGTAGCTGGGATTACCACCACCACACCCGGCTTTTTTTTTTTTTTTTTTTTTTTTTTTGAGATGGAGTCTCACTGTCGCCCAGGCTGGAGTGCAGTGGCGCGATCTCGGCTCGCTGCAGGCTCCACCCCCCGGGGGTTCACCCCATTCTCCTGCCTCAGCCTCCCAAGTAGCTGGGACTACAGGCACCCGCCACCACGCCTGGCTAATTTTTTGTATTTTTAGTAGAGACGGGGTTTCACCGTGTTAGCCAGGATGGTCTCGATCTCCTGACCTCGTGATCCGCCCGCCTCGGAAATTTTTGTATTTTTAGTAGAGGAGGGGTTTCACCATGTGGGCCAGACTGGTGTTGAACTCCTGGCCTCAAGTGATCCGCCCACCTCGGCCTTCCAAATTGCTGGGATTAGAGGTGTGAGCCACCACGCCTAGCCTATATTTATATATATATATTTTTTTTTGTTTGTTTGTTTTTTGTTTTTAAGTAATCTTTTTATCTCTTCCAGGCACAGGACTGATGCAGCCTGAAATCAGACATAAAACCAAATCCTGCAGGTTGCTGAATTACAACGCAGGTTGAATTCATAGGATCTCCAGGTCTCATATGCAAAAACATGGCTACTGATTAGGGAACAATGGGACCTTGAGACTAGGAATAGGAACATCAGGATTGATTTGGATAGATCTGAGCACCCTAAACCCCAACCCTCACTGAGTTTCCCCTGGCAGCAGAAGCAGCCCTTCTTCCCCAGTCTATGGGGCTGGTCCTGCCTGACTTGGGGACCCTCTCACTGTTAGGCTAATCTTTTCAAGATCCACCCGTATCATCTCTTGCTGCCTCCAGACCCATTACTGAATTCAGATTCCTGTATGTCCCAGGAAGTAAAGTCAAACCTATGAGGAGAAAGCACACACACACAAATGATAAGATTTAGCTAATTTATACTGGCAGAAACCTCCATAATATGGGTGACAGAGTGAGACCATGTCTCAAAAAAAAAAAAAAAAAAAAAAAAGAAAAAGAAAAAAAGAAACCTCCATAATATGTGAGAACTGATTCTATGGATGATAGATCGGGAAAAAGAAGTGTAATTTTTGATTGGGCCAAACTTTTTTTTTTTTTGAGACGGAGTCTCGCTCTGTCTCCCAGGCTGGAGTGCAGTGGAGCGATCTCAGCTCACTGCAAGCTCCGCCTGCTGGGTTCACACCATTCTCCTGCCTCAGCCTCCCGAGTAGCTGGGACTACAGGCGCCCACCACCACACCTGGCTAATTTTTTGTATTTTTAGTAGAGACAGGGTTTCACTGTGTTAGCCAGGATGGTCTCGATCCCCTGACCTCGTGATTAGCCCGCCTCGGCCTCCCAAAGTGCTGGGATTACAGGCATGAGCCACCCTTTTTTGTTTTTTTTTTTTTTTTGATATGGATTTTCGCTCTTGTTGCCCAGGCTGGAGTGCAATGGCTTGATCTCGGCTCACCACAACCTCCGCCTCCCGATTTCAAGTGATTCTCCTGCCTCAGCCTCCCGAGTAGCTGGGATTACAGGCATCCACCGCCAGGCCTGGCTAATTTTGTATTTTTAGTAGAGACGGGTTTCTCCATGTTGGTCAGGCTGGTCTCGAACTCCCGACCTCAGGTGATCCACCCACCTTAGCCTCCCAAAGTGCTGGGATTACAGGTGTGAGCCACTGCGCCTGGCTGGGCCAAACTTTTTCATTGTGGTAAACTATATATAACATAAAAATTTCTGGAAAGGCTCACTGTAGCTGCCACCTCCCAGGTTCAAGTGATTCTCCTGCCTCAGCCTCCCAAGTAGCTGGGATTACAGGCACATGCCACCACGCCCAGCTAATTTTTGTATTTTTGGTAGAGATGGGTTTCACCATGTTGGCCAGGATGGCCTCGAACTCCTGACCTCAGGTGATCCGCCCACCTCGGCCTCTCAGAGTGCTGGGATTACAGGCGTGAGCCACTGCGCCTGGCCTCCTTTGCCCATTTTTAAATTGAATTGCTTGTCTTTTTGTTGTTGAGTTGTAGGAGTTGTTTGTATATTCTGGATAGTAAATCCTTATCAGATATATGACTGCAAATATGTTATCTTATTCTGTAGGCTGTCTTTTCACTTTCTTGATGTCCTTTGATGCACAAAATTTTTAATTCTGATGAAGTCCAATTTATCTGTTTTTTCTGTTGTTGCTCATGCTTGTAGTGTCACACCTGAGACTGTTGCCACATCCAAGGTCATGAACATTAACTCCTATGTTTTCCTCCAGTTTTATGGTTTTAGGACTTAAATTTAGGTCATTAATCCATTTTGAGTTAATGGTATCTGGTGTGAATTAGGCATCCAACTTCATACTTTTGCATGTGAAAATCCAGTTGTCCCAGCACCATCTGTTGAAGAGACTAATCTCTCCCCTCGTTGAATGGACTTGGCACTCTTGTAAAACATCAATTGGTGGCTGGGCACAGTGGCTCACACCTGTAATCCCAACATTTTTGGGAGGCTGAGGTGGGAGGACTGCTCGAGCCCAGGAGTTTGAGGCCAGTCTGGGCAACAGAGTGAGACCCTGTCTCTACAAAAAAAAAAAAAAAAAAAAAAAATTAGCTGGGTGTATTGGCACATGCCTTTTAAATCCCACCTACTTGGGATGCTGAGGTAGGAGGATCATTTGAGCCCAGGAGTTTGAGGCTGCAGTGAGCCTCAAACTGCAGTGAGCCAAGATTACGCCACTGCACTCCAGCCTGGGCAACAGAGCAAGACTGTGTCTTGAAAAAAAAAAATTGGCCATTTGACTTTGTTCTTTTTTTTCTAAGATTGTTTTGGCTATTCACGGCCCCTTGTAATTCCATATGAATTTGAGGATCAGCTTTTTCATTTCTTTTTTTTTTCTTTTTTTTTTTGAGACGGAGTCTTGCTCTGTCACCCAGGCTGGAGTGCAGTGGCGCGATCTCAGCTCACTGCAACCTCCGCCTCCCAGGTTCAAGCAATTCTTCTGCCTCAGCCTCCCGAGTAGCTGGGATTACAGGCATGGATTACCATGCCCGGATAATTTTTTTAAATTATTTTTAGTAGATACGGGGGTTTCACCATGTTGGCCAGGCTGGCCTCGAACTCCTGACCTCGTGATCTGCCCGCCTCAGCCTCCCAAAGTGCTGGGATTACAGGCATAAGCAACCGCACCCCGCTAGCTTTTTCATTTCTGCAAAAAAGCTGTTGGAATTTTCATAAGGACTGTGTTGAATCTGTAGATCACTTTGGCTAGTATCAACATCTTATCAGTATTAAGTCTTCCAATCTATGAACATGAGATGCCTTTCCATTTCTTTAGATCTTTAATTTCTTTCACCAATGTTTCATGGTTTTCAATATACAAGTCTTTCTCCTCCTTGATTAAATTTATTCCTAGATATTTTATTCTTTCAGATGCTATTGTAAATTGAATTGTTTTCTTAACTTCATTTTGGATTGCTCATTGCTAGTGTATAAAAGCACACTGCTTTTTATGTGTTGATCTTGCACCTTGCAACTTTGCTGAATTTATTAGCTGTATGCCTTTTTTATTTTTTTAAGAGAGATGAGGTCTCATTCTGTCACCTAGGCTGGAATGCAGTGGCATGATCATAGCTCACTACAGCCTCAAACTCCTGGACTCAAGGGAGCCTCCTTCCTCAGCCTCCCGTGTAGCTGGGAGTACAGACACACATCACCATGCCCAGCTAATTTTTAAATTTTTTTTGTAGAGATGGGGTCTTGCTATGTTGCCTAAGCTGGTCTCGAACTCCTGGCTTCAAGCAGTCCTCCCACCTCAGCCTCCCAAAGTGCTGGGATCATAAGTGTTGGCTACCACACCCAGCCTGAAATGCCTTTTCTGCATCAAGTGAGATGATCATGTGTTTCTTTTCCTTTGTTCTATTAATGTGATGTTATTACCTTGATCGATTTTCTTATGTTGAACCATTCTTGCATTCCTAAGATAAATCCCACTTGGCCAAGACGTATCCTACTTTTAATATGCTGTTGGATTTAGTTTGCTAGTATTTTGTTGGGGATTTTGCATCTATATTCATAAAGGATATTTGTCTGTAATTTTATTTTCTTGTGATGTCTTTATCTGGTTTGGGTAGGGCCAAACTTTTCAGTATGGGTACACTCATCAGCAATCCTGGATGTACTTTGTTAGTTGAAGCAGCTAGGAGTATTTCTAAAAATTGTTCTATTGATTGACCAAAACCTCTACTCAATAGTAGCTTGTGTTAAATGAGGTTAAGATGCCAGAAATTCCATGGTACAGTGTAGGCAGGGGAATCCATCGTTTAGGGCAATAAGAATGTTGGAATCGATTAGTCATATGTAACACATTCAACTCACCCTTTTGACTATGTGGACATTGACATTCCTTTCACAGGACTTTGAGAAATACACTGTGGTAGAGACTAGCTAAGTGGTCATTAAACTTGTTTCCTCTTCCTCCTAGGGACAGATTTAGACTACATTTGTCAGTGTCCCTTACAGTTGGGTATGCCCATTGTCTGAGTTCTGGCTAATGGAATATGAGAAGTGATGTGTGCTACATCCGGCTCATAGAAACCTCCCACATGGTCTTTTCCTCTTCTGGCTATTAAGGATGGAGATGACAATAAATACAATGATGACCATGTTTTGAAGATGGCAGACCTTCTAGACAGAAAGTGCCTAAGCCTCTGAATCATCACTTAGAAGAGGGAAACTCAATTATTAACACCTGTTTTGGAATACTACAGAAGCAAGAAGTAAACTTGTCTTAAATCTCAGAAAATTTTTTTCTGTCCCAGGAGCTAGCTTTACCTTAACTAGTACATGAATGAGTACCAGTATTATAAAGCATTGCAGTGATTTATTTCTGCAGGTGAGGGTCATGGTGAGAAATCATGAATGGGCTCCCTGATTTCAATGGAGGTGACAGGTTCATCTCCAAAGAGAAGTTGGGTCTCGTTCTTATAATGGATAGCAGAGCCATAGCAATAATCAGGTTTGACCTGTGGAGGTTTGTATAACAGTGGATAATTAAGGATAGTTTCCCTAGGACCAAAATAGGTAGCCTGATAAAGTCCTAGTTGTTATATAACCCCAATAATCTTCTACTCTGGAAAATGGAGGCCTGATTTTGTCCTCAAAAATGTGGCATCCCAGCCTCTTCCCCAGTTCATAGACCAGAGCCCCTTGAATGAAGGGGAGGGTCCATCTGAAGAAGGACCTTGCTACACTTTTCACAAGTGTGTATGGCAAAATCTCCCTCCTTGCTTTCCTCACAGAGACCTGCAGCCACAGTCATTGTACACTGGGGACAGGGAAATATCCAGGCCTTTGAAATAGACTGGATATTGGTTCTGAATTAATGTTAATCTCTGGTGATCCAGATTGCCACTGCAGCCCATCAGTCAGAGTGGGATGGGGTTATACATGAAGTTTTGATCTGAGTCTTTCTTACACTGGGCCCAGAAGAAATCCTGTGGTGATTTCTCCAGTTCTTGGATATACTATTCGAATCTACACAGTATAGATGGCATAAAGGGGAGGAGGACTACAGCTGAAGAGCAAGTTAAAGATTCAAGAAATGGGGGATAAAATTGGAGGTGGCAATATCGTGACAACAGGAGTCCCAGGAGCAGAGAAAAATAAAAATGGAAAAGTGGGTCTATTTTGTGAATGAATGGCTGAGCATAGGACTCCAAGTGACCCAGGCAAGCTGAGCTCCCCATGGTGAGTTGTGTGTTAACTGTCTCATCAAGCCACGAAGTTATCTATGTGCAGTAGCACTCCACCACCGAATAGAATAGAGTTATACAAGCAGGCCTAGATGATGAATAAGCTGCCTGAGCAAGTGAATCATACTCCCAACTGCTGTACTGCCATCCCTCTCTCACCCACACCTGAAGCCTCATGGGGAATTCCCTGTGACCAGGTGACTAAGGGATACAATATTCTATTCCAGCTTGGTTTATACATAGCCCTGCATGATATGCTGGCCCTGCTGAAGTAGCTAGCTGTAGTGTTACAGCCCTACTTAGGGTTGATCCTGAAGGACAGTGAGAAGGGAAATTCTCCCAGTAGAACAACTGCCTGGTCACATAGCTGGTCAGAGGTATAGATAGGTTTCCACTGTTTCATGAGTAGTTTTTAATGATTCGGCTAAATGGTGAAGGACTTGGAAATAACAGGACTGAAATATTATTGACAAGGTCTGAGGAAGAGCATATGGCTGTCCCTCTTGGAATGGGCAGAGATATTCACGTCCCACATAAATAAGCACCAGAGAGAGTCCACTGCAGAAGAGGAGCTCAATCAAGTAGACAGGTAGGTGTCCTGTTCTGTGATGTCAGTCAGCCTCTTATCTGTCACCCTTTTCTTTGCCCAATGGATTCCTGAACAAAATGGCCATGGTGGCAGGCATGGAGGTTATGCATGGACTCCACAATATGGACTTCCACCACGACCAATCTGGCTATAAGCCACTGCTGAGTGCCCAACCTGCCAACAGAACAGTAACCCAAGCCCCCCTGTGGAACTATTTCTTGGTGGCAGCTGATTACAGACAAGACAAAATGAAAAAAAGCCACTGGACCCCCAAAATTCTACTGGCAGGAAGCAAACTGGGGAAACAGTTCAGCTGCAAACATTTGCTGCCTTTCATGAAAAAGGAAGGCACACAGGGTAAAACCAAGAGATCAGAGGGCAGAGCCTTAGAATATTATTCCCAGGCCTTGACATCTAATCAAGAAACTTCCATTTTCCCAGCTGGATTTCAGAGTTGTTAGTTATAGACCAGTAACTCCTTTATGTCTCCCATTTCCCCTCTTTTTGAACCAGAATGTCTGTAGTAGTTGTCCTATGGCTATCCCACCATTGTACCTAGGGTGTGTTGGGGACAGATAACTTGCCTCTTAAGTCTCACAAATCAGCCAGGCACGGTGGCTCATGCCTGTAATCCCAGCACTTTGGGAGGCCAAGGTGGAAGGATTGAGCCCAGGAGTTTGAGAACAGTCTGGGCAATATAGTAAGATCTCGTCTCTATAACAAAATAAAAATAAAAAATAATTTTCTTTTTTTTTTTTGAGACGGAGTCTTGCTCTGTAGCCCAGGCTGGAGTGCGGTGGCGTGATCTCGGCTCACTGCAAACTCCGTCTCCCGGGTTCAAGCGATTCTCCTGCCTCAGCCTCCAGGCGCCCACCACCACTCCCGGCTAATTTTTTGTATTTTTAGTAGAGACGGGGTTTCACCGTGTTAGCCAGGATGGTCTCGATCTCCTGACCACATGATTCGCCCGCCTCGGCCTCCCAAAGTGCTGGGATTACAGACGTGAGCCACTGCACCCGGCCAAAAAATAATTTTTTACAAAAAAACAATTGTCTCACAAATCTAAAGATGGAGAAAAATAGTAGTTAAGAAGCCATACTCAAACAGCCTCTTTCATATATGGACCTGATTTAGATGTTCTGGATTTTGGGGCAATGCTGTAATTGGATGAGACTTTGAGAGACTTTGGGAAGTGGTGAATGTATATTGCATGTGGAAGCAACATGAATCACCAGGACCAGTGGAAAAACTATAGTTGTCAGTCTCCAAGATGACCCCCAATGACCCCCCGCCTCCTGGTATTCACACCTTTGTGTAATCCCCTCCCATTGAGTGTGGCCTGGACCTAGTAACTGACCTACTTTTTTTTTTTTTGAGACGGAGTTTGCACTTGTTGCCCAGACTGGAGTGCAATGGCGCGATCTTGGCTCACCGCAACCTCTGCCTCCCGGGTTCAAGCAATTCTCCTGCCTCAGCCTCCTGAGTAGCTGGAATTACAGGCACCCGCGACGACACCCAGCTAATTTTGTACTTTTAGTAGAGATGGGGTTTCTCCATGTTGGTCAGGTTGGTCTCGAACTCCTGACCTCAGGTGATCCGCCCGTCTCAGCTTCCCAAAGTGCTGGGATTACAGGTGTGAGCCACTGTGCCCGGCAGTAACTGACTTACTTCTAACGAATAGAATATTGCAAAAGTGATGGGATCTCACATCTGAAATTAAGTTATAAAGACTATGAGTTCTGTCTGGCATGTGGGCACTCTCCTTCTATCTCTAGCTCATCTTACTTGTTTGCTGTGATGAAGCAAGCTGCCATATTATGAGCCACCCTATGAAAGGGTGCACATGGCAAGGAACCTGAGAGTGACCCCCAGCCAACAGCCAGCAAGACTGAATATGCCAACAGCCACATGAGTCAGCTTGAAAGCAGATCTTTCCCCAGTCAAGCCTTGAGATGACTGTAGCCCCAGCTCACACCTTGCTGGCTGTGAGACCCTGAAACAGAAACTCAGCTAAGTTGTGCCCAGATTCCTAACCACAGGGACTGTGAGATAAAATGTTGTTTTAAGCCACTGTTTTTGAGATAATTTGTTATGTAGCAAATATATAACCAATAGAGATAGGCGTGGAGGTTATGTACCTCGGCAATATGAACTTCTAACCTACCAAGGCCACTGTGGCCCTAGCACTGCTGAATTCCCAACCTACCAACAGCAGAGATCAACACTGAGCTCCCACTGTGAACTATTTCCGGATTGCAGGCTGATTACTTTGGACCCCTTCTGTCTAGCACAGGCCTTAGGGTCACAGAGATTTGGTGAAAATCCCAGCTCTGCCAGGCTGATATGCTTAGGTGAGGCCTGTTTTCCTAGGGGTCTGTTTCCTGTGTCTGTTGGGGACTTTGTGAAATACCTCACATGGAGCTGAGCACCCAGGTGGAGGTTCACAAGGGGCTGTTCCCCTTCCTTTCATGTGAGTGCCCAGGGGCAAGAACCCTGTTCCTCTGCTTCCTAACCCCTCTTCTCCCATCACAATTTCAGGTCTTCTGGGAAGCATGGTTAGTGTCTGCCCCTTCAAGGACCCACTGACCATGTACCTCAGACCCCAGGCGCCACTCCCAAGGGGTGGTATCCTGTACCACTGGACTCTGCAATGCAAAGGAAACAGAGTCATATGCACAGTGTGGAGCCCCAACTGATGCTCCTACCTCCTTCTAAGCTAGATTGCGGGCCCTTGGCCTGGAAGTGGAGACAGACTGAGGCCTGGGCCTTGCCTTCCCTCCAGAAGCTCCAGAGCTTGGGGGTGGGAGGAGAGACAGACCTATTAATCTTAGTGTGTTTCAGACACCAGGTAAGGCACAGGTGGAGACACTAAGGAGAAGGGGAAGAAGGGTTCAGTTGGGCCTGAAGGGTTTGGGTAAAGTCCTTAATAGAAGTGATGTCTCTTTCCATCCCCTTGTCACCTGCAGATTCAGGAGCCATCCTGAGGGATGTGGCAACATTTGGGAGGACTCGGCAGCTAGGTGATATCTCTATAATAGAAAATGACTTTGAGGTGAGAAGATACCCACTGCTTCCCTGACCTCATTCTCCCCAGCCCCTTATCTGAGGGGGAGGGTGTCCCCTGAGCCAGTCCCCCTCCCTTTCTAGGGGAGTATCTGGGAAAGAGGGCAGATTTGGAACCAGAGAAAGCTCTCTGGAAGAGGTTAGATTTGATCTGGGTCTTGCAGGATGATGGCCAGGGCCTCTCCTGCAGAGTTCATGGAATGCATGTCTGCTGTGAAGGAGTGTGTGAGGGATGGGACACAGACGTGCCAACATGGTAAAGGCTGTCTGAAAACTGGTGAAGGATGGGCCTATACCAGGGAGGCCTCCGTCCTGGGCCAAGCAGTTCTCTAACCTGGGAGTTGCTTCAGGTTGTAGGCACCATCTCTTCCTCTCCTGTCTGGACACTTCCTGTGGCTGACTGCCTTGGCAGTGGTAGTTAAGTGCTGAGATTGAGCCCCTTCCTGCCCATCCCAGCTCTCACACTCATCTCTCCTGTCAGCTCCTCCAACCCCCTTTTCATGATCAATTCCAGCCAAAAGGTCAGCCTTTTCCCCTAGACTGAGACCTGGGGTCAAGCTGGACCCGGCAGGGTTGTCCACGGACTCCTCTCTCTCTCCTTACTTGTATAGCCTAGGGTCCCAACTGGAAGACTAGATGAAGCAGGGCTGAGCCAGACCTTCCCACCAATCAAAGCTGCCAGAAGAGGGCGGGCTTTCTTATTTACCACTAGGTTCCTATCAGCTGCAAATATTGGGAAGGGGGAATGAAACCCATGAACGTTCAGATGAGAAAGCAAAATAAGAGTGGCAGTGTGCTAAGCTCCTGGGCTAGGGATCAGGACCCAGCCTTTAGCCTCCTCACAGCCCCTTGAGAGGACGGAAAGCCCTTGAGGCAGGCATGATAGGAAGCTGACTGGCTTAGGGCTTCCATACTCTTGCTTCCTCCTTTGTATCCTCGTATCATGGGCAGACTCCAAACACAGAACACTCAAGACCACAAAGAATGGTTCTTAGCCTTTGGAGGGTCAAGGATCCCTTTATGAATCTGATACAAGCTGGTTAGTCTTCTTGTCAGAAAAACACATGCATGCAAACACCCACAAAAACATGTAAACAATCTGTTGATGGTCCCTGATTTAGTCCAGCACCCTCATCTTAAAGACTTTGGGACTCAGAAGAGAGATCTTTCCAACTACTATGGGACCATTAATGGGCTTGAAACCACTTTGCTAAGTGAAAGAAGCTAGACACAAAGGATCACATATTATACGATTCCATTTATGTAAAATGTCCAGAATAGGCAAATGGGATGAGGGGTAAAGGACGCCTAAGGGATATGGAGTTTCTTTCTGCAGTGATGAAAATGTTCTGAAATTTTTTTTCGAATGATGGCTGCACAACTCTGAATATACTAAAAGCTATTTAATTGTATACTTTTAAGTGGGTGACTGTATGGTATGTACATTATATATATCAATAAGCTGTCTTAAAAAAGTGAACTCAGGGGTTGCAAATGACCACACATCTGAGCTTTAGTCCCCATTCATCAGGGGCATAACCTGTGGAGAAAAATCAGGGAATTATGCAGTAGATGGGTTAGACAGGAAAACATTCTAGGAAGAACGAGATTCTATGTATAATCTTAAGGGCAATAAAGCATCATGGAAGGTTTTAAGCAGTATATAATCAGATCTACACTTTAGAAACCCCCCAAATCACTGAATTGTACATTTCAAACAAGTGAATTTTATAGTATGTAAATTATATCTCAATAAAGCCATTAACAAAAAAATCCCTTTGGGAGCTTGAGGAGGATAAACTGGAGGGCATCAACTGGGGGAGGTTGTAGTGTAGGAGTTTGGGTGAGGGGGCCCGAGCCCATCTGTTTGGACTTGAGGGAAAGTGGCTTGGGGTTAGAGTCGGGGGAGGATCAGAATGTCTTGCCCAAGGTTAAGAAGCTGGTGGAACTTGATTTCAGAACCCAGAGCTCCCTGGCTTCAGCCCTAGTGCTCCTGCCAGCACTACAGCTGCTCCACTGACTGGTGATGGAAGCACTGTCTTCCCCGTCTAAGAGAAATGCACTTCAGAAACATGTTTCCAAAAAATGTTTCTAAGGGTTTTATTTCTAACAAGAGGAAAATAATAAAATAAAATTAAAATAGGCTTCAGTTGGAACCAAGTTTCTTGTTTTGCTTTTTTTTTTCTTTTGAACAAATTAATTACACACCAACAATCTTCTTTTATTACAACATGAACCCAGGAGGAGGAAAGGAGACAGGGGAGGACAGGGAGGGAGGACTGAGGTGGTTGTGAGGACAAGCACCAAAAGCTTTCTTCAGATCACAGGGAGCCCTGTTCAGCTCCCCAGCCAAATTCCTTTAAAATAAAAAACTGTGAGCACGGCTATGTGAAGTTTCCTCCTCCTGGGTGGAACAGTCAGGGGAAGGGAGAGGGAGAAGGGGGTAGGAAGGAAGGAAAAGAGGGGAGGAGAGTGGGGGCAGGGGTTAGTGTAGCATGGCCTGGCCAGGACCAGAACTGGGGAGAGAAGGGAGGAGAGTCCCCCAGTTTGCATATACACTGGCCTTGTCTCTGGAATGGTGATGGCCCAGCCCCAGCCACCCCCCTGCCCACCAGCCCATCCATCTATCTGCCTCAGGTGTCTGGGAATGCTGGTTAGAGGCTACCAGGGAGGGAAGACTCCAGGGGCCGGCCCCCAGGAGCTGAGGTCTGAACAATACCTTGGAGTCAGAATACAAAAGTCAAGGGACTCAGGGGTGGGCGGGTAGCAGGGATGGCCACCCCCCTACCCGCCCACCCCCCAAGAAGCAGGCTTGATGGTCAGAAAGAGGATCCTTGAGGCCGAGGGGGGTCTCTGTCAGGGTCTGTGCTAGGCTCAGCCACTGTCACAACTGTTGCTGAGGCGGCTGCTGTGGGCAGGGCAGATGCAGCCGGGGAGTCAGAGTGGAGAAAGGGGCCGAGGGGCCTGAAGTGGTCCCTTCCGCCGGTTCCAAGCCATTCTGGTTCTCCTGGGTGCTGGGGCTGCCAGTGGTGGGGATGGGTGCAGGGGGGCCCTCACCCCCAGTCTCCTCCTCCAGCTCTTCCTCCTCCTGGACCTCCTCAGCCTCTGGCCCTGAGCTCCGTACCCTCTTTGGCTCTAGCTCCTCTCGGGCTGGGTCATCGCCCTCCCCACCCCGATCCACCTTCCGCCGCCGCCGCCTCTCCAGGGCCCGGCCCCGAGCCCGACTCCCGTGACGCTCTGCCTTCTCCAGCTGTGATTACAGACAGGCAGAAAGACAGGTTGTGGGCCAGTGGTCAGGCCTGGGCTCCCTACTCGGCCTGACCTCCTGGCCCGGCCCATGACCCCTCTCCTCACCTCCAGAAGTGTGCGGATCCTCTCCAGGTCTGGGGGCTGTCCAGCCTGCAGCAGCTGCCATATGCTGTGGTTCTCATCCAGGGTCACCTCGAGCAGGTCCCCCTCCATCATGAGCTCCTCCAAGGGGGCCCGGGTTGCCTCAGGCAGTTCCAACACAGGGCCAGTCAACTGTGGCAACAGCGAGGACAGCAGCTCCAGATCTAGGAGGTTGCAGGAACAAGCGGCATTAGAGGCTGCCCTTGGTCTTATCCCCACCACTACAACAGAGCTGAGGACTACATGGGTCACTATGGTGATGTGCAGTCAACAGCCTACCCACACCACACCTAGACCTACCTCTCTTACCTGAGCCCTCCTCCGGGGCTACCTTCTCAGGACTGGTCACACTGTCTCCATTCTCCAGTAAGCCCTGGACCTGCGGAGGAGAGCAAGAATAGGTAGGGGCAACTGAAGTGAAGAACCAGGCCCTATTCCTCCTCCGCCAACCCCAAACTTGAGACCCTCCGCCTTCTGGAGGAGGAGGGAAGACACAGGCTGCCAGCAGGGAGCAGAGTCTAGGAATCTGGACAGATGCAGAATGGAGTAGGAAGGCTGGTCCAAAGAAAACTGAAAATTGGAGAACAAGGGGCAGGGCCGAGCCTAAACTGGGGTAGGGGCTAGGAGACAAGAATCTGAGGACAAGAGCTGGGCTGAGTAGCTCACCTTAGGCATATCCTTGCCACTGCCCTCTCTGAGGGGGTCAGAAGCAGGGGCTGCAGGGTAGTTAGGAGGCTCCTCAGGTCTAGGTTCAGCCTGTAGCCGTTGGCGGAGCTCAGCCAGCCGTCCCAAAAGAGCAGTCACATCTTCAGAGGCCAGAGCCTGCCTGGCGCGGCCTTGCCAGCTGATGGCCCTCTCTGTGAGGCACTGCAGGGCCTCGCCCTCGGGCAGCCGCACAGGCAGTCTCTGCAGGGCTACCAGCAGTGCCAGGATGGTCTCCAGGCGCGGGCGCCTTGAGCGCATACACAGTGGACACAGGAATTTGGTGTCCCATTCCCACCAGGCCAGCAGTGGGGATGAGGTGGGATTGGGCCTCGGAGAGCTGAGGAGGCGAGGCACTGACACACACCGCCCATGGAACCAGTCCTGACACAGGTCACACTGCAGAGCTCCCGCCCCAGCCAGCACCTGCCCACACACACAGATAGAGGTTGTAGAGGAGGCCGTGCTCGATGATGCCAGTGGACTGGGCTTGGCCGAATTGGTGCGACGCAGCTGCAGGATACCCTCCTTCTCCTTCTGTTCCCCCTCCTTGAAGGCCACGATCTGCCATACCCAGGACAGGAGCAAAGTGGGTCAGCAGCCTACCCCTTCCCTTCTCTGGGCCCCCCCTTAACACCCCCACTCCCAAACCAGGAGAACTGAGGCTCAGGGGACAAGCGGTCTGCTCATGGCCACCCAGCTCAGACACTCTATCATCACCAAGCCCTTCTCCCCATCTGTGTCGAAGCTCCTTACCACAGAGCCTGGGTCCCTGAGGTCCTGCGCAGACAGCCCCAGCAGCTCTGTGTCAGATTTGTACAACCCCAGCTCCTTCTCCATCCACCGGCTGCGCTTGGTGCTGTCTGAGCCGGCATCTGCACATGGGCAGAGAACCTGGGGCAGGCAGACAAGAGAGGGAATGACTGGGCTTCCCTTACATCCCCCGCCTCCTTCCCTCCCTGGTGCCCCTACAAAACCCATGTTATCTCATGAGCCATCTCACAGAAGCCAGGGCAGGCGTTAAGAGACGCTGTAGGTCAAGGTCCCAGGCCTCACCTCCAGCAGCGTGTAGCAAGAATTTTTCTTGAGGAAGGTCTTGGAGGCCTTCTCCCTCCAGGAGTGCGCTGTCAGTACCTGTAGCTCTAGCTGTCTCAGCTCCTCCAGCCCCACAGGTAGGTCCCGGCCCACAGCTACTAGGCCCTCCAAGTCATCCAGGCAGGGGTAGTGGTCACCATTCTAAGGCCAAGGGCGAGAGACAGCTCAGTTCAACTTGCCAATGCTATTGATGCTTACTCTGTGCCTGGCCCTGAGCTGGAAAGATGAACTGGGCTCAGTCTTGAGGGATTAAAAAAATAGGTGTCATCCTAAGGAACAACCACTTGGCTCTCTCCCACAACACCGGCATCTACTGACTGGCTCAGCCCCAAATATCTAGTCAGCCTTCTGTTGTGGTTTGCCTCTTCTCCTCTCCTCCATGCCCCTGCCCTGCTCAGTCCCATACCACCTGCTTCCCTGGCCCACCAATCTCATCCTAACCAGTGCCCTCTCTTCCTTCAGGCCAGCCTCACACTCTTCCTCTCACCCTGCTCATCAGGCACATCTTGCCTCCTGACTACATGCCATGCCCCCTTCCTCTCTCCAGCCAACCCAACCCATCCCAGCAACCCAGCACATCCCAGTGTATATGCCATCTCTTCCCAGCTGGACTGAAGGCCTGGGGTGGGAGTGGCAGGGTCCTCACTTGGATCTCATCAACATCAGCAATCCAGGCCCGGGCCTTAGCAAGAGCCTCCTTGAGAGCCTGGATGTTGGGCAGGTGAACAGGGATGTTTTCCGCTTCACGGATTATGGCCTCAAGTGTGGCTGGTGGATGCTTCTGCCTAAAGGTAAGGAAAAAAAGAACGCTCAGTCTGATGTGGTCTGCCTGACCAGAAGCCCAGCCTGACCACCAGATATATCTGCATGGGCCCCTTGGGTGTCTGTTATTCCTGCTGTCACTTGGGCCTACTTGCTTGTATTCCACCTAAGGGTAGCTGCCAGTCCCTGCTTCCCCAAGACTGCATGCACCCAACTTCATCCCTTCTGCCACAGCTCTTGCACCTCTGTTTGTCTGCCAGTCTGCTGGCCTGCTAGCAATGCCTACATATACAACCTGTATTGTGTAATCTGTTGCTGCAGTTTGTCAACTGCCCTGTGTGGGGTCTTTCTACCAACATCTGCCCATCTGCCTGTCACTTGTGCTTCTGGGTATGCGCACATTAGCCTGTAGGGCTAGTCTTCTAGATAATCTCTATCTGTCCATTTCTGCTTCTCCATCAGCCTCTCTTTGCCTTTAAGTATACAGAGTTGTTTTTTAAAAAAACGACAAGATAGACAACAAAAGAGGGGAGAGTCAATACAGTAACACAGGAGCGTGATACCTAAGGCCACCCATGGGCATCCTCTTCTGGGTCTCCACTCAACTTTGATGTTTGGAATAGGGCAGGGAAGGGAAGCAGCAGCTGGACCTACCTGGCCTCCAGGCAGAGGTGGGCTTTCTCCTCCCAGCGTTCAGCAATGGTCAGCAGTTCCTGCAGCTCGGCCTGGGCTTTATCCACAGCAGGGCTAGGGGCTACACTGGCACCCGCGACCAACAGTCCTCGCATGACAGCCAAGGTGCCCCTTCGGGCTGAGGGGGCCAGTGTGCGTTTCACCTCATCCAGCCATCGCGCCTGTTCCACCTGCCGCTGGAGCTGCTGGGCCTCAGGCACCTCCACCCCCAGCTGCCGCCCCCTCTCCAACAGGGACTGCAGTAGCCCTGGACTGGAGGGCAGTGAGGCCAGGGCCTCACGAGCCTCAGCCTGGTAGGCCTCCACCTGTTCCAGAACACCCTACCAGGACACAGGATGAAGAACAAACTCCTCAGCTGGGCCCACTGAGGGGTTCCACCACCAGATGGAACCTTGTCCCACCTATCTTCTTACCCTCCAAGCTTTTGGGGCAAAGGAGCCTAACATGGGCTGAGCTCTCCTTCTCCAAGCCCTAAGACAGTTGGGGTTCCTAACACTGACTGCTCATTAGAATGCCCTGGGGAATTTAAGAATGCAGATTCCTGGGCCCCACCCTGAGAGATTCTTAATTAACTAATAATTATTAATCTATGCTTTATTTAACTTTTCAGAGGGCTCTGTTCTCAGGGCACCAAGAGACCTCCCTGCCCTAAAAATTGCTATGATTAGTCCTCACATAAACCCTTGTGCTCACCACCCTGGGGTCTGTTGCCCTCTCCATCTCACTCCTCCTCCACCTTCATGAATTTCCCTCCACTTTCCAAGCCCAACAAGCACCCCTGTTACCTCCTTCTCCTCTACCCCTCCTCCAGGAAACCTTACCTGGACTCTGTATCCTATACCCATACCCTTGCCACCTGACCCTCAAGGCCCATTTCTAACAGACAAGTCACTAGACCCTTGCCTCACCCCTCCCACCTGTTCTTTTCTCACACGTGTGTCCTGTCTTGCCTGAACACTTTAAGCTTTTGAAAGGAGCCAAGCATGGCCTGCTGCTCAGGTCCCCTGGTCCCCTTGATCCCTCATCAGCACTCCAAGCGTCCTCACCTTGACATCCCCAATCTGGTGCATGGCGCAAGGCAGGTTGTTCATCTGGTCCAGAAAGGCCCGGAGCTCAGTCAGGGTCATCTGTAGACCAGCCACCCTGTGGGGGCTATGAAGTATCACATGTGAGGTTTCAGGTCCAAACTCAGTGCCTTCCCTCCATGTCTATGCTAAGACTGAACACCTTTCCTCACTACACCTGTCCACCTTGATCTCGCATATTTCAAATTTGCCCCAATTGCCCAGGTTAGAGGGAAGGTTTTAAATTATAGAGCATGTTCATATTATGAGGGGAAAGAATTAGAAACTAATGGGTTGTAATAAGAGCTACACTTTGCAATCCATCCTCTACTGTGAACTCTAAAGCTGTGTTAGCAGGGATCAGGTCTATACATCTTTGTCCTGTTCTTACCCGTAAGCCTCCCACAACTCTTCCCTGCCCACAAAACCCCTCAGCCTCTCTCTCAGGCCACTTCCAGGTACTGATAAAAAATAAACACTTCTAGCTTTCTTATCACAGAGGCTCTCCTCTCCTTTTTAGGTGGCCTGGTCTCCTTGTCCCCCCCAACACCTTCCAGGCCATCTCACACTCTTGTGCCTGGCAGCTTCCTGCTGATGTCCATTCTGCCAAATGGTATTCACAGTCTACCCCTTGCAGCACTTTTCCTCGGTGCTGGATCCTCAGCACCTTATGTGTGCCCTAACTCCTCACGCTGTCATACCCAGCTTCCTGGCCGCTGACCAGTCCCAGAGCTCGGGACACGCAAGCCTCTGCCTCACTCAGGCAGTTCTTTAGTTGCTGCAGCAGCTCACTATTAGGAAACCTCCGCTCACGGGCTTCAGACTCTAGTGCCCTCAGTTCTTCAAGGCCTGGAAGAAAAATGAGGGCAGCAAAGAGTAGGCAGTATTGAATAGAGGCAGAGGAAGGGGGTCAGAGTACAGAAGAAAGGGAATAGAACTTGCCTGTGGAGTCCCTCCATCCCCCCCATCACTCACTGCGCTTCCGCCCATCCTCCACCTCCAGGGCCACTCGCACTTTGTTGGCCCAGGTGTCAAAGGACTCAGCCCGAACCTTCAGCTTATGCAGCATGGCAGGAAGCTCATCCAAGGTATACCGATACCTGGAGGAAGAGGGCAGGCAAGAGCATGTCTGGCCCAGCTCTCCATCCTCCTTCTTGCCCCACTTCCTCCAGAAAGGCCCATGCTCACCGCAGGTACTGCCGGCTACTGGAGCACTTGCAGAGATCATTGATGTGGGAAAGGCAGACAAGGCCGTCTGGGCAGTCGTAGCAGGCCAGGGCTGACAGGAAACACGTAGTCTTGCACTTGATACACTGGCGCTCATCATCTGGGAGCAGCTCGAAAGCCTCTCGCTCAGCCTCTGTGATACCCTAAGGGCATTTAACCTATGCGTTATATATAACCAGAACCAGGTAGCAAAATCCTCCATCTCAGCCACCACCGACCCCTACTTTAGATTCAAATCTATGCTGAGGGTCATGGGGTTTAAGAGGCCAAACCCCAGGGAGCATACCTGCCCTTTGTAAAGTCTAGACTCTCAAAGCTTGGGGAATCAGATAAACCAGGGCAAGATCAGTGTGCGCTGAGTCAGATAATTTTATAGAGGAAGAAAAATCAGGTAAGATCCAGATCAGCAGAAAGGGTCTTGTGGGTGAGAAGTGAGGAAAGTGGTGGACCAAGATACCAGAGAGGTGGCAATGAGTGCAAGTGGCCAAGGGACAGGCCTGGCTAGTTATGTGTACTGGGGAACAATATCGGCTTCCAGTTACTCAGAGCCCACTGTGTTCCAGGCACCACGCTGGCCACTTAGTAGGCAGGAGATACTTGTGCACATATATAACTTAGAGAAATTCAACCGTATGTGCTTGTGTTCAGGGTTTAAAGAGATATAATAATTTTCTCCCAACAATATGGTTTCCAAACCTAATCCAATGACTTCATCTGTTGCTCAGATAAAGAAAAAGCAATCCATTTCAAAAATGAAGGAAAAGCTGGCTATATTGGAGTAATCGAGAGACAACCCAGTGTGTATATCTAATGGGCAATTTTAGGGATTTTAATGGGAAATGTCAACTCTTAACAGTTTTTGTCTTACATACCAACTTTAACACCTAATCTCTGCATAAGTTATGAGCCCAAATCCCACTCTGCCACTTATATGCTGTGTGATCATGAGTAAATCATTTAACGTCTCTGGGTCTGTTTCATTATCTAGTAAGATGGAGATAAACAGTATCATCCTTGTTGGGTTGTTATGAGGATTAACAAAAATAAAGCAGCTATGGAATCAGACAAGTATCTCAGCACTTAGATTCAGTGTTCATCAAATATTTACTGTTATTAGCTCTAATTTTCAGATAAGAATATATATTCCACAGGCCTATCTCATTTTACTAAGGCAGAAACTAAGTCTCAGGGTCAGTAACTTGCCAAACTGAGTTAATTTTGACTCTAAAGCCAGAGAATATTCTAAGGATGAAGTCTCTAGGGTTTTTTTGGACTACAGACTCCTGAGAATTGGATGTAAACTATAAGTCCTCTTCCCAGAAACATACTTAAATACACATACAATCTCTTACAGGATTCCAAGACTATGGTGTCCAGAATGCTTCTCTGAGGTAAGGGCCAAGTGTGAAGAATTCTGAATGTCAAGATGAGAAGGTCTATTCTCCCCACCTTGCTTTGGCTCCTTCCCACAGCTTGGCACAGCCACACGGCCATCATTTAATAACAGTACTGAACAGAGTGAGAAAATGATGCCTGGAAAAGCCCAGGGACTCAACAACTTACACCACGACTGAGAGGCCCCAGACTTCCAACACTACTGTAGCTATAGTTCTCCCTATAGCCCACACTCACAGGAAAGCTATAAATGAGCTTTAAAATAAGAAAGTATTACCCTAGATAGGCAGCAAGGGATCCCACAGAACCAGCACTCCTTTGTAATCTTATGAAAGACTCTCACAAAGTCAATTCCCTAACTGGGCAAGTGTGAAATTTGAAGATGATGGCTGAAACTACACGAGTGGACTTTAGAGCTCTGTAGCAGCTTCCACTCAGCTACACACACAACTGACACAAGCTTACAAGAAATCAATTAAAGCAGGACCACCTTCAGCTTGGTAATATTATTGCCCTAGCTGGAGTTAATAAACCATCTGCATGTAATAAAATGGCAATTCCTGAGAAACATTCCAAATTTCAATCAGTTTCTTCATGTATTAACATTACCAATAATAGCAGCTGCAACATTGCAAAGGCAATGTTAGAGAGATGGCTTTCATATAAATCACCTTACTCTAACCTTACATCTTGCAAGTTAGGTATTTATTCCCACTTTAGAGTAGGAAAGTGAGATATGAAAGATCAAGTAACTTGATACAGTCACCTAGATAATCAGCAGTGAGGTTTCATATGCCAGTCTATTTTGCTAGGTCATGTAAATAATGATAAATAGCTGCTATACCAGTACCTGCCATGGGTCAGTCACTAAGCAAACATTATCTTTAATACAATCAACTATCCAAAAAGATAAGCATTATCATAATCCCATTTTTCAGAGGGGAAAACTGACAATGAAGTAAATCGACTTAAGGTTGCTGGTAAAGGGTATAGCAGAGAATGGTATGTGGTTTTCAATCGAGATGCATCTAGTTCTTTTCACTATACGCCAAGAGTAGAGGCTACATCTTCTTGGTGCTGCCTCTGCCTCCCCGAACTTCCACCAGAATAGGGTGCTTGATCTGGGGTACTCTCCCCACCTTCTCCAGCAGGGCCTTTCGTAGACGCCGCTCTTCTTGCACCATGATGAACATCTCCTTATGCACAGCTGCCGCCAGGTTCAGGTCTAGCTTCTCTGGGCAGGCAGCCATCTTGCAGATAAGCTCCTCATGGGAGAAGACGCAGTATCTCCGGAGCCGGCGGTAGTGCTCAATGCACTGGCGCCCAGCAGGCAACTGTGGGCAGGTTCAAGGTTGAGTGTGGCCAAGTCTGGAGGCCATGATGCCCCAGCTTCTCTACAACCCTCCTGCTTCTCCCCACCATCCCACCACATTCTAGACTCACCCAGTCAGCAGTGCAAAAGTTGACAGCCTCGGCAAAGTTGTAGCCTTGGTTGAAGCCGCTGTGGTAAGCACGGGGGAAGGTGATGACAAACTCTCCTGCACACTGGTTTGTGCGGACAACCTGAAGAACACAAAAGGCCATGGCTGTTGAGATAGAGATTTTCCTGTATACAGACCTGACTTAAGTGCAAGGTAATTAAGGAGACAAAGAAAAGCCTCAGGGAACACAGTCTGACAACAGAATCCCAGACTCTCCAACTCTGAAAGGAAGGACCACTGGTCTCTGCTCTCAAGGTTTTGATGTGTGTTGAGATGATAGGAAGATTTGAGATTAAAAAATATATCTGTCAAAATATTCCAACTTCCTTAGTAATTTTTGCAAAAATTATAAATATCACTTTTAATCAAGCTGGACAAGCTTTTTTAGTTATTTACTTTCATCAGTTATATATGCAGTTTGTAGAGTCAAATGGCTCTATAAAGATCTGTTATAAAATCAGCCAGCCTTGCCATTCTCCCTTCCCCACAGCCAATCACTTCCACCTCTTCTGATTATTTTGGCGTTGATTATAACTACCTTAAATAACATGCTTCTAGACTATGTTAAAAACAGCCTCCTGTTTCTCAATTTGCTCAGTTTTTTATGCATATATCCCTAATTTTCTGACCAATATTTAAATCTCTTTTCCTATCAATTTTCATCTTTCTGTAGCAGTCTCATGCAACCTTCTGATCTGTCCCAATCTGGACCAGCTGTCCTCCCTGGATCATCACTCTCTTGTGACAGATCTCCTATTTCCTAGATCCCACGTCTTCCTCTTTCTTGGTTTATTCCTTTGCTATGCTTAAGAACATCCTCCAACAGTTTCCTGAGAAATGGTGTGAAGAACCTACTTTTCTTTTTTTAAAGAAAGTCTCTATTCTTACTCTCACACTTGACTGTATATAGAATTCTAAGATGAAAATCCTTTTTTTTTTTTTTTGAGACGGAGTCTCGCTCTGCCGCCCAGGCTGGAGTGCAGTGGCACGATCTCGGCTCACTGCAAGGTCCGCCTCCCGGGTTCACGCCATTCTCCTGCCTCAGCCTCTCCGAATAGCTGGGACTACAGACGCCTGCCACCACGCCCGGCTAATTTTTTGTATTTTTAGTAGAGATGGGGTTTCACCGTGGTCTCGATCTCCTGACCTCGTGATCCGCCCGCCTCGGCCTCCCAAAGTGCTGGGATTACAAGTGTGAGCCACCGCGCCCGGCAAAAATCCTTTTTTTAAAAACTCCCATAGTTGTTGACTCAGAAAATAATTTTAAAGGCACACTGCTCTGATCTTCTAGTGTTACTGTTGAAAAGTTCGAAGCCATTCTGATTTCTAATGCTTGATAAGCATTTGAAACCTGTTTCTCTCTCTCTCGAGCTTATAGGATTCTTCTGGTCTCAGTGTTTGACATGGAAATTTACAGGATATATCTTGGTATGAATTTCTTTTCACTCATGTACTGGGTAGGCCCATTGACTCTGGAAAATCGGTTCTCCAGTTCAGGGAAATTTTCTTGAGTGATTTCATTAATGATTTCATCCTCTCAGTTTTCATCTATTTTCTTTTCATAACTCCTATTTGAATATTGAACCTCCTAGAAAAATTCCCTAATTTTTTCTACCCTTTTCCATCTTTTTACTCTACTTTTTGGGAGATTTCCTCAACTATTCATCTTTCAAAAGTGGAAAACATACACTTTTTACATTTTTCACTTTTGCTATCATAACTTTGTTTGCGGTATGCTATTTTTTTAAACAGTATTCTGGTCTTCATTCATTTTTACAGTATATGCCTTTCTTTTGAAGTTTATTTCTCCCTGCCTAGCCTCTGTATCTCCAAGTTGCTTCTGTTTTTTGGGGGATTTTTTAGGGTTTCCTCAGTTTTTTGTTTTTTTTTTTTGACGCAGAGTCTCACTTTGTCGCCCAGGCTACAGTGCCGTGGTGCAATTTCGGCTCACTGCAACCTCGGCCTCCCGGGTTCAAGTGATTCTCCTGCCTCAGCCTTCCAAGCAGCTGGGATTACAGGCACACGCCACTATGCCGTATTTTTAGTAGAGACGGGGTTTTGTCATGTTGGCCAGGCTGGTCTCAAACTCCTGACCTCAGGTGATCCACCCACCTTGGCTGGGATTACAGGCGTGAGCCACTGCACCGCACTGGCCTCTCAGTTGTTAATCTGTGGCTGCCTGCTTATATTTAAGAGGAAGAGATTAAAAAGCTAAATGGAAGCTCTGAGTACACAGATGAAGCTTGTCAACTGTGAGCTTCACTGTAGGGTGATCTAGCTAAGCCATTTAGTTTGGGAAACTCCAGGTCTTTCCTTGCAGGCCAGTCAGATTCCCCAAAGAAAATCCTTTTTTTTTTTTTTTTTTTTTTTTTGCCTGTAGGAAAAAAGGCCTGGCAGCCAGTGTTCTAACAGCCAAGTGGAGAATGATGGCTGGGAACCTCAGCATCCAGTATGATAAATCCTAATTACATTCCCTATAACTCCACCTTCAATTGTACCTAGGAGACCTTAAACCAGAGACTCTGTTTTAACCTCTTCAGAAATAAATCTTCAGTCTTTTACTAGAGTGACTAGACATTTCTAGCTGCCCAGCATGGGAGGGTATCTCACAGCTTTTTTTTTTGAGACGGTGTCTCGCTCTGTCGCCCAGGCTGGAGTGCAGTGGTGTGATCTCGGCTCATTGTAAGCTCCGCCTCACGGGTTCATGCCATTCTCCTGCCTCAGCCTCCCGAGTAGCTGGGACTACAGGCATCCGCCACCATGCCCGGCTAATTTTTTGTATTTTTGTTAGAGACGGGGTTTCACTGTGTTAGCCAGGATGGTCTCAATCTCCTGACCTCATGATCCACCCGCCTCGGCCTCCCAAAGTGCTGGGATTACAGGCGTGAGCCACTGCACCCGGCCCTCACAGCTTCTTATACAGACATGAACCAATCCTTATTTTCACCCCATCCATCTTTACCCCTAGAATGCCTGGTGCCACTGATAACAAATCTTTGGGGGATTCTGAGGTATGAATCGGGCTGGTTCTCAAGATGTCCTCAGTAGTGGCTTATGTTTCAGTTTTCTCATCTATCTGTTTTCTAGTTTCAAGAATTTTATCATTGTCTCCTCTCTCGTATTCTCCATCTCTGTAATTTTTTTCACGTTAAAAAATCCCTTTATGTAATTTTTGTGGAGTTTCAGTACAGAATGGAAGTAGCCATGTGTATGCTTAATCTGTCATCTTTACTGAGAAGTCTCACAAAGCTTTTTAAGATAAACATTCAATTTTGGTGAAGACACAGTGAAGTAGGTACAGTGCCGGTAAGGGAATAAATACATTCTACTCTCTGGAAAACAAATTTGCTAATGTATATCAAGAACCCTTCAACCCAATGATTCCTCTGCCAGGAGTCTAAATTAATTTGGGGAGAATTAACATCCTAACAATATCAAATCTTCCCATTCATAAACATATCTCCACATTTATTTGGACCATGCATCAGCTCCCACCTCCGTCATATTTTCTTCTCAAATCTATCTCTACTTAGAGGCAACATCAGCATTTCTTTCTTACCTGTATTACTGCACTGGCCTCAATTACTAACTGCCAGAACTATCTTCCAAAAATAGCAAATTTGACCATGTAATGCCTCAGCTGAGAGCCTCTCACTGGAATCCCCATGCCCACATGATTAAGCCACAGCTCTGACAGGTAAACTCTTACTCTTCTTTCAGGGATCACTGCTCCTACAAAACCTTTCCTGATAACCCCCGCTTCCTAAATGACCTAGTTTGTTGCTCTTTTGCAGCACCTTTAATGCTTTATTCCACTTATTTACTCCTCTGTCCAGCACTCAGCTATGCATACACAAACGCAGGCACTGGGTTATTTGCCTTCTGAGTGTTGACCAGAGAGGCCTTGCACAAAGAATGAGCTCTAGCAACATTCACTGAATGATCTAGTCCCAGGCTTAGTTTTATTTATTATTAATTAATTAGAAGGGGTCTTACTATGCCAGCCTTAATTTTATCGACAAGAAAACTAAGTCTCAGATAAGCCTCAGGTAGCAGAGCCAGGAGTAGAACTTGATGCTCATAACTCTGTCTCACCCTGCACCCTGATGCTGGCAATGTCACTTTACTATTTCCTATGTGGTTATTTAGAAAAGTTCTCCTCACATTCTGCAGCTGTTAAAAATGACAACTGTGAATAGCCAAAAAGTAAAAACAACTCAAAAGGTTCATCAACTGGTGTATATTACTGGGCCATCAAAGGAATAAAGTTCTGATACATGCTGCAATGTGGATGAACCCCAAAAACATGCTAAGTGAGAGAAGAAACAAATGACCACATATTATTCCATTTTTATGAACTGTCCAGAAAAGACAAATCTATAGACAGAAAACAGATGAATGGTTGACTGGGACTAGGGGCTGGAAAGGGGAGTGACCGTAAATGGGTATAAGGGATCTTTTTGGGGTGGTAGAAATGTTCTACAACTGGATTGTAGAGATGGTAGCACAACTCCATAAATTTACTGGATTGTGTACTTAAAATGGGTGAATTTTACGGTATGTAGCAAATCATACCGCAATAAAACTTTAAAAAATGGTTATAATTCATATAGTAACAAAGCGAAAATCATTCTAGACCAGTGCTGTCCAAGAGAAATATGCTAGGTACATAGGTACTTTTAAATTCTTTTGCTGGGCACGGTGTCTCACGCTTATAATCTCAGCAGTTTGAGAGACCGAGGCGGGCAGATCACTTGAAGTCAGGAGTTCAAGATCAGCCTGGCCAACATGGTACAACCCCGTCTCTACTAAAAATACAAAAATTAGCTGGATGTGGTGGCGCACGCCTGTAATCTCAGCTACTCGGGAGGCTAAGGCGGAAGAATCGCTTGAACCCAGGAGATGGAGGTTGCAGTGAGCCGAGATCGCACCACTGCACTCCACCCAGGGCAACAGAGCAAGATTCCTTCTCAAAAAAAAAAAAAAAAAAAAAAAAAAAAAAATCAAGCACAGTGGCTCATGCCTGTAATCCCAGCACTTTGGGAGGCCGAGGCAGGAGGATCACCTGAGGTCAGGAGTTCGAGACCAGCCTGGCCAACATGGTGAAACCCCATCTCTACTAAAAATACACAAAAATTAGCCAGGCACAGTGGCTCATGCCTGTAGTCCTAGCTACTTGGGAGGCTGAGACAGGAGAATCGCTTGAACCCGGGAGGCGGAGGTTGCAGTGAGCTGAGATCACGTCACTGCACTCCAGCCTGGGCAACAAGAGTGAGACTCCTTCTCCAAAAAAAAAAAAAAAAAAAAAAATCTTTAGTAGCCACATTAAAAAGGCAAAAAGAAACAGGTAAAATTAAGTTAAATATATTTTATTTAACTTAACATATCCACAATATTACCATTTCTATGTGTAATTGGCACACAAAAGTATTAAGTGAGATACTTTGCATTCTTTTGTTTCGTACTAAGTCTTGAAAGCCAACATGCATTTTATACTTTTGGCACATTTCAGTGAGGACTAGCTACATTTCAAGTGCTCAACAGCCACATGTAGCTAGTGGCTACCAAATTGGACAGTGCAGTTCTAGACCAATAAACTTACCAAATTGATTATAAAAACCATACACTAATTATTGCTATGTCAAATTTTACATAGAAAAATATAACAGATGGAAACATAACAATGCTTAGATGTTTACAGTGGAGAGAATAGGGGCGAACTTTCTGTTTTCCATCTTCTGGAAAGAGGACATGTTTATTTTATAATGAAAATAGGCCCGGGCGCGGTGGCTCACGCCTGTAATCCTAGCACTTTGGGAGGCCAAGGCGGGTGGATCACCTGAGGTCAGGAGTTCGAGACCATCCTGGCCAACATGGTGAAACCCCGTCTCTACTAAAAATACAAAAATTAGCTGGGCGTGGTGGCGGGCAACTGTAATCCCACCTACTCGGGAGGCTGAGGCCGGGTAATCACTTGAACTCGGGAGGAGGAGGTTGCAGTGAGCTGAGATCGTGAGCCGAGATCGTGCCACTGCACTCCAGCCTCCAGCCTGGGTGACAGAGCGAGACTCTGTCTCAAAAAAAAAAAAAAAAAAAAAAGAAAAGAAAATAATACTTACATTACATATCTATAAAAAGAAATGGCCTTCTCCCACCAAAGGGGAAGGTGGGGTGATGGGGGCAGGGAGCTAGATACCTCTGGGGGAGCTCCAGCTGGCTAAACTGCAGTCTCCCAGCATGAGAACATAAAAATCACAGATACTTGAATTAAGGGGATACTGCCAAGTCCAAAGGGCCTGGAGATGCTGTGAACTACCTATAGGAAGGGCAGGGCAGACAGAGGGCTGGGTGGTAAAGTAGCAGCTGGCCAGAGAAGATGATGAGCCACGAGCAGGAGAAATGCTGTGGAGGTGTAAGCAAAAAGCACGTATTTTGGATTCTGTGATAAAGTTTTTTAAAAAGCGGTAAGGACTAAACAGCTCCATGACCTTCTGCATATGTATATATACATATATATACACATACATATATATATATATATATATATATATACACACACACATATATATATATATGCCTCTTAGCTACCCAAATCCTTCAGAGAATCCTTTTTTTTTTTTTTTTTTTTTTGAAATGGAGTCTCTCCACCTGTTGCCCAGGCTGGAATGCAATGGCACGATCTCGGCTCACTGCAACCTCCGCCTCCTGGGTTCAAGTGATTCTCCCGCCTCAGCCTCCCCAGTAGCTGGGACTACAGGCACGTGCCACCACGCCCGGCTAATTCTGTATTTTTATTAGAGACGAGGTTTCACCATGTTGGCCAGGCTGGTCTCGAACTCCTGACCTCAGGTGATCCGGCCGCCTCAGCCTCCCAAAGTGCTGGGATTACAGGCATGAGCCACCACACCCGGCTCTTTTTTTTTTTTTTTTTTTTTTTTTTTTGAGACAGGGTCTCACTATGTTGCCCAGGCTGGAGTGCAGTGGTACAATCTCGGCTCACTGCAACCTCTGCCTCCCGGGTTCAAGCGATTCTCCTGCCTCCTGATCCTGAGTAGCTGGGATTACAGGCGTGCGCCACCATACCTGGCTAATTTTTGTATTTTTAGTAGAGACTGGGGTTTCACCGTGTCGGCCAAGCTGGTTTTGAACTCCTGACCTCAAGTGATCTGACTGCCTTGGCCTCCCAAAGTGCTGGGATTACAGGCGTGAGCCACCGTGCCTGGCCAAGAGAATCCTCTTTTACAGTTTTCCATGGCATTATAGACAAGGACTGATGCTGTGCTATGGGTCAGGAAGAGAGAAGTCTAAGGAAAGTCAGACCCCATGTCTACTTGTAAAGCAGCAGAACTCAAGCCCTTGATCATCATCCTTAAATGGGGTGAGGTAGAGAGAGAAAAGGATAACTCCCTGAGTGGAGGAAGATTGCCTGAACTGTTATAGGACACCTCCTTCTGTCCAATTCCCTAGATATCCCAAGTCCTTGGTTAAATATCACTAAATTTTATAATAAAAAAATATTACTCATGGGGCATATAGTATACCAAAACAAGGAGAAGGCAAAAAGAAATGCAGGTGAGAACCACTGACCTAGTCCAAAGCCCTACTGTACAGATATCTAGGAATATCTGAAGGAGACATTAATTCAGTATTTATTGACTATCTCATACATTAGAGTAAGTGGTAATGTGTCCAAGGCCAAAGAGCGTGGAAGGGTGTAGGGAAGAGTAGCAGCCCCGGATAATACTTAAAGCAGAGATAGAGGATCTACTAATTCCTGTTCTTACAGGACTAGTGATCAGGCTGTTTTAAGATCCACACCAGAAAACTGGCTGATGCTAATCAATGCTAGAAATTCCCAGGAATATAAAGTCTCTCACAGGTAAGCCATGTTGTATACCCAGCAAAATGTTTTAAAGGGTAAGAAAGAAGTACACAGAGGATAGACCAGAACTCTGGGTTCAACTTTTGACCTGTTAAATAAAAAGACCTATCCACTGCTCTGAGAAGGGTAAGAGTATACAAAGTATGGCAGAGGCTGCTAGTTGTACCTCGATATTCATTCTTGTCTTCTGTCATAACAACATGACCTCCAGTTTTAAGTGGTACTTGACCATCCAAAATAAGAATTACATTTCCCAGTTTTCCCTGCAGCTAGATGTGGTCATATGACCAAGTTTTTACTAACAGAAGGTGAATGGAAATGATGTGTGCCTTTAAAAGATTTGTCTAGCCCTGCACTTCCCCACTTCCCTCTTCCACTGGCTGGAATGTAGATGTGATAATAAGCCACCCCTTAGCTGTTACCGTCAAACACATGGCCCAGAGGGCATACCATCATACGGTGCATCTAATCACTATTATTTTGGGTCTCTACTAGACTAGTCAAACCCGTAGCCCAATTAAGAACAGCAATGAAGAAAGGCCAGGGGCAGAATACAGATGACAACCACCGCCACCACCACCATCACAAAGGACATCACTAAATCACTCCTGCCGCTTGTCCCTGTTGCCTGGGTACTCACTGGCACACCATGGGACATGAGGGTGTTGGGATTCATGAGGGTGACAAGTTGGTGCAGGAGGTCAGGCTGGCTATCAAATAGTTCAGGTGTCAGCTTCTTCATCACTTCTTCCAAATGTTCTGCTGCAAGTGAGGGCACCCCATACCAGGTCTTCGGCTCACCCCTGCACAAGTGGAAAAGGGACACACACAGTAAATCACACCTTGGTCATGCAGGGAGCCCACACTGACTTGATTCCCTGGCTCCCCAGGGTCCCACTCACCAGTGGAGGTAGTTAATGGAGTAACTCCAGTGATCCTCAATATGCCAGCAAAAGGCTGAGAAGACCATGCCCACGTAGAGCCAGGGCACCTTCATGCCAGAGATATCTGCATTGATGTGGCACAGTACAGACTGTTCCAACACCGGCATCACATTTAGGTTCCAACCACTGGTAGCATACTCCTGCCAGGTCAGGTATTTGTAAAAAGGGCATGAGGGTTATGCTAAGGAACTGAGATCTTAAGTCATTTTCTTTAGCCTAGGGAACCTTAATTTTGAGGTCAGAGACTTTTTTGAAACATCTTAAGAAACATATAGGTTTTCTCCCTACCTCTCCACCAAAAAGCATACACACAAAATTTCAATTGTATTCACTTCAATTTCTACGAAGTTTACCGATATATCCACCTACCAAAATACCTGCAAGTTAAAAAAATCCTGCTCTGGATCAAAATGTACCCTTTCTTGGAAGCACAACTAGGCCCTCATTTTCTCCTGTGCATACAAACCCCACTCCCTGAACACTACTTATGGATGAGCCAGGATCTCATATACCTTCTCATTTAATTTTTATAACAAATTTGCAAAGTAGATATTATCCCCATTTTAAAGATAAGGAAATGGGCTCACAGAGGCGAAAGAACCCATCTCATGTTTGTACATGCCAGGTACCAGACTGTTTTCTTTCATCTCATCTAAATCTCATGGCTACATAAGACAGGCATAATTATCCTCATCTTACAGAGATACTGAGTTTTTCAGATACTAAATGATTTGCCTAAGCTCACACAGCTGACACGTAACCATGAATCATCCACTCACCTCCTCTTCGGGGGTTAGGTGCCGTTTACTGTCACTGACAGGGAAACCGCTGCCAAATTCTTTGGAATGGATGTCAGCTCCATACTCAACAGTCACATCTTCCTCAATGCTATTTACCAGCCTCCAGAACTCCTTCTCCACAAGTTCTGTGGGCACCATCTGGGGGAAGACAGGTAGCAGATGACTATGGCCCATCACACCCTGGACCCACTGATCCAGGTGAGCTGAGACCATCTGGCATCAATACCTATGATCCTAGCCCAACACTACCTCAGCCCTCCATCACCTACATGCACGGGCATGTTGAAGTAGTCAGCTTTAAAGGAGTCGGCCATCTCGCCAAAGCTCTGCAGAGTGTATTCCCGGGTAGCCTGCTCAAAGCCAAAGGCTTCTGGGGGCCGCTTACACTCCTGAAACCCAAAGGAGAACATGTCACCAAAACAGAGGCAAAGAGGTGAAGAATCCTCCCAAGTGGAACTGGAATATAAGGGGTAGGGAGGGAGAAGAGCCCTAGGTCTGCACTCAAGGCCCCTGAGGCAGGCCTTACTTTACAGCTGTACCTTTTGCTCTTACCACTTCGGCTTAGTCTTTTCATTCCCCATCATGCTTTTGCTCAGTTCCTCCCTACTGAAATGTCCTTTTCCACTTTCTTTCATTGGTTCCTCAAAACTCAATTCCAGTCTCACAACTTCCAGGGAGTCATCTCATGCTCTTTTCTTCCTTTAGGACTTTATCTAAATGGCTCTGACTTTAATATGCTATCCTGTGTTCTTCTGCCACCATTTTTCCTCTCTAGCTAAAATGTGATTCTTTTTTTTTTTTTTTTTGAGACGGAGTCTTGCTCTGTCACCCAGACTGGAGTGCAGGGTCACAATCTCAACTCACTGCAACCTCCGCCTCCCAGGTTCAAGCGATTCTCCTGCCTCAGCTTCCCGAGTAGCTGGGATTACAGGTGCCCGCCACCACGCCCAGCTAATTTTTGTATTTTTAGTAGAGATGGGGTTTCACCATGTTGGCCAGGCTGGTCTCAAACTCCTGACCCTGTGATCCGCCCGCCTTGGCCTCCCAAGTGCTGGGATTACAGGCGTGAGCCACCACGCCTGGCCTCTAAAATGTGGTTCTATGCAGGGTGCTTAGAGAAGGTTTTTTATGCCCAGACTAGAACTGTAAGGCTGGGAAAATGGCATTGAATATTCCAGTACCTTGAAAGATGGAAAACAGGGCCGGGCATGGTGGCTCATGCCTGTAAACCCAGCACTTTGGGAGGCTGAGGTGGGGTGGATCACCTGAGGTCAGGAGTTCGAGACCAGCCTGGCCACCATGGTGAAACCCTGTCTCTACTAGAACTACAAAAACTAGCCAGGTGTGGTGGCAGGCGCCTGTAATCCCAGCTACTCAGGAGGCTGAGGCAGGAGAATCGCTTGAACCCGGGAGGCAGAGGTTGCAGTGAGCAGAGATGGCATCACTGCACTCCAGCCTGGGTGACAGAGCAAGATTCTGTCGCAAGAAAAGAAAAAGAAAAAAGAAAGATGGAAAATGAAGACACTGGCTTTTACAGTATCAAACCCTCCACTAATCCTGTTCTTGAGACTGTCTCAGAAGATAGGATGTGGGTCTACCTCATTTTGTACCTATGTTCATTATTTTAGATGAGAACAATATGTACCCCAAAATCAGACACACACCATGCTTATGTTTGAAAAATAAATGTCCGTCTGGTCCACTGACTTATAACCACTTAGAGAAGAGAGTCAAGTAGAGTCGACAGTCTTGATACTGTTGGTATCCAAACTCCTCCCCAACTAGAATCTCCACCACTACCAAGGCCAATATGCACTGCCCTGATTTTTCCTCATCTGTGTATGTCTGTCTGTGTGTATGTATGCATGTGCACACCCGGTCTCTACAACCACAGTTGAGTCCCTAAGATAAGGCGAATGTCTGCTCTACAGAAATCCAGAGGGAAATGTAGAAGGTAAGTACCGAGAATTTGGGTGAAGGTAGGAAGTTCATGAAATGTACCTGCCCAACTTCCTGGCTGCTTGGCCCTTACTGCTGCTTCAGCTGCTCTCCTTACTGCCCCTATACCCATAGTAGGCATGCTCTCCTGCTATACCTCTGTTCCTGCTAGTCCTCCACCTCCCAGTCCTGAACAGCCAACCACCTCTCTAGTTAAAGCCTGTAGCACTGCCTCAATCTAAATATAACAAGAGGAAAACAACTAAATAAATATTATACCCATGATACACCATCTAAAAAAATTCCAGACCTTAATTAAACTTAGTAATATAGAGAAATGGTTATAAAGCAACAAATGAAAATATATAACAAGATCTCAAACTTGTTAAAGATAGTTACATATAAGTAACAGCAAAAAGATGAGAAAAAAATATATCAAACTATTAACAATGGTTATCACTGGGTGGTGGGAACACAAGTAATTTGCCTATTTTCCAAAATGTCTTTTTTTTTTTTGAAGACAGGGTCTCATTTTGTTGCCCAGGCTGGAGTGCAGTGGCATGATTTTGGCACACTGCAACCTCCGCCTCCTGGGCTCAAGCGATCCTCCCACCTCAGCCTCCCGAGCAGCTGGGACAACAGGCGTGCGCCACCATGCCTGGCTAATTTTTGTATCTTTTTTGGTAGAGACGGGGTTTCGCCATGTTGCCCAGGCTGGTCTCAAACTTCTGGGCTCAAACGATCCGCCCACCTCAGCCTCCCAAAGTGCTAGGATTACAGGCGTGAGCCACCGCGCCCGGCCTCAAACTTTCTAAAAAAGAAAAAAAAAAACAAAACAAAAACTCAGAAATTGAAAGAACATTTTTTTCTTAATATTCCTATCCTTCAAGTCTCATTTCTGACATTTTCCCTGATTATTACCCTTAGCTATTTTCCTCTCCTCTGAACTTCTATATCTCAGAGTTTCTAACACACAATTTAGCCTCTGTTTATATGTCACCACATATAGTCTAATTATGATGCTTACCTCTCCAGGTGGTCTGGGAGCTCTTAGAGGACAGAAGCAAAGGCTGAATCTCCTGCTCCTTTCTCCCAAAGCTCTGCCCAGCCTAATCCCACCACAGAGACCCAAAACCTAAGACTATGGCTGAGCTAAGAGGCTGCCCTCAATAAGGCCAGATGAAGGAAGGCAAGGAAGCCCTATGAGGCAGATGTGGAGTGGGGAGGCCTTACCGCCATGACACACTTTGGGCACCGCCAGACACCCTTGGGGATCTCAGGCAGAGGAGGCAGCAGGCAGAAGATGTGGTAGTTGTCATCACAGCCATCACACAGCAGGAGCTTGTCATCCTCATCCCCTCGAGAACACATCCGGCAGACATATGACTCAATCTGCCAGGGGAGAAGAGCAAAAGTTCTCCATTGGAAATCCACTGTGTTTGCTGGCTGAATGATTTACAGCCCTGTATAGGCTAGTCATGCTAGGTCTGGAGCTCAACTGCACGTATGTACCATCTCCCCAAATAAGCAGGTAGAGCTGCAAGAGCAGTCTTTTATCATCCAGTCTTGAATCCTCCCATTTTTATTCATCCAATAAACACTTACTAAACCCGTATTCAGAACTACGCTGGACTCTAGCACAAAGACAAGACATGGTATCCTTCCAAGTATATACAGTACTCTAGAGACATGTGTTCATAAAAATTAAAAATTGCCAATAGCGGTCCATAAAGGGCACTGTGGGAGCCTAGAGAAGGAAGCACTCAAAGCAGCTGGAGATAAGGAGGGATGGCCTTGAGAAAGGACTTCATTGAAAAGGTAACACCTGAAACTGGCTGAAACCTGAAGGCAAAACAAAACATGGCAACAGGGCAGAGCACAGGGGGAATCTCTTCCAGGCTGAAGAAACAACATGTGCAAAGGATAGGGATGAAAGAGCATACTGCATCTTACGGGGAAAAATGAACATACCTACAAGGAGTTCAGTGTGGCTATAGCAGAGGAGTGAGGTGGGCAGTGCTGGGGGATGAGGCTAGAGGTCAGCAGGGACTGGATCATGCATGGTAATGAGGAGCTTAGCCTTTATCCTGAAGCAATGGAGAGTGAGACTCCTTCTCTGGACCCTTCCAGCACTTCATGTTGACAGCACTTGATCACCCTTTCTTGCTCTTTGTTCCATATGAGTTGGCTTTGTTTCCCCAATTAAGTGAGCTACCTGAGGGCAGGGCCCATGGAGGCCCGCTTTTGTGGTTAATGCGAACTGGTCCAGTGCCATGCAGGGGAATGCTTATTGAAGGGACAAGAAGCAGAGCATTAAGAAGTCAGGGCTGGGTCCTTACAAACTGGGCATTGCTGTGGTTCCTCCGTAGCCTCATGGTCATCTTGGTGCAGGGTTCTGGGCTGTGACTCAGCTCCTCCTTGCTCTCCAGGAAGGTCTTAGGCGATGTTGACTCCACCTTCACATCCCCACCTAACTCCTCCTTCACCACTACTGTGGGGGGACACTCAGGCCCCTCCTTATCTGGGAGAGAGAAAAATGGCTGTAAACACAGGTCTAGGACACTTAGGGCCCTGACTTTTCTCCCCAGGTGAGGCCACCCCAGCCTGTTAGGCCTTACCTTTCTTCCGCAGAGTCTTGTCTTTGGCCATGAGGCCCAGGCCCATCATCTTGGGGCCTGCCCCATAGATCTGTAGCTTTTTCAGCTCTGGATTCTTCTCAATGTCTTCCTCTGTGGGTTCCGGCTGGAAGGAAAGAAGGAAATGAATCAAGACTGCTATCTGGGGCAGACTGTCCCATCCTAAAAGAACAGTAACTCGGACTACATATCACCTGATCTCATGCTGAGGGCTGAGGCACAGATGGGCTAAGCCAAGAACTCAGAGTTGCTTTTTGGAGACTGAGGGTAGGTGAGCTGCCCCCTCGGCCCTCTCTCAGAAAGGAATAAAAGACAGGATATCTCAGTTTTCCCAACTGTAAAATGAGAATATTACCTCCTCCCTTATAGTTATGAGGGGGGTTAGGGACAATACATATGAAAAAGCTAACAGTGTTTGGCATTACCAACAAATGGCAGTCTAATAGGATCTGCTAAATTACATGCTTCGATGAGCCCAGGGACAGTGTCCATCTTGTTCTCTATTGTATTCCCAGTGCCAAGAATGCCTGGCACATAAGCTTCTGCCTGAAGACATAGCTACAAGGAGCTGGGAACAGTGGTACACACCTGTAGTCCTAGCTACTCCAGAGGCTGAGGTGAGAGGATCACTCAAGCCTAGGAGTTCAAGATTATAGTGCATTATGATCAAGCCTGTGAATAGCCACTGTACTCCAGTCTGGGCGACATAGCAAGACCCTATGCCTCAAAACAAAACAAAACAAAAGATACAGGTATAAAGAGAAAGAAGAGTTCTACTTCTATGAGCAGAGTAAGTCCGGAAAGGAACAAAACAGGCAAGAAGAGCAGACATACAAAAGAGGTTGCACAAACAGATCAAGACCCAGCTCAGCAGCTCAGCTGAGAGGGGAGAAAAAAGCAAGAGTGAAGCCAGAGAGAGGCACACTAATGCTCAGAAGAACTCAGAGAACAAAAGAAGGGATAATGGAACAGGGAACACAGCCTTAGCCAGAAGGAAGGAGAGGACTCCCTCCACCTCAAAGCTCTAAGTTCGAAGAAGGGGAGTACTCACATCAGGCTGCAGTCTCTTGGCCCGCCGGCCATAGCTGTTGAACTTGGAAGGCTGCACAGACTGTCGTAGGGGGATGCTGTGGGGTTTGTATTCCTTGTCCTTCTCCTCATTATCAAATGGACGTGTGTTACACTGCTGGGGACAGGTAAGGGGTAAGGGTCAGGACATGGACTCCAGCCCGCAAAAGCAATAACTTCCCTCTACCCTCACCCAATGGCATCCAAAGCTGTGGTCCACTCACCTGACCCACACCAACAGCCCCTGTTCCACTGGTCTTTAGCACTGACACCAGCACACATTTTGGGAATTCTCAGTACCTTTGCTTGTATCACTCCTCCCTTCCAGTCACTTCCTCCACCAACCATCTCCCCAACTAAATCAGACGCCATCTCTTCCCACACCTTCTAGCCCAAGCTCTCCCTTCTCTGATTTCTCTATCAGTTAAAACTTTGTCACATAACAAATAAGCTAGCCGTACAGATAACTCCAGGACCTCTGACCCTGAGCAGTGTAGAAAGAGAATAAGCATCACTAGGAAAGAGCAGAGTCCAACTCCCAGGTCTCCAGTCCACTAAACCAGTTTCATTAAGAGCAAGTGTGGAAATCTGTGCTGAAGGGTAAAGCCGCACCCTGCCCCACTGTGACATCCTTACCACAAGGTTGGCTCCAGACTGGTACATTTCATAGGGATAAACAATGCGTTCGTAGTGGGAGCGTAGCAAGGAGCCAATATTTTTGCCTGGTGGATAGTTGAGGCGCTGGGCTACCCGAGCCCACCGACGGTCCTTGCAGATAGCTTCATAACCACCTTCCTCCACCACAATCTGAAAAAACAAGTAGGAAAAGACATGGATGTGCCACGTGTATTTATATGTGAGGGAGTAGGCCTGTAGAAAGGGCAAAAGGGCAATGAGGGCAACTCTAGTCCCTCACTTCACTGGGGGCTATCCCCTTATCCCAACCTCAAATTGCAGCAAAAGATTCCAAGATGTTCTGATGACAGCTTGTGTGCTACCAAGCTGTGCCCCTTCCATTGCAGCCTAAAGATCTAATATCCAAACTAAGGGGGCCCCCAGAGTATCAAGGATATTGGGGTTTGGTGGGAGGGGTGCTTGACAAAAACCTGTTCTTACTTTGCTGAGACTGTAGAGGTCCAAGATCCGCCGTTCTACATTGGGAATCTTTAAGGAGGAGCCCTGGATTTCCCAGAATTTGGCAATCTGGTCCAAGTAGTTCAGTTTCACTCTCGTCTGGGCCTGAAGAAGAAATGGCTCAAAGAGGCTGGCCACCCCCTCCCACTGACCACTATCTTTGGGTCCAGTCTTAGGGGAGAACAGAGGAATACAGCACTCCACACTTTCACTACCCAGGGTTTCTCCCAATGAACCGGATCCCAGACTCTAGGCAGTGCTTAGCCCCACCTCACTCTCATTTCTTTCGTTTTTGTTTTTTTGAGACGGTCTTGCTCTGTCGCCCAAGCTGGAATGGAGTGGTGCAATCACGGCTGACTGTAGACTTGACCTCCTGGGCTCAAGTGATCCTCCTGCCTCAGCCTCCTGAGTAGCTGGAACTATAGGCGCACGCCACCACGCCCGGCTAATTTTGTATTTTTTGTAGCAATGAAGTTTCACCATGTTACCAGGCTGGTCTCAAACTCCTAAGCTCAAGCAATCCATCCACTTCGGCCTCCCAAAGAGCTGGGATCACAGGCACAAGCCACTGCACCACTGCACCCAGCCACCTCTCTCTCATTTGTCACCTTCCAGTCAATCAGAGAAGCCCAAGGTCCCAATAGAGAGGGTCACAACTGCCAAAAGCTTTAGATATGTCCTCTAATCTCCCTGACAAGGTCATGTGAGTATTATCATCTCCTATACAGATGAGGAAACAGAGGCTCAGAGGAGTTAGGACACACAGCAAGCATCAAGATATTTTGGTGCCAAATAATTTGAGCTTTGGCTCTCCCTCTGCTACTGATTTGCTATGCTGCCTTGAGCAAATCAGTTCCACTGTGGACTCCTTTTTCCTTTTACTAATAATTATAAAAGGAAAATAACTGCACAGTCCACTTACCCCAGAGGGGTAGACTTAATGAGGGGACCAGTGAAGATCCTCTGCAGATTTCAGAATTATATCTAAGCTCTAGGCATGTTTCAGAGAAAGCAAGCTCCAAAAAGGCACATGCACCTCCTTATGTACCACCAAACTTGTTCCATGGTGGCTAAAGGGTGAAAGTGCATGCTATAACTATAGACAGAATGGCCTAGAACTAAGAGATGGTATATCAGAGTAGCACTAGCACCTGGCCAACCCAGGACCCAATGTGGGCCAAGGAGACTAGAAACAAGATATGTATGATGCTTCCCTGAAATCTCAGTAACCAAGAAGGACTCCCATAGGCCCCAAGTCTACAACCTCCTCACTCCAGTCAGAGAGCCTGGTTCTTGGAAGAACTAGATAGTCATTACCATTCACTACCTTGCCCTGATCCCATTAGGGGGAACAAAGACAGCTCTTTCCATTTCATAGTTGAGAAAAACTAAGGTCTATTTGTAGAAAGAAACAACCTACAGTTCCTTGGCTGTGAGAACTCTCAAAGGGCAAGGAAGTGCTCCTTCAACCTCAGCCCCTTAGCTTTCTGAAGTTGGCCTCATCCCTGCTCCTTCTTATTAGTCAGCACTCCCTCTACAGAAAACCTGCCCTTGTGTCATGCTAGGCAACATCTTGCCCAAGCTGTACCCCTATAAACCTGACAAGATATATTTTTCTTTTCTGAGATGGGGTCTTGCTATGTTGCCCAAACTGGTCTTGAACTCCTGAGCTCAAGCAATCCTCCCACCTTAGCTTCCCAAAATGTTAATAGTGCCGAGGCTGAGGAACTCTGGTCTAGAACACAAGTGAACTTTTAGGGTATAAGTATTCAGCTGGGCCTGGGCCTAATGCCCCACCCCTTGGACATCTATTAAGATTTGTGGGTACATAATAATGGGGGAGGGAGTGGCAACATATGCCTAACCTAGAGCTGCCATGGAAAACTCCAGGATCTTACGTGGAACTGGCTTTAGGGAACCTAATCTCACTACCCCAGGGCATTCTCAAGCAGGAAAAACCCCACCTGTCCATGAAAAGGGCCTGGACTTCCTGTACAGAACAAAAGGGAGAAGGAAAATCCTACCTGCCTGACCCCTGGCCAAGTCTCTAACCATTCCAGCCTCCACAGAGCCCAGTTCTTGTGTTGTTCTGCCCATCTACCCAAACTCCCACCTTACCAAGCACCCATGGAAGCAAAGTAGAAAGCACAGGGCTGTGGATGAATTGGATATATGAAGCCACATTCAGCTGGCCAAGGAAGAAGGGGTATCAGCCAGTTCCATAATTCCTTTTTGTTGACTCAGCTAGGGTAGGCTAGTTTACAGGGGAGTTTCAGAAGTAGCAAACCTTTGTGAGAAAGGGATATATGTCCCCAGCCTTTGGGCTATCAAATCACAAATGCTAAATGCCCCTGGCTCTTGGTTATATTTAGAGCTCTAAAGCTTCTTCCACGCCCTGGGCACACTAAAGTAATGCAATTTCACAGAAGAGAGAATAAAGGCCTAGCTAGGTAAAGTACCTCAGCCAGAGAAACTATAAGGGAAGTGGGATTAGAACTCAGGTATACATTCTCCCAACCCCACCACCAGCTCCTAGTCTTCTCACCTCTAGCTCATTCAGCCTCTGGATTCGGGGGGTAAACCTGAAGTTGTCCACTTCCACAGCAAAGGGTGGCTGCCAGTCCTGAGAGGGTAGAGAGGGGAAAGGGACTTGAGTTATCTCAGCATAGTGTAAGACCGGAAGTCACCAAAAGCAGCTCGGAATCCCACTGGCACCTTCCCAAACCTCTAGCCACTCCAGACCCTTTAACCTGCAAACATCCTACCCAACCACCCACCCCCACCTCCCCCCAGAACTCACAAGAGTCTAGCAGCCCCTCAAGTCTGCACCCAAGGCCCCATGCACATGCCCTAGGAAACTTCTCCTGAGTCCCACCCAACAGTACAGTGCCAGGATTTCAAGAAATTAAGAGATGGAGCCTCTGTTTTGTTGACCCTAAACCTTCTCCACACCCACATTAATTCCTTATCCCCTAGGCACGTGCTGTAGGACACACAGGCCTGGGAGTACTGGAAAGCACACAGGATCTAGAGTCAGAAGATATGGGTTCATGTTCTAGATCCGCTACTTACTAGCTATGAGATTTTAGCTTTCTGAACCTGTTTTCTCATCTGTGAGGTGGGAATATGAACTCTAGCCCTGGCTTCCTTGCCAGACCAATATGGAAAATTAAAACTAGTTTTCAAATGAAAATGTTATTCAAAGGAGTCACCGTTATGACCTGACATCTAAGGCTGACCACACCTCACAATACACATGCAGGGTAGCTCAGGTCCGATTGTGGCAGGACGTAAAGGTTTGGGCCTTTAATGTTTGTTCTCTCAGTTTAAAGGGCCTGAGATAGACACTGCAGGGAAGAGCAAGGAACAGGGAGCAAGTATGTGTATCACTCACCCAGTCTGGAAGGCTTCCTGTAGATCCTCTCTCATACACCTGCCTGGTACAGGAAGAGGCAGGGGAGGAAGCCCCAGGGGGTGGGGGTAAGTGCTGGGATGCCTGACTGTGGTGGCAAAGAATGGGAGGATTTGGGGAGGGAAGTCAGGGAAAGATCATGAAAGTGGGAGACACTCTGCTCTGCCAAGTTGGAGCTTGCTGTGTCCTGCCCAAAGGTCAGCTGTGAAGAACCCCCTCTCCAACACCCCTTTCCAACCTCCTATGCAGACCTCTCCTTCCCAGAGCCCTGGCTCCTGCTGGGGTGGTGAAATCAACCTAAAGTAACCTAAACCAATGTTCTCATTTTATAAATGGGGAAAGTGAGGCTCAGAGAAAAAAAGTGAAATTTCCAAAATTACATGCTGAGTTAGTGGTGGGGCCAAGAACCCACGTCTTCTGACCTCTGATCCAAGGCCTTTGCACTACACCAGACATCAATGTTCATACATACATGCATACACGTGGGCGGGGGGGAGAGACAGTGAAAGAGAAGAAAAACTGTTGACCTCTTCTGCACACACACTTTTAGAAAATGGGCTAGAGGACTCATATTTTGCATGCATACACAGACCACACTCCCCTGCCCCTACCAGCCAAAGCAGGTGGCAAACATCTGGGGCTCAGTAAGCAGGGACAAAAAAAAAAAAAAACAGGCAGGCCAAAATGGTATGGCTCAAATCCAGACAAGCTCCCCATGCCCTCTTGCCTCTCATCAGGATAGGGCACTCCCCTCAGCACAGGTAACCCAGCTAAAAAGGTGCTCAAACCCAAAACTCCGGGCACCCTTCTTTCCTGCTGAATCAAGTTCTAGACAATCAGTGCAACATCAAGCACCTGACAGGAAATGGCAGCCCTGGAATGCTACGGCAGGAGCCATGGATGCAACAGATACCTGGGAAGGCCCTGCAAACCGCCTGCCTTCATCTCCAGACTACTGTATGCCAAATGTATGTTGGTATTACTGGGATGTGGTGATAAAAAAAAGGCTGGCTACCTGATGAAGAAAGCAAGATCCTTCCAAACTCCACTGGGTCTACTCAGGGTACCCACACTCTCCTCCCACCCATCTTTCCCAAGCGTAGCAGTCACCTGCCCAGCAATTCAGGCCCCAAACCATCCTTCCTCCAGCAAACCTCCAATTCCCAGGTACCCACCCATATACAGGTTCCCACCCTGGGCCCAAGCATCACTTGAGCGAGTACTTCAAACTTCAACCAGAAGAAGGCCAGCTGCCTAAAGGTGGCCTAGGAGCTGCCATAGAGAAGGAAAAAACAAAACCAAACCAGAGAGCCAGGTATCCTGGATTAGAGAGAAGCACACTGTTGAGCAGTGAAAAGGACGGCCTCCTGCTGGCCATGCACACCTGGGACATGTCACTCTTCCCCTTCCTGATGCCCCAAAGCAGGGTAACAACACCTACACAAGGCCAGCCTGCCTAAGTCAGTCCAAGATAGAAAAAAGGAATTCAGGCCTCAACTACCCCCTACGTCAGCTATGCCTCTTTTTCCCACAGGCTTGCCCAACCACTTCAGGGAGTGCCTCCTTGAGGCTGCCCAGGACTCCTGCCTCTCCCTTCCACTAGCCTTCCTGACCCTCTACCCACTGCCACTCCCTCACCATGGACAAGGATACCTCAGAAATCTGTGGCCAGACTCCAAGAAGGAAGAAATTCGCTTACCCAACACCTCCTAGAGGATCTATCTGAAACCATCCTAGATCTGTGGCTGAGCACCAGAAAGCACCAAGTTGGATAAGGAGGCCTGTGGTGCCCTCCTCAGGTGGGAATGAAGCTTCCTATTCCATTTCAGCCAGGAGACACCCACTCAAAAACACCCTTTTCCAGCAAAGCTCAATTTCTGCCCTTGGAATCCCAACTGATCACTGAACATTATCATCACTTTTCCACCATATCAGCAAGGCAGCAGCTTGCCCTAGCCCTTGGGAGACTTCTAGCCTGAAGCCAGGCCTAGGAGGAAAGCTATGGCCTTTGTTGCTGACCCCTGGCAATCATGTTCCAAAAGGGACAGAATTCCATGGCTCCATTCTGTTCTGCGGGCCCAAGAGTGCCCTATCCTCTGGGATCTCCTACATCCTGGACCAGAGGAGAGTAGAAATCTTCTGAGAAGGACTCACACCCCACCACCAAGCTGACCGGTCCAAACATCTCCATAGGAAGTCAAGTCTGCGGGATGATGTGCAGAAAAGGCCTTGACATTGCCTTCAACGAGGAAAAGAAGAGGACAATTCCCTGAACCCACCTCAAGGGAGACAGAGCAATCCCTGTGAGACTGATTTCCTGACTGGTCCAGCAGGCCAGGATATTATCATAGATGAATTGGCCTGGCAAGGTATGAGTAAATATGAGTCAACCTACATAGGAATAAACCAATGACCACATCAAACACCCTCACAGTCACAATAATTACCACTTATCTAGTGCGTACTACATACAGACGCTACCTAGTTTAATTCAATCCTCTAAATAACCATTTCTGGGATCCATTTCACGGGCTCAGAGAGATTACTTCTACTTTCCCAAGGTCACACAGCTGCTCAGCTTCAAAGTGGAGTTTTGAACTCAAGTCTGTCTCCCTTCAGGACTGCGATCTTTCTATTAATACTATACTATGCTGCCTGCCTTAAAGGAAGTGATGACAACAGATTGGAGAAACGTCTTATTTTTACAGCCTCGACCTAGGTGGCCCGGGCTAAGAGATGTGCGGGGTGCCTCTCTGTGAACTCCCTCCGGCCCACTAGGAATCCCTGTCTTAAACCCGGAGTGATTCTGAAGGGCCGGGGTGGGGGTGGATCTCTGACTCCAGGTCACCTGTGGGCCTCACACCACGAGAGGACCCCTGGCCCAACACCCTTTTTCCGATCCGCGCCGCAACCACAACGGTCCCAGCCACCCCCTCTCCCCACCTCGAGCTGCCCTCCGCCCCAGACTTCGCCGCTGGCTATCCTACTGCTTCATTCCGTCTCGCCGCCGGCGAAAACCGGCCCCGGGGCTTACCGCGGGTGGGCGGATCTTGCAAATGCCCGATTTCTCTGCGATGGGCCTGATTTTCGCGATGTAGCCAAGAGGGTCTCGGAACTCGGCCCAGCTAGGCTCGAACACCGGGCACTCCGGTGGCGGTAGGAAATCGTCGGACCCCGGCTCCATGGTGGGCCCGAGGTCTGGGCCAGGGATCGGGAGGCTTGGACCGCCCTTAAGGACTCATGGCGCCGCCGCTGTTTGAAGCCGAGGCAATGCTCGGAGGCTAGGCCCTAAGCGGGGCAGCCGCCGCCCGCCGAGGGCCTAAGGGGGCGTGTGGCCGTCGTGCTCTGAGAGTCTCAGGCTGACTCTACTGCTACCGCCTCTTCGTCCCGCTCCGTTTCTTCCAAACTGTGTGGTTGCCTCCCCACTACCGCAGCCTTCGCCACCACAGTTACCTCCCAAACGCCGCGGCCTTCAGCGCCGCCGCCGCCATCTTGGTTTGTCAGCGTCTCCCCTCCCCACACCACAACAAACCGGATCCTTCCGCGGGGTGTCCTTCCGAGCCTCGTATACGTTGCGTCACACCAAGCCCTAGGAAACCTTCATATAGTGGAGACCGAGCTAAATAGGCTGGTATGGGTTTCTATTTGGAAGGGGTTACTCAAAAGTACCACCCCGGACTGAGAGAAAATAGTTCATTGCAACGGCGGAGGAACAAGATTGTAATTAGTTTGCCGGATCGTCTTTCCGGATGGACCGGCGGTGCACGTTTAAAGGCCAGTGATGCGCATGCGCGTTATGGAGACCGGAAGAGGAGCTGGTGTCCGTGGGTGGTGGAGTCAAACCGGCACTCCCCCGCAGACCTCAACCAGGTCGCTAGCCCCGCACCAGTGTTCTCTGTCCCTTCTCCCTGGTCTTAACGGTATGGGCCGCGGAAGGCGGCTCTGGGAGCCTGATTGCAAAGGACCCCTTATGCTGGCCCGCGGGATGGGGGGAGATGTACTAGGCTCCAGCTCTAGACACTGACACCTCTGGGGCTTTGAAATAAGGAAGGCAGGAAGCTGCTCACTCCCCGGGGATTATGGATTTTTAGGATTCTGAGTCCCAAGTAAAGGAAGGAAATCTTTATTTCATCCAAGGTTACAGGTAGAGAGATGGGGTTTCGATTCTTACCCCCCAAAAGTCACTGGGAGTCAGCATTTTAATGAACGCTTTCAACTGTTCTGTATTCACTTTTACCATGTACACATTTGTGGCATATACTCCTACAAAATAAGCCTGTGTGTATGTATACTTTAACTATTGGATGTTTAGCAACGGCGTATTTATCCAGTGTCAACTGTGTAAAACACCTGTTTGCCCATTTGTGAGCCTACAGTGCACTTACCAAACATCCGTGTACTTTTATTGTATTTATTGTGTATAGCCCCTGTGCATTTGGTACCAACTGTATGTACATTTAGTCCTATCGTGTGCATGTTCCTTGAGCAGTTTCTGAATAGGTTCATTGCAACTACAGTACTTTGAATGAGTATCATCAAACCAGTACTTTGTACATATACATCAGGCATCTACTGATTGGAGGATCATCTGTGTCATTCATCAGCTGTGGACCTACTGCATATAGTTTGAACACCTACTGTGCAAATATTTGAGTACTTGCGTACATGCTGATTAAGTAATTTTGTTTTCCCCCATCAGACTATGAATTCCTTAAGGGCAGGGACCATGTGGCCTTATACATCCTTAGCACTTGGCATGTTAAGCAGTAAATGAATGTTGAGTAAACAAAAGAAAAATGAATAAATGTCCTTAGTATATATTGACTGAAAAATATGAATACTTTTTGCAAACATTTCCTGTTTAACATATTAAACATCCACTGTAAGCTCGAGGCAGATAGGGAGTGTCATACCTTCGTGCAGTTAACTGTTCCTAATCAGATACTGTGCCAATTAGGTCCATCCTGCCTACTTCAGGACTGAGCTAAGGACATCCTGGCTGAGGGAACAGGGCACACAGGTAGGAAGGAGCTCATGCCCTGGGCTCAAAAGAGTCATGCCTTGCAGTCCCACCAGCTCTGCCATTTTCTAGTTTGTAACCTTGAACAAGTCCCAACTTCTGTAACTGAAATGGGGATAATACATACCTTGCAGAATTGTTGTGTACTTGGCACATAGCAGGCCCTCAGTATCTGGTAGCTGTTATTTTTATTTCTGAGAGTCAACAACCAATATGCCAAAACTCATTAAGAATCTCCTTTGTGTCAGACACTGTGCTAGTGCTTTTGTATTTTTTTTTTTATCACCTGAATCCTTATATTACCTTGAATGTTCAAGATCTTTATCCCCACTTGGCTCGTGTGGAGACTTGTCCCAAGTGACACAGATATTAAGTGACATCTTTCTAGTTTTCTAGGTGTCAGGGGAAACCTCAGCCCCTCTCCACCAGAAACACAGGTGGATGATCCAACTGAACAGCTGTCTGGACAGGAAGCAGGAAAACTAGGCAAAGTGATGCTAATCACAGTAATATCACTAGCCTCTCACATGGATAAGCATCTAATTGCCTACATGGCTAGTTCATACCAATTATTTCCCTTAATCTTTGCAACAGTCTTCAGAAAGATGTAGGTGAATTTACCCAGTCTGTAGATGAGGAACCAAGTTCCAGAAAGATTAAACAACTTGCCCAATGATACACAGGAAGTTGCTGACTCTGGTCAAATGCTCTTCCTGTCGTTTGCCCTCACCAGGAGTGGAGGAGGTGAGGGAAAAGGGAGCTGCTGGGGTGGGAGGTAGAGTGGTGGGGCAGGGCCCAGTCCTTGGCAATATGGGGCATGCAGGGCCTGGAGCTTGGACTGCCCATCGGGCAGCACCCCCAGGCCACCGTGGCTGTGACCGTGATGGTGGTAGTGGTGGTGGTGCGTGGAAGAAACAGATGAAAAGGAGGCAGAGGCCTGGCCAGAGAAGGGTGAGGAGAATCTAGAAGGTGGGAGAATACGGTAGATCTTAGGCCGAAGGAAGTTCAGCCTTTCCATCTAGAGGCTCAAGGAAGTACAAAGAGCATGAATCAGGAATCAGGAGGCCAGATTTTGGGTCTCAGCTCTGCACAGTCTTCCTACAGCCTTCTTTGAGGTCCTTTAGCCCAGACACACCCGTCCTAGAAGATTAAATAGAAATTATGTAGTCTTTGAAGCCAATGAGATAGAATTTATTCGTTTACAAATATTTATTAAATTTCTACTATGCACCAGCAAATTTTCTGGGCACTGGGAATATAATGGTGACCAAGACAGATGTAGTCTCTACTTTCCTGGAGCTGACATGCACCCACTGAGATCTGCCAAGTACCTCATCTTCCTGAGCCTTGATTTTCTCCTTTGTATAATGAAGCTAAATAATCCCTTCCTCACAGTGTTGTTAGGAGGATTAGAGATAATGATGACTGCCATTCATCAAGGGCCAGGTGCTATGAAGTAGGTATTGTTATCCCCATCCTACAGATGAGGAAACTGAAGCTCAGGGAAGTGTAAACTTACTCAAGTCACATGGCTAGTAAGTGGCAGGACCAGAACTCAAACCCAGGTCTGTCTGACTGCCGTACAATTCTGCCTGTAAGAGTCTCAGATGGTGCTCCCCATGTAGTAAGGCATTCAGGAAATGGGTTTGTTCCCCAAGCCATGGGTCTTGCTGGGGGACAACCGGAGTCTAGACGCTGGGGACTTAAGAATTGGGATGCATCAGGAAACTCACTCCAGGCTGGGGGCTGGCTTGGCCTCACCCATCCACCCGGGAGACAGGGTCTGACATGGAGTTGGTGCAGAGCAGTGACTGGAAGGCTCGTCTGGGCTCAAAACCACACGCACCCCATTCATGTTTTGTGGATCAACTGGGCTGACACTGACTTTGTGTCTCACTTTTTTTGGTTTGTAAAATATGATCTCTTCCAGTTCTGAAGTAGGTTTAAGCTGTTGGTTCTGATTCCTAAATAGCTCTAGAATCCATCCCCTCCTCCTTGCCATCTTCCACTCCTCCTGTGAGCCTTTTACTGTCTCTAGCCTGGACTCTTAAAAGAGCCTCCTCAAGGTATCTGTGTGAACTCATGGTTTATTAGACAGAGACAGAGAAATATCGATGTCTAGTATAGAAATATAGATGTATAGTATGTGCTTATACATATACATAACAATAAAATGATTTATCCAAAGTAATGTTAATTCAAAATGAATTATGATAGTAGTGGATTACAACTCACTGGTTAAAATAAAAATCCATGACTCCACATTGATATAAGTAAATAAAGTGAGAGAAAAGGGAAAGTAGAATTCTAAATTATATAGAAGGAATGATGGAGCTAGAAATCATCAATGGATGCTCAAACCTTTGCAAAATAAAAGAGCAAGCTCTTAAAATATTGCTGTAACACCTAGTGCCCAAATCTTGGTTTCTAAATGTCATTCTCTACTAAAAAGAACCGGGGCTCCTTGGAAGGGCTCAGAAAAAGATGGAGATGTGCCACAGGACACAGGGGCTTAGAGGGCTTCCTACTGGCCAAATCTGGGGCTGTGAACATCAAAATAAAGAATGATGTTAATGGGTTATATATAACCCATTGAGTAAAATAAACAATCATTAAGTCCATAAGGATATAAATAAATAAATGTAGAAGGGAAAGCCCTCCCTTATAGTGGAAAGCCAACTAAGACATGCCCAGGCTGGGGGCAGTGGCTCATGCCTATAGTCCCAACACTTTGGGAGGCTGAGGTGGGAGGACTGCTTGAGGCCAGGAGTTTGAAACCAGCCTGGGTAACCTAGCAAGACCTCCATCTCTACAAAAAATTTTTAAATTAGCTGGGCATGGTGGTGTGTGGCTGTGGTCCCAGCTACATGGAAGGCTGAGGTGGGAGGATCGCTTGAATCCAGGAGTTCGAAGCTGCAGTGAGCTATGATCGCACCACTGCACTGGGCAATGGATGAGACCCTGTCTCAAAAAAGAAAAAAAAAAGACATATTGAAAGAATGACGGCATTTGAAAATCACCATTTGACAGCCTCAGCCATAATAATTGTTCCAGCGAACGCTAAAACTAGTGAGTAAAATTTAAGGAGTAACAACATTTCCATTCATGTCTCCACAAGATACTCATCCACTACAACGGGGAAAGTGGTAACTTTACAGTGCAGGTACTAGATAGCCCAATTTGTTATCTGGTCTTACTTTAGCTGCTGCTGAGGCCAGCGTGACAAATCTGTTGGCAACAGAGTAACAGGGAGTGGCTGGGGAGACCCGCCTGTCTCCACGCGGTGCCATGTGCTGTGCCCACCGCTGGAGCTCCAGCTCCCATTCCTTTCTTACGGTGCCACTAACACATTGCATTCTCTCGCATCTCCAGGCCTTTTCATGCGCTGCTCCCTCCCTCCCTTCTCTATCAGGCTAAGTCCTACTCGCCCTTCAAGACTACTCCACTAAAAGGAGCGGCTCCAGAAAATGGTGCCTGACCCCACCCACACACCCCAAGTTGGGTTTTCCCCTCCTCTGTGTTCCCACATACCCAGGGCTTCCTTCTGGGCCTGCACTTATTTTATCATCTTCACATTATCCCCACCAGGCTCTGTCCACTCCTGAAACTCTTATCCTACACTGTCTGACGTGGCAGCTACTTACCCACATGTGCTTATTTATTTACATTTACATTGAATAAAATGAAAAGTGCAGTTCCTTAGTTGCACTAGCCATGTTTCGAGTGCTCAGTAGCCACATGTGGCTAGTGGTTACCGTACTGAACAGCACAGGTATGGGACATTTTGCTTATCACAGACAGACCTATTGGACAGCACTAGAGAACAAACATAAGAACTCTGAGATGCTAGGACCTTTGTCCTTTGTTTTTGTTTGTTTGTTTGTTTTTGAGACAGAGTCTTGCTCTGTCACCCAGGCTGGAGTGCAGTGGCGCGAGCTCGCTCAGCTCACTGCAACCTCCGCCTCTCGGGTTCAAGCAGTTCTGTTCTTTGTTATGTGTTGTCTGTCCCCATCTGCATCCCCAGAGGGATTGGCAGCAGCACCTTTGATGTAAGAATAGTCAGTGGGCTTGCTGTCTTTGGGTCCTCAGAGAAATGGGGAGGTGAGGAGATGAACTACCCCCTCCACAGTCTGGACAGTGCATTTCTGGAGGGGTGGAGGGAGTGAGGAGCATGGACAGCCCAGCGCTGGGACTGCAATGAGGACTGGAGGAGAAGAACGTAGGAAACAGTTGAAGGAAGCATGAGGAGCTCCCAGAGGGGCCCGGAAACTTGGTACACAGGTTGCATCAATCAATAAATCAACCAATGCAAAGATATCTAACTCTGAGACTTAGAACCATTCATTCATTCATTCATTTGATCAACAAAATTTTAGTGCCATCTGTGCTGTGCCAGGCACTATATGGGGCAATGTTCTGGATGGAGATGATTCAGACCAGTGTCACTCCCAAGCCACTTAAGGCCTGGTGGGGAAGGATCTCAGAGTATGTGATGAAGGGCACATTTTGTGAAGGATGGGTTCTTCAAGCCCATCTTGCAAGGGTTGGGAAAACCTTCATCAGGGATGTTGGGGGGAGTATTGTGGCAGGGGGGAAAGCCACAAGTAAAATGCTGAGTTTGGAAAGTACACAGAGGCATTTTTGGGGAATAGTAAGTGGATGGCCAATGTGTGGGTGAGGAATGAGAGTTAGGACCACAGAGATTGGCTGGGCCACCTTGTGGAACACCTCCCATGTCAAGATAAGGGGTTTCTGTAGGTGGCTTACTGTGTGTCTGGCATGAGGTAGGCACTTCACATGCATCTGTTAACTGTCCTGCAAGGTTGTTATCCCCATCTTACAGGTGGAAGGCCAGGCTCTGAAGGGCTAGGTGACTTGCCAAATGCAGCACAGGCAAGTCACCGAGCCAGGATTTGAGCGCTAAAAGCTGAGCTTTGGAAAAATGCAACCAGAATCAAGTTGAAGGTGGGGAAATGATCGTGCAGCTTGGTCCAGCAGGGAAGAAAACTAAAAAATGTTGATTGGACTTGATTCAGGACCCTGTGGGTCTAAGCTCTTCAAACCCTCAAGTCTGGTCCATGAGGCGGCATCAAATGCGTAGGTGGCCCCAGCTGCTGCTTTTGCTAGTTGTCTTCCCTGGGACACCTTTAAACATGCATACAAGGAAGAAAACAAAGAATTGGTCTGAGCTGCTAAGAGCGGGGCCATCCAAACCATTCCCTTTTAGAGGCCATTCCAGATTCTAGGAAGGCAGCAAAAACAGTAACTGAATGCTGCTTCTGGGGACCCTGCTGACTCTAACCAAGAACCATGGCTCAACCCCACTTCTCCTGCGCTAGGCTAAGATCCAGGACATAATCAGTGATGCTAGAAACACGTCCGTTTCGGAGGGAAGAGGTTTGGGAGGACTGGAAAGGGCCCTGGGGCTAGAAGTCAGGAAACCCCATCCTGACTTGCTGAGTGGCCTCGGGAGAGACTCTTCCCTTCTCTCAGCCTGTCCCCTTCTCTGTAAACGAAAGGGAGTCCAGCTCTTTGTTATCTGACATCCTAAGTGTATATGCAGAACTCTTAAAATGTATCTAGCCCTGTGCCTTCCAAATCACTCCCCTACCCTCAAGGATAGAAATGTGGCCAGCCATTGTGGGGATGAGGAGGAGCTCCAAGGCCAGGCCAGGCCAGCCACATCCAGGGTGAGAGGAGATGCCCCAAGAGTGGAAGGAAGCATTCATCCTATGAAACGAAGACAAGGGAACTAACTTGCTCAGCTCTGTCCTGGCTCCTTGGCACCCATTACCCCTGGGAATCATCATATCTCCATGTGGCAATGGCTTATCACCCCAAGTTTTACACTGAGGAAACTGAGACTCAGAGAGGGTGACTCTCCCGAATTCACATGCCTAGGAAGTGAAAACCCCAGGATGTGAACTGGATCAACTCCAAAGCCCATACTCTTGCCACTCTGTCGCACAAACTGTGTATGAAATGAGATAGGAAAACCTCCCTCACTCCCACCTCCCTCCAAGCAAAGCATCTCGTCCACCCAGGTGCCTGAATTTCTACCATTAGCGCATTGCCTCCCTGGGCTAAGGCCTCTCTCCATGGGCTCCACAGTGGGGAAGGGGCGCAGAAGTAGGAGGCAGAGGCAGGAGGTGAGCACAAGGTCTTTTATGAGGCATCAAATATACATTCTTATATACAAGGAGGAAAAAAGACAATGCCTGAACCCCAGCTCCTCTCCATACAGCCCCTCCCACTGCCACCCTCCCCCGCCCCCAAGCCCCAGTGGCCCTGGCCCTTCGTACAGCCAGGGTCCATCTGTCTGTCTATACTGCAGCCCATGGTGGAGAGGGGAGAGGGAGGCAGGAGCTGAGTGAGGAGCTGGATATGCGGGGCAAGAAGAGGAGCTGGGGCTTGTAAAAAATATATTTATAATAAATAAACAGGGCTGCAAAAGGGCTGGAGAGGCAGCGGAGATTCTGACGGACAGAAGGACTCAGGCATTCTGGCTCCCAACCCCAGCTCTGATGGCTTCAATCTCTGCCTCAGGAAGGATATCTTGGGCTCATGGTGGCCCTTTGGGAGCCTCTCTCCCCAGGGCTGATGCTGGGTGCCCCTGCCCCAGCGAGGTGTGTGTGGGTGATATCTGTAAAGTGCATTGTCTTCAGTTGTAGGTGGGGTAGGTGTAAGGGAATGGCGGGGGGGCATGCAATATGGGTGAGGGAGGGCAGTGCCCTTCTCATCCCAGACCTGAGCCCCCCCCAAAACCTGTCTGGACTTTGATCAGGATAAGAACGTTGCAGGGCGAGGCAAGTTCCTGAAGCCGAAGAGGTCTGGGCTGGGGCCTACTGGAGAAAGGGCATAGACTGGCTCGAGAGAGGAAGCACTGCCCCACGTGGGGCCAACACAAGCAGGGTCCCACCCACCAAGTGCATCAATGGTCCGTGTCCTCCAGCAGGCAAAAAGACACATGGAAGTGTGTGGCCAGGCCCTGAGGTCAGAGAGAGGGCCAAGCCAGCTGAAGTTTGGCCACAACTCTACAGAGCGCTCTCCTAGCCCCACACGGCCAGAGGAGCCCCAGGGAAGCCTTCACCCCGACAGCTCCGGACACCTGCCCTTCTCCGCCAGCCAGAGCTCACAGAGAGCTCACACAGGCCCAGAGGTCTGAGGCCACAGAGCTAGACCTCCAGGGAAAAGTGGGGAAGAAGAAGACGGGAGAAAGAGTACGAGGATCTCTGGAAGGCCCTCACCACTCCCCAGCGCTGGAGCACCCTGAGTCCAGGCTTCAAGTGGCAAGGATCCTCGAATCTGGAAGGAAACCCCATGGCAACTGCTGGGGGTGAGAGGACGGGTCCCAAGGCAGGGAGGACATGGGGAGGAGGACATTGCTATGTGTATATATATTTTTGAAAAAACCGAGGAAGCAAAGAGGGTGCAAGGTCCCTCTCCTGTGGCTCCCCAGACTTTCCTGTTCCCCAGCTCACTCTCTCCATTCATCAGACCACGGTGCTGATCCGGCTTGGCTTGGCCTTGGGGTTTGCACTGGGGGGGTTGGCTGTGCCAGGGGGCCCAGAGGCGTGCAGCGGGCCATGGGGGGAGGTGGGTGGAAGGGGTGAGTGCGGGGTGTGAGGGGAGGGTGGGGGGAGGGGTGGATAGGAGGGGTGGGGTGGGATGGGTGAGTGTGGTGACAATGGTGACTGGGGGTGGTGGGGGTGGGAGTAGGAGCCCCCTGGTGGCCGGGATCCAGGGCCCCCAGCCGCGCCTGCTGCTGGCATCATCTGTGGGTGGTGGCTGAAGATGAAGTGCTTAGGGCCCTGTTTGTGGGCTGGAGGGTGCTGGGGGGCAGGACTGTACAGGGGCAGTGGGGATGTGGGCTGGTGCAGGGGGTGGCGGCCATGTGGAGCAAACTGAGGGTGTCCTCCAGCCCCCCGTCTGGGTGCCCTGCCTGGCCGGCCCAAGGTATAGTGTTGGGGCCCTGGGACTGGGCCATGGGCGTGGAAGTGGCGATGTGGCCCCACAGGTGGGGCTGAGGCGGGAGGCGGTGGAATGGAGCCCAGCTGGGGCAAGGGTGGGGGCTGCTGGGGAGGTGGGGGAAGAGAGGGCTGCTGGGGTGGGAGGTAGGGTGGCGGGGCAGGGCCCGGTCCTTGGCAATACTGGGCATGCAGGGCCTGGAGCTTGGACTGCCCATCAGGCAGCACCCCCAGGCCACCGTGGCTATGGCCATGATGGTGGTGGTGGTGGTGGTGGTGCGTGGAAGAAGCAGATGAAGAGGAGGCAGAGGCCTGGCCTGTTGGCGGTGGTGGCATCTGGAAGGGCCCCTTGCCCCGCTTGCTTCCAAATAGGGAGCCCAGGAAGGATGAGGAGTTGGAGACGGGCCTCTGGCTCTTGTACTCCTCTGGCGGCGGGGGTGGGGGCGGAGGTGGCATCCTCTGGTGAGGGCGTGGACTGCTAATAACAGACCCCTGGAAGCGGGGAGGGGGGAAGTCAGGCCAGGCTAGATGCCCTAAACCCCCAGCCCTAAATTCCACCCCTGTCCCTGAGGGCTGGAGCTGGGGAGACAGCAAACCCCAAGTTGTAATAAAAACCAAATCACAGTCCGGTACGCGTATGTGGAGCTCCCCAGCTTGCAAAGCTCGGCTGTCACATCCACTATCTCAGCTGAGCCTCAGCTGGGAGAGGAGAAATTAGCAGTACCTCCTCCTCATCCCCATTTTGCAGGCAGGGAAAAGGTTAGGCCCAGAGAGGCAGAGTGACTCGCCCAGGGTCAAAGAGCAGGACTTGGAGGTAAGAGCTTCTCGTGGCCCAACTCCAAGGGCATCCCTACTCGCCGTCGGCCCTGGGGTTGAGAGGGGGCACGGGAGAGTGGAAGACAGACTGAGAGACAGGCAGAATGAGGACAGACAGAGTTGAGGACAGATGGAGAGAGTGGTTGGCTGGGAGAGGCAGCCGCATGGTTCCCAGCAGGGAAGAGGGGGAGCAACAGGTCCCCTCCTCCTCTGGGTCTCCATGGCCGGGGCAGGGCTCATGCAGAGGACGAGTGGGGCAGGAGCTGGCACTTACTTCGATGGTGCTGTCCAGCGATCCCACGCTGTTACGCCGCCCCCGCTTCCCTGCACCCACAAGCAAGGAGCCCAGCGTCAGAGCAGCAACCCCCCCCCTACCCTGCTGGGCTCCAGAGCTGGGCACCAGGACTGGGCCCCTCCCGGGGACAGACACCCCATTATCCCTTTCCCCCATTGAAGAGGGGGAGGCGGGGAGGAGGAGAGGTGGAGAAGGAGGAGAAAGAGGAGGAAAAGATGGAGAAGGAGGAGTGGAGGTACAGGAGAGACAGAAGAGGGAGAAGAGGAGGAGAGGGGGAGCAGCGAGAGAGAGGGACCAAGACTGTGGCCCCACTTCACACTCCCTGGCCCAAAAGCTGGGCTCCCCCTGCTCTGACCTGGCTCCCAGGCCCCCTGTGGCGCAGCGCCCAGGGCTCTGGGTGAAGGCAGGGTGCGTGCATGTGTGGCAGGTGGAGGGAAGGCTGGCGGCCAGTGACAGGAGGCAAAGAGGACACCCGGTCCCGTGTCTCCCCAGCCAGGGCAGGGGCCCAGAGGGCTTACCTGCATCAGAGAGGTCTCGCAGGGAACTGCTGAGTGCGCCCCGTTTGAGCCCATCGCCTGCCCCGTAAGTGTCCTCCAGGCTACTGCGGGCCATCGTCCCATTCACTGAGTCCTTGGCCCCTCCAGGCTGTGAGGCGTTAGGCCGCATCATACCTTTCTGCTTCTCCAGCTCCGCTGGGTGGCAGTCGGGGAGACAGGGAGCAAAGGTCAGGAACAGGAGTGAGAGCCCATCTGACTGACCCTAGCCCTCCATGGGCCATTCTCCTTCCTCCTCCCTCCTCCCTCCCTCTGTCCCCAGGCTTCGTGTTTTGCCCCTTGGACGACCAGCCCTTGTCTCCCCCAAAACTGCAGCTCCATCACCGAAGCACCCTTAGTGCCCAGCTCCTGTCTTGCACCCTCCCTTCCTGCTCAGCCTTCCCTTCATCCCTCTTGGTGCCTGCTCTCCCTGTTCCCTTTCCCTTCCTTTCACCCTTCTGACTTCTCCCCTCCCATGCCCTCTTGCAATCAGGTCTCCCAAAGCACCCCTGCCCTTCAAAAAAGAGCTTCATGGCAGATGGTTCACAGTAAGGATGGTAAGGCCCTTCTAGCCTATGGCAAAGGGCAATCTTTCCAGAGTTCAGTCAGTTCTCAGATACCTTGCTCCGGAGCAGAGGGGCTCCTGGAAGGGCAGGAGCAGGAAACTGACAGGAATCAAATCCTCTTATTATGTGCCAGGCAGTATGCTGGGCGCTACACATACTTGATCTCTCTCAGTCCTCACAACAGTTCTGAGGTCAGTATTAGCATCCACATTGTGCAGAGGAAGAAACTGAGTATCCGAGAAGTCTTAGAGCTTGCCCAGGGTCATACAGCTGGAAATGGCAGAGCCGACATTCTGGAAGCAGGTCTGCCTGATTCCAGAGCTTGGGTGCTTCCGGCCTCCTACAGCCCCACCTCCCCACGGAGCTCATAGAAACACGTGTCTACTGGCCTCCCCTCGTCTTGGGCTACTAATCCCTCTCTCAGGATTTCCCCAGGGTCTCAAAGGATCTGGTGAACTGAAATTTCTATCCCTGCCTCGCTGAGAAGTAGAGTGGCCCTGGAGCTGTGAAGGCCTCACCAAGGAGCTGTCCGCCGCCTCGTCTCTGTCTGCCTGCCTCTTTCTCCTTAACACCATGTTACTTAACTGTGACTGCTTAGCCTGGAGAAGAGAAAACTTGGAGGGCATCGGGAGGAATGAGATGTAATCACTATTTTCCATTATATATATATGATCAAAATGACTTGGTGTGGCCCCTGGGGGCTGAGAGGATAGCCCACTGGGATTCAGCTCAGGAATTGATATGTGGGCAGAGGAGGAGAGAGGGTGGGACAGGAAATACGGATTTTTTGAATGCCTAAGATGTGTTGGGACATTTCGGCTACCTTGTCTCATTTCATCTCCATGACTCTGTGAAGGAGACTTCATTACCCCAATTTCGTATAGGAAGAAACTGGGGCTTGGCAGGTTAGGCAATTTGCTGCAGTTCACCCAGATAATGAGTAGTATACCTGGGATCTAAAACTATAGTCCTACCTCCAATACTCTGATTCTTCTCCCTGATACCTTTCACTAGAAGGAATAGTTGGCTCATAATTAGAGTTCAGGATAATAATGGGGTTGGGAGGTAATGAGCCCCTTGTCACTGAAGGTATTCAAGCAGAGGCTGAAGAATTCTTGAAATGAGGATGGGAAGGTTGGACAAGCTAACCCTCAACTCTGAGATTCTCTGAGGATAGGATTCTTGGTTTCTGCAGGGTACTGTTTCAGGAGAGCAGGGAGGAGACATGGCTGGGCTACTCACACTCCACACGGTATTTCTCCATCTCCTGCACCTCCGCAATGGACTCGCGCAGGTCGGATGTAAAGCGCAGCCGGTCCTGGAGGCTGGGGGCATTGAAGATGATGAGGACTTTTCGCTCCCCACCAGGTACTGCAGACAGCAACTTGATCCCAAACTGGTAATCTGTGGAGAAAGGGGAGACTGGGCACCTCTGTTGGGACTGGTGCAAGGTGGCTCATACATAAAATAATTTTTCTTTTCTGCTCTTTTTTTTCTGAGACAACATCTCTCTGTCACCCAGGCTGGAGTGCAGTGGTGCCATCATGGCTCACTGCAGCCTTGAACTCCTGGGCTCAAGTGATCCTTCTGCCTCAGCCTCCTGGGTAGCTGGGACCATGGGCACGCACCACATGCGCAGATTTTTTTTTATTTTCAGTAGAGATGGGGTCTCACTATGTTGCCCAGGCTGGTTTCGAATTCCTGGGCTCAAGCGATCCTCTTGCCTTGGCCTCCCAAAGTGCTGGGATTACAGGTGTGAGCCACCATGCCTAGCCCATGAAATAATTTTTCTACTGTCTAACTCTGATCATGCCTCTTCTCTGCTTGAGCATGTTTAGCAGCTCCCCTTTGCCCCAAAGCCCTCAAACTCCTGGTAGCTGTGGCCCTCTTACTCCCTGTACTGCAGGATGTAAAGGCACACAACTATGCACTGCTCTCTCGAAACCCTTTCCTTCTCACCTCTGCCTCAACTCACATTGCTTCTGCTGCCAGGAATACCACGCAACAAAGCTCCTCCTGGTTCATCCTTCAGAGCACAGCATGATCACCGTCTCTTTGGCCCACCAGAGAACACATGCACTGTGGTTCTCTGCAAGACCATGAGCTAACCAGGGGCTAGACCCAAGTCATACTCCACCCTGGCCTGCCCCTCATCCTGGGACCAAGTAGGTGCTTTGGAGACCCTTAGTCCGGTTGTAAGGGACTCCGAAAACTGGAGCTGGTATAGATGACGGGTGAGCATGGGGGCCATGACATAGACTCTCAGGAGCTGGGATCCAAGAAGGGACTCACATGAATTCTGGAAGAGCTGCATGTGCATTTCCACGAGGGGGAAAGACTGACGGAAACTGTACGTCACCAAGATCTTCTTCTTCTGGAAAATTTTGGTGACCTTTGGCAGGGGTGGGAAAAAGACAAGAGGCAGCGCTTTGGGTGGGGGATTTCCACGTGGCACCTATTTCTGGTAACCACCCTCCCCTCCCACCCCATTAACAGACACACACACACAAACACACATGCCCACAAGCTGGGGAGAATGGAAGCTTGAGGGACAGAATGGGAGACATGGAAGAAAACGCAAGTTCCTGATGTAATGACCACGCACCACAGACATTTACCACATTTCCAGAAACTAACTGAATCCTGCTTCCTCCAGGAAGCCTGCTCCAACATCCCACAGAGATTTGTAAACCCCTTTTCTGAGCTCCAGAATGGTGATTCAGTGCCTTTCCCTTGTCAGGCACTATGCTAGTCCTCTGAGTGTGTGATCGCCCCCTGCTGGACTGGAGGGCAGGAGTCTGGTTGTCGGGTTCTGTCACCAGGCCTTACCAGAGCCTGCACTTAATGGCAATCTCTGCTGAACCCATGTAGAGAGTTAATAAGTCTTCCTCTCAACAACCCAATATCTTTGTCGAGTACTTGGGCACTCTGGACTCAACTAACACAGGCTGCAAACACCTCAGGCGGTCTGCAAGTGGCTCGTAAAAGGAAATGTTTTGATTTCAGGATGGCACAATGACGCAAAGCACTTTTTTAGGTCCTTTGGGCTGTGAGCTCCCTGAGAACAGGGACTAAGTCTGATTCATCCTGGCATACCCAGTGCCTAGCATAGAGCTGGACATACACCAGTTTCAGTACCTGAGGGATGTCTACACATTGACTGTGTGGGCCAGGTACTCCCTGGGGTAGGGCAGATTCCACATATAACCTCTTATTTCATTTCATCCTCATGACAATCCTGTGAAGTAGGGGTTAGTTCCATTTCACAGAGGAGGAAACTAAGGCTCAGAGGGAGCATGGAAATACTTCGGCTAAAGCAGCAATGCTCAACTGGGGGTGATATTGCCCCCAGAGGACACGGAGCAACATCTGGAGACATTTTTGGTTGAAGGGTTGCTACTAGCACCTAGTAGGTAGAGACCAGGGTGCTGCTAAACATCCTACAGTGCACAGGACAGTCCCCGCAAAGAATTATCCAGCCCCAAATGTCAACAGTGATGAGACTGAGAAACCCTGCTCTAAAGGAGAGAAGACCACAGGGAGAACAGGATCAAGAGAGTCCTCAAATCCCTGGAGAGCTGTCTTGGAGCAGAGGTACAACACTTGTTCTTTGTGATGCCAAGGGTTGAGTGCAGATGGCTGGAAGAAACCCACAGGGAGACAAATTCTAGCAGTCAGAGCTGCCTAACAAGGCAACTGGCTGCCTTAGAGGAAGGCGGCTTTCTGTCCCTGCAGTCATACATCCAGTGGGCCATCTAGGAAGCTGGACCCTGAAAGTCCCTTCCAACCTGCAAAGTCCTAAGAGTCCCATCCCTAAAAGACAAACATCTCTACTTGTAATGAGCTCAGTTTGAAGAATCACTTCAAGCATCTTTTTTTTTTTTTTTTTTTGAGACAGAGTTTCACTTGTCGCCCAGGCTGGAGTGCAATGGAGCGATCTCAGCTCACTGCAACCTCCGCCTCCTGGGTTCAAGCGATTCTCCTGCCTTGGCCTCCCCAGTAGCTGGGACTACAGGCATGCGCCACTGCGCCCAGCTAATTTCTTATATTTTTAGTAGAGACGAGGTTTCTCCATGTTGGCCAGGCTGGTCTTGAACTCCTGACCTCAGGTGATCCACCCACCTCGGCCTCCCAAAGTGCTGGGATTACAGGCATGAGCCACCGTGCCTGGCCCAAGCATCTTTTTTAAATTTTGTTTTTATTATTTATTTATTTATTTTTGAGGCAGGGTCTGGCTCTGTTGCCCAGGTTGGAATGCAGTGGTGCGATCACAGCACACTGCAACCTCTGCCTCCTGGGCTCAAGTGATCCTCCCGACTCAGCCTCCCAAGTAGCTGGGACTACAGGTGCACACCACCATGCCCGGCTAATTTTTGTATTTTTTGTGGAGACAGGGTTTCGACATGTTGCCCAAGCTGGTCTCAAAACTCCTGGGCTCAAGTGATTCAAACTGCCCTGGCCTCCCAAAGTTCTGGGACTATAGGTGTGAGCCACAGTGCCGAGCCCACTTCAAGCATCTTGATTACTGAAGATTTCCAGACTGACCTGGGGGGTCGCAGGTTCACCCCTCTTCACACAACCCTATGGGCTATTGAGGTGGACAGGGATATTTCCTACCACTTCCCAGGTTGTAAGTCTGTCATCTCCTTTGGTCCTCATATTTTCTGTCCCTGTGTGTCTGTTACTACCTCCAAATGCATCTGTGAGGAAAAGGAGGGGCAGAGAAGGCCTGGGCCTTGCCTGAGACCATGCAGATGGCATGGCAGAACACCTCGCCCGCCACACTCCACACACCACACACCTACATCAATATGGTTCACACCAGACTTAGGTGTCAAGCTCACTCTCTCCCTCCCATCTCCTCCCCCACAGTGCTCATACCACAAGGAGATCATTGAAGAGGAAGACCTCCCGCTGATGCAACCCTAGCCTCTGGGGGCGGTTTGGATCTGGCACCTCGTAGAGCTGGCAGCAGCAAACCAGTCGACGGTGAGGGAGAGACAGGACCTAGACAGGCATGAAGAAACAGGTGTCAGCAAGGCCAGCCCATCAGCTTCAGGCCTCCTGGCACCTTAACTTTCAACCGCAAGAAGTTTACCACTCATACATGTGTGTCACTCTGACACAAGGGGTATCAGCAACTAAGACCTAAACTTATCTGCTACCTTGCCTTTGCCCTTCTGTCTGGAATGTCTTTCTTGCCCAGCTCTGCATGGTCATATTTCAACTCCCTTTCAAATTTCCATCCCGGCCGGGCGCAGTGGCTCACGCCTGTAATCCCAGCACTTTGGGAGGCCGAGGCGAGCGGATCACTTGAGGTCAGGAGTTCGAGATCAGCCTGGCCAACATGGTGAAACCCCGTCTCTACTAAAAACACAAAAATTAGCTGGGTGTGGTGGTGGGCGCCTGCAATCCCAGGTACTCAGGAGGCTGAGGCAGGAGAATCGTTTGAACCCAGGAGGTAGAGGTTGCAATGAGCCGAGATCATGCCACTCCACTCCAGCCTGAGTGACAGAGTGAAACTCCATGTCAAAAAAAAAAAAAAAAAAAAAAAAAAATTCAATCCCAAAATGATCTCTTCCAAGAAGCCTTCCCTGATTTCTCCAGGCTGAAAATGGTCTCTCTCTCCTTTCTCCTCTCCTAAACTGGACCATAAAGCAGAAGTATTATATGTGTCTTTGTTTCACACCCCGACTGGTCTGTGAGTGCCCCCAAGGATAGAGAACACGTCTGATTCATATCTATGAATGCCCAGCACCAACTCTGGTGCCCAGCAAATGCTGGGCTCAGTGGAAAGGCATCCACAAATGTTTGTTGGCTAAAGCGTTTTCTTTTTTTTTTTCTTTTTTTGAGACGGAGTCTTGCTCTGTGGCCCCAGGCTGGAGTGCGTTGGCACGATCTCAGCTCACTGCAACCTCCGCCTCCCGGGTTCAAGCAATTCTCCTGCCTCAGCCTCCTGAGTAGCTGGAACTCCAGGCATGCACCATCACGCCCGCAGCTAATTTTTGTATTTTTAGTAGAGACAGGGTTTTGCCATGATAGCCAGGCTGGTCTGGAACTCCTGACCTGAGGTGATCCACCCACCTCGGCCTCCCAAAGTGCTGGGATTACAGGCACAAGCCATTGTACCTGGCCTAAAGTGTGTTCTTACTTTGGTTTTCTGCTAACCATTAGCTTGGCTCTTCACTTAGGATGGACAGGCAAAGCCGGAGGTGAAAAGGATGCTAATATTTATATAGTACCCACTATGGGCCTTGGAATGTGCTCGATGCATTCACTCTGCACCACAGCCTTCTGAGGAATGCATTATCACCCACTCTGTATTGCAGGTAAAGGGCACCTGGGGCTCAGGGAGGTGCAGTGACTTACCACTTAGTGGCAGAGGCAGACCTGAACCCTGGCCCCTCTGCAGCCTCCCAAGGCACTTACTGGTTTCTTTCCAACAATCATGCGCTCCACAGCCTGCACCTGGGACACATGGTCATCGTTGGTCCGCAGTTCACGCCCCTGGATGCGCTGGTAGATGCCCACCAGGAGGTCTCGGGGGATGTCTTCACCATTGTCAACCCCTGGGGGAGGGAGTAACACAGGGATATGTCACATAATTATGGGCACTGGGTGGTAGGGGTGCTCCACCACCCCCACACCCAGGCACGGGCCACGATAGTCAGGACTGAGGGTCAATGGGTACCCTCGGCCCCTTAGCCAGGATTGGGGCAGGGAGGGTGTCCTTCAGTACAACAGCCAGTTGCTATCTTCCCCAGAGTGGGGAATTTTTTCTCAACAACTCAGAATACACTGTAATTAAAACAATCAGATACTATTGTTTGCCTTCCTAATTAGCAAAAATAATTTAAAATGAAATCCAGTGCTAGGAAGAGTGCAGGGAAGTGGGCATGTATGGTAACATAACTCTTTTGGAAGGTAATTTGGCAAGAACCTAAATGTTTGTACCCAGTGATTCTCTTCTAGGAATCTACCCTAAGGAACTACTCAGAAATATGTGCAAGAGGTATGTGCAAGAATGCTAGTGCAGGCGGGGCATGGTGGCTCACGCCTGTACTCCCAGCACTTTGGGAGGCCGAGGCAGGTGGATCACGAGGTCAGGAGATCAAGACCATCCTGGCCAACATGGTGAAACCTCATCTGTACTAAAAATACAAAAAATTAGCCAGGCATGGCACCATGTGCCTGTAGTCCCAGGTACTCGGGAGGCTGAGGCAGAATTGCTTGAACCCGGGAGGCAGAGGCTGTAGTGAGCCAAGATCGCGCCACTGCACTCCAGCCTGAGCAACAAGATTGAGACTCTGTCTCAAAAAAAAAAAAAAGAAAAAGAAAAAAAAGAATGCTAGGGCAGGCGTGGTATAATCCCAGCACTTTGGGAGGCTGAGGCAGGTGGATCGCTCGAGCCCAGGAATTCGAGAGCCAACCTGGGCAACATGGCAAAATCCCATCTCTACAAAAAATACAAAAATTAGCTGGGTGTGGTGGCACACACCTGTGGCCCCAGCTACTTGGGAGGCTGAAGTGGGATAATAGCTTGAGCCTGGGAGGAGGAGGTTGCAGTGAACCATGATTGCACCACTGCACTCCAGCCTAGGCAACAGAGCAAGACCCTGTCTCAAAAAAAAAAAAAAAAAACTCACTAAGTGTTACTTATGGGGACAATTTGAAACAACCTAAATTTTAACAATAGAGGATAGTATATCCATTTAATAAGATAATGCACAGCTATTAAAAACTTGACATTTACAAAAACATTTCAATAGCATGAGAAAATTACAGTAGCAAATTATGGGAAAAGAGTAAGATAAATTGCATGTGTGGTATGATCTGAACTATATAAAAAGTTACATATGCATGGGGGAAAAGATTAGAACGCACCAAAACATTAACTATGATTGCCTCTAGGGGGCACATTTTGGGTGATAAAAAGAAATTTTCTAATTTTCTGAATCTTCCAACATTTCTGAAATAAAGTATGTATTACCTTCATTTATTTGCTTATTTATTTAATAATTAGAGGGGGAAGTTACACATACACACACACACACCCACACACACACACACATATATTGAGAGAGAGAGGGAAAAAGAATGGATGAATGAATGATGGCAAAATTCTAGGAGACAGCTCCAAATGGCCTCTGATCTAACTCCCTCCTCCCATGTTCACCATCCTTCTCCACTTCTGATTGCTGAGTGAAACCCACTCACTCTTCTCTCTAAATCCTCTACTAGAGAAAATGTTTTCTGGGCAGGACGTGGAGGCTCACACCTGTAATCCCAGCACTTTGGGAGGCCGAGTTGAGGCAAGGAGTTTGAGACCAGCCTGGGCAACCTAGCAAGACCCTGTCTCTACAAAAAATTTAGAAATTAGTTGGGCATGGTGGCACGCGCCTATAGTCCCAGCTACTTAGGAGGCTGAGGTGGGAGGATCGCTTGAGCCCAGGAGTTCAAGGCTGCAGTGAGCTCTGCTAGCACCACTGCAATCCAGCCTGGGTGAGAGAGTGAGACCCTGTCTCTAAAAATAAAAAAAAAAAAAACAAATAAAATAAAAAAACAGAAAACAAAAAAAATGTTTTCTTCCTTGGAAATGTCACATCTCCTCCTTGGACAGGTGCTAAAGGAACATACTACATCGCACTGACTTTCTTACCAGAGCAGCCACAGCGGCACAAACCTGATGGGCAGCCAATTTGTCTTGTGTTCAGTTTGCTTTTTTTCTTTGACTCTATTTCCCTCTTTCTTTTCTGCTTAAATAATCTTAACATCTGTACCATTTTTAGTAGCTGCTCTTTGGTGATAGGCAGGGCTCGACATCAGTAGAATAAGCAAAAAGAGCAAGGTGACACCTTTCATCTGGCATTCAAGGCCCTCATATATTGGTTCCATATATTGGAACCTCATATATTGGGACCTTCCCAACCCATCAATGACCTCATCTCAATTGTTCTTTTTTTTTTTTTTTTTTTTTCAAGACAGAGTCTTGCTCTGTCACTCAGGCTGGAGTGCAGTGGTGCGATCTTAGCTCACTGCAACCTCTACCTCCCAGGTTCAAGTAATTCTCCTGCCTCAGCCTCCTGAGTGGCTGGGATTACAGGTGTGCACCACCATGCCTGCTAATTTTTGTATTTTTAGTAGAGATGGGGTTTCCCCATGTTGGCCAGGCTGGTCTGGAACTCCTGGCCTCATGGGATCCACCTGCCTCAGCCTCACAAAGTGCTGGGATTACAGGTGTGAGCCAACGTACCCAGCCCTCAATTGTTCCCTAAAGAAAATAAATGTTCCTGCCTCTGCGCCTTTGGTATTCTCATTGCTAGGTAAGCCCTCCTCTATCTCTATTGTGTCACCTTCTCCATGCCTTCAAGACCCACCTTAAAATAAAAATACTACCTCCTCCAGGAAGCTAGCTAGAGGTGGGCTCTCCCTCCTTTGAGCTCTGACTGCACTTTTGGCCTCTCTGATGTCACTGTTCACTTTCTGTCTTATGTTAGTTATCTGGGTGCTACAAGTCAGCCTCTCCCACACACAGGGAGCTCTCTCAGAACAGGGAGTATGGCAGATTCCCCTCCATTGTCCTTGGCACCCATCATGGGGCTTGGCACACACTAAGCGCTAAGTGTTGACTGGCTGGCTGGTTGTTTGGTCGAGTGATAAATGAATGCATGAATAGAGGAAAAGGTACCTAAAATAATTAAATGAGTCCTCATGGGCATAAATAAGAGAGGGAAAGAAGGAGCGAGGAAAGGACAAGTGAATTACTGAATGAATGAATGAATGAATCAGAGTAAAGCCTTGTAAGAGTCAGGACTTTAATCTATCATGTTCACTGCTTGAACCCCAGGACCTAGAAACCTGGTACACAGTAGAAGCTCAGTACAATGGGCAAATGACGATTTGAGTGAATTAATAAGTGAATATCCTGGGAACATCCAGCTAGGGCAGAAAGTGACAGCATCACAAATTAATTTCCAAGGAACAGATGGGATCTCCTGCATCCTTCCCCTTACCCCCCACTTTCCCTTTCCAGGTGAAGGGCAGGAAAAGCTGACAGGGAAGTCACCTCTCAGGTTCTTGATGAAGTCATCTAGTTTCATCTTTCGTTCAGCTTTGACGCTGGGACTGTACATGTCGGTATTGAGGAGGATGATGGCAAAAGCAAGGATGAAGATGGTGTCTGGGTTCCGGAACTGGCGCACGAGGGCTGGGTTACAGACACAGTACCGCTGGCTGCAGGGCAGGAGGGGTCAAAGCCAGACTCAGGAACCAGCCATCTCTGCCTACCCACCATCCACCCAGTCTGGCACCAGCAACCCTTTCCTGCAAGAAATACTTTCTTGATCTCTGGGTCTGTCCTCTTCAGAGCTTCCCCTAGACCAGCATGTAAAAATCACAATCGCTACCTTTTACAGAGCTCTTCCAGGGGATTTATGTACGTTGTTTCACGTAATCCTATCATAATCCTGCAAGGTAGCTATTGGCAGTCCCATTTTACAGATGAAGTGACTAAGACTCAAAGTGGCGAGGTAACTTGCCCAAGGTAATAGAGCTGGTAAATGGTGAAGCCAGGATGAAAACCCAGTTATTTCTGACTGCAAAGCAAATCCTTCCCCCATTGTGGGAAACAAGTTCTCAGCAACTCCTGTTTCTCTTCTAAATACCCTAAAGTGGCAGAGCCAGGATTTAGACCCCAGTCTATCTGATCTCCAAAGCATTTATAGTACAGTAAAATGGTTAAGGGCATGGATGGATCATGGACTCAGACACATACGAGTTCAAATCCTGTTTCTACCACTTATTCACTGTATGAGCCTGGGCAAGTTACTTAACCTCTCTAAACTTCTGATTTCTCATCTGTAAAATGGGAATAATAACAGAAGTGCCTACTTTATGGGGTGGTTGTGATTATTCGGTGAAATAATCATGTAAAGTGCTCAGCTCTGCACCTGATACCTAGTAAGTGCTCCGTGAATGTTAGCTGTTATTGCTGATGTTGTTGTCACTTATCGAATGCCCATGTCCCAGAGGCTGAGCTAGATACTTTATATGCACTACCTCTGATCCTCACAATTGCCTTGCAAGATAGGATTTATCATCTCTGTTTTATGGTGAAGAAAGTATGAGGCTCAGAGAAGTGACTTATAAACACATACTACGTCGATGCCCACAGGAGGGAGGGGCAGCTTCGCGAGTGGGAGGTAGGCACACCTGAAGGCTTCGATGAGTCGCTCCACTTTCTGGGCCTCACCCTGAACCCGGATATGGGACTGGAACTTCCGGAGCGCATCATCCAGATCCATGGAGGAGAAGTCCATCTCATCCACCACACAGCTAAGGAGCAAAGAAGGAGGTGTGGCGCTTTCAATTCCTCTGCAGAAAACCTCTGACCCACCTGGACCTGCTCAAATGGACCAACACCCCCACTGATAGACTCTCAAATTCAGGACCTGTGGCCCGAGCAAGTACACATGAGGACAGAATGTTTGAAATCAAATCCATCTCAGAAAATTGAGGCAAGGCACGTGGTCACTAAAGGTCCTTTCCATCAAGCCACTCATTTCAGAGACAGGAAAACTGAGGCCCAAAACAGGCTACAGGATGAGCATGTCTTGCCCAGGGCCACCCAGAAGACTTTAGGAATAGAGCCAAACAAGATCAGACCCCTTTGGGGCAGAAGGGTACAGGGGCAGGAAGGTCTATTCATCCTGTTTTGAAAAGCTTATCTGAGCTAAAGGGACAGGCTGCCCCCTTCCTCCCTCTTGCTGTCCTTTTCCAGGAATCCCTGGCCCAGCCTGCCCCATCCTGGGGTCCTCACTCCAACACGTCTCTGTTGAACTGCTTCTGCCGGTTCCCTAGGAATTCCCCTATCATCTGCCGGCTGAGGCCTTTCCGCTCCAGGATGAAGTGAGCCACTCCCACCGGTGTGTCTGACAGGAAGCCCCGCTCGATCAGATACTGGATACCCTTCTCTGGCTTCCTGCAGAAAGAGGAGAGGTAGATGAGATGACTGTCCTCCTGGAACTGTGCTCTCTGTCTCATTTGTTGAACTAATTTTGGGCCCAACTAAGTCCGGCCTCAGAGGACCAACGAAGTCAAATACATAATTTGATCCAATCCCATCATGGCACAAGTGAGAAAACTGAGGCCCAGGGAGAAGAAGCCACTTGCCCATTTCAAGGAGCTTCAAAATCCCAAGGTATCTTCAACCCAACATCCCCCTTCACTGGAGCCACATCACAATTGAAAGAAAATCAGTATCTAATGAGAGCCTGCTCTATGCCAGGCTTGACATTCCCAGCAAGAACCGAGGAGAGGGCTGAGCACCTTCCCTCTGAGTCACAGACCCTCAGAGTAGGGAAGAAGTGAAGAGGTTACTTTGTTCCACGTCCCACATCCCACTCAGGCAGGTATCACCAACTTTCTCTGAGTGTTTCTGTAGACAAGGTGCCCCCTAGATTTCCAGGGAGCTGGGCCAAAATCTGGGTCACAGCTATCCCATATTCAGAACCCCAGAACCTTAGGACCCCACAAGGTTAAAATTTGGAAGGGACTGATGCCATAGGAGTCTCAGATCCATCACTTCCCAGTTGTATGACTTTGGACAATTCCTTTTGCTTCTCCAAGCCTTGGTTCCTTATCTACAAAATAGGAACACTACTGCCTGCCTTGCTGAGTTATTGTAAGAATTAAATATAGGTGGCAGTGTTTAATAAGCTATAAAGATGTAAGGCATTCAAGTAATGGCTTCCAATTACATCTAATGTTTTCCAATTACATCTAATATTTTCCAATTATTTTCTAATCAAATGTCACACTCCCACCTCACTCCTAAACACCTGGCAGAAGACCAGGCACCTAGAAAGAGCTTAGTCACAGTCACTGAAGGGTCCAGCACACCACCCTGCCCCCAACACCTCTTACATACACATTCTGCTAGTGGTAGGTGGAAAAATGGAAGCCCAGGGGAGGAATGCACCTTGCCCAGGGCTATGCAGTGAGTCTAGCCAAAGGCCGACTGAGGGGGCCAGGTCTCCTGTTTCCCAGACTAGGGCTCTTTCTACACCATATCACCTCCCCTCTAAAAAGGGAAGGTGGGGAGGACAAGGTTCAGAATCCATTTAGTGGGGTCATCTCACCCAAGATCAGACAGCCAGCCAGGGGCAGTACTGGGACCCGAGCCCAGGTGTGTTAAGGGACTCTCTACTCTGCCACCCTGTTGCCAATCCTCTTCCCTGAATGTCTGGGGAGAAATACCATTCCACAAAATGAAAGGATGGCAGAACGGGGATCACTGTGTGGAGTTCTGTCCCAGGAACCCAAGTGCATGTGGCAGGGTAGGAAGGGGTAAGCAGGCTAGAACGGGGAGCACGCACTTGTTGAAGAGGTTGAGGCCGATTCGGTAGTGCCGCCTCTGGACCACATCATTGTTGAAAGCTGGCGAGTCCCAGCTATGCCTTGTCTCCCGCTGGTAAGTCTGCTTGCACAGGCCGGTAGCCGGAGGCTCCCTTAGACTGTCCCGAGAAGAGGAGCCGGAGCTGCAGTTGATGGTCTCATTGGAATTGCTGGAGCTCTCAAGGCTCTCGTTATCTCCACCATCAGAGTTCTCGCCTGCTGCCTCGCACTTCCCCAACCTCCGACCCCCAGCCACACCACTGGGCCCAGTGCCACTGTTGGGGGCTGGTGGCAGGGGCCCTGGTGGGGCTGGGGCTGGGCCTTCAGGGGCTGGGTAGTGGCGGTGTGGGATCGGGGCCCTGCCTGGTGGCCCCTTGTGCTTCAGGGTCCCATGGGGGCTGCAGCCATCAGCCTCATACACCAGCTGGCGGTGGACAGAGCCGCGATCTGAGCGGTCACTCAGGTCCACGGAGCTGTCACTAGGAGGCTCAATGGTAAGCAGGGGAAGGTGGGCAGCCCGCAGCCGGAAATCCCGGCACTCCAAGCACCCGGGACCCCTGCGAGTGCCTTCCTCACGGCTACCGTCTTCCCGGGTTCCTGATGGCACTGGTGGAGGAACTGGCGGGAGAGGGGCTGGCGCCCAGAACTCGGGCCGGCCCTGGGGTGGGGGTTCTGTGCTGGGCAGTCGCTCAGGGGATTGTTGGGGAACTGTGTCATCCAGGTAGAGGGGAAGATCACTGAAGGATGTGGCTGAGCTGTCCTCTTGCTGTTCCTTTGACTCCCGCTTCTCCAGCTGGGCTGACCCTGGCTCCTCAGACATGGGCCCTGACGGGTGGCAGTTCAGGGCTTCGTCGATGGATTCAGCCAGAGACTTTACCTGTGCAAGGGGGGGAGGAGAGGAGGGAAAGGGAGAGAAAAGAAAGAAAGATAAAGGGAAGAATGGTGGAAGGTGGGAATGAGGGAGGGAGGTAAGGAAAAAGGGGGAGTCTTCCTGGTAGGTCAGCAAGGAGGGTGGATTCCCCTCCCCCAGCCCTGACAGGCTCTCTGTGGTCTGTAAAATGACTCCCAGGGAACCATTGTGAGCTCACAGGAGCTGAGACTAATGCCCACAAGTTCCCCACTCAGCTCACACCCCAATACCTCCTTTGTGTCCATTTAGACTCAAGCCAAACGTTACCTCCTCCCTGATTCAAGCCACATTCTTGCCTCTGCCATCCCCCAGAGTAAACCAAAATCCCAGTTTCCTCTGTGGGAATTCTCTTAGGAAATCCATAACATTTGACCTTGAGCATCTGGACCACAGCTGGTAATGCTCTCTCCCTGTGGTATCCAGACTCTAAACTGGCCGCTAATGATCCCTGCCTCCTGGTATTCACACCCTAGGGTACCACATTGTACCAGAGTTAGTCTGTGTGACAAACAGCATATGGCAGAAGCGAATGTATGTCACTTCTGAAATTAGGTTTTAAAAGACTGCAGAGGCTGGGCATGGTGGCTCATGCCTGTAATCCCAGCACTTTGGGAGGCCAAGATGGGAGGATCCCTTGAGCCCAGGAGTTCAAGAGCAGCCTGGGCAACATGGCGAGACTCTATCTCTACAAAAAATAAAAACATTAGCTGGGTGTGGTGGCACACACCTGTAGTCCCAGCTACTCAGGAGAGTGAGGCAGGAGGATCACTTGAGCCCAGGAGTTTGAGGCTGCAGTGAGCTATGATCACGCCACTACACTCCAGCCTGGCAACAGAGCAAGATACTGTCTCTAAAATTTTTATTTGTTTGTTTGAGACAGAGTCTTGCTCTCACCCAGGCTGGAGTGCAGTGGCACGATCTCACCTCACTGCAACCTGCACCTCCCAGGTTCAAGCGATTCTCCTTCCTCAGCCTCCCCAGTAGCAGGGATTACAGGTGCGCACCACCATGTTTGGCTAATTTTTGTATTTTTAGTAGAGACGGGGTTTCGCCATGATGGACAGGCTGGTCTCAAACTCCTGACCTCAGGTGACCTGCCCACCTTGGCCTCCCGAAGTGCTGAGATTACAGGCATGAGCTACCACACCTGGCCAAAAAAAATTTATTAAAAAAAAAAAAAAAAACTGCAAAACATTTTTTAAAAATTTAAAACATTAAAAAAAATTTTTTTAATGACTGCAGCTTGCATCTTGAGCACTCTTGGTCGCTTGTCACTTGTACTATTTCTCTCAGACCCCCCAACCTGGGGAAAGCCGCATCACGAACAGTCCTATGGAGAGGCCCACAGGGTGAGGCATTGAATCCTCCTGCCAACAGCCAAGTGGGTGAGCTTGAAAGCAGACTGCCAGCCCCAGTCTAATCTTCAGATATTGCGGGCTCTCCCTACAGCTTGACCGCAGCCTCATGAAAGGCCCTGAACCAGAACCACTCAGCCATGCCATTCCCAGCTTCCTGGCACCCAGAAACTGTATGAAATAATAAATGTTTATTGTTTAGGCTCACTCTCTTGGGTCAGTTTTAAGCTACCAAATTTGGGGGTAATTTGTTACACAGCAACAGATAACAGATATACTTCCCCATCAGACTTCAATAGCACTCAGAGCTGGGACCAGACCTGCTTCCCAGACTGATCTCCTATTTCCCATTCCTCCCTTGAGGGAGGGATCCAGGCCTGGTTTCTCTCTTTTTAGCTCAGCTCAACACATTGCTTGACACAGAAGAGATGTTCAATTAAATCTTTGTTGTATGAATGAACAGACGAATGATATAGATCTTCCCTTCAATACTCCTGTCCTTCCCTCCACCTCTTCACCAGCTCCAAGGAGGCATGCCCAGGCTGATGGCAAGGCCAGATCATAGAGGTTAGAGCAGGGTGACTTTTTCTCTTATAAAGCTTCTTCCATTCATTCAACAATCTCTACCAAGTACCTTCTTGGTTTTAGGAAGAAAACTAACGTACTTAGCAGCTACTACGTGCTAGGTGTTTTCATATATATTACCTGTATAGTTGCACCGAGTCTTCCAAACAGCTCTAAAAGGGTTTTCTCTCCATTTTATTTTCTCTCCATTTTATTGATCATGTTTCAGTGTGGTTAAACAGTTTGCCAAGGCCACACAGTTGGGAAATGGCAGAACTGGGATTCACACCTGGGCAAGTATGTTGACACACCCCAAGCCTACAACGATCACCCACTACCTTTACTGCATTACAATTCCACCCTCCACACTTTTGCTGATGCAACGCCTATGTAAGCAACACCCTCCCAAGTATTTCTAACTTGCTAAATCTTTTCTGTCTGGTAAGGTCCAGCTCCAATGCTGTTTTCTCAAACAGGTTTTCTGTGGTTCTCCCAGAAGAAAGTTTCCTCCCCCTCCTCTGGGTTCCCAAGGTACTATACATTATACTATAGCCTTTCTCATGGCTCAGAGCACACTCTACTTCAGGAGACAGTAATGCACACATATGTCTGCCATTTCCCACTGCCCTGGGATCCTTGAGGACAAGGACCAATTCCAGGTCCTTAGCCTCAGTCTCCTCCTCTATTAAATGGGAATAATAATCCCTGTCTCACAGGTCTGCTGTGAGGCATATACAGCACTGGCACACAGTAGGAGCTCACTACCTGTGAGTTAAGCTTTATTTTATAGTAGATCAAGTTCCAAGTAGTGAGAACTTTTTTCTTATTTGTTCTATACACCCATACATATTTTTTCCCACAAGAAGGGAACGACATGGAACACCCATATTTATAACTTGCTTGTTTTAACAATGTAATTTCTGGCCGGGCACAGTGGCTCACGCCTGTAATCTCAGCACTTCCGGAGGTGATGGCAGGTGGATCACCTGAGGTCAGGAGTTTGAGACCAGCCTGACCAACATGGTGAAACCCTGTCTCTACTAAAAATACAAAATTAGCCGGGCGTGGTGTCACATACCTGCAATCCCAGCTACTCGGGAGAGTGAGACAGGAGAATCACTTGAACCCAGGAGGCAGAGGTTACAGTGAGCCAAGATCGTGCCATTGCACTCCAGCCTGGGTGTCGAGAGCGAAACTCCGTCTCAAAAAAAAAAAAAAAAAAGGTAATTTCTATCTTACCAGTTCTTTCTCATTATTCTCACAGTCCCAACTCAAATGGTAGCTATTTGCTGTTATTAAATGCCTGTCACGCAACTTCTTTCAGTTTGCAATCTAGGTAAAAAGTAGCAGGAGTAGCCAGAACACGGGGATGGGGAAGAAAGGTCCTTTTCAGGGATCCTGACCTGTTTGGAGAAGGAGTCCTCAAGTTCTGTGATGTCATTAGAAAACTCTCCAGATGTGGTGACGGAGCTTCCACCACCATCGATGCCCCCACCACAGGAGCCTCCATATGGGAGCCCCCGTTCAAGCCGGTGGCTCCGGGCACCAGCCATGGCACCCTCGTCCAGCGAGGCAGGCTTGCCCTCGAAGTACGCGGGGTTCTGTGCCTTCTCATACTCCTCAAAGGAGAACTGCATCCGCATGTTGGAAAGGATGATGCGGCGGGACATGCGGCTCTCTGAGGCTGAGCTGCGTAGCCGCTCAAAGTTCTTGTTCATGCGGTACTGGCGGAAGGCTGTCTGGATGGTCCTGGCAGCCCTGCGGCTCAGGAAGGAGCCCCCATACTTCCTCTCCAGCATTTCCACCTGGCAGAGAAGGGTCGAGGGGAACAAGGTCAGAAAGTCATGGCAGCCTCATCTCCCTAGGCACTCAACCACACCACCCCCACTGGAATCATGGCTGACTGCTTACAGCCACCGAGAGCGCCAGGCTAGGTGCTCAGTGTTGTCTCCTCACTTGAATTTCAGATAACACTAGTCAAATGGGATTGGATTATGTTTTGTTTTCTTATTTGCAAGAAGAACATATTGATTATTTGAAAACAGGAAACAAACAGAGAAGCCAAAAAAAAAGAAAGCAAGGTAGAAATAAATGGAGAGCAAGAAGGAAAGAAAGGAGGAAGAAAGAGAATGAGAAAGGAGAAGGAGAGAGGGAGAGAGAAAGGCAGAGAAGGAAGGAAGGAAGGTAGGTAGGTAGGTTGAATTACCTACATTCCAAACACCTAAGCATAACTAGAATATGTCTTTTGGTGTAGGGTATATGTTTTTGTATATGTCCTTCCAGTTTTTTCCTATATGTAGTATTTTGTTTTCCCTCCACCTTTCTTTTTAGCCAAACAATCTATTGTATGGCACTCTTCTGAAAAGGTCAACTGATGTGTGTTCTTCCTGTTAGACTGAGTTTTTTGGGGACTGGATCCAGGACTCATTCATCTTTACATCGCCAGGACCCGGGCAGGGAGCTCAGTAAATGTTTCTTGAGTGAATACAAGCCTCAGTGGATGGGTGGTGAATGAGTGCATCCCCAGTGGGGTGAAGGGTCCTGGGCCAGTCTTCTCCAATTCCAGCCTCATTATCCCTCCCTGATACCACCCCCAAGAGCCACATCCCAAACCCTCCCCTGGCGCTCTCTTGCATCCCGACTCCCATTCCCAACCAGATGCCTCTGTTGCACCTTCTTGTCCTGCAGGTCTGTGGAGAGTTCATAGCTGTCCGATAGGGCCTTGGAGCGCTTTATCTCCTCCTCCTCCTGCTTCCTCAGGGCGACACTGGCTGGCTGGAGGCGTGCCCGCTGAGCCCAGGGAAGGCCCACTCCAGCAGGGGGGCCCCCCATGTGGCTGCTGGAGGGGGGCAGCTGGCTCAGCCGGTAGGGGGGTTGGCTCCCAGGACTATCAACCGCTGTGCTCAGGTCACTGCCTGGGGCATCACCCTCCACACTGTGGGGATGAGATAAGATGAGCCAGGATGTGGGGACAGGACAGGGGCCTACTGGGCCATACTGAGAGTGGGTGAGCCAGATCCCTGCCCCCCATCCCATCCACCCCAGCTTCCTCACAGATATAGGGACCCAACACTTACAGGCCACGGTGAGTCCTAGCTCTTGGACGTCTCCCCACTCCCACCCAAGTCCCCTCCCTTCCAGCCCCCCTGCCTTTACGGCAAGATCCTCTTAGACTCCTTTCCCTCAAGGCTCTGCCTGGTCCCCAGTCCTCCTCACCCCTCACAGCCTTCTCCCCTAGACCACTCTCCTCCCAGTCTTGTCTCCTCATGCCCTTTCTTCTGCCCCCTCACAGCTCCACCCCTCCCCACAGACCTCTTCCCCTTACAGCTCCATCCCCTCCTGGCCTTGTCCCCAACGCAGTGCTCGCTGTGATTTCCCTCCCAGTCCGATTCCCAGCACCACCCCAGACTAGCTCCTTCAAAGCGCCACCCCCTCCCAGCCCTGTCCCAGCTGTGTGAGGCCCACCCCTGCACACAGCTCTCCCCTCATCCGCCCAGCCCTGTCCCCTGCAGCCTGGCCCCTGCCCCCTGGTGCCTGGACTCCGGGCCAGGCCAAGCCAGTTCCCAGGGTTCCCTGGTTGCGAGGGCAGGGCCAGCAGCAGGGCAGGGCGAGCAGCAACAGTGGGAGGCGCCTCCCATCCAGCATCCTCACAGGTAAAGAGCAGCCCTGCGGGGCAGCTTCCTTTTTCTCCTCATGGCCTCCTCTGCTCAGCTGGGGGAAGGGGGCAGGGGAGTCTCCACGCGTGGCAGGAGCTGGGCCCCGGGTCTTGCCTGCCCTGGTTTCCCAGAGCTGTTGTTCCACCAGAACTGCTCCCATGGTGCCATGGCAACCAGGCTGCCAGGGAACCCAGGTGGCGACAGAGCCCAGGCGCCTTGAGCCGAGCCTGCACGGTGAAGAGCCACAGAGGTGGGGAAGACAGGGAAGGAGTCGGGCGGGAAGGAACACGCAGGTGAGGCATGGAGGAGGCTGTGGGGGGAATGGGTGTGGCTGGGACCCAGAGAATGGTCTCATTATGGGGGGCACAAGGTTGGAGGCTCTTGGCTGGTAAACAGGTGAAGGGGTACTCCCCAGCCCCTATTCGGCAGAGGCAAAGGCAAAGGGCAGAAATGGGCTGGGGTAGGTACTGGGGGGGACCCTACCAGTGCAGGAGCTGGAACTGCAACAGGCCTGCCAGCCTTGCAGCAGAGCGCTTTGCACTGGGGGCTGGATGTGGTGTGAAGGCTGCGCCCACGAGGCCCGGTCCCGGGCTGCAGCGCTGTGGAGCTCGGCTCCGCCCTGGGGAGAGCTCCCACCCATCGCTCGCTCTCCACCCCAAATTCTCTCTCCTCCTGGGCCTGGGGCGGTGGCCCTGACATCACCCCCACTCCAGGGTTCAGCCCCAGCTCAGCCCACCCCCGGCATCCAAGATGTTCCTCTCCTCCCTGCCAGGACTGCAGGATCTTGCCCATTAATCTCTCAAACCTCCCCTCCCAGCACACGGCTCAAGCCCAGTTTTGATCAACTGTCTCCTGTATGCATGAACCATCATCTATAACTTCCACTGCTCAGAAGAGATAGCCCAAGTCCCTTATTCTGGCATTTGAGGCTTCTCCAAGATACAACAGCTAATATTTATAGACCATTTAGCACATTTAGGTACCATTCTTACCACTTCACACTGAATAACTTGCTTGCTCTTCAAGACAACCGTATGAGGTAGGTACTGTAATTTATCTTCATTTTACACATAAAGAAACTGAGGCCCAGAGAGGTTAAGTAACATATCTATGGTCACACAGCTACTAATGATAGAGCCAGGATTCAAATCCAGGCAGTCTGACTCCAGAGCCCACACTCTTAAACATTAAGCCATACTTCAGGGTTGGCTGCCAGCCCCCTATTCCATCCACCCATCATTCCAGCCTGGCCCACATCCTGCTTTTCCCAAATGCTCCTCTGCTTTCTACCTCCAAAACTGCTCATACAGTACCTACCACTTGAAATGCAATCCCCATCGTCTCCGCCATCTGCAATCTGAGAAATTCCCCCACATCCTAGTTCCGTCAAGATTCAGGTCATATGCCACCACTAAGAAGCCCTCCTGAATCCCGCCTCCAGCCAGAAATTATTGCTGATCCTGTTCAGAGCTCCCACACACAGCACATGTCTGTCCTGCTTTTTATGGCACAGGTTAGCTTTGGCAAAGCATGACAGCTATTTGTGTTCATGACTCCCAGAATCCCAGCTCAGGAAGAGAATTTGATAATCTCCCAGCTAACACAGAGCACACGGCCTGGAACAGAGTAGGTGCTCAATAAAAGCTGCCGTCCAGAGGGAGTCAATGAATGTGCTCAGGAGGCTGCTCTAAGAAATACTCTCTCCTGAACTTTTACCACAGCCTCCGATCTCCTCTTCCAACCCATTCTTCACCCTGTGGCCAGTGAGAGCTTTCAAAAGTACAAATCTGGGCCGGGCGTGGTGGCTTACTCCTGTAATCCCAGCACTTTGGGAGGCTGAGGCGAGCAGATCACATGAGGCCAGGAGTTCAAAACCAACCCAGGCAACATGGCGAAAACCCGTCTCTAATGAAAATACAAAAATTAGCCGGGCGTGGTGGTGGGGGCCTGAAATCTCCTGCTGAGGCAGGAGAATCACTTGAATCCAGGAGGCAGAGGTTGCAGTGAGCCAAGATTGTGCCACTGCACTCCAGCCTGGGAGACAGAGCGAGACTCCGTCTAAAAACAAACAAACAAACAAACAAACAAAACCCACCACCACCACCACCACCAAAAGTACAAATCTAGGCCTGGCGCCGTGGATCATGCCTGTAATCCCAGCACTTTGGGAGGCCAAGGCAGGTGGATCACCTGAGGTCAGGAATTCAAGACCAGCCTGGCCAACATGATGAAACCACATCTCTACTAAAAATACAAAAATTAGCTGAGCATGGTGGGTGTGCCTGTAATCCCAGCTACTTGGGAGGCTGAGGCAGGAGAATCACTTGAACCCAGGAGACAGAGGTTGCAGTGAGCTGACATCGCACCACTGCACTCCAGCCTGGGAGATAGAGTGAGACTGTCTCCAAAAAAAAAAAAAAAAAAAAAAAAGTACAAATCTAGCTGGGCACAGTGGCTTATACTTGTAATCCCAGCTACTCCAGAGGCTGACATGGAAGGATCACTTAAGGCAGGAGTTGAAGACCAGCCTGGGCAACATGGCAAAACCTCATCTCTACCAAAAATACAAAAAATTAGCCAGGTGTGGTGGTGGGCCCCTGTAGTCCCAGCTACTTGGGAGGCTGAGGCACGAGAATCGCTTGAACCCGGGAGGTGGAGGCTGCAGTGAGCCAAGATTGTGCCACCACACTCCAGCCTGAGTGACAGAGTGAGACTCCATCTCAAAAAAAAAAGTATTGCCAGGCATGGTGGCTCAGGCCCATAATCTCAGCACTTTGGTAGGCTGAGGTAGGAGGATCACTTAAGCCCAGGAGTTCAAGACCAGCCTGGGCAACATAGGGAGACCCCGTCTCTACAGAAAATAAAAAATTAGCCAGGCGTGGTGGCGCATGCCTGTGGTCCTAGCTACTAGGGAGGCTGAGGCAGGAAAATCGCTTGAGCCCAGGAGGTCAAGGCTGCGGTAAGCCGTGATCCTGCCACTGCACTCCAGCCTGGGCAACAAAGTGAGACCCTGTCTCAAAAACAAAAACAAAAACAAAAACAAAACTGTACTAACCTAACTATTTCATTCTCTCACTAAAACCCTTCCACAGCGCCAGATAACTCACTCAACAAACAACAACTGAGCACCCTCTGTATGCCAGGCACAGTGCTGGGTGCTGGAAATATACTAGTGAGCAAAATGCACGAGAACATTCTCAGGGAGGTGATGTTCTAGTGAGGGAATGGGTGTGGCTGGGACCCAGAGAATGGTCTCATTATGGGGGGCACAAGGTTGGAGGCTTACAGAAGAAAGAAACAAGTAAATATATCCTGCCATTTCAGGTAGGGGTGAAGTGCTAGGAAGGAAAATATAGCAGATTGCGAAAAGGTGCTGTTTGAGAAGTGGTGCTCAGGGAAGGCCTTTCTGGAGCAATGGCATATAAGCAGAGTGCTGAGGGAAGTGAGAGGAAGTTGCATGGCAAAGGCAGAGCAGTCCAGAGAGAGGGTACAGCCAGCGCAAAGGCCCGGAGGTAGAACTGTGTCTGGCATGTTCGAGAAACAGTGAAGAGGCCAGTGTGGCCGGAACAGAGTGAATGAGAGGAGATAGGAGGTAAGATCAGAGAGGTCATGGGGGCCAAATCGGAAAGGGCATGAGCCTACAATAAAGACTTTGGCTTTTGCTCTGATTGAGGTGAGCAGAGGAGGGACATGATCTAACTTGGGTGTTCCAGGAATCAGCAGCCATGGGATAACCTTCAACTTCCTCACTGTGGCCATGGATGGCTCTCCTGACTTGACCCCCACCTCATATATTCTCTGCCCCATTGCCCCAACCTGGCTACCTCCTGCTCAGCCTTCAATGCTCTGCTCAGGTATGCCTTTCCATGCCTGCCTGCCTCCTCCACACAGGCTGTCTTACACCCGCTCCTCTCGGGCTGCAGTAGGGCCCTGTTGTCACCTCTAATTCCTAGGGCAAAGGCACTACTTAGCTCATTGAATTCTTGAAACTTACCAAGGCAGGCACCATTAGCCTCATTTCATAGATGAAGACACTGAGGCTCAGAGAGGTGACATAAACTTGCTCAAGGTCACATAGCTATTAAGTAAAAAAGCTAGGATTCAAACCCAGGGCCCAGGCTTTTCATGACATCTTGTTGCCTCTCCTCACTCCCGGCTCCGTGCTGCCCCTGGCTCTGCACTCTTTGGCAATTCCTCCCTTGAGAGCTCACCCCCGTTTTGGTTGCAAAGGGAATAGTGGCAGGGAGATCAGGCTGTCAGCACAGCCTCCCACAAGGGAGCCTGGCAAAAAAAGGAGGGTGCTTGACGGCGTTGCTTCTGACATCATACATACTGCTGAAGAAACAGCACTGGGGATGTGGAATCCCTCAAGTCAGAGCCCCCAGAACAACACTCGGGGACATGCTGATCACATGGAAAATCTCTCTTCTTCTCTTTCTCTCGCACACATACACACACATGCAAACACACAGAGAGAGAAAGAGCCTGTTGTAGAGTAAGACGCTGGGCAGGCCAAGGCTCAGGTCCTGACTGCCACTGACCAGCTGTGTGAGCCCGTGCATGTCACTTTTCCTCTCTGCAACTCAGTTTCTCATCTGTGCAGGGGTCAAGCAAAACCAACTCCCTCTTTGGATTCCTGGACTTCAGAAACGGTCTGGGAGCACCCCCTCTCTGGACTCTTCCCAGCCAGGAGCAAAACATCTGCATGTGCACACACACACACACACACACACACATACACTCACACACATGCATGCAGAGGTACAATAACACAGACACATGCAAAGGCAGACAAACCTAGAAACAAAAACACATCCACAGACACAAGAAAATAGACACAAACACATGCAGACATGCACATATACGGACACAACCACACACACACACTCACACACACACACACACGCCCATGTGCGCTGTCTGCTGGGCTATTCTGTGGGGGAAATTGGAGAGCATCCTCTGCAGAGGGGGAAATAAGCTATGCTACACAAATAACCACAGTACAAAGCAGAAAGTTATCAGGGCTGGGGAACAGAGGAAGTGCTGGGGGAGTGCAGGAGAGAGATCCCTTCTGTTTGGGGGTGGTTGAGCAGAATAAAAATAAACTCGCACTTACTGCGCACCTTCCCTGTGTCAGGCATTTTCCACACATTATTTAATCTGCATGGCAAACGTGAGGGAAGAATTAGGATTCCTATTTTGCAGATGAAGAAAAAAACTCCAAGAGGGGAAATGACTGCCAAAGGTCTCAGAGCTAGCAAGTGGCAGGACAGAGATTCAAACCCCAAAGCTTGTGCTAGTTCCTCTGCTGCCCGGAAGGCTTCCTGGGGGAGGAAGCTTGTGGACTGGGTCTTGCCTGGAAGGAGTTGGTAGAGATGAAGAGTGAGGGAACCTTGTGTGCCAAAGCACTAAGATGGGGAGAAGCAGTGTAGGATGTTCCACAGGGATCTGGGGCTGGCCTGCCCATGGCAGGGGCACTAATCCTCCTCAAATGCTGCTTCTAATGGGAGGTCTTCTCTCCCTCCTTCCCTTTATTGGCACTGCCCGGAACCAGGCAGCCAGCAGGGGATGGGATCAGGATGCAGTTGTCATGGAAACGAATGGGGGCTGTTGCCATGGATATCATAAGATGAGGGCAAGAGGAAGCTAGGGATGGTGAGGACTATCCCCATGACAACTTAGGTGGCAGTGGGGGGAACGGGACGGACTGGAAGTAGAGACAAGAAAACAAGACGAGGAAGGTCATTGCACCTGGATGGGACCAGGGGCTTTGGGTTCTGGAAGGAGCAGACTGGGCCAGGAGACTGGACCCAGTGGCAGGGGAGAGAGGAGGCAGGGGGACTGCAGCCACCTCTCCCTCCAATATTTCTTCTGCAAGCTAGTTCTGCTGCCCAATCCCAGTGTCACAGGGATCTAAGCCCTAGCCCAGCCTGGCTTGGCACAGGAACTGACAGGGAAGAAAGCAGCCTTCAGAGGAGCTGAGCTGCATACACGGGCTTTGGGAGCGCAAGACCTGAGCTTGAATCCCAGCTTTGCTGCTGTGCAGCCCTAAAAATAATAGTTGTCATTTATTGAGTTGTCATTTTGCTAGGCTGAGCAACACTGCAAGGTTTGGGTTGTTCTCTCTGAGGAGGACAGCACAGATGATGAAACTGAGGTACAGAGAGATGAAGTAACCTGCCCAAAGCCTTGAAGCTCAGCACTGGTGGAGCCAAGATTCAAACAAAAGTGTATCTGAACACAAAGCCCGTGCTCTTACCACCACCCCACCCTCTGTCCCAGGCACTATAAGCAGTCCCTTCAAGGTACAGTCCTCGCATTCTTCATCTCCCCGTGCCTTCCCACAGTGGCACACAAAGGATCGCATGCTGGGTAAATATTTGTGGAGTGGGTGAACGAGGAAGCAACCCGGGAGGAAGCAGGAAGGACTGAGGTTAGATGGAAGAAGCTCCTGACCTCAAGAGCGATGACTCATGGATGTGGCTAGCCAAGGGTGGCAGAAGATGCACAGAGCTGGGATGGACTGGACGGACTAGGCTTTATGAACCATCCAATCCCACAGACCCAAATGGAGGCCCAGAGAGTCAAAGTGACTTGCCCAGGGTTGCACAGGACAAGAATCCCCCTCACCTCTGGCCAGCATCCCACTCTTAGCTTCAGAAGCCCCTCTGAATCTGGCCTGTCTCCCCACCCCTCACCTCCCACCCTGCCCTGTAAGTTCCTCAATGTCACAGGCAATAGCAGGTTACTTGCAATTCCTAGACTACAGCAAGCTGATCCACATAACCAAGCCCATGCTCATACTCTTCCTTTGTTTCTTCTGCCCAGAATGTCTTCTGTCTCCCCTTCACCCCCCGACTTGCTTGATCTGGGTGAGCTCATCTTCATCTTGCAGTACCCTGGGCAGGTTGGTCCTTCTGGGAAGTCAATGCTGACTCACTCCTGCCGCTCACGGAACATGACAGGGTCAGTGACTCCCTCCCCTGTGTCTTATGCATACCCATATTATCACAGTCAGTCTTTCTTCCTGGCTAACTTGTGGTTCTCTCTTAAAGTGTCCGTCTCCCACCCCACACCCCCGTCCTGTTTCCCAAGGGCAGCGGCCCGGTGTGATTCACCTTTGCGGACCTATGGCACTCATGCCAGTACTAAGCACACAGCAGTTACTCAGCAGCCACCCTGGGTCCTCGAAGACCACAGGTAGAAATCACGTGTGTCTGTGTGTGTGTGACCATCCTGCCTGACAACTGTCACCCTAAAGGCCACAGCCTCACGTGCTTAAAAGCCACCCACACCCAGCCTTGTGATTACATCCACCAGACACAGACATCAAGGCTGCCAGGTACATAAAGTCACCACTTCACACAATCAACCTCACACTCAGAATTCCTCACACCCAGTCTCACATCATCACATTTCCTCAGCTCTGCAGCAGTGTGCACAGTCTCACAACTGTGAGACCTGCAGAGCCTTGTGCAAAGACATGTGTGAGGATGGCCGGCCACATGGAGGCCATGCGTGCACACATATTTCTCTCACGGCTGATCAAAACCCCACCCCCTTCCCACAGCACAAGCCCTCTGCCCGATTCAGCCAATTCAGTTGCCCACGGGTCGGGAGGGTCATCTGACCCTGACTTGCCCCCTCCCCCCATGTAGTTGAACCCCCGTCCCCACCCCCACACTTGCTTCTCTCTCCATTCAGCGGAAGGGTAGAATGGTCTCCTCGTCCCCAGCCCCAGGTCACCTACATTCACACACCCTGGAGAGCAGAATAAACAGAGTAATGTACCCACCATTCCCCTGCATGACCCTGGAGCGCTCCCCCAGGTTTTTGTCTATGCGGTCCCTGTCTCCTATAATGCCTTCTCACCCCTTGCCACCTTTTCAAACCCTTACCAGCCTTCAAGGCTCAACTCTTGCACCTCTTCCTCCAGCAAGCCCTCCTGGACACCACACCTCCCCACCCACCTTGACATCTCCTTCCTCTCTGGGCCAGGAACAAAATGTGCTCATTACTGAAGCCGTTCCTGTCCAATCATGTTAACCCTTTGCATCCTTCCTACTTTCCCAAAGGATTTCTCATCTCTCATCTCCCCTGGGAGATGGAGAGCTCGCAGAGGACACAGCCACTGTCATGCTTAAAAAAAAAAAAAAATCTTTTTGTAGAGATGAGATCTCACTATGTTGCCCAGGCTGATCTGAAACTCCTGGCCTCAAGCCATCTGCCTGTCTCAGCCTCCCAAAGGGCTAGGATTACAGGTGTGAGCCACCACACCTGGCCTCTGTCTTACTTTGGATCTCTCACAGTATTTAGCGTCAGGTCTTATACCCAGTAAGGGCTCAAACAATGCTTTGTTGAGTAGAATGAGGAAGAGTAAATAAGGGAGACAGGCAGGGAGGGAGGGGAGAAATAAATGAGACTTTGAATGGGTGAATGAGTAGATGAGTTGAGCGAGTGAGGCAATAAGTGAGGGAAGGAGGTGAGGTTCTAGGAAACCTAGAGGTTCAATGTGATAGAGATGCTGAAGGGAGGGAGGAAAGAAAAGACAGGAGAAAACTCTCACCTGGGCCTTAATCAAAACAAGAGCCACCAATCACAGCACACTTGCCCAACAGTGCACAAGCTCCTATGCTGGGCTCGTTGTGTTCTTTCTTGCTAATCTTCATGACAACCCAGAGAGGTAGGTATATTCTCACTGTACTCAGGAGGAAAACAAAGCTCAAGGAGAAGAAAAAACTTGCTCAAGGTTATACAGATGTAAGTGGCAGAACCAGAAGGTAAACTCAGATTTGTCTAATACCAAAGGCTCAGACAGGAAAAGTCGGGGGTATGAGCCCACTTCAGACACATCATGGAAGGTGTGAGTCCTACAAACCCGTAAAGGACATCTTCCACCCTCCAGCTGAGAGCCTCCAGGGAGTCTTAGAACCAGCCTCTGCCCAGGTGCAGGGAATATTTAGGGTCGTTGCATTGGAGGGAAATGGCTTCCTCTCAGATTCAGAGATCCCTAAAGTTGTAGAATCAGAACCTTAAAAGTAAACGATCAAGGAATCTAAACATTGCAGAATATTAAAATTGCATCATCAGAATTTGTTCAAATGGTAGAATTATGCAATCTTAAAACCACAGGACTGGAAAATCCCAAAATCACTGCATTGTAGAAATAGAAATCATAAAATTGCAGTGGAATGTGTCACTGAATCATTGTCTATTAAATTCACATAATCATAGCTTCTTAAAACTGTAGCATCTCAGATTCACAAAATGTCACAGCTGGAAGAGTCATTGGAGACCCTCTAATCCAACCCTTCTCCTTTTTATAGATGTCAAAGAGGTCATGCGACACATCCAAGGTTAGCCTGCCCGTGTTGGGAGTCATTCATGCATTTATTGAGTGCCTCCTGGGTGTTGACAAAACCACGAATCAAACCCTACTCTCTTTCCCGGCCCCTATTCCCAGCCCTGGATAGGAAAGAAGGCAAGGCCCTGGTGGGGATTGGAAGAGGGAAGTGGGGGTGGGTGGAATATACATCAGACAGAGAGAAGAGATCAGCTTTTATTGATGGAAATTCCTTTGTACACAGCAACACGCACTCTGAGAGGCCTTTTCCTCCTGATAATATTTACAGAGCACTATGGGAGTGGCAGAGGGCATGGGGTGAGGCCTTCAAGCAGTGGAGGAGATGGCAGCAATGGCCACAGCAAGGGAACAAACGACAGGGAACTAGGCAGGCTGGGTCCTGCCCCCGTCTGGTCCTCTGAGCCCTAGGCACCCTGCATCTCTGTTTGTGCTCACAGAGGACAGAGGTAGGTCCTTGGGATGTCATTTGGAGACCTCTCCAGTAGTGGCAGGCTCCAGGGTGCCTGGGAAGTGGGAGTGCGGGTACGGGAGGATCCAGGTTCCAAGCTCCAAGCTCCAAGCTCTGCTTCTCCCACATTTTAGTCGGACCTAGGGCTCCAGCTCTCTTTAATTCAGGGGCTGGAGTCCAGAGGAGACAGCAGTGGGGATGGGAATTCCAAGAAGAAGGTGGGGGGAGGAAGGGGCACGATGCTTGCCCATCTGGTTCCTGAAGCAGGGGACAGGGTCCCATGGGGGAATCTGCGGGGGGGTGGGTGGGGGGAAGGAGGGGCTGGTTAAGGCTTTTGCTTCTGCATAGAAAATGGCCCTTGTCCTCTCAGTTACCGAGAGGAGGGACTACTGCACTCGGAGGCCGGACAGCAGAACTGGTGAGCGTCTTCCTCTTCCTCTTCCTCAGTCTCCTCCTCCTCCTCCTCTTCCCTGGGGCCAGGAAGGGCGGGGTAGAGGCCACAGGCGGTGGGTGACAGAGAGAGGCAGAGGCATTAGTTTGCAGAGCAGGGGAGATACGCGAAGGGCCAGGACCGGAACCAGAAGGTGGGACGAGAATGGGGGTCAGGGTGGGGAGGCCAGTGTGATGGATTATCCAGGGTCACACCCAACTCAGTGTGCTGGGACAGCCCTCCCCCACACCCAGCCTGGGCTCAGTCTTAAGGTCACCCTCAGCGTATATCAACTCCCTTTCTAACCCTGCCAGGTGCCTGACCCTCATTTTAATATAATAACAGCAACCTGCTCTCATTTTGCACGCATCATCTCACTTAGCCCCTACAACAGCTCTGCAGAGGAGCATTTTAGAGATGAGGGAATTAAAACTCAGAAAGGTTAGATAACTTGCTCTAGGTCACACAGCTGGGTAAGTGGTAGAGTCAGGATTTGAACCCAGAGTTTTTGGAGCTCCAAGTCTCAGACTCATCCCACTAGGTCCTTTGGGTGAACTTGGCACTATCTCTAGAAACCCACCCTGCTCTTGAAGGACAAGGATTTGTATTTCCTGAAGGTTCAGGCTCAGGAAAATGGGAGATACTTGGAAATGGAGTACGGAAAGCCCACAGCTTTGGAAGCAAACAGACCTGGGTTCAAATCCCAGCTCTACAAGTGGTTCCAGGCTATATGCCCTTGAGCGCATTATTGTCACTCTTGGAGCCTCAGTTTCCTCGTCTGTAAAAATGGGGCTCGTGATGTGAACCTCCCAGGACTGTTGCAAGAACTAGAACATATATCAAGTGTCTGGCAAACACCAGCAATGGGAACATGGTGGTGATTATTGTTAACTACTCGTGAGCTGAATCTAATTCCCAAAGTGGCCGTCTGCCCACACAGAAGCAGCCACAGCAGTGGGAGAAGAGTCGCTGCAGGAACAAGCACCTATCCCTAGGGTGCTGCTGAGCAGTACCAGGGGCCAGGCTGCATGTGGCATTCACTGGTGCTGGGCTACAGTTTCATATGGTGGATGGACAGACAGTTGGGCTGGGAGGGGACCAGGTGACTTGGGAGTGACAAGGCTGACCTTCTGGGGACAGACAAGGAAACAGTTACCCTCATTCCCAGACCCCTTGGCTCAGGGGATGCAGGAATTATGGAATCCAGGAGACTGGAAGAATGGGAAGAGGTGGGAAGGAACGCAGACAGGGAAGTGAAGGGAAAGGAAAGGAAGGCATTGCTGTCCATCTGATGCACAGACAAGCACACACACGCACGCACACGCCTTTCTCAGACTCAGAGCTCCCTCTGACACATTGTTCCACGGACTTCCTGAATCAGCAAAATCACATGAAGCAGGGCGCAAGTTCTGGGCAAGTAGCCCTCCCTTTCTGAGTGTCCCATTCCTCATCTATAAAAACAGAAGATCCACACCTCTCCAGGCTGTCATGAGGAACAAGTGATATTCCATTCCCACTGCTCACTCCCCTCTTTTCCAGGCGAGGCCCCTGCTTCCTCTCCCCCTAACACTGCAGTCACCTCCTGATTTCTTCTCCCTCCCTTCTTGAACCACATTAGCCTTCCTAAAGCCCACCTTCAAGCATGCATCTCTTCTGCTCAGACACCCACTGCCTCCTGGATAAAGTTCAGGGTCCTCAAGTTGGCATTCAAGGCTCTCCCACCATATGGCCTCACCAGGCCTTTCCTGTTAGATGGCAAAAGCACAGGCTATGGAATCAGACGGACCTGAGTTTCAATACCAGCCCCATCATTTACTAGCCGGATGACCTTGGGTCCATTTCTTCACCATTCCAGGACACACTTTCCTTACCTGCAAACTGAGGAAATACCTATTCTGCAGGGTGCAGTGGGACTAAAGGAATTCAAATATGTACTAAGCAAGGCTGGTGCTTAGTGCATGGTAACTATTATTATAACGGCCATTATAGTGGTATCCATGTTCCCTACTCACTGATGCCCAGCCTTCATCAAGCTAGCTTGTTCATTATTCCATCAGCATGCCTGGCCTTTTCACATCTCTATGTGTGTGCTGATTCTGTTTCTTCCACTTAGAATACTCTTCCCTCTGCACAGATCTTTGCCTATTACCATCCTTTCTGAATTTCCTGACCCAGCTCAAGTGCCACTTCCTAAGGAAGTCCTAGCCAGAAGTATTCTCTGCTTCCTTCCAGCTCCAGCATCCGTTCCCTTGGCCAGGGCTCTCCATTTGTTGCTTTGAACTTTCCTGAAGCATTTCTTTCACCAATCCCCCAATACCCTTGTATCCCCACCACTATCACTGCTTTGCTCCTCTGTAAGAAAGAGGGGGCCCCTCTAGCATTTAGGGCCAGTCTCTCCACCTGGACTCTGGAGCCCATCCCCATTACCTCCTCCACAACAATCATCCCCTCTCCCTCCTGCGTTTTCAACCTCTCCCCCTCTGTTGCCTCCTTCCTATCAACATTTATAGAAGCTCAAGTCTCTCCCATCTGGGAATAAAAACCCTCTATCTGCCCCCACATCCCCCTCTGTCCCTCTCTCCTCTTCACAGCTAAGCTTCTTCTTAAGAAACCCGTCTACACTGGCCATCTCTGCTTCACTTCGGTACCTCCCACGAGCTCTTCGACCCACTCCAATCTGCCTCATGCGCCCACCACTCCATGGAAGCTGTTCTGAGGAAGGTCGCCCAGGCCCTCCTGATGGTTAAAGCCAATAGACTCTCTTCCGCCCTCGGCTTACTAGCCCAGGCTGCAACATTTGACACTCTTAACAAGGCCCTCCTCTGCATGGCCCTTTCCTTCCTCTGCTTCTGTGAGCCCACCCCCACTGCTTTTCCTCCTACTGCTCTGACCCCGCCCCCATTTCTTCCTGGGCTCCTTCCCTACGCGTTGGTTTCCCCTTCCCAATTCTGCTCTGGCCCTCTTCTCTTTCACTCCACACTTTTTCAGTGATCTCATTCCATTTCATAACTTCAGGTGTAGATCCCTCTCCTGGGTCCCGGACCCGTCGAGCCCAATGCTTGCTGGACAGCTCTACCAGGATGGCCCTTTGGGCCTTCAGCTCTCATAGGGACCTCTGACTCAGCATCTCACCATTGTCCTTAAGGCACCACCATTCATCCAGTCACCTGAGCCCAAAACATACCTTGGAGTCACCCTAGATTCTTCCTGCCCTCTTAGCAAGTCAGTCACCAATTATTGTGGACTCTACCTCCTAAATAGCTCTAAAAGATAGACTGTGATGTTGCCCCTACCATCTCATCTTCTACTCCTCTCACTCCTTCTTCAGCCTTTTCCCCATCACACTGGTCTCCCTGCTGCTCCCCAAACAGACCAAACACACTCTTGCCTCGGGGCCTTTACACCTGCGGTTCCTTCTATCTGGAACATCGTCCCTGAGAGGTACACGGCTCACTCTCTTACCTCCTTCAAGCCTCTGCTCAAATACTGCCTCATCAGAGAGGCCCTCCCTCTCAAAAGGCACCCCAACATTCTCTACCTTATCACCCCAGCTTTTTCTTCATAGCACTTATCGACATCAGATACACTCTAGACATTTAGTTGTTTATTTATTTTTCTGTCTCACTCACTGTAAGATCCATCAGGACAGGCATCTGTTCTGTTCAGTGCTAAACCCCTAGTGCCTAACACAGTGCCTGGCATTCAATAAATATTCAGTGAATGAATGAATCCAGTGCCAGGCATGAACACTTGAACTTACTGCGAACTCCAGCCTCTGTCATCTCCACCTCCTCCTCTCTCCCCGGTTACCTCTTCAGTCTCTGACTCCAGTCCTCTCTTCCTCCTGATCACCTCTCAAATCCATCTCCTCGGCTCTATGCCCACGACCTTGGCTTCTCTCTCCCTTGGATTACTGCATAGCCTCCTCCCTCATTTCCCTTCTAAAACGCTAATTTGATCATGTCACTTTTCATCTTTTCCTATTCAAGAACTGTTCATGGCTCTCCAACTGCCTACCAAAAAAAAAATAAAATAAAATAAAAAGCCTATACTCTTCAGACAGCTGCTTGAGGTAAGCCTGACCTCTGCACCCTCCAATGTCTGATTTCACCTTGCTCACCTCCAGGCCTTTGCGGACACTGTCAGCACCTCCTCCCCCATCTCTAACTCTCAGAATCCTCATGGACCTTGAATGACTGGCTTAAACACAGCTTTCTTCAGGAAACTTGACCTAACTCACAAAGCAAAAGTAATTCCTCTGCAAAATCCGCAGGGAAATGAGTATTGCCAGTGTCACTTGGGATCTCTGAGAACCAGGGGTAGGATGAAAGTTAGTAAATATGTCTGAGACTAAGGACTCTGGATGCTGGGTGAGCATTAATAGAGGTTCCCTTTTCCCCTTGCACTATCACCCTGGCATGGACTCATGTCCCTCTGGCCCTCTGCTAACTTTGACTCATCCTCGCCTCTTCCCTTTCCCTCACCTTATACATCCACAACAGTTTATATCATCTGACACTTCTATTGAGTCTATCTCATTAATAACTCTCAAAGGATTTGGATTCTATAATTTGAAATTAAAGTGCTTCTCAACAAATGGTGCTCACTGGAGTCGTGCAACACCGTAGCCCTGCTCAAATCCATTTCTTCTCTGCCAATACCCCAGTTTAGGCCTTCCAGCTGGTTTCCCTGCATACAACCCATTTTTCATACTGACTGCTAATGTGATGTTTCTAAAACACAAATTTTGCCAAATTACTCTCCTATTTAGAATCCATTCAACTGACACTTTGTCACCAACAATATTGGTTCTCAAGCTTTTTGAGGGGAATGCAAACCCCTTTACCAATTTAATGAAAGCCATGGACCATCTCTTCCACCAAAAAATGCACATAGGTATATGAATGCAACATTTTGCATTCAATTTCCGGAGGTTCGTGGGGTTCCTGAAGCCCATCTGAGACCCATGCACCCCAGGTTAGGAACTTCTGGCCCTTCCCAATAACATCCCGTTTCTTTTCCATATGCTGTATGCTATTCCTTCTGCCTGGAATGCTCTTCCACACTTCACCCTTCTGTCCCTGGCTCTTACTTAACCTTTAAGACCCAGCTCTTAGGCTGAGTTGACCTGTACCAGCCCCAGACAGGGCCAAATTCCTTCCTCTGGGCTTCCATACCCTTCAGTGTTCTCCTCTGTCAGGGCCCTTCTCAGTCTCCCTGAGTGACTGGGAACTCATGGAGGGCAAGAACTGTTACTCAACAGAGACCCTGGTCACAGCAGTACTCCAAAAGTATCTACTGAAATCAACACTAATAATAGCTACTCTTTCCTGAGTACCCATTATGTGCCAGCCACTCAGATTCTGAATGCATTCATCTGAATGAGCTCAGCTCATTCAGTAAATGAACCCCATGATGTTGGTGGTATTGAGTCCTGTTTAACAGATAAGGAACTAGGCTCAGAAACGTGAAGTGAGTTGGTCAAGGTCAGCTAGCTAGTGAGTGACAAAGTTGGGACTGAAATTGCCATGAATGCCATGGCAAGTAGTGGTCCACCATGCCTCACTGCTCTGAACTGTGAGATTAGGAGATGGTATCAGTAGAAGAGGACCAAGAACCAGGGCCAGAACTCCCTACTTGGAATCCCTTTCCCAGGAACGCCTACTCTTATTTTCCCTCCTGCATCACCTTTATATAAGGCAAGACCAGGCACCTGGTTCTCTCTTCTTATGATGCAACCCATGTACCCTGTACTCCTCTCAGCCTTCTCATCCCAAAGCCCTGCTATGGTCAGGCCCATTCTTTGCTCCAGAACCGTCTAATACACACAGCTTTGAGATCGAATCCAATTCAATGCTACACAGTTGGCTATGAGGAAAACAAGACACAGGTAGTCCCTCCTCTTCTAGAGCTGACAGTCACCCAGGAGCCTTACATGCATTATCTCCAATCCTAAAGACAGCCCTAAGAGGTAAGTTGGCATTAGCCGCATTACATAGATGAGGAAACAGAGGCTCAGAGGATAAATGACTTGCCCAGAGTCACCGAGTTGGTAAGTGGCAGAACTCGGACTTGAATAAAGGTACTGACTCCACTATTTTTCCCCTATGACGTCATCCTGCTTGGAAGGGCCAAAGAGTGAACAAGACCATTTCTGGTGGAGGAAGGGGATGAAGGAAAGCTAGCACTCTTCCAAGACTCAGTACAAACGTCCCCTCCAGTAGGAAGCCTTCCCAGATGGGGTTAATTGCCCCTCATCTGGCAGCCTTCTGGGCCTACTTCTGTCCCATCCCAAATCACACTACGGTGTCATTGTCTATGTGCCTTTCTCCCTTCTAGACTTCAGCTCCATGAGAGCAGGATCAGATACAATTCATTCCAATATTCCACCAAAGGTCAGCACAAGGCCTAATCTAAAGCAGGCAAGACAGAATCCTTGCTGAATGAATGATGTGGTATCTGAGCTAATTATTAAAAGGATCTAAACAAAATCTGAACAGCTGGATACAGGGACAAGGTATAAAGGAGGAGGGAAATGAATTAATAAAAGCAAGGAAATGGGACCAAGGAAAAAGGCCAGTAATTTTGAAATGATGACAGGGTGTTCATAACATGTTTTCACTGTTGTTATGGGGGTTTTCTTTTCCTTACAAAAATGGGATTATACTGTAAACCCTGTTCTGCAACTTGCTTTCTCCATGTAACAGTAAGTCTTGTAGATCTTGCTGTGCGAGTATATACAGAGCTACCTTTTCTTTGGATCTGCTACAGAGTAATCCATAATATGGGTATATCATGGACTAAGATCTATTCCCTACTGATAGACATTTAGGTTGTTTTAATTTTTCAGTATCACAAGCAATGCTGCACTGAACATCTCTGCATATGTCTCCAAGTATTCTTGAAGGTTAAGATTCTTAAAAGTTGAACTGCTGGGTCAAAGGAATGCACATTTTGTTTAAAGTGCACATAAAAGTTATTTCCGTTACTTTAACATGTTTGCAGTCTGGCTGTAAAGAAAGATTATTCCTACTCACATAATCTTGTCTTTCTTTTGAGAAGCATATATCATGCACCTTTTAGTTAAGAGTTGGTTGAGAATGATATCCTACAAGGGCAGGTGATAAAGAGTTGCACAGTCTGGCTTATGTTTGCAGTTTGGATTGTGGTGTTTTAGAAAAGGCCTCTGGTTGGCCAAGTTGAGGTCCTTCTGGAAGCAAGACCTTGGAGAAATCTAGCTCCAGGATATGGTTCTCAGCATGGAAGAATACAGACATTTAGGATTCTGGTGGTAACTGACAAACTAGCCCCATAAAAAATGTTACCAATTTGCAGAAGGTATCTGAGAGGTTCTGTTTCTCCAGAACCCTTCCAATATTTTTAATTTGGGAACCTAAAAATGGCACTTCATTGCTTTAGTTACATTTCTTTTTTTTTTTTTTTTTTTTTTTTTTTGAGACGGAGTCTTGCTCTGTTGCCCAGGCTGGAGTGCAGTGGCGCAATCTTGGCTCACTGCAAGTTCCGCCTCCCGGGTTCACGCCATTCTCTTGCCTCAGCCTCCTGAGTAGCTGGGACTACACGCGCCCGCCACCACGCCTGGCTAATTTTTTGTATTTTTACTAGAGACGGAGTTTCACCATGTTAGCCAGGATGGTCTCGATCTCCTGATCTCATGATCCGCCTGCCTCGGCCTCCCAAAGTGCTGGGATTACAGGCATGAGCCACCGCACCCGGCCTGCTTTAGCTGCATTTCTTTAACTATTAGTAAGCTTGGGCATATTTTCTCCTTTATTAGCTAATTGTCTATTTCTTCCCTGAATTGCCATATCATGTTATCTCTCCATTTTGAATGGGTTTTGTATCTTTTTCTTACTAGTTTCCAGAAGGTGATATAGATATAGGCAGAGATATTAACCTTTTGCCTGATATCTGTGTAGTAAACACTTTCTCCTAGCCTGTTTATGTTTTAATTTTGTGTATAGCATCTTTCTCCACACAGAAGTTTTAAATTTTAATGTAGCCAAAATTATTACTCTTTATGTTATAGCTTATGGGTTTTTAAGTCATGCTCAGGAAGGCTTTCTCCACCTTAATATTATTAAAATATTCCAGATTTTTTTCTGGTACTTTTATGGCTTTTTTTTTCTTCTTTTGACAGAGTCTCCCTCTGTTGCCTAGGCTGGAGGGCTGGAGTGCAGTGGCGAGATCTCAGCTCACTGCATCCTCCACCTCCCGGGTTTAAGCAATTCTCCTGTCTCATCCTGCCGAGTTGGGATTACAGGCATGTGCCACCAGGCCCGGCTAATTTTTGTATTTTTGGTGTTTTGCCATGTTTCCCAGTCTGCTCTTGAACTCCTGAGCTCAAGCAATCCACCCGCCTCAGCCTCCCAAAGTGCTGGGGTTACAGGCATGTAACCCCATGAGCCACTGCACCTGGCCTGTATTTGTTTTCATATGAGACAAGGATTTCACTTAAATTTTTTTTCCCAAATGGGTAACCAATAGTCCCATCTCATTTATTGACTCCCCACTGATTTGAGATGTCTTTTGTCATGAATTAAATTCCCATATGAACATAAGTTTGTGTCTAAACTCTCTATTTTGTTTCATGTCTGTAGTCCTCTATTTCTGTGATAGAACATTTGAAATTATTGCAGCTTTATGGTAAGTTTATATCTAACAGAACAACAAGTTGCCCTCATTCTTTTTTTTTTTTTTTTTTTTGAGACTGAGATCTTGGCTCACTGCAAACTCTGCCTCCCAGGTTCACACCATTCTCCCGCCTCAGCCTCCTGAGTAGCTGGGACTACAGGCACCCGCCACCACGCCTGGCAATTTTTTTTTTTTTTTGTATTTTTAGTAGAGATGGGGTTTCACCGTGTTAGCCAGGATAGTCTCGATCTCCTGACCTCGTGATCAGCCCACCTCGGCCTCCCAAAGTGCTGGGATTACAGGCGTGAGCCACCACGCCCAGCCACCTGCATTCTTTTTCAAAATTTTCTTAGTGATTCATGAACATTTACTCTTCTGAATGAACTTTAAACTCCAATCACTCAAATCCCAAAGAAAATATCACTGAAATTTTAATAAGGAATGCAATGAATGTTTTGGCCAAATTAGGAACAAAATGTCATTTTTACCACAGTGACTCTTCTCATCCAAGAACAAGATATAACTTTGTTTTACTCAAGTCTTCTTACAGCCGTTGATTAAATTTTATAGTTTTCTATAGAGAAGTATTTCACATTTCTTGTAAATTCATAGTGGTTTTATAGAATTATTTTTTCTATTGTGAATGGGATCTTTTCTATTATGTGTTCTAATTAGTTATTGCTGGTACTCAGAGAAGTTAATGGTTTGCGTGTATATTTATCTGTGTCTACTCACTGCACTGACTTTTCTTCTTAGTTCTACTAATTTTTCATTTTATTCTCTTCAATTATCTAAGTAGACAATCATACCATCCTCAAATAATGCTAATTCTAACTTTGTCTTTCTAACATTTATACCATGTATTTCTTTTGTTAATCCCACTGGTTAAAACTTCCAGAAAAATATTGGTTAATAACAGTGATAGCAGCCATCCTTATTTTGTTCCTGAATTCAATGGAAATGTATCTAGGGCCTCACTGTTACATTTGATGATTCTCTTTGGTTTCTGATAAAAATTCTTTACCAAGTTAAGGAAGTTTTCATGATTCCTAGCTTACTATTTAGTCATCTATTACTGTGTAACAAACTACCCCAATACAGCAGAATAGATGTATAATTTAATCAGATCACTTTTCAGCATTTATGGAGATGATTATATGATATTTTCTCTTTAATATCTTAATACAATAAATTACAATAACATTTCCTAATGTTGAACAATCCCTGCACTCTTGGGGCAAACTTTCATTTGTCACAATATATTCTTCTTTTAATACACTGATGGATTCCATTTGATAATCTTTTATTGAAAATAGTTGTTGCTCTATTAATATGTGGCATTAGGCTATAGTTGTTGTTTTTTTTTTATTTTGTTTAAACCTGTCTAGTTATACTAGCCTTATGGGATGAACTGGGAAGCTATCTATCTTTTCCTATTATCTGATCTTTCAAGATTTGCTAGAATTTCCATCATACCAGAACTTCCAGAATACCAACTGGACCTGGTACCATTTCTGGGGAGAAAACTTTGACCGTCTTTTCTTTTTTTTTTTGAGATGGAGTCTCACACCGTTGCCCTGGCTGGAGTGCAGGGGCGCAATCTCGGCTCACTGCAACCTCCGCCTCCCAGGTTCAAGCGATTCTCCTGCCTCAGCCTCCCGAGTAGGTGGGATTACAGGCGCCTGCCACCACGCCTGGCTAATTATTTTTTATTTTTTATTTTTAGTAGAGACGGGGTTTCACTATGTTGGCCAGGGTGGTCTTGAATGCCTGACCTCGTGATCCACCCGCCTCGGCCTCCCAAAGTGGTGGGATTACAGGTGTGAGCTACCACGCCCGGCCACTTTGACCATCTTTTAAGTTTCTTCCCTACTTTTCCATTTTATTCAGGTTTCCTGTCCCACCTTAAGTCACTTTGGTAATTTACATTTTCCTAGAAAACCACCCAATTCATCTATATTTTCACATTTACTGGTAAAAAAGTATATACAATGTTTATTTTATTTTATTTTGAGACGGAGTCTTGCTCTGTTACCCAGGCTGGAGTGCAGTGGTACGATCTTGGCTCACTGCAACCTCTGCCTCCCAGGTTCAAGTGATTCTCCTGCTTCAGCCTCCCTAGTAGCTGGGATTACAGGCACACACCACCACGCCCGGCTAATTTCTGTATTTTTAGTAGAGACGGGGTTTTGCCATGTTGGCCAGGCTGGTCTCGAACTCCTGACCTCAGGTGATCCACCCACCTTGGCCTCCCAAAGTCCTGGGATTACAGGCATGAGCCACTGTGTCCAACCAATATTTTCTTTTTTTCTTTTCTTTTCTTTTTCTTTTTTTTTTTTTTTTTTTTTTTTTGAGACGGAGTCTCACTCTGTCGCCCAGGCTGGAGTGCAGTGGTGCAATCTCGGCTCACTGCAAGCTCCGCCTCCCGGGTTCAAGCCCTTCTCCTGCCTCAGCCTCTCGAGTAGCTGGGACTACAGGCACCCGCCACCATGCCTGACTAATTTTTTGTATTTTTAGTAGAGACGGGGTTTCACTGTGTTAGCCAGGATGGTCTCGATCTCCTGACCTCGTGATCTGCCTGCTTCAGCCTCCCAAAGTGCTGGGATTACAGGCGTGAGCCACTGCGCCTGGCCCCAATATTTTCTTATAATAACTTTTTTTTCATCTCCTTAGAATCTATGGTTAAATCCCCTTCCTTATTTCTTAATGTATTTATTTATTTAGCCTTTTTCTTAGTCATATCTGCCAAAGAATGTCTACCAAACTAGGTAGAGCTGGTCTTTCCAAAAGTCATATTTACTTACTTATTAATACTTTATCAAATCTTTTGTTTTCCATTTCATTAATTTCTGGTTTTATTTGTAGTAATTATTCTGCTTTGTTTTGGTTGTTTTTTTCTAGCTTCTTGAGTGGAATAATTAGTCCATTTAATTTAAACCATCTTGTTCTTTAATAAAAGCAATTAAGATTATAAATTTTCCTCTGGGAATCCCTGTGCCCATATTTTATAGGTTTTAAGTTGTAGTATTCTCACTGACATTTATTCTAAATAGTCCATAAATTCCACTCTTATTTCCTCTTTAACACAAGTATTTTTAAACTTTCAAATAGGGAGGAGGGCCTAGCCTTTTTGCTGCTGCTGTTAATATTTCCTTTTATTGAGCTGTAATTAGAAAACATAAAATAGGTTTTCTAATTAACTTAGAAATAATGTTTTCCAGCCGGGTGTGGTGGCTCACACCTGTAATCCCAACACTTTGGGAGGCCAAGGCGGGCGGATCACGAGGTCAGGAGTTCGAGACCAGCCTGGCCAACATGGTGAAACCCCGTCTCTACTAAAAGAAAAATACAAAAATCAGCCAGGTGTAGTGGCGCATGCCTGTTATCCCAGCTACTCGGGAGGCTGAAGCAGGAGAATTGCTTGAACCCAGGAGGCAGAGGCTGCAGTGAGCCGAGATCGCACCACAGCACTCTAGTCTGGGCGACAGAGCAAGACTCCATCTCAGAAAAAAAAAAAAGAAATAACATTCTGCAAAGATATGGGCAGATTGTTCCCTCTGCCTAACTGCCCTTCCTCAGTCTATCCAACTGGCAAACTCCTATTCATCCTTTAAAAAAGCTGGATTATCACATAGTCTAGGACCAACCACTCAGGCCTTTTGGGGCAGGTCTCTAGGGAAGGATTTTTTTAAGGAAGGACAAATTAGATAGATCCCAAATGTCCTCTTTGGTCTGCTGACCTGATCTTCCAGGCACTCTCCTCATACACTCGGACACCCATTCCACAGGCACAGCAGGGGCTCAGGGAGGTGGGAGGGGCTGGCAATGACACTGTATATTTGTCTGGAAGGAGGAGGAATTGGGGGAGGGATGGGTCTAGCTCTTACCTGCTCTCTGCCAGCCTGCCTGAGGGGGTAAGCTTCATGGAGTCAAGGACCTGAGTAGGACAGCAATACTGGTGTAGAGTATGAGACGCTGTGGACCTGAGAGACAGCAAGAGACAGAGAGAGACAGAGAGAGAGACAGGGAGGGAGGGAAGTGGCAGGGTGGGCGATGGGGGCAAGAAGGTGAGAGTGAGTGCGGGAGGGGAAAAGGGAAGGCTGGGAGGAATGGAGGATGGGAAATGGAAGAGGAGGCGTGGGAGGCAGGGAGGGAGGAAAGGAAGGAAGATAAGGGAGAAAGGAAAAGAGGAAGGGAGAGAGGGAGGAAGATGGAGAGAGAGGAAGGAAGGAAGGAGGGAGGGAGGGAGGGAGGGAGGAAGGAAGGAAGGAAGGAAGGAAGGAAGAAAAAAAGAAAAAAACCACAAAGTCAAGAAAGAGAGGACGGCACTCGAACCACATACAGAACACAACGACAACAGGGGGCAGTAGAGACGAAAGAGCCGGGCTGGGCCTCCTGTGTTCCAGGTGACTCCGTGGGGACCTCAGCCACAGAGACGCTGGGACACCACAGTAGGGAAGGGGGAAGGGAGCCCTCCTCACACCAGACGCCACAGGGGTAGGGAGGACGGGAGGGGAAGGGGGGATGAAAGAGAAGGGGGAAAGATGCATGGGGGCTCCCCTTAGAGAAGATCCCTCACAGGAAGGGAGGAAGGGATGGAGGAAGGAGAAGCTCTGGGCCCAAAGAAGGGGGAGAACCCAGGTGGGTGGGTAAGGGGAACACTGAAGGAAGAGAGGGAGAGAGATAGAGAGAAACCGAAAGAGACAGAAAAGGAGAAAGACAGAGAAAGAGGAAGACAGAGAAAGGGCGAGACAGAAGACACAGAGAGAAGCCAGAGAGAGGCAGAGAGCGCCAGAGCAGAGGAGGGTGAGGGCGGAGGAGGCTGACAAGGTCTCAGTGGTCTTGGTGACAGGATGGGACTCAGGGCTGAGTGGGTGAGGCAGAGGATGGGGTGGTTCCAGGTAGGAGTCTTTTGCTTTGAAGGCCAGTGCTTTACCCCCCACCCCAAGGCGGGGCCCACACTCCACCCCTGATGCTGTGCCCCCACCACCCCTAGTGCAGGGTCCAAAGACCCCTCCACCTCCTGCCTCCTGCGATTAAAGTCCGGAGAATGGCCAAGGGGAGGAGGAGGTACAGCAGGGCAGGGAGGCTGAGGGCCTGGTCCCTGCCCTACCCAGTGCAGCGCAGATGCCAGAGGTATGCCAGTCAGCTGGAGCCAGAGCAAGCTGGGAGTGGAGCCGACCCCTTCCAGGTCAGCCAGCCCCTGTCCCCCACAAGCCCACAGAGGCAGACTGTGGTCAGGGCCTGGCCATTCAAAAGCCCATGTAAAAGCCAGGAGACATGGCTGCGGGCCAGGCCAGCTGCGAATTTGAGGATGTCCAAATCTCAGAACCTTACAGGGAATCTTTGAATCTGAGACTCTTCTTATCGAAGGCTCTGGATTAATCATCATCAGGGCAACTGCTTCTCAGGTGCCAGTCTCCAGCCCAAGTCCTTGACTCATTATCTCTTTTGAATCTGAGACTCAGAGACTCTTAGGCTGCTGGAATGTTGGTGTTAGAATCTCAGAGGCCACGAGCCTGGAGCCCTGCAGTGCCTCGCACACAAGGCTAGTAGAGCAGGGTAGGAGCCAAGCTCACCCCTCACAGGCCACAGGCTGTGCTGCTCAGGGTTCCAGGGTCCTTCCAGAGCTGGGCACCTGGATGCCCATGGGATCTCCCACTTGAACTGGCTCCCTCCCCCAGGCCAAAGGCCTCTCAGAGTCCAAGAAGGGAGCCAGGAACCAGGAAGCCAGGAGGCTGCTGAATCAGTAGCCCAGGGACTGGGTCCAGGCCTGGGCAGGAAGGGAGGGGGCCAGGCTGCGGGGCCCAGGTTCCTACCTGCTGCTCCTCCCGGGGGGCTCCATGGGTCTGGACCTGTCCCAAGGGCAGGCCCCCTGGCCTAGCCGGTGTCTCCACCGTGTCACCACCCCCTCCTCCCCAGCCCTTCCCTAGAAGGAGGAACCAAGAAGGCGGGGCCAGGCCAGCTGGGCTGCGGGCCAGATTGCAACTGGAAACTTTGCTCCTTCCCCTACTCCTCCAGGAGGGCTGGGAACTCCTCCTCCGAGGAAGCGGCCTGGAGAGCTCACAGTCCCTCCTCTGGGCCAAACCCCAGGCTGGGCTCCCTCAGTGCACCTCTGCTAGAATCTCCCCACGCACCCCATCAAGTTTGTATCGCTGGCTCTATTCTCCTGAACAGAAAATTGAGATGGAGAGAGGTGAAGTAATACTGCTAGTAAGTGGCAGAACCCCAAGATCAAGACCCGGTTTGGCTATTCCCAAACCTGGAATCTGCCCCTTCAGCCATATTGCTACCTTGTGAGTACAGAAACCTTTCCATAGAAGCTTTTCACAAATACCCTTATTTTCAGCACAGTTAAAGAGACTATGTTTAGGAGTTGTTCTGGGACTCTGCATATTAAGTGCAATTCAAATCACCCATGTTGGGGTATCAAGATGGGGCCCCGGCCAATATTCTTTCTCACTGCAATAAGCTCTCACTCTTCTATGTTGTTTTCTAGACTGGCTGAGAGAAATGCTTCCTGAAGAGAAGAGGGAAAATCAAAAGAAATGCCAAGAGGCTGTTCTTCCAAGTAAACTGCCCAGCCTGACTTTATGGATGGGCAAATTGAGGCCTGGAGAGGAAAAGGGTCTTACTAAAGTTCATGCAGCAGGTCAGAGTAGACTCCAGGTGCCCTGGCTCCCTGCCTGCCTATTACAGCAACATCTCTGTCCTCCACATGGGCGGGACTGGAGAAAGGAGAGAGTTTTTTGGCTTTGAAGGATGTAGGGCTCCTGAGAATACCACAGGTCCAGCTCAAAGTGCTCCTGTCCTTTCACGGTCCCAGAGCCCAGGCCCCTGGCTGTTCTGAGCAGAAGGCGGCCCTGGGAGGGGCCAGGGGGCCAGTGATCTAGAAGAAATAGAAGCTGACAGGCAACAGGCCAGCCTTCCTGCCTCCCTGCTGGGGCAGCTGGTTCCTCTCAAGAAAGCCAAAGCTACTGAGAGAGAGAGGCCCTCCGGAACACCACAAGGTTGGCATCTGTGGGTCCTTAGTGACCTTCTCTCCCTCTGCCCACCCCTCAAAGCCCTGGTCCTCAAGGCTCTGGCCTTAGCATCTGCCTTTTTTTTTTTTTTAACTCTCCTTGAGGAACTCTCCTAGCTCCTGCAGCAGCTTCACCTTGTGCCCATTTGTAGTTATTGCCCTAAGAGCTGAACCCTCTTGACCTGGCAGGAGCCGAGAGACATTAAGTGTAGTGCTGGGCCGGGTGCAGTGGCTCACGCCTGTAATCCCAGCACTTTGGGAGGCTGGGAGCAGTGGGGTGGGTGGGGGACGGTGGATCACCTGAGCTCAGGAGTTTGATACCAGCCTGGGCAACATGGCAAAACCCTGTCTTTACTAAAAATACAAAAATTAGCCAGGCATGGTGGTGCACACCTGTAGTCCCAGCTACTTGGGAGGCTGAGGTGGGAGGATCGCTTAAGCCCCAGAGGCGGAGGTTGCAGTGAGCTGAGATCATGCCGCTGCACTCCAGCCTGGGTGACAGAGCAAGACCCTGTACAAAAGAAAAAGAAAGAAAGAAAGTGTAGTGGTAGCTTTAAGGGATGATGCTGTGTGACTTTGGGTAAGGCCCTTTCCCTCTCTGGTGAGACAAAGAACCTACACTTTGGTGCCTGGTAAAGCTGGGTACAAGTCCTTGCCCTATCACTTTTTAGCTGGGTAAGCCCTCTGAAGCTCAGTTTGCTCATCTATGGAAGAGGAGTGGAAATTCCTACCTCACAGTTCTTGTAGGGATTTGGTAGGTAGACAAAGTGTGCACATGGTAAATAGTCTCAGCCTGAACCTGAGAGAGTCTGTCCCTTCTCCCAGAGAGGCAGAGGAGACCCATGGGAAGCCTGTTTGTTTCAGGGATAGTGAGGAAGATTTCTAAGAAAATATCCCTGAACCTGGGACCACTTTTGGAATTCAGTTACAGCTGAGCATGCTGAACAGACTCAGATGATGACCCACCAGAGGCTGAAGGGAGGAAGGAATGAAGGGTGAGGAGCCTGACCCAGCCACGGGACACTGGCAGGGCCTTCATGCATTTATTCGACAGATACTGTGGCCCAGGCACTGTCCCCGGTGCTGGATACAGCAGTGACTACAGGTAGACAATGTCCTGCTCTCATGGAGCTTATATCCAAGTGAGAAGAGACAGACATTCACCAACTAATGCAATTCAACTGAGCAAAAAGTAGAGATGGCAGGAGGAGAGCATTCCAGGCAGAGGAAACAACCTGGACAAAGGACCTGAGGTGGTATTTCCAGCAAGCACGAAGAGACTGACGTGGCGGGGTGGGAAGAGCACAGGGGAGAAAGGTGAGACTGGAGATGGAGGTGGGGGCCCAGCATGCAGAGCCTTGGAGGCCTCTGTCGGGGTTTCCGTATCTATAGGAAGAGCAATTTGGAAGCCTGTGGTTTGGGACAGGCATGTGGGGTGGGGAGTATCTTTGAAGCCCCTAAAGTTGTATGAAAAGCATTAATTTCTGGGGAGAACATCTCTAGCTTTGATCAGATCCTCGGATGGGTCTGTGATCCCAAAGGGTAGGGAAGCTTCTTATATGATTCCATTCACTAAGTGCCCATGATGAGCTGGTGGCAGGCATCCTAGAACCTTCTGTGAGCTAGCCCCTACCCCATACCTCCAGCTAGTCTCAGCCTTCCCCCCACCTTCAACCTGCACCCCACCCAGACAGAAGCACCTGCAACTCTCTCAGCTACACTCTGCTGCTCCAAGCCTTATTAAAGAGAATGTGTGTCAAATGCTCTGTAATAGTACCTCTGTTGTCCCGCTGTGCCCCCACTGTCATCTCCCCACCTGGCTGGCTCCCCCTTGTTCTTCAAAAGTCAGCTAGATGTTGTGCCCTCTGGGAACCTGCCTTGACCCCACCCAAGCAGGTTGGGTCACCTCCCTTGTGTCCTTCCGCCCTGCTCTTTTCTCAGCCGGCTTCTCTCAACACTGTGTTCAGATGCCTGCTGCCCCTTCTCTGTCGGGAGCTCTGTGAGAGCTGTGTCTTGTTCATCCCAGTGTCCCCAGCACTCAGCACCGGGCACCTGGTCACACATGGTGGGGGGACAATGGACAGAGGTGGAGGCTGCAAGGTGGGCCAGTGGACACTAGAGGGCACTGTGGCCACTAGAATCCCAGCCTGCTGTTGGCCAGGCCGACCCAGGAGGCTCCCAGGCCCACAATTGTCACATGGAAACTGTTACTGGGTCCTGCAGCTCCTCAGCTCTGGACTTAAGCAACCAGGGCCACAGTTCCAGCCTCCCGATAAACCTTCTGCTCCCTTTCCAGATGAGACCGTTTCTCATGACAGTGCCATCTCACTGCAGATACTCCTTTAGTTCTTCACAAACGTGGGTGCCAAACACTCTTCTCGCAGTTCTGGCCTGCAACACTCTTCACTTCACTTTGCCCCACCCAACCCCTCCCCTGGCTAACTTCTACTCATGCTCCAAGCTTCCACTTAGATGTCAGCTTGGAGAAGCCTCCCTGGCCCTCAGGCTGGGTTGGGTATATTTCCGTGGTGCTCCCACAGCACCCTGCACTTCCCCTATAATTGTCTGTAATTGTCTGTCTCCTTGTCTATTTCCTGACCAGACAGTGGGCTTCATCACAGCAGGGCTGTTACTCACCACCCTATCAGCCACATTTAGCAGCATCTGGCACATTGTAGGCACTCAATAAATCCTTGAATGAAGGAATAAATGAATGGATGTGTGGATGGACAATTTGGGGCAAGTCATTTTACCTCTCTAGGTTTCAGTTTCCCCACCTGTAAGTCACCCCTACTTGGCAGGGTGGCCACAAAGATTAAAGATAATGTGTCTCCAGTGCTCTGTAATAGTACCTGATATTTAGCAGACATTTTCTGACTCAAAGCAATTATTACTATTTGGAACAGTGAGAAAAGGGCAGGGGGAGGAGTTGAAGGAGACTGCCCAGAACCTGGGATAATCTCTCTCACTTAGGTTTACCATTTAGATATGGAAGATGGCTTTAATAGCAATCATAAAACTATCAATTTTATTAAAAATAACAGCACCTGCTGTGTGCCAGGCCAGAGTCAGGAGGCCTCTGAGGAGGTGATGGGAAGCCCCTAGTCTCGGCCAGAGGATGCGAGGTCAGGGCCAAGGCCAGAGCTGTGGACATCGCTCCTGTGTCTGGAGAACAGTCATTACTGGCACAGCTGATTCCTAACTCTTTATTCATAGGTGAAAACTTGTCTAAGGGGTCATTAGTTCCCTCTGTAATTAATGTAAAACCTGCAGGGTTTGTATTAGTGGAAAAGTAAGCTCCAGCATCAAGCTGATAACATTGATAATGTGTACTTGTAATTATATACTGGAGGTAACTATAAATTCAGTCACTGAACTCATAAAATATCAAAATTCCTGAGGCCACCAAGAGCTGGGTAGCAGCTGTACCATCAGTAGCTTTATACCAGTTGTTCTGAGGTTATGAAAAATTACCACAAGCTGGTAGCAATGGTAATATTCACTGTACATTTAAAAGCTTTTTCGGCATAAAATAAGAGGGCACTTTTAGACAAAACAGCATGTTTTGATGCAAGGATATGGAACTTGAAAGCACAGTGAGCAAAGGTCATCTTGCTATAAAATAGGAACCAAAAACAATCTTACAAGTGTTTGCCTCTGAGCCGACCAGCTCTGACCTCACTTGGGTACACATAAAAACTGTGCTTACTGCAGAAGAAACAAGAAGTACCAAGTGTTTTCTCTCTCTCCTCTCATCCAATTCTGAGGGAATCAATTATCTCACACGGCCCCTTGCTGCCTTGTGTTACCACAGGCTGGAGGATCACTGCAGTCCAATGGCAGGAGGGGCAGATCCTGAAGCTGGAAAAGGTCACATAGCTTCCAGGTTGGTGGCCATGTCAGGCCATGGGCAAGCAGAGGAAGCTGGTCCAGAGAGAGAAGTCCATGAAAAAGAGATGATAGGCTGGGCGCGGTGGCTCACACCTATAATCCCAGCACTTTGGGAGGCCGAGGAGGGGGGATCACGAGGTCAAGAGATCGAGACCATCCTGGCCAAAATGGTGAAACCCCATCTCTACTAAAAATACAAAAATTAGCTGGGTGTGGTGGCACACGCCTGTAGTCCCAGCTACTTGGGAGGCTGAGGCAGGAGAATCGCTTGAACCCAGGAGGTGGAGGTTGCAGTGAGCCAAGATCATGGCATTGCACTCCAGCCTGGGCGACAGAGCAAGTATCCGGCTCAAAAAAAAAAAAAAAAAAGAAAAAGAAAAAGAAAGAAAGAAAGAAAAAGAGATGACAGGGACCAGGCAAGCCATGAGAGATGGAGAAAGATGAGACATGGGCCCAGGAGATGCAGACAGCGAGACAGCAACCTTGGTCCTCGACTTCCTGGTCCCACTTCCAGTTGGTGTGAGGCCTGGCTGTTTTTCATTAACTGTTCTTAGATTCTGTGAAATGTAGCCTCACAATAGTCCCCTCATTAGCCCTTTATTCTTGAGCTAGCTTGAGTGGGCTTCCGTTCCTCACAACAAAGTGTACCCAGACTAAGACAAGTGAAAATTGGGAATGTAAGTGCAGGGTTTGTGTAAGCAAAATCGCATAAAGAACACTTAGGTAGAGAGGGGTGAATGCAATTGTCCAGCGTTTGTGTTTGTTCACCCAGAAGCTCCCTGGTTCCCTGACACTTGCAACCACAGCCACACGCTCCAGCCACACGCTCACACACACTGACATTCAGTGGCACACAGCAACAAACGCAGCAGCAACCAGATATGGTTCTCTGCAGACCCCCTGACATGCAGGGCCACGCGCCAGCATGCAGTGTTGCACTTTGCTCTTCACAGCCACGCTGCCATGCAGCAGTGCACACCCACATGCATAAACACAGAGGTGCTGCCCGTAAGGCTCAGGGCAGGAGTCGAAGCTTCACTGAGCTCTGTGCAGCCTCCCTCCCCAGCTGCCAAGTGACTCATCCCCAGGGCTGCTAATTAAAGCCAGGACAGAGGGGACAGAGGCAAGGGGAGGGGAAGAGAGAGAAGGCAAGTTTATTTCGGTGCCAACCAGGCACTCAGCCAGCTTAGGGGTCACCCACTTCCTGGGGCTGGGCCAGGCGGCGGCAGAACACAGAGAGGAAGGGGAGGAGAAGAGAAACCTCTTACCCCTTCTTGCCCTTCTTTAGCTTCCTGGAAAGTTACCTCCTCCTCTCTCCCACTGTCAAAATCCAGCTCTGACTCCTCTAGACTTCTGTCCTCACAAACTGGCTGTCTACACCATCATCACGCTCCCATTTGGGCTGGCCCGAGCTGGCTCATCTGTGTCTGCAGCAACCCCAGACTGTGAAGCAGTAAGTGGCAAGGTTCCAGGCAAAGGAAGTGGTAGGAACAGGGCAGGGTGGGCAACCGGGCTGAGCCAAATGGGAGGCATCATGGGAGGTGATGCAGCTGGATGGCTCTGGGGATGGGTAGTGTCTTGGACATGTGGATGGGGGAGCCACAGACGGTTCATGAGGTCTTGGCCATCCCAGATTGCCAAGAGGTGAAAACAAGAGATTATCTAATCCAAACTCCTGTAGGACAGATTGGAGCACTGAGGCCCACAGTGGGAGGCTCCTCCTCCCACTTCTCCTCCAACTGCAGTGGCTCCCGTTGCCATAGGGACGTCCCTGTCTCCGCGGGTGTCAGCGGCTCCCCCACCCCCTCCCTCCTTCCCTAGCAACAGGCCACCTCCTCCTGCTTTCATCCTTGCGTGCCTAGCAACCCCAGCCTGGTCCCCAGGGCCAACAAGTTCAGGCTGACCCTCACTGCAGCAGTGCCTCTAGGCCTGGGCCCCCTCATCTTCTGGTGAGGGCCTCATCAGGCCCGTCCTGCCCTCTCTGTTTTCAAGTTCTACACTTGTTCACATTCTTCCAGCCTGACTATATAGCATATGACAATGGATTGGGTTAGGGGAAAGCAGAGGACACTACAGTTTGTTGCACCACTATTTCACACCAAGCATTGCTTTACTTTAAGTTCTCTCATCAACCCAGAGAAGTCAAGACTATTGTTTCCATTTTACCCATGAGAAACTAAGAACCAGAGAAGTTAAGTGATTCTGCAAAGAGTGCACAGCTAGGAAGCAGGCTCTGCTGCTAGCTAGCTTTGTGACCTCGAGCGATGGCCAATCCCTCTCTGGACCTTGGCTTAAGGTATCTTTAGGTCAGATCTGTGACACTTCTCAGGGACCCACAAGAAGTCCAGGCACCTTTCTCTGCCCATGCCTACCCCCCACCCCCATCACCAACTGTTCAGCTCTAATTAGACGCCACACTTCCTCTGGCACCCCATACTTTAGAAGCCCTCAGGCCTGGGTCATGCCAAGGGTGGCTTGCAATCTACCGACTCTGCTCTCTCCTTGCTATTCAGTTCCCATAAAAGCCCAGGCCTAGCGCCTCTCCTCGGTGTTTCTTCCACCTCCCTAGCCCTTCCCCCTCCACACACACATGAAGTTTATTAGATGAGGAAACTGGGGCTCCAAGAGACAAACAGATTGTCCAGTCACACAACTAGAGAGCAACCCACCCCCCAAATGGAGGCCTGTGCATGGATCCAGTGTTTCTGCCCTTCCTAGGCCACAGAGCCTCGCCTCTCTCCTCCAACTTCCCCAGCTCCCCACTGATGACAGAAGGTCGCTGTGACCCAGTCCTGACCCGCGTTCTGACCTTACTGCTCTTTTCCTGCCTAGATCTTCTATTTTAGCCCCACGGATGGCTCCCTGTCTCTAAACCCACCCCCCTCGCTTCCCTCCACAAGCTGATCCCACCTCCGGGGACACCCTCCTTATGCAAATCTGCACGGCAGTCCCCGACAGCCCTGCTCAGACGCTGCCTGCTCCAGCAAGCTCTCCTTCACCCTAACTGGAGCGAATTCAAAAATTTACAAGTAGGTCCCTACCCAGCCCTGGTTGCAAGTTCAAGTTGCCTTCCCACCATGTTGTCAAGATATTGCCCCATACACGCCATGCTTTAGCCCCTTCCCATAGCCTGAGTTTGACCCTCGCTTCCCAGATGCTGACTCCTCTAGGCCCCTACAGCCTCCTTGACTCTGGGCCCAGGATGGATGTCAGGAAGCGTGTCTGAATAAATTAAATGCTGGCTTTGGAATCAGACAGCCCAAGGCACTGACTCTCTCAGAACCTCCTTCTCCTCATCTGTAAATCAGGGATTGTAATCCATGCCTATTAGGGCTGTTGTGAGCATTAAATAAGATCATATTCCAAGTTGTTAGTATGTGAGGAACAAATGGTGATTGCTATAATTGCTAATATTAGGATGAGGATGAGGATGATGATTATTATCTGCCAGGCTGTCGAGAGCTCCCGTGGTGATGGTATGGGTAGCACTCTGGGTTGGCGCCAGGCAGACTTGGGTTTGAATCCTGGCTCAGGATCCATATATTAGCTGAATCCACATATTAGCTGCCTGGCTGCAGGCAAAACCCATAACCACTGTGAGCCTCAGTTTCCTCAGCTGTAAAACAATGATGATAAGGCCAGCTCAGGTTCTACCTACAGTGTCACTGGGAGGATCAGACAAAAGAAAGTCCCTGACAACTTCTGTAAGTTGTAAAGGCCCAAATGTATATCATCACATGACTTATGATTATGCTCGTTATTAAATGTCCTGAGCTCTAGGTCCCAGGAACTTCCTTGCTGGGAAGAGCTGAGAACTAGAGATGTTTTCAATCTTCTTCTTCAACAAGTAGCAGGCACATCACCGGGGATGCTTGCAGGAGCCCCGTGCTCGGGTGGCCTCTCTCCAAACCCACGGTGGGACACTGAGATCTATTCCCTTTGCTAGACAGGTGCCTTCCTAAGTGCTAGGACAAGCTGTGCCCATGACATGCTCCTTGGCTGCATGCTAGGACTAATTATGTCTTGTCACAAACCCCTTTCCTGGACACTGGGACTGATTGCATTAAAGCTGGCCTCAGCATGTGTTTATCCCACAGCCCCATTCTTGGCTCTGGGTATCCGTGTGTTTACCCCAGATCCCCTGTCTGGGGTGCTAGAACAGAGTGTGTCTCATTAGACACTTTTGTCTGTATGCTGGCATCCTCTGTCCCCAGCCCATATCCACTGCCTGAATGACAGGACCAGGGCTCCTGCATACAGTCAGGCAAGCTGTGCCTTTCACAAAGGGTCACAGCCAAAAGGATATGAACAGGGGCTGATATCCAACCCGTGCTATGCTCAATGGAGCCACTCAGAGGGGGTGCCCTTGAAAGGGACATCTTTTTCTATTCTTCACAAAGGTGCCAATTATGCTACTGGCAGCCGTGGCTGGGAAAGACTGTACCCATCTGTGCCTCTGCTGCCTGGGCTCAGCTCAGCTCAGTGGCCTATCCCATAGCCCCCAGCCTGGATGTTAAGGCTGAGTGGGTCCTATCCTGAGCACCCCCATCATTCCTATATAATCCCTATACTTGACACCTCTGCCTTCATGAAGCTTCTGATGGGGTAAGGCCTGGGAAATGCACAAAGGTCCCTTGTCTTTACCTTTACCCAAGTTTTACTCCTGCCTCCCCAACTGGCAGATTGAGCACATCTTTAAAACTTACTATGTCTACCAATGGGTCAGTAACAACAATAACAACAACAAAAATAAAATAAAATAAAATAAAATAAAACGTACTGAAGCTTGTAAACTTTTTTTACCAAGCACACACAAAAAAATTTTCCTTGTCGCCATAATGTATAGTTCTAATGTCTAGAATGTGTTACATCCAGAGTCCATTCAAATCCCACTACTCAGGGCTGGCACAGATTCAGGGTGGAAAGTGAACGCTAGACCAGGGAAGCTCAGCATCGATCATGCCCTCTTACCCTGGGAGGAGAAGGTGGAAAAGGTCCTTGTCCAGAGCTGACCTCTCAGCTTTCATATCTGGGCAGCTCCTATGAGCCCCTATGGTGTTCAGCCAAGCTCCCAAGTCAACTAGTGTCAGAAAGACTAAGGAACAGTCTTGAACCCCCTCCCCACAGCTGCCACATCCCCCAACTGCCCTCTCACCCCACTCCATAGCCACCCCTAATACCAACAGGGAAGACGCCCTTGAGTTGGCCCCTCCCCTTGCCCATGGATCCTGCAGTTACAAACCAGAGGCCCCCACCCCAGGCCCTGCCCCATCTCCCAACTAGTACTAAAGAAAGGAGGTACTGACCTGACTGTTCTGGAATTCTCACCATCAGATCTGAAAGGGAAACAGAGAAAAAAAACCAAAACGGTCAGTATACGCTCTCTTCTCCCTCTGCCCTAGGTAGAGTGGCTTTGGGGGGCCTTGAGGCCTAATGCACATCACAAAAATGAGGGGAAGGGTTATTTCATGCGGAGAGAAGAGAATAGCAAGTGCAAGGCCGAGAGACAGTAGAGTGCCTCGCCAGTTGGAGGGATGGAGAGGAAGACGGTGGTGCTGGGGTGCAGTGAGCAAGGGGGAAGAGTGGTCAGAAGTGAGGTCAAAGAGGCACCAGGAACCAAACATGTGGGGCCTAGTGGATCACAGTGAGGAGCGTGGCTTTCGTCGAGGCAGCCAGCAGCCGTGGGCAGGGGCAAAGCCCAAGCTTGAAACACAGGAAGACCTAGGTTCAGATATTGGCTCTGCCACTTACCAGCCCCATGACCTGGGCAAGTCACTTCACCTCTCTGAGTCTGAGCCTCAGTCTCCCCGTTTGTGACACGAGGCCGATCCTCACTGGGCTGTTGGGATAATTCAGCCCTTTGGAACCCGGTACGCAAATGCCAGGTATTATTAACACCATGGAAGGGGCTTTGCCAACTGCCTGGTCCAACCTGCTTATTTTCCAGATGAAGAGAACGAGGCTGAGGAGATATATGAGTCAGCCGCTGGGCTCCTTTCTACTACACTGGTCTGCCGTTTTCATTGTGAGGCCTCTTTAGAGGCAAAAGAAGGGCGAAAGAAGAGAATGGAGTTGGGGACATCACTGAGGGAACCGGGCAATGAGTGAAATCTGAACCACACCCTTCCTCTCCCACCACGCCTTCCCAAGAAGAGTGTGAGAGTGTATACGTGAGTGCACACACGTGTGTACACGTGTGTGTATGTGCGCGCGCACGTGTGTGTGTGTGTACGGGAGGGAGGATCAGGACAGTGGGGCTGGTGTTCACTGCGTGCAGGGAAGGGGCAGAGGAGGACCATGGAATTTGAAAGTGGGAGCGTGTGGGACACGGACATCCCCCTTGTCATCTTCCTCCATCTTCACCTCAGGCCTCCCACCCTCACTCATGCTGCGAAGGAGACAGAGATGAACACAGCACAGGCTCTGTCCTCAGCTGAGAGAGCCAAGACGTGGCTTTAGTGAGGGGAGTGTCCATCTATGCTAAGCGCTAAATGACAGAGATACACACAGGGAGAGGAGCAGGTGGGCCTCAGAAGGGAGCATTTGTTGAAAGAATGAAAGGAGGCCCCGCTGGCGAGGTGGGGCAGGCAAGCATCAGGGTGCTGCAACCACAGCACTCCCGGTTCCACTATTCACAAGCCATGGAATCCTAGGGAAGGTATTTCACTATGTTGAGTGTCAGGGCTTTGCCTTGTAAAATGGGGCTTTGGGGGTGGGCTGCGGTGAGAGTCACTCCCTTTATGGGGTGTGGCTGTGAGGCTCAGCCTAGCACAGTGCCTGGCACATGGTACATGCTCAGCAGATGCCAGTAGCACCAATCCTTAGCCTTCTCAGCCCCCTGAAGGAACAGAGGACCAGGGCCACAGCGCACCTTATCACATTTATTAAAATGTTCCATCTCCTTCTGCAGCAACAAGATTGCTTCTGAGGCCTGGCCCAATTATTCTCAGGTACCAGGCCTGAGGGGCCTGACTTCAATGACTCCCCAGATGCCTACAGAACTGAGGCCAAGCCTCTCAGCCTCTCTCCCTAACACTAACCCTCTGCTCTAGGCAGACCGATCTCTTCACCACCCACCTACCCCCAAACCCAGCACACATGTATTCAGTCTGCTGTCTACCAGGCCCTGCCCTGGGAATACAACCTCTCAAGGAGCTCGTGGACTGGCCACTTGTCCCAATCTACCTAAGGTTTAAGCAACACATCTAATCACCCCCACCACCACTGTGAACAAACTATGAGTACCTACTATGTACCAGGCATAGTGTTAGCCTCTTTTTGTACATTATCTCCTTTGATCCTGCAAAGTGGGGGTTATTCATCCAATTTCAAGATGATGAAACTGAGACTCACAAAGGTCAAAATGACTTGCCCAAGGTCACACAAGCAGAGAAGCTCAGAGTGAACCCCAAAGCTCATGTTCCTACCACCACGCTCCACTGTACCAGAAGCTCAGTGCCGGGCACGTACGCACTATGACGGTGAGTTCCCTTATCTTCATTCCTCAATATCAAGCCAGAGAGGCACCAACAGACCTTTCCTCTCCAGTGCTCTTTCACCTGAGAGATTATGAGAAATATATCTCTGCTCCAAAAGTATTTCTATGTGATATGTGACAGTCCTCAAGATGGCAGCAAAGGGGAGCAAAAGAGCTCCAAGTCATGATGCAGCGGGGAATTCGCCAATTCTCGCTATGGACTGATTCTTACTAGCTTGAGGGTACACAGCATCATATGACTCTCAATGTGGGGGTGCAGCTCACCCCAGGGTCCATCACCCTTTATGCATTTAGCATATTATTCATTATGTATAGAACAATCATCAGTGCTATCCTACACCTCCTCAGAGGCTCATGCACTGTCCAATGTTCATGAAGCTGGGCCACCATTCTTTTGGGAGGCAGTATAGACTGGTAGAAAGAATGCTAGGTCCTTTTATGGCTCATTCCCTAATTGGCAGTGTGAACTCGGACAAGTCATTTCCCTCTGGACCTTGGTTCTTCACCTGTAAAGTGATAGGGCTGTGTTAGTTGAGTTCCAAGCAATCTTTAGGCCTTAAAATATTCTATTTCTTCAGAACCCCAAAGTTTATCTCTTTTATCAACTAGATTCTGCTGTCTACAAGGAGAAGCAATAGACCCAAGGACTAGATCCCTCTTCATCAATCCATGTCAGTAAAGGAGACCGATTTCTCCTGCTACTCCCCACAGCCTTTTATTTATTTATTTATTTATTTGTTTGTTTGTTTATTTAGAGACAGAGTCTTGCTCTGTCGCCCAGGCTGGAGTGCAATGGCACTATCTTGGTTCACTGCAACCTCCGCCTCCCAGGTTCAAGCGATTCTCCTGCCTCAGCCTCCTGAGTAGCTGGGATTACAGGTGCCCACCACTGTGCCTGGCTAATTTTTGTGTTTTTAATAGAGACAGGGTTTCGCCATGTTGGCCAGGCTGGTCTCGAACTCCTGACTTCAAGTGATCCACCTGCCTCAGCCTCCCAAATTGCTGGGATTACAGGCATGAGCCACTGCACCTGGCCAGCCTTGTCTTAATGAAAGGCCACTTAGGCCCCAGGATTCTCAAGAGATTTGGATATGCCAACTCCCATCCTCAGCAGTGATGGCCAATAAATAGTAACTTGTTGGAGCTTTGAGGATAGTAACCATATTTTCTGAATCAAAAACAGGCATGTAATCTGACCAGAGATTTTAATGTTGCTTCTTCCACGTACAAGAATTTGGCCGGGCGCCATGGCTCACGCCTGTAATCCCAGCACTTTGGGAGGCCGAGGCGGGCAGATCACAAGGTCAGGAGATCGAAACCATCATGGCTAACTCGGTGAAACCCCATCTCTACTAAAAATACAAAAAATTAGCCGGGCATGGTGGTGGGTGCCTGTGGTCCCAGCTACTCGGGAGGCTGAGGCAGGAGAATGGCATGAACCCAGAACGCAGAGCTTGCAGTGAGCCGAGATTGCACCACTGCACTCCAGCCTGGGCAACAGAGTGAGACTCCGTCTCAAAAAAAAAAAAAAAAAAAAAAAAGAAGAAGCAATCTGGAAGATGAGAGAATAAATGGCAGAATATCGAAAGTTCCTGAACCTTTTGGGGACTTATGGGGAAGACAGAGCAGAATGACTGAAAAGAATGGAGGCCTTGGAGCTGCTGTGTTGGAGTTTCTGCCCTTGCCTCTTGACTAGATTTCCTGCCATGCTCCAAGCCACCCATAAGCAGTAACTGGGGAACAATATGGTGCCTCTTCCCAGGAACCTGAAATTAGATCAAGAAGCTTGTCCCTGAAAGCAAAACTAATTAAATAAATACAAAATGCATCAGAAATGAGATAATGCGGAGTAACTTGAATGATCACAGACTGGTCCTCAAGCCAGAATCTGAATAACATGCCTAAAAGATTATGTCTCCTACAGAAAGGAGACTGAACATCAACAGAAGTAGATTTTTTTTTTTTTTTGAGACAGAGTCTCACTCTGTCACCAGGCTGGAGTGCAGTGGCGCGATCTTGGCTCACTGCAACCTCCGCCTCCTGGGTTCAAGCGATTCTCCTGCCTCAGCCTCCTGAGTAGCTGGGATTACAGGCACCTGCCATCATGCCCGGCTAATTCTGTATTTTTAGTAGAGATGGGGTTTCACCATGTTGGTCAGGCTGGTCTCGAACTCCCGACCTCAGGCAATCCACCTGCCTCAGCCTCCCAAAGTGCTGGGATTACAGGCGTGAGCCACCGCGCCTGGCCCAGAAGTAGATTTTTTGAAGAATGAAACTTGAAGGGCAACTATGAACGGGGCTCCTCCCAGGAGCGTCCTAAGGAAAAAGAGACAGGTACCCTGGCCCAGAAATCATGCGGGTCTCTCCAAAAGCTGAGAACCGGCCCCGAATCAGCCTTTCATTTTCTCTCCTGAATATCACCTTACACCTAACCGCAAATGTCAGCTCCTTTCTCACACTGTCTGCTAAAGGAACTTTTTTTTTGTTTGTTTGAGACGGAGCCTCACTCTGTCGCCCAGGCTGGAGTGCAATGGCATGATCTTGGCTCACTGCGACCTCTGCCTCCCGGGTTCAAGCGATTCTCTTGCCTCAGCCTCCTGAGTAGTTGGGATTACAGGCATGTGCCACCATGCCCAGCTAATTTTCATATTGTTTTGTAAAGACAGGGCTTCACCATGTTGGCCAGGCTGGTCTCGAACTCCTGACCTCAAGTGATCTGCCCACTTCAGCCTCCCAAAGTGCTGGGATTACTGCTGTGAGCCACCGTACCCAGCCTAAATGCTGTTTTTACACACGACTGTGCAGTGACCACTTCCATTCACTCCAAGTGTCCTGCAACTGAACAACTGTGCCCTCCTCTCATTCTACCATCAGAGTTATATCACAAAGTTTGGGTTAAATCAACATTGGTGGTCTACATTTTTTTTTTTTTGAGATAAGGTCTCGCTCTGTCACCCAGGATGGAGTGCGGTGGCACAATCTCAGCTCACTGCAACCTCTGCCTCCTGGGGTCAAGCAGTATCTCCCACCTCAGCCTCCTGAGTAGCTGGTATTACAGGCATGTACCATCATGCCTGGCTAATTTTTACATTTTTTGTAGAGATGGGGTTTCATCATGTTGCCTAGGCTGGTGGTCTACGTTATTATGACTGCATGGATACTAATAATGGATAAATCATATGACATACTATGATTACATTTCCTTTCCCATACAACTTTTTATTTTCCCTGCTATTGTTTACTGTCTATATTTTTTCTTTTTTGAGACAGGTCCTCATCCTATTACCCAGGCTGCAGTAACACAATCACAGCTCACTGCAGCCTCAACTTCCTGGGCTCAAGTGATCCTCCCACCTCAGCCTCCTGAGTAGATGGGACTACAGGCATGCACCACCACACCTGGTGAATTTTTGTATTTTTTGTAGAGATGGGGTTTCGCCATGTTGCCCAGACTGGTCTCAAACTCCTGGGCTCAAGAGATTCACCTACCTCAGCCTCCCAAAGTGCTGGGATTACAGGCATGAGCCACCGTGCCCAGCCTGATTACTGTCCATTATTTTTTTGTCGGCTTAGTTCTCTTCATACAAATGATCAATTCTCCCCAAACTGTCAGAAGCGCAATTCTCCTCTCAATATGCTTTGACATATCAGGTAATCCATCGGACTCTTTGTTTCCCTTAAAAACACCCACCTTCCTGCTGCAATCTAGGCTGGCTGCTCTCTAGGCCTGCCCAGATGTTGCCCTAACAACCTCTCTCTCAGGCCAGGCGTGGTGGCTCATGCCTGTAATCCCAACATTTTGGGAGGCCGAGGTGGGCAGATCAACTGAGGTCAGGGATTTGAGATCAGCCTGGCCAACATGGTGAAACCCTGTCTGTACTAAAAATACAAAAATTAGCCGGACGCAGTGGCGAACACCTGTAATCCCAGCTACTCGGGAGGCTGAAGCTGAAGAATAGCTTGAACCTGGGAGGCGGAGGTTGCAGTGAGCTAAGATCGCGCCACTGCACTCCAGACCGGGCGACACAGCGAGACTCCGTCTCAAAAAAAAGAAAAAAGAACCTCTCTCTTTTCCATCATCTAGGAATTCCTTTCACCTCTCCTTTGCGTTGAACTTCCTGTTTCCTAGATTCCGTGGCTTTTTTTTTCCTTTCTTTTTTTTTTTAGAGTTTATGCTCATATTTTGCTGGAGCACATTCCCCAGGGCTTCCTGAGAAAGGAGGCATAGGACTTAAAACCTTTAGATCTTATATACCCTCATACCTGAGTGACCATTCAACTGAGTATAGACTTCTAGGTTGGAAATTCTTTTCCCTCAGAATATTGAGAACACTGCTCCATCATATCCTAGCTTCCAGTGTTGCTGTTGATAAGTCCAACGTAATTCCTTTTCTTGATTCTTTGCATATGATGTTTTTTCTCTGGAAGCTTTTAGGATCTTCCCTTTAATCCCTGGTATTCTGAAATGTCACAGCGGCATATCTTGGCATGGGTCTTTTTATCATTTATCTTGCTGGGTACTCAGCAGGAGTTTTCACTCCTTCAGTTCTAGGAAATGTTCTTGTATTATGTCTTTGAGAATTTCCTTCCTGCTGTTCCCTCCATTCTCTATTTCTGGAACTCCTATTGTTGGCTGTTGGAGTTCCTCAATTGATCCTCCAATTTTCTCATCTTTTCTCTTCTGTTGTCCCTTTGTCTTGTTATTCTGCTTCCTAGGATACCTCCTCACCTTTTATTTTCTAATCCTTCTGCTGAAATTTTTATTTTAGCTCTCACTATTTTTAATTTCCCAGGTTTCTTCTCCTCCCTTCATTACCTTCCAAGTTCCTTTTTTATGTTTGTTTGTTTGTTTGCTTTTTCAATCAGTCTTCCAAGTTGATGGTTTTCCTCAAATAGCCTTGGACTATCTGATTATCTCTGGCTACCAAGAGCTTGGGGTTTTTAAAAACATATGCTGAGGTTTATTTCTTTTCTTTCTTTCTCTCTCTCTCTTTTTTTTTTTAGTTTAGAGACAAGGTCTTGCTATGTTGCCCAGGCTGGTCTCAGACTCCTGGGCTTAAGTGATCCTCCCACCTCAGCCCCCTCAAAATGCTGGGATTACAGGCATAGGCCACCATGCCTGGCCCAGTGTACTGAGGTTTAGTTTACATTAAAATAAAATATACCTAATCTTAAGGGTTCTTGGCTGGTGTTCCTAGATTAGTTCCCATGACACTACCAAGCTGCTTGGAAACTCTGTGTGCAGGTGGGGCTTGCCAGGTGGTGGGCTTCACTATCAAATTACTGGGCTGAAAGGCTGTTCTTTTGTTAGAAGACTTCCAAATGTCGGCTTTTGGAGGCCTTTTTTTCTGGGGCCTTTCAGTTTCCCCAGAGAACAATCCTTTGATCTCATCTGTGTACCTGACTTTGGTGTCCTAGAAGTGGGGGAGTTGAAGGAGGTTGGAGTCCCACTGTTTTAAGTGGAAGGAAGTTGGGGTTCCACTGTTTTAGGCTGCAGATCCCTTTGCCTGCAGGCCTGTTTCACCCCATCCTCCACTGTACTTGGTGACTTCAAGTCAAAGCCTCTTAACTTCAGTTTCTCCAAAGAAGCAACCTCCATCTGCAGGGATGCAGCTGGGAGTGGGGGACTCACTGTCTGGATGGGGTTGGGGAAGGACCAAAAAGACAAGACTTTTTTTTTTTAAGACAAGGTCTCTCTCTGCTGCCCAGACTAGGAGGCAGTGGTGTGAGCATCGCTCACAGCCTTGACCTCCTGGGCTCATCAAGCGATCCTCCCACCTCAGCCTCCTGAGTAGCTAGAACCACAGGTACATGCCACCACACCTAGCCAATCTTTTGTTTGTTTGTTTGTTTGTTTGAGACAGGGTTTTACTATGTTGCCCAGGCTGGTCTCAAACTCCTGAGCTCAAGCAATCCTCCCACCTCAGCCTCCCAAAGTTGGGGGGGGAATTACAGTCATGAACCACTGTGCCCGGACAGAAAAGACTTTCAACATTCCCATTCTCAGGTCCATACTTCATCCTGCCTTCTGAGGATGTACCTTCAGTACCTCTCAATCCTGAGCACTGCTGGGATTCTCTAAGTAGAATAGTTTACTTCTGGTCAGCATCCCAGACCTTATGTGTTTCTACCTTTTTTACTCCTTTTTTCATATTTTAATGAGATTTGGGAAAGCAACAGAGAGAAATAAGTTTATCCAACTCATTGTGTTTAACAGGAAGCTCCCTTTCTTATTCCAGCCAACTCCTATTCATCCTCCATGACCCATTTAGGCACCACCTCCTCCAGGAAGCGTATCTTAACATCCCTAGGCTGGGTTAGGAGCCCCTCCTCTGTTCTCCCACAGTATCCTTTTCTTGACTCCATCACAGCCCTGATCAAACTGTTCTGAAATTGTCTATTTCCATGGCTGACTCTCCCAGCGACTGGGAGCTCCTGGTAGTCAGGCGCTCTGTCTCATTCCTGCTTGGACCCCCAGATCTCAGAGTCTGGCTTCCAGGCGTATGGAGTAAATATGTGGTGACGAAATTAATGAATAAATGAATGACTAAATAAACGAATTGGACCCAGCTAGAGGGACCATCTAGAAAGGGAAATAAGCTGAATACAATTGTCCCTATATAAGGTCAATTCCCTAAAAGCTGTAAGTTCCTTTGATGCTGTGTGTGCAAGGAAGCCTATCGCAGCATGATTTAAACCAGTGAAAAAAATGAGCACAGCTTCTACACCCTACATTAAGAGGATGGTTAAGTCCATCGTGGTATATCAGTTGCCACTAAAAATGATGGTTATGAAGAATATGCAATGACATGGGAAATGCTCAAATGGAAAAATCAAGAACAAAAATTGTATGTGTAAAATCATTTCAACTACATGAAAAAAATGCAGAGAACAAGGGCAAATACACCAGATGCTCAGAGTGGCTGCCTCTGGGTGCTGTAATTATGTGTAATGTTTTTCTCCTCTACTTTTCCTAGTTTTTCTAAATTTCCTAATTTAAAAATGCATTGAAAGTATAATTTTTTAAACGCTACTAAGAAATTAAATTGGTTAAGTAGCCTGAGAGTACTGGGAACAAAATACTGTGAGGCGGGGGGCATAAGAATCAGTGCACATGTCCACCAGGGCTTGCTGGGAAAGCTCTATTCTTCACCGGCCACAGCCTCTGAAGGCCCAGGCCCACAGAACACCCCCTGCTCCCTTCCCTGCAAAGCAGGACCTAGCTCAGGAAGCCAAAGGAGGAGGATCTTGGAGGCCAGCCTATTACGAATCACAATCTTATGGGTTGTACTGATAAACAGAAGGCCCTACACTGGGGCCCACATTTTAGGGGCCACTCTCCATCAGGCAAAAGGTCTGTAATGCCATCAGGACCCATAAGGATCTTTGGCCCTGTCCCTTCTAGGCTGCACTTCAAGCACCAAGGACCTCAGAATTTCCTGCCTAAATTTCTTGGGCTTACTTTCAGGAATTGCATGGTCTTATTACCCAGGTCCATCTGTTAGGACCAAGGAGCGGCCTAAGGGGAAGGGGAGATAGACAGGGCTTGGAGGTGTTGGCTGGGGTATCCACATATCTCAAGGCTCCATATGAACTATGGGAGGGAAGAGAAGTGTGGAGGGCCAAGGGCTTCAACTGGTAACTTGCTTGGGCCCTAGAAATGTAGAGGCAGGCAAGTCTATAGAGCCTTAGGCCTCAGGGTTTGTAGAAGGCCCTAGCCTTCACAGATCTGGGTTCAAATCCATTCATTTGCTGTGCAACCCATGGATGAATCCATTCTCCTCTCTGAACTTAGTTTCCCCAACTATAAAATAGGCATAATAATTCTGACTTCAGAGAATTGTGTTGAGGTTTGTAGAATGACAGTAGTTATGAGTCCAGGCTTTAGGTCAGACAGGCCTGGATTTGGGTCTCAGCTCTGCCTCTTCCAGCTATGCGATTTATGACCCTAAGTTTCAGTTTCTTCATCAATGTAATGGAGATAATAATAGCACTAATATGATACGGTTGTTGGGAGGATTATGGTTATAAAGAATATGTGATAACATTGGAAAATGCTTAAATGAGAAAATGCTGCTTAATAATGGTTGTGCAAACACTGGCTGTGGTGGAGCTGACTGGGCCTTCTGCAATCCCCAGGCTCATGCAGCTTTATTTTCCCCATAGCACTTACCACTACTTGACATATTATGTGTCTTCTTGTTTATTTGTTTCTTTTCCACACCCATCCCAGACATCCATACACTAGAATCTCAGCTCCACAGGGCAGAGGTTTTGTCTATTTTGCTCACTGTTTCCAAGTGCCTTGAACAGTGTGAGGTACTTAGATGTTCTTCAAATTTGAATAGTTAGCCAGGCGTGGTGGCACCAGAGAGAAATAAGTTTCTAGGCCTCCCTCAGCTACTAGGGAGGCTGAGGCAGGAGGATCACTTGAGCCCAGGAATTTGAGGCTTCAGCGAGCTATGATCATGCCACTGCACTCTAGCCTGGGCAACAGAGCACAACCCTATGTCAAAAAAAAAAGTTAACTGGTTATCTGCCATGTAGACAAGGGTAAAAAGGCATTTGGGGCCAGGCACGGCGGCTCATGCCTATAATCCCAGCACTTTAGGAAGCCAAGGCGGGAGGACCGCTTGAGCCCAGGAGTTTGAGACCAGCCTGGGGATCACAGGGAGATCCCGTCTCTACAATGAAATAAAAATTAGCCAGGCATTTTAGTGTGTGCCTATAGTCCCAGCTACTCGGGAGGTTAAAGTGAGAGGATTGCTTGAGCCCAGGTCGAGACCAGCCTGGGCAACATAGCAAAACTCTGTCTCTACAAAAATACAAAAATTAGGTGGGCATGATGGTGTGTGCCTATAGTCCCAGCTACTCAGGAGGCTGAGATGGGAAGACTGCCTCAGCCCAAGAGTTTGAGACAAGCCTGGACAACACAGGGAGACCCTGTCCCTACAAACAACCAAAAAATTAGCCAGGTGTGGTGGCCTATGCCTGTGGTCCCAGCTACTTGGGAGGCTGGAGTGGGAGGATCACTTGAGCCCAGGAGGTAGAGGCTGCAGTGAGCCGTGATCACACCATTGCACTCCAGCCTGGGAGACACAGTGAGACTCTGTCAAAAAAAAAAAAAAAGGGCATTTAGCCATAGGAACAGCCAGAATAAAGTCATGGAAGCATAAAGAAGCCTGACATGCTTAGCAAACTCTACATAGTTCAGTACAACTTGAGTGTAGGGTTAGGAAGGAAACAGAGTGACTTGAGGAATGAGTGGAGCTGTAGCCTTACCCAAAGGAGCATGCAAGCACTTCCCTAAACCACAAGTGGCGTGAAGACCTACTTGTGACAGCGAGGAAGGAGAAAAGCACTAGGGGGAGGTAAAGATGATTCCCAAGTTCAAGTGACACCTAAATCATGACAATGTAAAAAGTAAAAGTAGGCCGGGCGTGGTGGTTCACATCTGTAATCCCAGCTCTTTGGGAGGCCAAGGCGGGTGAATTGCCTGAGGTCAGGGGTTGGAGACCAGCCTGGCCAACATGGTAAAACCCCATCTCTACTACAAATACAAAAATTAGCCAGGCATGATGGTGGGCGCCTATAATCCCAGCTATTCAGGAGGCTGAGGCAGGAGAATCGCTTGAACCTGGGGGGCAGAGGTTGCAGTGAGCCCAGATCGTGCCACTTGACTCCGGCCTGGGTGAAAGAGCGAAACTCCATCTAAAAAAAAAAAAAAGTGAAAGTGAAAACCTTTTGAAAGATGATTCAGGTAGCCAGGCGCAGTGGCTCACGCCTGCAATCCCAGCATTTTGGGAGGCTGAGGCGGGTGGATCACAAGGTTAGGAGTTCAAGACCAGCCTGGCCAAGATGGTGAAACCCCGTCTCTACTAAAAATACAAAAAAATTAGCTGGGCGTGGTGGTGGGCGCGGTGCCTGTAATCCCAGCTACTTGGGAGGCTAAGGCAGAGAATTGTTTGAATCCGGGAGGTGGAGGTTGCAGTGAGCCGAGATTGCACCACTGCACTCCAGCCTGGGCAACAGAGTGAGACTCTGTCTCAAAAAAAAAAAAAAGGAAGATGATTCAGGTAGAGAGGAAGACTCTTTTCTAAGGAAGCCAAGAATCAGACCTAGAAATGACAAAAAGTATAGCGAACAGGTGGATGAGGTAATGGTGTTATGCAAGAAAGTCTCATGAAGATTATTTAAAAAGAAGAAATAGAACCATAGGACAAATCAGAAAGCTTGTTGGATACTGGAATCACTTTTAGTAATGGAGCCAAACAATCCTGAAGGCAAAGATGGCGGTAAAGGACAAAATGAAGGCCATGATGGTTTCAGTTGCTGGCTATCCTTTTGCTGGTGATTATTGTTCCTATAGTCCTTGTTTAACACAACTCACTGTACAGGTTCTGGGATGATAAAAATGATGTTGATGATGATGACAATGATGAGGAAGACTGCTATATACCTCAAATGAAATATTTGTCTATCACTTTTCAAATGTCTTTTTCAGGAAGTAAAGAGAAAAGTATCACTTCACATTTACATTTTGAAGAGAAGAAAGGCAGAGATTACAACCAAGAGAGCCTTGAATACCAGGCAGCACAGCGTGAACCTCATTCTGTAGTTGCCAGGGAGCCCCTGGGAGGCTTGATCCAAGGAGTGATGAGGTCAAAAGCTGCCTCCTTAGAGAATACCTTCCCTAACCTCATGCTCCTTTCAATCATAAGCAAATACTATATGTTATATAATCATAATAAAGTAATAAGCAGACTTTATTTGGGCCTTAGCATATTCTGCCTTATAATAATCCAAATAATCATAAAGTTACTATTTATTTTTCTTATTTTTTATTTTTTGAGACAGAGTCTCACTCTGTCACCCAGGCTGGAGTACAGTGGTGCAATCTCGGCTCACTGCAACTTCTGTCTCCCAGGTTCAAGTGATTCTCGTGCCCCAGCCTCCCGAGTAGCTGGGATTACAGGTGTGCACCACCACATCCAGCTAATTTTTGTATTTTTAGTAGAGATGGAGTATCACCATATTGGCCAGGCTGGTCTCGAACTCCTGGCCTCAAGTGATCCACCTGCCTCAGCCTCCCAAAGTGCTAGGATTACAAGTGTGACCCACCACGCCCGGCCTTATTTATTTTTTTAGACAGGGTCTCATTCTGTCACCCAGGCTGGAGTGCCGTGGCATGATCATAGCTCACTACATCCTTGAACTTCTGGGCTCAAGTAATCTTCTGCTCTCAGTCTCCCGAGTAGCTAAGACTACAGGCATACACCACCACGCCCAGCTAATTTTTTCATTTTTTGTAGAGATGGGGTCTTGCTATGTTGCCCAGGCTGGTCTCAAACTCCTGGCCTCAAGCAATCCTGCCTTGGCCTCCCAAAGTGCTGGGAGTACAGACATGAGCCACCATGCCCAGCCATAAAGTTACTATTTAGTTGCACCTACAGTGGTCCACAGTTGTACCTACTACTTTGCACAGTCTTCATAACTGTTGTGCAAAGTAGTTCTTCTCATTGTATGGATGCAGTCACTGAGGTACGGAGGAGCAATGTGACTTACCCAGACTCACACAGCTAATAAGTAGTAGAGCCGAGATTCAAGTCTAGGTTTGTCTGATTCCAAAACCAATGCTTTTAACTGCTACAGCTGCTGCTTCCTTCTGTCATCCCAGAGCCAAGTGGCACTTCATCTCCCATTCCAGCCTGCAAGCTTGGCCCCTCTCCCTCATCTGTCTCCTGTCTCCCCACCACACAGTGCAGCCCAAAGCCCCCCACCCCATGAACACTCAAGGAGCGCTTCTAGAAGAGACAATCATTCAAGGACGGAAAGGGGGAACACCAAAAAAGGAAGGTGCGGTTAGGCACAGGTATTGTAGCACAGATCAGCTGGGTACTACAATGACAGAGAGAGAGAAGAAGCAAAGGAAAACAGAACTAGCTCTCTAGCCCTGCCTTCTCTCCTCTCTCTGCTGGAGGCAGAGAGATAGAGGTTCAGCCATGATGGGAAAGAGTGGGCGGAAGGGGGAGCAGCTAGCACAGCCTGCTGTTGCAGAAGCCTCAGCTCAGCCTCCAAGCCCCCCCGAGTGCTTGGGGCCCATCTCTGGCCCACTTGCTCCCACCGCCTGGACAAAGAGGCTGGGCTGCCCTCCAAGCACCCAGCCAATCCCGGCAAAGCCCAGCTTACAGCAGACGGAGAGCCTCTCAAGCCACAGAGAGGGCACCCAGAGAGGTGGAGGGGCTGGCCCAGGGGTCCAGAGGGAGGCAGGGGCAGGGCTGGGATCAGAACCCAGGTGTCCGGTTCCTCGGCTGAGGGCTCGCTTGACTCCATGGTCTAGGCAGCAGAGGTTGAGGAAAGGGGTGCTCTGGAGGCCAATGGAGGAATGCTTATGATAAGGGCTGGGGCCAGAAGCAACACAGCTTGGATGACCCCAAATGAGGTCATCCAGGCTTGGCTATGTGGGGGGCCTACTAATAGTTTCCAGTTTCAGTCTGGGTTGAAAAAGCAAAACAACCATTTTTTAAAGTAGCTTTCGCCTTAGTTTCCACCTCAAGGGCATAAATGTTTATCTCCTCTCTCTCCCAGGACCCCACCATAATGAAAGTGAAGGAATAAAATAAAGTATGAACTCATAACAGGGAGGAGGATGGGAGAGGGTGAGATCAGTGGGTGAGAGATTTCAACAAATTTCTGGAAGCAAAAAAACAAACAGCAGGGTGTTCACAGTTGAGGAAGATCCAGGAACACCACTTAGGGGCTTGCAGCTGAGGAGGGAGACAGTCAGGCCAGCAGAGGCCCAGAGAGACTCCAGACTTGGAGATGGTAGCTGCAAGAGAGGGTAGGAGGAACCACGGCACTGGACACAGGGATAAATGGAAGGTAAGTATATGACATCCTTCCTTCCCTGCCACCCCAACCCCCAGACCTAGAACACAGGCCGCCTGGCATTCACCCGTAGGCAAAGTATCAGAGGGCTGCTTGCTAAAGGAATTAAACTATCTAGGATGAGTCAAGACACCTAGTGGCATGTTGGTGCCCCCAAAATAAAGTGCTATTCATTCTGGCCTTTGGGGATTATAACAACCAACTCCCTGCCAGCTCGCCAAAATGAAGCCAGTGAGTGGACAAGCAAGCCTGGATACATAGGCAGCTCACCACTCAGTCAGACTTTCTTTTTTTTTCTTTTTCTTTTTCTTTCTTTCTTTCTTTTTTTTTTTTTTTTTTTGTAGAGACAGGGTTTCATCATGTTATCATATTGCCCAGGCTGGTCTCGAACTTCTGGGCTCAAGCGATCCTCCCGCCTCAGCCTCCCAAAGTGCTGGGATTACAGGCATGAGCCACCACGCCTGGCTCAGTCAGACTTTCTATTAACTTATTCACATACCATAAAATAGAAAGTATGAGAGAAAAGGTAAGCAGCCTACAGGATCAACAGCCTACAGGAAGTTCAACACCCAACTAAGAGACATTCCCAAACAAGAAAACAGAGCAAATTAAGGGAAGGGAATGATCAAAGAAATAACATAAGGAGAGGGCCAGGTATGGTGGCTCACGCCTGTAATCCCAGCACTTTGGGAGGCCAAGGTGGGCAGGTCACTTGAGGTCAGGGGTTCGAGACTAACCTGGCCAACATGGTGAAACCCCATCTCTACTAAAAATACAAATTAGCCAGGCGTGGCAGTGCACACCTGTAATCCCAGCTATTCGGGAGGCTGAGGCAGGAGAATCACTTGAATCCAGCAGGTGGAGGTTGAGCCACTGCACTCCACCCTATGCAACAGAGTGAGGCCCTGTCTAAAAAAAAAAAAAAAAAAAGGCCGGGCACGGCGGCTCATGCCTATAATCCCAGCACTTTGGGAGGCTGAGGTGAGTGGATCACCTGAGGTCAGGAGTTCAAAACTCCATCTCTACTGAAAATACAAACATTAGCCGGGCATAGTGGTGGGCACCTGTAGTCCCAGCTACTAGAGAGGCTGAGATGGGAGAATCGCTTGAACCCGGGAGGCAGAGGTTGCAGTGAGCCAAGATCACGCCACCGCACTCCAGCCTAGGCGACAGAGCGAGACTCCATCTCAAAAAAAAAAAAAAAAAAAAAAAAGAAGAGACTTAGTCCTTCAAACTGAAAGGGCTGCTTGAGTACTATTCAGGGTGAATAAAAAACAGACCTTGTTCTGAATGCTGGTTACCTAGGTGTTTGGTTTGTAAAAAGTGACTATATCACTTGTGATATGGTCATATCACTTCTGATATGAGCACTTTTCTGTATTCATATTATATTTCGGTATGAAGTTTTAAAACAATCCTGGGAGTACAAAGGTTGTGTAACTGTGAGTAATGAGGTATAATTACAGTACACTATTTGGCCCTGCGATGACTAATAGTGACATAGTCATAATCACATAAACAGTGTACTGCCAGGTAATTTTTATAATCAATCTCTCTAGATAAAGCATTGAAAACATAATTATTTTTACAGAATAGAATGCAAATGTAATCTACATTGCTAGATACACAAGTACAGAACATAGAGACTGGGAGGTGGAAGAGGGGAAGGAGAGATGGAGGGAAGGATGGCACTAATAACTATGTCTTACAAAGTACGTGGTCAAGAGATGCTGTGGAAAACTGATGAAATAAGAAGTCAGTTTAAAATAGTACTTAATAAAGTTACAAAGGTAACTAATAGAGGAGCCCACACAATAATAAAACTCTCAAAATCTGGGAGGGGCCGGGCGCAGTGGCTCACCCCTGCAATCCCAGCACTCTGGAAGACCGAAGGATGAGGATCACTTGAGCCTAGGAGCTCGAGACCTAACTGGGCAACATAGCGAGACCCCGTCTCTAAAAAAAAAAAATAAATAAAACTTTGCCAGGTGTAGTGGCATGCACCTGTGGTCCTAACTACTCAGGAGACTGAGGCAGGAAGATTGCCTGAGTTCAGGAGTTTGAGGTCATAGTGAGCTGTGATCACACCATTGTACTCCAGCCTGGACCACTGAGCAAGACCCTGTCTCAAAAAAAAAAAAAAAAAAAAGTGGGAAGGAGTGTTGAGAAAGAGTCAGCTGTTGTAAATAAGCTAAATTATTTTGTCATGGTAGGAAAAAGTCAAGATAATGTTTAAAGTTGATAAATAGGAAATACCCATTCAAGCACGTTATTTAGAGATATGAAGTTACCGCCAGAAGAACTAAATGGGAAAAGTGGTTGCATCTGGGGCTGAGAAGCAGGGGATAGGAAGACGTCAGTTTTTTACTACATGAGTCCTTATGTACTACTTTGCCTTTTGAAAATTGTGCATGTGCATTGCTTTGATTTAGTTTGTCAAAACAAGCCCTTCTCTTTCTTTAGAACTCTGGCTTCCACACTGTAAATATGAAATGGGCAGGCTGATGATTCTGGGTGACATGAGGTCCTGTTCTCCAATATCTATGCTTCTTTTGAGAACAGGAGGTAAGAGAGGCGGGTGACGGGTTGGCCCCTCCTAACTAACCCCTTGGTTCCTCACAGCCATCCACACAGATACTGTCTTGGCTGCCCCAGCCTGCTCCACCTCTGGTCCTCTTCAAATCCCACCATCGCCAGTCCAGCCTCTTCAGCCTTACTTTCATTCAACTATTTACACCCATTAGTTATTTATACCTGCTTGAGTCACAAAGGATTTGAGGGTGCTTACTCCAAGAACACAGAATAGAAATTGAACTCGAAAATAAGTCCAAAAAAGAAATCAACAAAGATGCTAGAGCTATGCTTCAAATTAACTGGTGGCTGAGGCAAAAAGGAAGATACAATGAGCTATGACAGCCTCACATTAGGAAGGAAGAAATATACCAGTTTTCAGGGGAAGCAAAGCTTTGATTCGTTAAGTCATTGTCCATGGGAGATTTCATGAAAGAGAAGAAAAATGACTATTTACGGAGCACCTACAGTATCAGGGAATGCCATCGAAATTATCTATTTACGGAGCACCTACAGTATCAGGGAATGCCATCGAAATTACCTTGGCTAACCTTGAGAAATATGCCAGGCATGGTGGCTCACGCTTATAATCCCTGCACTTTAGGGGGCCGAAGTGGGAGGATTGCTTGAGCCTAAGAGTTCAAGACCAGCCCAGGCAACAGAGGGAGACTCTGTCTCTACAAAAAAAATTAGCCGGTCATGGTAGTGCATGTCTGTGGTCCAAGCAACTTGGGAGGCTGAGGTAGGAGGATCACTTGAACCCAGGATGTCGAGGCTGCAGTGAGCTGTGATCGCACCACTGTTCTCCAGCCTGGCTGATAGAAAGAGACCCTGTCTCAAAACAAGCAAGCAAGCAAACAAACAAACAAAAAACTTGAGAAATAGGCATAATAGGCATTGTTATCCCATTTTACAGAAAAACTAAAATTCAGAAAAGGTAAAATGACCTAGCTGAGGCCATCCTGCGGGTTGGGGTGGAACATAGATTCAAATCCAGGTCTGTCTGTCTCCAAAGCTCGTTCTTTATGTATCATATCATCGAGCCTCAAAACAAAGACACCCGGGGTAGAGCTGCCCAGCCCAAGGTAATGGGGATATACTAAAGACAGACACAGGTCCACCCTCTTCCATGAAAACAGAAAAACAGGGATGAGAGACCTGGCTGTCAGGCCAGAAACTGCCTCTGAGCTGCCTCAGTTACAGTAAATGAAGCCACGTAAGACAAAAAACAGCAGAAAGAAGGCTGGGCCTGAGCTAGGGGGAGAAAGAGAACAGCACATTTAAGAAAAGATGCACTGGGCGCAGTGGCTCACACCTGTAATCCCAACATTTTGGGAGGCCGAGGTGGGCGGATCACCTGAGGTCGGGAGTTCGAGACTAGCCTGACCAACATGGAGAAACCCTGTCTCTACTAAAAATACAAAATTAGCTGGGTGTGGTGGTGCATGCCTGTAATCCCAGCTACTCGGGAGGCTGAGGCAGGAGAATCCCTTGAACCCAGGAGGCGGAGGTTGCAGTGAGCCGAGATCGCGCCATTGCACTCCAGCCTGGGTGACAGAACGAGAGACTCCATCTCAAAAAAAAAAAAAAGAAAAGAAAAGAAAAGATGCTCTGAATGCTGGCATTCATACTAGGGTGACTCTTCTAATCAGCGTTCTCTTTTCTGCTCACACCCTGACTGGCCTTATACAAGTCCTTTCTCTCTCTGGGCCTCAGTCTTTTCATCTGTAAAATGAATAGCTTCAGTTGGATGATTTGTCAGAGTCCTTCCAACTTGTGATTTCTTGATTTCTATGCTGGTATTATTAAAACCCTACTGGTCATGAACGCTGCCACTCCTCTGAGCTTCCAGAGCAGGCTGCGCTCCCCTCCATCATCATCTTTCTCCCCACATAGGTTATCTCTACTCCCACTGCCCAAGCACAGGCCTGATCATCTCTCATCTAGACTGCTGTACCAGCCTCCTCCCTGGATACCCTCCAATCTATCTTCCAAACTGCCCTCTAGGGGGATCTCTCCAAAACGTGGCTCTTGACATGTTCTCCCACACCACAATAAGCACCTCTCCCCCAGTTTAAAATGCTACTTGGCCAGGCATGGTGGCTCATGCCTGTAATCCTAGTACTTTGGGAGGCCAGGGCAGGTGGCTCACCTGAGGTCAGGAGTTTGAGACCAGCCTGGCCAATATGGCAAAACCCTGTCTCTACTAAAAATACAAAAATTAGCCAGGCATAGTGGCACACGCCTGTAATCCCAGCTACTCGGGAGGCTGAGGCAGGAGAATTGCTTGAACCTGGGGCGGGGAAGAGGCTGCAGTGAGCTGAGATCACGCCACTTCACTCCAGCCTGGGCGAAAGAGCAAAACTCCGTCTCAAAAAAATAAAAACAAAAACAACACAAAAACAAAACAGCAGAAAGCTCCTGACGCTGCTAGTGAAGTGTCCTCAAGATGTGAGCCGGCCAACCCTCCAGACTCCCCTGCGAGTCTCTCTGTTTGTGCTCTAGTTTGTACTGAACTCATAAAAAAACAAAACAAACAAACAAAAAACCTCCCCATACACATATCCTGCTGGGCCCATACCTCTGTGTGTTTGCTCATGCTGGCCCCTCTGCCTTAACCTCCCTTTTGCCCCCAATTCCCACCAACCCACATGCTGTCCTTCTTCACCTAGCTAACTCAAACTCATCCTCCAAGCCTCAGCTCAGGTATCACCTCCTCCAGTAAGCCTTCCCTGACAGTCCAGGGTGATGTCTCTCCTTTGAGCACCTGTGGCCCCCTGTGCTCCCCTCTGGCATGACACACTGGATAGCACACTGCAATCGTCTATTTCCACCACCACCTTCTCCACCCAATTATGAGCACCTTGAAGCCAGGAACTATATACTAATCATAGAATTCTCTGCCTGTGATGGCACAAGGCATGGCACATCCTGGCATGCAATGTTCACTGGACTGACCTCTCTCTCTGAAATGTGGTGAGCTGCCACATGGTTTCTCCTCCTGTCCTCCCACAGCACAGAGCTTTACAGAGTTATTATTAATAATAATGGCTATCGCTGAGTAAACACATACTGTGTGCTCAGCGCTTCACCTACGTCATCTTATTTAATTTTCACAACCATCACAATGAGATGGGTTGTTTATGAATTGGCTGGCATATCAGATATACAGTTGTGAGAGATGCCTCTCAGATTTATAAGAAAATGTGGGGGAAGAGCCAAGTTAGGTACTTTTCATCACAGATATAATGACAATAATTCTAAAGTGGTTATATGAAGGAAAATATTGGTTTTATTCAGGTGAATGCAGTATGCTGTATCCTGGAATCCAGCAGGAAATCACAGGGCCTGGATATGCAGTCCTATCACTCCTTTAAAAAGGTATAAAAATCACATCGCTCCAACGAAATGCACTAGTGAAACATTAGTGAAATGGTACCTATTAGGTGATGATAGTGATACATTTACATCTAAAATGTTGGAGGAATAATCCTGATCAGCCGTGTAGCTCTGGCTTGTCATCTTTGTTTTGAAAGGGATGCGATGCATCGGTCTTTGCATTGTTGTGTGTTTGCCACATTCCGCCTCTAGGGGGCAGGGCAGTCTCATGTATTATTTTCCATTCTCAGCTTTCCAGCCTGATCAGGACCTTGATGTACGGTATGCCAGGCAGCCAGGAAATTTTCTGATACAATTTTTTTGAGGGAGGTAGGGGGCTGGCAACATGAATCTCATGCATCAGAAAATACAGTTTTATTCCTATTTACTACTTGAGAAAACTGAGGCTCTGAAAGTGAAGTGATTTGCCTAGAGTTACACAAAGTCCTTCCATGGCACCACACTTTCTCTGAATGCTAAGGTCCCAGAGAGCTTCAGCTACTAAGCACTGGGGAATGGGCTTCCCCGTGTAAATGCTTCCAACAGGCAGGCTTGGAGAGAAACCAAATACCATGAGGAAGTTATAGTAACTGGCAAATTATGTTGCCCTAAACGAGCTTCCCCAAAAGAGGAAGTAAGTCACTTACTAAGCATTCTTCCCCATGACCAATGTTTATGATCCTGCCAGGGAACACTGCAGTGAGTGAGGCAGAGGGGCCAAGTCTTATGTCAACCCTGAGATACCATGTCCAGCTCAGGGTCTGAGCTCAAGAAAGGTTTGATGGATAAATAAGCAACTTCCCACTGGGCTGAGTGAACTGCACACAGGTCCTGTGCAGGCCTCTTTGCTCCTTTCAGAACAGAAGACTTGGCATCGAGGGTCAGGACCACAGCCTGACATGGCAGGGAGAGATAATGATCAGCAGATTGGTCTAAATGTCTCCAAAGTCTCGTCCAAGTCTGCTACCTTGACATTCTATGAATCGGAAGGCTGGTGAGCGTGAGAAGAGACAGCAAAGGCCAAAATGGCTCCAGGGAGCATGAGAAAAAAGCCACAGAAAAGCCAAAAGAATTTATTTTTCCTTAGGGATGGGATCTCAATTTGTTGCCCAGGCTGGAGTGCAGTGGCACAATCATAGTTCACTGTAACCTCAACCTCCCTGGCACAAGTGATCCTCCCGCCTTGACCTCCCAAAGTGCTGGGAGCTACTGTGCCTACCCCAAGAGAATTCTGAAGTTGTCATTTCTTACTACAGGAGTCCTGGAAGGAAGAAAAAATTAGGTACCTTTGGCTATTAGTTCAGCAGGACTCAATCAGACATTCATTTATCTACTCAGTATTTATTAAGCAGCTACTATGTGCTGTGCTATGTGTTTCCAAGCTTTTAGCTCCTTCACTCATGCCCACAGCACCTAACACAGAACCTGACACACAAAATGCACTCAGTATATGTCAGTTAAATGTAAATCTGAAGGGGGTCTCAGTCTAACAGAGGGGACATGAGATGTAAACAACCATGAAGGAATAAAAAGGGGCAATGTGCTCATTGAGAGGGTCAAGGATAGACCAAACATCAGAGACACCAGCAAACAGACATAGGAGAGGTAACAGCTGAGTCCAGCCTGGGAACTGGGTACAGCAGCCCAAGAGAAGGGAACAACATGAGCAAAGACCTAGAGGCTAGCAGAAGGCCTGAGTGGGCTAACCAGGGGGGCACACGGGTCAGCCTGGCTGGAGCATAGTCTGTACAAAGACGAGAGGAAAAAGGCAAACTGGGGACAGATCCTAAGAAGACCATGCAGGGCAGGCGGAGGAGTTCTCAGGCCAAAGAGAGAGTGAAACTACTGGAGCTGGACTGCAGAACATGGTCTGGCTGCACCTCATCAGAGGCTTGATGGAGAGAGAGCAGGAGGGGCAATCTACTAGGAGACCATGGCCAAAATTCAGGGGGTGATGGTGAGAGGGAGCCTGCCTAGAGCAGGGGTCCTGGGAGCTCTGTTGGAGGAAGCTAGAGCCACATACCTGGAGTAGCTCTGATGTCTTTAAAGCCCACCTGCGGGAGGCAGCGGTGTACCATAGGTTTGGAAGCCAGACAGTTCTGGGCTCCATCTGCCTGAATAACCTCGGGCAGGTCACTGTACCTCTCTGATCCTTGTTTCCTTGTCTGAAAAAATGAAGATAATAGGCTGGGCGCAGTGGCTCATGCCTGTAATCCCAGCACTTTGGGAGGCAGAGGTGGGCGGATCACCTGAGGTCAGGAGTTCGAGACCAGCCTGACCAACATGGTGAAACCCCGTCTCTACTAAAAATACAAAAATTAGTCGGGGGTGGTGGCACGTGTTTGTAATCCCAGCTACTCGGGAAGCTGAGGCATGAGAATTGCTTGAGCCCAGGAGGTGGAGGTTGCAGTGAGTCAAGAGTGTGCCATTGCACTTCAGTCTGGGCAACAAGAGTGAAACTCATAAAACAAACAAACAAACGAACACACCCATCTGACAGGGGCTCTGTGCAAATGAGGTAAGAAGTAGTGCTCCAGGGTGGGTTAGAACACTGCGGACCCTGAAGCCCAACTCCCTGGGCTCCTCCAGCTCCTTCACAGTTCTGCCACTTATTCATTGAGTGATCCTGGGTATGCTATCCAACCTTTCTGGGCCTCAGTTTCCTCATCTGTAAAATGGAGTTAATAACAATATCTACACGAGAGGATTCATGTGGAGATTGAATGAATTAATACATGGAAAGCGCTTAGAACAAATAGTGCTTAGCACACAGTAAGAGCAGTGAAAAAATGTTAGCTATTATTACATAAAGTCACATAGCGTGGGGCCTGGCAGAAGGCTGAGACTCACTCGGTACACGTGTGGCCTCTTCCCCATGCTCCAGGCCTTTACTCTGCGCCCAGCAAATTCAGAGACCTTGGTAGGCAGGGGTGGGACAGATGAGGAAAGGGCAGGCAGCAAGTCTGGTCTGACGTCTTCCTCCCAGCTGCCACCTCCATGAAGGGACCACTCACATTCCTTCCATACCCCTCATCCCTCACCCACCGCCCAGGTACTCAAACAGCAGCCTGGCCTGGCCTGATCCCTCCTTCCTCTGAGAACTTCCACTCCTCACCATTCTTGCCACTCATTTTGTCCTGAGTGTTGCCTCTATGGCATGGCTAGGCCTGCAACCCTGTCTCCCTGGATGGAGGGGAGCAGGGGTTCTGCAAGCGCTAAGAGTGCAGTGTTTGCTCAGCCTCGTGGCCCCTCCTGCGCTGTGCACACAGCCAAGAAATGTTTGTAGATGATAACAACCCCATTCTTGCCCCAGATCTAGATAGAGAAGCAAGACTCTCATTCTCATTAAATTCAACATTACCATTTCCTCCCACACGAAGATAATGCTCACAACACAGTGGGAGGGAAGATAAATGGTTTTCCCTCCTGGGAAGGAGAGACACCCCCTGGGAAAAGTACCCAAGACCCCAAAGGAGAGACTTCCCTGAGCCTCTCCCTGGGCTCACTGTCTCACGTGCTGTCTCTCAGTGGCCTTAGCCCCTGCGGGGAGCATGCTGACATCCCACTGCAAGCAGACGACAGCATGTGGTAGACCATACACTGCCCTAGCTGTCAAGAATACCACGTTGGGCCGGGCGTGGTGGCTCAGCACTTTGGGACGCCAAGGAGGGAGGACCGCTTGAGCCCAGGAGTTTGAGACCAGTCTGGGCAACACAGAGAGACCCCGTCTCTGCTTAAAAGAATTGGGCGGATAGCAACTAGAAGGGCCAGCCTGGTGTTCCTTTTTTGCAATTATTGCTCACTGCAGCCTCAAACTCCTGAACTCACTTGAGTAAGCTATGTTCGCAACACTGCACTCCAGCCTGAGCAGCAGAGCAAGACCCCTGTCCCAAAAACAAACCAAAACCAAAAAAAAAAAAAAAAGAAAAAGAAAAAAAACACCACCAGGCCAGCCCCTCTAGTTGCTATCTCCAAGTGTAAGCCAGCTTGCAGGGTGGATGGGGGTGGGGGTAAAGGAAGGAGAGTTGCCACCATACCAGCTTCAGCCCACCACCGCCTACAGCAGAGCCGGAGCTGGGCCCATGCAAAGAGCGTGGGAAACGCAGCTCTTCAGCGTGGAGCAACTCAGCAGGGGCCCCTAGCACTCCTATATATCACTCTAGGTGGCAGGACTGCAAGGGGGCCAAGCCAAGATCAACAACAAAAGCAGAGCTATTCTCTAATCAACCAGGCTTGGGGGGGTATGTGGACAATTCCAGGTAAAAAGACCTGAGCATTAGTCAGGACCAACGACTAAAAAGCAAGCAAACAAAACCTTCGCGTACAGAGGACCCAGGACCAAAAGGAGACAGGGACGCATCTCACTCTATCTGCACTAGAAAGGCCACACCCTGAGCACAGCAGAAGGGATACTGGCATCCTGGAACCTGTCCAGAGGGGACGGTGCAGGAGGATATGGGAATCCTGGGTGGATGACATGGATGGGGGTGGACATGACAGCTGATGTCCAATGCAGTAGAGGGAAAGTTCACAGGATTGGGAGTCTGTCTTATGAGTAATGTAAGCTCTGGTGGGCTTCACTTCTCTGATCCCCCAGTTTCTTCTGCTGTAAAATGTGGATCGTGGTGACAGAAGCACGGGATCATTGGGAGGACTAAAGAAAGTCCCTAGGCACAGCGGGGCCCCCCCAACAAGCTGCAGCTCGGCCCAGGCACCACTCTCCCCTCTTCCTCCACCAGGGGGAGCCTGGGGACCAAGAGAGCCCAGCCTGTACCCGCTCTACCTAGCCTCCCCCAATGCTGCAGCCTCTGCTGCTAAACTCCCACCCTGCCTGCCCTCGCTTCCAGCGGCTTCTCACCCACTCCTTACAAACCCAGAACAGACCTAGCAGGGGAGTCGCTTGCAGCAGCAGCAGTGACAGCAATGGCTACTGCATCAACAGGCCCTCCTGATGCCAGGCCAGGAGGGAGAGTGGAAAGGAGGGAGACAGAGCCTTCTTCCCTGCCGCTGTCAACTCCCCACTCATCCCAGACTCATCTCCTCCTGCTCAAATCCTCTAGAGACCTAAGGCTCTCCTGGCCTCTCCTAGCTCAGTGCCAGGCCAGGTCCTGAGGCTAAGAGACTCCTGTGGGTTGGAGAGCTCTAGAGAAAAAAATACCAGGCCTTGGAGACAGGAAGACTTGGGTTCTAGTCCCAGCTCCATTAGCAACTAGTAGGGTAACCTTGAGTGAGGTCCCTTCATCTTGGAGCCTCAGTTTCCCCATCTCTAAAATGCAGTTGCCAACACTCACTGCAGAAGGCTTGTTGTGAAGTCAAAAAGAGGTAATAATGGGTGTGCAAATAGTTAATATATGGTCAGGAGAGAAACTTAAAGTACTACCTAAACCCCTTTATTAATCCAGTAGGAAATGCAAAGCAAGGAAACGCAACAAGCAACCTGGGGGGGTTCACAAAAAGAGGGAAGGACCAAGAGGTAGGCCTGCACGGATAGCAGAAACATGGAGCTCAGGAGCAAACAGGCAACCAGTCAGCCAAGAGATTCAGACCAATGTCTGCAGGGTGGAGAGCCAGAGTCATGGAATCCCATAACTGGGGACGACCCAGGTCATTTCACTGGGCTTTCTACCTGATTCAGGAATCATGCTTCCTCCAGTTCTCCCAGACTCCCACCCGAGCTCCGCTGAGAGCTCCAGGTCCATCCAGCTCCCACCTCCACCTCTCGAGGCAGTCCACTGCACCACCAGAATGCCAGGTTGGAAAGTTCTTCCTAATCTATCTCAAATGTTCCCACTGTTTCGGGTTCTGCTCACTGAAGCCACACATAATGAGTCCGCTCCCTCTGTCACAGGCCTGACCCCTCTAGAAAAGTCTTCTGCAGCCAGGCTCGACCATACCCCATGCAGTCTTCCTCTGCCCCCGGCCCACCATGACCCTCCCTGAATGGACCTTGGTCTACCTCTGTCCCTCTTCCAGTGTGGCGCCCCAAGGCACACAGTCGGTCCTCCCGGACTGAGCTCGCAGCAGCCCTGCCTGGGCAGGAAAGCCCATTTCCTTTGCCCCCAGACTCCTCAGGGGCAGTCCACACTAAAATTCAGCTTAGGGTGTGCTGCAGTGGAGCCCAGCCGAGCCCTCAAGCTACAGCTGCTGCTCCTGGGGCCCAGCCATCTCAACCCAGCACCCCAGCCTGCTGCCTCACCACGGGGGAGTTGCAGAGAGCTGTCTCCCGGCAGATTTCCTGAGGCAGAAGGTTTCCCCACCCCCAGCCCAGCCTCCAAGAGACACTCCACTGGTTGTGGCACATGGTAGGACCAGCTGAGCAGTGAGAGGAGGGGGAAGCCTGTCCATTCGCTACAGGACTTCAGACTTGCTCTGTAGTGTGGCTGGATTAAACATAGAACCATCAAATCTGAGCTGGAGGGGTACTTCAAGATCATCCAAGGCAGACCTTGCCATTTAAAAAGATACGGGGGAACTGATGGCCTAAGAGAGAAAGAGACTCAGTCAAGGTCACAAAGCCAATCTGCAGCAGAGCTGGAAGGGGAACTCAGGTCTCCCAACTCCCAGCTCAGTGTTCCTTCGAATACGGCAGAAAAGAAATAAGGGAGCCTTTAGGGCAGCCTTGGGAGTCTGCACGCCCTTGACTCTCTCAGCCTGATACATGTAACCCAATCAGCTCACCATGGTATCTACACAGAAAAAGTGGACCCAGCCCATGTCCCACCAACCCAAGAGATAGTGCCAAGGTGTCCCAAATAGACACACAGACCCCAGTGCAGGAACTGGAACCGATCCAGCAGAGGGGCAATCTAGACTTCCCTTCCCGGTAGGGCTCTTTAAATGGGTGTTGTTTTTCTTGAAGGGTGGAGAGGGGGTGGACTTTGAGGAACTAGCCAAGGGCTTGGCCTCCATCTTTGCTCCCCCATCTTTGCTCCCCCCGGCCAGAATGTGCTGCAGTTCCCTTCAGAGGGATGTCTCAGCCTCCAGCAGCCATTCTGGTCCCCACCTGCCTCTTTGGTAAGGGATGGAGCTGAGGCGGCCAGAGGAGAAAAGATCAGGCAAAAAGAAAAAGGAAAAAAAAAAAAAGGCGGGGGTGGGGGGCTTTCTCTCCCCTGGGGCTCTGAGTAGACACCCTCGCCGACCATAAAAATTCCAACCAGCATACCCAAAATAAATAAATAAATGAAAACCTATCTTCTGGCAAGGATGCAGCTAGGGGTTGAAGAAGTGGAGGCGGGGGAGGCGGCGATGACTGCTCTAGTCCCTCGCTGGCCGCGGTACCGGGAAAGAAGAGACGCCTGCACTCATCTGGCCAACCCAGCCTGGGGTGGCCAGGGAAGGGGTGTCGGCTGGATGAGGGGGACCTGGCTTCTCCTGGCGGGTTGGGACAGGAGAGGAAGACACGGAACCAGACACTGGCTTCTTACTCTATCAGCTGGACAAGTTGGAGAGGGATCTAGAGGGAAGAGCCGGGGGTACAAACACACATTCCTTACTTTCTCTGGAGGGTCGTGGCCGGGCTGGTGCTGGTACTGGTGCTGTGGCCTCCGCCGGCGCCGGGACTGGAGCTCCTGGATGCGCCACGGCTCAGCTGGCCCCGCTCCCGCGGTGGCCGCGGCCCCACGCCCACCGCCGCCGAATAGCCCGCTTCCTTCTCGCGGCCCGGGTGCGCCGGCCCGGCCTCCCGCCCGCCACGCTCGCGACCCAGGGCTGGGTTCTCGTGGTGCAGGTGGCACTGGGCCACGTCACGCTCGCGGGCTGTGTAACCGGTAGTGTCCTGGAGCGGGTAGGAGGCGTCCCGCTCCTTGTCCCGATACACAGCCTCCCGATTCTGGTAGGCGCCTTCCCGGTTCGGGTAGCCCACGTCCCGGGCCGCCTGGTGGAACTGGCTCTCCCGCAGCTCGCGGTGGTGGAACTGGGTCTCGCGCAGGTTCTGGTACTGGCTCTCGCGGCCCGGGCTATCCCGCGCGCCGTGGGGGTCCCGGTGCAGCTCCCCGCGGTGCAGCTGGCTCTCCTCTCGCAGGTCGCGGTTCTCCTGGGTGAGCTGGTCCAGCTGGCCCTCCAGCTCCTCGATGCGCCGCCGCTGGGTTTCCAGCAGCTGCTGCTGGCTCTCGATGATGTTGTTCAGCTCCAGCAGGTACTCCACGGCCCGATTTGGGCTCTCGGATCCCGGGCCGCCCGGGGGCCCCGACCCCGCCTCCATCCTGGCGGCCCAGGGGCAGGGGAACGGGCAGGAGAGCCCTGTCCCCGCTCTCTCACGGCGCCACCCTCCCCCGGGCCCAGCCGGGGGAGGGGGCCGGCGGGACGCGAGGGCGCGCACCGGGCTTGAGGGCCCGGGGGCCCTAGGGGGCCCGGGAGACAGCGCTGGGGCCGGCGGCACGGGGAGCAGGAGCTGAGGCTGCCGCCGCCACCACCACCACCACAGCCACTGCTCGGGAGGACGCGGCCCACGGCGCTCCGCCCGCTGCGGAGTCACTGCGCAGCGCGGCCGCGCGGGACCGCCCCGGCCGCCGGCCCGCCCCCCGCCCCTGCCCCCACCCGGCTCGCCCGGCCCGCCCCCGCGCGCCCCACCTGCGGCTGCCACCCGCACCCGCAGCTGGACTGGCCCCAAGGCACCGGCGCCCGGCCAGGGCCAGCCCCCATGACAGCCCGCAAGAGATCTCTCCATTCCACCCGTCCCTGGGTCCTCACTTAACGGAGCCTAAAGAAGCCCTCCTTCCCAGAGTCCGCCCGTCCCTCGGGTTCGCCAGGTTGGGGATCTTCATCCAAAGCCATCCCGGGAGGAACCCCCATCCCAGGCAGTCCCCAGGTCCCGACAACCCGTGGACTCCCCATGCCCTAGGTCTGCCAATCCCAAGCAGTGTCAGATTCCCCTTCCTAGCCAGCCCCTGTGTCTTCTACCTCAGGCGACCTCCCTCCAGCCCCCATCATGGGCAGTCGTCCCTGAGTCTCCCATCCTGGCCAGTCCCTTGACTGTCTGCAGCTGCCCTCATCCCAGGCATCCCTTGGGACTCCCAAAGGATGCGCACACACACACTCATGTACAACATCGCAGGCATCTCCCACTCCAGCCAGCCCTTACACTCTCCATTCAAACCAGTGCCCAGATCTCCTACCCCAGCCAACCCCAGAATCCCCCATCTCAGCCAGTCCCCGGGTCCTCTAACCAAGGCAGTCCAGGATCTCTCAACTCAACAAGCCCTGGGACTCCACATCACAGCCAGTCTTGGGATCAAGGCTCCATTCATTCAACCAACCCTCATTTCCTGCTCTCTTTTAGAAATGCTCTCCCCATTCACTCCATCATCCCCATCCACTGAAACTGTACCCATCCTTCAAGACTTAACTCAAATGCCACCTTACTGAAGCCAACCCTGATTTCCTCAGCCAGAAGTGCAAGTTGCTGCTCTCTCTCTCTCTCTCTCTCCCCTCTTGACCTCCTGCTGCACTCCCTATCTTGTGGAATTTGTGGAACAAGTGGAACTTGCTTTACAGCACATTCGTCTGTGTTCTTGTTTTATGTCCTCTGCCAGACGGAGCTCCTTAAAGACAGAAACGTGTCTTAATTTATCTTTGTGAGCAGGTTGGGTTAGAGGAGAAAACATGAGTTTTACAGTCAGACAAAACTGGATTTAAATTCCATCTTCTCTCTTAATTTCAATTTCCCTATCAATAACAGCTACCTGACAGGGTGGTCTTGGATAAAAGCATGCAAAAAACACCTTGCACAGAAAAGACAACCCACAGAATGAGAGAAAGTATTTGCAAATCATGTATCTGATAAGGGACTTGTACGTAGAATATATAAAGAACTCTTACAGCAACAAAAAGACAACTATTTTTTTTTAATGGGCAAGGAATTTGAATAAACATTTCTCCAAAGAAGATATACAAATGGTCAATAAGCACATGAAAAGATGCTCAACATCATTAACCATCAGGGAAATGCAAATCAAAACCACAATGAGCTCTCAGTGCTACCCATCAGGCGTTTCCTGCATTCTCCCATAACCTAAAGGGAAACTTCCACAATGTCTGGAGCCCTTAATGTCCTGCAGATGAAGGAAGAGATATCCTCAAATTCCTTGCAGCAGAACCCCACTTGAATGGCACCAACCTTGACTTCCAAATGGAACAGTACATTACAGAAGGAAAAGTGGTGGCATCTACATCATAAATCTGAAAAGGACCTGGAAGAAGATTCTGCCATTGTTGCCATTGAAAACCAGACTGATGCTAGTATTATATCTTCCAGGAATACTGGCCAGTGGGCTGTGCTAAAGTTTGCTGTTTCCACTGGGGCCACTCTTATTGCTGGGCACTTCACTCCTGGAACTTTCACTAATCAGATCCAGGCAGCCTTCCAGGAGCCACGTCTGCTGGTGGTTACTGATCCCAGGGCTGACCACTAACCTCTCACAGAGGCATCTTATATTAACTTGCCTATCATTGCTCTGGGTCACACAGAGTCTCCCCTGCACTGTGTGGACACTGCCATCCCATGCAACAACCCAGGAGTTCCCTCAGGGGGTCTAGTGTAATGGATGCTGGCCCAGGAGGTTCTGCACGTGCGTTGTACCACCTCCCGTGAACACCCATGGGAGTTATGCCTGATCTCTATTTCTGCAGAGATCCTGAAAAGATTGAAAACGAAGAGCAGGCTGCTGGAGAAAAGGCTGTGACCAAGGAGGAACTTCAGGGTGAATGGACTGCGCCAGCTCCTGAGTCTACTGCTATTCAACCTGAGGGTACAGACTGGTCTGAAGGCATGCAGGTGCCCTTTGTACCTATTCAATAATTCTCTACTCAAGTTTGGAGCACTCAGCCTGCCACTGGAGGCTGGTCTGTAGCAGTCACTCTCAGATAGCTGACTGGATAGGAATAACCACTGAGTGGTCTTAAGCTATTCTTCCACAGGCTCTTGAACAGAAAACAGAAATCAGATTGACGGAAAATAAATATCAGTTTCTTAAACACACACACACACACACACACACACACACACACACACACACAGAGATACTACTTCACATCCACTATGATAGCTAAAATCCACAGAACAGACAATGAGAAGTGTTAGCGAGCATGTAGAGAAATTGGAACCCTCATTCATTGCGGATGGGAATGTAAAATGGTGCAGTCACTTTGGAAAGCAGTTTGGCAGTTCCTCAAAATGTTAAACATAGAGTTAGCATATGATCCAGGGATTCCACTCCTAGGTATATATCCAAGAGAGATGAAAACATACATCTACATAAAAACTTGTACATGAATGTTCACAGCAGCATTATTTGTAACAGCCTGAAAGTGGAAGCAACCAAATGCTCATCAGTTGATGAATGGATAAACAAAATGTGGTATGACCACACAATGGAATAGTATTCAGTCATTAAAAAGGAATCAAGAACTAATACAGGCTAAAACACGGATGAACCTTGAAAACATTATACTAATGAGAAGCCAGTCACAAAAGACCACATATTGTATGATTCCTTTTATATGAAATCCTAGAATAGGCACATCTATAGAGACAGAAATTAGAGTAATGGTTGCCGGGTCTGGAGTGTGGGTGGCAAAATGGGGAAAGACTGCTAACGGGTATGGGGCTTTTTTGGAGGGGGATAAAAATGTTCTAAAATGAGGCTGGTCCAAAGGCAGTGAGTTATCTCAATTGGTTGTTCACAGTCAATTACAGATCGAACTCCTTGTTCTACTCTTTTCCCATCTCTCACTACTGCACTTGACTAGTCTTAAAAAAAAGAAAAAGAAAATGTTCTAAAATTAAACTATGATGATGGTTGCACAATCCTGCCCATATACTAAAAACCACTGAATTGTACCCTTTACAAGGGTGAATTTTATGGTATATAAATTATATCTCAATAAAGCTTTATTAAAAAAAACACCTTGCACAGAGCTATCACATAACAACACCTACAATGGTAATAGTTAACATGTCTCTGGCGCTTACTGTGTGCCAGGCACTGTGCTACACACTTTACATATAAGGACTCACTTAACCCTCATGACAATCCTATGTGGTAGGTACTATTATTACCTCCCATCTTACAGATGAGGGAAGTGAAACAGAGAGGTTGAGTGACTTGCCCAGGGTCACACAGAGGCATAGTGAGGATACTCAGATGATTCATTCTCACTTCTCACTTTATATTTTCCCTCAGTACCTTGTACAAAATAAGTGCTCCATAAATGTTAAAGTAATACAGTATATCCACCAAATATGTCCATTCATCCAACAAACACTAGCAGAACATTATGTTCTAGGCAATGCGTATGTTTCCGTCCTTATCTTGTTTCTTCTATTGTTCAGATGCCCTCTGGGGTTAAAGCAGATGGGTATTTAGATTTATTTACAAACTATTTTGTCTACAATAAGTAAAGTACTGCTGTCCACCACTGAGGATATAGCAATGAACAAAATAGGACAACGATCCTTAACCTCATAGCGCTAACATTCTAGTGGCAGAGACAGACAAGAAGCAAATGGAATATGTAGGGCGCACTGGATGGTGAATGAGGTTGAATAATGTCCCCCCAAAATTAATATCCACACAGAAACTGAATGTGACCTTATTTGAAATAAGGGTCTTTGCCGACGTAATCAACTTAAGATGAGGTCACACTGGATGAGTACAGGCCTTAATCCAATGACTAGTGTCCTTAAAAGAAGGAAAATTAGATGCAGAAACACACATACGTGAAGAGAACGCCGCATGAATCTAGCAGTAGAGATTGGAAAGATGAATCTATAAGCCGAGGAATGCCAAGGACTGCCACAGCCACTAGATGCTGTAAACGGCAAGGAAGGATTCTCTCCTAGAGCCTTCAGAGGGAGCATGGCCGCGCTGACACCTGGATTTTGGACTCTCAGCCTCCAGGGCTGTGAGGGAAACCACTTCTGTTGTTATAAGCACCCTGTCTGTGGTATTTTGTTATGGCAGCCCTGGGACACTAATACAAATGGTGACAGGTGCTCTGGAGAAAGACAAGGCAGCAAAAGATGATAGAGAGGCTTCGGTGAATCAGATATAGCCTCTGCCCTCAGGGAGCTCCCAACCTACTCAGAGAGCCACAACAATAAGTCACAAACATGACTAATGAGACAGAATGTACAAAACACTAGAGCTGAGGTACAAGGATGGCGGGGAAGGGTTGGGAGGTCTTTATGGATGTGAAAGTCCTTGAGCTAAGCTAGGATTTCAACAGGTAGAAGGTACTAGAACTGGGCAAGACCTGCTAATAGGAACCCTGTGCCTGTGAGGAAAGGAACAGGGTCAGGAAAACAGTGTCTGTTTAGGGAACCACATGTAGTTTGGTTGAAGACAGCGCAAGAGACGTGTGTGGTGTGTGTATGTATGTGTGTAGCAAGGGATGGGAGATGGGAAGACAGAGCTTGATTCAGCTTAGAGAAAACTCCATTGCCAAACTGAAGGATCTGGATCTTCCCTTATAGGCAATGAAAAGCCATGAAAGGTTTTTGAACAGGAGAGTGACACGGTAGGGAGAGTGACATGGTGGGAGGGGAGGGGCCCACGTGGATATTGCACGCACCAAGTATCACACACTACAAGGTGAGTTTAGCATTGGTTCATTGTTGTTGTTCATCAGAAACTGTGGTACTACCTTCTTTACCCACCTGCTGCCTCCCAGAGTCATTTCCCAGAAGCCTCAGTCCCTGGGACCAGCTTTGCCAAGCAACGTGGAGCTAGAGCAGAAAAGAGCCTTAAAAACCACATCTCACCACTGCCAGGATCTAGTCAACAAGAACCCGTCAGAATACTGAGAACCATGAAGCATTTGCCTCAGATCCAAAGGTGGCATCTGTTCAAATTGGTTTTTCCTACTGGATCCTCACAGCTCTCTCCCTTCCGTGAGCAGACCTTTTCTCCCAAACCTGTTAGCTGCCAAGCACGAGGTGGGAAAATCAAAATGAAAAAAACATTGGTCTGGCTGGGCGTGGTGGCTCACACCTATAGTCCCAGCATTTTGGGAGCCTGAGGCGGGAGGATCACTTGAGGCTAGGAGTTTGAGACCAGCCTGGCCATGATGGTTAAACCCTGTCTCTACAAAAATTAAGGCGTGTAAGCGCATGCCTGTAATCCCAGCTACTGGGGAGGTTGAAGCAGGAGAATCGCTTGAACCCAAGAGGCGGAGGTTGCAGTGAGCTGAGATCATGCCACTGCACTCCAGCCTGGGTGACAAAGCGAGACTCTCTCGAAAAAAAAAAAAAAAAATTGGTCTTTCTCTCAGACTTTACAGTCCAGAATATCAGAGCTGAAAGGAAGGAACTTAGAGGTGAATTCCATCTCCAGATAAGAACACTGAGGACCAGAGAGAAGTGATTTGCACACAATTGCTATGATCAGTCACCACTAGGATATGACCCTTTTCTCAGGCTATTTCCTGCGGTCTGGTGTTCCAGAGTCTTAAGATTGCAGACTTTAGAGGGCAGAAAGGTAGGAAAGTAACCATCTGTGAGGAACATAGAAGAAAAAAGAAAAGGAAAAGGAAGATTCTCTTCTCTGTGGGGATCCCTAAAGAGATAGCGGTGCTTAAAACTGAGACGGCATTTGGCTAATTAATTAATTATCCTTCCAGCCCCCTTTCCCCTAGTGGGGGAAGGGGTGAGATGTAACCAAAATACCTATCAGTCTCAAACAGCTGCACAGAAAGCAATTCTAATAGGCAAGTCTGGGGTTTCGTTTTAGGAAAATTTTCTCTCTGAAGATGATTTGTAAGCTTGATCCTGTCAGAACATAAAACCACATAACCCAATGTGTTTCCAATTTTGTCCTAGCTGCCATAAAACTTTGAGCCAAATTCAGAGTCCAATTATAATCCAGTTCATTTTAGGTACCTGGCAACATCTATTCGTGCTTCCTTTACATGGTATCTGGTCTGTTTTCTTCCACATTTTTATCCCTAATTGTCTTTCTTTCATGTTATAAACTGATGAGTCGCCTAATATCCTCTTTAAAGTAGGCGGGATATAAATCTTACATAAACTAAATTATATTTACAGATGCTAAGGGGATTTGAAACAATGAAGAACATTTGAAGGAACAGATGATATTTGGCCTAGAGGAGAGCAGGCTTATGAGGACATGATTACTGTCTTCAAATATCCAATAGGCTGTCAGGGGGGCAATGTAGTGGAATTATTCTGCTTAGCTCCAAAGGGCACAGCCAGAAGCAATTGGTGAAAATTACAGAGAGATGATCCCAGAGGGAAGAAAGCTCTCACAGGCGATGCTTGGCGAAGATGGCGAGTTCACTGTCATTGGAGGTCTTCAAGTAGTGGCTGGACAGCCTCATCAGGAGGGTCTGTTGCCTAGGGAATGGAAACACTACATGGAGGAGTTGAATAAGATAATTTTGGCCAGGCACAGTGGCTCACGCCTGTAATCCCAGCACTTTGGGAAGCCAAGGTGGGAGGATCACTTAAGCTCAGGAGTTCGACACCAGCGTGGGCAATGTAGTGAGACCCTGTCTCTACTGAAAAAAAAAAAAAATTAGCTGGATGTGGTGGCACACATCTGTGGTCTCAGCTACTTAGGAGACTGAGGCAGGAGGATTGCTTGAGACCGGGAGGTTGAGGCTGCAGTGAGCTATAATTGTGCCACTGTACTTCATCCTGGGAGACAGGAGACCTTGTCTCTAAAAAAGAAAAAAAAGATAATTTTAAAGGCTCCTTCCGGCCCTGATTTGCACTACACAGTCCTAGATGTAGAAAAGAAGTCTGGCCGGGAGGTAAGGAGGGGGGACAGGAAAAAAAGAAACAAAGGTCTTTGAATGCTGGAACATTCCAGCCAGAAGCAATGAACCCTGACAGCCCCTGAGACACTCCTGAAAGGAAGAATGGTCCATAAACAGAACTCAAGCCTGCATTTCCCCAGTCCTACTGCATGTAACTCCTACAGGGCAGGAGAAATCAAAAAATCCGTTCCATTGCTCTCCACTGCCATCTAACTGGCTATTATTCAAGGAAGAACAGGTCAAGACTGCTGGAGCTGGAAAGAACCTTAGAGATCATGTAATCCAAACCCCTCATTTTATAACCGGATAAAAAGAGGCTCAGAGAGTTGAAAGGACTTGTCTCCTTGTTTGCTACTCCACCAGGGCCGTGGTGGAGTTCACTGTCATTGGAGGTCTTCAAATAGTGGCTGGACAACCTCATCAGGAGGGTCTGTTGCCTAGGGAATGGAAACACTACATGGAGGAGTTGAATTAAGATAATTTTGGCCAGGCATAGTGGTTCACGCCTGTAATCCCAGCACTTTGAGAAGCTAAGGTGGGAGGATCACTTAGGCTCAGGAGTTCAACACCAGCGTGGGCAATGTAGTGAGACCCTGTATCTACTGAAAAAAAAATTAGCTGGATGTGGTGGCATGCATCTGTGGTCCCAGCTACTCAGGAGACTGAGGCAGGAGGATTGCTTGAGGAGGGCAGAGATGGTTTTGTTGACCTTTCAATCCCCCAACCAGGCTTGGCCCTGGGTTCTTGCCCACTGTGGGTGAACAGTAAGCAGTTGGAAAATGGAACTGAATTGCCCAGAGGCACTGCAAGTAGAAGCTAGGCCTTTCAACCCCCAACCTATGATGCTTTCCATAACAAAATCTCATTCAATTCAGTTCAACAAACATTTATTGGTTTCTCTATGTGCCAGATCTGGAGCTACAGTAAAAGATAAACCAGAGGCAAGCTGTGCCCTCAAGGAGCAAACATTCCTCCAGGGAGCTAGGCTCTTCCCACCTCGGGCCCTGCACACCTGCTGTTCCTTTGGCGCGGAAAGTTCTCTTTGCTGCCTTTGCCCACTAAACTGCCTATTCATCCTTCAAATCTCAGATGAAATGTTGGCTCATCAGCGGCACCTTCTCTCACTCCCAAACTGGGCAGATCCCTCTGATACATTCTCTCAGTGAGTCCTTTTCATTCCTGAACTTAGCAAGTTTGTAATTCTATATTGATTTGTGCAGTTCTTGGTTTGCTAACCTCCTGCCTCCTCATTAGACTGTTAGCTCTACAAGGGCAGATACTGTGTTTTGCTTCCCACTGTATCATAAGCCTGGCCAAAAGCCAGGATAAGCAGTCCATGTTTGTTGAATGCATGAATCGACAACCTAATCGATTATGTAGACAGATAAATCATAACTACAATTCAATGTGATAAGAGGTATAGGGTAATAGAGAAATCATTTCTTTCTTTCTTTTTCTTTGAGACAGAGTTTCACTCTTGTTACCCAGGCTGGAGAGCAATGGCGAGATCTCGGCTCACTGCAACCTCTGCCTCCCAGGTTCAAGCGATTCTCCTGCCTCAGCCTCCCCAGTAGCTGGGATTACAGGCATGCGCCACCACACCCGGCTAATTTTGTATTTTTGTAGAGACAGGGTTTCTCCATGTTGGTCAGGCTGGTCTCGTACTACCAACCTCAGGTGATCTGCCTGCCTTGGCCTCCTAAAGTGCTGGGGTTACAGGCGTGAGCCGCCGTGTCTGGCTGAAATCATTTCTTTAGAAAGGAGGAGGCCAGCTCCTGCATCTATGGAGCTGGCCTTGGCTAGCCTTGCAGAACGCATATACGGCCAGACAATCAAAGCATGGGGCAAACGGCATAGCTTTGTGAAAGCGCCCATTGTGTTCAGACAAACCAAAGCTACTTGTCAGCATCTCTCCATTTCCCCAGTCCCCTAGGAAGCAGGCAGTTCTGCCACAGTGGGACAGACTGGCCACCACCTGCTGATTCGGGTTCGGGCACAATTGGCAGTCAGACCACAGGGCAGAACTGAAAGGAAACTCCTGGAATTCGGAATTCACAAATCTCTCTATTTCTCAGGATTCTGCTCTCCAGGAGGAAGATTGAGAGATCTGATTGGGGCCGGGTGCGGTGGCTCACGTCTGTAATCCCAGCACTTTGGGAGGTCAAGGCAGGTGGATCACCTGAGGTCAGGAGTTAGAGACCACCCTGGCCAACATGGTGAAACCCTGTCTCTACTAAAATACAAAAAATTAGCCAGGCGTGTTGGCGTGCGCCTGTAATCCCAGCTACTTGGGAGGCTGAGGCAGGGGAATCGCTTGAACCCGGGAGGCGGAGGTTGCAGTGAGCCGAGATCGTGCCACTGCACTCCAGCCTGGCAACAGAGCAAGATTCTGTCTCAAAAAAGAAAAGAAAAAAAAAAGAGAGAGAGATCTGATTGGTCCTGGAATGAGGGATCAGTTCTGCACCTTTCCGGTGGGATAAGACCTACTCCCAGGCATAAGAGAGTATTGCCCTCTAGTGGTAATAATAATGATAATGATGATAATGATAATGATAATGATAATGATAATGATAATAACAACTAGTGGATGTGGTCCTTGCTTGGGAGATCAACCATACCCGTTTGCCCAAGATTGTTTTAGCACTTGAAAGACCCACATCTCAAGAAACCTCTGAGTCTCAGGCAAGCCTACTCCTTGATGGTGTTCAATGCACTCGTATACACATGATCTCATTACATGGCTCCTAACCCTCGATGCCAGGAATCAGGATTCAGTCTGCACAGATCTGTAGAGCTTTAGAGATCCAGCCCATTTTCCAGATGAGGAAACAAAGCCCAAGAGGAGGGAAAAAATTTCCTTCGTCAGCATTACATTACAAATTAATGGCAGAACCAGAATCAGCATCTAGGTGTCCAGGTCCACAGCCCCGGCCACTGTTGCCCCTGGCTGGCATGCCCTCAGCTACTCTGTCAGTTTGTCTAGGTCCCATGTCCTCCAGACTCGCTAAACTACTCACCCCTTAATCCTTTCAGAAAACTTCCCCCTCTGAAAGCCTGAAACACTCATTTGACACTTAGCATGTGCTATAGGTACCGTTTTTTATCCCTTAAATGTATAGTTCAAAAAAAAGAAAGCTCCTCAGCTCCCCACAAGCCCAACCCCCAGAGATACTAACAAGGAGAGCGGCCTCTGGTCAGAAGAGTCTCAGGAGTGGCCCTAGTTGGTCCAGGGCCCCGAGGAAAGTGCATTTGGCACTGCAGAGCAAGAAAGGAAGCAGAGGGAGGCTTTTGCAATCACCAGGTGGGATGGATTTGAGAGCCAAGAGCTGAGGAGAGGTGAAAAGGCATCCTTGCAGCCTCAAGACAAAAGGAGAAAGTGAGAGCCTTCTTTGCCCCAGGGATGCCGCCAGGGAATGGGTCCTGCTTTTTCTGCTGCCAAAATTGCTGTGCCCTTCTCCGTTCCCCTGGTCCCTGACAAGGACCCCCAAAATCAGCTCTTGCCTTTCCCCTCCACTGAGACAAATTTGCAAACTCCCACATCTCTGTGGAAACGGCAGAGAGCAGGAGAGAAGAAAAAAGGAGAAAAAAATCCACCCACATGCCAACAAACTGGAAAAAAAATAACCCAGGCCTTGTCGCACTCAGCTGTTGGCTTGCTGCTCCCTCCCACTGTGGCGGCTGCTCCTGCCTCCTGGACATGGACCCAATGCTGTGCAGTTCCCCTTCCCATCTGGAGCTGGCTTTTGTCAATGCCCCTTGTCCCTACCCCCACCCCAGCTCTGGGAGAGAGAGTCCTGGAGTCCAGGAGGAGGAAAGCTGGAAGGGAGGACCGGCAGAGCCACCCAGGGCTGTGGCTGACCACAGACTCTGTGCCCATCACCGTCTCCCAAACTATGGAGGGGAACTTCCTCCCCTCCCAGGGAAATAAGTTAAGGAGATGGGGCACTGCCCACAGGCTGGCCCCACCAGGCCACTTCTGTCTCAGAGGCTGTCCCCTGCGTCTTCTGTCCTCCCTCCCCCAAGCCCTTCCCCTTGGCTGCCTCTCTCTACCATTTTCAAGCTCTGTTTTCAGTCTAACTCCTTCTATTTTCATCTTTTTGTGCCCTCGCCTTTCTTCACCTTCTGCTCCAGTTCTGGGCACCATATTTAAACAAAGCAAAACAAAACAAAATGGAGTGTGTTGCTAGGAAAGGAGGGATGTAGAAATCATCACTATTAGGAAAACGGAGATGTTTTGCCCGTAGAAAGGAGGATATGGACTCAGAGGAGCATGGAAGGATAGAAACACAAGGAGCTTTTTGGATAACCTTATTTTACAGATGAGGTGATCGAGGCCCAGAGAGGGAAGAAGACCTGGGGCTACCATGCAGAAGAGGGGACAGCTTTGTTCTGTGGGCCTCCAGAAAAAAGAAGGAGGACCAGTGAGTACGATTTATGAAAAGGCAGATTTATTTATTTATTTATTTAGAGACAGAGTCTCACTCTTGTTGCCCAGGCTGGAGTGCAGTGCCATGATCTCAGCTCACTGCAGCCTCTGCCTCCAGGTTCAAGCAATTCTCCTGCCCCGGCCACTCGAGTAGCTGGGATTACAGGTGCCCACCAACATGCCTGGCTAATTTTTGTATTTTTAGTAGAGACAGCGTTTCACCATGCTGGCCAGGCTGGTCTTGAACTCCTGACCTCAAGTGATCTTCCCGCCTCGGCCTCCCAAAGTGCTGGTGTTACAGGTGTGAGCCGCCCGAGAAGGCAGAAGATTTAAATGACAGTTTTGTTTCTTCCTTCTAAATCCGTATTCCTGTTGTTTCGTTTCTTTGCCTTGTTTTGCAGGATCTCCAGTTCAATTCTGACCAAAAGGGATGATAATGAGCATCCTTGTGCTGTTACTTATGTTAAAGGGGAAGATGTCAATGTTTCATCATTAGACATGGTCTTCACTGGAGGATTCGGAGGATTTTGGAGGATAGTCTTTACTCTTTATCAGGTTAGGGAAGTTTCCTCTCATTCCTTTTTTTTTTTTTTTTTTTTAAGACAGGGTCTTGCTCTGTTGCCCAGGCTGGAGTGTGGTGGCGCCATCACAGCTCACTGCAGCTTTGACCTCCCAGGCTCAAGAGATTCTCCCACCTCAGCCCCCCTAAGTAGCGGCGACCACAGGTGTATGCCACCACACCTGGCTATTTTTTGTAGGGATGAGGTTTCACCATGTTGCCCAGGCTGTCTGGAACTCCTGGGCTCAAGCGATCTGCCCATCTAAGCTTCCCAAAGTGCTGGGATTACAGGTGTCAGCCACCGTGCCCGGCTTGCTAAGAATCTCTTTTGTTATGAACAGGAGTTAAGTTTTACCAAATGCTTCATCAGCATCTTTTCTAATGATCATACATTTCTCTTCTAATCTGTTTACATGGTCAAGAATGCAGCATTTAGTTCAAGAGACAGGTGAAATTTCTAACATACAAAACTATCCAAAGAGGCACTAGCCACCCCATGGACCAAAGTAGTCAATTCCAAGTCACTGGAAATGTTCAAGTAGAAGTGCAGCCACTCAGTAAATATCTAGGTGTCAGGCACTGTTCTCGGTTCTGGCTACTTAGTGGTGAAGAAGATCCCTGCTCTCCTAGAGCTCACATTTTAGAGAAAGGATAACAGACACAAACAACCAAACAAATATATGAACAAGAACATTTCAAAAAGTCAAAAGTGTTATGAAAACAAATGAATAAAACAAAAAACAGTACAAAGGTAGTATAATAGGGTGAGGATGGAGAACAAGATGAAATAGGTTAGTCAGGGAAGGATTCTCCATGGAGGTGAGAGTTGAGGTGAGCCTGAATGACAAGAAGTTGTCAGTCATTTCATGAGGGCCCAGAGGCATGGGATCCCAGGGTGAGAGATGAGCTTGGTGTATTCAAGGGAATTCAGAAAGAAGTCCAGCTGGAGGCAGCAAGAGGAAAGACTGGTACTAGATGAGGTAGGAAAGAAGTTCTGGAGTAAAATGGTGTAGGGCCACGCCAGCCATGGAAGACATTTAGTTTTTATTTCAGATACAATGAAAAGCCATTGGAGGATTTTGAGCTGGAAGTGACATGATCTGAATTTTGTCTTTTAAAGCTTACTCTGTCTGATGTATGGAGAATGGGTTATAGTGGAGGCAAAACCAGAAACAAGAAGGCCAGCTAAGAGGCTAGTTATGAAGCCAGTTAGACAGTCCAGGCAAGAGACCGTGATAGCTTGGGCTAGGATAGTAATTGTGGAGAAAGATATGTGGACAGATTTGGAATAGATTTTTACCTGGGCAGCACTATCAATCAATATGATCTAATCAAAATTTATAGAGACTCCATCCAATAACAGCAGAATACACATTCTTCTCAAGCTGACATGGAACATGCACCAAGATAGACTATATTCTGGGCCATAAAACACACCTTAACAAATTCAAAAGGCTGGGTGTGGCGATCACACTGGTAATCCCAGCACTTTCGGGAGGTCAAGGCAGGAGGATTGTTTCAGGCCAGGCATTCAAGACTAGCCTGGGCAATATAGCGAGACCCTGTCTCAACAAAAAAATTAAAAATAAAAAAAATAGCTGGGCATGGTGGTACGTACCTGTAGTTCCAGCTACTCAGGAGGCTGAGGCAGGAAGACCCCCGCAAGCCCAAGATTTCGAGGTTGCAGTGAGCTATGTTTGCATCACTGCATTCCAGCATGAGTGACAGAGTGAGACCCTGTCTCTAAAAAGAAAAGAAAAAAAAAACCCCACAAATTTAAAAGAATAGAAATCATACAAAGTATGCTCTCAAACCACAATAGAAATAAAACAGAAACCGTCCAGGTGTGGTGGCTCATGCCTGTAATCCTAGCACTTTAGGAGGCTGAGGCGGGCGGATCACCTGAGGTCAGGAGTTCAAGACCAGCTTGGCTGACATGGTGAAACCCCATCTCTATTAAAATACAAAAATTAGCCGGGCATGATGGCGGGTGCCAGTAATCCCAGATACTCGGGAGGCTGAGGCAGGAGAATCGCTTGAACCCGGGAGATGGTTGTTGCAGTGAGCTGAGATTGTGCCAAACTGCACTCCAGCCTGGATGGCTGAGCGAGACTCCTTCTCGAAAAAAAAAGAAAAAAAAGAAATAAAATAGAAACCAGTAACTGAAAGATGGCTGGGAAATCCCCAAATATTTGGAAATTAAACAACAAATTTCTAAATAACATAGAGGTCAAAGAAGAAGTCTCAAGATAAATTTTTAAATATTTCAAATTAAGTGAAAATAAAAATGCAATTTGTTAAAATGTGTGGGATAGCAGAAAATCCCAAACAATCTATAGGGGGTACCACTCCTGGAACTAATGAAAATATATATAGCAAGGTCACAGGGTACAAGGTCAATACACAAAAAAACAATTGCTTTCCTATATACCAGCAATAAACAATTAGAATTTGAAATTTTAGGGAAGCAATACTGATTTTTTTGTTTTTTTTTTTTTAGACAGAGTCTCGCTCTGTTGCCCAGGCTAGTCTTGAATGCCTGGCCTCAAACAATCCTCCTGCCTTGACCTCCCAAAAGTGCTGGGATTACCAGTGTGATCGCCACACCCAGCCTTTTTTCTTTTTTTTTTTAGACAGAGTCTCGCTCTGTTGCCCAGGCTGGAGTGCAGTGGCATGACCTCGGCTCACTGCAACCTCTGCCTCCCAGGTTCAAGCAATTCTCCTGCCTCAGCCTCCCAAGTAGCTGGGATTACAGGTGCACGCCACCACACACGGCTATTTTTTGGTATTTTTAGTAGAGACAGGGTTTCACCATGTTGGCCAGGCTGGTTTCGAACTCCTGACCTCAAGTGATCCACCTGTCTTGGCCTTCCAAAGTGCTAGGATTACAGGCATGAACCACCACGCCCGACTGCAATACTGTTTTCAATAGCAGTAAAACAATGAAATACTTAGGAATAAAATATAACAAAATGTGTACTGGACCCAAATCTACAAAACTACAAAACATGAATGAAAGAAATCTAAATAAAGGGAGAGCTATTCCATGTTCATGAAAAAGAGGACTCAATATTTTTAGGATGTCATTTCTTTCCAACTTAATGTATATATTCAGTATCATTTCAGTCAAAATCTCAGCAAGCTATATTATAGCAATACTGAAAAACAAAGTTGGAGGATTCGCACTATCTAATGTCAAGACGCCACAGTACTATAAAGCTATGGTACACAAGACAGTGTGGTTGAGTGTGGAAAAAAACAAACTGTTTTTGCTCCGCTCTCACAGAACAATCAACACAGATTTCTGTGACCAGATGTGTGGGAGTACACACACCAAATGAGCAATCAGTTTTGTTGTGGACACCAGATGAATGTCCTCTAATTTCATGTAATTTTGATACTAACTACCCGGAGATGGCGTCAGATCTCACAGGTTGAGAGCTGTCTCCAAGAATGCCATGTTCCCCTCGCTCATCCTCACCTCCGCCTTCAGATGTGACTCCTGGTTGTTTTACCAGTGATTTTGACAGACTGGCTATAAACTGAGTTTCCACAACCCCCTCACTGAGTTCCATTAATTTGTTAGAGTAGCTCACAGAAAAGTTTCTATTCCAGATACAAGGAAAAGGGGAAGTTGTCAAAGTTTCATCATTAGACACGGTCTTCACAGAACTCAAGGAAACACTTACATAATTTATTTACTTATTTATTTATTTATTATTTTTTGTTTGTTTATTTGTTTAAGACGGAGTCTCGCTCTGTCGCCAGGCTGGAGTGCAGTGGCGCGATCTCGGCTCATTGCAACCTCCACCTCCCAGGTTCAAGTGATTATCCTGCCTCAGCCTCCCAAGTAGCTAGGACTGCAGGCACACGCCACCACGCCCAGCTAATTTTTTTGTACTTTTAGTAGAGACGAGGTTTCACCATGTTGGCCAGGATGGTCTCCATCTCCTGACTTCATGATCCACCTGCCTCGGCTCCCCAAAGTGCTGGGATTACAGGCATGAGCCACTGCGTCCGGCACTTACTTATATGTATTAGATTTTTGTTTTTTTAGTTAAACAATCATTTTATTGCTTGAGTACATAGACAATTTATGTGACCAGGGCAGAGGCTGTGGATGACTCATATTTCCAATCAAGAGGGAGGACTCACTTGGTGTTATAATATCGGGCCAAATGATGAATCCAGCTCTCTATCAGAATCAGATAGAATTTAGCATCCTTATCTGATTCGTGAGGGAGTCAGGCCCTTCCTTGGCCAGTTTGTCAATCTTCTCCTTCACGTTATCGGAAGTCAACGTCAGCCACCAGGAGCATGCATGCGACCCATGATGGCAACGGTCAGGCAGCAAAAGGGTATTGGATTATTATAAGGAATATTACAAGGGATATAGATGAAAAGATGCATGGGGCAAGGCCTGTGGGAAGGGGCACAGTGCTTCATGCCTTCTCCGAGTGTGCCACCCTCCAGGAGTCTCCACGTGTTTTGCTATCTGGAATCTCCCCAAGCTCTGGCCTTTTGGGTTGTTATGGAGGCTTTATTATGCAGACATGATTGATTAAATCATTGGTCATTGGTGATCAGCTGAACCTTCCGGGCCCCTCTCCCCTCCCCTGAGGTGGGGAAATGGGGCTGAAAGTCCCAACTCTCTAATCCTGCCTTGGTTTTTTGGGGACCAATCCCCAATCCTGAAGCTACCTAGGGGCTGTTGGCCATCAGCCAACTCATTGACATATAAAAAGACATCACTTTGGAGATTTTAAAGGATTTTAGGAGTTGTATGTCAGGAAATGGGGAAGACCAAATATACATTTTATAATAATCACCGTGGTGTTAAAGAAAGAATGCATACAGAGATCAATAGAACAGAGTGGAATATATTTTGAGGTAAAGCCAATAGGACTTGTTGGAAATATGAGTTGAGGAAAAAAAGGAATCAAGCACCGTCTGTAAGAGATGGGGGAAAGATCAGGTTAGAGAACGTAAAATGTCTTCCCAACTTTAAGTTTTAATCAAGGATTTTCGGGTCTATGATTCTTTGAGCTGCCCCCCATATTCCTCCTAACACTACAGCTATTCTTGGGGCTGAGGTCTCCCTAATTACTGGCCCCACATCTCCAAGCTCAGCCTCCCTCCCACTTCCCTTTCCTCTTCCATGGAGGGGGTGTTGAGGGCTCTGCCAGTGGGAGCCAATGAGCAGGGTGAATGCTGCCTCTAGTCTTGGTTTTAAGAGGCTTCAAGCTATGTGTGTCAAAGATCCCAATGCCCTACAATCAGAGCGTTAAGGAAGCATGAGACAAGCTGGGGAAGGGAAAGAGAATGAGCTAAAGAGAAAAGAAGATGAAGAAAGAGAGATGGGGGAGGGGAGGAAAAGGAAAAAAGAGTAAGTGACCTGTGGACATGTGGGGAGGGGAGCAGGCCACAATGGCACACCTGGGGCACAGAGCATCCAGCACTGCTGGCCTCTGCCCATGGCCACAGCAAGATCCCCTCCTTATTTGCAGCTGTTAAGAGAGCAAAGAGGCTGTTATTGGGAGACATAGTCCTCTGTAGTGACTACATCTGGTCAGGGTGGGAGGATGGATGAGGAGGAATGGATGCATTTGGAGAAGTGGTTCTAAACCTTTTGTTCAGTCATAGACCTGTCTGTGAATGGAAGCCATGGCCTGCACACTCTCCCCAGAAAAATGCCACTAGATATTGTAGACCAAATTTTGTCTACAATTCAGCACATTCATGAATGCTTTGGAATCCTCAAGGGTCCATAAGCCTGTGTGTCAAATCTCTGACATATAGAATATTTAGGAGATAAAAATCAACATGATTAGTGATGGATGGTATGTGATGGTTGACAGAGTGGGTCGGAGAGGAAGCCTGGGTTTAATGGCTGAGGTAGCTGAGTGGATGATAGAACCATCCACTGAGACAGAGAACACCCAAAGAGGAACAGGTTTCTGGGGAAAATACTGAATTCAATTTTGGACCTGCCAAATTTTAAGTGTCTGGAATGTCCAAGGGGAGATTTCCAGGAGGTAGATGGACATATGGATATGAAGTGCAGGAAAGAAATATAGGCTAGAGCGAAAGAGTTGGGAACCATCAACATGTAGATGGCTATTAAAGCTATAGGAATGGGTGAGGTCGTCTACCAAGACTGCACAGAATGAGAGCCTGAACGTACAAATTGACAATGGCCAGACCATATATAAAAACAGAACTCTGACCTACAACCTGCAGTTAACCTGTCCAGGAAGCCCACTCCTTATGTACAATAAACAGCCCAGGAAGCCAGCCTGCCTTAAGTCAGACTTGCAGGAAACCAGCTTGCCACCTCTAGTGACAATCCAGGAAGCTAAGCAAATATTTCTCTAACAATTGGCCCCGGCCGGGCGTGGTGGCTCACGCCTGTAATCTCAGCACTTTGGGAGGCCGAGGTGGGTGGATCACCTGAGGTCAGGAGTTCAAGACCAGCCTGGTCAACATGGTGAAACCTCATCTCTACTAATAATACAAAAAATAGCTGGGCGTGGTGGCTTGTGCCTATAATCCCAGATACTCCGGAGGCTGAGGCAGGAGAATCACTTGAACCCGGGAGGCGAAGGCTGCAGTGAGCCAAGATCACACCACTGCACTCCAGCTTGGGTGACAGAGTGAAACTGTGTCTCAAAAAAAAAAAAAAAAAACATTGGCCCCAAATGGCCAGGACTTGATGAATAACTAGCAGCTTCCCTAATTTTTGTCCCTGCCTCCAACTTAGTACTAACCAGAGACAGACAAATATGTATCCCCAACCAACCACATAGGCTACCCCGCTTCTAGCTAGCCACCTCCAGCTTCCCCCACCAACAGCCTCCAGTCAGGGCACACCTGAAGCCTTCCCTTTTCTCCATGCTAAAGCTTTACCACTGCTCTGCCTGCCTTTGAGTCTCTGCCAATAGGCAAGTGATGGTGGCCGACTCCCTTGCTATAGCAAGCTCTGAAAAAAATAGGCTTTGCTTTTCGTATTTGGTGGGTCTTCATTTATTTCCACAAAAATGAGAAAAAGGCTGGGACATAGCCTTATGGAACACCAGATTCTAAGGAAAGGGCAGAGGAAGAGGGGCCCGCAAAAGGGACTGAGAAGTAGTGGCCAAACAGTAAAGAGTAAAGCCAGGAGAGTACGGTGTCACAGAAACCAAGGGCAAATCTTCCAAATGGAGGGGAGAGCTCAACAATGCCAAATGTTACTCAGACAACAACTGAGTAACAACAGGGCCAAATGTTACTGGCACTGGCCGTATGGCCTGTGGACTATGGGGCAGTCCCTGTTCCAGGGCTGTGTGCTGCTGGTCATCAACACACTGGGCTGTGGTGTGCTTATGGTAGCCCGGGATGGTGTGTGACAGTCCTGGGAGGTCTACACCCAGCCTGACCAGATGTTCCACAGGTGGCACTCAGTGAGCATGCTTGCAGTGGATGGCAGCGTGGATCCTTTCCCGCACTACTGGTACCTCTGGCTGGACCACCTACTCCCTGTGTCTGGCCTCTGTGGCCTCCCAAATGCCCTCAGGAAGGTCCTCATGGATCGATCAGCTGGTAGCCTCTCCCATGCTGAGCATATGACACGTCTTGGGCCTTGGCTGCCTGGAAGGCCAGACGCTGGGAGAGAGCTGCCAGGAGCTGCAGGACAAGTTCTGGGAATTCTACAAGGCTGACTGGTGCATGTGGCCGGCTGCACGCTGGCGAACTTTCCCTTTGTGCACCCCCCTCCTCCCAGTTCCGAGTCACCTACATCAATGGCCTGACATTGGGCTGGGACACATATCTGTCCTACCTGAAGTACCAGTTCCTCTGACACCCCAGGCTATATGGCCTGGGCACCTGAGCAGACTAAGCTGCCCACCCCTAGGGACAAGATGCAAGACTGACTCCCAGAAGGGGAGCAGGGTTGAGCGTGGTGGGTCATGCATGTAATCCCAGCACTTTGGGAGGCCAGAAGTTTGAGACTAGCCTGGGCAACATGGCAAAACCCTGTCTCTACAGAAAATACAAAAATTAGGCCAGGCACCCAGCCTTATTTATTTATTTATCTCATACACCTGGAATTTATTTTGGTGTAAGGAATTAGAGATCCAATTTCATTTTCACCAAAATCACAAGCCAGTTATCCCAACACCATTTATTATACAATCTATCTTTTCACCAATGAATTAAAATATCTGTCAATTACTAAATTGTCCATAGGCAATGTTTTTTTCTGAACTTTCTATTGTGTTCCACTGATCTAGTTGTCAGTTTTGAACTGGTATCACTGTTTAATTCCTATAGCCTCACAATGTCTTTCAATAAGTGCTAAGAATAGTTGGTATGCATTACTCAATTTTCAGAATTTTCTTGATTATTTCTAGATGTTTACTCTTCTAAAGGGATACAGTTTAGAAATGTAATATCAACTAAAAATTATTTGGGTTGCATTAAATTTATAAATTAATTTGGAGAGTATTAACATTTTAATAAATGAGTTTGCCCATCCAGGAACGAGGTATGTCTCCCTTTTTATTCAAATATGTTATATCCAGCCAAGTGCGGTGGCTCATACCTGCAGTCCCAGCTACTCCAGAGGCTGAGGTGGAAGGATTGCTTGAGCCCCAAAGTTGGAGACCACAGTGAGAAATGATCGCACTGCTGCACTCCAGCCTGGGTGACAGACTGAGATCCCATTCTAGAAAACACAAAACCTGGCCGGGGGCAGTGGCTTATGCCTGTAATCCCAGCCCTTTGGGAGGCCGAGGCGGGTGGATCACTTGAGGTCAGGAGTTTGAGACCAGCCTGGTCAACATGGTGAAACCCTGTCTCCACTGAAAATACAAAAATTAGCCAGGCGTGATGGGGGCCACCTGTAATCCCAGCTACTCGGGAAGTTGAGGCCATAGAATCGCTTAAACCGGGAGGCAGAGGTTGCAGTGAGCCGAGATCACGCCACTGCACTCCAGCCTGGGCGACAGAGGGAGATTCCACCTCAAAAAAAAAAAAAAAACCACACACACACACAAAAAAAAAACCCACAAAACACAAAAACCCCAAATATATTATATCCTATAGGGGAGCTTCTTTTTTTTTTTTTTTGAGACGGGGTCTAGCTCTGTCACCCAGGCTGGAGTACAGTGGTGCAATCTCAGCTCACTGCAACCTCCGCCTCCCAGGTTCAAGCGATTCTTCTGCCTCAGCCTCCTAAGTAGCTGGGATTACAGGCGCGTGCCACCATGCCCGGCTAATCTTTGTATTTTTGGTAGAGACGGGGTTTCACCATGTTGGTCAGGCTGGTCTTGAACTCCTGACCTCGTGATCCGCCCACCTCGGCCTCCCAAAGTGCTGGGATTACAGGCGTAAGCCACCACGCCCGGTCAAGGGGAGCTTCTTAACTATAGAGTGAGGTTTCCAGAAGGTATAGTAGAAAGGTTTTGAAGGAAGCAAAGCAGTTCAAGGTTGGCTCAAGGGAGGGAAAATGCAGAGTTGTAAGAAATACAGGCGAGGCCAGGCGCAGGGGCTCACACCTGCAATCCCAGCACTCTGGGAGGCTGGGATGGGAGGACTGCTTGAGTCCAGGAGTTCCAGACCAGCCTGAGCAACATAACGAGACCTCGTCACTACAAAAATAAAATAAAATAAAATAAAAAATTAGCCAGTTGTGTTGGTGCATGCTTATAGTCCCAGCTACTCAGGAGTTTGAAGTGGGAGGGTCTCTTGAGCCCTGGAGTTTGAGGCTGCAGTGAGCTATGATAGTGCCACTGCACTCCAACCTGGGTGACACAGCAAGACTCTGTCTCAAAAAATAAAAAGAAGCAAACAGATGATAAGAGGAGCTTATATAAAAGATGGTTACTGTATTAGTTATCTATTGCTGAGTAACAAATGGCCACAAATTTTGTGGCTTAAAACAACATTTCAGCCAGGCGCAGTAGCACACACCTGTAATCCCAGCACTTTGGGAGGCCGACACAGGTGAATCACCTGAGGTCAGGAGTTCGAGACCAGCCTGACTAACATGATGAAACCCCATCTCTACTAAATACAAAAAAGAATTAGCCAGCGTGGTAGTGCATGCCTGTAATCCCAGCTACTTGGGAGGCTGAGGCAGGAGAATCGCTTGAACCCTGGAGGTGGAGGTTGCAGTGAGCCAAGATCACATCACTGCACTCCAGCCTGGGCAACAAGAGTGAAACCCCATCTCAAAAAAAAGAAAAAAGAAAAAAAGAAAGCCACAACATTTCTTCATCTAATAGTTTCTGTAGATTAGGAATCTACACATAGCTTAACTGGGTCCTCTGCTTCAGGCTCCCTCACAAGACTGTAATCAAGGTGTCATCCAGGGCTGGAGTCTCATCTGAAGGCTTGACAGAGGAAGGAGCCACTTCCAAGATCACCTGGTTATTGGCAGATTTCCAATTCGTCAAAGACTGTTAGACTGACAGCCTCAGTTTCTGGCTGCATGCTGCTCTTCAGTTCCTTGCCACATGGACCTCCCCAACATGGCAGCTTGCTTCATCAAAGCCAACGAAAGAGATAATCATACTCTAGCAAGCTAGAAGGCATAGTTTTATAGTTTTTTGTTGTTGTTGTTGTTGTTTTGTTTTTTGAGACAGGGCCTTGTTCTGTTGCCCAGGCTATAGTGCAATGGCGTGATCACAGCTCACTGCAGCCTCGACCTCCTGGGCGCAAGTGATTCTCCCACCTCAACCTCTTGGGTAGCTGGGACTACAGGTGTATGCCACCATGCCTTGCTAATTTTCTTTTCTTTTCTTCTTCTTCTTCTTTTTTTTTTTTTTTTGTTGTTGTTGTAGAGATGGGATCTCACTATGTTGCCCAGCCTGGTTTCAAACTCCTGTGCTCAAGCGATCATCCTGCCTTAGCCTCCCAAAGTGTTGGGATTACAGGTGTGAGCCACCACACCCGGTCAGAAGTCACAGTTTTTGTTTTTTTTTTTTTTTGAGATGGAGTCTCGGTCTGTCGCCCAGGCTGGAGTGCAGTGGCGTGATCTCGGCTCACTGCAAGCTCCGCCTCCCGGGTTCACGCCATTCTCCTGCCTCAGCCTCCCGAGTAGCTGGGACTACAGGTGCCTGCCACTACGCCCAGCTAATTTTTGTATTTTTAGTAGAGACGGGGTTTCACCGTGTTGGCCAGGATGGTCTCGCTCTCCTGACCTGAGGTGATCTGCCCGCCTCGGCCTCCCAAAGTGCTGGGATTACAGGCGTGAGCCACTGTGCCCATCTCAACCCTTTGTTTAATCCCTCCCCTTGAGTGTGGGCTGACCTAGGTACTTGCTTCAAACTGATGGAATGTGTCAAAGGTGATAGGATTTCACTTAGTGATTAGGCTAGTAGCCTAATTCCATCAGTTTGAAGCAAGTACCTAGGTCAGCCCACACTCAAGGGGAGGGGATTAAACAAAGGGGTGAGCTGGGCGCGGTGGCTCACGCCTGTAATCTCAGCACTTTGGGAGGCTGAGGTGGGCGGATCACCTGAGGTCAGAAGTTCAAGACCAGGCTGGTCAACATGGTGAAACCCTGTCTCTACTAAATATACAAAAATTAGCTGGGCGTGGTGGCGGGCGCCCGTAATCCCAGCTACTCAGGAGGCTGAGGCAGGAGAATCGCCTGAACCCAGGAGGCGGAGGTCGCAGTGAGCCGAGATCGCGCCATTGCGCTCCAGCCTGAGCAACAACAGCAAAACTTCGTCTCAAAAACAAAAAACAAAACAAAACAAAAAAACAAAAAACACAATAATAAAGGAGTGAATACCAAGAGTCTGGATCACTGGGGGTCATCTTAGAGGTTACCTGCCACAGTTACTAAGAAGTATAAGTGACGGGAGGTTTGGTAGCATTAGCTAACTCAATATTTGCCAAAGGAGTGTCCTTGAAATTCACTGGCACATGAGGTAAAGGAGGGACACAGATCACTGGGGTTCTCCTGTAACCTAGATCAATTATATTTTCTTTTTCTTTCTTTCTTTTTTTTTTTTTCTTTTTTGAGACGGAGTCTCACTCTGTCACCCAAGGTGGAGTGTAGTGGTGCGATCTCGGCTCACTGCATCCTGTGCCTCCCGGGTTCAAGCGATTCTCCTGCCTCAGCCTCCCAAGTAGCTGGGACTACAGGCACCCGCCACTACGCCCAGCTAATTTTTGTATTTTTAGTAGAGACGGAGTTTTACCATGTTGGCCAGGCTGGTCTCGAACTCCTGACCTCAAATGATCTGCCCGCCTCAGCCTCCCAAAGTGCGGGATTACAGGCGTGAGCCACCGTGCCCAGTGATCAATTATATTTTCAAGAGAATTATGGTCTCTGATGGAAGAGGAAACCCCTAGGCTCATAAGGCTAAGTAGATCATAACCACTTCCAGCTGGGTAAGGTGGCTCATGCTTATAATCCCAGTACTTTTTGGGAGGCTGAGGCAGGAGGATGGCTTGAGCCCAGGAGTTTGAGACCAGCCTGGGCAACAAAGCAAGATCCTGTCCCTACCAAAAAAAAAAAATATCTCCGCATGGTGGCATGCACCTGTAGTTCCAGCTACTTGGGAGGTGAAGGTGGAGGATCGCTTGAGCCCAGGAATTCAAGGCTGCAGTGATCACACTACTGCACTCCAGCCTGGGTGCAGCTGTGATCACACTACTGCACTCCAGCCTGGGTGACAGAGTGAGACCCTGTCTCTAAAAAACAAAATAAATAAATAAATAGTAACCACCTCCATTTGTGTAGCACTTCATGGTCTACAAATCTGCTTTTGGAGTCACTATTTAATTTGATTCTCTTAACAACTCTGTGAGGTAGCCAGGCAAGAGAACTAAAGTTCAAAGAGGCTATGTGGCTACCCCTGATCTCACAATTAGTGGGTGGCAGAGCTGGGACTAGAGCCTCAGTCTTCAAATTCCTAACCTATTACACTGGAGTGATTTATCCAAAATCCAGAGATATGCCATTTTCCCTCTTCAATGGCTTCTCCCACCGTTTTCCTCCCACTCTGGGTTCTTTTTTTTTTTTTTTTTTTTGTTGTTGTTGTTGTTGTTGTTGTTGTTGAGACGGAGTGTCGCTCTGTCACCCAGGCTGGGGTACAGTGGTGCGATCTCAGAGGCTCAACTGCAACCTCCAACTCCCGGGTTCAAGTGATTCTCCTGCCTCAGCCTCCTGAGTAGCTGGGATTACAGGTGCAAGCCACCACGCCCGGCTAATTTTTGCATTTTTAGTGGAGATGGGGTTTCACCATGTTAGTCAGGCTGGTCTTGAACTCCTGACCTCGTGATCTGCACGCCTCGGCCTCCCAAAGTGCTGGGATTACAGGTGTGAGCCACCGTGCCCGGCCCCTCTCTGGGTTCTTATCCTGGCTCAGTTATTACTAGCCAGTAAGTCAACCTTACTTCACCTCCTAGAATTATTGTAGGGATCAGAGAAAATGTTTGTGAAGCTCCCAGCACACTGTCTGGCACACAGTAAGTGCTCACTAAATGCAAATTATAAGCTGTTATTATCCTTTCAACTGTTCCAGTCCACCCTCATTGCTAGTCACCTCTACTTCTGCTCCTTCCCCTGAATCTCTGTGGTACCACATCCCAAGGTACAACTTGCTTTCAGAAGACACCAATGCCCAACAACTTTTACAGGCAGATATTGCCTATTTCCCAACACTTCCAACAAAGAGCATCTGATTGTCAGTAACGTGGCTTCAGCTTTTTTTTTTTTTCAAACAAGAAAGCAAACTCTTAAAATATAGCTATAACACCTAGTGCCCAAATCTAGGTTACTAAATGCCATTCTCTAGTAAAAAGAGACAGGGCTCCTTGGGAAAATGGCTGGTTCCAGGGGTGTGGCAGGGAAAGTATAAGATGGGCCTGCAGCATCTTGTGGTGCCAGAAAACAAGAAATTGTTCAAAGAGAGATGAAAATGTGTCCAAGGACAAAGGAGATTAGAGATGTCCTACTGGTCAAATATGGGACATTTGCAAATCAAAATAAAGAATAGTTTAATGTGTTATAACCCACTGAGTAAAGGAGACAACTATAGTCTATGAGGATATACATAAATAAACGCAGGAGAAAGAAAAGTGCTCCCTTATACTGGAAAGCCAACCAAGCCACGTCAAAAGAAAGATGGCATTTGAAAATCAACATTTGTCGACCTCGGCCATAATAATTTTTCCAAGTGAGAATCGTCAGTGAATGGTAAAACTGGTGGGTGAAAGTTTGAGTAACAGTATATTTACATAAGCCCAATGCATCTCCCTACAAGATACTACAGTAACTTTACAGCAGAGAAACCCGATGGACACTACCTTAACCAAGTGATGCAAGTTTGCATTGCCATTAATGGGACAATCAGACATCATGTGCATCCTGATATGATGCACTGAAAGAGACACAGCATCACTTCTGTGAGATTCCTACCAAAATGCATAACCTGAGTCTTATTATGAGGAAGCATCAGACAAACTCGAATTGAGGAACTGTCCAAAAATAACTAGCCTGCACTCTCCAAAAATGTCAGTGTCATGAAACACAGAGAAAGACTGAGGGACTCTTCCATATGGAAGGAGACTACAGAGCTATAACAACCAAATGCACATTATTCAGAGGATTTTTTTTTTTTGCTATAAAGGCTATTGTTGAGGAAATTTGTGAGTTCTAAATAAGGTCTGTAGATTCTATATATAATAGTATTTTTATCGATGTGAATTTCCTGATTTTTGATAATTATTCAGTGTTTATATAACACAATTCCTTATTTTAGGAAATACTCATTGAAGTATTTAGGTATAAAAAGGCATCACGTCTGCAACTGACTATCAATTGGTTCAGGGGAAAACAGAAATATATATAAAGAATATATATAAAGAATACACATATAAATATATATAGATAGATACATAGATACATCAATAGATCAATGGAACAGAATACATCTATGAGACAGAGGAAGAAACAGGGTAGGCTAAACAAATGTGGTAAAATGTGAACATTTAACAAATCTAGGTGAAGAGTATACAGCAATTTTTTGTACTATTCTTGAAACTTTTCTGTAAGTCTGAAATTGTCAAAATAAAAATTCAAAAAAATCCTAATGGAAAAAACATAGCTAAAAAACATCTACAGCCGGGCACAGTGGCTCACGCCTGAAATCCCAACACTTTGGGAGGCCAAGGCGGGTGGATCTCTTGAGGTCAGGAGTTTGCCCATCTCTACTAAAAACACAAAAATTAGCCAGGCATAGTGGTGGGCACCTGTAACCCCAGCTACTCAGGAGGCTGAGGCAGGAGAATCACTTGAACCAGGGAGGCGGAGGTTGCAGTGAGCCACAATACACCACTGCACTCCAGCCTGGGTGACAGAGCAAGAATCCATCTCAAAAAAACCAAAAAAACAAAAATCCCAGCACTTTAGAAGGCCAAGGTGGATGAATTGCTTGAGCCCAGGAGTTTGAGACCAGCCTGGGCAATATGGCAAAACCTAGTCTCTACAAAAATGAGCCGGGGTGTTGGCACGCACCTATGGTCCCAGCTACTCAGGAGGCTGAAGTGGGAGCAGTGCTTGAGCCTGGCAGGTTGAGGCTGCAGTAAGCCATAATTGTACCACTGCACTCTAGCCTGGGCAACAGAGCAAGACTGTACCTCAAAAAAAAAAAAAAAAAAAAAAAAGCCAGGCGCGATGGCTCATGCCTGTAATCCCAGCACTTTGGGAGGCCAAGTCGGGTGGATCACCTGAGGTCAGGAGTTCAAGACCAGCCTGACCAATATGGTGAAACCCTGTCTCTACTAAAAAACACAAAATTAGCTGGGTGTGGTGGTGCATGCCTGTAATCCCAGCTACTTGGGAGGCTGAGGCAGGAGAATCGCTTGAACCCAGGAGACAGAGGTTGCAGTGAGCTGAGATTGCACCACTCCACTCCAGCCTGGGCAACAAGAGCACAACTCTGTCTCAAAAAAAAAAAAAAAAGAAAGAAAAAAAAATCTACAAAAAACCTATAGCTAGTGCCATATTTACTGGTGAGAAACTAGAAGCTTTCTCCCCAAGGTCAGGAACAAGGCATGGATGTCTGCTCTCACTACTTCTATTCAATATCATACTAGAAGTCCTAGCTAATGCAATACGACAAGAAAAGGTACACAGACTAGGATGGAATAAGTAAAATAATCTCTGTTTGCAGATGACATGATTGTTATGTTTAAAATCCCAAGGAATCAACAACAACAAAATAACTTCTGGAACTAATAAGCAATTATAGCAAGGTTGCAGGATACAAGGTTAATATACAAAAGTCAAGTGCTTTCTTCTTTTTTTTTTTTTTAATAGAGACAGGGTCTCACTGTTACCCAGGCTGGTCTTGAACTCCTGGGCTCAAGTGATCCTCCTGCCTTGGCCTCCCAAAGTGCTGGGATTACAGGTGTGTCCGGCCTCAAGTGCTTTCTTATATACCAGCAATGAATAGTTGGAATTTAAAATAAAAAACACAATATCACATTAGCACCAAGAAAATGAAATATTTAGGTATAAATCTAACAAAATATGTACAAGATCTACATGAGGAAAACTATAAAACTCTGATGAAAGAAATCAAAGAAAATATAAATAAATGGAGAGCTATTTATTGTATATAGATAGGAAGACTCAATATTATCAAGACGTCAGCTCTTGCCAACTTGATCTACAAATTCAGCACAATCCCAAACAAAATCCCACTAAGTTATTTGTTGGGTATCAACAAACTAATTCTATTTTTTTTTTTTTTTCCGAGATGGAGTCTTGCTCTGTCACCTAGGCTGGAGTGCAGTAATGCGATCTCGGCTCACTGCAACCTCCACTTCCCGGGTTCAAGCAATTTTCCTGCCTCAGCCTCCCCAGTAGCTGGGATTACAGGCTCCTGCCACTGAGCCCAGCTAATTTTTGTATTTTTAGTAGAGACGGGGTTTCACCATGTTGGCCAGGCTGGTCTCAAACTCCTGACCTAGCAATCCACCTGCCTCAGCCTCCCAAAGTGCTGGGATTACAGGCGTGAGCCACCACGCCCGGCCACTAATTCTAAATTTTATCTGGAAAGGCAAAGGACCCAGAATAACCAACACAATATTGAAGGAGAAAAACAAAGTCAGAAGACTGACACTACCTGACTTCAAGACTTACTATATAAAGCTACAGTTATCAAGATAGTGTGGTATTGATAAAAGAATAGACAAATAGATAAATGGAACAGAATAGCCCAGAAATAGACACATAAAAATATAACCGATTTCTGACAAAGGAGCAAAGGCAATTCAATGGAAGAAGGATACTCTTTTTGATAAAACGGTGCTGGAACAACTGGACATCCATATGCAAAAACACTCATCTAGACACAGACCTTACACCTTTTGCAAATATTAACTCAAAATGGATCATAGGCCTAAGTATAATACGCAAAAATATAAAATTCCTAGAAGGTGACATAAGAGAAAATCCAGGTGACTTTGGCTTTAGCAATGACTTTTTAATTTTTTTTTAATTTTTTTGACACACAGTCTCACTCTGTCACCCAGGCTGGAGTGCATGACATAATCTATGCTCACTGCAACCTCTGCCCCCCAAGCTCAAGTGATCCTCCCACCTCAGCCTCCCAAGTAGCTGGGATCACAGGTGCACGCTACCATGCCCAAATAATTTTCTGTATTTTTAGTAGAAACAGGATCTCGCCATGTTGCCCAGGCTGGCAATAACGTTTTAGATACAACACCAAAAGCACGATGCATAAAAGAAAAAACTGATAAATTTGGTTTCATTAAAATTAAAAACTTGTGCTCTGCTGAAGACACGTTTAAGAGAATGAAAAGACAAGCCACAGAATGGGGAAAATATCTGCAAAACACATATCTAATAAAGAACTGCTATCTAAAAGATACAATTACCTCTTAAAACTCGACAATAAGCCCAGACCCAGTGGCTAATGCCTGTAATCCCAGCACTTTGGGAGGCCAAGGTGAGTAGATTGCTTGAGTCCAGGAGTTCAAGACCAGCCTGGGCAACATGGCAAAATGCCATCCCTATAAGAAAAACAATAATAATTTTTTTTTTGAGATGAAGTCTTGCACTCTCACCGGGGCTGGAGTGCAGTGGTGTGATCTCGGCTCACTGCAACCTCCGCCTCCTAGGTTCAAGCGATTCTCCTGCCTCAGCCTCCTGAGTAGCTGGGATTACAGGCGCCCACCACTACGCCCAGCTAATTTTGTGTATTTTTAGTAGAGACAAGGTTTCACCATGTTGGCCAGGCTGGTCTTGAACTCCTGACCTCGTGATTCACCCACCTCAGCCTCCCAAAGTGCTGGGATTACACGTGTGAGCCACCACGCCCAGCCAGTAATTCTTTTTTAAAAAGAAAAAAACCCTCAATGATAAGAACATAAACAATCCAATTTAAAAGTGGGCAAAAGATCTGAACAGACACCTCAGCAAAGAAGATATACAGATGGCAAAGAAGCATATGAAAAGATGCTCAACATCATGTATCATTAGGGAATTGAGAATTAAAATAACAATAAGATACCACCACACCCCTATTAGCATGGCTAAAATTCAAAACACTGACAGCATCAAATGCTGACAAGGAGTGTAGAGCAACAGGAATCCTCATTGCAAAGTGGGAATGTAAAATAGTACAGCCACATTGGAATAGTTCCTTATAAAGATAAACATACTCTTACCATATGATCCAGCAATCATGCTTCTTGGTATTTACCCAAATGAGCTGAAAATTTATGTCCACATAAAAATCTGTACATGAATGTTTATAGCAGTTGTTTTCAAAGTTGCCAAAACTTGGAAGCAACCAACGTGACTGAGAAAACACACCGTGGTACATCCATTCAATGGAATATTATTTGGCAATAAAAAATGAGCTATCAAGCCATGAAAAGACGTGGAGGAAACTTAAATGCATATTGCTAAGTGGAGGACACTAATCCTTCCTTCATACTGTAGGCTACATACTGTATGATTCCAACTATATGATATTTGGGAAAAGCCAACTATGGAAAAGTAAAAGGTCAATAGTTGCCAGGGGTTTGAGGGAAGGAGGAAGGTCAATAGGTAGAGCGCAGAGGATTTTTTTTTTTTTTTTGAGACAGAGTCTTGCTCTGTTGCCAAGCTGGAGTGCAGTGGCACGATCTCGGCTCACTGCAACCTCCACCTCTCAGATTCAAGCAATTCTCCTGCCTCAGCCTCCCGCACCCAGCTAATTTTTGTATTTTTAGTAGAGACAGGGTTTCACCATGTTGGCCAGGATGGTCTCGATCTCTTGACCTCATGATCCACCCGCCTTGGCCTCCCAAAGTGCTGGGATTACAGGCATGAGCCACTATGCCCAGTCAAGCACAGAGGATTTTTTAGGGCAATGAAACTACTCTGTATGATATTGTAATGGTGGATACATGACATCAGACATTTGTCAAAACCCACAAAATGTACAACCCCAGGAGTGAATCCTAAAGCAAACTATGAACTTTTGTTAATAATAATGTACCAGGCTGGGCGCAGTAGCTCACGCCTGTAATCCCAGCACTTTGAGAGGCCAAGGCGGGTGGATCACGAGGTCAGGAGTTCAAGACCAGCCTGGCCAACATGGTGAAACCCCATCTCTACTAAATATACAAAAATTAGCCTGGTGTGGTGGTGCGCACCTGTAATCCCAGCTATTCAGGTGGCTGAGGCAGGAGAATCATTTGAACCCAGGAGGTGGAGGTTGCAGTGAGCCAAGATCGCACCACTACACGCCAGCCTGGGTGACAGAGTGAGACTTCGTCTCAAATAATAATAATAATAATAATAATAATAATAATAATGATAATGTACCAATATTGGCTCATCAGTTTTAGCAAATGTATCACATGTTAATAATAGAGGAAACTGTAGTAGGGTGAAGGGGTTTATGGGAACTCTGTGCACTTTCCACCCAATTTTTGTGTAAACCTAAAACAGCTAAAAAAATAAAGTCTAGGGTTGGGCATGGTGGTCATGCCTGTAATCCCATCACTTTGGGAGGCCAAGGTGGGAGGATCACTTGAGCCTAAGAGTTTGAGACCAGTCTAGGCAACATAGGGAGATCCCGTCTCTACAGAAAATTTAAAAATTAGCCAGGCGTGGTGGTGCATGGCTGTGGTCCCAGCTACTCGGGGGGCTGAGGTGGGAGGTCAAGGCTGTAGTGAGCCATGATCACACCACTGCACTCCAACGTGGGCAACAGGGAGAGATTCTGTCTCATAAAACAAACAAACAGACAAAAAATAAAAATAAAGTCTCTATATTTTTATTAAAAAAATGGAAATATTGATATATGCTACATCATCTATGAACCTTGAAAACATCATGTTAGTGAGAAGTCAATCACAGAAGGCCACATTTTGTATGATTCCTTTTATATGAAATGTTCAGAACAGGAAAATCTATCTACAGAGACAGAAAGTAGATTAGTCATTGTCTAGTGATGGGGAATGGGAACAGTGGGGGGTTATGGCTAAGGGGTATAGGGTTTCTTTTTGGAGTTGATATGGTTTGGCTCTGTGTCCCCACCCAAATCTCATCTTGAATTGTAATCCCCAGGTGTTGAGGGAGGGACCTAGTGGAAAGTGATTGGATCATGGGGGCAGTTTCCCCCATGCTGTTTTCATGATAGTGAGAGAATCCTCACAAGGTCTAATGGTTTTTTAAGTGTTTGACAGTTCCTCCTTCACACGCACTCTCTCTCTCCTGCCATCATGTAAGACGTGCCTGCTTCCCCTTCCACCATGATTGTAAGTTTCCTGAGGCCTCCTCAGTCATGCAAAACTGTGAGTCAATTAAACTTCTTTTCTTTATAAATTACCCAGATTCTGGCGTTCTTTATAGCAGTGTGAAAACGGACAGGAGAAATGAAAAATATTCTAAAATTGATTGTGGTGATGATTGAACAACTCTATGGATATACTAAAAGCCATTGAATTCTACACTCTAAAGGAGTGAATTGTATGGTAAATGAATTATATCTCAATAAAGCTGTTTAAAATGACAAAAAAAAAAAAATAGCCACACACACACACACACACTTGTGTAGCCTTAGAATGTTCACACAAAGGTCCTACAAAAAACTGGTAACAGTGGAGAGCCCCAGTGGAGATCTGGGGAACTGAGGATAAGGAGTGAGAAAGAGACAGTTTTCACTGTATAACCTCTTGCGTCACTTGAAGGTTTTATCTTATGTGTGCATTACATACTCCAAAATTCCCCTCAAATACTATTGCTTCCCAAAAGCCTACCGTGCTTTCCCTTACTTCTCTCAAACAACAATCTCTCTTTATGCTATCTCCTAAAATTAGACATAGAGAAAATCAAACCTAAACCCTGGCCAAACAAATCTAAACAAAGCAAGAAAAAAATAAAATAAATGCCAAAACCCACGCAGAAAGGAATTCCGTAAGTATATCCACTCAAAGGAGTATTTTGTGGCCATTTAAATGATGTTTATAAAAATTTTAATGGGAAATGTTTATGTGAAAATGGCAGTATGTAATTGAACATACAGCATGATCCCAAATACGGTTTTTCTAAGCCTAGATAAAAGCCTAAATACACCAAGATACTAACATTGGTTGTATTTAGATGGTAGGACGTTTTTCTTTCCCTAAATTTTCATCAATGAACACATTACTTCCGGTGGGACAGAAGTCATCATTAGTTTGTTCAAGGCTCCTCTCTTGATTCCTTTCGTTTGTTAATTTTATTTTTTCTCCTGTATTTCTACTCCCTTTACACCCAAAGACAAACATTTCAATGTATTTAATGAATTTAGCTTCTAACATCAGAAACATTTGCACATGTGTATATATTTTAAGGAGTTCCTAAGAATTTTTTGAGACAGAGTCTTGCTCTGTCACCCAGGCTGGAGTGCAGTAGTGTGATCTTGGCTCACTGCAGCCTCCACTTCCCAGGCTCAAGTGGTCCTCCCACCTTGGCCTCCCAAGTAGTTGGGACTACAGGCGTGTGCCACCACACCTGGATAATTTTTGTTGTTGTTATTTTACAGACGGGGTCACAATATATTGTCCAGGCTGGTCTCAAGCTCCTGTCTTCAAGTAATCCACTCGCCTAGGCCTCCCAAAGCACTGGGATTACAGGTGTGAGCCACCCTGCCCAGCCTTTTTTTTTTTTTTTTTTTTTTTTAATACATAAAAAGTGCCCCATCTGGCCTGGCATTCTAGCTCTGGGCCATCCACTGCACAATGTCACAGTAGGTGCTCAAAATATAATTTCTTCTCTCTCTTCTACCTTGACAGCTATTTCTCTAAGACCCAGGTTCCAGGCACGACTTCGCCATTAACTACCCTGTTGTCCAAAGGGAATACTGAGAGGACGACACAATGTGAAAAGTGACGGAGTTGATCAGAGTTGGGCGCCCACCACATCGGTACTTAGCTGTGTAGCTTTGACAAGTCACCTAAGTCTCCCTGTGCCTCAGTTTTCTTACCTATAAGGGGGAGGGGAAATAATATCACCTACCTCATAAGGCCCTCACTTTCTATCCGCACTTCTCTTCTACCACGGCTCCCTGCTCAAGACCTATCTGGTTTGGGATCCTCGGCCACCTTACTCTGCGTCAGCTGACACAAGCCACGCCCCCATAAACCACGCCCCGGGGCGGAGGGAAAACTGTTGCTAGGCAACAAGTGACGTCACGCAGGCCCTCGGGCTAGAGTGCACAATCACAGAACTGAAAACAAATTTCATTCGTCATCCAACCATTCATGCTCCTGGATTCCTTCAATGCATATTCGCCGCCCCTTCCTTTTGGGACCATCCAGGTGCTGGGCTTTGCTGAAGACAGAATTCCTGCCCTCAGGGAGCTTCCTATCTGAAAGGAGAGAGAGCCCCAGACAACAGTTCTGCACGGTACAGGAGCAGAGGGGCGCTGTGGGAGCCCAGATGACAGGATCTCATCCAACTTGGGAACAAAGATAGGCTGCGTGAATAAAGTGACACTTCAACAGCTGAATTAATGGGGTTTGGGTGTCAGTGTGAAAGGCCTTTCATGCAGAAGACATTGCAAAGACACCTGGGGGGAAAAAAAAACTGGTGCAGTCTAGGAAGCACTTGTAGTTAGTTGCACTTATAGTTATGTGCTCAGTGGTCAGAGCACAGGGTGTGAGGCCAAGAGTGGCAGGTGATGAGACTCAAGAGGTCTGGCAGGGGCCAGAACTTATGTGACCTTAATGACCTATCAAGCAGCTAGACTTTACCCTGTGGGGTATGGAGTGTCATAGAAGGAAAGGTTGTGTTGACTAGCATCAATGCCCTCTTACTGCTGATGTGCCAAGTATTAGGTTGAAAATGGCCAGTCTGGAAGCCAGGGAGTAGATTTGGGGTCATTCATGTGAGGGATGTTGAGGCTGGAACAGGATAGTGGCAGAAGATGAGGAAAGAAGGTAGATTTGACGTACAGAAAGGAGAGACTCAACTGGACTTGGTGAGGAATCAGCTATGAGGAGACAGGAGGATTTTAGGCTGCACATAAGGCAGAGAACACAGAGGAAATTGCACAAGTTTAAGGGGGTGATTAAGACAAAGATAAGTGCCAGAGGAACTCTGAGGGCTGAGAAATCAGTGTGGGATAGAATGGGCAGAAACATGTAAAATGAGGAGGATCATTATGAGGAGGAGGGATTCGGGCTAAGACTCACTGTGTGACTTTGGACCAGTCACTATCTTTCTCTGGTCCTTTAGGTTTCCACCTGCTAAACTGGGAGATGGAGAATGATAATTGGGAGGAATGAATTACATAAGAGAATGTTCAAGAAATGCCTAGCCCTGTAGGCAATATGGATGGGAAGCATGTGGCAGGTTTGTTTGGTCCAGGGTGGGGTGGGGCTGGGCTGCCATTTGGGCAACAGCGATGCCACAGGCAGGAGGACACACATACATGCAGAAAAAAGAGGGCGCAGGGAAGGGGAAATGTGACCTGGGCACATGCATGTTGGATTTGAGGAGCTCAAAGGCCAAGGCAGTCAGAAGCCAAGGCAGTCAAATCAATGCTACTCTGGGAGGCCCTGTCTTGGCAGTTAGCAGAGAGGGGCTTCTCTGGACTGTGACTCCTAGACTGCCACTTCCTCAGGAAATATCCAGGTCTGCAAGGCCCGAGTCCTCTGGGTTTTGTTCCCAAGTCACCACCAGAATTGCTGTGTGAAGCTGAGTCTGTTCTGAACCACTCTGGGTCCAGGTTCCTCATATGAACAACACAAAAAGGCATGTGTGTGTTGGTGGGGAGGTGGACGAAACATTTCCAAAGGTCCCCTCCTGGTTTGTTATGCTTCAGTTCCATGGCCCTAAGTCCTTTTTAGAAAAGTCTAGACCTGTCTCTGACTTGCTGTGTGGCCTTGAGCCAGCTGCTGGACCTCTCTGGCCCTATTTTCATATCTGAAATATTAGGAGATTGGGGAGGAGAGTCTCCAACGTCCAATGATTCTCCCTAGAGGACGCTCACCCTCATCTCCAGCTGAAAGCTTCAGACAAATCAGAGGAAAGTGAGGCGCTGGTCACAGACCACCCCCCTTCCAAATCTTCCATCTTCTCCCACTGCCCTCCCCTCCGCACTGTCAGGAGCTTGCAGCACTGGCTTGCTTGCCAAACTTGTTGCCATGACAACGGGTTACAAATAACTCAGATGCAGACGAAGATTTTAACCCAAGAGCTGCTGGGCCAAGGGCTTCTTGCTCCCTCCTCAGACCAGACTGAGGGAACAATCTGATAGATTCTCACAAGATGGTCAAGGTTTCTCAGTGTCACAAGAAGAAGTCCTGGCATTCCAGGCCCTCCAAAACCCTGATTCAAATCTTTCCAATCACATTTGCCACTTGCTTCCATTAAAAAGCGATCACTCCAAAAAAATTAGCCAGGCGTGGTGGCACGCGCCTGTAGTCCCAGCTACTCGGGAGGCTGAGGCAGGAGAATCTCTTGAACCCGGGAGGCAGAGGTTGCAGGGAACTGAGAAAAAGCCACTGCACTCCGCCTGGGTGACAGAGTGAGACTCCGTCTCAAAAAAAGAAAAAAAAAAAGTGATCACTCCTATTTTTTTGACACCTACTGTATACCAAGCCCTGTGTTGGATGCTTTACATACAGTATCTAAGGAAATCTTCCCAGCACTCTATCAGGTAGACATGACTATTCTACCTGGGACTATATTTTATCTGGAACATTATTTTATAGAGAAGAAAATCGAGGCCCATGGATATGAATTGAGCAAGGAGGTCCAAAGACTCAGAATTCGGACGGGCGCGGTGGGTCATGCCTGTAATCCCAGCACTTTGGGAGGCCGAGGCAGGTGGATCACCTGAGGTCAGGAGTTCGAGACCAGCCTGGCCAACATGGTGAAACCCCGTCTCTACTAAAAATACAAAAAAAATTAGTTGGGCGCAGTGGCGGTTGCCTGTAATCCCAGCTACTTGGGAGGCTGAGGCAGGAGAATCGCTTGAACCTGGGAGGCGGAGGTTGCAGTGAGCCGAGATCACACCATTGCACTCTAGCCTGGGCGACAAGAGCAAAACTCCGTCTCAAAAAAAAAAAAAAAAAAAGGAGTCAGAATTCAAACCCAAACCCATCAGATTCCCAAACCCAGGCTTTTTCTATTGCCAATGGTTCACGAATGTTGGTCTACAGACTTGGTGTATCCAGAAAATCTGGAGCAGTTAAAATTCAGATAGTACTGCCGTTCAAGAAGGTGGAATGCATTTGTTTTCTCTAATTCCTAAGACTCCACAAAATAAAAAGATCAAGGGTATAAACTCACAACTCCAAAGAAAACTGGAGGAGCTCCCATCAATGGGAGAGAGATTTCAACAACTTTCTGGCAAGCAGAAAGGGGGCGGGAGGGGTGGTAACTGAGAAGGCAGTGCAGGGGAAGGAATGAGCAGAGTCCACATGTGGGAAGGGATCCACCGGGAGAGAGCTCATCTACCCTGCCAAATCCTGGAGAGGTGCAGTAAAGGTATCCTGATGTGGGAGCAAGACATAAAGCCTCAAACATAATTGAAAGTGTGTGTTGGAACGGTTAATCTCCCCCAACTCAATGTTGGAACAGTTAATTTCCTCCTTATCTCCCCCATGCTCATGGGTAGAAATCACAGCAGCCAACAAGTCTCTACACTCCAGCAAAATATCAGCGGGTTCTCCAAAGAAACCAAACAGTCCCAAAGCAAAGGCCTCTATTTTCGGTACTTAGGGGTCCTCCAGCAGATTGTACAGGTCCTTACTCAGTCACTTTAATGGGACTTGACAAACACCTGCCCTTACACAGGGCTCCAAATCAATCAACTTTTTATTTATTTTTAAAATAGAGACCAGGTTTCTCCGTGTTGCCCAGGCTGGTCTCAAACTCCTGGGCTCAAATGATTCTCCCACCTTGGCCTCCCAAAGTGCAATGATTACAGGTGTGAGCCACCATGTCCGGCTCAACTTTTTATTGTGTTCTTCTTAAATCAATGGGCCAGGCTGGGCACGGTGGCTCACGCCTGTAATCCCAGCACTTTGGGAGGCCGAGGCAGGGAAATCACCTGAGGTCAGGAGTTTGAAAGCAGCCTGGCCAACATTGTGAAACCATGTCTCTACTAAAAATACAAAAATTAGCCGGGCATGGTGGCAGGCACCTGTAATCCCAGCTACCTGGGGGAGGCTAGGGCATGAGAATCGCTTGAACCCAGGAGGTGGAGGTTGCAGTGAGCCAAGATTGCGCCACTGCACTCCAGCCTGGGGGACAGAGCGAAACTCTGTCTTAAAAAAAAAAAATCGGCCGGGCGCGGTGGCTCACGCCTGTAATCCCAGCACTTTGGGAGGCCGAGGCGGGCGGATCACGAGGTCAGGAGATCGAGACCATCCTGGCTAACACGGTGAAACCTCGTATCTACTAAAAAATACAAAAAATTAGCCGGGCGTGCTGGCGGGTGCCTGTAGTCCCAGCTACTCCGGAGGCTGAGGCAGGAGAATGGTGTGAACCCGGCAGGCGGAGCTTGCAGTGAGCCGAGATCCACGCCACTGCACTCTAGACTGGGTGACAGAGCAAGACTCCGTCTCAAAAAAAAAAAAAAAAAATCAATGGACTGATAGGTTTGAACATTTGTGAAGAAATATGCTAATAGATTTATGAACGAACGGATGAAACAAATGGGAAAAACTAAGATTAGGCACATTTCCAATGTGGAAAAAGTCCAAGCAATTATTAAAATCAGGAATATAAAAAAATGAAAAAAAAGGTAATTATAGTATACTTCTTGGCTCTGTAGTGACTACTGATTTACTAGGAGTTTGGATATAAACATATTGGAAGAATGAAGGGAGGGAAAGTAGGGTGTGTGTGTGGAAGAGATAGAAAAGAGGTAAATCCTGTTCTACCATAAGATCTCAAGAGATAATGTCTCAGATTGCTAAGTTAAGAAATAATGGTGGCCAGGCACGGTGGCTCATGCCCGTAATCCCAGCACTTTGGGAGGCTGAGGTGGGCGGATCACTTGAGGTCAGGAGTTCGAGACCAGCTTGGCCAACATGGTGAAACCCTGTGTCTACTAAAAATACAAAAATTAGCTGGGTGTGGTGGCAGGCGCCTGTAATACCAGCTGCTCAGGAGGCTGAGGCAGGAGAAATGCTTGAACCTGGGAGGTGGAGGTTTTAGTGAGCCGAGATCGTGCCATTGCACTCCAGCCTGGGCATTGCAGCGAGACTCTGTCTCGAAAGAAAGAAAGAAAGAATGATATAAGCATATGACAAGGAACCATGGCGGTCCATCAAATAAAAATCATTTCAGCTACAAGTAACAAAAAACTCAACTGATAGTGGCTTAAACACATATGGCTTTATTTATTTTTTTAAGTTAACAGGAACTGTGGCATGGGTTCAGCTGCTCAATGATGCCATCAAGAAATTGGGCTCTTTCTGACTTTCTTCCTTCACATGTTGTCTTCTTCCTCGTGCTCATCCCCACATGGTCACAAGATGGCTGTCACAGCTCCAGACGGCTTGACTATATTCAAAGCAGAAAGAAAGAAGGGGACAACATCAGCTATTTGTGCCTCTGCTCAGAAAAGCAAATACTTTTTCAGAAGGCCCGCAGCAAACATCTCACTGGCCAAAGCCAGGTCACGTAGTCATCCTTAGCTGCAAGGGAGGCTAAGAAAGTATCTGGTTCTTCAGCCTCTGAGTGGGAGGTGGCAAGGAACAAGGGATTTGGAAGTAGTTGCCTCTAGGGAGCAGGACTTGCAGTGGGAAGGAGTAGGACAGGATATTGTTGGATTTTATTAGGCATCTCTTAGCACTGTTTTATTTTTTTAAGTATGTATATATATTCCTTTGATAAAAAATAAAAATTAGGCCATGTGTGGTCGCTCACACCTGTAATCCCAGCACTTTGGGAGGCCAAAGCGAGCGGATCACCTGAGGTCAGGAGTTCGAGACCAGCCTGGCCAACATGGTGAAACCCTGTCTCTATTAAAAATACAAAACTTAGCCAGGCATGGTGACACACATCTGTAATCCCAGCTACTCCAAAGACTGAGGCAGGAGAATTGCTTGAACCCAGGAGGCCGAGGTTGCAGTGAGCCAAGATTGCGCCACTGCACTCTAGCCTGAGCAACAGAGCAAGACTCTGTCTCAAAAATAAATAAATAAAATTAAATTTAAATTAAAAAATAAAGTGTTATGGTTTCTATGAAAAAAGAAATCTTAAAAATAAAAGCTGGTAATAGTTTTCTATCTCCAGAGCAAAGGATAGCAATTCATCTTGGAAGCAAACTTACCAGAATACGCTCTTTACTTAGACTGAGGTATCTCAGGTATCCACCTACTGATCTTAGAGAAAATTGTGCTATCACTATTAACCTGAATGTGGCTGGTGGAAACCAGGACAGCTCTGTACAGCAGTTAACATGGGTTGACTGTGGTTAGACAGTCCTGGTGCAATTTCCTGTCTGCCATTTATTAGCTCTGTGACCCTGGGCAAATGACACCCGGGAGCTTCATTTTCCTTGTTTATGAAATGAAAGTAACTCAAGTGCCTGCCACAGAGTAAGCACTCAGCAAATATCCACTATGATTAAAATGTTAAATGTTCTGTGTACTGATATAATCTGGGTGTCCTTTACAGTACTATGCTTCCACTGAGTTAATTTTTTATCCTAAACATGAATTGGGACTAGATTCATGTTTAGTCCCAATTCATGTTGGGACTAAAATGCCAAAGTGAAAATTGTTTGTTTTTGAGAGGTATGTGTGCATATTTTTTCTCAGGCCTTTGCTCACAGAAGATACCCCATTGGGACCACATCAGGAGACATGCAGGTTTGAAATGCTATGGACTCCTGTTGGAGGAAGCACTGTAAAAAGGAATGAGGCTGGATTGTTGGCCCTACTACATACATGGTTATTTAACTTTAAAACAACCTACTCTGTGACATGTGCTGCTGAGTACTGTGATGGTCTCTTATGGGCTACGGAGCCCAGATCACCACTGTGCGGCAGGTGTGTTAGAATCCCAGAAAGAAAATTGATATGGGGAGTGTTACATGGGAGCAGGAAATGCAGTTGGCCTGGGAGTGAAGAATGTGAAAATGGCCTCCTCTCTTTGATGCCATGGTGAGAGCTGGAGATCTGGATTGCAGGCAGGGAGCACATGGCGAGAACCATAGGGTGGTGGAAGACAATCTTGCCCACACATGGTATGAAACTGGGAGGTTATGGAGAGGGACAGCCAGTAGGCAGCCTCCCTCAGAAAGGCATAAGTGACCTTCTCCCAGAGAGGTTCTATCTGGTATCCTTTGAAATGTTTCCTGTCTGGCCTGATAATTATCTTCTGTTATCTGTAAGACGCCAGTAAAGTTCTATTAAGTACACATACACAGACGATACTTCATTCATAAAAAAAAGAAGAAAAGGATGCAATGAAAAGGCATCTTTGGAGAATAAGAATGCTGAGAAATGAAAAATGACTGCCAAAATAAAGGTGTCCAGTAGAAGATAAAGTCAAAACAAGGTCCCATAATATAGAATTAAAAAAACAAAAGACATGGAAAATACATATGTGAGAAGATAATCATCCAGGAAATCCAATATCCAACTAACAGGAGTTCTAGAAAGAACGGAGAAAGTAAGCAAAGAAATAAAACAGCAACTTCTCAGAGCAGGGGGACACAAGTCTTCAGATTGAAAGGGCCCACCCACCAGGTGCCCAGCAAAGTAGACGAGGGAAAACCCCACTGCTGGGCACATGATTGTGACATTTCAAAACACTAAGTATGAAGAAAAAAAAATTAAGCTTCCAGATGTAGAGAAAACAGGTTGCCAGCAAAGGAATGAGAATAATATTAGCATGTGACTTTTAATCAGTGACACTACAGGCTAAAGCAGTATCTTCAAAATTCAGAGGAAAAATTGTTTCTAACATAGAATTCTAAAGTCAAACTATCATTGGAATATGAAGGTAAAACAATGACTACATATTCAGATATGTAAAGACCCTAAAATTTACCTTTCTTAAGAAGTTACTCGAGGATGTTCTCCAACAAAATGTACGATGTGGCCAGGTGCAGTGTCTCACGCCTGTAATCCCAGCAATTTGGGAGGCTGAGGCAGGCGGATCAGGAGGTCCAGAGATGGAGACCATCCTGGACAACATGGTGAAACCCCATCTCTACTAAAAATACAAAAATTAGCCAGGCGTGGTGGCGTGCACCTGTAGTCCCAGCTACTCAGGAGGCTGAAGCAGGAGAATCGCTTGAACCCTGGAAGCAGAGGTTGCAGTGAGCTGAGATCGCACCACTGTACTCCAGCCTGGGTGAAAGAGCAAGACTCTGTCTCAAAATGGTGCAATCTCAGCTCACTGCAACCTCCATCTCCTGGGTTCAAGTAATTCTCCTGCCTGAGCCTCCCGAGTAGCTGGGATTATAGGCATGTGCCACCATGCCTGGCTAATTTTTTGTATTTTTAGTACAGACAGGGTTTCTCTATGTTGGTCAGGCTGGTCTCGAACTCCCAACCTCAGGCGATCTGCCTGCCTGGGCCTCCCAAAGTGCTGGGATTACAGGTGTGAGCCGCTGCACCCAGCCTAGAAAAGAGATTTATTATGAAGTTATCAGGTAGCTCACGGAAGTCTAGAGAATCAGGCTGAGAACATGGAGTGGGAGCGAGGAAGGCAGGCATCAGGAACCACAGCTAAGGGTCCACCATAAAAACAGCCTGGTTAGAATGCTGCTGTTGGCACTGCTCCCTGCACTGCTCCTACCAGTGGACCTTATCCTACTGGCACATGCCACTGCAAGGGAGCTCCAACCATCCTCACATCTGTTGTTTTGGTTTATTTGTTGTGGACTTCAGAGTTTAGTTAATCATAATCTGCAATTTATGGCACATTATGACCAGTTCACTGAAGGCTGCTCTTTTACTTTAGTTCTTCTTTTACTTTATCTTCTTCTTCTTCCCCATCAGTCCCTATCCTTACTCCCATTCTCCTGCCTAACTCAGTGAGCCTCTCCAGTGTAATTAACGTATGTATACTTTCAATCCGTCTTCCATATGTTTATTTATATGCATATCCATGAAAATACATAGTGTTGTTTTACATTTCTGTAAATGGAATTGTACTATAAATACTATTCTGTTTCTTACTTTTTTCTCTCAATGCTGGGGATTTTAGAGACCTATCCATGTGGCTATATGTAAATCTAGTTTATTACTTTTGTTTTGTAGTTTTCCATCGTATGAATATACAGTTTGTTTATCCTGTCCTATAGTGATGAACACCTGATTGCTTCTGATTCCTCACTACCACAAACAGTGCTGCAATGAACAACCTCAACTATATTTTCTTAGGACCTGTATGAGAATTTCTCTGGAATATATGCCCAGAAGCGGGATTACTGGGTTGTAGGGTATTCACATACTTAATTTCATGGGTGCTGCCAAACTCTCTCTGGAATACCTGTACCAGTTTACATTCCAACTCATGGTTGTCCTTTTCCTCACATCCTGATTCATCAGCACTTGATAATATCTGACTTTCTACATGTTACCATTCCTGTAGTGACTTCTCATTATTATTTTAATTTCATTTCTCTAATTATTGGCAGAGTTGAAAAAGCTCTTAATATATTCAAGTTTCCCCTTGTGTAAACTCAAGTTTCCCCTTCTATAAATTACTCTTCATATCCTATGCCCATTTTCCTATTGGGTTTACTATCTTCCTTATATATTCTCCTAATCTATCATCCTTTTGTTAATTTTGTATATTCCTGCCTTCTTTTTGTTGCTGGTTCCAGATTCAAGGCCATGAACAGAGTATTCAGCCCTTGTTGCCTGGCGGGCTGGGAAAGAAAATATCTGACCACCATCAGTTTCCATAGTGGGAAATAGGGCCATGCCTCCCAATTTGGCAGGGATTCCCCCAAAAAACAGCATGGGAAATTAGATGCTAGAGAACAGTAGAGTTCGCTCCTTTGGTCATCCAACATCCACATATAGCCTTCCTCCCGTATTTATGCTTTTAAAAAAAGCTTCCACCTAATACGGTGCAAATATACCTCATATAACCAAACATGCACCCATCCCCTTTCCAGAGTGAGAAAACCAAAAACATAAATTAGAATGCTTTCAGGGACAAGCAATACAAAATCCAACTCAAACTGTCTTGAATAGTAAATGCAATTCATTGGCTCACTTAACTGAAGAGTCCACAGGCAGGGAGATTTCAGGCATGGCATGATCCGGAATATGGTTCCATTTCTGTGATTCTCTTGGCTCTGCCTCCTCCATTTTTCAGCTCCATCCTCAGGTAGGCCTTCCACATGTTCACAAGATGGCTAACAGCAGCAACCAGGCTACATGCTTCTTTGTTCTTATCCAAGGGAAGATAGGTCATCTCCTCCCTCAAAAGCTGAATAAAAGTCCTAAGCCTCATTGTGATTGGGTCATCCCTGAACCAGTCATCACTGTGGCTAGGAGGGTGAAATTACTCAGATCAGTTTATACCAATAAAGGCCTACACCTAGAGCTGGTGGTGGGGTCAATCCCACTCACATTGCATAGTTGTTATACAGCGGGAGAGGAGTGGAATGGATGCTGCAGAACAACTACAATGTCCACTACAAGGGAGTAAACTAAGAAAGAGGAAGATATGGGGTCCAAGAAAGATTGGGTCCAACCCAGAATAATGAAGGGACGTCCCAGGATGACAGCTGCACCGCAGGCCTACAGAGCAATCCGTCCAAATTGGAACAGGAAGACGGAGGACTCCAGGAAGAAGGTATCTGGGGAAAAAGGGGATTCAAATGATTTTATACTTTCCTTGAGACTTTGGAATAACTTAAGAAGGTGATAAAGTCAGACAATGCAAGGAAAAAAAGAAAGACAATTAGAAACTCTAAGGAAAAAAAGGTGTATAAGAAAAGCAATGTAATCCTAATATACTAATTGGATCTTTCTGGAACAATATTTACATAATCATAATAATGTAAACACTTTATTGCCCTTAAACTTTTAGAATGACCTACTGGCAAAGTATGGATGACTTAATTATGGTTATAGAACAAAGTGTAAATATTAACCTTGTTAATATAAAAGTGCAGTTGACAAGTTAAAAGAGAGAAAAGGGAGAGTAAGTCTATTAGTTAAAGGTAGAAAGATAAGGAATAGAGGATATATAATTAGTGACATGGCTATATTGGAGGCATGGGAAAGGCATTCGGGTGGTATAAATAGCAGGAAGTTAATAGAGAATGACTAAAATTGATCAATAAAAGTTGATAAATAGAAAAATCTGTATATTGGCTGAGCGTGGTAGCTCACGCCTGTAATCCCAGCACTTTGGGAGGGCAAGGCGGGCAGATCACCAGAGGTCAGGAGTTCAAGACCAGCCTGGCCAACATGGCAAAACCCCACCTCTACTAAAAATACAAAAATTAGCTGGGCGTGGTGGCGCATGCCTGTAATCCCAGCTACTCGGGAGGCTGAGGCAGGAGAATCGCTTGAACCCAGGAGGCAGAAGTTGTAGTGAGCCAAGATCGCACCACTGCACTCCAGCCTGGGCGACAGAGCAAGACTCCGTTTCAAAAAAAAAAAAAAAGAAAGAAAAAGAAAAATCTGTATATTATTTAGAGATATGAAGATAATTACTGGAAAAAAAAAAACCCAAACAGTTAAAAGTAGACTAGTAGATTTCCAGGTCAAGATGATAAACTTACCATGTGTTTTTCTCCACTTCCTCCTGAGACCCTGCTAAAATCATTGTAAAGGGATTAAAAAGGGTATAAATCCACAATGATGAAGAGAGTGGGAACAGGTCCATCAGCAAAAGAGAGATTTCAACAAATTTCTGGAAGATAGAAGTCAATGGAGGAATGGTGACTGATGGAGCATGGTGGAGGAAGCCACAGCCTGGAGTATGCATGGAGGTGATGCTTCAGAGGAAGAAGTTGCTCTTTCTCTGCAGAAGCCTGGAGTGTCTTGGTCTTGACAATGCCAGGTATGATAAAGGATGGGAGTCAAATGTGGGGCTGAAAATTGGGAGTTTAATGGGAAGGCTGCATATCAAACCATGAATCCCCCTCCCCCTCCCTTGTGCACAATTCACAGCAGCCAGGTGTCTACCCATTAGGCAAAAACCAGAGGGTTCTTCGCTAAGGCTATTGAACAACCTCAAAGAAAAGACGTTAGCATTCTGGCATTCAGGGACTCTGCAGCATAGCAAGTTAGCTCTCTAGTCATCCTAAAGGAAGGCCACCAGTTGCCTAGCCCTGCCCCCATATACAGAGCTTCTGATCAGATTTTTATTGCTACATTCTTAAATATCAGCAAACAACTATGGATCACTAAGCATTTGAGAAAAGACTGCAACTTGAAAGAGACCAAAATAAGTAAACAAGGGAAAAAATAATCCAAATGAAATAGATATTTCAAAGAACAGAAAGAAATATAAAAATATCTCTATTATTTTCAGATTCAAGGTGATAGTACATCCATAAAACAAGAACAGAATGCAATAAGAAAGGAAAAGAGAACAAGAGTGAATACTAAGAAATTTAAAATCTGATTGCCACATGAAAAGACATGCAATAGAAGGGTTGAAAGATAAAGTTAAGTCTTCTCTCAGAAAGTAAACAAAAACAAAAGGAAGAGAGGGACAAAGCTAGGGAGGGAGGGAGGGAAAGAGGAAGGGAGCGAGAGATGGAAAATAGGAGAGTGGATAAAAAATTACAAAAGATAAATTCAGGAGATCTAACATCTAACATTAAGGATTTCCAGAAAGAGAGAATAAAGGAAATGGAATAAAGGAATAGATCAAAGACATAATATGTGAGAATTTCCCAGAGTTAAAAGACTTCAAAATGAAGGGATGTAACAAATGACCAGCACAATGAATGACAAAAGATCTGAAACCTAAACACATAATTTTTAAGTTTCAGAATACCAAGAATACAATTCTTAAAAAATAACAGGAGGCCAGGCACAGTGGCTCAAGCCTGTAATCCCAGCACTTTGGGGGGCTGAGGCGGGCAGATCACCTCAGTTCAGGAGTTCGAGACCAGCCTGGCCAGCATGGTGAAACCCCGTCTCTACTAAAAATACAAAAATTAGCTGGGTGTGGTGGCAGGCGCCTGTAATCCCAGCTACTTGGGAGGCTGAGGCAGGAGAATCGCTTGAACCCGGGAGGTGGAGGTTGCAGTGAGCCGAGATCGCGCCATTGCACTCCAGCCTGGGGAACAAGAGCGAGACTTCGTCTCAAAAAAACAAACAAACAAACAAACAAACAAAAAAAACAAAAACAAAAATCAGGAGGAGGGATGGATGGAGTAGAAGTACTTTTCCCTATGCTTCCCACCAAATACAGCTAAAATTGAACTTGGACATTATGTATAAACATAAAATTCTGAAAGGTGGATAGAAGGCGACAAACTGGGTAGGGAACTTGGTAGCAGAGAAGTGACATACTGGTGAGTTCCCTGAGTTTGTTTTTTGTCTCATATATCCCAGACTTAGGGCTGGAGAAGCCAACAATTAGATAATAACTGCTCTAACACCACAGAAGAAAGCTGTAGTCCCACTCCCATCCACCAGCAAAGGCCAAGAGGGAAGCTTAGACTTCCACACTTGCTAGCTGTAAGTGGTTGCCCCTCTCCCTTTCTGCTGGGGTGGTGTCAGAGAAGGTTGCACGGGCAGCTGGAACTCCCACTCCCACCTAGCAGTAACTAGGAAACCCTCCTGGTGAGGTATCAATAGAGAGTGAGTGGGGAATCTGGACTTCTACTCCCACCTGGCAGTAATGAGGCAATGTGCCCTCTCCCTTGCCAGAGTGGTGTCTGAGGACGCAAGCTAAAACTGAGTATTTAAATAAGATCCAACGTCTCACAACACAATACCAAAAATGCCCAGTTTCAATCAAAAATCACTCATCAAACCAAGAACTAGGAAAATCTCAACTTGAATGAGAAAAGATGCTCAATAAACACCAACATTGAGATGACAGAAATGTTAAAATTATCTGACAAGAGCTTTTAAGGAACTATCATAAAAATGCCTCAACAATTTGCTTAAACATGCTTAAAACAAGTAGAAACTGTCAGCAAAAAAATAGACGATATAAAGAACCAAATCAGAATTTTAGAACTGAAAAATACAAAAAAATAAAAACCTCAACAGATAGGCTAACAGCAAAATGGAGAGGGCAGAGGAAAAAAATCAACAATCTTGAAGATAGAACAATAGGAATTACTCAATCTAGAAAACAAACGGGGGGTTGGGGGGCAGGAATGAACAGAGCCTCAAGGACCTGTGAGGCTATTATAAAAGATCTAACATTTGTGTCACTGAGGTCCCAAAAAGAAGAGAAAAAGTGATGGGGAAAGTCAATTATAAAACAATGAGACTCAGACTGCTATCATGCATCTTATCATCAAAACTGAATGCTAGAAGAAAGTGAAACAATGCCTTCAAAGTTCTGTGGGAAAATGACATTGCTCTTCAAACTTTATAGCCAAGTGTGAGGATGGAATAAAAATATTTTCACCATCCTGGCTAACACGGTGAAACCCCGTCTCTACTAAAAATACAAAAAATTAGCCACGCGTGGTGGTACGCACCTGTAGTCCCAGCTACTCAGGAGGCTGAGGCAGGAGAATCGCTTGAACCCGGGAGTTGGAGATTGCAGTGAGCCGAGATCGCACCACTGCACTCCAGCCTGGGCGACAGAGTGAGACTCTGTCTCAAACAAACAAAAAATATTTTCAGACATGCAAAAACTCAGGAAGTCTACTTCCTATACAACCTTTCTGAGAAACTTACTTGATGATGTGCTCCATCAAAACAATGGAACAAGCAAACAAACAAAACAAAAACCTTGGGAACCAGCAAACAGTGGATATAACCATAGAAAGCAGTGACAAGAAGCCACAAGATGACAGCTATGCATCAGACCTTAGAAAGCAACTAGTGAAGATTTGAAAAGGAGATTGAGGGCTCTGGGAAGGTCTCCCAAGGGGCAAAAAGTAGACTTGATGGAATTCCTAATGGAGATTTTGAAAAAAAAAAAAAAAAAAAAAAAAAAAAGGAATATATGATAAAGAGGAAAAACAGAATTAGAAACTTCAGAAAAAATAGAAAGCTGCTACAAGGAAAAAGTATTAAAAAGTACATTGCTTTGCTCTGCAATGAAGAATACATAGTCATATTAACAGCAGTTTATTGCTTTTCAACTTTTAGAACCCAACTATAGACAAACATAAAAAAACTCAATTATGATTACAGAACAGAATTTAACATTATGTTTTGACAATATAAAAGACCAGATGACAGAAGTTGGGAGGTTAATGGTGCGGAAGGGGGCTATAGGAAAGGGTATTCTCTCATCTAACAAAGTTCTAGTTTAGAAATATTGTCTGTAGTTCATGGAACAGGAAATAAAGGCATTACTCAATAACCCACAGAAAAACTAAACTATACTAGAAGCAGGACGGAGTTGAACTTGCTGTAAATGATCTAAATCCTCATTTCTCATAGCAGGACATCAATGGGTAATGTCTGAAAGTAATGATTTTTTAAATGCCCACATATTATGTAGGTATGGAGATAAAAATCAGAATAAATAACTAAAAGTGGTGGCAAAAAGTGAGAGTGGGGGTGGGGATGTGTGGGGCAGTAGACTTTTGCTTTTCACGAGTCCGTCTGTAGTGATTTGACTTTACTGATTTGAGTTTTCTAAATAAGGTACATGGATTACTTCTATTTTAAAATGAGAAAAAAAATTTTAAAAAGGACACTCCTGCCCACAACCCTCCTCCCCCCAAATTCCCTTATCCCTCCAGACCTACTGTAGCAGAATATAATAAAGTTTGGGAAACCCTGCAGTCTCTCTTCCTGCTTCTCCCTTAGGTGAAGCCTCTTTGCTTTAGTCAAAATGGAATATTTGTTAGCCCAAACAGGGCATATTTATTCCCACCTTCTTGTTTTTATGTCCCCCAGGCCTGGAAAGCCTTTCCTCCTTATCTCCACCAGTTGGAATCCTCCCTTTTAAAAAGGCTCACCTCAAATTCCACCTCCTCCAAAAGTCTTCCTTGTCCCCTGGTAGAACTCTCTCTCCCCTTGGGGGTTCCTACGAGTCTTCATTTATGCCTCTGATTATGACAATTAAATGTACTTTTTTTTTTTTTTTTTTTTTGAGATGGAGCCTTGCTCTGTCGCCCAGGCTGGAGTGCAGTGGCGTGATCTTGGCTCACGGCAACCTCCGCCCCCTGGGCTCAAGCAAGTCTTCTGCCTCAGCCTCCCTAATAACTGGGATTACAGGCATGCGGTACCATGCCCGGCTAATTTTTGTATTTTTAGTAGAGACAGAGTTTCGCCATGTTGGCCAGGCTGGTCTCGAACTCTTGACCTCAGGTGATCCACCCGCCCTGGCCTCCCAAAGTGCTGGGATTATAGGGTGAGCCACTGCGCCTGGCAAATGTACTTTTTTCAAGTACTGTTTTTTTTTTTTTTTTTTTGAGATGGAGTCTTACTCTGTTGTCCAGGATGGAGTGCTGGGTTCAAGCAATTCTCCCACCTCAGCCTCCCGAGTAGCTAGGATTACAGGCGCACGCCACCACACCCGGCTAATTTTTGTTTGTTTTTTTGAGACGAAGTCTCACTCTTGTCCCCCAGGCTGGAGTGCAATGGCGCAATCTTGGTTCTCTGCAACCTCTGCCTCTCGGGTTCAAGCGGTTCTCCTGCCTCAGCCTCCCAAGTAGCTGGGATTACAGGCGCCTTCCACCACACCCAGCTAATTTTTGTATTTTTAGTAGAGATGGGGTTTCACCATGCTGTCCACGCTGGTCTCGAACTCCAGACGTCAGGTGATCCACCCACCTCAGCCTCCCAAAGTGCTGGGATTACAGGCGTGAGCCACCGCGCCTGGCCTAATTTTTGTATTTTTAGTAGAGATGGGGTTTCAGTACGTTGGCCAGACTGGTCTCAAACTCCTGACCTCAGGTGATCCTCCCGCCTTGGCCTCCCAAAATGTTGGGATTACAGGCGTGGGCCACCGCACCCAGCCTGAAGTACATTCTTTAGGTCAGTGTTTCATGCCCCCAACCTTCTTTCACCCCAGCTACCAGAGTGGTCCTCCTAAATACCAATCTGGCCCGGTTAGTCCCTTGCTTCAAACCTTTCTACAGCTTCCCATTGCTCAGAGTCAAAGCTAAGCTTGACTGCTTGGATTCCACCACTTCTCTCACTGCATGGGTGATGCCCCATTCCCCCTGAAATCCATGCACTTTCACCCTCTTGATTTAACTGTGCTTAGGCAGCTCCTCTGCTTGGAATGTTTTTTCCTCCCTTTCCAAGTGGTAAGCACTCATTCCTCTTTCAAGACTCAGTTCAAGTGTACCATCCTCTATAAAGGCTTTCCCACCCCAGGGAGAACCACCTAATACTTCCTATATGCTCACTTTGCCTCACCTAGACGTCCATTATATCATCTTCCACACTTAGTGTGCTTAACCACTTACTTATCTGAGTTCCCAATTAAGCCAAGAATTCCTGGAGGGCATGTATATCTAATTCCCAGAACCTAGCACAGGGCCTGACACATGACAGGAATTTAACATATGCCTGCTGAACAAATGGATGGAAAAATGATGCATGAGTGAATACAGGAAAGAGCAAATGAACTGGTAAATGCTTACATTAATGCATTAATGAATAAGTGAGTGAAGTTGTGAGTTAGTGCATATATAAGGTAATAAATAAATGAGTGGATGAATGAATGATAAAAATAAGTAAGTGAATGAAAGGTGCCCATGCCAGTGAGGCAGGAAAGGATGAGTGAATTCCCACCTCTGTGTCTTGCTTCAACCCCACCAGGAAGACCTCTTGCCCTGCTTTCCTGTTATCTAAACTGCACACCAGTGTTAACCTTTTAGATTCCAAGGAACAAAGACACACACAGGTTAGTGATGGGGATTTATTAAAGCATTCACAGGGAAATAAGGAAGACAAGAACAGCTACACAGGCAGCCTCATGGAAGAACAGAAACTTGAAAATGGTTCATGATCCAAAGCAGCTCTAGAGCCTGGCTTATCTTGTCACCCCCTCAGCTGCAGGCATCTGTTGCTCCCTTCTCTAGTGCTTCCCAAATTGGTGACTCAACTCCTTTCTGGCTGTATTTATACTCCTCCTACTGCTACTGACTAACTTCTTTCTGCCCCCCTCGATGCTAGCCCATGGCTTTTTCTGCCTCATGGGTCCTGCAGCTTCATGGCTCCCGGCGCTTCAGTTCCTATTAATCCATGGCTTTTCTGCATTGTAGCTCCTGCTGCCTCTTCCATTCCTGTTGCCATGTTGCCACATGGTTCTGGCTACCTTGTGGTTCTTGCAGTCTCATCGCTTCTACTGTCTCATGATCTTATCTATTCAAGCCTTCTGCTGCTTTGTGGATCTCATAGTCAGTTTTGTCTCACGGTTTCTGTTCCTCGTGGCTCCTATTGCTTCATGGCTTCTAGCCCATTGTTGCCTTGCTGCTTCATGGCTTCTGCCACCCTGTGGCTCCGTGATCTCATTATACAAATGTCTCATGACCTCTGCTTACTTATGGTTTCTGCAGCTTTCTCTTTGCTTTTGCTGTTTAGTTTCTGGCCACCCCTCATCCACCACCACTAATGCCTCATTAAATTCTAATTAACGTTCACTTCTTCTGAATAGCTCACATTCTGCCTCCCTGAAAGATCTGGTTGTTTCATACATTTGCCATTTGATACATGCCACCCCTGTAAGGTGAAGTCCTTATGCCAGTCCAGCTAACAGGCCACTGGCCAGCCTAGAGATTGGTTGCCCTTGAACCAGACACTATCCACATCTAGCTATCTGTGGCCAGGATTGTGAGGTCACATGGTACAGAGCATGGCAACTTATGCTAAGGAAACCCCTTAGAAGGGACTGCAAGCATGGCAGGTTTGCTAAGGGTTTCCAGAAGGGGGCAGTGTAATTGGCAACCATCTTGTTTGACCTGTCCAATACATTGACCTTCAAGGTTCAACCTAAGTCCCACCTTCTCCCTGACCACCTCTGCCTGTCCTGATCTACAATGGGATAGATCAAGATCAAGACTCCAGAGATGACATAGAAAGGAAACCTAGCTTCCATTTCTGGCTCCAACACTTCCTAGCAGTCGGACCTTAGGAAGTTAATTCCCCTCTGAGGACCTCAGAAGGGGTTTGGGCAGTCTTCCCTTACAAGTCTGACATTCTGGGTATCTCACTATAAGTTATTGTATAAGAGATGTGACTCTTACCTGGGAAAGCCCTCAAAAACATCTCTTGAGGTAGGAAAGAGGGAGTCAGAGTCCTGGCTTGGAAGAGCCTTACTGCACACTGGAGGTGCTTAGCCAAGATTTATTGAACTGGATGAATGAATCAATGGCTTGTGGAGGGGTGGGGAGTGGGGGGGCAGTGAGAGACCACACAGCACACAGAATGTCTAACTAACTTGAGGAATTCCAGTTGCTGAGGAGGATGTAAGCAGATTGTTTCAGAGATGGATAAGGAAAGAGATGACTGGGACAGGGTAGGAATCATGGCTATTCATGGGTACTCATTCTATCCTCTCAGTCACCCTCCACATCCAATAATCAGTCATTAAGTTATCATCTTACCTTAACAGTTCACACCTTAACACCTCCAATCTATTCCTACTGGCCTTTGCCCTAGTGCAGGCCTCCTGGTCTTTTTCCAGTCTCCTAGCTAATCTTGTCATCTCCATTCGCTCTCTCACAAATGGATTCACTCATGCATTCATTCATTCAAAAACTTTACTGGGTGCCTGTTTTGTGTCAGGCACTGTGCTTTTTTGCAGGGGCTATACTGGTAAGCAAAATATCCCCAGGCCCACCCTTGTGGTGCCTAAAGCTTATTCAGAGACAAAATAAGCAAATATAGTAGTGTAAGAAGCTGATTAACAGGGAAGCTACAGGCACGGGCACATACAGCATGAACATCTAACCTAATCTGTTTTCCATGCTGGTTGGCTAGCCAGCCAGAAACAGGTTAAGTTCACATCTGATCTGGAGTCCCCCTATTAAAAACCATTTCATGGCTCCCTCACTGCCTTCAAGCTATGGTTTCCAAATCTGGCTGTACCCTAGTCATGTGGTAACCTTTATAAGCATTCAAGATTCCAAATCTTCACCCCAGACTTAATGAATGTTTTAGGGGCCGGGGCCCAGAATGCCGTACCTGTTTGTGGTATACAGCCAGTTTGGGAACCACACTGTCCTACAAAACAAATCTGAATTCTGTAGCCATGCATTTACGACCCTCTTCCAATCTGGTTCCTCTCTACCTTTTCTTGCTGCTTTCCCCCCACCCCAGGAATCTTCATGCTTCAGTATTTGTTTTGCTGTTTCTTGCCTTCATGTCTTCATGCATACTGTTTCCAATATCTGGAAATTCCTTCTACTTCCTCAACTGGCTAATTCCTACCCGTCCCTCAAGACTCAGTTCAGGTATCACCACCTAGACTACAGGATGCCTTCTCTGAATCTTCACATAAGCTAGATGTTTTTCCTGTGCTCCTGTCAGTGTTGATCACACTGTATGGTTAATGGCTGTTTTACAAATGGTTTCCCCAACTAAACAGTGAGCTCCTCAAAGGCAGGATAAAGATTTGACTCATCTTTGTGTTCCTGGTGCACAACACTGTGATTTCCAGAGGGAAGTGCCCAGTTAAACTTAAGATACTGTTGTGGAGTACTCTTCAACTCCCTACAGCAAGGCTACTGCGTCCACAGTATAAGGGAGTCAAACTAGTTCCTCCAACAAGCCCTAGGGAATCTACTCGGATCCAGCTTGCTCTTGGAAACACTGTGGTGCCCAGCCTCCCGTGAGCATAGCCTTGACAACGGTTGCCCTGTGATGCCAGGAGGTGGTGGGGCACGACAGGAGAGAGCAGGGGGCAAGCACTAAATAGATCCGAGTGGAAGTCTAGGCTCTGCCACTAAACCAGTGGAATCTTGGACAAGTCACCTCACCTCCTGGATCCTCAGGACTTAAGTCCCCAAAGCTCCTTTGTAGCACATGTGTTCCTGTGTGCCAGGGCCTTAGCCTAAGGCATCTCATGTAATCCTTTTTATCCTGTGAGGTAGGGGTTAGTTATCTGGGTTATTATCCATGCTGGCTGAATCAGATTTCCAGAGGTGGGACCAGAGCAATTTATTTTTAAAGAGCTCCACATCCTTTGGATGTGGGGGTGCAAGCAGGGAACTGCTGCTTCTCATTATAAGCCCTTCTGTACTATTTTATTTTTTTACCTGTGTATATATTGCTTTACTTTTTAAAAAGGAAAAAGAAAAAGCTTTACAAACGATTCTGATGCGCAGCCAAGGTTGATAACCACCTGTACAGTGGAGAAAGCACTTGAATGACTTGGAAGACCTGGGTTCAAACCTTTTTGGGCCTCAGTTTCCTTATCTGTAAAGTGGGGAGAACAGCAAAGGTGACCTTTAAAGGGCTGTGAATGATCTAGATGCCAGCCAAATTGCTTCATATATATTTAATTTTCTCTTTGCTTCACTACTGCAAGGTAGGTGTTTATTATCTCCTTTTACAGATGTGGAAACTTAGGCTCAGAGGTGAAGTAACTTGCACAAGTTTCTACAGCTAGAATTTGAACCAGGTCTGACCCCCGAATTGTGCTCGTCCATAAAGGCCAGCATTTGCCAAATTATGGCACACAGTACCACCAGTGGTACGTGACTTCTTTGGTTGAAAACAGACAAATTTATTTTGTTTTGATAGTTATGTCTTTTAATATGTATTAGAAGAATACATAATTAGCACACATCAAACCTGTGATTTCACAGATATCACTACTTGGGATGAAAATGATATAGGATAACAATGTTAGACCTCAGATCAACCTCAAGAAAAATACTGAGTAAATAGTACAGGAGGGCAATTTGGAAGTATTATTAAAAACCAATATATAAATATCCTATGACTTTGCAATTCCACTTCTAGGAATCAACCCTAGGTAAACTTTCATACATATACTTTCACACAGGCATAGTGATGCTCCTGTGTAGTATTTTGTAATAGCAAAACCTAAAAACAGTCTTAATGTCCATCACAAAAGAAATGCGTAAGTAAAATGTGGTAATCATATGATGACAATCTATACAGCAATTACAGAAGATGGATTGAGCTACATTAAGTAACATGCACAGATCTCAAAAACATCGTTAAGCAAAGAAAACAAATTGCTAAACAATTCAATATATCATTTGCATTAAACACACAATATTTCCAATGAGTTCACATATGTACGTACAAGCATTAAAACAAAGTCTAAACGGAAGTACAACAAACAACAGCCACTAAGAAGGGAAGGATCAAGGAGTGGTTGGTAGCTGAATGAGACTATCTTTAACAATCTAACTTCTCAAAAGGAGAATGAATTCATGCATATTTGGGTAATTAGAATGGACTTAACTTTTAAAAAGCAATATACAGATTGGAATTAAAGTGTGATGGTGTATGTGAATGAGTAAAGGCTGAGCTCATCGCACCCGGCTTTGCTGCCTCTGCATGATCCTTATAGCTAATGAGGTTAGTTCCTAAAATGAACCTCACAGGTGTTAGGCTGGGATGTGGCCCAGGATACCTCTCCCCTATTTCCTCACAACCCAGATTGGGGCTCAGGCACCCGGTTACCAGACATGATTGAAGCTACAGGTTTCCTCAGGCCCTCCGCTTACCAGGTAGACCCCATCAGTGCCCTGAAACTTTCCCAGTCAGCAGGGCATTCAGCACCTTCCAGATTTGGAGGCTTCTTCTGTCCCTAATAGCTGGGATCAGAAGCTCTCAGGGGTCCAGGCATGAGGGTTATATTCTGAGGGGTCGGCACCTAGTGGGCTCCACGAAGGGATAAGGCCTCCAGTGAGGAGCTTGACATCATTAAATCCTATGAGGTAGGTAATATTGTTAGCCCCATTTTACAGATGAGGAAACTGAGGCACAGAAGGTCAAATGACTTGCCCAAGGTCAAACAACTAGTAAGTGATAAAAAGTGGGACCAGAACCCATAACTGTCTGTCCCCAGAGCTCATGCTCCACTCCTAGTGCCTGACCAAATCCTACCAATTTGTCAAGGTCTAGCTTAAATGTGACCTCCAGGAAGCCTAGAGGGGATCACCCACTTCTCAAATTCAAAGTACATATGACATTCAGCTAACTATAGTCATTCATGAACCCACTGTATCTCCTTACTAGGAGGGTAGAGATCATGTCTGATTCAACTCTGTATTCCAAGCACAGAGCCTGACAAATAGAGGGTGTTCGGTATGTGTCTGATGAATACATAAATGAATGAATACACAAATGAGTGAATGAAGGCAGTTTCAGGTAACTGCCTAAGACTCCTATGAGGTCCTGAGTACCTTTGCCCAGCTCAGGGGTGCTGTCATCCTAAGCTCTCTTGGAATCAAATTCAGCCTAGGCTCCTTCTAAAACAGGTCTCCAATATCCTTTATTATTTTGCAAACATACTCACATGCACACATGCGGATACATACATACACACATACATACCCACACACACAGTGGGCAAGAGGCCCAAGGGGCCCACGATTATGGGTGATGAGGGGGAGGAAGGGGGTGTGTGTGATGAACAGATGGCCCTGTTCAGCTCAGCACCTCCTTTCAGAGGCCAGAATACTCCCTGTCGTTCAGGAATTTTTGCTCCAGACCTAACATCACCTCTGTTCCTCTTCATGCTTGATTAGCAGTGCCTAAATCCCATGACTACACCAAAAAGGGCCAGGAGGTAGGGGGAAGGTTGGGAGTCAAATATCCAGAGATTGGGAGAGGGACAGCTTAGGGATCCAGACAGGGCGGGAGGGCAAAAATACTGCTACTGCTCATTGGGGTTGGGGTTGGCATCTGGGTACTTGGTGAGGTCGAAGGTCAGGACTTTGCTGATCACACAGTCCCCTTGCTGAAGGAGGAGGGAGAAAAAGAAAAATAAAATTGTAAGGAGAGAATTAAGAGGGGTCTAGTGCCCCAGGACCAGGGGCCTCAAACCCTCCTCCCTACATACCTGCCCAAAGCCCAGTCAATGGTTCTCTCTGGGTGTGAGAGGATATGCTCAGTCCCATGTGCCTTCGCTCCTTGCCTACTTCTGTACTCTCCTCCTTTCTCCACTGTCTGGCTGCCTCTGCCTGCCTTTCCACCTGTCCCCAAATGCAATGGCCCTGCCTGGCTGGGCTGGCTAAGCCTCCAGAGGCAGGGCTCCAACAAGCCCAAATGGCCATTCAGGACCTGATTCCCTATGCTCCCCCACCTCCTTTCCCCTCCACTGCAGCCTTCCTTTCCTGCCCTGGGAAATCAGGCAGGGAGTAGGACTGGCTCCTGAGCCAGGCCCGCCCTACCTCAGGATAGACTCCAATGAGGCTCTCGGCCTTGGTGTAGAACTCCTCCTTGAGAGAGATGACGATGGCCTGGAAGTTGCAAGTCGACTGCTCCTTGATGTAATTTGCCACCTGTGGGAAAGGCCGCCAGGCACTTAGCAAGGCTCAAACCTTAACAGTCCCCAGTATTTTCCAGCCACAACCAGAAGGCAGAAGAGGTAGGGTAGGGAGAGGAAGGTGGGGAAAAGAGAGGTTGAGAGGAGACTACTGACTACCACAGCATGGATGACTCTGGGCCCAGCCTCCCAGGCACAGAGAGCAGGCAGCAGGAACGGCTAGGGCACGCTCAGGAGTTGCTCCCTGAAACCCAACCCCGACCTGGGGGCATCCCTCCCAGGCCCCACTTTCTTTGCACCCACCTTGCCAATGTTGGTGTTATCCAAGGCAGCATCAATCTCATCCAGGACGAAGAAGGGGGCTGGCTTGTAGCTGGGAGGGAACCAGTAGGTGAGCTGACACTGAGGCGGGGAGGGGGTGGCAAGGCGGGGTGGGACAGCCCCAGGGCCCATCAAACAGGCCAGCTTCCCACTCCACTTCTTCAGAAACTAAAAAACCCAGGTCTCAAAGTTGCCTGAGCCCCTGAAAGCCAAGACATCAACAAAGCCCTCCCCTCTGCAATCAGCCCTGTGTTCCAGGTTCCTACAGAACCACAAGAAGACATGGTCCCCTCAGGAGCTTCCAGGCTGGCTGGGGAGCTAAAGCTGTCCAAGGTTCTAGTTGTAATGACCGAGCTACCTAGAGGTCCACCCCATTCCAACACATGCCATCACAGCATGCTTTGTCATGCCTCCTTGCCTCTGCACATGCTGCACCCTCAGCCTAGAATGCCTGCTGGTCTACCTGGCACACTTCTACTCATCCTTTACATCTCCTGCTCAAGTGGCACCTGTCATTAAAAGTCTTCCCTGGCCTACCCATACCCTCCCCACAGACTGGGTTAAGTGTACCTCCTCTGTGTATCCATCGCACCCATGCTCACCCGGTTACAACACTTAGCACATGTCTGTTTATGCATCTGGCTTCTACTAGACTGTGAGCTCCTCGAGGCCAGAGACCCTGTCTGATACATCTGTGTCCCTAATCCCTCCGCAGGGTCTGGTACAGAGCAGCACTCAAGAAATTGATGCTGTACAATCAAGCAATATAAGCTGCGGGAGTCAGACTCAAGTACTACTGGCATTCAGGAGGGGAAGGTCAGGGTATGCCACAGTGATCAAGGAGGGCTTCCTAAAGGGGAGGAGAATGAGGAAGGGTGAAGGGGTGAAAGGTGATGATCAAGCTAGATTTACATGGAAAGGGATTATTAGCCAGCAACCTCGTGAGCAAAAGCCTGGAGGCGGAACTAAATACATGCAGAGGCCGGTGAGGACATGCTGAGCAGATGAGGGTGGATGGGGAAGACAGGTCCAGAAAAACCAAAGCCAGATATGCTGCAGTAGATAGTGAAACAGGGATGCAATCCAGATTCCACCAAACCATCACCTTCGCAGATCTCTGTGTATCCTTGGGCCCCAGAGCCTCTGGTGGCCTCAGTTCAGTCTCTTCGTCAACTGCCCTAGGGGATCAGCCTTACCTGTGGATGGCAAAGAGCAGGGCCAGAGCTGCCACTGTCTTCTCCCCGCCTGACAAGTTGTCCATAGGCCGGAAGCGTTTCCCAGGAGCCACACAGTTGTAGTTGATGCCATCCAAGTAGGGCTCTTCAGGGTTCTCAGGGCCCAGGAATGCCTAGGGGAAGGCAGATGGGTCAGGATCTGTATCTGAGACTGGATGGAGATAGGGACAGGAAGCCTAGAGGGAAGGACAACTGAGGATGGTAGCAGCTGGTTGGGTAAGGGGCTCCAGCCTACCTGGGCACTGCTATTGCGGGACAGGGCCTTATAGATCTCATCAATGTTGGTAGCCACAGATTCAAAACAAGCATTGAAGCGGTCAAAGCGCTCCTTCTTGATCTGTTCGAATGCCTGCTTGGCCTTCTTTGCTCGCTTTCGGGCTGCTTCAAACTCTGCCAGAAAGAAAGACAGGAGACCCCTCAGTGCCCTGGCAAGAAGGACCTGCAAATGACAATCCAGAGCAGGAACATCCCACTGAGAGAGAGGAATGCCTGAGGAGGGTCCCAGAAGGATCTGTATCCAGTGGACTGGCCACTGGATACAATGCAGAGCAAGAAACAGGGGCCTGGAGCCACACAAATATGGATTCCTCCCTGTGTTCTACCAGCAACCAGCTGTGTGACCTTGAACAGGTCATTTACTCTCCGGGAACCTCAGCAATTTTCCGTTCTATAAAGCAGGTGTAATAACCCCTACTGTTTAGGGCTCCTGAGAGTTTTAAGTAAGAAAACATGTCAGAACAGGAACTGCTGTGATGTATAGCAGGCCCGTGGCATACCCTTAGCCTCTTGTCCTCATCGTAGGCCCAAGTAGAAGGGTAAATCTTACCATCTGAGGTCTCCTGGAACTTGTCTCGGACACTTTCCAGCTTTTCCATGGCCTTCATGTTGGGGGCGGCAATACGCTGAAGCACACTCTGCTGCTCATTCAGCTTCTGCTGCAGTGTGTTCATCTCTTGCTTGATCTCTTCCTCAGCCTGGGCATCCTGTAAGCCCCAGGCCCAGCAATGTCAAGAAGGGCCTGGCCCCTGTGCCAAGGCCCCCACCGAAAGATGACTGACTGAGTGTGGCCTGGGCGCCTGCTCCTATACGGAGGGCAGGTTCTTCTTCTCCAGCTCGGTTCCTTCCACCAGATCCTACCCATAGTAACCATTCCCACCATCTCTGGAAATTATAGGCTGAGGCTGCTTTCTAATCTCTAGCTGCTTTCTAATCTCTAGCCCTTCCCCCAGGCCCTGCCAACCGCTTTGTCTCTCAGGAGGAGCAGCTGGTGGTGCCCCTCTCTGGCTCTCAGCCCAGGCCATGAGCCAGTACCAACCCAGGGTGACCTGGAGGCTCCCACACTGGCCGCTTTGGACTCCACTTACAGCTCCACAATAAGTAAGGCAATTCACGTTTTCTGCTTAGATCACTACATTTGAGCAAATTCCATTAGAGTTTAGTTTTAGTTCTTATGGATATTGCAATGCATGTCTGGGCTTGTGCCTTTCTGCCACTTTCAGTCAATAAATATTTATTGAATGCCTACCAAGTGCCAGACACTGGGGCCATCCTGTCCTGTGAGCCCTGGTTTCTGTGCTCACAGAGCTCAGGGGTCTAACAGAGGAATGCACATAAGTAAACAACCAGAATACTGTAGGATGAATGTGAAAACAATGATAAGCAGGCAGTGTTGACTTAGCACACAAGAAAGACACCTAACTCAGACTCAGGAGGACTCAGACTCCTAACTCAGAGATCAGGAGATTGATAGTTCTTGAGTGGTGAATGTTAGTACTATTATATTTAGTGAGCCTAGGGTATTTTGGGTATAAATAAGTATAATAAGTAGAGGGAGGGATCCCACTAGTGTATAGAATATGTGCCTGCATTGAGGTGTTCTGGATGGTTACCTCATCGGGTGATAAAAATTAAGGTAGGCTTCCAGGAATATGTTTAAGCTAAGGACTACAGGATGAACAAGTGAAGACAGAGAAAACGAATAGACCTTTTTAGACTTTTTTTTTTTTTTTTGGAGACAGAGTCTCGCTCTATTACCCAAGCTGGAGTGCAATGGCATGATCTCTGGTCATTGCAAGCTCCACTTCCCAGGCTCAAGTGATCCTCCCACCTCAGCCTCCCAAGTAGCTGGGACTACGGACACGCACAACCATGCCTGGCTAATTTTTGTATTTTTTGTAGAGACAGAGTTTCACCATGTTGCCCAGGTTGGCCTCAAATTCCTGAGCTCAACTGATCCACCCATCTCAGCCTCCCTAAGTGCTGGGATTACAAGTGTGAGCCACCATGCCCGGCCAGGAACAGACTTCTATGCAGTTGGGAGCATCACAAAAAAATAGCCAGGGGAGGTTGCTCATGGTCCGTTCATCAAACTGAAAATAATTCAAAAGAGAAAGCAAGCCAGGAATGGTGGCTCATGCCTTTAATCCCAGCATTTTGGGAGCCTGTCAGGAAAATCACTTGAGAATAGGAATTTGAGACCAGCCTGGGCAAAATAGGGAGACTCCGTCTCTACAAAAATAAAAAAATTAGCCAGACGTGGTGGCACATGCCTGTGGTCCCAGCTCCTTGGGAGGCTAACGTGAGAAGACTGTTTAGGCACAGGAGATCGAGGCTGCAGTGAACCATGATGGTGCCACTGCACTCCAACCTGGATGACAGTGCAAGACCTTGTCTCAAAAAAAAAAGAGTAATCAACTTCAATAAACTTCGAAAGCTAAAAAAAATATATATATATATATGGCAGTAGTAGCAATTGTGTGTGTATGTGCATGCGTACAAGTGTGTTGGAGGGCACAGAAAGAGAAGATGCTAGATAGACAAGTAGAAGCCAGATTATAAAGGGCCTTATAAGGTTTAGACTTTATCCTGAGAAAGGTGAGGTACCAGTGAATGATTTCAAGAATAAGAAGGACATAAACTTATGTACATTTTAGAAAGCCCTTATGAAGATCTCTATACACTACTTTGGAGTGGTCTCCAGAATAGGTTTTTTTTTTTTTTTTTTAAGTTTTTTTTTTTGAGACGGAGTCTTCCTCTGTCGCCCAAGCTGGAGTGCAGTGGCGCGCTCTAGGCTCACTGCAACCTCCGCCTCCCAGTTTCACGCCATTCTCCTGCCTCAGCCTCCCGAATAGCTGGGACTACAGGAACCCGCCACCATGCCCGGCTAATTTTTTTTTTGTATTTTTAGTAGAGACGGGGTTTCACCGTGTTAGCCAGGATGGTCTTGACCTCCTGACCTCGTGATCCGCCCGCCTAGGCCTCCCAAAGTGCTTGGGATTACAGGTGTGAGCCACCGCGCCCGGCCCCAGGATAGATTTTTAAGTAAAATATGAAAGCTACACAATAGTGTATCTATATTTTATTGAAGTGAAGGTAGAGGGAATACAAATATATTTCTATTTTAAACATATAACGGCAAGAAAAAGAATAATCCAAAAACTAATTAAAGGGTTATCTATCGAGAAAGAGAGGTGAAGGGGACAGGAATGGAAGCAAGAATTCTCTTCATGTACCTTGTTTTATACTTTTGATTTTAGAAACACATAAAGATGTTATATATAACTATTAAAGCAAAATTAAATCAAAATGTGAAAACCACTGGGTAAAAAATTGTTGGGGAACAAGATATTCATAAGATGCCAAAGCATCACTCTAAAGATTACTAATTAATGACAAAGGTAAAAGTGTACATTTAGCGTTGAAAAACCTAGCAACTGACACTTTAACTGAGGGATCAAACTCAGTATCACTAATAGTGGGTACATCCTGACATGATGTACCTCCTGGAGGGATGCCACATCAAGTTCACCAATGAAATGTTCTTGCCAAAAAATACTTAACATGAATCCATTGAGCCTCCAGACTGGATGAAATTTCCAATTTACAGGAGATACAAGGGTTGGAAGAACAGGTTAAATAATATTGTAAAAAAAAAAGAACATATCCATAATGTGGGACATTTTCCAAGAAAACTCTCATAGACTCTTTAAAAGATCAATGCCATGAATAAAAGGTAAAGGGATAGCTCCATATTAAAAGAAACTAAAGAGACATAATAAATAAAAGACATTCATAAATTTTGATTGGATACTAGTTTCAAAAAGAAAAAAAACTACAAAAGACACTTTTAGAACATCTAGAGAAATTCAAATATGGGTTGAAGATTAAATATTATGAAACCTAATTATTCATTTTCTTAGGTATAATATGAAATTACGATTAGGTAAGACAATCCCTTGCTCTTAGTATGCTGAAGTATTTAGGGCTGAAGTATCACGACCACACTTCCTTCAAAAGGTTCAGCAAAAACAAAAAAACTGCAAGTAATGGGAGGCAAGAGGGAAGGAGGGGAAAGACAGGGGAAAGATGAGAGAAAAAGCAAATGTGGTAAAATATTCACTGGTGAATCTAAGGTGAAAGGCATATGAGTGTTCACTATTCTAGTCTTTCAAGTTTTCCATAGGCTTGAAACATCTCAAAATTAAAGCTGGAAAAAAAATCAAAATGCTAAAAAGAGTAATCCCTAAAAATGAAAAACAAACTAAAACAAAGAAACCTAACTATATATTAAGCTGGTTAGACACTCAGATAATTCTTTCAAATTACTTTAAAACATAGGAACATGACTATACATTCCCAATGAGGCTTTCCTTAGCTTAATAATAAAAAGAATCTCAGAAAATCTTAAACTATTTAAAATTACATTCAATAATCAAATTGTTACTAATAATATATATATTTTTTGAGACGGAGTCTTGTTCTGTCGCCCAGGCTGGAGTGCAGCGGTGCGACCTCAGCTCACTGCAACCTCTGCCTCCCAGGTTCACACCATTCTTCTGCCTCAGCCTCCCGAGTAGCTAGGACTACAGGCGCCTGCCACCACGCCCGGCTAATTTTTTGTATTCTTAGTAGAGATGGCGTTTCACCATGTTAGCCAGGATGGTCTCCATCTCCTGACCTTGTGATCCACCCACCTCGGCCTCCCAAAGTGCTGGGATTACAGGCGTGAGCCACTGCGCCTGGCCCTTTTACTAATAATATCTTATTGTGATTTTTCAAACTAGTATATACAGAGTAGGATAAAGTAAATGTGTTATTATGTTAGTGTTGCTAGGAACTGAGATTTTCAGCAACAATAACTGGAAGACTCAAAAAGAAAATCAATGACGTTAAACTAAAAATTACAATTTCAATTCAAAGTATCAATATGAACTCATGATGCATTTTTCCTTCAACAAAAAAACCGCATTTAATAGCCCAATCTATTGAAAAGTTCTAGAAGCACTAATAAACTCAGCAATCATGAACACTCCAATATCCAGATGGTAGTTGCTAAATAATAGCATTTCCCACTAAAGGAAGTCAGAGCTTCCTGGAGAAATAGTGGATTCCAGGTCTGGGTGGAAAATGGGGAGGATGAATCTGGACATATTGGAAAGCAAGGGAGATATCAAAGACTACCAGGGTTGTGTTGAAATGATTCAGAAGCCAAACTGAATGAGTCACCATTGGCCAAAGATGGGACAACCTGAGCACCAAGAAGGATAATAACCACAACAGACTGAAAGACACCAAATATATTTAAATTCATAATGATATGAGAACTCAGTGGACAAATCTTGAGAAAGCCAAGGAAGCAATTCCTTATTTTATAAACTGATAAAGGGGGGAAAAAATCAAGCATATATAGCCTGCCTTTCCTATACAAACTGTATCTCAGAATAACCAAATAAATGATGAGAGGAAGTCTCTCTTTATAGTATTCCAGCCAGTAAACACAGAAATGATAGAGTAAGGTCACCATTTTGCAACCCCTGACTAATTAATGGATCTATGCAATAAGAAGCATGGCTGCAAACCACACAAAAAGAGCCACTAATGGACATTAAGTACCTTCTGATGGAAGTAACACCACCAGCTGTGAAGGAGCCGTAGCCACAACAAACAAGCGAACCCCAAAATCTGAATCTAACCAAGCCACTGTGCTGTCCAATCCGGTTGCCAGTAGCCACATGTGGCTACTTAGCACGTGATATTTGGCTAGTGCAACTGAGGAGATAAAATCTTAATTTTATGAAATTTTAGTTCATTTAAATTGAAAACCTGATATTCAATTCAGTTACTGGAAAACTTTGATGGATATTTGGAACAACTTGGGTATGTGGGTCTCCTTTTTCAATTGTAAATTTTAGGAAATCTAAATACAGATCAAGTATTTCTGAGGAAATTTTAGCATCTGAATTGAGACGTGCTGTGTTAAAATACATACTAGATTTTGAAGACAGTACAAAAAAGGATCATCAAATATCTCATCAATAATTTTTATATAGTTCACACATTGAAATCATACTCCTGAGGACACTAGGCTAAACATAATATAGTATTAAAATTAATTTCACCTTTGCCTTTTTATTTTTAAAATGTGGCTACTAGAAAATCGAAAATTGGCCAGGCACGGTGGCTCACACCTGTAATCCGAGCACTCTGGGAGGCCGAGGCGGGTGGATCACAAGGTCAGGATATCGAGACCATCCTGGCTAACACGGTGAAACCCCGTCTACTAAAAATACAAAAAAAATTAGCCGGGCGTGGTGGCGGGCGCCTGTAGTCCCAGTTACTTGGGAGGCTGAGGCAGGAGAATGGCATGAACCTGGGGGGCGGAGGTTGCAGTGAGCCAAGATCGCGCCACTGCACTCCAGCCTGGGCGACAGAGCAAGACTCCATCTCAAAAAAAAAAAAAAAAAAAAAAATTACATATGTGGATCACATTTTACCTCTTCCGAACAGCACTGATCTACATCTAACTACCCACTTACAAGAACTACAGAGGATAGCAGAACCATTTTTGTTTTTTTTTTTTTTGGTCGGGGGGGTGAAGGGAACATTTTAAACACTGCAGGACACAATCAGTAAAGTATAGAATGTGAACAATCCTTCAGAAGAAATGAGTCAATTTCTACAACAACAAAAAAATAGTGCAAAGAAAAATAAAAACAGGTGGAGGGGGATCCTATAAGTTAAATGAGATTCAAGTGACATATCAATTAATGGCTTTATCAATCATCCACTAACTATTGATCAATCATCTTATTTGACTTCCAATTCAAGCAGGTAAGCTGTAGAGTGTGTGTTTGCGTGTGACCATCATGGATGTGTAACACTAATTATTAAGAAATTACTGCCAAGCGTGGTGGCTCACGCCTGTAATCCCAACACTTCAGGAGGCCGAGGCGGGCGGATCACAAAGTCAGGAGTTCAAGACCAGCCTGGCCAATATAGTGAAACCCCATCTCTACTAAAAATACAAACAATTAGCCGGGCATGGTGGCGGGCACCTGTAATCCTAGCTACTCAGGAGGCTGAGGCAGGAGAATCGCTTGAACCAGGGAGGCGGAGGTTGCAGAGAGCTGAGATTGTGCCCCTGCACACCAGCCCGTGATAGTACGAGACTCTGTCTCAAAAAAAAAAATTATTTTTAGATATGTAATGGTTCTAATTATTTTTAAGAATTCCTATCTCTTTCAGAGATGTATCCTGCAATATTTGCAAATGAAATATGATGTCCAGAATTTCTTTTTTTTTTTTTTTTTTTTTTTTTGAGACGGAGTCTTGCTCTGTTACCCAGGCTGGAGTGCAATGGCGTGATCTTGGCTCACGGCAACCTCTGACTCCTGGGTTCAAGTGATTCTCCTGCCTCAGCCTCTCAAGTAGCTGGGACTACAGGCACGTGCCACCACGGCCAGCTAATTTTTTGTATTTTTAGTAGAGACGGGGTTTCACCGTGTTAGCCAGGATCAATCTCCTGACCTCATGATCCGCCTGCCTCGGCCTCCCACAGTGCTGGGATTACAGGCGTGAGCCACCGCACCCGGCCCAGAATTTGCTTTAAAATAACCTAGGGATAGGGAGGGATAATAAAGTGTCAGGGGGCGGGGGGGCCGGGCCCCATGGCTCACACCTGTAATCCCAGCACTTTGGGAGGCCAAGGCGGGCGGATCACGAGGTCAGGAGTTCGAGAACAGCTTGGCCAACACAGTGAAATCCCGTCTCTAATAAAAATACAAAAAAATTAGCCAGGCGAGGTGGTGGGCGCCTGTAATCCCAGCTACTTGGGGGGCTGAGGCAAGAGAATCGCTTGAACCTGGGAGGCAGAGGTTGCAGTGAGCCAAGCTTGTGCCACTGCACACCAGCCCAGGCCACAGTGTGAGACTCTATCTCAAAAAAAAAAAAGAACTGTGTGGGGGTGCACATTAAACAAGTTTGGCCAGCAGCTGACTGTTGTTAAAACTGGTGATGGCTATATGAGGGAGCACTGTAGTATTTTACTTTTGCATATAAAATTTTCCATAATAAAAATCTAAAAATAACAACAAAAAAATAAACTTGAAGTGGTTCCCACTGGCCAAGGATGAACAATGTGAGCATCAAGAAGAAAAATGGGGGCCAGGCGCGGTGGCTCACACCTGTAATCCCAGCACTTTGGGAGGCTGAGGCGGGTGGGTTACGAGGTCAGGAGATCGATACCATCCTGGCTAACATGATGAAACCCCGTCTCTACTAAAAATACAAAAAATTAGCTGGACGCGATGGTGGGTGCCTGTAGTCCCAGCTACTTGGGAGCTTGAGGCAGGAGAATGACGTGAACCCGGGAGGCAGAGCTTGCAGTGAGCTGAGATCACGCCACTGAACTCCAGACTCCGTCTCAAAAAAAAAAAAAAAAAAAAAAAAGAAAAAGAAAAAAAAAAAAAAAGAAGAAAAATGGGGCCAGGTGTGGTGGCTCATGCCTGTAATCCTAGCACTTTAGGAGGCCAAGGCAGGGGGATCACATGAGGTCAGGAGTTCAAGACCAGCCTGGCCAACATGGCAGAACCCCGTCTCTACTAAAAATAAAAAAAATTATCTGGGCATGGTGGCGCATGCCTGTAATCCCAGCTACTCAGGACGCTGAGATAGGAGAATCACTTGAACCCAGGAGGCAAGAGGCTGCAGTGAGCTGAGATCATGCCCCTGAACTCCAGCCTGGGTGACAGAGTGAGACTCCGTCTCAAACAAAAACAAAGAAAAATGGGCCAGGTGCAGAGGCTCACACCTGTAATCCCAACACTTCAGGAGGCTGAAACAGGAGGATCACTTGAGGCCAGAAGTTCGAGACCATCCTAGGCAACACAGTGAGACCTTGTCTCCACGTTAAAAAAAAAAAAAAAAAGAGAAGAAGAAGAAAAATGACTCCAACAGATTGAAACATAAAAGACATCTAAACATTGAAGTTTCTTTTTTGAGACAGGTTCTCCCTGTCACCCAGGCTACAGCGCACTGGTGTGATCTAGGTTCAGTGCAGCCTCAACCTCCCAGGATCAAGCGATCTTCCTGCCTCAGCCTCCTGAGTAGCTGGGACTACAGGTACATGCCATCACACCCAGCTAATTTTTAAAAATTAGCTCTTGGGCTCAAGCAATCCTCCTGCCTTGGACTCCCAAAGTGCTGGGATTACAGGCATGAGTCACCACACCTGGCCAACATTTATTTATTTTTTTATTTTTTGAGACAGGGTCTTGAACTATTGACATTTTGGGTCAGGTAATTCGTTGCTGTAGGGATTGTCCTGAGCACAGTAGGATGTTTAGCAGCATCCCTGGTGTCTACCCACTAGATGCCAGTAGTAACCCCCCTACCCCAGTTACGACAAGTAGGCGTGACAAGAGTATCTCCAGCCATTGTCATATGTCCCCTGGGGGAACAAAATATCTACCCTCTCAATGAGAACCACTCCTATAAAAGATAAGGACTTAAAAAAAATAGTAATACCACTATTACACTTAAAAATATTAACAATTTCCACGGCCGGGCACAGTGGCTCACGCCTGTAATCCCAGCACTTTGGGAGGCTGAGGTGGGCAGATCATGAGGTCAGGAGATCGAGACAATCCTGAATAACACGGTGAAACCCCGTCTCTACTAAAAATACAAAAAAATTTAGCCGGGCGTGGTGGCAGGTGCCCATAGTCCCAGCTACGTGGGAGGCTGAGGAAGGAGAATCGAGTGAACCTGGGAGGCAGAGCTTGCAGTGAGCCGAGACCACGCCACTGCACTCCAGCCTGGGTGACAGAGCGAGACTGTCTCAAAAAAAAAAAACAAAAAACAAAAAAACAAATTTCCCAGTCTGGATTTGGTTAACTACATCCCTGTGCATTTTTTTTTGAGACGGAGTTTTGCTCTTGTCACCCAGGTTGGAGTGCAATGGCACAATCTCAGCTCACTGCAACCTCAGCCTCCTGGGTTCAGGCGATTCTGCCTCAGCCTTCTGAGTAGCTGGGATTACAGGTATGCACCACCATGCCCGGCTAATTTTTGTATTTTTAGTAGAGACGGGGTTTCACCATGTTGGCCAGGCTAGTCTCAAACTCCTGACTTCAGGTGATCCACCTGCCTCAGCCTCTCAAAGTGCTGGGATTACAGGCGTGAGCCACCGCGCCTGACCCTCAAGTGCTTTTTTAACATTCCTCTGGCACCAGTGTTTCTGATAGTGTTCCCAAAGTGCTGAGATTACAGGCATGAGCCACTGTGCCCGGCCCTAAATATCTATTGAATTCTGGTTTTTGTTTCCACTGTCTCTAATGCAGGACACTTTCGTCTCACATAGCCAACTACAGGAGCCTCCTAAATAGTTTATGATGTGTTTCAATCATCATATTCAGGAGGATTGGATATAGAAGCTTGATCAGATCCACGTTTGTTTTTTGGCAAGAATACTTCATAGCTAATGTTGAACACTGGTCAATGTTAACATTACAAAGAAAGTGAGAACTGACATCAGGTGTCTACTGATGTGATGTAGAAGGAAGTTCACAAGTACACAACATCACCTATGATATATTCTTGCCAAAAAAAGAACTTGAATCCAATCAAACCCTAGATTTACCTACCAGTTTATAGGAAATACAAGGAATAGAAAAAACATGTTCAGTAACATCAAGGGGACATAATCAGCCAAATCTAGAATGCAGACAATTCTATAGTACCAACGACCCAGTTCCTTCCATAGATAAATACGAAGGAAAAAAATAAAATAAAAACGAAGAAGAAAATGTTATAGACTAGCAGAGACCAATTTTAACATATGGACCTTACTGGAATATTGATCTAAACACATAAACTGCAAAAAAAATAAAAATAAAAAAATATTATGGGACTTTCATGGAAATCTAAACATTTACTGATTAGATGATATTGTGGAGTTATTGTTAAATATTTTCAGATATAATATTATGGTTGTTTTTCTTAAAAGTTCTCATATTCTAGAGATACATGCTGAGGTAATTATGGATGGAGTAATGTCTAGTTTTCTTTAAAATACTCCAATGGGGGGTATAAAAAATAAGATTGCTTAACTGTTGAAGCTGAGTGCCTGAGGTTCATTATTATCATTCTCTTTACTTCCATATGCTTGAAATTTTCCATAAGTTAAAAAAATCAAATCCTCCTGAATATAATGATGATTGAAACACATCATAAACTATTTAGGAGGCTCCTGTAGTTGGCTATGTGAGATGAAAGTGGCCTGCATTAGACAGTGGAAACAAAAACCAGAATTCAATAGATATTTAGGGCCGGGCACAGTGGCTCACACCTGTAATCTCAGCACTTTGGGAGGCCAAGGTAGGCAGATCACCTGAGGTCAGGAGTTCAAGACCAGCCTGACCAACATGGTAGAACCCCGCCTCTACTAAAAATTAGCTGGGCATGATGGCGGGCACCTGTAATCTCAGCTACTTGGGAGGCTGAGGCAGGAGAATCGCTTGAACCTGGGAGGCAGAGGTTGCAGCAGTGAGTCGAGATCATGCCACTGCACTCCAGCCTGGGCAACAAGAGTGAAACTCCGTCTCAAAAAAAAAAAAAAAAAAAAAAGATATTTAGGAGGCAGAATCCATAGGGCTTGGTGCTTGGTAATTAATTGATTATGTAAAGTGAAAGAGGGAGAAGTCAAGGATGAGGCTCAAATTTCTGGCTGAGCATGTGAGTGGCACTGAGGAGATGGGTAAATATGGGGAGGAAGGCTAGGGCTTGAGGTACCTGTGGGACCTAGCATAGAGATTGCAGCGGAAGCCACGGAAGTAAAGTGATATCCAGGATGAAAGAATGCCAAGTGAGGAGGAAAGAGCCCTGAGGAACACCTGAGGTCAATCTGTTCACTGTACTGAAGTCTCTTCTCTGTGTGGACCTAGGCTTAGCTTAGTTATATACACACATGGAAGGGGAAGACTGATAGCAGGCAAGGGCAGGGGCAACTTGGGGTATGGGGTAGGGAATGTGCATATGTCTGTTTGAATATATGAGGTGGAGATCCTGCCTCACAACTGAATCCTCCCACCCTTGCCAGCTTTCCCCTCTTTCCAGCCATGGTCTTCACAGAGCCCCCAGATGGGCTGACCTCCTCTCTGGACAACTAGGAAGATAGTCCCACTCCCACCCAACCCCCACCCCCACCACACCCCTGTGGTTGATCCTCACCTTCAGATCCTCACACAGATCACCGTAGTCAATCTCAATGAGGGCCTCTCGTGCATAGATACTGGAAATTCTCTGTGAACCACTCACTGAGTCCTCCCCCTGGGAGCTACCCTGCAATGGCAACGGAGAGTCAAGTGGAGCAGACTGGCCATGAGAGTGCACCTCTATAGGGAGCTCCTTTGCAGCCTTCAATCTTTGAGAAAGCACCTTGCTAGAAAGCACCATGGCAGAAGGAACAGAGGCTTTGCAGGCAGAATGACTCAAGTTCAAAATTGAGCTCTATGGCCAGGTGCAGTGGCTTGCGCCTATAATCCCAGCACTTTGGGAGGCCAAGGCAGGTGAATCACTTCAGGTCAGGAGTTTGAGACCAGCCTGGCCAACATAATGAAACTCTGTCTCTACTAAAAACACAAAAATTAGCCAGGAGTGGTGGTGCATGCCTGTAATCCCAGCTACATGGGAGACTGAGGCACAAGAATCACTTGAAACTGGGAGGCGGAGGCTGCAGTGAGCCAAGATCACGCCACTGCACTTCAGCCTGGGTGACAAAACAAGACTCTGTCTCAAAAAATAAAAATAAAAATAAATAAAAAAAATTTGAGGTCTACACTTACTAACATTGTGATTTTGGGCAAGTCACATTCTCAGATCCTGAGTCTCTTCACCTGTAATGTGGGGATAATGCCTGTCTGGCAGGTCTGTGGTTAGGATTGGGGTAATTATGTCACATGCTACCATGATGCCCAGAACATTTCTGGTATTCAAAATATTTTACTGAATTAAACTGAAATGCCATTTGGAAAGTGAGGAGGGAGAAAGATACATGGGACTGAGATATATAACCAGGTCTAAGACAAGATATTAATATATGCAAACCTCCTCTCAGTTAACATTTCCCATCCCCTTGCTACAAATCTTTGCTTCCACTGCTCCTCTTTGGCTAGTATCTCTGGTTTTCCTATAACTAAACTTCCTCACCTCTGCATTGCTGATGTCCCTTACCTAACCCTCTCCTGGCCAATCTTCCTCACTGCAGCTAAGCTATCACCCTCAGGTCCCCTAGCTTTCTGTCTTCCTTTGCTCTTGGCTAATGTCCCTCAATTCCCACTCCTACCAATTTCTGTCACCTGCTGGAGCTAATATAGCTCAGGTCCCTAAGGTTAATGAATTACTTCATTCTTTCCTGGCTCAACTCTCTCACCACCCACTCACTGGCTTGCAGCTTTACTCCCAATTCAACTTCTCTCTCACACCAAAGCCATTATTACCTTTCGCCTCACCTGCCTTCACCACTGCACCTTGCCTCATTTCTGCTGCATCCCTTTTCATGTCCCTTCACCATCTGCCCACCATCTTTCTCTCTCTCACTGCCCTTCCTGGTCACTTTCACTCCCCATCCCTGGTTAATGATGTTCATCGCCCACTCCCACCACCAGCCACAATACTCACCTCTTCCTGACTAATATCATCCATGGTGCCTTTTGACAGTGGCAACTTAATGTCCTGCATCTTACAGGCCTGTAGCAAGTTGTGACGGTCACTGCGCTTCTGTTCAAGCTTGGTCTCAATGGCTGTCACCTCCTTCTGTAAATGGGTCATTTCCCTAAAAAAGGTCCAGGGGCTAGGTGAGACCCAAATCTGGCAGGCTGCCTGCTCTATCTACGTCCTCCCACCCCAGGCCTGAACCCACTCACTTGTTGGCGCCCCCGAGTTTCTTACGAATCTCCTCCATCTCATGATTCTTGTCATTCACTTCCGACTTCTTGGCCAGATGCTGATTCTTCAGGTCTTGTAGCTGAGCCATGGTCTCATCTATGATCTTCATGTGTCTTTGTTCCTCCTGGTCCCAGCAGTGGGAACAGGACAATAGGTGAAGACTTTCCCCATCTTACCCTGGGATATTCTCCTGCTCCCACCCTTCCTACTAGGCAGTTTATTGGAGTCACTCGTCAATGAGCTTTGCTTTCACACCCCCATCACCCCTCAGCCTCCTATCTTTTTAAAATTTGGTTGTCCTCTCCCACACACCCCAATTTTACAAGTTATCTAATATATGTAGAAAAGTATAGAGAAAGTATTAAGTGGGGAATCACTCACAATCTCATCAGCTAGATAATCAATTAACATTCTAGCACATTTTCTTTCAGCATTTGATTTACAGACAGTTTTACATAGTTGAGACTAGACTGTAATTAAAACTCTGTATTCTGACTTAATGTTATATTTGAGCATTTTTTTCTACATCAAAACTTTGTCATGTGCAGTATGGTAACATTTGTTGTTGTTGTTTTTTTTTTAAACCCACACAAACAATACTGTGCATTTTCTATGAATACACATATGTAAATGTACAAGTATTTAAGTAAATCCTTAAAGGGTCTGGAAGAATCACCTCTGGCAAGACGAAGGGGACTAGGATGAAGAGTGGTCAGCCAAAGGGGATTATAGCCTTATGTATAATGTTCTGATTTTTACAAAGGAAAATTTTTGTTTTCATTTTGATCTTAAGTCACATAAAGGGGGCCTGGTGGAGTGGCTTACACTTGTGATTCCAGCACTTTGGGAAGCCAAGGTGGGCAGATTGCTTGAGCCCAGGAGTTCGAGACCAGCCTGGACAATAAGGCAAAACCCCGTCTCTACAAAGAATACAAAAATTAGCTGGGTGTGGTGGCACACGCCTGTGGTCCCAGCTACTTGAGAGGTTGAGGCGGGAGGATCATTTGAGCCTGGGAGGCGGAGGTTGCAGTCAGCTGAGATCGTGCCTCTGCACTCTAAACAGGGCGACAGGGCGAGACCTTGTCTCAAAAAAAAAAATAATAATCACATAAAGGGGACATATCTGCAACTTACTCCCAAATGGCTCATAAAAAATAATAAGCATATATATAGAGAGAGAATGCAAAAGATAATGCGGCAACATGTTGATGACCGATGAATCTTGGTGATGGGTAGATAGGAGTTCTTTGTACTATTCCTTGCAATTTTTTGCAAAGTTGAAAATTATTTCAAAATAAAAAGTAAAAAAATTACATATATGTAATATCCCAAATCATCTAGGTATCTAACTTGTCTTGCCTCAGGATTTTACTGCCCAAGCTACAACTGCATTTAAGATTTCAGACACCAGGCCGGGCGTGGTGGCTCACACCTGTAATCCCAGCACTTTGGGAGGCAGAGGCGGGCGGATCACTTGAGGCCAGGAGTTCCAGACCAGCCTGGCGAACATTGTGAAACCCCATCTCTACTAAAATACAAAAAATTAGCCAGGCGTGATGGCGGGTGCCTGTAATTCCAGCTACTCAGGAGGCAGAGGCAGGAGTTATCGCTTGAACCTGGAAGGCAGAGGCTGCAGTGAGCCAAGTACTATTGCACTCTAGCCTAGGAAACAAGATCAAAACTGAGTCTCAAAAAAAAAAAAAAAAAAGATTTCAGACACTAAAGAGGACTACTTTAATCATCAGGGGTTAATGATGAAAACACAGAAACAAGCGACAAACATAGGCAGACATAAGTCAAACAATAAGTTCAAACCAAGAGAAGGCCAAATCACCTCAGGAGGGAATGCTGTAAGGAACAAAGGCTTCATAGTAGTTTAAAGAGAAAGGGTGTGAGAAAATTGAGTCATCACACAATACATGGTGGCACAGGCATGCTAAACTCAAAAGAACTGAGCTGTAGCAGTCAGTAGCACAGTCACACTGTGAAGTGACTAGGTTTCAGCAAAACATCATCATTTGTTGCACTGAATTTACATGGTCAATCTAAATTTTGCTCATTTTGTTAGTATTTAATTTTTAACTTTGTCTTAGCATTTGGTTAAGTGTTCTAAGTATATATATTTATATATACTTAAGTAACATCACGGATTTAAGGCAACACTGGCAATCTTAGGGACTATTTTTCCTTTAAAAAGGGTCTGTGTATTACTAAAGTTTGAAGACACTACATAAATAATGTTACAAACGTAGCATGATTTGCTAAATTCCCACTTTCCAAGGGGCACTGAGTAGTTTCCAATTTGGAACTATAAATAATGCTTGTTATAAACATCAAAGTGTTTGCATAAAGCTTTGCCAGCATTTTGGATGATCTCCTCAGGTACTACTGAGTTACAGAGTATAAATGCATTGTGAAGCTTCTTGAAGGATGGTGCCACATTACATAAGAATACTCGTCTCCTGGCCAGGCACGGTGGCTCATGCTTGTAATCCCAGCACTTTGGGAGGCCGAGGCAGGTGGATCATGAGGTCAGGAGTTCGAGACCAGCCTGGCCAATATGGTGAAACCCCGTCTCTACTAAAAATACAAAAATTAGCTGGGCGTGGTGGCAGGCACCTGTAGTCCCAGCTGCTTGGGAGGCTGAGGCAGGAGAATGGCATGAACCCGGGAGGCGGAGGTTGCAGTGAGCTAAGATAGTGCCACTGCACTCCAGCCTGGGCAACAGAGCAAGACTCCATCTCAAAAAAAGAAAAAAAGAATACTGGTCTCCTATACCATGGCTGGTATTGAGCATTGTGTCTTCTGTTTTTACATTTTCCACGATGTGTTACAAAATACATTGTATCTAATTGTTGCTTTAATTTGCATTTCTTTAGTAAGACTAAATTATTTGTATGTGTTTAGGGACTATTTGAAAGTCTTCTTGAACTGTTTGTGACATTTATCCATTTTTCCCGTTTAGGTCTTGGTATTTTTCTTATTGATTTAGATGAGAAATTTCTAAGTTGTGGACATTATCCTTCTGTCTGTCGTATTTCTTCCCATTTTTCCTCCCAGTTATTAGTCTGTCTTTTAATTCTTTCCTTCCTTACCTTTTTGAGCTTTTCTATCTCATTTTCATCTTTTTTCACTGTCTGCTCCCACATGTGTACTTTATCTTGGTCCTCCTTCAGTTGGTTCTTTTCAAAATCCAACTGAATGCCCAAGCGAGTCTTCTGATTCTCAAACTCCAAACTGTGTATAAAGGTGGGGGGAGAATCACTCATAATCTCATCAGCCAGAGATAACCAATGTACAAAATCCAACTATGGGAAGAAAGGGAAACTAGACCCAGGGCTCAGGGACCCAGAGTTACTGATTTTCAGTCACAACTTGCTTCATCCATCCATATGCACATAAAACGGTCCCCTGAAGCTGAAGAACTAAGTTCCTCAGCCTAGCCCTGTGGACATGGCATAAGGCAGGGAAGATTCGGCCAAACCTTATTTATCCCCCTTTAAACAATGAAGACCCCAGCGCCCTCCAAGTTCCTACAAGGAGGCATAAAAGAGTCCATCTGATTCTACCAGCTATGGTAATTCCTATTAGGCTTCTATGTACTTTACATACATTATCTCTAATCCTCTAATCAACAGCTCTGCAAGTAGGCATTATTATCCTAATTTTACAAATGAGGAAAACTTAGGCCAAGAGGTAAAAGACCTTGCCCAAGGCCACACAGCTAGTAAATGGCACATGTGAGACTGAAACCCAGATTTAACACCAAAACCCGGGCTCTTTCTAGTATACCACCACTGCAACATAATGTAGTGGATTAAGAAGACTGGCATCTCAACTCTGCCACTTACTAGTAATGTCATTCAGGCAAGTTGGTTATACTCTCCAGACCTGTTTCCCCATCTGCAAAATGAACATAATAATAGTACCTACCTCAGGGTTATTGGGAGATTTTTAAATGAGTTAATATGTATAAAGTCCTTAGAACCACACCGAGTCCACGATAACTACTCAATCAATTTTAGTTACCATTATCACCAGGTATATTGACTGTACTCAGCTTACTTTTGTCCAAGGGCTTCAACTACAGCATCCCAACTTCTGCCCCAAGGTCCCAGAACCTCTTAAAGGGCAGAACTTGGATAGTACAAAAACATGGAGAAAATACTGGATTCCTGCTATTGTCCTCCTCTCCATCTCTTCAGAAACTCAAGAGTATGCAACCAGCATACACAGGCACTGGCAGGCCAGGCAGGACTAACTTCCAATTGCCCTCTCCAACTCCCAATATGGTGTGACAGATGTTGCCAGATGTCATGCTAGCAGCTTAAACCTATTAGCCACTATAATCCAAATGAAATATAACTAACTCTATAATTTTGAGCTATGCAATTTTATATCCAATCTCCTAAGTATGACTCACAAAGGCCTCTGTGATCCGGCCCCTGCTGACCTCTCCACCACTCCCCACCTTCTTCCTGACCCTGCTTTTATGCTCCAGACATTAAAAACTACTTAGTATCCAGAACAAGGCATGCTCTCTCACACTTCCAAGCATGCTGTTCTCTCTGCTTGGAATTCACTTTTTCTGTCGCTGCCTGGCTGGCTAAATCCTACTCACTCTTCAGGTCTCCAGTCATCACTCCCTGTTTTGTAAAACCTTTCCTGACGGTTCTGAGCAGGTTCCTAGTTTCTATTACACTTTGTTGGGTTCCTCCCTTTTTAGACTTTAGGTGCAGAAGCAAGTTAATCATATCCCACAGTTCATAACACACTTATCACCACTGCCTGGGCAAGACCCTTCCCTTGTCCTCTTTGTTTCAATCCCCAATTTCCATTCCCATTACCTTCCCTACTGTGAACATGCACCACAAAGTGACATACACACATGCATTCCTTAAAAATGCATATCCTTGTAAAATGTCTTAGTTCTAAAATTTACACAAATCTACTGTGTTATAAATTTTATTCTTTTTTCTGGTCAATACCAGGTTTATAAGTTATCCATTACTGCCCACAAATCTAGTTCTTGCTGTGAACTCCCACACAGTATTCCAGTCTATATATTCATTTGACTTATGCTCCCCCAGTAATGGCCATCTACATTGCCACCAATGTCCCACTACTACAAGTTATGCCAAGATGAATGACACTGAATGTGTATCTCTTTGGGACCCTATGGCAAGACTCTCTCAGGGATATATACCCATAGGTTTTATATATGTGTATATATATACATTATATATATACACATATATTTTTTTCACATACTACACAGGACATCTATAGATTTCCACCTAATACTGTCAGACTTTTAAATTTGCATTTCTCTGATTAAGAGGTTAGACCTCAATTCCTATGGTCATTAGCCACTTGAACTTCTCTTTCCATGAAAGCCTATCTATATTATTTGCCACTTTTTTTTTTTTTACTTTTTTCATTGCATTGGGTATCATAAGTACTTAGCCACATTTCCATTGGGTTTCTTGTCATTGTTTTTTATTTTTCCTGTTGTTGATTTGCAGTTCCTTGAAAATTTCTTCAGTATTTTGTATCTACCTTAATTACACCATTGATCACACTGTCCTCAAATTGATGTTTCCCCCAGTACTCTATATGTTTCCTGAGGAAAGAAATACAGTCTGATTCAATTCTATATCCCTTGAGACTGGCTTGAAGTAGGACAGCAATGAATATTTACTGTATGGGCAAAGGGCTAAACTGCTAACTGAAGCCCAGGGTACAAGGGATGACCTCCTTCAGCAAAGACTGTGTTGTGTTCATCTGTCTTACCTCCATCTCCCTTGTCCCCCTTCCAATACCTAGCACAAGACAACCTGGCACAAGGTAGGTACTCAACAAAGGTTTGTTGAATGAATGAATCAACTAAAGTGAGGAAAAATGAGAAGATTATTTTCTTCTGACTATTGTTTCAACCAAGAATTTCATCTCCCGCCTCCCTCCACCTCACGTTGCCCATTATGATAATAACAACAAAAGCTACTATTTCTTGCTCTTAGTAGATGATATGTAAGCTGCTAAATACCTTTTAAAAAGGTTAAAAAAAAAAAAAAGCCAGGCGGGGGTTGGGGCCAGGCGTGGTGGCTCATCCTGTAATCCCAGCACTTTGGGAGGCCAAGGCGGGTGGATCACGAGGTCAGGAGTTCGAGATCAGTCTGGCCAGCATGGTGAAACCCCATCTCTACTAATAAGAAAAATTAGCCGGGCATGGTGGCGTGCACTTATAGTCCCAGCTACTCAGGAGGCTAAGGCAGGAGAATTGCATGAACACGGGAGCCCGGAAGGTGGAGAATGCAGTGAGCCGAGATCATGCCACTGCACTCCAGCCTGGGCGACAGAGCAAGACTCTGTCTCAAAAAAAAAAAAAAAAAGGGCCGGCAATATGGCTCACACCTATAATCCTAGCACTTTGGGAGGCTGAGGCAGGAGGATCACTTGAGCCCAGGAGATCAAGACGAGCCTGGGCAATGTGGCAAAACCCCATCTCTACAATAACAACAACAACAAAAAACAAAAAAAGAAAAATTAGCCGGGCGTGGTGGCAAACATCTGTAGTCCTAGCTACTCAGGAGGCTGAGGTGGGAGGACCACCTGAGCCTGGGAAGGTCAAGATTGACACTGCACTCCAGTCTCGGAAACAGAGTGAGATCCTGTGTCAAAAAAAAAAAAAAAAAAAAAAAAAGGTAAAACAGGTAATCTTAAAAAAAAAAAATTATTTCACCTAATCCTCCCAACAATGCCATGAGATAGGTATCATTATACCATTTTGCAGATATTGCAGCTTACAGAAGTCAAGTCACTGCCAAAGATAACGAGTTGTGGAGCTGGGGTTGTAATCCAGGAATCCAGAAAATCAAGTTTAGAGTTGGCACTCTTAACCACTATAACTATGCCATACTGCCCTCCTGATTTCTGTTCTTTAAGGCCTAGCTACATAAACTCACATAGTTCTAAGAGCTGACCCTTGCCTATGACAGCATCTGGTTTTCCAAGGATGTCAAGCTAGAGGCTCAAGGGCATGCCAATCTCTTCTACCAATCCTCCCACCTACCGCTTCTTGGCGATTTCATTCTGCCGTTTCACCTTTTCTTCCTCAAACTCCCGGATGTTGCGCACACCAATCTCCCGACAAAACTCTTCAAACACCTCATCCTCTACCTGAGAAGAGAAGCCAGGGAGGGCATCGGCCCTTTTAGTCTGTCCTGCTTCCAGTCCCAGTCCTGCCCTGACACACACGCTGGCATGGCCCACACCCTACCAACCTGGTTCATCTTCTCCTTCAAGTCTTTCATTTCCCTCTCTCGGCTCTGAATGATCCTCTTGATATCATTAATGCGAGGCCCAAAGTTGGCTAGCTCACTCTCCAGCTTGGATTTTTCCTACAGGCAATGGGTTGAGAGGACAAAGCAGACCAGGCTCCTTGGAGAAAAAGCTACCTTGACTGCATTGGCCCCACAGTCAGGAAGGGCTAGCTCTCCACAACTGAGAGAACCTGGCTTAGCACTACTGCCCTAGTCAAGCCTCCATGATGTTGCACTGAAGCCATCACATGGCTTCTTCCCTGGCATCCAGTTCAGCCAGCTTCAATCCACAGGGCTGGGGACACAGTAAACATCATTAGGTATAGGTCCCAGTCTTTGATCTACAACCCCTGGGGGCAGAGTTGTTTCAGAATTCAGTTTAGATTTTTTGAGTTTAGAAAAAGATATATAAATACACACACTACATATAAAACCTCTAGGGCGGTCTGGGGAAGTAGTCAGTAAAAAAAACAAAACACATTAATATACCTAGAACAGTCCCCCCCCGCCCCGCCCACTACCACAAGCAGGGACTGAAATGCCCATAGCTCACTTTCAAAAATTCAAATTTGTTGAATGAATAAATTATGCTAACAATAGCACATAACATAAACTGAACACATGGTAGTCTTAAGCACTTTACATGTTAACTCATTCAATAATGACCCTATAAAGTAGGTATCATTTATTTATTTTGAGACAGAGTCTCGCTCTGTCACCCAGGCTGGAGTACAATGGCATGATCTCGGCTCACTGCAACCTCCACCTCCCGGGTTCAAGCAATTCTCCTGCCTCAGCCTCCCAAGTAGCTGGGATTACAGGCGCCTGCCACCACGCCCAGCTAATTTTTTGTATTTGTAGTAGAGACAGGTTTGGCCAGGCTGGTCTCCAACTCCTGACCTCAGGTGATCCACAGGTGATCCACCGTGCCCGGCCGAGTAGGTATCATCTTAACTCGCATTTCACAGATAAAGATGTGAAGGTTGACACTGAAAGGTGAAAATACTTGCCTAATGTCAAACTCAAGGCAGAGCCAAGCTCTGAACCCCTGGCTGTCTGACTCTATGCTATACCTGACTCCCTGCGGCAGGCTGGGAGGAGACGGGGAAGTGAAACAAGTTCCCCACCCCCAGAGAAACCTAGGCCAGGAATGTGTGGATGGCCTTTGGAGAACAGGGCTGAAGGCCAGGCCCCACCTGCAGATTCAGGGCTAGATGTCGTGTCTTGGTCTGTTCTAGGTCACTCTGGGAGTACTTGAGCCGCATCTGCAGTCCATGGGCCTGAGACTGCACCTGACGCAGCTCTGCCTCTTTCCGTTTTGCCTTCATCTGCTCCTGAAGGGAACAAGAAAGAAGGGCTAGGTGGTAAGGTGGTGGCTGACCTAGGCTTAGGACTCCCACTGCTAAAAACAGCACTGCCTGTGGCTTACTTTCAGCTCCTCTGTCAAGCGCTCCTTCTTCTCTTTCAACTTGTCTACTGCTTTCTCATCCCAGCGCCGTGCCTTGGCCTTCAGGTCACTGGCCCCACCAGAGATCACTCCTGACTTCTGGAATAGGGTTCCATCCAGTGCCACTGTCTACACACAGCAGGGGGAAGAGAGAAGAGGGGGAGAAGCTGAACAAATGAATCTCCAGTACTGAGCCTGTCCAGCTCCAGCCTGGGCAAGGGAATCCACACCTTGTGGCGCTGGTGGCCTCCAAAGGCAATGCGGCGGGCATCTTCCACGTTGTCACAGACAAGGGCATTGCCACAAGCATACTGCAGGGCCTTTTTGATATGAGGTGGCTCATAGCGAATCACATCAATCACTAGCTTGGCCCCCTTCAGCTCCCGGAGTTTCTCATCTGTAGGCTTCACCTGTGGGGAGAAGCTCAGTCAGTGGCAGAACACAAACAGGGAGTACTAGAGGAGGGGCCCTTGAACACTGGCCTGACCCAATCCCCAACAAGCCTCACCTCCAGGTAGTCAAGAGGCAAGAAGGTCTCAGGCTCCCCACGCTGCTCCTTGATATACTGAATACAGTCCCGGCCTGTCTTCTCCGAGTCCACAATAATGGCATCCATGTTCTTGCCCAAAACCTTGGTTACAGCAATCTGATACTTCTTTTGTGTGGGCTGGCATAGGTCAATGAGGCGGCCGTACTGAGTAAAGTAGGAAGGGAAAACTGAAGTATGAAGCTTTTGGAAGCTGGCTCAGGAATCCTAATTCCCAGTATGGAAAGGGGGACAGACTAGAATCTATATCAGGAAGTGAATGCAACTGTATTGCCTAGTGGTTAAGATAACCCAATACCAAGCATGGTAGTGTGTGTTTGTAATCCTAGCTACTTGGGAGGTTGCAATGGGAGGACAGCTTAAGCCCAGGAGTTCAAGACCAGCCTGGGCAACATAATGAGACCCTGTCTCAAAACAAACAAAAAAGACAGCCCACTAGTTCTGTACCCATGCAACCCTACCCTATCTGAATGAGACTGTATGGACTGAGGAGGAGGCAATTGCAGACTAGCTTGCTGTGTGCACTCCAGATCAGCACAGTGGCCAATCCTAACGTCCCTTTGAAAGGTGGAAAAGTTTGGGTAAGAGAAGGGAGGTAAAGAAATGAATAAATGAGTTATGTAATGAGGGAAACTCAGTATTACATTAACACCTCAAAAGAGGTTCAGAGCAAGAGATGATATTGTCTCTTAGCACAATTATCCCAGATGCCTGAAAGTATGAAGCTATGTTTGCCGAGAACACTCCTGGTTTTGGAACCTAACAAGATTGAATAGAAGCCTGCAAACCTGAATGGCCTCACCCTAGGAGACATTTTTACATGACATGATCATGGACTAGACTAATTATTAATTAATGACTCAGTGGGATTCTAGTAATGTGCCAGTATCTTTCTACTCTTTTTTGGAGACGGAGTCTCACTCTGTTGCCCACGCTGAAGTGCAGTGGCGCAATCTTGGCTCACTGCAACCTCCACCTCCCAGGTTCAAGTGATTCTCCTGCCTTAGCCTCCCGAGTAGCTGGGATTACAGGTGCCCGCCACCATGCCCGGCTAATTTTTGTATTTTTAGTAGAGACGGGGTTTCACCATGTTGGCCAGGCTGATCTCAAACCCCTGACCTCCGATGATCTGCCCGCCTCGGCCTCCCAAAGTGCGAGGATTACAGGCGTGAGCTACCGCTCCCAGCATCTTTCTATTTATTACATGATTGTTCTGATGTAAGGGATCTGTGTTTGAAGATCAAAGTGGACTGTGGTTTTATGAAATATATATTTAGTCTTCTACCCGTGAGTTCCTGACACACAACTCCTAAAACCCTTAGAATCTCAGGAATGAGCAGTGTCTTTTGTATGTTAATGAGATGATTATGGCTGGAGGCCCATAGATAGCTTCTGGATAGGGGCTGGTTACCAGAAAGACCAAGGCAGGATTAGATTTGGGACTCTTAGCTCCACCCCTACAACCTTCAGGAGGGGAGAGGGGCTGAAGGTTGAACTGATCACCGATGGCTGATGATCTGATCAATCATGACTACATAATGAAGCCCCTGTGTGGGGGTACCTGGAGGGTGGCTTGCCCAGATTGGGCATGGAAGCTTCACATCTCTTCTCCCATACCTTGCCTTATGCATCCATCTGGCTGTTCTCTGTATCCTTTGTAATATCCTTCATAATAAATGGGTAAACATAAGTAAAACATTTTCCTGAGTTCTGTGAGCTGCACTAGTAAATTAATCGAACCCAGGGAGGGATTCTCGGGAACTGTAATTTATAGCAGGTCAGTCAGAACCACAAGTCACAACCTGAGACTTGCAATTGGCACCTGAAGTCTTGGACTGAGCCCCTAACCCACAGGATCTGATGCTATCTCCAGATAAATAGTGTCAGAGCTGAAGTGAATTATAGGTCACCCAGCTGGTGTCTGCTGGAGAATTGCTTGGTGTGTGAGGAAAAACCCCCACACTTCTGGTGTCAGAAGTGAAGTGTTGTGCTGGTTGTGAGAGTAGAAAAAACACTTTGGTTTTTTCCTATCTCACAGAAGAACACAGCCCCCATGCTATCAAGGAAAAGCCTATTCTGGTTCCCAAGCAATGACTTCAGGCAGTCGTGTCTGAATCCAGAATCATCTTTCTAAACCTCACATCTACCATTTTACAGACCACCACCACCCAGGCACTATGCCAAGTATCTTATATATATTATTTCAAATTCTCACAAGCACTTAGCAAAATAAATCTGGCTGGGCGTGGTGACTCACGCCTGTAACCCTACCACTTTGGGAGGCCGAGGCGGGCAGATCACTTGAGGTCAGGAGTTTAAAACCAGCCTGGCCAACATGGTGAAACCCCGTCTCTACTAAAAATACAAAAAAATTAGTTGGGCATGGCGGCGAGCACCTGTAATCTCAGCTACTTGGGAGGCTGAGGCAGGAGAATCACTTGAGCCTAGGAGGCAGAGATTGCAGTGAGCCGAGGTTGTGCCACTGCACTCCAGCCTGGGCGACAGAGCGAGACTCCATCTCAAAATCAATCAATCAATCAATCAATCTCTTCTACCAGTTCCCTTCCTGCAGCCTCCAAAACCAAGCCTGGTTCCCTAAGAACTATCAGATTAAGGGGGCAGGGACTGACTCTAACCATACTTATCTCCCCAGCAGTGTCTAGAGAAGTGATAGGGAAATATTAGTGGAACCAAACTAAGTTGAACCCAGGTATGGGATAATATTCAGGGAACCTGGGAACTCAGGATTTGGTGAAAGAGGCCAAAAGATCAAGAGATCTGATAAAGCTCAGGGTGTCCCTAAAAGCTACTGGACCAGTTAATACATGCCAAGGGAGCCCCTTTATAAGACTGCACAGAGCTACTTCCTGGGAGAGTAATTCCAGCCCCATGGCCCCACCTGCTTCCAAAATCTTTCCTGGTTTTCCAATTCCCCTCCCAGAGGCATAGACATAGCAAGACAAAACCTTCAGAAAGACGCAATTGGTATGATGAAAAGAACATGATTGCCTAGTATGACAGGTTGAAAAATAAAAAAAAAAAAAAAAAAAAAAGAACATGAGCTCAGGAGAACAAGTTGGGTTTGAACTGCAGTTCTTCCTCTTAGAAGCGGTGCTTTTTTAAACCTCTCCGAGCCTCATTTCCCCCAACAATAAAAATGGGATTGGCAACCCTGTCCTTACAGGGCTGCTGGGAAAATCGTGTGACAGTGAGTGTAAGTGCTCAGGAAATGAGTTCCCTCTCTGCTCTTACCACAGAGCCAGGGTAAAGGCGCTTGATGCTTTCCATTATCTCTGCCTTTCGCTGCTGGCGGCTGCTCTCCTGGCGGTCGATGCGGGCATCCCCTAGCTGCTCCATCACCTGGTTCAGCTCCTTATTGATTTCATCAATACGCCGCTTGGCCATCTCCACCTCCTCTGTCAGCTCCCCCTCTAGCTTCTTCTGCTCTTCTAGGGACTGCCTACAAAGTGAGGGCACACAGGAGTTACTCCTGCTGGTGAGAAAATACTCCTGGCTCAGAGAGCTCTGGGGGTCCTGCATGAAGAGGGGCATGTAGGTAGGGTCACAAGAACAGGCCTGGAAGTAAGGGGGACAGATGCAGAGCTACATACTTGCTAGTGGTGATGTATTCCTCCAGTTTCTCAATCCGCTTCTGATTCTCTTCAATTTCCCGCAGCTTTTGCTTGATCTTGGCCTGGGAAACAAACATTCCATCATCAGGGGCTGCACGAGTTTACGCCAAGACCATGGGGGCTCTAGATCACACCCTTTATGTGCCCACTCATCCAAGAGCCGAACAGTCCAGGACAATCTGTCACTAATATAGGAGGCCTACTAAAAAGCAGACATAGATGGTGTTCGGTTTGATCTACTAACTAATGATGGGGGCCTCCCAGAGCTCCAGAACCTCTCATAGGTGTTCTACCCAGCCAAGGCATCTTCTTCACCAACCATGGAGGCTCAAATCAAGATAAAGCTTCACAGGCCTTTCTGTACCTGTTTCCTCATCTGCAAAATGTGGGTAATCTCCACTGCATAGAATACACATTAAGTGCTTAATATAGGGTTGTTATTAATATTAATGACTATCACATTATTTTTAAAAAATTTTTATTATTTTTTAAAATTTGAGACAGGGTCTCACTGTGTTGCTCAGGCTGATCTCAAACTCCTGGCCTCAAGTGATCCACCACGCCTGGCCAACATTCTTTTAAATATTTAAAAGTGCTTAGCAGAATGCCTGAACACTGTACACTCCTGGGACACTATGACAACTTTCTATCATTGCTGTTATTACAATATTGATATCAGGGAGGCAGTAAGTAAAGTATATTTGGTAAGAGTGTGGGCTTTAGAGCTACAATGCCCAGGGTCTGGTTCTGATACTTAATAGTTATGTGAGTGGCCGGGCACGGTGGCTCGCGCCTGTAATCCCAACACTTTGGGAGGCCAAGGCAGGCTGATCGCAGAGGCAGGCAGGAGTTTAAGACCAGCCTGGGCAACAAGCAGAAACCCTGACTCTATAAAAATTAAAAAATTAGGAGGCCGAGGCGGGCGGATCACTTGAGTTCGGAAGTTCAAGACCAGCCTGGTCAACATGGTGAAATCCCATCTCTACTAAAACTACAAAAAATTTAGCCAGGTGTGGTGGCACCCACCTGTCATCCCACCTACACGGGTGGCTGAGACACAAGAATCACTGGAACCGGGCTGGGTGCGTTGGCTCACACCTGTAATCCCAGCACTTTAGGAGGCCAAGGCGGGTGGATCACCTGAGGTCAGGAGTTCGAGACCAGCCTGACCAACAAGGTGAAACCCCGTCTCCACTAAAAATACAAAAATTAGCCGGGAATGGTGGCTGGTGCCTGTAATCTCAGCTACTTGGGGAGGCTGAGGCAGGAGAATTGCTTGAACTTGGGAGACAGAGGTTGTAGTGAGCCGAGATGGCACCATTGCACTCCAGCCTGGGCAACAAGAGAGAAACTGCGTCTCAAAAAACAATAAAAATAAAAATAAAAAAATAAAAAGAATCACTTGAACCCGACAGGCAGAGGTTGCAGTGAGCTGAGATCATGCCACTGCACTCCAGCCTGGGCAACAGAGTGAGGCTTTGTCTCAAAAAAAAAAAAAAAAAAAGTAGCCAGGCATGGTGGCAAGCACAAGTAATGCTGGATACTCAGGAGGCTCTGGTTGGAAGATTGCTTAAGCCTGGGAAGTCGAAGCTGCAGTGAGCCATGGTCGCACCACTGCACCTCAGCCTGCATGACAGAGAAAGACTCTGTCTCAAAAATAACAATAATCTTGTGACCTTAGGCAAATTACTCTGTGTTGTAATTTCCTCATTCATAAAATAGGGTAATAGTAGCCATTCCATAAAGATAATAATAAATGAAGAATTAAATGAGTGGATACATGTAAAGAACATTGCCTATCATACAGTAAGTGCTCAACAGATGTGAGCTACTGTCATTATCATTGTCATTATCATTAAGATTATCATGGCCAGGCGCAGTGGCTCAAGCCTGTAATCCCAGCACTTTGGGAGGCCGAAGTGGGTGGATCACAAGGTCAGGAGCTCGAGACCAGCCTGGCCAACGTAGTGAAACCCTGTCTCTACTAAAAATACAAAAATTAGTTGGACATGGTGGCGCACGCCTGTAGTCCCAGCTACTCAGGAGGCTGAGGCAGGAGAATTGCTTGAACCCGGGAGGCAAAGGTTGTGGTGAGCTGAGATCACATCACTGCACTCCAGCCTGGGCAAGAGCGAAACTCTGTCTCAAAAAAACAAAAAAACAAAAAAAAAGACTATCATTACAGGTTGGGTAACTCTAATCCAAAATGCTTAGGACCGGAAACGTTTCAGATTTTGGATTATTTTGGATTTGGGATGCTCAACCTATATATATCCTTTTCTGTGGACCATCATCCCTAATCTTATAACTATAGCCCACCTCTGTCTCTACTTTCTTCCGTTCTTCCAGATCCAGACGGTCCTGGTCAGCTTTCTGGTCTCGATTGAATTTCTCCAGCTCCTGGGCCAGGGTAGCTGCTCTCTTGCTGGCTTCTTCTTTCAACCGGTGGTATTTCTTCACCTGTGTTAGGGACAGGGAAGGAGAACAGGGATGACCAAGTCAGCAGATGTCAGCCCAGGGATCTCCTCCCTGCCAACCCCTTCCAGAGCTTACCTGATTCTCCTCCAACGTCAAATCTCTGCCCTGACTCTGACTCTCTTCTTCCATCCGTTCTTCAAACTCCTGCCGAGCCTTCTCCACTGACAGCATCTCCTTCTCCAGCTCATCCATGTCACCTTTACGCTTCTTGTAGTGCTTCTGAGCATTCTGCAGAGACTTCTTGGCTGCTTCCAGCTTCTTGATTTTGTGGGAGGTGTTCTCCTTGGCTTTGATGTACTGAGGCCGCTTCTGGTTCAATTCTGAGTCCTTCTCCCTTTTGCCAGAGGGGTGGGGGAAACCAGTGAGAACTATGGAAGAAGGGAGGGTTCCCAGGCTTTTCACCCAAAGGAGAGCTTGAGCCCCTGAGCCAACCTCAGGGAATTACTTAAAAGAACATGGGCGTAATGCCCCACAGATCCTGAAAAAAAGGGGCAGTCTGACTACTCCCTGAAAGGTATGACTTCAGCCTGGCATTCCAGCCACTCCATAAGGCAAAGCTACCAACTCTGCCTCAACCCTGGCCAGGAAGCTCATTAACAACTCCCAAGAACATCCTGTATTTACTTAGTTGGCCCCTCAAATTCCTATCCTTTAAACTTCTAGCTTCAGTTTCCTCTTCTAGGAAGGCCTTCTCAGCCACTCCATTGGCTCGGCCTCACATTGGTTCCTCTTTCTTGGCAAGGCCACCACCCCTTTTGAGTTCTCCCTCATCTGAGCACCTGTCTACCCAGGGCCTGAGTGCTTAAATATTCTATTTGTCTAAACTGCAAGTCAAGAAATGTGCCTGGTTCTTACAAAAGCAAGTTAGGAGAATAACAGAGAAATGAGTATAGGTACTGAACTCCGGGCTCAGAGGAACCCTAATAAACAGCACGGCCTCTTGGTTTCCCACAAGTTGCAGGCCCAGGTCTGCCTCTTACTTGATCTCCTTCTCAATCTGCTGCTGCTCCCGCATCATTTTGCCCAGCTCCTTCTTCTTCTCCTTCAGTTCATCCTCCACCTTGTCCATACGCTTCTTGTCCTTCTCGATCTCCTTGTTCTTTGAGGCCAGTTCCTTGTTGAGCTTCTCAATTTCCACTTCATTATGGTAAAGCTTAAAGAGCTGCAGCTGTACCTGAGCCCGTACTACCTCATCCTTCAGGCGCTGGTACCGGTCAGCCTGTGCAAACAGGGGAATGGTGGCAGGGGTGCATCGATAAGGCACTGGCTCCATCCTGGTCCCTCAGAGCCAAGAGGTAGCTTGGCCACCTACCTCTTCTTTCTCCTGCTTTGCTTCCTTGCGTTCAGCCGCAATATTTTTCTTGCGATGGTAATTAAACTGTGTGTCCTCTTCAGCCTTCACCATTTCCTTCTTTCGCTTGTCATACTCCTGCGCCAGCTCCCCAGAACGACTAATCTCTTCAAATAGAGCTGTCCTCTCTTTGGGGTTCTTCATGGCAATAGATTCCACAGCACCCTAGTAAAGGTCGAAACACTCTTCCACTTCAGACCCCAGCCAACCCAGTTCACCTTACCCATTTCCACTCCTTCACCCAGAAAAAGTTACCAACTTTCTCTCCCATGCCCCTGCTGCCACATTTCACACTGGGCTTTGAGGACAAATTCCTTGCCCTCTGAGGAGCACAGGGAGCCAAAGGGACAAAGACAACAAAGTGTTATGTGCAGTAACAGAAGCAGCATAGGAAAAGGACAAAATGAAGCTTGGGGGTAGGAGACTGATAGGGATATCTATCTCAGAAGGCTTCCCAAAGGTGACATCTGTGCTGAGTTTGGAAGCTGGAGGGAAACTAACCAAGAAAATAAAAGAAAAAAGGTGGCCGGGCGCGGTGGCTCACACCTGTAATCCCAGCACTTTGGGAGGCTGAGGCAGGCAGATCACCTGAGATCAGGAGTTCAAGACCAGCCTAGCCAAAATGGTAAAACTCCATCTCTACCCAAAATACAAAAATTAGCCAGGCATGGCGGCGGGCGCCTGTAGTCCCAGCTACTTGGGAGGCTGAGGCAGGAGAATCACTTGAACCCTGGAGACGGAGGTTGCAGTGAGCCAAGGTCGTGCCACTGCACTCCAGCCTAGGTGACAAGCGAAACTCCGTCTCAAAAAAAAAAAAAAAAAACAAGAACAAAAAACAAACAAACAAAAAAAACAGAGAAAAAGTTATTCTATGAAGAGGAAAAGTAATATGCAAAGACCTGTAGGCCAAAGAAAGCAGGTGAATTTGCAGAACCATAAATGGTTTAAGTAGGCTGGAGTGCAAGGCTGGAGAAGAACATGCAGATGGTATTTGGATTTTGATGATGGTGTTTCCTAAATGATAGGCTTAGGAGTTTGGATCTCATCCTAAGGCAATAGTTCTCAAATTTCGGCCGACATCATAATAAACTGGAGAGCTTGGTAAAACACAAACTGCTGTGCCCCACTCCACAGTTTCTTCCAAGTCAGGAAGTCTAGGATAGGGCCTGAGAATGTGCATTTTCTAACATGTTACCAGGTAATGCTGATACTGCTGGTCTGGAGACTACAGTTTAAGAACCACCATTGTAAGGCAATACGGAATCACTGAAATGTTTTAAGGAAAAAAGGGAGGGGAAACAAAACAAATGTGTGTCCTCATAAGATGAACCTGGCTCAGGGGCCAGACTGAAGTTGGGAAGCTCAGTGAACAAGGTGCTACATTAGTTCAAGGGAGAGATGATAAAGCCTGAGATGGAGCAGACAGAGTGGGGATGGGACATGGTCTGGCAAAAACCAGATAGCCAATAACTGTTAAAAACGCCCACCTGGAAAACGAGGAAGTTACGAGCTTTGATGAGAATGCCCAACTTCTCTAATTCCTCACTGTACTCATGTAGTTGGACCACTTTGTTGTTGATCTTGTACTCAGAAGAACCTCCTACAAGACAATGCATGAGTTGGCAAGGGTCAGGCCTCCTTCCTGTCCCAATCAACTAGTCTAGCCACCTCCCAGGACCCAAGGAGAGCTTTCTGGCCAGCCTCACCCACCTACAATGACACGGGCAAAGGTACGGTCCTCAGCACCCTCCTCAGAGTAGACCATGCTGACAAAGGCCCGGTTGGCAGCTGGCTTGCCCACAGGAGCTCCATGGATCAGGTCCCGCAGGGTCTTTACCCGCAGGTTGCTGGTTTTTTCACCTAGCACAAAGCTGATGGCATCCATGAGATTTGACTTACCTAAGGGAAGAGGGACGAGGCAGTAGAGGGAAAGTCAGGATGAAGAGGAGAGGAAAAGGAATAAAGATATTGAGATGAACAAAAATGTCCCCTAATCACTCAGTACTCAGACTAATGGGAAGAGAGACTACTCCTCTGTCCCCATAAAGACTGAGCACAACCAAACCTCTGGGTCAAAGGCTTAGGAAAAACAGTCCTTTTGCAGTTACTATATAGCAGCCAGAAGCTAGAACCCAGGATAAGCGTAGTGACTCACACCTGTAATCCCAGCACTTTGGGATGCCGAGGCAGGAAGATCGCTTGAGGCCAGGAGTTTGAAACCAGCTTGGACAACAAGGCAAAACCCAGTCTCTACAAAAACTTTAAAAATTAGCTGGGCATGAGCTACTCGGGAGGCTGAGGCAGGAGAATTCCTTGAACCTGGGAGGCGGAGGTTGCAGTGAGCCGAGATCGTGCCACTGCACTCTAGCCTGGGCGACAGAGCGAGACTCCATCTCAAAAAAAAAAAAAAAAAATTAGCTGGGCATAGTGGCATGCGCCTGTAGTCTCAGCTACTCAGAAGGCTGAGGAGGGAGGATCGCTTGAGCTCAAGAGTTCAAAGCTGCATGAGCTATGATGACACCACTGCACTCCAGCCTGGGTGACAGAACAAGACTCTCTTTAAAAAAATAGTGAAAAAAAAAAAAAAAGAGGAAAGAATAGTTTAAAAAAAGAAGCTAGAACCCAATCTAAAGAAATGGTATATTCACAGAATGGATAGTTTTACAACCTTTAATGACATGGACAAAAGCCCACAATAGGTGAAACAAACAAGACACAAAACTCAACGATGTTAAAATAATATAAAGTGGGCCGGGCATGGTGGCTCACGCCTGTAATCCCAGCACTTTGGGAGGCTGAGGCAGGTGGATCACCTGAGGTCAGGAGTTCAAGACCAGCCTGACCAATATGGTGAAACCCTGTCTCTACTAAAAAATACAAAACTTAGCTGGGCGTGGTGGCGGGCGCCTGTAATCCCAGCTACTTGGAAGGCTGAGGCAGGAGAATCGCTTGAACCTGGGAGGTGGAGGCTGCAGTGAGCCAAGATCGTGCCACTGCACTCCAGCCTGGGCAACAGAGTAAGACTCCATCTCAAAAAAAAAAAATAAAATAAAATAAAATAATAATAATAATAATAATGTAAAGTAAAATTTAAAAATAGGCTGGGAGGAGGGGAAAATGGGAGGTTTTTTTTTCTTTTGAGATGGAGTCTTGCTCTGTTGCCAGGCTGGAGTGCAGTGGCGTGATCTCAGCTCACCACAACCTCCGACTCCCTGGTTCAAGGGATTCTCCCACCTCAGCCTCCCGAATAGCTGGGATTACAGGCACACATCACCACACCCAGCTAACTTTCTGTATTTTTAGTAGAGACAGGGTTTCACCATGTTGGCCAGGATGGTCTCGATCTTCTGACCTTGTGATTCGCCCACCTCGGCCTCCCAAAGTGCTGGGATTACAGGCATGAGCCACCACGCCTGGCCTGGGAGTTGTTTTTTAATGGGCATAGATTTTCATTTTTGCAAGATGAAAAAGTTCTAGAGATCGTTTGCACAAAAACGTGAATATATTTAACACTACTGAACTGCACACTTAAAAATGGTTAATTTAGGAAATTTTATGTGTATTTTACCACCATCTAAAAAAAGTGCATATTCCTGTTGTGAAACAATATGAAACACACAGCATCATTTATGATGTATCTTACCAAAAATATTTAACCTGAATCTATTTTTTTCCTTTTTTTAATTTTTTGTTATAATAAAGACAAGGTCTCGCTGTGTTGCCCAGGCTAGTCTTGAACTCCTGGCCTCAAGTGATCCTCCCGCCGTGGCCTCCCAAAGTGCTGGGATTACAGGCATGAGCCACCATATCCAGCCTAATCTGAATCTAAACAAGCCTTCAGACTTATCTTCCAGTTCCTAGGAAATACAGCAATACAATATAGAGGAACATAGTAAGGTTTTCATGAGGAAATCTTAACACAAACACAGAATGTGGGATGTTCTCAAAGACAAATGGCCTGGTCTTTTCAAAAAGTCAGTGTCTAAAAAGAAAGGGTGAGCCGGGCACGGTGGCTCACGCCTGTTATCCCAGCACTTTGGGTGGCCGAGGCGGGCGGATCACCTGAGGTTGGGGAGTTCCAGACCAGCCTGACTAACATGGAGAAACCTCGTCTCTACTAAAAATACAAAATTAGCTGGGCATGGTGGCACATGCCTGTAATCCCAGCTACTCAGGAGGCTGAGGCAGGAGACTCGCTTGAACCTGGGAGGCAAAGGTTGCGGTGAGCCAAGATCACGCCATTGCACTCCAGCCTGGGCAACAAGAGCAAAACTCCATCTCAAAAAAAAAAAAAAAAAAAAAGTGAGCGAACCATTCCAAAACATGAGAGATTTCTGAGACATAGGTAAACAGTGCACAAACTTTGACTGGACTCTGGTTCCAAAATAACAAAAAGACATTTGGGGAGCAAGTTAAGGAAGCTTAAATATAAACTGGATAATTGATGACATGAGGAAATTTTCTTAGTTGTGATAACTGAATAGTGGTAGTACAGGAGAATGATGATTTTAAGAGGTGAATGCTGAAGCACTTAGGGGTGAAATGTAATTGAGTCTGTAATTTACTTCCAAATGACTAAGTAATGCACATATATGCTTGCAAATTTTCATAATAAAACTTGGGAGAAGAGAAGGCATAGGAAACAAATATATGAAAACGTAAACAGTGCAGCAGTGATTGCCTCTGAAAAGGAAACTAAGCAGCTAGGGTCAAGGGAGTCTTCTTTTTACTACTGTATATCCTTAAGGATTTTTAAAATTGTATACCATGTACATGTACCAGCTATTCAAATAAATAAGGTTTTCAACATTAACAGTGGCTATCTTTTCAGTAGTGGAGTTACAGCTTTTACTTTGTTCATTTTAGAATCCGAAAACAAAAAAGGTTTCATTTACTTATTTTATTTATTTTTTGAGATGGAGTCTCGCTCTATCGCCCACGCTAGATTGCACCTACCAAGTTCAAGTGATTCTCCTGCCTCAGTCTCCTGAATAGCTGGGACGACAAGCGTGTGCCACCACACCTAGTTAATTTTTGTATTTTTAGTAGAGATGGGGTTTCATCATGTTAGCCAGGCTGGTCTCGAATTCCTGACCTCAAGTGATCCACCCACCTCGGTCTCCTAAAGTGCTGGGATTACAGGCATAAGCTACCACGCCCAGACCTTATTCATTTATTTATTGAGACAGGGTCTGACTCTGTCACCCAGGCTGGAGTGCAGTAGCAGTATCACAGCTCTCTGCAGCCTTGACCTCCTTGGCTCAAGTGATCCTCCTGTCTCAGCCTCCCAAGTAGCGGGAAGCATGGGCATAAGCCACCATGCCCAGCTAGTTTTTGGATTTTTGCAGAAGCAGGGTCTCCCTATGTTGCCTAGGCTGGTCTCAAACTCCTGAGCTCCAGAGATCCTCCACCTTGGACTCCCAAAGTGCTGGGGTTACAGGCATGAGCCACCGTTCCTGGCCAAAAAATAGATATTGTTTTAAAAGTTTAGGCCGGGTGCAGTGGCTCATGACTGTAATCCCAGCACTTTGAAAGGCCGAGGCAGGCGGATCACCTGAGGTCAGGAGTTTGAGACCAGCCTGGCCAACATGGTGAAACCCCGTCCCTACTAAAAATACAAAAATTAGCCAGGCACGGTTGTGTGCCTATAATCCCAGCTACTCGGGAGGCTGAGGCACGAGAATCGCTTAAACCCAGGAGGTGGAGGTTACAGTGAGCTGAGATCGCGCCACTGCACTCCAACCTGGGCGACAGAGAGAGACTCTGTCTCAAAAAAAAAAAAAAAAAAAAAAAAGTTTAGTCGGGCTGGTGGATAAGGAGGAACAGTTTAGTCTCTATAATTTCTATCTCAAGACTGTCCCTAAAGAACTTATATATGACTTTGAACTGAAGATCTGATTTCCAACACCTTTCTACTCAGCCATAAAAACAGCAGCCCAAGTCCTTCCATAGAGACGGTATAAGACTATGATTAGGTTGGACACGGCATCTCACGCCTGTAATCCCAGCACTCTGGGAAGCAGACGTGGGTGGATCACTTGACCTCGGGAGTTTGAGACCAGCCTGGACAACATGGCAAAATCCCATCTCTACAAAAAATACAAAAATTGGCTCGGCATGGTGGCACACTCCAGTTGTCCTGACTACTGGGAAGGCTGAGATGGGAGGGTTGCTTGAGCCCGAGAAGTTGAGGCTGCAGTGAGCCATGATTGTGCCACTGTATGCCAGCCTTGGTGACAGAGCAAGACCCTGACTCCAAAAAAAAAAAAAATAGGCCAGGCGCGGTGGCTCACACCTGTAATCGCAGCACTTTGGGAGGCCCAGGTGGGCAGATCACGGGGTCAGGAGTTTGAGACCAGCCTGAACAACGTGGTGAAACCCCGTCTCTACTAAAAATACAAAAACTGGCCGGGCATAGTGGTGCACGCCTGTAATCCCAGCTCCTCAGGAGGCTGAGGCAGGAGAATAGCTTGAACCCGGGAGGCAGAGGTTGCAGTGAGCTGAGATCACGCCACTGCACTCCAGCCTGGGCGACAGAGAAAGACTTCATCTCAAAAAAAAAAAAAAGAAAAAAAAGAAAAGAATCACTTGAACCCAGCAGGCAGAAGTTGCAGTGAGCCGAGGTCATGCCACTGCACTCCAGTGTGGGCGTCAGAGTGAGACTCCATCTAAAAAAGCTTGCAAACTTGGGCTTAGAACCAACAGACCAGGTTCTAATCTTACTTTCACTACCACTTAGCTGACCTTCCATTCCCTCACCTGGAAAAAGATGAAAAAAACCACAATTCACGGGTCTAAAAATATGTGCGGCACATACTTCTCTATTGGAGTGGCAGGAGCACAGGCATGGGTTCTGAGAACCACGGACAAGTTATCACACCTCTGTGCCTTAGTCTCCTCATGTATAAAACGAAGCTATTGGCATTTTCCTCCTAGGGTCATTTTGAGAATTTAATTGTAAAGGGTCCCTTGGCTGGGTGCAGTGGCTCATGCCTGTAATCCCAGCACTTTGGGAGGCTGAGGCAGGCAGATCACTTGAGCCCAGGAGTTTGAGACCAGCCTGGCCAACTGGGAGAAACACCAACTCTACTAAAAATACAAGAACTAGCCAGATGGGGTGGCGCACGCCTGTAGTCCCAGCTACTTGGGAGGCTGAGGCACGAGAATCACTTGAACCCAAGAGGCAGAGGTTGCAGTGAGCCAACATCATGCCACTGCACTCCAGCCTGGACAACAGAGCAAGACTGTCTCAAAAAAAAAAAAAAAGAAAAGAAAAAGAAAAAGAAAAAACAGGGTCCCAATAAATAAAGTACTTGACACACAGAGTAGGTACTCAATTAATTAGTCCTATCCTAAGTCTGGACTCAGCTGTCTCCCTCATCACAGCAGGACTAGCACATCATGCAGACCAGGAGTCAGCCTTTTAGGAACCAATATCCAACCTTTGGGCTTCTCCCATCATTTCCAGGGAGGACAACATCATCTCACAACCCCAAGCCTCTCTAATCACAATCAATATGGTAAACATTTTTGTAATATATATTATGGACTGAACACCAGTAAAACGTTTCAAGGAATGTCTGCTTTAGGGTACTCACAGGCCAATGAAGATACAAAAACATGCACCATCAATATAGGACTTAATAAACATTAACGTGTACCAAGTGTCTACGGTATGCCACAGAGGAAGACTCACTCACCAAAGGGACTAAAGGAATGGCTTGTAGAGGTGGGCCTTGAAGAACGGGGGCAAGTGGGGGAGTGCCATAGCCCTTTTCAGAACAGCTGGGAATACAAATCTACTAATGCTGAGGGGACTGAATGCCAAGAGGTACATCCTAGCTCTTCCAACAGGGGCCACTACACTAAAACCCGAGGAAACTGGGTGGACACCAAGCATTAGCCCTCCAGGCCAGTGGTTCTCAAACAAGTTGGGGGGTTGGGGGAATCACACACACCCTCTGTGACATCTAGCAATGTCTAGAGACAGTTTTGATTGTCATGCCTGGGGAGCAGGGGTGCTACTGTTATCTAGCAGGTAGATGCCAGAGATGCTGTTAAACATCCTACAATGCACAGAGCACATCCCACAGCAAAGGATTATCTCGCTGGAAATGTCAATAGTGCCACTGTTGAGACACTCAGTCTCCAGGAAAGGTACTCAGTATGTGCTACTTCAGCAAGGGCAGCCTCTTAGGCTAGGATATCATTCAGCTAGAACATCTCTGGGGTGGAAGAATACAGCAGGATTCCAAATGGACATCTGAGGTGAGAGGAATCCACGGTGTATCGTTTAGAGTTGGGAAGACACAAAATAGAGGCTTTACCTGACCACCCTTTCTAAAGACACCACCTAAGTCACTTTATCACATCCACCTGTCTCATTTCCTGTATAGCACTTATGACAGCCTAAAACCATCTTATTTTCTCCTTATCTTCTTTCCCCTCTGGAATATAAGTTCCCTGTGAGCATGGAGTTGGTTTATTCTATTCTCCGCTGTTTCCACAACTTGCAACTGAATAACTCCTGATAAACAATAAGCATTCAACAAATTTGGTAAATTAGTTAATTTCGGCTTTTGACGGTTTCGGTGGTAGGAAAAGGGCGAGTTCGAGGCAACTACCTCTGACATAGCGGTGGGGGGTGGGGATCGACACCTCAAGCATTCTAAAGACTGGAGCGCTGGGTCTGAAATTCAAAAGTGCCGCCTCCAGAGAAGAGTAGAAAGGAGTTGGAGTGTACCAATGCGAGGCGAGAGAGGACGCTGGGCTGAAACAGAAGTGCACCGTTTGGGACCGAAGGCCACGGGAGAGCTACCAGCGTCCCCACATTCTCCGGAGGGGGTCAAGTAAGGCTGGGAAGCCGGCTCCGGCCGGTCCGGCGGGGAGCCGCGCGGCGGAGGACTGAGCTGGCGGGAAGCTGGTTCCAGACGCGACTCCTTTGGCGGGAGGGGGAAGTAGGCGGGGTAACTGGCAGCTCGGCCTGTACCACTGGGCCGGGGCGGGGGCCGCGCAGGAAGCGGCAAGTGACACCTGGAAGGGGTTCGAGTTAGAGCACCCGCGCGGGGAGAGTGGGTTCGAGCAGAACCCCCTCTGGACGGGCAAGGAACCCGTAAGGGTCCGCGACGTTTCAGGTTACATGGGCTGGGTTGTACTACTCCGGCACCGGATAAGGGGTCCAGGCCGGGACGTGCGCAGGGCCGCGGCCAGGTTTATCTCACCAGAGCCATTGGGTCCAATGATGGCGGTGAACCTCTGAAATGGTCCGATAATCTGTCGACCCTTGTACGACTTAAAGTTCTCAATCTCAATCAGTTTCAGGAACCCCATGACGGCCGCGGCGCCGGCGGCAGTAGGACAGGCCGCGCCGTACGCCCGAGAACTGAGGTAGCCCGCGCGGGAAACGCCGCAGTGCAAGCCGGGCGACCGGCAAATGTCGCGAGAATACGTCCAGGCCTAACGGGATTTTCGCCTTCCGGCAGGAGTGGGACCAGGGGCGGGGACTGATGTTGCGTATACGAGGAGCGAGCTGACGACTGGCGTGGTGCCTCCGCCCCCCTTTCTTGTTGCATGGCAACAACAAACACTTGCTCCTGCGGACCAGATCCCCGGAGGAGTTGTTGCTGGGCGGAGTCAGAGCAGTTCTTGAGGTTCAAGGAGGCGGGGGAGACCTGAGCTCACGCTTGCTGAGACAGAAGTCACAGCAGGATTATGCCCCTCAGGGCAAGAGGAAGGTGGGAGCTCGGCTGTGGCTTTAGCCTGGCCAGCTTTCAAGGCTAGGACAAGGACAGGGTCGGGAATTGGAAGGACCCGGGGGGAGCGGAGAGCTGGACGGGAAGGAGGGGCCAACGGGAGGATTCAGTGTTAGGTGAGCTCAGACTTTGCTAATGGTGGGGTGGGATTGGTGGCGGGACGGGTTGCGAAGGCGGACGGGTTGTGAATGGGACTGGGGCTACTCCCAGGCAACAGGGATACAGGCTGGGGAAGGCTACGGCCTGAGATACTACCCCTATCCCCTGCCTCCCTCCTGTTGTACCAAGCAGAGTTCAGAAACTGCCGCCGTAACCCAAGAACAAAGTTGCATGCAGAGCCAACCTAAGAGCTTCAAAATCGGGATTCCTTACTGAGAAAGGTATTTTGTGTGAACCCCCAGGAGTCAGGGTCCCTAAGCCAGCGCTCTCCACCTCCACCTACCTCTGCCTCCATGCCTCTCCCCCATCCCATTCCCACAGCTCTATACCACAATGCCACCTTACCTCTCTTCCCTCTCTGCTCTCTATCATTAATAAGGCAGGGGCCTTAGCAATCCAAGAAGCTTAAAATGTCAGCTGAATCTTCCCCTTCAGTGACCTTATACTGTAATGGCAGGTGAAACCAGTAGGTAAGTTGGTGCCATTCTCAGACTTAAACATGGAAAGGATCTGGTGGTTGCCATAATTATTCCTTTAACTATTTATTAAATTATGTCCGAAGGCTAGAAAGAGTCCTAAAGACTTAGGACAAGTCCAGGAAAGTGAGGAAGTGGCTGGGCATGGTGGCTGACAACTGTAATCCCATCGTGAGGGAGGCAGGCCAAGGCAGGAGGATCACTTGAGACCAGCAGTTCAAGACCAGCCTGGGCAACATAGTGAGACCCTATCTCTACTAAAAATTAAAAAATTAGCTGGGTGTGGCAGCTCTCACCTCTGGTCTACCCAGGATGCCGAAGCAGGAGGATCACTTGAGCCTGGGAGGTTGAGGCTGTAGTGAGTGGTGTCCGCACCACTTCACTCCAGCCTAGGTGACAGAGCAATACCCTGTCTCAAAAATAAATAAAGGGAGGAAGCTTGGTAGATGGAATCTAGTAGGGGAGCCATAAATGAAGTTCAGCTGGGAGAAACAATCAGGCTGAGGGGATAAAATGGCTAAAAGACAGCAATCTCATGTAATCCATGGGGAAATACTGTTCCCTTTTAAAAGATGAGATGGTGAGCCTGGGTAACATAGCAAAACCCAATCTCTACAAAAAAATTTTAAAAATTAGGCAGGCATGGTGGCACACACCTGTAGTCCCAGCTACTCAGGAGGCTGGGGCAGGAAGATCCTTTGAGCCCAGGAGTTTGAGGCTGCAGTGAGCCATGATTGCACCACTACACTCCATCCTGGGCAACAGAGAGAGACCCCATCTAAAACAAATTAAAAATAAAATAAATTTTATTCTCTGCCTCAGCCTTCCAAGTAGCTAGGATTACAGGTGCCCACTGCCACGCCTGGCTAATTTTTTTGTATTTTTAGTAAAGACAGGGTTTCACTATGTTGGCCAGGCTGGTCTTGAACTCCTGACCTCCTGATCCACCTGCCTCGGCCTCCCAAAGTGCTGGGATTACAGGCGTGAGCCACCGCGCCCGGCCAAAAATAAAATAAAATTTTAAATTTAAAAAAGATGAGATGGCACTTGGGGGGAAAATTAAATTGGATCCTTATCTCACACCATACACAAAATGCAACTCCAAGTGGATTAAAAACCTAAGTGACGCCGGGCACAATGGCTCATGCCTGTAATACCAGCACTTTGGGAGGCCGAGGCAGGAGAATTGCTTGAGTTCAAGACTAGCTTGGGCAATATAGTGAGACCCCATCTATATTAAAAAAAATTAAATGGGGCCAGGTGTGGTGGCTCATGCCTGTAATCCCAGCACTTTGGGAGGCCAAGGAGGGTGGATCATAAGGTCAGGAGATTGAGACTATCCTGGCTAACACTGTGAAACCCCATCTCTACTAAAAATACAAAAATCAGCCGGGCATATATGTTCAACTACTTCACAGTTACAAAATGGAAAACAAAACAAAACACCAAAAAGATCCAAATAGCTATAGGAGGAATTAAAGAATCACGCTCCAAACAAAGGAACAGCACATACAAAGGCCCCGGGGTGGGAACAATTACTGTGTTGGAGGACTTGATCAGCTTGCCTGGAGCACTGTAAGCAAGGGAGACAGTGGTTTGAGACAAATTGGAGAGGTGTGCAGGAACTAGATCTTGAAAGCCCACAGTAAGGAGTTTGGATCTGATTCTAAGTATAGTGGGAAGCTAGTGGAGGATTTAAGCAGGTGAGAGACATGATCAGATTTATGTTTGCTAAAGTTTTTTTGGCTGCAGCTTTGGCTGGGTTACATGCCAAAAGTGAGCTTCCCAAAATATGAAGGAACACAGGCAAATTTAGCTTTCTAGCCTTTCATTTGACCAGAAAATAAGTAATAAAAGTAAAAAAAAAAAAAAAAAAAAAAAAAAGGGTGGGGGGACATATATTTCAGAAAAGAAAGCTGCTTCTGGTTTCTGTGATTGGGCTATAGGAGTCAATAGAGGAAGCTGGAATACCAACATGGAGACAGTTGTGGTTATTCAGGAAGCTGGCAATGGTGGCTTGGATAAGGGTTATTTTGAAAGAAGAAGGAGTGAGGGAAAGGAAGGATTAAAGGATGTCTCCTAGGTTTTTGACCGGAGCAACTTGGTGAATGGTGGTGCCACTTACTGAAATAAGGAAAACTGAATAGAGTATAATGAAAAAGGAGTGTTGTAGATGTGTTTGAGGCTTAGAAAGGTGAGCAGGGGTCAGATCATGAAGAACCTTATAAATCTGGCAAAGGGGGTTGGGCCTTATAAGCACTGGGGAGCCATTGCTTTAAAGGTGCTTTCAAAGGCTTTACGCTGAGGAGTGCCATGGTCAGATTTGCTTCCCAAAGATCACTCTGGTAGCCAGTGCAGAGAAATCCAGTGCAGAGAGGGTAACGTTGGAGCAAGAGAACCCAGTGGGGCTCCTGAGATACTGCCTGACACCAGATTGTGAGGCCTGAATTAAGCTGGTGACAGCAGAGATGGAGGGCACAGATACGAAATATATCAGGAAGTAAAATCAGTAGGAATCAATAACTGCTGAAATATTATAGGGAGAAAGGAATGGGGGTGGCGTGTAGTCAAAGACGGTGGTCGGCACTGATGGGCCATTCCACCTCCCTTTTGCTCCAGATGTATAACATAAAACAGTCAACAGATACCAAGGAAGCAGCAGCCATCGAGGCTAGAAGAAATCGAGAAAAAGAGCGACAAAACCGATTCTTCAATGTGCGGAACCGAGTCATGGGGGTGAGTGGGTAGTAGGGACTGTTGCTCAGGATCAGGGCCACCTCACTCTTACACCTGGAGAGGAATGTGTAACAGTGCCCATGATAGCCCTTCCCCTGATTCAAGTAGGCCCCTAGGGCAGGAAAGGAAAGAGAGGGAGAGAAGGCACCCACCCCTACAGGCCTGGGAAGAGCTTGGGAAGAGGGATAGGTCAGTGCAGGGGAAGAGACTAGGGGAGACGGCTGACCCTTCTCCAGTCAGCTCTGGGCCATGTGACCTGGTTCTTGAGACAGGCAACATGGAGCTAAAAGAGGCCTAAAGAATATTTGGAGTCCGGGTGCAGTGGCTTACACCTGTAATCCCAGCACTTTAGGAGGCTGAGGTGAGCAGATCACACAAGGTCAGGAGTTAAAGACCAGCCTGGCCAACGTGGTGAAACCCTGTCTCTACTGAAAATACAAAAATTAGCTGGGCGTGGTTGTGCATGCCTATAATCCCAGCTACTTGGGAGGCTGAAGCACAAGAATCACTTGAATCCAGGAGGAGCAGGTTACAGTGAGCCGAGATCACACCATTGCACTCCAGCCTGAGCAACAGTGAGACCCTGTCTCAAAATTACTGCATATACCTAAACTATCTCTGCAAGGCTATGTTGAGAAACTTAACCAGGCTGAGAGACAGAGATGGAAGGGACACTTACGCCTCACTAAACTGTATTCCTTTTTGTATGATTTTGAAATGTGATAAATGAATTATAATAAAAGAGAAAATATTGATAGTTTAAGAAACAAAAGATTGCTAGGTGAGTGGATAGAGGGGGGATGCAGCATGGTATTCTGGAAAAGACCCCGTAAGTATTTAAGGCCAGGTCTGCTGACTGTTATGTGTGTGGCTTTGGATAAATCACCTGTCTTCTCTGAGCCCCAGGCTCCTCTTCTGTAAAATGAGGCTGAAGGAAGTCAGGTGAGTGTTAACACAGAGTGGCAGCTTTGAAAACCAGTGCATAGTGCCTGCCGTAAGAAGTTGGCTAGGGTATTAGTGTTCTGATTGAGATCCAGCTGACAAGCTGACAAGCATTTCCTCGGGGCCTGCTCTGTGCCAAGCACTGTGTTGGGCAGTGGGGATACGAAAATGACTAAGGCCCAGTTTCTGCCCTGAAAGGGTTCACAGTCTGGTGGAGGAGAGAATACAGAGAGGCGAACATCAATATAATGTAGACAGTGGGTTCTAGATTCTACAGGAGTAGAACCTGCCTGAGGGGTCAGGAAAGTGAAGGCTGAGCTGGTCTCGAAGGACAAATTGGAATTTGTGTAAAGAGGGGAGGAAAGTGTTCCAAGTGGAGGGAGCAGCTTGAGCAAAGGCTATTGGTTCAAAACAGCCTAAGATATTCAGGGAACTGTAAGCACAGCTCATAAGGGTAAGGTGGGACTAAGAGATGAGGCCAGAGAAGGAGGCAGAGGCTAGACCATGGAGAGGCTTACAAACCATGCTCAGGAGCTAGAACTTTATCCAGTAGGTACTGGGGAGCTACAGGATTCTGAAACAGGTAAATTCTAATTAGTTTGTGGTAGGACATTGAAGGCCCCCTGCTGGGCCCCTACTCTGATTGTGCTCCTTTCTTTGGGATCAGGTGGATGTCCAGGCCCTGAACAACCAGGTGGGAGACCGAAAGCGTCGGGAAGCAGCAGAAAGAAGCAAGGAGGCAGCTTATGGTAAAAGCCAAAAGCCAGGGGCCAGACAAGGGTGTAAAGAAAGAGCTCGAGTGGGCTGAGGTAGGGCAGTTCTGCCTCTGTGGCCTGAGGCCCTGGGGTGGTGGGACAAATTGGATGGACCTTGAGAGTAGAGGACATGCTAAGTGGACTCTGTCCCTCCTGGGGTATCTTCTCCATATCCTTGCTCACCACCCCCAGGTACCAGCCAGGTGCAGTATGATGTGGTAGTCCAGATGTTAGAGAAGGAAGAGGCAGATCGAACACGTCAGCTGGCCAAGAAAGTCCAGGAGTTTCGGGAGCAGAAGCAGCAGCTCAAGAACGGGCGTGAATTTAGTCTTTGGGATCCAGGCCAAGTCTGGAAGGGGCTTCCAACCTATCTTAGTTACAGTAATACCTATCCTGGTCCAGCCAGCCTGCAGTACTTCTCTGGGGAAGACCTAGACAGGGACACACGGCTGAGAATGCAGCAGGGGCAGTTCAGGTACAACTTGGAAAGGCAACAGCAGGAGCAACAGCAAGCCAAGGTTGATGAGAATTATACAGGTAAGCAGCCCGGCCCTCCAGACTCAGAGACCTGAGGCCTAGTGGGGATCTGTCCTAAGCTGAGTACAGCAGCCAGGGGACCAGAACTGTGTGGGGAGGTCCACTTATCCATAGGGTTGGTGCTGAAATGTTAGGTTGTGCAGACCCCAACCTCCCTGACTTCCTTCAGTAACTGACAGTGTAGCATTGTTCTTGATTAGTTTGGCACTCCATTACGTGGAGGCAGCACAGTGCAGACAGACCTAATGGCTCTGCCACTTACTAGCTGGTTTGGGCAAATGAATTTTCCCTTCTGTGCTTCAGTTTCTTCATCTTTAAAATGAGAATAATAATTTATACCACATAGAGTAGCTACTATTATGATATTGTCTGTGGCCACATCCTTCTCTTCCATTAGAAGAAGCCCTTCAAGGGCAAGGACCATGTCTTATCTACTTGCACTGTTCACCCTTCACATCAACCCTGTTACAGCACTCTGTTCTGCTGGACCACTTATTGTAGTTGTAGCTAATTGTGAAAGTATTTGTTTAATATCTGTCTTCTCCCTAAAATGTCAGCCTACTGAAGATGAACCATCTCTTTCATGTCTACCCATCTCCCAGTTGCATAGTACAGTGTCTGACAGGTCTTAGGAACAGCAAGGAGCTCAGTGTGGCTGGAGCAGAAAAAAATTGTCAGTACCTTTGCTCATGCCATGCCCTCAGCCTGGAATGCCCTTTGCTCTTTTAGCCTGTATACAAAATGTATTTCAAGGATCACCTCTTCCTGGAAGCCTTCCTCTTTTCCACCATCCAAAACCCTCTTAATACCCTGTGTACATCCCTGCCATTGCTCTTGCCAGATTGTGGTCTATGTTTGATCTGTGTCCCCAACTAGACAGGGAGTTCTCTGAGGACAGGATTTAATTCGATGGTATCATTAGAACCCAGCACATGGCCCTTAGACTGAGATTCAGAGATATGAAATGATTTACCCAAAATCACACAGCTCAGAAGCAGCAGAACTGACATTGGGACCCAGGTCCATTGGAGGCATCTTTTAGTTATGCGCTTGAGAAATCGTTGTTGCTGCACCTAGTTCCTTCCACATCCCTACAACTCGGACACTAACCCCCTCCTAAACATTCGTACACACACAAACACAAAACTTGCTGAACAAATGGCTGGATGAGTGAAACAGGAATGGAGCAAGCCAGTACAGTACCCCGGCCATATTTCTCTGTGTAGATGCGCTCAGTAACCAGCTGCGCCTCGCCATGGATGCACAGGCCACCCATCTGGCCAGGCTGGAGGAGTCCTGTCGTGCGGCCATGATGTGTGCCATGGCCAACGCCAACAAAGCGCAGGTATGGCCTGAGCCATGCAGTACCTTGGGCTCTCCCCAACTCCTGAACAAAATCCTGGAGAACCTTAGCCATATTCTTCCTCTTACATCCCCTCTTAAATCAGCATCAGCCCTCTCATCTGAGTACTCCCCCTTCACTGAAGGCCCCTCTTAGGGTACAAGTCACTTCTCCCCACCTCCAGAAGCAGGATGACTTGAGAATAGAACATTGCCCTCTCATCCTCCGCTTCCCAGTCTAAAGGCTTCCTGAAGGCAGAGAAGTTCCCTGCCCATTCTCCCCAACACATATTAGGGGCATTGAAAGGCCATGCAGTATCTGTTCTTTCTCCTTGAGATGGAAGAGTAGGGCCATGTTCCCCCCTCCCCTGTGACAGAGTTCCCTGAGGTTGGGCACCCAAATGTTTGCATTTGGGGGCTCCACCAGGCAGCTGTGCAGGCTGGGCGTCAGCGCTGTGAGCGTCAGCGTGAACAGAAGGCCAACCTTGCGGAGATCCAGCACCAGAGCACGAGTGACCTACTGACTGAAAACCCCCAGGTCGCCCAACACCCTATGGCTCCCTACCGGGTCCTGCCCTATTGCTGGAAGGGCATGACTCCAGAGCAGCAAGCTGCCATCAGGAAAGAGCAGGAAGTACAACGCTCTAAGAAGCAAGCACACCGTCAGGCTGAGAAAACACTGGATACTGAATGGAAAAGCCAGACCATGAGCTCAGCCCAGGCAGTGCTGGAGCTAGAAGAGCAGGAGAGGGAATTGTGTGCTGTATTTCAAAGGGGTCTAGGATCCTTCAACCAGCAGCTGGCTAATGAGCAAAAAGCCCAGTGAGTTCTAGGTGGTAGTGGTGGAGATAAATGCCAAGGGAGGGAGAGGAGGGATGGTGAGGAACCATGGAGAGAGGGAAAGCATGTCAGCTGAGACCTCTGGACTTCTTTCACAGGCAGGATTACCTGAATTCAGTAATCTACACCAATCAACCTACAGCCCAGTATCACCAGCAGTTTAACACCAGCAGCCGCTAAGTTCAGGATGTCTATCTCTCTCTCCCTTCTCCTCCATCAAGCTCACAGGTGGTTAGGAGTCAAAGAGAAAAATGCTGCATACTCCCACCTTCTAACCTAGGTAATAAAGTTCTGCACTCAAAATCAAGTCCACATGTTGTAACAGGACACAAAGTATTATGAAGGTACTGCCTTTCCCACCCCACCCTGGAGCTCTGAGCATCCAACCCTGTCACAGCCTTCACATTTCTTCCCCATGCCAGGCCCCCTAGCACACAACACTGCCTACACTCTGTGAGAAAAAGAGACTTTATTAGGCACAGAGGGCGACTGGTAGGCAGTTACAAAATGGCTACTGGGCTTCCTCCCAAGCTGGAGAGTAGTACCCCAGGGAAAGGAAGGGCAGAGGAGCGTGTGTTTTCTCTGCCTTCTCCCTTCAAGGCTGCATACGAATGGCCCCATCCAGCCGGATGACCTCTCCATTGAGGAATGGGTTCTCGATGATGGCCTGTACGAGGTGAGCATACTCAGCAGGGTCACCCAGTCGGCTAGGGAAGGGCACTTGGCTGGCCAAGAAGTTGCACACTTTCTCTGGGAGGCTGGTCAGCAGTGGGGTGCCAAACAGACCTAAACAATATAGCCAAATTCAGAGACTCACCCTTGCTTTCATGATTACCTGGTTCTTCCTTACTTTAGCCCTACTTCTTGGTGCTTCTCTGGGGCCCAAAGATAAAAGGCTGCTGCTGCTTAGGTGGTGGATACCTTCCCCTCTCAACTGTCCATGGATCCCACCCAATCCCAGGTATGATGGAGAGAGGGGATATGTCTACCTGGGGCAATGGTCATCACCCGGATACCTATGGGAGCCAGATCCCGAGCAATGGGCAGTGTCATGCCCACTATTCCCCCCTTGGAAGCAGAGTATGCAGCTTGTCCAACCTGGAGAAAGAGTAGAAGTCATAGGTGGGAGGGCCCCAACAAGTCACTTAGGAGGCATAAGTCTTACCCCTGCCCACACACCTGACCCTCGAAGGCAGCCACACTGGCAGTGTTGATGATGACCCCACGTTGGCCTCCCTGGTCTGGTTCATTCTGGCCCATCTCACCAGCCACCAGGCGGATCACATTGAAGGTGCCCATGAGATTCACCTGTAGGACAGATGGAGACATGCTATAGGACCTGAGGCAGAAGAAGCCTTTGTCCCCTAAAAACTTTGGGGTCCTCCACAGCCAGATACTTCTTACTACCACTATCCCTGGAGAACTTCCAAGGCCTTACATCAAGAACTCGCTGGAAGTCTTCCAAGGTATGGGTCTGGCCCTTCTTTAAGTTGTACGTCTTGCTAGCCACCGCGATGCCTGCACAGTTGACAGCTACATCCACACGGCCAAACTTTCCTTTTGCTAGAGCCAGAGCTGTTTGCACATCCTTCTCAGAGGTCACCTTCAAAGAGAGAAGTGGAGAAGGTATTCATCTCCCAGCACCCACTCTTCCCACTAAACCTGAGGGAGGGCAGGGCAGGGCATGCCCAGTCCTTGGGTGAGAAGAGATTTGTGAGAAGGGAGAGGCCAAGAGAAAGGTTGTAAAACTTGAGAGATAGGCTGGGTGCGGTGGCTCATGCCTGTAATCTCAGCACTTTGGGAGGCCGAGGCTGGTGGATCACTTAAGATCAGGAGTTTGAGACCAGCCTGGCCAACGTGGTGAAAACCCGTCTCTACTAAAAATACAAAATTAGCCGGCATAGTGACACATGCCTGTAATCCCAGCTACTTGGAAGGCTGAGGCAGAAGAATCGCTTGAACCCGGGAGGCAGAGGTTGCAGTGAGCTGAGATCGTGCCATTGCACTGCAGCCTGGGCAACAGTGAGACTCTGTCCCAAAAAAAAAAATTGAGAGAGTAGGTCAAAGGTGAAAATATTAGGTAATATAGAGCAGTGTTGCAAAAACATTTTTCAAATCAATACCTTCTTGATAAATTCACATGCTCCTGAAGATTCTTAATTGCTGTGGATCAGAGCACTAATGCAACCCTGTTGTGAGGCTGGGTGCAGTGGCTCACACCTGTAATCCCAGCACTTTGGGAGGCCGAGGCGGGCGGATCACGTGAGATCAGGAGTTCAAGACCAGCCCGGCCAACATGGTGAAACCCCATCTCTTCTAAAAATACAAAAAAAAAAATTAGCTGGGCGTGGTGGCAGGTGCCTGTAATCCCAGCTACTTGGGAGGTTGAGGCAGGAAAATCGCTTGAACCCAGAAGATGGAGGTTGCAAGGAGCTGAGATTGTGCCACTGCACTCCAGCCTGGGCAACAGAGCGAGACTCCATCTCAAAAATAAAAATAAAAAATAACCCTCTTGTGAGAATTATTGATAGGAAGATAAACTAGCTTTTTTGTATCCTTACCTGCTAAGATGATTTCATCAAGTTTCACTTTCTGTAGTTTGTTTCATGAAAACAAGTTTTTTGACTTTGTAAATATAAAATTACAAGGCACAAAATGCATTTTCAAACCATACATAACTCCTCCAGGAGATTGTTACGTCCAATCCCCATCCTCATTGTTGTGAATCCCAGCTTTAGAGAATCCTTATCACAGGTGGTCCCACAGTGCTTGAAGGCTCAGGCCAAAAGAGACAAGGAGATGGGTCTACCGCCCCCATAGAGGAGACCCTTATGGGAGGGACCCCCACAGGTTCCCAGGCCGGTGTTGGTGACCTCATGCACACCCTGGGAGAGGAGAGGTGACCCCACTTACGTCGGCTGGGGCGAAAACGCAGTTGTTTCCTAACTTCTTGGCTTGGGCCTCCCCACCCGAGTTGGGCAGGTCCAGAAGCACAGCAGAGGCTCCCTGCCCCACAAGTCGCTCCGCCGTGGCCAGGCCCAGGCCCGAGGCTCCTCCGGTTATTACCGCCACCAGGCCCTGTCAAAAGGGACATGGTCAGGGTCAGCTGTTACATTGCCCAGACCATCCCCACGCTGTCGCCTGCCTGTTCTCCAGGCTTCTGAGGAGAAGGGGGGAGGGGAGAGGTCGTGGTCACCCCTGCGGGTAAACTAGGTGTGCTGCTTCTCCTCAGCGTTGGGACCTCGGGGGCAGAAGGGATCTCATCCCCAGACAGCCCGTCCCGTGACGATAGATAGATAGATGATTGATAGATAGATAGATAGACAGACAGACAGACAGACAGATGCGCCGCGGAGTGCTGACTTTCACCTCTTGAGCCCAACGGCCACAATACCAGGCCTACATAAGCATGACCCTTTCCCTCGAAACCGATCTCTTTCTCCTAGTTCCACGGCCGCGCTGTCCCGGCCCGTAAAGGAAGGCAAGCAACAGAGGCAAAGAACCTTCTACCTTCACGCTCCGACACGCTGCTGCCATCTTGTCGCCGGCCACTCCACGGGATGGGGATGGGGGCGCGGGCGCTCGTTGATTGGCCGAGGCGAAGCGGCGGAAGGGGCGGATGCGACGGGCCGGGGCGTCTGCCGCTGCCGCATGAGACGTGGGGGCGTGGCCTGGTACGCTAGTCCTTTGGCCAGAGGGCGGATTCCGCCTGCTAAGGTATCCCCAGAGTTATTTCAACTGGGGAAAGAGACCAATAGCAGAAGTACAATACCACAACACCCCTCGCCCTACTCTCTAGCTGGCCTTTTGGCAAGTGGCCTGCTCCGCGTGGGGGAAGAGGGGTGGATATTGAGAACGGATGCCTTTCTCCTCTGAAAAAGTCTTAATTCAAGTATGAATGTATTTGAGACTCCTATATGCTAGACGGTGTGCGGGGCACCTGGGATACCCAGCGGAATAATAAAAGATTCATGCCTTCCAGGAGGGCACAGTCCAGGTGGAGAAAGAGAATTACAGTACAGACACAGACGAATGGACGGAACCAGATTCTGGGACACTCAGACAAGGAGATCCAAAGATGAGGAGTCTGAGTTAGAGAGAGAGAGAGCCATGTAAAGAGAAATATGTTGAGGCCGAGATAGGAAGAGAGATGCCAGGTAGGATCACAGAGAGATGAATGTGGAAAGCCGCTAAGAGAGATGCTTGGAGACAGACATTCTAGGACAGCTGCTGAGAAGCACAAACCTAAAGAGGCAAAAACATCTTTCATCAGTTCAGGCTTTGCTACTCTCCTCTATCTTTGTCTAATTTAAGTCCAAAAGCCCAGATCACACACTGCAGATTGGACTTCAACCAGAGACTATTATTTAAGACCCAGGTCTTTGTCATCCTAGAACATCTTTCAGGCAGCTTCCAGAAGCTATGTCATTAGAGTCTTGAGCCCAGATATCTAATCTGTCTTCCTTCTATACTTTTCCTCAAACCAAGGTCTTCAGGCCATAAATCTTAGCCCACCATTTCAGCCTCAGAACTGCTTTATGTTTTCTCTATCTGAAATATCTCCCCCCACTTGCTTTCTCACCCAGGAAGATTCCCCTCCAGGCCTTCTAGTTGTTGACAGCCACCACACTCATAATCACTACACCGTATTTACCAAAGGATTTAGCACACCGGTCTCACAATTTTCCTATCTACATGAAGTGCTTCCATCAATTTATAGCACTCTTCATCCGGCCCAATATGCTGTAGCCACAGTGGCCTCCTTTGTGTTCATCTTTGCATTAGCTGCTCCCTCTGCTTGGAATGCTCTCCCCTGATCTTTGCATGACTGCTTTTATTTTTTTTCATTCAGAACTAAGCTTAAATATCACCTTCCCAGAGGGGTCCTCCCTAAATATTCAAACTGTAGCCACCTAGACACTATCCCATTGCATATTTGAATTATCTTCATAGCACTTGCATGTCCGTAATCCATTTTCCAACCTTAGGGCCAGATGTGCTGTGGAATTCAGAGTTTTTTTCAATTTGAGAAAGGAAGACATGTAATTTATATTACATAACTCTTTAAAAAAACTAGTCAAACATAACTTTTTGTATAGTCTATATTATATAACTATTGAGAAAAGCCTGGAGCATCGTAATGAAATATTAATATTTCTGAAGTGAAAGGTATGAAAATTCACACCAAGTGTGAATAAAGACTATAAATAGCCTCACACTACTTCAGGTCAGGTTTTGTCATCTATTGAGTTTGGGCTCCAAAGTATGAAAAAACAACCTTATGCTTTTCAGAAGTTTTGGCATTGCAGGATTGTGCCTACAGGCTTGTGAGCCTGCATGCTCCGCTAACCTGGCCTTGTTTGTGTAGTTCTCCCCCTGCTGGAAGGTAAGCCCCATGGCACCAGGGGCTTGTCCAGCTGGTTCACCTAATGCCGAGAACACTGCTTGGCGTGTACAAGACACTTAAAACAAATGTGTGAAATAAATGAATTAATGAATTAATCTTGGAAGAATTTCCAGGCACAGTTTCATGATTCTTTCACCTGCCCAACTCCGGGAACCTTCACCTCCTCTCTACTTTAACCACCTGTCCAGGCCACCTTATTGCACTTGTCATTCCCTGGAATAACCTCCTGCCCTCCCCAGCATCTACACACCATCTTTTCTCTCTCTGACCATGTTCTCGAGTTGTCTTGGATCTCTTCCCCTCTACCGCTTTTTTTTTTTTTTTTGAGATGGAGTCTCCCGCTGCCCAGGCTGGAGTGCAGTGGCGCATCTTGGCTCACTGCAACCTCCGCTTCCTGGGTGCAAGCAATTCTCCTGCCTCAGCTTCCAGAGTAGCTGAAATTACAGGCATGGGCCACCACGCCTGGCTAATTTTTGTATTTTTAGTAGAGATGGGATTTTACCATGTTGGCCAGTCTGGTGTTGAACTCCTGACCTCAGGTGATCCGCCCTGCCTCAGCCTCCCAAAGTGTTGGGATTACAGGCATGAGCCATCGCGCCCAGCCTCAGCTCTATTATTTACTAGCCGAATGACCCTGGACAAGTTACTTAACTGATGTGCCTCAGTTTCCTCTTCTGTAAAATGAGTATAAACAAATGACTATTCGTAGGGTTGTTAGGAATAAATGAGTTAACAACTATGTATTTAAAAAGGACTTGGAACAGTGCTTGGCCTTTAGCAAGAGCTATATAAGTGTTAGCTATGGTTACTCTTCAGAGCAGTGTTTCTCATCCTTTTCTATGCTACGGACACCTATGGGAGTCTGGTGAAGTCTTAGGAACCCCTTCCCAGAATAATGCATGCGTCCTATAAGTAGGATTACAAAAGAAACCAATTATATTGGGGTACAATTTTCAAAATAAAAGGAAACGCACCTGTAATGTAGTAATATATGTGCTTCTTTATTAACACATTAAATAGCAAGCTCTATCAACAGGTCTAGTGACAACCATGATTTTTGAAATAGTGATGTTATTTTGAGAGATATGCAACAACCGTAATAATGAAAATCTGATCTCTCTTAGTGTCAAAGTCACAGGTGCTAATATTACTGCAGTTTGTTACCCACATCCCCTGGAAGGATATGCTATATTTCTGTTAGTAATAGTGAAAATAATGATGCAATTTCCCCTCTATCCAAGTCCATGGGCTCTTTGAATTCTATTCACTGACTCCTCAGGGGTCTTTTGGATTGTGGGTTAAGAACTGTGTTTAGAGGGAGCTCTCTGAACTTCTTCTGGTTCTGAGGGCTGCACAATTAAAAGAACTGTTTTTAGAGCAAACGGAAGCCATTAGTGAATACTTCTCTCTTGCCACCTCCAAAATTGTCTCTACCCACCCACACCATCCTTTCCTTGGGTCTCAGAGATGTCCTGTTTAGGGCTCACCCTTCCACTGGGTTTTGTGTCCCAGCCCCTCCCACTTTCTTGGGGATTTCTGCTACTGAGCATCCTCTCTCTTGATTGCACGCACCTCTGTCTCAAAACCATTAGAAAATAGGGAATAGGGGCTGAGTGCAGTGGTTCACGCCTGTAATCCTAACATTTTGGGAGGCTGAAGCAGCAGGATGTCTTGAGCCCAGGAGTTTGAGACCAGCCTGGGCAACATAGCAAGACCCTGTCTCCACACACACAAAAAAATAGGGAATAAAGTGATGTCAACCTTTACACGCACATACTCAACAGTTTGGATGCATGTCTCATGGGAACCTGAGGGCCAGAGGTGCGCAAAGGGGCCCAGCAAGGACACCAAAACAAGCAACACGCAGCATTGTGTCAAATTAGCCCTGCCAGGAAACAGAGAAGAATAAAGGTGGTCTTTACTCCTGGGTGGTCTTCACTCCTGGGAGATAAAAACCACAAGATAACCCATTTAACTCTTGTGGGCACCTGCAGTTACCTCTGCAAAGACAGAGCTGCACTGGTTCCAGCTGGCTCTGAGGTGACATTGACAAATATAAAGAATCCCAATTATATCATCATCTATGTGAGGGGAAAAGAAGAACCCCAAGTGATGATTATACAGAGCCTGTCATTTCTGAGTGAGCTGGGGCACAATCTGAATGATTGGTTTAAACGCTGAAGGACTGCAGGGGACATGAAAATTACTGTGGCGAGCGTTTGAGAGGATGCTGAGGACGCATGTTGGCTGAGTGTTTGCCACTTGAATAAATGGGGCTGATGTCTGAATGAACCTGAAGGATGACAGCCTCAGGTTATGGTGACTTTACCGTTGCCTAAATCAACTGTAATTTTTCAGGCTTTGTGTAATCAGACCTTTCTGGCTGCATTTGACATATTCATCACTTGCTCTTCCTAGAAACTCCCACTTGGCTTCCAGGAAGCCTGACTCTCCTGGTTTCTTGTACTCCCCTGATTGTTCTTTTGTCTCTTCCCTGGGTTCTTTTTCTTCTGCCCCCTCTCTGGGGAGCTTATCCATCTCCTGGTTTCAATACTCCCTCTCTGCTGAGGACTTCCCAGTCTCTACTTTGAGCTCATCTTCTCCACTGAACTTCAGAATCATATAGCAAATAATTTGCTGGCCCTCTACACCAGATGCCCTAAATTAAACTCAATCATTGCCCCCTAAAACTGCTGTATCTCAATTGGTTGCAGTACTAACTTCCCAGACACCCAAGCCAGATCCTGGGACTCACGCCCTCTTCACCCCATCTAAGCAACTGCCAAGTCCTGCTGATTTAACTCCTACATACTTTTTGGATCTGGCACCTCCTCCCACCTACTTTCCTATTATCACCATCCAAAATCTCTTGCCTGTACAATTGCAACTGGTCAGACTCCACTATTGTTGCTCTTAAAAGGATCATCCAAGAAACCAGCAGAAGCCTCTTCCTAAAACCCAATTTTTATTGTTACCCACTTGCTTTCAAACCCCTTCAGTGCCCCCTCTTCACTTTTTTTTTTTTTTGGAGGGAATCTTGCTCTGTCGCCCAGGCTGGAGTGCAGTGGCACAATCTCGGCTTACTGCAGCCTCCACCTCCCAGGTTCAAGCCATTCTCATGCCTCAGCCTCCCGAGTAGCTGGGACTACAGGCGCCCACCACCACACCCGGCTAATTTTTGTATTTTTAGTAGAGACAGGGTTTCACCATGTTGGCCAGGCTGGTTTCGAACTCATGACCTCAGGTGATCTGCCCACCTCGGCCTCCCAAAGTGCTGAGATTACAGGCGTGAGCCACCGCGCCCGGCCCCCACCTCCTCACTTTTAAGGCTTTCCATAATCCGATGGCTGCTGGCTAACTTCGGCCTCTATAACACGACACTTTCCAGTAACAACACACTACTTGATACCCCCACAGTAGTGTTGCCAGATGAGGTATAGGATGCTCAGTAATTCAATTTGAATTTCAGATAAAGATGAATTTTTTTTTTTTGAGACAGAATCTTGCTCCGTCACTCAGGCTGGAGTGCAGTGGCACGATCTCAGCTCACTGCAACCTCTGCCTCCTGGATTCAAGCAATTCTCCTGCCTCAGCCTCCCTAGTAGCTGGGACTACAGGCGCCCACCACCACCCTCGGCTAATTTTTGTATTTTTAGTAGAGACGAGGTTTCATCATGTTGGTCAGGCTGGTCTCGAACTCCTGACCTCAGATGATCCACCCACCTCGACCTCCCAAAGTACTAGGTGTGAGTCACTGTGCCCGGCCGAATAATTTTTTCATATAAGTAACCCCATGCAATCTTTGGGACATGCTTATATTGTAAAACTATTTGTTATTTATCTGAAATTCAGACTTGTGGGCACCCTGTATTTTTATTTGCTAAATGTGGCAACCCTACCCCACAGATAACCCCCAGGATGGTGCGATGCCCTTTCTGAGGGTCCCACAGCTCTGAACCAACACTTACCCACCTGAGAGACTGAGGATCTATTCTGATCTCTGTATTCTTGCTACGCAACACAGAGAGCCTGGCATAGAACAGATGGCAGTGTTTGCTAAGTGAATGAATGCATATGTGTGACATAGCAATAAACCTGTATCTTCCGGTGGAATCAGTAAGTGTTGTGATCAGTATACGGTGTCAGTTCCGCTTATATCCACCTTCCTTTCACAGTCTTGGAAAAATCACCTCATGGTTTACACATCCCCCCCAGCAGGTGAGCTAGAAAGCCAGGAGTCATCTGTAGACTTAGGGAAGCCATTATAGGACCAGTTGGGTTTTCTGTTTTTTATTCAGAGTTGGGAGGAACGGGAGGGAGACGACCATCTTCTGGCGATATGAAAGTCGAGAAAGGCAAACAGGAGGGGAGCAAGAGAGGAAAAGAAGAGGATGTGAAAAGCCCGAAGGAAGGCAGGAGAGCAAGCAGGTAGGAATAAAGGCGAGGAAGCGGGAGCCAGCTGGCACCACAGCGAGGAGTGACAGCCGCCGGCAGCAGGGGCCGGGAGCTGGGAGGAGGGAGGCTCAGGCAAGCCGCGCTGAGCCTTTCTTCTCCTTCCCGGACTCCTCACCACCCATCCTGCTAACCAAGGGCCTCCACCTTGCTCGTCGTCAGAGGCAGACAGCCAGGACTTGGCCCTCTTGGGCTTCCTAGCTCTCCAGCCCGGGAGTTAGACTAGTTTTCCAACTCCCCCGGCCCCAAATCGGGAGGACAATAATGCCTTCCGCTCCGCGCCCGCCAAGGTCGAGTTAGGAAAGACTTGGAACAGAATTAAACGGCTTTGGGGAAGATGAGTCAGCCGGGCGGGGCTGCAGCTGCCAGTGAAACCCCTGCCAGTGTGATTGGGCAACAACCAGAAGTAGGGGGCCCGCGGGGTGGTGGTGCCATCTCTTAAAGGCAGTTTATGTAATAAGTCTTGATCGCGCACCCACTAAAGGGGCGGCTTTGGGGTCAGCCTCAATTTCCTCCACTGTGAAGTGGGAATATGAATACTTGACTTATCCGAAACGAATCATGTCTGCAAGGTGCCTGGGCTATAAAAAGCGGTCAGTCAGTAGTCAGGGTCGTGCTTAGTGCAGTGCCCTCCACCCTAGGCCACTTTCGCCATGTGAGACTGTCCCAAAGGCGGGGATGTGGGGTGCAGTGGGGAGCCCCTGATCGGGCACGGGCAGAAGACAAGTTCTTTTTTTTCTGCCACTTCCAGGTGAGGAAGAAAAGACGCCTGCTCCGGAACCAAGGGTTGGGTGGCGATGTACTGGCCTCACCCGCTTTAAGCAAAGTCACCTTAGATTTACCATGTTTGCTATTCACTCATTCATTTTCTTTATTAGAGGGACTGCTGATTAAACGGAAGGACTTACACTAAGACTCCAGTACGAGGCTGTACTATAGACCTGACCGAGTGAGCATGAGAAGACGAGACCCGGCAGAAGGAGGGCGACAGCGGGCACCGAGATCCACAGGTCCAGAGTCTAGTCGCCACCCACACCCTGTCTTTTGGGAGCGGTGCGCGCCATCTGCGCATGCGCTCCCCATCCCTGCCAGGTCCCCGGCGGGGTCAGCCGGCTGGCTGGTGGAGGTGCTACCCGCGCATGCGTGTCCTGCTCACAAGGCGCTCCCAGTGCGGTTGGAGTGTCTCCAGTGGAGCTGGCAGTTGGGAGGACGGAGGCCCGGCCCATAGCGGGTGGCTGTTAGGAGGTATGGATAAAGGACCTGTGTATCTTGGTGCCCGCTGTCGCCCTCCTTCTCCCGAGGTCTCGTCTTCTCACACTCACTCGGTGTGTGACAGCGACAGGTCACAGAGGGCGGTAAAGTGCGGCGCCCTTGGGGCGGTTTCGTCTGGCGCGGAGTAGAGGTGGCCGGCAGTTGTGGTTGCTCCTTTCACCTGGACTCACCTGTGTGGTCCCCTGGCAGGGACTAAAAACCAGAAGACGGAGGGGAGTGAATGTGTTTGACTCGGAGGAAACCCCTCTTGAGCCTGCCCTCACATCCTTACAAGGGACCCAGTCTGAGGTCCAGTCGTCCCCAAACCATCTACTCCCCCACCACCCCCTTCCCTGACTAAAGGCTAAATTTGGGCGGTAACCACGCCCTACCCTATCCCCTTGGAGTCCTTCAGTCAGCTCCAAAGGCCCACCCCACATTCTGGGGGCCTCTGAGTCAAAAAGGAGGGTCCATTGGGCAGGGTGGAGTTGAGGAACCTGCTGTGGAGATGTCTCTGGCCTGGGGAAACCACTGCTTCCTCATCTGCCACTGAGACTGAGGAAGACCCGCAGATGGGCCTTGGCAAGCACCCAGAAGAATAACTCCAGACCACCATTCAGGAAGTTAAGACAGTGGGAGATTGGGTTAATGACCTTGACCCCAGACCCCTGTAAGCAAAGGAAAGGGAGCCTCTGGCTGCTCCTTCTGCAGATGGTAGGTTGAGGCTTCAGGGACCTTAAAACCTAATGGTTCTTATGAATGAGAAACATTCATACCCAGTAGTACTGTTTAACTCACATACCATGTCTCAGGATCTGTTGTGAGCATATTAACTCTTATTTACTTATTTATTTATTTATTTATTATTTTATTTTATTTTTTTGAGACAGAGTCTCACTCTGTCACCCAGGCTGGAGTGCAGTGGCTTGATCTCAGCTCACTGCAACCTCTGCTTCCCGGGTTCAAGCAATTCTCCTGCCTCAGCCTCCCAAGTAGCTGGAGTTGCAGGTGCGTGCCACCAAGCCTGGCTAATTTTTTTTTTTTTTTTTTTGCTATTTTTTTAAGTAGAGATGGGGTTTCGCCATGTTGACCAAGCTGGTCTCGAACTCCTGACCTCAGGTGATCTGCCCCTCTTGGCCTCCCAAAGTGCTGGGATTGCAGGCATGAGCCACTCTGGTCAATTTTTGTATTTTTAGTAGAGACAGGGTTTCACTATGTTGGCCAGGCTGGTCTCGAACGCCTGACCTCAGGTGATCCACCTGCCTCAGCCTCCCAAAGTGCTGGGATTACAGGCATGAGCAACCGCACCCGGCCCATATTAACTCTTTTTTGTTTTGTTTTGTTTTTTGAGACAGAGTCTCGCTCTGTTGCCAGGCTGGAGTGCAGTGGCACGATCTCAGCTCACTGCAACCTCCACCTCCCGGGTTCAAGCGATTCTCCTGCCTCAGCCTCCTGAGTAGCTGAGATTACAGGCATGTGCCACTACGCCTGGCTAGTTTTTGTATTTTTAGTAGAGACGGGGTTTCACCATGTTGGCCAGGATGGTCTCGATCTCCTGACCCTGTGATCCGCCCACCTCGGCCTCCCAAAATGCTGGGATTACAGGCCTGAGCCACCGCGCCCGGCCATATTTACTCTTAGTCCTCACAACAACCCTATGAGGTAGGCATTACCATCCTCCTCGTTTTACAGATGAAGAAAGTGAGTACTGAAAAGTTAAGCCACTTCCCAAGTTCTCACAACTAGTCAGAAGCAAAGCAGGACTTCAAACTCAGGCAGTCTGGCTCCAGAGTCTGCACTCTTTTGAACACAAGTGATACTGCTCTGGGGAAGAGAACAGATAAGAGAGACCCAGTAGAGGTCAAGATTGGAACTCATTTCCTAAGCACCTTCTCTCACACTATTTCAATCTTCCAAATGACCCTGTGAGGGATGAATCTGAGGCAAAGAGAGGTTACATATTTTTAAAGAAATATATTACTCATGACACTTATTAAAGATGGTAGGGCCAGGCTTTATTCAAGGCCATGGCGACAGGTATGCAGACCACTGCAATGGGGTCTTGCAGTGGGAGAAAGATTGGACTCAACTCTAAGTCCAACAATGACAAGTGGAGATTTGTAACCAAGGAGCAGGGTAGGGTCAGTGGATGAGAAACTACTAAGAGGAAACATCTAGGACAAGGGGTTTCTGGCTAAACTGACTTGATAGGATTATTGCTGAAGGCAGGCCAGGATGATAAGAATCCAGGGTAGTCAGATACCAAGGGTGGGAAATTTCCCCTAAATTGACTTAGCAGGATTCTTGCTCAAACTAGATTCAATAAGGATAGAGAGAGTCCTTATAAGGACCTTTATAAGGACAGGTCAGGCCTAGTCAAGCAGAGTACATGGAGGAGACTGACTAAGGTTTTGGTCAAAGGAGACAGTCTTTGTCAAATATCTTGCCCAGCTGGGCAAGGTGGCACATACCTGCAATCCCAACACTTAGGGAGGCCAAGGTGGGAGGATCGCTTGAAGCCAGGAGTTCAAGACCAGCCTGGGTGACATAGCGAGACCCCATCTCTACCCCAAAAAATGTTTTGGGATTTTTCGAGACAGGGTCTTGATCTGTCACCCAGGCTGGAGTACTGTGGCGCAATTTTGCCTCACTTGCAGCCTTGACCTCCTAGGTTCAAGTGATCCTCCTGCCTCAGCCTCCAGAGGAGCTGGGACCACAGGTGTGCACCACCATGCCTCGCTAATTTGTTTTTTTTTTTTTTGTAAAGAAGGGGTCTCACCATGCTGTCCAGGCTGGTCTTGAACTCCTAGGCTCAAGCAATCCTCCCACCTAGGCCTCCCAAAGTGCTGGAATTACAGGAATGAGCCACTGCATCCGGCTACAAAATTTTTTTTTTTTAATCTTGCCCTAGGTCACACAAGTAGTAGTTGGACCAAGTTGATGAAGCAGCCTGACTCAGGCAACACATTAGTTAACCAAGACAAAAGATGAGATGAAGATCCAAGGTCTCTTCCAGCCTTGGGGCCTTTCACTACATGCATTTTTTTGTTTTGTTTTGTTTTGAGACGGAGTCTCGCTCTGCTGCCTAGGCTGGAGTGCAGTGGCGTAATCTCAGCTCACTGCAATCTCTGTCTCCCGGGTTCCAGCAATTCTACTGCCTCAGCCTCCTGAGTAGCTGGGATTACAGGTGTGGGCCACCACGCCCAGCTAATTTTTTTTTTTTAATTTTTAGTACAGACGAGGTTTCACCGTGTTGGCCAAGCTGGTCTCGAACTCCTGACCTCAGGTGATCCACCCACCTAGGCCTCCCAAAGTGCCGGGGTTACAGGCGTGAGCCACCACGCCCGGCCCACTACATGCATTTTAACAAACATTTATTTGTTAATTCAGCAGATGTTTATTATGCTGGGTGTTCTCGGAGGCACTGAGGACTCAGCAGTGAACAAAATACACGTGGTCCCTGTCTGCAACTCTCTGAAGGAGGGTGAAGGTAAAGAAACACAGCCAACATTAGTTAGTGGTAAAAACCGATTTTATTCAGTAACTACTGACAGTAGAGGAAAGAGCTGAGCTTCATTCTTATTTGCACAGAGGTGACTAGGAGTTTTGTTTTTTTTTTGAGATGGAGTCTCACTCTGTTGCCCAGGCTGCAGTGCAGTGGCACGATCTCGGCTCACTGCATCCTCCCAGGTTCAAGTGATTCTCCTGCCTCAGCCTCCCAGGTAGCTGGGATTACAGGCACGCACTTTGGCCTCCCAAAGTGCTGAGATTACAGGCGTAAGCCACTGCACCCGGTCCATGACTAGGAGTTTTATTTTTTATTTTTATTTTTATTTTTTATCTTTTGAGATCTTGCTCCGTTGCCCAGGCTGGATTGCTGTGGCGGGATCTCAGCGCACTGCAAACTCCGCCTCCGGGTTCATGCCATTCTCCTGCCTCAGCCTCCCAAGTAGCTGGGATTACAGGTGCCCACCACACACCTGGCTAATTTTTTTTGTATTTTTAGTAGAGACAGGGTTTCGCCGTTTTAGCCAGGACGGTCTCGATCTCCTGACCTTGTGATCCACCCCCCTCGGACTCCCAAAGTGCTCAGATTACAGGCGTGAGCCACCGCGGCCTCATAATGGTAAACTTTTCTTAGAGCTAAGGAAGAAGGTGGTCAGGACCCATCCTTGTCAGGTGTTGGCTAGGACGAATGATAACACTCTTTTGACAGCCCTGAGCTTTTTCAGACTGGAACTCAAAAGGGAGCTGGGCTGCCCCCAAGCGGTAGCCTTAGGCTACTAGAAGCTATGACAAAGTTTGGTCAAGTCTCTTAGTGCAGGGATTTGAATGCAGTGTTTCTGCATAGAGTTTGTGCAGCTTGAGGGGGAGTGTGGAACCAACAATAAACATGTAAATGACTTTCAGGTAGTGATATTTGAAGACAAGGGAGGTTGGGAGAAGGAATTGACTATTTTGGTGAACTGAGAATCCAGAAATACAAAGGCCTGGGAAGAACAAGTGAAAAGCCCCGAGGCAGGACCAGGCCTGTCTTTTGCCAGGGCAGGAGGGAAGTCCCGTTTTCCTGGAGCACGGGTAGCACTCAATGAAAGCAGTGAACAGGGTGAGACTAAGGCAGAGGATGGTGGAACAATTGAAGTCTGAGATCTTGGAGATACTCAGGGGCCAGATCACAAGGACTATGTGCCAGCAGGCCCACCCCATAAACTCATGCAAATTTACACTGTATAAGGGCAGCTTGTGCTGAAGGGATGAGGACAGGGACCTAAAATTGCACCTGTACTATGTTCACCAAGTTGAACAGTACATCCTGGTACAGGGCTAAGTCAGCCAGAAGAAAAGGGTGCCTTTTCCCAATAACCACAAGTTAGGCAAACTGTGAGCCAGAGGGGTTGCATCTGCCCAGAGGGGCACTGCTGTGGTCTGAATGTTTGTGCCCCCTCACCACTAAATTCATAAGTTGAAATCCTAACCCCCAAGGTGATGTTATTGGGAGATGGGACCCCTTGGGAGCTGGGCTCCACCTTCATGAGTGGGATTAGTGCTCTTATAAAACAGGCCCAAAGGAGCTCAATTGCCCCTTCCACCAGGTGAGGACACAGTGAGAAGGTCTCATCTATGAACTAGGAAGTGGGTCCTCATCAGACACTGAATCTGCCAGTGCCTTGATCTTGGACTTTACAGCCTCCAGAGCTGTGAGAAATGATTTTCAGTTGTTTATAAACTACCCAGTTTATGGTTTTGTTGTTGTTGTTGTTGTTATAGCAGCCCAAATAGACTAAGACAGGCATTTTTGTCTAAATAGCATGAAGGGGGCTGGACACGGTGGCTCACGCTTGTAATCCCAGCACTTTGGGAGACCAAGGCGGGTGGATCACCTGAGGTCAAGGGTTCAAGACCAGCCTGGCCAACATGGTGAAACCCTGTCTCTACTAAAAATACAAAAATTAGCCAGGTGTGGTATGTGTGCCTACAATCCCAGCTACTCTGGGAGCTGAGGCAGGAGAATTGCTTGAACTCGGGAGGCAGAAGTTGCAGTGAGCCAAGATCTTGCCACTGCACTTCAGCCTGGGTGACAGAGTGAGACTCTGTCTAAAAAAAAAAAACCAATAATAATAATAAATAGTATGAAGGTGTTCTATGGGTTAGCTGTGGCTTGTGGGCCAGGCGCTGAGCTAGCAGTTGCCAGGGTAGCAGACCAGTTATGAGGTTATTGAAAAAGCTGAGGCAGCTGTCTTAAGAAAAGATAGCCATGAAAAATGAGTTTATTTTACATTAATTATTACAATGGCCCATAGTGGCTGTTCAATGGGCATGTTCAGCACCTCCATGGAGAAACTGCTGTGACAGCTGTACAAGGGAAAGGATGATATGTTCAGGTACTCATTGATATTTGAGAGTGACTTCATCCAGATGAATGAACCCCTCTTTCCCCTCTTCCTCCTGCATTCCCTTCTCTCTCCCCACTCAAGACCTTCCTCAGTCTCTCTCACATTCCTTTATTTATTTATTTTTTTGAGACAGTCTTGCTCTGTCACCCAGGCTGGAGAGCAATTGTGCGATCTCAGCTCACTGCAAACCTCTGCCTCCTGGGTTCAAGCGATTCTCATGCCTCAGCCTCCCAAATAGCTGGGATTACAGGCATGCACACCACGCCCAGCTAGTTTTTGTATTTTTAGTAGAGATGGGGTTTCACCATGTTGGCCAGGCTGGTCTCGAACTCCTGAGCTCAAGTGATCCATCCACTTCAGGCTCCCAAAGTGCTAGGATTACAGGCATGAGCCACCATGCCCGGCCTCCTTTTATTTCTTCAACAGAGCATTTATTAAGCACTAGTATGTACAGCACATGCAAAAATGTCCTCAGTGATGTCTCCAAAATCAGGTAGAGGAAACAGACAAGTTTAAAAAAAAATTTATTGAGTTATCAATTTATGCATCTCTATCTTACAAAAAGGATTTGGAGCAGCTGTCAATTCCAAGATTTATCTTCTCCTGCCACTATACCAGGATGGACAGCAGACCTAAGCTAGGGCAAGATGATAAGAATTCCTTTTATTTATTTTGCTTTAAAAATGTTTATATTATAGGCCAGGCGTGGTGGCTCACACCTGTAATCTCAGCACTTTGGGAGGCTGTAATCCCAGCTATTTGGGAGCTTGAGGCATGAGAATCGCTTGAACCCAGGAGGCAGAGGTGGGCAGATTGCTTGAGCTCAGGAGTTTGAGACCAGCCTGGACAACATGGCAAAACACCGTCTCTACGAAAAATACAAAAATTAGCTGGGCATGATGGTGTGTGCCTGTAATCTCACCTACTTGGGAGACTGAGGCAGGAGAATCAATTGAACCCAGGAGGCGGAGGTTGCAGTGAGCCGAGATCGCGCAACTGGACTCCAGCCTGGGTGACAGAGCAAGACCCCATCTCAAAAAAAAAAGTTTATATTATTATATTTATGTTGTATATATTTTATCTTCTTTTCAAGTGTGCAGAAGGGAATGATAGAAAATAAAACACTCCCAGTTATATCAGATCTTCACATTTTGCCATGTTTACTTTGGATTTAATTTTTTTTTTGTTTTTGACACGGAGTTTCACTCTTGTCGCCCAGGTGGGAGTGCAATGGCATGATCTCGGCTCCCTGCAACTTCCGCCTCCCAGGTTCAAGCGATTCTCCTGCCTCAGCCACCCAAGTAGCTAGGATTACAGGTGCCTGCCACCATGCCTGGCTAATTTTTGTAATTTTAGTAGAGATGGGGTTTCACCATGTTGACCAGGTTAGTCTCAAACTCCTGACCTCAGGTGATGTACCCACCTCGGCCTCCGAAAGTGCTGGGTTTACAGGTGTGAGCCACCACGCCCGGCCTAGGTTTAATTTTTTTAAAATAAAGCATGAAAGATCCAGTTGACTCTCCCTTGGTTCCCTTCCCTAGGTCCCCAAGATGCATCCCCTGTAAGCCCTCAGTTTCCCTTGTCCTGAATTTGGAGTTTTTCATTCCCATGCATGTTTTGTCCTTCAATTTTATATGAATGTATTCATAAATATTTTCTAGTAATTTAAAGAACATGATATGGTCTTGTTTTGTGTGTCTTGAAACCTTAGACCCGTATTGACACTGTGGGGCCCCTCCTGCAGGTTGCTTTTTATCATTCAACGTTGTCTATATTTGTACACATAGCTCTAGATATCTCTTAATTGACATGGTGCTCTCCAGCATCCAAGGACTTCAGGGTCCATTATTTTCTATGATCCTCACAACAAATGTCATGACCCCCTCAGGACTCAAGAAGAATCTGAGACTCAGAGAGTGAAGTGAAGACCACAAAGGGGCAGAGCCCCAGGTTTCTGACTCCTCGCTCACTGTGGCTCCTCTGCTTGGGTGCTATCTGAATAATACCATGAGTCGCATCATTAAGACAAGAAGGGTGAGTAACCAGAGGGCAGGCAAGTGGGAGAGAGAGGAAAGGAGCATGGAGAAGAGGGTAGAAAGGAAGGGTAGACAAGGGAAGGAAAAAAAGGGGGCAGAACCAGCCGAGGGAGCTGTATAGCTTTAAATCTATCAGTGATTCTCATACTCAACCTTGGCCACTCATTGGGATCACCAGGGGAGCTTCGCCAACTAGTGATGCCTGGAATCCACCCCTAGAAATTCTAACATAATTGGCCTAGAGGGAGGACTGAATAGGAGGATGTTTAAAAGCTCCCCAGCTGGTTTGAATGTATAGTTGGGGTTGCAAGTCATTGACTAAGCAAAGCAATTTGTCAGGCAGTGAATTGGCTGAGGGGGCGAAACTCAAAGGCTGGCTTGTTAACATTAATAAGATCTTACACCTTGAAGGCTGGCTTGATAATACGATGTAAATAAGGTATTGAGATCTTAGGCCTAGATTCTATCAACAGAAATGGGCTAAAATGAAGGAGGTGATAATCCATTTTCCTTAGGGTTGTTCATACTAGTCTTACACTATTGTGTTCAGTCACTGGGGCTTTGACTTGAAGGAGAGACCAGCAATTTTCACAATGAATACCAGTAAACCTCTACAGAGTAACAGAATTCAGCAAACACTCTAAGTACTTCCTTTATGCTGGGCCTGTGCTACAGGGAAGGAAGACAGAGATGAGAAAATCATAATCCTTGCCCTCAAGAAGCTCAGACAAACAGGCAACCTGGACATATATACAAACAATTAACTCAATGGGCTAAGTGCTAGAGATAAGTCCAAGGAACAGAAAGCAGAGAACACCTAACTCTACCTTGGGAAGACTGGCAGAGGGGCTAAGGGTAGGCTTCACAGGAGGGCTGCATGAGTGAACCAAGTCTTGAAGGTTGAGTAGGAGTTGGTTAAGGGCATGGTTGAGGCTGGGAGTTAGGAAGAGCATGTGCAAAGGCTTAGGGTGGTAGAAGCACATGGAACACAAATGTGGCAGGGGAGAAGCTGGTGATGAGGCTGGAAAGATGGGGGCCTTGTGTGCCATACCCAGAAGTCCTGGCTTGACTCTGTAGGCAGCCAGGCATCATCGAAGTGAGGAATATAGGGAGAGCAGGGAGGGCCTTATGGAGAGGTGGCATCTAAGCTGGGTCTTGGAGGATGAGTAGAATTTCAACAGGCAGGGATGTGGGATGGAGAAGAAGGCTTCCCAAGAAGGGACAGGAGCAGAGAAAAGTGTGAGCAAAGATGTGGAGGCAGGATGAGTTTGACATGTGTCAGACACAGTGAAGGAACCGATCCTCTGGTAGGAGTGATCACAGTCATCTGGGGCACTTTTTTTTTTTGAGACGGAGTCTTGCTCTGTCGCCCAGGCTGGAGTGCAGTGGCGCGATCTCGGCTCACTACAAGCTCCGCCTCCTGGGTTCACGCCATTCTGCCTCAGCCTCCCCAGTAGCTGGGACTACAGGCGCCTGCCACCACGCCCAGCTAATTTTTTTGTATTTTTTTGTGGAGACAGGGTTTCATCGTGTTAGCCAGGATGGTCTCGATCTCCTGACCTCGTGATCCACCCGCCTCGGCCTCCCAAAGTGCTGGGATTACAGGCGTGAGCCACCGCGCCCAGCCTATCTGGGGCACTTTTTTAAAAAATCTTTTTTTTTTTTTTTTTTTTGAGACAGAGTCTGGCTCTGTCGCCCAGGCTAGAGTGCAGTGGTGTGATCTTGGCTCACTGCAACCTCCACCTCCCAGGTTGATTTGATTCTCCTGCCTCAGCCTCCCAAGTAACTGGGACTACAGGCACATGCCACCACACCTGGCTAATTTTTGTATTTTTAGTAGAGATGAGATTTTGCCATGTTGGCCAGGCTGGTCTTGAACTCCTGGTCTCAAGTGATCCACCTGCCTTGGCCTCCCAAAGTGCTGGGATTACAAGCATGAGCCACTGTGCCTGGCCAAAATATCTTTTTTTATTTCTTTACTTTCTGAATACACTTACTTTAAATTAAGAAAAAAAAAAAAGCCTGGCGCAGTGGCTTATGCCTGTAATCTCAGCACTTTGTGGAGGCCGAGGTGGGAGGATTGCCTGAGCTCAGGAATTCAAGACCAGCCTGGGCAACACGGTGAGACCCTGTCTCAATAAATAAATAAATAAATTTTAAAAAGAAAAAAGGATAAAATATCAATTCCTGGCCTCTACTCCCCTCCCATCCTCCAAGATGAATCTAATTTATATGGTCTGGTAGCGCAGTCCTGGCATCAGTATATTTTAAAAGTCCCCCAGGTGATCATAATCTGCAGCTGGGCTTGAGAGCCACAGCTGTAGGGGAGCTGTTGAGGACATGGACGGAAAGGTCGGCTAGAGCCAGATACCAGTGACTATAACTTAGCTAATGTTTATTGATTTTTTTTTTTCAGATGTGGTCTCTGTTGCCCAGGCTGGAGTGCACTGGTGCAATCACGGCTCACTGCAACCTTGACCTGCTGTGCTTAAGTGAGCCTCCCACCTCAGCCTCCTGAGTAGCTGGGACCATAGGCATGTGCCACCTTGCCCAGCTAATTTTTAAAATTTTTTGGTAGAGACAGAGTCCTGCTATGTTGCCTAGGCTGGTCTGGAACTCCTGAGCTCAAGTGATCCTCCTGCCTCAGCCTCCCAAAGTGCTAGGATTATAGGCATGAGCCACCTCGTCTGGCCTATTGAATGTTAACTGTGTACCATTCACTTAGTGTATATTAATCCATTTAATCTTCACAACTCTATGAGGATGGGTACTATTATCATCCTTGTGTTGCAGCTGTGGAAACATAATTTGTGCAACGTCATATGCCAAAGTGGCAGTGTGGCTTTCAAGGCATATCCTAGAAGGGCTTGTATTCCAGGCCAAGAGGTTGGCTTTTCTTCTGTAATCACCTTTGTTAGTTCAATGTGTATTCATCCAGAATTTTTCTTTATGCATCTGCAAGCAAGTACCCATACACATTTCCCCCTTTCTTTCTTTCTTTTTTTTTTTTTTGAGATAGAGTCTCACTCTGTCACCCAGGCTGGAGTGGAGTGGCATGATTTGCCTCACTGCAACCTCTGGCCCCTGGGTTCAAGCAATTCTCCTGCCTCAGATTACAGGCATGCACTAAAAAGGTAGCATACTCTTTACACCTTCTGTGCCTTGCTTTTATGAACAATATATCCTGGAAATCATTACACATCAGTACATAGAGAGCTTCCCCATTCTTTTTTTTTTTTTAACAGCTCATTAGCATTTCTTTGTGTGCATGTACCCCACTTGATTTCATCTTGGATTGGTTTCAGTTTCTGTCTATCAAAATGCTGTAATGAATTATCTTGTTTATGTGCCATTTTGCATATTCCCAGAAATGAAATTGCTGGGTTAAGGGGTAGGTAGATGTGCATTTGTAATTTAAATAGGTGTTGCCAAATTGTCCTCTGTAGATGTTGTACTGTTTTGCATTCCTACCTGCAGTGTATAAGAGTATGTTGGCACTTAAAAAATTTTTAGAATGCTGGGCGCGGTGGCTCAAGCCTGTAATCCCAGCACTTTGGGAGGCCGAGGCGGGTGGAACATGAGGTCAGGAGATCGAGACCATCCTGGCTAACATGGTGAAACCCTGTCTCTACTAAAAATACAAAAAATTAGCCGGGCGTGGTGGCGGGCGCCTGTAGTCCCAGCTACTCAGGAGGCCGAGGCAGGAAAATGGCGTGAACCTGGGAGGCGGAGCTTGCAGTGAGCCAAGATCACGCCACTGCACTCCAGCCTGGGCTATGGAGTGAGACTCCGTCTCGAAAAAAAAGAAACATTTTTTTAGATTCAGGGGTACATGTACAGGTTTGTTACATAGGTATATTGCATGATGCTGACGTTTGGGCTTCTATTGTACCTGTTACCTGAATAATGAATACAGCACCCAATAGGTAGTTTTTCTTTTTTCTTTTTCTTTTCTTTTCTTTCTTTTTCTTTTTTTCTTTTCTTTTTTCTTTTTTTTTTTTGACAAGGCCTTGCTCTGTTGCCCAGGCTGGAGTGCAGTGGCGCCATCTCAGCTCACTGTTACCTCCACCTCCTGGGTTCAAGCGATTCTCCTGCCTCAGCCTCCCAAGTAGCTAGGACTACAGGCATGTGCCACCAACACTGGCTAATTTTTGTATTTTTAGTAGAGACGGGGTTTCGCATGTTGCCCAGGCTGGTCTCGAACTCCTGACCTCAGGTGATCCACCCGCCTCGGCATCCCAAGGTTCTGGGATTACAGGTGTGAGCCACCGCATCTGGCCACAATAGGTTGTTTTTCAACCTTTGCCCCCCTTCCCTCACTCTCTCCTTTTGGAGACCCCAGTGTCCATTGTTCCCATCTTTATGTCTGTTTGTATCCAATGTTTAGCTCCCACTTATAAGTGAGAACATGTGGTGTTTGTTTCTTTTTTCCCAATTAGATCCTGATATTTTAGGGCCAGGTGTGGTGGCTCATACTTGTAATCCCAGCACTTTGGGAGACCAAGGCGGGTGGATTGCTTGAGCTCAGGAGTTTGAGACCAGCCTGGGCAACAAGTCAAAACCGCATTCTACAAAAAGTATTAGCCAGGCGTGGTGGCATACGCCTGTAGTCCCAGCTACTCAGGAGGATGAGGTGGGAGGATTGCTTGAGCCCAAGAGGCAGAGGTTGCAGTGAGCTGAGATCATACCACTGCACTCCAGCCTAGGTGACATAGCGAGACTCTGTCTCAAAAAAAAAAAAAAATCCTGATATTTAAATGTGGATTTTTTTTCAACTTTTATTATAGATCAAAGGGTACATGCACAGATTTGTTACATGGGTAAATTGCATGACACTGAGGCTTGGGGTCCCAATCATCATATTGCCCAGGCAGTAAGCATAGTACCCAACAGGTGGTTTTTCAGTCCACGCCCTTCTCTCTCCCTCTCCCATCTAATGGTTCCCAGTATCTATTTTTCCCATCTTTTTTTGTTTTAGTTTGCAAGATAATTTTTATTTTTACTTCTTTTAAAAAATGGACATTAATATTCAATATATATGTATACCTTAAAACTTCACCCAGGTTTACAAAAATTAGTCGGGCGTGGCGGCACATGCCTGTAATCCCAGCTACTCAGGAGGCTGAGGCACGAGAATCACTTGAACCTGGGAGGCAGAGGTTGCAGTGAGCTGAGATCGCGCCACTGCACTCCAGCCTGGGTGACAGAGCAAGACTCCATCTCATAAAAAAACAAAAAACAAAAAACAAACAAACAAACAAACAAAAACAACAAAAAAAACTTCACCCAGGCTACTCTGGGCACACTGTCCATGGGTTAGTCCTGCTCTGTAAGGAGCAGTAAAAAACAACAACAAAATCTCCCAATTTAGTGAAAACAAGGCATTCAATGGCAGACCAGCAGCAGAAACTGCTTATTACCTAATAATCATTTTATGAAGTCATATCTGTATAAAAACAAACACTAAAGAGAACAGACAACTAAAGTGACAGGCATACTTATAAATAAATACCAGATTACCAGATTTTAAATAGTAATCTATAAAAGTTTTACTACCTAAGGATTTTCACTCAAAGAAGAAAAAATACATAGTAACGCCAAGCTTGCAGAATGGGGAGTTAACAGATACATTTTCTCTTAATGGAAACCTATCTAGCTTCAGTAGCATTTCTGGATGAAGCATCAAGTTACTGTTGCACTTTTTTTTTTTAATTTTTTTATATTTATTGAGACAGAGTCTCTCTCTGTCACCAGGCTGGAGTACAGTGGTGCGATCTCAGCTCACTGCAACCTCCGCCTCCCGGGTTCAAGCCATTCTCCTGCCTCAGCCTCCCGAGTAGCTGGGACTACAGGCACATGCCATCACGCCCAGCTATTTTTTGTATTTTTAGTAGAAACGGGGTTTCACCATGTTGGCCAGGATGGTCTCAATCTCTGGACCTCGTGGTCCGCCTGCCTTGGCTGGGATTACAGGCGTGAGCCACTGCGCCCAGCCTTTTTTTTTTTTTTTTTTTTTTTTTTTGAGATGGAGTTTCACTCTTGTTGCCCAGGCTGGAGTGCAATGGTGCAATCTCGGCTCACAGCAACCTCTGCCTCCCGGGTTCAAGCGATTCTCCTGCTTCAGCCTCCCAAGTAGCTGGGATTACAGGCATGTGCCACCATGCCCGGCTAATTTTGTATTTTTAGTAGAGACAAGGTTTCTCCATGTTGGTCAGGCTGGTCTGGAACTCCTGACCTCAGGTGATCTGCCCACCTCGGCCTTCCACAGTGCTGGGATTAAAGGCATGAGCCACCATGCCTGGCCACTGTTGCACATTTTTAAAAGACTGGTCCAGCTGTGTTTCCTCTCATGTTAAATCATTCTCTTCATTTAAAGTATTGGCAGGAGCATCATTACATAGATTGTCTAGAATGTCGTTGTTTAATCCATTTGACTCCTCCTTTTGATCTTCATCAGTATTAACCTCTTCAATTGTCTGTACCCTGGGTGTATTCATTAACATTATCATTTCCTAGGGACTATTACTCAGCAGCTTTGCCTGCCTTCTTTCCAAAGCCGGTTGTTTATTTCTCTCAATCCTTTGTTGTTGCTCATCTGTTAGGCTTCTACTTGACTCAGAAGCAAACATCTCACTTTCAGATGAGTTTGTCAGAAAGGGATCTAATTCAGTAGCAGTTACACAATGTCCATTATTTTCCCCAACTTCCTCATTATTGCTAACAACATATTCATGTAAAATAGGGAGATCAAGTCGAATTCATTTTAAACAGGTCTGAATTTCCTTTTTATTTCTCAGGTATTCAACTCTGTCAATAAAATCCTCAAACTGCAGTTTAGGGAATCGCCTACGTGCCCAGTGTTCCATGTGTCTGATTAGCATCTTTAAGTCTTCAGCCTCATGACTTTTACCTTTGAATTTTGCCTTATCAAATACATGCCTTAAGGCTGGAAGCCCTCTCTCTGAAATTAATCTGTGAGCATCCAGCTCGGATATATTTCTTTTAACTGCTCTCTTTGGAGGTACAGGAACAAGTGCTCCACTTCCTGACTATCAGGTTCAGCTCCTTCATCATCTTGTCTCTCTGGAGAGGCTGGAGGTGGGAAAGGAGGAAAAGTTTCATCTTCTACATGCTCATAATCTGGAAGGTCAATCATGCCATTCTCCTGTGATTCTAGCATCTTTTCCTCTGGCTTTCCTCCCTTTCTGGACGCTCCTGGATTTTCTTTCCAGGTTCATCTAACCTCACAGACAGCAGGGGCCACAGTGCAGAGCTCAGCATGCAAACTAAGCATGCTTCTTCTATTTTTCCCATCTTTACATTCATGTGTATTCAGTGTTAACTTCCACTTATAAGTGAGAACATGTGGTATTTGTTTTTCTTTTCCTGTATTAATCTGCTTAGGATAATGGCCTCCAGCTGCATCCATGTTGCTGCAAAGGACATGACTGCGTTCTTTTTTATGACTGTGTAGTATTCCATGGTGTATATCTGACACATTTTCTTTATCCAATCTGCTGTTGATGGGCATCTAGGCTAATTCCATGTGTTTGTTATTGTGACTAGTGCTGCAATGTGTCTTTTTGGTAGAACGATTTCTTTTCTTTTGGGTATATACCCAGTGTGTGGGCACATTTTTAAAGACTTACTTAATTTTTGAATATGTGATACGCATATGCTTCAGAAGCAAAGGTGAAAAGGTGAAAAGGAGTGCAGTGGGCTGGGCATGGTAGCTCACACCTGTAATCCCAGCACTTTGGGAGGCCGAGGTGGGCAGATCACCTGAGGTCAGGAGTTTGAGACCAGCCTGGCCAACTTGGTGAAACCGTGTCTCTACTAAAAATGCAAAAATTAGCCGGGGGTGGTGGTGGGTGCCGGTAATCCCAGCTACTTGAGAGGCTGAGGCAGGAGAGAATCACTTGAACGGAGGCGGAGGTTGCAGTGAGCCAAGATTGCGCCACTGCACTCCAGCCTGGGCGACAAAGCAAGACTCCATCTCAAAAAAAACCAAAAAAACAAAAAGGGCAGTGGAAAGCTTCCTGCCATCACAGTCCATCTACCCAGTGTCCATCCCACCATTAATCGTTATTAGTCATTTATTATGTAATCTTCTAGTGTTTTCATTCTTTCGCTTTCTGTGTATGTGTGTGTGTCAGATATAGATTTTTATAACTTATTAATAGAACTTTTAAAACATAAACCAAAATAAAGAATACTTCTGAAAGGGCTGGAACATTCTGGGTCCCATGAACTGTCAAAATAGGCACACTGGAAAAACTGGAAATAGAATCCAACGTGAGTAGGGGGAACATATAAATCAAGGAAAAACAAAGTTCATATAAAAGTGAGAGACAACAGAACCTGACTATCTCTGAAAGCGAGCTCCCATCATTTGGAGCTTTTCACAGAAACAGAAGAGGGAGCTATAACCGTGAACTTAGAAGAGCTTTCCTTCTAAACATGCCAGAAAATTAATGTCGTATAAAAAGATGGAAGTCAAATCCCGTAAAAAGTTATTGTAAGAAAATAGAAAATACAGAGCAGAATGACCTCACTACAGACAATGGGAGAATGCCAGAAAGATGTGCCTGCAAAACAGATGAAAATTCTATCCTAATATTGCCAAATGAGCTCAGAGATTAAGAAATTATAAAAGATAAGAAAGAACAGCATATATCAGAAAGAGAAAAATTCAGAAATGGGGTAATAGAATTTGAGAAAGAATTAGAAACAAAACAAAAAGTCATTTCAGAAATGCAGACTAAACTAGAAGGAAGCTGGGTGTGGTGGCACATGCCTGTAGTCCCAACTACTTGGGAGGCTGAGGTGGAAGGATCACTTGAGCCCAGGAGTTTGAGGCTGCAGTGAACCATGATTGCGCCACTGCACTCCAGCCTCGGCAGCAGATTGAGACTCTCTCTCTAAAAACAAACAAACTAGAAGTAACATAAGAGCAAATAAAAACAACAGATAATGGCTTGAGAGGAAAAGGAGAAAAGATTTTAAGATCAAAAAGAAATAAAAGGCTTCCGGTTTTAACATGGACGTAAAAAGAACTGAAAAGAAACTCCTAACCTCACATGAAAAAACCTGGGCAGAAAGCAAATGAACAACTGCACGAACTCATCAGAGAACTGAGATCACAGGACAGGTGACCATCCTGAAATCTGGAGAGAGACACAGTACCTGCAGAGAGACACAGGACTGGAGCATTTGCTTACCCCAGGCTGAAGCCACCAGATGCTATATGAGCTGATAGGAAGTTTTAACTTGAAATGTTGATGGATTTCTGGAGGCCGAGTGCAGGCTACGGAAAGAGTGTGAAGCTTTTGGGCACCGCTGTCATAGGGGAGTTCCCACCCTTTTGCAGGTTATTTTAAAATTATTATTATTTTTATTTATTTATTTTTGCGATGGAGTCTCTCTCTGTTGCCCAGGATGGAGTGCAGTGGCGCGATCTTGGCTCACTGCAACCTCTGCCTCCTGGGTGCAAGCTATTCTCCTGCCTCAGCCTCCTGAGTAGCTGGGATTATAGACGCTTGCCAGCACGCCCAGCTAATTTTTGTATTTTTAGAGAGACGGGGTTTCACTGTATTGGCCAGGCTGGTCTTGACAGGTGATCCGCTTGCCTTGGCCTCCCAAAGTGCTAGGATTACAGGCATGAGCCACTGCGCCCGGTCTAAAATTGTTATTTATTTATTTATTTATTTATAATAGAGACAAGGTCTCACTATGTTGCTCTGGCTGGTCTTGAACTCCTGGGCTCAAGCAATCCACCTGCCTCGGCCTCCCAAAGTGCTGGAATTATAGGTGTGAGCCACCATGCCTGGCTAACTTTTGCAGGTTTTTACTCCAGAAACCTCACCAGACTCTCACTGGATGAACAGAGAGAATCTGGAGAAAGATTCCTTCTTGCTCCCTGTGGTGCTGGCTGGAGGAGGGAAACAGTTACCACACTTCCTAGACCACGTAGCCTGTTACCCTTACGGAACAAACGGCTTAATCTACAGGGGAAAGTGTAAGGCTTATTTGAGGGACTGTGTCTCAGGTACGAGATCTCTTAATTCTTTGGGGATCTGTGTCTTAGGGTGTGATATCTACAAACTATTTGAGGTTCTGCTTCTCAGGGTTAACCTAAATAACAGAGAGGCTCTCTAAAGAAAAAGATATTTGGCTGGCCGCGGTGGCTTACGCCTGTAATCCCAGCACTTTGGGAGGCCGAGGCAGGCGGATCACAAGGTCAGGAGTTCGAGACCAGCCTGGCCAATATGGTGAAACCCCGTCTCTACTAAAAATACAAAAATTAGCCAGGCGTGGTGGCGGGTGCCTGTAGTCCCAGCTACTCAGGAGGCTGAGGCAGGAGAATCACTTGAACTCGGGAGGCAGAGGTTGCAGTGAACCAAGATCGTGCCATTGCACTCCAGCCTGAGTGACAGAGTGAGACTCTGTCTCAAAAAAAAAAAAAGAAAGAAAAATACGTTCATTCAGGGATGGGGCATTGCAATGGGAATATGTGTGCCATAGTAAACTATGTACATACTCAGGGAGGTAAAGGAAAGCAAAGGTTTTTAAAGGAAAAATGAGGAGAGTTATGTAATTGTTTTCAAATGATTGTCCTTGGCCACAAAATCAGTAACAAGGGTGATACCAATCCAGAGTTGGATAGGCAGTTGCTAGGCAGATGTCCTCAAAGTATTTTTTGCTTAAGGTTGTAATGGCCTTTGTGCAAAATTGTGGGGGTTTTTTCTTTTTTAAATATATTTTTTTGGCCAGGAGTGGTGGTGCACTCCTGTAGCCCCATCTACTCAGGAGGCTGAGGTGGAAGGATAAATTGAGCCTCAACCAAGGCTGCAGTGAGCTGTGATCATGCCACTGCACTCTAGCCTGGGTGACATAGTGATACCCTGCCTCAAAAAAATTTTTTTTCTTTAAAAAATTGTTTTAGAGATGGGGTCTCGCTATGTTGCCCACGCATGTCTTGAACTTCTGGCCTTTAGCAATCCTCCCATTTCAGCCACACAGAGTGCTGGGATTACAGGCGTGAGCCACTGCACCAGGCCTTTTTTCTTTTTTTTCTTTTGAGATGGGATCTCTCTATGTTACCCAGGCTGGTCTTGAACTCCTGGGCTCAAGCAATCCTCTCACCTCAGCCTCCCAAGTAGTTGAGATTACAGGTGTGCACCACCACACCCAAACAGGATTTTTTTTTTTTGCAGTCTTTGGTGATACTTTTTGTTATCAGGTATACAAACTTGAGAACCCTTTCTTCCCCAGCTCTATTTGCCAGTTTTTGTTTGTTTGTTTGTTTGTTTGTTTTTGAGATGGAGTTTCACTCTTGTTGCCCAGGCTGGAGTGCAATGGCACGATCTCCGCTCACTGCAACCTCTACCTCCCAGGTTCAAGAGATTCTCCTACCTCAGCCTCCTGAGTAGCTGGGATTACAGGCATGCACCACCACACCCTGCTAATTTTTTGTATTTTCAGTAGAGACGGGGTTTCACTATGTTGGCCAGGCTGGTCTCGAACTCCTGACCTCAGACGATCCACCCGCCTCGGCCTCCCAAAGTGCTGGGATTACAGGCGTGAGCCACCGTGCCTGGCTCTGTTTTTTTTTTTTTTTTGTTGTTGTTGTTGTTTTGTTGTTTTGTTTTTCTGGTTTTTTTTTAAACATAAGTGACTCCATTTAGATTCTGACACCTTTCATAGCAATAATGTGAGGACCTTGAGTACTTTGCATTTTTTTTCCAAGGTGTGAGCTTTCTGAGGTATTTGACCTCAGGAGGTGGCTGACCAACAGTATGAGGTCCTGAGGTGTTTAGGAGCCTGTGTCACAAGATGTGAAGTCACTGAAATATTTTTCTTTCAGACTATGAATTTCTTGGGATATTTGGGGGTCTGAGTTTCAGGGTGTGAAGACTGTAGGCTGTTTCCCAGGTCTCTGATCTATAGGCCAGGCTGTGAGGCTTCTGAACCCTTTAGGGTTCTACCTCCCAACATGTGACATCTCACAGTTCCTTGAATGTGAGTTCTACGTGAGGCAGAAATTTTAAAATACTACTAATAGTAATAATAAGTACTGCATTTATTCATTCCAAGAAAAGTAACAGGCAAGGCAAGGGTTAAAAAGAAAAGAACAAGTTTTCCTCTGCCTAGCAAGTTCACTTCAAAGACAGTTTTAATACAATGCTGTCCGAATACCCAAGGCCAAAGGGATGGGCTCCAGACACCCCCACCCCGCCCCGCCAACTTCCAGAGCAAGGTTGAAGGAATAAAAAGAGAAAGACAGATTCTTTTACTGTTACTCTTTTCCCAGGCTTCTTAAGCATTATTATGTTTTATAAATGTCTCCTTTGCCTCTAGGGGCTGGCTTTAGCTCAGCGGTTACTTCGACAATGCTTTCCATGGTTAGGAAACCAACCTCTCTGGGTGGTTTGAGACCCGTGGGCCCTCTCCAGTCCTTTTGTGGTCGCCAAAAATGTTGCGGTAAACTGAGGAACAGAGAGACCAATATGGAGTACATGAGGATTGTTGTTTATTTTAGGTACGCACCGGCTCAGTGGATTCATATTCAAAAAGCTGAGCCAGTGTGTACCTAAAATAAACAACAATTCTCCTCTACTCCATATTGGTCTCTCTGTTCCTCAGTTTACCGCAACATATGAGCTGGTTTATTTTTATCATGGTGTTAGTTCTCTGAACTCTTTATGGGTCCATTTTCATCATTGTGAGGTGATTACCATTTTTGAGGATTGGTATCCCTGACCGTGGACATTTCTGAACTTTTGAGGTTCTCTCCTTGAGTTTGAGGCCACATTGTTCTTCCAAGGCATATTTACCCATATACCAGGTCTCTGAGCCAATTTATTGACTATATCTAAAATGTGAGGACAATGAGCTTCTTTCTTTCTTCCTTCCTTCCTTCCTTCCTCCTCCCTTCCTTCCTTCCTTCCTTCCTCCTTCCTTCCTTCCTTCCCTCCTTCCTTCCTTCCTTCCTCCCTCCCTCCCTCCCTCTCTTTCTTTCTTTTCTTCTTTCTTCTTTCTTTCTTTTGTTTTTTTTTTTTGATGGAGTCTAGCTCTGTCGCCCAGGCTGGAGTGCAGTAGCTCGATCTCGGCTCACTGCAACCTCCGCCTCCCAGGTTCAAGCGATTCTCCTGCCTCAGCCTCCTGAGTAGCTGGGATTACAGGCACCTGCCACCACGCCCAGCTAATTTTTGTATTTTTAGTAGAGACGGTGTTTCACTGTGCTGGCCAGGCTGGTGTTGAACTCCTGACCTCAGGTGATCCACCCACCTCAGCCTCCCAAAGTGCTGGGGTTACAAGTGTGAGCCACCGTGCCTGGCCAATGAGCTCTTCAGTATCTTTTTGTAGGATGTTAAATGTACAAGTAATTTTGGGAGTCTGTATTTCAAGTTGTGAAATCTCAAAGACTGGTGGGAGCATTTTATCATGTGGTGATATTAGCTGTTGGGGAGTTCTGTGTGCTAGAGTGCCAGGTCCCTGAGTAGCTTGAGGGTCTTTGTACAGGCTGTGATATCTTTAATCTGTTTGAGAGTCTCTATACCATGGTGTATGGTATCTGAGTTACCTGGGTCTTTCTTCCACGGAGTGAAATCTCTGAGCTCTTTTGTGTCTTGTGTCACATAGTGTGAGGTCTCTAAGCTTTTGGGGAAATCTCTGTCCAAGGTGTAAGGCTGGCTTTCTTTCTTTCTTTTTCTCTTTCTTTCTTTCTTTCTTTCTTTCTTTCTTTCTTTCTTTCTTTCTTTCTTTCTTTCTATCTTTCTTTCTTTCTTTCCTTCCTTCCTTCCTTCCTTCCTTCTCTCTTTCTCTCTCTCTTTCTTTCTCTGTTTCTCCTTCCTTCCTTCCTTTCTTCCTTCCTTCTTTCTTTCCTTCCTCTGTCTCTCTCTCTCTTTCTCTCTTTCCCTCTCTTTCTTTCTCTTTCTTTTCTTTCCTTTTTTTTTGAGACAGGGTCTTGCTCTGTCACCCAGGCTGGTGTGCAGTGACACGATCTCAGCTCACTGCAACCTCCACCTCCTGGGTTCAAGGGATCTTCTCACCTCAGCCTCCCAAGTAGTTGGGACTATAGGCGAGCACCACCACACCTGGCTAATATTTTTGTATTTTTTTGTAGAAACAGGATTTTGCTGTGTTGCCCAGGCTGGTCTCAAACTCCTGGGCTCAAGTGATCCACCCACCTCTGCCTCCCAAAGTGTTGGGACTACAGGCATGAGCCACCGGGCCCAGCCAGGTATGAGGTTTCTAAGCTATTTGGTGCCCTGTTTTCTAGACTGTGAATTCTCCAGGTCAGTTTGTTTATTTTCTACCTGGGTATAAGGCCTCTGGGCTTTTTGTGTTTTTGCTATACAGGAGATGGGGACTCTCAACCTTTGTGGACCTCCTTCTCTGATGGTCAGGTTTTAATATTCTGACAGTGTAATGTCCCTGAGTGTGGAGGCTCTGTCATTTTAAAGGTCTTTTGTTTTTGTTTTTTGATATTTTTTAAGATGGAGTCTCACTGTCACCCAGGCTGGAGTGCAGTGGTGTGATCTCGGCTCACTGCAGCCTCCACCTCCCGGGTTCAAGTGATTCTCCCGCCTCAGCCTCCTGAGTAGCTGGGACTACAGGCACACGCCACCACACCTGGCTAATTTTTTTTTTGTATTTTTAGTAGAGACAGGGTTTCACAATGTTGGGCAGACTGGTCTTGAACTCCTGACCTCAGGTGATCCACCCGCCTCGGCCTCCCAAAGTGCTGGGATTACAGGCGTAAGCCACTGCACTCAGCCTGTTTTTTGTTTTTTGAAACAGAGTTTTGCTCTGTTGCCTAGGCTGGAGTGCAGTGGTGCGATCCCAGGTCCTTGCAACTCCCACCTCCCAGGCTCAGGTGATCCTCCTGCCTCAGCCTCCTGAGTAGCTGGGACCACCACGCCCGGCTAATTTTTTATATTTTTAGTAGAGACGGGGTTTCACCACGTTGGCCAGGCTGGTCTCCAACTTCCAACCTGAAATGACCTGCACGCCTCTCCCTCCTAAAGTGCTGGGATTATAGCCGTGAGCCACCATGACTGGTCTGACCTTCTTATTTTTATTTTTTATTTTTTAAATCAATGGGGTCTTGCTTTGTCACCTAGGATGGAGTGCGGTGGTATTATCATAGCTCACTGTAGCCTTGAACTCCCGGGCTCAATCAATCATCCTACTTCAGCCTCCCAAGTAGCTGGGACTACAGGCACATGCTACCACACTTGTCTCGAGTTTCTTATTTGTATTATTTGTTTATTATCTGTCTCTGTCCTGTGAGAAAGTGACATTCATGAAGGCAGAGGCTTTGTCTCATTGCTGTGCTGCTGTGTCCCCAGCAGCTAGAACATAGCCTAGTACAGAGCTAAGCAGTTCATAAACATCCATGGAATAAATGCATGCATGAATGAATGAATGGATCTGGCAGAATATCAGAGGAGTAGCCCCAGCCCAGCTCAGCCCTCAGGATAATTCTATTAACCGGGTACAGTGGCACGTGCCTGCCGTAGCAGCTACTCAGAAGGCTAAGGTGGGAGGATCCCTTGAGTTCAGGAGTTGGAGGCTGCAGTGAACCATGATTGCACCACTGCACTCCAGCTTGAGCAACAGAGCGAGACCCTGTCTCAAAAAAAGATAGGCTGGGCGTGGTGGCTCACACCTGTAATCCCAGCACTTTGGGAGGCTGAGGTGGGAGGACTGCTTGAGCCCAGGAGTTCCCGGGTGTGGTGGCCCATGCCTGTGGTCCCAGCTACCTGGGAGGCTAAGGCAGGACAATAACTTGAGCCCAGGAGGTCGAGGCCGCAGTGAGCTGTGATTACACCACTGCATTCCAGTGAAACACTGTCTCAAAAAAAAAAAAAAAAAAAGAGAGGGAGAGAAATGAAAAAGAAAGATAATTCTCTTACACACTCTATCAGAGGCAGGTGGGCATCTTATTTCCAAGACCCTCCACCCAGGATGTTAAGACAGAAGTGAGGTTCATAGCTCATCTTCAAAGGCTATTTGCACATTTTGGCCCAAAACATACTTCCTCAATCCTAAATATGATTTCTGTTTTCCTTTTTCCTTCCTTCCTTTCTTTTTTTTTTTTTTTTTTTTTTTTTTTTTTTGAGACGAAGCCTTGCTCTGTCACCCAGGCTGGAGTGCAGTGGCATGATCTCCACTCACTGCAACCTCCGCCTCCCAGGTTCAAGCAATTCTCCTGCCTCAGCCTCCTGAGTAGCTGGGATTACAGGCGCCTGCCACCTTGCCCGGCTAATTTTTGTATTTTTGGTAGAGGCGGGGTTTCACCACATTGGGCAGGCTGGTCTCGAACTCCTGACCTCAGGTGATCCGGCTGCCTCAGCCTCCTGGAGTGCTGGGATTACAGGCGTGAGCCACGGTGCCCGGCTGATTTCTGTTTTTCTTTTCCTGGAAGTGGGGTGGCATAGGAGGAGGGTGGGAAATAAAATCCTATCAACATTGTCTAGGAAAATTCCCAGTACTTGAGTTGCTGTAAGTCAGTTGGAGAATTTCCTTTTTCACTACTATGCAGCAGTTTATATCATGTTGATAAATTGACACAAAATGATAAAGCATATTATCTAGAGCTGCACTGTCCAGTAAATAGTAGCCACTAGCTACATGTGGCTATTTACATTTAAATTAATTAAAATTATGGCCTAGTACAGTGTCTCATGCCTGTAATCTCAGCACTTTGAGAGGCTTAGACGAGAGGATTGCTTGAGACCAGGAGGTCAAGACCAGCCTGAGAATAAAAATAAGACCCTGTCTCCACAAAAAATAAAATTAGCAGAGCATGCCTGTAGTCTTAGCTACTCAGGAGGCTGAGGCAGGAGGATTGCTTGAGTCCAGGAGTTCAAGGCTGCAGTGAGCTGTGATCGTGCCACTGCACTCCAGCCTGGGTGACAGAGTGGGACCCTGTCTCTATTTTTAAAAAATAATTAGATTAAGTAAAGTATTTGACACAAGCTACAACATGGATGAAGCTTGAGGACCATATGCTAAGTGAAATAAGCCAATCACAAAGTGATTTCACTTATATGAGCTACTTAGTCAAATTCCTAAAGACAGAGAGTAGAGTGGTGGTTGCCAGGGGCTGGGAGAAGGAGGGAATGGGGAGTTATGGCTGAACAGGTATGAGTTTCAGGTTGGGTAGAAGAAAAGGTTCTGGAGATGTGTGGTGGTGATGGTTGCATAAAAATACAAATGTTCGGCCAGGCGCAGTGGCTCACGCCTGTAATCCCAGCACTTTGAGAGGCCAAGGCAGGTGGATCACAAGGTCAAGAGATCGAGACCATCCTGGCCAACGTGGCGAAACCCTGTCTCTACTGAAAATACAAAAAATTAGCCGGGTGTGGTGGCACGTGCCTGTAGTCCCAGCTACTCAGGAGGCTGAGGCAAGAGAATTGCTTGAACCTGGGAGATGGAGGTTGCAGTGAGCCAAGACCACACCACTGCACACCAGCCTGGGAGACAGAGTCTCATTCTGTCTCAAAAAAAAAAAAAAAAAAAAAAAGCAAATGTTCTTTTTTTGTTGTTGAAACAGAGTCTTGCTCTGTCGCCCAGGGGCTGCAGTATAGTGACATGATCTCGGCTCACTGCAACCTCTGCCTCCTGGGTTCAAGCGATTCTCCTGCCTCAGCCTCCCATGTAGCTGGGACTACAGGCACGAGCCAATACGCCTGGCTAATTTTTTTAAATTTAATTTTTATTATTTTTTATTTTTTTGAGACGGAGTTTCATTCTTGTTGCCCAGGCTGGAGTGCAATGGTGTGGTCTCGGCTCACTGCAACCTCTGCCCCCCCGGGTTCAAGTGACTCTCCTGCCTCAGCCTCCCAAGTAGCTGGGATTACAGTCACCTGCCACCACGCTTGGCTATTTTTTTTGTATTTTTGGTAGAGACAGGGTTTCATCATGTTTGCCAGGCTGGTCTTGAACTCCTGACCTCAGGTGATCCGCCTGCCTCGGCCTCCCAAAGTGCTGGGATTACAGGTGTCAGCCACTGCATCCGGCCCATTTGCCACATTTTAAATACTCAATAGACATATGTGGCTAGTGGCTACCATACTGGACAGTGTAGATAGAGAACATTTCCATAATTGCTGAATGTTTTATTGAACGGTGCTGGTCTAGAGTTATGACAGAAAGCTCTGGAAGAACTAAAATCAGAAAGAGGTTGAAAAGGTAGAAACAGTTGTCTCTAGGGCTGGAACTGGGGTTCAGGAAGGACAGGCAGAAACTTTGCTTTTTATCAAAATCCCCTCAGGATATGGGACTTATTCCCATGCTCATGAATTACTGTGATAATCTGAAAGAAAACCCACTCCCCCAGGCTCCACCAGGGAGTTAGATCCTTTTCTTCTTTTTTACAAAAAAATCAAGGTGAAATTCCATATAAGATTAACCATTGCAAAATGAACAATTTAGTAGCAATTTGTACATTTACAATATTGTGCAACCACTACTTCTGTCTAGTTACAAAACATTTTCATCACCCCAAAGAAAAGCCCTATACTCACTAAGCAGTTGCTCCCCATTTCTTGCACCATGTACCCGAGACCGGCCCCACTCAGCCCCTGGCAATCATTCATGTGTGTTCAGTCTTTATGGATTTACCTATTCAGGGATCATACGATATGTGACTTTTTTTTTTTTTCAGACGGAGTCTTGCCCTTGTCACCCGAGCTGGAGTGCAGTGGAGCAATCTCAGCTCACTGCAACCTCTGCCTCCTGGGTTCAAGCGATTCTCCTACCTCAGCCTCCTGAGTAGCTGGAACTACAAGTGTGCGCTACCATGCCTGGCTAATTTTTGTAGTTTTAGTAGAGACAGGGTTTTGCTATGTTGACTAGGCTGGTCTCAAACTCCTGGCCTCAAGCAATCTGCCCACCTTGGCCTCCCAAAGTGCTGGGATTACAAGCGTGAGCCACCGCACTGGGCCAGGTTTCACCACTGTTAACTAATATCTGGCTTTATTGATCTTTGGCATCATGTAGCATACACCTTATTCCTTTTCATGGCTGAATAATATTCCATTGTATGTATATACAAGTTGAGCATCCCTTATCTGAAAATTCAAAATCCAAAATGTTTTCAGATCCGAAATGATGCCACAGTGGAAAATTCCACAAATAAGTACTTAACACAAACTTTGTTTCATGCACAGAATTATTTAAAATATTGTATAAAATTGGCCAGGCGCGATGGCTCATGCCTGTCATCCAGCACTGTATTTTTTTTTTTTTTTTTGAGACAGATTCTTGCTGTCACCCAGGCTGGAGTGCCTGATCTCGGCTCATGGCAACCTCTGCCTCCCAGGTTCAAGCAATTCTCCTGCCTCAGCCTCCCAAGTAGCTGGGATCACAGGCATGCACCACCACATCCAGCAAATTTTTGTATTTTTAGTAGAGACAGGGCTTCACCATGTTGGCCAGACTGGTCTTGAACTCCTGACCTCAGGTGATCCACCTGCCTCAGCCTCCCAAAGTGCTGGGATTACAGGCATGAGCCACTGCACCTGGCCCAGCACTTTGGGAGGCGAAGGTGAGTGGATCACTTGAGCTCAGGAGGTGAAGACCAGCCTGGGCAACATGGCAAAACCCTGTCTCTATAAAAAATACAAAAATTAGCTGAATGTGGTGGTGCATGCCTGTTGTCCCAGCTACTCGGGAGGCTGAGGTGGGAGGATTGCTTGAGCCTGTGAAGTTGAGGCTGCAGTGAGCTGAGAACACGTTACTGCACACCAGCCTGGGTGACAGAGCAAGACCATATCTCAAAAAAGAAATACATACATACACACACACACATACATATATATTGTATAAAATTACCTTCAGGCTATGTGTATAAGGTGAATGTAAAACATAAATGAATTTCATATTTAGACTTGGGTTCCACCCCAAGATATCTCATTATGTATGTATAAATATTCCCAAATCAAAAAAAATCCAAAATGTAAAACACTTCTGGTCCCAAGCATTTTGGATAAGGGATACTCAAACTGTACCACAATTTGTTTAGCCATTCATCTGTTGATGGACATTTGGACTGGTTCCACCTTTTGGCTGTTGTGAATGCCGCTGCTATGAACATGTGTTAGATGTGCTTGAGTATCAGTTTTCAGTTCTTTTGGGTATATATTTAGGAGTGGAATTGCTAGATCATATTGGAACGAGACCAACACTTCTCCTGTTGTCCTTCCCAGCTTCTCCCCCACCTTCCCTTTTCCCTAGTTTATAAGACATGAGAAAAGGGAGAAAGCAAAAAGTTGGAAAGAAACAGAAGTAAGATAAATAGCTAGACGACCTTGGCGCCACCACCTGGCCCTGGTGGTTAAAATAATAATAATAATATTAACCCCTGACCAAAATTACTGGTGTTATCTGTAAATTCCAGACATTGTATGAGAAAGCACTGTAAAACTTTTTGTTCTGTTAGCTGATGTATGTAGCCCCCAGTCACGTTCCTCACGCTTACTTGATCTATCATGACCCTTTTACGTGGACCCCTTAGAGTTGTAAGCCCTTAAAAGGGCTATGAATTTCTTTTTCGGGGAGCTCGGCTCTTAAGACGCGAGTCTGCCGACGCTCCCAGACGAATAAAAACCTCTTCCTTCTTTAATCCGGTGTCTGAGGAGTTTTGTATGCGGCTCATCCTGCTACAAGATGATGATTCTCTTTATCTTTTTTTTTTGAGACGGAGTCTCGCTCTGTCGCCCAGGCTGGAGTGCAGTGGTGCGATCTCGGCTCACTGCAACCTCCGCCTCCTGGGTTCAAGCGATTCTCTTGCCTCAGCCTCCCGAGTAGCTGGGACTACAGGCACATGTCACCACGCCCGGCTAGTTTTTTGTATTTTTAGTAGAGACGGGATTTCACCATGTTAGCCAGGATGGTCTTGATCTCCTGACTTCGTGATCCGCCCGCCTCGGCCTCCCAAAGTGCTGGAATTACAGGTGTGAGCCACTGCGCCCGGCCTCTATGGTTACCTTTTAGAGGAACTGCCCAACTGTTTCCACAGTGGCTGAACCATTTTGTATTCCCACCAGCAATGTATGAGGGTCCCAGTTTCTCCACATCCTTGCCAACACTTATTTTCTGTTTTGCTGATTATAGCCATCCAAGTGGTGATGAAGTGGTATTTCACTGTGGTTTTGATTTGCATTGCCCTACTGACTAGTGATGTTGAGCATCTTTTCATGTGCTTCTTAGCCATTTGTATATCTTCTTTGGAGATATATCCATTCAAGTCCTCTGCTCATTAAAAAAATCTGGTTGTTTTTGTTTTTGTCATTGAGTTGTAAGAGTTCCTTATATATTCTGGATACATAACCCTTGTCAGATATATGATTTACAAATACGTCCTCCTATTCTATAGGTTGTCTTTTCACTTTCTTAATACTGTCCTCTGATACATAAAAGTTTTCAATTTTGATGAAGTCCAATTTATCTGGTTTTTTTTGTTGTTGTTGTTGTCTGTACTTTCGGTGTCATAGCTAGGAATCCATTGTCCAATCCAAGAGGATGAAAATTTACTAGAGCCTTTTCTTGGGGTGGGGTTCAGTTCATGGCTCTCAGTAGCTTGGAAAATGTTTGCTCCACTTTCAGATGGACATTGCCACTGCTCATCTTCACTTCCTGACCTCCAGCCCCACCCTGGCTCTAGGCCACCCTGCTGCCCAGGATCCGCCCCAGGATGCTCAATCATCAATAGACCACGTCAACCATGCTGCCTCTGGCTGCCAAACAGCTGTAGTGAATTAACCTAGACTTGGTTGAATGTGTTTTGTACCACCTGGGAAAGAAACTCAAAAATTGAAAGGGAAACTCAACATTTCCTCAAATCCTCAAGAATTCAGCACATTGATTTTGTAGCAAGTTAGCTTTTGTCATTTGGATTCTAGGAGATTTGATAATTTGGTGAATTGGTCATTTAGTCAATTGGGTTTTAAAAAGAAAGTGCTGGGGCAGATCATGAGGTCAGGAGTTCAAGGCCAGCCTGGCCAACACGGTGAAGCCCCATCTCTACTAAAAAATACAAAAATTAGCCTGGCGTGGTAGCGGGTGCCTGTAATCCCAGCTACTCAGGAGGCTGAGGCAGGAGAATCGCTTGAACCCGGGAGGCGGAGGTTGCAGTGAGCCGAGATCGTGCCGTTGCCCTCCAGCCTGGGTGACAGAGCTAGACTCCGTCTCAAAAAAAAAGAAAGAAAGAAAGAAAGAAAGGAATGATAAAAAGGAATAAAAAGAAGATTAAAAAAAAAAAAGAAAGGGCTAGGCTGGGCACAGTGACTCATGTCTCTAATCCCAGCACTTTGGCAGGCTGAAGCAGGAGGATTGCTTGAGACCAGGAGTTCGAGACCAGCCTGGGCAAATATAGCGAAACCTCATCTCTACAAAAAAAAATTAAAAATTAGCCTGGATGGTGGTGCACACCTTATAGTCCCAGCTACTTGCGAGGCTGAGGTGGGGGGATTGCTTGAGCCCAGGAGGTTGAGGCTGTAGTGAGCCATGATCACACCACTCCACTCAGCCAGGGCGACAGAGTGAGATCCTGTGAAAGAGAAGAGAAGAGAAGAGAAGAGAAGAGAAGAGAAGAGAAGAGAAGAGAAGAGAAGAGAGAAAGTCTGTGGTAGTGAAGAAATGAGAATATAGACATGTATCTGCTTATTTTTGCAAAAAGAAACACAGGAAGGATAAATCATAAGTGAATATGATTGTTTACCCCAGGGCCATGGTGGGCATCTGAAAACTCTGGTGGAAGTCCCTCCATTCCTGCCACTTTCAGGGTCTGTGTTGGGTGGGGGAAGCAGGAGAACCTTCTCTGGAGGGACTCTGGGCCTGGTCCTCACCCCAGGCCAGCAAAGGCTCCTTTCAGCTAAACAGCATCTCCATATTGCTGACCTGAGCAGGCATAGTTAGGGCAACATCCCTAACCAGCCCCTCCCTGCCCCGTGTAAGGTCCCTAAGAGCTGGGGGTGGTCGCAGGGAGGGTGCCTGGTGTGGGAACTGCCAGGTGCCGGCTGGCTTGGTGCCCTTGACCTCACCGGTCCTGTGACTTCACCTTCAGTCCAGTCCATTCTACCTTCCTTGGAGCTATGGATGGCGAGATCAACAGCCGGGGATGAGGGGAGATTGGAGTCTGCATCTAATATTGGGAGATCTTTTAACTCATCCAGCCAATTCCTTATTGAGTGTCCTGTCCTGGGTTCTGGGGACACCATGGTGAACAGAACAGACATAAATCTCTGCTCTCAGAGAGGTGTCATTCTGGTGGGGGCAGCGGTGACGGTGTTAGGTAGTGAGTAATGCCCTGAAGAAAATGAAGCAGGGAGGTGAGGTAGAGCAGACTGAGGTGGGTGGGCACTCAGCAGTGGTGAACAGGGAAGGCCTCACTGAGGTGACACATGACCCGAGACTGGAACCCTGAGCTGAAGGAGCCAGCTGTGCATCAGTCTAGGGGATGGGTGTTCTAGGCAGGGACAGTGTAAAGGTCCTGAGATGGGAATGAACTTGGCTAGTAACAAAGTTCCAATAAGGGCAGAAATACTTGGGGCTCAGATTTTGCCAGGCAAACACTCCAGTTTGGCCCAATCTGGTAGTGCTGGGGGAGCAGGGTGAAGGGCAAAGGAGGGAGGAGAGAGGCTCTCCTGAAGTGGGGTAGGTGCAGGTGATGGCAGGAAATGCCTTGAGCAAAGGAGGTAGGTATGGGTTTATGGCATTTGGGTGACTCTGCTGGAGTAGGGCCACTATAGAGTTATGCCTTGAGGGCTGGGAAAGTCAGGGTTGGAACTGGAGAGGGGATGGTGGAAAGGTAGAGTAAGGTCTTCCTGAACCCTTGGGAGAGCCCTAAGGGGCCACCTCACTTATCTCTCTCCCTCCGTCCTCCTTCCTTCCTTCCCTCCCTCCCTGGAAGCCCTGCTTTTGAGGAGAGCCATGGGTGCAGGTGGCAGGTGCCTCTCACCCAGTGGGTCACCTGACTCCAGTGGCACATGCCTGAGGCTGCAAGATGGCAGTCTTGGCTTATGGGAGTAGGTGGGGAGAAGATTCTAGATCAAGGTGTTCTTGCCAGCTCTCTCTCTCTCTCTCTCTTCAGTCAGAGGCACAGATGAATAGACAGAAGCCAGCACAGGCACAGCCTCTGAGTCACCCAGATACCTACGTACAGTGACCATACGATACCCTCTCTCTCTCTCTCTTTCTCTCTCTCTCTCTCTCTCTCACACACACACACACACACAAACCCATAGCACACAAGCACAGACACAAACACACACACACTTTGACATATGGCAGCAGCAAACAGAGACATATACAGGCACAGTCACTCAGAGATACCCAGTATAGTAACCATCAATCACTCACAAAGAGACACAAGTCACACTGAGACCTACCTGCCATATAGAGACACACAGCCCATTAGCATAGACATGGGCAGAGCCACACACAGGCTGACATACAGTGATACCAAACACAGACCTGTGCAGATGCAGCCTCATAGATACACACACACAAGCAGAGGTATTGAGAAGCAAAGGGGTATGCAGACAGGGCTCACATGCACCCAGACCTGGCTAAATAAGTTATCCCAAAACACACTATACTGTAGAAGGGAATATAGTCATGCACATCAGTGATACACAGTGTTTCTTTTGGGGCTGTGGCAACCATTGGTGATCACTGCTAGATCCAGGGTTTCTTTAGAAACTAAGTTGGAAGCTGGGCACAGTGGCTCATGCCTGTAATCCCAGCACGTTGGGAGGCCAGGGCAGGAGGATCGCTTGAGGCCAGGACTTCAAGACCATCTTGCGCATCATGGTGAGACCCTGTCTCTAATATATATATATATAGCATATATATATATTAGCATATATATGTTAGCAGGGCATGGTGGTGCATGCCTGTAGTCTCAGCTACTTGGGAGGCTGAGGTGGAGGATCACTTGAGACCAGGAGTTCAAGGTTGTGGTGAGCCATGATTGCACCACTGCGCTCCAGAAAAAGAAGCTAAGCTGTAGTTTTGCCTGTTGGGTTAAATGAAGAGAGGAACAATAAAAAAAGAGGAACCACAATTATGGACTCTAGAATTTAAGCTGGGTAAAGAGGGAAGTGAGGACACAAGAGAGGTGTGAAACACTGAAAAGGTAGTAAGATCAATAAATTGTAGATCCTAATGGGGTCGAAGGGTGTGATGGTTAATTTTATTTGTCATTTTGACTGGGCCACAAGGTGCTTCTTGTTCTTATGACTTTATCCTCTGCTGGCCTAGAGGTGGTAATCCCAGAGGAGGGAAGGCTTCCACCAGGAGACACAACAATGATTCCATTGAACTAGAAGTTAAGTCTGTGGCTACTTTGGGCTCCTTGTGTCTTTGTTTTTCCTTTTCTTTCTTTCTTTCTTTTTCTTTTTCTTTTTCTTTTCTTTTTTTTTGAGACAGAGTCTCGCTCTGTTGCCCAGGCTGCAGTGTAGTGGCACAGTCTCGGCTCACTGCAACTTCCGCCTCCCAGGTTCAAGCAATTCTCCTGCCTCAGCCTCCCAAGTAGCTGGCACTACACGCATGCACCACCATGCCCGGCTAATTTTTATATTTTTAGTTGAGATGGGGTTTCACCATGTTGGCCAGGCTGATCTCAAACTCCTGACCTCAGGTGGTCTGCCCACCTCGGCCTCCCAAAGTGTTGGGATTTTAGGTGTGAGCCACTACACCCGGCCTCCTCGTGTCTTTGAATCAACAGGCAAAGAAGGGAGTTATTATGCTGGCTGGGGTGATCAATCCTGCCTACCAAGGGGACATTGGACTACTACTTCATAATGGAGGGAAGGAAGAGTATTCTGGAATGCAGGCGATCCCTTAGGGCATCTCTGAATATTACCATTCCCTGTGATTAAGGTCAATGAAAAACTACAACCCAATCCAGGCAGGACTATAAATGGCCCAGACCCTTCAGGAATGAAGGTTTGGGTCACCCCACCAGGTAAGAACCATAGCCAGCTGAGGTGCTTGCTGAAGGCAAAGGGAGTATGGAATGGCTAGTGGAAGAAGGTAGTTATGAACACCAGCTATGATCACATGACTGGTTACAGAAATGAAGATGGTAATTGGCATGAGTATTTCTTCCTTACTAAAAAATTCTTTTTGGCTGGGCACAGTGGCTCACGCCTGTAATCCCAGCACTTAAAGCACTTAGGGAGACTGAGACAGGTGGATCACTTGAGGTCAGGAGTTCAAGACCAGCCTGGCCAACATGGTGAAACCCTGTCTCTACTAAAAATACAAAATTAGCCAGGCGTGGCGGTGGGTGCCTGTAATCCCAGCTACTTGGGAGGCTGAGGCAGGAGAATCGCTTGAACCCAAGAGGCAGGTTGACCTCAGGTGATCCATCTGCCTGGACTTCTCAAAGTGCTGGGATTGCAGGCATGAGCCACCGCACCCGGCCCCCTTTCTTATTCTTATATCATGTAATTTAAGATGTATTAACTTTACATCATAGTATTTAAGTTACACACTATCAAGGAAAAGAATAAATGTCACTCAAGGACTTCACATCTTTTGGAGAAGGGGTTAATGCATTTTTCAATTGTGCACAGGATAGTTGCATCATGTCAGGTGGAATTATGACCTTGTTATTGTCTTTATTGGAGATTAAGTATGGTTTAAAGGTATGTGTGTGGGTGTCTCGTTGGCAAGAGATGGATTTGTGATGGTTAATTCTATGTGTCAACTTGTCTAGGCTGCAGGATGCCTAGATACTTGGTCAGACGTGATTCAGAATGTGTCTGTGAGGATGTTTTTGGATGAGATTAACAGTTAAATCAGTAGACTGAGTAAAGAAGATTGCTAGCTCTAATGTGGGGTAGCAACATCCAATCAGTTGAAGGCCTGGATAGAACAAAAAGGCTGACCCCCCACCCCCGCCCGCCAGAAGAAAGACAGAATTCTGCCTGACTGTTTTCTAACTGGGACATTCGCTTTTTCCTGCCTTTGGACTCAAACTGAAACATTGATTCTTCCTGGGTCTCAAGCCTGCTGGCCTTTAAGCTGGAACTACAGCATTGGTTCTCCTGGGTTTCAGGCCTTCAGACTTGGACTGAATACACCATCAGCTCTCTTGGGTTTCCAGCTTGCCAACTCACCCTGCAGATCTTGGGACTTGTCAGCCTTGATGATTGTATGAGCCACTTGCTTATAATAGATCTCCCCCTGTATATGGACATGTATATATCTTTACAAGTTATTGTTTCTGTTTCTGGAGAATCCTAACTAATACAATGGGGAGGTGAACTGGAAGTTGAAGAGGTAGTGGTCAACAAGTGAAAACTTTGAAACTGAGGTTATGGAGAGGCTGCAGCTATTGTTAACCACAAGGTCAATGGTACAACAGTGGTGTGCGTGGCTGAAGTGGAGTGGGCACAGTATCAGTGGAGTAGAGCTCACAGAACAAAGAGACCAGGGTTAGACTCTGGATTTTTTTTCTGAGACCGAGTCTATCTCTGTTGCCCAGGCTGAAGTGCAGTGGTGCGATCTCAGCTCACTGCAACTTTCACCTCCTGGATTCAAATGATTCTCATGCCTCAGCCTCCCGAGTAGCCAGGATTACAGGTGCATGCCACGACGCCTGGATACTTTTTGTATTTTTAGTACAGACAGGGTTTTGCCATGTTTCCCAGGCTGGTCTCAAACTCCTGGGCTCAAGTGATCCACCTGCCTCAGCCTCCCAAAGTGCTGGGATTATAGGCGTGAACCACCACACCCGCCAGACTGTGGATTTTTAATCCCCTACCTTTTTTTTTTTTTTAATAACTGCTCCTTGCGAAGCAGGGCTACCCCACAGGCAGTGTGCCCAGAGTAGCCTTTATTCTTTATTTTTTTTAAAAATAGAGACAAGGTCTTGCTGTGTTGCCCAGGCTGGTCTTGAACTCCTGGACTCAAGCAATCCTCCTGCCTTAGCCTCCCAAAGTTCTGGGATTACAGGTGTGAGTCACTGTGCCTGGCCTTAATCCACTATCAATGTGTATTTTGAAATCACCAAGAGTTCTGGACAAGAGAGGTATTGGAGAGGGTGACAGTGAGCTAGGGATAAACCAAAGGGGAGTGATGAGGGGCTTGGTAGATGACTGTGATGAAGATGAGTAGAAGGCTGTGGAGTCTAATGCTTGTGCCTCAGAGGAGCTGGGGGTGGGGGGTTCCTGAGGAGAGAGGGACCATGGTCTGGGAGGAGTGCATGAAGTGCATGGAGGACACTTATGCCTCTGGAATCACTGTGATGAGAGCTGTGGAAGAGAAAACTGGCCACTGCTTAAGAGTGATGCAGTATTGTCAAGGAAGACCCACTCATGTTCCCATTGGAGCAAGAAGGTGAGCTCAACCTTCAGAGAAGTATCCTTCAGCTCTAGACTAATGGATTCTGCTGATGACTGAGTGTGAGTTCCAGAAGGCAAAGTCTCAGGATATGGGTCAGAAAAGGGCATTTGAAGACTTACATTTCCAACCATGATGGAGTAACAGGGACTGGATTTACTCCCCTGCCTTAAACAACTAAGAAACCAGGTAAAATATGTGAAACAAAGGTTTCCAGACATTAGACAACAGGAAGCATGGGACCATGATCCCATGAGAGAAGAGAAACAACTGAGTGAACCATATGATGGCCTGGAGAGAGTTTCCAGGCGTATGTTGGTTGCGGGGGCGGGGCGGTGAGGAGGACTAAAAAAGAGCCTTGTGGCCTCTCTGAGTTTAGATGACATAGTTAAATGAGTTTCTGGCAGTGACAGCAGCCAGAATACACAGGGCAGCCCAGAGTACCATAGAGGAGAGCGCTGCACACAGAGAGAAAGCTCTGGAGATCTATAGGGGGTTCCTTTCAAGCCTTCAGCTGAATTCTGATCAGCACACATATATGAGGAAACTATCTGAAGTCCAGGTGTTACCAGTGGAGGGTGTTGGCATTTTGAAGAAAGAATTGGGCATTTCGAACAAAGTGGAGTCATCCAGGTTCTTGGCGTTTTGCACAAAGAATTGGACAAAACGCACAAAGCAACGAAAGAATGAAGCCACAAAAGAATGAAGCAGGCTGGGTGTGGTGGCTCACACCTGTAATCTCAACACTTTGGGAGGTCAAGGCGGGTGGATCACAAGGTCAGGAGTTCAAGACCAGCTTGGCCAACATGGTGAAACCCCATCACTACTAAAAATAGAAAAATTAGCCGCCCATGGTGGTGGGCGCCTGTAATCCCAGCTACTCGGGAGGCTGAGGCAGGAGAATTGCTTGAACCTGGGAAGCGGAGGTTGCAGTGAGCCGAGATTGCACCACTGCATTCCAGCCTGGGTGACAGAGCGAGACTCTGTCTCAGGAAAAAAAAGAAAAGAAAAAAAAGAATGAAGCAACAAAAGGAAAGATTTATTGAAACGAAAGTACACTCCAGAGTGGGAGCAAGCTGGAGCAGGCGGCTCAAGAGCACTGGTTACGGAATTTTTGGGGATTTAAATACCCTCTAGAGGTTTCCCATTGGTTACTTGGTTTACACTATGTAAATAGAGTAGTGGCCCACGATCAGTCTGATTGGTCGTGGAAGGTGACCAATCAGAAGCTGAAGTGAATTACAAAGTTACACCCTATGCAAACGTCTGGTTGATTATAGGAGGGGCCCAATCAGAGGCTGAAGTGAAGTTACAAAGTTACACCCCTATGCAAATGAAGACTAGGCCCACAACCAGTCTGATTGGTTGTGGGAGGAGACCAATCAAAGGTACTTTCCTTTCTCATCTGTGATGCAGAAGAAGGGGGTGGGTTGCAAAGGGAGTAGCCTCTGATCTTTTTGTTACTTGGGCCTGGGAAGTTGGGGTTTTCCTTTTGAATTAGTTCTAGGAAGTCAGTGTGAATCGGCCTTAGGTTCCCTGCTTCCAGACCCTATTCTCCTGCCTCGTAGGGAAAGGCCAATGCAAAGGATCAGGAGGAATAATAATCCTCAGAGCCAGGAATACTTTATCTCCACACTAGCCTGAGTGGAGAAACCTCCTAACACATAAGACATTGAGTAGAAAGCTCAGGATGGTATTGCCTCAGTACCAAACTAGCTTTAGACTAAAGGCTATGCAGGTCCTGCCTAAAAAAAACCTTAAAGGCAGACCAAGTGCAGTGGCTCATGCCTATAATCCCAGCACTTTGGGAGGCCAAGTCAGGTGGATCACTTGAGCCCAGGAGTTTGAGACCAGCCTGGGCAACATAGTGAAACCCTGTCTGTACAAAATTACAAAAATTAGCCAGGTGTGGTAGAACATGCCTGTAGTCCCAGCTACTAAGCTCACAGGGGGCTGAGATGGGAGGATCGCTTGAGCCCAGGAGGTTAAGGCTGCAGTGAGCCATGATCACACTGCTGCACTCCAGCCTGGGTGACAGAGTGAGACCCTGTCTCAAAGAAAAAAACAAACAAACAACAAAAAACCTTAAAAACAAGCCTCAAAAAGATCAAATTGATTAATTGTGTCTTAGACCAAAACAAATTTTTTTTTTTTAAGATAGGGTCTCACTCTGTCGCCCAGGCTGGAGTGGCATGATCTCAGCTCACTGCAACCTCCACCTCCCAGGTTCAAGCTATTCTCCTGCCTCAGCCCCCTTAGTAGCCTCCCAAAGTGCAGGGATTACAGGCATGAACCACCATGCCCGGCCAAAAACAAAACAAAAAAATTTTTAAGTACAAAAAAGTCAGCACCCAATAAGGTAATATTGATATGGGAGTGGGGTAGGGAAGTGCTGGGTAGAGAAGGGTGGGTCCCTGGCTAGGGGTCCCACCCTGGGGTTGTGCCCACGGACCTAGGTAAGAACAGGCATTTCTGTTTTTATGCCCAAATGTTGCATTTCCCAAGACCACCCTGGCCTGTCACGCCCCCATCCTGCGCCTATAAAAACCCCGAGACCCTAGGGGGCACAGACACAAACAGCTGGACATCAAGAAGAGCACACCTGCAGAAGAGCACACCAACAGGCACCGGCAGATGCCGGCAGGCCATCAACTGGTGGAATGACACGGAGTTTGGCTGGGGGTTGGAGGAGAGTCTGGCTGCTGGGCGGCCCAACTCCAGGAGAAAACCACCTTCCCACTGTATCCCCCTTCTGGCCTCCCTATCCACCTTGCTGAGAGCTACCACCACTCAATAAAAAACCTTGCACTCTTTCTCCAAGCCCACATGTGATCCGGTTCTTCCAGTACACCAAGGCAAGAACCCTGGGATACAGAAAGCCCTCTGTCCTTGGGATAAGGCAAAGGGTCTAATTGAGCTGATTAACACAAACTGCCTACAGACAGCAAAACTAAAAGAGCATTCTGTAACACATGCCCACTGGGGCTTCAGCTGTAAACATTCACTCCTAGACACTGCCGTGGGGCTGGAGCCCCACAACCTGCCCATCTGCATGCTCCCCCTAGAGGTTTGAGCAGTGGTGCACCAAAGAAGCGAGCCACACCCCGCTCTCACACCCTGCTAAGGGGATAGGGAACTTTTCCCGTTTCAATATTTACATCTGACGCCCAATAAAAAATTATCAAGCATGCAAAGAAACAGGAAAATACAACCCATAATGAGGGGAAAAATAATCCACAGAACATGACCCAGAAATGATCCAGATGATAGAATGAGTAGAAAAAGGACGTGAAAACAGCTGTTATAAATATATTCCATACATTCAAGAAGGTATAGGAGCGGGGAATGGTGGCATGTGCCTGTAGTCCTAGCTACTCGGGAGGCTGAGGCAGGGGGATCATGTGAGCCCAGGAGTTTGAGGCTGCAGTGAGCTGTGATCACAGCTCTGCTGTACTCCAGCCTGGGTGACAGAGTGAGACCCTGTCTCTCTCTCTTAAAAAAAAAAAAGGCATAGGAAAGCATGAGTATGACTGAAATCGAGCACCAAAGGAAGACCCTTCCCTGTTGTCCCTGCACCCACCTTAGTTCAGGGTTGAGATCAGTCCTTGGAGAGAATACGGCTGTGACTCTTTGAATGGCAGAATTTGCTGGAAATCTGCTTGCTGGAACTTGCCAGAAATCCACCATCTAGAGTGCCAGTGAAAGCTGTTCATGGGGAGGTGTCTCACTGGAGGCACTCTGCCACAAAACTACCTGAGGGAGAGTGCCAGGGGATGTTGCTGGCTACTGGGTGCTGTTGGCTGCCCTGCACTACAAAAGCTGGAAAATGGAGAAGCTGTGAGTCCTTCAGGAGCCAGAGGCAAACTGCTACTAACCCATCTGATGGGGAATTCCAGAGGGAGGCTGCTGGCTACTGGGTGCTGCTGGTCACCACACACTGTGGGAGCCAGGCACTGGAGAAGTTGTAGGACTCTGTTGCTATAGAAAGCTGCAGACACTGCAGTAACCTGCAAAGTGGGCACTCCAGCACCGGGAAGCAAAACCTTTTTCCTTCTTGAAATGTCTCTCCAGTGCCCTCTACTGGCAAAGCTTCAGTGCCAGGTGGCAAAGGAAACAAGTAAAGGGACCAGATCTGTTTTCACAGAGCAGGCAGAAGAGTGAATTTGAAGCTGAGAGGTAAAAATTGGTAAGTGGTACAGTCCACCCCTTTGACTTCTTGGCTTTCATGTGCACATATTTGAATTCTTGTACAACAAAACAGCTTGGGCGAGGTGGGAGGATCATTCGAGGCCAGGAGTTTGAGGTTATAGTGAGCTATGATCCCGCCATTGCACTCCAGCTTGGGTGACAGTGCAATACTCTGTCTCAAAAAAAAGAGAATAACACAACTTTACTCCTACCCAACAAGATATAGCTATCCTTCTTACAAGGGAGGAAGTTGTTACCCTTTCACCCAAATGAGAAGACACATCACTTTCTGTATTAATTACTCCTCAAATTTAGCCATGGTCCTGCTGATATCCTAGTACCTAAAGAGTAAATTGTAAAATTACCTTCCAACTTCTTGTATATAAAATAAAAATGGGAAAAAGAGAAAAAGAACATGGCTAGATTATGCAAATAAACACATACATATAACAAGCAGAAGGCAAATGAGGAAAGGTAATATAGTACTCATTTCTGTAATTGATCTCAAGGCTGTAATTGACATCTATGGCTTCCTTCTTCTGTTATTATCCATTCTGCATTTCCCCTGCCTTCATTCAGAACCTCAGATGCTCTTTTCTACCTGAAGGAGTCACCCAAACTTTCATTCTGGAAGGGTCTGAGTACTTGATCATCCTGCCTGTTTTGAGTTACTAGAGTTTAACCTTTTAATGGAGTTTAACCATTAATCTTTACTATGGGGGCCAGGCACGGTGGCTCACACCTGTAATCCCAGCACTTTGGGAGGCCAAGGCAGGCAGATCACCTAAGGTCAAGAGTTTGAGACCAACATGGCAAAACCCCGTTTCTACTAAAAATACAAAAATTAGCCAAGCGTGGTGGCATGCGCCTGTAGTCCCAGCTACTCAGGAGCCTGAGGCAGGATAATCACTTGAACCCGGGAGACGGAAGTTGCAGTGAGCCAAGATCGTGCCACTGTACTCCAGCCTGGGTGACAGAGTAAGGCTCCGTCTCAAAACAAAAAACAAAACAAACAACAACAACAACAATAACAAAACTTTACTATTAGGCATGGAAGTACTAAGAGGCACCCCAGATAATTCTCCGGGTTGCAAACATGGTCCTCTTTGCCTCCCTTGTGTAGCAACAGCTCAACTTCCACTTGGTAATTAGGATCAATCACTCGAGCCAGTAAATTAAGTCTTACCTCATCCCCTTTTTTGGCTTGTGGTTTCATTGGCATAAGGAGCCCAAAATGTCACACATTTTTCACTTTCCAATTCACTGGAATTATTGTTGTGTCCCCTGGAAGAAACAGTCTCCCTTTGAGGACTAAGATCTCCAAACTAGCAAAGCTCAAAATTGCTGAGACAGGAAGCAAAAATTCTGTGAGTAGGTTATTAGTTGTAATAATGAGAGGAGCTACTCCTACTTCTACCCCTTGGTTTCAGGACCCATTTATTCTGGCTATGGGAGAGATAGTGCTGTATAATAGTCTCTAGCTCAAAGTATATATTACATTCCAAAAAATAGTATACCATTGTTTCAAGATGTTATTTCCCAACTGGCATCAAAACCAAGTTTCAGTAAGCCATTTCACCCTTCAAGTAGGCCAGCTACTCTAACATGATGTGGTATGTGGTAAGACCAGTTAATTCCATAGGCATGAGTCCATTGCTGCACTTACTTTGCTGCGAACCAGAAGCAAAGCCGTGCAGAAGAGTCTACAGATGGTAGTGCTGGCACAAGGATTATGGGCAGAGTAGGGAAAACTATATCCAGAAAATACATCTGTTTCTGTGAGACTGAATCTCTGTCCCCCTCCATGATGGAAGACTTCCAATGTAATCAACCTGTCACCAGGTGGTTGGCTGGTCCCCATAGGGAATAGTGCCATATCAGGGACTCAATTTTGGTTGATGCTGTTGGCAGATTAGGCACTCAGCAACCATGCCACCCTTGGTAAGGGGAAGTCCATGTTGTTGAGCCCAGGCATAGTCTCTGTCCCTGCCCATGGCCTATTTCTTTATGGGCCCATTGAGCAAATACTGGAGTGGCTGGTGAAAGAGGCTGATGCACATCAACAGACCACATCATTTTGTCCCCTGGATTCATAACAGTCTCCTATGCAATGTATGCCTTTTGGTGGGCATTCACATAGGACTCAAATATCTTCAGTCTGTCCCCACTCAGAGAAGGCTGGTCACATTTCTCTTCCTCAGACTTCCTTGTCGCCAATCTTTCAATCTTGTTCTTTTCAAGTCCCTAACTACATGTCAGTGTAGATCTATACTTCTGACTATCTCTTACTCCACACATAGTGGACAACTAAACATACTGTTCAGTGTTCTGCCCACTGGAGAGGATCTTCCTTCACCATTGTCATCCAGTCACCCCTGAGTACAGTTGTAGTGCTGCATCTGTCTACTTTTGGATGGTACCAGTATAACATGCAGACCCATATATAAGGTAGGCTTCAGTTTTCCTTCCTCAGTCAAGTGGTCATAGGAACACTCTGTGATATCATAGGCATGGATTGAAGGAGAGGAGGCAAAGCAACAGGAGTTGGTGTCAAAAGAGTCTGAATTATCTGCTCATGCAACTTACTTGTACCTACTGGACCTGCTCAACTTAGTCTTTTATGTACCATTTTCATCCAATAATAGATTGCTGCTATGCATGCCTAAGCTTATGGCTATGTGGGTCAAAGAAGACACCAGTTCATGATGAGAGTCTCAGGCTGTATGGTCACCTAATATCTCATGGTTAGGTGTTTCAATCTCTGCCAAGGCCCAGCAGTAAGCCAGAGCTGTTTCTTGAAAGGAGAATAGTTTTCTGCGAAAGAGAGCACATACTTGCTCTAAAGTCCTAGAGGCTTACCCTGTGATTCTCTCATTGGTGCTTGCTAGAAACTCCATACAATATTCTTATTTGTCACAGACACTTCATGGGATCTGCTGGGTCAAGTGGAAGAGCAGCTTGTATTGCAGTCTGAATTGCAGAGCTTTCTCTTGTCTGGTTCTATTCAAAACTGGGAACCTTGGGTGATTCTATAGATGGATTTGAAGTAGCACACTCAGGCCAGGCATGGTGGCTCAAACCTGTAATTCCAGCACTTTGGGAGGCTGAGTTGGGTGGATCACTTGAGGTCAGGAGTTCAAGACTAGCCTGGCCAACATGGTGAAACTCCGTCTCTACTAAAATACAAAAATTAGCCAGGTGTGGTGGTGGGTGCCTGTAATCCCAGCTACTCGGGAGGCTGAGGCAGGAGAATCGCTTGAACCCAGGAGGTGGAGGTTGCAGTGAGCCGAGATCGCGCCATCACACTCCAGCCTGGGCAACAGAGCAAGACTCCATCTCAAAAAAAAAAAAAATGAAGTAGCACACCCAAATGTTGCCTCCAAGGCTGGGTGTGGTAGCTTATGCCTGCAATTACAGCAGTTTGGGAAGCTGAGGTCGGCAGATCTCTTGAACCCAGCAGTTCGAGACCAGCCTGGGAAACATGGCAAAACCCCATCTCTACAAAAAATAAAAAATAAAAAAGTTAGCCAGGTGTGGTAGCGTGCACCTGTAGTTCCAGCTACTTGGGAGGCTGAGGTGGGAGGATTGCTTGAGCCCAGGTGACGGAGTTTGCAGTGAGCCATGATCATGCCACTGCACTCCAGCCTGTGCGACAGAGTGAGACCCTGTCTCAAAAAAAAAAAAAAAGTTGCCTCCAAAATACAAAGGCCTACCAAGGGTTGTAACTTTTTGTTTGTGGTAGGAGGTGTGAGGTATAGCAACTTGTCTTTCACCTTGGAGGAAATCTTTTGACATTCTTCAGACTATTTAACTCTTAGAAACTTCATTGAGGTGGCAGGCCCCTGAATTTTTGTGAGGTTTATACCCAACTGTATCAGGCAGGGTTCTTCAGAGAAACAGAACCAATAGAATGTGTATATATTTAGAGAGGGATTTATTTTAAGGAATTGGCTCATGTGATTATGGAGGCTGGCATTTTTTCAAGTCCAGACTCTGCAGGGTAGGCTGGCAGCCTGGAGTCCCAAGGAAGAGCTGATGATACAGTTTAAGTTCAAAGGTCTCCTGCTGGCAGAAGTCCTTCTTGCTTGGTGGAGGTCAGTCTTTGTTCTATTATGGCCTTCAACTGATTGGATGTGGCTCACCCAAATTATAGAGGGCAATCTGTTTCACTCAAAGTCCACCAATTTACATATATATATATATATATATATATAAAAATATATATATATATAAAAATATATATATATATATATATATATATATATTTTGAGACAAAGTCTTGCTCTGTTGCTCAGGATGGAGTGCAGTGGTACGATCACAGCTTACTGCAGCCTCCACCTCCCGGGCTCAAGCAGTCTTCCCACCTCAGCCTCCCAAGTAGCTGGGGCTACAAGCATGTGCACTATGCCTGACTAACTTTTTTTGTTTTTGTTTGTTTGTTTGTTTGTGACAGAGTCTCGCTCTGTTGTCCAGGCTGGAGTGCAGTGGCGCAATCTTGGCTCACTGCAAGCTCTGCCTCCTGGGTTCACGCCATTCTCCTGCCTCAGCCTCCTGAGTAGCTAGGACTACAGGCGCCTGCCACCACGCCCAGCTAATTTTTTGTATTTTTAGTAGAGACGGGGTTTCACCATGTTAGCCAGGATGGTCTCGATCTCCTGACCTCGTGATCTGCCCACCTCGGCCTCCCAAAATGCTGGGATTACAGGCATGAGCCACCACACCTGGCCTTGTTTTTGTTTTTTGTAGAGACAAGGTCTCACTATGTTGCCCAGACTTGTCTCGAAGCCCTGGACTCAAGCAATCCTCCCACCTTGACCTCCCAAAGTGCTGGGATTACAGGTATGAGCTACTGTGCCCAGCCCTTTCATTCTTTTTTATTTTATTTATTATTATTATTTTTTGAGACAGAGTCTTGCTTCTTCACCCAGGCTGGAGTGCAATGGTGTGATTTTGGCTCACCGCAACCTCTGCTTCTGGGGTTCAAGCAATTCTCCTGCCTCAGTCTCCCCAGTAGCTGGGATTACAGGCACGTGCCACCACGCCCGGCTAATTTTTGTATTTTTAGTAGAAATGGGGTTTCACCATACTGGCCAGGCTGGTCTAAAATTCCTGACCTCAAGTGATCCGCCTCAGCCTCCCAAAGTGCTGGGATTACAGGCATGAGCCACTGCACCTGTTCCCCTTTCATTCTTAATAAGACGTCTAAACTATTTGCTCCTTTCTGCTCACCAGATCCAATCTACATGTCATCAGTGTAGTGGCCCAGTGTGATGTTTAATTGAGTATCAAGATGAGCCATATCTCTGCCGACTATATCATGGCAGAGAGCAGAATTGACACAGCCCTGAGGCAACACCGTAAAGTTATGCTCTTGTTCTTGCCAGGTAAAAGCAAATGGTTTCTGGTAGTCTTTGAAAATTGGTGCAGAGAAAAGGTCATCAGTCAGGCCAGTACCTGCATACCAAGTGCCAGGGGTTGTGTTGAGTTGTTCCAGTAAATATACTATATCTGGGACAGGAGCTACAAGTGAAGTCAGCATCTAATTAAGTTTATAGTAGTCTGCAGTCATTCTCCAAGATTCATCTAACTTTTGCACTGGTCAAACTGGTGAGTTAAATGGAGATGTGATAGGTGTCACCACCCCTACTTCTTTCAAGTCTTTTCTGGTGCCATTAATCTCTGCATTCCCCTCGGTATGCATTATTGCTTCTGGTTTACTAGCTTTCAAAGGAGTGGATGTTCCAGGGGCTTTGGCTTAGCCGTTCTTACTGTAATGGCCCTCACCCCGTGGATCAGCAAACTGATGTGGGGGTTATGCCAGTTTCTTTTTTTGGGAGTGGGAGGACAGAGTCTGTCTCTGTCACCCAGGCTAGAGTGCAGTGGCACGATCGCAGCTCACTGCAGCCTCAACCTCCTGGGCTCAAGTGACCCTCCCACCTCAGCCTCCTGAGTAGCTGGGGCCACAGGCAGGTGCCACCACACCCAGCTAATTTTTACAATTTTTTTGTAGGGATGGGGTCTTGCTGTGTTACCCAGGCTGGTCTTGGAACTCCTGGGCTCAAGCTATCTTCCCACCTCAGCCTCCCAAAGTGCTGAGATTATAGGTGTGAGCCACCACGCTCATCCAGTTATGCCAGTTTCTAAGTATGTTTATTCCAATGATAAATTCAGGAAGTGGGAAAATAACTATAAGGTGGGCCACTGGACCAACTGGGCCCAATGTGAATCAAACCTGAGCTAAGACTATTACCTGACCACCCTAAAGCCCCTGCTTTGATGGACCACAATGGCATTGTGGGTCCCCAGGAATTAGTGTCAATTCAGAGCCAGTATCTAGTAATTCTCAAAAGTTCTAGGTATTTCCTTTTCCCCAAGGTACAGTCACTCTAGTAAATGGCCACAGGTCCCTTTCAGGAAGGCTTGGAGGAAGATTTACAGTATGTTTGTGTGGCAATGGTGCAGGCTTCTCCCTCAAGAGGACCTGGCTGCCCCTTCAATAAAGGGGCTCTAGACCAGTCTCAGTGGCTCACACCTGTAATCCCAGCACTTTGGGAGGCTGAGGCAGGAGAATCACTTAAGTCTTAAGTCCAGGAGTTTGGGACCAGCCTAGGCAACACAGCGAGACCCCATTTCTAAAAACCATAAAATAAAATAATTTTTTTAAAAAAGAGGGGCTTGCCGGGCGCGGTGGCCCACGCCTGTAATCCCAGCACTTTGGGAGGCTGAGGCGGGTGGATCACGAGGTCAGGAGATCGAGACCATCCTGGCTAACACAGTGAAACCCTGACTCTACTAAAAATACAAAAAATTAGCCGGGCGTGGTGGCGGGCACCTGTAGTTCCAGGTACTCGGGAGGCTGAGGCAGGAGAATGGCATGAACCTGGGAGGCGGAGCTTGCAGTGAGCCAAGATCGCACCACTGCACTCCAGCATGGGCAACAAGGCAAGACTCCGTCTCAAAAAAAAAAAAAAAGAGGGGCTCTTGATCTGTGAATTGACTTCAGTCTGGACACTGAGTGACAGGCTGACTCTCCACTGTGGTGACTTGAGTCAGTTTTTTGGCTACTAGATCTATAACTTTTTCTATCATATAGACTGAACAATATTCTAGTAGGGTATCCATCTGTTTCATGCCCAGGGAAATGGTGGTCAATGTGCCTGAACATCCACGGTGCTGTATTTGGCAGTTAAATGCTGCCACTTGACCTCTGTTACTTTGGTACTCCATGAACCCCACTGAAACCAGGGAGCCCATCCCTTACAGTCATACCTTGCCTACAAAGAAGAGCAGCCATAGAGCTTTCCAAGGATGCAGGTGTTTTTCTCAGTAATGGATTTCTCAATGCCTTGGTGAAGGGAGTGTCTTTCAACCATTTTCATGGAACATAGTTAGGAGTTGTGGGCAAGTCGAACATAATAAATCTCCAACATTCCTATCCCCTTAAGCCTTTGGATTCCCTTTCCCATATCACACCAGGGCAGCTCAGGCTTCTCAACTTAATTAACTGTAGGGCCATAATTGAGTCCAAGCTTCAGGCAATCAACCAAATAAGCTCTTAAAGCTACCTCCAGCTGCATAAGCTGACACTTTAAATACAGAGTCTCTAATAAGTGTACTTATCTCAATGAATTCTGCCCTATCTAGTATTATATTTTGCTCTCCTTTGTCTAATAACCTTGGAAACCACTTCTGCATATATTCCCTATATTTCTGTCAATGTATATTAGCAATCTTACAATGCTTTTGGTGTATAAGCTGCTTCCTCCTTGTTCATAGTGTGCACTTGTTCCCCTGGACCATGCTGAGATTTAACCTTAATTATTGGTCTTGTGGCAATAGGGGGTGGTCGTGGCAGGAAGAGGGGAGAATGGGCATTCCCTTTCAAGGCATCCTCCCCAGGTCAGTTTATCTCAGTGTTTTCAAGGAGAGAAAGACTAGTCTCAGACACTGAAACACTGAAGGACAAGCTATTTCTATTAGTACGGGAGACTCAGAGTGACTTGGTAGTTCAAGATTGTCAGTTTCATCTGAGACCAAACAGATGCCCCTCCAGATCCAAGTTTCAGGATCCCATTCTTTATCTTTCACATGAGAGACTTGTCAAGACTGTGAGTTCAACTTGCACTGCACAATTAAATGTTGTGTTTGATTGTCAGTAGTATCAGCCCATTAGGCATCATGAAAGTTCTCTGGTTCTCAGACTGTGACTTGAGCTGAGAAGTCAATGGACCCCACCTTGTTCTTTTCTTTTCTTTTCTTTTCTTTTCTTTTCTTTTTTTTTTGAGACGGAGTCTCACTCTATCGCTCAGGCTGGAGTGCAGTGGTGCGATCTTGGCTCACTGCAACATCTGCCACCCGAATTCAAGCAATTCTGCCTCAGCCTCCCGAGTAGCTGGGATTACAAGTGGCTGCCACCATGCCAGGCTAATTTTTGTATTTTTAGTAGAGATGGGGTTTCACCATCTTGTCCAGGCTGGTCTTGAACTCCTGACCTCGTGATCCACCCAACTTGGCCTCCCAAAGTGTTGGTATCACAGGCGTGAGCCACTGTGTCTGGCCATCATTTTCTCTTTGTTTTTTTTTTTTTTTGAGACGGAGTCTCGCTCTGTCACCCAGGCTGGAGTGCAGTGGCGTGATCTCTGCTCACTGCAAGCTCCACCTCCTGGGTTCAAGCAGTTCTCCTGCTTCAGCCTCCCGAGTAGCTGGGACTACAGGTGCCCGCCACCACACCCAGCTAATTTTTTGTATTTTTAGTAGAGACGGGGTTTCACCATGTTAGCCAGGATGGTCTTGATCTCCTGACCTTGTGATCCGCCCGCCTCGAACTCCCAAAGTGCTGGGATTACAGGCGTGAGCCACCACGCCTGGCCCATCATTTTCTCTTTGTAAGTGCTCAAGTGCATTCAGAACAATCCATCCCACAACACAGTCCTTATAGTCACGATTGCTGTCATGGTGGTCAAGTGCGGCAGTCATTTGGGCTCCCAAGGCATGTGCTTCAGTTGGCACTTCATCACAATCAACCCTAGGTTAATTAATTGTGATGCCTCTTTATGCCAGGGATTATTAGCATCCATTTCTCATTGGCAAAGAGTTCAGCACTATGCTCAAGCCCAGAGCATGAACAAACCAATCCCCAAGTCCAATCTCTCCAGGTACATTTCCTGGGACCGTTCCTGGCAACAATTCTGTATCAGTCTTAGTCCAGTTAGGAGACAGAATGACACAGGAATTTGAGCAGAGAAAGTTTAATATAAGAATTTACCCCTGGGCTAGGCATGGTGGCTCACACCTGTAATCCCAGCACTTTGAGAGGCTGAGGCAGGTGGATCACTTGAGCTCAGGAGTTTGAAACCAGCCTGGGCAACAGGGCGAAACCCCATCTCTACAAAAAATAAACAACAATGGCTGGGCATGGTGATGCAGGCCTATAGTTCCAGCTACTCGGGAGGCTGAGGCAGGAGGATCACTTGAGTTGAGGATGTTGTGGCTGCAGTGAGCTATGATCGTACCACTGCACTCCAGCCTGTGTGACAGACTGAGACCCTGTCTAAAAAAAAAAAAAAAAAAATTAAAAGAAAAATTACCTCTGTTCTGGTGTAGTTGGGTGGAAAAAAAAAAACCTATAACAGGGATTTAGAATAACAAGGGATTGGCTACTAAGATGTAAGAAGATCTCTAAAGAATACAGGAATAACAGATATAAGGCGTAGTCACCATCCCTAGGCTGAGACAGAACACCGATGAGGCTGAGATCCAGAGCTTGTTGGAAAAACCATGGCTGTAGTTACTGAATGGTAGAGAAGTTCATTGTGGTGCTGCACTGATGGAAGTTGTTGGAAATCTACCCTCTGGAAATCTGTTAGCTATGGTGCTGGGGAAAGCTGTTCGCTGCTGAGTGCTGCTGGTATCTGTCCACTGCAGGAGCCCGGCACTGGGGAAGCTGTGAGTGCTGTGGGATCCAGAGGCACTCTGCTACAAAACTGAGAGTGAGTGCTGGAGGAAGGGGAAAGCTGCTGGTCACTGGGTGCTATTGGCCACCATGCACTGTAGGAACCAGGCACTGGAAAGGCTGTGAGCACTGGAGGAGTTAAAAAAAGCCAGGCAGCGGGAGCCTGCCGAGTGAGCACAGGAATCAGGAAGGAGGCCCCTTTTCCTTTTGCAATATCTCTCCAGCACCCTCTGAGAAAGCTTCAGTGGCAGCTGGCAAAGGAAAAAATAGTTAAAATATGTTCCATTTTCACAGAGCAGACAGAAAGTTGAATTTGAAGTTGAGAGGCAATAAATCAATAACCAGCATATTATGGGTCAAAGAAGAAATCAGAAAGTATTTTGAACTGTATTAAAATGAAAACACAACATACCAAAATTTATGGAATGAAGGAAAAACAAAGTTGGACTGCTTAGAAAAGAATTTATAGCATTAAATTATGATTATTATTTTTTGAGACAGAGTCTCACTCTGTTGCCCAGGCTGGAGTGCAGTGGCGAGATCATAGCTCACTGTAGCCTCGACTTCCTGGGCTCAAGCGATCCTCCCACCTCAGCCTCCCAAGTAACTGGAACCATAGTCATGCACCACAACACCTGGCTAATTTTTTTTTATTTTTGTAGAGACAGGGTCTCACTATGTTGCCCAGGCTAATCTTAAACTCCCAGCATCAAGCAATCTTCCCACCTTGGCCTCCCAAAGTGCTGGGATTACAGGTGTGAGCCACTGTGCCCAGCCTAAATTCTTATATTAGAAAGAAGTGGTCTCAAATCAATGACCTCAGCTTGTACACTAAGAAACTATGATACAAAGAGGAAATTAAACCCGAAGTAAACAGATAAAAGGAAATAATAAAGATAAAGGCTGCTGGGCGCGGTGGCTTATGCCTGTAACCCCAGCACTTTGGGAGGCCGAGGCGGGCAGATCACTTGAGGTAATGAGTTCAAGACCAGACTGGCCAACATGGCAAAACCCCATCTCTACTAAAAATACAAAAATTAGTCGGGCGTGGTGGCAGATGCCTGTAATCCTAGCTACTCGGGAGGGTGAGGCAGGAGAATCCCAAAACAAGAGACTTGTGTTCATAAATTTGACATTGAAGATGAAGTGGATACATTCCTTAAAATATACAAGCTACCAAAGCTCACTCCAGACAAAAGACAACCTGAATAGCCCTGTCTTTAAATAAATTTATTTTGTAGTTAAAAACTTTCCCACAGAGAAAACCCCATTCCCTGGCCAGGTGCAGTGGCTCACGCCTATAATCCCAGCACTTTGGGAAGCTGAGGTGGGAGGATCACTTGAGGCTGGGAGTTTAAGACTAGCCTAGGCAACCAAGCGAGATCCCTGTCTCTACAAAAAGTTTAAAAATTAGCGAGGGCCAGGCACGGTGACTCACCCCTGTAATCCCAGCACTTTGGGAGGCCAAGGCGGACAGATTATGAGGTCAGAAGTTCGAGACCAGCCTGGCCAACATAGTGAAACCCCGTCTCTACTAAAAATACAAAAAAAAAAAAAATTAGCTGGGTATGGTGGCAGGTGCCTGTAATCCCAGCTACTCAGGAGGCTGAGGCAGGAGAGTCGCTTGAACCTGGGAGGTGGAGGTTGCAGTGAGCCGAGATCGCACCATTGCACTCCAGCCTGGTTGACAGTGCGACACTCCATCTAAAAAAAAAAAATAAAAGAAGTTAACCGGGCATGGTGTGGTGGTGTGTGCCTGTAGTCCCAGGGCATGGTGTGGTGGTGTGTGCCTGTAGTCCCAGCTACTTGGGAGGCTGAGGCGGGAGGATTGCTTGAGCCCAGGAGTTCAAGGTTATAATGAGTTATGAGCACGTCACTGCACTCCAGCCTGGGCAACAGAACAAGACCCTGTTTCAAACAAATAAACAAACAAAAGAAAACCCCATGCCCAGATGGCTTCAATGGTGAATTTGACCAAGCAGGAAGAAATAATAGCAGTTGTACACAAACTCTTCCAGAAAATAAAAGAGAAATATATTAATTTTCTGTTGCCGCATAACACATTAAATCAATACCCATTTATTATCTCAGCTTCTGTAGGTTAGAAGTCCCAAACAACAGGTTTTTTTTTTTTTGTTCAAAGTACTACAAAGCTGAAATCAAGGTGTTAGCCAGGCTGAGCTCTTGTTTGCAGGCTCTGAGGAAAAACACACTTCCAAGCTCATTCTTGTTGTTGGTAAAATTCAGTTATTTGCAGTTGTGCAAATGAGGATCCTGTTTCTTTGCTGGCTGTCAGCCAAGGCTGCTCTCATCTCCTAGAGGACACTCACATTTTTTGCCATGGGGCCTCCTGTGTCTTCAGGCCAGCAACAATGTGTGAAATACATTTCATTCTTCTCTCTTTCAGACACAAATTTAAAGGGCTCATGTGATTAGGTCAGGCTCACCCAAATAATCTGTCTATTTTAAGATCAACTGATTTGGGACCTTAGTTACATCTGCAAAATCCCTTAGCAGCAGTAGCTAGATTCGTGTTTAATTAAATAACTAGAGGTGTGCACGTGCACCAGTGGCTGGGAATCTTAGAATTCTGTCTACCACAAGGAGGGAATACTTCCCAACATATTCTATGAGTTCAGCATTACCTTGATCCTGATATCAAAACCAAAGACATCACAAAAAAAAAATTGACAGACCAAATATCTCCCACAAACATAGATATGCAAATTTTTAACAAAATTCGAGTAAATCAAATCCAACACAATTCATAAAAAGGATAATATATGGCCAGGTGCAGTGGCTCACACCTGTAATCCCAACACTTTGGGAGAACGAGGCAGACAGATCACCTGAGGTCAGGAGTTCGAGACCAGCCTGGCCAACGTGGTGAAACCCCGTTTCTACTAAAAATACAAAAAATTAGCCAGGTGTGGTGGTGTGCGCCTGTAATCCCAGCTACTTGGGAGGCTGAGGCATGAGAATCACTTGAACCCGGAAGGCAGAGGTTGCAGTGAGCTGAGATCACGCCATTGCACTCCAGCTTGGGCAACAAGAGGGAAACTCCATTTCAAAAAAAAAAAAAAAGGATAATATATTACAACCAACTGGGGGTTATCCCACGAACATGAGGTTGGTTTGACACATTGACAATCAATCATGCCAGGCGTGGTGGCTCATCCCTGTACTTCCAGCACTTTGGGAGGCTGAGGTGGGTTGGTCACTTGAGCCCAGGAGTTCCAGAGCAGCCTGGCCAACTTGGCAAAACCTCATCTCTACAAAAAATACAAAAAGTTAGCTGGGCCTGGTAGCATGCACTTGTAGTCCCAGCTACTTGGGAGGCTAAGGTAAAAGAATCACCTGAGCCCCTGAGGTCAAGGCTGCAGTGAGCTGAGATCACACCACTGCACTCCAGCCTGGGCAACAGAGTGAGACCCTGTCTCTAAATAAATTAATAAATAATTGAAAAAAGTTAAAGAAAATCAATCAGTGTTATTCAGCATATTAACAGACTATGGAAAAAATATGATCATCTCAATTGATGCTAATAAAGTGTTTGATAAAAGTCAACATCCATTCCTGACTCAATGAAACATAATAAAACTGAACAAAACCAAACTCTTAAAAAATTAGGAATAGAAGAGACCTACCTCAACTTCTGAAAGGGCACTTACATAGAAACTATAGCCAACCTCATTCTTAAGGATAAAAGACATTGTGTTCATCCCAACATCAGAAAAAGATAATAAAAAGATCATTTGATTATCTTTTGCATGTGACATGATTGTCTCTCTACTAAAGAATAAAAAAATAAAAAATTAACTGCTTTCATGAGAGACAGGACCAGAATTTAAAACTATTCAATCCCACTGGGACCATCTGTTTTCTGTCGTCAACACACTGCAGCTAAAGCTATACAATGTTAAAACACCCTCCATCTAGGCCCAGGGACTATCACGGAAGAGATGGGCATGTGAGATTATAAGGGCTGGTTTTGAGGGATGCAATTAGTTCAGACCCTCCAAATCAAGGAAAGACACACAGATGCTTAAACAGCTGACAAACTGAGGAACTTTGCCTCTCTAAATTTCTTAACTCAAATGAGTTTAACAAAATATTAATGTTTTATATACCTAATTACTAAAAGTCAATAGCTAAGACCAGGATTCAATTCTATAAACTTACCTTTTTTTTTTTTTTTTGGACAGGGTCTCTCTCTGTTGCCCAGAATGGAGTGCAGTGGCAGGATCTTGGCTTATGGCTCACTGCAGCCTCGACTTCTTGGGCTCAAGCCATCCTCTCGCCTCAGCCTCCCGAGTAGCTGGGACTACAGGTGTGTACCACCACACACAGCTAATTTTTGTATTTTCTGTAGAGATGGGGTTTCACCATGTTGCCACGCTGGTCTGGAACTCCTGAGCTCAAGTGATCTGCCCACCTTTGTCTCCCAAAGTGCTGGGATTGTAGGTGTGAGCCACTGCACCTGGCCACCTTATTTTTTTGGCTTTTGGCTTTTGACAGATATTACTTAAAAGGTTTTAAGGGTTAATGAATGTCTGCCCACCTCCACTCCCATCTGCCCTAAAACATTTAATTGGCTATCATTCTTTTGGCTCTAAGTCCCTTGGCCACAGGGGTCTTACCAAGGGACAAGGTGGACTCAGGCTAGGTAGCTGCACCACCCTAACGATGATATGGGACAAAATTAAAAATTTGGCTATCAGTGCTGCCTCTGACAAATCTTGGCCACAAAAGGGGAAATGTAAATGAAAAATAAAACCCTAAGTCCCCTCAGCCAATGGAATGGACCCTCTTTTAGCTGAGGACTCCCCCAAAAGCTTAAAACTGAGTTCCAGTCATAATAGGACAGGAGGTCAGACACACCTCATTATACCCCCTCTCTTTTATGGTTTAGACACAACAGCTGACCAGCATTAATGTTAAGATCTCTAGAGATCAGATCATAAAACTGACAAAACAGGCTCTGTCAAATAAAATCTCATGGCTACCCCAAGGTTTTCAGTCTGTTTTACAAGGACTTTTAAAATCTGGGCTCCCATGCAGTGGCTCACACCTGTAATCCCAGCACTATGGGAGGCCAAAGCAGGCGGATCACCTGAGGTCAGGAGTTTGAGACCAGCCTGGCCAACATGATGAAACCCCATCTCTAGTAAAAATGCCAAAATTAGCCTGGCGTGGTGGTGTAAGCCTGTAATCCCAGCTACGCGGGAAGTTGAGGCAGGAGGAACCCTTGAACCCTGGAGGCAGAGGTTGCAGTGAACGGAGATCAAGCCATGCACTCCAGCCTGGCGACAGAGTGAGAGTCTGTCTCAAAAAAAGACTGGGGGCAGTGGCTCATGCCTGTAATAACAGCACTTTGGGAGGCTGAGGCGGGTGAATCACCTGAGGTCAGGAGTTTGAGACTAGCCTGGCCAACATGGTGAAACCCCGTCTCTACTAAAATTACAAAAATTAGCTGGGCGTGGTGGCAGGCACCTGTAATCCCAGCTACTCGGGAGGCTGAAGCAGGATAATTGCTTGAACCCAGGAGGCAGAGGTTGCAGTGAGCCAAGACTACACCACTGCACTCCAGCCTGGGTGACAAGAGCGAAACTCCATTTCAAAAAAAAAAAAAAGAAAGAAAAAAAAATTGGCTTCCGGTTTCTGACAAGAGGGTTTATAATTTATTTTATAGTCCATTGTATCATTAAATGCTATGCTAAGACAGTGCACAGGAGCACTAATGTGTTCATGCCCCTGAAATCCTCGACGGGGCACTTGTAGATACTTACAGGTTACTGCCAGGCAGTTTCATTCCTCTAATCCTGAATCTCACTCCGACTATGCCCCTTGCCAGGAAAGAAAAAAGCTGGAGTGGTCTTTGCCCGATTCCCACCATATTAACTCTCACCTCAGGACTGAGGGATAATCAAGTTCAGGGGAGCTGAAACTATCCCATAAACTTAAAAAAGAAAATTAATCAGGGAAGAAGGGAAGGGGAGAAACAAAAATAAACCAAGCTTGCAGGACATTCAGCATTCACCAAGAGGTCAGCTTGCTCCCTGACCTGCTTCCTCAGAGTTGTTTGCTGCCCATTTTCCCAGAATCACATAACCCCTAGTTTATCCTGCCCTTAACTACTCTATAGATAACAACTTGAACATTATAAAACATTGTTTTCCCTTTGAAATATTGTTTTAGATCCTGCATGCCAGTAAAACTACTGATGTCAGCTGGTCTGAAAGACTCATAAGAAGGTCACTCACTGGCTGGGCTTGGTGGCTCACACCTGCAATCCTAGCACTTTGGGAGGCCGAGGCGAGTGGATCGCTTGAACCCAGGAGTTCAAGTCCAGCCTGGCCAGCGTGGTGAAATCCCATCTCTACAAAAAATACAAAAATTAGCCGGGCACTGTGGCATGCACCTGTAGTCCCAGCTAGTCAGGAGGCTGAGGTAGGAGGATTGCTTGAGCCCAGGAGGTCAAGGCTGCAGTGAGCCAAGATCCTGCCACTGCACTCCAGCCTGGGCGATAGAGTGAGACCCTCTCTCAAAAAGAAAAAGATGGGCCAGGCGCAGTGGCATGATCTCAGCTCACTGCAACCTCTGCCTCCTGAGTTCAAGTGATTCTCGTGCCTCAGCCTCCCAAGTAGCTGGGATTACAGGCGTGAATGCCCTGTAATATGTCATTGTCAGTGCCCTGCAGCCAAAGACTGGGAATATGAACATGCCCTTAGTTGAACAAGTTGGGTTTATTACTTTTTGCAGCAGAGGAGAATGCACACCATAGAGAACTACGGGGCATCTCGGGAAGAGAGTGTCAGAACAGATGTGTTATGGGATTTGGGCTTGTGTTAGATGTTTTGGGGGAGGGCTTAAGGAAGTGAGGTTTTACGTTAAGTTGAATGCTATCCAGAAGTGGAAGTAATTCTATGATTGGGTATATGAATAAATCTTATCTAGAAGGAGGGAGGACTAGAGAGAGGCTAAAGCTGTACAGGTGCTCCTCAGTTTCCAAGGCTATTATATCCTGATAAACCCATCATAAATTGAAAATAAAATAAAACAGAGCCACACATCCCAGTTTATGTGGTTTGTTCACACCTATTGCCCAGCATAATTATTATTTAAAAAAATTTTTTTTGAGATGGAGTCTCGCTCTATCACCCAGTGGTATGATCTCGGCTCACTGCAACCTCCGCCTCCCAGGTTCAAGCAATTCTCCGGCCTCAGCCTCCTGAGTAGCTGGGACTACAGGTGCGTGCCACCACGCCCGGCTAGTTTTTTGTATTTTTAGTAGAGATGGGGTTTCACCATATGAGCCAGGATGGTCTCCGTCTGCTGACGTGGTGATCCGCCCGCCTTGGCCTCCCAAAGTGCTGGGATTACAGGCGTGAACCACCACGCCCGGCCCAAAAAAAATTTTTTTAGAGACAGGGTCTTGCTCTGTCTCCCAGGCTGGAGTGCAGTGGTGTGATCAGAGCTTACTACAGCCTTGAACTCCTGCCTCAGCCTCCCAAGTAGCTGGGACTACAGGTGTGTATCACCATGCCCAGCTAATTTTTAAAATTTTTGTTTAAAATAAAACACAGGGTCTCACTATGTTGGCCAGGTTGGTCTTGAACTCCTGGCCTCAAGTGATCCTCCCTACCTTGGCCTCCCAAAGTGCTGGGATTACAGGTGTGAGCCACCTCACCAGGCCTCTAGTATAATTATTAATAGTACTCCTTTTATTCTTAAATTTGTCTAACTTTAGATTATAATTTATATGGTCACATTAATTATAAGAGAAAGAGACTCTTTTAATAAGGAGATAATCAATGGTAATCATAATGCACAAACAGATCAGTGGAGGGAATTCTTAGAGGATAAAAAAAGACATGTTTAATCCTATTGGGCAAGCAGCCATTAATTAGCCTTCATGCAGAATTAGGTCTGTTACTGGCCTAGTGGCAGAAATGAAATTGCTCTATACATTATGATCCTAAAAGAAGGCCAGGCACATGGGAGGCAGAGGTTGTGGTGAGCTGAGATCGCGCCACTGCACTCCAGCCTGGGTAACAGAGTGAGACTCAGTCTCAAAAAAAAAAAAAAAAAAAAAGGCCGGGCACAGTGGCTTACGCCTGTAATCCCAGCACTTTGGGAGGCTGAGGCAGAAGGCTCACAATCACTTTAGCCCAGGAGTTTAAGACCAGCCTGGGCAACATATTGAGACCTTGTCTCTACAGAAAATAAGAAAAAAACTAGTTGGGGCCGGTGCAGTGGCTCACGCCTGTAATCCTAGCACTTTGGGAGGCCGATGCAGGTGGATCACCTGAGGTCAGGAGTTCAAGACCAGCCTGGCCAACATTGTGAAACCCCGTCTCCACTAAAAGTACAAAAATTATCTGGGTGTGGTGGTACATGCCTGTAGTCCCAGCTACTTGAGAAGCTGAAGCAGGAGAATCGCTTGAACCTGGGAGATGGAGGTTGCAGTGAGCCGAGATCGCACCACTGCACTCCAGCCTGGGTGACAGAGTGAGACTCCGTCTAGAAAAAAAAAAATTGTTGGGCATCGTGGCGCATGCCTGTAGTCCCAGCTACTTGAGAGGCTGAGGTGGGAGGATCGCTTAGTCAAGGCTGCAGTGAGCTGAGATCATGCCACTGCACTTCAGCCTGGGTGAAAGAGAGAGACCCTGTCTCAAAAAACAACAACGACAACAACAAAAAACACTAATAAAAGAGTAAAATTGGTTTTCTCTTCACGTGGTATTAATAATAGATAAAATATTTTGTTCACCTTTTGTGTAAACTGCAAAAAAAAAAGTGGAGAGAGAAACAGATTCTGTGTGTGTTGTGCTGTCTTTATTAGGTATATTTATATGAATATGTTATTAATATGTGTTCCAGAATTGTATGGGATTCCTAAAAATTGATATGTCTTGATATATGTTATCTGTCATAACTATGATTATTATGTTAAATTGTTGTAAGCCCATAGAACATAACCAAATGTATTTGTCAAGTGTGTCTTTAACCATACCTTTAAAAATTTTATTGTCCATAGTTAATAGCTTTATTCTGATACTTCTAAAAGTATACTTTATAAGCAAGTATAATGTTAAAGTTTTGTGTCTTCATGGAGGTTCATGAAAAGGATAAAAAGAATCTGATGAGTATTCTGAAATAAAGACACTGAAATATAGACCTCTGGTGATGACTTTCATATTATTCAATAGTACTGGATAAGAATTTCAAAAACTCCAGTGGAAAAAACTGGACTCATAAAACTGCTAATGCAGCAACAAGCACAATAAGAATTAATGACATGGGACTTAACTGATGGTGCATTTTTTTTTTTTTTGAGATGGAGTCTCACTCTGTCGCCCAGGCTGGAGTGCAGTGGCGCGATCTTGGCTCACTGCAAGCTCCGCCTCCAGGGTTCACGCCATTCTCCTGCCTCAGCCTCCCCAGTAGCTGGAACTACAGGGGCCTGCCACCATGCCCAGCTAATTTTTTTTTTTTAATAGAGACGGGGTTTCACTGTGTTAGCCAGGATGGTCTCAATCTCCTGACCTGTTTTTTTTTTTTTTTTGAGATGGAATCTCACTCTTGTCACCCAGGCTGGAGTGTGGTGGTGTGATCTCGGCTCACTGCAACCTCCGCCTCCCAGGTTCAAGAGATTATCCTGCCTCAGCCTCCCGAGTAGCTGGGATTACAGGTGCTCGCCACCATGCTTGGCTAGTTTTTTGTATTTTTAGTAGAGACAGGGTTTCACCATGTTGGCCAGGCTGGTCTTGAACTCCTGACCTCAAGAGATCTGCCTGCCTTGGCCTCCCAAACTGTTGGGATTACAGGTGTGAGCCACCGTGCCCAGCCTAGTTTTTTTATTGACTTCTTTTTGTTTGAAACATTGCTGATTCTTTTTATGTTTTGTTTTCCAGATTCAAGACAACTTTTTTCCTTCTAAGCTATCTATATAGCTTTACAGCAATTTGGTAAAGTATACTTTTGTCAACAAAATTGAAACATTAACCTTTCTCTCTACCTGACCTCTTCAGAATTTGGAAACTATTTGTGAGTATGCTTATTGTATGGCAATGTTACCGGAAACGGGTCTTGATCCATACCCCAAGAGAGGGTTCTTGGATCTCACACAAGAAAGAATTTGGAGTGAGTCGGCCAGGTGCAGTAGCTCACACCTGTAATCCCAGCACTTTGGGAGGCCGAGGTGGGTGGATCACGAGATCAGGAGATCGAGACCGTCCTGGCTAACATGGTGAAACCCCATCTGTACTAAAAATACAAAAAATTAGCCAGGCGTGGTGGCGGGCGCCTGTAGTCCCAGCTACTTGGGAGGCTGAGGCAGGAGAATGGCCTCACAGAGTGAGACTCCATCTCAAAAAAAAAAAAAAAAAGAATTTGGAGTGAGTCCATAGAGTAAAGTGAAAGCAGGTTTATTAAAGTAGAGAAACAAAACAATGGCTACTCCAGACAGAGCAGTGGCATGGGCTGCTCGACTGAGTATACTTACGGTTATTTCTCGATTATATATGCTAAACAAGGGGTGGATTATTCATGAGTTTTCTGGGAAAGGGGCAGGGATTTCCCCTGTAACTGAGGGTTCCTTCCCCTTTTAGACCATATAGGGTAATTTCTAGACATTACTATGGCATTTGTAAACTATCCCGGTGTCCCGGTGGGAGTGTCTTTTAGCATGCTAATGTATTATAAATAACATATAAACAGTGAGGATGACCAGAGTTCGCTTTTGTCGCCATCTTGGATTTGGCAGGGTTTGGCCAGCTTCTTTACTGCATCCTGTTTTATCAGCAGGGTCTTTATGATCTGTATCTTGTGATACCAATCCTGCCGACCTCCTATCTCATCCTGTGACTAAGAATGCCTAACCTCCTGGGAATACAGCCCAGTAAGTCTCAGCCTTATTTTATGCAGCCCCTATGCAAGAGGGAGTCACTCTTGTTCCAAGGCCTCTGAAGGCAATGTAGCTATTTGCGTACATTCAATAAGAATCTGTTTTCTCCCCTCTCCCCTCTCCCCTCTCCCCTCTCCCCTCTCCCCACGGTCTCCCTCTCCCTCTCTTTCCACGGTCTCCCTCTGATGCTGAGCCAAAGCTGGACTGTACTGCCACCATCTCGGCTCACTGCAACCTCCCTGCCTGATTCTCCTGCCTCAGCCTGCCGAGTGCCTGCGATTGCAGGTGCGCGCTGTCACGCCTGACTGGTTTTCGTATTTTTTTGGTGGAGACGGGGTTTCGCTGTGTTGGCCAGGCTGGTCTCCAGCTCCTAACCGGGAGTGATCTGCCAACCTCGGCCTCCCGAGGTGCCAGGATTGCAGATGGAGTCTCGTTCACTCAGTGCTCGACGTTGCCCAGGCTGGAGTGCAGTGGCGTGATCTCCGCTCGCTACAACCTCCACCTCCCAGCCGCCTGCCTTGGCCTCCCAAAGTGCCGAGATTGCAGCCTCTGCCCGGCCGCCACCCCGTCTGGGAAGTGAGGAGCGTCTCTGCCTGGCCACCCATCGTCTGGGATGTGAGGAGCCCCTCTGCCCGGCTGCCCAGTCTGGGAAGTGAGGAGCGCCTCTTCCCGGCCGCCATCCCGTCTAGGAAGTGAGGAGCGCCTCTGCCCGGCCGCCATCCTGTCTAGGAAGTGAGGAGCGCCTCTGCCCGGCCGCCCATCGTCTGAGATGTGGGGAGCGCCTCTGCCCTGCCACCCAATCTGGGATGTGAGGAGTGCCTCTGCCCGGCCGCGACCCCGTCTGAGAGGTGATGAGCGTCTCTGCCCGGCCGCCCCATCTGAGAAGTGAAGAGCCCCTCCGCCCGGCAGCCGCCCCGTCTGAGAAGTGAGGAGCCCCTCTGCCCGGCAGCCGCCCCGTCTGGGAAGTGAGGAGTGTCTCCATCCGGCAGCCACCCCGTCTGGGAGGGAGGTGGGGGGTCAGCCCCTGCCCGGCCAGCCGCCCCGTCCGGGAGGGAGGTGGGGGGCGCCTCCGCCCGGCCACTGCCCCGTCCGGGAGGTGGGGGGCGCCTCTGCCCAGCCGCCCCTTCTGGGAAGTGAGGAGCCCCTCTGCCCAGCCAGCCACCTCATCCGGGAGGGAGGTGGGGGGGTCAGCCCCCCGCCCGGCCAGCCGCCCCGTCCGGGAGGTGGGGGGCGCCTCTGCCCGGCCGCCCCTTCTGGGAAGTGAGGAGCCCCTCTGCCCGGCCGCCACCCCGTCTGGGAGGTGTACCCAACAGCTCATTGAAAACGGGCCATGATGACGATGGCGGTTGTGTCGAATAGAAAAGGGGGAAATGTGGGGAAAAGACAGAGAAATCAGATTGTTGCTGTGTCTGTGTAGAAAGAAGTAGACATAGGAGACTCCATTTTGTTCTGTACTAAGAAAAATTCTTCCGCCTTGGGATGCTGTTGATCTATGACCTTACCCCCAACCCCGTGCTCTCTGAAACATGTGCTGTGTCCACTCAGGGTTAAATGGATTAAGGGCGGTGCAAGATGTGCTTTGTTAAACAGATGCTTGAAGGCAGCATGCTCGTTAAGAGTCATCACCACTCCCTAATCTCAAGTACCCAGGGACACAAACACTGCGGAAGGCCCCAGGGTCCTCTGCCTAGGAAAACCAGAGACCTTTGTTCACTTGTTTATCTGCTGACCTTCCCTCCACTATTGTCCTATGACCCTGCCAAATCCCCCTCTGTGAGAAACACCCAAGAATGATCAATTAAAAAAAAAAAAAGAATCTGTTTTCTTTTGTAACAGTACACAATTGGAAATGCTGGTTATTTTACCAAGGCTTTGACTGAAATGTCATATTTTCAGATATGACCAGACTCTGATTTGAGGGATTGAAGTGTTTTGTTTTGTTTTTTGAGACGGAGTTTTGCTCTTGTTGCTCAGGCTGGAGTGCAATGGAGGTGATCTTGGCTCACTGCAACCCCCACCTCCTGGGTTCAAGCGATTCTCCTGCCTCAGCCTCCCAAGTAGCTGGGATTACAGGCATGCGCCACCACACCCAGCTAATTTTTGTATTTTTAGTAGAGACAGGGTTTCACCACATTGGCCAGGCTGGTCTCGAACTCCTAACCTCAGGTGATCCGCCCGCCTCAGCCTCCCAAAGTGCTGGGATTATAGACACTGCGCCCGGCCTGTTTTCTTTTTCTTTTTCTTTTTTTTTTGGGATGGAGTCTTGGTCTGTTGCCCAGGCTGGAGTGCAGTGGTGCGATCTTGGCTCATTGCAAGCTCTGCCTCCTGGGTTCACGCCATTCTCCTGCCTTAGCCTCCAGAGTAGCTGGGACTGCCTGCCACCATGCCAGGCTAATTTTTTTTGTATTTTTAGTAGAGACAGGGTTTCACCATGTTAACCAGGATGGTCTTGATCTCCTGACCTCATGATCCGCCTGCCTTGGCCTCCCAAAGTGCTGGGATTACAGGCGTGAGCCACCGTGCCTGGCCGTTTGTTTGTTTGTTTGTTTGTTTTTTAATAGAGCTAATGAAAAGCCCCTTGGAAAAACTGGCCTGGTACCTTGTCTACATGGTTCCCTTACAGGGTTCCCAGGGTTCCCAACCTTGTGGAAAGTAAAGAATGTCACTTTGTGACAGGCCCAAAAGCTCAAGGTATTTTGGGGACCTGAAGAAGAGAGTAATTCACCCAATTCATGCACATATTACAAACAGTCTGAGGGCAAGTCAAATCCTTGGCTTGGCTCCTTAGCCTCAAGAGGTTTTTTTAAAAAAAGGAATCTGATTCCTTGTGAAAAAGTTCCAGCAAAGCCAACTTTAAAAGAGCCCATTTAATAAATCCCTATTCTTGCCAGGCAAGGTAGCTCTCACCTGTAATCCCAGCATTTTGGGGGGCCGAGGCAGGTGGATCACCTGCGGTCTGGAGTTCGAGACCAGCCTGGCCAACATGGCGAAATCCCATCTCTACTAAAAATACAAAAATTGGCTGGGTGTGGTGGTGTGTGCCTGTAGTCCCAGCTACTTGGGAGGCTGAGGCAGGAGAATCGCTTGAAACCAGGAGGCAGAGGTTGCAGCGAGCCGAGATCGTGCCACTGCACTCCAGCCTGGACAGCAGAGTAAGACTCCATCCCAAAACACACAAAAAAAGCAAAAAAAAAAAAAAAAATCCCTATTCTTAATTCACTTTATGTATAATCAGGCCAAGTTAATGAAACTAAAGTTATTTTACAAATTAATTTTATGGGCATGGTGGCTCATACTTGTAATCCCAGCACTTTGGGAGGCTGAGGTGGGTGGATCACCTGAGTTCAGGAGTTCCAGATCAGCCTGGCCAACATGGTGAAACCCCGTCTCTACAAAAAATACAAAAATTAGCTGAGCATGGTGGTGGGCACCTGTAATCCCAGGTCCTCAGGAGCCTGAGGCACAAGAATCGCTTGAACCCAGTAGGCATAGGCTGCAGTGAGCTGAGATTGTGCCACTGCACTCCAGCCTGGACGACAGAGAAAAACTCTGTCTCAAAACAAAAAACAAAAAACAAAAAACAGGCTGAGTGCAGTGGCTCATGCCTGTAATTCCAGCACTTTGAGAGGCCGAGGTGGGCAGATCACCAGAGGCTAGGAGTTCGAGACCAGCCTGGTCAACATGGCTAAATTCTGTCTCTACTAAAAATATAAAAGTTAGCCTGGCATGGTGGCACACACCTGTAATCCCAGCTACTCGGGAGGCTGAGGTGGGAGAATTGCTTGAACCCAGGAGTCAGATGCTGCAGTGTGCTGAGATTGTGCCACTGTGCTACAGCCTGGGAGACAGAGCAAGACCTCGACTCAAAAAAAAAAAAAAATTAAAAACAACAGCAACGAAAAAAAAACCCAAATTAATCTTACCACGATTATCTTTGGTAAAAAATGGATGAAGGGGACTGGAGAGAGAAAAATTATATTTCAGAAGAAAACTATAGTGTAACTGTTTCTAGTTAGAACTGTTTTTAGTTACTGTTTCTAGTGAACAAGATTCTAGCCTTGCTCATTGGTTTTTTTTTTTTTTTTTGGTTTTTAAAAATTATTTGGACTGAATCTAAAAATTTTAGTTTCTTCCAATGTCTGGCTGTGACTCTCTAGATGAATGTTTTTAATTTTTCTCCCACCCTTCTGACTTGGAATTGTGGGGGCTAAGGCTCTTGGCCCCCTAAAGGTTTGCTGAAAACCACTGACATAAGGCAGTTGATTAACAGGAAAAAAGGCATATACATTTATTTAATGTGCATACACAGGAGCCTTCCGAATGAAGACCCAACCTCCCCATGAGGTTCAGAAGCTCATATACCATCATGAGGTTATAGACAATGGTGGCTTGGATCCTAGTAAAACAGGTTATGGGAGGAGGGAGAAGAGGAATTCTATTGAGGAGCAGAAAATGATTACTAGGGAGAATGATTGGATCTTGGATCAGGGGACAGAAATTAACTTGTAAATAGTTCTTTTCGGAATTTAAATGATCCTCGGAGACAATTATTTTCTTTCTTCAGTCCTTCCTTCCTTCTTTCCTTCCTTCCTTCCTTCCTTCCTTCCTTCCTTCCTTCCTTCCTTCCTTCCTTCTTCCTCTCTCTCTCTTTCTCTTTTCGTTTCATTTCATTTCATTTCTTTCTTTTCTTTTCTTTTTTGAGACAGGGTCTGGCTCTGTTGCCCAGGCTGGAGTACAGTGGCACAATTACGGCTCATGGCAACCTCAACCTCCCGGGGTCAAGTAATTCTCCCACCTCAGCAGAATAGCTAGGACTACAGGCACGCACCACCATACCTGACTAATTTTTAAAAATCTTCTGTAAAGATGGAGTTTAGCCATGTTGGCCAGGCTGGCCTCGAGCTCCTGGGCTCAAAAAATCCACCCACCGCAGGGCGCGGTGGCTCATGCCTGTAATCCCAGCACTTTGGGAGGCCAAGGCGGGTGGATCACGAGGTCAGGAGATCGAGACCATCCTGGCTGACACGGTGAAACCCCGTCTCTACTAAAAATACAAAAAATTAGCCGGGCATAATGGCGGGTGCCTGTAGTCCCAGCTACTCAGGAGGCTGAGGCAGGAGAATGGCATGAACCCAGGAGGCGGAGCTTGCAGTGAGTGGAGATCGCGCCACTGCACTCCAGCCTGGGCGACAGAGCGAGACTCCGTCTCAAAAAAAAAAAAAAAAAAAAATCCACCCGCCTCAGCCTCCCAAAGTGTTGGGGATTACAGGCGTTGAGTCACCACGCTGGCCAACAGTCATTATCTTAAAAAAGGGTCTGTTCAGGTGTGGTTCATCTTGGTCTTCTTTTCTGCAAAAGGTGATGAGAGAACAGGGAGGAGAAGAAAAAACAATGGTTCTCCTTGGTGGGTCTGGATCTTAGGCAGATAAAGGACTTCAACTTATATGGGAGAAACAGTGGGGGATTTGTGGGGAGGTCAGAGAAACCTTGAGGTTTCTCCAGTTCAGCATGTTAAAATGCCATATTTTGGGGTATCAGTTTCTGAGCCCCAACGTTATCACTACAAATTAAAACTACCTTTTCCCTAAGGCCCTACAAGCAGGAGCTAGTCAACTTGGCTTTGAAGAAACATCACTCCAACAGCTTATATTTGGACAAATGTTGTATGCACAAACCAGAAAACCTGTCAGATTGCCACTAATTTTCACAATTGACTTCCTCCAGACTCTAGAAATACTAGTTTATAGAGTACTCCAGACATTAACCCTTGTTTTTCTTCTGTTTTCATAGAAATTCCTCTTAAAGGCCGGGCGCTGTGGCTCATGCCTGTAATCCCAGCACTTTGGGAGGCCGACATGGGGTGGATTATCTGAGGTCAGGAGTTCGAGACCAGCCTGACCAACATGGTGAAACCCCGTCTCTACTAAAAAAATACAAAATTAGCCGGGTGTGGTGGCACATGCCTGTAATCCGAGCTACTTGGGAGGCTGAGGCAGAAGAATCGCTTGAACCCAGGAGGCAGAGGTTGCAGCGAGCTGAGATCGCACCATTGCACTCCAGCCTGGGCAACAAGAGTGAAACTCCATCTCAAAAAAAAAAAAAAAAAGAAATTCCTCTTAAGATCTATTTGCCTGCCTCATATATAAAGACCTAGCTTTGAGAGCGCATCTGCAACACCATCTCCTGAAATGAGACACAACTATTTAACTGAACAGGCTGGGCACAGTGGCTCACATCTGTAATCCCAGCACTTTGGGAGGCCGAGGCAGGAGGATTGCTTGAGGCCAGGAGTTTGAAACCAGCATAGGCAACACAGTGAGACTCCATCTCTACAAAAAATAAAAAATAAATTAGCATGGCATGGTGGCACATGCCTGTAGTCCTAGCTACATGGGAGGCTGAGGCAGGAGGATCCCTTGAATTCAGGAGTTTGAGGCTGCAGTGAGCTATGATCATGCCACTGTACTCCAGCCTAGGTGACAGAGCAAGACTCTATCCCTACAACAACCAACCAACCAACCAACCAACCCTGAATCAAGCTATTCTCAGGACTAAAAGCATGATTCAAGAAGATATGGGGCTGGCTGTGGTGGTTCACGCCTGTAATCCCAGCGTTTTGGGAGGCCTGAGGTGGTAGGATCACTTGAGACCAGGAGTTCGAGACCAGCCTTGGCAGCATAGTGAGACCTTGTCTCTACAAAAAAATTTTTTTAACATAAAAAATAATAATAAAAAAGAAGATACAGAACAGCACACTCAATTTTTTTTCCTACTTGTTCAAATCTATGTTTTCTCCCCCTGTGCTTATTTCTTATCTCAGAATGTCTAACCCAAATCTCTCCATAGCTACCAATTCTACTTTAATATGTGAAACTTTCCAAAAATAAAGTTTCAAATGGGGGACTAAAAAAAACCAAAAATATTGCACCCCAAAATATACTTCTTTGACATATTTTGAGATGGCTATTCAGAGGGCCTGCAGACAGGAATAGCCCTGCAAACTGCCTTTTGTGGAGGACATTTGCATCTGTAGACAAAATCTGCATTGATGAAATAAAGAGCCGGGCTTTCTCCACCCCCACCCTCTTGTCCGGATCTAGCAAGGATTGGCTTGTGGGAGAGAGAGACTGAGAGTCTGACACCTATGGGGGTCTGACAGAAACGTATTCTGAAAGCTGCTACCAGTGATGTTTCTTTCTTTTTTCTTTTTCTTTCTTTTTTTTTTTTTTTGAGATGGGGTTTCGCTCTTGTTGCCCAGGCTGAAGTGCAATGGCGTGATCTCGGCTCACTGCAGCCTCTGCCTCTTGGGTTCAAGCAATTCTCCTGCCTCAGCCTCCTCAGTAGCTGGGGTTACAGGCACCCACCACCACACACGGCTAATTTTTTTGTATTTTTAGTAGAGATGAGGTTTCACCATATTGGCCAGGCTGGTCTCGAAATCCTGACCTCAGATGATCTACCCACTTTGGCCTCTCGAAGTGTTAGGATTACAGGCATGAACCACCGCTCCCAGCCCAGTGAGGTTTCTTCTGCATAACAAGACCACCTTTGCTACTCAGGTCTTTCCTCTCCTCTCCCTCCCATAACCAGTCTTGCTTTGTTCCCCTATTATTTCTGTAACCTCAGGATGGTATAAAACTTCAATCTTCTGGTTCTTTCTTTGAGTTTTCTTATTTCATATGACTTCCATTGTATTAGTTTGTTCTCACACTGCTATAAAGAACTACTGGAGATTGGGTAATTTATAAAGAAAAGAGGGTTTTTTGTTTGTTTTGTTTATTTATTTATTTTGAGACGAAGTCTTGCTCTTGTCATCAGGCTGGAGTGCAATGGCACGATCTCGGCTTACTGCAACCTCCGCCTCCCAGGTTGAAGCGACTCTCCCACCTCAGCCTCCCGGGTGGCTGGGATTACAGGCACCTGCACCACACCTGGCCAATTTTTGTACTTTTAGTAGAGATGGGGTTTCATCATGTTGGCCAGGCTGATCTCAAACTCCTGACCTCCAGTGATCCACCCACCTCGGCCTCCCAAAGTGCTGGGATTACAGGCGTGGGCCACCGCACTTGGCCAAAAAGAGGTTTAATGGACTCACAGTTCTGCATGGCTGGGGAAGCCTCAGGAAACTTACAAAGATGGCGGAAGGTGAAGGGTAGGCAAGCACTTCTTACCATGGTGAAGCAGGACAGAGAGAGAAAGAGCAAAGGGGGAAGTGCCATACTCAGATCTTGTGAGAGCTCACTCACTAGCAAGGGGGAAGTCTGCCCCCATGATCCAATCACCTCCCACCAGGCCCCTCCCCTGACTCATGGGGATTACAATTCAACATGAGGTTTGGGTGGGGACACAGAACCAAACCATATCACCCATGCACATGTGTACACATTAATACATTTTGTATGCCTTTTCTCTTATTAATCTGCCTCTTGCCAGTTGATTTTCAGTGAATCTTCAGAGAGTGAAGGGGAAGTTTTCCCTCAGTCCCTACAAGGAGTTAATCATACTTTTTTTTGTCAGTGGTTAAAATGCTTTTGTGAAAAAGAAAAATGCTTTCCTCATCTGTAGTATAGGACTGTCAGAAGACAAATTACAACAAATGTAGTTTAAAGATCTCAGTTGTCTTTATTCACGATTCTAGAACCAGGCCACATATCATTCCATAAAACTGAATAAGTGTTCCAATGAGCTAAGCAGAAGAGGTTGGCTTCATAGAGAGAGACTGAAGAAAGTGGAAGCAAAGAATGAAGAGCATATTAGTCTTTCCAAAGCTGCTTTTTTGTAAAGGGGAGACAGGGAGACAAAGCAAAGTAAGGCTGATTAAAGCTGACTCTTAAACAACATAGATTTGAACTGTGTGGGTCCACTCATATGCAGATCTTTTTCAAAAAATATATAATAAACATTTTTGGATACTTGTGACAATTAAAAAAAAAAGCAGGCTGGGTGTGGTGGCTCATGCCTGTAATACCACCAGCACTTTGAGAGGCCAAGGTGGGCAGATCATTTGAGGTTGAGAGTTCAAGACCAACTGGTGAAACCGTGTCTCTACTAAAAATATACAAAAATTAGCTGAGCATGGTGGCACATGCCTGTAATCCCAGCTACTTGGGAGGCTGAAGCAGGAGAATCGCTTGAACCCAGGAGGTGGAGGTTGCAATGAGCCGAGATTGTGCTATTGCACTCCAGCCTGGGTGACAGAGGGAGACTCTGTCTTAAAACAAAACAAAACAAAACACAGACCAGGCACAGTGGCTCACGCCTGTAATCCCAGCACTTTGGGAGGCTGAGGTGGGCAGATCACGAGGTCAGGAGATCGAGACCATCCTGGCTAACATGGTGAAACCCCATCTCTACTAAAAATACAAAAAAAAAATTAGCTGGGCATGGTGGCGGGCACCTGCAGTCCCAGTAAGGGAGGAGACAACCTCTCATATTGTCTTATGCCCAATTTCTGCTTCCAAAGAAAGAAGAAGTAAAAACTAAAAGGCAGAAATGAAATCCACAGGCAGACAGCCCAGTGCCACACTCTGGGCCTGGTAGTTAAAGATCAACCCCTGACCTAATCAGTTATGTTATCTATAGATTCCAGACATTGTATGGAAAAGCACTGTGAAAATCCCTGTCCTGTTCTGTTCCGTTCTAATTACTGGTGCATGCAGCCCCCAGTCACATACCCCCTGCTTGCTCAATTGATCACGACCCTCTCACATGGACTCCCTTAGAGTTGTAAGCCCTTAAGAGGGACAGGAATTGCTCACTCGGGGAACTCAGTTGTTGGAGATGTGTGTCTTGCCAAAGCTCCTGGCCAAATAAAGCCCTTCCTTCTTTAACTCGGTGTCTGAGGGGTTTTGTCTGTGGCTTGTCCTGCTACATTTCTTGGTTCCCTGACTAGGAAGCGAGGTGATTAATGTACGGTTGAGGCAGTCCCTTAGGTGGCTTAGGCCTGCCCTGTGGGGGACTCTGGCCAGCTTGAGCAACGCGGATCCTGAGAGCGCTCCCAGGTAGGCAATTGCCCTAGTGGAACGCTTTGCCAGAGCAGCACGTGGCAGGCCCCTGTGGAGGATCAACGCAGTGGCTGAACACTGGGAAGGAACAGGCACTTGGAGTCCGGACATCTGAAACTTGGTAAGACTAGTCTTTGGAACTTGCCCACTCCATTTGAGTGGAAGCGTGGCCTGAGCACCCATGGTATGCCTGTACTGGCACTTTGGTTTTTGTTTTTGACTTGACTTGGATTGCTTGATACTTTGGTTTTGGTTTTGACCTGGCTTGGATTTCTGGATACTCTGATTTTGGTTTTGATTTTGGTTTGGTGTAAACTGTAAAAGTGTGTGTGTGCCCTTTTTACCTGTTCCTTGTTCTGTGGTGTGCATGTGGTGTGAGCATGGTGTTTTGTCTCAAAGGAGCATGAGTCAGGCACAAAGTAAGCCCACCCCACTAGGAACTATGTTGAAAAATTTCAAGAAAGGATTTAAGGGAGACTATGGAGTACTATGACACCAGGAAAGCTTAAAACTTTGTGTAAGATAGACTGGCCAGCATTAGAGGTGGGTTGGCCATCAGAAGGAAGCCTGGACAGGTCCCTTGTTTCAAAGGTATGGCACAACGTAACCTGTAAGCCAGGGCACCCAGACCAGTTCCCGTACATAGACACTTGGTTACAGCTGGTTTTAGACGCCACCCCCCACCCCTCCCACCACAGTGGTTGAGAAAACAGCAGCATAAGTGGCTGGCAGAGGCAAGGAAAGACCAGCAGAGAGAGAGAAAGGAAAGAGACAGAGAGGAAAAGAGGCAAAGAGAGAGAGGAAGAGACAGATAGGAAGAGACAGACAAAGAGGGAGTCAAGGAAAGAGAAAGAGGGAGGCAGAGAGAAAGAGACAGAAGCAAAAGGAAAGTCAAAGAGAAAAAGAGACAAAATCAGAGAAAGAAAGAGATATACAAGTAGTTAAGGAAAAAAAAAAAAACAGTGTACCCTATTCCTTTAAAAGCCAAGGTAAATCTAAAACTTATAATTGATAATTGAAGGTATTCCATGTAACCCTGTAACACTCCAATACCACTTCATTGTCAGTGTGAACAAGGGCGTATCCCAAAAGCACTGAGGCCTTCCTATCAAAAATCCTTAACCCAGTAACCCGTGGATGGCCCAAATGCATTCAATCTGTAGTGGCAACTGCTTTGCTAACAGAAAAAAGTAAAAAAAATAACTTTTAGAGGAAACCTCATTGTGAGCACACCTCACCAGTTCAGAAGTATCTTAAGGAAAAAAAAAAAAGGATGATTTAACAATAACCACTGATAATTCCCTTAACCCAGCAGGTTTCCTAACAGGGGATCTAAATCTTAATTACCATACAAAGGTCCGACCAGACCTAGGAGGAACTCCCTTCAGGACAGGACGATAGATGGTTCCTCCCAGGTAATTAAAGAAAAAAAAAAGCCATCTATACCAATTCTAAGTTAATTTGGACTAAACAAGGTCTTATTAATAGCAAAAGATAATTTAAATCCCAAATTTACAAGGTTTTCAACAAAAGTAAAGTTTGCTAAAAGTTAACAGTGTAACATGTATTATAGTAACTTCTAATCTTGTGGCCTTAGACAGTCTAGTCCACAGACATAAAGGAAGTTCGCTTTGGAAAAGAATAGTAATCATCTTCAAAAAAAAGGGAAAAAAAGGGGGGGCAGAATTTATGTAAAAAGAGTGTTATATGGTAAATTCTTGTCCTGAAATAAATTAACTGGTTGTTTAAAGAAAGAAATGTTTGTAATAAGTCAGAAAGTTGAGGCATGTCAAAGAATTGTCTGCAAAAGTCGTGAAAGATAAAAATGTTATAAAAAAAGAATTTATGAAAGAAATGTTGTATAATTTAAAAGTAACTAGGCCTCTTGAATGTAAAACTATTGAAAAAAAACAGTTTATGTGCAAGGTATATAAGGAAAGTAAAATATACCTTTGGTAAAAGGATTATAAGGAGGCATAAGAATGTAAACTTTACCTACATTAAAAGGTTAAAAAAATGATTGTTTTGAAGGTTTAAGCAAATTTTAAAATGTTAATTGTAAAGGAAATTCTGTGTGTAAACATATTAGTTAAAGTTAAAGGGGTATCATCCAGTTTTTCTGTGAACTGGACGTTAAAGTAAAAACACAATGAGTTTTTCTTAAAGCACCAACCTACTCTTTAACAAAAATTATAAAAGGTTAAAAAGAGTCTATAAAAATCTTACCTTATGGTCCAACATTAAAAATTGAATAAATATGTATACAAAGTTTTATTAAAACTAAGTTTAACATTAATAACACACTAATATAAAGGTGAAGTTTAGCTTATCTGGTATAAAAATCATACAGGAAGCATTGTCAAATATAAAATGTTGTTTGGCTTCTTTAGTCCAAAAACTAATAAAAATAGGTGCTAAAGGAAATTTCTCAGTAGAAAGGCACCAAGAACTATAAAGTCCACTGCTGATGTCCCCACATTAAAAACAAAAGGTCAGTTTCTTAGAAATTATATACTTGGTTTATCTTCCACTTTCCTTTCCCTCAAAACTAAAAGTCTTTTAGCACATGTACCACCCCTAGAATTTCCAGTAAACCAGCACCAGCCTGAAGATCACGTTCTCATCAAAGGGTGAAAAGAAAGGAAACTCGAGCCAGCCTAGGAAGGCCCCTACCTTGTGCTAACCACCGAGACTGCTGTTCGTACAGCTTAAAAAGGATGGACTCATCACACCTGTGTGAAGAAAGTGCCACCCCCTCCAGAGTCATGGGCCATAGTCCCAGGGGAAAAACCCTACCAAACTAAAGCTAAGAAAAATTTAACTCTTTCATCTATTCTATTACTCTTCTTTCCTTGCTCTATTGCTGACCATCTAGTTATTAACATAACCAAGTCAATTTTGCCTCAAACTATTGCATTTAATGCTTGTCTTGTTATACCCTGTGGGGACTTGCCAAGTCAAAGACAGCTCTCTACTTCAGAAAAGTACCTCTGTCCCTCCTGACTCTCCTCAGACTGGGCATTAGTAAATTAGGACCATTTAATCCGAGGAAAGTTCAATAAAGACTCTAGTGTCAACCAGGAGTCTTGCTCCCCAGTGTAGAGCTTTTATGCCATAGTTGGTCCAAAGTTCTGTGGACCACTAAAGAGCAAGGATGGACTGCCCCAACTGGTTTTTGTAATTTCCTAAAATCATACATTCATTTTACTAGATAATCATAGAAGTTATAGACTTAAAACAAACTTTGGCAATTAAGACAGGATACCAAGATGCAAATGCCTGGTTGGAATGGATCAAATATTCCATCCGCACCTTAAACAAAAGCAATTGTTATGCTTGTGCACATGGCAGGTCAGAGGCCCAGATTGTCCCCTTTCCACTAAGGTGGTCCTCCAGTCGACCAGGTGTAGGCTGCATGGTAGCTCTCTTCCAGGATTCTACAGCCTGGAGTAATAAGTCATGCCAAGCTCTCTCTGCTATATTCCAAAGTCCAGTACCCTGCGGGTCAGCCCCCAAGGGCCATCCAGCCTCCATCTCCCAACACTAAGTTCACTTCGTGTCTCTCACGACAGGGAGGAAACTTAGTGCTCCTTGGAGACCCGAAGGGATGCAGTGAGCTTAATAATTTTCAAGAGCTTATCAATCAGTCAGCGCTTGTTCATCCCTGAGTGGATGTGTGGTGGTATTGGGGTGGACCTTTACTGGGCACTCTGCCAAATAACTGGAGTGGCACTTGTACTTTAGTCCAATTGGCTATCCCTTTCACCCTGGCATTTCATCAACCAGAGGGAGGAAAAATAAGACATCGTAAAGCAAGAGAAGCCCCTTATGGGTCTTTCAACTCTCTTGTCTATTTAGACGCAATTGGAGTCCCACGGGGAATACCAGATCAATTTAAAGCTTGAAATGAAATAGCTGCAGGATTTGAATCAATGTTTTGGTGGGTGACAGTTAATAAAAATGTAGGTTAGATAAACTACATCTATTACAACCAACAGCAACAAGCTTTTCATGAGTTAAAAGAAAAACTCATGTCAGCCCCAGCCCTGGGGCTACCTGACCTGACAAAACCCTTTACACCCTATGTGTCAGAAAGAGAAAAAATGGCAGTTGGAGTTCTAACCCAGACTGTGAGGCCCTGGCCAAGGCCAGTGGCCTATCTCTCAAAACAACTAGATGGGGTTTCCAAAGACTGGCCCCCATGTCTAAGGGCCCTGGCAGCAATGGCCCTGTTAGCACAAGAAGCAGATAAACTAACCCTTGGGCAAAACCTGAATATAAAGGCCCCCCATGCTGTGGTAACTTTGATGAATACCAAAGGACATCACTGGTTAGCAAATGCTAGATTAACCAAGTACCAAAGCTTGATCTGTGAAAATCCCCACATAACCATTGAAGTTTGCAACACCCTAAACCCCACCACCTTGCTCCCAGTATCAGAGAGCCTGGTTGAACATAACTGTGTAGAGGTGTTGGACTCAGTTTATTCTAGTGGGCCCAACCTCCGAGACCATCCTTGAACATCAGTAGACTGTGAGCGGTATGTGGACGGGAGCAGCTTCGCCAACCCCTGCAAAGTAACTCTGAAGAAGATGACAAGCCCTGCTCCAGTCACACCCGGAAGCTGACTGGTCCACGCACGGCTGAAGCATGAGACAACTCATCGCGGGACTCATTTTCCTTAAAATTTGGACTTGTACAGTAAGGACTTCAACTGACCTTCCTTGGACTGAGGACTGTTCCCAGTGTATACATCAAGTCACTGAAGTAGGACAAAAGGTTGCTACGGTCCTATTATTTTATGGTTATTATAAGTGTGCTGGAACTCTAAAAAGAACTTGCTTGTATAATGTTATTCTATACAAGGTACATAGCCCAGGAAATGACCAACCTAATGTGTGTTATGACCCATCTGAGCCCCCATGACCACGGTTTTTAAAATAAGATTAAGAACTGAGGACTGATGGGGGCTCATAAACGATACGAGTAAAGTGTTAGCCAAAACAGAAGAAAAAGGGGTGCCCAAACAAGTCACCTTGAAACTTGATGCCTGTGCTGTCATTAATAGTAATAAGTTAGGAATAGGATGTGGTTCTCTTAATTAAGAAAGAGGCTATATGGCAGAAAATAAGTACATTTGTCATGAATTAGGACTGTGCGGAAATAATGTGGATACTGGTCTTGTCATTTAGGCTACTTAGATAAAAAATGGAAAAAATCCTGTCACCTTCAGCAAGGGAAAAGTGGCCCTTCCCGTACCAGTGGTCAGTGTAACCCCTTAGAACTAGTAATAACTAACTCCCTTAATCCTCACTGGAAAAAAAGGGAACGTGTAACCCTGGAAATCGATGGGGCTAGACTGGATGCTCAAGTAAATATCATAGTTTGAGGAGAAGTTTATAAACGCTCTCCTGAGCCAGTATTTCAAACCTTCTATGATGAACTGAATGTGCCAGTACCAGAAATTCCAGGAAAAACAAGAAATTTGTTTTTTCAATTAGCCGAGCATGTAGCCCAGTCTCTCAATGTCACTTCATGTTATGTATGTCGAGGAACTGTAATGGGAGACCAATGGCCATGGCAAGCCGGAGAATTAGTACCTATAGACCCAGTTCCTGATGAATTCCCGGCTCAAAAGCATCATGCTGGTAACTTCTGGGTCCTAAAAGCCTCAATCATTAGACAATACTGTACAGCAAGAGTGGGGAAGGACTTCACCCTTCCTGTGGGAAGACTCAGCTGCCTTGGGCAAAAACTGTATAATAGTACTACAAAACAGCCACCTAGTGGATTTCAAACAATACTAAGAAAAATCCATTTAGTAAATTACCAAAGTTGCAAACTGTGTGGACCCACCCGGAGTCCCACTGGGACTGGACAGCCCCCACTAGATTATACTGGATATGTGGGCATAGACCTTATGCCAAATTACCCTACCAGTGGGCAAGTAGTTGTGTTATTGGCACTATTAAACCATCTTTCTTCCTAATGCCCATAAAGACAGGTGAATTCCTGGGCTTCCCTGTATATGCTTCCCGTGAAAAGAGAAGCATAGCTATAAAAAATAAGAAAGATAATACATGGCTCCCTGAGAAAATCATACAATATTATGGGCCTGCTACTTGGGCACAAGACGGCTCGTGGGGATACCGGACCCCCATTTACATGCTCAACCAAATCATATGGTTACAAGCTGTCTTAGAAATAATCACTAGGCTGGGTGCAGTGGCTCACACCTGTAATCCCAGCACTTTGGGGCCGAGGCGGGTGGATCACGAGGTCAGGAGATCGAGATCATCCTGGCTAACATGGTGAAACCCCGTCTCTACTAAAAATACAAAAAATTAGCCGGGCGTGGTGGCGGGCGCCTGTGGTCCCAGCTACTCAGGAGGCTGAGGCAGGAGAATGGCATGAACCTGGGAGGTGGAGGTTGCAGTGAGCCGAGATTGTGCCACTGCACTCTAGCCTGGGCGACAGAGCAAGACTCCATCTCAAAAAAAAAAAAAAAAAAAAAAGAAATAATCACTAATAAGACCGGCAGAGCCTTGACTATTCTAGCCTGGCAAGAAACTCAGATGAGAAATGCTATCTATCAAAATAGATTGGCTCTTGGACTACTTGCTAGCAGCTGAAGGAGAGGTCTGTAGAAAATTTAATCTTACTAATTGCTGTCTACACCTAGATGATCAAGGGCAAGTAGTTAAAGACATAGTTAGAAATATGACAAAACTGGCACATGTGCCTGTGCAAGTGTGGCATGGATTTGATCCTGGGGCCATGTTTGGAAAATGGTTCCCAGCACTAGAAAGATTTAAAACTCTTATAATAGGAGTTATAATAGTAATAGAAACCTGCTTACTGCTCCCTTGTTTGCTACCTGTACTTCTTCAAACAATAAAAAGCTTCATTGCTGCCTTAGTTCACCAAAATGCTTCAGCACAAGTGTACTATATGAATCACTATTGATCTGTCTTGCAAGAAGACATGGGTAGTGACAATGAAAGTGAGAACTCCCACTAATGAGTGAAGTTCTCAAAGTGGGGGAATAAGGGAGGAGACCACCCCTTATATTGTTTTATGACCAATTTCTGCCTCCAAAGACAGAAGAAGTAAAAACTAAAAGCCAGAAATGAAATCCACAGGCAGACAGCCCAGCGCTGCACCCTGGGCCTGCTTAAAGATCGACTCCTGACCTAACCAGTTATGTTATCTATAGATTCCAGACATTGTATGGAAAAGCACTGTGAAAATCTCTGTCCTGTTCTGTTCCGTTCTAATTACTGATGGCATGCAGCCTCCAGTCACATACCCCCTGCTTGCTCAATTGATCACCACCCTCTCACGCGGACCCCCTTAGAGTTGTAAGCCCTTAAGAGGGACAGGAATTGCTCACCTGAGGAGCTCGGTTGTTGGAGACTTGAGTCTTGCCAAAGCTCCCGGCCGAATAAAGCCCTTCCTTCTTTAACTCGGTGTCTGAGGGGTTTTGTCTGTGGCTTGTCCTGCTACACCAGCTACTTGGGAGGTTGAGGCAGGAGAATGGCATGAACCCGGGAGGAGGAGCTTGCAGTGAGCCAAGATCGTGTCACTGCACTGCAGCCTGGGCAACAGAGCAAGACTCTGTCTCAAAAAACCAAACAAACAAAAAACTGTTAGTGGCAGCAAATCCATATGTGTCTGTGGCAATGTTAGATATGAATTCTAAATTTCTCTTCAAAGAATCAATATGTCAGTATGTTCAATTCTTTGCCTTGTACTTTTAAACTTAACTTCCTTGTAAAGCAACCTTTTTTGATTACCTGCTCCACCCTGACTCATTCCGATTACCTGCTCATTCTCCACCCTGACTCATTCCGATTTCCTGCTCTGCCATAACCATTTTTCCTGCCAAACCACTCACCCCATTACTCTCTTTAAATTAGCCAATTGTATTAGTTTAGCCTGTGTGGTCTAACCCTAGCCAATAGGGAAAAGACACAGCAGCAGGGGCCACATGCGTCAGGGATAAGAACCCCTTCCCCTCCCTTGTCCAAGTGTGTGCTCACCATTGCTCCATCTGTAAGGGTGCACCCTTCTATAGAAGTACATTGCCTTGCTGAGAATTAAAAAGAATATTTTATATTCAAGTGCTGTTTCTTTTGCAGCACTGAAACTTTATTTATAACAGCAACCTCAATTCTTGCCTCCTTGAAGAAAGAATTTGACTGAGGGGTACAAGGCAGAGTGAGAGACTGAGGAAAGTTTTAGAGCAGGACTGAAAGTTTATTAAAAAGCTTTAGAGCAGGAATCAAAAGAAGTAAAGTACATTTGGAAGAGGATGTAGCGGGCAACTTGAGAGATCAAGTGTGCATAGTTTGACCTTTGACTTGGGGTTTTATACATTGGCACGCTTCTGGGATCTTGCATTCCCTCTCCCCTGATTCTTCCCTGGGAGTGGGCGTGAGCATGCATAGCAGCCTGCCGGCGCTTGGGAGAGGAGCATGCACAGTGTGTTTACTGGAGTTGTACGCGTGCTCACTTGAGGCATTCTTCCCTTACCAAATGTCCCTAGAAAGTCATATACATCTTACTGTGCATGCGTGAGTCCACTTGTCAAACTCCTGAGATATTGGGAAGCTGTTGATCACCAGTTTCAGGTTTTTCTATCTATCAGGAGACTGCCTTTCCCTGGCACTGGCTGCAACCAATTATTATTTTAGAGAGATAGTTAACAACCACTTGACCATCACCTGATGGTCACCCGACATTCCTGGTTAGGGGGGAGGGGGCAGGGCCCTCTCCTGCCCTGCTCATGTCTGACTAGCTACCCTACCCTACTGTAACAAAACCACATAGCCTAGAAATATTGAAGACATTAAGAAAAAGGTGTGTCATGAATGCATAAAATACATGTAGATGCTAGTCTGTTTTATCATATACTACCATCAAATATACACAAATCTACCATAAAATGTTAAAATTTATCACAACTTATGGGCCAGGTGCAGTGGTTCATGCCTGTAATCCCAGTACTTTGGGAGGTTGAGGTAGAGGATTGCTTGAGCCCAGGAGTTTGAGACCAGCCTGGACAATGTAGCGAGACTCTGTCTCTACAAAAAATAAAAAATTAGCTGGGCGTAGTTGTGCATGCCTGTAGTCCCAGCTATTCAGGAGGCTGAGGTGAGAGGATCACTTGAGCCTGGGAGGTCAAGGCTGCAGAGAGTGGTGATCAAACCACTGCACTCCAGCCTGGGTGACAGAGCAAGACCCTGTCTCAAAAAAAAAAAAAAAACCCAAAACAAAACATGCACAGAAGCTGGGTGTGGTGGTGCACACCAGTATTCCCAGCTACTTGGGAAGCTGGAAAAAAAAAAACAAAAAAACTGAGGCACACACTTAAAGATTGTACATGGTACCCTTCCCAGTTGAAAGAAATATAAACAAATGTAAAGATGCGGTATTAGATTATAACTGCATAAAACTGTAGTACATGCTGTACTACTGTAATTATTTCATAGCCTGTTGCTATTGTGATGAGCTCAAGTTTTACAAGTATCTGCTTAAAAGGCTGTGTGATGCCAGTCTTCTCCCTGAGCAGTTAATCTCTCCAGTAAATAGTGTATCTCAGAAAAAGTGATCTCTCACAGTTCTCAAGTATTTTTACTGTGTTTAGTGCAATACTGTAAGCCTTAAATATTACCACAGGACCCATAAAAAGTGCCAATAGTGATGCTGGAAGTGCTCCCAAGAAGCAAAGAAAAGTCAAGACATTCCAAAAAGTTGAATTGCTTGATATGTGCCACAGATTGAGGTCCGCAGCTGGAGTTACCCACCATTTCAAGATAAGGACCATTGTAAAAAGGAAAAGGAAAATTTTGAAGCCATTGCTGCAGCTTTGGCAGCAGGTATGAAAACCTTGTGCTTTCTGTGAAATACCTTTTTATCTTGTATTTAAAGTGCAGCTTTTATGTGGGTGTAGGATTGCCATAAGAAAGGCATACCTATAGATTCTAATTCTAGAAAAAGTGAAGTCATTATATGACAAAGAAAGGTGAAGGATCTAAAGCTGGATAATTTAATGCTAGCAAGGATGGTTTGATAATTTTAGAAAGAGCGTTGGCGGCCGGGCACGGTGGCTCACTCTTGTACTTTCCCAGCACTTTGGGAGGCTGAAGTGGGAGGATCGCTTGAGCCCAGGAGTTTGAGACCAGCCTGGGCAACATAGTGAGACCTTGTCTCTACTAAAAGTTCAAAAAAATGTGCTTGAACCCAGCAGGTCAAGGCTGCAGTGAGCCCTGATAATGCCACTGCACTCTAGCCTGAGTGACAGAGTAAGACCTGGTCTCGAAAAATAAAAATAAAAATAAAAATAAGAAAGAGGTTTGGTTTAAAGAATGTCAAGATAATCCAGGCATGTGCAAGCCTGTAGTCCCATCTACTTGAGAGGCTGAGGCATGAGGATCAACTGAGCCCAGGAGACCAGGAGTTTGAGGCCAGCCTGGGTAACATAGTGAGACACTATCTCTATAAATAAACAAATAATAAACAAACAGACAAACAAATAAATAAAAAAAGTCAAGCTAACAGGAGAAGCAGCTTCTGCCAACTAAGAGACAAGTCCCCAGATGCCATTAAGAAAATCATTGAGGCCAGGTGTGGTAACAAGCCTGTAATCACAACACTTTGGGAGGCTGAGGTGGGAGGACTACTTGAGCCCAGGAGTTTGAGACCACCCTGGGCAACATAGCAAGACCCCTTCCCTACAAAAAATAAAAAATTAGCTGGGTATGGTGGTACATGCCTGTAGTCCCAGCTACTCAGGAGGCTGAGGTGGAAGGATGACTTGAGCCCAGGGGGTCAAGGCTGCAGTGAGCCATGATTGTGCCACTGCACTCCAGCCTGGGCCAACAGAGTGAGACCCTGTCTCAAAAAAAAGTAATAATAATAAAGAAAATCACTGAGGAGAAAGGATATCTGCCTGAACAGGTTTCAAATGCAGATGAAAGTGCCCTATTTTGGAAAAAAAGATGCCACAAAGGACGTTTATTAGTAAGGAATAGAAGTGAGCAGAAGGATTTAAGGCAGGAAGGGACAGACTCACTCCTCTATTTTGTGCAAATGCTACTGGGTTTATAATCAGGACTGCCCTTACCTATATAGCTCCTAACTTCCGAGCCTTGAAGGAGAAAGATAAACTACCAGCTGCTGGTCTTTTGGTTGTACAAGAAGGCCTGGGCAACAAGACCCCTTTTCTGGATTGGTTCCATTGATGTTTTGTCTCTGAAGTCAGAAGTACCTTGCTAGTAAGGGAGTGCCTTTTAAAGTTCTTTTGACATTAGACAATGCCTCTGGTGACCCAGAGCCCCATGAATTCAACACAAAAGGCACTGAAGTGGTCTACTTGCCCCCCAAAACCACATCTCTAATTCAGCCTCTAGATCAGAGAGTCATAAGGGGCTTTAAGGCTATTACACACAGTACTCTAAGGAAAGGATTGTTAATGCTGTGGAAGAGAACCCTGACAGAGGGAACATCACGAAAGTCTGGAAGGATTACACCACTGAAGATGCCATCATTGTCACAGAAAAAGCCGTCAAGCCTGAAATAAATTCCTGTTGGAGAAAACTGTCCTGATATTGTGCAGAACTTAACAGGATTTATGACAGCGCCAATCAAGGAAATCACGAGTTTGTGGATATGGCAAAAAAAGGTGATGGGTGAAGAACTTCAGGATATGGATCTTAGTGAAATTCAAGAGCTAATAAACACCACACCAGAGCAAGTAACAGAAGATGTCTTGATAGAGATGAGTGCTTCTGAACCGATACCAGATGATGAGGAAGAAGATGTAGAAGCAGTGCCAGGAACCAAAGTGACATAAGACAATCTGGCAGAGGGTTCTGATTACCAAAGAATACTTTTGACTTCTTTTATGATGTGGACCTTACTATGATATGGGCACTGAAACTAAAGCAAACGGTGGAACCATATAGAAAGATTGGTACCATATAGAAACATTTTTAGAGGCATGAAAAAGCAAAAGTCAGACAGAAATTACAATGTATTTCTGTAATTACACCAGTGTGCCTGCCTCTTCTGCTTCCTCTTTCACCTTCTCCACCTCTTCTGCCTCTGCCATCCCTGAGACAGCAAGACCAACCCCTCCTCTTCCTCTTCAGCCTACTCAACAACAAAGATTGAGGATGAAGACCCTTATGATGGTCCACTTCCACTTAATGAACAGTAAATCTCTTTTCCTTATGATTTTCTTAATGTTTTATTTTCTTTAGCTTACTTTACTGCATGAATACAGTATATGTTACATATAACATACTAAATGTGTGAATTGACTATGTCGAGGGAGGGACCTGATGGGAGGTGATTGGATCATGGGGTGGTTTCCCCCATGCTGTTCTCGTGATAATGAGGGAGTTCTCACGATATCTGATGGTTTAAAAGTGGTAGTTTCCCCTGAGCTATCCCTCTCTCTCAATATCTCTCCTACCACCTTGTGAAGAAGGTGCCTGCTTCCCCTTCGTCTTCTGCCATGATTGTAAGTTTCCTGAGGCCTCCCCAGCCATGTGGAACTGAGAGTCAATTAAACCTCTTCCCTGTATAAATTACCCAGTCTCAGGCAGCTCTTTATAACAGCGAGAAAATGGACTAATATGGAAAACTGGTACTGGAAGACTCAGGTACTGCTATAAAGATAATCTGAAAATGTGGAAGTGATTTTGGAAATTGGTAACAGGCAGAGGTTGGAACAGTTTGGAGGGCTCAGAAGAAGACACGAAGATGTGAGAACATTTGGAACGTCCTAGAGACTTGTTGAATGGTTTTGACCAAAATGCTAATAGTGATATGGACAATGAAGTCCAGGCTGAGGTGGTCTCAGATGGAGATGATGAACTTATTGGGAACTGGAGTAAAGGTCACTCTTGCTATGCTTTAGCAAAGAGATTGGTGGCATTTTGCCTCTGCCCTAAAGATCTGTGGAACTTTACACTTGAGAGAGATGATTTAGGGTATCTGGTGGAAGAAATTTCTAAGCAGCAAAGCATTCAAGAGGTGACCTGGCTGATTCTGAATGCATTCAGTCAATGTTCACAAAGAGATTATCTGAAACTGGAACTTTTATTTAAAAGGTAAACAGAGCATACAAGTTTGGAAAATTTGCAGCCTGACCATGAAGTAGAAAAGAAAAATCCATTTTCTGGGGAGAAATTCAAACTGGCTCCAGAAATTTACAAAAGTGAAGAGGAGCCTAATGTTAATCACCAAGCCAATGGGGAAAATATCTCCAGGGCATGTCTTCAAAGCAACCCCTCCCATCACAGGCCCAGAGGCCTTTTAGGGAAAAATGGTTTTGTGGGCCAGACCCAGGCACCCCCCCCCCCCACCCCGCCCCTTGCTCTGTGCAGCCTCGGGGCTTGCTGTCCTGCATCCCAGCCTCTCCAGCTCCAGCTGTGGCTAAAAGGGCCACGGTATTGCTCCAGCCTTTGCTTCAGAGGGTGCAAGCCCCAAGACTTGGCAGCCTCCATGTGGGGTTGGGCCTGCGGGTGTGCAGAAGACAAGAGTTGAGGTTTGGGGCCAGGCGTGGTGGCTCATGCCTGTAATCCCAGCACTTTGGGAGGCTGAGGCGGGTGGATCATTTGAGGTCAGGAGTTCAAGACCAGTCTGACCAACATGGTGAAACTTTGTCTCTACTAAAAATACAAAAAATTAGCCAGACATGGTGGCATATGCCTATAATCCCAGCTACTCTGGAGGCTGAGGCACAAGAATTGCTTGAACCTGGGGGGCAAAAGTTGCAGTGAGCTGAGATCATACCATTGCACTCCAACCTGGGTGACAGAGCAACACTCAGTCTCAAAAAAAAAAGAAAAAAGAGAGATGAGGTTTCAGAACCTCCACCTAGATTTCAGAGAGTGTATAGAGACACCTGGATGTCCAGGCATAAGTTTGATCCAGGGGTGAAGCCCTCATGGAGAACCTCTACTAGGGCAATGCAGAGGGGAAATGAGGGGTTGGAGCCCCCATGCAGAGTCCCCCCACTGGGACACTGCCTGGTGGAGCTGTGAGAAGAGGGTCACTGTCCTCCAGGTCCCAGAATGGTAGATCCTCTGATAGCTTGCACCATGCACCTGGAAAAGCCGCAGACACACAATGCCAGCCTGTGAAAGCAGCCGTGGGGGCTGTACCCTGCAAAGCCACAAGGGAAGAGCTGCCCAAGGCCTTGGGAGCCCACCCCTTGCATCAGTGTTGCCTGGATGTGAGACATGGAGTCAAAGGAGATTATTTCAGAGCTTTAAGATTTAAAGACTGCCCCACTGGGTTTCAGACTTGCATGGGACCTGGGGCCCTTTGTTTTGGCTAATTTCTCCCATTTGAAATGGGAACATTTACCCAATGCCTATACCCCCATTGTATCTTGGAAGTAACTAACTTGCTTTTGATTTTACAGGCTCATAAGTGGAAGGGACTTTCCTTGTCTCAGATGAGACTTTAAACTCAGACTTTTGAGTTAATCCTGGAATTAGTTAAGACTTTGGGGGACTGTTGGGAAGGCATAATTTGTTTTGAAATGTGAAAAGGACATGAGAATTGGAGAGGTCAGGGGTGGAATGATATGGTTTGGCCCCATGTCCCCACCCAAATCTCATCTTGAATTGTAATCCCATGTGTCGAGGGAGAGACCTGGTAGGAAGTGATTGGATGATGGGAGTGGTTCCTCCATGCTGTTATCATGATAGTGAGGAAGTGAGGAAGTTCTCATGATATCCGATGGCTTAAAAGTGGCAGTTCCCCTGTGCTCTCTCCTGCCATCTTGCAAAGAAGGTGCCTTGCTTCTCCTTTGCTTTCTGCCATGATTGTAAGTATCCTGTGGCCTCCCCAGCCATGCAGAACTGTGAGTCAATCAAACCTCTTTCCTTTAGAAATTACCCAGTCTCAATTCTTTATAGCAGTGTGAAAACAGACTAATACAGACTGTTTATGTTATTAGTAAGGCTTCTGGTCAAGAGTAGGCTATTAGTTATTTAAGGATTTTTTTTTTTTTTAAATGGTGTTTCACTCTGTCACCCAGGCTGGAGGGCAGTGGCATGATCTTGGCTCACTGCAACCTCCACCTCCCCGCACAAGCAATCCTCCCACCTCAGCCTCTTGAGTAGCTGGGACTACAGGTGTGCACCACCACACCCAGCTAATTTTTTTGTATTTTTTGTAGAAACGGGGTTTCACCATGTTGCCCAGGCTGGTCTCGAACTCCTGGACTCAAATGATTTGCCCACCTCAGCCTCCCAAAGTACTGGAATTACAGGGGTAAGCCACCAAGCCTGGCCATCTTTTTTTTTATTATTATATTTTTTGTAGAGACATGGTCTCACTGTATTGCCCAGGCTGGTCTTGAACTCCTGGACTCAAGTGATCCTCCTGCCTTGGCCTCCCAAAATGTTGGGATGACAGGTGTGAGCCAACTGTGCCTGGCTAGTATTTGAGTTTTTGGGGAGTCTAGTCATACGTGGACTTTCATTGGCACGGATGGTCAGTCCCCCATCCCCCACGTTGTTCAAGGGTCAATTGTAGTTAACATCAGGTAACTTCAGGCTTTTTTGTGTAAGGATTAAAGCAGAGGGAGCTTTATTATCATGCTGATTGAAGATTTAAACTGACTTGTTGGGGAAATTGGATGTTATCTCTCTCTCCTGATTTGTTGGAAGGTCAGGTAATAACTTAGTTTAGGTTTGGTGAAGTGGAACTTTAGTATGGGTGACTCCATTTTTATTTTGTTTGGTCTGTTGGAGCCTAGTGCAGGAGCTTAGTTCAAACCAATGGCCTCCTATAATTTTTATTTAACAGGACTGATATCTCCCTGCTACCTATCTCAAATGCATTGTAAAATTTAATAAATTATATATCTCAAAAAGGGTGTTATGAAACATTTCAGATGTATAAAAGTTATGAAGTTTCACAGTACATAGTATTACAAGGAAAATTCACTCACGTACCCAGCACAACCCAGCTTAAGAAACAAAACATCACTGAGCACGGTGGCTCACGCTTCTAATCCCAGCACTCTGGGAGACCAAGGTGGGTGGATCACTTGAGCCCAGGAGTTCGAGACCAGCCTGGCCAATGTGGTGAAACCCTGTCTCTACAAAAAATACAAAAATCAGCCAGGCGTGGTGGCATGTGCCTGTAGCCCCAGCTACTTGGGAGACTGAGGTGGGAAGATGGCTTGAGCCCTGACGGTAGAGGTTGCAGTGAGCCGGGATCGCACCACTGCACTCCAGCCTGGGCAACAGAGTTGAGACTCAGACTCAACAAAGACAAAATATTACTTTAAAAGAAAAGAAAAAGGCCAGGTGCAGTGGCTCACATCTGTAATCCCAGCACTTTTGGAGGCTGAGGTGGGCAGATCACAGGAGGCCAGGAGTTGAAGACCAGCCTGGCCAACATGAAGAAACTCTGACTCTACTAAAAATTTAAAAAATTAACCAGGCGTGGTGGTGCACACCTGAAGTCCCAGCTACTTGGGAGGCTGAGGCAGGAGAATCTTTTGAACCTGGGAGGTGGAGGTTGCAGTGAGCCGATCATGCGCCACCACACTCCTGCCTGGGTGACAAAGCAAGACTCTGACTCGAAAAAAAAAAGAGAGAAAACATCACCAATGTAGTTGAAGCCCTGTGTAACGTGCCTCTTCCCAGCCACATCCCCTCTGTCTACCCCTGCATTGTCCCATAACTTATCCTCAACATTGTGCAAGATTTTATCATCCTCATGGTTTTTCATACTCTTCATACATGTTGCATGATTTTGCAACTTTTGAGCAGGTCTTATATGTATGTACCCTCCTGAAACTTTTTCTTTTTTTGAGATAGGGTCTCACTTGCTACCCAGGCTAGAGTGCAGCGGTATGATCTCAGCTCACTGCAGCCTTGACCTCTCTCCTAGGATCAAGTGATACTCCCGCCTCAGCTTCCCAAGTAGCTGGGACTACAGGCACGCACCACCACGCCCAGCCTGAAACTTTATCATTGAGATTGTGCATGTGATGTATGCAATTGATATTTTTACTACTGTGTAGGATTCCATTGTAGGAATTTGTCACAATTCATTTATGTTAGGTAATAAGTTTATGTGAATAGTTTGTTCATTATAGCCAAGTTTCTTGCTAGACTGTTTTAAGTTCCAATACTTTTTTTTTTTTAGACGGGGTCTCGCTGTCTCCCAGGCCGGAGTGCAATGGCGTGATCATAGCTCATTGCAGCCTCGATTTTTGGGGCTCAAGCGATCATCCCACCTCAGCTTCCCGAGTAGCTGGGACTACAGGTGTGTGCCACCATGCCTAGATTAAAAAAAAATTTCAGTAGAGAGGTCTTGCTATGTTGCCCAGGCTGGTCTTGAATTCCTGAGCTCAAGCAATCCTCCCACCTTGGCCTCTGAAAGCCTTGGGATTCCAAGCATGAGCCACCATGCCCTGCTCCAATAACTTTTGACTCCGTTAGCAAATGGTTTAAGTTATACCTTTTGTTTCCTGTTTTACTGAAATAGAAAACTGCAGAATAGCAGAACAGCACTAATAGTGATAATTAGCCACCTTATCTTTCAAGTGTGATGTTGGCTGTTGGTCTGAAACTACCTTATCAAGCTAGCTTTACCTTTAAAGGTTGCCAGGAATGGTTCTTGAATGTGAACAAATGCCTTGCCATCTACGGACAAAGATTTCTCAACTGACAATGAGGCGATTAATATTACACTACACATATCCCAGGGGCAAATCACACTTGATCATGCTCTATTTTTGTAGTATCCCACTGAATGAGATTTGCTTCCATTTCCCATAGGATTATTCCATCTGTACTCCCAGCTTCCACATCCAACCCCCAACCTCCAACCCAGGAACCCCCCCTTTACTTTCAAATTTAAATTACCTGCCAGACCTTTATTTCAAAGAACCAGTTAATCTTACTGCTTATTGACAAATTCTACTCTCTGCTTATTCTTTTTTTTTTTTTGAGACCGAGTCTCATTCGGTCACCCAGGCTGGAGTGCAATGGCGTGATCTCAGCTCACTGCAACCTTCGCCTCCCGGGTTCAAGCGATTCTCCTGCTTCAGCCTCCCAAAGTGCTGGGATTACAGGCGTGAGTCACGGAACCTGGCTGGGACTGGCGCGGTGGCTAGGACTGCCAGTAGCTGGGACTGCAGGCGCACGCCAGCACGCCTGGCTAATTTTTGTATTTTCAGTAGAGACGGGGTTTTGCCATTTTGGCCAGGCTGGTCTTGAACTCCTTATCTCAGGTGACCCACCCGCCTCAGCCTCCCAAGGTGCTGGGATTACAGGCGTGAGCCACCGCACCTGGTGTATCTCTTCCATTTTAAAGTCCTGCTGGACTCTAAGCAACTAAACTCCTCCTGCCTTGAATTATATGACCCCTCTCTGCTTAACCTCAACTCCTGCTCAGCTTTAGGCTGCAATCCAAGTGCACCGACGATGGAAAGCTTTCCCTGACTCTCCAGGCTAGGTCAGGCACTTCTATGTGCACTGAGACCCCTTTCTTCATCTGTCACAAAACTAATCACTGTCTTCGCCTCCCTACTAGAAGCTCAGTAACACGGATGGGGCAATTCCTCTGCCTTCTCAGTCATCAAAGCAGGGCCAGGCACAAAAGAGTGGGAACACTAAAAAAGGGGAAAATGGCTAGCAGCCTTGGCTCCAGGACCAGGGGATCAGGTTAAAGACACACCCTTTCTTTCCTAGACCCACACTTTGGGACAAGGTCAAGGGGACAATCTGTTCAGAGGTAGCACCCCAGGAAAATGAGAAAAACCACACAAGGCAAGCACCACTTGGGGTTATTTTTTCTAACTAAATTTTTATTAAATTATTTTTTCTTTGAAGGCTGGAACCATCGAAGTCCTTAGATCAGCTTTAAGCACTGGATGGAGTAAAAACCACAAGGGACTACAAGGTGATCTGTGAACAGACTGGCAGACAGATGACGAGAGAGGGAGTGACGACAACAAAAATAGACAAACAAAAATAATGGTCTTCTGGCGACCTAGTTAAATTACTCGCTTATTAAAATTTATTAGAAATAAACAAACATTAATGAAATAAAAATCTAAAACTGAGCCCCAGACTCAAGACTACTAGAAAGGCTCACCAAGTAAAACCCTCGGTTGGGTCAAGTGAGCTCTCTGAATGTTTTGTACAACCTGCTGCAGTTTGTTCCCCTTGAGCAAGGTGATGCTTTGTCCTGGGCTGCAATCTCTAACACCATCACCATCCCCAAGTGCAGCTCCCATTCTAAAAAAAAAAAACAGATGCCCCCACCCCCAATTCCTGGTGAACTGCTCATCTCTCCTGACTGCAGAAACTGACTCTGAAGGAGGAAGTTGCACCAGTGGTGGAGGCAGGTGGGCAAGCGGGTAGGGCAGGGATGGTTTCCTGGAGAATCCATCTTTTCTCCAGATGCCTAGCATGTGCTTAAGAGTTTTTTGTTTTTTTTTTTAAGTTTGAAAAAAACTCCATTGTGAAAAGTGAGTTATGAAGAGTGCTCTTTATTTGAAACCTCCACAACACAGACGCCAATCTTGTCTCGCATTGAATCATTAGCTGTGCACATCAACACATTCCAAGCACAAATTAAGAAATGCAAACAGAACAAAAAAATATATATATATATAATTTTTTCCCCTATCCAAAGGTTTCAAGTCTCAATGCAGCAAATCCTTCTGAACACAGAATCTGAGGAGCACACTGTTCAAACAGTTGGGACAGACAGGTCCCTGCAAAGGCTACTGCCTTTTTAAAACACATGGGGTGGGGATCATGGACGGCATGGAAAGGGGAGAGAAGGTGAGGAAACAGGCGGCGGGGAGAGAATGAGAAGAGGAACAGGTATGCGCTGGGGAAGATGGGGCAGCTGGGACACACACGGTGAGTTGGTGGATTTCATTTATTGGTTTTTGACAATTTCTTTCTGGTTCTTTTTTTAACTCCCCCCTCCCCAGGTCCAACAATGGTAAAAAAAACCCCACGGAGTTGGGCAGGGCCTTATTAGGCCAGCCCAAAGCCTTCAGAGCACTCCTGGATAGCCAACAGTAGCATGTGGCGGAGCTTCTCAAAGCTCTCATAGGCAGGCAGATCCAGCTGATTAAAACTAAGGAAAGAAGAAAGATCAGTTTGTGGTGAGGGATGACAGATAACCAAATCTGTGTGTTCCCATGGTGCCCACCAGCCCCTCCCCTCCCTGAAGAAACCAACTCCCTGCTTCTTGATGACTCCCAATCTTGTCTCAGCCCAGTATGTCCCCCTTTATCTGGCTCCCAAACTGGCCATCAGGCACCAAAACCAAAAATCTGACCCTGTCACTCCTCCTTAAACACCCTGGCCTCACTCGCCCATAGGCTAAAGTGCAAACTTGAAGGTGGTTTTCAGAGTCACTGGTAATCGGACCTCTGCTGAGCTCTTTAGACTTTTGCTCCCTGCAACTCCTCCTTGCTCCAGTCACGCTGGCCCTGGAATACACCATGCTCTCTTGTGGTGCTGTTTACCTGACAGTGTCTCCCCAGCCCCCACTGTGTCTAGCACATCTCATCTCAAACATCACCTCCATAGAAACACCAAATTGTGAGTTACCCAAGGTCCAGGACTCAGCCACATTTGTGTTCCCAATCTTGGGTAGGGTCCTGAAAACATCAAGTATGCAAGCTCAACCTAAGCACTGAAAAGGAGAAACAAACCCTTCCTTTTACCATGTGTGAGCTGAAGGCAGGCGATCTGTGGACCTGTCATCTCGATGGATCTGAAACTTCTGAATGCCATTCATGCCTTCGAGGGCAGCAAAGCCTTGCAGGGGTACCTTGGAAGTACCTGTGACAAACTGGAGGAACTTGGCACGGTCAGCTTGATCGAAAGAACGCAATGCTCTCCAGAACCACTGGATCTGTAGGAAGGGACCCATGAAGCCAGTGTTAGGTAGAAAGCTCCTAGAAGCAGGGTGGGGGGGATGGAATCTAGGAAACAGGACTGGACTTGGTATCTGAGGCAAGTCCCTTCTGTGGGATGAGCTTTAGCTCCTTTCATTCATAAGACGGCCAAGAGAAGTCTGCTATGCTTCAGGAGAACAAAGAGTTAGATATAGGTAGACTGTCTTCTACATGCAACTTCCTCTAAGAGTACTACTGGTTTATTTGGTATCACACAAACTAGCGTTGCCTAGGGTAAGAGGACCATATGAGGAGGGATGCCAGCAGCAGCTCACCTGAATAGAGTTGGACTGGTACTTGTGGTATTCAGTGTTGGATTTCAGATCATCGATGTCAATGGTGGGCAGTCCTGATATAAGCAGCTCTAACTCCTGCTCAGTGAAGATGGAAATGAGGCGCTTTGGAATGATCTCATAGAAGCCTTCTAAGAAAGCCGCCAACTGCTTGCGGATGGCTCCTGGTGAGATAACCAAAAAGCCAAATGACTTCTAAACTCACACAACCGTAGAGGTCAGAGATCCCCCATCTGGCTCCCATCTACCACTGTTAGCTGGGACTACAGGCATGCACCACCACAACTGGTTAATTCTGCCCAGGCTAGTCTCAACCCCCTGGGCTCAAGCTATCCTCCTGCCTCAGCCTCCCAAAGTGCTAGGATTACAAATGTGAGCCACTGTGTCCAGTGAAGTTAAGCTGGGTTTGTTTTTTTTTTTTGAGATGGAGTCTCACTCTGTTGCCCAGGCTGGAGAAGAGTGGTGCGATCTCAGCTCACTGCAAACTCCACCTCCCGGGTTCAAGCAATTCTTCTGTCTCAGTCTCCCGAGTAGCTGGGACTACAGGCGCACGCTGCCACACTTGGCTAATTTTTTATTTTAGTAGAGACGGGGTTTCACCATGTTGGCCAGGCTGGTCTCAAACTCCTCACCTCAACTGATCCGCCCACCTTGGCCTCCCAAAGTGCTGGGATTATAGGTGTGAGCCACCGTGCCCAAAGTTAAGTATTTTTGATCAAGTGTTTTGTCTTTTGTGCAAGGCATTTGTGGCTCTGTCATAGCAGAGGAAAACAAAACATGCCTATCAAATGAATCAAGTCCGACCTCTTCTCATATTGAGCAACTAGAGGTCTAGGAACATTTCCCCTACCTGTCATTCTCATCTGGCATACCAGGTGTACATACTCCTTCTTATTCTCCTCTGTTACCAAGATGTTGGCCCCATTGGGTTTGAGGTCACGAACTTCACAAACTCCAAACTCTTGGACCTAGAACAACCAAAACACCAATCATACATATCAGACTTCATCTAGGATGGGATTAGATACCTAGGAACACACCCTAAACCCCTTGCCATGTCCTAGGCAGAGAGATGAGGCAAGTCCATACAAAACAGTGACTTTTTCTACTACTCATAGCTCGCAACTCCCCTTATAGGGAAAGGCTTTGGGTAGGAAAGAGGAAAATACTCTTTGGCTCTAAGACCTACAAAAAAGGCAGAAGAGAGTAAGGCAACTATCAGTGGTAAAAGGGAAAAGGGAATGGCTAACATATGTAACGGAATGTAATCTCTTAGGAAAAGAATTTAGGAGAAGAGTAACCTTAACTGCCTTCATTTTCCCCCCACTTACATTTGTACGATTTTTCTACAAAGACCTACCCTTGGGAATGAGGAATTATGTACTGGAGTTTTTTTTTTTTTTTTTTTTTAATAAAGGTGAAACTAGGAAATGGCCTGCAAATTCTGGTTTTCCTGTTTGTGATGTCACTCACAAACACCTGCTACAGCTTTAAGAAGTCAAGATGCTTCCTTAGAACTATGAGAAGGTCACGCAGTGCTAGTTCTAAGGTGAACCTGGAATGGATCTTCCAGATTGGCTGGGATGTGCTGTGATTAGGATTTCCTGACCTACCTCAGTGCTGAAGGTGAGGTCATAGCCTAGTGTGGAGACATCATTTTCCAGCAGATAAACCAGACCTTGGTAGAAGTGGTAATCTTCACTCTCCATATCTGTATATCTAGAAAAACACAATTATACAGGGTCATGGTTTGCGAGTGGGGGGGAAGAAGGAGCACAAGGATGGGACACAAAAAGACCAGACCCCCAGGACTGAAGACAGTCCCAGGACTATGCCTCATCCTCACCTGACTGACTTGCCCAAGATGTGTTTGTAAAAGGATCGAGTAAAGTAGCACTCCAGAAGACGGTTGTCATATACAGCTTTGGCCACAATGCGTCCGACAAACTTGAAGTAGCTGAGGTGGTTGGGGTTGCAGTGGGAAGATGGATTGATGGTGTAGGTGACTCGATCACCAGGTGAGGTACGGAACAAGGCATACATAGGGTTAAACATCTCTCGAGAGATGATCATATACCACTCCCGCAGGAGCCCACCAGCATCCTGCCCTTCTTCTCCTTCAAATACTATATACCTGCATAAGAAAGCAGAAGCAGAAAAGAGCTGTGCAGAAAACCCAGGATACATCCAGTCATTTGTGTGAGTGAGAGACTGTGAAGCAGTGTCTGGGGAGTGCAGTGTCAGATGAAGAGGTAAACAGAGAGTGCCAGGACAGCCCAGAAATGGGGTGGAGATCTGGGAGCAAACAAAAGCACCACTGACAGAGGAGATGTCCCAAAATAGTCAAGGTTAACAGATATTCCAGAAAACACCAATAGGAAAGGTATCAGAGAAATAAATGAGGCCTTGCTTAGGTGAAGTGGGGAGGGGAGAAAAGTGGTATTAGAGAGGGATAAGCCCAGAGTCCAAATTCTCTAAAGGTATTTGGTGGTGGAAGAACATGGCATACAGTCTGTCTAGGGAGACTCCCTGACTTCTTGTGATTACACAGTTGGAGAGCCCACACCACAAGAGATGGGGAGGAATCATTAAACAACTCCAATAGGTCTTTCATCTCATCAGCTCCTACGCTCAGTATTACAAACTGCTGATCTCCTCTAGGTGGCTTCAGAATCACCAGTGAGCAGTTACCAGTTTGGTGGAGGCCACTCATACATGGTCATTCCTAGTATAGCAATATTAAAGCTCTCATTGCAAAGCCAGCAGGTATATCCTTATAAACACCAAAGACTTTCCTGTCTGTCTGGGAATTGTTGGGTAGCTTAGCTAAAGGGCCAGCCAGCAGGGCAGGCCCAGAAGATAGGAGACAACTCAGTAAGATTATCTAAAACCAGATTCCTATGGGGAATTCCTATTAGGGAGGGCAGCACCTCCCTAAATTTGAGGCTAGAGCAAGCCATCGCTACTGTGCAGGAGGCCCCACCTCCCACCCGCCATCTTTTCTCCGTTCCTGGGCCCTTACAATCGATTCTTCATTTCTTCGGGGGATTTGCGATGCAGCTCACGATAGGAGTCTTCAAACACATGGTCACGACGGACATGCACAGCCATGTCTTCTTTCCGGAGCCCCTCATCTAAACGCTCCAGCTCTTGGCGGAAATATCTTGGGAGGTAGAAAAGGAAGGAAGATAGGATTAAGGGTGGCAGAACAAATTTGTTTGTGTGATTAGGAAGAAGACCCACAATGATGCTCCTTCTATCCTCCAAACACTTTGATCTCTGCTCCACACCTGTTTGGGAAATGCCCAGTAGTTGGGAGAGGTAGATCACTCATTACCAACTCTAAATTTTTCTTACCTCCACTGAGTAAGGGCCCACAAAGATTGTGACATGTGATTTCTGCCACAAGCAGGTAAGCATGTATACATGCACGAGGAGAAGGAGAGGCATAGGGATGACTCCAGGAGTGTTGTGGAAGCCCCTGGAACCCTGCTGTGTGTGTTCTATGGCCACCTGTGCCTCCTGTACTACCCCCAACGGATGGAACAGAACTTTAGAAACTGTGTGGTTCAAAAATCATGTGACTCTGTTTTGCTGATGAAAAATGCAGATGGGGTGGAGAAGCCCAGGAGTATTTAGGTATGATGGCCATCAATGCTACAGCTGTCTCTTCCCTCCTCACCACCACCATTCCAAGTGCTGTCACCAAAGGAAATTTGTGGCCTCAAGAGTAACTTCAGAGGCGAGTTACCATTTGGGGAGTTCTCACCACCCCTCTACCCCCCAATATCCAGGACACATACTTGCGCTTGACATCAAAGTCGAGGACACGAATGTAGTCTACCAGGACAGCAAAAGGCCCATCAGCAAGGTGGGTCGTGGACTGCCGTAGGATCTGGTTTAACACAGTGCGGTGAGTCTCTGAGGGGAGAAGTGACAGCAGGAATTAAGCACATCATCTGCCCCAGAAGCTGTAAGACAGCCAACCAGCTAGCAACTCTCTCTTCCTTCCTCTTCCTTATTTCAGGGCTCTAAAAGGACTAGTCAAAACCAAGGGCCAGCCCTTGAGGTGTGAACGTGAATCTGAGCATTTCTATTCTAAACCTGAGTATCCTGAGGCCAAGGGAAACCATGCAGGGTTTACGTGCACGGGTGTGTGTATGTACACACACACACACACACACACACACACTCTCTCTCTCTCTCTCTCTCTCTCTCTCATCAACTAAGGATTAACTGTATGAAACAATCCTGTTTAAAATGAAGCCTTCTACACCTGGCAGCCTAAAAGTTCCCTGTACCTGCAAAGCGAAGGAACTTCTGTGTGTCAGGGGGCAGGCTTGAGGAGATGTGCATAGATGAGGGCTCCCGGGAGAAGAATGGGTCAAGGGAGGAAGGCGTGGCTGGGGTTAAGGGGGCAGGGGAGAGTGGAGGAGGCTCGTCCTTGATGTGTGCCAGCTGGCTCTCACGGGTGTCTCGGACAGGAGGCTTGCTCTCCCGCTCTGTGGCATGGACCAGAAAGAAGGCCTCGACAGCAGGCTGTAGCACTAGGGTTAGGAATGATGGAGAAGTAACATTTTACTCTGCAAACTTCAACATGCAAACCTCTTTGCCATCATAAACAAATTATAAAAATAAATAAGGAAGAAGAAATAGTGAAAACTAGGCTAGGTGTGGTGGCTCACACCTATGATCCCAGCACTTTGGGAGGCCGAGGTGGGAAAATTGCTTGAGCCCAGCAGTTTGAGATCAGTCTGGGCAACATAGTGAGACCTCATTTCTGATTTAAAAAAAAAAAAAAAAAAAAAAAAGAAACAATGAGAACTTGCAGGGAAATATGGTAGAATCAAGTCACAGAGGAACTTCCTTGAAGCCAAAGAAAAATGGGATAGCTAACCAGTTATAAAGATTCCCCTTGTCTATAAAGTGAAAGACACCAACTATTAAAAGAGAAGGTCAATCTTTTTTATACTGAAGTCAGAGAAAAAACACTTCTCTTTTGAATTCTCATTACAGAGACACTGAGGGAGAGGAGTAACCTGGAAGGAAGAAAAACAAGCTGGCAGGAAGGGCCCCAGAGCAGACCACTGGGTTGGGACCTGGGCCTTTAGGACACAACTCACCTAGCACCGCATGCTGGTCATGGGATTCCTCTAGTTCCTTTAGACACTCCCCAAGCATGTCCCACAGCTCGTCCAAACTCAGCTGCTCGCTGAGCAGGGGTAACTCAGGTGGTCTTTCTTCCTTTTCCTTCTCCCCCTGTGGGGTTCCATCGGAGGCTGGAGGGCACACAGAAGAGAGTCAGAAAGTCTTCAAAATTTCCCTTCTGCTTAGATCTTTCTAGACCACACGCACCAACTAATATACAGAACAAGTAGAGGGGACCACTGGCCACTGAGTGGTACTCACCGAGCAACATCTGAAACAAGGTCTAGGACCTGCATTGGATGGCATTTACATTAAACAGAATAAATAAAATAATGAATCTGGTTCCTCAGTTGCGCTAGCCACATTTAAGGTGCTCAAAAGCCACAGGTGCTACTGCAGATCCAGATAGTGCTAGTCTAGTCACTGCCTCACTAGTTTCAAGAGAATCTGTGGATTATTTCAGGGTAATGTAACAACAGTGGAGCTTTGGATGGTTGCCTTCCAGTTTACACAGGATGTTTTAGGACACTTTTGTCATTGAATTCTGACAGCTGGCCTTGGAAAGTAGGCTGTCTTTTCCTCATTTTGGTTTCTGAGGAAGACAGCACCAGGACATCAAACTAAATCTTTCTAACCTTAAGTCTAATGCCTTTTTTTTTTTTTCCCTGAGACAGTCTCGTTCTGTCGCCCAGGCTGCAGTGCAGTGGTGCGACCTTGGCTCACTGCAACCTCCGCCTCCTGGGTTCAAGCGATTCTCCAGCCTCAGCCTCCTGAGTAGCTGGAATTACAGGCACAAGCCACCATGCCCGGCTGATTTTTGTATTTTTAGTAGAGACTTGGTTTCACCATGTTGGTCAGGCTGGTCTTGAACTCCTGACCTCGTGATCCACCTGCCTTGGCCTCCCAAAGTGCTGGGATTAGAGGCGTGAGCCACCACGCCCGGCCTTCTAATGCCTTCTAAATTAGTCATCTTGTCCTGGGGCAGTTTAAAACCCTGAGAAGCCATGGTATGACAGATGGAATCCCATGGCTGGTACTTTTCCTGATACTCACTGGGGGCTTATTCTAACCTCTGCTCAGTAGCTAAGCAGCAAGACACAACCCCATCTTCTGGGTGGGGAGTAAGTGACTGTTTTCTCATCAACCCCTGATCCCCATACACCTGGCCCTGCTTAGGTTTCTTCCTGACCTTTGCTGTTCATCCTTTACCCAAATCCTGACTATTCTTCAAGGTTCTGACAGCCTTAGGTTTGAATCCTGGCTCCGGTACTTGCAAATCATATGACCTTAGGTAAAAGAAGGTGAATACAGAACACGAAAATAATATCTATCTCCCCAAATCCTGATGAAAGGTAGGATAACAATGGTTGTCCTACAAGAATACTATTCCATGGGAATGTGTTATGAGGGTGCCAAAATGTATTCTATGTATGACTGACTTTGAGAAATGCTGCTAACAATAGCATTCATCGTGTGCTTCTCTAACCACTATACATGTTTTAACTCATTTAATCCTAACAACTGAACATTCCTATTTTAAACAAGGAAACCTAACAAAGAGGTTTGCCTCAGGTCCCAGAAGCAGTAAATGGGGGAGCCAAGATTTAAAACACGGGAGACTAAGGCTGGTCGGCCGTGGCTCATGCCTGTAATCCCAGCACTTTGGGAGGCCGAGGCAGGTGGATCACTTGAGGTCAGGAGTTTGAAATCAGCCTGGCCAATGTGGCGAAACCCTGTCTCTACTAAAAATACAAAAAAAAAAATTAGCCAGGCATGGTGGCAGGCGCCTGTAATCCCAGCTACTTGGGAGGCTGAGGCAGGAGAATCACTTGAATCCAGGAGGCGGAGGTTGCAGTGAGCCGAGATTGCACCACTGCACTCCACCCTGGGAGACAGAGCTAGACTCTGTGTCAAAAAACAAAAAAGAAAGAAAGAAGACATGGGAGACTGAAGTGAGAGGATGGCTTGAGGCCAGGAGTTCAAGACCAGCCTGGGCAACATAGTGAGACTCCATTTCTACAAAGATAAAAAAAATTAGCTGGGCATGGTGGCCTGTCCCTTACAGTTCCAGCTACTCAGATAGCCAAGGCAGGAGGATCGATTGAGCTCAGAAGTTTGAGGTTGCAGTGAGCTATGACTATGTTACTGTATCTTAGCTTAGGTGATGGAGAAAGACCCTGCCTCAATAATAAAACAAAAGATTTAAAACACATGCTGGGCTGGGCGCAGTGGCTCATGCCTGTAATTCTAACACTCTGGGAGGCCAAGACAGGTGGATCACCTGAGGTCAGGAGTTTGAGACCAGCCTGGCCAACATGGCGAAACTCGTCTCTACTAAAAAAAATACAAAAACTAGCCAGGTGTGGTGGTGGGCGCCTGTAATCCCAGCTACTTGGGAGGCTGAGACAGGAGAATTGCTTGAACCCAGGAGGCAGAGGTTGCAGTGAGCAGACATCGTGCCACTGCATTCCAGCCTGGCGACAGAGGGAGACTGTCTCAAAAACAACCACCACAACAAGAGAAAACCCCATAAAAACATGCTGTCTGAATGCATGATATCCCACCATTTTCTTTCCTTTACTACAGGAAAGAAAAGTGTGCCTTGGTTGTCAAACACCTGTCATCATTTACAGAAACCAGGGTTTACTGGAACAAATGGGAAAACACTGGGCTTATATATGCTGGGAGCAGGGGATTCAGCAGACATTCCAGAAGACTGGCTATCCCTTTTGCTCGGCTGGAAACAGGAAGTAGTACTGACCAATGGATTGAGTATCTTGAGCACTGGGAGATGGCTGGTCCACATCCATGGGTGATTCCTCCCTCCGGACAGACGCCTCTGACTGGCTAGACTCCGACTGGATAAAAGGGAGACAAAAATCACATAAGGGTGCAACTCTGCTTTCCTTAGAGACAGGCTAGAGGTTGGCCCTTCCACTTCTCATACATTGAGCTTGCAAAGAAGCTTCCCATATTTGGGTGGGGAAAACTGTAGCTATCCAGGACAAAAGGATGCCTTTCCCAACTCTTCTGCTTTTCTCCACTGTGTTTTGTAAGCTTTTCCCAACAGCTCCTTGGATGCTTACATTTCCTACAGTCTACAATCCAGACCTGTGACCAGTCAGAACTAGCCTCCTGTATATAGACTTCAAGTCTTCTTCTGTTGTGTGTGTGTGTGTGTGTGTGTGTGTGTGTGTGTGTGTGTGTGTGTATAAAAAATTCAGATGGGTGGAAGGTAGGTCTGCTCTTTGTTTCTGTTTGCTCACAAAAGGGGAAATAATAGGAGAATTAGAGCAACCTCTCATGAGCGGGATTATTTAAAAAGCCGACATCTTTTCGTGTAATGGGAAAGAGACTCGGCAGAAAAAATACTCCAGAATAACAGCTTTATTTTCCCTTTCTACCTTCCTGGAGTCACTGCCCCTAAGTTCAAGGCTTTTCCCTGCCTACTCAATAAAACCATACTGTATAATAGTAATTATACGCAAAGAAATATCGGGTCTTAGGATACCTTTCTTGGATCTTGGAAAGGTAACTTACATGTTGCAAGGACAGGAAAACAATGAGGGAGTGCCACAGCATACACATGTGATGCCAGGCTTTTACTGCAGCCACTCAATGCCGGGACCCCAACACTGAGCTGGCTACTTAAGTACCTGAAGGTTTCCTCCTAAAAGTGCCTGAGTGCCTAGGTGCCAAGGGATTATGGAGAATAAAGGCAGAGGGCAGGGTGGAGGGAGCAGCCACAGACAGAAGTGGCTGTGTGGGATATGTACCAAGCTTGGGGGACTTTCAATGGTAGGATTCCTGAGATGTTTCTGATGTACCTGCATTGTTCCATGGGACTGAAAAAAAACTTCACCCCATAACCCCTCAGAACCCAGACAACACTTAGCATCAGGCAGTTTGCAAAAGCGCCACTGTTGACTGGATAGCTGGGAGTGGGGTATGATGGCCAAGCTTTAAATCAAATCAAACCAACAAACCAATCAACAAATAGGAAAACACCAACAGAAAGTAACCCTTTTGTCCAGAAGCATTCATATAGCAAACTTAATGCAAAAGCATACAAGGTAAAGGCAATGAAACCCCACTGATGACATGGTGGGGGGATGAGTGGAGAGACAAATGAATGAGGGGCCACAGGCATCATGCTAACCGTTGCTGCTTGTTGCTGTCTCCGCGCCCTTTGACCCTCACGTACCATTTGTATAATGGCATCAGCCTCAGCCTCCAGCTGCCGAACAGCTGCCTGGATGCTGCTAGCTGAGCCTAAACCGGAGGAACCTGGGAGAAAGAGAAAGAGGAAGGCAAGATATAAAATATAGGAAGAGGGAAAGCCCAATATTCTCTCTCCTATCTCCTGGGCTGCCACAGGGCATCTTGCTGAGGTCTTTTGAGCTTTAGCTCAGGAAGCTTCAGAGTGCTCATCATCAGGCGCTAAGATTTACCATTACAGATAAGGGCAGGGGGCATGATGCTAGACAGACGGATGGTTTTGTGCGAGAGGGTTCTGTGGGACAGGAGGAAAGAGGTAGGGAAAATGATTTGTCAAGCCACGGCTTAGTTAGAAATGACCAAGGAAGCAGAAAGGAGATGCACCTAGTGAGTTAAGTCTTGTTCAGCAAAAGGCTGGCCCCCAACTTCCCTGCCAGATTTCCACTCCCCCTTAATTCCCACTCCCCCTAATGAATTTCCTACGCAGATAGCTTGAATGAGATGTAGAATGCAGCCATCAACATTCTGAAAAAAGGATAATCATTTTCCTTTTGGAAAGGTCAAACAGGAAGGAGACAGGCCGTTAAGTCCTGCACCTCCAAGGAATCTGGCTTTACCGCCACCAACCCTTCCCCTCAACTGGACACTCTAGTTCCATACCTAGCCTGCCTGTCTGCTTGGCTTTCTTGTTAGCCCGGCGCGTGTCGTCCCGGAGCTGGATGATGACCTGTAGTACCCTCAAGAAGAACTTCTGGGTAGATGTCTTGGATGTCAACATGGACATAGAAGGCAGCTGGAGCTCCCGGCCACCCAAAGGTCGCTTCTGAGATGCCACAATTACCACATTCTCAGCCATGTCAAACCTGGATAGTGTAGAGGTGGCTTGCGTATATTGACAGCATCAAAGTATAAACACCCAAAGCAAGCAAGGCTTCCTGGTGTCAACCAGAGGGGTAAGGAAACTCAGAAGGAAATCTTCCAAGTAGGAAGTAGAAAAAAATGGGTCAAGTGTGTATAGGAAAGATACGAAAATCACCCAGAGAAATAAAAAAGACCAGGAAACCAGCAAGAGCCATCTTCCAGAATATCCCAGATTCAAGCCCCCAGCCAAAGGGTGGCTACCACCCACCTGCTCTGCATTTTGCCCTTCAGCTTGGTGGTCTGTGGCTGCTCCTCAGGCAGGCCATCAGGAGAGAGGGTTTCACATTGGGCTCGCCGCTGCTGCTCGAGGTTGTATTCCCGCAGCTCGGCCAGCAGGGTACCTGAGCAGGCAGAGGAGTCAGCAAGTGTTCAGAGACTCCCCTGGTAAAGTGGCTAAAAGCCAAATCTCTCTAAGACACCTGCTTAGGCCACTCTTCATTGCTCAGCTGCAGAGAACCTAGAGTGAGCTGGAATCGTGCTCTGTTCAGCTTATTATGCGTGTCCACGAACCGTCACCTGGGACTACCAATTTACCTATGGCCACAGGGATCTGCTGAATCTGCATGAAATGAGTTTCATGTAGAAGAGAAACAGTATCTCCTCTGGAGCTAAACAGACCATGGTTGAAATCCCATATATCTCTCAAAATTACTGAGGTTCTGTGGTGGTTTCAGGCAAATTTCTTGACCCCTTACCCAATTTGCTAACCAATATTAATACTGGGATGGGAATATTACTGCCTAACCTCATAACGTTGCTGTGACAATTAAGAGATAATTATATGGTAGAGTGCCTAGACAGTGCCTGGCCCATAGGTGTGGAATAGATGGTGGCAGCCAAGAGAGAAAGGTCAGAGGCCAAATTCTTTCTGGAAGAACGTTGTAATTTTCATGCAGCAAAGAACACCCTGAGTTATACAGGCCAACCAACTCTCCTATCACCCCAGACTTAGGGACATGGGGGTGAAGGAGAGAGAGAACTAAGTATGTAGCCAAGATCTAGGGAGACTCATGATTGGGATGAGGGTGGGACAGGGTAGACAGACTCTATGTTGAAAGAAAACCTGGCTGTACTCCTTGGTCCAATCACTTTATCACCCTGGGTTTTGGCTTTCTTCTCAGTAAAACAGGGAGGAAGATGATAGAAACGAGGTAATTTGTAACTGTTCTTAGAATTTTTATACCCTCAAAATTACACAAAAGCAGAGAGTACTATTCTGACTCTGTAATTCCTGAGGCTGAATGCAGTGTAGGGACATACTTTGAAGGGGTGAAGCTGCCTCAGCTGTCTTATGGGGCTCTTACGAGTGCCCAGCATGGAGAAGAAAGGAGGCGCTGCTGTTCCCATGTGTTCTCTTTTCTCTTCATTAAGCACCACTGTGTGCCGGGCAGCGGGGATGAGGAGACAAACCCAGCCTTGCTTTCAAACAACTGAGCAGAGGAAAACAGATGATAACCCAGGGTAATCTGTGTTACGACAGAGGGAGCATGGAGGCTGTGTTATAGGGATATGGAGGTATCTGATTCAGCTTGGGGATTCAGGAAAGGATTCCAGAAAGAGGAAGCACCTAAGTGGAAACCTTCAGAAAGAGAAAATGCTTTACTTCTGCTATTACCTATTTGTTTACAAAGGGTATAACCCAGATGGCGGGCTCCATTCAGTAGCAGCTTGAGAACAGTGTCCCGGGTCCCAGAGTCCCCCCGGGAGAGCTGCAGTAGTACGTTGGCTGCATCCTCTAAGCCTTCCTCAGAACAAGAGTGGGATGTCAACACCTGAGAAAAAGAAGACAGAAGGAGTAAGCCCCAGCCTGAGAACAAAATCATTATCTACCCTGTTTATCCTTTCTCCCCAAGTCTTAGCAGATCAGAAGAGCTTGGACTCACCTCTACAGAGAGCTGTAGCTGGTTTTCAGTGAGGCCAGAGGACACCATCTTAAAGTCTGTACTGCTGCTGCCCCCATCACTCACCTTCGCTGGAGATTTGCTGCCCTTAGTAGTGGGAGAAACTTTGAGGAAACAGACAGAACACTGTAAGCCTCTCTGAAACTCACAAGCCAGGGACTAAGTGACAAAATCAAGGAATCGCTGAATTGCCCAGGGCTTCAAAATGGGAAAGTACTGAAAAAGAAAACCCACCCACCAAAGGCAAATCTAAATGACTTGGGATGATAAAGGCTTTTTATTTTTTATTACAGACACGGTCTCGCTCTGTTGCCCAAGCTAGAATGCAGTGGCACAATCACGTCTCACCATAAACTCAAAGAGGACTCTTATGACTGTAACTTCTAAGCTGAAAAAGAAACCCCAGGCATTTCTTCCAACTATTCCCCCACCATCATGGCCCACTCTATTCTTTAAAACCTACTTCTTCAGATAATTCTTTCTTACTAATCTGTGGCAGGGCTCATTACCTTTATTTCCTGGGATGATCTGGTTACTCTGAATCACACTGTATCCTGCCCGCCCTTGAACTATTTCCCATGAGAACTGGCTCCCTCAACACAACTGGAAAGGCTGGGAATTCCCTGAGGATGGAACTTAACTTTCTTTCCTCCTTCTGGTGCCTAGCCTAGGGAAGCTACATTCAGTGAATGCCTGCTGACCTTCAAAAGAGTGTGTGTGTGAGAGGCAGGGGAGAGAGAGAAAGAGAGAGACACAGAGAGACGGGGATGGAGGAAGGGAGACAGAGTGAGAGAACTGGGACAGATGAGGGTGAGAATGAACACATTCTGTTCTCACAAACACAAACCAAGCTGATTGCTATCACTGAGGGAGAACTATCTGGATGGAAAAGGGGGTGAAGTGGGTGCCACAGTATATACCCCACAGCTCCCAGTCTACATCCACACTTACTTGAAACAGTAGTGGTAGCAGTCGTGGGGGTAGTCACTGTGGTCGAAGCAGCTACGACAATGGTGGAAATAGCCGTGGCAGCAACCAGGGCTGGAGCAGAAGTGACAGGGGTGGGTGCAGTAGGGGGTGTGGGCGTGGTGGAGGCGGCAGTGGTGGTGGTGGTAGATGTGGTTGAGGTGGCAGTGGTGGTGGAGGAAGCACCGCTGCCAGAATTAGCCTGTGCTTCTGACACCTTGTTTTCTGGGAGAGCAATTGAGATGAGAGAAAGGAGTCTGAGGAGTTTCTCAGTTAAGAGAGAGCTCCGGCGGATGACTGGGTGTGACAACATGTTCATGAGCTGCCCCAGTGGAGAGGCCTCGAGGCTGTATGGAGAGGTTTCCCCCTCACCGCCAGCGCTCACTGGCACTGACTTCACGGAGTTCTTGCCTTTCCGGCTGACATTCATGTTGTCCAGTTTTACCAATAAGTCCCAGAAGTCTGTGCAAATGCCACTGCTGGAGGACTGTGAGGAGCATGGGCTACAGGCCTTATTGCCCCTTTCCCGATCACTCTCACAGTTTGTTTCTTTGGTCCGCTGCTGTGTGAAGTGGCTGGGAAATACCTGCCGGGAAAAGGAGGACAAGGCTTGGTCTAGGACGTCTTCACAGAGGATGAGCCTTCCTGATAGGGAAAAGACAACTGGTTCCCAGACTCCTTCAGACAATTTTGGTAAATATTGGGGGATATGTCATATAAGAGTTTTATCCAACAGACAGTAAAGCAGCCTAGAGAAATGAATGAGGGCTTTGTAGCAATACAGACTCACGAGCAAACTTTTCCTGAGCTTTAGTCTCGCACTTATAAAATGGAGATAACTACACTTCCTTGCAAAGTTGTTGGAGATTAAACGACATGATGTATTTTGCACAGTGCCTGGCACAAGGCAGGCCTTTGATAGATGGCAGCAATGCTTATTATTGAAAGAACACTAAATTCTAGGTCCAGCTCCATCACTTTCTAATCATAAGACAAAATGAATAAAATGTTCTGAATCTCAGGTTCTTCATCTGTAAAACAGGAATCATACAGCCCAGTTGTTTTGATGACTAAATAAGACATACATAAAAATGGAAAAGAATGAAGAAAAAACCCCAGAAATATATAGGACAATCCCCTAGAAACAATACAGGGCTCAACACTTAAAATAAGAGCAAAAAGACACGCTAGCCTGCTTAGTGTTCAACTTTCACCCAGGCTCTTGCTGCCACCCTTCTTCCATCCCCAGGAGTTGGGTTTGAAACCCTCACCTTGGCCAATTGAATGAGTGTATCCAAAACGTGTCTGCAGACAACAGGAGCAGCTTGGGGATGGATGTGGACGGTGGAGCCACCGCTTGCATGCTTCTCGGTATGTTTACGCCCCCCTGAACGCTGGATCTGAAATATATTAGTCCTGCAGCCTAGGGCTGCATCCATGGATACTGAGAGCCAGGAAAGCTGGTTGGAGCTCTTTGACTCCATCTTGTGTAGCAGGTCCAGGGGACGGTTCTCATGGCTACTTGACCCACAGCTCTTGCTCGACTTTTTGCCCTTTTCCTCACTTGTAGTGAGTTTGGGTGTTTCAATGCATAGCTCACTCTCACTGCTGCGCTGCAAGATGGAGAGCAGACTGCGGATGACCCAGTGGCGGGTCTGGGCATGGTAGCAGAGATTTCTCAGTACTCGGTGTAGACGGCTAGTATTGAGCTTTGGCTCATCCACAAAAAGTAGGACCAAGAGACAAGAAAGGGCTTCGTGGTCCAGAAGGAGCCGTCCTCGGAGGCGGAGGAGAGTATCTACATTACTGCCAGAAGGCCTGGAAACAGAACATGGTTTTTGGGTAACACTTCAGTGGCTAGAGCTCTGGGATTAGGCATAAGAATGGGGGAGGGGAATGAGCTAGGTATCTCCAAGGAGGCTTGAGAAAGGTGGGTGTCCAGTCCAAGGGCTCTTCATAGTAACAGCTGCCCTCTTAGGTGTCTACTATGTACCAGGCACTTTACAATGACTGTACATCATCCTTTCAGGGCTGCTGTACAGCTTAGAGAATGAAGCCCCCCACCCCCACCAGCTTTTTGTTGAGATGGAGTCTCGCTCTGTCACCCAGGCTGGAGTGCAGTGGCGTGATACCGGCTCACTGCAACCTCCACCCCCTAGGATTCAAGTGATTCTCGTGCCTCAGCCTCCCGAGTAGCTGGGATTACTAGTGCGCGCCACCACACCCGACTACTTTTTGTATTTTTAGTAGAGATTGGGTTTGCCATGTTGCCTAGGCTGGTCTTGAACTCCTGGACTCAAGTGATCCACCTGCCTCAGCCTCCCAAAGTGCTGGGATTATAGGTGTGAGCCACGACAACTGGCCGAGAACCACCCATTTTTGAGATGATAAACAAGAGGCTCAAACAGGTTAAGTGACTTGCCCTACATCACACGGCGACTGAGAAGACAGCAGAGATTCCAGCCCAGGTATCATCCATCGACTGGTAAAATCTGACCATACCTAAGTCTAGGAGACAATGCTAGTTTCTGCCTTCTCTAGACTACCAGGAGTTTGTGGCCTTGTAGGAACCAATCACTCCTTTCACATTTTGGCATGTCAGGCCCACTCTGTTTTAGCCTGGCTAACTCACTCCTCTATACTTCCTTAGCCTAGGTGTTACAAACTCAAGGCAGGTGGTTAGTTGTTTTACTACTTGCATGGGAGACAAGTGGTGTTCCTTCTTGTTAAAACCATAGTTAGCACCTGCTGCCGGCCTGCTTTTGCGATTGTGGTCTTTGGTAGCAAGACTAACCAAAAGGTGTAGTTTTCTGAATGGGGAGTCCAAAGATCTGGCTCTCTCACTTATTCAAGGAAATGGCTTAGAGAGACCATCCATCCTGCCTGTCAGGATTTCAGCTTCTCCACCTATAAAACTAAGGGAGCTGGGCTAATAGACTTGAGTGGTGATATGGTAAGGTAAAAATAGACAAAGGTACCTGTTATGGCTGCTGCTACCCCCCATCTGGAAGGTGCCACCTCTCTGCACAGCAAGGCGAGTATACTGGACCCCACGGTTGCCACTTAAGCGACTGGTGAAAGCTGGAAGGAAAGAAAAAGAAAACTGAGATTGTGGAGAGGGTGTAAACTGGATATAGGTAATACAAAGGTAAGAAAACATAGCCTCATCTGGCTAAAGCTTTCCAGAGCCCTCCCACTTGCCTCCCTCTGTACCCGGGCTTCGGAGAATAGCAGAGAGTGCGGAGGTGCTACTGTGCCCAAACAGACGCTCATGCATGAGCTGTCGCTGCCGGGCTTCTTGCTCTCGTCTCAGGGCTTGAGCCTCAGCTGCAATGTCAGGTGGCATCACAGCTAACACACTGTCCTCCATATCCTCTAGGACACTACGGCGCAGGTCTGAGGGCAGAGTCTGGATGAAGGTCACAGGGTCCATAGGGGTGTCTGAGCTGGCATTCTGTGCTAGTTCTCGTCGCTGCTGCTCAGCTCTCTGCTGTGCCAGTACCTATGGAGCAGAAAAAGTCAATGAGGGCATTTCTCCTGCCAGGCAGCCTGGCCCCACCACCTTCCCGCTCACATACTTCCTCCTGAATGGCTGGAGGCAGGGCAGCCAGAAACTCAGGGCTCACTTCAGTCACACCAGGATTCCCCACCACTGCAGGCGCTGAGCTATTTGTGGAGGGGGCAGTCCGGGTTGGTGGACGAATGCCTAGCTGGTTCTGTAGAACTTCCCGACGGATGTCATCAGGCAGGGCAGCCAGAAAAGAGGGGTCCACACCTTCAGGGAGACTGATACCTGAAGGGAGATATAACATGTAAAGGGATTCACGCCTTATTAATTGCTTGAGACGGGGTCTTGGTCTGTTGCCCAGGCTGGAGTGTAGTGGTGCAACCCTTGCCTCACTGCAGTGTTGAGCTCCTGGGCTCGAGTCTTCCTGCCTCAGCATCTTGAGTAGCTGGGATTACAGGCATGCACCAAAATGCCTGGCTAATTTACATATATATTTTTGTAGAGATGGGGTCTCCCTATGTTGCCCAGGCTGGTCTTAAACTCTTGGCTTCAGGTGATCCTCTGACCTCTGCTTCCCAAATTTTCAGGATTACAGGCACGAGCCACCGCGCCCAGCCTCTCACACCTCTATTGGTGCCTAATATGTACTTGGAGAAAATAAACCCATGTCACTCCTTGAGGGAAACCAGTGTATATGTCTTCACTGCTTGCAAGACATGGGACACAGAGAAGGCCCACCCCACCTTCCCTGGGCTCAGAACAGCTTTTGTTATTTGCTAGACTGCATGCACTGTTACTTACCCTTCATAAATAACCTACCACGCAGATATCATCACCCCCTCGGTATCATTCATGATCACAGAAATTAAATAATGACCCTAGGTTGTAAAAGGTAGAAGTGGCAGAGTGGGGGAATTTGAGTGAGCCAAGATCAGTTTGACTCCTAAGGCTGGACCCGTTTCATTATGCCATACCAGCACCCCCGCTTATTGTCAGTCCTCCCACATACATGCCCTCCATCTAAATGGAACTGTTTGGCTGGTGGGCATTTCCATGCCAAGGGCTACTAGAAGCCAAAACAATCCCAGGATGACCTGGGCATACACGGAACTCACCCGCAAGGGGATCTTCTTCTTCACTGCTTGTTGAAGGCAACGGCTCTTCTAGGATTCCTCGGGAATCTGCTCCAGAAATGGCCACGGCAGAATCTCTGGTGGAAGAGCTCTCAGAGGATGCAGGTGGGGAGCTGAGGGAAATCATGCTCAGGTTGCTGTCTGTATTATGTCTTCTCGTTTATAAAACACTGCTACAATACCCCTTTCTCACAGAAACCAGCTTTATCTCCCCAGCATAACAAGCATGTCCATTAGTTGACGAGTATGAAATGTGCTTTGAAAGACCCTCCAATATATCCTACCCTTCTTTTGCCCACACATGCTTACCTGTCCTCAGGTGGCTGGGCAGATTCCCCTGACCCATCACTCCTGCCTTGCACTTCCGCCACAGCTGGTGGGGCATCCCCAGGAGTGGAGCTGCCTGCTCTGGGCTGCTCAGAACTGCCAGCTGCTGAAGTGTCACCCACAGCCTCCTCTAAGGTACAGGAAGCCAGGCTGCTTGTATCCATAGGAGAGCCTTCTAGCTGACTGCTGACAGCCGTCAGTGCATCAGAATCCTCAGCTCTCTCTGGGGAAAGTGAGGCTAGGAAGAAGTTGCAGGGAGAGGTTAGGTTTCTATCTGGAACCGGGGCAAAATGACAGATAAGGTCTTTGATAGGGCTGCTTCCTTAGGGGCATCTCAGCTCAGACTTCTCACTTCTCCCTTGCTGTCCCCCTCTCAATCTCACTTTGAGATTTCTAAGGTTCAGCTGAAGCCCTTTCTATCAATTCTTGAACATTTACTGTGTTCCAGGCATGCCTGTGAAACATCTTCCCTAGGCAAACCAGGTAAGGGATTTTTTTTTGGCAGGGGGATGGAGTCTCACTCTGTTGCCCAGGCTGGAGTACAGTGGCACAATCTCGGCTCACTGCAATCTCCGCCTCCTGGGTTCAAGCAATTCTCTGCCTCAGCCTCCTGAGGAGCTGGGATTACAGGCACCTGCTACCACGCCCGGCCAGTTTTTTGTATTTTTAGTAGAGATGGGGTTTCACCATCTTGGCCAGGCTGATCTTGAATTCCTGACCTCATGATCCACCTGCCTCGGCCTCCCAAAGTGCTTGGATTACAGGTGTGAGCCACCGCGCCCAGCCCGGGTAAGGGATTTTTTCACTTTGATTCACTGCAGGCACCACTTGCACGTGCATATCCCTGTAGTTCTCTAAATAAACAAGGTTTCGGTAGGGCGCAGTGGCTCATGCCTGTAATCCAAGCACTTTGGGAGGCCGAGGCGGGTGGATCACCTGAGGTCAGGAGTTCCAGATAAGCCTGGCCAACATGGCAAAACCTCATCTTTACTAAAAATACAAAAATCAGCTGGGCATGGTGGCGTGCACCTGTAGTCCCAGTTACTTGGGAGGCTGAGGCAGGACAATCACTCCAACCTGGGTGGCGGAGGTTGCAGTGAGCCAAGACCACACCACTGCACTGCAGCCTGGGTGACAGAGCGAGACTTTTTCTCAAAAAATAAATAAATAAAATAAAATAAAATAAAATAAACAAGGTTCCTTGAAAGAAAAAACTGACACCTTAGGGTCTCTCCAGAGAACTTCACAAGCAAGATGGTATAGAGCAGGGATGGCAAGCAGGTATCAATTTATCCTGTTGAAATACTGCTGAGAAGACTTTTCAGGCCCCATTTCAAACCAGTGAGAAATAGTGTCATGAGATAAACAGTGTCTGCCAGGAGAATGGGAGAGCTCTAAGTGTGGGATGACATGCTTGCCATCCTGGGAACTGTGGAAGGAGAGAGTAATCTTTAAAGTCAGACAGATCTGGGTTTTAATTCTAGTTCAACCACTTACAGAGTGACTTGGGCTAATTATTTCATTTCTGAGTTTCAGTTTACTCATGTAAATAACACCATCGATTTTGGAGAGTTTTTTTTTCCCCCCAATAGAGATGGGGTCTATGTTGCCCAGGCTGGTCTCAAACTCCTGAGCTCAAATGATCCCCCTGCCTCAGCCTCCCAAAGTGCTGGGATTATGAGTCATCATACCCAGCTGGAGAGTTGTTTTTAAATAATAAGCCTGGGGTGATAGCCCAGAAACAGAGTAATTGCCTCAATGAACTGTTGGTATCATCACCAATATCATTAGACATTCAACTATCACCAGTTCAGGACCTCAACTTCACTTAAGAAAGTGAATGCGCAAGACGAGATCTTATTATTTGAGAAGTTGAACTCCTACTATTTCTCTCAAGCAAAAGAGCAAAGAGAAGCTACAAAGACATCCTTTCTTCCCTCTTGTTTCATCCTCCCCAAATGTTGAAATTCTACTCACTTATAGTGGGAGCTGGGGATAACTCCATCTGAGTTGTTTCTGCTTCCCCACTTGGCCTTGTGGGACCCAATTCCTCTGGCTCTACAGGCATCAATAGCTGTGTAGAGCTGCCCCCTTCTCCAGCTGGAGACTGCAGCTCCTGAGGAACCTCTCCCAAAGCTGGTGGGGTTGGGAGTGTTGGTTGCTGTTGTGAGGATTGCAGAGTGCCAAGGGTCTCCTTGGACTCAGATGTAGCTGCATCAGTTGAAGATGGGGTTGTTGGGTAGCTGTCAGGCATAGGCGTCCCATCTTTCTCGGAAAGAACAATAATAGTGGTTAAGGGGCAACCAGCCAATGATGAGGGGAGCCACCCCAATCAGCAAATGTGGCCTGATAAGTATCCCACCCAGCCAGTGATCATCCCCACAACAAAAATACTCCAAGGAACATCTCTGGTCTGGTATACTAAGGATGAAGGTTAAGGCACAGTGCTATCTCTGTCCCAAGAATGCAAGAACTGGAGCTCTGACTCTGTGGATTCTAAGAATAAAATCCTTTCTGTGCCCTGCAGGTGGAAGGGGGAAGATTTCAGGCCATATAGGGTGAGGCTAAATGTCTCTGACCTATAGGTACACAGAAAATCTAACTACCAAAATCCTATTGATCCTCCCACTTCATCTATTTGGAGCAAGAAATGGTCAGAATTTCGTTCAAAACTCTATTTGTTTTTTTTGGAGACAGGGTCTCACTGTTGCCCAGGCTGGAGTGTAGTGGCACAATCATGGCTCACTGCAGCCTTCACCTCCCGGGCTCAGGTGATCTTCCCACCTCAGCCTCCCAAGTAGCTGAGACTATAGGCATGTGCCACCATACCTGACTAATTTTTTGTATATTTAGTAGAGACAGGGTCTTGCCATGTTGCCCAGGCTGGTCTCAAACTCCTAAGCTCTAGCAATCCACCCACCTCGGCCTCCCAAAGTGCTGGGATTACAGGCGTGAGCCACTGCGTCCAGCCCTTCAAAATCTTTTTTTTTTTTTTTTTTTTCCTGAGACAGAGTCTTGCTCTGTTGCCCAGGCTGGAGTGCAGTGGCGTGTTCTCAGCTCACTGAAGCCTCCACTTCCTGGGTTCAAGCAATTCTCCTGCCTCAGCCTCCTGAGTAGCTGGGACCACAGGCGAGTGTCACCAAGCCTGGCTAATTTTTGTATTTTGAGTAGAGGCGGGGTTTCGCCGTGTTGGCCAGGTTGGTCTCGAACTCCTGACCTCAGGTGATCCACCCGCCTCGGCCTCCCAAAAATGCTGGGATTACAGGCATGAACCACTGCGCCTGGCCCAAAATTCTTAAAGTATGCTTTCCATTCCCTTGCACACATTCCTGTTCTATTACTAATAAAATGCAATCATTACACAGTTGAAGAATAGCAAAATGAGTTCATGCCCAAAGGTAAAATAATTATATGCTCCAATTAATGAAAGACAAGTCACTTTATAATGACATCTGCCTCACCCTAAACACCATCTGTCCCCTTCCATGTCTCTTTTCTTCCAGTCCAAATTATCCAAGGAACATCTACAACTTTGTCTGATGGAGGCAACACTGCTAAGACTAAGTGTGAATATGCCACACACCAGGGAAAGTAGTAAGTTGTATAGTTATCTTCTAATTGGGGCCTAATATCCCTACCCCACAACAATACAACTTACTACCTCACCCTGGCATGAGCAGAATCCTCTAATAAGGGCAGCAGGCAAAAGGCCATTTTACATGGTGACAGACTCTTTTAAAGATCTTTTGCTAGATTAAGGGTACCAAGGCATCTACCCTACTTCACTGCTTTAAAAAATATTGTGCAGGCTTTGGTACAATCATTTTCCAACTCAAGTGCGAAAGGAGACAGGTGTAGGGAGGCAGAAGAATGTTCTGAGGAAATATGGGTGGGGGAGACATATGATATCACATGAACCAACTGATAGAATCACAAAATGGCTACTGACCATTGTTAAGAAGATCAGAGGGAATAGGAAACATACGGCAGTCATACCACTAAGCCCAGAGAGCTACCTTCATGAACAGCACACTATCCAAGACAATGTTCCTAGACTTTTAGATTCCATGGACCAATAAAATTTAATTAAAAAAAGAACAAAAAGTAGAGACTAATGTAGGGGTTGCCAACTTTTAGTTTAGCCATGTAAGAAAAAACATCCAATCAACATCATTTAATAAAAATATTTTGGTACCACAGAATTAGGAATATGATCTCTAAATACAAAAACAGCCTTTTAAATGGAATAAATTCAGCTTTATGAAAAAGGCATTAAAGCTCCTTGATTTTGTTCGTTTCCACAGAGGACTGGCATTTGAGAACCACTGTCATCAGTTATTCTCATGAAGTGCCACACCATGGTGGTCATCAAAGGACCAGCCACTTCAAAGATGTACATGAACATGCTGTTTCAGAGGACAGAGTTGCAGTCAGGAAATGAACAAGACACATGACCTCATTACCCATGCCAGAACAAAGTAGATAATAACCAGAACAAGAACCTGAACAGAGCCAGTCGGAGAAGAAGTGTACCACCGTGGGAAAGACAGTAGACTGTATAGTTATCTCCAAGATGGGGTATGACCCTAAAACTATACAATCTACTACCTCATCCCACAGAGCACCAGTGTCCATCTTCAGCCTATGTGGGCCAGCTACTCGGAACTATCAGGATAAAGAAGCAACCAATTGATTAGTAAGAAGGGAGAAAGGGAAGGAGAGTTACCTGAGAGATTCTGTTCAGTGGAGTCATTTGACTTAGATGCAGTACACTGCAAAAAGAAGGGATAGACCAATGTGGGACTTTGCAAGCACCTAAGATAGAGGTCAACTGTAATAGTCACCATCCTCCACCCAGACCATCTAGGAGTTCAGTGATCTAATGGAGAATGCTTTGGCCATGTGACCAAAGGAAGGTGATCATTTCACTGTGCAAATATATGACCAATTTCTCTATACATACTCAGGTTCAAGAATTGTTTGGGGCTGAGGGGGAAATAAATATGGAAGGAAAGGATAATAAAAACCCCTTAGGGATGGGCACGATCATGATCATTCTAGCAAGAATTTCTTGGTTTCATCTATGTATTTTTTCCCTTCATGGGGCTTATTTTTTATTTTGTCCACTCTAGTCTTTTCAGTCACAGGCTAGGTTCACTTATTTTTCATCCTATATCAAGTTTGAAACAATGTGTGTATTAGGTAAAAAGTTCTATATAAAGATATTTGTTAGATCAACCTTGTTATTTTAACTGAACACTTCACTACCCTTATTTTTAATCTACCTGATTCCTTAACTGCTGAGTAGGGTATACTAAAGTCTTTCACTCTCAAGTCTTATTTCTTTGTATTTCTATCAGTTTTTCCCCCTTTTATATCAAGTGATACACTGTAATGTATAATTCTATCAACATTTACTCAGACATTTAAAAGATCTCTGTCTGAGGTCCCAGAAGTTTCAGAAAAAAGTAGGTAACTTCCTTCTAAACCAAAATTGTATTAGTGATTTTATACATGTGAGCCCTAGAAAAAATGACATGTGGTGATGGGGTTCAGAGTACAAACATTTTCTCTGATCTGACACCTAGGCTGATCTTACTCAAATGACGGAATGGGGTCATCTCGGTAAGATTCCCCACACTGGCAGTTCACCGACAGAAATGGAAGTGGGCGACTAAGAGCATGGACTTAGATAAGGTTTTTCTCCTTGTCTTGATGCTGTCCTTGGCGGTAGAGACTATGCAGTGTGACTGTTGAGTGAGAAGCCATTCTGCTTCTGGCTCCAGTTTTTCCCTTGACACTTGAGAAATCTCCCCTCTAGGTTTGAATTCTTTCCCCTAAAAACCAGGTCAATGTATGGTGAATTTGAAATAAAAAATTTCCCAGGTTCAACGTGAACGTTCTAGGATTCTTCAGTGATTCCTGGTGCCATGTGTATGCCAAAACCACATTACGGCAGACACAGTCAAAGATGAATCCTCCCAGCCCTTGGGAATCACCTGTGCACTCTGATCCCTGTTCTCCTTATCTTCTTTGCCTTTATCAGTTATCTTTGTTTCTTCCTCAGCCAGTTGTTTCCTGCGCTTCTCTCGCCTTTCTTCCAGCTCCTCATCCCTCAGGAATTCCAGGTGATTGACAATGGACACTTTAACCACTGTTTCAAAGAGGCAAAAATCAAAGGCTGCTCTGGTGGGGTCAGGGAGGAAGCCAAGAGGCAGAGCTTGTAGCCACAGAGAACCAGGGAAACAACTCTCCACACGTTTGCCCTAGCTCTGGAAGGCTCACTATTGCCCTGATAACCAAGCTGCCACGCACCTGAAACACAGTCATGCATGCTCTCAGCATCGAGAACTTTGCATTCTTCTGTCCAGCGGGTCAGGGCTGTGGGGATGCTGGACAGGGTTCCTGTAGGGACAGCAAAGGGGAATGAGATTCTTGGCCTTGTCAAGCATTAACTGATCCACCGATCCAAAAATTGCAGTATTTCCCTAAAAGGACCCAAGGTCTATCACAATGTTTAGAACATAACAAGTACCTAGAGACAATAAAGTTTTTGTTGCCCATGGCTAAGTCACTGAGTGGTTCTGGCTCCTATAAAATGGGGGTTTTCTATAGGGCAGACACTGTCTTGCTTTTCCTCAGCAGGGAAAAAGTAGAATCTGACAAATTCTACCCTCCCTTTCACCACACAAACTTGCCTGCTTGGCTGGTAGCTGTGCTCTGATCATGGAAAAAGTCATCCAGCAGCTCATCATCAGAACGGGCGATGATGTGGACGTCATCGTTGCCTACCAGGAGGCGGGCCCGACCCCGGCTTTGTAGGGGAAGGCTGCTGCTCAGCTGAAGGATGTCAGCAGCAGCTGAGGGACCAAGCAACCTGTAGGGTAATGGTGGGTACCATGATCACTGTTAAGTCCAGAGGTGCCCTGCAACCTGTTACCATGAGATCCTCTTCATGCATCCTCTATTAAATGCAGAACATGATTATAAACCTGATGATGTGCACACAAGTCTAAGTTATTTTTCTGAATACCACCCTGGTTTTGTACTTAAGTTGTATATTATTCCATAGTTCCTGGCACCAAGTGGGTGTCAATAAGCTCCCACGTGCCAGGCACTGCGTCAGGTCACATTGCCTCCACTACACCCTCTCTGTCGTCTGTACACCAACCATTACAACACTTATATGCCTTTCTTTTACTTCTTAAGATTGTTTGTCTCACTAAACTCTAAGCCTGAGGGCAGGGATCTTGTCCCGTCTATATCTAAAGTGTTAAGTGCTTGGCATGAGACACTTAATAATTGCTAAATACATGCGCAGAACTATTGACATAATTTGGTATTCCCCAAAAGGCTGCACTCCCCAAAAGGCTACACATGTAATCCACAAAGAAATGGAACAAATACCTTATTTGTGTGTATGACAAGAACATTAAGTGATGGACTATTTCCCCCAAGGTTAAGACAATGCTAAAGCACAGTGAAAATTCTTACAAGAGCTCCGATGAATCCAACAGATCTCTGTAACTCACCTCTGCAGTATAAGAGGAGGGTTGGGCTGGCGATTCCCAGGGTAGTGAACATGAATGGTGTGGCCAGTATTGGCCGTCAGCTGCCTTAGGGTCCTCTGACTGCGCCCGATGCCCTGGGTGAGACGAGTTGTTGAAGAGCCACTGCCCAGTGTCAGAGAACTGTGGTCTGCATGGCGCACCATCAGTGGATGGGTGGTAGGGATATTTCCTGGGGATGGGGGGATGTCTGCTGCAAGGACAATATGTAAAAGGGTCAGTGTCAAAAAGAAATTTCTTCCATGTTTGTTCAAGCAGAATCATGTCTCCTGGGCCTTACTTCCTCACACGGAAACCTGAGCTTTGTCCTTTCTCCCTCATTCCCACAACTCATCTACAATCACTGACACTACCATAGCTTATGCCATCATCTCTCACTTAGATACTGCAACGGCCTCCTAAATAGTACCTTCTCCCAATCCATTTTCCACACTACAGTCACAGTGATGCTTCTAGGCCCCTCAGATACATGCTGCTCCCTTCACCTTGAAGACTCCTCTCCCGCTTCTTTACCTGCTCTTCTCTTCTTGGCCTAAGATGTCACTTTCTCTGTGAAGCCTGACTTCCACAGATTGGGTTAGGTAACTCTTTACCTCTGTGCTCTCTTACTATAGTGCAATGTAATGCCTGCTTAGTTATGATTCCTAATAAACCACTCCTATGAGGAACGAGGACTGTTTTCTTCTTTACTGCTGTATCCCTAGTACCTAGGATACAGTAGGCACTCCTCAAATATTGTTCAATTTGCTGAATGGACAGAGGCTCAACTCTAAGGGAAACTGATGAAAATCACAAAAATGCAAAATAATCATAGATGTTATCTTCAAAGTTATCTAATCCAACCCATTTTTTTCTCGAACTTTTCATTTACAGGTGACAAACTGAGGCTCAAAGAGGTAAGAGATTAATTGGCCAAGAAAACAGACCAGAACAGTTCAGTGTTTTCTGCTACATCATGCTTGTGATTTAAGTTGTCAAGACCTGCCCTATCAAGACAGCTTGATTCTAAGAACTCGATTCTAACTTGACGCTAAAAGGGAAGTTTCACGGTGATGGGGGAGGAAGAGATTCACTCGTTCTCCCGAAAAGACGCATCCTGGATGAATAGAGTGAGTATGTTCAAATCTGCTCCCCAAAGCCAAGCTCAAAGGTGACCATTCAAACCCTCAAGATCTTGTGTTATGGACATAAGGATTATTGATTGCCCTGCCACTGTGGTGTGCACATGGGTGCCTGATGCAGTCAGCCTTGGTCTCTTTCTTTTTTTTAATCAAGCAAATCATCAAGTTGTCCAGGCTCTAAAATGGCTGCCTATTTACTGAGGTGAAGGGAACAAAAGCAGCCTCTCACTATTCCTTCTCCTAAGTATACACTAATGAGACAGATGGATTCAGATATCCCTTGCCCCAGGAAGTCAGCATAGGAAAAGAAGTGCTGTCTGTATCGGATCGGTTTGGTCCACTGCTTGGCTTACCCTAGAGAAGGGTATAAGAATCAAGAGAGAAAAACCCAGCTGAGCCCCTGTATCTTACTAGCACTGGAGAACATGTTGTCAAACTCAATGATGAGATCATCCTCCCGGTCAAAGCGCTCAAATCGGACCAAGGGAGAAGCGTTCATATCAGGATAATCCTCATCCAATTCCATCTCAGAGCCATCGTCGTCATCGTCTTCATCTCCCTCTTCACCTTCATCATCCTCCTTAAGGGAAAATAGGAGATGGAGAATTGCTGGAGGTAAGGGTTTTCTGAAGCCTGGTGCCATGGCCACATGTGCACATGAGGGAGGGAGACGCTGAGGCTAGCAACCCAGACTGTTGGTTTTCTGCAGCTCTATGTTCCCATGGAAGAGGTCATCTGAACCAACCCAAACGCAGTCCCCCCTCACCTGATCATCTTCCTCATCTTCCTCCTCCTCCTCCTCTTCATCCTGACTATCATCCTCATCCTCGTTACTGCCACTGCTGTCCTCTTCCTGAGTGTGCTCCTCCTCATCCTCAGGGTCCAGGATATTCATGGAATCTAAAACAAAGGGAGCACATTGGAGGACTAAACTGAGTAGCTAGAAAACAGGCTACTGTGCAGGCCAGCAGGCTGAGTGGGAAGGTGATGGGATATCTGACTCTATGAGAGGAAGAACCAGATCTGGGGTGATGTACAGACTTAGTGAGCCAGACCCGATTTCCTGAGAGTGCCAATCAATGCATCAACACACTGAGCAGGGTGGCTGAATGTGGAGGCTGGCTAGAGGGTGGTGCTTGAGGAGCCATGGTCTAGGACTTGGCCAAGTCTGCTGGTGCCCCCTTGCCTTTTCAGCCCTACTTTGCTATTGACTATATCCTGTTGGCAAGAGGGAACCTGGAGCGATGATAGCAGGTGGGTGAGAAGAAAGCGAACCAAGTAAGAAGTGACAAACTTTGGGCAAGCAGTAGTAACATGTTATTTGAAAAACTGGCTGAGGATAAAGTGGATGGTGTATGTCAGCGCATGCAGACAGATGCTTCCTTATTCTGCACATGTGGGCAGCTGCCTCCAGGAAAACCCTAGTGTAGTGTCTGTCAGACGTGCAGGGCAAGAAGGGAGGCCTTTCTGGCCTCGGCACTCTCACCTTCTCGGTTGGCCTGCAAGGTGGAAGCTTGGCTGAGGTTGGAAGGAGCTTCATCCATCAGCACGTCCTCTTGTGATTCATCCTCTCCACTTCTGCTCACTGAAGGTTACAGAGCAGAGCCTTCACTGAACAACAGAGGACTTCCCTTTCCAGACTGGGTGCGTCTAAAGTAGCTATGTACACCTAGCAGATATCCACTTTTTTTTGGATGAGGGAGAAGACCTGGATTGTCTGCTGTCAGCTAGCTAGGTGAGCTTGGCCAGTCACTTTACCTGTCTGAGTCTCAGTTTCCTCATCTGTAAAACAGGATGATCACATCTGCCCTGCCAATCCCACTAATTGTGAAACCACAGAGGATACTGGGTATAAAAAAGCTTTGTAAAACTTAAGAATACGTGTCTACTTCCATTTATCCTTTGATTTCCTTGATCAACAAAGTAAAAACAAGTAACACATACACCCTCAGAGCCAGGTGACAGTAGGGTACCTTTGCCATTTTCCCTCTGAGATTTATAAAGGGCCACCCTCAGGGAATGATCATTCTTTTTACACTACTGAGACTCAGGGGCAGAAAGCCCCTGGACTTCATTGAAGAACTGAAAGGCAGCGCTTTCTCACCCTACAGCCTCCTCTAGGCCTCCATGAATAAACACTCTTTTGATGTGCTTGATGTATCATCTGTATCAATGGCCACTCCCACCACCTCCCCCACACAGGCAACACTTTAGACTGCCACAGGCCTGTAGACGTCTTGTGAATTTCTCATCTGTAAGACCGTCAACATCAAGACAAGCAGCGATCTAGGCTGGCTATGAGCCCTTAGGCAGAGCTGAGCAAGCAGATGATGAGAAAAAGGGTCCTCCCAAGAGAGACTGAGGCAAAGGAAGAGGCTATACTCAGTTCTGGGGCTCTCACCTATAATTGTACTGTTCCCAGATCCGCCATCCCTCTCAAGCAACTCATCTATCAGGTCCTCCAGCTCATTCTCAACCTGGAGAGAAATAGAACATATATATGGATGCACACAAGTCTATCATTGTGCTAGCACCGAAACCCTAAAAAAGGCCAGCAAAGCAGCATACATTTCTAGGATAACATGTGACAGAGGATGTTACGTGAAACCACACATTCGGTGCTAATTAGCACAGAAACTACCACGTGCTACCAATCCACAACCAGACTATCCTTCAAATGGGTCCATCCCAGTTATCTGATACTGGGTTGTCTTTATACTGTCCAGGAAGACATAATAGATCTCTTTAAAGCCAGCAGCTTAGGACCACAGGCCCAATTTCTTACCCAATGCTACCAGCTCCAGAAATTACAATGCTTTCCTTTAGGGTCTTTAGAAGACTGCTGTTTTAATGCCCCAGCAAGAGCTGGTGCTATAGGCATAAGGTGGTGTTAAGGAGCTTCCAATAATGACCAGAGCCAAAGTAAATCAAAGACCCGGGGCCCAACGGTCTCAGGTCAGCTTTCTACTTCAACATTTCACCTGTGCCTAAGTTTTCTGGTTGGGATCTATATCATTTCATAGTACATGGCATCCTGGCCCTGCCCCCACCCCTCTTTTAATACAGTACAAACACATTTACTGAGCATCTACTAAGCATATCACCCATGCTCCTCTGCAAAGCAGCCAGCATTGAGGCAAGGATCTAAAGTACTCACCCACCCACACCACCTGGCAAGGGTTTGGTTCAGCGCCGCAACAGGGAAATGCTGGGTGATCTGCCTCCCTACCTGCATCTCTTGTGAACTGAGCACCTCAGGCTGCCCAGCAATCACCACTGAGTCGGTTTCAGCCTCCCCATCCATGATATCCCCATCTGCCACCTCTGTCTGAGTGACATCATGATCCTCCTCCTGCACTTCTGCTTCCCCAGGCTCGCCTGAAACAATCAACCAACCAGCAAAATAATCAAAGAGTGCCTATGTGCTGGGCACCATGAGGCAAGCGCAAAGACAATAAGGTCCCTTCCTTGGGCAAGTTTGTAAGTTCTCAGAGAATAAACGAATGGGTGACAAAGGAAAAGACAAGGCTACGTGTGAGGATAGCCAAACAAGGCTGCATTTTGAAGGAATTCTTTGTGGGGCAGATTCCCACGCCACTATGACAGATCTCTGGAAGGCCAGCAAGTTCCCAGGGAAACACCACCAAGCCAGAACAGTTGTGATCCCAGGCCCATAAAGCAACTACTCCCACCTCTCCAGTCCATTGGCTCTGATTCCCTACCTGGGTCCTGCTGGTTGCTACTGGAATCTTGAGAGGCTCCTTGGGCATCCTGCTCAGACTTGTTCTTGCTAGAAGCACTCTTGCTGCCAAAAAGGCTACTGGGCTGGTTCACAATCCGGGAAAGTGTTTCCAAAGGCTTCAGAGCAGCATTGACTGTGTTGGCCATGTTGGGACTGAGATAAGGGAAGATAAAGAGATGGACTGAGCACAGAAATACTAGGTGTCTATCTTCTAAATGACACTAAGCTTCTTACAATGGAATCTACTAAGAGAAAAGGGGCATAAGGTCGTACAACTAACACTCTACTTTTGTTTAGAAAAAAAAAATTTTGACTTAAATGTCTTCAAGGAACCCACCCTAAAAGCAAGAGTTAAATCAATGCCATATTTCATGGGGCCATGGAAAGCACATGAGTAACAAATTCTTGACTGGAAATCAGAATGTATTCTGGATGACCACATGCAAGCAAGCCACTTCTCGGATGTACTCAGGATTTTTTTTTTTAAACCACCAGCATTTAGTCCCCAAACCCTAAAAGCTCAAAGGAAGGAACATGATAAAAGTTTTCCTTTTTTTTTTTTGGAGACAGGGTCTCGCTGTGTCACCCAGGCTGGAGTACATTGGCACAATCTCAGCTCACTGTAACCTCCACCTCCCAGGCTCAAGTGATCCTCCCACCTCAGGTTTCCAAGTCGCTGGGACTACAGGCGTGAGCCACCATGCCCAGCTAATTTTTCTATTTTTTGTAGAGATGGGGTTTCGCCATGTTGCTCATGCTGATCTCGAACTCGTGAGCTCAGGCAACCTGCCCTCCTCGCCCGGCTGATAACAGTTTGAAGTCCTGTGAATTTCAAATTATACTCTGTAGGGCTTCCTAGAGTTCAATAAAAGTACAATAGGGGCTGCAGTTGGAGGTGTGGTATGATTTCTAAGTGTAATAAGGTGTGTGAGACCAACCAGGTGCCCACTAACACCAGAGCAGCTCTGCTTTTATCTGCTTTATGTGTGTATTTATGTGTGAGTCTATGTATGTATGTATGTATGTATGTATGTGTGTGTGTGTGTGTATATATATATATATATATATATATATATATGCTCACTAGTAGTACCAAGATGGCAGTCTCTGATATCACATCACACTAAAAGTAACCAAGACTCGTCAGAACAAGTGATCCCAGGAATAGGGCAAGGAAGGGATAAGGTAAGCCTGGGATATCTCATTGTGCCAAAAAGCTTTCAAAAATTAATGGGACAGCTGGGCGTGATGGCTCACACCTGTAATCCCAGCACTGTGGGAGGCTGAGATGGGAGGATTGCTTGAGCCTAGCCTGAGCAACATAGTGAGATCCTGTTTCTATAAAGAGGAAAAATAACAACAAAAATGGGGAAAAAAAATTAATGGGATCATTACCACAGGCCCAGCTGAGTATCAGAAAGAATAATGATAGTAATGGAATTATTCATTACAAAGTGGAAATCTAACAGAAACCACCCTCCCACCTCAGCCTCCCAAAAAGCTGGGACTACAGGCGTACATGTCCAGCTAATTATTGTATTTTTTTGCAGAGACAGGGTCCCACTATGTTGCCCAGGTTGGCCTCGAACTCCTAGGCTCAAGTGATCCACCAGCCTCGGCTGTGATCAAATTTAGCATCACAAGTATTGGGACCAAGTGGTATTCACCTGTCTCCTGACGTGATGTGAGAAGGGCAAATATCACCCATGTAGTATTTTTGCCAAAAATGTTTAACCTGACCCTAACCATTAAGGGAGCAATTACATCAATGTAGACTGTGAGATGTTCTATAAGACATCAAGCCTGGATTCATCAAAACAGGAAAATGTCATAAAAAAAAAAAATGTGACAACCAAATGCAACATGTGATACTCACTGAATCCCGGATCAAAACACTCTCCCTCAGAGTATAAAGACATAATTGAAATAACTGGGAGTATGTGTATATAAAATTGTATAAATTTAGTATTATTATATTATTGGTAAATTTTTTGGATATGACAATGGAACTGTACCCATATAAAGGAATATTTGTTCTTAGGAGACAGATGATCAAGTACTTAGAGGTAAAGTTTTACAGTGTTTTCAACTAATTTCAAATGATTCAGCTCCTGAAAGGACAGGAAGGGAAGAAATAAAGCAAAATGTTCAGCAGTGGTTAATCTAGGTAGACACATGGTGTTCATTACAGTACTGTGAGTTTGACATTTATAAATGTTTCAAAAAATTGATAGGTTTGTAGCAAAAGGACAATTTAGTCATCTTGAAGGGGCCACATAGGTCAAAGGTGTAATAATTTTGAGCATGAAAAAGTGACTGCAGTGATCCAAATAAATTCAATCACTAGTTTCAAAACAAAACAAACATGAAAAGTCGAGTCCATAATACGACTTAAAAATAGAAAGCCAGAAAAAAACCTACATTTGAATCTCAAATGTAAATAGAAAGAAATTAAGTTTTTATACTGCCTTTATAATAGAAATTATATTTTAGCACAACCAGACATTCCCTGTGAGGCTAACACAGAAAAATGCCAGTTAATAATGTATTCGAAATGAGAAATTAGAAAGCTTTTATTCATAAGCCTCAAAGAAATTAATTGATCCAGGCAAGAATTATCAACTGATGTTAAGGCTATTATTTAGGTATATGATTGATAGTGTAGACATTTGTAAAGTGCCAAAATAACAACAGAGATGACTTTCTAGTAAGAACAAAAAGTGACAATTATCATGGGAGATGTGTCTCCCACGATACAATATGAGCTATACATCACCTAGGCTACACATTTCAGCCCAAAATGTTTAAACTGCTTCAATAAGCCTCTAAAGCCTCTAGATCTAACTAGAAGTTTACAGAAAATATCAGGAAGTAAAGGATTAAGTTAAACTACACTGCAAGGAAGCAACTGCACCAAGTTTAGAAGGCAAAAACACGGTCGCTTCAACAAGCTGGAATCATGAACAACAAAAACAAAATAAAGATCGAAATAATGAAAAAAAATTGTTTTAGAATAAGAGAGATTCAGAAAACATAGCCAGATGTAATACAAGTCCTTAATTGGATTCTGGTTTGGAGAAAAATGCTTAATTATGGATTTGGGCATTAGGTAGGATGAAACTTATTTTCATAGCAAGGAAGTGACCAGTAACTGAAAATAAAAACGAAAATGCCCCAAATTTCCCCCAACACAATAGCATGTATCATATCATGTTAGTAAAGAATACATTATTTATGCATGCAAAGAAAAACACTGAATAATAAACCAATAAGGTAATCATGGTATCTGGGTGGTAGGAATACAGTGTCTACTTCTTATTTTTACTCATCTGTATTTCTTATAATATACATATAATCTTCTAATAAGTGGTAATTTTTAAAGTGGGGGGAAGCTTGAAAAAAAAATCACTATTATAGTTCAACTCTTGAGTTTATAGCAAGTAAGAACCAAGGCTTTAAGAAAGACAAGTGCTAAAAGCCACAATAAGAAAGACTTGGGTCTCCCACTTGTACCCAAAGTTTTCCCACTACACCAGCTACCTCCACATCATTCGTGTAGTGAGGCTGAAGAGAAGGAAAAGCCTGGGGCTGGGGCATGATTTTACCTGGACAGGTCTAAGCTGTGAGGTACTCTGGCCAGGTCATTAACCAGTCCCTTCTTCAGGAAAAGCCGAATGATGTTGTTCATGCCATTGTGCTGGGTCTTCGCTGTGGCACTGCTGTAGAAGCTGGAGGTGGAGGGGCAGGACTCCATGATAGTACTGATGATACACATCACTGCCTGAAGCCTGGGAGAGAAGTTTTGACATCTCTATCATATGAATATAGCCATTTCTCAGGCCAAGTCTTCACAAAATAGCCTCAGATAACCCTCCTGTAACTTTTGTATTTCCTTCTGGAAATAACATCTAAACAAACAGGTGAGAACACACTCCCTAAGGTGATAGCATTCGTTTTCTCTTTTTTAGACAGGGTCTCACTCTGTAGCAGGGTGGAGTACAGTGGCGCAATCTTGGCTCACTGCAACCTTCCTGGGCTGAAGTGACACTCCCACCTCAGCCTCCCGAGTAGCTGGGACTACGGGAGCGTGCCACTACGCCCAGCTAATTTTCTGTAGAGACAGGGTTTCGCCATGTTGCCAAGGCTGGTCTTCAACTCCTACTCCTGGGCTCAGGCAATCCACCGGCCTTGGCCTCCCAAAGCGCTGGGATTACAGACGTGAGCCACCGTGCCCAGCCCCTACTTTAAATAAAATTTAAAATATAAGATCAAATAACCTGCTCAACTTCCTTGAAGACCTTAAAAGTACACTTAACATTTCCCTTTGTTTTCTCTAGGTTTACCCACTTACTCTAATGGTAATCAGTGCTCTGGCTATTTCCAACCGCCAGAACTATTTGAGCGGACCAGAGAGTATATGATGCCAGTATGACAAGAAGTTTTGTTCAAGTGCAAAACCACCCATGGACTAAGAAGAAGAATAAGGGGATGTTCTTGGCTATTAGCCCTGGGACAGGTATGAATCTTACCTGGCATGTTTCTCTGTACTCTCAGCCATAGCCAGTGCCCGTCCAAGGGCTGCTTTTACTTCATTCACTAGGGCCACCTGGGCATCTGTGCCACTCCCTGCAGCAGCCAGGCTTGCGAGGAACAGGCGGGCCAAGGCAGGGGTGTCCTTGTCTTCTGCATTCTGGGTATGTGGGAGCAGGTGGTCCAGAACAAAAGCTAGCACACTGCAGTCCTGAAAAGTCATGAATCACGACATTTACTTACAAGCACAATTATGCCATATCATTTGCACAGGACCAAAGATACACACACACATAGTATTTCCTTAAGTCACCCAATGAGTGATTATTAGGTCCACTTTATAGATGAAGAAGCCAAGGCTCAAAGATACAAGCAAGTAAGGAGCAAACCCAGATTTTAGAAAACTTCCAAATGCCACCCATTTCCCACTGCACAGCTTATACACTGTTATGTAGATGTCATGTATTTTTAAAAACATTTTTTAAAAACTTTATTTTTATTAAAATGTTTTTAAGAAGATGAGGTCTTGCTATATTGCCCAGGCCAGAGTACAGTGGCTATTCACAGGCATGATCATCGCACACCACAGTCTCAAACTCCTGTGTGTGTGTTCTCACACCTCAGCCTTCCAAGTAGCTGAGACTACAGGCATGTGCTATTGCACCTATCTTAAAATATTTTCACATGTGATATTTAATAGAACTACTTACAGCAAATCTATAAATAGATAAGTATTTTCTCATTTGATAAGCGGTAATCTGAAGCCCCCTAAAGAAGTGGCTTGCACAGAAGAATTTAATCAAGGGCTGAGGATTCAAACCTTGATTCTTAATTAAGTGCTATAAACCCTTCAGTGTTCAATTAAATTGAAATTATTTACTGACACCTACAATGTGCCCAGGACCCTGTGCTACAATAGAAGCTGGTAAGAGCTGAGCAAGAGACAGCAGAGTCACAGAAACTAATATGCAAAAATATTTAATGCAAGGTTATTTAAAGTAACGAAAAAGGCTCAATAGAGGAAGGAAATTAAGTCAGACTCTTCTTTTTTCTCTAACTACAATTCCTGCCTAGACAATTCCTTATCTTAGAAACAAATTCTATTGTCATTCAAGCAAATTTTGGATGAAAATACACTGAACATTTTTGGAACTACATAGGTGACAGTTGCACAACACTGCGAATGTACTAAATGCCACTCAACAGTACACTTTAAAATGGTTGACTTTATATAAATTTTACCTCAATAAAGAAAATGCATTGAATAATTTGAGAGTCTGAGAAACTGAATAAAGTGACCTTGTCAAAACAAAACAATTAGAAATAACAATTAATTTCCCAGTAGTGAATACATACAAAGTTAAAACTATTTTCTCAATAACCACGTAGAAAGGACTTAGCTTTGGAATCATAGCCCTAGCTTCCAATTTTAGCTCTGCTACTCTGTAGTATGGTCCCAGGCAAGTTACTTACCTCTTTGAGCCTTCTCTCCTCTATTAAAGAGATCACTATCAACAACCTTGCAGTGTGGAGGTGAGGATTAACAATAGTATTTATAAAGCACTTACCAGTACCCAGTACTGGTAGGACACTGGACACATATTAGGCAGATACTTAATAAATTTGTAATTAAATATGTTAACCCACAGGTAATACTATTATAAATTATGAATACAACTGGCATAAATGAGTTAAAGCTTTGGAATAAAGCCTGGCTAGGTGTGATGGCTCATGCCTGTAATCCTAGCATTTTGGGAGGCTGAGGCGGGAGGATCACTTGAGGCCAGAAGTTTGAGACCAGCCTGGGCAATATAGCAAGACCTCAAAAAATAAAATTAGCTGGGCGTGGTAGCATGTGCCTATAGGTCCCAGCTACTTGAGAGGCTAAGGTGGGAGGATCACTTGAGCCTGGGAGTTCAAAGCTGCAGTGAGCTATGATTGTACCACTGCATTCTAGCCTGGGAGACAAAGTGAGACTCTTAAAAAAAGGAAGCCTATTTATGTATTTATAGGACTTATGTCCAGAATATATTTTAAAAACTCAATAGGAAAATAGAGTAAAAGAGCTGAATAGACATTTCCCAAAAGAGAATGAACAAATGGCCAATAAAGACATGAAAAAAATGGTCAACAGGGAAATGTAAATTTTAACTATAATGCAATACCACTACAAACCCATTAAAATCAGTAAAATGAAAAAACACCAACTGTTGATCTCCCATATGCTGCTGGTAATAATATAAACTGACCTGGCCACTCTGGAAAACTTTTAGCATTAGCAGAACAACTATCATACTCTAGAGCTCAGCAATTCTTACTCTTAGGCATATACTACCCAACAGAAATTGGGTAGTTCACGAACTTATATATATTCATAAGAATGCTCATAGCAGCACTATCTGTGATAGCTCCAAAGGCAAAATTACCCAAATGTTTATTAGCAGTAGAATGGGTAAAAGATGTATTTGTTTTGGTACATGGTACATTCCACAGTGGAATTTTATACAGATGAAAATAAACTTCACCTGCACACAAAATGAATCAAGTATGTTAAGCAAAAGAAGCCAGGCAAAAAAGAGAGTACATTCTATGAGATTCCATTTACATGAACTACAAAACCAAATTACGGCACGAGAACTCAAGATAATGGTTATCTTGAGTGAAGGTGAAATGGGTGGGAGGAGATGCACTAAAGAACAAGGAGGGCAGCTTCTAGGGAGCTTGTAATGCTTTATTTAACTTGGCTAGTGGTTACCTAGGAAAAACAGACTATTTAAGATTTGTGTATTTTTCTATGTATATTAAACTTGGATTAAAGTAAGAATAGCTTTAAAAATGGCGGTTGCTTTCAAAGATGGCAACACTAGTGCCCCTACTCACTCTCAGACCCTTTTGCCACTTACTAACCATAAAATTACAATGTGATCCACAAAACAAGGCACCCTTACGGGAAAAAATATTTGGGCACCCATTTTACATATGCGGGAACATGTGATACAGTTTCTCAAAATGCCCCACTCACTTAAAAAATCTAACCTGAGGATAATTCTGCATCAGGACACTTCATTCTTTTCCACAGCTCTACTAATGAACATTTAAGGCTTTTCCTTTATTTTTATTACCAATACTGCTACCACATCTGGTGTCTTTGCACATGTGTGAGTACATCTGGAAGATGAACACCTATATTCTTATTTATATGGTTTATTCAACTGTCCTTTAGACACTTTTACTTAGATGTCCCACAGATACTTCTCAAAACTCCTCATTTTCTCTTCAAACCTTCCCCACCCCATTCTATTTTCTTGTTAGATGCCAACCCATAAAAGCAATTAAAAAAACCCCCACAAATCAAGAAACATCCTTGAGTCTTAATTTCCTTTTTCATCTTCCAAACCCAATTCTTGTCCATTTGTACCTTAAAAATATTTCTTCAACTCACCCATTTTCCTCCAACTTCACCAAGATCGTACGTTACTAGATTACTCTATCAGATTCCTAACTGTTCTCTCTGACTCCAGTCTTCCCTCTTCAATCTCCACAATGCATAAAAAGGGACTTTCAATAGAACAAATCTCATTAACTCTCTCTCTCAGTGAACCTAATGAAAAAAGGCCTAGCTCTTTCAGGTTTTTTTTGAGACAGAGTTTTGCTCTTATCACCCAGGCAGGTGTACGATGGTGCGATCTTGGCTCACTGCAATCTTTGCCTCCTGGGTTCAAGTGATTCCCGCAATCTCTGCCTCCTGGGTTCAAGTGATTCCCGCAATCTCTGCCTCCTGGGTTCAAGTGATTCCCTTGCCTCAGCCTCCCGAATAGCTGGAATTACAGGTGCCCGCCACCACGCCTGGCTAATTTCTTTTTGTATTTTGAGTAGAGATGGGGTTTTGCCATGTTGGCCAGGCTGATCTCGAACTCCTAACCTCAGGTGATCCGCCTGCTTCAGCCTCCCAAAGTGCTGGGATTACAGGCGTGAGCCACCGCACCCGGCCTTGCATGTCTGAAGATGCCTCTTCTCACTCATTACTTGGGTTAGCACTTAGCATGCACAGCTTCCCAGCAGTGTCTGACACAGGCGGTACCCAAATGATGGAAGTACAGTGTAACATCTTAAATAGAAGTTGGAAATATTACCTCTTTGATCAGTTCAGACTGGCCCACAGTGTAGCTGTAGTTGGCAATCAGGGTAGCAATACCAACATAGGACCTCACCAACTCTGCCAGAAGACGAAGGATAGTGGAGGTAGGCATTAAAGGTTTGCTGCCCTTGCCTTTCTGTTTGCCTTCCTCAGAGGCCCGGTCCCCTTCTTTATCTTTCTTCCCATCTCGAGACTCCTCTGGAGTTGAAGCTGTTGAGAAAAGTCAAACACTGGTTCAATTCCACACTGGAACACTGGCAAAATCAAGTCTTAGGTGGAAAAGAATGCTATTTCTCCTCCACTTTAAGCCACCTGTACAAACTGAATGCTCTCGTGACACTGCAGTGCAAGAGCAGAGAACCAGGATAACTCAGGTCTCAGATTTATGTGGTTACAGTACAACAGGGATGCTTTGTCCAACTATTTGTGCATCTCCCTCCATTTCCCTCCTTTTACATACTCCAGAAACACTCTACTAACAGTTCTTCAAACTTGTCTTGCTCCCTTACTTCTTTCTTCCGTCTGCCTGGCACACTTTTATCTAGTTCAGCTCAAATGCTGACCTCCTCCATAAATGCTTTCCTGTCTCATCTAGACATACTGTGAGATACTTTACATGTCCATTATATCTTATCCAAGTATGCCTTCATTCTGGCAGTTATCCTGCATTATAACTCTTGCAGGTCTCAGTCACTGGACAAAGTACTTTAAGTACAGGGAACAAATCTGATCCATTTTGGTGTCCAATATAGTCTGCCACATAGTGGGTAATGCTTCCCTTGAATCAGCACCATCATCCACGCTATACACTACATATGGCCAGTAAACCCAGTAAAATGAGTTAACCAATTATTTCACTAATGTTAGCCTTTTAAATTTATCTCCAGGAACTAGTATGATTTTAAACAAAATGTCTCCTAAATTGGATCACAAAGACCTTTCCTATCTAAGGAGAAGCAGCTCTTTAAAGGTCTCATTAGACTTACTCCCAGGGACATTTTTCTAGTTCATGGTGAGTAGTCAATGGGCTCTGTTAACATTGCTGGAAGACAGGCATCCACCACGTAAAGCATGTAGCTAGAACAATATCACTGGCATAAAATCTCTATAAGCCAGTTTTTAGAAACCCCCCAAATAATTATGGTGTGATTTAAAAAGTAAAACTAAAATATGTTACCACAGCAACCATTACTAGGTTGGTTAACTTACAGTTCCATTAACTTTAGCATATAGAGACCCTTTATTACAGAACACTGAGCTCACCTGAGAAAGTTCACTTAGACCAGTAAACGTAATAATTAAGTCTGTATTCTCCTACCCCCTGCACAGGACACCTACAGTTTTTTCAAGTTGTTTTCCTAAGGAATAAGAACATGGTAGTGAGAAAAGCAAATCATTACCCTCTCCTTGGGAGGTCCCAGATGCGGAAGTCTCAGTGGAGGCACCATCTGCAGCAAAGACCTGACTCTGAAGAAGAAGAAAACTCCTGAGCTATTATGAATTTCAAAAGCACCCGTCTGCAAATGGCAGAACTCCTTCCCAGGGCACTGGCTGGGAATGCCACAGATTCTCTTTGGCCAACCTTTTAACCACCTTACACCTTTATACTATAATCTGTGGGAGGCTATTATAAATACAGTGACTGGGAGACTGTGGGGGAGGCGGGGAAGGAAAGGGAAAAGAAAAAAAATTAAAGAACAGTTCTAATCCTAGGAGAGAAAAAAAAGTCTCCAGGGACACCCCAATTTTGTCTTTACAGGCAACAGATAATTTACAGATACATCACAATTAATATCTTTGAAATTCCCCGGGGATAGCCCTAAATACTGAGACCACACAGGCATTGAAAAATGAGAAGAAAGATAAAACGCTGTTGGAATTGACTTACATTAATGGAAAAACCTGACTGCGTATCAAAGTCACTGCTCTGACGCGTAAGTGACCGGTACTGCTGGTATACATCATCACCCATGTCTTGCAGGAGCTGGCCAACCTCTTGGGTCATAACCCCAGGTTTAGGATCAGATTTATCTGCTAGGAAAACAGTAACAACCATCAAAAACAAAATAAACCTCTTCTACAATTGGACAATGTTAAGGCCTATCTAGTCAGTCTTGGTCAATTTCACATCAAGTGGCTATGACTGTTTACATGGTGCTATTACAGATAATGTTAGAGTGCCTCACCCTAAAATTACAAAAACTAGTCTTGTGACCACAGGCAATTAACTTAGTCTCACTTTCCTAAGCTGTAACTACAAACCTTAAGTGAACATACCTGGCACTATTGCTCATGCAGTGGTGGGTCAATAAATGGTTGCCACAGCTATATAGCTAAACTATTTCGGGGAGGTGATAAGAGATAGGGTAAAGATTCTGGGGTGATAGGAGAACCAAGGAATTCTATATGGATCAGGGTTCTGTACAGATGAAAAGCACCAAGGTCAAGACTCAGATTTCTTTTGCTTATTAAAGGCAGCATTCATCAATTTTTGGCAATTCTGTGGACCTATCAAATAAGTATGTCCTGAATAAAATCCAGAAGGACCTTACTATAATGGAAACCTATGTTCCAAGCAAATCAATCATGACTTTCCTAATGCTTATAAGATGCACCTTAACTAGGAATAAAGGTGGATGGGTGTGGTGGTCTCAACAGTTAGGAAACTCAGACACACCTCCTAATATTGCCTCCAGCTCTTCAGACAATAAAAAGGTTTTGCTTGAGTATGAAAACATTAGAGACTTCCTGGTGTCTTATTTTCAACCTCTCACAGAATGCTATTATCTCCTTCTAAATCTTTGTTCATTCTTCCCCCGTATGGTGTGTATTCTCATATAACAGAACTCTGGCAATCTCATCCATTCAAGGTTCATTTTAGAAATCATGTACACAAAGAAATTTTCTTACCTGTGCACCCTCACTAGGTAAGGTGCCTCACCCTAAGGACTTACCACCATCCTGGTATGTCATACTATATGACTATTAGCTTCTTCACAGACATGCAATGGGTATCTTATTCATCTTGAGCCCCAGAGTATGGGCACATAGTGAGTGCTCACTAAGCCATGAGTTGGCTGAAATGACCCAGGCAAAGTAACATATCCTCTAGTGCCCAGCCTCCTGAGGTAGGCTAGCCACATACCTTCCTCTGGAGCATGGTATGCAGCCAGAGCATTCAGCATATCATAGATCACTTCCTTGATAGTATCAGGGATGACAGGCAGAGGTGAGGGCTTCAAAGGGGTGGTCTTCACCAGCTGTACAGCATTAGGGCCTTTAATTCTAAGATTCTCAAATTCATCATCTGAAGCTAAGCCAAAATGAGAGAGAAAAACCAGTCAATCATGAAGCAGTACCTAAACTAGGTTACTAATAAAGACTCAGAAGGGGGCATGTATGATATAGAAGGCTTGAGATAGGAGACCATTTTCAATTAATGTTCAAGTACTCTACTATAAAACCTGGTTTATACTTTCCTTAAATTCCACAGGATTTAATATAGCAGTACCAAATAGTAAAGGCTTGAGTTAGAGAAAACTGGTTTTGAAATCCAGTTGTTAATTCAACAAACCTCAATTTTCTCACTCTCCAAATTTATGTTGAGGATTAAATGAGGATATAACTGAGAAATGCCCAGCACAGGGGCAGGCACATAGCTGGAACTTCCAAAATAATTTCATCCCCTTCCCAACGTTTTATTAAAAAAAAAAAAAAAAAAACTCCCTCTCCCTCCTCTCCCTCCTCTCCCTCTCCCTCTCCCTCTCCCTCCCTCTCCCCACGGTCTCCTTCCATGGTCTCCCTCTGATGCCGAGCCAAAGCTGGACGGTACTGCTGCCATCTCGGCTCACTGCAACCTCCCTGCCTGATTCTCCTGCCTCAGCCTGCCGAGTGCCTGCGATTGCAGGCGCGCGCCGCCACGCCTGACTGGTTTTCGTTTTTTTTTTTTGGTGGAGACGGGGTTTTGCTGTGTTGGCCGGGCTGGTCTCCAGCTCCTAACCGCGAGTGATCCGCCAGCCTCGGCCTCCCGAGGCGCCGGGATTGCAGACGGAGTCTCGTTCACTCAGTGCTCAATGGTGCCCAGGCTGGAGTGCAGTGGCGTGATCTCGGCTCGCTACAACCTCCACCTCCCAGCCGCCTGCCTTGGCCTCCCAAAGTGCCGAGATTGCAGCCTCTGCCCGGCCGCCACCCCGTCTGGGAAGTGAGGAGCGTCTCTGCCTGGCCGCCCATCGTCTGGGATGTGAGGAGCCCCTCTGCCTGGCTGCCCAGTCTGGAAAGTGAGGAGCGTCTCTGCCCGGCCGCCATCCCATCTAGGAAGGGAGGAGCGCCTCTTCCCCGCCGCCATCCCATCTAGGAAGTGAGGAGCATCTCTGCCCGGCCGCCCATCGTCTGAGATGTGGGGAGCACCTCTGCCCCGCCGCCCTGTCTGGGATGTGAGGAGCGCCTCTGCTGGGCCGCAACCCTGTCTGGGAGGTGAGGAGCGTCTCTGCCCGGCCGCCGCCCCGTCTGAGAAGTGAGGAGCCCCTCCGTCCGGCAGCCACCCCGTCTGGGAAGTGAGGAGCGTCTCCGCCCGGCAGCCACCCCGTCTGGGAGGGAGGTGGGGGGGGGTCAGCCCCCCGCCCGGCCAGCCGCCCCGTCCGGGAGGTGAGGGGCTCCTCTGCCCGGCCGCCCCTACTGGGAAGTGAGGAGCCCCTCTGCCCGGCCAGTCGCCCCGTCCAGGAGGGAGGTGGGGGGGTCAGCCCCCGGCCCGGCCAGCCGCCCAGTCCGGGAGGGAGGTGGGGGGTCAGCCCCCCGCCCGGCCAGCCGCCCCGTCCGGGAGGGGGGAGGGGGGGTCAGCCCCCTGCCCGGCCAGCCGCCCCGTCCGGGAGGGAGGTGGGGGAGTCAGCCCCCCGCCCGGCCAGCCGCCCCATCCGGGAGGGAGGTGGGGGGATCAGCCCCCCGCCTGGCCAGCCGCCCCGTCCGGGAGGTGAGGGGCGCCTCTGCCCGGCCGCCCCTACTGGGAAGTGAGGACCCCTCTGCCCGGCCAGCCGCCCCGTCTGGGAGGGAGGTGGGGGGGGGTCAGCCCCCCGCCCGGCCAGCCGCCCAGTCCGGGAGGGAGGTGGGGGGTCAGCCCCCCGCCCGGCCAGCCGCCCCGTCCGGGAGGGAGGTGGGGGGATCAGCCCCCCGCCTGGCCAGCCGCCCCGTCCGGGAGGTGAGGGGCGCCTCTGCCCGGCCGCCCCTACTGGGAAGTGAGGAGCCCCTCTGCCCGGCCAGCCGCCCCGTCCGGGAGGGAGGCGGGGGGGGGGGTCGGCCAGCCGCCCCGTCCGGGAGGGAGGTGGGGGGGTCAGCCCTCCGCCCGGCCAGCCGCCCCGTCTGGGAGGTGAGGGGCGCCTCTGCCCGGCCGCCCCTACTGGGAAGTGAGGACCCCTCTGCCCGGCCAGCCGCCCCGTCCGGGAGGGAGGTGGGGGGGGTCAGCCCCCGCCCGGCCAGCCGCCCTATCCAGGAGGTGAGGGGCGCCTCTGCCCGGCCGCCCCTACTGGGAAGTGAGGAGCCCCTCTGCCTGGCCAGCCGCCCCGTCCGGGAGGGTGGTGGGGGGGTCAGCCCCCCGCCCGGCCAGCCGCCCCATCCGGGAGGTGAGGGGCACTTCTGCCCGGCCGCCCCTACTGGGAAGTGGGGAGCCCCTCTGCCCGGCCACGACCCCGTCTGGGAGGTGTGCCCAGTGGCTCATTGGGGATGGGCCATGATGACAATGGCGGTTTTGTGGAATAGAAAGGCGGGAAGGGTGGGGAAGAAATTGAGAAATCGGATGGTTGCCGGGTCTGTGTGGATGGAAGTAGACATGGGAGACTTTTCATTTTGTTCTGTACTAAGAAAAATTCTTCTGCCTTGGGATCCTGTTGATCTGTGACCTTATCCCCAACCCTGTGCTCTCTGAAACATGTGCTGTGTCCACTCAGGGTTAAATGGATTAAGGGCGGTGCAAGATGTGCTTTGTTAAACAGATGCTTGAAGGCAGCATGCTCGTTAAGAGTCATCACCACTCCCTAATCTCAAGTACCCAGGGACACAAACACTGCGGAAGGCCGCAGGGTCCTCTGCCTAGGAAAACCAGAGACCTTTGTTCACTTGTTTATCTGCTGACCTTCCCTCCACTATTGTCCTATGACCCTGCCAAATCCCCCTCTGCGAGAAACACCCAAGAATGATCAATAAAAAAAAAAAATTAAAAAAAAAAAATAAAATAAAAAAACAAATCCAACAAACCTACAGAAAAGTTCGAATAGTATAATAAACATCTATATACTTTTCATCCAGAATTACCAAGTGACTACTCCTAAATACATCTACTTGTAGCTCCTAAGATCAAGGACATATATTTTCTTTTTTATTACCAAAAAAGTCAGCAGAGGGGAGATCAAGGGTATTTTTATACAGAACTGCAATACCATTATAATACCCCCCAAATTTAACAGATACAATTACATTACCTAATACATAGCACTCAAATTTCTCCAAATCTTTTATCTGGATCCACAGCCCAACCAAGGCTGGTGGTGATTATCTCTCTAGTCTACTTTTCTCTATAAGAAATGATCCTGTATTTTTTCTTTCATAACATTAATATTTTTGAAGAGTCTAGGCCAGTTGTCTTATATAGAACATCTCACAATTTGTATTTATCTAATTGTTTCCTCATAATTAAATACAGGTCAAACATTTCTTGGCAGGAATACACAGATGACGTCTATTTCGCACTGTGTTACACGAGACATACATCCATTTAACCCTTAATTATCACTTGATTTGTAAACCATTAACTATATGTAAAGCCTACTGCCCCACCAAAATGAGCTCTTTGAAGTGAAGGACTAGAATGAATGAGTCCTCAGTGTCTCTGGCAGGGATTACAACAGGGCAAGGCCCAGAGAAGCTACTGAAGTACCTAATAAATTGACCCAAACAATCAATTAGCCAGCAAATGTCCTAATACTTGCCTAAGGAGGCTCTTCAAGTTACAGACCTCCTCATAAATAAATTTCTGGATTTATACCAGGCCACAAACTTAATATCAAAGGCCAGGAGCAAGCGAAACTTACCAGTTCCTGAGCCTCGAGGGGCAGGAAGGGCGATGCGGATACAGCAGTTGGCCACTTCTGTGAATATGTCTGGATTGCGGCATGCGGCTGGCCCAAGGACACGAAGGATGTAGTTGATCTCCCGAGAGCCGAGGCTGCCAGACACAACACCAGAGGTAGTGCTACCAGCTCCACTTGTAGCTGCTGAGCGAACAACCTAGTAAAGAGAGAAAGAAACACTGTCGATTAAACACTACTTTCTAAAAATACAACTGCAGTCAAGAGTTACCAAGACTAAAAGCTTTTGATTTTGGGGAGAATGACATTTTATTTTTAAGTCCCGTCCCATCCCTTCTTGATTCAAAAAACCTGGCTTATAAAAAAGTTGCAGCATGTCTCAAAACTATCAATTATTAGACCAGACTGCATGTGATCTTTATAGAAACTGGGAGATGTGTCAAGACTATAAACCCCACATAACTTCCACATTAAAATGTCAGCTCCTGAGCCTCTCCAAATGCTGTCACAATTTTAAACCAGAATGGTTCAAAAACATGTAACACTGTAATCCACTTAGTGTACAGGAACACAATTAAATATTTTCTTTATGCCTCAAAGTCAACCATCAGTCTGAGATAATGATAGCCACTGGAGATACTGAACTATTTATATATTGTTTGCCTTGATAACACAGGGCTTACATATAGCTATGCTTCTGCTCTTCTCATAAAATTGCTTGTTAATAATGGAAAAATCCATGAAAGCACGAAGAAAATAACTCAATTGTATTATTTTCCATTATCTGTTATTTCACAAACTACATGCTCACAATGAAAAACATCTTTTGGTATCTTAATTTTTTTTTTTTAAACCAAATCAATCATGCCCTTTAGCACATTATACCCTCTGTATCTTGCCTGTCTGGCTGTAATTATAAAATAATTTCCATTTAATAAACACAGAAAAGTTTAATTTCAATATTAAGGATAAGCCATAATTTATCCAGCCCCCAACTGCTGGACATTAGACCTCTAGTTTCTTGATATTACAAGCAATTCCACAGTGAACACTCTTATATATGCATCTTGGTATACTTGATGTTAGTTATCAGATAAATTCTTAGCCATAGAATTTCTAGGTCAAAGGATATCTTAGACCAAGAGTACCAAATTGCCCTCCCATGTGGCTACACCAATTTCCACTCCTACCGAAAGTTAAGAGTATGCCTGGTTTTCCACACCTGTACTAGCAATGAATAGTACCAAGACTTTACATTTTGCCATCTTGATACGTTAAGACTGTCACTGATGTTCCTTTGTTTCCCACACCCCAACTATAATTTACCTAAAGTTAAAACTTTAAAAGTTTTCCCTCATCCAATGAGGACCTACACTTTCTCCTAGCACTTTGAACTTGTAACTTTTAAACATTTCTTTATAGAAAGCGTTTCAAGCATTTCAAGTTTCTAAAATCAGAATTTAGTTGTATATAGTTGTTCCTTCCCTGCTGGGTTATCTCCTGGACTGTGGATCACCATACAAGCTACCTTTAACAGCTCTCTTTCTCTTGATTTGGCACATGTGAGGTGAAATCAAGCAGGCTGTGTAAAGAACTGTCTGAAGAATCTAAAATGTATACTCAGATATACAAAAACTGATACCACTTTTCTGGCAAGCAAGTTAAAAAATACTTGTAATGCCTTTTGATCCAATTACTAAAAATCTCTAAGTAACGATCTTAAACATGAACAAAGTTAGGCACAAAAACGCATATTGCAACACTGCTTATAAATGTGGGAAACAATGTCCCAAGAGAGGAAAACGGAAGCAAAGTCTATTAACAGTCATTATTGATGACAAAGAATCAGCAGAAGAAAGGATTTTGTATTAAGTACTGAGGAGGAAAAGCCTCACTACTAGGACATTTGCCCCTCAACCCTCCACTGTTGTCTTCTTTTTTTTTTTCTTTTGAGACAGAGTCTCGCTCTGTCACCCAGGCTGGGGAGCAATGGCACCATCTCGGCTCACTGCAACCTCTGCCTCCCAAGTAGCTGGGATTACAGGTGCATGCCACCACACCCACCTAGTCTTGAACTTCTAACCTCAGGTGATTTACCTGCCTCCCAAAGTGCTGGGATTAGAGGCATGAGCCACCACACCCAGACTATTGTCTTAACTTTACAAATGTTTTTATTTTTTATAAGTACGTTGCTATTTCTTCCACTGGTTTGTAAGTTTCCTAAAATATAATAACCTGTTTTCTGATCTGCACAATGGATATTTGTTAAGTGTCTATCACAGTGCCTGGCAGATTACAAACATTCAAAAAGCTTTAACTATACTTTTATATTCCAAAATACAGTGTTTTGAGAATAGTCTCTTGGCTGAACACCCGAGAGGTACTCCTACAAAGGAATGATTCTGAAGGTATGAACTTGGGGGAAGGTATCCCAGTTCTTTACTAACGGTTTTTGGCTTGGTTAATGAAACCTAGATTAAAAAAAAAAAAAGAAAAAAAGAAAAAAAAGAAAACCAGATTGCTGGAGAGGACTTTCTAGCAATAGGATCATCCTACCATACCTAAGCAAGCTCCCAAGCATAGAGTTGGAAAATTCTGTTGGGTGGAGTATACAGTATACATATCTAGCTATATACCCTAAGAAGAACCAGAAGTCTATTTGTTCTCAGACCAAGGAGAACATAGGTATGATGTAAAGCTAAACCAGAATCTGATACAAAACACACTCACCTTTTCCATGGTATGACGAAGGGTACAGGGGTCCTCAATGATGTGTCTTAAGAGAAGGGTGACCAGGGGAGTAAACCCATTGAAGCCTGAGCTCTGGGTCAAATTCAAGATCATGCGGGTACTCTTCAGTTCTGCAAACATCATGGCATATTTGTGGTCCCGGGTGAGCCTCAGACAGAGACGAAGGGTGGCATGCAAAGTATCTGGGTCCACAGGGACTCCCAGCATGCTCACGCAGGCCCGGATTAAAACAGTCACCATATCTTCTGTCAAGCCCTGGATCAGGATCTCCCCGATTTTTGTTTCCTCCAGGCTTGTCTCCTTTTCAGTGTTTGTACTCTCTAGGGCCAAAGGGGTATCTATAAAATGGGAAAATAACAGTTTTAGACAGTTTAACTTGATGTTTATTTCCTCCCACGCCTCCCTCCTAAGTAATTGGCCAAGCACTTGGGTCCTATTAAGAGAAGCATGCCAAATACCAATTTTAAGATCAGATGAAAAAGCATAAGGGAGGCCTACGTATCTTTAATCTGTTAATCAAGCTGATGAAAATAACTCACAATGAAATTGGCCAGACCTTAAGCCACAAAGGCACATTAGCTTTAGGTAAAACACTCTTGGTACATACCATTGCCTTTATTTTCTTTACGTTTGATATCCATTTCTTTGCTTTCTTCCAGCGTCTTCTCTAGTTCCTGTCCATTGCTGTTTTTTGAATTTTTATTCAGCCGAGGTACCCTGAGGAGAGTCAGCATCACAGGGCGTCGGTTCCCTGTTTCCTCATTAACCTAGGAATTCAAACAGACATTAAAAAAACCTCTACCAAAAATGAATTATAAAGGTGGGGGAGGGGAGGGACATCTCCCAGGTAAAATGCTACAACAGGAAGGAACTCTGGCAATTTATCCCACCTTTATCATTTACAGAGAAAAAACCTGAAAGTCCCCAGAAGGCAAGTGGCATACACAAGGCCTTATAATGAACTGTAGACCTTCCAACAGAGCAAATACCATCCCTAACCACTCCCTAGCCCTTGACTAAACACTTAAAATCATTTCTAAGAGGGATAGTATCAAATTGCTACAGACCCAAGGTCTAATCAATGACCTTAGGAAGACTCGATTTTCTGAAATCTATACTTAATTAGGTAATGGTAACTCTCCTCCTCCTAACACGTTAGGAATGCTGGTTCAGAAAGAAGAAAACCAAAACACATACCCCTCTTTTTGATAAAGTTTACAGTAGGGGTGTCCAATCTTTTGGCTTCCCTGGACCACACTGGAAGAAGAATTGTCTTGGGCCACACATAAACTACACTAACGATATTTGATAAGCTAAAAAGAACAACGACAAAAAAACCTCAATGTGTGGTGTTGGGCTGCATTCAAAGACATCCTGAGCCATATGTGGCCTGTGGTCCACGGGTTAGACAAGCTTGGTGAGTGAGCATGTACCTGCACCATTGTAGTGAATTGGACCGTGTATCTTCTTCGGCCTGCAGTGAATCGCACGCTTGTCTCTCCAGATTTCCAGGCAGAATCAATAGTGCTATTGTTGCTTGCACTGTAACTACACCAACGCCCAGAGCGATCATCAAACCAGCGCCAGTTGTTGCTGTTGGATTGCAGGTACTAAACATAAAAGTACAAAGTTTCTTTGTATTTCTTTCAAGGTTGATTAGAAGAAATAGTAACTTCATCAGTGTTCACTGCTAAAACTCACCCAGGAAAAAGAAATATACTGGACAATAAATTTTAAAAACCAAAAGAACATTTTTCATATGCATTTACTCTCACATTCCTTAGTCTCTCTGCTACACGCTTAAAAACATGTCTTCTAAAGTTCAGGTGTTGAAAACTTAATCCCTAATTTAACAGTGCTGGGAGGTGGGGCCTAATAAAAGATAATATTAGGTCATGGGGACTCCGCCCCTCATGAATGGATTAATGTCATTATCCACGGACTGGGTTAGTTATTGTGACTGGGTTGGTTATAAAAGCGAGTTTGGACACCTCTTGCTCTTCCACCTTCTGCAATAGAAGGATGCAGCACTAAGGCTGTCACCAGATGTGGTCCCTTAGATCAGCCTCTAGAACTATGAGCCAAATAAACTTGTACAGTTTATATTAAATATTTTTTTTGGAGACAGGGTCTGACTCTGTCACCTAGGCTGGAGTGCAGTGACGCGATGCCGGCTCGGTTCACTGCAACCTCTGCCTCCCAGGCTCAAGTGATCTCCCCACCTCAGCCACCTGAGTAGCTGGGACCATAGGCACACACCACTATGCCTGGTTAATTTTTGTATTTTTTGGAGAGATGGGGTTTCACCATGTGTTGCCCAAGCTGGTCTTGAACTCCTGAACTCAAGTAATCTACCTGTCTCAGCCTCCCAAAGTGCTGGGATTACAGACGTGAGCCTACAGTGCCCAGCCTATGGTTTATAAATTAGTCCGTGGTATTACGTTATAGCAACAGCAAAACGGACTAAGATACTTTTCCTAGACAAAAAAACTATCTACAGCCCCTTATCTTGCCATTTTCTACTTTCCTTTTGTTTCTACTGATTTTCCCTAAAAGGGGAATGTTCACCTGAGATGTACTGAAACAAAAATTCTGTTTCCAAGAAGGTAGTGAGATGATGTGGCACAATAATCTTCATCTAAGGAGTGTTTGCTTTTTGGTAGGATTGCTGTATACTCAGTCCCTTACATAACAGAAAAGCCGCTCCTCCTCTGGAGATAGCACACTCCTTCAAAATTTACTTCCAGAGTAAATTATTCAGAAGAGAAACCTAGCTATGAAAATCCCTTAAGAGATTTATACATTGGTCAGAGACTTCTATATTCTTCACTACTCTCTCATATTCTCTTCTGGTCTACTCTTGCCTCAGGAAGCTAAACCGTCCTGCAGTCATACATACTACATTACACACCTTAGTCATCTGGGCTCTCCTTTTTGAGGAGATGGCTGTCTTTTCATAGAAATCAATCAGGAGCAACACTGGTGTGATCCACCTAAAAAAGAAAAATGATCTGTTTTGGGAAAGCAAGAAACCTGCACAAATTGGGAAAATATATCTTAATTTCATCAGATGCTTCCTTTATAATTTTAAAACTACAGAAGTACCACAAATTTGCCCCATACATGCCCCAGAAGAGTGCCTGATTCAGGCCCATGTCCCAGGGAAATAGAAACGAAACTAGGGTAGATATAGGGTTACTCACTTTGGGGTCTGGACTTCCTTCTGCTCCTTGGCTGCCTGGAGGCAGGGCTGAACCACTTCCAAGAGTTTGATTAGGACATTAAGGATGCCACTTGATTCAACCACCCAAGCACAAGGTAGCTTCAACTCCTGATAGATCAAAGGGAAAAAACAACAACAACCAGATACCAATTTCTACTCAGTAACAAAGATTAGCATGGGATAGGGGAGGGGAACATAAGGGTAAATAATAATAGAATTGGTTGAGTTCAAATTTTACCTCTTACCATTTACCAGTTGTGTAATCTAAGATGTGTTAAATTTTCTAGGCTTTGGTTTCCTCATGGGTCAGAGGAAATAATTTTTACCTGCAGAATAATTGTGATGATTGAGGTTTTATATATATTAATATAAAGTACCCAGTGCCTGGCACTAATGTATATGCTTAATATGGAAATGGTTTATCACCAAGGTTGTGCAGTCTATGTTGAAGTTGTAAAGCTTTAGATTTACAGAGAAATTTTATAATCTTTCAAGGAAAATGGAATAATTAAACACAGTTAATGGTTCGTCTTACTGGGGCTACACCAAAGTGTTACTTTTAACAGGAAATCACTGGAAGTAAATGTCCAAGGATAGGTAATTATTTAAATAAATTAGAGAACATTCAAAAGATGGACTAATGTATATAGCAAATGGGAAAATAGTCATAATACTTAACAAAAAGAATATAAAACTTTCTATACAGTCTTATCCCAATTGCTTAAATGAACAGGAAAAAACACTAAAAGAAAATACAAGACTGTTACTTGTGATTTGTTTTAGATGGGGGTCCATGAATGATTCTCTCTTTAGTACTCTGAAACCTTTCCCACAAGTATCTATTTACAAAGTGCTACAGTAAGAGTTATCACTTCCATGATAAAGGAAACCCCCAAGACAGCTGTTACACAGTTTGACTCTTATATTGGATTTATCCCCTGAGTTTGCTGTATGTAAAGGGTTCAGTTCATTAAGTTCAGGTTTTAAAGATAATGAGCCACAAATGAAGTCATTTGTCCAAGGTCAATTGCCTCCTAGTTCCTACGTTGGTTGGATCAGGTCTTGCCCAAACCACTCTCTTGCCTCAAATAATCTGCTGACTAAATAGGCAAGGAAAAGAGAGAGGAATCTGATTTCATCTAATGTCTATTACCTCAATATTGACCACATCCAATTTGCATACCCTACTCTACTATGTGGCTGCCAGTTAGGTTTCCTCAGAAGAGCAAAAAATATTCTATGACCAAGCTCTGTTAGTAATTTAAATACTTTTTTTTTAAACTACCACCTCACAATTCTGACTCAATTCAATTAATGCTTGTTCTCAGAAGCCCTTCTCACATGAATCCAAAGTGATGCATATGACTTTCCTAAACCCAGATAAAACTGTTATCATTCTAACACAGAATGCTGTATTTTATACGTAATTATATGCATTTCAGCCTATCAGAAACTGGGCTCATGAAATGCAGGACTCATGCCTTATTCTTCGCTTTATCGTCTTCAATGCCTCATATATGTTAAGTGTTTGATAATTCTTTCATGAATGAATTACAAGGCCCCAAAGATCTAAATCTTACCTCAAAAAGTAGCGTTAAAAGCAAGATTCTAGTAGCCAAATTGGAGGCCTGGGGCAGTGTGGCCATCTGACTTATCCACTCTGACACGGTTTTTGTGTCACTTGTTGTCAGGGGAAGAGCAGCTTTGATCAATACATCAGCAGCTTCCCACACCTAGAAAAGCAAAAAAAGGGTTAAGTCACGGAACCGCAGAGCAAGATGAGGTTTCTGAAAATATTCTCAACCTTTTAAAATACTCCCTCTGCCTCCAACACATTCACTAAAGAAAGGTAGGTAAATCTAACATATTTACCATAGGGATTTAGAATCTATATCAAAAGATGTATGCTACTAAAGGATCACCACTAAACAATTACTTTATTAGGCTAGACTATAAGCAGCCTAAAATCTAAGTTAAAGGAAATGAGTATTTTAAAACTTCCTGGTGCATACAGTCAACCCCAAAAAGGTTCTATCAACTTATACTTCCATCAGCAATCTTTCATTTTATCTCTCTCTCTCAGAATTATTGTTAAAAAATAGACACTAAAACTTTCTGTGAAAAAATGTTTTATCCAGTTTTCCTTTACTTGTGTTCTTGTGCATTAAAGTTCTATTTTACAAAGCCCAGAAAAAAGTTTTCCCTTTTTTAATTTCTTTCCCTGCTTCTAGAATGAAACATTACATAAAACAAGATTCCAGTAACTTAAATACAATCGAAATGTTAACTGGCTATCTGGGTGTGGGGATTTAAGGTAATTCCTTTCTTATCCCACTTCTATAATTAGCATAATTTCATAATGAGAGAAAAGAAAAAGAGGACAAATATCAGGTCACAAGTATTCATCAGGATGGGGACTCAGTTGTTCAAGCGGCTGTTACATAGGAAAAAACATTTATTCAGTATTAGTCCAGGGGACGAACCTGACTCAAGGGTGAGGCACATTTTAGACATTTTAAGAGAAAAGTAGAAAAGGAGAGCTTTGTTTTTCCCTTCTAAAGACATTTTTGTGTGTGCGATGTAGTTAACACACTGTTTCAGGATTACCAGATCGAAAGAATCCAAATAGAGAATATACCCATATCAGGTAGAATGAAAATATGCTGATTTTTCAGAAATCAGGTTTTGACACAGGCAGGCAAACCACTTCACATACTCCCCTCTTCTGACCCCTTGAGAGCTCACCTGATTGACTACTTGCTTCAGAATCATGTCACGATAATCTGCTCCATTACGTTTGATTGCTGTCATGATCAGGTCACACACACGGTATACTGTGTCTGGCAGCTCATCAAGAAGGTGGAAGCAGCCTGGCAACATAGTATCTGTGAAAGTGTGGAGCTCATCTTGTTCCAACGGGTCAGCATCCTGGAACTTCTCTAGACATTTAGCCTCTTCCTCCTCCTGCTTTTCCCGAGCTTTCCGTTCCTCTTCCTCCTTCCGGCAAGCAACTTCCTGGAAGCAGGGAAGGAAGTGTGAATAATACACAGGAGAGGTGAAGGAGGAAAGATAAGAGAGACTCTGAGAATGTTTTTGCTCTACCATATGATTACCCTCAACCTTCTCCTCAAGCGGTTGATACTTTCATCCAGGATGTGGCAGCCACAAAGTTTAAGGCAAGACAGGGAAGGTAGAAGGGAGGGATGCTTCAAACAACTTTCACTGTCAAGTCACTTGTAGCATTCTATACTACCTCCCGCAAAATCATTTCTAGACACTGTTCTATATTCTGTGCCAGCAGGGAAAATTAAAGTAACTGTCACCTAGAAATATACAGCCAAGTTCGGCCTAATGGCACTACTGAGTACACATTGGGTCTCTTATTTGACAATAAAGATTAACGCTTCATATGCCTCCCTTAAAGCTTCAGGTCAATACAAGGTAGCTCAATAATGGATGGCAAAGCTGGGATGAATTAGTACTCTTCTCATGTCTTCCTTTAGATTTGAATTCTATCAATTAGTTTGCAATACTAGCAGAATGTTCACAGAATACTAAGATTCATGTGCCAAGCCCTTTAGGATGCAGTGTTCCATAGTTACCTCAGGTGACTCTGCCCTTTGATCCATTGGAATATCCTGTCCCAGAGACATAGCAATTGCTCTCATCATCTGGTCCTCTTCAGACATGCTGAGATCCTAGAGTGTTAAGAGAATATCCAGTAAGGATACACACTCAAAACAAAGAAACCCAACAAGACCACTGCAACTCACAGGCAATCAGACATCTTGTGCTCAAGCTAAAGAGAGAGGAAGGGCCTCAAAATGCTGCTCTTGTATAAGTCAAACCCTATCAGGCTTATGTGGTTACTACAAACAAGAACAGATGAGGAAAATCACACGTAAAACTAAGTATAGGAAGGAGGCTTACAGTGTGATCATCTATTCTACATCTTAGAAAAGTGTGCCTCTTCTATTGTTTTGTGACTGGGGGTTCTTGTGCAAACAAAGTATAGTAATTTGTATTGCTGGGGGACAGAAAACTTCTGTTATTATGAAAAGAAAATACTGGCATGGACATGTCTGAAAATGAGAAGCAGTTTATAGAAAGGAAGACCAATGACAGAATAATAAGGGGAAAAAGGACTTCAGCAGTCAAACCAATATCCTGGAAAATCACTGCTTCTGAGCCAACTTACCCGAACAACTCCTCCCATGATTGGAGGAGGGTGGGTTAAAAGGTACTCTGTGGCCTGCTCCATGGTGCTGGTGTTCAACAGTGCCTCCATTGCATGTTCCCTTGTGAAGCCCATGTCCATGAGCTACATAAAGAATGCAAGGGCTCAGAATCACATAACGGAAATCCAAATACATTTTTAAAAGGAAGGAACCTTTTCAAGATGGAAATAACTTTTTCTAACTTCATCTGGGCTGAGAGCATTTATGAGCTAGGGCAATTAGGTAAAATGAACAATCCTTTCTGTTTGGTGCTTCTATAGCATTCTAAGCTACACATTGGGTAAGGAGCCAAGAAGATTCTCGATTTCATCCTCTAAGAAAGTTAGGGGGGGATGCATGGTTATTATGATTAACAGGGTTATTATAATTAAAAGATTGAGACTCATACAAAGAAGTATAAATTGGTCCCAACTTTCTGGAAAACAAACTGGTAACAGAGCAAGTGCCTGAAAAACTGACCTAGTTAATCTACTACCAGGCAATAATCATGAGATGTATGTAAGGATTGGTACGTAAGGAAACTATACAACACAGTGTTAAAACATCAAACTGTAAGAAAATTAGCATCCAACAATAAAAGAATGACCAATTAGTAAAAAAAAGTTCTTGATAACAGCAATACAAGTATATGTATTATTTGATGTTAACGACGTAAAAATTAGGCACAAGACTGACTGAAAAAGGAGACAATGACTATCTTGTGTGATAAAATTACGAATGCCTTTTAAAAGTCTTGTATTTTCCAAATTTGGTAATGAGAGTATTTATTACTTTAATGATAAAAAACGGGACAAGTGTATATAGTAGACAGATTTGAACAGGACTCCAGACATAAAAGCTGACACACATACATACAAACTCCAGGAAGAAAATCTTAAAATGCTCTTTGAGATGGAAGTGGCAGGACTTTACATGCCTTTCCCCTCTCCTCTTTCTGGCCTCCCAATTTTTAAAATGCCCCTTATACATTTTATTTGCAAGTGAAAACAAAAGTTTTGTAGGTGACTAAGGTTTCAGAAAGCTCTTGTTGGAGAATAAATCTGGTTCACAATATCCATTCTCTTTACAGGTTAACCAGAAAGTAACTGAGGACAGTTTGCCTCCACTGAGGCAGCAGGAGGCTACTGAGAATACTCATCAACATGCTTGAAAGGAGTATTACCTGTGCAGAGCATCAGGACTATACTCCAGTTTTCCTCAGGAGAAAAAAAATAAATACTAAGAGAAGGAGGAAATCTAAACTGTCTCCTGGTTAATGTGACCAGGGACTCAGTGGTATGTGAGCTTAGAAAATCCGTAAGCATCACACTCCATTGGGTGCAAAGTCTGGACCCTGGAGTGTGAGGCCAGTACCCTACCTGTTGCAGTTGTTGCTGGTTGACTTGAGGTTCCCGGCGGGAGCCACCTTCCTCTTGCCCTGTATCCTCTTCTCCTCGAGACCCCTCCTTCTCCTTGCTTAGTCTCTCTCGAATCACAGGTTCTCCTCGGAGGATGTGGCATAGAATGGCCAGCATCGATTCAGCCATTCGTCCACCATATACCTTCAGGGGTTTCCGGTTCCATAAGTTTTTGATGCAAGTAAAGGCTGCCTGTAAGTAATTTGAAAAGTGTGTGAAAATCATTTTGCTTCAATTCAAAGCTCAGAAGGATTAAGTTAAAGACCTATGGAACAGTCCTTCCACAACTAGTACCAGCAACAAAATAATTGGCCAACATGAGGAGGTCTAAGGAGGCACAGAGAAGAGGCATTTTACTCAACCTTAAGCAGTGATACAGTTTGGAATATTTGCTCTGCCCAAATCTCATGCTGAATTGTAATCCCCAATGCTGGAGGTGTTTGGGTCATGGGGGTGGATCCCTCATTGTTTAGTGTTGTCTTCATGATAGTGAGTTAGTGTGTACCACCCCCTCCACCTCCTGGCTCCTGCCATGTGACATGCAAGCTCCCACTTAACCTTCCGCCATGACTGTGAACTTCCTGAGGCCTCCCTAGAAGCCCAGCAGATGCTAGCACCATGCTTCCAAAGCTTGCAGAACTGTGGGCCACTTAAATATCTTTTCTTTATAAATTACCCAGTCTCAGGTATTTCTTTATAGCAATGCAAGAACGGCCTAATGCAAGTACCAATCTGAAATTTACAGCTCAAATGTTTATCACGGAAAATTCTCAAATGGTCTATATTCCCTTACGTAAGGCAGCCCTATCTGGGAGTTGGATCCAGTGGTTCTTAAATAAGCATGTTATTTCATTAAGCAGGACAAAATAGAGTGGGAACGACTTAGCATGAGAAATTCCTTTTGATTTTAGAATACTGAATACTCACTTTCTGAGTTACCACAAGGAAGCGCAGTGCACTGAACTGGGGAAAGTTCTGGACACCTCCAGGCAATTTGGCAGGCAGCGAATGTGGAGATTCAAGCACCGTGGTGGGATTCACCATCTTCTCCACCAGCATAAGCCAGGCATCTAGGAATTCTCCTGTGCCATCAGGCAAGTCTGAGTGTTCCAATCCCTCAGAAACAGGAACTTTACCTCCCATGGACAGAGCCCAGTTGAAAGTTCTAAATTCAAATAAGGAAAAGTAGACAGAATATTAGTATTTTACCCTGGCAAGGGGGGTTTACATCTAAAAGGTCCCCAATCTCTATATTGGCCCTACACGTCCCTCTTCTTAGAGCTATTACGTCTAATCTGTCCAACAGTTTTCAGCTATACTATTTTTTTCTTTTGTTCCGCCTCTCCTCCGTTACTTTTTAGAGTCTTAAAAACCTAAACCAGCTGGGCGCGGTGGCTCACGCCTGTAATCCCAGCACTTTGGGAGGCTGAGGCGGGTGGATCACGAAGTCAGGAGATCGAGACCATCCTGGCTAACACAGTGAAACCTCGTCTCTACTAAATATACAAAAATTAGCTGGACGTGGTGGCGGGCGCCTGTAGTCCCAGCTACTCGGGAGGCTGAGACAGGAGAATGGCATGAACCCGGGAGGCGGACCTTGCAGTGAGTTGAGTTTGCGCCACTGCACTCCAGCCTGGGCGACAGAGCCAGACTCCATCTCAAAAAAAACAAAAAACAAAACAAAACAAAAAAAACACAAAAAAACCTAAACCAGTGAAACTCATCTTGAAATCATCTGACCAAGAATAGCAGAAAAATTATATTCAGAGAAACAACAGAAAAAGACAAACCTATTTTAAAAACCCATACTTGGAACTGGAAGCCACATGAGAAAAAGCAGAGACCCTTACAAACACAACTCTAGGGGAGGCTAAATCCTACCCTCCAAGGTAAATGGAGACAAACATGGTTACTTCCCAGAACACTGAAGGATACAACCAATAGCTATTTCTATATATCCCACTGTTACAAGATAGGGTACTTAAAAGCAGTGGGCTGGGAAGGCACACAGCAAAGATCAAACTCCAAGAAATGCTCCTCTGTGAAGCAACTTGATCCTTACTCAAAAAGAGCATTGTGGCCTCCGGAGCAGAGAAATTTTTGCAGCATGAGGTGGTAGGGATACTTCCTCTCATCAAACAGCATTGGGGATGTGAAACCAACTGAACAGATGAAGAATGTCAGCCTGAAAGTGGAAAAAAAGGCAAAACTTTAACCTTCTGTAAAGCAGAGACAGAAGCAATAGGAAATTCATGTAAAAGGCAAGAGTAAAATTTACACACTGAAGTGACACCTCCCACCTACTAAAGAATACAGGATGAGTATCCCTATCAGAAAATTCAAAATGTTCCAAAATCTGAAACTTCTGATTGCTGACGTGACGCTCAAAGTACATGTTCATGGGAGCATTTCAGATTAGAGATGCTCAACTGATAAGTATTCCGCAAATATTCCAAAACCCAAAAAATTCCAAAATTCAAAACACTTTCTGGCCCCAAGCATTTTGGATAAGGGATACTACCTATATAAGACCACTGAAATGCAGTTTGACTGTAAATACTTAAAATATTACCCATGTTCTGTACTAGGTACAACCAAAACAAGTAACTTACACTTCATTTTCTAGAGTAAACAAGGGACCTCCAAATTCTCAAATTCAGTGGCTCACACTCCATTTTAAGTAGTATAGGAACAACTTACATATTTTTTATTGTAACTTTCTAGTCCCTGAATCTCAAGCTGAACTTCACCTGAATCGGGGAGTAGGTGTATATGGTGGGGGCTGCCAAGATAACCCCTTAGTCAAGAGCTTAGTGAGAGCTGAGGCTGTTGATCGCGCGGCAGGTGTCGGTGCTGTAGTGGTGCTGGCAGCATGATGGCTCCTTCTCTGGCGGACAGGAGATCCCACACAAAGTTTAACAAGAAGTCCAAATAGCTCAGCAAGTGCTCGGCCTAATCTGGAGGAAGCTGAAACCCAGAAATCAGAATAAGACTGTACAGTATTCTCAGAATGGTTTAATTACAACAGACATATTACCATTAACATATTTTTATGACTCACCACTTCCTCCTACAACCCCTAGTTAACACTTGGATTTGTTCTACATTCAATAATCCAAAAAGGAAGTCCCACAAGGAACAAATGCCACTTTTGACGGTAGGAGACAGATATGTGGCACTCAACAGATACCAAATGTAAAAGACAAATAAGCACTCATACTGCTAGAGGAACATAAATTGAAACCATATTTAAGTTAAATGATATCTAGTGGATGATAAAGTCACTTAAAATGCCTACAGAAAACTTTTAAAATGCCAAAAATGATTAGCCACTTAGATAAGAAAAGATCACTGACAATATACATAGTCTGATCACAACAAAAAATATGTAGTCCCAGAGGAAAAAATAAACTAGGAAAAGCAGGAAAATTTTTACAAGTAGCTTCTTAAGGAATTGGGCAGATTATGGACATCTCAAATTTTCCATTTCATAGGATGCTTTTCAATATATAATTCAACAAGGAAAAGGCAGCATACAAATATAAACATATGTAAAAGAAAACACAAAAAACTGAGTGCTTTCCAGCTTCTCTTTAAATATTTCATGTGTTTTTATATTTCTACAATGAAATATACTTTTAAAATCATAAATGAAAATGTTGCCATAGCATTTTAAAAATAAACGTTATTTCACGTTTTTTCATGAAACGTTATTTCATGATCCAGAGACAAGAAGGGCTAGGTCTGAATCAAAGTACAGCTGACGCTTGATCAACACAGGTTTTCAACTATAGATGCCTACTTATGTGTGAATTTTTTTTCAATAGATATACTGAAAATTTTGGAGATTGGTGACAATTTGAAAAAACTCTCAGATGAAACATGTAGCCTCAAAATATTGAAAAATTAACAAAAAGTTAGGTATGTCATAAACGCATAAAATATATGTAGATACTAGTCTATTTTATCATTTACTACCATAAAATATACACAAATTATAAAAATTTAATATTTATCACACTTATGCACATACACTTATACACGGTGCCATTTGCAGTAAATAAGCAGTATTGAGTAACTGGATAAAATTTAGTACATATTATACTCTGTAATAATTTTGTAGCCACGACCTGCTGATACTGTGGTGAGCTCAAGTGTTGCCACAATCTGCTTAAAACACTGTGTGAGGCTAAGCACTTCTACATGAACAGTTCATCTCTCCAGTAAATTGTGTAGTGATCTCTCATGGTTCTCGCATTGTTTTTCATGTTTACCGCAATACTGAAAACCTGGAATAAACCTGGGTCACTCTATGACCCCATATGAAGTGTCACTAGTGACGTTGGAAGTGCTCCCAAGAAGCAGGGAAAAGTCATGACACTTCAAGAAAAAGTTGAATTATTTGATATGGATTGCAGATTGCCCACCACTTCAGGAAAAATGAATTCAGTGTAAAGACCATTGTAAAACAAACAAAAGGAAATTAGTGAAGCTGTTGCTGCAGCTACACCAGCAGGCTTGAAAACCTTGCACTTTTGTGAAATCTTTTTATTTCATATTGAAAATGCACGTTTATGTGGGTACAGGATTGCCATAATAAAGACAAATCTATAGATTCTAATGCAATTCAAGAAAATAATGAACTCACTATATGAAAACTTAAAGCAAAAGGAAAGTGAAGGATCTAAAGCTGGAGAATGTAAAGCCAGTAAAGGATAATTTGATAATTTTAGAAAGAGATTTGGCTTAAAGAATGTCAAGATAATAGGAGAAGCAGCTTCTGACAACCAACCAACAGGCAACAGATAAGTTCCCAGACACCACTAAGAACATCATTGAGAAAGGGTATCTGCCTGAAAGGGTTTTTCATACAGACAAAAGTGCCCTACTTTGAAGGAAAAAAAAAAAAAGGCCACAAAGGACGTTTATTAGTAAGGAATAGAAGTGAGCAGAAGGATTTAAGGCAGGAAGGGACAGACTCACTCCTCTATTTTGTGCAAATGCTACTGGGTTTATAATCAGGACTGCCCTTACCTATATAGCTCCTAACTTCCGAGCCTTGAAGGAGAAAGATAAACTACCAGCTGCTGGTCTTTTGGTTGTACAAGAAGGCCTGGGCAACAAGACCCCTTTTCTGGATTGGTTCCATTGATGTTTTGTCTCTGAAGTCAGAAGTACCTTGCTAGTAAGGGAGTGCCTTTTAAAGTTCTTTTGACATTAGACAATGCCTCTGGTGACCCAGAGCCCCATGAATTCAACACAAAAGGCACTGAAGTGGTCTACTTGCCCCCCAAAACCACATCTCTAATTCAGCCTCTAGATCAGAGAGTCATAAGGGGCTTTAAGGCTATTACACACAGTACTCTAAGGAAAGGATTGTTAATGCTGTGGAAGAGAACCCTGACAGAGGGAACATCACGAAAGTCTGGAAGGATTACACCACTGAAGATGCCATCATTGTCACAGAAAAAGCCATCAAGCCTGAAATAAATTCCTGTTGGAGAAAACTGTCCTGATATTGTGCAGAACTTAACAGGATTTATGACAGCGCCAATCAAGGAAATCACGAGTTTGTGGATATAGCAAAAAAAAGGTCATGGGTGAAGAATTTCAGGATATGAATCTCAGTGAAATTCAAGAGCTAATAAACACCACACCAGAGCAAGTAACAGAAGACGTCTTGATAGAGATGAGTGCTTCTGAACCGATACCAGATGATGAGGAAGAAGATGTAGAAGCAGTGCCAGGAACCAAAGTGACATAAGACAATCTGGCAGAGGGTTCTGATTACTAAAGAATACTTTTGACTTTTTATGATGTGGACCTTACTATGATATGGGCACCGAAACTAAAGCAAACGGTGGAAGAAAAATTGGTATTGTACAGACACATTTTTAGAGAAATGAAAAAGCAACCAAGTCAGAAAGAAAGTACTGTGTATTTCCACAAAGTTACACCATGCATACCTGCCTTTCCTTCTACCTCCTTGACCTGTTCTGCCTCTGCTATCTCAGAGACAGCAAGACCAACATCCCCCCACTTCCTTCCTCCTCCTCAGCTACTCAATGTGAAGACCACCCAGATGAAGACCTCTATGATGATCCTCTTAATGAATAGTAAATATATTTTTCTCTGAAGATTTTAACATTTTCCTTTATCTAGCTTACTTTAAGAATACAGGATATAATACATATACAAAACGTGTGTCCATCGACTGTTTATGTTACTGGTAAGGCTTCTGGTCAATAGATAGCTATTAGTAGTTAAGTTTTTGGGGAGTCAAACGTTATACATGGATTTCTGACTGTGTGGAGGAGTTGCCTCAACCCCCATGTTGCTCAAGGGTTAAATCTATGTCTTTTCAGGATATACATGCACATATAAACTCAGTGTGTAAAAATAGGCTCTACTTGAGCCTAGGTTACATATCCTGCTAAAATTTAGTAATAAGCTCAAATGTATACAGTATAGGAACAAGGAAAACAGTCCTTTCTTCTTCCTATTACATCCAAATTAAGATTTCTTTATCCTAATTAGGGAATAGTCTACAGATATGGGTATACCCAGACTTTGAAAACCTAATGAATCCAATCATTGGGTTTACACTTTCTCACCACTGCTTTCAGGTGAACAGATAGCAAAGTGCTTAAAGGTAGTCCAAAGACAAGAGGATGGCAAAAGGCCAGTAACCAAAGAGAAACAGTATATGGACTGGGTTCACACAGAAACCTCTGAATGCTCCAAGATCAAAGAAATATGACAAAGCAAGGAGAGAGAAATATGAACATCTTCTTGCTTGGTCAATTTTCCTTTGAAGGTAATGTTGGTAGACTTTCAAATTAAAATAAATGGAGAATTAAACTAATTAAAAGTAAAATGTAAAATGCAATGGGAATTTGAGGTAACAAATGGAAACACCAAAGGCCATTTTCTGTTTGCTTTTACGAAGGGCCCCAGATTCCTCTAAGTTAGGTCTCCATTTTCCTCTATATTAAGGTGCCAGAAAGTGACGACAATTTACGAACACACAAATAGGTTCCCAAACATTGGTATTACATTAAAGGGGAAAAAAAAGGGCAAACAGACCAGTGCAAATCATTAATGCAGTTTTGTATGCTGCCAATACAGTCTCAATAAAGCTGCCAAAGTGACTTTAATATAAAACACCTATCAGACTATGTCTCTTGCCAGTTATGTTCAAGGAACACAAAAAGAGAAGACTAGGTGGAAGAGCCAGATAGTTATCCGAGAATCAAGATAGCTTAATAACACAAGCACCAAAGGAAGAATATTTCTAGATGGAGATGGTGGGTCAACTACCATGCTGCAGACAAGTGAGAAGGGACTTAGGACAAGGACGTTGTAGATGCCTTGCTGAGACATCTCAGTGAAATGGAAGGAGCAGCAACAATATGCAATAGTTGAAGAGTAAGTAGGAGGAAGAAATTAAAGAAGGGAGGGTAGTAGATATGGCTCTCAGGAAGGGATTCTGTCATGTCTGTATCCGTAGCAGCTAGTACAAAGCCTGTCACATAGCAGCCACTCAACAAAGGACACTTAAAAATGAGTCACAGAAGTTTTAAACTTCCTTAGGTGAAACAACATAGCCTTTCCAACTCAATCTGTTTCAAGACTAAGGGACTGAAAGCCAGAAAAGGTAGGAGAAAGGAGAATGACTCACCTGATAACAAAGGCTTGATTTGCTTAATTCTGGCAGCCATTGCTGGTGTGATTTTAGATTTGCCCTTAGAGTCTGAAGCAGTAGGTTCATCTGTCTCCATGGGAGCCAATGTGTCACCATCTAGCCCAATGCCTTCTAATAAGCCCTGGGTAGAAGCATCCATACTTCCAGCTGCTCCATCCTGTTCCCCATCTACAGATGTATAAGAGGGGAGCAATAGGACAATGTAGAGCCAACATTTACCTGGTTCCTTGAGAAGTACTGACAAGATTACCTATGGTTTTTGTTACTCTTTCAATTCCCATGGCTTCCTAAATTTGAAAAACAAAAACACGACCCAAATATTTTACTGATATGCTCCTCTGGAGTTCTAAGTACCTAATGCTGACATCTTCAAATGACAGCATATGAATAGTATTAACCCAGGGCTACCTTGGAAGACTGTTGTAGGCACAGCCCAACCCAGGGGGTACCATTCACATGGACTACAGTGTGCACAGTACCCAATGCTGTCAATGTGGATGCCCTACTAGAATGTTATAGCTTGTTAAGTTCAAACTAGACATCACAGATTACCACTGGACAATTTTATTTCCTAGCATTTAAGAATTATGTATATGAATGTGACATGTGTCTTTTTCTTTGGTATATGCTTGCTCTTAGATCTAAGAATGAGCTTTATGCAAACTTATAAAACAAGTCACCAAGTTGTTCTCTTAACATTCCAGAAAAACTGTGGAGAAGCTGAGTCGTTTTTGTTAAATGTGTTAAATTGCTAGAAAAAATATATCTGTTAGAGAGGCAATTCTTTGACAGTGAATCTAATTTCATTCTCAGTTCTTAGTCAATTTATTCTTTCCCTGAGTTAAATTTAGTATGTTTTGACTAAATTTGAAATTCTCATTTTGTCAGGTTTCTTTATAGTTTATTAATGTTATCCCATCCCTCACAATAACCAGCTGTCATATGTAAGTCCTTGTTTGTTGGTTCTAAGCCTATGTCAGCTTTATTAGTTCCTTAGAAATTTCCCTTTCTAGTAATTTCTGTACAAGTTTTAAGCCTGATACCTTTTTTTTTTTTTGGAGACAGGGTCTCGCTCTGTCATCTAGGCTTGAGTGCAGGGGTATACTCATGGCTCACCATAGCCTCAACTTCCTGGGCTCAAGCGATCCTCCCACCTCAGCCTCCCTAGTAGCTGGGACTACAGGCATGTACCACCATGGCCGGCTAATTTTTGTATTTTTTTTGTAGAGATAGAGTTTCGTCATGTTGCCCAAGCGGGTCTCGAACTCCTGGGCTCAAACGATTCACCTGCCTCAGCCTCCCAAAGTGTTGGGATTAGAGACGTGAGCCACTGTGCCTGGCCTGATGCATTTTTATACACAGAATTATCTTCATTGCTTTCTTAATAGTTTATCCTTTTTTATTTCCTCATTGATACTGAACACCAGAGAAAAAACATTCTGGAAAAGTTGCTTGTATTCATTTTAGGTTTGTAGCATTAGAGTCAGAAAATTGTGTATGATTTCTACTTACTGAAATTTGGAATTTTTTTTTTTTTTTTTCCTGAGGCGGTGTTTCGCTCTTGTTGCCCAGGCTGGAGTGCAATGGCGCGATTTCGGCTCACTGCAACCTCCACCTCCCAGGTTCAAGCGATTCTCCTGCCTCAGCCTCCCGAGTAGCTGGGATTATAGGTATGTGCCACCACGCCCGGCTAATTTTTTGTGTTTTCAGTAGAGACAGGGTTTCTCCATGTTCGTCAGGCTGGTCTGAACTCCTGACCTCAGGTGATCCACCCGCCTCAGCCTCCCAAAGTGCTAGGATTACAGGCGTGAGCCACCGAGCCCGGCCAAAATTTGGAATTTTTATCATGAGATAATATAAAAGCAATCTTCTTTATAAAACAGCACTGTCGATAGAAATATAACATGAAACACATATATAATTTAAATTTTCTAGTAGCCACATTAAAAAGTATTTGTTAATACCCTCTGATACAGTAATTTCTAGGAATCAATTTTACATTTGTAGAAAAGTAGATACAAAAATGTTCATTTTTTAAAAATAGCATATTAGAAACTTAACAGGGAATAGTTAATTCGTGTACCTTTATATGGTACCTAACATTAAGTGAAGAAAGAGATCTACGAAATGTTTTTATCTAAGACACTGGCAAATGTATTCAGAGAAAAAAGACGGGCAGACACTTCCAAAATGTTTTTTTTTTTTTTTGGTGGCAGAAATACGGGTAATTCTTTCAACTACATTTTCTAAATTTTACCATTATGTATATATGTTTTTATGGAAGAAATGACTAAAAATTAGTGAGAGGATGAAAACTAGACTATGGATGATAGAACTAACTAAAAATTTTCATAATAAACCTATAAAGACGTAGGAACAAAACTTAGAAGTAATGACTAACATTTTAGTTTCTTAGAGTTACCTGATCTTTTTCCGCCCTGGGTCGTACCTGCCTTCTCATCCTTTGGAACCAGTTTCTGCATATCTGCCTGGCCAAATTCACACCCAGATGGTAGGCTGCAAAAAGAGAAATGCTGAGCAAAAGAAATATATATATATATATACTGATAATTCACCTCTTATATTGTAAATGGTCTCTAATTTGCTTGGCTGACACTATCCCTCCTATAGCAGGCAGGTTAAACTGAATGTAATAAAGCATCTATAATTCCTGAGGTAGCACCCCACAAGCTTTCCAATTCTTTTTTTTTTCTTTTTTTTTTTTTGGAGACCCAGTCTCACTCTTTCGCCTGGGCTGGAGTGCAGTGGCATGATCTTGGGCTCACTGCAACCTCCACCTCCGGGGTTCAAGCAATTCTCCTGCCTCAGCCTCCCAAATAGCTGGGATTACAGGCGCCCGCCATTACGCCCAGCTAATTTTTTGTATTTTTAGTAGAGATGGGGTTTCACCATGTTGGCCAGGCTGGTCTCGAACACCTGACCTCTTGATTTGCCTACCTTGGCCTCCCAAAGTGCTGAGATTACAGGCGTGAGCCACCGTGTCCAGCCACAACTCAATTTTTTGTATCTGGCTAATAACAGGAACACATTTTAAACATCTACCATGACGACAAAGCATTTGTCATCAAGTTCCTAGGCTGGGAAGAGGGAAGGACAAGGAGGCCTCTGAACTCTCTTCCATACCCTCCTATCCCCAACCAAAGCAATCCTCCAGGCTCACCGAACTTAGATAACAAAGTAATAAGAGAGAGAGCCATTCTCTTACCTGTTTGGGGTACACAGAGAGAGGAGGACAGTGCTTTCCCACACCAGGGAACAGTATAACTGGCTCAGCTTGCTCAAAACACTCAGACCCAATTGAGAGCCCCACTGGTTTACGGAGATGGAACGAATTTCACTCTGCAATCATAACAAGAATTTCACCTTTGGGATGTTCTCTGAACAATTATACTTAAAAAAAAAAATTGACCTTCAACAGTTTTATAAGGGTAAGGGATTTTTCTTCATTGCTATTCTCAGAGTTATCCACCTCATCAAAATGTCCACACTCAAGACGACAGTTCCACAAGGTATCCTCTTACAATATTTACAAACTATTTCCACAACATCCGTTCTCATTGTTTTTTATAAAGTGAAAGAAAGGCATCAGAGGCTACTCTTTTTTTCTGAATCAAAGAAATGGTTTTACAGGTTCATTAACTACTTTCTAAATTATTTGGTAGGGGTATTATTATTTCCATTCAATTTCTTTACTTCAGTAAGTACCTAGATTTATTTAATTCCTTGAATGTTTCATTTTCATTTTATTTCATTTAATAAAGAAGTCATAAAAATCAATCCCTAAGCTTTGTTAAGTAATTTAATTTTCTAAATCCTTTATACTTGTGCTTTTTTAAACTTCAGATTTGATTGATTCACAATTAACAGAGAACACACTCCTGCTCAATAGCATAAAACAGGGCTGTTGAACCCTGTTTTGTTTAATGTTGATACCATAAATCTTTAGAATCAATTATCTGAGGAATAAATGTAGTAAAACTGTGAGGACATACACAAAATGCCTTCTTTCTGGAACTATGGATTATGGATTACAGGTCAAACGTTTGATATGTAGAAAATTTTTAGTAATTTGTTAATTACTATTGATTTAAATGTTCTTTGGTAAAATGTCCTACCTATGCCATCCCATTATCAGACCTATAAGGACTGGTGGAAAGATTAGAAAGTACTAAGGCCAGATGAATACCCAATTGATGTTTGTCTGTAATAACATGTTTCGCTCTCAAGAAAGTCCACTTCATCACATAATAAGTTATATAGTCACTCAACTTTTTGACAGTCAAAAAAATCTCATCCTAAATTGGACTGTTCTTTTAGCTGCTACCTCAGGCAGACCTCCTTTCAAGCATAGTAACCCTGCTAGGTGTATGCCCTAGATATTTCACTGCCTTTAAATTAATATGTTCACCCCTAAGGTTATTTTTACCTGTCCAACTCTGCAAGTATGAACAAACATCATGATGTAGGCATGGGCAGCAGTGAGTGCATGCAGCAGAGGTGTGGCCTGGGCTGAGAGGGTAGCATCAGCAACATTGCCTGCGCAAGCCAGTTCTCGCAACAACACTGAGCCCCCAGGGGATTCAATGGGGCGGTGTAAGGGCTCCAGGGAGGAGAGGATGGAGTCCAACTGAAGGAGACCCTCTTGAAGGACTTTGGGTTCATGTGACAGTGTCTGAAACAGGAAGAATAATTAAAGTGTTAATATACAATGAACTTCAAATTCATCATGTCTTTTAATAGTCACAATGGAAGTGACAATTAAATGGAAGCCTCTCAGATTTTGGATATGGCCATGGTCTCTCACCTGGTAAATGGTGGAACCCAAATATGAAGTCAGGTACAACATACCTTAACATCTCTTTCTAGAGCAACACACTACTTTCAAACTTGGTGAGCCAATAACACTTAAAAGCTTATGATGGTCAAACTGAATACTGTTACGGCAAGGATTCTACACTATAGGATTAATTCCAAATTTTGCTCGATAGGAAACAATGTTAGGCAAAGTTCCAAAGCATGGAAGTGAGTCACTATTACACTGTTCTTTTCTTCTTAAAACAAAAGCGATTATTCTGAGATAGGAATCAGGTAGGCAATTTGTTTTTATCAGACAACCCAAGGATTATACGACCCTTGTGATTTCCTCTCAAGTCTGGAGAAAAATCTGACAATAAAACACCATCACTTGCCATGCAAAGATAGGAGAAATCATGTGCCTTCCTATGGCTTTAAATAAATCTATCTATCCTTCCACAGCATCTTATAGGATATTTTCCCCTCTCTGTGATGAAGAGCATTTAATTCAATATTTCAAAGAGTAAAACAAAATAAACTAAATGAAGTCACGTCACAATTATGGATCTTTCCAAGTCTGTAAGCAAATGGATTTCTCATTCAGCAGGAATTACTTATCACTCTGCAGCCCAGCTAACAAAGGAGTTTCACAGATTTAATGCAATCACTATCAAAATTCCAATGCTGTTTTTTGTTTTGGTTTTGCAGAAATAGAAAAATCCCTTCTAAAATTTATATGAAATCTTAAGGGACCCCAAATAGCCAAAACAAGTTGGGGAAAAATTTTTGGAGGTCTCACTCTTTTTGATTTCTATTACAAAGTTACAGTGATCAAAACTGTGATACTGGCATAAAGACAGACGTAAAGACCAATGGAATAGAATAGAGAGCCCAGAATTAAATCTTCACATATATATGGTCAAATGATTTTTGACAAAGGTACCAAGACCATGCAATAGGAAAGGACAGACTTTTACCATATAAAAAATCTAATCAAAATGGATTAAAGACCTGAATATAAGAGCTAAGTTATAAAACTCCTAGAAGAAGCCACAGTGGGAAAGCTGCAAAACATCGGATTTGGCAATGGTTTTGTGGACACGACACCAAAAACACAGGTGTTTACACAGGCAACAAAAACAAAAAAAGAGAAGCTGAACTTTATCAAGATTAAAAATGTTTGTGAATCCAAAGACAACCAAGAAAAGGCAACTCACAGAACAGGAAAAATATATGCAAATCATATACCTGAGAAGAAATTAGTATCAGGTATTAATACGTGTACAAGAATACACAACTCTTACAACTCAACAAAACAAATAACACGATTAAAAAAGAACAATGAATTTGAATAGACATTTCTACAAAGAAGATATATACATGGATAACAAGCACATGAAAAGATGTTCATTATCACTATGCATTAGGGAAATGCCAGTGAAAAACAAAATGAGATACACTTCCTACCCACCAGAATGGCTATTATCAAAAAACAGAAAATAAGTATTGGCTAGGATGTGGGAAAATTAGAATTAAAAGTAGAGTCTCAAAGAGTTACATGTACATCCATGTTCACAGCATCATTATTATTCACAACAGCCAAAAGGAGAAAGCAACCCAAGTGTCAATCAACAGATGAATGGATAAACAAAATGTGGTATATACACACAATGGAATATTATTAGGCCTTACAAGGGAAGGAAATTATGACACATGCTACATAATGGTTGAACCTTGAGGGCATTATGCTAAGTGAAAAAAGCCGGTCGCACATACAAAATATTTTATGATCCCACTTATATAAGGTACCTAGAGTAGTCAAATTTAGAGACAAAAAATAGAATGGTAGTTGCCAAGGTCTGGGGAGAGGGGAGGATGAGAAGTTCAATGGCAGAATTTCATTTTTGCAAGATGAAAAGAGTTCTGGAGATTGGCTGCACATCAATATGAATACACATAACACTACTGAACTCTACACTTCAAAATGGTTAAGATGATACATTTCATGTTATGTGTAGTTTACCACTATGAAAAAATAAAGAAGCTTCATTTTTGGCAAAATATGAGCAATGAACTACCATGTCAATTATGCTTAAAATACATGACTATCGGGCTTGAAAAGGGGGGAATTAAGTATCGGCAATGAACTACATGTCAATTATGCTTAAAATACATGACTACCAAGCTTGAAAGGGGAGGAAAATACATGGTTAAACATAACCATAAACATAAAATGTGTTTAAAATGCACCTATAACAAAGAAGGGAGAGGTACTAATAAAACCCAACTAGAAAAGCTTTCTTGGAGATACACTTTTCCCTCCAATAAACTCTAATGATGTAGAACTACATACCCAACCGATGAACAAAGAAAAAATACTTTGACTTTTCAATGAGAAATAACATGGCACACTATATATTAGTCACAAAATTCACTTATACAACATAACACAAATTTATTCATTATTTTTTAGTTGAAGGGAGACCATAGTAAAAACATATATACAGAAGTATCGCAAAATTGATTTCCAGAAAGAAATGAAAACATTTGGCCAGATGCTTCTTACCAATATGGATTTGCAGACACCTGCAACAGCCTGACAGGCAGCAGATGTGGGAAAGTCAATGGGCAGATTGGGAAGACCCAAAATGGTAACCAAAGGCAACAGTCCTTTCTGATTCACAAATTCCTGGCAGTGGTCATCTGTTGTATTGTTGCTCAGAATAGATTCCACAAATTTCATCTAGGTAATAAAAATTTTTTAAAGAAGTTAGAGCCTGACAGGTGGAACTAAATGGCCAGCCTGGAATAAGGATGGGGTAGCCTTCTAGTCATGATATTAGTGTTTTCTATAGAGTATCAAAACCTCAGATAAACCAGATGTATGATACGGATTCTAAAACATCCAGGAAGTAAAGAATATCTACAATTTCTGCCCAATCTCCATTTTCAAGCACACCAAGAATCAGATATTTCGAGATAACAGAGAAGTTAAGTGACTTGCTCAGGGCCACATTATGAATTAGTGGTACAATCATGTTTAATCTCTTAATTTGCTATTTAGTGCTCCTTGCCTACCTCTCTCCTGCAGGCAAACATCATGGAAAATTTCCCCCAAATGTGCTTATAATGCAAATGAAACGCATAATGCAAATGAAACACTGAACTCTGGAAGAGTTTGTTTCAAACAAAGAATTTTTTTAAGAGTAAAAAAGTAAAATGTGGGCAATAAACACACAGGCACAAGACAAACTATCTCTGGAAGTCTTGGAAGTGATTAGTAGGCTGAAACAAATGCTAAGAGGTCTCTCCCTTATTGGTAAACAATTCTGGGAAAATTCAAACTCTTCACTTTTTTGGTGAGATACCCAGGAAGTAATGGGAAAAAAGGGGGAAAATATATGTTGGACACATTTGGAAAACATATTACAGGTTGTATATTTCATATTCGAAATGCTTGGGCACCATGAGTGTTTCAGATTTTTATTTTTGAATATTTGCATTATACAGTACAGGCTGAAAATGCTCCAGTGAGCATTTCCCTTCAGTGTTATGTTGGTACTCAAAAAGGTTCAAATTTTGGAGCATTTTGGATTTGGGATGATCAGCCTGTACTAGACTGGCAAAACAAAACCTGTTACAGATTCCTGTCTGGATTCTAATGGAGAATGGTAACAGTGAACAAAAAAATCTGGAATACAAAATAATGGGGCTTGTGTTGGCTAATTTCTGGCAAACCAGTCTAGAACAAAAACAAAAGGGTGGCACATCTTTCCCCTCTTAATTGGATTCCAATTAAAATGAATACGGTAATTACTGGACTCTGATAACGAAACACATTTTCCAGAAAAGCACATATACATCTTTACTCAGTTTGCCCTGTGTTGAATCTTACCACATTAAGGATGTAATCCATGAGGGGAATAGGAATACGTTCCTCTGTACCAACAACCCTGTTAGGGGAGAAAAGAGTGAGTTACACAGAAATTCACAATACCAATATTAAGAGAACAGAGGAGGAGGCACTGTATAAAATTCTAGGCCTTTTTCTATTTATTTATTTATTTGCTTATTTTTTTGAGACAGGGTCTTGCTGTCACCCAGGCTGGAGTGCAGTGGCACAATCATGGCTCACTGCAGCCTTTGCTTCCCAGGCTTATGGGGTAGAGATGAGCCTTTAGACTCATATACCGCAGGAAAAAAACAGCTGAAATCAATCCTGAATCTACCTTTCCAAGCCTGACCAAGGTTGAAAGCATAAAGGGGACAACCAAGCCTTTAAAAACTCAACATTAGTATACATCACAAGAGAAGCTATCCTATCTTTGGCAAACTACTGTTAGGGAAATTTATCCACATGAGAACACTAAAAATAAGTTCAATTAAAAGACTCAACATTTGCTTGAAGAAAGAGGCTAGACAAAGAAACACTTAAACATCATACGATGTTTTTGCATCACGTTTAAAGTTATGGAGAGTAGGAAATACAATTTAATTTAGTTCAAAGATTCATACACCTGAGGTCTCCCTTCCCTAACAATTGGTATTTGCAGCATGACAGTTCCTGAACTATCAAAAAACTGATCAGGTCTTTTGTCTTTTCAGTTGCTTCAATATTGCACAGCAGATGAGAAGGCTACAACATGCCACAGCTGCAGAAAATGCAGCTCAATGCAAAAAACTACACATATAGTATATTGTGATGAATCAAAATATACCTCTAAGATAAACCCCAGGAAGGAACAAATACTTTAGAAAATGGAGTATTTTGGACACAGGCCCTTGAAACAGATTTGGGCACAGGGTGCAGGAGAGCGGGATGGGGCAGAGACAGAGGGAGAGGTAGAGGAAGAAGACAAGAAAGTTGGCAAGAAGCTAGTAGTTCTCATCTTTGAGCAAGACAAAATGTAAACAAAGATTTGCCAGGCACAAGAACATTTGGCAGCAGAATATAGAACAGGAAAAGAGAGTGGAGAGGCATTATGAATGACTTCAGTGACAAAAATACCCAGAACCAGGTTTGGGTAGGATGTTGTGAACCTCCTCAATGAAAAATGTGGGGAAGAACTTTGTAGAAAGGGAGTATACCTATAAGGCAAGACTGAAATGATTCCATGAGAAGACCACAAACCTTTCTTTAAGTTCCTCCTCAGAACCACTGCAGCATTCCATGTTACTTATATCAATTACCTATATAGATCCACCTCTATCGATAAGGAGTGCAGGTGTGGATCCCGCCCAGAGACACCCAACCCTTTGAAGAAGCCAGATATAATGGCAAAGAGCCTAAGTAGTAAAATCAAATGAGACCTATATGCCCCCTTCATTTGCTACATGGAAACTGGGGAGAAGAACAGAGAGAAAGCAAACCAATAGTGGTTCTTAATATAATTTCAGGAATAAATTTGTTCAGTAACCACTTTTCTCCTTCCCCTCATCTTTTGGCTCTCAGGCCCAAGAAGCCATACAGGAATAATCAAAATGATCAACTCTTTCCAACAGGACTCAACTTACCAACTGATTTCAAGAAAAGTCCTTCTAAACTTCCTGTCTCTCTCCCTTTCCCCAAACATACACACATTCCCAAACTCTGGTCAATTTTCAGTATTTATGGTGGTGGAGCCCCAGCTCATGCCCCCATCAAAAGTAAAGGAGGATATCAATTTAGTGTCATAGTATGATGTATATGGGGTTTTTTGGGATGGGGGGATGGTCAGGTGCTTCCTCCAGCTTTTGAGGAGACAGCTGACTCTGACAAAGGAGCCCTCCCAGTGGGCCACATTTCAGGGAACAACTGCGTCTCTGCACTCATTGCCTTTAAATTCCAGACAATTGCTATTCAAGTTCTAAAGATGACAAAGACTTTATATAGTCCATTTCTTTCAAGCTGCTCATGAGTGGTGGGTGGTAAGCTAGGCACACTAATGCAATCAACCACAAAGTGAACCGTGATGCACCAACTACAAACCCTGGTTACTTAACTGCTAAGTATATTCATCCCCAGCAATATCAGATTTTCTGAGATCAAACAATTCAGAAGGCAGAAGAAAGGGGGCAAAAGACAGGTATTTAGAACTACTTGTGGTGAGTGAGTCTGAGTGTAGAAAGGCACCCCACGTACCTGGCGTAGACTATAGTGCCTAAGTTTCCTTACTCCAAATCTCCAGCACAAAACCATGTATTTCAAGAGTAAATACAAACACCATTTGCAAATACTAGCTGCTGATTTTGTAAAAAAAAAAAAAAAAAAAAAGAAAGGGTAGTGTCTAAGCCTGGAAAAAACTCAGAAACCCAAGTCCATCAACAGGAAAATGGATAATCACTATACAATTATCACATAACAGAATACTACTCAGCAATGAAAAGTAACAAGTTGCTGACAGATGCAATAACATGGATGAACCTCCAAAACACATCAAACAAAGAAGCTAGATACAAGAAGGTATATACGTCAGATATAATATACACATAAGACTTTATATGGTCATTTTATTTAAACATATTCTGGAATAGACATAATAATATGATGACAGAAGTAAGATGAGTAACAGTCTCAATTTTGGGCAGGGAAACTGGAAATGTAAAATCTGTATGGAAATCATACCTGAATTTAAACTGCTGATAAATTGGCCAGGTGCGGCGGTGCACACCTGTAATCCCAACACTTTGGGAGGCCGAAGTGGGTGGATCACATGAGGCCAGGAGTTTGAGGCCAACATGGCAAAACCCCATCTCTACTAAAAATACAAAAATTAGCAAGGCATGGTGGCACGTGTCTGTAATCCCAGCTACTCAGGAGGCTAAGGACCGAGAACTGCTTGAACTCGGGAGGCGGAGGTTGCAGTGAGCTGAGCTCGTGCCTCTGCACTCCAGCCTGGGTGATGTAGTGAGACTCTGTCTCAAAAAAAAAAAAATAAATAAATAAAATAAAATAAAGATAAAAGTTAATCATTTTATGTGTGTATAAGGCATTGGAAAACAAATGAGAGCATGGGAAACAGAAATTCGGAAGAACTATGGATATGGAGGAAGGGATGGGCAAGACTTCTGGGGAGAAGGGTGACACATATTCCAAATCTTTCTAAGCCCTTTCACCATATTGTGAGAAAGTACACAATTCCCCTATAACAATTGCCTGGGATAGAAGATAAAAAGAACTTTTGCTGTTAATATATTGTGGTTTTCAAAATGAAGCTAAGTTTAGACAGTCTCTTGCTTTTTCTTCCTTCCCTAATAATTTACTTAGTGACCCAATCTAGGCCTCTGAAGATGGCAAAAGTGAAAAAATGTATGTGTCAACATCTGTGAGACTCCTGGATTATCCAAATGAGGCAGTGATGAGCATCCAGAATGTAGAAAACTACTGATACTGGGGTACAGTAACTACTAGAGTCCTCTGCATCTTAGAAGTTACATATAACTATCACTGTGGTAGAATATTAATGCTACTGGGTTTATATTTCTAATTTCTCTTCATTTTCATTCATGTCTCATTAGGCCTAGCTCTCTAAGCATTTAAGACTTCAGGAATCCTTCATTTAAGGCTCTTTATTCATTTCAATAAACAAACCTACTGACTACCTACTATATACAAAGTGATAGGGATACACTGGTGAATGAGGCAATGTCTTGCTCTTGAGGAGCTTATAGGTGAGTGAGGAAAACCATTAACATGTATGAATAATTTTAACAAAACTGTTGGGAGAACACAAGATTGAGTTCTCATTTGGAGGTAAAAAACCAACCAACCAACCAACCAACCTACCTCCTTCAAGAATAAGACATTTGAACTAGCCTTACAGAAATCTGGTGGATGTAAAAGGAGGTGATGTGGGAATGGGGATGGCTGTGGATAGAACACAGTGATACATGATAGCCCAAGAAAGGAAAGGAGGGTAAGCAAATGAGGGTAGTGTGCTGATTAACTGTGTCAGCTTGAAATCTGGGCACATCAGATGTAAGGCATCTGGAAAATATCCAGGTAGGGACGTCACATGCAGATGAATATATATGAGCTTGAATTAAAACCACCACCACCTACACCTTAAAATTTTTCCTTATTTGTAGCCAGGAAAAGGAACCCCACACTCCAGTAGGGTCACTGACATTCAAGGGTGTGACAAAGGAAGCACTAAGACTCGTCTACAAAAAAAAGTCGTGCTTTTTTCCAGGGTGTCCTCCTCTTCTAGAAAAAGAACATTTAAAAGAGAACAAAAGATACTGCTAGAATGAAGATAGGTTTGCCTTCTCAGACAGGGTAAGGTATCTGTTCAACAAAGCAATATACTTAGTAGTTAATGCCTCTCCTTAAAACACTTGACACCCACAGGCTCATCACTATTTAGAGTTCCAAGAGGACATACCAGTTTCGGATTCTAGGCCTTTGCTCCTGTTGTCAACTCCACCTTAAATTTTAAGTCCCAAGGTGCCATTCAGGACCAGCTCAAATGCATTCATAGCTGTGCCTAAAATGCTCAAGCTTTTCTCAGAATGACTTACCTACACACTAAAAGACCACTTATTATATGAGGGAGTGCAGGACTGTCCAGAAAGATCAATCCCATTTTCAGCATGCAGGTGACTAAAAGTTACAGGTATACAGTTACAGTTCATCCCTGGTATGTGAATACTGCTCAAAGAGCCTGGTGGACTACCCCCTACCAATCACTAAGCCTTTAAGCAAACTCCCTGCTTCCATCTAAGCAGTCAATTCTTGACTATTTACAGTCATATAGTAAATTCCAAAGCCTTCTACTAATTAATCTGGAACGAACAGATAGTAACAAAATGAACAAAAATAAAAAAACAACAAGCAACAACAAATCTTCACACACCCCTTAAGGACTTCTTAGGAGACAGGCTTCAAAAGTACATTGTTTTTCACACGTGCCTGAAAAAAATCAAGCAGTCGATGTGGAATATCAAATCAACAAAGGGAAAATAAGGTCTCTGTGCAAAGTCCATTAACTTGATGGACCAAATTCTGATTCAATTTCATCAACAGCTTTTAAGAATGAGCACTTCCTGGCCGGATGCGGTAGCTCACGCCTGTAATCCTAACACTTTGGGAAGCCGAGGTGGGTAGATCACCTGACGTCGGGAGTTTGAGATTAGCCTGGTCAACATGGTGAAACCCCATCTCTACTAAAAATACAAAAATTAGCCAAGTGTGGTGGTAGGTGTCTGTAATCCCAGCTACTTGGGAGGCTGAGGCAGGAGAACTGCTTGAGCCCAGGAGGTGGAGGTTGCAATGAGCCGAGACCACATCATTGCACTCCAGCATGGGCAACGAGAGCAAAACTCTCTCTCAAAAAAATCAATAAAAATTAAAAATTAATTAATTTTTTTAAAAAAAGATCACTTCCTAAGGCAACCAATACAATTAAATACCAAAGCACAAATGACACACAAGGGTCAAAAAAGGAAAAACTAATACATTCTTAGAACCGGTTAGAACTTTAAAATGATCTAATACAACTCTCTTGCTTTTTATAGATGAAAGTGTTCATTAAGACTTAGAGAGGTGATAACATGCCCACGATTATATGGCTAGATGATCTGTTCTGTAAACACTTACTGCTGATTAGGCTCAGTTTCATTTTGCTGGGTAGAATTAAAGCTCTGCATGGCCTGTACTTCCTCTTCCTCCTCATCCTCACTAGAGGCTTCTTCTGCGGCATGATTAGACCTTGGGGGAGGAGCAGTGGCAGTGCCATCTGCCTTCTGGATTGATGGCTTCTGACAGATGTATTTGGGGTCCCTTCCAAGATTACAGATTTCTTCAAGTAACTGAAAGGCACAGGAAATAAGATTACTTATTAGTAATCATGGAATGGGGAGGAGGAGACAGCTAACATATTTAGAGCGTTTTCTATGTGTTGTGTATTTGCCCAAACACTTTGTATACATGTTATATACATAATTCCCAGAATATGGTCATTAATTACATTTTATAAACAAGGGAATAGAAGTGCTGCAAACTTAAATAATTTGTTGAGCGTCACACGGCTGTATAAGTGACTGACGAACCTGACTCCCTGTCCCAATTCACCAAGCACCAGGAACTTATATACCAATTTCAACAACAATTCTAAAAGGAAACTGGCAGAGCTAATAAGGCGGGGGTGGGGGGCAGCCACAGGGATCAACAAACGGAGACTAGAAAGGGTAATATGCTTTACAAACTTAATCTAAGCCATGTCTGCTTGTCCATATAATATATAAAAGAAATCATTATATACAGGTTACATTAAATGGAAAAAAATTTTTAAGGAAAACAATTCTCAATCTAAAATACTTTTTTTTTTTTTGGAGACAGAGTCTTGCAGTGGCATGATCTTGGCTCACTACAACCTCCGCCTCCCGAGTTCAAGTGATTCTCCTGCCTCAGCCTCCAGAGTAGCTGGGACTACAGGCACACGCCACCAAACCCGGCTAACTTTTGTATTTTTCATAGAAACGGGGCTTCACCATGTTGTCCAGGCTGGTCTCAAACTCCTGGCCTCAAGCGATCCACCAGCCTCAGCCTCCCAAAGTGCCAGGATTACAGGCGTGAGCCACTGCACCCAGGCTAAAAAAATTTTAACAGAGACTTCTTTCTAAGATGAACTAAAATGACAACATCTTTTTATAAAGGACCAACCTAAGGACATGGAAACAATGAGGCAGACATAATGCTCTTACAGCTATAGCCCAAGAATCCTAATGACCTCTAGTAGGCCAATCTTCTAAAACCTTCCCCTTCTCTGCTCTCTCATGCTCATGGTCACATCCTTATCACTTTCTACCTTGATGATGGCAGTCGTTGCATCTGTTTTAAGGGTGGGCTGATGTCTCATGAGCTCATCGACAGCACTCCCCAGGTTGGATGCAGTATCCCCTTAAGGCAAAAAATGAACTGTTAGAATTAGAAAGACTGAAGAAAATAGAGCTTGGGCTCTTTTCTGTACCAACATATAAAGTGGAAAGAAGAAACTGAGCCTGGTTATGATTTTCTTTCCTTTAAAGACTTTATGTCACCCAGACTGGAGTGCAGTGTCACGATCTCCTGGACTCAAGCGATCCTCCCACCTCAGCCCTCCAAGTAGCTGGGACTACAGGTGTGCGCCTCCGTGACTGGAGAAATTTTTTTTTTGGTAGAGATGGGGTTTGGCCATGTTGCCCAGGCTGGTCTCAAACTCCTGAGCTCAAGTGATCTGCCCACCTTGGCCTCCCAAAATGGTAGGTGTGTGCCACTGTGCCAGGCCAGGCTGTTGTGATATTTTTTTCCTATTTTTTTTTTTTGGTTGTGATTTTCTAATGCCACAACTTCTTTAATGAATTTACACCCAGCCCCTATCCCCCCAAATCACTAGGGAAAAGGAAGGAATCAGTTTAGTAAACTATTTTAAAGTAACTATGTGTGCTGCACTCTACTCTGGCAATCTTTGCTGTCAAGATCTAAACTAGTATTACAGAGTGAGAGAGAAGAAAGATGTACAAACCATTAACCCTCTGGCTGCTCCAGTTAAGAATGATAGTGTCTAAATGCTACAGTGGTGGTTGAAAAGTACAAAGCACATTTTTGAAAACTGTAATCTTTCTGGAGCCCTACCTTTTTGCTAATAATCTCTCAATTATCTGGTCTCAAGTATACTGAGTAAAAAAAAAATATCCATGTGTCGTTATCTTAGAGAGTTGGACATCAGAACACTAGATTACCAGATGAACACCTCAGGACTCCATATTTCTCATTGCTGCAGACCAGATGGTGAACCTGGAAATCTACCACTGCTTCTTAATACCTATTTTCTACCAGTACCATGAAAGTACAATGGTGAACTGTTGAGAAGCATGGAAATATTATGAGCAGAGAAGCTGAAGTATTCCTTCTGAAGTATAATAGAATGTATGATGATAATTCCCATTAAACTTAGCACACCTAACCAGTAAAACGATGAGAGAGATGATCAAGGAAGAGTTTCCTTGCAAACTAAATCAATTTTCTACTATAAAATAAATCTTAACAACTTACCAAGGGGATCAGAACTTCTCCTCCTCCGCATGGCTGGGAGGTAATCTGGAGACAGAAGAACTTTGAAGAGGCGTTCAAAAGGCTGACACTGAACAAAAGACTGAAGACCTCGGGCATTCAAACAGAGTGCACTGAATACATTTGGGAGGGAGCCAAGGACTTCACGGGTAGCAGGAACCTAAAGAGAAAACAAAGTGAGCTTGAATGCATCTAAAAGAGTGTAGATGCTAGGAAAATCCGGCCATGGGTATCAAGCTGAGATAGAAGGAATTTTGACAACCAGGTCCCAATTAGATTCAACACTACACACAGAAGAGATAGGATTTTCACGCCCTAAGACATTCTTTACAGAGTAGCAGAAAAGACTTACATCTTTGATAAGCAGTGCATGCAGCATGACATCTGTCAATCCATTGTCCTGGAGTGAGGAGAGCAGTGATGGTTCTTGAAATACAAACACAGTCACCACTTCAGTAGCTAAAAAAAGATGAGAAAATATGGAAAACTGAGAGATTCCTCACAGAAACTGAAAACAAAACACCAAAAGCTTAAAAAAAAATACATACTCAATGTCTAGCAATTTAAACCCTTGTGCTTACTATGAAATTAAAGATCCTAATACTGCTCCATCAGAGATTCAATACTATAAAGAATCTAGTGACTACACTTACAGGATTTTTATGGGCATATTTTTACATAAATGAGGTTACACTGTTTTATATATTTTGCTTTTCCCCCACAACTGTCATACCGTATAATGTCCTCTCCCGACACAACGACCCATTCATTTTGAATGGCTGCCTACTATTCCACTAAATGCATGTACCACATGTATAAAAACCAGTCCTCAATTGTGAAAATGATAAACCTAAACATATATCCGTTTTTGTCTGCTTTTAACAGGAAAAAAAATCTATGATGTGGGCTTGCTGGGTTAAAGCAAATGCAAGCTTTACTGATGAAAATAGATAAACTGCCTCATACAAAGGTTATTCAACAATTTTAAACTATCACCAGCAATGCAAGAGTCCTTGAATATTAATCTGATCAGTTTTTGACATTATAATATTTTAAAATGTGCAGTAATAACTACCAAAGCTTCTGGAACATGGGAAAAACTCTACTCAAGAGGAAATAGTACAGCATTAAAGTATTTATTAAAAAGTAACCAAACAAGCTATGAAGAATTAACAGAAAAAAGAATTCAGTGAAAACGAAAGCAAAAAGGATAAACGAAGCCAATATCTAGCTTTGTGAAGACACTGGAAAAGCTTATAAACCTATAGAAAATAGAGCAATAATATAAATTAGAAACAAGAGCAGTAATATACATTAGGAATGAGAAAGGAGATTTAACTAGATACAGAAAAAAAAAATTTATTCTACAAAGTGTATGCCAACAAGTGAAATAATATAAATTAGAAAAAAGAGCAGTAATATACGTTATGAATGAGAAAGGAGATTTAACTAGATACAGAAAAATATATTCTACAAACTATATGCCAACAAGTGAAATGTATAGTTTAATAAGAAAATGTCATAAAAATCAAATCTCAGGAAGTGACAGCAAAGCAGACTAGACCAGTAAGAATTTTCTTTTTTTTTTTTTTTTTTAGACGGAGTCTCACTCTGTCGCCCAGGCTGGAGTACAGTGGTGCAATCTCGGCTCACTGCAGCCTCCACCTCCTGGGTTCAAGCAATTCTTCTGCCTCAGCCTCCCAAGTAGTTGGGATTACAGGCACCCAACACGCCTGGCTGATTTTTCCATTTTTAGTAGAGATGGGGTTTTTACCAGATTGGCCAGGCTGGTCTCGAACTCCTAACCTCAGGTGATCTGCCCGCCTCAGTCTCCCAAAGTACTGGGATTATAGGCGTGAGCCACCGTGCCCGTTCCAGAATTTTTAAAAGGGGAAAAAAAAAAAAAATCCAGGTAATAGAGAGGCACCAAGCCAATAGTTTTATTAAACCTTCTAGGAATAATTAAGACAAAGCTTCCCAACTCATAAGACTACAATAACTACAATAACTTTAATTAAAAAACCTGATGAAGAGGAATATACATACAACACCCATAAACCATGTATACAGAACAAACTTGTTTATGGTGATGCCTAAGATCTAAAAGAAACCAGAGGATTTTCTATTCAAGATGGTGAATACAGCATCTCTCCTTTATCCCAAATGCTAGGGGAATGGCAGATATATAGCAGTTACCGGGGACCAACAGTTTTCAATGGCCTTTGGGATTCCTCATGGGCTATAAACTTCTGAAAAATTTAAGTCCTTTTTGGGGTTCCTATTGGTATGACACTCCCCTCGATTGACTTACATTTGTAGAAATGTATGAATTCTATAGAGTTACTAAAATTGAGTATTTAAAAACTAAAATTAGTGTTCTACAAGCAATTACTAAGACATCAAACCTGTTATTTTATCAAGAAGTCGCAACGACACTATGCACTGGGACCCCTATACAAAAACACTGATAACCAAGAATTAGAATTAAAGGGTATATACACGCACAGAGCAACCAGCTGTGTGTGGAACCAAGCAACTAAGAAATGGAAAAAAGGTAATTAGGGTTTCCAGGAGAAAGTTAAAAGGAATCAGAGAAATAGAAGAAAAAAAAAAAAAAAAAAAAAGGCAGAAGCAGGAACTATATACAGATAAGAACAAGAACCAGTGTGACACCATGGTTATCTACAATAATGTAGCATTAGAATACAATGAAGAAAACAGCCACCAACTTCTGAAAGAGAAGTCTGACACCTTAAAAATTACCCACAGATGTACTTCAATAGAACTGAAAATGAATCCAACAGAGTTTGGAAAGTCAAGGTTACAGAGAAGAGAGTAAAGGAAGGCAGAAGGTCATCACAGTCCCTGGGCCCAAATGCCATTGCATCCCCATGCCACTAGCCCTACTCAAACCCTAGCCTCCCAATATGTTCTTTGTGCCCTGTCGTGCCATCGGCATCATCACCAGTGGGGGCTCACCATACCAGAGGTAAACACTCCTTTTCTCACTGGCAAATCAATTTTATTGGGCCACTGCCCCAATCTGCTGGCACAAATCGCTATGCCCTCACAACTGATTGTTATACAGACCCATTCTTGGCTTATCCTTCCTGCCCAACTACTGCCAACACCACCACTATTATAGCCCTCAGTTAGTTCCCTTTGGGCTTCTGGTAACACCGACTCTGACCAGGGTACGTACGTTACCGCTCATTCAGTCTGGGCATGGGCCTTTTCAAACAAGGCATCACCTTGGAGCTTCCATTTGTCTTTTTTTTTTTTTTTTGAGACAAGGTCTCACTCTGTTCCCCAGGCTAGAGTGCAGGGGTGCAATTATAGCTCACTACAGCCTCAACCTCCAGTACTTAAGTGATCCTCCCACCTCAGCTTCCTGAGTAGCGCACCAGCATGCCCTGCAAACATTTTTATTTGTTGTAGAGACAGGATTTCACCATGTTGCCCAGGCTGGTCTCAAACTCCTGGGCTCAAGGCTCAAGCAATCTGCCTGTCTCAGCATCCCAAAATGCTGGGATTACAGGTGTGAGCCAGTGCCTGGCCCATCTGTTGTACTGTTCACAGAAAGCAGGCCTAATAGAGGCATAATGGCTTGTTCAATGCTCTCTTAAACTTACTAAATGGACAATGGTCTCTTAAATTGATCTCTCTTTTGCCGATTGCCTTAGTTGTATGACATCTGAAAAAACACAATTAGTGCTTCCTTTGTCCCCTTTCTAGCCTCAAAATGAGATACTTTCCATCTATGAGTCTATAATACCCAAACAGAATCCCCCTCACTTAACGACACCTCCTCATTTGATATTGGTGCGATCCACGGTGGACAGGAGCCTAGGTTGAAAGTAGGTAACAGGATGGGACCCACAGAAAATTGAGGGCCCTCACCCTCTAAGACTATGCAGAAGGTCTCTGCCAAAGTCCTTTCCTAATATGATGGTTTTAAAGGACTGCTAACTGGAGATCCCTCTTCATAGGAAATGAAGGTCTTAGTCTCTCTGCCTGGGTTGACATACACAACTGTATGGTTCTTCCAAAGAGGAAAGAAAAATCTTAAGTTAGTTCCTAGTACCAACATTCTTAGACAGGAAGCCAGTTCTGGAACCACCTTATTACAGAGGTATTGAATGGGAGACTATTGCAGGATATGGGATGGCAATGCCTGTGATTCCCATAATAAACTGGCACTTCGGCATGCCAAAAGTCTACGCACCACAGGCCTGAAAATATCTTTGTGGAATATTCTGGCTCTAGTTGGCCTGTCTATACCTCATTTGGCTCATGGTCTGGGTCTGGGATACTACTACCCCAGCTCAATGCCAAACTTCTTGGGCTCCTTTTTGCCCATGCTGTGATCCCACTTGTTTAGGGGTAATCAGTGCATAGCTTCCCTATCTGAAATTATTCTAAAACTCTTGTAGGCAAAGGGATACTGAGTTACTTTTATAATAATTTCTCAAGTGCGAGCCTAGGGCTTCTATCCATCCAGCATACCAAAGCATCCTAGATGATGATTTCAGTACAACTGACAGTCCCAGCCTTGACGCTAACACCCTCAAGATGGTAACTGCCCTTGTAACTGCCCCCACATAACTCATCATAACTCCACTGCCCCATCAACTCTTTGACAGCCCACACTCCACTTTCACTATTTACACTCTAATTTCACTATTCCAGTCACTACCTATATTTCCTGCTTCCCCTCACTCAACCTGATAGATTGTATCTATGTATTAGTAACAGAGAATGCCACCTACATACTAAACCTCCAGCAATACTAACAGATACCCTAGCCCAGGCAACTACTCATACAACTATATCTTGCTCCCTTGGAGGATTTCAATACTCATATTGACAACTTGCTACACTCTCTGGTTAAGTGGTCAATCATAAGCATGATGACGTTAGCATAGGCTACAAACAGACCCGAACAGATAACATGAGGGGTAAGGCAGGAGGTGAGAAAGAAGAGAGGGGAGTTGGGGAAGTTAAATGGGATACTACAAATGAAATACAGGTGGCTAAAAGTGGCATAGAAGAGCCAGAGGTCGGACACGTGAGGGAGAAGGAGTCAGAATATTTAGTGGGTTTGAGTGTGAAATTATAAGCAGGACATCGTGACCTCACTGGGTGCTTCCATATTAAACTTCCCCCTTAAGGATTTCATGTCTTTCCCAGCCTCTGCCACCAACTGATAGTACATACAATGATGCCCCCCTGTTGAGAATGTCCACCCTGATATAAGTTTGCCCCCTAGAAACTCCAACTTCCAACCTCTTGGGCTACTGATTCTTCTGTGTTACAACTCCTGCTCAGCAGGGTTATACATTTTATTCAGCGATCCTGTTCCCTTCTACCCATACAAGCTGACCTATGTACTATGGACATTTAGTGCCCAGGGCACCTCAAATTCAACTAGAAAGTCTAGCTGTTTTATCAAGTCTTGCCACAAAAAGGAGCACTTTTTACCTATTCTGGGCCTCATCAGAATCTTTGGTGTAACGGGCACAAGTTTAGGTATTTCCAATTCTGTAACACAGACTCAACTCATAGAGGTTACCGAGACATGTTGTAACTCCTGACAGACCACATTAACCAAACAGTTCAGGCCTAAGAAGCCCTCAATGAGGGACAAAGCAGTTTAGTTACTATGATAGTTGATAACAGACTGGCATGAAACTACCTACTGGCATTTCAAGATAGTGCTTGTGCCTTAAAGGGACTTCCTGTTGCATGATCATTAATAAAGAAAAGGTATCCAGAATAGTTCAACAAAAATAAACCCAAACTGCCAATTATATTATTAAAATACTCCAAGAGGTTCTCAGAACTCCCTGATGTCTTTCCTGGGCCATCTCCTTCCACCTGGAGTGAAAGGCTCTGTACTATCATTTGGGGAGCTAAAATAACAATGGCTAGTCTAATTATTTAGGTTTCGCTTTGCAAATTTGTTCTCTCTCAAGTACAAGTGTATTTTATGGGAAAACTGGGAGGTTGCTATGCTAATTTAAATGTGAGGGATGAATTAAGAAAACCATAGGGAAGGAAGTTGGACCTTCACTGACCTTTGATTTAGTGCTCTAAGTCTCATTTCCTGCCCGTGTCCCTCACTTCTGGCATCATCCTCATAGGGCTCACCTGCTCCTCACCACTATCCCAGCACCTAAGCACTATATCCTCTTGCTGCCTCCCTCTTTTAAACAATATCCCTGTCAATGGCAATTGCTCCTTCTTCTAAGCTTCCCATTTATAGAAAAATGCCTGTGTATCCTTTTCTCTTTCTCTCTGTTCTGGACTTTCTCCCAGAAGACGGGCATTCTCCCTGCCCCTGGCCTTGAGACGTCCCCACCGTAAAACAAATCTTAAAAAAAAACAAAAAAACCCCAAAGAACTATTGTCTGAATTTTGCCATCTGAACATAACCTTAGCAGAGAGCTTTTCCATAGCATGGTAGAGTTGCTACACCACAAGAAGACTTCCTCAACCTGACAAAATTGACAAAACCTTCAACACAAAACCTCTGCTAACTTCATTCTTAATGGTGAAATATTAAATGCTTTTCCCTCTAAATTCAGGAACAAAGCAAAGAGGCCCATTCTTATTTCTATCCAGCACTGTATCAGAAATCTTTGCTAATGTCATAAGACAAAAAAAAAGGCACAAAGACCATAAACAAAGTAAAAATGCATTTGCAGATGACAAGATTATGTAGAATATTCTAAGAAAACAAAACAAGTATGTACTAATAAGTGAACTGTGCAAGATTAAAAGATACAAGGTTAATATACAAAAATCCTAAATTTCTTCAGCAAGGGGGCAAGGAAGTATCTAAGTTGTAGTAGCCAAAACTAGTCTCCCCAACACCCCAAACTGTAAAACACAATGCTTGCTACTACAAGGAGACTTTCCCTATTTCCACGTCTCCTACTAAATTCCTTTAGCGTTTTAAGAATTCTAGCACAGATAAACAAAATGTATGATAATGTTACTTACTACAAATGTACTACTTATCGAAGGTATATTCAGCACCCAGAAAATAGGTATTTACTTAAAACTGAATTCTGACCTTTATTTCATCACCAATAAGACAGATATCTACCCGGCCTCTCTGTTTTATATCCTTGCAGGATTTTACTATTGACATTTGTCTACTGTCCAGGTAGACAGTAGAGATGGGGTTTTGCCATGTTGGCCAGGCTGGTCTCAAACTCATTACCTCAGGTGATCTACCCGCCTCGGCCTCCCAAAGTGCTGGGATTACAGGCAGGAGCTTCCATGCCCGGCCTCTCTGTGTTTTATATCCTTGCAGGATTTTACTATTCATATTTGTCTACTAAAAATACAAAAATTAGCCAGGCATGGTGGCAGGCACCTCTAATCCCAGCTACTCGGGAGGCTGAGGCAGGAGACTCGCTTTAACCCGGGAGGCAGAGGTTGTAGTGAGCCAAGATTGCGCCACTACACTCCAGCCTGGGCAATAGAGTGAGACTCTGTCTCAAAAATAAATAAGTAAATAAGTAAGTAAGTAAATACAGAGAGAGAGAGCTCTGCCAGGTTATCCCAAATTGTTATAACCAACTATCAACTCCACTTACCTAGGAGGAAGAGTGATGGGCCATAGTATTCTGCATTGCTGATGATGTGTTTCAGGGAGGTAGGCAGAGAACCATCCATCACTAAAAGAAAAGTGAACATTATGGAGAATACGAATAGTCTGGAAAGGTGTGAGGAGTGGGGATAATTGAGTGATATGTTATGTATTATCACACTGTGGTCCTCAAAGCCTGTGTTAATTCTAATCTAATGGCCCCCAGTTGTCTCCTCCTATTTTATTATTTGTCCATGCAATAGGCTTTCTAACACGGGTTAAAAAAAGAAAGAACACAAACACTTAAGAGTCAGAAAGGGGTAATAAGACGGAATTAAGCACAGAGTCGAAAGCTGGAAAAGGGGAAAAAAAGGGTAAATCATTATGAAAATAGCTAAGCAACACTTACATCTAGGAAAAGTGACACAAAACAACTAAAAGCTATTGAAAATGGCATGGCCTTTACCAAAGACTGCCTTGTAAAACAACAGGTGCCAGAATAGTATGAAAAGAACCAATCTTTGAGAGAGTAAAATATCCTCCAAAAAAAGTTATCTGGAATCAAATACCATGTCGTATGCCATCTGAGAAAGCAGGGTCTTGGATGGCCTTCTTGAGGAAATTCAACATGGATTTCAGAAGTGCTGCTCGTTGTGGAATACACTGGACTCCTGGCAATGAAGAAAGACAAAAGAATTATGCTGAGTTCGCCATTAAACCACAATGATCAAGCACATAAAACAAAATTTTAAGAGATCCAAATACACTATAATAAAATTAGAAGACATTCGAAGTGAGGTCTCTGAATGTTAGGAAGAATACTTAATTAAGCTTTGAAATTGGAAAAATTACTAATACTTTTAATTTTACCAATACTAAAAGTCTAAAGTAAAAAAGAAAAATTACAAAGTAAAAAGGTTCAACTTTTTTTTTACCTCACTCAGTTCCCATTTTGGATATTATCTGCCCTCCAACATGGCTGTTTTGATAATCAATGTGCAAATTGTTGGAAAAGTATAAAATGCTATGAAAGACATGTTAATATAAGAAAATGGAACACCAGAATGGTGAAGGAGCATGAATAGTCATGGGATGCTAACCTCCAAATGTACCATTTAAGTTCTGCCTAAAGCCGCCTTCTTCAATAGTTTAATAACTCTACCACTCTGAAAGACTGCACATCTATGTGTGTACGCACCAGGACGGGGGCCAGGGCCAGGGCCGGGGCCAGGGCCGGGACCAGGACCGGGGCCGGGGCCGGGGCCAGGGCCGGGGCCGGGGCCGGGGCCGGGGCCAGGGCCGGTGCCGGGGCCGGGACTGGGACCAGGGCTGGGGCCAGAAGAGATGTTAGTGCTGCTGCTGGAACCTGATGCCCTTAATTCAACATCCAGCCTGTGCTCCATAGAGATGGATGAGCCTGGACTGCTTTCCATAGCCACATCTGCAACTAAAGTACAAGTTATGATAAAGAAACTTACTAGAATAAAAGGTACCACAAAAAGAAAAATTTTGTTTGAGAAAATTTCTTCCATTAATGTGAAATGAATATAAAAATGAAGATCAGGAATACTGAACCCCAAAATGAAAATATATCACTAGTTGCATGTATTAATACGTACATACATACACGTGTGTGTGTGTGTGTGTGTGTGTGTGTGTGTGTGTGTGTAAATTAACAATCCTACAGAAGTCCTTCAATATTTCTCACCTACCAAATTGGGGAAGAGGGGGAGAGTGGTAAGTAAAATGTGCAATTTCATATACTACTAGTTGGTAGTATACAAATAGGTACAGCTTTTCAAAAGAGTAATTAATAAATATAAAAAGCATGAAAAGATTAATACTCAATATTCCGATCTGGAAGAATGTCTATGAAACACTGAATGAGCAATGCAAGATGAACAGTATGTTTATGATCTCATCTTCCCATTCTAAAATACTACATACATACTTAACATCAACATGTATTTGAATATGCATAAAAAAGCCTGGAAAGATCCGCACCGAAACTAGTAGCTATGGTAGGTAAGTGAGCATTCATTTTTACTTTATACACTTGAATAACTGAGTATAAGATACACAATCATTGACTACAGTTTATAAAATGTATTAAGGCTCCATCAGTGATAAAATACTATTTACATTTTGAAATCACTGCAGCCTCAAACTCCCAGGCTCAGATGATCCTCTCAACTCAGCCTCCCAAGTAGCCGGGACCACAGGTGCATGCCACCCCACCCGGCTAAGTTTTGTATTTTTCGTAAAGACAAGATTTTTGCCATGTTGCCCAGGCTGGCCTCGAACCCCTGGGCTCAAGTGATGTGCCAGCCTAACGGATGTTGTTGCCTACCCAACAACCTTTTTACCTCTCCTTTCTCTTCTCAAAATAGGTAAAGTTTTAAAAGGTCCCATTTTAGTCTCTCTCTCTCTACCAAGCATATTTCTAACACCTAGGATGTTATCAGGCACTGCGGCAGTGAAAAAGACAATATCCTGATCCCATGGAGCTTGAATTTTAGTAGAAATAAGACAATAAGAAATACATAAGAAAATTACGTGATGAAATAAAACAGATTAACACCACAGCTATAGCATCTGCTTTACCTGCCATCTCTACTCCAAAGAACTAGTACCTTTCTTTTCTTATTATCTTTGTGAAAAACAAATTTGCAAATCACTTACATAGAAAAAAAATTTTTGTTGCTGAAAGTATATACTCAAGTTAATTGTGTACTTTGGAATTTATGAGGAAGAATGAAAACTGGGGTGGGATGACAAAAAATCTCAAGCACAAAAATACTGACTTAATAACTGTTAATTACCATCCATATCAGTTTCCATTTCCTCTCCTTCTTGTGTAGTATTGGGTCTCTGGATCTTTGGCTTGATCACAAACGGACATTCTTTTCGGCACAAATCTACTTCATGCTACAATCAAGAGAAAGGTTATAAGAAAATCAAGTATATATATATATATTTTTTTTTTCAGGGATTAAAAACTATTATAATGGAAAAACACTGCAAGCAGATACACAGTTGATTTCTAGAAACAGAAGAGACTGTAAGATCGCTCTTTAGGGTTATCAGGACAATCCTTAGGTTCAGCTCTGAGTATTAAATTCTGTGCAAAGCATTCCTTGTATAATAATACCTCAAGTCTATAAATGAAGATAGAAAGTCCACTATGGGATTGAAAAGCTGCCATATCCAGGTTGGTGATAAGGTCAACCACTCTGACGGCTCTGGTGACAAATGTTATCTGGTCCTGTTCATCGCCAAGAAACTTTATGACCTATCACGGAGAAAAAGAGGCAAAAACAATGAACTATAAAGACACAAAGTTGTAAAAATTGCATGCTTTTGTATACATGTAGTCTGGGGCCTCAGTAAGGCAGCACAGTATGGGGGAAAACATGTGTTTTATTTTTGGTGCCTGCCAAATGACAGTTCTATGACTTCTGCGACTCAACCTCTGAGGTAATGGGGACATCAATTACTTTGCAGGATTAAGTAAGATATTTAGGGAGAAAAAAGCTGGTGCTCATTGCCCTGCACATAGTAAAGGCTATTACTACTACAACACAACTTACAAAGTACCCTGACATATATTTTCCCTATGGTTGTGTAAAGGCATGATAACATGTGGCAATGTTTTAACCAGAACCCATGACCTCCTGACCATTCTACACTATGATAAAAGTCTCAATAATGGAAGTAGCTGCTCTTAAACATTGTTAATTAGATAACTAGAAAGCCAAACTGGCCTTCTACTTAAGTATAACTTTTTCTGGATAAGCTTTCTTATATTATTTGCCCTCACTGTGAAACACCCCAAACTTGCATCTCTACACCCTTAGTTGATTTCCCCATGTAGTTTAAAAAAAAAAAAAAAAAAAGTACAGCACCTTCAATAAGGCTTCCATCATTCCACAGGAGACCAAGGCTTCACCACCAGCATCGTAGCTGGCCAGATGGTATAAAAAAGAGAAGAGAGCAGTGGCAAACTGGTGAGGGTATGGATCCATGGAAGGATCTACAAGGGAGGTGGGGAGAGGGAGAACAAAAACAAGCTCAAAATTGCTGTTAAGCAGGCAGGATATTAAAAAGACAAAGGCAGAGGGCAAATGTTTCTTCTTGCCTAAGATAATCACCATCAAAACTTACCAATCATGGCCTGGATACAGTTCCTTACAAGCACTGGCAAAAATCCATGGTAGGAGGCAGTTCCAGTACAGTCAATAATACTGCTGAGTTTGGGAGTTCTCTCCAAGTGGACAATTGATGTTAATGTTCGTAAAGAAGCTGCTTTAATCTCCTATTAAATTAGAAGGTAAACACATAATGTGTCAAATATAATAAGATGACTGAACCAAGTTCCAGTTGCTAATATCCAAACTTTAAAATATAAGTCATTCTACTGGTAACTGCTTGAGGGGATGGAGGTCTGTTGAGAGCAACAACGAAAATCTAGTATTTGTTAGTTTTGCAGTTTAATACCCAAAGAGGGAAGTACTGGGAGTTCTTTCTAACCCTCTGGGAAAAACCAAAAGGCAAACAAGTATAAGCCTGATATACAGAGAACATTAATGCAGGATCCCTGATTCAAAAATCTGAAATATTCCCAAATCCAAAACTTTGGGAATACCTGCATGCCAGAAGTGGAAAATTCCACACCTGATCTCATGTGACAGGTCACAGTTAAAATGCACAAAATTATTTGAAATATTGTATACAATTGCCTTAAGACTACGTATATAATGTGTATACGAAACATCAATGAATTTCGTGTTTAAACTTGGGTCCCATGCCCAAGATGTCTCATTATGTATATGCAAATATCCCCTCCCCCCCCAAAAAAGTCTCAAATCCAAAATACTTCTGGTCCCAAGTGTTACAGCTAAGGGTTACTCAACCTGTAAAATACTTACCATAAGCTGCTTATCCGTTATCTGAAGGACATCTACCAACTCCTCTATCAAGCCATTATACAAGATACTGTTTGCTGATTCCTGCAAGGCATTGGAATACACTGCAAAAGGAGAAACAAACACTTTAGGCAAGAAGGCAGTGGTCAAGCCACTGCCCAATAACAAACTTTTTGGTATCTATAGGTTCTGGGGAAGAATTCCATTCCCAACCAGCAATGGAGGGCAGAATCATCACCAAATTAAATTCTGAAGGACTGGATCAAATACAACTGATAATCTCTAAACAGACACTGAATTGACAGATTCCACTACTAAAGGTATTATTAGTCTTGAGAAAGAATTTTGGGGATGGAAATAGGAAAAGCTCTGAGTTAATTTTTCATAACATTACTACTTGATGTAACTCCACTATGCCTTCAATATAAGATTTCCATTTTAGCCTCTTCCTATGCTTCTGCTTTTACTGTAAACACTTGTAAAGAACAGAATTTATGGACCATTGCAGAGTAAGTCAGAAATTTGTGTGACACTGTAGTAAAACTTCAGAATGTGTGTAATTCACATTCAATGAATTCCACGATGAGGTTAATACCGGACACAGTACCCTGAAGCATAAACTAATGGGATTTAGGCATATTCATTTAGTTTTCAACAAAGATTTCCTGAGCACCCACTAACATGCCAGAAATCATGCTAGATATGAGTACACATAAAAGAGCAAGAATTTCACGCCAAGAAACTCATAGTTTAAGAGAAGGCAAGTCATAACATAATGAACATCAATAATAACAGCAATGGTTACCATTTTATATCTTCTATGTGCTTGTTCTGTGCTAGATTGCTTTCTAGGTTTTCATTTAATCTTTAGACCAGCCTCTACGGTGAGTACCTCAATATTAAACGAATAAGCTGAGGCTGAGAGGATAAGTGTGGCTAATAATCTACAGAATCAGGGACAGAGTACAGGACTGATTACAAAACCACGTGTTTTCCATTTTACTGTGCCACAGTAAAAGAAGTTAAATGCACAGTATTGACTACTGAATATTTTGTGACTTAATTCAAGATGATATCCCTGAAAGGATGAGAGAGGAGGAAGACACAATGGCAAGAGAAAGAGTAGGGGGACAGTGAACGATAGCTACAAGCATATCTATTAAAAAAAAAAAAAAGAGACGAATACCAAGAATAAACCCAGGTGACATGTCAATCAACATCATCATACCCTCTTTCTCGTCCAACATTAAGGAGCTCAAGGATAATGAATAAATACAGTGAACACTGGGAGGGGTGGAAGTATTTAAGTTGCTACCTAGGTAACTATAATAGGACTCATAGCAACAAAGATGAATGAAGTTCAAAGGAAATCAGGCCCAAACTGTCTAATACGGCCTGGTAATTAAAGTATTCTTCTCTTACCTAATATAGATATTGCATGCAGTCTGGCCTGAACTGCCTGCAATCGCTTCCTGTGATTAGAAAAGCCATGGGCCAGTCGTATGTGTGTAAATAACAGCATCTGTAGAGAGATAAGACATACATTTTAAAAACATCAATGAAAAAGGTGAATATTCTTTATGAGGGCTAACTCAAAAAACAACACAACTAAACGTTTTCTCCTTTGATATCCGAAGTGTTCAGAAAGCTACCACCACTTATTACCTGCTCACGGTGAGGTAGTTTATGTTTTCCTCAAACTCTCATAAGGCCTAGGAAGTTATTAAGTGTTAACCTCATAAAAGACAAGGAAACTAAGGCTCAGAGAAGCTAACAATTTGCCCATGGTCTGACTCCAAAGCTGACATTCTTTCTGCTATGCAATCTCCCACCCCAGTACATATCATTAATCTATTTAGATAACAACCACATCCTGTGGATGTTTTAAAGCCACATCATACCTGCTTATCCTTAGGAATGCTGTACATTTTGGTAAGAGATTCCATGATTTCAGAAGGGCTTTCTGAAATCTACATTAAAAAAAAAGATATAGTTAGGAACAAAAAGTGAACCAAACATTAAGAAACGAGCCAAGAGTCAAAGATTCCTCTTACCTTGTCAAGTTGCTCTATGTGAATATAATGTAGTGTGTTACTAGTTGTCTAAAATTAAAAAAGACAAGAGAGCTGTAAGGAGTCACTGAACACTCTAGCTTCCCCTTCCATAGAGCTCCAAAGGGCTGTCTGAAAACCAAGATGTCACCTAATAGGCTGAAGCCTAAGTGAATGCTCTTAAAATCAAGGTAAATTGAGAATCTTCCAAAACATCCATCTTATATGTAGAATATTCTTAGGAAAGCTCCTTTAAAACCAGTAGTATCAAACTATAATGCACATAGCCAGGCACATTTCATATTCTTCTTTGTCCTTTTTTAACCCTCCACTGACTTAATATCCATAGCAGTATTAATAGCAAAGACCAAATTCATGAAAATATTTTCTCTCTGAATATGTATTAGAGTTGCTTTCAAGGCAATTAAGCTAGAAAGATTATTTATTTATTGAATAGTATAGGTAGAAGAGAAATTGTATTTTCACTAAGCTACTTCTAAACCAAACTCTTTAGTACCTCCTCAAACAATACAAAATGACCAGATAATTTAAGCAGGACACTATCCACAATACATAAAGACTTTTGCAGGCTTCCTAATTAGAGAAACCTGAGCCATCACCATCCAAACTACTATACTACATGTTGGAATTCTCAGAGACTGTGGGAAAAGCACATAGGTCATAGCAGTGCCTCATAATGGATGGGACTTGCATCTTTTGGCAGCTCCCAACATAAGACCCAACCCTATCAGAGTTGGGGATGCAATTAACACTCCTGAGGAGCTGCTAGGTATATTTATAGTTTGCGAGGGCAGCAGTGTAGCTCAAAACCATTTATTCATTTAACTGAGGAGTTCTAGAAGAGGCAATCCCAGTTACAGTAAATTGTAGACTTTGTCAGAACAAATCTGAATCAGACTCACCCTTTTCTCAATTTTGACCTCGGCCCCAGGATCTGCATAGAATTCAAAGTGTAGTGTAGTTGCACTGGGTGGATATTTCTGTGTATAAAGCACATCAAAGAATCAGACATTGAGTTTCAACTGATTATAAACATTATCCCCCACATCTTCCCTCAAAGTCCTAGCCACTTGTTCAACTTATTGTGGCAGAAGAATAAGCAGTACATTCAGTACCTACAGTGCCTTTAACTGTTTGTCTTAGAGCAGAGCTCAGATAGGATGAGACTTTTCAAACAGAATCAAAAGGACAGAGCCCAGAGCTCCCAAACCTTCTGCATTTCATACTTATAAATTTCCAGTTTCCCTTTAAGAGATCAATTTTGACTGTGGCTATTCCCAAGGGGGAAAAGAGGGGCAAGACTGCCAAGCAGTAATGAATAAGAATCCAAGAAAGGATGGAGAACAAATACCAGGGCCCAGAAACCAGCTAAAGAATGGAAAAGAACATTCCTACGAAAAACCTTGTACCTATCATCAGCCTTCTGAAATATTTAATTCAAAGTATGCCTCATAGGCATATCTTCATAATTCTTCAAACACTTTCCTTCTATACCATTCTACACCACTTCTCATGGTATGTTTTCTGCACAGGTAGATACCAAGACAACATAAACCAGACCCTGACAAAACATTCTCTTTAACTCTAGAAAAGCAACATGATGAACAAAATTAAGATGACAGCAGAATGCCCACTAAAATGTCTCACTGAAAGACACCACTTGCAGTGGTTGCCTCTGGAAAATTAAGAAGTTACCACTGCATACCTCTTTATACTCTGAATTTTTTAACATGTATATGTATTACTTCCTTTTAAAGTACACGTTAACCTTTATGTTGTCATAATTAGAATTCCAAACTCTGAATATACTTCAAGATTTATGTAGTTTTGATTATTAAACAGACAACACTCACCTACTGTATCACCCAATATCTCTTCATAAAATAATCACTAAAGAAAAGTATGCCAGCTAACGTGGGAAAGTAACTTGATCTAATCTGTGGTTTTCTGAGACCAGAAAAGAGCCATTCTCTTTAGGAAAAAAAGGCTTGCTAAGATAAATACACTAAATTTCACTGCAGCCATTTGTGCTAAACACGACAAACTGACAAGACAAATCCCACGTGGAAAATATAGTTGCTTCCAGATGCAAAATAATTATTGAAAATCAAATTGTGTTTTGTAGCTCCACAGCAACATATCAAAGCAGAAAGGAGGATGGCCTGAGCTCATAACTTAAACATGGGTGAAAGGCAGAGAGATAAACAAGGAAAGCACATAAAACATTATAAGTTCTCAATAAACCTAATGGTAGAACTGCTCTCCAAGCAGCCATTCCTAAATCACACCACACTGTCCAGAGTTCTGATACAATAGTTCCAGTGTGAGAATGCAAGCGAACATACTTTCTGGGATTTAAAAAAAATCACATTAAAATTAATTCAACAAATACAGCTACCTACTCAAGAACTGGGTATGAACACACACTCTATTTCTCAGATTTTTTTATCTACCACCAGCACATCAAGAGCCCAAGCACTGCTAGACTGCTTCCTATAGACGTGGTTCAGCTATGTCTGAACTGATCTTAGGTTCCTCAAAGGTCTCGATGTGAAGGCGTCACTTCATATACCACAATTCATTGTAAAGTAAGGTTCACAGAGAGGCCACAGCTCTGTCAAAAGACACCCATATCCCAAAGAGTTACTTACCATCATATGCAAGTCTCTGCAACATTCTGCAAGTCCAAAGCCATTCTCCTTTCCACCCCAGCTCTTGAAAAAGGAAAAAGATAGTGTTAAGACAGTGCTTATGGTGACTTTGCGCCACTGCACTCCAGCCTAGGCAACAGAGTGAGACCTTATCTCTCTTTCTCTCTATGTATATACACATACATATATATATTTAAGAGTGTGTGGCTGCTTGGAACATAATGTTGAGAAGACATCCAATGTGAAAGTCAAACAAGAGGAAAAAACGAACAGAAATAAGAACTTAAGAATCAAGGCAAGATGGTCTGCCTAAAGGTGATTTCTTCAATGAGATCAATTTCACTGTTCAGTGAGGATGCTCCTAGGAAGAACTCAAGCAGCAACTGCCAGCCATTATATTCCATACCCCTGTAGTCACGTGTGCTGACAGGTCCCTCCTGTCCTATCAGGCCTTGCCTGAGGCTCTGCCTACTCACCTTCCGCACTAGGGAGGAAAGCACTAGGGAGGAAATCATGCTTTCCAGTTCCTCTCTTTTTGACATGAGCTGAGTTACAAAGCAGATTCTACCTTATTTATTACTACTGTACTTTGCCACTCAAATCTAAAACCTCATCAACAAGCTCCTGAGATAATGGGGGGAGTGGCTCAACTGGCTTCTAAATACAAAACTTCAGCCACATAGTCTCACTTACTAACTAGCCTGCATCTTAACAGCCTTTAAAATATCACTTTAACATTAAGAGCATTAACGTATTTTTATTTTTAAATCATTCATAATTATTTTACATATATTACATAAAATATGTATTTATATATGTAAAAAATATATATCTCCCTGCCTCATGGGGCAAGGCATATAGTTCAGGCAAACAATTGACGAAGTGAAAGAAATGAGATATTATTTGAAACAAATTTATTAATTTGTTATGTCAAACTGAAGAGATTTTTATATTACAAATATAAAACATTTCATATAAAAAGATATTTTGTATATTTTTAAAAAATTATAAATATGTAAATTATATAAATTTTATATAAAATTTATAAAAATAAAAATTATATATATGTAGCTATATATGAAGAGAGTGTGAGAGATAGACAAGGTCTCCCTCTGTTGCCTAGGCTGGAGTGGAGTGCAGTGGCACAATCACAACTCACCACAGCCTCAAATTCCTGGGGTCAAAGGATCCTCCTGCCTCAGCCTGCCACACAGCTAGGACTACAGGCATATGCTGCCACCACGCCAGGCTACATTTTAAAAATGTTTGTAGGAGCCTTGCCATGTTGCCCAGGCTGGTCTCAAATTCCTGGCCTCAAGTGATCCTTCTGCCTTGGCCTCCCAAAGTGCTGGGATTACAGCTGTGAGCCACCTTGCCCAGCCAAGCATTATCATATTTTTAAGTCTGGCATGATTGAAGCACAAAATGCTACTTATATTCTATGTCTTCATTTTATTCCTGTCTAGTGTGGGTCCCAATCACCTCGGATCTGGGCTGCCACCATGAACTAACATGGCTCTCTCTCTACATCTAAGTGTTTCCTCTTTGTTAAATGCTATTATATCACTACTTGCCAAAGAAGTCTCAAAAACAAACAGTGTAAACCACTGAAGATGCCAGTCACAAAGGTACCTACTATAGAATGCTATTTCTAAACCTGTAAATAAATAAATGAATAAATAAAACATCATCTGACTATCCTGTGAGAAATAAGCTTTCTCAAACTACACTTGATCTACTGGCAGCATTTCTCAATCCAGGTATCATATATGAAACACAGAACATGGTGAATGATCATTTTATTCTCCAAATAATGGTACATAACTAGCACCACCTTAGATGCACAAGAGAGAAGTCTCTTTGCTACATTAATAATGGATACCTTAGGGCATTAGGGCTTACTTCTCTAGTGAAAACCTAAGTGAGAAAGTCTGCCTGGACACAGATATGTATATCCCCCACTCCCAGCTGGTTAAAAACAGACTGTTCTACTAGGAATGCTGTCAGTGAAAATGGCAGAATGGGGAACCCCATAAGCCCACACCTTCACAAAAACAGTGAATAAACTGACTGTCGGAATTCAAGTCTATCAGAACTCTAAAAAATAATCAGAAGTTTAAAACAACTAGGGAAGTTTAAGGCAATGAGACAAGAATCTGTAAAATACAAGGTTCGACATTCATTAAGATGTTTAACAGACGGCCAGGTGCGGTGGCTCATGCCTGTAATCCCAGCACTCAGCCAGTGGGAGCCCGAGGCGGGCAGATCACCTGAGGTCAGGAGTTCGACACCAGCTTGCCCAACATGGTGAAACCCCGTCTCTACTAAAAATACAAAATTAGCCAGGCATGTGGTGCATGCCTGTGGTCCCAGCTACTAGGGAGGCTGAGGTGGGAGGATGGCCTGAACCCGGGAGGCAGAGGTTGCAGTGAGCTGAAATTGCACCACTGCACTCCAGCCTGGGCAACAGAGTGAGACCCCAAAAAAGGTAACAAACACCTGGTGCTAAATATGGCCAAATAGTCACGTATTAAAGATATTCACTGTAGCATTATTTACCACAGAAAAATACTGGAAATTACCTAAGTAAGAAGAAAACTGTGAAGTAAATTGAGATAACCATAGATGGCACAATTGACAGTACCTAAAATATTCACAGACAGAAGGTATAAAATCATACTGTAATGGAATCAATTTCTTCTTTCATGGCATTAGTCTCATTCTTGAAAATATCTTGCCACTTCAAGCAGCATACAACCATGCAGTTATACTTTCTTTCAATGCTTGTATAACTTCATGTTTTTAACATTTCAGCTTTTTATTACATCTTAATTTTACTTTGATGAGGTAGAATCTACCTTAATTGCCTCCCAAAGAGTAAGCCAGTTTTTACAACACCATCTTATTTGAATAATCCATTCTTTTTCTGCTAATCTGAAATGCCATCTTAACCATAAATTCGATTCTTACACATTGGATCTGCTTCTGGAACCTACTGATTGGTCAATTCCACTCTTAATTACCACACTATTTAAATTACTATAGCTTTATAAAATGGTTTAATACCTAATAAGTACTTCATTACATTTTCAATATTTTCTTGGCTCTTCCCAGGACATCTAGTGAAGACGAAGACACATGCAATTTGCTGAAAACCATAAAGTAAGGATGAGGGTATAAAGGCTTGATGCTACAGAGAACAGACAGGTAAGTCAAACCAAAAGTCTGAATCTGCAAGGCAGAATAAGCTTGAAAGGCTGTGTATCTACACAATTATTTTCCTTTTGTTTCTTCTGTTATTCCAACTAATTGTTTCAGAATACTTTTATTAGTGTCACCACAAAATCCTTCTTGCCAACTTTTGCAACTTGATAAAAAACAAGCACCTTTAATTAGAAAGTTTTGGTAAGCTGAGATCCTTAAAAAACCCTGCCAACTCAAACGTGACTCACGAAAGTCTGTGCTGTTGTTATATTTATGAACTAGTAACATTATATGAAATATAAAGAAATGTTTCTTGTGAAGAAATATTCATCAGATAAAGACTAAGAAAATATACCAAAATGAGTAGATACACAATTATGATAAATTTTGTTGCATACATAAAACACCAAGCACCTATTTTTATCAGGAAGACAAGTTTGTTTCGCTGCCAACAAAATCAACATATTAAATGTTAAGATTCTAGGGTACTTTTTAGTCAGTACTATTCAGAATAACACTAGTTCTTTGCCCTTATTATTATTAATTTATTATCTATTTATCTTGCTTTCTCAAGTACTAAGTAAGCTTGTTTTTATTTAAAAAAACGAACATGACCATGCTCAAAGAATCCCCAAATGCCTAAGACAGGAAGAACAGATATTATTCTTCACATTTTAGCAGAAGCAAAGAGCCCAGGGCCTTTGTCCAAAAATAATGGTGAAACCCCATCTCCACTAAAAATACAAAAAAATTAGCCGGGCATGGTGACGGGCGCCTGTAGTCCCAGCTACTTGGGAGGCTGAGACAGGAGAATGGCATGAACCCAGGAGGTGGAGCTGGCAGTGAGCCAAGATCGCGCCACTGCACTCCAGCCTGGGGGACAGAGCGAGACTCCGTCTCAAAAAAACAAAAAACAAAAAAAAAATACATAAGTAACTTCTGAGCCTCACAGTATTCACCTATCTGGTAGTGTTACTGTAACATCCTAGCCCTTAAGTAGATAACCCATAAATAACTATATTCATTATGCCACAGAGGCATATACAACACTACCTCACACTAGACAGGATTTGCTAAATATTCAGACATCAGGAAAAAGGCTTGATGCTCTCTAAGATGGAATTATAAGAATTTGATAAAAGTTTGTAACTTAATAAAATAGACTAGGCCAGTGGTTCTCCCTGGACCAGCAGGTTAGTATTAATATTACCTGGGAACTTTATAGCAATGCAAATTCTGAGGCCCACTCCAAGCCTAATGAATCAGCAACTCAGGAGTTAGGTGGGATGGAGGTGAGGAAGACTAATATATTTTTTAATAAAGTGATTCTGATGCATCCTCAAGTTTACTAGACCTAGAGTATACCAGACCTTCACAAAAGCCAGCCAACTGGCTTTCAACTGATTCAACAAGTCTTTCTGGAGAATTTTCCCTACATCTGTAGTTAACTAATCACTGTTCACATTCACAATTAGCCCACATCACTGGGTTGACCTAGTCATTAAAAACTACTATGAGGAAAGACACCATATCCAAAGTCACTTTTCATAAAGACCAAAACACGATATTCAATCTTTTATATAAAAGCATTGACTGAACCATTTTTGAAAACATCACATACAAAACACAATAAACAAAGACAATATACATGAAGATTAGGGGAAAAAATACTTTTAAGATGACAAAGGACTAATATCTCCAATATGGTTTTACAGAGTAGGAAAAAGTAACCAAATGGAAAAATGGACAAAAGATAAAACCTTTCACAAGAACAAATCCTAATGGCCAAGCATAAAGATGCTCAAAATCATTACTGATCAGTGAAGTGCCAATAAAGTCACACTGAGATTTCTGGGACTCTATCTTATGATCTCCATATCATCTCTTATAATATCATATTAAATGTATCAGTAACTAAATTCATATATAAGATTGCTTAATGTAGCATCATTCATAACAAATATAAGCATGCATCAATAGGGAACTTGAGTAAAATATGGTACATCCAAAGCATGGAATACTATGCAGCCATCAAAAGAACCCTATAGTTATACAGGTGACTTTAAAGTGATTTTTGAACAAGGTCTGAAATAAGAAAACAAGGATGTAAGGTATCCTGCATTTGTAACTGAAGGACAAAAACACCCTCAACAGTCAATATAATATGAAGATAATATATAGAGAAGAATACATTTGAGGTTATGGGGAGGTGAACCAAGAGGGAAAAGGCTGTACTGAAAATAATCATGTGACAATATGCATGCACTTATAAAATAATGCATGTGTAACATTTTAAAAGAAAGCAAATACAAAAGAATGGCATGTAGTTTCTCTGGTTGACATCCATCTACAAATGACAGCTGTTTATTAAGTACTTCCAACATGATGGCATTAACCCTACAGGTTTTATTTATGACTTCCTTTACTCTGATCCTAAAAAAACTATGAGGTAGATATTGTAACCCCCAATTTACAGACACAGAAACAGGTTAATATTTGTTGGCAAAAGTAGGTTTCACATCCAAATCCAGGTTCTTATACACATGCAAGTGAATGTGTTTGTTGCAAAGGAAGTTGCCTGAAAAGACTGAAAAGACATGAACCAAGATTTCTATGAGCATTGTTAAAGAAGCCCACAAGGACAGGCAGTGGCTCACGCCTGTAATCCCAGCACTTTGGGAGGCCAAGGCGAGTGGATCGCCTGAGCTCAGGAGTTGGAGACCAGCATGGGCAACATGGTGAAACCCCATCTCTACAAAAAATATAAAAAATTAGCCGGGTGTGGTGGTGCATGCCTGTAGTCTCAGCTACTAGGGAGGCTGAGGTGGGAGGATCAATTGAGCCTGGGAAGCGGAGGATGCAGTGAGCTGATATCGTGCAACTGCACTCCAGCCTGGGTAATGGAGTGAGACTCTGTCTCAAAAAAAATAAATACATAAATAAAAGAAGCCCACATGAACAAGTCAAGTTTTTAGAGAAATTTTACATTTTAGAGAAACATGAAATTTTTAAATTTTAATGAGGGATATTAGTATTGGAGGTACCATTACTAAATACCTAATTATCTCTAAACCTCAAAAACCTGTAAAAATCTTTTATTGCAAAGCACCAAACACATCAATCTATTACCAAAGGCTGCAATGTACTGCACCTGTCAAGATTCCAAATTCTCCAGGACTAGAAATTAACCTCCAATCTACAATCTCTTTAGATCAATTCAGAGCAAAAAGTAGCAAGCCTCTCAAAGGTAAAAAGTGTCAAAAATGCAAAGGGACAAAAAAGCAATCATTTAAGCAGTCCTTTCTGTGGTAAAATCATCCAAAGGAAGAACAACAACTGGATCTGAATTACCTAAAAAACAAAACAAAGAAACATACCCGATACTTTATATATGTGAGCCACTTATACCAAAAACAGTTTGCATTTTAACTTCTACTTAAATTGTCAGAACATTTAATTAAAGTATGAAATATTAGTGTGTTTATATCAGCCTAAAAGTAGGGTGATGTGAATTCTGTCAGATGCTATTGTGGTCCTATACAAATAACCAAATTAACATGATCAAAGCTGTATTTTTAATGACTTCTAGGTCTGTTAACTTTCTTAGCAAACTCTTATCAAAGATCTTAAAAGTCACCTGTATTTACCTCTAAATACGTTCCTAGGATTTATGTCAAGTGTGAAGAAAAGTTCTAAACACATTTTCCCCTCAAAACAGCCTACTGTCCCACTGTTCTAAGCAACATAAGGTATACTCTTTCATTTTGCAGATGTATTGTCTATTCCTGTGCCAACTGCAAGACTTGGCTTAATCATAAAAAGCCTTATGATAAAAACTTGGCTTTATAATAAAACCACTATAGCTTTATGATATTATCTGATACAGCAACTCACCCTGATTCATTATCAGTGTTTTCTCATTTATTTCTGTGTCTCAGTTGATGCTATTAACAGACTTCCACTTAATCAATTTGACTGATTTAAATGAGAAAGGGAATTATTTCACAAAAACTAAGTCGAATATTTTGCAAAATATTCATCTAAAAGGCAAGATGCTAAAATAAAAAGTGTCAAATTATGAAGAGATTCAGGGGTAAACTCTAAAAAATTTAGAATCCTGTATGCAGGCTCCTTTTCTTCAATCGGTGCAACACCATAAAGTAATCACAGATTATAGTTGTAGTTTATGTCAGAAAACAGACTGCTTCTTACTAAGTCTTATGGCCCACATAAGATGGGAAAGGGAATTATTTTAGTTTTTAAAAAATCATATGTATCAATCACTTTTTAAACATTTCCTGCTTTAACAAGATTTTTAAAATAATTAAACTACCAATCATTGGTCCTAATTTCATTAAAGGGCTTCTACTACATTAAGTCTTCCCATTTAAAAAATGTTACTTGTCTCTATTTAGACCATCTTTTAAATCTGTAAGTAAAGGTTTAGTGTTGGTCTAACAGATCTTAAATACTGCTGGTAAGATTTATTTTCCCTTATCCATAGGGATACATTCCAAGACCCCTAGTGGATACCCGAAAATACAGGTAGTGGCAAACCCTATATAATACACCCACACACACACACATTTTTTCCCTATACATACATACTGATGATAAAGTTTAATATATACTATAATACAAGTTATGTGAATGTGGCTTCTCTCTTAATATATCTTATTGTATTATACTGCAAGTAACTGAAACCATGGCAATCGAAACCTCGGATAAGGGGAGACTACTGTACTTGTTCATGTATCTGTCCCATTATTGCCCATTCAGATTCCCTTCTATCAAAGGTATAACTTTTGATGTCTGTTAATTTTTCTTTCTTGAAACTATATGTTGCATTGTGTACATCTTTTTAAGTTTCAGAAATGGTACTGAGCAATGAAAACTGTTGCTTTTACTTTTTTATGCACTAACCACTATGTTTAGAAGCCATCAATGTTGCTGTATTATTTGGTCCACTGTTTCTAACTGCTACATACTCCATAGTGTGCATGTGCCACATTTTACTTATTTGAGTATCTACTAATGATGGATACCAAGGTTGCTTCCAACTCCTCACTACCACAAATGATGATGCAATACTCTGACAGAGATCACGTTTATGGAAATGATGCGATCTCACCTTTGAAATATATACCCATGAGAACCAGTCTACACTCCTATGAACAATGTATGAGGGTTCCCATTGCTTCACATACCTGCCAGGACTTACCATTATATAGTTTTCTAATTTCTGCAAATCTGATGCTTACAAAGCTGTACCTTGTTTTATTTTTATTTCTCTAATTACTGAGTATGGGCATCTACTCACATGAATTTCCTGTTCTATAAATTGCCTATCCATATCCTTTGCTCATCCTTGTTGATCTGGAAGAGTTCCTTGGATATTCTACATTAGCAGTCCCTTTTCAGTTTTAAAACACTGTTAAACATTTTTAATCTACCATGGGTCTGTTAACTTCTGTTGTACAAAGTGCTGCCTAATTTTGTATGCAGACCAGCTGCTTGCTATTACACCAATTGTTTGCAAGTTTTATTGGTCCATGACAAAATGAGGTTGTACCAGAATGTTATTTAACTACATTGGTAACTATACTATTTAGTACAACTGACATTTTTCTTGATGAAGGAAGCAGTGTGTTGATTTATATTCTAGTGTAAGGGCCTAAGGAGTAGCCTGGAGCTATGTGTTTTTTGTTGGGAAGTATATTTTTAAATACAATATTCAAAATTTTACTTTCAGGTTTATGCCATGGGGATTTTAAGAATTCTTTCCCCACCATTGTTATTACAACACAACCTCCTACATTAACTGCTCTTAAATTTACAGTTTTAGCCAATATGACTTATTTTACAGACAGAATATTTGCTTATACTGTGAATGGGGTCTTTTCACCAATCATTTTCTTTTTTTTTTTGAGATAGAGTCTTGCTCTTGTCACACAGCCTGGAATGCAGTGGCACAATCTAGGCTCACTGCAGCTTCCGCCTCCCGGGTTCAAGCGATTCTCCTGCCTTACCGTCCTGAGTAGCTAGGATTACAAGTGCCCACCACCACGTCCAGCTAATTTTTGTATTGTTTTAGTAGAGATGGGGTTTCACCATGTTGGCCGGGCTGGTCTCAAACTCCTGACCTCAGGTGATCTGCCTGCCTCGGCCCCCCAAAGTGTTGGGATTACAGGCGTGAGCCACCACGCCTGGCCTCACCAATCATTTTCTAATTGGTTGCTATTAATACATGGAAGAGCTATCTGTTTCTGTATATTGATCTCTTGGCTACCTCACTGTGCTTTTACTAGTTATAATAATTTTACATTATCTCCCCAAGAAACAAAGAGACTCATCACCTACATACAAATAGTAACAAATATTCTCTTTTCTTTTTTAGAGACAGAGTCTCGGTCTCACTCTGTTGCCCAGGCTAGAATGCAGTAGCACGATCCTGGCTCATTGCAGCCTTCACCTCCCAGGCTCAAGTGATCCTCTTACCTCAGCCTCCCAAGTAACTGGGACCACAGGGGTGTGCCACCACACCTGGCGGATTTTTGTACTTTTTGCAGAGACGGGATTTCGCCATGTTGCCCAGGCTGGTCTCAAACTCCTGGGCTCAAGCGATTTGCCTGCCTCAGCCTCCCCAAGTGCCAGTAATAACAGGCATAAGCCATCATGCCCAGCCCAAATTTTTTCTTTTAATATGTATTCTTCGCTTCTTTCTTTTCTGTTGGTTAGCATCTGTACTACAAATGTAAATGACAGAAGTTAATGTCTGACATTTTTGTGTGACTTTTGAATCCAATGGAAATGCCTCAGCTCCCCCATTATGACTTCTGGTAGGTAACTCTAGTTTTCTTAAAGTTTATATGAAGCTTTTGTTAATGAGATAAATTTTATCGAGTGCTTTGGAAGCATCTATTGAGTAATAGTTCCTTTTTCCTTTTAACTGTGGACTTGGGAATCCAATGTTAAACCTCCTTGTGGTTTTTAATAGTAAGAGGAAATATTTACAGTATCTTAAGAAAACAGGTCACATGCATGTATACATGTGTTTCCAAATGCAAGAAAAAAATGCTCCAACTTTAAGGGAGGTCTCATAGGGATGAATTATAGGTGATTGACATTTTGTCTACATTTTCCTAGAATTTTCAGAATACATGTTATATTTATAATTATACAAAACTAATTTATAAGTAATCATGGCACCTGAATTAGCCTGAAAACTTGAGTTACTTTGAGGTAAGCATTAAATATGCTTTTAAAAAGCCAGCCATAACACTTTTCTTCTAAGAAAGCTTTCCAACAGTGGGTTACCTCTCAAAGCTAAGTATGTATTAAGAAGTTGCCTCTGGGAACACTGGACAATAGTTTGGTAGAGCTGAACTTTTATATGAGAGCTTCTGGCTTCAATTACAATCACTACGACTTACTGATCACAGCACTGAGTACCCCACAATTCATTTCATTCTAAATCAACCCTGAAGTAGATATGTTAAATTCCCAGAAGAGGAAACCAGTGTCGGCGCTAGTAAGCAGGGCCAGGACTCAAATCTAGATCTTATTATTGCATTATACTTCCTTCTCACACAGAATTGAATCTAATTTTGAACTTTCCTTTCAGAAGTGAAATTGCCACTTTTGAACAGAGAGATTTTGTTTGGTGAGCAGAGATTAAAGAATTCCTTCAAAATTACTTAATAACTGAGAATACTTAGGTTTTAAAACAGGGCACCAATAGTTCTAACTCAATTAGGCCAGTGAAGTTAACTTAGGGATTCTAATATATTTTAACACTCCAAGAAACACCTGTTGAAAGGAACCATATGCTCCAATTTTTGCACCCCTCCAACTCTTCACCCAAGACTCACCTCTGCCAAATGTTGTAGCCGAGTTAGCAGCGGGGTCCTCTTGTCAGATCCCAGACGAGTGATGTAGTTTGATCTTTTGCTAAATACATATAGGAGATTGAGGACTGCCAGCACCACTTGCATATCAGAGGAAGCCAATAAAGTTGTCAAATGCTAAAGGGACAAAAAAGGGCAAAGCTCAAGGTATCAGGCACAACTGGCCTTGAAAACAAAACAAAATGTACTTGTCAACATTTACAAAGCTATCAAGAAGTTTAGTCACAACAATACAAAAAATATATAAGTATTTGTACTCGGGAGGCTGAGGCAGGAGAATGGTGTGAACCCGGGAGGCGGAGCTTGCAGTGAGCCGAGATCACGCCACTGCACTCCAGCCTGGGCAACAGAGGGAGACTCTGTCTCAAAAAAAGAAAAAAAAAAAAAAAAATATATATATATATATATATATATATATATATATATATATGTATTTGATAATCTACAACATGCAACCTTATCCCCAAGGAGCTTAAAATCTGGCAGTTAGCTATAAAGTGCAATAAAAGTAAAAAACGTAAATAGTGGTTCAAAATTGCGCAGGTTTTCCCACAGGAAGGAAAAGAGACAAATACACATGTGGGACTCAAGAAGAACATTAAGTCTCTAACTGGACTAAAAGTATTGTGAAAGAAAGATATTTTATGTTCTCTTCTGTATCCTTTATGACAAACATAAAATTGAAATTAATTAAAACAGGGTCCTTCATATAGAAGCTAAAGATATCGATAACAGCTCGTGGCAATTATATAACATATAAGTGTTACAGTACAGTATATGCTCATAAGGAACCTGAGTGACTACTCTGGATTTTGTTGTTGTTGCTGTTTGGAGACGGGGTCTCTCTGTTGCCCAGGCTGGAGTGCAAAGGCATGATCATAGCTCCCTGCAGCCTTGACCTCCTGGGTTCAAGCAATCCTCTCACCGAAGTCTCCCGAGTAGCTAGGACTACAGGCACGCACCACCACGCCCCGCTAATTTTTGTATTTTTTGTAGCGATGGGGTCTCACTATGTTGCCCAGACTGGTCTTGAACCCCTGGGCTCAAGTGATCTTCCCGCCTCAACCTCCCAAAGTGTCAGGATTACAGACATGAGCCACTGCACCTGGCCTTACTTTGGCTTTTAAATACAATTAAAATTCACCAATACATTGAAGCAGTTGGTCAGAATTAAAATCAGTATGTAATATAGCTAGAAATGAACCAAGGCATTTCCAGTTGCCAATTATACCGAAGGTCATGGACTTCCATGGGCAGCATATCTATTTCATCTTCAACAGACTGCCTATTTACCTCCCACTTAAAGCTCTGTATGTTAGGCCTTTAGTTCAGTTATCCCACTTCTTTTCCTAAGCCATTTTCTTTTAAGTTGTTTGTTCTGATTCTGTTTCTCTACTGAAGACGTAGGAAAACACACCTAAAATTAACAGGGCACCTAACTAATGATGATAAAAAGTCTAAAGTTGGGCTTCTATAAAAAGAAAATAATTTCTTCTTACAGTGATTTTTAACCAATTAAAAAGCTCACTGATTGCTGCACCTACCTTACTCTTCAAGGACACAAAGGATGCTATGAATATATATTTTGGGATGGGTGTGGCAGAGTACAGAGAGACTTTAAAGCAGCACACTAACACTTAGAGGAGTAGTAAGTACATTAATGTGATGAGAAAATCAAACTATTTCTAGGAATTTAAAAGTAATGTGGGGCTGCTCTAACAACCTAGGGCAAAAATCAATTCATGCAAATTTCCTTAAATACTTTAATACATATATAACATTTCTCATTCATTTCTTGAATCTTGAAAAGGCAAAGCAAAGGTGATAGTACAGAATCTTCCCATCAACCCTATGAAGGATAGTATCTATATCCAAGAAACATTCTACTATTATCTTTGACAATGAAAAACCCAGAGCTCCACAATGAAAAGGAAAGAAGCAATAGAAATAGCAATTTCCTTATTTCTGGATGTACACAATTCTAGTCAAGAACAGGGTACACAGGCTTTAACCTCCCCTACCTCTATGGAACTGTACAGATGCCGGGAAAAGCTGTACTCAATGAGCAAGGCTGTGAAGTTCAACACAGCCAAGAGAAGCATTTTCAGTTGCTCTCTTTCTGGCCTATCACATACGAGCATCCATGACATATTCTCCACTGTCTGTCCAGCATCTGCCAGTATTCCATCGAAGCGGTCCAACAGGTCCACCCAGTGATATAACTCGCACTGGAGAGGGGAGGAAAAAGAGGATGTAAGAATAAGGTAGAAGCGCCGCATGGGTGCTTTCTAACTGAGCTTTGTTACAAGAGATTGCTGAGCATGACACCTAGACAAGTTCACGTCCCACCCTTGCCCATATGAGAAAGATCATACTCTGAGCTAAAAGTGCTGTAGTTCATTGTCATACCCATCTAGATATATGTGCTAACACCAATAGACACCATAAAACCCCTAGAGCTAGGTCTTTAGATGGAGAACTCCGGTTACATTCTAAGATCTACGAAGACAAGAGAACTATCCTTGCCAGAATCCATTTTATCAGAAAAATTCATTTTTAGAGTTATCTAATAAAAATTCTTCTAAACTAAAAATCCAGAAATTATCTCAAACTTATATTGTCAAACCACAGGAATTCTGTGATTGAGATTCTTAAGCATCACCTGTGAAATCAATTCTCCATCCTCAGCCAGCAAAATTTTCCTTGCCACTGGTTTAAAGCTGTGTTAGGCACATGGCACATGCTAGATGCTTATTAATTGCTGAATGAGGCTATCCCATTGTGGTTTCTTATTCCATATCAGAGCATACAAAATGATGTATTAGTATGGTGAGTCCTGTCTTTTGGGAGCTTGACTTCACATACCTTTCCAATGTTCCATGTTTTGATCTGCTGCAGTTCCAAGAGAAGTTGCTCATCATTACAAACTTTGAGTTTGTCTATTAAGGCTCTGCAGTCTGCAGGCTGAGAAAAGAAAAGTATTCACAAAAGATGTTTTGGAATGAGGGAGTTGCAAATAAGGAGAATCAGAAAAGGAACCCTTAAGCTCACACAGCAATTTTCCTTTTGCTAGGATTTACTACTTAAGAAAACGAGATGTGCCAGACAATCTCTTGGGATTAAAATGGAAACCTCATGAGAAAATGCTTTTATTCCCCCAACAATCCACCTGGGCTTAAAAAACAAAAAAAAACAAAAAAAAACAAAAAACAAAACAAAAACCCACCTTGGATTTGGATAAAGGTAGATGCAGACAAACTATTTGGAAAGGTGCTGACAACAAAAACAATAATAAGTTAAACATCTAAAAAAAAAAAAAAAACAATTAAGGAATCTATACCATGGTCTGAAAGTTAACCAGAATGCCTGGTAGGTTATATTGAATCAGAGACTGAAAAGTCCTAGTGAATTCACAATTAAAGGTGAAGATTAGCACTAGCTATATTTTTCTGTTACATAAAATCCTTCACTTGTAAGATGGTAAACAGCTTCCGAACTTCGTAAAACTAGGACTCCATTCTTTCTTGGGGTTCCTATTTCCATACATTTCTGCTCTCTTCTACTGATGAATGGGTCCATTTGTCAGGTAACAAGGAGTGGATTGAGCATTTATAGTCAAGTTTCTGAAAGTGGAAGGAGGGAAAGGGATAGGGGCTGGGAGAGAGAAGCCTTCCGTTAATGAATGGCAGCTGGGAGAAGTGATTATTACACTTGTTCTTTAACTCCATAAAGGCAGTACAGCATCCTGGGAATGGACCAGAGGTCTGGAACCAAACAAGTCTGGATTCACTTTTTAACTTCATGTTTACTAAGCTGTTTGATCATGAGCAAGTCTAACCTCTAAGCCACAGCTCTCTTATCAGAAAAACAGACCTAATAGCTACCTCACAAATATGAAACTCAAACGTCTGCCACATACATAAAATACTTATCTCCCATTACAGGAGCTTAAATATTCAGAGACAGCATACTATTAAAAAGAGTATGACCCTTGGAATCAGGTAGTTGGTAAGCTACCTCTTTGAATCTCAGCATCCTCTTCTGCAAAATAAACTAACATGTACCTATATATCCAGCAATGCTGTCGTGAGATTCAAACTGGGAGAAACGTATTTTCGGCATCTGAAACAACATGGAACCTAACAGGGGTTTCTTTAAGCTAAGTCCAAACCTTTTCTCCCTCTAAGCATTATTAAGATCTACCTCAAATGTTCATGGTAATTAAATATATGTAAAATCCTTGGCACAAAATCCTTCCATAAACCAGGCCTGCACTTTTTCCTCTTCTCCTCTAAGATGTAAGTTGAGGGAGAGGCAGTGAAGCAGCAGAAATAGATAACATGGAAATTTGAACCACCTGCTTATGCAGTTCACTTGTGCCTGCTGGACCTACTTGGGTCCAGCATCAAACGTGTTACTTCTATTTCTAATGGAATGCAGCTGTACAAATCCAATTTTACGATGTGTAGGTAAGATGCAGTTCATGATGAACATTTGGATCCTGTAATAATTTGGTATGTCCCATAACCAGGCATTCAGTCTTTACCAAGGCCCAGTAGCAAGCCAGAAGCTGCTTTTGTGAATGTAGAATAGCTGGTGGCAGAGGACAGCACAGCCAAGAATCTAGGGGTCTTACTTGTAATTCTATTGGGGCTTGCCAAAAGCACAACATGGCATCTTTAGCTGACACCTAAGTCAGTCACCTGGGTCTACTAGGTCATAATGTCCAAGTGATAGGGCAACTTGTATCATAGCCTGGACCTTTTGCAGAGTCTTTTCTAGATCCAAACCTTACTAACACTTTAGTGGTTCCCCACTAAATGTGTTAGAGGTTATCCAGTAAATAGGTCAAAATAGCATGCCTAAATGTGACCAACCAATATGTTGGCTCCAAAATCCAAACGCATCACACATTGTTCCTCTTTCTTCACAGTGTGTGGTACAAGGTACAGCAACTTCCCTCTCACTTTAGAAGGGATATCCCAATATTTCCCAAACCCTGGGGCCACTAGAAACTTTCCTAATGTGAAAAGGCCCTCAAGCTTCCACAAGGTTTGTTTCTGACTCTCTGGCACAAATATGTCTGAGGCATCTAAGGTGTGCTTGTGTTTTCTGCTCACAAGATCCAGTTAGCATAATGGCATCAATTTAATGTACCAGTACTATGGTCTCTGTTTTATCAGACTATCAAGGTCCCTTGCATTTTGCAGGAGAAAGCAGCAAGCACAACGTTAAGATATAAGAAAGCATTTGCCAGTTCGATAGCTCAATAACAATTGCCAGGGTTTACAGTGATTTATTTCAATAGATACCAAATCTGGGGAAAAAATCCTTTGCACAGCTACTGATACACAAAGTGATCAATAAAAGCCTTTCATAATAGTACCTAGCATTGACCACAGTATGGGAAATGGGGGCAATCATGTATGCTGCTCAAGGAAAATAGACAACTCAAGTCTTAAAAATGTCCATAACCAGTGACATAAAAATTCCACTTCTAGGAGTTTATGCTAAGTAACTTGCTAGTAACTAGGAAATAAGAGCCAGAAATCAGTATATGACTCCAAGAGCAACCCCTTACAATCCACTAGGTTAAAAATTGTTTTTTAATTTGCATTTCTCCAATTACCCGCTAAGTTGAATCTTGCTGGACGTTTACTGGGTTTGTTCTTTTCTTAAATGCCCTATGCCCATTTTGTCATTGGGATATTAATTTCTCCTGATTTAGCTACTGAAAATATTAACTACACTGGGTTACAAATATTTTCCCCAGCTTGTCATGTGTCTTCCCCCTCCCCCACCCCACCTGAGCTTATTAAGGGGTAAATGGTATACAAAAAAACTGCACGTAATTCATGCATACAACTGGGTGAGTTTGGATGTATGTATACACTCACGTTGCCATCACCACAATCCAGGTAATAAACATATCCATCACCTCCAAGTTTCCTTGTGTCCCTACGTGTGTGTGCATGATTGTGTGTGGTAAGAATACTTAACGTGAGATCTACCCTCGTAACAAATTTTTAAGTAGAGTAGTCCCTCTGTATCCACTGGGGATTGATTCTAGGACCCCCATGAATACCAAAATCTATGCTGCTCATCCTTTGTATAAAATGGCAATGGTATTTGTATATAACCTATACACATCCTCCTATATACTTTAAACCATCTCTAGTATTACAATACTGAATTCGATGTAAATAGCTGTTACACTGCATTGCTTCAAAATTTCTATTTTTACTTTTGTATTGTTCTTTTTTATTGTTTTTTCCCCCAAATATTTACTATCCAGTTGGTTCCATCTGCAAATGTGGAACCCACACACGGAGGGCAGACTATACTCAATACCTGACTGTTAACTATAGGCACTATGTTGTTCTACAGCAGATCTCTGGAACGAACTTGCCTGGTATAATTTTATACCCACTGAGCAGCAACTCCCCCTTCTCTCTCCCACCATTTCCTGGTAACTATCATTCTACTGCCTACCTTTACACCTTTGACTATTTTAGATGCCTCATATAAGAGGATTCATGCACTATTTGTCCCTCTGCGGCTGACTTATTTCACTTTGCCTAATGTCTTCCAGGGATTAATTTCCAAAATATATAAGGAACTCCTGCAACTCAATAGCAAAAAAATCCCAAATAACACAATTTAAAAACGGGCAAGGGTCTTGAATAGACATTTATCCAGATGTCTATTTACATACAAATAGTTTTAAAATATATAAAAAGGTGCTCCCTATCAAGGAAATCAAGGGAATGCAAATCAAAACCACAATGAGATATTACTTCACACCTATTAGGATGGCTATTGTCATGTCTTTTTAATTTTGGATACAGTATTTAACATTTCCATTATGGTTTTTTTCCTTTGTTTTAATGCTTGGAAAGACCATGCCCACTTAAGACAAAGTAAACATTCACCTACATGTTCTACTTCTCCTATAGCTTATTTCTTTTAAAAACATTTGACTTTTGGTTTATCTAAAATTTATCGCAATATAATAGTCCCACATGCTCTACAAGATAATCATTCTAGCATGGTTTCCTAATACTGTCCCTTCTTTCCAATTTATAATCCCTCTATTACCATATATCTAGTTCTTATATACACTAGGATCACTTTTCTAGGTCTTCTATTCTCGTAGCAGTAGATTCTTACATTGGTTCCACTTTAAATTTTTAAATTATAGTTTCTTAAGCAAGTTTTCTTTTTGTCCTTTAGTAAAAGACATTCAAGTACACAGTTGTCAAAACTTCTAGATGCCAAAACACATCAAAAACAAAATCAAAAGCAAATGAAGATATTTCCAACAGATATGAAAATGAGTACGTTCAATATATATGGCATTCAGTAAGAGAAACACTGATATTCCAATGTCAGATACAAAATGAATGGCACAAGAAGATAACTGATATAGAACAGTGAAATACTTTCTTCCCCACTTATGAAATTAACAAAAATTTAAAAGACAATCTGTAATACTGACAAGGGTATATGAAGAAAGTGCTGCTCATACTCATTAGTACAATGCTAAATGAAAAGGGCAGGATAATTGTGTGTGCACATGTAATAATTTTTTAAAAGACTGGAAGAAGCCTGGGCAACAAGGCAAGATCCTGTCTCTACACAAAATAAAAAATTAGCCAGGCATGGTGGCATGCACCTATGGTCCCAGCTACTCAGGAAGCTGAGGTGGGAGCATCGCTTGAGCTGGGAGGTCAAGGCTGCAGTGAGCTGTGATCGTGCCACTGCACTCCAGCCTGTGTGACAGAGCAAAACCCTGTCTCAAAACAAACAAACAAACAAAAAAAACTGGAAGAAATGCAGCAAAATGTTATTGTTATCTTTTGGTGATACTTGCCAGGTACTTTTACATTTTTTGAAAACCAAGTGGCTTGTATTTACGATATGAACTAACTTATGTGCCAGATACTATGCTAAGCAATTGCCTCACATCAAGAAGGAAAAAATTTTCAGCCCCATTTTGCAGCTGTGGAAACCAGGCAAGTTAATAACCTCTCAGCCACAAAAGTCTGGTAAGATTCAAACCTAGGTCTAATTTCAAAGCTTGTGCTCTCTGAACTAAGCACAAGGGGTCAACAGGACTATCACAATGCAATACCACTTCCTCAACCTTAGAAAGCAGTTCAAGCTAGCTGGTGGAATATTACTAGATTAAAGCTGGGATTTCTACTGTCGACAAAGGGTTAATTGATATGACCACCCAATACACAAGTTAAGCTGAATTGTGTGATTAAGAATCAGTAATAAAGACAAGCTAAAACACTGGCCTTAACAAAAAAACTAGTAAGAAAGATGTTACCACTTTCATTTTCTAAAAAACAAAATTGCAAGATCCCAGAAGTACATTAAAAATCTGAACCCATATCTGCTCTTTCCATTATACCACACATCCTTTCTGCATAGGAAGGAATTGCACAGCAGCCTGAGAGCTGACTTCAGGCACACACAGCTACGAAGAACTAACTGATCGGTGTTCACTTTCCACTGGTCTCTTGGCTATCCATTTTTTTGATCCAGGGAAGTTCAAAAGAAAATCTTACTGTTTCTAGACAAGTTGTTGTTTTACTGCCTTTTGTATATATGGGTGATGAGATTTGAAGAGCATGGATGAACTGTTCACAAATATTTTTTTATTTTTTAATGAAGAAAAAATAAGCAAAGTAAACTTTTGGATACTTACAGCCTCAGTAGGTGTCTTCTTCAGTTTAGTCCTGTCTACTTTCATGATTTCAATTTTCAGCTTTACGATCTGAAAAAAGAAAATCCCAAAAGAAGTGAGAACTTAAAGCTACAATCTTGAGCTCTACAAGCTTGGACACAGACAATACAGAATGAAGAGCAATGCAAAATGCTTAAAGTAAAAACACTGGAGTTATGATGCTATGCCAACTCAGAGGCACAGCTATCAGGTAGAGAGAGGTAAAGAATCTCTCCAGATCAAACTGGCCCACATCCCTATGTTGCACAAGACTGAAACCAAATCAGGTCAAAATGAAAATTTTTTCTCTTTTACAAGCATCTCAAACTCTTAATTGAAAATAAGAGTGTACAATGTTTGCAACACATCTCAGGATGGAAAAATTCACCATAGCCCTGCAGTTCCCTGATAACTTCCATTTCTAGGAATTAATCCAAAGAAAGTCGTAAAGATGTACACAAATATTTAACCACAAGAATCCATACTGCATGACCATGTATAATAGTAAAAGACTGAAAAAGACCTACTGTTCCATCACAAGGCTAAAAAAAAGATCAAATGTCCAAAATACGACTGGTTTAAAATGGAATGTCACACAACTGTTAAAAATATTGCAAACTATGTAATACACAAAGATGTTCATGATGAAATAAAAAGATTACAACACAGAACATACGGTATAAAACTTATGTCTAAAGAAAACAGCTTAGAGGTGCTAGGCATCAGAATATTAATTCATTGTTAACCAAAAGGATTAAGTATGACTGTTTTACCTATGCACCTTTTACTGTTCCTACCAATAAAAATGTATTAGTTGTATCATAAGAGCAAAGGCAAAACAACACTTTTTTCAACTAGAAAATGAAGTATAAGGATCACAACAGAAATATTCTGAGCACAGAAAACAATCATTTTATTAAGCCATGTAATTTGGAAGGCTCAAAAGCAGACAACAGCCTGATCAGATCCACTGTATAATCCCTAGATCTTTGATGGCAGACAAGTCCTCCAAAGCACAAGAAGAAATAAGTTTCTCCTGTTAGCAACTAAGACACATGCACAGAGGTAGAAGTGGGTTGCAGGCTCTTTACACACAAAAGATTCTGCTATTAACAATGTATTTAACTCAGTGGCAGTCACTAGAAATCAATGTTCCTCCCCCGAGAAGGCTGCCATAATATAAAGCTGACCAATTACAGTATAAATTTTAGGCAGCTTTTTGCCTAGATTTAGTCCAATATACTCAGTACTATGGAAATAGCGTGTATTTGCCTGTACGACCTGTATCCATTCAATCAGCAGGCATTCAAGGAAGAGTTTGTGAAAAATTCAGAATACGTTCTAAAACATTTCTGCAGAGACCATTCCTTAAGAAGAAAAAATGTTTTCTATGGTTGATATTTAGGGTGTGTAATTCCAGATTACTTTTTAAAAAGTTATCTCAGTATCAATACAAAATGAACAAAATGCCTGATGCCAACAACCTCAAAATATCTCAAATGAAGCCAACAGGATTCTGGCAACAATCCTGTCCATGTGGTGGAAACTATAAGCTGAGCTATTTGTACGCTTACTCTCAAGGCTTTTTTCCTCCCCTTTTCTCATAAACGTCTTACGCAAGTGGCTGTCACACTATTGTCGCTTCAGTCATTTGCAGGGAGGCTATTAAACTGCCCCTGCTGCAAGACGTAGCAGCCAGCCTCAATACAACTCAAATAACTGATGCTTTCCCTCTAAGATTAGGAACAAGGCAAAGATGTCTGTTATCATGACTTTTATTCAACATACTGCTGAAAGTTCTAGCCAATATAATACAGTAAGAAAAAGAAATAACAGGCACACAGATAAGAAAAGAAAAAATAAAAATGGTCCCTATTTGCAGATGTCAAAGGATCATCCACATAGAAAACCCAAGAAATCTATTTTAAAAGCCTCCCAGAGGATGGGCGCAGTGGCTCACTGCACTCCAGCCTGGGCAACAGAGCGAGACTCCATCTTAAAAAAACAAAGGCCAGGCAGGCGCAGTGGCTCACACCTGTAATCCCAGCACTTTGGGAGGCTGAGGCGGGCGGATCATGAGGTCAGGAGATGGAGACCATCCTGGCTAACACGGTAAAACCCCGTCTCTACTAAAAATACAAAAAAAGTAGCCGGGCGTGGAAGGACAAGCCTGTAATCCCAGCTACTTGGGAGGCTGAGGCAGAAGAATTGCTTGAAACTAGGAGGCGGAGGTTGCAGTGAGCCTAGATTGTACCGTTGCACTCCAGCCTGGCGACAGAGCGAGACTCCATCTCAAAATAAAAAAAAATAAATTAGCCAGGCGTGGTGGCGAGCACCTGTAGTCCCAGCTACTCAGGAGGCTGAGGCAGGAGAATGGCATGAACCCGGGAGGCAGAGCTTGCAGTGAGCCGAGATAGTGCCACTGCACTCCAGCCTGGGTGACAGAGCGAGACTCCAGTCTCAAAAAAAAAAAAAAAAAAAGAAAAATCAAAGCTCTAAATACATGGAGAGATCTAAGACTCTAGTAAAGATGTCAAATCTCCTAAAATTGTTATATAGGTTTAATATAATTCCTATTCAAATCCCAGCAAGATGTTTTTTTGTAAATAAGCTGAGATTATTCTAAAGTGTATATGTTGTATAAGAACAACAATGGCTGAAACAATTTTGGAAAAAAATAAAAGAGGGAGGAATTGAATTACCCTACCCACTTTTAAGACTTACTATATAGCTACAGACATCAAGTAGTACTGATATATATACAAGTATCAATAGAGCAGAATAGAGAACCCAGAAATAGACTCATACAAATATGCCCAACTGATTTTTGACAAAGGTTAAAAAAAAAAACAATTCAGTCAAGGAAAGATAGTTTTATCAACAAATGGTGCCAGAGAAAGCAGACATGCACAGGCAAAAAAGATGAACTTCGACCTAAGCCTCACACTTTATATAAAAAATTAACTCAAAATGAATCACTTAAATATAGGACAATAAAATTTACTAGGAGAAAATATTTGCAAACCATATATAGTATCTAAAATACATAAAGAACTCTCAAAATTCAACAGTGAAAAGTCAAACAATCTCAGTAAACTAGGAATAGAGAACTTCTTCAAATTGATTAAAATATCTACAAAAAAAGCTACAACTAATATCTTAATGGTCAGGAACTAGGAGCATTCCCCCTTAAATAATCACAAACAAAAAAGGCCAGGCGCAGTGGCTCATGCCTGTAATCCCAACACTTTGGGAGGCCTAGGTGGGCAGATCATTTGAGGTAAGGAGTTCAAGACCAGCCTGGCCAACATGGCAAAACCCCTTAATCCCAGCTACTCAGGAGGCTGAGGCAGGAGAATTGCTTGAATCCAGGAGGCAGAGATCGCAGTGAGCTGAGATCGCGCCACTGCATTCCAGCCTGGGCGACAGAGTGAGACTCCGTCTCAAAAAAGAAAAAGATGTCCTCTCTTACCACTGCTTTCCAACACTGTATTGAAAGTCCTAGCTAAAGCAGTAAAGGAAATAAAAATTATAAAGATTGGGAAGGAAGATACAGAACTGTCTTTTTGTCAGAGATGACATGATCATACATGCAGAAAATCTGAAATAAGGAAAAACACCCTGGAGCTAACAAGCAATTGCACCAAGTTTGCAGGATATAAGGTTAATATACAAAAGTCAATTGCTGGCCAGGCACGGTGGCTCAGGTCTGCAATCCCAGCACTTTGGGAGGCTGAGGCGGGCGGATCACAAGGTCAGGAGATCGAGACCATCCTGGCTAACACGGTGAAACCCCGTCTCTACTAAAAACACAAAAAATTAGCCAGGCGTGGTGGCGGGCGCCTGTAGTCCCAACTACTCGGGAGGCTGAGGCAGGAGAATGGCATGAGCCTGGGAGGCTGAGCTTGCAGTGAGCTGAGATGGCGCCACTGCACTCCAGCCTGGGGCGACAAAGCAAGACTCCGTCTCAAAAAAAAAAAAAGTCAATTGCTTTCCTATATACCAGCAACGAACAAGCAGAATTTGAAATAAAAAACATTTATATTAGCACCCCAAAACTGAAAAACTTAGATATAAATCTAACAAAATATGTATAAGGTCTATACAAGGAAGACTATAAAATTCTGATGAAAGAAATCAAAGAACAATTAAATGGAGAGATATTCCAAGTCCATGGATAGGAAGATTCAATACTGCCAAAATGTTAAGTCATTTCCAACTCCACAGATTCAATGCAACTCCAATTAAAATTTCAACAAGTTATATGAATACTGACAAACTGATTCTAAAATTTATATGAAGAGGCAAAAGATCCACGATAGCCAACACAATATCAAAGGAGAAGAACAAAGTCAGAAGACCTACATTACCCAAAATCAAGTCTTATCATAAGACAACAGTAAGTAAGAGTACTGTACCGGTAAAAGAATGAACAAATCAATGGAACAGAATTAGGGAGCCCAGAAGTAGACCCACATAAATATTGTCAACCGATGATCTTTGACAAAGAAGCAAAGTCAATATAATGGACAAAAGATAGTTTTTTCAACAAATGGTGCTGGAACAACTCGATACATACATGCGAAAAAAAAAATCTAAACCGAAATTACATGTTTCACAAAAATTAAGTCAAAATGGATCACAGACCTAAATGTAAAATATTCTGCTCTGTAAAAGACACTGTCAAAAGAATAAGTGGACAAGCCAGACTGACAGAAAATATTTGCAAAAGACATACAAAGGACTGTTACCCAAGATACACAAAGAACTCTTAAAACTCAACAGTAAGAAAACAAGCTGATTTAAAAATGGGCCAATGGGCCAAAGACCTTAACATACACCTCACCACAGACAGACAGATGGCAAATAAACATATGAAAAGATACTCCACATCATACGGCATCATGGAAATGCAAATTAAAACCATGATGATATATCACTACGGCCAAAACCCAGAACACTGACAACACCAAATGCTTGTGAGGATGTGGAGCAAGTGGAACATTCATTCATTGCTGGTGGGAATGCAAAATAGTACAGCCACTTTGGAAGTCAGTTCAGCAATTTCTTACAAAACTACTCTTACCACATGACCCAGCAATCAATACTCCCTGGTATTTACCCAAAGGAGTTGAAAACTTATGTCCACACAAAAACCTGCACATGGATGTTTATAGTACCTTCATTCACTATTGTCAAAACTTGGAAGAAACCACAATGTCCTTTGGTAGGTGAATGGATAAACTGTGGTACATCCAGACAATGGAGTATTATTCAGTACTAAAAAGAAACGAGCTATCAAGCCATGAACAAACATGGAGGAAACCTAAATGCATATTAGTAAGTGAAAGAAATCAGTACAAAAAGGCTACATACTGTATGATTCCAACCACATGACATTCTAGAAAAGAAAAAACTATAGAGACAGTAAAAAGATCAGTGGTTGAGGAGGGTTAGTGGGGAGGGAAGAATGAAGAGGTGGAGCGCAGAGGATTTTTTGGCCAGTGAAACTACTCTGTATGATACTACAATGGTGGACACATGTTATTATGTGTCTAAACCCCAAAAGTATACACCATGAGTAAACCCTAATGTTAACTATGGCCTTTGAGTGATAATGATGTATCAATGTAGATTAATCAATTGTAACAAGTGTACCACTCTAGTGGGAGATGTTGATAACAAGGGAGGCTATGCCTGTGTGGAGGCAGGCAGTATATGGGAAATTTCTGTACCTTCTGCTCGATTTTGCTGGGAATGTAAAACTACTCTAAAAATAAAGTCTATTTTAAAAAAACAATCCTCCAAAACAAGAGCACAGAGTAACTTATGCACTGAAATAAGCAAATCACAACCATTTTACTTTTTTAATGCAGATGAGTCACTGATGAATCTTCAAACAAATAAGCAACTTGCTCTAATGCTGTTTTGACCTAGTGTACTATACTAGTCAAGTGTCTGTAACTACAGAAAGACTGGATAATTAATGCAGCCAAGTAATTTACTGGAGAGTATCTGATAGCTCACAGAACTGACAGAAGGCTAGAGCTCCACGTGCAGAAAACTAAGAGGAACCAAGGAAGCTAGGGAGCCTGGAACTACAGCCAGACCCCCCACGGAAACAGCTTAGCTTGGGGTACTTCTGCTGCCAACACAAGACTCTGGATGCCTAGAAACTATGCTGGTGGCATAATTCTAAATCATCTCAGGTTATTTGCATGAGTGGCGCTAGACTCTAAGTCCCAAGTGTAAGCATTTGATGCACCCAATAAAATAACAGAGCCAATATGAATGCACACACACAAATGTTCCCATAACAAGTGCAGTCCTACCTTGGTGTCTATAATTCTACTGCAAGAAACATTTGTAGTTTAAAAAACCAAGACATCACTGTCCATGAGACATCAACTTTAAAAATTTAGAAGTTGTTGTGTTCTCATATTTCTAAAACTGGTTTCAACAGTGGGAGGGGGGAACGTTAGTATACTGAGTGTCCATTACAAGCCAGACAATACTGAGACTGGAGTTCCCCAAAGTGTGTTAGAATGTCTTGCTCTATAAAGGGAGACAAGAATCCTGTAATTTGGGAAATGTTATAGACAGAATTTCTCTTCCACTAGGGCAGTCACATAGCTAATTGACATTATTAATGGCTCTAAGACATCTTAGGTAAAGGAGGCTTATTAGCACACAGAACCATTTTCTCAAGTGGCATCTACTCAAAGTCCAATTGAAGTATTCCAAAGAATACAGTTTGAGACATGCTACCTAGGGAATTCATATGATATTTTTTCATACAGTCCTCACCACTCAAGTCAAGTTTTGCCTCTATTTACAGATAGAAAACTGAAGTAAGAGAGAAAAAAAGTACCTTTCTTGGTCAGTAAATGTTAGCACCAAGATCTAAATCCAGGTCTGACTACCAAGTCCATGCTTTAATAACATGCGATTCACTTTTTTTTTTTTTTTTTTGAGATGGAGTCTTGCTCTGTCGCCCAGGCTGGAGTGCAGTGGCGCAATCTCGGCTCACTGCAAGCTCCGCCTCCCGGGTTCACGCCATTCTCCTGCCTCAGCCTCCCGAGTAGCTGGGACTACAGGCGCCCGCCACCACACCCAGCTAATTTTTTGTATTTTTAGTAGAGACAGAGTTTCACTGTGTTAGCCAGGATGGTCTCGATCTCCTGACGTTGTGATCCGCCCGCCTCGGCTTCCCAAAGTGCTGGGATTACAGGCGTGAGCCACGGCACCCAGCCTCACCTTTTTTTAAAACCAGTTTTATTACTACAAAATATTGGCAGATAAGAATAAAAATTTGTGACAGATTCTTCTAGACTGCTGAATCCTATTTGTTTGAAAAAATTACTCCAAGAGAGGAAACTAGGGCCCAAGATGAGAAGCTGAGATGCTGTAATTTCACTAATGAAAGGAACAGTAACTGGGGAATGAGTTCTACCTCTTAGAAGTTAATCAGGTGAAAACCCTATTACATTTAAAAAAAAATCCTTCCATAAAAATAAGTTAGTTTGAAACAAATTCCTAGAAATGGCCTACTGCCTTTGTTGGGTCAGAACCAGAACTCAGGGCACCAAGCAATCTCTATATATAATAAACATTGCTTCCTAAACTTAGGTTAGAAAGATAGCCAACTTAAAAGAAAACAAGTGAATTACTATGAATCACCATCCATATCTATTACCATTACTTCAATACTTTTATCTAATATTTTTTTTCACTTCCTTATTCCCCCAACCTTTCCTTACACCCCTGAGGTTTGAATCTTGGTTTTGTACAGTTTACCTGCAGAACAAGTGTACACAACTAAAATATCCTGAGGGAAGCCACTCAAAGCGTGACTCATATTCTATAGTAATCACCTCCAGTTGATAATATTTAAAAATAATGACTTTCAATACTGAATCAGTTTAAGGGCACAGGACACCTGTAGTTCCCAAATCTGGCTCAAGAGCAGTTGGATGTAGTGAAAGACTAGCCTTACTAATCAAGTGTGGTCCAAGGATCAGCAGCACTGACATCACCTGGGAGTTATTAAAAGTTGCAGAATTTCAGGCCCCACCTAGATATGAGGAGTCAGAACCCGCATTTTAACAAGATCCTTAGGTGATCCATATAACAAAGTTTGAGAAGCACTAGATCAGAATACAGACTCAGAAAACCTGGGCTAGAATCCCTGCTATATCACTTACTCACTGCATAACCGCAGACAAATCCACCTCTCTATGCTTGTTTCCTCAACTGTGTAATTATTCTTTCCATTTAGTTCTTGGAACACTCTAATTTCTAAGTTCGCCGCTGGAATGTTTTTGCCACCCCTCCTTTCCCACAACTAGTTCCATTTGAGGAACTGACATTTAAACTAAGACCCAGAGAGGCTTTCCATGACAACCCACCTCAAGTTGGTCCCACTGTAATTTTTCTATTATAGCACCCAGTTTATTTCCAATTTCCTTCATAACAAGTATCAACTGTAATTACTGGTTTGATTTTCTAAGATGTTAAGCTCTCAGTACCTAGCACGGTATCTTCCACATGATAGGTATGCAAATATTTGTAGAATGGAGTTCAGGAAAGACGTATGCATTAAGAATAAAATCTGTGATTGTCAGCACACATATATTACTTGAAGCCATGGGTCTGGAGATGACTGCTTACAAAGAAGGAAAGGAGGAGGCCCGCAACTGAGTTATTTGCTCTAGCATTTAAAGGTAAGGCAAAGAAGGGGCCGGGTACAATGGCTCAAGCCTATAATCTTAGCACTTTGGGAGGCTGAGGGCAGATTCCTTAAACGAGACCAGCCTGGGCAACATGGTGAAACCCCATCTCTACCAAAAAAAATACAATACAATAAAAGTGTAAAGGTAAGGAAAGAAGGAAAACCCAGCAATGGAGAGGCTAGTGAGGAAAGAGCAAAACTAGCTAATTATGCTATCACGAGAGACGAAAGATGGCAAGAGTGATCAACTGCATCAAATGTCAAAATGAGGTATGTCCACTGAAATTGGTAATAGAGACAATTTGACAAGCAATTGTTTCAGTGGGATGGAGGGAATGGAAGCCAGACTAGAGTCAGGGAATCAATGGAAAGTGAGAAAGCATAAATGGTATGTGTAAAAACCTCTTCTGAAAATGTTGGGCCAGGGGCAGTAGCTCACGCCTGTAATCCCAGCACTCTGGGAGGCCGAGGCGGGTGGATCACCCAAGGTCAGGAGTTTGAGACCAGCCTGACCAACATGGTGAAACCCCGTCTCTACTAAATACAAAAAAATTAGCCGGGTGTGGTGGCGCATGTCTGTAATCCCAGCTACTTCGGAGGCTGAGGCAGGAGAATCGCTTAAACCCGGGAGGCGGAGGTTGCAGTGAGCCGAGATTGCACCATTGCACTCCAGTCTGGGCAACAAGAGTGAAACTCCATCTCGGGGGAAAAAATATATATATAGGCTGTAAATGGAAGCAGAGAATTATGGGGTCACTGAAATGTAGAGGAAAAGGTAAATAAAGACACTAGCTTATGTTCTCAAGTGGCTGCAAACTGTCTTGAAAAGACGGAGTAACTGTAAGAATCCCTTTGAAAATTGGGGGTAGGGGACCATTTAGCCTCTATTTCACTGTAATATAATAAGCACTTATGCAGGTTTGAACAGAATGATATCCAGAATTTGGACAATCTTCTCCCGAACCCCTCAAATCTTGACTGGATATCCCACCATATGTGATTACATTGTACTCTGTACCTATCACTTCCCTATTTATGAGAAAATGTCTGCCACAGGGTGGGAAAGTTAAAAAAAAAAAAAAACCTGGGAAGGGAAGAAATACACATTATTAGTAGTTGGCCTTTAATGGTTGCCTCTAGCTGGCAGGGTAACACATAGTTTTATTTATGCTTCATGCTTTTCTAATCCTTCCAAATTTCCTATAAATCATGGATCCATTTATAATCAGATTTCCTTTTGTAATTTGTTTTTTTAAAGAAACAGGGTCTCATTCTGTCACCTAGGCTGGAGTGCAGCGGCATGATCTTGGCTCACTGCAGCCTCAACCTCCCAGGCTCAAGCAATCCTCTCACCTCAGCCTCCAGAGTAGCTGGGACCACAGGCACACTCTACCACGCCTGGCTAATTTTTATATTTCTTGTACAGACAGGGTTTTCGCCATGTTGTCCAGGGTGGTCTCGAAGTCCTGAGTTAAAACAATCCTCCTGGCCTCAGCCTCCCAAAGTGCTGAGATTACAGGCGTTAGCCACTGTGCCAGGCCTAAAATTTTCCTTAAGGAAGAAAACACTGGCCCCTGAGCCAAAGGACATGCACCAGATTAAGAACACCATCTAAACAAATGCCTTAGATTAGCTGCTGCCTACTCTAGGAGCTTCTTCCCTACATCTTCTGGTGTTTGGAGCTTGGCACACAGGAGGCACTTTGGTTGATTATTAGCAGGTAAGAGATGTTGCACGTAAGTACGGGAGTGGGGATGAATCAAAATGAGCCTAAAATCCCCATAGAAATCATGGAAGCATTACGGCAGTTCTTAAACAAAAAATGCTTAGAGAAAACTAAACTCCAAAGTACCACAAAGCAAAATACTTTATTTTTTGCCTTGCAACGATTTCCTTTTGCCTTATAGTCTCTGAAAGTAAATTCAGGTGAGAGCTGCCCTGAGCATTCTTCATGTCAACAAGCAGTAAGATGCATCTTGAAATCCAGCCTGCTATTCACTATTTGATTATAGAGGAATAGGTGTCACTGATTATGATTTGTTAAAGGGGACACCACATAATTGTCAGGCCTTTCCATCCTATCTAGTTTCTGATTATCTATTAATACATTAATATCCACTCAACAAATATTGTGAAAAACATTTATGATCATAAAAAAATAGCTAACACTTACTCTATACCTATTGTGCATTATCTTTAATCCTTGGAGATGAAGACTGTGCCCAGTTTACTGAGAGTGGCCACATACCTATTAAGTGGTAAAACGTGGATTCAAACCCAAATCTGTTCCACAACTCTACATTGCACATAATGTCTATATGCACAGCCCACCTTGCTACGCCCCTCTCCTACAGACACCAGTCTCCCTATCCTTAGCCACATAAAACATGACTCTCAAGTGCCCTGAGAACTGCTGACCTAGGTTTTACTGGGCACTGACAGTAAAGTGTCATAATAAAGCAACTGAAAAATAGCCTTTACTCACCCAAGACAAATCTGGAAATTATTTGCAGAAATACCTTGAAGGAGTCTCTCATTTAAAATCTGAAAACACACTATACCTCAGATTAAGAGTTTATGCTGGCTCTGGGTGTTTCTCTGCACTGCAGTTATGCTTAAGCAAGGAAAATATGGGCAGGGAGGGATACTAAGAAAGAGGAATCTGAAACCTCCAATGTTGACTTTGAACGTGAGAATAGTATCTGAGAACACATCTCCTGCCACATCCTCTATTCAAACAGTCTGGGGAAGCTGCAGATCTGGGAGTTATCCTTCCCGGATACTCCCAATTACTTAGAGAAACTGGCATCAGAAGAACTAGGCAACCAAACATGGCTCACCAAAGTTGCAGATTATCAATTTTACCAATACAGAGGAAATGACAGCATGCTAAGGAGCCCTTCTTGGTATTCTCAACAAAAAATAAAAACAGCAATGCCTAAGTGTAAGTTAAGCAAATTAAGCAGGAGAGGAACAGACTCCTTGTCTACACATTTTAAATTGGTACTCTGGAATATTCCTAGTCTACACCTTAAGAATTGTCAGTTTCTGGCTGCATGCCTGTAATCCCAGCACTTTGGAAGCCTGAGGTGGGAGGATAAGCCTGAGGTGGGAGGATCACTTGAGGCCAGGAGTTTTCCCGAGACCAGCCTGGGCCACAGAGTGAGACCTCCGTCTCTACAAAAAATAAATAAAAATTTATAAGAAAAGCCTGCCTGTATCGAATAGGTGAATTTCACCCAGAAGGGCCACAGGCAGCATTCAATGAGTTCAGGAAAGTATTTTCATTTGTCAGAAGTTATTTTAAAATTATCTTAAAAATAACTTACTTCACCCGAGACTTATTTTGAAAACTAAAAATGCCTGACCACACAGGCATTTCAAAGCTATCTAATTCAGTAGGTCTGAAGTGGGGATTATTTTTTTCAAGCTGTACAGGTGATTTGGCAGCACAGGCCAGCCTTGAGAGCCATGGCATTAGATTATTATTCAATATATGCTTTGCCATTCTGTGACTTAGGAACTTGCTTTAATAAAAATAGAGGGGAGGAGCGGGGTATAAATAGAACAATAGCCCTGTGTTGATCACTGTTCAAGCTGGGTGACAGTTACATGGGTGTTCATTATGCTTTTTTCTATTTTTGTATATGTTTTGAAAAGTCTCATAAATTGAAGTTATTTTAAAGTGAGACTTTTTCCTGCTGGATCCATCCATTCTATCCTCCACATTGTTGCCAGAGCAATCTCCCTAAAACTCAAAACCTACCTACATCAAGTACAAACTCCTTATTTAAACCAGCATCCAAGACCTCTAGGACCTGGTCCCTGCTTACCTCTCTTACCAGTGCTATGATATTACATAATATTTCCCTCAGCTCCCCACATGCTTTATTTAGCCCCAACTATATCCTGCATATTGATCCTCAATCAGCACACCTCTTTACTTACCTGACAGTCTCCCCACTATGCTTGCTGAGTTCTGCAAGAGTGGGACTGTATCATATTTATCTTTGCATTCCTGTACCAGCATATGAACTGTCATTTATTAATAGCAGATTAATAAATGAATAACTATCCAGTAAATGCTTAACAAAACTAAAAAAAATCCAAGTCACATTAAACTCTTGGTGAACTGAAAAAAACAATTTAGATTCATTTAACCTTCATCTTTCCATTCAACAATTATAAACATACTATATGCAGGGCATTGAGATGAATACTCAGATAGCCAGGTGTACAGAAATGTAGAAAATAAGGAAAAAAATCAGAAATAAAATAGATTAGAAGCAATCGTAATATAAAGGCAACGAAGTCAATACACAAAAAAAGAGAATTACAACTTCCTCATGCCCAAAGGCTGAAAACACAACCAATTATAAGATCAATACAGAAGATAAATTAAATTTGCATAATACAGAGTATATCTTTAAGCAAAAGTGACACAGTTAGCCAAGCTTACCCTTGACCACTGTGTAGAAAAATAAGTCTAGAAAAATATATACAGTTGCTCTTCAACATATGATGGGATTATATCCCAGTAAACCCATTGTAAACTGGAAATATCTAAGTCAAAAATGCACTTACTGTACCCAACCGACCAAACATCATAGCCTAGCCTACCTTAAACATGCTTGCAATATTTACATTAGAGCCTATAGTTGGGCAAAATCATCTAACACAAAGCCCGTTTTATAATAAATGTTCAATGTCTCATGTAACTTAATATCGACTGAAAGTGGAAAACAAAATGGTTATGTGGGTACTCAAGTATGCTTTCTACTAAATGTGTTTCGCTTTCACACCATCGTAAAGTCAAAAAATCCTAAGTTGAACCATCATTAAGTCGGGGACGCCTGTACTAAGAAATACAAGAACAAACAACATAGCAATTTAGACATCTTAATGACATATAGAGAAAAACAAGTGTAGAGGAATCTTTAGAATTCCTCATCCTATACTGAAGGATGACCACTACAAAAACCCTGAAATTCTGTGGGAAATTTTACATATGTTGGTCTTTTTCCCAGAAGACGGTCAACAGCTTTCATTGGCTTCTTAAAAGGATCTATGACCTGAAGAACATTAGGAACCAATGCCCTAAAGAAAGTTAAGACACTGTCTATCTAGCCATGACAATGTTTTCCCTTGTATTTCCCTTTCATTTATGAAACACAGGTATATGGTATTTTTTTCCCAAAGCCACATGATAGACTACTGTCAAATACAATAAAGATGGTACCAGATACCAAAGAAACAGAATTCCACCCCTTTTGCATTATTCAGCTCCAATTCTCTCATGTCCTTGGGTTTGCAGAGAAACAAGCAGCATCTCTAAAGATCAAACCTCCCCGGCCGGGCGCGGTGGCTCACCCCTATAATCCTAGCACTTTGGGAGGCTGAGGTGGGTGGATCATGACATCAGGAGTTCAAGACCAGCCTGGCCAACATGGTGAAACCCCGTCTCTACTAAAAATACAAAAATTAGCTGGGCGTGGTGGCACACACCTGTAGTCCCAGCTACTCGGGAGGCCGAGGCAGAAGAATCGCTTGAACTCGGGAGGTGGAGGTTGCAGTGAGTCGAGATCATGCCACTGCCCTCCAGCCTGAGTGACAAAGTAAGACTCCATCTCAAAAAAAAAAAAAAAAAAGTAGAGGCTGAAGACTACCACTGGAAGAAAAGTAAAAATGAAGTAAAGGACAACAGCATAATGGAAAAGCCTGGGAAACAGACAGATCTGGGCCTAAATTCCATTTACTAGGTGTGTGATCTTAGACAAGTTGCCATACATCTCTGAGTCCAGTCACCTCTGTAAAATAAACAAGTCTATCTCATAGGATTGTGCCCAGCAAAGAGTAAGCCGTATTGCTATTTGTTCTATTTCTTTTGGCTCCAGATTAATCTAAAGGCAGAAACCTTATGCTAGGTATTCTACAGATTGATAAGACAGAAATACAGATATATAAATCTGATCATATGCAAAAGAGCTGGCCTTCTCAATCTTTCTACACATTACCTGCATATGAAGGAGAACATACAGTATATACTAATCTCCATACTGTTAGCCATAACTGCAGACAACCAACAACTTAAACTCTACTTTGATGACAATGAGATTGGGAGGCTCCAGTTTCATTCTCAAATTATACAGTTCTGCAAAAGGTAAACAGTCTACTAAATAATGTGCAGGCCATGCCACTTAATCAAAAATTTTAACTGGGTCTCAACTGTTTTGAGCTGGTTCAAATGAATTTGGAAGGAATGGAGACAAAGATTCTTTTGCATGGTTTAAAAGAGCAAGTTATTTATAGCAATTATCAACCTGGCAGCAAACTCTTTCCAGGATGTTGAAAAGAATTCCAACTTCACAGGTTTGTTATGAGGCTCAAATTAGTTCACTGATAAGAAAGTTGTAAAACAAAGCCTTTAAAAACAAAGGTGTCCCAACATATAGAAAAAAATGGCTGTCTGAGTAAATTTTATGGTGCTCCACACAGCCTGACACATAGTTATTTCAAATGTTCTTAAATAAACCAGACAATTCTGAACAATCTACTGCTTTAAAACATATCTATTACATGAAAGATGCTTGCTAGAAATGAAAGTGAAGTATGCAAAGGTACTCTAGTTCTCAGCCACCAACTGGCTTTAAGACCTTATGACATTCTGGGCTTCCAACATGATGTAAAATGGAAGTACAATAACTAAGATCCCTTAAAGCACTATCTGTAGTACTTTGCCTTCAGTCTAAGACAAATGTTAAATATTAAACATGAACAATCTGAATTATTTTCAAAAACTAAACAGCTAAAAGTAACCATGCTAGTTTTCTACTTGCCACAAATTCCTAGGTTTTTAAAAAATAAAACTACACTTCTGCAAATAATTCACTTTTAAGCTAAGAATATTTTTAAAGATCAAATAGACTTTGCCAGGAAGAAAAACAGGAGCTACTGGCTAACCATTTGGATGAAAATAAAAGTACACACCTACTTCACACCATTACTTCAGCATAAAAAGCTTAACATAGTATAAAAATACTTAACATAAGTATATACTTAACACAGTAATACTTAACTATAATGCTAAAAGGTGTAAACTATTATTTTGTTTCAATCTTTTTAAAAATAGCAAACATGTTATAGTTTAAAACAGTTGAAAAAAGGAAGGGAAAATAAGATGGACTTAGAAAGCAGCCCTTTAATTTGAAAAAGTTTTACAAGCAGGAAATTCAGTCTCATCTACTGATTTATAGCATCCATAAATGCATGAAAACACATGGCCAAATCGAACTGTTCCATGAAAGAGCTCCAAGTTGATCTCATGTCAGAAAGTAGTAACTACGGTTAAAAGGGCAAAGAAACTGAGCTTTCTTTGGATTTTTGCCTTTCTCACGTTGACTTTCTACTTTAAAATTCCCCTATTTGGGGAGTAACTTTCTCATAGGAAGAGGACCACTTACTTTGTATTTCTACAGATGACACCAGATGGCACATTTAGAAATAAAGTTCAGTTTTAAGGAGAGATAAAACATAGTGAAAACAATACTGGACTAGGTAACCTGGGTTTGATGCTCAATTTCACCACTATCCAGCCATGTTACCATGGATATGTTATTACTCCTACAACTGGGCCTATAAAATAAGGAGTTTGATATGGATAATAGGAAATATAGGGTATCATCCAGCTTTTCTGTTGGACATGAAGACTACCCTTTTAAAGCTGTTGGTAATTTGCTAGAGGGAGAGATCTGAATTCACCCATAAAAGCAGCCTGTCTTTACTTTTTAAAAGCAAAAATCTAAAATTCTCTACGTAAAAGGATATCTTCTAGTGATGTCTGCATCTCTCCAGACTATACTTCCTTTTAAGGCTGGTCTCACCAAGATATTTAAAGAAATGTAAGAAGCCGGGGCCTGGACTCCAGATTGGGTTAACAAACTGCAAAGCCCTCCAAAGTAGAAGAGTCAAACTAGCCCCTGGAAAAATATGGCAGCAGATATGTATATGTCTATGTATATACGTGTACGTACGTATATGTATATACGTGTATATATGCAGTGAGCCATCTACAACGATACTGGCTATATCCAGATTTATACTCTTCTGATTTATCAAGGCTTATCCTGATGTGCTACAATATTGTAAATCATGATGGATCATATACTAAACATATCACAGTGAAAAATGCAAGGTTAGCCTTTCTAAAGGCCAATTTAGCAATGAGTATTAAAAGCCTTACATTTTTACATTCCGGTTGTAGAAATTTCTTAAGGATATAAATATGGATGTCACGCAATGGACTTTGGGGACTCAGGGGGAAAGGATGGGAAAGGGGTGAGGGATAAAAGACTATAAATTGGGTTCAGTGTATACTGCTCCAGTGATGGGTGCACCAAAATCTCACAAATCACCACTAAGGAACTTACTCATGTAACCAAATATCACCTGTTCCCCAAAAACCTATGGAAATAAAAAATTAAAAATATTAAATATGGATCTCATAAATATTTATCTATTAGGATGTACCTATGCTTCTTTCATTCGACACTTATTTACTGAATGCTGAATTACCTGTATGTTAGGAGGCATTACTTAAAATCATGAGAAACTGGGACTGGAAAAGTGTGAACACAGCAAACTGGTTAAATAAATTCTGCATACAATAAAATACAATGTAGCCATTAAAAATGCTACAGAAGCTGGGCACAGTGGCTCACGCCTGTAATCCCAGTACTTTGGGAGGCCGAGGCGGGCGGATCACGAGGTCAGGAGATCGAGACCATCCTGGCTAACACGGTGAAACCCCGTCTCTACTAAAAATACAAAAAAAAATTAGCCGGGCGAGGTGGCAGGCACCTGTAGTCCCAGCTACTCAAAAGGCTGAGGCAGGAGAATGGCGTGAACCCCGGGGGGCGGAGCCTGCAGTGAGCCGAGATCGCGCCACTGCACTCCGACCTGGGCGACAGCGAGACTCCGTCTCAAAAAAAAAAAAAAAAAAAAAAAAGCTACAGAAGTATACATAATGACAGAGACATGGAACGGGTCAATACGTGGGAAGAGCAAATTTAACAATACCATTTCTATACTAGTTTGGAGAAAACAGCTTGAAAAAAGACAGTTTGGGGACACCTGAGGGAAAAGTATGAACACAGCAAAAGGTGTGAACAAAGCAAACTGGTTAAATAAATTCTGCATACAATAGAATACAATGTAGCCATTAAAAATGCTACAGAAGTATACATAATGACAAAGACATGAAACAGGGGTCAATATGTGGGAAGAGCAAAGTTAAAAATACCATTTCTACACTAGTTTGGAGAAAACAGCTTGGAAAAAAAGACAGTTTGGGGACAACTGAGAAAATGTGAATATGAACCGGATATTAGATAATATTAAGAAAAAATAAACTCCCTAGGCGTGATAATGGTATTGTGGTTTTGTAGATGTCCTTACTTTTTTTTTTTTTTTTGAGACAGAGTCTCACTCTGTCGCCCAGGCTGGAATGCAGTGGCGTGATCTCAGCTCACTGCAACCTCCGCCTCCTGGGTTCAAGTGATTCTCCTGCCTCAGCCTCCCGAGTAGCTGGGACTACAGGTGCCACCACACCCAGCTAATTTTTTTATTTTTAGTAGAGGCAGGGTTTCACCATGTTGGCCAGGCTGGTCTCGAACTCCTGACCTCAAATGATCCACCCACCTTGGCCTCCCAAAGTGCTCAGATTACAGGTGTGAGCCACTGCGCCCGGCTGAGATGTCCTCATTCTTAAGACATGCAGCTGAAAGATTTAAGGATAAAGTGTCATCCTTACTTCTAATGTTGAGAAAAATTAAACACACATCTGTACATATAAATCTAATATGGCAAATACTTAATTGTTGGATCCAGCTGATGGTATACAGATGTTCATTGTGCTATGTTTTCAGCATTTTTGTTTGAAATTTTTCATACAAAATTGAAAGCTGGAAGGGAGGTAATGAATTACATTTTAAAAAGAGCATTTCTGAAAAAATATATAATATGGCTACAGAGCAGTTAAGAAAAGCCTTCGAAGAAGATACTGCATACCAAAATGTTAAGAGTATTTTATCTGTGAGTTTGGGGTTTGCGGAAATTTGTCTGTTTATCTGTATTTTTCAACAATAAGCCATGTATAATTCTACAGTCATGAAGATTACTTAAAAACAAATTCAGGAAAACGTTTTCAAACAAGAGTTAACAAGAAAATGAGCAAACGAAAAAAAGTTCTATTCCCAAAGCATTCTTACTAAAATCAGAATGCTTCTTACAAACTCTAAAATACTGTACAAATTTAATATTATTTAATAATAGGTTTTTGTGTGGCCACCACATCGGTTTTGAACTTTTACTTACATTCATAATTTATACCATTCTCACAGTAGAAAAATTCAAGCAATTCATTGTACTGATTGTAAGGGGGGAAGGGAATGCTGGGTATTAAAAAAGTATCTCCTGTTTACCTATACAGGTTAAGTATCTCCTATCCAGTGCTTGGGACCAGCAGGATTTCAGATTTCAGATTCTTGAATATCTGCCTATACATCATGAGACATCTTGAGGATGCGGCTCAAGTTTAAACATGAAATCCATTCATGTTCCATACACACCTTATACATACAGCCTGAAGGTAATTTTACACAATTTCTCGTATAAATTTAGGTGGCACAAGTACAGTTCTGTTACATGGGTATATTGTGCAGTAGTGAAGTCTAGACATTTAGTGTAACCATCACCCAAATAATGTTCGTTGTACCCTATACAATATTTTTAATAATTCTGCTCATGAAACAAAGTGTTAAGTACTTAGGCGTAGAATTTTCCACTTGTGGCATCGTGTTGAAACTCATTTTGGGGCATTTTGAATTTTGGATTAGGGACACTCAACTTGTGTTACTTCCAACTCCACAAAAAAATGTAAGGCAAAAATAAATGTTAAAAATGATCAATTCTGGAGTGGGGGTAGGGACAGGGATTGTTGTATTATTCTCTGTACTTCTCAGTATATTTTTCAGAAGTAGAAATGCACATATTACAGAAAAAGGTAAAGTTCCCCACGATCCCTCCTCCCAAATAAAGTTGTCAGTTTGCCATGGTTTTTTTTAAAACATAAATAGCATCACATAGTATGTACTCTCTTGCAACTTGCCAAAATTGCCTCCAAAATAGCTGTATCAATTTACGCCACTTGTAGGCAGTATTATAAGGCCAGACTCTTCCTTATACCTTTTACGATGACTTGATATTATCAAATTATTTTTTATCAATCTAATGACTAAAAATGACCTTATTTAAATTTGCATTTCTGATTATTAGTTTGAGTACCATTTCTTGTTAGTGGACGTTTTTAGTTTCCTATTCTGGGAAATGCCTATCCTTAAAATTTCCTACTAGATTTCTTTTCTTATTCCTTAAACACTACCCTTATCATTAAGATGTGAATACACCAAAATGTTAACAGTGACTAAACATTGTGGTGGAATTATGTATATCCTCTCCCCAAATATGCACACATTTTCTAGTTTTTCCTGAATTCAGTGATTAAAAACTAGAAAATGATAAAATGGATGAAAAAAATCCTTTTAGACAAAAGCATTAACTTTCAGGATACTCTACTACAGGTTACCCTTAAGGAGGTCATAAAATCTAGCTCAAAGAAATAAATGCATCTAAAGAGTAAGTCTTGTGAAGAAATGAAACAATAATGGTTTGAGACTATTGATTCATTTGGGGTACGTTTAACTAACTTATTTGTATAGCATTTTTGAATTCATGAAGTACTTTTCATTTATCTTGCTTAACCCTAACAAAACTCTGTGACATTCTCTGATGCCTTCTTGTAAACTGCTATAGCACATTTTGTTCATTCCTCATATTACCATACTGACCCTTTTGTGTGATTTGCAAGTCTCCTTCCCCTAGACCACACTGTCCTACATTCTCCAGTCACTTATCTTTGTATTCCCAGGATGTAGCTGCAATGACTACGTCCTCAATAAATATTTGTTAAATGAATATCACCATCTTCATTTAAAGGATGAGGAAACTGGCTCAGTGATGAGGTAATTTGCCCCAAGTAACATAGCTACTAAGTATTTTATATAAATTATAATGACCTTATCTTCGTACTTTACAAGCATTTAAAAATACATCATCTCGCTTTAATGCTCACAGCAACCTATGAAATAGGCTTTCCGATTACTGTTTTATAGATAAGAATGGAAATTTAGTGATATACCCTAGGCCCACTCGAATCCTAGTTTATATGAAGTACAGCTGTTTCTTTACATTGTACTTGATCACTACCTGGGTATGGGAGCCTCTATTTTTATGTACCAAGTACATTAAGGGTAGGGTATAGGGGAGGAAAGATGGAAGTAAGGCAGTTTAAAGGCACAGGAAAGAGGCTGGAGCCCAGGTGTACAGGCCCATCTAAAGACCATAAACTGGTATTGTAATGTCAACTGCACATGCCACTCTGAAATCCAATATTGGCCCAAAGGTTTTTCTTGATATTACCCTGTATTAATAGAAGACAATTGTTGGCTTTCTCACATATCAGCAGTCTCAAAGGCTGGGGAGGCACACAGAATTAGGAAAGCTGTGAGAAACAATGGACAGGCTATATCATGCATAGACAGTGCAGGGGAAGAAATGATGACACAAAGGAAAAGGCTAAGGAACTTTAAACATGATTTCACAGTCCTTAACTCGACTGTGAGTTTCTCAAGGGCAGAGACCAAGTCTCATTCATTTTATGTCCCTTACTCCTTATACTTAGCAACATTCAGTAAATGTTATGTTAAAAGAAAAAAAAAGATATATTAAGCTAAAAACTGAACAATGACTTCCATTTATTCAGCAGCACTTATTACATGCCACAAACTATACTTTAGATATTATGTGTAATGTTTAAAAAAATAAGATTTACCTGTTTGCTGACCTGCCATGCATGGTGCTGCCCAAATGTGTTAACAGTGGTGATACTGATGACTATTAGGAATACTTATTATAGGTTACTAAGGTTACAACAGAACCTTGAACACCTTGAATAGGAGGGGCCAGTATAGACGGAGAGAGATCAAGGTAACCAATGTAATACACATTACAGAACTAGCTAAGACCCTTCAGAGGGTATAAATGTGACTCCTAAGGAGTTCCAAAGTGAAAAACTACTCTATGGAACATTCAGTTATCACTGGCCAAAGTCTCAGACCCAAAATAACTCAAGAACAAACCCTATCCTGCCTCACCACTGATGATCCCACACAGACCTAAAGGGTCCAGACACATTTTGTTAAATGGCCATTATTTTCACCACCCTGACTGCCCACCTCTGAGCTGTTGAAGGAGTTAAGTAAAATAGTACATTAAATAAATTACCATCTACTGATCACCTACCATGTACTAACACCTTACATTTTCTCTTTAATTCCAATAACCATATGAATAAGGTATTTCCCCCCACATCATAACTGATATAGGTTAACTTGCCCAAACTGACAGACCTAGTAAGTGGCCAGGCCCCAAATCCGGAACTGCCTGGGCTCCATGATCTTCCTATGATTATCAAGGCTTCTCAAACCTTTCCACCTTAACTCTAATAAAAAGGTAGAGAAGAATGAAGAGGCAGGCTAGGGAGGTTAAGTGGAAAGAGAAAAGTGGAACTTGATAGAAAGTTCCAAGCTACCCTTGGCAAAAACAGAATTTCTTTTGACTTCACCTTTTATCTTAATCCCATTAGCTAATTCCAGGTCTGGGGCAGAAATGCACAAGAATGCGCCTGGAAACATCTTGACATACCAGATAGCAAGGAAGCTATCAAAGACTACTAGAGAGCATGTCAGTAAGAATCAGGAGCCAACTTTAAGAGAGTTCCACTAGCCACAAGAAGGGCAATTTGAACTTCGCTAAGGATCAGAACTGCAATGTATTGAAACCCATCAAATGTTTACATCTATGGATGCATAGTTATATATACACTTATATGTGTAACCTTTTGAAGATGACAGGGGACCAATTCATCATCTTGAAAGCAATGTTTTAAAAAATTGAGTATTTATCCTGCTCTTCCTATATAAACTATATTGCTGAGTAACCAAATAAAAGATGAGGGGAAACAAAATTATTCCAGCTAACAGATGAAAACAAAATGATAGCATCAGAACGTCACCATTTTGTAGCCCCCCAACAAATTAATGGATCCAAAAAATTCAAGTCATCGTAACATAATCAATGTTGTGAATGAACACCCCCCCACCCCACCCCCCCGCAATATATTTGCCAAAGGGAACGAACCTGAAATTTATCAAGTCTCTGGATCCAGCTGCCAATTTGCAGGAAATAGAGAAGTATCACCTGGGAACTTATCAGAAATGCAAAATCTGGGGCCCCTCCTAGATCTACAGAATCAGAAACTCTGGGAGTGGGGACCAGCCAATCTTTTAGGAAGTCCTCTAGGTGATTCTGATGTTCCCTAAAGTTTCAGAACCATTGTTCTAAGCACTTTATATGCATTAACTCAGCTAAATTTCTTCAGAACTCTATAAGGCAGGCAGTATTATCATCATTTTACAGATGAAGGACCGTGTGGCACAAAGCAGTTAAGTAATTTGCACAACATGACACACCTGGTAAGAAATGGGAGTCAGAACTTGAACTCTGTGAATCTAGCTCCAGAGTCCATGTTCTTAATCGCTGTGCTGAAAGGTCTTTCCACCTGTAAGAACTCAATTGTCAGAATGCCGTAATAAAGAATATTGGAAGTTTAAAAAAAAAAAAAAAAAAAGCAAAGACCAGGAGAAACATGCCTCACTATAAAATAGACAGGAATATAAGAAAATAATCATAGCAAATAATGTACCCAAAGTAATCTTCCAAAATCATTCCAAAACATTAACAGCCACCAAATGTAATATACCCACGCACTTCTGGGGCAATTATCTCTGATATCTAATCACAAGGACCTAAAACCTGGATTGTGCTAAAGGTGGTACATAAATTCATGACAGTATCCTCAGACTCATCAATCTTTTAAATCTAAATGGTTATAGTGAAAGGTCATTCCAGAATAATTCATCTCCCTACTTTTAGTCACCATTTACTTAATGACTACTGAAAGGAAAAACTGCTGTCTTTCAATACCTAAGATTATACCATCAGAATCTCAGAGTTGAAGAATTTTAACATTCATCTAGTTCAATCAGCAATCCAGACTGAATCAGATCTACAATCCCAATCTCCACGTAATGGTACATTCATAATAAATTAAAACATTCCAACTTTCTGTAAAATCACATTATGGGATCATTCTATGCCACCAACTGTAATTTTTAAAGCCAAATGACTAAAAACTTTTAAAGAGAACTTAAAAGTTGAAAATGCTCAGGTTAACAGCCCAAACAAAACCTACAGTTGTTTTACTCATAGAGCCACTTCTTCACTACCTGAAAGGATTTCTATATCCAGAAGACCAAGCTGGTCAACAAGTACATCAAGTTTTAACAACACCACCTATGAAACATCAAACGACTTAAAAGTTGAGTTATTCCTGACATTAACATATATAAACATCTAGTAACCAGTCGTTGAGGAAACAACGAATAATACAGCAAAACACCAAAAGCCCAAGTACTTATGAATATCAACCTTATAGATAGTGAGATCATCATAAAGCAGCCTAAAAGTCCTTAAAGGACTTTATGCTAAGGAAACATAAATTTCAGATGAAATGAAATGAAAAATCACAGTAGGAAAACTAAGGTTGTGTATAATAGCTGAAAATCAACATGTAAGTAGAAGCTCTCAAAAACTGTTTTAGTATTGCCATTTCAAGAACTGTATGACAGCCAGGAACTCATTATTAGGTCTTAATAGCTTAGAAGTTATGGGTCAGAACAGCTGAGACACTAACATCAAAAGAATAAAAAGCAACATTATAAAGTAGTATAAAAATAACTAAATCACCTAAGGAAATTGAAACCATGCATGAAAAACCCCAAAGGCACAATCAGGTCATTAGGAAACACTAGCTTCTTCCACCAGGAGGCCTACTTTTCATGTGGAGCAATGAGCAAGGCCAAGACATGGAACTGAAGTCAGGTATCAAATCAGACTTTGCCACAGAAAAAGGAATCCATGACTAGTTATTTTAGGATAGTGCCTATGACAGCACTATCAACTCCAACTAGGATACAGGAGATTATAGCCATTGTTCCATTATAATGGGTCCTCCAGGGTCTTTAATTGAGCAAGAATGGGTTAGACACCACTACTGGGCTGTAATCCCCAAATATGGGGGGCGGGAAACTATATATAGGACAATTTCTTCAACAAATAAATTGGAAGAAAAAAAAAACAAAAGACAGAACCTGCAGATTAAAATAGATTTAACAGCTGTATCAATGCTTTGCAATAAATGTGCTTTCTCAGGATCCTGATTCAAACAAACTGTAAAAGAAAAAAAACAAAGCTTAAAAAAAAATCAGAAATCTGAACATTTTATATTTGATATTTTTAAATATCTGTTAATTTTTTCAGTTGTGATAATAGTTTTGATCTTATATTTAAAGAGCCCTTGCCTTTTAGAAATACAAACAAGTATTTTACAAATAAATATGACAGGGATTTATTCCAATATAATCCATTGAGGGGGGCAGTGGTTAGAAGTATAGATGAAACAGGCTGGGCCTGGTGGCTCACGCCTGTAATCCCAACACTTTGGGAGGCCAAGAAGGGAGGATGGCTTGAGCCCAGGAGTTTGTGACCAGTCTAGGCAACACGATGAAACCCCATCTCAATTTAAAAAAATTAAAAAAAACCAAACAAACAGAAGTATAGATGAAATAGAATGTGCAAGTTGATACTATTAAAGCTGGTGATGGGTAAGTGGGGGGATTATTATACTATTCAATGTTTGCATGTTTGAAATTTTTCGTAACTTTAATAAGAACTGGTTAGACATAATGACTTGCAATTTTATTTTTTGAACGATGCCTAGGGTGATTTAAAAAATCATGTACAGACATCATTCATTTAAACAATTCCCTTTAATTCAGTAATGAGCTCCACTTTAAAAAAAGAAGCAACCAGTACCACATCAGATCCAGAGAATGGAAGAAACCAAAGTAGCTCCATTACAGAATGGGAATACATCCACCCCTACTATCTCCATTCCAGGAAGTAAAATACAAATACTTCCCACAAGATTTACAAAAACTAACCTAAAATCACAGCCAATCATACTCATCCTGGTGGGAAATTCCCCACACTGCTCCAACAGCTTCCCGAACCTTCCTGACCAAGTTGGCCTGCTGGTTTCTCTGGATCACTAACCCACTCAGGTCAGGCTGCTGGAGGACCTACAAAAAAAAAGTTGGGGGAGAGGAGTGAGATACACAACACATTTATTAGGGTGTGTGAGGAGGGTTAACCATTCTATTATGTTCAAACATAACTAGTTATTATTTCTAAAGCAATAGTCCTTACATATCTATTTGCATTTTTTAGGACCTGCTTTGAGAAGTAACTGAGGAATTCAGAACCAACAACTCTAATACTTCTAACGCTTAGACAACATTCCTGAAAACTGAGTTCTCAACCCAAATGAAATTATAGAAGACAGTTTATTTTTTAGACAAGTTTATACCCTCAATATAAACACTAAGGACGTATTTGTTTCATTGTTTCTGTGAAAAAAAACAACAACTGTACATATAAAAATTATTCTTCACCTTCATACATGCTTTTTGGCCATATTGGGAGACAAACGATAAACATCCTGGCAACTCAGGTTGAACTTTGCCATTGAACCTTAGACAAAGTTTTTATTTGGTATTGTCACTCCTTCCTCTCTTCTCAGAGATCTACCTAGAATAAGTTAAACTTTTAGGTCACACCTAGATTATCATTCCCAGATTTATTCTATTGCTCAATAAGGGTCAAATTGAAATTGAGGTTTAATAAATTTGTGATCACTGCTTAACCCACGGTAAAATGCACCAATGCAAAATCTCAAAACAGAAAGTGATTTCCTGCCCTCCAATGAAAATGGAAGAAAATTTTATTACCTACAAAGCACTTCAAATTAAATAAAGCAGTTTATTTCGAACTGAAGTTCGAAACTAGAGTCCACATACAGCTAATTGTGGGATGGTTACCTCCTGTAAATTTTAAATCCTAGTAAACTTTTCACCACGTTTCTACTTCAATTCCCATCACCCAGCCGAAGTAAAATAATGGGGATAGTTGTGCTTGTATTAAAGGGTTGTTGCTAGAATTAGTTAAAAAAAAAATTGTAAAATGCTACACTTTAATATTGGTCTAATCAATATATTAACAGTAAGGAAGCCTGTAATCTCAGCACTTTGGGAGGCCGAGGCGGGCGGATCACGAGGTCAGGAGATCGAGACCATCCTGGCCAACGTGGTGAAACTCCGTCTTTACTAAAAATACAAAAATTAGCTGGGCATGGTGGCGCGCGCCTGTAGTCCCAGCTACTCGGGAGGCTGAGGCAGGTAAATCGCTTGAACCCAGGAGGCGGAGGTTGCAGTGAGCCGAGATCGCGCCACTGCACTCCAGCCTGGCGAGAGCAAGACTCCATCTTAAAAAAAAAAAAAAAAAAGTAAGGAAAACTTTCTCCAAGTCAAATAGTCACATCTGTTTAATAAGTACGTTAGAAAATATAAAATGGCAATAACACAACAGGAAGTAGTGTATTAAAGAGCCAGCAGTAATTTGCTATGGAAAAGAAGCTGGGTATTCCAAATGATCTTTCTCTCTCGGACAGGAATTATCTTGCTCAGGTAAGAAGATGCCAAATAGCAGATCCCCACACTGATCTGAGGAACCAAACAAATGAGGGAGGTGAAAAGTAGCATGAATACTTCAAAACTAGCTAACAGAAGTTCCTTTTACCACTGTGAAATGCATGACACCAAATTACTTTTGTAGAGTGAATGACAGGACAGACTGCCTTTGAAGGAGTGGAAGAAATGAGTAGGCAGGGCATGAGGCACCCCTTCCAAAAGGTAGAACACTTGGGTGTGGTTCTTGACAGGAACATTATGGCTGGTGGTCATTCCAGGATAGTGATTACGCACTGAAATTCCTAGACCATTAGAAGGAAACAAAGAGTGGGAATCACGTTCAAACATCATGAACCACTGGAGATAAAAAGTTTGGCCTATGAGGAAAAAAAATATAAACGTTATAGATCTGGCCTAGAAATACACCAAGAATGTACAGTTAAAGAAACAAAAATCTCTTACTCTTTCCCAGGTCATAAAATTAGCATATGACACAGGTACATCTACCAATGCATTCTTACACCAAAAAGTAATCCTAATTTATTATGTGCCTACCATGAGCTAAACATTTTATTTTATTTTATTTTAACTAATTCTAGCAACAATCCTCTAATGTAAGCACAACTATTCCCATTATATAGATGAACTGAGAATCTGAAAATTTGCCCAAGGTCACAAGGTTCAATGTGAACCCAAAACACACCCAAAACACACACTATTAATTTCACCATACCAGACCGCCGCCTATGACTGGGGAATGTTGGTATCTCCTCAATCTATGCAACACTGGGGCTAAAAGAAAACAATGCTGAACATGTAATCTACAAAGGAGAAACAAATGATAGGGAATTAACTGCCTATAGTAACGGTGGCATGGGGGGAAGAGGAAATAAAGAACAGGGCAGACTGGGGGGCAGGACAATCAATGCTGTTTTCTAGTAAATGGAAGGGGTAAAATGTAGTGGAGCCTGAGAGGAGGGTTATCTTCCTTCTAAGGGATTCAGCTCCTGGAAAAGGAGTATGGGGAGTGGGGGATAGAAAGATTAAGAAGTGAGAAGCAGGTAAGAGGTGCTCAGCAGCAAAAATAGATGTCCACAGACCAAGAGGCTCCAGAAACTCAGAGCAAGGCAGGGAAAAGGGGCGGTTCCCAGGCTTGCAGGGGAAATGGAAGAGGCAGGGAAGACAGAAAGCGGGTTTACTGGAGAGTTATCCTCTACAGCCTTCTGAGGGGGAGGAATGAGGAAGGCAAGGCTAATGGCCGTAAACGAAAAGGCCACTTAAACTGCAATATCCAAACACCGACCCGTTCATAGTTTCGCTTAATAGTGGTTTAGCAGCATGCAGAGCTAAGAAATCCGGATCAGAGTCATACAAACATGAAGACTTGAGGAAATGGAAGGCTACTATGGCACCATCCACAAAGATGGAGTAAATGCAGGCAACAGGATAAGCTCTATTCAACGCCTGCGCCAAGGGGACCAATGGAAGGGGGAGACAGAGCGGGCTAGAGGACTTAGGCTAAACTCGAATTTAGAACTGGGGAAGGAGTCACAGGGAAAAGCTTTGACTCCCCCCTCCCTTAAATACCAGCCTCAACTATCCACGTAGATGAAGATTAGATGGGACGACAGAATTAGGAGGGGTGTGGGGAGAGGAGGAGGAGTACACCAGTGACACTACTGCTTGAACCCTAAGCCTTAGCTCTAAAACCGCGAGAGTTGGCGAAGATGACCCCACCTCGAGAAAAACCAGGGTATTCATCCGGGTCGTCGGAGGTGCTGAGAACGGAGGTTGGCCGGCAGAAAAGGTAGGGGAAAGGGGCCACTCTTCATTGGTTGCTCCTCTTTCCCACCGTTCAATTTAACCCCCAACCCCACTCCCCAGCGAACTCCAGACTCCCCTCCCACCCTTCCCAATCCGCCCACTGCGGCGGCGACAACGGAGGCGTTGACCGATCGGTGGGGCAAAGGCGGGCCCACACGCGGCCGAGGCCCAGGAAATGGTGTCGCCTCAACGGACAAGAAACGAGGTGGTCTTCGCCTCAGGTCTAGTTTACCGGCACCCCGGCGTTTCGCCAATCGTCACCTCCTTAACGCTGGGCACCTCAGAGGCGTCATAAAGGCAGATAGCCAACACCTCTGTGCTGGGTCCTGGCCGGACAGACATCAGCCTCCGCCGCCATCTTAACAGCAGGCGGACCGACCCTAGTCACTGCCCCCCCACCCCCCACCCGCGAGCTACCTCAGCCACCGCCAACGAATCCCACGAGGACGTAACCCTGCTCCCGCGAGAATTCTCCGGCTTAGAACGGCACGAGCCGAAGACCTTGCCGCCGCCTCCGCGGCTACTGCAGTCAGTAACCGAGCCACCGCCGCCTCCGCGCGATCCCGCGAGAACCTCTACCGGACGGGAAAAGCCTGAGCCCAGCCCTTTCCAGACCCCTCCTCCCTCCCACCAAAGCCGAAGTAGCTACAGCTTCACCCTACGCGAAGCGAAAAGCAAATGACGCACAACCTAACGAAGCAGTGAGGGGCGGAGCCAACCTACCACGGCCGGCTCCCGCATGCGTTGAGAACTATCGCGATATTACGCTTTAGCCTCGGCGAGACCTTCTTAATTCACCGCAGGATGCCGCCCGCGCCTCGCCTTTAGGAAACATGAGATATCGCGAGACCTGGTGCACACTCCTAAAAAGGAGAAAGGCGGAGCTTCATGAAAATGACTGGGAGTTTTTCGGGGGAAGGGAGGAACCCTCCCGTCCTGCAGGGATCTCGCCTACCACGAGGTTTCCGACCCACTGCGGAGCTGGCTGCCAAACCTCGCGATGACACAGCTCAGCGCCAAATCTCGGCCATGTCCTGAAAACTGCCTCCGCCCCCGATCTAGGTGTCTAGAGCCTAGTGCTTGAGGAAAATTTAAAAAGTCAACCTGTTTATTCTCACGCTTCCGGGCAAGGCTGTACCAATTAGCCAAACTCCATTCTGGAAGCGGAGCAAAGAGTCCCCCATTGTTACCTGTCTCCAGGAATAACATATTATCCTGGACTAACATTTAAAAGACGTTCAATCTCACAGTAAGCACACAAATGCAAATGAAAACAATGACATAACATTTTTTGCCCATTAGATAGGGAAAAAAATTTTTAAACCTACATTATCCAGACTCCTTCCCTCGCCGCACTGCAGGCTAACCTGAATCCATCTTAATCTAACTAAAGGCCATATCATTAGTTCTAGTTCCAAAGCCACCAATTTTAACTACTGAAGCTTTACCTTGGCATAACCAAAAAGATCCAATAAAGTGGTTTTCTCCAAACAAAGGAGTCTGCCCTCAAAGGAATATTCAAGCTTCGGGGATGGGGGGAAATGCCTGAAGCTTTTAATATGGCAGTTTTTCCACGTCTAGCCAACAGTGTTTCTCCAATAAATCTTGGGATCCAATCTGGCTTGATTTGTGGGCTTTTCCATTCTAATGCATTGTTCTGTCCGTTCTAATTTAAATAGTTCCTTTAGAGTACATTTTAATAGCCAGTAGTACAAATATCCCTATCTTTACTTACGTTTTAAAATATTTTTTTTCAGTTATTCTTAGCCATTTTTTTCCCCCGGATGAACTTTAGAATCATAGTAAGTTCCAAAAAAACTTGGTATATTTATTGAAATTGCATCAACTGTATAAACCAATATAGGAAAAATGGACATCACTAAAATATTGAGCCTTCTTATTCAGAAGCATAGTATTCCTTCTCTTTTCATGCAGATGTTCTTTTATGGTATTCGTCAATAAAGTTTTATAGTTTACTTCTAGGTATTTTTATTCGTTTCTCTTGCTATTGCGAACAGGTTTTTTATTATTAAAATTTCAAAATGCTTATTGCTTATAGATAGGAAAACTGCCTATATAAACTATTGATATTTGCCTATTTACAAACAAAAATATGATCAATTTCGCCAGTAATCAGGGAAATGCAAATGAAAACAATGACATACGATTTTTTTGCCCTTTAAATTGGCTAAAATTACAAAGATTGATAATACGTGTTGGCATAACTGTGGAAAAATAGGCACTCTCGCACAACATTAAAGAGTGTAAATTAGTACAGGCTTTTGGGAAGGCAATTTGGACAAATCTATCAAAATTCAAAATGCATATACACCCTGACCCAGCGGTTACTCTTCTAAGAATTTCTCCTACAGAAATACTCATACATGGCATGATACATATACACAAACCCATTCATTATGGCATTGCTTGTAATAGTCCCCTCCCTCCCCCAACAGAGAAACAAGCTAATGTATATCAATCGGGAAATGGTTAAATAAACTGTAGTACAATCATACAATGCAGCTGTTTAAAACCCAACATAAATTTGGATTCCCGGATATAAGAAGATCTACAAGACATATTCTCAGATTTTTAAACAAGCAGTTAGTCGAAATGAATGTGTGTGTGTGTGTAGTACCATTTAGATATCAAAACATATATATGCAACGCCTAGTAGTTACCCGCGAAGCCTGCCTGCCCGCCCCTCACCTTCCCTCTCCTCTGAGGCCGCCTTCCTCGAACCAGTGAGAAACGCTGAAGGCCCGGCCTCTACTCTCTCTTTAGGGCCACTTGGCCATGGCTAATGCCGGTACCTCGCATCCCCTCTGTCAGCCGCTCTCTCGCCGCGCCGCCGGCAGCTGCCGGGCTGCCCCCGAAGATGCGGCTAGCTCTCCGCTGGCGCCTGCCGAGGCCTGGGGGAGGGGAGAGGAGGCGGGGTTCAGGGAGGGTTGGGGCAGGCCGCCCTGCCCCTCCAGCAGCCTTTCCCGCAGGCTCCCCAAGGCCGCCACCTCCGCGCCTCCGCGCAGGGTCCCGTGGGAACTCCCCCCCCAACCTCGCCACTGCCACCCGCGAGAAACCGAGAACGGCCGCGCGTACAGAGCTCGCCCTCCAGCCCAGGGATAGACGCTCACCTCGGCCGCAATGGCTCCGCGGGGCCCGCAGGAGCGTGCGGGGTCCGCGGCCCTGCTTCAGCCCTGCTTCAGCCCTGCTCCAGCCCTGCTCCAGCCCTGCTCCAGCCCTGCTCCCCTCGCTAGCCCTCAGTCGAAAGCCTCCTCGCTTCGGCTCAGCTCAAACTCGATTTGGGGCTCCACCCACCGCAAGCGAAGCCCCGCCCCTGCCCCTCGGGAGGGAGCTCCCTCCGCGGTGAAGTCGGGTCCCTTGCAGGGGACCGCGCCTGAGCTACCCAAGGCCCAGTAAATGCAACCATAGAGGATGATAGGGTCGCTAAGAATTGGGATTTGATTCGAGGCACGGTGGAAGCCGCGGAAGGGAACATGATTTGATCTGATTTACCTTTAAAAATTAACGACCTCGCCAGATGCCTTGTGAAGAATGGGGAGTGTGGGGCAAGAGGGCAAGGCTGGACCCAGAGCGGAGGGTGGGAGACGACGTGGGAAGCCGACCACCCAGAGTTCACGCGAGCAAACCCTTAAAACACTTCAGGCACATAGTAAGCCCTCAATAAACATTCTTTTTTCCTCCTTTAATTATTTGGAACGGCAGTGCGATTGACAAGGATCCTGTAGAGGATCTGCATCTGTAAATACATGGGAATAAAAAGGACCTGGTGGGAGATCACCTGTTAACCCTACTTAATTATTGTGGGCTGCGGACGACATTGGAGGGGCGAAGAACTTTGACTTGGAACTCTAGCTACTTCGATAAGGTTTCAATTTTTAATAAAAAGTATGTATTAATTTAGTATTTAAAGACAAAAGCACTATTAAAAGAACTCCTGAGACATCGAGGAAATAAAAACTGTGATTATACCCTCCACTTCTCTAATTCCAGCCCTCCAGAGCAGTGGTTCATCCCTCGAATTGAGAATCTAATGAATGGGTCCCCCACCCCAATATATACTTACACATAAAATTTTGTATATGATCTCAGGAGATGTACAGGGCCCCTTCGAGATACACTGTTTCATTGAATATTTTTACAATTTTTTTTTTTTGAGACAAAGCATCACTCTGTCACCCAGGGTGAAGTGCAGTGGCACGGTCACGACTCACTGCAGCCTCGACCTCCTGGGCTCAAGGATCCTCCTGCCTGCCTACAGTCTCCCAAGTAGCTGGGCCTCCAGGTATGCGCCACCACGCCTGGATAACTTTTTATTTTTTGTAGAGGCGGGGTCTCACTATGTTGCCAGGCTGGTCTCAAACTCTTAGGCTCAAGCAGTTCACCCGCCTCGGCCTCCCAAAGCGCTGGGATTACAGGCGAAAGACCCGGCCCATCTGTAACATTTAGTGGCAACATGAAGCTATACTTTCTTTAGCATGTAATTAACTTCGGTTGTTCTTTTTTCATTTTAAAATTGGTTTCCTAATTACACATGATTATTGTAAAACACGGATAAATTTAAAGTTCCCCTTACATTCATATACACAAATAGAAAAGCATGGCTTTGTTTTTGTTTTTCATTTAAAAAATAAATAGCATCCTTTTTATGTATTGTTATGTTAATTGCTTTATTCACTTAATGTAGCTTGAAGATCTTTCCATGTCAATATATATAAATCTACCTCATTTATCTTACCTACTGCATAGTATTCCATTGAATGAATATACTGTAATCATTCATCTATGGATAAACACATGTTATTTTCAATCTTTGACTATTACAGTGGGGTTTTTTTTTTACTGTTAACAATGCTGCAATAAAATTCCTTGTACATGCTTTTTTCTGCAGATGCTAAAATATTTCTGTGAGATAAACATGGAGAAATGAAATAGTTGGATAAAGGTAGCACACATTTTTTTTTTTTAAGATAGTGTCTCACTGTCACCCAGGCTGGAGTGCACTGGTGCGATTAGGGCTTACTGCAGCCTTGACCTCCAAGGCTCAAGCGATCCTCCCACCTCAAGCAATCATCCCACTTCAGTCTTCCCTCGAGTAACTGGGACTATAGGCGTGTGCTATCACGCCTGGCTAATTTTTGTATTTTTTGTAGAGATGAGGTATCACTACGTTGCTCAGGCTGGTCTCAAACTCCTTGGCTCAAGTGATCCTCCTGCCTCGGCTTACCAAAGTGCTTGGATTACAGGCGTGAGCCACTATTCTCTGCCCAAAGATAGCACATTTTGAAATTCTAATACATAATGTCAAATGACAAATTGCCACGTAGAACGACTATTTCAGTTTATACCTCCACTAGCAGTGAGTAAGAATTAGCATTTCCCTAAATTCTTACCCGGACTCGATATTAACCAATCATTTTAATATTTTGCCAATATAATGGGTGAAAAATGTCTCATTATTTACATTTCCCTGATTATTAGCTAAGGAGTATTTTCTTTCTTTCTTTCTTTCTTTCTTTCTTTCTTTCTTTCTTTCTTTCTTTCTTTCTTTCTTTCTTTCCTCTCTCTCTCTCTTTCTTTTCTTTCTTTCTCTTTCTTTCTTTTTTTTTTTGAGACAGTCTCACTCTGTCTCCCAGGCTGGAGTGCAGTGGCATGATCATGGCTCACTGCAGCCTCGATCTCCTGGGCTCAAGGGATCTTCTTGCCTCAGCATCCTGAATAGCTGGGATTACAAGTGCAAGCCACCATGCCTGGCTAATTTTTTTTGGGGGGGGAGGGGGGAGTGGGGAACAAGATGAGGTCTCACTATGTTGCCCAGCCTTGTCCCAAACTCCTGGGCTCAAGCAATCCTCTCCAATCTGCCTCAGCCTCCCAAAGTGTTGTTTCAGGCGTGAGCCACCGCACTGTGCCCCAAGAGATTTTTATCTATTTTATTATGAAAGTTTTCAAACATACGACGTTGAAAGAATTTTACATCTGTATACCCACCACATTGATTTTACCATGTTTTGTTATAACTTTACTACATATATGTCATTTATCTATCCACCAATCAAGCCATCTTATTTGTATGCATTTCTCTTTCTCATGTAACTAAACTCTCCAGAGTTTATTCTGTTGATATTTTCAAAGAACTATTTCTTAGATTTATTTTTCTGTTCTACCATTTTTCCCATTCTCTACTTAAGTTATTATTTTCAGCTTTAATGTTTATTAATATCTTCCTCCAGTTTTCTCTAAGTTTATTTTTTTCAGTGTTTTACTTCATATGAAGTGCTCTCATTCTTATTAATTTCTAGTTTATAATTTTAGGTTTGATTTCTTCTTTGACCATGAGATATTTAGAAGTATTTTCTTTGTGAGGTGACTCAAATTTTTTCTTATCTGGATGTTTTTGTGGTTAGAGGTTAGCTGTACTGCACTGTGTTCCATTAATGTGACTTTTATTATTTCTACTATTGGAAATGCATTGTGCTTTCTTTTATGATTCAGTACCTGATCAATCTTGGCAAGAGTTGCATAGGCATTTTTAAAAACTTTATAGCGTACAATTTATGTGCTTTTATAACTGTTTTCTTCATACATTTAATGGAATATTGGTTGCTATGTATGTTTATGACAGAAGATAGTCTTGGTAGATAGTCTCTTTTTTTCTTTTTTTAGAGACAGGATCTCACTCTGGTGCCTAGAGCTAGAGTGCAGTGGCACAATCATAGCTCACTGTCACCTCAAACTCTTCAGTATCTCTCTTTACCCTGTTTAAAGTTTTTTTTTTCCTTGAATACTATTTTTCTTTCTTTCTTTCTTTTTTTTTTTGAGACACAGGACACAGTTTCACTCTGCCACCCAGGCTGGAGTACAGTGGTGCAATCTCGGGTCCCTGCAACCTCTGCCTCCCTGGTTCAAGCGATTCTCCTGCCTCGGCCTCCTTAGTAGCTGGGATTACAGGCCCATGTGCCACCACACCCGGCTAATTTTTGTATTATTAGTAGAGATGGGGTTTCACCATGTTGGCCAGAATGATCTCGAACTCCTAACCTCAAGTGATCCACCCACCTCAGCCTCCCAAAGTGCTGGGATTACAGGTGTGAGCCACTGTGCCCAGCCTGAATACCAATTTTTCTAATATTCATGCTGTCATTTTTGTATATGTAAATATCTTTTTTTTTAACTGATTACAGAAGATCAGACAAATCCACAAATTATTCGAATAGAGTTAATGGCATGATGTATATTCTTTCAGAACTTTTTCTATATATACATTTACACCTATATTACAATGCAGATTTTTTAAACCAAAAAAGGAGAAATAAAGATATATTTAAGTTTTACAACTTGCCTTATTGACAATGCATTCTTGAAATTCTTTCTGTCAGTGTCTATACGTTTACCTTATTCTTTTTAATTGATCTCTGGAGCTGGCACTTACACAGTGCCTGGCCCATCACTTGCTTTTTTTAAAAAAATTAAATATTGCTTCAGGGAAGCCTTCCTTGACCCCCGCCGCCCCGCCAAAACTGGATCAAGGTCCACTGTAATACGCGTTCATAGTACTCTGCTATTTTCCTCCCAAACCACCCAAAACAATTGTACAGTTGTGTGATTAATATCTGTTCCTCACCACCCTACACACACACACCTCACACCTCTACACTGAACAGTGAGCTCCTCAGAGGCAGGGACCAAGCCTGTTTTTTTTCCTACTCATACACCAGCACCTATTATAGTGCCTGGCAATTATATCTGTTCGATAAATATTTTTGATGCGATTATGCCCATTTTACAGGTTAGAAAGCTGTGCAAATTAAGTAACAGTTGTCCTATAAGAAATCCCCTGAGGCTACTCAGAAATAAATAGAGGTAACAACAGATTATGAGTGCCTTAACACGCCAATACATAACATATTTTCCTTAGTTTTAAATTATTCACATAGGGTAGATATTCCTTTGGATTGTTACTGAGTTTTCATTATTATGGAGAGTGCTGAAATAAACATTCTTGTAGTAATAGCTTTACACATGTTTGTACTCCTATAAGATAAATAAATAAATAGAAATTGAATTCCTGCAAAGGGAATGCACATTTTACAATTGGATAGATATTGCCAAATTGCCCTCCAAAAGAGATTACGCGAATTTATATTTGTAGTACCCAAGTATGAGAGTGCCTTCCGCCCCCATACCCTTGCCAGAGCTGTGCATTTTCACTAATTTTTTTCTTTGGTAATCTGATACTTACAAAGTGATATGTCATTCTTTTCATTTTCATATCTTTGATTTTTGGCGAGGTTGAATATCTTTTAATTAGTTTCTTGGCCATTTGTATTCTTCTTCTTCTAAATGTATAGCTTGTTTGTACATTTTGCCCATGTTTTTTGTTGAATAGTCTTGTTGTTGAGTTGGAATAGCTCTTTTTATATCACGGATAATACTCTTGTCTTCCTGTCATAAATATTTTCTTCATTTTTTTGTTTGTGTTTTAACCTTATAAAGCTGTTTCTTAGAACATACAAGTTTAACATCCTTTATATAATCAAATTTGTTATCATTTCATTTATTTATAGTAGCTGGTTTAAGTGCTGTGTTCTGAAAGGCTTTGCCCACTTCAAGACTAGAAAACTCTTCATCTATGTTTTCTTCTAACGCCTTTATGGTTTTGAATATTACATTTCAATATTTGTCTCATGTGGGTATTATTTTGGCGTGTAGTACAAACGTAGGATTCCAACTTTATTTTTTTCTCAAAATCTATCCAATTGTTCTTCATAATTATTGAATAGTTGACATTTCACTCATTAACTTAAAATGCCCCCTTTATCAAATACTAAATTCCCTGACATTTTGGGATGCATTTGTAGAATCTTCTGTTCCATTGTGTAATAGTTAAGAGTGCCAGCACTGGAGCTGGATTTGAGCCCAGCTCTGCCATTCATAGTTTCCTCTTCTGTAAAATGGGGATAATAGTACCCACCTCATAGGGTTGTGATTACCGGATAAGTTCATTTATGTACAATGATTAGAACTGTTCCTGGCCTTCAGTAAGTATTTGGTATTTTTGTAGTATTTATTATTCTTAAATTTTTAGTATTGCTTTTTATTTTTCATAGTATACAATCACATGATCTGCACATAATATTTTTATCTCCTTGTAGAGTGACTGTTAATCAACTTGAACAATTTGGAGATGACGTATTACAACTCTACTTATCCCTCATCCTCATATGTTGTCCAACCTAGGTATCTTAACTCTAGGTAGTTAGGAAGGGAGAGGAGAAAAGAGGAAAGGAAAATGAAGCCATCCGTATTCACAGATGGCATGACTGTCTACACAGAAAATCCCAAATAGCGTGCGCACGCACACACACACACACACACACACACACTTCCCTAGAACTAATACATGAATTTAGCAAGGTTGCAGGATACAAAGTCAACACACAGAAATCAATCACATTTCTTTATCCTAGCAATGAACAATACTATTTGTAATAGCTCCCCAAAAATAAAATGCTTAGGTAAAAATCTAACAGAACGTGTACAGGACCTTTATGCCGAAAACTACAAAATGCTGATGAAAGAAATCTCCGAAGTCCTCAATAAATGGAGAGATAGACCGTATTCAGGGACTAGAACACTTAACATATTAGAGATGTCAGTTCTCTCTAAGTTGATCTATAGGCTTCATGCAATTCCTATTAAAATCCCAGCAAGATCTTTTGTGGATATATATCGACTCTAAACTTTACATGGAAAGGCAAAAGAACAAGAATAGCCAAAGCAATTTTGAAAAGATTAATAAAGTTGGAGGAATCACACTGCTATACCTGATTTTAAGACTTACCACATAACTGCAGTAATCAAGACAGTACGGTTTTGGAGAAGAGACAGACATATAGACTAACATAACAGAATAGAGAATGCATAAATGGACTCATACAAATCTTGATCAAAACCTCACACCTTATACAGAAATTAACTCAAAATGGAGCATAGATCTGAATATAAATCACAAAACTATAAGAAAACATAGGGGAAAATCTGGAACTTTCTTTTTTTTTTTTTTTTTTTTTTTTTGAGAGGGACTTTCACTCTTGTTGCCCAGGCTGGAGTGCAATGGCACAATCTCGGCTCACTACAACCTCCGCCTCCCAGATTCAAGCGATTCTCCTGCCTCAGCCTCCCCAGTAGCTGGGACTTACAGGCACGCGCCACCACGCTAGGCTAATTTTTTTTTTTTTTTTTGAGATGGAGTCTCGCTCTGTTGCCCAGGCTGGAGTGCAGTGGCATGATATTGGCTCACTGGAACCTCTGCCTACCGGTTCAAGAGATTCTTGTGCCTCAGCCTCCCGAGTAGATGGGACTCGGGCGTGTGCCACCATGCCTGGCTAATTTTTGTATTTTTAGTAGAGACAGGGTTTCACCATGTTGGCCAGGTTGGTCTTAAACTACTGACCTCAAACAATCTGCCCCCTTCGGCCTCCCAAATTGCTGGGATAACAGGCATGAACCACCACACCCGGCCTGTATGTTTTTATTTATATGACATTTTTTCAGAAGACAAACTATAGTGATAGAGAACAGGTCAGAGATTAGGCATGGAGGCATACGAATTCAAAGCAATAATAAGATTAAGTTTTTGGAGGTGATAGAACTTTTCTGTATCCTGATTGTGGTGGTGGTTACATTAATCTATGCATGTGTTAAAATTCTTGGAACTATACACAAAACGTCAAATTTACTGTATTGATAAAAGTACAGGAAATGATGCTATAATTAGAATGACACCTGCTATGTCTTGTAGGTCAGTACACAACTTTAGGTTTATCTAACCATGTTTTTACCCTTACAATTTCTTCTGGGAATGCTAAGCTCACTGTAAAATATCCTTAGTACAGGTAAGCCTCTGTGCTCAATCCAGTTAACCCTGTCTTGTTCTACAAGGTGCATCATTAGAATTCTTTCAGTTACAAATAATAGCAAAGCCAAACACACAGTATTTTATTATTTCCCATAAGTCCAGCTATAGAGGGATTCCAGGGCAAGTAATTCAGCAGCCCAGCAATGTCACTAAGGACCTAGTTTCCTTCCATCTGGTTCCACTATCTTCAGCCTATTAGTCCTTCACCTTATGATTACAAGACATCCATAGGTACTCAGGTATCCCAAGGCCATACAAAAGCATTAAGAGTCTGGAAGAAAGAACATAACTGTTATGTGTCCTTTATTAAGACCAAGAGAAACTTTCCCTATGCCCCCAGTAGATATCCCCTCTTATTGGCCAGAAATTGTGTCTCACGCCCATGCCTAAACCAATCATTTGGCAAGGGAAATAGAATTATCATGATTAGTTAGCTCAGACTAGTGCCACTCATTGTGTGGTCCCTGGACTGGTGCTAGTCTGTAAACTGTTGGTTAACAGACTGTGACAAGCTGAATACAGAAGTTGAGAATACACATTTAGAAACTTGTATAACAAATTGAGTAATTGTTATGTCTTTTGAAGCTAATACAAATTTGGGGCTTGTATTTTGTAGGTCTTCATTTGAGAATCCCTGCTCCCTTGATGTACAGTGTTGCCCTATGTGAGAACAAAAATGGGGTCTCTATGAGGGAGGAAGAAAGTGAAGGATGGCCATTGGGTAGGACATCAGTAGTGTGGGCCATACAGAAAATGGTAGGGATGATATTGCTCCTAGAAATCCTGGAAAATTCCACACAAGAACAGAATTTGGGACCAGCACCATGGAGCAGGCTCTCCTTTTGGCTTTACTTGCACGCTCTTCTGTAGTGCTACCACTCCCAGGGTGTAGAATCCCAAGCAATTGTGTCTGTCTGAGAAGCCACACCCCAAAACCTGTTTCCCAGCAAGCTCAACATTATCTGCGGTTTTTTTTTTTTTTTCTGATACCAGACAGTGGCTCCTTAGAAAGCTATGATTGGTTTACATCTGCCCATCTTGCTCACAACAACAGCAAAAACAAAAAATAAAGAGAAAATAAGTCGACTGGACATGCCCATCCAGTCAGCTAGCCATGGTGACTGACTCTGTGGCCTGTGGTAGTGGCTTTCAAAGGTTTTTGAGATAAATTTACAGAATAAGAAACATACCATATTTGACATCACAACTCAGTACATATACCTGTGCATGCAAACACACACACACACACACACACACACACACACACACACACACATCTGAAGCCAGTGTTTCACAAAACAATATTTACCTTTATTATGTAATGCACTCTGTTTAAAGAAAAAAAAAACTATTTCTTTTTTTTTTCATATTTCTATTCATTATGTTAAATGTTGATTTCACTCCACTAAATTGATTTCACAGCCCACCAATGCTTTAAGACCTGCAGTTTGGAAAGAACTGCCCTAAAGGGGTGAGATGTAATGGTTCCCAATTCCAGCGGCCTTTAGAATGACCACCAGTAGCCCCGTGTGGGATGTTGTAGCTCCCTTTGTGTCTGCTTCAAGATTTTAGCCCCAACCTAAAACAATGCTTCTGCAACCTTGTCTTTTTCCTCATCAGCTTCTCAGACTTCAGAGTTCCGGCCTCCTAAATCAGCTGCCTTAGCAGTGAGAAGGCCGGAGGCCCTCCAGGCTGTGCGCGGAGCCTGAGTTGCCCTAGCAACACTTGGCTGTAATTGACTCCCGCAGTCACCTGCTCCAGCCTAGCCTGCTTCTCTGCACTATGGACCGTGGCCCCCTTTTCTCCTGCCTTTCTTAACAATTTCTGCATCCTCATTATATAGACAGATGTCTCCTCATTCCTCCCCCTCCCGATGGATGGTCAGATTCTTGGCATACACCTCCCTGGCACTCTCCACATTGCCAAATACTCGCTCTGACATGATTAGACACTCACAGAGATGGATGATTTGCATTTCTTTCAGATCACAAACAACCTCTAGTGCTGGCCAATTTAACTGAGAGAACACAAACTCGAACGTAGGCAGGGGCTAAGCAGGTCATACAAGAGCCTGGATGGAAACTGTACCCCCTCCTAAATGAAGCAGTGGCTATTCCATCCAGCTTATTTTGCCCTATAGAAATGCACATCCACATAGCCAGAATCTTTGAACTGTTCCAGAGAAGCCATAAAATCTGGGTCTTTATATGAACTCTACCAATTTTTATATACTGACAAGTAATTTACAAAATATTTTTGAAAATTCTTATGGGCTAAATCCAACACATCTGTGGGTTGGATCTATTCAGCAGGCTACCAGTTTGCAAGTTGTGTTTTAAACTCTCTTTCATGCTCTGCCTTGCATTTGGACTTGATGTCCTCTGCCATCTGAGGCCAACAAAAACAAAAACAATAACTGGGCTTAAATTAACTCTAAAGTTCTCTCCCTCCCAGATAGGCACAGCAATTAGGCAAAGGCTCTTAAGAGGTGTTCATGGAGCAAAACCAGTCGGTTCTACTCTCTCTACTGAGCACCAGAACACCCAATTCTACCTATTCTTCTGTTCCAGTTTGTTTCAGTCATACAGTAAGAATGTAAGGCTGTAAGGCTGGCCACTAGAGAAAGCCCTGACCTCTGGGGGAGGGGGCCCATCCCTGGGCTCTTCCCTTTGACCGCAGCCATAAATTAGCTGACATCCCCCATTCTTGTATTCCCACCTGTCCACGAAATAGGAACTTCTGCTCTTTCAGAAGTATTGTGAAGAGAGCTTCCCGCAGCCCCTCCGCACCTCCTCCCCACAGTGGCTTCATTGGTGAGGTTCCAAGATAGGACTGAGTGCTTGTTGCTCAGCCCCTGCTGAGCTCCCTGCTCTCTCTTTTTCAGAGTTCCCTTGCCCACAGCACACCTATGTTCTCTCTGCCCCTCCATGTGGTCAGCCTACGAGGGTAGGGAGGCCTGCAGGTGGATGAGCACCCTTTCTGTGACTGGTGGGGTGAGGGTCTGCTGTACAGATCTATCTGTCACCTCAGGAGGGTGCAAAAGTCTAGGTTTGGGATGAACGAGTTGGAAACCTAATTCAGGCTACAGGCCACAGACCTGTTCTCCAAACCAGTCTTAACAACAATACATCTCAATATTCTGATTCCTCTTTAATTCCTGTGTCTATTTCTCAATTAGGAATTCAGTGGAGGGAGAGACTGGTGTGATTATATGATCTTTGGAGGGATCCCACGGTGTATGAATGGGGAAACCTTGAGAAATGGATGCAATGACTGGCATTTGAGGGAGGCAGTTCTCTTTGTAGCAGTATAGTGGCTGGTATGCAAAGGTGTTCTGGCTGTTTTTTTTTCTTTTTCATAAGGGCAGGCCCTAGAAAGTACTGGCCATGTGCATCATTGACTTTGGGAGTTTACAGAAGTTTATATGATAACTGGTGTCTGCAGGCACATAACTGCTTTTCATAGACAGTGGCCTTAGAAAACATAAGTCTCAAAGGTTTTTGACCTTGCAATCGTAGCTGGTATCTAAAAGCAGATAGGCCCATGCAAACCCTAAGTAAGAACAGGCTGTGCATGCTTTTGTGGCTGAGGCATGGATAAGAGTATCAGGAAAATAATATTTTAGCCTTGGCTAAGGTTTGCCTCAAAACAAAGTTTCAATAATCAGACTTTTCACTATCAGAAGGCTGAAAAATATTTGCTCCCTTTCCTCTATTTCTCAGCCAGGATTACAGGCCAGGACTTTAAACTGCAAAAGTAGCCAAATTCCATGTGAACCACAAAGTACTAGAGTGAGATTGTATCTTCTACATTTTAGTAGGTGGCATTCTATCAGTGCTGTTCCTCTATCTTGTTTTTTTTTTTTTATTATTCCACCTTCTATGAGGAATGTTTTTTATTATTTTTTTTGTTATACTTTAAGTTTTAGGGTACATGTGCACATTGTGCAGGTTAGTTACATATGTATACATGTGCCATGCTGGTGCACTGCACCCACTAACTCGTCATCTAGCATTAGGTATATCTCCCGATGCTATCCCTCCCCCCTCCCCCCACCCCACAACAGTCCCCAGAGTGTGATATTCCCCTTCCTGTGTCCATGTGATCTCATTGTTCAGTTCCCACCTATGAGTGAGAATATGCGGTGTTTGGTTTTTTGTTCTTGAGATAGTTTACTGAGAATGATGATTTCCAATTTCATCCATGTCCCTACAAAGGACATGAACTCATCATTTTTTATGGCTGCATAGTATTCCATGGTGTATATGTGCCACATTTTCTTAATCCAGTCTATCATTGTTGGACATTTGGGTTGGTTCCAAGTCTTTGCTATCGTGAATAATGCCGCAATAAACATACGGGTGCATGTGTCTTTATAGCAGCATGATTTATAGTCCTTTGGGTATATACCCAGGAATGGGATGGCTGGGTCAAATGGTATTTCCAGTTCTAGATCCCTGAGGAATCGCCACACTGACTTCCACAATGGTTGAACGAGTTTACAGTCCCACCAACAGTGTAAAAGTGTTCCCATTTCTCCACATCCTCTCCAGCACCTGTTGTTTCCTGACTTTTTAATGATTGCCATTCTAACTGGTGTGAGATGGTATCTCATTGTGGTTTTGATTTGCATTTCTCTGATGGCCAGTGATGATGAGCATTTTTTCATGTGTCTTTTGGCTGCATAAATGTCTTCTTTTGAGAAGTGTCTGTTCATGTCCTTCGCCCACTTTTTGATGGGGTTGTTTGTTTTTTTCTTGTAAATTTGTTTGAGTTCATTGTAGATTCTGGATATTAGCCCTTTGTCAGATGAGTAGGTTGTGAAAATTTTCTCCCATTTTGTAGGTTGCCTGTTCACTCTGATGGTGGTTTCTTTTGCTGTGCAGAAGCTCTTTAGTTTAATTAGATCCCATTTGTAAATTTTGGCTTTTGTTGCCATTGCTTTTGGTGTTTTAGACATGAAGTCCTTGCCCATGCCTATGTCCTGAATGGTAATGCCTAGGTTTTCTTCTAGGGTTTTTATGGTTTTAGGTCTAATGTTTAAGTCTTTAATCCATCTTGAATTGATTTTTGTATAAGGTGTAAGGAAGGGATCCAGTTTCAGCTTTCTACATATGGCTAGCCAGTTTTCCCAGCACCATTTATTAAATAGGGAATCCTTTCCCCATTTCTTGTTTTTCTCAGGTTTGTCAAAGATCAGATAGTTGTAGATATGTGGCATTATTTCTGAGGGCTCTGTTCTGTTCCATTGATCTATATCTCTGTTTTGGTACCAGTACCATGCTGTTTTGGTTACTGTAGCCTTGTAGTATAATTTGAAGTCAGGTAGTGTGATGCCTCCAGCTTTGTTCTTTTGGCTTAGGATTGACTTGGCGATGCGGGCCTCTATCTTGTTTTGAATTGCATCCCATTCAAGAGGCAAGCAAAAACAAACAAACAAAACAACAACAACAACAAAAACACAACTATGAAGGGGCTGCCTTCTTGAATTTTTGTGGCACATTCACAGATTCCTAGATTCACCCCCCTACCACCACCTCTGCATGGCCTCAGGGTGGCTCTGGATTTATTAATTACGGGAGCCATGACCATGACTTTGGATTTTAAAGACCCAGACAATGCGTTTAACCTAGGAAGGCAGGTGATTTTTATCAAGTTACAGCTAGAGGAATGGGAGTGTTTATAATACAAAGGATATATCATCTTGTATTGAGGTGGAGAAACAAGTCATGAAATTATTAAAATTCCAGAGGCCAAGCAAAAACCTTTAAAGACTAACTTCTCTAGGAATATGGTTTGTTCCTAAAATCGAGAAGGTACTGAATTTCTTTCAAAATAATGCTTCATATCAATTTATTTGTGAGTGAAATAACATGATGTCCTGGGATTTACTTTAAAATATTCCAAAAAATGCATGAATAGATGAATTAAAATGTGTAAAGTGTTGATAATTATTGAAGCTGAGTGATTCATTATGCTATTCATATGGGTTTGTTATAGTATTCTTTCTAATTTTGTATATGTTTGAAATTTCCCATAGTAAATCACCAGAAAAAGTAAGAATAAGCTTTGGTCTTACTGTCAGAACAAGAGCAGTGAGACAATAAAAGAAAAAAAGTACAAGAAGATATACTGTTTAAGATGGAGAAGGAAAATTCTCATCCTTAGGAATTCTTATCCTTAGGAATCAATTCTTATGAAAATGTGATCTTGGAGAACAAGCTAGACAGAGATGAAAGGAAAAAGAAGATACACCCAAGATCTAAAGGTTCTTAAAGATGTAACTAGAAAACAGGGAGCTATTTTGTTACTAGGTCATAGAGGTTATCTAGGTCTCAAAGAGACCGGGGAAAGACAGGGAGAGAAGAAAAAAAAGCACTGGAATTACTCTACTGGTTGGAATCCAGATCTACAATACTATTGAGTGGTGTCCTCCTAAAGGTGCACTTAAAGAGTCCATATAAATTTAGAGCAATTAGAAAAAAACCACATGGTAGAAAAATGCATCCCCGCCCCCATGCACACCCCTCCCCGACCCCAAGCTGCTCACACTTTAATCCCTACAACCTGTGAATATGATATATTAATATGACAAAAGGGACTTTGCAGATGTAATTAAGGTACAAACTTTAATATAGGGAGATTATCTTGGATTGCCCAGGTAGGCCCAATCTCATTTTGGCATGAGCTCTTAAAAGCTGAGAACCTGCTCTGGCTGGCAGCAAAAGTGATATTGCAGAAGGAAAAGTCAGAGAAATTCCAAGCATAAGATGTAGGGGCCATGTGCAAGGATGGGATAGAGGCCTCTGAGAGCCAAGAATGGCTCCCAGCTGACAGCCAACAAGTAAACAGGGTCCTCAGTTCTATCAACATAAAGAGCTAGATTTTGATAACCTGAATGATCTTGGAAGCAGATTCTTCCCATAGCCTCCTGATAAGAGAGTCTAGCTGGCTGATACCTTGATTATGGCCTTGTGAAACCCAGAGCAGAGAAACCAGTTGAGCCAATCCAGACTTCTGACCTACAGAACAGTAGGAGAACAAGTTTGTATTTTCAAGCCTGTAAGTTCTGGTTGTCTGTTCTAACAACAATAGGAAACTACTGCATACCATCATATAAAGTGGGTACATAAAATTTGAACAGATTTATGAAGGAAAGACCAAGAGGATCATTGTAAAATATATCATGCATTTTATTTATTACTTGATTTTATTCTTTTCAGGCAGAGTCTCACTCTGTTGCCCAGGCTGGAGTGCAGTGGCGCTATCTCGGCTCACTGCAAACTCCGCCTCCCAGGTTCAAGCAATTCTCCTGCCTCAACCTCCCGAGTAGCTGGGACTAGAGGCGCCCACCACCACGCCTGGCTAATTTTTGTATTTTTAGTAGAGATGGGGTTTCACCATGTTGTCCAGGCTGGTCTCAAACTCCTGACCTCAGGTGATCCACCTGCCTCGGCCTCCCAAAGCGGTGTGATTACACACTCGTGAACCACCGCTCCTGGCCTGTCATGCATTTTAGATGAGTTTCAAGGCAACACATTTATGGGCCGAGAAGCAGGTATGGCATGTCCTTGTGGGTACATGCTCAGGACATGTGTAGAGTTAGAACTCCACGAGAAGGAAACACAGAAGATGAGACATACTACAGGGGAATCAGGCAAGCTAATGATAGACTGAGTTAAACCTGGAATATATATTGATTTTGGTCAGAGAATACCTCCTGGTGGAATTATACAATTCCAATAAGGTGAAAGTAGATAAGAATTGTTGAACAGTGGATGCTTTTGCCAGATCCAAAATTTCTTGACTGCATATCTTTTACTAATGATGAACCTCCAAGTCACAAAGAGTTTGTTAGGAAAACAAATGGTTGCATGTGAAAGAAAAATTAAAGAAGAAAGGAAAGAAAACACAGTGATTGAGAAAGGAGTGGCCATAATGTCAGACACTGCTAATTGTCTTCTAATATCTGTTCTCACTTTCCTTTAAAGTTATTATCATTTTAGAAATGTGTATGCATCCTCAGCTAAACATTGCATTTCCCATTCTCCATTGCAGCTAATTATGATTAAATATTAGTCAATGAGATGAGACTGGAAAAGATGTGTACTCATATATTTTGGGTTGAGCCCTTACAGTGAAAGGTGGATCCTCTTTCCTTCCCTTCTTCATCCTGTTAACTAAAATTGTGAGCTATTTTGTAGCATACGATGGGAGCATCATTCTAGCGATGACGAAAAGAGTAAATGAATGGATAGCCTCATGGAACTACACTAGCCTTGTACTGTCTTCTGGTCTGTTACATCTGAGGGAAATAAAGTTCTGTTGTATTTAAGCTTCTGTTCATTTGTGTTACTGTTACAAGAAGCTGGACCTATATCCTAACTAACATAGCCATGTACATGTTAGGCAAGGAAAGGTGACCAACCCAAGGAGCAGATTAAAATGTTGAAAATTTAGCTGAGGCCAGGCATGGTGGCTCATGCCTATAATCCTAGCACTTTGGGAGGCTGAGGCAGGAGGATCACTTGAGCCCAGGGGTTTAAGACCAGCCAGAGCAAGATAGTGAGGCCTTGTCTCTACAAAAAATTAAAAAATTAGCCGGGCATGGTGGTGCACACCTGTAGTCCCAGCTACTTGGGGAGAGGCTGAGGTGGGAGGATGGCTTGAGTCCCAGAGTAGTTCGAGGCTGCATGAGCTGTGATTGTGCTACTGCACTCCAGCCTGGGTGACAGAGTAAGATCCTGTCTAAAACAAACACCTTAGCTGAGCATCTGGCTCAAGATGGTGATTTGAGGCCGGCACGGTGCCTCATGCCTGTAATCCCAGCACTTTGAGAGGCGGAGGCGAGAGGATTGCTTGAGCCCAGGAGTTTGAGACCAGCTTGGGCAACATGGTGAAATCTTGTCTCTAAGCATGCCTGTAATCCCAGCTATTGGAGAGGCTGAGGTGGGAGGATCACTTAAGCACGGGAGGTTGAGGCTGCAGTGAGCTGTGATTGTGCCACTACACTCCAGCCTGGTTGACAAAGCCAGTCCTTGTCTCAAAAAAAATATATAGTGATTTGAGCATTTGCTAAAACCTGCTATCAGCCCTGTTTCAAATACCTAGAAATCTTGTGTAAATGTTCCCAACTTTTTATTGTGAAAAATCTGGAATATATGGAAAAGTTCAAACTAGTACAATGAATATCATCATGCCCATCACTCAATTGCTTCTTTTTTTTTTTTTCTTTGAGACGGAGTCTCGCTCTGTTGCCCAGGCTGGAGTGCAGTGGTGCGATCTTGGCTCACTGCAATCTCCGCCTCCTGGGTTCAAGCGATTCCCCTGCCTCAGTCCAAGTAGCCGAGATTACAAGTGCACACCACCATGCCCGGCCAGTTTCTGTATTTTTAGTAGAGACAGGGTTTCGCCATGTTGGCCAGTCTGGTCTTCCACTCCTAACCTCAGGTGATCCGCCTGAGTGCTGGGGTCACCTCAGGTGATCCTCCCAAAGTGCTGGGATTACAGTCGTGAGCCACAGCACCCGGTCCCATCACTCAATTTCAACAACTGTTAACATTGTGCTCTATTAGCTCTACCTATCTGTCTATCTATCTAATTTTTTGAACCATCTGAAAGTGAGTTGACTACATCACTCCTAAGTACTTCAGTGTGTATCTTCAAAGGTTGTTCTCCTGTATAACTATAAAACCTTTATCACAACTAAGTATATGAACAATATTCTAACAATATTTTAATGTAGTCTAATAACATCATCTAGATCATATTTTGCTTTCCCTAATTGTTCCCCAATGTCTTCATAGCTTTTTTAAAAAACCAGGATCCAGTTAAGGTTCATGCAGTGCATTTCGTTATGTGTTTTTGTTTGAATTTGGAACAGTTTTTTGGAACAGTTGGAATTTGTCCCATCTTTTTATAAAATATTTTTAAGGTTAAAAAATAAACAGCTGTGCTTGAAAACAAAAAAAAGGAGATCTCCAGGGGTCAGAAACAGAATGAGAACCTATAAAGGAGAGATAGATATGTGTGCAGATGAAGAAGCCAGAACTGACACCGGCTATAGGGGCTGGAGTTTCAGTTCCTGCTTAGACAGAGGAGCTGAGGCCCTACATGTGTCAGGAAATCAACCTAGAGTGAGCAACACTTCACACATGAACATTAAAACAAAAACGAGGTGTAATTTCTTACCCATTAGACAGACAAATATTTAAAATCTCCCCCAAGCGGCCGGGGGCAGTGGCTCATGCCTGTCATCCCAGCACTTTGGGAGGCTGGGGTGGGCAGATCACCTGAGGCTGGGAGTTCGAGACCAGCCTGACCAACATGGAGAAACCCCGTCTCTACTAAAAATACAAACTTAGCCGGACGTGGTGGCGCATGCATGCAATCCCAGCTACTCGGGAGGCTGAGGCGGGAGAATCGCTGGAATCCGGGAGGCAGAGGTTGCAGTGAGCCGAGATCGCGCCATTGCACTTCAGCCTGGGCAATAAGAGCAAAACTCCATCTCAAAAAAAAAAAGAAAAGAAAAAAAAGATCTCCCCAAAGCATTGGGAAGAATGTGGGGAAATAAGCATACTCCTACACTGCTGGTAGAAATATCAACTGGTTCAACCACTTTAGAGAGCAATTTGTCAAAATGTTGTGAAAAAATAAAATCTGATGATGTCATACAATGGAACACTGCACTGAAGTGGTGCTAGATCTACATATAGCAATATGGACAGGTCTCAAAAGCATGCCGTTGAATAAAAAAAAGATACAATTATGTAAATGGATATGCACAAAAATACTATACATAGTTTATGGATGGATGGATGTTTGTAAAGTATAAAAATGGATGAGACTACACTCCAGACCATAGCAGTTGCCTCAGACGAGCATGGCAATGCAGGTGGTAGCTAAACAAAATTTTAGCTAGATTTCTAAGATTTTTTTAATTGCAGAAAGCAAATATGACAAGATGTCTACAATTCTGGGAGATGGGAATATGGGTTTTTATTATAATATTCTTGTACTTTTTCTGTAGTTTTCACATTTCTCACAATTAAAAAGAAAGAGGAAACTTCAGCTGAGCCTGCTCCAAAGGAGAAAGGGAGCTACAAGAGTGGACAGAAAGAACTGTTACTGCTGTTGTTGAAGTTCCACTTAAGGCCTAGAAAATTCGAAGGCTTTTTGCAAGGGCGGCAAGCCCAAGGCAGATAAATTTTTCCTCCCCAGGACCAAAGGGCACAAGCTTCTGAATGTCATTTTAGGAGTCCACTGAAGGCAATTTGTCACATAAAATATATTGGAAGTAGAGGGGAAACCACCACTAAGAGGCAGGCTTTATGTAATCAAGGAATTCCAGAGCAAGAGACAGTGGCAGTAACCACTGAGGCACAAAACTAGATGTGAAGAAATGCCAATCCCAGACCAAGAAAAGATGATGTGCCCAGAATGCAATGACAATCCCCCAAAGATGGTTATGTACTAATCCCTGGAATTTGTGAATATATTACTTTACATAGCCAAAGAGAATCTGCAGATGTGATTAAGGTTAAGGACCTTGAGATGGGGAGATTATCCTGGGTGAACCCAGCGTAATCATACAAGTCTTTAAAAGTAGAAGATGATGGAAGAAGAGTGGATCACTTGAGAAATCACATGAGAAGGACTGACTCTATGGTTGCTGACTTTGAAGATGGAGGAGGGGCCACAAGCCGAGGAATGTAGGTGACCTCAGTTTATAGGCAGGAAGAAAATGGTGACCTTGGTTCAACATCCGCAAAGAACTGAATTCTCCCAAAAAGCCCAAATGAACACAAAGGGTATTCTCCCCTAGTGACTCCAGAAAGAAGCTATGAACTGTGAACCTGGAAGAGCCAATTTTTCAAGATGGAACCCAAGTGGCTAACTGGGCCTAAATTTAAAATAGAGCCATTGCAGTCATTGCTGACTAGAGGTCCCACATATACTCAGAGTTTCCAGAAAGCTCACATCTTTTTTTTTTCTTTTTAAGACAAAGTCTTGCTCTGTTGCCCAGGCTGGAGTGCAGTGTCACCATCTCCTCTCACTGCAACCTCTGCCTCCTGGGTTCAAGCAAGTCTTCTGCCTCAGCCTCCCAAGTAGCTGGGATTACAGGCGCCTGCCACCATGCTTGGCTAACTGGCTAATTTTTGTATTTTTAGTAGAGGTGGGCTTTCACAATAGGAAACTACTACATACCATCATATAAAGTGGTACATAAAATTTGAACAGATTTATGAAGGAAAGACCAAGAGCATCATTGTAAAATATGTCATACATTTATTTATTTATTTATTTAGAGACGGAGTCTCACTCTGTTGCCCAGGCTGGAGTGCAGTGGTGTGATCTTGGCTCACTGCAACCTCCACCTCCCGGGTTCAAGCAATTCTCCTGTCTCAGCCTCCTGAGTAGCTGGGATTAAAGGCATGCACTACCATGCCCAGCTAATTTTTGTATTTTCAGTAGAGATGGGGTTTCACCATGTTGGCCAGGCTGATCTCAAACTGACCTCAGGTGATCCACCCACCTCGGCCTCCCAAAGTGCTGGGATTATAGGTGTGAGCCACCACGACCGGAAGCTCACATCTTTTAACTTCGGGACGTTCAGAACTCATCAGAACCAGCCAATCAGAGCTCACTTGCCTTAGCCAATCAGGGCTCAGCTGTATCAACCAATCAGGGCTTGGCTGTATTGACCAATCAGAACTCAGCTGCCTCAACCAATGAGAACTGACTTTCAATCTTTCGTTGGCATAAACAGGCCTTATTGGGAACTTGGGCAGGAATTTTTACTATGAAACTGGAGCATGGTGGCATTCCTTTGTAGTCCCAGCTACATGGGAGGCTGAAGTGGGAGGATCACTTGAGCCCAGGGATTCCAGGTTACGGTGAGCTATGATCACACCACTGCACTCCAGCCTGGGCAACTGTGTCTCTGAAAAACGAACATGCAAGCAAACAACAACAACAAAATAAGCTTTCCTTTTGTTCTCTGGAATGCACCTTCATTTTACACTGGAGGCTGTGACCCAGGTTTGCAAACTGTTCACTGGACTAAAGTCTCTTTCCTCTAAATTCCTTTTCAGAGAACTTTTGTTCACAGAAGAAGCCCACCTTAATTATAGCCCAGTGAGACCTGCGTGGGACTTCTGACCTACAGACCTGTAACATAATAGATGCATGTTTTAAGCCACTAAGTTTGTGGTAATCTGTTATGGCAGCAACAGTAAACTAATACAGCAAGGGTCTGAATCACACTCGGAGCCATGACTATTCGAAAAGGAGGTGGCTGCTCACAGGAGAGTGTGGAAAAGCTGTGTCACCAAACTGAGTGCAGCCTCAGGGCTATGCTGAGATGCCAGAAGCACAGGTTCAAAATGGGGATTTAAGAGGTTTTAAATAGCCTGGATTTTTTTTTTTTTTTTTTTTTTTTTTTTAATACGGAGTCTTGCTGTGTCACCCAGGCTGGAGTGCAGTGGTGCGATCTCGGCTCACTGCAACTTCCAGCCGCTGGGTTCAAGCGATTCTTCTGCCTTAGCCTCCCTAGTAGCTGAGACTACAGGCACACGCCACCACACCCGGCTAATTTTTGTATTTTTAGTAGAGATGGGGTTTCACCATATTGGCCAGGCTGGTCTCGAACTCCCGACCTCATGATCCGCCCGCCTCGGCTTCCCAAAGTGCTGGGATTACAGGTGTGAGCCACCGCGCCTGGCCAAATAGCCTGGATTTTGAAGAAGGAAGCCTTGAGGATGGCCTGAGGACTATGGGTGTCACCCCAGGAAAATCTAACTTTTCAAGAACACAGGAATGTCGCAAATGTCACCTTCTGAGGGAGGAAACAGTAAACATGCATGGAACTCCACCCTACTCCCGTTTGGTAAACCAAGTGCCATAATTAGTCTCTAGATAAATCTCAGCAGAGTTTAAGCTTAAGAGATTGTGGACCCTAGACAACTAGCACAATTTAACTTGTCTCCTGTTGAAGCTGAAAGCAAGGCAGGTTGTTTTTTGCTCTCACGTTTGCTATGTTTATTCTTCTTTCCCCCAGAGATCATTGTCTCTGCTATAAGCTTTGCTTTCTGTCAGCAATGTGGGTCTGATATACCAGTACAGTATTTTATGTACTGGTTTCTAGTACCATAATTTTACTTATAATAACTGCTTTGGGGTTGAGGTTTGCTTGTTACTTTTTTTTTTTTTTTGAGACAGGGTCTCCCTCTGTTGCCCAGGCTGGAGTGCAGTGGCGATCACAACTCACTGCAGCCTGTACCTCCTGGGTTCAAGCAATCCTCCCACCTCAGCCTCTCCTGAGTAGCTGGGACTACAGACGTGTGCCACCACGCCGGACTAATTTTGTATTTTTTTGTAGAGACAGGGTTTTGCCATGTTGCCCAGGCTGGTCTCAAACTCCAGAGTTCAAGTGATCCCCCTGCCTCGGCCTCCCAAAGTGCTGGGATTACAGGTGTGATCCAGTGCGCCTGGCCCTGCTTGTGACTTCTAAGAATTTAAAAATTTCTTTTTTGAAGTGGAGTCTCACTCTGTCACCCAGGCTGGAATGCAGTGGCACGATCATACTGCAGCCTCAAACTCCTGGGTTAAAGCGATCCTCTTGCCTCAGCCTCCTGAGTAGCTGGGACTACAGGTGCAAGCCACCATGTCTGGCTAATTTTTTCAATTTTTTGTAGAGATGGGGTCTCATTATGTTGCCTAGTCCTGGCCTCAAGGGATCCTCTTGCCTTGGACTTCCAAAGTGCTGGGATTACAGGTGTCAGCCGCCATGTCCGGCCTCCAAGAATTTTTTTCTTTGATTAACCTTTTATTAATACAGAAGCAGTATATATGCATTGTAGAAAATTAGAAAATATAGAGAAGCAGAAATATAATAAATAAATAAGTAAAATTTCCACCTCCCAGAGATCACCACTGTAAGACCTTAGTGTATAACCTACAGGATCTGTTCATGTGTGTCTATGCATGCTTTTATTTTATTACCAAACTGAGATCATACTACACATAATGTTCTTCAGTCTGTTTTTTTCAATCATTAACCTCCCTTTTGCTATTTCAGTACATTTCCAACCCTTCTAACACCCTGCTTCTATTCATATTTTCCCAAATGACCTAAAAATGTCCTATACAGTTGTTTCATCCAAATCAGTACCCAATCCAGACCATGCATTGCATCTGGTTTATGTCCCTTAAGTCTCTTTTAATCTAGAACAGACACCAGTTTTTAATGATACCACTTTGCTGAAGATACCAAGCCAATAGTTCTGCAGACTGTTCCACTTACGAGATTTGTCTGATTGCTTTTTTGCGTTGTTTTCTTCTAAATTTTGTGCATGTGTCATTGATGCTGGGAAAATCTTATGTGCCCAATTAACTCTTTGAACTCTTAGAAAGTGGGACATATGAGAATCTTGACACTGGATTAATTTTGTCTTGAAGGTCCTACAGGAACTTCACCGATTTCAGTGGATGAGAGCCCAGGTTGCAGTAGCCGAAGGAACCTCCAATCTCTCCACACCTCAGAGCAAGATCCTTCTAGCTGAGACTGAGCAGAAACAGAAATCGGGGAGGAAATAGTTTTGGATTTAAATTTCTCTGGCATTTTGGAATTAATCTTTCTCCCAAGATTTTCATAAGTGGAGAGACTTTGTATTGTTCAAATTTGGACATTTATATATTATTTGGAACATTTTAATGCTATCATTTGGGCTGAACATGCAACTTCTGGTGAACTCCATTGGAAAATGTGGCTGGGCATAATTCAGGATGGGAAATACAACAGGGATAGCTTTTACAGCCTGGGATGCAGCAGGGAACTTGGAGTTAATTTAATTAATGTCCTACTCTGATCCACTTCAGAGTTTTTTGGAGGCAAAGCAGAACTGTCCCAGTGTTAGTGCTAAGAGAAGCAGTAGTTGATATTGGGAGAATGGTTTCACGAAAGTAGAACCTGGACTGGCCTGCTGAACTCTAGTCTTCTATCCCTGATGCAGGCAGCCACATTTCTAATGGCCCATGGCTTTGGCTATCAAAAACAACAGGTTAAGATAACACAAGTGTGAAGATTGGCTGGGCGTGGTGGCTCATGCCTGTAATCCCAACACTTTGGGAAGCCGAGGCAGGTGGATCACTTGAGGTCAGGAGTTCGAGACCAGCCTGACCAACATGGAGAATCCCGTCTCTACTAAAAATACAAAAAGTAGCCAGGTGTGGTGGTGGGCGCCTGTAGCCCCAGCTACTCGGGAGACTGAGGCAGGAGAATCGCTTGAATCCAGGAGGCAGAGGATGCAGTGAGCTGAGATCGCGCCACTGCACTCCAGACTGGGCAACAAGAGCGAAACTCCGTCTCAAAAAAAAAAAAAAAGTGTGAAGATTATTAGAGGAACCATGATCTCCCTTGTTATGAGCTAAATGGTGCCCCCTCAAAATTCATATGTGGAAGCTTTAACCCCTAGTACCTCAGAATGTGACTGTATTTGGAAACACATGGCCTTTAAAGAGGGAATTAAGTTAAAACGAGGCTGTTGAAGTGGGCTCTCATCCAATCTGACTGGTGTCCTTATAAGAAGAGGAGATGAGGTTACAAAGAGAGACAACAGAGAGACAACCATGTGAAGAGGCAGCAAGAGAGAGGCCATCTGTAAGCCAAGGAGAGAGAGAGGCTTCAGAGGAAAGCAACCAGGCTGGCAGCAGCTTGATCTTGGACATCCAGCCTCCAGAACTGTGAGAATATCAATTTCTGTTTTGTTTTTTTTTTTTTTTTTTTTTTGAGATGGAGTCTCGCTCTGTCGTCAGGCTGGGGTACAGTGGCATGATCTCGGCTCACGGCAACCTCTGCCTCCCAGGTTCAAGCGATCCTCCTGCCTCAGCCTCCCGAGTAGATGGGACTACAGGGCGCCACCACGCCCATCTAATTTTTTGTATTTTTAGTAGAGACGAGGTTTCACCATGTTGGCCAAGATGGTCTCGATCTCTTGACCTCGTGATCTGCCCGCTTCGGCCTCCCAAAGTGCTGGGATTACAGGTGTGAGCCACCGCGCCCAGCCCAGTTTCTGCTGTTTAAGCCACCAAGTCTGTGGTATTTTGATACAGCAGCCTGAGCAGACGAATACATACCTCTTCCTATGTTCCTACCGGCACGCGAAATAGAAACTTGCCCTCTTTCAAAAGTATAGAAATCACCTGAGGGGTTTTAAAAAATACTCATGCTTATGCCCCACATTCCAGAGATTCTTATCTAATTGGTCTGGGTGGTGGCCAGATTATGAGGTTTTTAAAAGCTCCCCAGGCAATTCTAAACTATAGCCAAGGTTGAAAACTACTGGGCTCAGAGGTCAACCAAGAGTTGCATGGCACAGCAGCTGGAGATGAACAGAGACCAGGGCTTTGCCAACAAAGCAGGAGAATGGTAGGAATGCAGCCACCCCACAAAACTTTTGGGGAAAGTTGGTTCTATGACCGGGAATTTGGGTCTTTGTGGACTGTTGATTACAAACAACATTTTCTTAGCATTTGGTGATCCCACCAAGTTTTTCATCAATACACATAAGATGTCAGTTTTTAGGTTCTAGGAATAGTACTATAGAACAGATGCTTTTTTTTTTTTTTTTTTTTTTTTTTTTTTTGAGACAGGGTCTCAGTCTGTTGCCTAGGCTGGAGTGCAGTGGCACAATCACAGCTTACTGCAGCCTTGACCTCCCTGGCTCAAGTGATCCTCCCAGCTTAGCCTCTCGAGTCACCGGGGCCACAGGTGCATGCCACCACACCTGGCTAATTGTTTTACTTTTTGTGGAGATGGGGGGGTCTCACCATGTTCCCCAGGCTAGTCTTGAACTCCAGAGCTCAAGTGATCTTCCTGCTTTGGTCTCCCAAAGTGCCGGGATTACAAGCATGAGCCACCGAGCCCAGCCAGGAGCAGATTCTCTTGGCCTTCAGTAGGAGCCCACAAGAAAACCAAGCCCCGTACCTTCCTCACACATGTTAATTCTCTGCCCTAAAGTGGGCAGTCACTCACAAATTTTTGAATTACATAATTGGGGCCAGGCACGGTAGCTCATGACTGTAATCCCAACACTTTGGGAGGCTGAGGAGGGAGGATCCCTTAAGCCCAGAAGTTCAAGACCAGCCTAGGCAACATAGGGAGACCTTGTCTCTATTAAAAAAAAATTACATAATTGAGGCTGGGCATGGTGGCTGATGCCTGCAAATCCAGCACTTTAGGATGTTGAGGCGGGAGGATCACTTGAGCCCAAGAGTTTGAGACCAGCCTGGGCAAAAAAGTGAGACCTTGTCTCTACAAAAGGTTTTAAAAATTAGCTGGGCTCAGTGGCATGCACCCAAAGTCCCAACTACTCAGGAGATTGAGTCAGGAGGATCATTTGAGCCCAGGAGTTTGAGGCTGCAGTGAGCTTTAATGGCACCACTCTACTCCAGACTGGGTGACAGAGTGAGACGCTGTCTTAAAAAAAAAAAAAAGAATTATATAATTGAGCTGGGTATTGAAGTGTGAACTGAGCCACATAATGCTTCCAGATTAGATTGGAGACACTGTGGTCATGTGCCTGCACACTGTGCCACTGTACGGCAATTCACATGTGGAAAGTGGATATTCCAGCACACATATTCTTGTTTTAAAATTTATGTTTAATTAATTAATTTTTTTTTGAGGCGGAGTCTCGCTCTGTCGCCCAGGCTGGGGTGCAGTGGCGCGATCTCGGCTCACTGCATGGTCCGCCTCCTGGGTTCACGCCATTCTCCTGCCTCAGCCTCCCGAGTAGCTGGGATTACAGGAGCCTGCCACCATGCCCAGCTAATTTTTTGTATTTTTAGTAGAGACGGGGTTTCACCGTGTTAACTAGGATGGTCTCCGTCTCCTGACCTCATGATCCACCGGCCTCGACCTCCCAAAGTGCTGGGATTACAGGCTTGAGCCACCGCGCCCGGCCTAATTAATTTTTTTTAGAGGCAGTCTTGCTATGCGGCCCAGGCTGCTCTTGCACTCCTGGCCCCAAGCAATCCTTCCACTTCAGCCTCCCGAGTACCTGAGATTACACGTGCAAATCGACATGCCTGGTTTATATTTAATTTGCATACAGTAAAATTTGCTCATATTAGTGTACAGGTCTATGAGTTTAAACAGATGCCTAGAGTCATAACCACCACCACAATCAAGATATAGATCAGTTTCTTGCCCCTCCAAGATTCCTTTGCCAGCACATATATTTTTGGCCTGCAGACACCCTCTATACCCGCTAAGTCTCAGATGCTCAGCAGCTCTGGTAACATCTTTGGTACAGCCTCGAATACAGCACACTTTTGGCCCTCCCGAAGTGGGCACAGCAGGTAGAGACAAATGGGGAAAGTGGGTCCACGCAGTCATGAGAGGAGGAGATGGCCCCACAGGTTGAATCTCTCCCCAGTCATACTCCCATGGCTGGAATTCAAAGCTCTAGCAAGAGGCAGACCCATTTTGGTCTGGTTTCAGGGCATTGTTAGTGCCTTATCACTTAGAACTAGATTCTATACTGAGGCTTAGAGAGAGAATCAATTGCTTACCAGATTTCAAATGTACCAAGATCAATTTTGAAAGCCTTTCTACTAGTGCACACTGGAGCAGCAGGCTCAATACCAGGCAGTTATTGCATCATCTTAAAAGAAACATTCTCATAATCAATTAAACTCATTACATTTGAATATTCAGTTCCTGCCAAAGCACAATTTAAATCCTCATTTCAAAATAATGTGTTCGCAGAAATCAGGTCTACTACGTAAATGACATCATGAAACTATTTCAAGAAGCATTACAACGTCTTTTGCCAAGGCAAAAGTTATTTGAAAGGGGCTTTCCAGCATTGCTTAGAACATATGTGCTCGCTGGTACTAAACTAGATACTATGGAACAATGGTGGCTAGCCTTACGGTCTCTAATTTTAGTATTCATAACAGAATGGGCATTTACAGAGAATCCCCTTTGTAGATTTGTCATAGAAACTGTCCTTGGGGACAAAGCCCTTTGGGACTTCTCAGAAGTAGGACAAATTCCTGAAGGAGTTACAGGTGCGTATCAGTCTAGAACCTTGATTGCAAGCAACAGAATTGGACTCTAGATGATTTAGGCAGAAAAGGAATTCATTAAAAGGATATTTGGGCAGCTTCCAGAATCAGTAGGCGGGCTGGAGAAGCAGGTTTGCAGCCAGGAACAACACTCAAACCACGCTGCAGAACTGGTCTGGTGAGGAGCCCACTGCAGCAGCACCTCAGAGCACTTGTCTGCAGTTTTCACCAGGGACACCCTGCAGGGAGCTCTATCTTGCTGCAGATGCCAGCACTGCCTTGACAGAGAGACTCTTCCAGGGTCCTTGAATCTTTGTCTTTAACTCCTAAGGCAAAGTTGAGAGTGACTGGGCTGGGGTATGTGCCAGCCCCCTAGCTGTGAGGGAGAGTGAATGTAGAGGGAGGTAGGATCTGCCTCCTTCCAAGAATCATAAGATGGGGAAGTCCCCAACCAGAGGAAGTGGGTTCAAATGTACACCCAAAAAGAATAGCAAATGACCCAGCACAGGCTGACAGTTGGAGGCTGCTTGGTGTCACGTGGCACTAAGTTAGTCATTGCTACCTCATTTGGGGGCAGAGTAGGCTGACCCTGAGCTGAGGAAACTGATCAAAGAAAGAAACAAGAGCTCTGTTTCCCTCCAGAGCCTTAATATTTTGCTGCAAGATTGGAGGAAATTAGAACTGACTAAAGGAGAGGGGAGCTGTACCAGGAGCTTCAGTGCCTGGTACAACTCAGAGAAAGCAATCGGTGTTGTCCTGAGAATACAACTTCCTTGTCTAGAGAGCCTGGCATCCTGACTTGGGTGGTCTGGGGGTGAGTGGGTGGTAGTGGTGGGTGGGGAGAGAGATTTTTAGAGTGACTTGTACTTTTCTCAGCAAGCCATTGCCTTTGATCACTCGATGGGCTGCACCTAAACATAACTGGGGACAAAGTCAGGCACCACAATATCGTTTCTAGTTGCAGTCATTTAGTTCCAAAGATAAGAAGTGTAGATATAACAATTCTAGGGAACTTCTGCTCTAACATTCTTAGTCTATCAACTCTTACCTAGATTCACATTTGCTGACAACAGTACTTGGATCAGCGAGAGTACAGAAGCACAAAATTGAGTCTCACCATCCCTGAAGAGACCCACAACCAGAGGGATTTAACTGACTTTTATTAAACATATTTGGGATGCTCAGATCTGGTCAGAAACAGCAGTGGAACAAATATGAGGCATTCTTGGTACATACCTGAAATGCCACAAGGATGAATTAGTGCCATAGGTTTTGCTGCTGCATCTAGGTGTTTGGATATTACACTTGGCTGCCCACTGATCTCTGATTTGAAATGGGTGAGGGTGGCAAGACTACAGGAAACTTCACTCAGTGTTCAGCCACCCTTGGTCCTACCACTTAGCCATTACTGCTGCTCACTATGAATAAGAAAAAACAAAAGCAAGGGTAACAGCAGGCTAAGGAGACTGAGTGCTGCCGTAAAACTTGGGGCTGCCTGGAGAGCCATCACTAGCTACCTATTTCCTAGCATGTGGTAAGGAAACTTGGGCCTTTCTGCTGTGTACAAGGTGTAGACACAAAGTGGGGCTAATCCAGATAAAGTGATCTACCAAAATAACTTCTTGCTTATAAAATAATTGGTTAGAAAAATTATCCCCACATACTCCAGGGTAGACAGAGAACAACCCCTCCCCACCTCTACCCACTCAGAACAGAAGGCAAGAACAAATCCCTTGAGGGATACAGCTTTGTATGAAATTGAGGAAAACTTCATCTAAACCATGAGAAAGTGAGGGAGTTGGGTAGTGAATTCAAGTAAGAAGAGGGCGACAGCCACCTATCAAGCTGCCTACTCACGTGTAGCCCTGAGGAATCCTGTGCAGCACCCTTTGAACCAAACAATTCATACATGGAGGTAGGCGGGTAAAGCAGACAGTGCTGTCTGGCTGCCCAAATCCATTTCTCCCCCTTCTTCCTTGTTGGCTTGGTCCTGTTGTGGTCATGTGCTTAGGGAAAGGACTCTACCCTTGCCTTGTGTTGCGGTGATGGTGGAATCTTGAATGGTCAATGCCAGTAATTGATGGACTCATGCTCCTTGACAGTGATTGGGTTAGGTATGGGTATGTGACATAGTCCTGGGACCTGAGGGGAAGTCTCTGGGGACTTTTGGGAAAGGGTTTCCTTGTAATAAAAAGAGATTTATGGGAGGAAACTCCCCTCTTCTTGACAGGATGTGGTCTGCATGCAATGCTGGCACTGCTACAGCCACCTTGCAACCAGGAAGCAACATCTGCTGTCAGCAGAGGAAGGCAGAGAAAAAAGAATGAAAGCCCCTGTGCCTTTGATGATGCCATTTGATTGATGATTCAGTCAGCTCTGAAACCACCATGTAGGAATTTTTGTACTAATTCTAGAAAATGACCCATCCCATTTTATCTGGGAAAGGGTCGTGGGATGGAGAGTGAATTGTGTGTGTGTGTGTGTGTGTGTGTGTGTGTAGGCACAAAGATTTTTACTGAGAACATAGTGTAGCAGCAGGTTATGAAAGCTCAAATTTTGGCAAATACCTTGTGGCAAGGAGTCCCTGGGAGTAGGCCGAGATCCTGAACAAAATGAAACATTTACTGGTCCTTCAAGGTAATGAAGACCAGCCACTGGGTGTAGTAATGTAGCTGGTCAGTGGCTTGAGAAGGGCCAGGCTAATGGACCAGAAGGAGTAGTACCATGAGAAACACTGATTTGGACCACAGAACCAAACTTACACCCATGGCCAGGAGCTGAGTCTCAAGGGCATCCATCCCATGAATAGAAACATTATGTTACTTGTGCTTCAAGATCTTGCTACCCACGCCTCTGTGAATACATGAGAGAACTGTTGTCCTTGCTGCACTCTAGGACCTCACCTTATCACTACCCTCTTGTCACATAAATGGAAACAATATGCTGTCTGTGCTTTGAGACCTTGTACCACAGTCATCTAGCCAACGTGTGAGAACTTTTAGCCACAGCACTTGAAGGAGTGCTTTTAGATCACCCTGGACATCTACTGGTGTCAGAGAGGAGCTCCTATGTCTACACTTTGTGACATGGACTGGGACATTTAGTACATCACCAGCTAGGGATAGGGGGCATAGACATTGTTACACCCTTGCAAACTGAAATACTAGGCTGTGATACCAACCTTATTATAAAAAGCAATGGCAGGCTGAGTGCGGTGGCTCACACCTGTAATCCCAGCACTTTGGGAGGCTGAGGCAGGCAGATCACCTGAGGTCAAGAGTTTGAGACCAGCCTGGCCAACGTGGTGAAACCCTGTCTCTACCAAAAACACAAAAATTAGCCCGATGTGGTGGCAGGCACCTGTAATCCCAGCTACTCGGGAGGCAGAGGCATGAGAATTGCTTGAACATGGGAGGCAGAGATTGCAGTGAGCCAAGATCCCACACTGCATTCCAGCCTGGGAGACAGAGTGAGACTCCATCTCCAAAAATAAAAAACCAATGACAATGTGGGTACTAAAACTATATGGCTGGACTTAATTATAAGGCAGTCATCCAAATCTAGAACATGCTTATAATTGTTGTATTTAGATTATTATCAAAAGAAAAATACAAAATTAAAATGTATTTGAAGAATTTATGAACAGCTGAGAATACATTTTTGGATCCCCAGAAGACCATGGACCCTAGTTTGAGAAACATTAGGTTAGGACAGTCTCAGAAGAGATTCTCAATATGAGAAGAAGTAATACTGAAACCTAAATTGGACTTTTCTTTGTGTGACATGAGGAGTGATGACTAAAGGCTTAATCTAATGTTTCTTAATATAGTATGCATAAGAATCACCTACAATGCTTGGTAAGATGTACATTCCTAGGCCCTACTCCCAGCAATTCTGATTCAGTAGTTCAGGCATGAGGTCCAGAAGTGTACATTTTACACAGGTGATTCTGATTCAGGTGTATCACAGATCATACTTTAAGAAACACTGAACCTGCCAACAAGAAATGGGCCACTAAAGTGGATACAGTCCCAAGAAGGAGAATTCTCCCCAATAATCATCTTCCATGGGACCAAGAGGGACAACAGGCCAGAGGAATTCTCCCAAGACAGAGCCAGAGTTGGGAGCAGAGAGATTGGTTGATCAAGGCACTCACTCTACTATCAGGGAAGAGGATCTTTGCTACCCCAGTGTAGTCAGGACTTTGGACTGGTAGTGACTGCTATGTGCTGTTTCCTCTTCCCTTTTCCAAATGGTAGGTGTCTTCTTGTTGTTGTTGTTGTTGGTTTGTTTTCAAATTAATGAACTTTATTTCTAGAGCAGTTTTAGGTTCATAGAAAAATTGAGCAGGAAGTACAGAGAGTTTCCATATACCATCTCATCCGTCTGCCAACTCCAAATGGTAGTTTTAATTTCAGTTATCTGGTTTTCCTTCTACTGTTGTGCACTGTCTATATTGGAGTTTGCTTAAAAGTATAATTTAAATATGGTTTGCCCAACCATGAGGACTGTATCATTTCAGATTTTTTTCAGTTAAAAGTGATAGAAGGCTGGGTGCGGTGGCTCATGCCTGTAATCCTAGCACTTTGGGAGGCTGAGGCTAGAGGATCACCTGAGGTCAGCGGTTTGAGACCAGCCTGGCCAACATGGTGAAACCCTGTCACTACTAAAAATACAAAAATTAGCCGGACGTGATGGTGAGTGCCTGTAATCCCAGCTACTTGGGAGGCTGAGGCAGGAGAATCACTTGAACCCAGGAGACAGAGGTTGCAGTGAGCTGAGATCGTGCCACTGCACTCCAGCCTGGGTGACAGAGTGAGACCCGTCTCAAAAAGAAAAAAAAAAAAAAGTAATAGAAAACCCACCAATACTGGCAAGCAAACAAATATTTTTTAATTTAACAGTTTTCTTGAGATTGAATTGATATGTATTAAATTGGACATATTTAGGTGTCCAATTTGGTATATATATATAATCACAATCAATTTATATATCCATCACCATCTGTATTAGTCAGGGTTCTCTACAGGGACAGAATTTTATGGATAGATGTATATCTGAAGGGAGTTTATTAAGGAGTATTGACTCACAGGATCACAAGGTGAAGTCTTAAAATAGGTTGTCTGCAACCTGAGAAGCAAGGATGCCAGTCAGAGTCCCAAAACCTTAAAAGTAGGGAAGCCTTCTTTTGTGCAGCCTTCAGTCTGTGGTCAAAGGCCTGAGAGCCCCTGGCAAACCACTGGTGTAAGTCGAAGAGTCCAAAGCTGAAGAACTTGGAGTCTGATGTTCGAGGGCAGGAAGCACCCAGCATGGGAGAAAGATGAAGGCCGGAAGACTCAGCAAGTCAAGTCCTTCCATGTTCTGCCTGCTTTAGTCTAGCCGCCCTGGCGGCTGATTAGATGGTGCCTACCCAGATTGAGGGTGGGTCTGCCGATCCCAGGCCGCTGACTCAAATGTTAATTTCCTTTGGCCACCCTCAAAGACACACCCAGGAACAATACTTTGCATCTTTCAATCCAATCAAGTTGACACTCAGTATTAACCATCATACCATCCAAAATTTCCTTGTGACCTTTTTTTTTGAGATGGAGTCTCACTTTGTTGCCCAGGCTGGAGTGCAATGACATGATCTCAGCTCACTGCAATCTCCGCCTCCTGGGTTCAAGTGATTCTCTTGCCTCAGCCTCCCAAGTAGCTGGGATTACAGGTGTGTGCCACGATGCCTGGCTAATTTTTGTGTATTTAGTAGAGACGGGGTTTCACCATATTGGCCAGGCTGGTCTCGAAGTTCCGACTTCAGGTGATCTGCCTGCGTCAGCCTCCCAAAGTGCTGGGATTACAGGCGTGAGCCACCACATCCAGTCCCTTGTGTCCTTTTGTAATCTCTCCCTCTCACCTTTGTCCCTCTGTCCCCATCCACAGAGAATCACTGATTTGCTTTCTGTCTCTATAGATTAATTTGCATGTTCTAGACTTTTTGATAAATTGAATCATGTAGTATAATAAGCAGTATTTTTTGTCTGGCTTTTTTCATTCAGCATACTTTATTATTCTGAGATTAGGTTTATTTATTCCTTTCTTTCTTTTTTTTTCTTTCTTTCTTTTTTTTTTTTTTTTCAGAAACGAGGTTGCCCAGCTCTGGCTGCTCTGTTGCCCAGCCGGGAATGCAGTGGTGCAATCAAGGCTTACTGTAGCCTTGACCTCCTGGGTTCAAGGGTCCCACCTCAGCCTCCCAAGCAGTGGGACTGCAGGCGCACACCACCACGCCTGGCTAATTAAAAAAAATTTTTTTTTTGTAGAGATGGACATCTCGCTATGTTGCCCAGACTGATCCCTAATTCCTGGCCTCAAGTGATCCTCCTGCTTCAGCCTCTCAAAGTGCTGGGATTGCAGGTACCAGCCACTGTACCTGGCCAGTAATTCATTTTATTACTGAGTAGAATTCCACTGTATGAATGTATCACAATTTGCTTATTAATTCGCCTGCTGAAGGACCTTTGTATTGTTTTCAGTTCAGGGTTATTAAAAATAAAGTGGCCATCAACATTCTTGTACAAGTCTTCATATGGAAACATAGTACTTTCATTTCTCTTGGGTAAATTCTTAAAAATAGAACGGTCAGGTCTTTAGCCCTCTCCCTCCCCCTCCCCCTCCCCATCCCCCTCTCCCCACGTTCTCCCTCTCCCTCTCCCTCTCTCTCCACGGTCTCCCTCTGATGCCGAGCCAAAGCTGGACTGTACTGCCACCATCTCGGCTCACTGCAACCTCCCTGCCTGATTCTCCTGCCTCAGCCTGCCGAGTGCCTGGGATTGCAGGCGCGCGCCACCACGCCTGACTGGTTTCCGTATTTTTTTGGTGGAGACGGGGTTTTGCTGTGTTGGCCGGGCTGGTCTCCAGCTCCTGACCGCGAGTGATCTGCCAGCCTCGGCCTCCCAAGGTGCCGGGATTGCAGGCGGAGTCTCACTCACTCAGTGCTCAATGTTGCCCAGGCTGGAGTGCAGTGGCGTGATCTCCGCTCGCTACAACCTCCACCTCCCAGCCGCCTGCCTTGGCCTCCCAAAGTGCCGAGATTGCAGCCTCTGCCCGGCCGCAACCCCGTCTGGGAAGTGAGGAGTGTCTCTGCCCCGCCGCCCATCATCTGAGATGTGGGGAGCGCTTCTGCCCCGCCACCCCATCTGAGATGTGGGGAGCGCCTCTGCCCCACCGCCCCATCTGGGATGTGAGGAGCGCCTCTGCCCGGCCGCGACCCCGTCTGGGAGGTGAGGAGCGTCTCTGCCCGGCTGCCCCGTCTGAGAAGTGAAGAGCCCCTCCGCCCGGCAGCCGCCCCGTCTGGGAAGTGAGGAGCGTCTCCGCCTGGCAGCCGCCCCGTCCGGGAGGTGGGGGGCAGCCCCCGCCCGGCCAGCCGCCCTGTCCGGGAGGGAGGTGGGGGGCAGTCCCCGCCTGGCCAGCCGCCCCGTCTGGGAAGTGAGGAGCCCCTCTGCCCGGCAGCCACCCCGTCTGGGAGGTGTACCCAACAGCTCATTGAGAACGGGCCATGATGACGATGGCGGTTTTGTTGAATAGAAAAGGGGGAAATGTGGGGAAAAGATAGAGAAATCAGATTGTTGCTGTGTCTGTGTAGAGGGAAGTAGACGTAGGAGACTCCATTTTGTTCTGTACTAAGAAAAATTCTTCTGCCTTGGGATGCTGTTAATCTATAACCTTACCCCCAACCCCGTGCTCTCTGAAACATGTGCTGTGTCCACTCAGGGTTAAATGGATTAAGGGCGGTGCAAGATGTGCTTTGTTAAACAGATGCTTGAAGGCAGCATGCTCGTTAAGAGTCATCACCACTCCCTAATCTCAAGTACCCAGGGACACAAACACTGCGGAAGGCCGCAGGGTCCTCTGCCTAGGAAAACCAGAGACCCTTGTTCACTTGTTTATCTGCTGACCTTCCCTCCACTATTGTCCTATGACCCTGCCAAATCCCCCTCTCCGAGAAGCACCCAAGAATGATCAATAAATACTAAAAAAATAAAAATAAAAAAAAATAGAATGGTCAAACCATGTGGCAGGTATATATGTAAGTTTTTAAAAAACAAACTGTTTTCCAAAGTTCCTGTATTATTTTATACTCCATTAGCAGTGTGTGAGAGTTCCAGTTCCACTGATTTGGTTAGCCTTTTTAATTTTAGTCATTCTAATAAGAGGGTATTGGTATTTCGTTGTGGTTTTAATTTTCATTTCCCTAATTCTAACGATGTGAAGTATCTTTTCATGTGCTTAAGTTCCATCTATATATCTTCCTTGGTGAAGTGTCTGGTCAAATCTTTTGCCTGTTTTTTAAAACTGTAATTGGGTTGTTTGCTTTCTATTACTGAGTTTTGCAAGTTCTTTACATACCGTAGATACCTGATGTTGCTTGGATGTTTGTCCCCTCCAAATTTCATGTTGAAATTTGATCCCGGCCGGGCGCGGTGGCTCACGCCTGTAATCCCAGCACTTTGGGAGGCCGAGGCGGGAGGATCACGAGGTCAGGTGATCGAGACCATCCTGGCTAACATGGTGAAACCCTGTCTCTACTAAAAAATACAAAAAATTAGCCAGGTGTAGTGGCAGGCGCCTGTAGCCCCAGCTACTCGGGAGGCTGAGGCAGGAGAATGGCGTGAACCCAGGAGCCGGAGCTTGCAGTGAGCCAAGATCAAGCCATTGCACTCCAGCCTGGGAGACAGAGTGAGACTCTGTCTCAAAAAAAAAAAAAAAAAAAAAGAAAGAAAGAAATTTGATCCCAAATGTTAGCAGTGGGTCCTGGTGGGAAGTGGTTGGATCATGCGGGCAGATCCCTTATAAACTATCCTTGCAGTAATGAGCGAGTTCTCACTGTATTAGTTCCTATGCGAACTGATTTTTTTTTATTATTTATTGATTTTTTTGTTTTCTGTAGAGATGGGGTCTCGCTCTGTTACCCAGGCTGGTCTTGTACTCCCAGGCTTAAGCTATCCTCCCACCTAGGCCTCCTAAAGTGCTGGGATGACAGGAGTGAGCCACTGTGCCTGGCAAAAACGGATTGTTAGAAAGAACTTGGCACGTCTTCTTCTCTCTCTTCCCTCATCTTTCACTATGTGATGCCTGCTCCTCTTTGCCATCTGCCATAAGTGGAAGCTTCCCAAGGCCTTCACCAGAAGCAGATGCTGATACCGTGCTTCTTGTGTAGCCAGCAGAACCATGAACCAGGTAAACCTTTTTAAAAATAAATTACCCAACTTCAGGTATTACTTTATAGCAACACAAATGGACTAAGACAGAAAACTGGTACCAAGAGTGGAATGTTGCTGTAAAGATACCTGAAGATGTAGAAGCAGCTTTGGAGTCAGGAAATAAGCAGAAGTTGGAAAAATTTGAAGGCTTCAGAAGACAGGAAGTCCACGGAATGTTTGGAATTATTAGGGACTGGTCAAGTGGTTGTAACCAAAATACTAGTAGAAATATGGACAGGAGAGGTCAAGCTGACGAAGTCTCAGATGGAAATGAGGAAGTTATTGGGAACTGGAGCAAAGGTCACACTTGTTATGCCTGAGCAAAGAACTTGAGTGCATTATGTCCATGCCCAGGGGCTTTGTGGAAGACCAAACTTAAGAGCAATGACCAGCCGGGCACGGTGGCTCGCACCTGTAATCCCAGCACTTTGGGAGGCCAAGGCGGGCGGATCACAAGGTCAGGAGATCAAGACCATCCTGGCTAACACGGTGAAACCCCGTCTCTACTAAAAATACAAAAAGTTAGCCGGGCGTGGTGGCATGCGCCTGTAGTCCCAGCTACTCGGGAGGCTGAGGCAGGAGAATCACTAGATCCTGGGAGGCAGAGGTTGCAGCGAGCCGAGATCATGCCACTGCACTCCAGCCTGGGCGACAGAGTGAGACTCCGTCTTGGAAAAAAAAAAAGAGCAATGACCTTGGGCTTATGGCAGAAGAAATTTCTAAGCAGCAAAGCATTCAAAAAGCAATGCAGCTGTTTCTAAAAGCAGATGATCATATATGGAAGTAAAAGAATGACTGGCCGGGCTCCTTGGCTCGTGCTTGTAATCCCAGCACTTTGGGAAGCTGAGGCAGGTGGATCACCTGAGGTCAGGAGTTTGAGACCAGCCTGCTAACATGGTGAAACCTTGTCTCTACTAAAAATACAAAAATTAGCTGGGCATGGTGGTGGGCACCTGTAATCTCAGCTACTTGGGAAGCTCAGGCAGAAGAATCACTTGAACCCAGGAGGCAGAGGTTGCAGTGAGCTGAGACAGCACCATTGCACTCCAGGTTGGGTGACAAGAGCTAAACTCCATCTCAAAAAAAAAAAGAAAGAATGACCTAAAGTTGGAACTTATAATTAAAAGGGAAACAGAGCATAAAAGTTTGGAAAATTGCAGCCTGGCCATGTGGTAGAGAAGGAAAAAGCATCTTCATAAGGGAAATCCAAGGGTGCTGGAGAACAACCACTTGCTAGATAGAGGATAAAAGGGAGCCAGGTGCTAATAGTCAAGACAATGGGATAAAGGTCTCCAAGCCATTTCAGAAGACTTCCAGTCCACCCCTCCCATCACAGGCCCAGAGGGCTAGGGAGACAGAATGGTTTTGGAGGCTAAGCTGGGGCACCACTGCCCTGTGCCACTTTCAAACGTTGCTCCCTGCATCTGTGCTGCTGAGACTCCAGCTGCAGCTCAAACAGCCCCAGGAGCGACTCCCACCACTCCAGAGAATGCAAGCCATGAACCTTGGTGGCTTCTATGTGGCGTTAAGTCCACAGGTGCGCAGAATGCAAGAGCCACGGAGGCTTGGCAGCTTCCCCCTGGATTTCAGAGGTTGTATGGAAAAGCCTGGGTGTCCAGGCAGAAGCCTGCCACAGGGGCAGAGCCCCCACAGAGAGACTCTACTAAGCCAGTGCTGAGGGGAAATGTGGGGTTGGAGCCACCACAAAGTGTCCCCACCAGGGCACTGCCTAGTAGGGCTGTGGGAATGGGGCTGCTGCCCTCCAGACCCCAGAATAGCAGAGCCACTGGCAGCGTGCAATCTCAGCCTGGAAAACTCACAGCCATTCAACTTCAACCCCTGAGAGCAGTCACATGGGCTGTGCTCAGCAAAGCCATAGAGGTCGCACTGCCCAAGGCTTTGAGGGCCCACCCTTTGCATCTGTGTGCCCTGAATGTGGGACATGGAATCAAGGATTATTTTGGAGCTTTAAGATGTAATGTCTGTTCTGCTGGGTCTCAGACTTGTGTGGGGCCTGTTGCTCCTTTCCTGTGGCTGATTTCTCCCTTTTGGAATGGGAATATTTACCCAATGCCTGTACCACCATTGTATTTTAGGAGTAAATAACTTGTTTTTGATCTTACCTGGTAGGAACTTGCCTTGAGTCTCAGGTGAGACTTTGCACTTTGGACTTTTGGGTTGGTGCTCAGGCCTGTAATCCCAGCAGTTTGGGAGGCCGAGGAAAATGGATTGCTCAAGTCCAGGAGTTCAAAACCAGCCTGGGCAACATGGAGAAACCCCATCTCTACTAAAAATACAAAAAACATTTAGCTGGGTGTGGTGGTGCACACCTGTAGTCCCAGCTACTTGGGCTGAGGTGAGAGAATCACCTGGGCCCGGGAGATTGAGGCTGCAGTGAGCCAAGATTACACCCCTGCACTCCAGCTTGGGCAACCAGAGTGAGACCCTGTGTCAAAAAACAACAACAACAAAAAACAACCTTTGGTGACTATTAGGAAGGAATTATTGTATTTTGCAATGTGAGAACGACATGAGATTTGGGTAGCCAGGGGCGGAATGATATATTCGGATATGTTAAAATTTGATACCTAATATTGAGGTTGAGGCCTGGTGGGAGGTGTTTGGATCCTGGGATGGCTCTTTATGAGCCATCCTCATGGTCAGGAGTCAGTTCTCGCTGTATTAGTTCCTATGAGTACTGATTGTTAACAAAGAGCCTGGCACTTCCTTCTTTCTCTCTTCCCTCCTCTCTTATCATGTGATGCTGCCCCCTCTTTGCCTTCCTCCATGATTGGGAGCTTCCTGGAAGCTTCCTGAAGCCCTCACTGGAAGCAGGTGCTGGCGCCATAGTTTTTGTTTTGTTTTGTTTTTTTGTTTTTTTGTTTGACAGGGTCTCGCTCTGTCACCCATGCTGGAGTGCAGTGGCATGGTCATAGATCACAACAGCCTCAAACCCTTGGGCTCAAAGGATCTTCCTACCTCAGCCTCCCAAGTAGTTAGGACTACAAGGCACGTGCCACCACACCTGGTTAAATTTTTTGTTTGTTTGTTTGTAGTGACAGCCTTTTGCTATGTTGCCAGGGCTGGTCTTGAACTCCTGGGCTCAAGCAATCCTCCTGCCTCCCAAAGTGCTGGGATTACAGGCATGAGCCACCACGCCCAGCTGAGTGCGCCATGCTTGTTGTACAGCCTGTAGAACCATGAGTCAAATAATCCTCTTTTCTTTATAAATTACCCAGCCTCAGGCATTCCTTTATAGCAACACAGACTAGAACATCCCACTTATCTGCAGTTTCACTTTCTGCAGTTTCAGTTATCTGAGATCAACTGAAGTCCAAAAATATTAAATGGAAAATTCCAGAAATAAACAACTCATATGTTTTAAATTTTGTGCCATTCTGAGTAGCATGATGAAATCTTACGCTGTTCTGTTTTGTCCTGCCTTTGGCTGTGAATCATCCCCTTGTCCAGCATATCCATGCTGTCTATGCTACCTCCCCACCCCATTAGTCATTTAGTAGCTAGCTTGGTTATCAGATGGAAAAAACATAGTATACATATGGTTCAGTACTATTCCTAGTTTAAGGTGTCCACTGGGGGTCTTAGAACATATTACCTGTGAATAAGGTGGGACTACTGTATTCCGGATTCAAGTTCTTTATCAAATATATAATTTGCAAATATTCATTCCCACTCTGTATGTCCTTTCATTCTTTTAACAGTGTCTTTCAAACAGTAGAATTCTTTATTTGATGAAGTGAGAATTTTTGACTCATTGTTTTAGTTAGAATGCCTAACAGAAAACATAACTCAATAAGAAAACAATAATTAACTATAAGAAAATTTTATTAGCCAGGCGCGGTGGCTCACGCCTATAATCCCAACACTTTGGGAGGCTGAGGTGGGTGGATCACCTGAGTGGGAGTTCGAGACCAGCCTGACCAACATGGAGAAACCCTGTCTCTACTAAAAATACAAAATTAGCTAGGCATGGTGGTGGCACATGCCTGTAATCCCAGCTACTCAAGGGGCTGAGACAGGAGAATTGCTTGAGCCTGGGAGGCAGAGGTTGCAGTGAGGCGGGATTGTGCCATTATACTCCAGCCTGGGCAACAAGAGTGAAACTCTGCCTCAAAAAAAAAAAAAAAAGGAAAGAAAAAGAAAATTTTATTATCTCCAACTTATTATAATACAGGTTGAGTATCCTTTATCTGAAGTCCTTGGGGCCAGAAGTGTTTTGGATTTCAGATTTTATAATATTTGCATTATACTTTCCAGCTGAGCATCCCTAATTTAAACATCCAAAAATTTGAAATGCTCCAGTGAGCATTTCCTTTGAGTGCCAAATCAGTGCTCAAAAAGTTTCAGATTTTGGAGCATTTCAGGTTTTGAATTTTTGGATTAGGAATACTCTACCTGTAATAAATTCTGAAGTAGGATGACTCCACTGTTGGTTAATTTAGCTTCTCAGCAATATTATCAAGGACCCAGATTCTTTTTTTCAATCTTTCTGCTCTGCCATCCTCAGGCTCCTGGTACTCTTCAGGCTAGTCACCTCATAGTTGCAAGGTGGCTGCTGAAGTTCCTTGCATCACATCCAGACATGCAGTAGAGAAAGGAAGAATCTAGACCATCTTTTCTATCTGTCTTTCATTAAGAGTGAGGAAACCTTTCTTAGAGGAAGCCCAGAAGACCTTTACTCACATCTCATTGACCAGCACTGGGTCACATAACCATCTACAAACTAGACTAGCATAAACCCCTTATATCAGGGGTTGCCAAACTACTGCTAGTGGGCCAAATCCAGCCTGCTGCCTGTTTTTGTACAGCCTATGGTATAACAGTGGTTTTTATATTTTTAGGTGGTTAAAAGAATTAAATGAAGGATAATATTTTGTGACGTGTGAAAATTATGTGAAACTCAAGTTTCAGTGTCCAGAGAAAGGAAGGGGAACCTGCATGTGCAGATCACATGGCAAGATAGAAATAAAGAAAGAAAGAAAGACAGGAGTAGGCGTCAGGCTTTTCTCTTTCTTTCTTTCTTTTTCTTTCTTTGTCTTTCTTTCCCTCCCTTCCTTCCTTCCTTCCTTCCTTCCTTCCTTCCTTCCTTCCTTCCTTCCTTCCTTTCCTTCCTTCCTTTCTTTCTCTCTCTCTCTCTCTCTTTCTTTCTTTCTTTCTTTCTTTTCAGATGGAGTCTTGCTCAATTGCCCAAGCTGGAGTGCAGTGGCATGATCTCAGCTCACTGCAACCTCTGCCTCCTAGATTCAAGCAATTCTCCTGCCTCAGCCTCCCGAGGAGCTAGGATTACAGGCGTGCACCACCATGCCTGGCTAATTTTTGTAACTTTTAGTAGAGATGGGGTTTCTCCATGTTGGCCAGGCTGGTCTTGACCTCAGGGTGAGCCCCCCAACCTCACCTCCCAAAGTGCTGGGATTACAGGCATGAGTCACTGTGCCCAGCCAGTGTCAGGCTCTTTTCAACAAGCAGTTCTTATGGAAACTAAGAGTGACAACTCCGTCACTCCTGCAAGAATGGCACCAAGCCATTCATGAAGGGTCCACCCCGAGGATCTAAACAACTCATACCAGGTCCCACCTTCAACAATGGGGATCATAGACCAGACGCAGTGGCCCACGCCTGTAATCCCAGCGTTTTGGGAGGCCGAGGCAGGTGGCTCACCTGAGGTCAGGAGTTTGATACCAGCCTGACCAACATGGTGAAACCCTGTCTCTACTAAAAATACGAAAATTAGCTGGGCCTTGTGGCTTGGGCCTGTAATCCCAGCTACTCAGGAGACTGAGGCAGCAGAATCTCTTTAACCTGGGAGGCGGAGGCAACTTCTGTAGACAGCCAAAGACAGAAAATCAGACAGTCATGTGCCAGCGTAATGTTGTTTTGGTGAAGAATAGGCCACATATACTATGGTGGTCCCCTAAAATTATAATGGAGCTAAAAAATTCCTATCACCTAGTGACGTCTTGATGATCCTGACCCTGTGTTGGTCTAGGCTAATGTGTGTGTTTGTGTCTTTGTTTTTAACAAAACAGTTTAGAAAGTAAAAAAATTAAAAATATAAAAAAACTTATAGAATAAGAATATAGAGAAAATATTTTTGTATAGCTATACAATGTATTTGTGTATGCTGTAATAATTTTGTAATCACCACTATTGAGGTGAGCTCAAGTATTGCAAGTATCTGCTTAAAATGCCATGTGACACTAATCATCTCCATGTGAGTAATTCATATCTCCAGTAAAAAGTGATCCCTCATAGTTCTTGCATATTTTTCGTAATATTTACTGCAATACTGTAAACCTTGAGTAACAGTATGGAACCCATATGGGGTGCCACTAATGATGCTGGAACTGTCCCCAGGAAGCAGAGAAAAGTCATGACATTACAAGAAGAAGTTGAACTGCTTGATGTGTTCTGTAGATTGAGGACTTCAGCTGCTATTGCCTGTCATTTCAAATAAATCCAGTGTAAGGATAATTGTAAAAAAAGAGAGAGAGAGAAAAGTAAAAACCAACAGCTGTGAAAACCTTGTACCTTCTGTGAAATACCCTTTTATCTTCTATTGAAAATGCAGCTTTTTTTTTTTTTTTTGAGATGGACTCTCACTTTGTCGCCCAGGCTAGAGTGCAGTGGCGCCATCTCGGCTCACTGCAAGCTCCGCCTCCCGGGTTCACACCATTCTCCTGCCTCAGCCTCCCCAGTAGCTGGGACTACAGGCGCCCGCCACCATGCCTGGCTAATTTTTTGTATTTTTAGTAGAGACGGGGTTTCACTGTGTTAGCCAGGATGATCTCGATCTCCTGACCTCATGATCCTCCTGCCTCGGCCTGCCCAAGTGCTGTGATTACAGGCGTGAGCCACTGTGCCCGGCCCCGAAAATGCAGCTTTTATGTGGGTGCAGGATTCCTGTAAGAAAGTGATATGTATAGATTCTAATATGATGTGAGAAAAAGTGAAGTCATTATATGGCAACATAAGCAAAAGGAAGGTGGAAGATCTAAGCTGAACAATTCATTGCCAGCAAAGGATGAAACCATAATTTTGGAAAGAGTTTTGTTGTTGTTGTTGTTGTTTGAGACGGAGTCTTGCTCTTGTCGCCCAGGGTGGAGTGCAGTGGCGCGATCTCGGCTCACTGCAACCTCTGCCTCCCAGGTTCAAGCGATTCTCCTGCCTCAGCCTCCCGAGTAGATGGGATTACAGGTACCCGCAACCACACCTGGCTAATTTCTGTATTTTTAGTAGAGACGGGGTTTCGCCATGTTGGCCAGGGTCGTCTCAAACTCTTGACCTCGTGATCTGCCCGCCTCGGCCTCCCAAAGTGTTGGGATTACAGGCATGAGCCACCGCAGCTGGCAAGAGTTTTGGTTTTAAAAATATTAAGATAACAGGAGAAGCAGATTCTGCTGACCAAGAGGCAGCAGACGAGTTCCCAGATGCCATTTAGAAAATCATTGAGGAGGCCAGGCGTGGTGGCTCACGCCTGTAATCCCAGCACTTTGGGAGGCCAAGGCAGACAAATCACCTGAGGTCGGGAGTTCGAGACCAGCCTGACCAACATGGTGAAACCCCGCCTCTGCTAAAAATACAAAAGTTAGCAGGGTGTGGTGGCATGCACCTGTAACCCAGCTACTCGGGAGGCTGAAGCAAGAGAATCGCTTGAACCTGGGAGGCAGAGGTTGCAGTGAGCCGAGATTGCACCACTGCACTCTGGCCTGGGTGACAGAGTGAGGCTCCATCTCAAAAAAAAAAAAAAAAAAAAAAAAAAAAAAGAAACGAAGAAAGAAAGAAAATCATTGAGGAGAAAGCATATCTGCCTGAACAGGCTTTTAATGAAGGTGAAAGTGCCCTATTCTAAAGAAAAAAAAAAAGCCACAAATCGCATATCACATCTACTAGTAAGGAAGAGAAGTGAGTACCAGGATTTTTAAGGCAGGAAGGGATAGGCTAACTCTCCTGTTTTGTGTAAATGTAGTTGAGTTTATGATCAGAACTGCCCTTATCTTTTTTTTTTTTTTTTTTTTTTGAGACGGAGTTTAGCTCTTGTTGCCCAGGCTGGAGTGCAATGGTGTGATCTCGGCTCACTGCAACCTCCGCCTCCCGGGTTCAAGTGATTCTCCTGCCTCAGCCTCCCGAGTAGCTGGGATTACAGGCATGCACCACTATGCCTGGCTAATTTTTTGTATTTTTAGTAGAGACGGAGTTTCTCCGTGTTGGTCAGGCTGGTCTTGAGCTCCCGACCTCAGGTGATCCATCCGCCTCGGCCTCCCAAAGTGTTGGGATTACAGGCGTGAGCCACTACGCCGGGCCTGCCCTTATCTATTAATATAAAGCTACTAATCCCTGAGCCTTGAAAGGAAAAGATAAACACCAGCTACCAATCTTTTGTTTGCACAACAAGAAGGTCTGAGCAATGAGAACCCTTTTTCTGAATTGGTTCCATCGAAACTTTGTCCCTGAGGTCAGGAAGTACCATGCCAATCAGGGATTGCCTTTTAAAGTTCTTTTGATATTGGACAATGCCCCTGGTGTCCCAGCACTCCATGAGTTCATCAACAAAGGCACTGGAGTGGTCTACTTGCCCTCAAACACAGCATCTCTAATTCAGCCTCTAGATCAGGGGATCATAAGGACCTTTAAGACTATTACATGCAGTACCCTATGGAAAGGATTGCTCTATGGAAGAGAACCCAGATAGAACATCATGAAAGTCTGGAAGGATTACACCATTGAAGATGCCATCGTTGTTATAGAAAAAGCTATGAAAGCCATCAAACCTGAAATAATAAATTCCTGCTGGAAAAAAACTGTCTAGATGTTGTGCAAGAGTTAACAGGGTTTATGACAGAGCCAATCAAGGAAATCATGAAAAAGATTGTCAATACAGCAAAAAGGTGGGGGGTGAATAGTTTCAAGATATGGATCTTGGAAAAATTCAAGAGCTAATAGACACCACACCAAAGGAAATAACAGAAGACATCTTGATGGGGATGAGTGCTTCTGAACCAGTACCAGACGATGAGGAAGAAGACGTAGAAGCAGTGCCAGAAAACTGACATTAGACAATCTGGCAGAAGGTTTCCGATTATTCAAGAATACTTTTGACTTCTTTTATGACATGGACCCTTCTATGACATGGGCACTGAAACTAAAGCAAATGGTGGAAGAAAGACTGGTATTGAATAGAAACATTTTTAGAGAAATGAAAAAGCAAAACAGTCAGACAGAAATTATGATGCATTTCTGTAAAGTTACAGAATGTACTTGCCTCTCCTGCCTCCCCTTCCACCTCCTCCAACTCTTCAGCCTTTGTCACGCATGAGACAACAAGACCAACCCCCCTCTTCTTCCTCCTCCTCAGTCTACTCATTGTGAAGATAACAAGGATGAAGACCTTTATGATGATCCACTTCCTCTGAATGAATAGTAAATATGTTTTCTCTTCCTTAAGATTTTCTTAATGACATTTTCTATCCTGTAGCTTATTTTATTGTAAGAATACAGTATATAATACATATAACATACAAACTATGTGTTAATCAACTGTTTATGTTATCAGTAAGGTTTCTAATCAACAGTAGTTAAGTTTTTGGGGAGTCAAAAGTTATATGTGGATTTTTGAGTGTGTGGAGGTCAGTACTCTAACCCCTACATTGTCCGAGGGTGAACTGTAATTTGCAATTTTCTAAAGTTACCTCCTATTTATTGCAACAAGTCCATTTCAATGTGGCTGGATGTGGTGGCTCATGCCTGTAATCCCAGCATTTTGGGAGGCCGAGGCAGCCCGATCACCTGAGGTCGGGAGTTCGAGACCAGCCTGGCCAACATGGTGAAACCCCGTCTCTACTAAAAATACAAAAATTAGCCAGACCTGGTGGCTGGCACCTGTAATCCCAGGTACTCGGGAGGCTGAGGCAGAATTGCAATGTACCCAGGAAGTGGAGGTTGCAGTGAGCCGAGATCGCGTTGTTGCACTCCAGCCTGGGTGACAAGAGTGAAACTCTGTCTCAAAAAAAGAAAAAAAGGAAATGTTTTCTCAGAATTGTCCCCTCTCTTAAATTTTTGAGTCTTTTCATGAGCTCACGATTTGTCTCTGACTGCTCATTCTGAAGAGGGGACTTAATGTTTGTCTATTACTGGCATTAGAGACAGGTTCTCTCTGAGATGGTATTTCAGACAAAGGAGAAAAGAGAAAGTTCATATTTTCTGTAGTTTTATTTTTCTATGTTGGGGGATTCAACTGTGACATGAGGAATATGACATGAGCTACCAAAATGTAGTTATATGCCAGGGATTTTAACTGTTTTTTGAAATGATGAGCTTTCTCCCCTCAAGTAGTCTGTGGGCCAGTGCAATGTTGTGTAGTTCCCAATGTTTCTCATGACTTGAATTTTCTCCTTAGAGTGAGATTTCCTTCCATTTTTGCCTCAGGCTCCTGCTGTCTGAGGTTTGGAGTTCCTGTGTCAGATCATAAGTGTAATTGCCCATGGAAAATAGGGAGCTCATGGTACAAGAACCTTCCTGATGTGCCAATGTTTATTATGATAGCCTGCAGTAAATTGGGGCATAATACCCCTCCTCTAACTGGTTCAACGACCTTCTTTAGGATCTTGCTGTGGTGATGCCTCCCACTTTTCATGCCATCTGCAGCAAATGAAGGCTGGGGTCAGGCTTCAGCTAGTTGGTCCCGATGTGAAATGCTGGGACAGTTATTACAATCCGTTGGGTCCCTCTGTGGCATCTCTCTGCTCCCAGTTCCTGCTGCTAACTTTGAACATTTCCAAATCTTTTCTGGGGAATAGCCCTCTTACCTTTTAAATGAGCCCTACTGGCTGGGCGCGGTGGCTCATGCCTGTAATCTGAGCACTTTGGGAGGCCAAGGCAGGCGGATCACCTGAAGTCAGGAGTTCGAGACCAGCCTGGCCAACATGGTGAAACCCTGTCTCTACTAAAAATATAAAAAAATTAGCTAGGCGTGGTGGTGCATGCCTGTAATCCCAGCTACTCCGGAGGCTGAGGCAGAAGAATTGCTTGAACCTGGGAGGCAGAGGTTGCAGTGAGCCGAGATCACGCCACTGCACTCCAGCCTGGGCGACAGAGCAAAACTCCGTCTCAAAAAAGTAAATACATAAAATTTTAAAAAACTGAGCCCTACTTTGCCTGTGTTGAATTGTATGTTAGTTGCTGCTTTTATCAAACTGTCTTTTAGATGTTTTATAAAGTTTCTGATATATTCGTTGTTAACTGAGAAAGACTTTTTCCCATTTTACACTTCTATGGTTATTTCAATCAGAGATTATGAAAGAAAGAGACTTAAACATGTGTGTTGAAATCATTATCTTCTCTGCATACCAAAGTGCTTAGGGATGATGTATACTGATGTCTCCAACTGACTTTGAAATGCATCAAAATAAGATAAGTTGATGGATAGATATATGTGATAAAACAAATATAGCTAAATATTAATTCTAGAATCCAGGTGATGAGTATGAGTGTTCACTATATAATATCTATAATTTGTTATATATTTGAACAATATCATAATACAATGTTGAAACATCATTATCTTTAAACTGGAAATCAATTCTTTTTTTTTTTTGATACAGAGTCTCACTCTGTTGCCCAGGCTGTAGTGCAGTGGCATGATCTCGGCTCACCGCAACCTCCACATCCTGGGTTCAAGTGATTCTCCTGCCTCAGCCTCCTACGTAGCTGGGACTACAGGCGCCTGCCACCATGCCTGGCTAATTTTTTTGTATTTTTAGTAGAGAGGGGGTTTCACCATGTTGGCCAGGTTGGTCTCGAACTCCTGACCTCAGGTGATCCGCCCGCCTCAGCCTCCCAAAGTGCTGGGATTACAGGCGTGAGCCACCATGCCTGGCCTGGAAATAAATTCTTAAACTTAACTTCGCTTCACATTTGTTTGGAGAACATCTTCAAGTAATTTTCACAAGAAGGTACTGGTGATGTATATTTTCTGAGCCTATGATTATCTTTTGCCTTCTTAAAACGTCTCTACTTGAATTATGCCCTCTGTCATACAATCAGTATTTCCCTCTCAACTAGATTTTTGCCATACCCTAGCTTCTCTAAACTTAACAATCATCCTTTGAGTCCTTCTGCAGATACTTCCACATTAGGGGATGTGCCAGCCTTTCTTGTTCACAGATACATCCCCGAGCCTAGAATAATGCCTAGGCCTTATTAGTCATTTAGTAACTATTTGTGGAGTGAATAAATGAATATCTCTGTTGTTCTTAATGAGCCACACTTCTAAAAATGGTTGTCTGTACTCTTCTTTATTGCTACCACCTCTTGACTTCCCTTATCACCCCCTTTAAATTTGGTTTCTACCCCCATAACTCAACTGAAATGGCTCTTGTCAATATGACTGATGGACTCCATATTGCCAAATCCAATGGCCATCTTACTGCCTTCTAATTCCTACTTTCAACAGGATTTGACACAGTTTACCACTCCTTCCTTCTTGAAATGTTTTCTCCCTCAGCTACTGTGACGCTACAGACACAGAAGGTTTGTAGGTTTGCCTCTTGTACTTCTTTATGATTTCCCTTCCTCTACACTTTGGAGCTCCTCAAGACTTGCTCCTGAACCCTCTTCTCTCTCTAAATGTATGCCCCTAAGTGATTTCATTCAGTCTCATAGATTCCTAATTTAAACTCTCTAGCCCATACCACTCCTCCAAGATCTAGATTAATACATCCAACTGCCTAGTGACATCTCTGCTAGGATGTCTCATAGACATTTCAAATCTAACATGTGAAAATGCTGATTTTTCTCTCCCCTCTCCTTGAAGCCCAGCTTTGCCCCAGTCTTCTCCAGCTCAGAAAATGCCAGAGATATTTAATGGTTTTACTTGATTTCTTTCTTTTTCTCACTCCTCATAATCCAATAGTAAATTTATCTAATTCTATTTCTAACGTATACCTCAGATCTGTCTGTGTCTATCCCACTCCACTGCCATCACTGTAGTCCAAGCTACCCTCTGTGTCCTGGAATAATGCAACAGTCTTCCAGCAAGTGTTTGTGCTTCATCCTTGCCTCCATATAGGCCAAGCTCTACAGAGCAACCAGAATTAACATTTTAATCTTATTTCTGGACTTCCAGTTCTTGCCAATGTGGAATAATCCCATTCCTTCCTGGTCTTCCTTCTTAAAACTGGCAAACCTTGGACAGAACTCAACAAACAAGCATGGGAAGGCTCTGAAAAGTAGAAAGAAGAAGGCACACTGCCCTGGGATCTTATGACTTGAGGAATGACACAGCAGTGAGTTCCCTGGGTTTCCTTAGTGCTCCTCATATTTCTTGATTGGTGAGGGTGCTGGTGATGCTTCCAACCCCAAATTGCCAACAGCACACACAAAAAAGCTCCAAGAAAAACCTCTCCCATCTAGTCAAAAGGCCAGGAAAATGGTGGCCTAATTGCAGAAAACTTTTTGGCTTTTGTCCTTAACCTATTATCTGCATGTGGTGGCCCCAGTTCTGGACATCGATCTCCCATGCAATCACATTCAAAGACAGGAAAGAAAAAAATTTTCCTTTGTATCAGAGAGAGAAATCTTTCCAAGAAATCTCACAGCGGACTCCTTGGGTCCCATTGGCCAGTATTGGGTCCACCGCCTAGTTGCAAAGTGAATGTTTAGCTTTCTCAGCCTCTATGATGAAAAGTGGTCTAAGAATTTTTGGGTCTTTCTCATGAATTCTTTGTGTAAAATCAGAAAAGCTGACTGTCCGTAGGGACCACTCATGAGCTCCCCAGTGTTCAAAGAGCTGCAATGATCCTATCTTCAGACACAAAAGCTTTTGACAAAAACATCCTTTCCACTCTCCTGTGCACTTAATTATGGTCCAGTGCTGTGCTCTTCGAATGCCTCTTCCTGCTCTTCAGAACTGTTGGAGGGACCCATCTGCCTCCTGCATCCTCTCTGTGGCCAACTAGGAATCATTTGATGAATTTTGGTGACTTCCATAAAAAGAAGATACTTCAGAACTGAAATCACCATGAGGAGGGAGGCAAAAAGGCGCACTCATGCTGTTCTCCAAGGAATCTATGATTTCCCACATCAAACACACAGCCAGGGAATTGTTCCTGGAGGCTGTGGCCACATGGGTCATGGATAAGCGGAGAATGTATCTTCCAGAAGAATTACACATGCAGAGAATGTACTCATGTTTTTCCTATAACAGATGAGTCCCTTTCTAGGGAAGAAGATCCTTACACTCAACCAGATGGCTCCAGTGGTTCTCAACCTGGTTTTCAGTTCATCTTTACTAAACATTATGTTATGTCTTCCTAAGAAGAAGACGTGTCTGAAAGCATCCGGTGTTATTGTGGTTTAATACTCAGGATGAATTTAAAAAGCCAGAATAACCACCTTCTGGTGTATCCTGATATATTGGCTTTGAAGGATTCCAGAGAGTGTCAGCCTACGTAGGACAGTCCAGGATTATTAATTGTTTCCAATTCAAGTCCCTTGAAGATCAGCAGGTTCCCCAAGAGGCTTTCTTCTGATATTTACTTATCTGCCTCAAGACCAACCTGCCAAGGAAAACACAATGGCCTTTCATTCCCTCCCAGATATCTCATTCTGGATGGCAGGGGGAAGATATGAATACAATCCCACCTGGAGGACTTTCACAAGAGATCCAGTTCATTCAAGTTCCAAAGAGAGTCATTGATAAGCTAATGTCTGCCTCCTGGAAGTTCCATCCCCCAACCCTAAAAATATTGACTACCCCTCAATATTACCTTCCTTCCCCCATCTCCCTGGCTCCTGTGAAGAAGGGTATGGGGGCATCTGGCCATCCTTGGATTGTTGAGTCATTGCTCTCCTGTGATTTACCCCCTTGCATGTTCATTAAATATGCATGTGTTTTCATCCTAGGAACAAAAAAAAAAAAAAGAAAAAAAAGTGGTCTAGACTGTTAACAAAGAAAAGAAATGAAATGACTGGGGCAGGAAACCAATAGTGAGTGATTGTCATATCTTCTAAATTAGGTTGTCCCATGTTGTTCTGAATCATGACTATTTGTTTTCTTCTTGGACACTATCTCAGTTTTAAGTTATTTATTCATTTATGTCTTTGCTTTTTTTTTTTTTTTGAGACGGACTTTCACTCTTGTTGCCCATGCTGGAGTGCAATGGCGCGATCTCGGCTCACTGCAACCTCCACCTCCCGGGTTCAAACGATTCTCCTGCCTCAGCTCCCGAGTAGCTGGGATTACAGGCATGCACAACCACGCCTGGCTAATTTTGTATTTTTTTTTAGTAGAGACGGGGTTTCTGCATGTTGGTCAGGCTGATCTCGAACTCCTGACCTCAGGTGATCCGCCCGCCTCGGCCTCCCAAAGTGCTGGGATTACAGGTGTGAGCCACCGCACCTGGCCTACTTTTAAATTATAAGTCTACCCCACAAGACTTTTTTGGGCTTCACAAGGTCAGGAAACATATCTGCATTGTGAACTGTTTTATCTCCAATAGCTAGCACATTGTCTAGCATGGAGTAGGAGCTCAAATATCTTACAGAATAAATGAATGAAACTGAACACATCTTTTTTTTTTACTTTACATATGAAAGAATCTTTCTAAGTATAAAATTCTTGGGTCACAACCATTTCCGTCAAAAACTATAGACATAGATCTCTTGTCTTTTGGAATTTAGTATTACAGGGAAGGTCAGCTTGATTTGTAAGCAACCTGTTTTGTCTTCTAAAGAAACTTTTTATTTTGAAAGAATTATAGATTCACAGAAAGTTAAAAAGATAGTACAAAGAGATCAAGTATATCCTTACCCTGTTTCCCCCATTGACATTAGTATAAAGTATGTAGATATGTGTTGCCACCACTGCAGTCAACATACAATACTATTCCATAACCACAAAGATCCCCTGGTGCTATGCCTTTTTAGTCATACCTAGCCCTTCCCCATCCCCTACTATCCTAAAAGCCTTCAGCCACTAATCTATTCTACATCACTATTGTTTTGTCTTTCCAAGAGTATTATGTAAATGGATCATACATGTGTGGCCTTTTGTGATTAGTTTTTTTCATTCAGCATAATGCCCTTGAGAGCCATCCAAATTGTAGCATGCATCAATAGTTCACTCCTTTTTATTCTTGAGTAGGATTCTATTGTATGGATGTACTAGAGTTTGTTCAGCCATTCAGTCATTGAAAGATGTTCTGGTTGTAGCTGTTGTAAACATTTGTGTACAGGTTTTTGTGTGAACATAATTTTTAATTTCTTTGGGATAAATGTTTAAGAGTACAGTTCCTGGATCATATCAAAATTGCATGATTAGTTTTATAAGAAACTGTCATACTTTTTGAGAGTGGCTGTACCGTTTTACATTCCCACCAGCATTCCCATCATCAGAGATCCGGTTTCTCCATATCCTTGCCAGCATTGGGTTTGTCACTATTTTTTTTATTTCAGCTGTTGTAATAGGTGTGTAGTCATCTTCATTTCCATTTCCTTAATGGCGTTGAATGTCTTTTCATATGCTTATGTGCCATCCATACATCCTCTTTAGTGAAACTCTCCTTTGATATATTTTGTCTACCTTCTAATTGAATCGTTTATTTTGCACAATTGAGTTTTGAGGTTTCTTTATAAATTTTAGATATGTCTTTAGCAGATATGTGATTTGCAAATGTTTTCTCCCAGTCCATAGCTTACCTTTTCATCCTCTTGCCAAGGTGTTTTGCAGAGAAAAATTTTAAAATTTTGATGAAGTGCAATTTGTTGATATTTTCCTTTTACAGATCATGCTTTTGGTGTCAAGTCTAAGACCACTTCAACAAGCCCTAGGTTCTGAAGATTTTCTTCTATGTGTTCTTCTAAGATGACTAAAATTTTACATTTTATGTTTCAATCTATAGTTAATTTTAAGTTAATTTTTGTATAAGGTTTGAGGTTTAGGTTGAGGTTTATTTATTTGCTTATGTATATCCAATTGCTCCAGCACCATTTGTTGAAAAGGCTGTTTCCTCCATTGAATTATGTTTGCGTCTTTGTCAAAAATCAATTGCTGAGACTTGTGTGGGTCCACTTCTGGGTTCTCTATCTGTTCCATTCATCAATGTGTCTATTCTTCTACCAATAACTCACAATCTTGATTATGGTAGCCAAATGATATGTTTTCAAATTAGGTGAAGTGAGTCCTCCTACTTTATTATTCTTTTCCAAAATTGTTTTAGCTATTATAGTTCCTTTGCTTTTCCATGTAAATTTTAGAATAATCTTGTCTATATCTACAAAACATCCTGCTGGGATTTTGAAAAGAATTTCACTAAACCTGTATATAAATTTTAGGAAAATTTCTATCTTTATTAAGCTGAATCCTTCACAGTATTTTCTCCATTTACTTAGGTCTTCCTAAAATGTATTTCAATGATGTTCTGTAGCTTTCAGTGTACAAGTCTTGCACTTATTTTGTTAAATTTCTTTCTTTCTTTCTTTCTTTTTTGAGAAGGAGTCTTGCTCTTGTAACCCAGGCTGGAGTGCAGTGGCACGATCTCAGCTCACTGCAACCTCCACCTCCTAGGTTCAAGTGATTCTCCAGTCTCAGCCTCCAGAGTAGCTGGGGGTTACAGGCATCCACCACCACGCCTGGCTAATTTTCTGTATTTTTAGTAGAGACGGGGTTTCACCATGTTGGCCGGGCTTGTCTCGAACTCCTGACCTCAGGTGATCCACTCGCCTTCGCCTCCCAAAGTGCTGGGATTACAGGAGTGATCCACCACGCCCAGCCGAATTTATTGATTTTCAAGGACTCAGTATGTGCTAAAAATACCATCAGTCAGCCGGGCGCAGTATATATATATATATTTTCTGAGATGTTTGAGAGTAAACTGTGACCTAGTGCCCTTTTATCCATAAATATTTCAGTGTATTTCCTTTAAACAAGAACATCCACAGTGTCCATAACCATAGTGCAATTATCAAAATCAAGAGTTAATATTGATACGGTACTATCATGTAATCAACAGACCTCACTCAAATTTTACCACCCAGTAATGTCATTTATAGGAAAAAAATGACATTGACATTTTTAAAGAGTACAAGCCAGATATTTTGTAGAACGTCTCTCATTCTGGGGTTGTCTAATGTGTTTTCATAACTAGATTCAGGTTATACATTTTTTTAGCCAATACATTTTAATTTCAGTTATTAGATTTTTAATTTCTAGAAAGTCTGCTTGGGCTCTTTTCAGACCTATTTGTTTCTTGATCATATTTTCCAGGTAGAGAGGAAACAAGTGAACTTTATTATTTTCCTGCAAATACTTATGCAACATTTTCAGTACCATTTGTTGAAAACCCCATTCCCTCCCCAACTGGCTTGTCATACTTCATTTGTCATTTACAACAGAAGCTGTCTTAATTACCATTAGATCTCTACAGCCCTTCCATAAAAGCGTACTAATTGATGCACCTAATACAAAGAATTCTAACAGCTAGTAGGCTCCTCTCGAGTATGCCCACACTTCTGCTTTCACAAGATGGATTGTATGATTACTAAGAATCAGTTCTATTATTCTCAAACCTATTGATGCCATTGCACTTGGAATGGTAATAACATAATTTGGTTAAATAGTACATAAACTGTTAAAATAAAAATGTGGAAAAAATGAGAGTTGTAGTTACTTTAAAAACTAAGTTGAGTGCTTTGGGAAGACTTGATAAAAGCAAATCCATTTTTTAAAACGGAGTCATTAAATACGATTGACACAAATGCAGAATTTATAAAGAAATTTCAAAATTAAATAGTGAAAAATAGACAATCCAATTGGAAAACAGGCAAAAGATATGAAGAGACATTCTATGGAAGGGGATATATGAATGACACATAAGCATATGAAAAGACATTCAGTATCATTACACTTAGAGAACTTAAAATTCTGAAAGGATCCTGCTCTTGGATTGCTTCAGAATCCTCTTTAAATTCTTGCTCCACTTTAAAGAAACCAAAACTATATCTCATAGATAATGCACTGTGGGTATGGTTTATGTTGGAAAAATGAGGCCAAAGGCCAATCAGTGGAAGAACACACAAAGAAAATGCCTTGATCTTAAAGACTGGTGAATAAGGCCTGGCATGGTGGCTCACGCCTATAATCCCAGTACTTTGGGAGGCCAAGACAGGCGGATCATGAGGTCAGGGATTCAAGACCTGCCAGGCCAGCATGGTGAAACCCCGTCTCTACTAAAAATACAAAAAATTAGCCAGGCATGGTGGTGCGCACCTGTAATCCCAGCTACTCGGGAGGCTGAGTCAGGAGAATCACTTGAACCTAGGAGGTAGAGGTTGCAGTGAGCCGAGATCATGCCACTGCACTCCAGCCTGGGCGACAGAGAGACACTCTGTCTCAAAAAAAAAAAAAAAAAAAAAAGGCGAATAATGCACATTTATATATTTATATATTTTAACTTAACATTTTTAATGTATTAATGTATCATATGTGTTATTCCCTGCTTTACTGACTTTTTCCATTAGCTGCATCAGATAAGAGGGCTTCTACTCTACCAAGTCCCCCCTTTAGAAATCCTGTTTTAATATGCAAGGTTTTCAACAATTTTGTACATCTATATTTTATGTTCCTATAAAATTTGACATTTTATAGAGTTGCTGCCCAAAGCCTTAGAAGCTTCTCCTCATAGAACACATAAGAATATTAATGGTGTATGAGTCATCTCATCATATCATTTTAAGCTTTGGGAGGACTAATATGATTTGCAAATAGACAAGAATACTTGAGTAGCGTGTCCATGGGAACAGTGTGGTGATTATGCATATCATCTTCTTTTCTTTTTGTTCCTTTTACACTTTTGGTTGCTACTAAGCACAAACATCTTGGAATTGGCTCTAAAATGTGACCCTCTGTCAGCATCATCTGAGAAGAGCCTCTAATATTGCCTTGTATGGCATATTTTATTTTATAATTTAAAAATACAGAAAAATGCAAAAAATAATATAAGAAACACCAATAAAAACTACCCAGGGTTCTCAATTGTTAACCTTTTATCACATTTACACACATTCATAACACATTCAAATCTGCATTATTAAAAGTGATAAAAACAATTAAGCAATTAAGTTGAAGCATCCTTTATCCCCCTCATTTTCAATCCTACTTCCCTCTTCACATCTGAAGGCAAATACTATTGTGAATTTGGTTTTCATATTTTAATACTATTTATACACATTTATGTCTCTGTAAGCAATAAAGTATTGCATTATGTACTTCTTAATTTTACAGAAATACTTTCGGACTATACATATACATAATATATATTGTTGTGCAACTTGCTTTTCCACTCAAATGTTGATAATATATAGATCCAGTTCATCTCTTTTAACTGCTATGTAGTATTTGATTGTAGGAGTGTACCACATTTTATTTATCTATTTACTTATTCAGAACATTTACACATTATCCTTTTTTTTTTTTTTTTTTGAGATGGAGTCTTGCAGTGGCGCCATCTGGGCTCACTGCCATCTAGGCCTCCTGGGTTCAAGTGATTCCCCTGCCTCAGCCTCCCAAGTAGCTGGGACTACAGGTGCGTGCCACCATGCCCGGCTAATTTTTTGTGTTTTAGTAGAGACGGGGTTTCACCATGTTGGCCAGGATAGTCTTGATCTCCTGACCTCGTGATCCGCCCACCTCGGCCTCCCAAGGTGCTGGGATTATAGACATGAGCCACTGCGCCCAGCCACATTATCCAATATTATACTATTACAATTCTCGAATGAATATCTTAGCACATTCTCCTGGTGCACATGTTGGAGAGTTTCTGTAGGGAAAATAACTGGGAGTAAAATTACTGGGTAATATGGTAAATATACTTTTTATATTATTAAATAGTGTCAAATTGTCCTCTAAAGTGATCGTCTCAATTTACACTTCCACTAGCAGTGTGTGAGGGTTTCTGTTGTTACATATTCTGTGTCAAAAGACTTAAATTTTTGCCAGTGCAATAAAGGTGAAATGATATTTCATTATTTGAATGTACATTTCTTGATATTCAGTGAGTATTAGTACCTTTTCATTTCGTTTTCCTTTTCTGTAATAGTCTTTTCATTTACTTGGCTTCTTTCTCTGTTGAGTTTCATTTGTCTTTTTCTTATTGAGTTACGGGAATTCTTAATACATTCTGGAGGGGTTTTTTTTTGTCTAAGATATGTGTTGCGAGTATCTTTTCCCAGACTGTCACTTGTCTTATTAATCTGCTTATGGTGCTTTTATTTTACAGTAATATTAATTTTAATAAAGTCAAACCGATTCTCTTCCTTTATGGTTTGGGCTTTTTATAATTTGGATAAGAAAATTGTTCCTGCTCCAAGGTCATAAATTCTCATATATTTTCCTTTAACAGGTTTAAAATGTTGCTTTTCACATTTGGAGGTTTAGTATATTTAGAATTTATTTCTGTGTAAGATATAAGGTAGTGATCTAATTTTATTTTTTCCATGTAAAAATATGTTTTTGCAACACCACTTATTGAATATTCTTTCCTTTCCCTAGTGTTTGAAATGCCACTTCTATAATATTCTAAGTTCCATGAACCTGTTTCTGGGTTTTCTATTCTCTTCCAGTAATCCATTTGACTATTCCCACATCAGACTCACACTGTTTTAATCACTATAGCTTTAAAATAAATCTTGGCTATATGGTAAAAAAATCACCTTCCTACTTCACTCTAGTTTTTTTTTTTAATTTTTACTTGATATATAATATTCGTACATGTTATAAAGTACATGTGATATTTTGTGACATGCGTAGAATATGTAATGATCAAGTCAGGGTATTTAGGGCATCCATCACCTGCGGTGTTTATCATTTCTATGTGTTGGGAACATTTCAAGTGCTCTCTTCCAGCTATTTGAAATATACAATACATTATTGGTACCTATAGTCACTCTACACTGCTATCGAACATTAAAACTTATTTCTTCTATCTAGGTGTATGTTTGTACCCATTAACCAACTTTTCTTTTCTTTCTTTTTTTTTTTTTCTTTAGACAGAGTCTCACTCTGTTGTCCTGGCTGGAGTGCAGTGGCACGATCTCAGCTCACCACAACCTCTGCCTCCCAGGTTCAAGCGATTCTCCTTCCTCAGCCTCCCGAGTGGCTGGGACTACAGGCACGTGTCACCATCCCTGGCTAATTTTTGTATTTTTAATAGAGATGGGGTTTCACTATGTTGGCCAGGCTGGTCTTGAACTCCTGACCTCGTGATCTGCCCACCTTGGCCTCCCAAAGTGCTGGGATTACAGGCATGAGCCACCGCAGCCGGCCTCATTAATCAACTTTTCATCTTCCCCCACCCTACCCACACACCCTTCCCAGGCTGTGATATCTGTCATTCTACTCTTGAGATCAGATGAAATCAGGTGCATTCAGGGTGGTATGCTGTAGAGCTATCATTCTACTCTATCTCCATGAGATCAACTTTTCTAACTCCCACATATGAGTGTGAACATGCAATATTTGTTTTTCTGTGCCTGGCTGATTTCACTTAACATAATGACCTGTAGTTCCATCCATGTTGCTGCAAATGGCATGATTTCACTCTTTTTTAAGCCTGAATAGTATTCCATTATGTATATATATCACATTTTTATTTATTCATTTGTCCATTAATGGACACTTAGGTTGATTCTGTATCTTTGCTATTGTGAATAGTGCTGCAATAAACATGGAGGTGCAGGTATCTTTTTGATATATTGATATATTTACTTAGACTAAATACCCAGTGGTGGGATTGCTGGATCATATGGTAGTTCTATTTTTAGTTCTTTGAGAAATCTCCATGCTGTTTTGCATGGTGGCTCTACTAATTTACATTCCCACCAACAATGTATAAAAGTTCCCTTTCTTCTGCATCCTCACCAGCATCTGTTATTTTTTGTCTTTTTGATAATAGCCATTCTAACCAGGATAAGATGATATCTCATTGTGGTTTTGATTTGCATTTCCCTGATTAGTGACATTGAGCATTATTTCATATACCTGTTGGCCATTTGTATGTTCCCTATGGAGAAATATCTATTTATATCCTTTGGCCACGTTTTAATGGGATTGTTTGCTTGTTTTACTGTTGAGTTGCTTGAGTTCCTTGTATTGTCTGGATATTAGTCCCTTGTTGGATGAATAGTTTGCAAATATTTTCTCCCATTCAACAGGTTGGCTTTTCACTCTGTTGATTGTTTCCTTTGCTATGCAGAAGCTTTTTAGTTTAATATAGTCTAATTTGTCTATTTTTATTTTTGTTGCTTGTGCTTTTGAGGTCTTAGCCATAAAAATCTTTGCCTAGATAATGTTCTGAAATGTTCACCTATGTTTTCTTTAGTAGTTTTATAGTTTCAAGTCTTACATTGAAGTCTTTAATCCATCTGAAGTTGATTTTTGTATATGGTGAAAGATAGGAGTGCAGTTTCATTTTTCTGCATATGGATATCGAATTTTCCCAGCACCCTTATTGAAGAGGACAGTGTTCTTTCCACAATGTATGTTCTTAGCACATTTATCAAAAATCAGTTAGCTGTAAATAGGTGGGTATATTTCTGGGCTCTCTACTATTCTGTTCCACTGGTCTATGTATCTGTTTTTACACCAATACCGTGCTGTTTTGGTTACAATAACTTTGTAATACATTTTGAAGTCAGGTAGTGTGATGCATTCAGCTTTGTTCCTTTTGCTCAAGATTGCTTTGACTATTCAGGCTCTTTCATGTTCCCATATAAATTTTAGAGTTGTTTTTTCTATTTCTTTAAAAAATAATCTTGGTGTTTTGACAGGAATTGCATGGAATCTGTAAATTGCTTTGGGTTGTATGGTTATTTTAACAATGTTAATTCTGATGCATGGGCATGGGATGTCTTTCCATTTCTTTGTGTCCTCTTCAATTTATTTCACCACTATTTTGTAGTTTTCCTCAAGAAAAAAAACTATGGTTTCTACTGAATGTGGATTGCTTTTGCCGGGTGTGGTGGCTCACACCTTTAATCCCAGCAGTTTGGGAGGTTAAGGCGGGTGGATCACCTGAGGTCAGGAGTTCAAGACCAGCCTGACCAACATGGTGAAACCCCATCTCTACTAAAAATACAAAATTAACCAAGTGTGGTGGTGGGCACCTGTAATCCCAGCTACTCGGGAGGCTGAGGCAGGAGAATCACTTGAACCCAGGAGGTAAAGTTTGCAGTGAGTCGAGATCATGCCATTGCACTCCAGCCTGGGCGACAAGACCGAAACTCCATCTCAAAAAAAAGAAAGAAATTAAAAACAGAAATACCATATAAACCAGCAATTCCTTTTCAGTGTACATAACTGAAGGAAAGGAAATCCCCATCTTGTAAAGAAATCTGCACTCCCATGTTCATTGCAGTATTATTTACAATAGTTAAAATAGGGAAACAACCTAGGTGTCCATCACTGGATGAACGAAAAAAGAAACTGGTGTGTGTATGTGTGTGTGTATATACACACACACATATATACATGTTGGGGGGGGTGTATACATATATATATGTCTATACCACAGAATATTATTCAGTCTTAAAAAGGAGAAGATCTTGCTATTTACCAGAACATGAATGAACCTGGAGAACATTATGCTAAGTGAAATAAGCCAGATAAGGGAAGAAAAATAGTGCATGATCTCATTTATATGTAGAATCTTTTTTAAAAAGGCCATAGAGAATAAAATAGTGGTTACTAGCAGGGGAGTGGAGAGGGAGGAAATGAGATGTAGGTCAAAAAATACAAAGTAGCAGATATTTAGGATGAACAAGTCAAAAAATCTAATGTTCAATATGAAGACTACAGTTACTGATAGTCCATTGTACTCAGAATTTTTGCTAAATGAGTAGATTATAGCTGCTCTTGCCACAGGGGAGAAATGTGAGTAACAATGGGATATAATGGATATGTTAATTTGTTCCACTATGGTGGCCATCTATATATATATGTGTATATATATGTATATATATATATATACACACATATACATATATATACACATATATATATATCTTTTTTTTTTTTTTGAGACGGAGTCTCGCTCTGTCACCCAGGCTGGAGTGCAATGGCACGATCTCGGCTCACTGCACGCTCCGCCTCCCGGGTTCACGCCATTCTCCTGCCTCAGCCTCCTGAGTAGCTGGGACTACAGGCTCCCGCCACCACGCCCGGCTAATTTTTTTGTATTTTTTAGTAGAGAAGGGGTTTCACCGTATTAGCCAGCATGGTCTCGATTTCCTGACCTCGTGATCCGCCCGTCTCGGCCTCCCAAAGGGCTGGGATTACAGGCGTGAGCCACCGCGCCTGGCCCATTTATATATATATATATATATATATATATATATAAAATTTATATATATATATAAAATATATATATATATAAAATTTATATATATATATTTATATATGTATAAAATTTATATATATATATTTATATATATTTTTATATATATATTTATATATATTTTATATATATATTTATATATATTTTTATATATATATTTATATATATATTTTTATATATATTTATATATATTTATATATATTTATATATATATTTATATATATTTATATATATTTATATATATTTATATATATTTATATATATATTTATATATATATTTATATATATTTATATATATTTATATATATATTTATATATATTTATAGATATATTTATATATATATATTTATATATATTTACATATATATTTATATATATATATATTTATATATATTTATATATATATATATATATATTTATATATATATATTTATATATATTTATATATATATTTATATATATATTTATATATATTTATATATATTTATATATATTTATTTATATATTTATATATATATTTATATATATTTATATATATTTATACATATATATGTATAAATATATATAAAAATATATTTATAAATATATATGTATAAATATATATATTTATACAAATATATATTTATATATATTTATTATATAAAAATATATATATATTTATATATTATAAATATATATTTATATAATATAAATATGTTTTTTTAATATATAAATATATATATTTATATATATATATAAATCGTATCATATGCCTTAAATATACACAATTATAGCCAAAATAATTTGGCAAATTAAGAACAAATTTGGGTTTGCACTTCCCTATTTCAAAACTTACTACAAAATTACAGTAATCAAGACTATGTGCTACTGGCAAAAAGATAGATATATAGACCAATGGAAGAGAATTGATAATTCAGAATAAACCCTTACATTTATGGCCAAGTGATTTTTGAGAAGGGTGCCAAGGCAATTCAGAGGAAAACAATAAACTTTTCAACAAATGTTACTGGAACAGCTATATATTCACATCTTCTCATCATATTCAAACGTTAACTCAAAATGGATTTTAGACCTCATGCAAAAACTAAACCTTTAAAACTCTAGAAGAAAATATAGAAATAAATCTTCATGGTCTTGAATTAGGCAATGGTTTCTTAAATATGACCCAAGGCAAGGGTCACAAAAGAAAAAATATATATAAATTGGACTTCATAAAAATAAAAAACCTACATTTTATACTTTTAAAGGGTGCCATGTTGTCCTGTATTTTAGTTTGTCTTGTTTGTTTTTAACTCCTGAAGACATTAACGTTTACCAACACTCATTCTTCATTCCTTTTCCATCTTCAGTCTTTCCATCTGGGATCACTTTCCTTCTTCCTGAAATACATTCTTTAAAAGATGTCCTTTCATCAGGGTTTATTCATGGCAAATTCACTTATGTTTGACTGAAAATGTCTTCATTTCAACCTCATTTTTTCCATAATTTGTAAATATTTCAGTATTAATCTCTAAAGATGACTCATTTGTTATAAAAGTAACTACAGTATCCATTTCATGCCTAAAAAATGAAGAAGTTTAAAACATTATGAAATAGTCAAGCTTTTAATATCATCAAATACCCAATCAGTATTCCAATTTCCAACTGTCTCATAGATGCCATATTTTGTTTTATAGTTTGCTTTCTTGAATGAGGATATAAATAAAGCCTGAACATTGTAATTAGTTGATATATCTCTCACATTCCTTTAGATCTATAGGTTTCCCCTCCACCTATTTTTTTCTTTGAAATTTATCCTTTGAAGAAACCAGGTTGTTTGCACTATAGATTTTCCCAAAATTTGGATTTCACTGATTGTTACTTTATTCTTTTTATTTTATTTTGTTTTATTTACTTTTTTATTGTGATAAAATATGCATACAAAATTTGCCATTTTCACCGTTTTTATTGATACAAAATAATTGTACATATTTATGGGGTACATGTGATATTTTGATACATGTAACATGTAATGAGCAAATTAGAATAATCCATTTTAACCATTTTCAAGTTTATAATTCCATAGCGTTAATTACATTCACAATATCTGTCCTTTTGGGATTGGATTGTTTCAGTTAGCACAATGTCTTTGACATTCATCCATGTTGTAGCATATGTCAAAATTTCATTCTGTTTTGCTGCTCAATGATATTCCATCGTATGTATATACCACCTTTTGTTTATCCATTCATCTGTTAGCGGATATTTAGATTGTTTCCACCTTTTGGCTATTGTGAATAATGCTGCTATAAACATGAGTGTACAAATAGTTGAGCCCCTGCTTTCAGTTTTGGGGGACATATACCTAAGAGTGGAATTTGCTGGATTATACAGTAATTCTATGTTTAACTTTTTGAAGAACCACCCAACTTTTTCAACAATGGCTGCACCAGTTTGCTTTCTTGCCAGCAAGGTACGAAGGTTCCAATTTCTCCACATCTTCAACGACATTTTATATTCCATTAAAAAAAATTATAGCCTGTACTCCCAGCACTTTGAGAGGCCGAGGCGGGAGGATCACGAGGTCAGGAGTTCGAGACCAGCCTGGCCAATCTGGTAAAAACCACATCTCTACTATAAATGGAAAAATTAGCCAGGCGTGGTGGGCGCCTGTAATCCCAGCTACTTAGGAGGCTGAGGCAGGAGAATCACTTGAACCCAAGAGGCGGAGGTTGCAGTGAGCCGAGATTGCACCACTGCACCCCAGCCTGGGCGATAGAGTGAGACTCCATCTCAAAAAAAAAAAAAAATTATAGTCACCTTAATGGGTGTGAAATGGTATTTCATCGTGGTTTTCATTGTATTCCCCTAATGACTAATGATGTGTAGCACCTTTTCATGTGGTTATTGACCATTTGTATATCTTGCCTGGATAAATATGTATTCAGATACTTTGCTAATATTTTTATTTTGGTAAAATATACATAAACTAAAATTTACAATTTCAATCATTTTAAAGTGTACAATTCAGTGGCATTAAGTACATTCACACTGTTGTGCAAACATCACCATATCTGACTCCAGAACTATTTTGTCATCTCAAACTGAAATTCTATAGCTATTAAACAGTAAATTCCTATTCTTCCCTCCCTCCTAGTTTCCATTAACCTACCTTCTGTTTCTATGAATTTGACTAATCTAGGTATCTCATATAAGTGGAATTATACAATGTATGTCCTTTTTTGTCTGGCTTATTTCCCTGAAGCATAATATTTTCAAGGTTCATCCATGTTGCAAAATCTATCAGAATTTCTGCCTTTTTAAGGCTGAATAATATTCCATTGTATGTATATACCACATTTTGTTTATCCATTCATTTTTTGCTGGACTTTTGGATTGGTTCCACCTTTTGGCTATTGTGAACAATGCTGCTATGAATATTAGTTACAAATATCTGTTCTAGTTCCTGCTTTGAAATATTCTGGGTATGTACTTAGAAGTGTAATTGCTTGATAATATGGTAATTCTATGTTCAATCTTATGAGAAACTTCTGTACTATCTTCCACAGTGGCTGCACCATTTTCCATTCCCACCATAATGCACAAGGGTTCCAGTTTCTCTAAATCTTCACCAACACTTGTCATTTTCTGTTTCTTTTTTTTGGTATGTTTGTTTTGGTTTGCATTTGCCCAGTGATTAGGGATGTTGAAGATCTTTTCATGTGCTTATTGGCCATGAGTATATCTTATTTGGAGAAATATGTAAAGTCCTTTGCCCAGTTTTTAATTGGGTTATTTTTGGTTGTTGTTGAGTTGTAGGAGTTCCTTACATATTATGGATAGTATTCCCTGTATTAGTTTGCTAGGGCTGCCGTAACAAACTACAGACTCGGTGGCATAAATAACATAAATTTATTTTCTCATTATTCTGGAGTCTAGAAATCCAAGATCAAGGGTGGTTTCATTCTGAGGCTTCTTTCCTTGGCTTGTAGATGGCCATTTTCTCTTGTCTTCACATGGTCTTTCCTCCGTGTTTATCCGTCTCTTAATTTCCTCTTCTTATAAGGTCACCAGTCAAATTGGGTTACAGCCCACCCTAATGACCTCATTTAACCTTAATTACCACTTTTAAGACCCTATTTCCAAATACAGTTACATCGAGGGGACACAATTCAGCCCATAACAATTCCTTAGCAGATACAATGTTTTCTCCCAGTCTGTGGGTTACTTTTCATTCTCTCTCTCTCTCTCTCTTTTTTTTTTTTTTTGTTTGATACAGAGTCTCACTCTGTCTCCCAGGCTGAAGTGCAGTGGTGTGTGATCTCGGCTCACTGCAACCTCCTTCTCCCGGTTTCAAGTGATTCTCCTGCCTCAGCCTCCCGAGTAGCTGGGATTACAGGCATTTTTCATTTTCTTGATAGTGTCCTTTCATGCACAAAAGTTAAGTCCAATTTATCTATTTTTTCTCTTGTTGCCTGTGCTTTTGGTGTCGTATCCAAGAAATCATTGCCAAATCCAGTGTCATGAAGATTTCCTCCTATTTTCTTCTAAGAGATTTGCAGTTTTAGCTCCTATGTTTATAACCTTTCAGTCTTTTGGCCAAGATCAAGTGTAGCTCGTATGTTTAAGTCTTTGATCCATTTTTATTTTACTTTTGTACATGGTGTAGGATAAGGATCCATCTTCATTCTTTTGCATACGAATATCCAGTTTTCCTAGAGTGAACTGTTGAAAAGATTTTCCCATTGACTGGTCTCAGTGTCCTTCTCAAAAATCATTTGACCATATGTATGAGGGTTCATATCAGGGCTCTGAAGTCTGTTCCATTTGTCTATATGTCTGTTTTTATGCCAGTACTACACTGTTTTGATTACTGTAGCTTTGTGGTAAGTTTTGAAATCCGGAAGTGTGAGTCTTCCAATGCTGATCTTTTTCAAGGTTGTTTTAGGTATTTGGGGTCTCTTAAGAGCCATACGACTTTTTGGATAAGGTTTCTTATTTCTGAAAAAAATGACAAGGGGATGGTTTCTGTCAATTCATTTTCTTAATCTGAATGAACCATGTTTTCCTGTTTCTTTGTATTCCTTGTGATTTTTTTTGTTCAAAATTGAGCATTTATTATTATAATGTAATAACTCTGGAAATCAAATTCTCCCATTTCCCTAGGGTTTTCTGTTTTTTTTTTTTCAGTTGAAGGCTGTAGGAGTCTGTTTGCTTTTCGATCTTTCCAAACTATTTTTCAAAGACTATTTCTTGTCACACGTGCTCATTATAATCTCTGTTCCTTTAGCTTGTGTTCAGCTAATATTTTGATAGAAATTCCTCTGAATTCCAGGGGTAGAAACAGAGAAACAAACAAACAAAAAATCCAAGGAGAGAGAAAGAGAAAGAGATCAACCACCTCTCCTAATCTTTGCAGACTGGCCCTCTGCTGATGCCATCCTTACCAATTAGTTAGGCTTGTTCTGAGCCTAGCGATCGGCCTGCTTGTTGTGTTAAATCCAATATCTGGCCCCTCTCTAGGCAGCTTCTGTTGCCTGATTTTTTTTTCCATTATTGGTCACACTTTCCTGTTTCTTTGGTAATATATTGTAGCAACTCTAGATACTGATTTCCCTCCCCTCTGTCCAATGTTTGTTTATGTAGTTGCTTGTTTTTTGTTGTTGTTGTTGTTGTTGTTGTTGTCATTGTTTTCTGCATATTTTTTGGTAGCTTAACTAAACTATTTTATTGAAGGCTATCTCCCTACAGTATGAAACCTCTGGTGTTGCTCCTCAGGGTTCTGACTTGGGCATGTGCACAGTCCCCATGAGATGACAGTGCTTTTAGCAGGGCTCATTTTGACAGTCTCTTTCCCTGATCTCTCTGTCAAAGTATCTACTTCACTTGGTATCACACACAGCTGTCAGTCTCCACTACTTCCTGGTGGATTGCTCTATTCTATTTGACAATGTTGTGGGGCATAATTTGCTCCACAGTCCGATTCAGTGAGTTTCAGGCAGGGGTAGTTTTTAAGGCCAGGCTATGAGGTTTGTTATAATCCCAGCAGGGTTCTTCATAGCTGTATAGTTCCCTGTTTCTGTCAGGTGAACTAGCTGGCCTATGATTTTGCTTGTTGCTCTTAATTAAGAGGAGCTACTGTTTTCAAGTGTTCTCAGTTTTCGACTTCCTCACACTCTATTACAGACAAAGTCAGTTCTTTTGGGAGAGCTTTGGAGCTCCTTTTCTTTCTTTCTTTCTTTTTTTTTTTCAGATGGAGTCTCGCTCTTTTGCCCAGGCTGGAGCGTAGTGGCTCGATCTCAGCTCACTGCAATCTCTGCCTCCTGGGTTCAAGCAATTCTCCTGTCTCAGCCTCCCGAGTAGCTGGGATTACAGGCGCACACCACCACACTTGGCTAATTTTTGTATTTTTTAGTAGAGACAGGGTTTTGCCATGTTGGTCAGGCTGGTCTTGAACTCCTGACCTCAGGTGATCTGCCTGCCTCAGCCTCCCAAAGTGCTGGGATTACAGGCATGAGCCAGGAGCTCCTTTTCTTATATATTTCCTCTCTCCCTAGGAAAAAATCTCTGAGCCCCTACTTGGGCACTGAGCAAGGCAGTAGACCCTTGTCTTCTCAGCTTGCCTCTTCCAGAGTGGAACCTCTGTTCTATGATTGAACCGGAGTGAAGTTGATTGGGCCACCTGTATTCCTGGACTTTCATCCCTGGGGTAGAGCCTCTGCCCTACGAGCAGGAGCTAAGTGGAGGAAGGGAGCTCCCATGCCTTTTGACTGCACTCGCCAGGAATTTAGCCTCTTCAAGTTGGAAGGGATGAGAAATTCCAGTGGCTTGTCCCTCCAGGTGAGGTATGGTAATTGTTGGTTGGGTGCTGAGAAGAGAGGGAGCTCATCTTTCTTGGCCACACCCACCTGGAGTGGAGCTTCCATCAACTCGAGTGGGAAAATGAGGAAGGAGGGAGTGAGTGGGTTGTAGCTCAAAAGCCACAGACTCTTACTGTTCTTATCAAGTTTGAGTGAATTTTCTTGAATGAATGCTTCTTCATTTGCTCAATTTCTAGACATTTAAAATGGCTGTTCTTTCCATCATTTTCATCAGTTTTGCTTGTATGCTAGGGTGTGGGTCCATGGAGCTCACTATACTGTCCTAGAAGTGGACTTCACATCTTGGCCATATTTTTTTTAATAATGCAAGATAATTGAACATGTTTAAAGGCTGAGTCAGGAGAAACGGAGAGGCTGAAGATAGAGAAGTGAGAGAGGAACTGATTTATCAAGATTCCAGATGAGATAGTGGGGAATAGGACATATAACACTGGTAGAAGTAGTCGACGTGAAAAAGAGCACCTCTTCCACTGTGTCAGGGGGAAGGAGCGAGTACAGGACAGGTAGGAATGGTCAAGTTTGTAAGTAGTTTGTTGTAAGGAGTTGAGGACATTCCTGTCTGTTGTCTTCTATTTTCAATGCAGAGAAGGTGAGATGACAGTGAGTGTGAGGGTGAGGTAGAGGAGTGGGAAGGCTGAAGAGAATGGGGATTTGGCAAAACTGCTGTGGAGACTCGGGCTAGAATTTCATATTTTCTCTGCCTTCAATGGGAGATGCTCAGAATTATGTGTGTGAGTACTTCTTTTAATGTCTCATGAAATCACAAATGAATTTCTGGTCCTGGATGTTTGTTGAGCTGGCCACAAGATCAACTGCCTTGGAATTTTATTCCAAGGCAAATGTCCACTTAGAAATGTCTCCTGGCCGGGTGTGGTGGCTCACGCCTGTAATCCTAGCACTTTGGAAGGCCAAGGTGGGCAGATCATGTAAAGTCAGGAGTTGGAGACCAGCCTGGCCAACATAGTGAAACTCCATCTCTACTAAAACTACAAAAATTAGCCGGGCATGCTGGCGCATGCTTGTAGTCCCAGCTACTTGGAAGGCTGAGGCAGGAGAATCTCTTGAACCTGGGAGGCAGAGGTTGCAGTGACCCAAGATCACGCCACTGCACTCCAGCTTTGGCGACAAAGCGAGACTCTCTCTCAAAAAAAAAAAAAAAAGAAAGAAAGAAAAAAACAAAACAAAACAAAACAACAAAACAAAGAAGTGTCTCTGTGCCTCCTTTTTTTTTTCCAGAATATGGAAACTTGGGAATTCTGCTCCCCCTCCTTCCTGCTACAGCTGTCAGGAAGCTCAGGGCACACTGAGCCCCATACTCTCTGAGGCGCCTGCTCACATACATTCCCTTGGCTTCCTTCCTCTCAGAGCTCTTTGTTCTGTTTTCTCCCCCACAGGATTGGTTCTACCCTCTGTTTTAACCTTTAAGGAGAATGGGGGAGGGACCTGCCATTTATAGCTTAGGGCTGAAGAGTGCAGGCTGCAGGGACTCAGATGGCCTATGGGCCCAGGTTCCAGCTGCTGCTGTGTGTCCCTGGACAAGCAACTCATTCTCTCTAAACCTCTGGCTCCTCATCTACAGCACAGGCATGACCACAGCTCCTACTTCATAGGCAGTGCTTGTGGGAAATAAATGAGGCCATTCATGTAAAGCGTTTGGAGCCATACCTGCATCTCAGTGAGTGCCACCTAATGCTAACGAGTACAATGATCCTGCAATCTTCTCTGCAGCATATAATTGGGAGGGAGGAATTCTCTCAAAGTCTCACAGTGGTCCTGAGCTGTAGATGGCATCTCGTCCATTTTACAGATGGGAAAAGTGAAGTCGAGGCTGGCTTTGATGGTCCCACATCAGGGGAGTGTCATCGCTGGGATTTGGATCCAGTCTGTGTGTCTGTCTGTGTGCCTGTCAACAGGGTCGAATGAGTTGGGACCTCCTATGCTAAACAGCTTTGTAGGGGAAGCCACATGCGCCGGGGATTTCTCTGCATCTATCCTCTCATCTCTTAGATGAGGTGAGCAGGCCAGCTTCGTGATTCTCCAACCTGGCTGGACATCAGGGCCGCCTGAGACTGGTTAATGACATAGCTTCCTGGGCCCTACCCCCATGCTACTGAACCAGACCCTGAAGTTTGGGCTCCAGGAATCTGCATTTCTAGGAGCCCATGTTGTGATTCTGAGGTAGCCAGTCTGGCCTTCCAAAACCTCTGGGTGAAATTTGAAGCAAGTCTGTGAGGCAGGACGCTCCTCTTCCCTCCAGGGTGTGAGACGGTGTCCTCCAAAGAGCCTGCACTTGCTGTGCGCTCACTGACCTGCCATTCTCAGTGGGGATCCAGGGAAAAGCATGATTTGGCCAGTGTGGCTTCTACAACCTCAGCAGAATAAACAGGGAAAGTTTCACACAAAAATTCCTCATTCACACTTATTTTCTCATTCATTCTGCATTTACTGGCATTACTTTCACCCACTCTTTCCTTCGCTCACATTTATTCATTCCTTTTTACACTCACATTCACTCTCTGTGTCAGGCAGAATGCTGTCCCAAAACACATGGCAAACTCCATGGGCAAACTGATGGTAAACTCATGAGGACATAATTTACAGAGGTAGGTGGCATTAGAGGACCCACAAGGGATGGGCAGAGACGGAGGAACTGAATCTGCCAAAAGCCATTACCACCTCAAGCCCTGAAGGGTCAAGGTGCAAGGGCAGTTAAAAGAAAGTGACAAGAGTCACAGCCACGGAAGAAGAGCGGCCCATGGGAACTGATGGCCCGAGTTAGGGGAGCCTCGCGACAGCTAAAGCACAACCCAGCAGATAGGGAGGCATAGGGATAAATACCCGAAAGCTCTCGCTGTGACCTCTGAGCATCGGGTGCCATTGTCTCTCACTTGCAGGACAAGGAGCCCAGATGATACAATCAGCAACGGTCAGTCTCCTGAAGCACAGAGCGGGATAGGCATAGATGGGGAGTGGATTTAGAGGGGCAAGTGGGGAGTAATGAAGACAGTCCCCCACCATTAGCCCCTGAGCAGCCCTTCCTCCTGCTTGGGTCTGGCCCAGCCACCTGTCCCACCTCAAGATCTTCAATGTGGGCACATGCTACATGGTAACCAAGGGCAGGATCACATCCAGAGCCACACAGTCTACTACCTCATGAACATCCCATCACGCCCCACTCCATATATCTATGCCGGCATGGTGAGAGCAAACTCAACCTCAGAGGCCGCATTGGAGGCAAGCAGGTAGGGAGGGCCACACACACCCAGATGGGTTGGCTGGGCTGTCCCAGGTGGGCTGGAGGTGTAGGGGTGGCCACATTCTGGGTCCTGAGGTGGGTGACCCAGGGATGGGGCAGAAGCAGATTTCGTCACTCCTGCTTTTCCACCCATCAGCCACTCAGTCTCGCCTCAGCTGCCGAATGGCTCCCAATGCCACCTGCTCTGTAGGTCTAAGAGCTTGGCCCTAGCACACAAGGCCTGCCCAAAGTCAGCTGCTCCATGACAGTGACCCTCTTGGCCCTCCCTGACTGGTCCCCTCATCTTTCTCACAACTCTGTGCCTTTGCTGGTGCAGTTTCCCCACCTAGACTGCCCTCCTCTCTTCCGTCTGTCGGTGGGTGACCATCACTGGTCACACAGACAGCTGCCCTGAGACACCCACCCTTGAATCACTCTTCTCCCCAACTCAGGGTGGATACTGCCCTTCCCACCTCACCGCAACACAGGTGTCACAGTGGCAGCCCCTGTCCCCATCCATGACTCTGTCCTTCCTGCCCACCCCCCAACTCCCTTCCAAGGCCCAGCACCCACTCCATGGTGTGGTCCAGGAAGCCCTCCCCATCTTCTCCTCCCTCCCAGGCAGGTTGCCATGCCCTGGGCTCCAGCTCTCCCAGTTCTGGCCCATGTGTGGCTCTCTTGACCTGAGTCTCTTCTCCCCAGCCTAGCACAGTGACCTGCACGTTCTTTTTTTTTTTGACCTGCACGTTCTTATTGCTGGCTGAATAAAGGGATCCATTTCTACAGCATTTGGCCTTGTGCCTCAGCTTGTTAGCACAGGTATTGTTCCTGCTGGCAGGACTGCTTGGGGGTGGGACAGGTGGGAAATGAAGTGCAGGAAGGACAGTTGTTGTCATGATTGTCATTTATTGGACACCTATGCACAGTTATGGTGCCATCTGCTTCTGCACGTGGGGCTCATTTCATTTTCACCATAGCTCCGTGGGGTGGGCATTCCTGCCACCGGTTCAAGTATGAGGAAGCTGAGGCCCAGAGAGGAGCAGAGAGCAGCCCCAGGGCAGGTGGCCAGGACAAGACAAATCCCAGACGGAAAGCTGGGCCTACCCGCCTGCCCTCAGCTCCCCCATTGGAGAGGTGGGGGTGCCCCAGGCAAGGCACTGCCCTGATGGCCCCGTCCTAGTGGTTCCCTTTCTGTTACCTCCAGACTGACAGCCTCCCCGCTAGGTAGACTCTGACCTGTTACTCCCCCATGGCCCACTCCTCAGAGCAGAGTCAGAGGCCGCAGGAAGTGTGACCCTGGCCCATGGCAGCCCCTGCAGCCAGGGCCATCTTGGCTGGAGCCAGCCTGGCCTTGCCAACACAGCTTGGAGCCCAGCTAGACACGTGGCCATCTCCACAGGGCATGCCTCCCTGCACACAACCCTGTGTGTGCATGCACACAACCGGCACCACCTTCATGTTCATCACAGAGCACCAGGCCCAGTTTACAAAGCACCTCCCCGTCGAGGTAACTCTCACTTGCGCAGCACCCACCGTGTACCAGGCCACGGTCTGGGTGCTCCCCACCCACTATCTAAAGTGCGGCCCCCAGAGAGCAGGCCGGGTGAGCCAATGCTCTTTGGATATGAGGCCAGAGAGGGGCAGGGACGTGTCCGAGGGCACAAGGGACCATGTAAGGGAGCTGGGGGAGTTTACCCTACGGCTCCTTCCTCCCAGTCAAGGGCTCCTTCCACCAGAGCACGCTGACTGCTGACTCATGTCCATAATGAAATGTATGTATGAAACGCCTATAGCCGCATATAGAAATGTGTGCCTGGACCTATGCACCTGTGCAGATGTTCCTAACACATGCCATCAGCGGTTAACAACACGCCTATACACAGAGGAGGAAATCACTAGCTCCTCTGGGCTCCCACAGCCCTTTATGGTTCCCCTCGGTGCTGCCAGTGTTTCCCTCACCGGATTGGCCGTCTTGAGAACAGGAACACCCCAGCACCCAGCACAGGGTGCTCACTACATGGAACCCTGCAGTCACTATACATGGCAGTTGAAGGAACAAATAAATGTCTGACAGATTGGGATGCTGTGTGGAGCCTGTGAGAAGCCCCATCTGGAGAATCAAAGTGCGAGCTTCTAGCATTTTGGAGCAAAAGCCATGCTCTCTTCATCAAATAACCGCTCACCTTTTGAGAAGTGGCACCTGGCACCTGACGATTAATTCAACAAGGTTGAACTACTGGCTCCTGGTAGAGTATGAGCACTTAACCACGGGACCCCAAGTGACCATGCACCTGAGCTGCTCACCCTAGGCCTGTGCCATCTTATCCACCAAACCATAAAGTCAGGCAGGCAATGACAATGCTTCGTCACCAAAGGGCAGTGGTCAGAGGAGATCAGACCGGAGCAGGTCCTGCAGGCACAAGTGAGTTACGGGAGGCTCACCCTCCCCATAACACCTTCTCCTGCCACATTGCTTGCCCTCCCTCAGCTCACACTGAGGGCCTTGTATGGAGTTCCCAACAACCAGCTTCCAAAGAAGGAAAAAAGCCCAGGAGCATGGTTTGCAAATGACACACATGATAAGCAGGAACTAGCTGGAGGCTGAGCTGTGGTGCAACAGCCCCACTCAGGTGTGACCCTGACGGGAAGTAAAAAAAGGAAATCCTCTTCAGAGTCAAAACTCAACAGCCTCATCCATGTCCCTACAAAGGACATTAACTCATCATTTTTTATGGCTGCATAGTATTCCATGGTGTATATGTGCCACATTTTCTTAATCCAGTCTATCATTGTTGGACATTTGGGTTGGTTCCAAGTCTTTGCTATTGTCAGTAGTGCCGCAATAAACATACGTGTGCATGTGTCTTTGTAGCAGCATGATTTATATTCCTTTGGGTATATACCCAGTAATGGGATGGCTGGGTCAAATGGTATTTCTAATTCTAGATCCCTGAGGAATCGCCACACTGTCTTCCACAATGGTAGAACTAGTTTACAGTCCCACTAACAGTGTAAAAGTGTTCCCATTTCTCCACATCCTCTCCAGCACCTGTTGTTTCCTGACTTTTTAATGATCGCCATTCTAACTGGTGTGAGATGGTATCTCATTGTGGTTTTGATTTGCATTTCTCTGATGGCCAGTGATGATGAGCATTTTTTCATGTGTCTGTTGGCTGCATAAATGTCTTCTTTTGAGAAGTGTCTGTTCATATCCTTTGCCCACTTTTTGATGGGGTTGTTTGTTTTTTTCTTGTAAATTTGTTTGAGTTCTTTGTAGATTCTGGATATTAGCCCTCTGTCAGATGAGTAGATTGCAAAAATTTTCTCTCGTTCTGTAGGTTGCCTGTTCTCAGCAAACTATTGCAAGTACAAAAAGCCAAACACCGCATGTTCTCACTCATAGGTGGGAACTGAACAATGAGAACACTTGGACACAGGAAGGGGAACATCACACACTGGGGCCTGTTGTGGGGTGGGGGCAGGGGGGAGGGATAGCATTAGGAGATGTACCTAATGTAAATGACGAGTTAATGGGTACAGCACACCAACATGGCACATGTATACATATGTAACAAAACATGCACGTTGTGCACATGTACCTTAGAATTTAAAGTTATATATATAACCTCAACAGCCGTGCATGTGGTTGGTCTCTGTCCAGAAAGCGACCTGGCCAGGGGCACTGATCAATACAGATTGCGTCTGCCAGATAGAGACTGGGAAGGAACGAGATTGGAGAATTGATAGCAATAATGACCATGTAATAAAATACCTAGAGTACTCATTATGTGCAAGGCACAGTTCTAATTGCTTTGCCTGCATATATATGTGGAGCAAGTGGACAGATCTCTCAGGATGGGTTGTGTGGGGATATCTGTGTCCCACGTGAGTACTCACCAAAAGGAGCATGATTACCCAGCCCTTGGAAATCTGTCAACCTCTTCTCCAGACACGCAGTGCTTGTTCAATGAGCCAATGAACAAAATTATCATAGTAGAAGGGATGGATGTTATGCACCAGTTCAACATTGATTTACCTTCACTTATGTTGCCTTGGCTATCAACACTGCTGAGTGCCCAGTCTCTCAACAGCAGAAACCCCAATATGTCACCATTGCCTAGAGAGACCAAGTCTTTGAATGACAGGAGTATTGCATCGGATCCCCTCCATCATGGAACTGGCATTAATTTATCCTCACTGAAATAATCACGTATTCTGGAATGTATTTGCCTTCCATTCCTACAGTGCGTCTATCAGCACCATCATCCTTCAATTTTCTAATTACTTTATACAGCTTATATACCACTGCAATATCCCATGCAATATTTTTTTCTGATCAAGGAACACATTTCACAGTGAAAGACATAAGATAATGGTCTCATGACTATGAGGTTCTCTGTTCATATGACATAGACAATCACCTATAAACAATTGCTCTTACAGAAAGGTGGAATGGCCTATGGACTATATGGTTATGGTGACAATTAGGAAATAGTTTGTGAGATCTAAATGCCATTCTATAGAATTCAGTATGTTCTCTGGATTAACAACCCATATATGCTGCTTTTTATCCCATAAACAGAATATTGTATGTCTAGAAACCAAAGAGTAGAAATGGGAGTAACACCTGACACCAATTCGATTAGTAAAACTTGCAAAACTTTTGATTCATAGGAAGTTAAGACTTCCATCTGGCCATCTGGAGTTCCTCATGCCATGGAATCAATGGGCAAAAATGGGGAGAGTGAGGTTCCTATGTTGGCTGGGATGAGTGATCTTAATTATCAAGGGGAAATGGGGAGTCTGCTACACAACGGGATTGGGGAGAGCATTTTCTGGGACCTAGGGGATTCACTGTGTGACCCTAGTTCTGCCATGTCCAATGGCAAAAGTTCATGCAGATTTTAATGACTCAATAAAGGTGGGACTTCTGAAAGCTCAGATTCCACATAATCATTGCGGAGACAACTTCTAGAGTCCCTTAGGAGCATAATACACAACTCGAACAAGGCATGTTCAAGATTACTGGGCCTGTGGAGAAGGACTCAATGTACCTTTTATGAGTCCCGGGAAATCACCCGGGTGCTTTCATTCCCACCACATCCAGTGATAAAGGTTAGCCAAAGAATACAGTAGCCATACACATACAGGACCACAAAGAGCCTCGCCTTACCAAGAAAATAACCATGACCAGCTAAGGTACTTGTTAAAGCAAGGGGAACCTATGGATTTAATAGAGAGAAAGGGAAGTCAGAAACACCAGCTCTGGTCTCTGGACAAGATGTAATAAGGACTACAAGCAGTTTCCTTATTTCCTTCTTTGCTCTCTCTCTCTCTCTCTCCCTCTCTCTCTGTGTGTGTGTGTGTGTGTGTGTTTGTTTGTATATATGCATATACATACACTTACTTCCATTCTCTTTCTTTATCTTCACACTATATATTGTAGAATATAGTGTGTGAGTAGTGGTTCAACGTACAATTTAGTTTATAGCTTGCAGCATATCTAGAAGAAATCGCAAGGTGACTGGAAGAGGAAAGGATATCACCTAAATTCTTGGACTTAGAGCCAGAGATAATAGAGGATAAGATTTGAGATAATATCCTTTTAAAGAAGGAGTGAATAGTGATTACATATACTTTAGTAGCATTATGTTGGAACAAGGCACTTTTGGAAGTGTTAATTTAGGGAAAAGCTTGCTATCTATTTTGCCCTCATAAAGGGCTGGTCTCTACTAAGTACTTCTTGTTTTCTTTCCTTTTTGTTTTCTGGCTACCCATTATTCATATTCTATCTTGTTTTATTCAGTCAAGGCAAAATACTACTCTAGGGCATTCATTTTCAAAGGAGGTGATATCATCCAAAACAAGTGAAAGTTTGTCCTTCATCAGAAAAAAATCTCTGCTATTGGAATGGACTGTGGCCCTCTAAAGCTCAGCCTTACTTGACAAAATCTCATTCCTTAGTATATAGTTTGTCTTGCTGGGTTTTCTTGGGTATCACATGAAAAGCACTGACATTGATTTTACTGAAGATATGCTAAATGTATGGAAGATCAGTGATATAGAGCCGTGTTGAATAAATGATTCTGATTGGAGGACTTTCTTTCAAGTACTAATTCTTAAAGTCCTATTGCAAGAGTTGACCTGCTGCCTATTGTCTGCCATTACCTAATTTATGCTTGATCTTCAGTGTTTTTATCTGCTACTCAAGTTTTGATAATTAAATATAAATAGAGTAAATTTAATTGTACAAAAATCATTCAGTTCATCACTAATTGTGTTAAGTACTGAACAGAAAGAATGTCAACAATACGTGAACGACTATCTGCAGCTAGCTATATTAAAAGTTATTTTGTTTTTAAAAACATTTTTTAATTTTTAATTTTTGTGGGTACATAGTAGGTGTATATATTTATGGGATGCAGGAGATATTTTGATACAGGCACGCAATGTGAAATAGGCACATCAGGAAGAATGGGGAAACCATCCCCTCAAGCATTTATCCTTTGAGTTACAAGCAATCCAATTACACTCTTTTAGTTATTTTTAAATGTACAGTTAGGTTATTATCGACTATAGTCATCCTGCTATACTATCAAATAGTAGGCCTTATTTAAAAGTTATTTTTTCTAACAAGCAAAAGTTAAAAGTTACTTTTACTAACAATAATTTTTAAGAAATAAATTTTAAAATTATTACATATTTTCTGGAAAAATAAAACGGGATAATTTTTAAAATTTAACTTACAAAGTTATTGTTATTATGTAGTTATACAAGTTGCTAATATACATATATAATTTGACACATTAAAATCTATATAGGTAAATAAATTATATTTAAAGTTGCTTGGCAGATACAGTTATAAAATTAAATGTTAATAGTTTTTTATATTCCTAAATTAATTAAAACTTTTATTTAGTTATTCTTAACCCTGTATCGAATAAAAAGAGTAACTTTTATACTTACTCTTTCTAGGTATAAATTGCAAATATGCAAATAGTTATTAAATATATAATATACCTGTGATATTAACATTTTAGGGGGCAATAATGAAAAATAGATGGAGAACTACTTTAGTGGATCTGTCCAGCCCTAGCAAAATGGTAGATACAATCTAGAATTGCTTGGAATTTAATTAATAATATACTGAAGGAAAGACTGAAAATTGTGGGAGTTCATTCATTATAGTAATGACCTACAGGTTGATAATGGTGGCAAAAACATGAATGAGAGTGTGTTCCCATTTCCTCTGCTATTCCTTCTTCCCTGATCTGGCCACTTTCTACTTGCCTGGAACTAGACTCGCTCTCATTCTCCCTGTCTCACCTATGTTCAGTCCTTAAATCAGGAGAGTGAGGTGTCAGGCACTGTTCTAGGTGCTGGCTACTGAGTGGTGAAGAAGGTCCCTGCTCTCCTAGATCTCACATTTTAGAGAGAGGATGACAGTCACAAACAATCAAATAAATACATGAACAAAAGTCATTTCACAAAGTCAAAAATACTTTGAAAACAATTTTAAAAAAAGGACAAAGGGTAGTGTAATGGGGTGAGGGTGGAGAACAAGATGAAATAGTTTAGTCAGGGAAGGATTCTCCATGGAGGTGAGAGTTGAGGTGAGCTTGAATGACAAGAAGACATCAGTCATTTCATGAGGACCCAGAGGCATGGCATCCCAGGGTGACAGATGAGCTTGGTGTATTTAAGGGAATCCAGAAAGAAGTCCAACTGGAGGCAGCAAGAGGAAAGACTGGTACTAGATGAGGTAGGAAAGAAGTTCTGGAGTAAGCTAGTGTAGGGCCATGTCAGCCATGGAAGGGATTTAGCTTTTATTCGAGGTACAATGAAAAGCCATTGGAGGGTTTTGAGCTGGGAGTGACGTGATCTGAATTTTGTATTTTAAAGCTTACTCTGTCTGATGTGTGGAGAATGAGTTTTAGTGGGAGCAAAACTGGAAACAAGAAGGCCATCTAGGAAGCTAGTTATGAGACCAGTTAGACAGTCCAGGCAAGAGACCATGAGAGCTTGGGCTAGGATAGTGATTGTGGAGAAAGATATGTGGACAGTTTTGGAATAGATTTTTACCTGGGCAGCACTACCAATCAAATTGATCCCATTGAAATTTATAGAGACTCCATCCAATAACAGCAGAATACACATTCTTCTCAAGCTGACATGGAACATGAACCAAGATAGACTGTATTCTGGGCCATAAAACACATCTTAACAAATTCAAAAGGCCGAGTGTGGTGATCACACTGGTAATCTCAGCACTTTGGGGAGGCTGAGGTAGGAGGATCGCTTGAGGCCAGGAGTTCAAGACTAGCCTGGGAAATATAGCGAGACCCTGTCTCAACAAAAAAATTAAAAATAAAAAATTAGGTGGGCATGATGGTGCACACTTGTAGTCCCAGCTACTCAGGAGGCTGAGGGAGGAGGATCCCTTGAGGCCAAGATTTCGAGGTTGTAGTGAGCTATGATTATGTCACTGCATTCCAGCATCATGAGTGACAGATTGAGACCCTGTCTCCAAAAAAAAAAAAAAAAAAAAACCCACAAATTTAAAAGAATAGAAATCATACAAAGTATGCTCTCAGACCACAATAGAAATAAAACAGAAACCAGTAACAGAAAGACAGCTGGGAAATCCCCAAATATCTGGAAATTAAATAACAAATTTCTAAATAACATATAGGTCAAAGAAGAAGTCTCAAGATAAATTTTTAAATATTTCAAATTAAATGAAAATAAAACTGCAATTTATTAAAATTTGTGGGATGATAGAAAATCCCAAATAATCTCTGGGGGTGGGCACCACTCCTGGAACTAATAAGAATATATATAGCAAGGTCACAGGGTACAAGGTCGATACACAAAAAATCAGTTGATTTCCTATATACCAGCAATGAACAATTAGAATTTCAAATTTTAGGAAAGCAATACTATTTTCAACAGCAGCAAAACAATGAAATACTTAGGAATAAATATAATAAAATATATACTGGACCCAAATCTAGAAAACTACAAAACACAGATTAATGAAATCAAAGAAATCTAAATAAAGGGAGAGCCATTCCATGTTCATGACGAAGAGGACTCAATGCTTTTAGGATGTCATTTCTTTCCAACTTAACGTATACATTCAGTATCATTTCAATCAAAATCTCAGCAAGCTATATTGTAGACATAGACAAAATGATTCTCAAGTTTTTATGGAAAAGCAAAAGACCTAGCAAAACCAACACAATACTGAAAAAAAAAGTTGGAGGATTCGCATTATCTAATGTCAAGACCCCACAGTACTATAAAGCTACAGTACAGAAGACAGTGTGATTGAATGTGGAAAAATACAAACTGATTTTGCTCTGCTCTCACAGAACAATCAACAAAGGTTTCTGTGACCAGATGTGTGGGAGTACACACACTAAATGAGCAATCAGTTTTCTAGTGGACACCAGATGAATGTCCTCTAATTTTATGTAATTTTGATACTAACTACCCGGAGATGGCGTCAGATCTCACAGGTTGAGAGCTGTCTCCAAGATTGTCACATCCCCTCCCTGATCCCCACCTCCGCCTTCAGATGTGACTCGGAAGCTCCAGGTTATTGTATCAGTGTTTTTGACAAACTGGCTATATATTGGGTTTCCACAACCCCCTCACTGAGTTCCATGAATTTGTTAGAGTAGTTCACAGAATTCAAGGAAACACTTACTTATATTGATTAGATTTTTTGTTTTTTTTTTCAGTTAAACAATGATTTTATTGCTTGAGTACATAGACAATTTATGCGACCAGGGCAGAGGCTGTGGATGACTCATATTTCCAATCAAGAGGGAGGACTCACTTGGTGTTATAATATCGGGCCAAATGATGAATCCGGCTCTCTATCAGAATCAGATAGCATTTAGCATCCTTATCTGATTCATGAGGGAGTCAGGCCCTTGGCCAGTTTGTCAATCTGCTCCTTCACGTCATCGGAAGTCAGCGTCAGCCACCAGGAGCATGCATGTGACCCATGATGGCAGCGGTCAGGCAGCAAAAGGGTATTGGATTATTATAAGGAATATTACAAGGGATATAGATGAAAAGATGCATGGGGCAAGGCCTGTGGGAAGGGGCACAGTGCTTCATGCCTTCTCCGAGTGTGCCACCCTCCAGGAGTCTCCACGTGTTTTGCTATCTGGAATCTCCCCAAGCTCTGGCCTTTTGGGTTGTTATGGAGGCTTTATTATGCAGACATGATTGATTAAATCATTGGTCATTGGTGATCAGCTGAACCTTCCGGGCCCCTCTCCCCTCCCCTGAGGTGGGGAAATGGGGCTGAAAGTCCCAACTCTCTAATCCTGCCTTGGTTTTTTGGGGACCAATCCCCAATCCTGAAGCTACCTAGGGGCTGTTGGCCATCAGCCAACTCATTGACATATAAAAAGACATCACTTTGGAGATTTTAAAGGATTTTAGGAGTTGTATGTCAGGAAATGGGGAAGACCAAATATACATTTTATAATAATCACCGTGGTGTTAAAGAAAGAATGCATACAGAGATCAATAGAACAGAGTGGAATATATTTTGAGGTAAAGCCAATAGGACTTGTTGTTGGAAATATGAGTTGAGGAAAAAAAGGAATCAAGCACCGTCTGTAAGAGATGGGGGAAAGATCAGGTTAGAGAACGTAAAATGTCTTCCCAACTTTAAGTTTTAATCAAGGATTTTCGGGTCTATGATTCTTTGAGCTGCCCCCCATATTCCTCCTAACACTACAGCTATTCTTGGGGCTGAGGTCTCCCTAATTACTGGCCCCACATCTCCAAGCTCAGCCTCCCTCCCACTTCCCTTTCCTCTTCCATGGAGGGGGTGTTGAGGGCTCTGCCAGTGGGAGCCAATGAGCAGGGTGAATGCTGCCTCTAGTCTTGGTTTTAAGAGGCTTCAAGCTATGTGTGTCAAAGATCCCAATGCCCTACAATCAGAGCGTTAAGGAAGCATGAGACAAGCTGGGGAAGGGAAAGAGAATGAGCGAAAGAGAAAAGAAGATGAAGAAAGAGAGATGGGGGAGGGGAGGAAAAGGAAAAAAGAGTAAGTGACCTGTGGACATGTGGGGAGGGGAGCAGGCCACAATGGCACACCTGGGGCACAGAGCATCCAGCACTGCTGGCCTCTGCCCATGGCCACAGCAAGATCCCCTCCTTATTTGCAGCTGTTAAGAGAGCAAAGAGGCTGTTATTGGGAGACATAGTCCTCTGTAGTGACTACATCTGGTCAGGGTGGGAGGATGGATGAGGAGGAATGGATGCATTTGGAGAAGTGGTTCTAAACCTTTTGTTCAGTCATAGACCTGTCTGTGAATGGAAGCCATGGCCTGCACACTCTCCCCAGAAAAATGCCACTAGATATTGTAGACCAAATTTTGTCTACAATTCAGCACATTCATGAATGCTTTGGAATCCTCAAGGGTCCATAAGCCTGTGTGTCAAATCTCTGACATATAGAATATTTAGGAGATAAAAATCAACATGATTAGTGATGGATTGTATGTGATGGTTGACAGAGTGGGTCGGAGAGGAAGCCTGGGTTTAATGGCTGAGGTAGCTGAGTGGATGATGGAACCATCCACTGAGACAGAGAACACCCAAAGAGGAACAGGTTTCTGGGGAAAATACTGAATTCAATTTTGGACCTGCCAAATTTTAAGTGTCTGGAATGTCCAAGGGGAGATTTCCAGGAGGCAGTTGTAAGGGAGGAGACCACCCCTCCATATTGTCTTATGCCCAATTTCTGCCTCCAAATAAAGAAGAAGTAAAAACTAAAAGCCAGAAATGAAATCCACAGGCAGACAGCCCGGTGCCACACCCTGGGCATGGTTAAAGATTGACCCTTGACCTAAACCAGTTATGTTATCTATAGATTCCAGACATTGTATGGAAAAGCACTGTGAAAATCCCTGTCCTGTTATGTTCCATTCTAATTACCGCTGCATGCAGTCCCCAGTCATGTACCCCCTGCTTGCTCAATCGTTCACTACCCTCTCACATGGACCCTCTTAGAGTTGTAAGCCCTTAAGAGGGACAGGAATTGCTCACTCGGGGAGTTCGGTTTTTGAGACGTGAGTCTTGCCGATGCTCCCAGCCAAATAAAGTCCTTCCTTCTTTAACTCGATGTCTGAGGGGTTTTGTCTGTGGCTTGTCCTGCTACAGTTGGGCATATGGATATGAAATGCAGGAAAGAAATGTAGGCTGGAGCGATAGAGTTGGGAACCATCAACATGCAGATGGTTATCAAAGCTATAGGAATGGGTGAGGTCGTCTACCAAGACCGCACAGAATGAGAAGAGAAAAGGGCTGGACATAACCTTATCAAACAAAAACATTTACCAAAAGGGCCGAGAAACAGGGGCCCACAAAAGGAACTGAGAAGTAGTGGCCAGAGAGTAAAGAGTAAAGCCAGGAGAGTGCAGTGTCACAGAAACCAAGGGCAAATCTCCTTCCAAATGGAGGGGAGAGCTCAACAGTGCCAAATGTTACTCAGACAAGGTCTGATTTAAATCCACCAGATTTAGCAACAAGACCACTGGTGATGAGCACTTTCCATGGAGTAGTGGGAGTGGATGGCAAATGACAGTGGCTTAAGAAGGAAAAAGTGGAAGGCAAAATACAATGGGTTAAGAGGTGACAGACGAAAAAAGGATTAAAAAGCGAACCAGAGGTGAGGAATTATGGACAATAGTGCAAACAACATTCTTCTTTTTTTTTTTTTTTTTTTTTGAAATTTTTTTTTTTTTTTTTTTTTTTTTTATTGATCATTCTTGGGTGTTTCTCGCAGAGGGGGATTTGGCAGGGTCATAGGACAATAGTGGAGGGAAGGTGAGCAGATAAACAAGTGAACAAAGGTCTCTGGTTTTCCTAGGCAGAGGACCCTGCGGCCTTCCGCAGTGTTTGTGTCCCTGGGTACTTAAGATTAGGGAGTGGTGATGACACTTAACGAGCATGCTGCCTTCAAGCATCTGTTTAACAAAGCACATCTTGCACCGCCCTTAATCCATTTAACCCTGAGTGGACACAGCACATGTTTCAGAGAGCACAGGGTTGGGGATAAGGTCACAGATCAACAGGATCCCAAGGCAGAAGAATTTTTCTTAGTACAGAACAAAATGAAAAGTCTCCCATGTCTACTTCTATCCACACAGACCCGGCAACCATCCGATTTCTCAATTTTTTCCCCACCCTTCCCGCCTTTCTATTCCACAAAACCGCCATTGTCATCATGGCCCATCCCCAATGAGCCGCTGGGCACACCTCCCAGATGGGGTCGTGGCCGGGCAGAGGGGCTCCTCACTTCCCAGTAGGGGCGGCCGGGCAGAGGCGCCCCTCACCTCCTGGATAGGGCGGCTGGCCGGGCGGGGGGCTGACCTCCCCACCTCCCTCCCGGACGGGGCGGCTGGCCGGGCAGAGGGGTCCTCACTTCCCAGTAGGGGCGGCCGGGCAGAGGTGCCCCTCACCTCCCGGACGGGGCGGCTGGCCAGGTGGGGGGCTGATCCCCCCACCTCCCTCCCGGACGGGGCGGCTGGCCGGTCGGGGGGCTGACCCCCCCCCACCTCCCTCCCGGGCGGGGCGGCTGGCCGGGCAGAGGGGCTCCTCACTTCCCAGTAGGGGCGGCCGGGCAGAGGCGCCCCTCACCTCCCGGACGGGGCGGCCTGGGAAGTGAGGAGCCCCTCTGCCCGGCCAGTCGCCCTTTTTTTTTTTTATACAGAGTTTTGCTTTTGTTGCCCAGGCTGGAGTGCAATGGTGCGATCTTGGCTCACTGCAACCTCTGCCTCCAGGTTCAAGTGATTCTCTTGCCTCAGCCTCCCAAGTTGCTGGGATTACAGGTATGCACCACCATGCCTGGCTAATTTTTTTGCATTTAGTAGAGAGGGGGTTTCACCATGTTGGTCAGGCTGGTCTCGAACTCCTTACCTCAGGTGATCCACCCACCTTGGCATCCCAAAGTGCTGGGATTACAGGCGTGAGCCACCACACCCAGCTGCAAACAATATTCTTAAGCTACAGACAGTTCCTGGTTTACCATGGTTTGACTTATGATTTTTTGACTAAGATGTGCAAAAGTGATATGCATTCAATAGAAGCTACACTTTGAATTTTATTTTTTCCTGGGCTAGTGATAGGTGGTACGATACTCCTATGTGAGATGTTCAACACTTTACTATAAAATAGGCTTTGTGTTGGATGATTTTGCCTGACTGTATGCTAATATAAGTGTTCTGAACACATTTAAGGTATGCTAGGCTAAACTATGATGTTTGGTAGGTTTGATGCATTAAATGCATTTTTGACTTATGATATTTTCAACTTACAAATGGGTTTATTGGACGTGACTCCATCAAAGTCAAGGAACATCTGTATTTGCCCATGACAGGGAGGAGATAAATAGGGCAGAAGCTAAAGAATGATGAGGAATTGAGTCAGTGTTTTTATTTTTAAATATATTTATTGAGGTATAATTGCAATGCATAAAATTCACCTACTTTAAGTATACAATTAAATTAATTTTAGCAGGCTTACAAAGTCGTACGATCATCACTACAATCCACTTTTGGAACATCTCTACCACCCCCAAAACATCCCTTGTAGTCCCTCTCTATCACACCAGACAGCCATTAAACTACTTTCTGTCTATGGATTTGCCTTTTAGATAGGAGAATTTAATATAAATGACATCATACAATATGTGTTCTCTTATGATTTGTTTCTTTCACCAAGCATAATGTTTTTGAGTTTGAGGTTTATTTATGGTGTATCATATATCAGTACTTTATTGTTTTTAATTGCTGAATAGTATTTTATTTAATAAATATACCATATTTTGCTTAACTGCACTCACTGGTTGAATGACATTTGGGTTGTTTCCACCTTTTGGATATCATAAATAATGTTGTTATAACCACCCAAGTACAAGTCTTTGTGTGGACATGTATTTCCATTTCTCTTGCCGGGTCACATGGTAAATTTAATTTTGACTTTTTAAGAAACAATAGCGAAGGATTTTTTTTTTAAGTTTCAAGAGACTTAGGCTGGGTGCGGTGGCTCACTCCTATAATCCCAGCACTTTGGGAGGCTGAGGCGGGTGGATCACGAGGTCAGGAATTCAAGACCAACCTGGCCAAGATGGTGAAACCCCATCTCTACTAAAAATACAAAAAAATTAGCCAGGCGTGGTGGCAGGCACCTGTAATCTCAGCTACTAGGGAGGCTGAGGCAGAGAATTGCTTGAACCTGGGAGGCGGAGGTTGCAGTGAGCTGAGATCCCTCCACTGCACTCCAGCCTGGGTGACAGAGTGAGACTCCATCTAAAAAAAAAAAAAAGATTCAAGAGACTTGAACATGTTTGAAGGCCACGTCAGAGAAAGGAAAAGGCTGAAAATACAGAAGGGAGGGAGAGAGGGAACTCAGAGATCAAGTTTCCTGAGAAAGTAGAAGGGAATGGGGCACAGAATTCAGGTGGAAGGATTAGTCAACAAGAAAAGGGGCACCTCTTCCCCTGGAATAGGAGGGAAAGAGCAAAGAGTAGTCAGATTGGGATGCTCAGGAGTTTGTATGTACTCCATGTCAAGGAGTAGAAGACATCGTTGTCTGAAGTCTTCTCTTTTCAATTCGGTAGGAGATGAGGTCATCTGCCGAGGGTAAAGGTAAAGTAGAATTGTGAAAACGCTGAGGAGGATGGGAGTTTGGCAGAGCGACCATGAAGATTTGGAGAACTGATCAGGAAACAAGATTGCCAGAGAGCATAGAGGGCCGGGTAGAAGTTGGGGAATGTGAGTTTTTAGTGGCTCCCGACAGAGCAATTTATGGGCCCAGGATTGACCTAGAGAAGATGGAAGGTATTTTCATCTGCAGTTGGGGCTGTGATGGAAATCTTAGCTGTGTTATGTCACGTCATCCTTGGTTCCTGACCCTGCCTGGTTCTCCAGGCCTCTCATGGATCCCCTGGATTACCTGACACCCCTTTCTCTTAGTCAGGGTAGGTTGGCTTATGCTTTGAATAATAATATTTTATTTTATTTTACTTTTTTGAGACAGAGTGTCATGCTGTCTCCCAGGCTGAAGTGCAGTGGTGTGATCATGACTCACAGTAGCCTTGATCTCCCCAGGTTCAGGTGATGCTTCAACTTCAGCCTCCCAAGTAAGTAGCTGGGACCACAGGTGCACAACAACACACCCAGCTAATTTTTGTATTTTTTGTAGAGACAGGGTTTTGCCATGTTGTCCCGGCCAGTCTTGAGCTCCTGGGCCATCTGCCCATCTTGGCCTCCCAAAGTGCTGGGATTACAAACATAAGCCACTGTGTCTGGCCAATAACAGTTTAAAAGCCCAAATCTCAATGACTTGACACACACAAGTTTATTTCTTGCTTAAGCAAAATGTACTGCAGGTCAGAACAGCTCCCTTCCAAGAGGTAACTAAAGTATCCAGGCTGATGGAAGCTCCATCATCTTGTGGCTATCTCATCTAGTACCCGAGGCCTTTATGGATGTCATAGCAGAGGAAGAGAGTGCAGGAGGGTTGAGCACCAGTTCTCTGGCTCATTGGTCAGAGCTAGTGACATGGCCTCCTCTTCCTCTAAGAGGATTGGGAAATTCAGCAAACAGTAATTGACTCTACCACATCTTTTAAGAATAGTGTTTTCTGCTACATTTAACCAGAGTTACTGCCATTGCTTTCATTCAAGAACTCTGACTAGTAAAGGATATGGGGGTGAGAATATTTAAAGATATATATCTTCAATTTTTTTCTGCTTACAAAAGTGATACATACATGTTATAAAAATTTGAACGTGGCTGGGTGCAGTGGCTCATGCCTGTAATCCCAGCACTTTGGGAGGCCGGGGCGGGTGAAACACGAGGTCAGGAGTTCGAGACCAGCCTGGCCTACATAGCAAAACCCCGTATCTACTAAAAATACAAAAATTAGCCAGGCTTGGTGGTGAGCACCTGTAATGCCAGCTACTCGGGAGGCTGAGGCAGGAAAATCGCTTGAACCCATAAGGCAAAATTTGCAGTGAGCCAAGATCACACCACTGCATTCCAGCCTGGGCAACAGTGTGAGACTCTTGTCTCAAAAAAATAAAAAAATAAAAAAATTGAACGTTACATAAATATTCAATGTAGAAAGTGAAAAATCCCTCATAATCCCACACTCCCAAGATAACTATATATTTGATATATATCTGGTATATATTTTTATATATAACTATATACTTACATAGTTATATGCATTACATATACTATATATATAACTATATATTTGGTATATATTTTTCTTTATATCCTACTAATAGGAAATAGATTTTTATCAAAAATAGGATCACACTACAGCTATTGTTTTGCAATTTCCTTTTTAACTTAATACTATACTTTGATATCTTTCAAAGATATGTAGATGTGTAATTTTCTTTTCTTTCTTTCTTTCTTTTTTTTTTTTATTGAGACGGAGTCTCGCCTTGTTGCCCAGGCTGGAGTGCAATGGCACGATATTGGCTCACTGCAACTTCTGCCTCCCGGGTTCAAACGGTTCTCCTGCCTCAGCCTCCCGAGTAGCTGGGATTACAGGCTCCTGCCACCACGCCCAGCTAATTTTTGCATTTTTAGTAGAGACAGGGTTTCACCATGTTGGCCAGTCTGGTCTCAAACTCCTGATCTCATGATCTGCCCACCTCAGCCTCCCAAAGTGCTGAGATTACAGGCGTGAGCCACCGTGCTCAGCCTGTAGATGTGTAATTTTCTTATTCCTTTATCCTTATTTTTATTTTTAAATAATTTTTAATTATGCAAGTAATATAGAACTAGCTTCTCCTTAAATTTTTTTTTTTTTTTTTTGAGATGGAGTCTTGCTCTGTCACCCAGGCTGGAGTGCAGTGGCACAATCTCAGCTCACTGCAACCTCTGCCTCCCAGGTTCAAGCTATTCTCCTGCCTCAGCCTCCCAAGTAGCTGGAACTACAGGCGCATGCCACGCCCAGCTAATTTTTTGTATTTTTAGTAGAGATGAGATTTCGCTACATTGGCCAGGATGGTCTAGATCTCTTGACCTTGTGATCCTACTGCCTTGGCCTCCCAAAGTGCTGGGATTACAGGCATGAGTCACCACACCTGGCCTTAATTTTTTTTTTTTTTTTGAGACGGAGTCTTGCTCTGTTGCCCAGGCTGGAGTGCAGTGGCGCGATCTTGGCTCATTGCAAGCTCTGCCTCCTGGGTTCCCACCATTCTCCTGCCTCAGCCTCCCGAGTAGCTGGGACTACAGGTGCCCGCCACCACACCTGGCTAATTTTTTGTATTTTTAGTAGAGATGGGGTTTCACTGTGTTAGCCAGGATGGTCTTGATCTCCTGACCTCGTGATCCGCCCACCTCGGCCTCCCAAAGTGCTGGGATTACAGGCGTCAGCCAGCACGCCGGGCTCCTTAAAATTTTTTAAAGCTTTAAGGTTAGGCTAAGGTTCTTTTTGACCATAACCCAATTCAAATTTTTTTGTCTGCCTTTAGCATGCATTTGAATGATTGCATAGTATTCCTCCATTATATGGATACAATCTACTTTATTTGCAGAATTCTCTATTTTTTAACATTTGTGAAAGTTTTAATAGTGACAACACAAGTTACAAAAATCATAATTTATATTTGTAAAATATATCTATAACTATATACAAAGATGATGTAATCATACAAAGATGCACATGGTGATTTCTTCTGGTGATATTTTTGGTACTTTATCTTCATTTTCTTCTATGTGCTTTTCTTTTTCTTTCCTCTTTCTATTTTTAATTTTTGTGGGATATAGTAGGTGTGTATATTTATGTATATGGTGTTTTGTTACAGGCATGCAATGAGAAATTAGCACATTATGGAGAATGGGGTATCCATCCCCTCAGGCATTCGTCCTTTGAGTCACAAACAATCCAATTACACTCTTTTAGTTATTTTAAAATGTACAATTATTATTGACTATAGTCACCCTGTTGTGCTATCAAATAAGTAGGTCTTATTCATTCTTTCTGACTATTTTTTTTGTACCCATTAATCTTCCCTGCATTTCCTCCCTTGTCACTACCCTTCCCAGCCTCTGGTAACCATCCTTCTACTCTCTATGCCCATGAGTTCAATTGTTTTAAGATGGGATCTTGCTCTGTCGCCAGGCTGGTGTGTGCAGTGGTGCCATCTTGGCTCACTGCAACCTCTGCCGCCCAGGTTCAAGCGATTCTCCTGCCTCAGCCTCCCAAGTAGCTGGAACTACAGGCACATGCCACCACACCTGGCTAATTTTTGTATTTTTAGTAGAGACAGGGTTTCACCATGTTGGCCAGGATGGTCTCGCACTCCTGACCTCGTGATCTGCCTGCCTCGGCCTCCCAAAGTGCTGGGATTACAGGTGTGAGCCACCACGCCCGGCCAATCTCATTCTTTTTTATGGCTGAATATTATTCCATTGTGTACATGTACCACATTGTCTTTATCCCCTCATCTGTTGATGGACATTTAGGTCACTTCCAAATCTTAGCTATTTTAAACAGTACTGCAACAAACACAGGAGTGCAGATATCTCTTTGATATGACGATTTCTTTTCTTTTGGATATATACCCACAGTAGGATTGCTGGATCATATGATAGCTCAATTTTTAGTTTTTTAAGGAAACTCTAAATTGTTCTTCATAGTGATTGTACTAATTTACATTCCTAATAACTGTGTATGAAGGTCCCCTTTTCTCCACATCCTCACTAGCATTTGTTGCTGCCTGTTTTTCGCCTGCCTTTTTAACTGGGGTGAAATGATATCTTATTGTAGTTTTGATTTGCATTTCTCTGATGATCACCTTTTCATATACCTGTTTGCCATTGGTATATCTTCTTTTGAGAAATGTCTATGCAAATCTTTTGCCCATTTTTTGAGCTCCTTATATATTCTGGTTTTTATTTTTTTTGAGACAGAGTTTCGCTCTTGTCACCTAGGCTGGAGTACAATGGTGCAATCTCAGCTCACTGCAACCTCCACCTCCCAGGTTCGAGCGATTCTTCTGAGTAGCTGGGATTACAAGCATGCACCACAACGCCCGGCTAATTTTGTATTTTTAGTAGAGACGGGGGTCTCACCATGTTGGCCAGGCTGGTCCTGAACTCCTGACCTCATGTGATCCACCTGCCTCAGCCTCCCAAAGTGCTGGGATTACAGGTGTGAGCCATCATGCCTGGCTGTATTCTGGCTATTAACCCCTTGTCAGACAGGTAGTTTGCAAATATTTTCTCTCATTCTGTGGATTGCCTCTTCACTTTGCTGATTGTATCCTTTGCTGTGCAGAAGCTTTTTATCTTGATATGATCCTATTTGCCCATTTTTGCTTTAGTTGCCTGTGCTTGTGGGTTGTTGTGCTCAAGAATTTTTTGCCCAGCTCAGTGTCCTGGAGATCTTCCCCCAATGTTTTCTTGTAGTAGTTTCATAGTTTGAGGTCTTAGTTTTACATCTTTAATCCATTTTGATTTGATTTTTTATATGGCAAGAGATAGAGGTCTACTTTCATTATTTTGCATATGGATATCCAGTTTTCCCAGAACCATTTATCGAAGAGACTGTCTTTTCCCCAGTATATGTTCTCAGCACCTTTGTCAAAAGCGAGTTCACTGTAGATGTGTGGATTTGTTTCTGGGCTCTCTATTCTGTTCCACTGGTTTATGTGTCTGTTGCTATGCCAGTGTCGTGCTGTTTTGGTTACTATAACTCTGTAGTATAAATTGAAGTCAGGTAATGTGATTCCTCCAGTTTTGTTATTTTTGCTTAGGATAGCTTTGGCTGTTCTGGGTCTTTTGTGGTCTGGGTCTTTTTTCTTTATATCTTTCTCTTATCTGATGGCTCTAGCTAGGACTTCCAGTACTATTAAATAACACTGGTGAAAGTGGGCATCTTTTTCATTTTCCAGATCTTGGAGGAAGAGCTTTCAGTTTTTCCCCATTCAGTATGATACTAGCTGTGGGTCTGTCATATATGGCTTTTATTATGTTGAGTTATATTCCTTCTATACCCAGTCTTTGAGGGTTTTTTTTTTATCATGAATGGATGTTGAATTTTATCAAATACTTTTCAGCATCAATTTAAATGATCATATGGTTTTGATCCTTCATTCTGTTGACATTATGTATCACATTAATTGATTTGCATATGTTGAACCATCCTTGCATCCCAGGGATAAATCCCACTTGGTCATGATGAATGATCTTTCTAATGTATTGTTGAATTCAGTTTGCTAGTATTTTGTTGAGGATTTTTGCATCAATATTCATCAGAGATATTGGCCTGTAGTTTTCTTTTTTTGATGTGTCTTTGTCTGGTTTTGGTATCTGGGTAATACTGACCTTGTAGAATGAATTTTAAAGTATTCTTTCCTCGTCTTTTTTTTTTTTTTTTTTGAGTCAGAGTTTCACTCTTGTTGTGCAGGCTGGAGTGCAATGGTGCGCTCTTGGCTCACTGCAACCTCCGCCTCCCAGGTTCAAGTGATTCTCCTGCCTCATCCTCCCTAGTAGCTGGGATTACAGGCATGCACCACCACGCCCGGCTAATTTTTGTATTTTTAGTAAAGATGGGGTTTCTCCATGTTGGTCAGGCTGGTCTTGAACTCCCGACCTCAGGTGATCCACCCGCCTTGGCCTCCCAAAGTGCTGGGATTACAGGTGTGAGCCACCGCACCCAGCCTTTCCTCTTCTAATTTTTGGAATAGTTTGAGTGGGACTCGTATTACTTCTTCCTTAAATGTTTGCTAGAGTTCAGCAGGGAAGCCATCAGGTCCTTAGCTTGTCTTTACTGGGAGACTTTTTGTTATGGTTTCAATCTTGTTATTTGCTTTTGGTCTGTTCAGATTTTGGGATTTCCCTGGTTCAATCTTGACACGTTGTGTGTATCTAGGAATTTGTCCATTTCGTCTAGATTTTCCAATTTATTGGCATAGAGTTGCTCATAGTAGTCACTGATAATCCTTTGAATTTCTGCAGTATCAGTTGAAATGTCTCCTTTTCATTTCTGATTTTATTAATTTGTATCTTCTCTCTTTTTTTTTAGTCTGGCTAAAGGTTTGGCAATTGTGTTTAACTTTTCAAGAAATCAACATTTTTTCACTGATCTTTTGCATTGTTTTTTTCATTTCAATTTCATTTATTTCTCCTCTGATCTTTATTGTTTATTTTCTTCTACTAATTTGGGGTTTGATTTGCTCTTGCTTTTCTAGTTCTTTAAGATGCATCATTAGATTATTTGAAGTTTTTCCTCTTTTGTTGATGTAGGCATTTATAGCTATAAACTTTCTTCTTAGTACTACTTTTTTTTTTTTTTTTTTTTTTTTTTGAGACGGAGTCTCGCTCTGTCGCCCAGGCGGGACTGCGGACTGCAGTGGCGCAATCTCGGCTCACTGCAAGCTCCGCTTCCCGGGTTCACGCCATTCTCCTGCCTCAGCCTCCCGAGTAGCTGGGACTACAGGCGCCCGCCACCGCGCCCGGCTAATTTTTTTTTTGTATTTTTAGTAGAGACGGGGTTTCACCTTGTTAGCCAGGATGGTCTCGATCTCCTGACCTCATGATCCACCCGCCTCAGCCTCCCAAAGTGCTGGGATTGCAGACCTGAGCCACCGCACCCGGCCCTTAGTACTACTTTTGCTGTATCCCATAGGCTTTGGTGGTTTTTTGTATTTCCATTATCATTTGTTTCAATAATTTTTTTTCATTTCCTTCTTAATTTCTTCATTGACCCACTGGTCATTCAGGAGCATATAGTTTAATTTCTATATATTTTTATAGTTCCAAAATTCCTCTCGCTATTTATTTCTAGTTTTATTCCATTGTGGTCAGAGAAGATGCTTGATATTATTTCAATTTTTTTGAACATTTTAAGACTTGTTTTGTGACCTAACATATGATCTATCTTTGAGAATGATCCATGTGCTGAGGAAAAGAATGTGTATTCTGTAGCCATTGGATGAAATATTCTGTAAATATCTATTAGATTCATTTAGCCTATAGTGGATATTAAGTCTGATGTTTCTTTGTTGATTTTCTGTTTGGAAGATCTGTCCAATGCTGAAAATGGGGTGTTGATGTCTCCAGCTGTTATATCAGGGCCTATCTCTCTCTTAGGTCTAATAATCTTTGTTTTATATATCTGTGTGCTCCAGTTCTGGGTGCATATATACTTAAAATTGTCATATTCTCTTGCTGAATTGACCCCTTTATCATTATATAGTGACTTTTTTGTCTCTTCTTAGAGTTTTTGCCTTGAAATCTATTTTGTCTAAAATAAGTATAGCTACTCCTGCTCTTTTTTAAAAATTCTATTCTCTACCAAAAAGAATCAGGACTCTTTGGAAAACTGGCTGATTCCAGGGATGTGGTAGTTAAAATACAAGATGGACCTAGAGCATCTTGTGGTACCAGAAATCAAGGAGGTGCTCAAAGTAAGATGGAGACATGCCAAAGGACACAGGAGTTTGGAGGGCTTCCTACTGGTCAAATATAGAGTATTTGAACATCAGAATAAAGAACAATATTTATTAATGTGTTATAACCAATTGAGTAAAATAGACAACTGCTGTGGTTTGGATATGGTTTGTTTGTTCCCACCAAAACTCATGTTGAATTTTGATCCCCAGTGTGGCAGTGTTGGGAGTTGAGGCTTAGTGGGAGGTGTTTGTCAGTGGGAGCAGATTCCTCATGAATCGCTTCATGCTGTTTTGAAGGTAGCGAGTGAGTTCTCACTCTGGCAAGACTGGGTTAGTTCTCACAGGAATCAATTAATTACCCCAAGAGTGGGTTGTTATAAAGCCAGGGCACCCCTTCCGATTTTGTCTCTTTGCATATGTTCACCTCCTCTTCGACCTTCTCTGCCACATTATGACACAGCACAAAAGTCCTCATCAGAAGCCAGGGCTACGCCATGGAACTTCCAGCCTGCAGAATCAGGAGCTAAGTAAACCTCCTTTCTTTATAAATTACCCAGCCTCAGGGATTCTGTTATAGCAACACAAAATGAACTAAGTCAACAACCATGAGCTCATGAGGATATAAATAAATAAATGTAGAAGGGAAAGTGCTCCCTTAGACTGGAAAGTTAACTAATTAATACATGTCAAAAGAATGCATTTGAGGGAGCCAAGATGGCCGAATAGGAATAGCTCCAGTCTACAGCTCCCAGCGTGAGAGATGCAGAAGACGGATGATTTCTGCATTTCCAACTGAGGTACTGGGTTCATCTCACTGGGGAGTGTCGGACAGTGGGTGCAGGACAGTGGGTGCAGTGGAACAAGCATGAGCCAAAGCAGGGCGAGGCATCGCCTCACCCGAGAAGCACAGGGAGTCAGGGAATTCCCTTTCCTAGTCAAAGAAAGGGGTGACAGCACCTGGAAAACGGGTCACTCCCACCCTAATACTGCACTTTTCCAATGGTCTTAGCAAACGGCACACCAGGAGATTATATCCTGCCCCTGGCTTGGAGGGTCCTACACCCACGGAGCCTCACTCATTGCTAGCACAGCAGTCTGAGATCAAACTGCAAGGCGGCAGCAAGGCTGGGGGAGGGGCGCCCACCATTGCTGAGGCTTGAGTAGGTAAACAAAGTGGCCAGGAAGCTCGAACTGGGTGGAGCCCACCGCAGCTCAAGGAGGCCTGCCTGCATCTGTAGACTCCACCTCTGGGGGCACGGCATAGCCAAACAAAAGGCAGCAGAATCCTCTGCAGACTTAAATGTCCCTATCTGACAGCTTTGAAGAGAGTAGTGGTTCTCCCAGCATGCAGCTGGAGATCTGAGAACGGACAGACTGCCTCCTCAAGTGGGTCCCTGACCCCCGAGTAGCCTAACTGGGAGGCACCCCCCAGTAGGGGCAGTCTGACACCTCACACAGCCGGGTACTCCTCTGAGACAAAACTTCCAGAGGAACGATCAGGCAGCAACATTTGCTGTTCACCAATATCTGCTGTTCTGCAGCCTCCGCTGCTGATACCCAGGCAAACAGGGTCTGGAGTGGACCTCCAGCAAACTCCAACAGACCTGCAGCTGAGGGTCCTGATTGTTAGAAGGAAAACTAACAAACAGAAAGGACATCCACACCAAAACCCCATCTGTATGTTACCATCATCAAAGACCAAAGGTAGATAAAACCACAAAGATGGGGAAAAAACAGAGCAGAAAAACTGGAAACTCTAAAAATCAGAGTGCCACTCCTCCTCCAAAGGAACGCAGCTCCTCACCAGCAACAGAACAAAGCTGGACAGAGAATGACTTTGACGAGTTGAGAGAAGAAGGCTTCAGATGATCAAACTACTGTGAGCTAAAGGAGGAATTTCGAATCAATGGCAAAGAAGTTAAAAACCTTGAAAAAAAATTAGACAAACGGCTAACTAGAATAACCAATGCAGAGAAGTCCTTAAAGGACCTGATGGAGCTGAAAACCAAGGTACGAGAACTATGTGACGAATGCACAAGCCTCAGTAGCCGATTCGATCAACTGGAAGAAAGGGTATCAGTGATGGAAGATCAAATGAATGAAATGAAGTGAGAAGAGAATTTTAGAGAAAAAAGAATAGAAAGAAACGAGCAAAGCCTCCATGAAATATGGGACTATGTGAAAAGACCAAATCTACGTCTGATTGGTGTACCTGAAAGTCACGGGGAGAATGGAACCAAGTTGGAAAACACTCTGCAGGATATTATCCAGGAGAACTTCCCCAATCTAGCAAGGCAGGCCAACATTCAAATTCAGGAAATACAGAGAACACAACAAAGATATTCCTCGAGAAGAGCAACTCCAAGACACATAATTGTCAGATTCACCAAAGTTGAAATGAAGGAAAAAATATTAAGGGCAGCCAGAGAGAAAGGTCGGGTTACCCACAAAGGGAAGCCCATCAGACTAACAGCTGATCTCTTGGCAGAAACTCTACAAGCCAGAAGAGAGTGGGGGCCAATATTCAACATTCTTAAAGAAAAGAATGTTCAACCCAGAATTTCATATCCAGCCAAACTAAGCTTCCTAAGTGAAGGAGAAATAAAATCCTCTGCAGACAAGCAAATGCTGAGAAATTTTGTTACCACCAGGCCTGCCCTAAAAGAGCTCCTGAAGGAAGCACTAAACATGGAAAGGAACAACCAGTACCAGCCACTGAAAAACATGCCAAATTGTAAAGACCATTGAGGCTAGGAAGAAGCTGCATCAACTAATGAGCAAAATGGCCAGCTAACATCATAATGACAGGATCAAATTCACACATAACAATATTAACCTTAAATGTAAATGGGCTAAATGTTCCAATTAAAAGACACAGACTGGCAAATTGAATAGAGTCAAGACCCATCAGTGTGCTGTATTCAGGAAACCCATCTCACATGCAGAGACACACATAGGCTCAAAATAAAGAGATGGAGGAAGATCTACCAAGCAAATGGAAAACAAAAAAAGGCAGAGGTTGCAATCCTAGTCTCGGATAAAACAGACTTTAAACCAACAAAGATCAAAAGAGACAAAGAAGGCCGTTACATAATGGTAAAGGGATCAATTCAACAAGAAGAGCTAACTATCCTAAATATATATGCACCCAATACAGGAGCACCCAGATTCATAAAGCAAGTCCTTAGAGACCTACAAAGAGACTTGGACTCCCACACAATAATAATGGGAGACTTTAACACCCCACTGTCAACATTAGACAGATCAACGAGACAGAAAGTTAACAAGGATATCCAGGAACTGAACTCACCTCTGCACCAAGCGGACTTAATAGACATCTACAGAACTCTGCACCCCAAATCAACAGAATATACATTCTTTTCAGCACCACACCACACCTATTCCAAAATTGACCACATAGTTGGAAGTAAAGCACTCCTCAGCAAATGTAAAAGAACAGAAATTATAACAAACTGTCTCTCAGACCACAGTGCAATCAAACTAGAACTCAGGATTAAGAAACTCACTCAAAACTGCTCAACTACATGGAAACTGAACAACCTGCTCCTGAAAGACTACTGGGTACATAACGAAATGCAGGCAGAAATAAAGATGTTCTTTGAAACCAACAAGAACAAAGACACAACATACCAGAATCTCTGGGACACATTCAAAGCAGTGTGTAGAGGGAAATTTATAGCACTAAATGCCCACAAGAGAAAGCAGGAAAGATCTAAAATTGACACCCTAACATCACAATTAAAAGAACTAGAGAAGCAAGAGAAAACACATTCAAAAGCTAGCAGAAGGCAAGAAATAACTAAAATCAGAGCAGAACTGAAGGAAATAGAGATACAAAAAACCCTTCAAAAAATCAATGAATCCAGGAGCTGGTTTTTTGAAAAGATCAACAAAATTGATAGACCGCTAGCAAGACTAATAAAGAAGAAAAGAAAGAAGAATCAAACAGACGCAATAAAAAATGATAAAGGGGATATCACCACCGAGCCCACAGAAATACAAACTACCATCAGAGAATACTACAAACACCTCTATGCAAATAAACTAGAAAATCTAGAAGAAATGGATAAATTCCTGGACACATACACCCTCCCAAGACTAAACCAGGAAGAAGTTGAATCTCTGAATAGACCAATAACAGGCTCTGAAATTGAGGCAATAATTAATAGCTTACCAACCAAAAAAAGTCCAGGACCAGGTGGATTCACAGCCGAATTCTACCAGAGGTACAAGGAGGAGCTGGTACCATTCCTTCTGAAACTATTCCAATCAATAGGAAAAGAGGGAATCCTCCCTAACTCATTTTATGAGTCCAGCATCATCCTGATAGCAAAGCCTGGCAGAGACACAACAAAAAAAGAGAATTTTAGACCAATATCCCTGATGAACATCGATGCAAAAATCCTCAATAAAATACTGGCAAACCGAATCCAGCAGCACATCAAAAAGCTTATCCACCATGATCAAGTGGGCTTCATCCCTGGGATGCAAGAAGGCTGGTTCAACATACACAAATCAATAAACGTAATCCAGCATATAAACAGATCAAATGACAAAACCCACATGATTATCTCAATAGATGCAGAAAAGGCTTTTGACAAAATTCAACAGCCCTTTATGGTAAAAACTGTCAATAAATTAGGTATTGATGGGACATATCTCAAAATAATAAGAGCTATTTATGACAAACCCACAGCCAATATCATACTGAACGGGCAAAAACTGAAAGCATTCCCTTTGAAAACTGGCACAAGACAGGGATGCCCTCTCTCACCACTCCTATTCAACGTAGTGTTGGAAGTTCTGGCCAGGATAATCAGGCAGGAGAAGGAAATAAAGGGTATTCAATTAGGAAAAGAGGAAGTCAAATTGTCCCTGTTTGCAGATGACATGATTGTATATCTAGAAAACCCCATTGTCTCAGCTCAAAATCTTCTTAAGCTGATAGGCAATTTCAGCAAAGTCTCAGGATACAAAATCAATGTGCAAAAATCACAAGCATTCTTATACACCAATAACAGACAACCAGAGAGCCAAATCGTGAGTGAACTCCCATTCACAATTGCTTCAAAGAGAATAAAATACCTAGGAATCCAACTTACAAGGGAGGTGAAGGACCTCTTCAAGGAGAACTACAAACCACTGCTCAATGAAATAAAAGAGGATACAAACAAATGGAAGAACATTCCATGCTCATGGGTAGGAACAATCAATACCGTGAAAATGGCCATACTGCCCAAGGTAATTTATAGATTCAATGCCATCCCCATCAAGCTACCAATGACTTTCTTCACAGAATTGGAATAAACTACTTTAAAGTTCATATGGAACCAAAAAAGAGCCCGCATGGCCAAGTCAATCCTAAGCCAAAAGAACAAAGCTGGAGGCATCACGCTACCTGACTTCAAACTATACTACAAGGCTACAGTAACCAAAACAGCATGGTACTGATACCAAAACAGCATGGTACTGGTACCAAAACAGAGATATAGATCAATGGAACAGAACAGAGCCCTCAGAAATAATGCCACATATCTACAACCATCTGATCTTTGACAAACCTGACAAAAACAAGAAATGGGGAAAGGATTCCCTATTGAATAAATGGTGCTGGGAAAACTGGCTAGCCATATGTAGAAAGCTGAAACTGGATCCCTTCCTTACACCTTATACAAAAATTAATTCAAGGTGGATGAAAGACTTAAATGTTAGACCTAAAACCATAAAAACCCTAGAAGAAAACCTAGGCATTACCATTCAGGACATAGGCATGGGCAAGGATTTCATGTCTAAGACACCAAAAGCAATGGCAACAAAAGCCAAAATTGACAAGTGGGATCTAATTAAACTCAAGAGCTTCTGCACAGCAAAAGAAACTACCATCAGAGTGAACAGGCAACCTATAGAATGGGAGAAAATTTTTGCAATCTACTCATCTGACAAAGGGCTAATATCCAGAATCTACAATGAACTCCAACAAATTTACAAGAAAAAAACAACCCCATCAAAAAGTGGGCAAAGGATATGAACAGACACTTCTCAAAAGAAGACATTTATGCAGCCAAAAGACACATGAAAAAATGCTCATCATCACTGGCCATCAGAGAAATGCAAATCAAAACCACAATGAGATACCATCTCACACCAGTTAGAATGGTGATCATTAAAAAGTCAGGAAACAACAGGTGCTGGAGAGGATGTGGAGAAATAGGAACACTTTTACACTGTTGGTGGGACTATAAGCTAGTTCAACCATTGTGGAAGTCAGTGTGGGGATTCCTCAGGGATCAAGAACTAGAAATACCATTTGACCCAGCCATCCCATTCCTGGGTATATATCCAAAGGATTATAAATCATGCTGCTATAAAGACACATGCACACGTATGTTTATTGCGGCACTATTCACAATAGCAAAGACTTGGAACCAACCCAAATGTCCAACAATGATAGACTGGATTAAGAAAATGTGGCACATATACACCATGGAGTACTATGCAGCCATAAAAAAGGATGAGTCCATGTCCTTTGTAGGGACATGGATGAAGCTGGAAACCATCATTCTCAGCAAACTATCACAAGGACAAAAAACCAAACACCGCATGTTCCCACTCATAGGTGGGAATTGAACAATGAGAACACGTGGACACAGGAAGGGGAACATCACACACTGGGGCCTGTTGTGGGGTGGGGGGAGAGGGGAGGGATAGCATTTGGAGATATACCTAATGCTAAATGATGAGTTACTGGGTGTAGCACACCAACATGGCACATGTATACATATGTAACAAACCTGCACATTGTGCACATGTACCCTAAAACTTAAAGTAAAATTAAAAAAAAAAAAAAAAGAATGCATTTGAAAATCTCTGGCTGGGCGCAGTGGCTCACTCCTGTAATCCCAGCACTTTGGGAGGCTGAGGTAGGCAGATCACAGGGTCAGGTGTTGGAGATCAGCCTGACAAACATGGTGAAACCCCGCCTCTACTAAAAATACAAAAATTAGCCTGGCGTGGTCGTGGGTGCCTGTTATCCCAGCTACTCAGGAGGCTGAGGCCGGAGAACCGCTTGAACCTGGGAGGCGGAGGTTGCAGTGAGCCAATATCACCCCACTGCACTCCAGCCTGGGCAACAGAGCGAGACTCTGTCTCAAAAAAAAAAAAAATCCATAACCTGAATGTAATCATGAGGAAACATCAGACAAACTTACATTAAGGGACAGCCTACAAATAACTAGCCTGAACTCCAAAAATGACAATGTTATGAACCATAAAGAAAGACCGAGGCTGGGCACAGTGGCTCACACCTGTAATCCCAGTGCTTTGGGAGGCCAAGGTGAGTGGATTACGTGAGGTCAGGAGTTCAAGACCACCCTGACCAACGTGGTGAAACCCTGTCTTCACTAAAAATACAAAATTAGCTGGGCGTGGTGGTGCATGCCTGTGAAATCCCAGCTACTTGGGAGGCTGAAGCAGGAGAATCGCTTGAACCAGGGAAGCGGAGGTTGCAGTGAGCCGAGATCTTGCCATTAACACTCCAGACTGGGCAACAAGAGCAAAACTCCATCTAAAAAAAAACAGACCAAGGATCTCTTCCAGATTGTAGGAGACTAAAGAGATATGACAACTAAATGCACATGATTTGTTTTTTTCTTTTGCTATAAAGAATGTTGTTGAGGAAATTGGCTAGTTCTGAATAAGGTCTGTAGATTATGTATTTAATAGTATTACGTATTTTTTAGTTTTCTGATTTTGATAATTACTCTGTTTACATAAGATAATCCCTTGATTTAGAAAATACACCCAGAATTATTTAAGGGTAATGTAGTACTATGTCTGCAACTGATTCTCAACTTGTTGAGGGGAAAAAAGAAGTAAACATACAAACACAGACACATATATGAGAGACAGGGATAAATGGAGTAGGATAAAGCAAATGTGAGAAAATGTTAACATTTGGGGAATCTGAGTGAAGAGTACACAGGAGTTCCTTGTGCTTTTCTTAGAAACTTTGAGTAAGCCTGAAATTTTCAAAATACATATATAAAAGAAAACACACACACATACTTGCATGGGCTTAGAGTAGCCACACAAAGGCCATATAAAGTGGTAACGGTGGTGATCCCCAGTGGAGAACTGGGGACCTGAGGGTGAGCAGTGAAAAAGAAACTTAATTTTCACTGTATACTTTCCTGTGTTGTTTGAAGGGTTTATCCTGTGCATGTATTACACACTCCAAAGTTCCCCTCAAATACTACCGTTTCCAAAAAGCCTACTTATTTTTCTTAACCTCTTTCAAACAACAATCCTTCTTTACATTACCTCCCAAAATAAGACACAGAAAATCAAACCTAAAACATGATCAAACAAATTAAAAAAAAAAAAAAAAAAAAAAGAAATGCTGAAACCCACACAGGAAGGAATTCCGTAAGTATATCTATTCAGTGACATATTTTTGGAGCCATTTAAATAATGTTTATAAAGAATTCTAATGGGAAAATATTTACATGCAAATTGCAGCATAAAATTGACAGTACAGCCTGATCCCAACTATGTTCTGTTTATTTGTTAAGGTCTAGAATATAGACTAAATACACCAAGGTGCTAACACTGGTTGTGTTTGGGTGGTAGATAGTATGTGGTTTTCCCCAAATTTTCTTTTTCTTTTTCTTTCTTTCTTTTTCGAGACAGAGTCTCATTCTACTGCCCAGGCTGGAGTGCAGTGGCGCAATTGCAGCTCACTGAATCCTCCACCTCCTGGGTTCAAGCAATTCTCCTGCCTCAGCCTCCCAAGTAGCTGGGATTACAGGCATGCACCACCATGCCCAGCTAATTTTGTATTTTTAGTAGAGACGGGGTTTCTCCATGTTGGTCAGGCTGGTCTTGAACTCCTGACCTCAAGTGACCTGCCTGCCTTGGCCTCCCAAGTTGCTGGGATTACAGGAGTGAGCCACTGCACCTGGCCCCAAATTTTCTTTTTCTTAAAATTTTAAGTCAATTCATTCATTCATCCATTTATTAATTTTTATTATATATATAAAGATGCACAATGTGATGTTTTGATTAACATATACAAAGTGAAATGATTATCATGATCAAGCTAATAATATATCTATGACCTCACATAGTTATTTTTTGTGGTAAAAATACTTAATATTTACTCTCCTAGAAAATTTCAAGTATATGATGCATCATTATTAACTGTAGTCATCAGGCTGTGTGCATTAGGTCCCCAGAACTTATTCATCTTTAACTGAAAGTTTACATCCTTTCACCAACATCTCCCTGGTTCCTTTAGCTCTTGGTCCCTGGTACTATACTTCTACACTCTTTTTCTACAAGTTCATCTTTTTTAGATTACACATATATATGAGACCATGCAGTATTTGTCTTTTTTTTTTTTTTCTTTTGAAGGAGTCTTGCTCTGTCACCGGGCTGGAGTGCAGTGGTGCGATCTCGGCTCACTGCAACCTCTGCCTCCTGGGTTCAAGTGATTCTCCTGCCTCAGCCTCCAGAGTAGCTGGGACTACAGGCGCCCGCCACCATGCTCAGCTAATTTTTGTATTTTTAGTAGAGACGGGATTTCACCATGTTGGCCAGGATGGTCTCGATCTCTTGACCTCGTGATCCACCCACCTCAGCCTCCCAAAGTGTTGGGATTACAGGCGTGAGCCACCGCACCTGGCCAGTATTTGTCTTTCTGTGTCAGGTTCATTTCACTTAGCATGAAGTTTTCAAGGTTCATCCATATTAATCTTTTATCAGATATATGGTTTACAAATACTTCCTCCTATTCTATAGGTTACCTTTTCATTCTGTTGATTATTCCCTTTGCTGTGCAGAAACTTTTTAGCTTGATGTAGTCTCATTTATTTTTGCTTTTGTTACCTGTGCTCTCGGTGTCACATCAAAAAATCATTGAGAAAAACAATGTCATGGGGCTTTTCACCTGTTTTTTTCTAGGAGTTTTATGGTTTCAGATCTTACATCTCAGTTTTTAATCCATTTTGAACTGATTTTTGTGTGTGATGCATGATAAAGATTGCATGGATAAATACCACTGGATTGTGGTGAATGATCCTTTTAATATACTGTTAAATTTAGTTTGCTAGGATTTTGTTGAGGAATTTTGTCTCTATGTTCATCAGGGATATTGGCCTGCAGTTTTCTTTTCTTTCTTTTTTTTTTTTTTTTTGAGACGGAGTCTTGTTCTTGTTGCCCAGGCTGGAGAGCAATGGCGCGATCTCGGCTCACCACAACCTCCGCCTCCTGGGTTCAAGTGATTCTTCTGCCTCAGTCTCCCTAGTAGCCACCACCCCTGACTAATTTTTGTATTTTTAGTAGAGACGGGGTTTCATCATGTTGGCCAGGCTGGTCTCGAACTCCTGACTTCTGGTGATCCACCCGCCTCAGCCTCCCAAAGTGCTGAGATTACAGGTGTGAGCCACCGGGCCCAGTCAGTTTTCTTTTCTTAAGGTGTCTTTGTCTGGTTTTGGTACCAGGATAATGCTGGTCTTGTTAAAGGGTTAGGAAGTGTTTCCTCCTCCTCCATTTTTTGGAAAAGTTTGAGAAGAATTGGTATTAATTATTCTTTAAATGTTTGGTAGAATTCACCAGTGAAGCGATCAGATCCTGGGTTTTTCTTCACTGGGAGATTTTTGATTACTGATTCAATTGCCTTACTTGTTATTGGTCTGTTCAGATTTTCTACTTTTTCACAATCCAGTTTCAATAGGTTGTATGTTTGTAGAAATTTATCAGTTTCTTCTAGGTTATCCAAATTGTTGGCATACAATTGTGCACAGAAGTCTCTTATGATCCATTATATTTCTTTGGTATCAGTTGTAACGTCTCCTCTTTCATTTTTGATTTTATATGTATAGCCTTTCTTTTTTCTTTTTCTTTCTTTCTTTTTTTTTTTTTTGAAACAGAGTTTCACTCTTATTTCTCAGAATGGAGTGCAATGGCGCAACCTCGGCTCACCACAACCTCCGCCTCCCTGGTTCAAGTGATTCTTCTGCCTCAGCCTCCCGAGTAGCTGGGATTACAAACATGCACCACCATGCCCAGCGAATTTTGTATCTTTAGTAGAGATGGGGTTTCACCATGTTGGTTAGGCTGGTCTCGAACTCCTGACCTCAGGTGATCTGCCCGCCTCTGCCTTCCAAATTGCTGGGATTACAGGCGTGATCCACCACGCCCAGCCTCCTTTGTTTTTCTTCGTCTAGCTAAGTATTTGATTTTATTTGTATTTTCAAAAAACCAACTCTTAGTTGTATTGATTTTTTTTCTATTGCTTTTCTAGGCTCTATTTCCTTTATCCTCTGATCTTTGTTATTTCCTTCCTTATGCTAACCTTGGAATTAGTTTGCTCTTCTAGTTCCTTGTGGTGTAAGGTTAGGTTATTTATTTGAGATGTTTCTTTTTTCTTCATGTATATGTTCACTGTTACAAACTTTCCTCTTAGAACTGTCTCCCTGGGCCTTAGTTTCCTTACCTATAAGGGCGAGGGGAAATAATAGCACCTACTTCATAAGCCCTCTCAATTTCCATCCTGCATGCCTTTTCTTCCACCACACCTCATTGCTCAAGGTCTAACTAGATCTAATTTGGACTGTTGGGTCACATTACCCTGAATTAACTGACCCAAACCCCCTCCTAGAGAATTCACATCCTGGAGCAGAGGGAAAACTGGCAGGCAACAAGTGATGTCACGCAGGCTCTCTTAAGCAACAATGCACAATCACAGAGCTGAATCCAAATTTCATTCATCATCCAACCATTTATGCACCTGAATTCATGCAGTGAATGGCCACTCTGGAAGCAGGGGGCTAGGGAGTAGACTTGAGGTTGTTCATTTGAGGGGTTTTGAGACTGAAACAGGACAGTGGCAGAGGATGAGGAAAGAAGGTGGATATGAAAGGCAGAAAGGAGAAAGTCAACTAGACTTGGTGGATCAGCTATGAGGAAACAGGAGGATTTTAGGCTGCACATAAGGCAGAGGGCACAGAGGAAATTGCACAAGTTTAAGGGGGTGATTAAGACAAAGATAAGTGCCAGAGGAACTCTGAGGGCTGAGAAATCAGTGTGGGATAGAATGGGCAGAAACATGTAAAATGAGGAGGATCATTATGAGGAGGAGGGATTCGGGCTAAGACTCACTGTGTGACTTTGGACCAGTCACTATCTTTCTCTGGTCCTTTAGGTTTCCACCTGCTAAACTGGGAGATGGAGAATGATAATTGGGAGGAATGAATTACATAAGAGAATGTTCAAGAAATGCCTAGCCCTGTAGGCAATATGGATGGGAAGCATGTGGCAGGTGTGCTTGGTCCAGGGTTGGGTGGGGCTGGGCTGCCATTTGGGCAACAGCGATGCCACAGGCAGGAGGACACATATACATGCAGACAAAGGAGGGCATGGGGGAGGGGAAATGTGACCTGGACCCATGCATGTTGGATTTGAGGAGCTCAAAGGCCAAGGCAGTCAAATCAATGTTACCCTGGGAGGCCCTGTCTTGGCAGTTAGCAGAGAGGGGCTTCTCTGGACTGTGACTCCTAGACTGCCACTTCCTCAGGAAGTACCCAGGTCTGCGAGGCCCGAGTCTTCTGGGTTTTGTTCCCAAGTCACCACCAGAATTGCTGTGTGAAGCTGAGTCTGTTCTGAACCACTCTGGGTCCAGGTTCCTCATATTAACAACACAAAAAGGCATGTGTGTGTTGGTGGGGAGGTGGCGAAACATTTGCAAAGGTCCCCTCCCGGTTTATTTTGCTTCAGTTCCATGGCCCTAAGTCCTTTTTTAAAAGTCTAGTCCTGTCTCCATTCCTACTTTGTTGTGTCCTTGAGTCAGCTGCTGGACCTCTCAGAGCTTATTTTCACATCAGAAATATCTCTAATCTCCTGATTGCACAGGAGAGTCTCTAACACCCAATGACATACCCTGAAGGACTCTCACCCTCATCTTAACCTGGAAGCTTCAGATAAGTCAGGAAAGTGAGATGCTAGTTACAGATAACTCCAGTTCTGAATCTTCCATCTTTTTTCACTGCCCTCCGCTCCAGACTGTCAGGAGCTTGCAGCACTGGCTCAATTGCCAAACTCGTTGCTATGACAACAGTTACAAATAACTCAGATGCAGATGAAGATTTTAACCCAAGAGCTGCTGGGCCAAGGGCTTCTTGCTTCCTCCTTAGACCAGATGAGGGAAAATCCTAAAAATTATTTGGGATCAAGTCATTCTCTTGCTCAGAAGCCTGCCAAGGCTCCTCAATGTCAAGAATAGTAAATCCTGGCATCCAAGCCCCCCACCCCTCACAAAACTTGATTTAAATCTTTCCAATCACTTGCTTCCATTAAAAAATGATCACTCCTGTTTTTTTGAAACCTACACCTACCATGTCCTTTGTTGAATGCTTTATATACATACAATATCTGCAGAAATCTTCCCAGAACTCCAACAAGTAGACATTATTATTAGACATTATTATTCTCACTTTACAAAGGAGAAAATTAAGGTCCATGGATACAAGTGAGTTGAGTAAAGAGGTCAGAGAGTAAGAATTCAAACTCAAATCCATAAGATTCCCAAACACACGCTGTTTCCATTGTCAATGGTTCACAGATGTTGCTCTACAGACCTGACATATCCAAAGAGTCTGTGGCAGATTTGGGTTTCCATTCAAGAAGACTGAATGCATTTGTCTCCTCTAACTCTTGAGATCCTAAAAAATAAGAGTAAAGGAATCAAATGTATAAACTCACAACTCCAAAGAAAGCTGGAGGAGTACCCATCAGTGGTGAAGAGATTTCAATAACTTTCTGGCAAGCAGAAAGGGGCGGGAGGGGTGGTAACTGAGAAAGCAGGGCAGGGGAAGGAATGAGCAGAGTCCACATGTGGGAAGGGATCCACCGGGAGAGAGCTCATCTACCCTGCCAAATCCTGGAGAGGTGCAGTAAAGGTATCCTGATGGTGGGAGCAAGACATAAAGCCTCAAACAGGGGATAATTGAAAGTGTGTATTAGAACAGTTGATCTCCCTCCACCTTCCCCTTACTTCATGGGTAGAAATCACAAGAGCCAAGTATCTACACTCCAGCAAAATATCAGAGAGTTCACCAAAGAAATCAAACAGTCCCAGAGCAATGGTCTCCACATTCTGTAATTAGAGGTCCTCTGGCAGATTGTACAAGTCTCCATCCAGTCACCTTAAAGGAAAGCCCAATAGTAGACTTGACAAGCCCCTTCCCCTTACACAGAGCTCCGAGTCAGCATTTTATTGTGTTCTTAAATCAATGGGCTGATAAGCTTGCACATTTATGAAAAAATATGCTAATAGGTTTATAAATGAACTGATGAAGCAAATGTGAAAAACAAAGGCTAGGCACATTCAAGTGGAAAAAAAATCAAGCAATTATTAAAACCAGAAACATTTTTAAAAATTTTAAGGTAATTGTAGTACATGTCTTGACTTTGTAGTGACTACTGATTTACTAGGAATTGGGAAATAAACCTATGAAAAGAGTAAATGGAGGGAAAATAGGGGATGGAAAAGAGATAAATCCTCTTCTACCATAAGGAGATGTCAAAAGATAATGTCTCTAATTGCTAAGTTAGAAAAATACTAATATAAGTATATTATGAAGAATATTATGAAGAATCATGGTGGTCCGTCACTTAAAACTCCTTTCAGCCATAAGTAAAAACAAACAAACAAACAAACAAACAAACAAAACACCCAACTGACAGTGTCTTAAACACATATGGCTTTATTTATTTTTCAGTTAACAGGAAGTGCGGCATGGGTTCAACTGCTCAATGATGTTATCAAGAAATCAGGTTCTTTCTGACTTTCTTCCTTAACATGTTGTCTTCATCCTCATGCTAATCCCTACATAGTCACAAGATGGTTGTTACAGCTCCAGACAGCACGACTATATTCAAAGCAGAAATAAGGAAGGGGATGGCATTAGCTATGTAAGTGTCTTTGTTCAGGAAGTAAAAGGCCCCCAGCAAACATCTCATTGGCTATAGCTGGATAATATAGCCATCCTTAGCTACAAAGGAAGCTAAGAAAGCAAACAGCTGGTTGTTTAGCCTCTGAATTGGAGGTGGCAAAGGAGAAGGGATTTGGGGATGGTAAATTCGGAAGAAACAGCTAAAAGTATTGAAAGCAGTTTCTTGCAGGACACGCAGTGGGAAGAAGTGCTACAGGATATTGCTAGGTTTTGTTATGAGCCCTTTAGCAGCATTTTATTTCTTTTAATGATGTGCATATATTACTTTGATAAAAACTAAAATTTAAGTGTTGGATGGGCAGGGTGCCTCACGCCTGTAATCCCAGCACTTTGGGAGTCCGAGGGCGGTGGATCACGAGGTCAGGAGATCGAGACCAGCCTGACCAACATGGTGAAACCCCGTCTCTACTAAAAATACAAAAATTAGCCGGGCATGGTCGCACGCACCTGTACTCCAAGTTACTCAGGAGGCTGAGGCAGGAGAATCGCTTGAACCTGGGAGGCGGAGATTGCAGTGAGCCGAGATTGCACCACTGCACTCCAGCCTGGACAACAGAACGAGACTCTGTCTCAAAAACAAAAAAAAAATTAAGTGTTATGGTTTTATGAAAAAAAATTTTTTTAAATAAAAGCTGGTAGAAGTTTTCTGTCTCCAGAGGAAACAACGTCAATTCACCGTGGAAGCAAACTTACCAGAATAGTCTTTTTACTTAAACTATGGTCTCTCAGGTATCCCCACTGATCTTAGAGAAAGTTGTGCTATCACTATTAATCTAAATGTGACTGGTGGAAACCAGGACAGCTCTGTGATGTAGTTATGTGTGTTGACTGTGGTTAGACAGCCCTGGTGCCATTTCCTGTTCCATTTTTTAGCTTTGTGACCCTGAGTGAATGACACCTGGAAGCCTTACTTTCCTTTTTTATGAAATGAAGATAATTCTAGTGCCCGATACAGAGTAAGCACTCAGAAAATATTAACTACTATGATTAAAATGTTAAATGTTCTGGACAGAGTGTGGTGGCTTACGCCTGTAATCCCAGCACTTTGGGAGGCCAAGGAAGGCGAATCACCTGAGGTCGGGAGTTCAAGACCAGCCTGACCAACATGGAGAAATCCCGTCTCTACTAAAAATACAACATTAGCCAGGCGTGGTGCTGCATGCTTGTAATCCGAGCTACTCGGGAGGCTGAGGCAGGAGAATCACTTGAATCTGGGAGGTGCAGGTTGCAGTGAGCTGAGATCATGCCATTGCACTCCAGCCTGGGCAACAAGAACGAAACTCCGTTCTCAAAAAAAAAAAAAGAAAAGTTAAATGCTCTGTGTAGTGACAAAATCTGGGTGTACTTTAACAATGTTATGCTTCCACTGAGTTAATTTTTTATCCCAAACATAGTTTTAGACTAGACTGTCACTGAAAATTATTATGTGTTCTTGAGAGACGTGTGTGCATACAAATGGTCAACAGATATGTGAAAAAATGCACAAAATCATTAATCATTATGTAAATGTTAATTAAAGACAGAATGAGGTATCACCTCACACCCGTCAGGAAGGCTAGTATCAAAAAGACAAAAAATAACAAGTGTTGACAAGGATGCAGAGAAGGGGCAACCCTTGTATGCTGTTGGTGGGAGTGTAAATTAGTAGAGTCATCATGGAAAATTGTGTAGACGTTCTACAAACTAAAAATATAACTACCATATGATCTAGAAATCCCGCTACTGGGTATACAGCCAAAGGATTTGAAATCAGTATGTCAAAGAGATATCCTCACTTCCATATTTATTGCAACATTATTCACAATAGCCAAGATATGGAATCAACCTAAATGTCCATCAACAAATGAATGGATTAAGAAAATGTATACATTCACAATGAAATACTATTTAGTATTTCAAAAGAAGGAAATCCTGCCATTTGCAACAAAAAAGATGAACCTGGAGGATATTATGCTACATAAAATATGCTAGGTACAGAAAGTCAAGTACTGCATGATCTCACGTATATGTGGAATCTAAAACTTAATATACCTGTTAATCAAATTTAATCAAACTTATAGAAGCAGAGAACAGAATAGTGGTTACCAGGGGCCAGGGGTTAAGGGGAATTGAGAGATGTTGGTCAACAGATACAAAATTTCAGTTAGACAGGAGGAATAAATTATTTTGAGCTCTATTGCACAGCATGGTGAGTATAGTTAATAATAATAATGTATTGCATATTTCAAAATTGCTAAGAGAGCAAACTTCAAATTTTCTCACTACAAAAATTGATAAGTGTTTGAGGTGATGGATATGTCAATTCACTTGATCTAATTACTTCACACTGTATACATATATCATAACGTACCCCATAAATATATACAATTCTAATTTTTCAATTAAAAGTTAAAAAGTTTAAATAAAAAGGAAATTATGTAGCCCAGAAAGGAATGAGATAATATACACAAAGTGTTGAAAAAAAAAACAAAAAATCTTCCAACCAAGAATACTATATCTTGCAATATAGTCCTTCAAAAACGAAGGAGAAATAAAGACTTTCTCACACAAATAAAAGCTGAGAAATTTCATCAGTACCAGATCTTCCTTACAAGAATGCTAAAGAGAGTTATTCAAGTTGAAACAAAAGGATGCTAAACATAAACATGATAGCATAAGAAAGTATGAAACTCATTGATAAATGTAAATATATAGAGAAATATAGAAAATTATATTACTGTAATGATGGTGGGTTAACCACTTTTAATTCCAGTATGAGTTGAAAGATTAAAATATTAAAAATAATGATAACTAAAATATATTTAAATGTACACAATGTGAATAGGTGAAAATCTTGACAATAAGACAATAAAATATATGGAGTGGAAAAGTTACGATGTAGCATATATGTATGCAGTTGAAGTTGTTATCAGCTTAAAATAGGCTGTTATAAAATTTTTTATATAAATTCCAAGGTAATGACAACCACAAAAATACCTGTACAGGAAACACAAAAGAAAAAGAGAAAGGAATCAAATCATAGCAATACAAAATATAAAACAAACAAAAAGGAGCACAACAAGAGAAGAAAAGACAGACAAAAGAACTACAGGACTAACACAAAACAATTAACAAAGTGGCAATTGTAAATTCTTCTTTATCAATAATTACCTTAAATGCAAATGAACTAAACTCTCCAATGAAAAGACATACAGTAACTGAACATATTAAAAAAGAAAAGAGCAAACTACATGCTGTCTAAAAGAAACTTGCTTTAGATTTAAAGACACAAGAGGCTGAAAGTAATGGCATGGAAAAAAATCTCATGCAAATGGTAAACAAAAGAGAGAAGGGGTGGCAATTCTCATATCAGACAAATAATAATTTAAGTCAAAAATTGTCACAAGTGACAAAGAAGAGCATCATATAATGATAAAAAGACTAATCCGCCAGAAAGTTATAATTGTTACAAATATATATGCACCCAACATCAGTTCACTTAATTTCATAAAGCAAACATTGACAGGCTGAAGGAAGAAATAGACAGCAATACAACAATAGTAGGAAACTTCAATATCCCACTTTCATTAATGGGTAAAACACGAAGATAGAAGATCAATAGGGAAAGAAAGGACTTAAATAACACCATAGACCAAATGGACCTAAGAGACATATATGGAATATTCCACCCAACAATAGTAGAATACACATTTTTTTAAGTGCGTATGGAAGAATATCGAAGATAGACTACATGTTAGGTCAAAAACATTTCTTAGCAAATTTAAGATTGAAATCCTACCAGATAAGTTTTCTGATGGTAGTGAAATAAAACTAGAAATCAATAGCAGAAGGAAAACTGAAAATTTTCAAATAAGTGGAAATTAAACAATACTCTTTTGGAACAGCCATTGGGTCAAAGAAATCAAAAAGGAAATGAGAAGATATCACAAGTCAAATGAAAAGGAGAACAAAACATATCCAAACTAATGGAATGCAGCAAAAGCAGTACTGAGAGAGCAGTTTATAGGAAGAAATGCTTACATTAGAAAAGAAAAAATATCTCAAGTAAACAACCTGTCTTTCAACTCAAAGAGCTAGAAAAAAAAAGAACAAACTATGCCCAAAGTTAGGAGAAGGAAAGAAATAACAATAATTGGAGCAGAAATAAACAAACTGGAAAATAGAAAAAATCAACAAAACTAAAATTTTTTTAAAGATAAGTAAAATTGACTAAAAATTATTGAAGACTCAAATAAATAAAATCATAAATGAATGAAGAGACATTACAACAGATATAAAATAAACACAACAGAAATAAAAAGGATCATAAGAGACTACTGTGAACAATTATATGCCAGCAAACTGGATAAACTAGAAGAGTTTATTTAATGGATAAATTTAATGGATAAATTCCTACAAATGTACAACCTACTAAGACTAAAGCATGAAGAAATAGAAAATCTGAGCAGAACTATAGTTAGTAAGGACTTTGAGTCAGTAATAAAATAACCTCCCAACAAAGAAAAGCCCAGAACTAGATGGCTTCACTGGTGAATCCTAATAACAATTAAAGAAGAATTAATGCCAATTCTTCTCAAACTCTTCCAAAAAATGAAGAAGAGGGAATGCCTAAAACCCATTTTATGGGGCCAGCATTGCCCTGATACAAAGCCAGACATTACCATAAAAGAAAACAACAGGCCAATATCTCTGATGAATATAGATGCAAAAATCCTCAATAAAATACTACAAAACTGAACCAGACAGCACATTAAAAGGATTATACAGCATGTCCAAGTGGGATTTATCCCTGGGATGCAAGGATTTCTAAATTTTACTTCCCACACAACACCAATGTAGCAAAGATGTTTTAACTGATGAAAATCATTTAATGTGATACGCCCCATTAGCAGAATAAAAGCTAAAAAATCACATAATTATCTCAATAGATGCACAAAAAGCATTTAAGAAAATTGCAAATTAAAACCACACTGAGATACCATCTTACATAAGCCAGAATGACTTTTATTAAAAAGTTAAAAACCAACACATGTTGGCATGGATGTAGAGAAAAAGGAACACTCATACACTGCTGGTGGGAATGTAAATTAGTTCAACTTCTACAGAAAACAGTGTGGAGATATCTCAAAGAACTGAAAATAGAACTATCATTTGACCCAGCAATCCCACTTACTGGGTATCCACCCAAAGGAAAATAATTCATTATATTAGAAAGACAACCAGAACTTATATGTTTATTGCAGCACTATTTACAATAGTAAAGTCATGAAACCAACCTAAGCCTGCACCAACAATGGAGTGGATCAAGAAAATGTGGCATATTCTGGACATAGAAATGGGCAAAGATTTCATGACAAAGATACCAAAAGTAAATGCAAAAAAGCAAAAATTTACAAATGGGAGCTAATTAAACTAAAGAGCTTCTGCCCAGCAAAAGAAACTATCAACAGGGTAAACAGACAACCTAACAGAATGGGAGAAGATGTTTCCAAATTATGCATCTATAAGGAACTTAAACAAATTTACAAGAAAAAGAACAACCCCATTAAAACGTGGGCAAAGGACATGAACAGACACTTCTCAAAAGAAGACATACATGTGGCCAACAAGCATATGAAAAAAAAGTTTAGCATCATTGATCATTAGAGAAATGCAAATCAAAACCACAATGAGATAACATCTCACACCAGTCAGAATGGCCATTATTAAAAAGTCAAAAAATAACAGGTGCTGGCAAGGTTGTAGAGAAAAAGGAATGCTTATATACTGTTGGTGGGAGTATAAAGTAGTTCAACCATTGTGGAAAGCAGTGGGGCAATTCCTCAAAGAGCTAAAAACAGAACTACTAGCTGGGCGCGGTGGCTCACGCCTGTAATCCCATCACTTTGGGAGGCCGAGGTGGGCGGATCACGAGGTCAGGGGTTCAAGACCAGCCTGGCCAACATGGTGAAACCCCGTCTCTACTAAAAATACAAAAATTAGCCGGGCATGGTGGCGCATAGTCCCAGTTACTCGGGAGGCTGAAGCAGGAGAATTGCTTGAACCCAGGAGGCAGAGGTTGCAGTGAGCTGAGATCACGCCACTGTACTCCAGCCTGGGTGACAGAGCAAGAGTGTCTCAAAAACAAACAAAACAAACAAACAAAAAACAAAAACAAAACCAAACCCAGAAATCCCATTACTGGGTATATTTCCAAAAGAATATAAATCATTCTATCATAAAGACACATGCACGTGTATGTTCATTGCAGCACTATTCACAACAGCAAAGACATGGAATCAACTTAAATGCCCATCAATGATGGTAGACTGGATAAAGAAAACGTGGTACATACACACCATATGAATACTATGCAGCCATAACAAAGAACAAGATCATGTTCCTTGCAGGAACATGGATGGAGTTGGAGGCCATTATCCTTAGCAAACTAACACAGGAACAAAAAACCAAATACTGCATGTTCTCACTTATAAGCTGGAGTTAAATGAGAACACATGAACACATAGAGGGGAACAACAGACACTGGGGCCTATTGGAGGGTGGAGAATGGGAGGAGGGAGAGGATCAGGAAAAATAATTAATGGGTACTAGGCTTAATACCTGGGTGATGAAGTAATCTGTACAACAAACACCTGTAACACAAGTTTACCTATCTAACAAGCCTGCACACATACCCCTGAACTTAAAAGTTAAGGGCTGGGAGCAGTGGCTCATGCCTGTAATCCCAGCACTTTGGGAGGCCGAGGCACGTGGATCACCTGAGGTCAGGAGTTCAAGACCAGCCTGGCCAACATGGTGAAACCCTGTCTCTACTAAAAAATACAAAAAATAGCCGGGCGTAGTGGCGAGCACCTATAATTCCAGCTACTTGGGAGGCTGAGGCAGGAGAACCACTTGAACCCGGGAGGCAGAGATTGCAGTGAGCCAAGATCACACCACTGCATTCCAGCCTGGGCAACGAGCAAAACCCTGTCTCAATAAATAAATAAATAAATAAATAAATGTTAAAAAAGAGAAAATGTGATATAGATACACCATGGAATACTATGCAATCATAAAAAACAATGAAATAATTTCCTTTGCAGCAACATGGATGCAGTGGAGGCGATTATCCTAAGTGAACTAACACAGAAACAGAAAATCAAATATTGCATATCTCATTTATTAAATGAGAGCTAAACAAAGGGTACACATGGACATAAAGATGGAGAAAATAGACTCCGAGGACTTCAAAAAGGGGGAGGCTGAGAGGGGAGTGAGGGTTGAAAAATTACCTGTTAGATATAAGGTCCAATATTTGGGTGATGGGTACACTAGAAGCCCAATCCCCACTATTATTCATGTAATACCCATGTAACAAAGAAGTGCATGTATCCTCTGGATCTAAAATAAAATTTAAAAAAATTAAAAAGAAAATTTAACACATTTTCATGATGAAATCTTTCAGCAAACTAGGAATAGAAGAAAAATACCTCAACGTAATAAAGGTCATAATGAAAAGCCCACAACAAACATACTCATGGTGAAAATAGAACTACCATATAATCCAACAATTCCATCTCTGGCTATTTATTCCAAAGAATTGAAATCAGGAACTTGGAGAGATATTTGCACTCCTATGTTCATCACATCATTATTCACAAGCAAGATACGGAAACCACCTAAATGTCCATCAACTGATGAATGAATAAACTGCGGTATGCACATATGATGGAATATTATTCAGTGTTAAAAATGGAGGAAATCTTGCCACATATGACAACATGAATGAACTTTGAGGACATTATGCTAAGTAAAAGAAGCCAGTGATAGAACAAATACTGTGTGATTCTACTTAGAGGACGTATTTAAGATAATCAAAATCATAAAACCAGATAATAGAATGGTGGTGACCAGGGATTGGGAAAAAGGGGAAATGAGGAGTTGCTATTCAATGGGTATCAAGTGTCAGTTATGCAAGATGAATAAGTTGTAGAGATATGCTATATAACGTCATGCCTATAGTTAACAATACTGTAAATTTTGTAAACTTAAAATTTGTTGAAAGTAGATCTCATGTTGTGTTCTTACTATAATGAATTTTTTTAGAAAGATATTTCATGCAAAGACTAACCAAAGGAGAGCAGAGAGAGATGGCTATACAAATATAAGGCAAAATAGACATTAAGGCAATAACTGTTACAAGAGACAAAGAAGGACATTAAATAATGATGAAATGGTCAATGCACCAAGAAGTAGAACAATTGTCAACATATTCATTAAATATCAGATCTCCTAAATACATAAAATAAACATTGATAGAATTGAACGGAGAAGGCTGGGCATGGCAGCTCATGCCTGTAATCCCAGCACTTTGGGAGGCCAAGGAGGTGGATCACCTGAGGTCAGGAGTTCAAGACCAGCCTGGCCAACATGGCGAAACCCTATCTCTCCTGAAAACACAAAAAATTAGCCAGGCGTGGTGGTGTGCACCTGAAATCCTAGCTACTTGGGAGGCTGAGGCAGGAGAATTGCTTGAACCCAGGAGGCAGAGGTTGCAGTGAGCTGAGATCGTGCCATTGCACTCCAGCTTGGACGACAGAGCGAGACTCTGTCTCAAAGAAAAAAACAAAGAAAGTAAAAAGAAAAGAAGAAAGAAAAAAGAATTGAACAGAGAAATAAACAGAACTACAATAATAGTAGGGGGCTCCAAGACTACATATTCATATGGAAAATACAACCATATAGAAGATCAATAAGAAAAATAGAGGACTTGTACACACTATAGGCCAATTAGATATAACAGACATAAAACAGAACACTTACCCACCAATAGCAGAATACACATATTTCTCAAGTACACATGGAACATTCTCCAGGATAGACCATATGTTAAGCCACAAAACAAGTCTCAATAAATCTAAAAATATTGAAAACATACAAAGTATCTTTTCTTTTTCTTTTTCTTTTTTTTTTTTTTTTGAGACAGGGTCTCGCTCTGTCCTCCAGGCTGGAGTGCAGTGGCACAATCTCCGCTCACTGCAACCTCCACCTCCCGGGTTCAAGCTATTCTCTTGTCTCAGCCTCCTGAGTAGCTAGGATTACAGGCACGCACCACCATGCCCGGCTAGTTTTTATATTTTTAGGAGAGGTGGGGTTTCACCATGTTGGCTAGGCTGGTCTCAAACTCCTGAGCTCAAGTGATCTACCCACTTCAGCCACTCAAAGTGCTGGGATTACAGACATGAGCCTCCACGCCCAGCATCTTTTCTAATCTCAATGGAATGAAACCAGAAATCAGCAGCAGAAGGAAAACTGGAAAATTACCAAACGTGGAAATTGAACAACTCACTTGTAAACAACCAATGGATCAAAGAAGAAATCACCAGGGAAATTAGGAAATATCTTGAGATGAATGAAAATGAAAATACAGGCCCGGTGCGGTGGCTCACGCCTTTAATCCCAGCACTTTAGGAGGCTGGGGTGGGTGGATCACCTGAAGTCAGGAGTTCAAGAGCAGCCTGGCCAACATGGCGAAACCCCGTCTCTACTAAGAATACAAAAATTAGCCGGGCTTGGTGGCACACGCCTGTAATCCCAGCTACTTGGGAGGCTGAGGCAGGAGAATCGCTTGAACCTGGGAGACGGAGGTGGCAGTGAGGTGAGATCATGCCACTGCACTCCAGGCTGGGCGACAGAGCAAGACTCCGTCTCAAAAAAAGAAAAAGAAAAAGAAAACGAAAATACAACTTACCAAAACTTGTAGGATGTGGCAAAAGCACTGGAAAGAGGGATATTTATGGCTGTAATCACTTATACTAAAAAAAAGAAAGATCTCAAATCAACAATCTAACTTTATAATGTAAGGCTCTAAAAAAATAAAAACAAAATAACCCAAAGCTAGAAGAAGGAAGGAAATAATGGAGCAGAGAAAAATGAAATAGTAAATAGAAAAATAATCGAGAAAATCAAGAAAATCAAGAGTTGCTTCTTTGAGAAGATTAACAAAATTGACAAATTGTTAGCCAGATTAACTAAGAAAAAAACAGAGAAGACCCAAATAACTAAAATCAGAAATAAAGAGTGGACGTTAAAACCAATTTTACGGTTCCACCATGGCCTGTGGCCCAGGGACTGCTTCGAAACTACTGGGAGCGACTACTGCGGAAGCTTCCACAGAGCCTGCCGGGCTTTCCTAGTTCTCCGTGGGGACCAGCATTAGCAGTACAGGGCCCAGCCATATTTACAGAGCCAGCAAATGATACCAGTGGAAGTAAAGAGAATTCCAGCCTTTTGTATAGTATCTTTTGGATTGAAGCTCCCAAAAACAGACGCACCATTGAAGTTAACCTGTGTAGGAGAAGAAACCCTCAGAAGCTTATTAAAGTTAAGAACAGTATAGGCGAGCACCGTGGCTCACGCCTGTAATCCCAGCACTTTGGGAGGCCGAGGTGGGCGGATCACGAGGTCAGGAGATCGAGACCATCCTAGCCAACACAGTGAAACCCCGTCTCTACTAAAAATACAAAAAATTAGCCGGGTGTGGTGGCGGGCGCCGTAGTCCCAGCTACTCGGGAGGCTGAGGCAGAAGAATCACTTGAACCCGGGAGGCGGAGGTTGCAGTGAGCCGAGGTCGCGCCACTGCACTCCAGCTTGGGCGACAGAGCGAGATTTCGTCTCAAAAAGAAAATGAAAAAAAAGAACAATATAGATGTTTGGTCCTGAATGTGGTCACCTGAAACAGAAATATGTCCTTTGTGGCTACTGCTATGAGAAAGTGCGCAAGGAGACTGCAGAAATCAGACGACAGACGGAAACAAGAAGGGAGGCGTTTTAAGGCTCCCACCATAGAGACTATGGTGCTGTACACAGGAGAGACGCCGTCTGAACAAGATCAGGGCAAGAGGATGATTGAACGAGACAGAAAGTGACCATCTTGGTTCACCCAGAATTGACACCAAAGATGTTAAAAGGATAACTTCACAGTAAATCATTTATCCTGAAATAGAGGAAGATTCTTTATGTTGTTGTGCTTGTTTTTTAATCATCAATATAGTTTAACACATTCTTTCTAAGCAGTTTTGTGCGGGATAATTTGAAGAATATATTATGAGTAAACGCTGAAAATTTTGTGTATCCAAAGGCTCAATGGATTATGTTTCTATTACATATAAGGTTTAAGTAAACATAAAATTTCCAGAACAAAAATAAAAAATTTAAAATTCATAGCAAGAAAAAACAATTTTACAGAAATACAAAGGATCTTAAGAGACTACTGTGAATAATTGTAGGTCAACAAATTGGATAACCTAGATGAAAGGGACAAATTCCTAGAAAACAAACCTACCAAGACTGAATCATGCAGAAATAGAAAATCTGAACAAATATGTAAGTAGCAAGGACACTGAATCAGCTATCAAAAACCTCTCAAAAGAAAACCTCAGGACCCTATGGGCTCACTCATGGATTCTACAAAACATTTAAAGAAGAACACAAATACTCCTGAAACTCTTCCAAAAGAAAAAAAAATGAAGAGCAGGGAAAACTTCCAAATTCATTTAATGAGACCAGCATTATCTTGATACCAAAGCCAGACAAAGGCACTACAAGAAAACTATAGACCGATATCTCTGATAAATAGTGATTCAAAAATATTCAACAAAATACTAGCAAACAGAGTTCAACAGCACATTAAGAGAATTATACATCATGACAAGTGGATTTATTACTGAAATGCAAGATTGGTTCAACATATGAAAATCAATCAATGTAGTAAACCACATTAACAGAATAATGGAAAAAGCCCACATTACCACTTCAACTAATGCAGAAAAACATTTGACAAAATTTAACAGTCACTTATGATAAAAACACTTTATAAACTAGGAATGAATAGCAGGAAAATACCTCAAGATAATAAAGGCCATATATGAAAAACCCACAGCTAACATCATACTTAACAGTGGAAGAATTAAAACATTTCCTGTAAGATGAGAAACAAACAAGGATATCCACTATCATCACTTCTATTCAACATTGTATTGGAAGTTCTAGCCAGAGTAATTAGAAAAGAAAAAGAAATAAGAGGCATCTAAATTAGAAAGGAAGAAATAGTTATGTCTGTTCACAAATGATATATCTTATATGTGGACAACCATAAAGATTACACACACAGACACACACAGATAGACACACACACACCTGTTAGAACTAAAAAATAAATTTAGTGAAGTTGCAGAATACAAAATCAACACACAAAAATCAGTTTCATTTCTCTACACTATGAACATCTCTACAAATGAACAATTTGAAAAGGAAATTAATTTTAAAATTCTATTTAGAATAGCATTAAAAGGCCGGGTGCAGTGGCTCACACCTGTAATCCCAGCACTTTGGAAGGCTGAGGCAGGCAGATCACTTGAGGTCAGGAGTTTGAGACTAGCCTGGCCAACATGGCGAAACCCTGTCTGTCCTAAAAATACAAAGATTAGCCAGGCGTGGAGGGGCATACCTGTTATCCCAGCTACTCGGGAGTCCGAGGCAGGAACCCGGGAGGCAGAGGTTGCAGTGAGCCAAGATTGTGCCACTGCACTACAGCCTGGGCAACAGAATGAGACTCTGTCTCAAAAACAAAACAAAACAAAACAAAAACTACAAAGTGTTGCTGAAGAAAACTGAACTGAACTGTGTTCATGGATTGGAAAATAATATTGTTAAAATGTCAGTAGTACACAAAGTGATCTACAGATTTATTGCAATTAGTATCAAAGTCACAATAGTATTTTTTGCAGAAATAGAAAAATGTATCCTGAAATTAATATTTCAAGGGGCCCCAAATACCCAAAACAATCTTTTAAAAAAGAACAAAGTTGTATTTTTCCCACTTCCTGATTTCAAAGCAAAGCATATTACATAGCGGCCGGGCGTGGTGGCTCATGCCTGTAATCCCAGCACTTTGGGAGGCTGAGGCGGGCGGATCACCAGGTCAGGAGATTGAGACCATCCTGGCTAACACGGTGAAACCCCGTCTCTACTAAAAATACAAAAAAATTAGCTGGGCTTGGTGGCGGGCACCTGTAGTCCCAGCTACTCAGGAGGCTGAGGCAGGAGAATGGCATGAACCCGGGAGGCAGAGCTTGCAGTGAGCCGAGATCATGCCACTGCACTCCAGCCTGGGTGACAGAGCCAGACTCCATCTCAAAATAAAAAAAAAAAAAATTACATAGCTACAGTAATGAAAACAGTGTGGTACTGACATAAAGACAGACATATAGACCAATGCTAATACATGTGTAGTGGTTTCTGATTGTTATTTTAATTTGCAATTACCACTACATACCTATTATAAGGGCTAAAATCCAAAACACTGACAACACCAATTGCTGCTGGGGATGTGAAGCAACAGGAACTCTCATTCATTGCTGGTGGTAATGCAAAATGTTACAACCACTTTGAAATACACTTTGGCAGTTTCTTATGAAACTAAACATAGTCTTATCATATGATGCTATAATCACACCCTTTGGTATTTACCCTAATGAGTTCTAAACTTCCATCCATACAAAAACCCTCACATGAGATTTTTTATAGCAGCTTTATTCATAATTGCCAAAACTTGGATGCAAGCAAGATGTCCTTCAATAGTGATAAACAAGCTGTTGGTACATCCATACAATGGAATACTATTCAATACTAAAAAGAAATGAGCTATCAAGTCATAAAAAAGTAGGATGAATCTTAAGTTCAGATTGCTAAATGAAGGAAGCCAATCTGAGAAGGCCACATACTGGGATTCCAACTATATGACATTCTAGAAAGGGCAAAACTATGAAGACAGTAACAAGGTTAGAGGTTCAGAGAGATTCAGAAGTGGTAGTAGGGAGAGAGTAGGTGAAACACAGGTGATTTTTAGGGTTTGATACTGTAATGGTGGACACATTCATTACACATTACATTTGTCATAACCCATAGAAGGTACAACACAGAATCAACCCTAATGTAAATTATGTATTTTAATTAATAATAATATATCCATATTGATTCATCAATTCTAACAAATATACCACACTAATTCAAGATGTTAATAATACAAAAAATAAGCAGAGTGAGGTGGTATATGGGAACTCTCTATACTTTCCACTCAATTTTTCTTTTGTTTTTATTTCCAACTTTTATTTTAAGTTCAGGGGTACATGTGTACATGTGCAGGATGTGCAGGTTTGTTACATAGGTAAACGTGTGTCATGGTGGTTTGCTGCACAGATCATCCCATCACCTAAGTATTAAGCCCAGCATCCATTAGCTATTCTTCCTTATGCTCTCCTTCCTCTCACTTCCCACCCTCTGACAGCCCCCAGTGTGTTTTGCTTCCCACCATGTATCCATGTGATTTCATCATTCAGCTCCCACTTGTTTGTGTCCTTTCTGATTTCCTTAAGCAGTGGTATGTAGTTCTCCTTATAGAGGTCCTTCATTTCCCTTGTTAGCTGTATTCCTAGGTATTTTATTCTTTTTGTAACAATTGTGAATGGGAGTTCATTCATGATTTGGCTCTCTGCTTGCCTGTTGGTGTATAGAAATGCTAGCAATTTTTGCACATTGATTTTTGTATCCTGAGACTTTGCCAAAGTTGCTTATCAACTTAAGAAACTTTGGGGCTGAGACAATGGGGTTTTCTAGATATGGGATCATGTTACTTGCAAACACAGATAGTTTGACTTCCTCTCTTCCTATTTGAATACCTTTATTTCTTTCTCTTGCCTCATTGCCCTGGCCAGAACTTCCAATACTGTTTTGAATAGGAGCCCAGTTCTGAGCCCTTGCTGGAGAGGTGTTTCAGTCATTTGGAGGAAAAAGGGCACTCTGGCCTTTTGAGTTTTCAGCGTTTTTGCATTGATTCTTTCTCATCTTTGTGGGCTTATCTACCTTCAGTCTTTGAGGTTGCTGACCTTTTGATGGGGTTTTTGTGTTTGTTGTTGTTGTTTTCTGTTTGTTTTTCTTTTTAGAGTCTTCCCACTCTTCCACAGGGCTGCTGTGGTTTGCTGGGGCTCCACTCCAGACCCTAGTTGCCTTGGTTTTTCCTGTACCTGGAGGTATCACTGGTGAAACAGCAAAGATGGCACCCTGCCCCTTCCTCTGAAAGCTCTGTCCCAGGAGTGTACTGGCCTATTGCCAGCCCGAACACACCTGTAGGAGATGGCAGGAGACCCCAGTTGGGAGGTCTCATCCAGTCAGGAGGAACAGGATCAGGGGCTTGCTTGAAGAAGCAGTCTGGCTGGCCAGGCGCGGTGGCTCACGCCTGTAATCCTAGCACTTCGGGAGGCCGAGGCGGGCGGATCATGAGGTCAGGAGATCGAGACCATCCTGGCTAACACGGTGAAACCCCGTCTCTACCAAAAATACAAAAAAGAAATTAGCCGGGCGTGGTGGCGGGCGCCTGTAGTCCCAGCTACTCGGGAGGCTGAGGCAGGAGAATGGCGTGAACCCGGGAGGTGGAGCTTGCAGTGAGCCGAGATCACGCCACTGCATTCCAGCATGGGTGACAGAGCGAGACTCCGTCTCAAAAAAAAAAAAAAAAAAAAAGAAGCAGTCTGGCTGCTTTTTGGTAAGGCACCTGTGTTGTGTTGGGGATCCCTTCAGTCCCCAGATGGTTTGGGCTCTCGAAGGCCCACAAACTGGACCGGCTGAGAAGCCCAGACGGCCAAGGTGGTGGCCTGCCCTGCCCCTCAGGCACTCCATCCCAGGGAGAAATTAGAGCTCTGTCGGCCCTGTAGAACGTGAGTGGGGGTGGCCAGAGGCCCCAGCTGGGAGGACCCGGCTGGGAGGACCTGCCCTGCGAGGAGGAGTGGATCAGGGTCCCACTTAAAGAAGCAGCCTGGCCACGCCTTGACAAAACAGCTGTGTTGTGGTGGGGAACTGCCTCTGCCCCTGTCGCCTTAGACTCTCCAAAGCGCGCAGGCTGGACAGCTAAGTCCTGGTCCAACCAACCCAGGTGGCAGCCCTCCCCTCCCCCAGGCACTCCGTCCCAGGGAGAAATCAGAGCTCTGTGCCTAATACCTGAGGACGGGTGTGGCTGGAGTGCCTGGCTGGGAGGTCCCACTCAGTAAGGAGGAATGGATGGGGCCCTGCTTAAAGAGGAAGCCTGGCCACAATCTGGCAAGGCTGCTGTGCCGCGCTGCTGGGGGTACCCTTCCTCCTCTGGACCATTTGGACTCTCCAAAGCCTGCAGGCTGGAATGGCTGAGTCATTCAACCAACACAGGTGGCGGCCTTCCCCTCCCTCAGGCACTCTGTCCCAGGGAGAGATCAGAGTTCTGTCCCTAATATGTGCGGGGGATGTGGCTGGAGGGCCTGGCTGGGAGGTCCCACCCAGTGAAGAAGAATGGATCCTGTGCCACATTAAGAAGCAGTCTGGCCACGATCTGGCAAAGCTGCTGTGGTGCTCTGTTTTGGGGACTCTTCCTTGTCTGGGCCGTTTGGACTTTCCAAAGCCCACAGGCTGGAACAGCTGAGTCGACCAAACAACAGAGATGACGCCTGCCCATCCTCAAGGTGGCTCAGTCTGGTCTCAGGTAGGCTTCACCCTGTTGCCAGTAGCTGGCTGGAATTCCAAGCCAGTGAGTCTTATCTTGTGAGGTGCAGTGGAAATGGGGCCTCCAGAAAGACGCCACTCAGGCTGGGTGCGGTGGCTCACCCCTATAATCCTAGCACTTTGGGAGGCGGAGGCGGGTGGATCACTTGAGGTCAGGAATTCGAGACCATCCTGGCCAACATGGCGAAACCCTGTCCCTACTAAAAATACAAAAATGAGCCCGGCGTGGTGGCGGGAACCTGTAATCCCAGCTGCTCGGAAGGCTGAGGCCGGAGAATCGCTCGAACCCGGGAGGCAGAGGTTGCAGTGAGCGGAGATGCCGCCACTGTACTCCAGCCTGGACAACAGAGTGAGACTGTCTCAAAAATAAAAAATAAAAAAAAGAGAGAGAGACGCCACTCAGCTCCCGGGATTCCGCCCCCTTCCTAGGGGTATGTGGGGGACCTCCTGCCTTGTCTCCTGCCTCCTGTCTGAGTTGCAGACATATTTGTTGGGGATTCTGGGCCGGAGTATGTAAAGCTCCTGGGTCTGTGCGTGCCTGAGCAGCTGCTCGGCCCAGACTCGGCACAGCTGTGTGTGTCAGACCCAAGGCCCTGGAAGCGTGGGCTCACAAGGGGATCTTCTGATCCACAAGTTGCAAAGATCCATGGAAGAAGCACGGTTTCCAGGGTCACACAATCACTCACCGCTTTCCTTGGCCTGGTGTGGGGGTGTTGCTCCCGGGTGGGCTGTCGCCCCACCCTGCTTTTCTTCGTTCTCCGTGGGTCCAGTTATTTCCCTAATCAGTCTCAATGGGAGAACCTGGGTATTTCAGTTGAAGGTGCTGTATTCACTCGCCCCTTTTGTTCCTCCCACTTAATTTTTCTGTAAACATAAAACTGTTCAAAAAGTAAAGCCTATTAATTTAAAAACTATTCTAGTAGTGATATCATTTAAGGTTTTGCAAAATGTTATTGAGAAAACTGGGTACAGTATATTATTTCTTACAACTGGCTATGAATGTGAATCTACAATTATCTCAATAAATTTTTTAAAAACCTCCACAAAGACATGGAAAATATGAGAAAAAAAGAGAGGAAAAACACAATTATACAGTTTAATTATACATAAATGTATATAATTAAACTAATTATATACACTAAATGTATATAATTATACATTAATGGAGTTCTAGAAAAGAGAACAGGGTAAATAAAAGGAAGGAAATTATCAAACAAATAAAACAATGATTTCAGAGTAGAGACATGAATTTCAGATAAAAAAAGTCCACTCACAAGTGCTCAGCAAAACAGATAATGGAAAAAACATCCAAGTTCTGGGTAGGTCACTGTGACATTTCAAAACATTAGGTATCAAGAAAAATTTTAAGCTTTCAGAAGTGGGGAAAACAAGTTGCCAAGAAAGGAATGACAATAACAATAATATTAACATCTGAGTTCTAATCAACAATGATGACAATGCACACTGAAAGCATTATCTTCAAAATTCAGATGAAAGAATATTTTAAACATAGAATTCTAAAGCTAAACTGTCCTTATGAAGGTAAAATAACTACATTTTCAGACATGCAAAGAACCCCAAATTTACCTTTCTGTAAGCTTAGTGTTCCATTTTTGGAACACTAAGCATGTAAGAATTATTTATATCGTACTGCTCAAGCTCATTGCCAAGGTCTGATGGCAAAAATTCAAAAAAATGCAACCTCAGACATAAATGGGCTAAGAAGTTACTTTATCACAGGTATGTATGTACAGGAAAAAGAAGAGAAGTTACTTAAGGATGTTCTCCAACAAAGTGCATGATGTATCAGTCATGGTTCTTGGATTCAAGTAACCGAAGCAGACTCTAGTTAACTTACGCGGAAAAGGGATTTTTTATGAAGTTATCAGTTAGCTCACAGAAGTCTGGAGAATCAGGCTGAAAACACAGAGTGGGAGCCAGGAAGGTAGGCAGGAGGAACCACAGCTAAGGGCCTACCATGGAAACAGCCTGGTTTAGAAGGCTACTGCTGGTACTAGTACCCCTACTGCTCCTACCAGTGAACCTTAGCCTACCAGCACATGGCACTGCAAAGGAGCGCTAATTGTCCTGACATCTGGTGTTTTGGTTTATTTGTTGTGGACTTCAGAGTTGAGTTAATCATAATCTGCAGGCCGGGTGCGGTGGCTCAAGCCTGTAATCCCAGGACTTTGGGAGGCCAAGGTGGGTGGATCACGAGGTCAGGAGATCGAGACCATCCTGGCTAACACAGTGAAACCCCGTCTCTACTAAAAATACAAAAAATTAGCTGGGAGTGGTGGCGGGCGCCTGTAGTCCCAGCTGCTCGGGAGGCTGAGGCAGGAGAATGGCATGAACCCGGGAGGCGAAGGTTGCAGTGAGCCGAGATCGTGCCACTGCACTCCAGCCTGGGCGACAGAGCAAGACTCCGTCTCAAAAAAAAAAAAAATCATAATCTACAATTCGCGGCACATTATCACCAGTTCACTGAAGGCTGCTCTTTTACCTTATTTGTTTTATTATTCTTCTTCCCCATCAGTCCGTATCCTCACTCTCATTCTCCTGCCCGACTTAATTACACTTAGCCTCTTAGTGTAATTCATATATGTATGCTTTCAACCCACCTTTCATATGTTTATTTGTGTGTATATCCATGAAAATACACAGTGTTGTTTTACATTTTCATAAAGAGAATTATGCTATAAGTCTCTGTTTCTTACTTTTTTCACTCAGTACTGGGTTTTGGAGACCTATCCATGTGGCTCTATGTAAATCTAGCTTATTACTTTTAATTGTTTTGTAATTTTCTATTCTATGAATATACAACAGTTTGCTTACCCCATCCCATGGTGATGAACACCTGGATTGCTTCCAATTCCTCACTACCACAAACAGTGCTGCAATGAACAACCTCAACTACATTTCCTTAGGACTTGTGTGAGAATTTCTGTGGAATATATGCCCAGAAGCAGGATTGCTGGGTTATAGGGTATACACATACTTAATTTCATGGTTTGGTACGGCCAAACTCTCTCTGGAATACCCGTACCAGTTTACATCCCAAATCATGTTTGTCCTTTTCCTCACATCCTCATCAGCCCTTGATAATATCTGACTTTCTATCTGTTACCATTGCTATAGTGACTTCTCACCGTTATTTTAATTTTCATTTCTCAAATCATTAGTAGGGATAAAAATCTCTTAATATATTCAAATTTCCCCTTGTGTAAACTCAAGTTTCCCCTTCTGTAACTTATTCTTCATATCCTATGCCCATTTTCCTATTGCATTTACTATCTTCTTTTTCTATTTATTGTTCTTTTGTCAGGTTTGCCTATCACAAACATATTCTCCTAATCTATCATCCTTGTGTTAGTTTTGTAATATTTCTGGCTTATTTGTGTTGCTGGCTCCAGATTCAAAGCCGTGAAAAGATTAGTCAGTCCTTGTTGCCTCGTGGTCAGGGAAAGGAAGTATCTGACCACCATCAGTTTCCATAGTAGGAAGTGGGATCCCACCTCTCACCAAGACTCTAGAGGGAAATTCCCCAAAACAGGATGAAATGTTGTTCGGGAGCACTAGAGTTCATTCCTTTGGTTGTCTAATATCCACATATACTCTTCCTCCCATACTTACACTTTGAAAAAAATGTTTCCACTGAATACAGTGCAAATATACCTCATATAAACCAAACATGCACCCATCCCCTTTCCAGAGTGAGAAAACCAAAAACATAAATTAGAATGCTTTCAGGGGCAAGCAATAGAAAACCCAACTCAAACTGTCTTGAATAGTAAATGCAATTCATTGGCTGACTTAACTGAAGAGTCCACAGGCAGGGAGATTTCAGGCATGGCATGATCTGGAATATGGTTCCATTTCTGTGATTCTCTTGGCTCTGCCTCCTCCATTTTTCAGCTCCATCCTCAGGTAGGCCTTCCACATGTTCACAAGATGGCTAACAGCAGCAACCAGGCTACATGCTTCTTTGTTCTTATCCAAGGGAAGATAGGTCATCTCCTCCCTCAAAAGCTGAATAAAAGTCCTAAGCCTCATTGTGATTGGGTCATCCCTGAACCAGTCATCACTGTGGCTAGGAGGGTGAAATTACTCAGATCAGTTTATACCAATAAAGGCCTACACCTAGAGCTGGTGGTGGGGTCAATCCCACTCACATCCCATAGTGCGGGAGGAGTGGAATGGATGCTGCAGAAAAACTACAATGTCCACAAGGGAGTAAACTAAGAAAGAGGAAGATATGGGGTCCAAGAAAGATTGGGTTTGTATTAGGCCATTCTTGCATTGCTACCAAGAACTACCTGCGACTAGGTAATTCATACAGAAAAGAGGTTTAGTTGGCTCATGGTTCTGCAGGTTTTACAGAAAGCATGGTGCTGGCATCTGGTTGGCTTTTAGAGAGGCCTAAGGTAGCTTACAATTATGGCAGAAGGCAAAGGGGAAGCAGGCATGTCACATGGTGAAAGCAGGAGCAAAAGAGAGTTGGGGTGTGGGGTGCCACATACTTTTAATGGACCGGTTTTCCCAGTAACTCACTCACTACTGCAAAGACAGTACTGAACCATGAGAGATCGGCCTCCATGACTGAAACATCTCCCACCAGGCCCCACCTCCAGCATTCAACATGACATTTGGGTGAAGACAAATATCCAAACTATATCAGAGTCCAACCTAGAAGAATAATGAAGAGACGTCCCAGGATGACAGCTGCACCGCAGGCCTACAGAGCAATCAGTCCAAATTGGAACAGGAAGATGGAGGACTCCAGGAAGAAGGTATCTGGGAAAAAGGGGGATTCAAATTATTTTATACTTTCCTTGAGAATTTGGAATAACTTTAGGTGACAAAGTCAGACAATGCAAGGAAGAAAAGAAAGACAATTAGAAACTCCAGGGGAAAAAAACTGTACAAGAAAAGAAATATAGGCCAGGCATGGTGGCCCACATCTGTAATTCCAGCATTTTGGTAAGCTGAGGCAGGTAGATAACTTGAGCCCAGAAGTTTGAGACCAACCTGGGCAATATGGAGAAACCCTGTCTCTACAAAACTACAAAAAAAATTAGCTGGGCATGGTGACACACCCTGGTAGTCCCAGCTACTCGGGAGGCTGAGGAAGGAGGATCTCACCTGAGCCCCAGGGATTGAGGTTGCAGTGAGCTGTGATCGTGCAGCCGACTGCACGCCAGCCTGGGGGACAGAGCAAGACCTTGTCTCAAAAAAAAAAAAAAAAGGAAAAAAATAAATAATCATGCTATGCTAATTGGATCTTTCTGGAACAGTATTTATATCATCACAATAGTGTAAACACTTATCAACCCCAGATTATGCAGCTATTTTAACAGTTTCATTTTTGCTATTCATGTGAAACCGCTGCCTGGAATTTTCTATTCTCCTGTAACCATCCTATATTATTCCTGTCTCAGGATGACATAATTATGGTTATAAACAGGATATAATTTATTAACCTTCGGGCCGGGTGCGGTGGCTCAAGCCTATAATCCCAGCACTTTGGGAGGCTGAGGCGGGTGGATCACCTGAGGTCAGAAATTCGAGACCAGCCTGGCCAACATGGTGAAACCCCATCTCTACTAAAAATACAAAAAAATTAGCTGAGCGTGCTGGCAGGCGCCTATAATCCCAGCTACTTGGGAGGCTGAGGAAGGAAAATCACTTGAACCCAGGAGGGGAAGGTTGCAGTGAGCCGAGATCATACCATTGCACTCCAGCCTGGGTAACAAGAGCAAAACTCAGGCTCAAAAAAAAAAAAAGTATTAACCTTGTTAATATAAAAGTAAAAGTACAGATGGCAGAAGTTAAGATATAGAAAGGAGAATATAAGTCTATTAGTTAAAGGCACAAAGGTAAGGAATAGAGAATATGTAATTAGTGACATGGCTATATTGGGGAAATGAGAAGAGGGCATTTGGGTGGTATAAATAACGGGAAGTCAGTAGATAATGACTAAAATTGATAAATAAGTTAATAAATAGAAAAATCTGTATATATTTAGAGATATTAAGATAATTACCATAAAAAAAAACAATAAAACAAACAGTTAAAGACTAGTAGATTTCCAGGTCAAGAAGACAGATTTACCACGTGTTTATCTCCACTTTCTCCTGAGACCCTGCTAAAAATGATCATAAATAAATTTTATGTTTATTTACTTATTTTTTATATTTTTGAGACGGAGTCTTGTTCTGTCTCCCAGACTGGAGTGCAGTGGCGCGATCTCAGCTTGCTGTAACCTCCGCTTCCCGGTTCAAGTGATTCTCCTGCCCCAGCCTCCCGAGTAGCTGGGATTACAGGTGTGAGCCTCCACACCCGGCTAATTTTTGTATTTTTAGTAGAGATGGGGTTTCACCATGTTGGCCAGGCTGGTCTCGAACTCCTGACCTCAGGTGATCTGCCTACCTCGGCCTCCCAAAGTGCTGGGATTACAGGCATAAGCCACCGCACCCAGCCATAAATAAATTTTTAAAAAGGTAAAAAAACACAATGATGAATACAATGGGAGCAGGTTCATCAGCAGAAGAGAGATTTCATCTGATTTGTGGATGATAGGATGTAAATGGAGGAATGGTGACTGATGGAGCATGGTGGAGGAAGCCACAGCCTGGGGTACGCATGGAGGTGATGCTTCAGAGGAAGGAGTTGCTCTTTCTCTGCAGGAGCCTGGAGCGTCTTGGTCTTGACAATGCCAGGTATGATGAAGGGTGGGAGTGAGATGTGGGGCTGAATACAGGGATTTTAATTGAAAGTCTATATATAAAACTGTCAACTCATCCCTTTGTGTACAATTTACAGCAGCCAGGTGTCTACCTATTAGGCAAAAAATGTAGAGTTCTTCTCTAATGAAACTGAACAACCTTAGAGAAAAGACCATGGCATTTGGCATTCGGAGAGTCTGCAGTATAATAGTCAGATCCTTAATTATACTTAAAAAAAAGACACCGGTTGCCTAGCCCTGTCCCCATGCACAGAGCTTCCAATGAGATTTTTATTGCTGCATTCTTAAATATCAGCCAACAACCACTGATCAGCAAGCATTTGAGAAAAGACTGCAACATCAAAGACAGAGACCAAAATAAGCAAACAGGAAAGAATAATCCCAAAAGGTTTCAACTACATGACATTCTGGAAAAGGTAAAACTATGGAGACAGTAAAAAGATCTGCTCCCCAGGCCCTTGCAGTCTGGGCTTATGATGGGAGAGGCCGCCTCAAGGAGCCCTGAAATGCCTTTAGGGTCATTATTCCATTGTGTTGATGAATAACACCTGATTTCCATTGTGATGGGGCCAGCCATACTAATTTCCTTATCTAACAGTAAATTGGGGGCTGGGTGAAGTGGCTCATGCCTATAAACCCAGCACTTTGAGAGGCCGAGGTGGGTGGATCACTTGAGGTCAGATGTTCGAGACCAGTCTGGTCAACATGGTGAAACCCTGTCTCTATTAAAAATACAAAAATTACCCTGATGTGTTGGTGCGTGCTGTAATCCCAGGTACTTGGGAGGCTGAGCCAGCAGAATCACTTGAACCTGGGAGGCGGAGATTGCAGTGAGCCGAGATAGCACTGCTGCACTCCGGCCTGGGCAACAGAGCAAGACTCCATCTCAAAAAAAAAAAAAAAAAAGCAATAGTAATCTGGCCATACCCTTATTATCTCCAATCAGGCTTTCTCATTTCTTTTCAATATGGATAGGCTGAAAAGTTTCCAAATTTTTAAGTTCTGCTTCCATTTTGATTAACAATTCCATTCTTAAATCATTTCTCTCTTCTCTCATTTGACTATAACCAGGCAAAAGGAACAGGTTGCTCCTTCAACACTCTGCTTAGAATTAGCTTCAGCTAGTCATGGAAGAGTGAGTAGAATGGTGATTGGGCATTGGGAGATATTGATCAAAGAATAAAAATTTTCATTTAAACAGGAGGAATAGGTTCAAAAGATCTGTGGTACAACATAATGACTATGGTTAACAGCAATGTATTGTATACCTGGAAATCACTAAAGGAGTAGATTTTAAGTGTTCTCACCACACACAAAAATGTTAAGTATGTGAGGTAATGCATATATTCATTAGCTAGGTGTAGCCATTTCAAAATGTATACATATTTTGAAACATCAGGATGTACTCCATAAATATTTCTATTTTTATTTGTCAATTTCAAAAAAAAAAAAAGAAATGGGCTGGGCGTGGTGGCTCACACCTGTAATCCCAGCACTTTGGGAGGCTGAGGCAGGTGGATCACGAGGTCAGGTGTTCGAGACCACTGGCCAACATAGTGAAACCCCGTCTCTACTAAAAATACAAAAAATCAGCCAGGTGTGGTGGTGGGCACCTGTAATCCCAGCTACTCGGGAGGCTGAGGCAGGAGACTCTCTTGAACCTGGGAGGCGGAGGTTGCCGTGAGCCGAGATCGCGTCACTGCACTCCAGCCTGGGCAACACTGTGAGACTCTGTCTCAAAAAAAATAAAAAATAAAAAAATAAAAGAAATGGCATCAGTTAAATATCCAATTTCATTGCTCACAAGTTCTAACTTCCATGGAACACTAGGACATAGACATTGTGGAATGATTATATCAAGCTAATTAACATATCCATCACCTAGCACACTTATTGTTTTTGTAGTGAAAACATTTAAAATCTATTTTTTAAGCAATTTTGGAATATACAATACATTATTACTAACTATAGTCACTATGCTTTGCAATAGATACTGAAAACTTATTACTTCTAACTGAGACCTTATACTCTTTGATCAACATCTCCCCATTCCCCACCTTCACTCATCCACTCCCTGATAACCACCATTCTACTCTCTACTTCTGTAAGTTGGAGTTTTTGGTTCCACATATAAGGAAGATCATGTAATATTTATCTTTCCATGGCTGGTTTATTTTACTTAGCATAAATGAAGGTATGTTCCATCTATGCATAATTAGCTCAGAATTTTTATCATTAAGGGATGTTGAATTTTATTAAATGCTTTTCTGCATCTATTAAGATGACCATATTTTTTTCCATCATTCTATTGGTGTTATGTATCACATTTATTGATTTGCATATGTTGAGCTATCCTTGCATCCCTGGAATAAATCCCATTTGATTATGGTGTATTCTTTTTTTGGTGTGTTATTGGATTTGATTTGCTTGTATTTTATTGAGCATTTTTGCTTATATGTTCATCATGGATATTGGCCCGTAGCTTTCTTTTTTGTTGTGTTTATGCCTGATTTTTGAATTAGAGTAATGCTAGTCTCATAGAATAAATTCTGCTTAACATTTTAAGAATCATTTGAGAAGAATTGGTATTACTTCTTTATATGTTTGGTAGAATGTGGCAGTGAAGCTATTCAGACCTAGGATTTTCTTTCTTAGAAGACTTTTTATTACTGGTGTAATCTCATTGCTCATTATTGATATGTTCAGGTTTTTTCTTCTTGATTCAATCTTGGTAGGTCATTTGTGTCCAAATATTTATCCATTTCTTCTAGGATTTTCAGTTTGTTAGCATATGGTTGTTCATAATAGACTCTATGATCTTTTGTATTTCTGTAGTATCCATTGTAATAAATCCTCTTTGTTTCTGATTTTGTTTATTTGGGTCTTTTTTTTTTTGGTTAGTCTAGCTGGTAGTTTATCAATTTTGTTTATCTTCTCAAAAAACCTTTTCGAATTAGGAGGGCAGAGGAAGATGGTGGAATAGAAGCCTACACCATTCTTCCCCCGACCCCAACTGGAACACCAAATTTTAACAATTATCTGCATACAGAAAAGCACCATCACAAGAACAAAAAATCAGGTGAGCAATCACAGTACCTGGATTTAGCTTCATATCTCTGAAAGAGGCATTGAGGAGGGCAGGAGAGACAGTCTTGAATTGCCGACACCATACCTCTCCCATCCTCTGGCAGTGTCTGTGTGGTGCAGAGAGATAATCTGTGTACTTTGGAGAGGGAGAGTGCAGCAGACTGGGACGACTTCACATTGAACTCAGTGCTGCCCTGTTGTAGCAGAGAATAAAGCTGTACTAGGCTCAGCCAGCACCTGCACATGGAGGAAGCATTTGGACCAGAGGGAAGTCAGCCATCTGAGTGGTCAGAACTTGAGTTTCTCAGCAAGCCTCACCACCATGGGCTGAAGTGCTCTGGGGTCCTAGGTAAACTTGAAATGCGGTCTAGGACATGGGAACTGCCATTCCTAGGCAAATCCTAGTGTCCGGCTGGGCTTAGAGCCAGGGAGACACCAGCTGGGGTAGCTAAGGGAGTGCTTGTGCCATTCTTCCCCCAACCCTAGGCAGTGCAGCTCAAGGCAATGAAAGTGACTCCCTCCTTCTGTTTAAGGAGAGGAGACTGAAGAGTAAGCAGGACTTTGTCTTGCATCTTGGATACCAGCTCAGCTACAGTAGGACAGGGCATTGGACAGAGTTGTGAGGCCCCCATTCTGGGCCCTAACTCCTGAATGACATTTCTAGATACATACTGGGCCAAAAGGGAACCCAGTGCCTTGAAGGGAAGGACCCAGTCCTGCAGGATTCATCATGTGCTGACTAAAGAGCCCTTAGGCCCTGAATAACCAGCAGTAATATGCAGGGAGTATGCTGTGGGCCTCGAGCTCTGAGATGTACTGGCTTCAGGTGTGACCCAGCACATTCCCAGCTGTGACGGCTAAGGTGAAAGACTCCTTCTGTTTGAGAAAAGCAGAGGGAAAAGTAAAGGAGACTTTGCCTTGAACTTTAGGTACCAGCTCAGCTACAATGAGGTAGAACAACATGCAGGCTCTTGGGTTCCCTGAGTCCAGGCCTAGGCTCTTGGACAGCATTTCTGGACCTGCCCTGGGCCAGAGGGGAGCCCAATGCTTGAAGGGTGAATCCCAGGCCAGGCAGCATTCACCAAAAGCTGACAGAAGAGCCCTTGGGCTTTACTTGAATACCAGTCAGAATGGCTATTATTAAAAAGTCAAAGGCTGGGCATGGTGGCTCACGCCTGTAATCCCAGCACTTTGAGAGGCCGAGGCAGGCGGATCACCTGAGGTCGGGAGTTCCAGACCAGCCTGACCAACATGGAGAAACTCTGTCTCTATTAAATTACGAAATTAGCTGGACGTGGTGGCACATGCCTGCAATCCCAGATACTCGGGAGGCTGAGGCAGGAGAATCACTTGAACTTGGGAGGTGGAGGTTGCAGTGAGCCAAGATCGCACATTGCACTCCAGCCTGGGCAACAAGAGCGAAACTCCATCTCAAAAAAAAAAAAAAAAAAGCTTCTGCACAGCAAAGGAAACAATCAACAAAGTGAAGAGACAATACACAGAATGGGAAAAAATACATTTGCTAACTACTCATCTGACAAGGGAATTGATTAATAACCAGAATAAACAAGGAGCTCAAACAACTGTATTGGAAAAAAATCTAATACTCCAATAAAAAAATGGGCAAAAGATTTGAATAGGCATTTCTCAAAAGAAGACACACAAATGACAAACAGGCATATGAAAAGGTGCTCAATATCACTGACCATCAGAGAAATGCAAATCAAAACTATAGTGAGATATTATCTCACTTCAGTTAAAATGGCTTTTACCCAGGCAGAACCAAGACTGCTATGGTTGCTGTTTGCGGTGGTCTAGGGAGGAAGAAGTTGACACACCTGGTAACGGCTGCTGTCAGCCTTACACATCCCGGGACTCCCATGGTGCTTTCGAGAAGGGGTTATTCACAATATAAACAGGTATCCAGCATTGAGGACCTGCCCACTCCAATGGAAAACCCTTATAAAGAATCTCTTAAGAAGTGTGTCTTGTGTGGAAAGCATGTAAATTATAAGAATGCACAGCTTTTGTCCCAGTTTGTTTCTCCATTTACTGGATGCATTTATGGAAGGCACGTTACAGGTCTTTGTGGGAAGAAACAGAAAGAAATCACAAAAGCAATTAAGAGAGCTCAAATAATGGGGTTTATGCCAGTTACATACAAAGATCCTGCATATCTCAAGGACCCTAAAGTTTGTAACATCAGATATCAGGAATAAATTCTATCACATTACCACCAATAAACTTATTTTACAGTAAAAAAAAAAAAGGCTTTTATCCAAAAGTCAGGCAATAACAAATGCTGGTGAGGTTGTGGAGAAAAGGGAACACTAATACACTGTTGGTGGGAATGTAAATTAGTACAACTACTAAGGAGAACAGTTTGGAGGTTTCTCAATAAAACTAAAAATAGAGCTACCATGATCCAGCAATCTTACTGCTGGGTCTATACCCAAAAGAAAGGAAATCAGTATATTAAAGACTTATGTGCACTCTCATGCTTGTTGCAGCACTGTTTACAATAGCTAAGATTTGGAAACAACCTAAGTATCCATCAACAGATGAATGGATAAAGAGAATGTGAGCCGGGCGCTGTGGCTAATGCCTGTAATCTCAGCACTTTGGGAGGCTAAGGCGAGCGGATCACCCAAGGTCAGGGGTTTGGGACCAGCCTAGCCAACATGGTGAAACCCAGTCTCTACTGAAAATATAAAAATGGGCCAGACGTGGTGGCGGGCACCTGTAATCCCAGCTACTCGGGAGGCTGAGGCAGGAGAATTGCTTGAACCCGGGAGGCAGAGGTTGCAGTGAGCAGAGAGCGAGCCACTGCACTCCAGCCTGGGCAACAGGGTGAGACTCTGGCTCAAAAGAAAAAAAAGAAAATATGGTACTTATACACAATGGAGTACTATTCAGCCATAAAAAGAATGAATTCCTTGAGACATAACTTTAGGTTGTTTATTTGTGATCATTCTTCTTTTTGTTTTTTTGTTTGTTTGTTTGTTTTGTTTTTCTGAGACGGAGTTTCACTCTTGTTGCCCAGGCTGGAGTGCAATGGCATCATCTCAGCTCACTGCAGCCTCCACCTCCCAGGTTCAAGCAATTCTCCTGCCTCAGCCTCCAGAGTAGCTGGGATTACAGGCATGTGCCACCACACCCGGCTAATTTTGTATTTTTAGTAGAGATGGCGTTTCTCCATGTTGGTCAGGCTGGTCTCGAACTCCCGACCTCAGGTGCTCACCTCGTCCTCCCAAAGTGCTGGGATTACAGGCATGAGACACCGCACCTGGCTAATCATTCTTCTTTTTGAATGTAGGTGTTTATTGCTATAAAATTTCCTCTTTGCTGAATCCCATAAGTTTTGGTATGTTTTGTTTCCATTTTTGTTTGTCTCAAGATATTTTTAAATTTTGTCTTTATTTATTGACCAATTGGTTGTTTAGGAACATGTTGTTTAATTTTCATTTATTTGTGAATTTCCCAAAATTCTTTTTATTATTTATTTCTAGTTTCATACCTTTCTGGTTGAAAAAGACACTTGATAGTATTTCAATCTAATTAAATTTGTTAAGACTAGTTTTGGCCAGATGCGGTGGCTCACGCCTGTAATCCCAGCACTTTGGGAGGCCGAGGCGGGCGGATCACCTGAGGTCAGGAGTTCAAGACAAGCCTGACCAACATGGAGAAACCTCATCTCTACTAAAAATACAAAAATCAGCCGGGCCTAGTGGCGCATGCCTGTAATCCTAGCTACTTGTGAGTCTAGTGCAGGAGAATTGCTTGAACCCAGGAGGCGGAGGTTGCAGTGAGCCAAGATCATGCCATCGCACTCCAGCCTGGGCAACAAGAGCAAAACTCCATCTCAAAAAAAAAAAAAAGACTTGTTTTGTGACCTAACGTATGCTGTACCCTGGAGAATGTTTTGTGTGCTCTTGAGAAGAATGTGTATTCTGTTGCTATTGAATGGAATGTTTTTTATATGTCTGCTATGTCCGTTTGGTCTAAAGCGTATTTCAAGTCTAACATTCCCTTATTAATTTCCTGACTTGATGATCTGTCCATTGTTGAAAGTAGGATATTGAAGTTTCCTAATATTATTATATTATAGTCTATCTCTGTCTTTGGATCTATTAACATTAGCTTTATATATGTAGGTGCTCCAATGTTGTATGCATATATATTTAAAATTGTTATATCTTCTTGATAAATTGTTTCCTTTATCATTATATAACGACCCTCTTAGTCTCTGTATTAGTCCATTCTCATATTGCTATACAGAAATACCTGAGACTGGGTAATCTATAAAGAAAAGAAGTTTAATTGGCTCACAGTTCTGCAGGCTGTACAGGATGCATGCTGCTGGCATCTGCTTGGCTTCTGGGGAGACCTCAGGAAACTTACAATCATGGCAGAAGGCTAAGGCAGAGCAGTCATGTCACCAGAGCAAGAGCAAGAGCAAGAGAGAGAGGGCCAGAGTTGCCACACACTTTTAAACAACCAGATCTCACAAGAACCCACTCACTATCACAAGGACAGTATCAAGGGGGATGGTGCAAAACCATTCATGAGAAATCCTCTGCCATGATCCAAAAACCTCCCATTAGGCCGCACCTCCAACATTAGGGATTACAATTCAACATGAGATTTGGTGGGGACACAGATCCAAACAATATCAGTCTTGTTTTAGTTTTTGACCTAAAGTTTATTTTTTCTTAAATAAGTATCACTACCCCTGTTCTCTTTTGGTTTTCATTTGCATAGAATGTCTTTTCCCATCCTTTCACTTTCAATCCATGTGTGACCTTAAAAGTTAAGTGAGTCTCTTCTAGGGAACACATAGTTGGGTCTTGTTTTTTATTCATTCAGTCACTCTATGCCTTTTGATTGGAGAATTTAATCAAGATAATTATTGATAGATAAGAACTTCTACTGCTATTTTGTTGTTTTTCTGTTTTTTGTTTTTGTTTTTGTTTTTTTCTGAGACAGAATTTTGCTCTTGTTGCTCAGGCTGGAGTGCAATGGCACTATATCAGCTCACTGCAACCTCCGCCTCCCAGGTTCAAGCGATTCTCCTGCCTCAGCCTCCCTAGTAGCTGGGATTGCAGGCACCCACCACCACGCCTGGCTAACTTTTGTATTTTTAGTAGAGAATGGATTTTGCCATGTTGGCCAGGCTGGTCTCAAACTCCTGACCTCAGGTGATCCGCCTGCCTTGGCCTCCCAAAATGCTGGGATTACAGGCATGAGCCACCGTGCCTGGCCTTTCTGGTTATTTTATAGAGCCTTTGTTCTTTTCTTTCTCTTGCTGTCTTCCTTTATGATTAGATTATTTTCTCTAGTAGTATACTTTGATTACTTACTTTTTATCATTGTATATCTACTATAGGTTTCTGTTTTGTGGTTACCATGAGGCTTACATAAAACATCTTACAGATGGAACAAGCTAGTTTGAGCTGATGACAACTTAACTTTGATCACATTAAACAATTGTAAACTTTAACTCCACCCTGCACACATTTTATGTGTACAATGATACAATTTACGTCTTTTATATTGTATATCCCTTAACAAATTATTGTAGCTATTATGTTTTTAAGCTTTAAAAACACTGATCATATTTCAGATTATTGCACACTGAGATGGTCTTTCTGCCAGCACTTCATGGTTACACCGTATCATTTGCAACTGTGCTTTTGTATGGCTTTTTAAAAAAGTTTTATTTTTAATTTCCAATAATAATTGTATGTACTTATGGGGTACAATGTAATGTTTTGATACTTGTATACATGTGGAATAATCAAATCAGGCTAATTAGTATATACATCACATCAAATATTTATTATTTCTTTGTGGGAAGAAGATTGATTGATTGATTGATAGAGACAGGGTCTTACTATGTTGCCCAGGCTGGTCTCAAAGTCCTCAACTCAAGTGATCCTCCCACCTCAGCTTCTCAAAGCACTGGGATTACAGGCCTGAGCCACCATGCTTGGCTGAAAGAACATTTTAAAATCTTCTCTTTTAGCTATTCTAAAATATACATTAGTATTAACTGTAGTCCCCATGCTGTGCAATGGTACGCCAGAACTTATTAGTCTAACTGTAACATTGTAACCATTGACCAACATCTCCCCTTTGCCTGTCCATTCCCACCCCTTTCCCCCCAGCATCTGGTAACCACCATTCTACTCTCTACTTCTAGGAGTTAAACTCTTTTAGAGTCCAGATAAAAGTGAGATCATATGGTTTCTGTCTCTCTGTGCCTGGCTTATTTCACTTAACGTAATGTTCTCTAGGTTTATTCATTCATTCACGTTGTTACAAATAGAATCTCCTGTTCTTTTAAGGGTGAGTAGTATTCAATTGTGTGTGTGTGTATATATATATATATATGACATCGTTAAAATTTATTCATCCTTTTATGGTCACTTAGGTTTTTTCCATATCTTGGCTATTGTGAATAATGCTGCAATGAACATTAGAGTGCAGACATCTTTTTGACATACTGATTTCAATTCCTTTGGGCATATACCCAGTAGTGGGATTGGTGTATCATATAGTAATTCTATTTTTAGTTTTACTTTTTTTAGGGGGCGGCCTTAAGTCATGTGTTTATTTTTTTCATTTTACTTTTAGTTGACACATAATAATTATACATATTTATGTGGCACAGTGTAGTACTTTGATACATGAATACAACGTGTAATGATTAAACCAGGTTCATTAGGATAGCCATCACCTCAATCGTTTATCATTTCTTTGTGTTGGGAACATTAAAAATTCTCTTTTCTAGCTTTTAAACATATACAATAAATTATTGCAAACTATATTCACCCTATAGTGCTATAGAACACTAGAACTTATTCCTCCCATCTAGCTATAATTTTGTTTCTGTTAACTAGCTTTTCCCTACCCTACCTTCCTCCCTCCCCTTTCCAGCTTTTAATGACCATGATTCTACCTTCTACTTTTATAAGCTGAATTTTTTTAGCTCCCACATATGAGTGAGAATTTCTGGCATTTATCTTTCTGTACCTGACTTATTTCACTTAACATTATATCCTATCCTCCAGGTTCATCCAGGTTGCCATGAATGACAGAATTTCATTCATTTTCATAGTTGAATAGTATTCCACTGTGTATATGTACCACATTTTCTTTATCCACTCATCTGCTGATGGACATTTAGGGTGATTACAAATTTTGGCTATTGTGAACAGTGCTGCAATAAACGTGAGGTTGCAGAGATCTCTTTGATATATTGATTTACTTTCTTTTGGATAAATACCCAGCAGTGGGATTTACGGATTATATGGTAGTTCTATTTTTAGTTTTTTGAGAAACTTCCACACTTTTTTTCCATAATGGCTGCACTACTTTACATTCCCAACAACAATGTATAAGAGTTCCCTTTTCTCCACATCCTTATCCACATTTGTTATTTTTTGTCTTTTTGTTTTTGTTTTCTTTTTTTTTTTGCTTTCCACATATTCTAATTTGTCTTTTTGATAATAGCCATTTTAACTGGGGTGAGATGAAGTTTCATTGTGGTTTTGATCTGCATTTCTCTGATTAGTGACGTTGGGCATTTTTTCATATACCTTTTGGCCATTTGCATGTCTTCTTTTGAGAAATGTCAATTCAGATCATTTGCCCATATTTTAATTGTATTATTATTGGGTTTTTTGCTGTCGTTATTTGAGTTCCTTATATATTCTGGTTACTAATCCCTTGAGAGCCTCTCAAACCTTTACTGTGGATGTGCATGCTCACAGTTATACACATTCTCCCAATCTCATAGAGTCCTGTTGGCAACAGTAAGCTACCTTCTTTTTCCTAGGGCAGTACACTGAAAGGCTGTAACATTGGATGCATGCTCCACTCCTCTCCCTCCCTCCTGAGGAAGAAGTCTCGGGGTCCCGTTCCTTCTCCTGATCCTACAGAACTGTACTGGCTGCGGTATGCTGTCCACCTTTTATCTTTTCTCTTGGCTGCCCCCAGGTGTTCAAACTATGCCAGTTCCCTCAGAAATCTCATACTGGAGATTGGTTGAGATAGGACAGAAACAGGTCCCTCAGGTAGTGCCTCAAAATACTAAGGATGTTGAATGCATGTTCCACTACATCTTCCTCCTGAAGAAGAAGTCGTGGGCTGAGACCATCTCTCTCAGCACTGAGCTGGCCCAGTGTAAGGGGGTGGCTTACGCAGGTAAAGTGAAATTCCTTTTCTTACTTGTTTCAATGTGGCTGTTACTGATTTTGTGCTTTTTTGAAGAACGACAATTTCTTAACTGGATTCTGAATTACTAATAAAGGTATTTTGGTCTCTGTATTGTTAAATTGGTGTTTCTGTGGTGGGATCAGGGCTAGGACTTCCTATTCTGCCACTTTGCTGACATCACTCCTAGATCTTACTTATCTAATAGAAACACTTACAAGCATATATTTCCATCTAAGCACTATTTTTACTAAATCCCATAAAATTTAATTTGTTGTGTGTTTCATTTTCATTTTGTTCAAAACAGTTTTCTAATTTCCCTTATGATTTATTTCTTTACCCATGGATTATTTGGAGTGTGTTGTTTAATTTCCAAATTTTTATTGATACATAATATTTGTACATATTTATGAGGTACATGTGATATTTTGTTACCTGCATGTATGTGTAATGATCAAGTTGGAGTATTTAGGGTATGCATCACCTCAAGTATTTATCATTTCTATGTGTTGGGGACATTACAAGTCCTCTCTTCTAGCTATTTTGAAATATACAATACATTGTTGTTAACTGTAGTTATCCTACTCTGTTATTGAACATTGGAACTTATTCCTTCTGTATAACTGTATGTTTGTACCCATTAACCAACCTCTCGGTTCATCTCCCTAACACATATCCTTCTCAACCTCTAATATATATCATTTTACTTTCTACCTCCAGATCAACTTTTTTAGCTCCCACATATGGGTGAGAACATGTGATATTTGTATTTTGGTGGTTGGTTTATTTCACTAAGCATAATGACCTCCAATACCATCCATGTTGCTATAAATGACATGATTTCATTTTTTATGGCCAAATAATATTATACTGTGTATACATACCACATTTTCTTTATCCATTCATCTGTTGATGGACACTTACCTTGAGTCTATATCTTTGCTATTGTAAGCAGTCCTGCAATAAACATGGGGGGGTGCAGGTATTCTTTAATATGCTAATTTAATTTCCTTTGGATAAATACCCAGTAGTGGGATTGCTAGATCATATCTTAGTTCTATTTTTAGTTTTTTGAGAGATCTCCATACTGTTTTTCATAGTGGCTGTATTAATTTACATTTCCACCAACAATGTATAAAAATTTCCAAGCCAGGCACCATGGCTCACGCCTGTAATCCCAGCACTTTGGGAGGCCGAGGCGGGTGGATCACCTGAGGTCAAGAGTTCAAGACCAGCCTGGCCAACATGGTGAAACCCTGTCTCTACTAAAAATACAAAAAAATTAGCCAGGTATAGTGGCGGGCACCTATAATCCCAGCTACTTGGGAGGGAGGCTGAGGCAGGAGAATTGCTTGAACCCGGGAGGCGGAGGTTGCAGTGAGCTGAGATTGTGCCACTGCACTCCAGCCTGGGCAACAGAGTGAGACTCCGTCTCAAAAAAAAAAAAAATTTCCTGTTCTTCACATCTTTGCTACCATTTGTTGTTTTTTGCCATTCTAACTGGGGTAAGATTAATTTGCATTTCCCTGATGATTAGCGATGTTAAGCATTTTTTACATATAAAATTAGCAATGTTGAGCATTTTTTACATATAATTATTGGCCATTTGTATGTCTTCTTTTAAAAAATGCCTATGCATGTCTTTTGCCCACTTTTTAATGGGATTATTTTTTGTTATTTTTAAATGGTTTGTGTTTCTTGTATATTCTTGATATTAGTCCTTGTCAGATAAATAATTTGCAAATATTTTCTGCCATTTAACAGTTTGTCTCTTCACTCTGTTGATTGTTTCCTTTGCTATGTAGAAGCTTTTTTTTTTTTTTTTTTTTTGAAACAGTCTCACTCTGTCACCCAGGCTGGAGTGCAGTGGTGCAATCTTGGCTCACTGCAACCTCCGCCTCCTGGATTCAAGCTATTCTGCTACAGCCTCCTGAGTAGCTGGGACTACAGGTGCGTGCCACCATGCCAGGCTAATTTTTGCATTTTTAGTAGAGACGGGGTTTCACCATATTGGCCAGGCTGGTCTTAAACTCATGACCTCGTGAGCCCCCGCCTCGGCCTCCCAAAGTGCTGGGATTACAGGCGTGAGCCACCGCACCTGGCCTGCAGAAGCTTTTTAGTTTAATATAGTCCCGTTTGTCTATTTTTGTTTTTGTTTCCCAGGCTTTTGAGGTCCTGGCCATAACATCTTTGTCTAGACCAATGTCCTGAAGTTTTCCTCCTATGGTTGCTTCTAGTGGTTATAGAGATTCAGGTCTTATGTTTAAGTATTTAATCCGTCTTAAGTTAATTTTTTAATATGGTGAAAGATAGGGGTGCAGTTTCATCTTTCTGCATATGGATATGCAATTTCCCCAGCATCTTTATTGAAGAGAAAAGTGTTCTTTCCCCAACGTATGTTCTTGGCACCTTTGTTGAAAATCAGTTGGCTGTAAATATGTGGATTTATTTCTGTGTCTCGATTCTGCTCCATTAGTCTGTGTGTCTGTTTTTATGCCAATACCATGCTGTTTGGGGTAATATAGCCTCGTAATATATGTTGAGGTCAAGTAGCGTAATGCCTTCAGCTTTGTTCTTTTTTGTTGGGATTTCCTTGGCTATTTGGGGTCTTTTGTGATTCCATACAAGTTTTAGAAATGTTTTTTCTATTTCTATGAAAAAAATGACTTTAGTATTTTGATAAAGATTGCATTAAATCTGTAGATTGCTTTGGATAGTATGGTCATTTTAATGATATTAATTCTTCCGATCCAAGAGCATGGGATACCTTTCCATTTATTTGTGTCCTCTTCTATTTCTTTTATCACTGTTTTGCAGTTTTCCTTGTGGAGATCTTTCACCTCCTTGGATAAACTTATTCCTAGGTATTTTTGTACCTATTTTAAATGGGATTGCCTTCTTGATTTCTTCCTCAGCTGGTTTCATTGGTGTATGGAAATGCTACTGATTTTTGTTAGTTAATTTTGTGTCTGTGACTTTCCTTAGGTTTTTCTATGTATAAGATTATGTCACATGCAAAGAAGGACGATTTGACCTCCTCTTTTCCAATTTGGATGCTTTTTACTTCTTTCCCTTCTGTTATTATGCTGGCTAGGACTTCCAGTACTATGTGAAGTGGTGGAGTGGTGAAAGTGGGCATCCTTGTCTTGTTCCATTTCTTAGAGAAAAGGATTTCAGCTTTTCTCCATTCAGTGTGATGTTATCTGTTGGTTTGTCATACATGGCCTTTATTATGTTGAGATATGTTCCTTCTATGCCTAGTTTCTTGAGAGTTATTTATCATGAAATAACAACGAATTGTATCAAATGCTTTTTCTATTGAGATGATCTTATAGTTTTGGTGCTTCATTCTGTTGATGTGATATGCATCTGTTAAATCACCCTTGCATCCCTGGGATAAATCTCAATTGATCATGGTGCACTATATTTTTAATGTTCTGTTGGATTCAGTTTGATAGTATTTTCTTGAGCATTTTTGCTTCTATGTTCATCAGGGATATTGGCCTCTAGTTTTTTATTTGTTGTTGTTGCATCCTTGTCTGGTTTTGGTAACAGGGTAATGCTGGCCTTGTAGAATGAGACGGAAAATCCTCTTGTCTTCCGTCTTTTGGAATAGTTTGAGGAGCTTTGGTGTTAGTTCTTCTCTGTATATTAGGTAAAATTTGGCAGTGAAGACATCTGGTCTAGTCTTTTTTGTTGTTGTTTTGCGGAGACTTTTTTTTATTACTAGCTTAATCTCATTACTTGTTATTGGTTTGTTTCAGTTTCCTATTTCTTTCTGATTCAATCTTAGTAGGTTTATTGATTTTTTTCTTTTTCTTTTTTCTTTTTTTTTTTTTTTTGAGATGGAGTTTCACTCTTGTCGCCCATGCTGGAGTGCAATGGCGTGTTCTCGGCTCACTGCAACCCCCGCCTCTCGGGTTCAAGCGATTCTCCTGCCTCAGCCTCCCGAGTAGCTGGGATTACAGGCACCCGCCACCATGCCCGTCTAATTTTTTTGTATTTTTAGTACGGGGGGGTGGTTTCACCATGTTGGCCAGGCTGGTCTCGAACACCTGAACTCAGGTGATCCACCCGCCTCAGCCTCCCAAACTGCTGGGATTACAGGCATGAGCCACCGTGCCTGGTCCAATTTTGGCAGGTTTTATTTCTCCAGGAATTTATCCATTTCCTCTAGGTTTTCCAGTTTGTTAGTGTATCACTTTATAATAGTCTCTGATGCTCTGTTATATTTTTGTGTTATAAGTGAAGGTGTCTTCTTTTTATTTTCGATTTTAATTGTATCTTTTTTTTTTTTGAGACGGAATCTTGCTCTGTCGCCCAAACTGGAGTGCAGTGATGCGATCTCAGCTCACTGCAACCTCCACCTCCCGGGTTCAAGTGATTCTCCTGCCTCAGCCTTCCGAGTAGCTGAGATTATAGGTGTGCACCACCATGCCTATCTAATTTTTGTATTTTTAGTAGAGACGGGGTTTCATCATGTTGGCCAGGCTGGTCTTGAACTCCTCACCTCAGGTAATCCACCCACCTCGGCCTCCCAAATTGCTGGGATTACAGGCGTCAGCCACTGCGCCCGGCCTGTATCTTCTGTCTTTTTATCTTGGTTAGTCTAGCTACAATTTAACGATTTTGTTTATCTTTTCCAAAAACCAACTCTTTGTTTTGTTGATCCTTTGTAGTGTGTGTGTGTGTGTGTCTAATTTTTTTTTTTTTTTTTTTTTTTTTTTGAGACGGAGTCTCGCTCTTTCACCCAGGCCGGAGTGCAGTGGCGCGATCTCGGCTCACTGCAAGCTCCGCCTCCCGGGTTCACGCCATTCTCCTGCCTCAGCCCCCCAAGTAGCTGGGACTACAGGCGCCCGCCACCGCGCCCGGCTAATTTTTTGTATTTTTAGTAGAGACGGGGTTTCACCGTGTTAGCCAGGATGGTCTCGATCTCCTGACCTCGTGATCTGCCCACCTCGGCCTCCCAAAGTGCTGGGATTACAGGCGTGAGCCACCGCGCCCGGCAATGTGTGTCTAATTTTTTAAGTTTTGCTATGCTCTTTATTATTTCTTTTCTTCTAATTTTGGATTTGGTTCTTTCCTGCTTTTCTATTTCTTTGAAGTGCATCATTAGATTGTTTATTTAAAATCTTTTTGCTTTTCTAATGAAGGTGCTTATTGTTATAAACTTCCCTCTTAGTGCTGCTTTTGCCATACCCCATAGGTTTTGATATGTTGAGTTTTAATTCTCACTTGCTTTTTTCTTAATTTTTAGTTTCTGTGGGTATGTGGTAGGTATATATTTTGGGGGCACATAAGATATTTTGATGCAGGCATCTAGTATGTAATATTCACATCAGGGTAAATGGTGTATCCCAATTTTCATTTATTTTAATAAATTTTTGATTGCCTCCTTAATTTCTCAAATATTATTCAGGAGCATGTTGTTTAATTTCCATGTATTTATACAGTTGCCAAATTTGCTCTTGTTATTGATTTCTAGTTTTATTCCATTGAGGTCTGAGAAGATACCTGATATAATTTCAAATTTTTAAAAATTATTGAGACTTGTTTTGTGGCCTACAATATGGTCTATCCTGGAGAATACTTCATGTGCTGAGAAGAATGTGTATTTTGTAGCTGTTGGATGATATGCTCTGTAAATATCTGTTCGGTCCATTTGGTCTATAGTGCCAATTAAGTTCAATGTTTCATTGTTGATTTTCTGAATAGATCTGTGTAATGTTGACACAGCGGGGTTGAAGTCCTATTATTGTATTGGAATCTATCTCTCCCTTTAGATCTAATATTTTCTTTATATATCTGTTCCAGCATTAGGTGCATATATGTTTAGAATTATTACATCGTCTTGCAGAATTGATCCCTTTATCATTATATAATGACCTTCTTTGTGCCTGTTTACTGTTTTTGGCCTAATGTCTGTTTTATCTGATGTAAGTATAGCTACTCTGCTTGCTTTTGGTTTCTGCTTACATGGAATATCTTTTTCCATCCCTTATTTTCAGTCTATATGTGTCTTTATAGGTCAGATGAGTCTCTTATAGGTAACATATAGTTGAGTCATGTTTTGCTATCCATTCAGCCATAACTTTTAAGTGAAAATTTTCATTTATTTACATTCAAGATTATTATCAACATGCAAAGGATTATTCCTATCATTCTATTAATTGATTTCTGGTTGTTTTGTGTATTCTTTGTTCCTTTCTTTCTCTCATTGTTTATCTTTGTGGTTTGGTGGTATTCTGTAGTGGTAATGTTTGAGTTTTTTCTCTTCCTTTTTTTTGTTTGCTTTACCAGTAGCTTTTATACTTTTGTGCGTTTCATGATGATAATTATTGTTCTTTTGCTTCTGGGCGTCGTATTTCCTTAAGCAGCATTTCTTTTTTCTTTTTTCTTTTTTCTTTTTTTTTTTTTTTTTTTGAGATGAGTCTCTCTGTAGCCCAGGCTGGAGTGCAGAGGCGCGATCTTGGCTCACTGCAACCTCTGCTTCCCGGGTTCAAGCAATTCTCCTGCCCAGCCTCCTGAGTAGCTGGAATTATAGGTGCGTGCCACCATGCCCAGCTAAATTTTTTTGTAGTTTTAGTAGAGACGGGGTTTCACCATGTTGGCCAGGCTGGTCTTGAACTCCTGACCTCATGATCCACCCGCCTCAACCTTCCAAAGTGTTGGGATTACAGGTGTGAGCCACCACACCTGGCCCATGAGCATTTCTTAAAAGGCCAGTCTAGTGGTGATTAATCCCTCAGCTTCTCTAGGAAAGACTTTATTTCTCCTTCATTTATGAAGGATAGCTTGACCGGGTGTAATATTTGTCTGACAGTTTTGTTCTTTCATCATTCAAATATATCATCCTGTTCTCTTCTGGCCTGTAAGGTTTCTGCTGAGAAATCTGCTGTTGTTCTGATGGGGGTTCCCTTATAAGTGACTAGCTACTTTATTCTTGCTGTTTTTAGAATTTTCTCTTTGTCTTTTGGCAGTTTGATGTGCCATGGATACCTTTTAAATTGTATCTGTTTGGGGATCTTTGAGCCTCATGTGTCCAGATGTCTAAAACTCTTGCTAGGCTTGGGAAGTTTCCATCTGTTATTTCATTACATAGATTTTCTAACCCTTTCATTTTCTCTTCACCTTCTGGGACACAGAAAATTCGAATATTTGGTTGCTTCATGGTGTCCCATGTATCATATGGCTTTGTGCCTCTTCTTCCTCCTTTGCCTCCTCCTCCTCCTTCTTCATCTTCTACGGTGTCTTGCTCTTTTGCCCAGGCTAAAGTGCAGTGGCACAATCATAGCTTACTGAAGTCTCAGACTCCTGGGCTCAAGCAATCCTCCTACCTCAGCCTCCTGAGTAGCTAGGACTACAGATATGTGTGACCACACCTGGCTAATTTTTTTTTTTTTTTTTTAGAGAAGGGATCTCGCTATGTTGCCCAGGCTGGTCTTGAACTCCTGGCTTCAAATGATCCTCCTGCCTTGGCCTGCCAAAGTGCTGGGATTACAGGCATGAGCCACTGCACCTGGTCTGTGTATTATTTTTATTCTTTTATCTTTATTTTTTCTGACTGAGTTATTTCAAAAGACCTGTCTTTGAGTTCTGAGATTTTTTTCTTCTGCTTGATCTAATCTATTGTTGAAGCCTTCAAATATATTTTGCTATCGGTGGCTCACGCCTGTAATCCCAGCACTTTGGGAGGCCAAGGCAGGCGGATCACTTGAGGTCAAGAGTTCAAGGCCAGCCTGGCCAATATGGTGAAACCCTGTCTCTACTAAAAATACAAAAATTAGCTAGGCATGATGGTGGGTGCCTGTAATCCCAGCTACTCGGGAGGCTGAGGTGGGATAATTGCTTGAACCCGGGAGGCGGAGGTTGCAGTGAGCCAAGATAGCGCCATTGCACTCTAGCCTGGGCAACAGAGCGAGACTCCGTCTCAAAAAAAAAATTTTTTTTCATTTATATCCAGAGCTGTTTTTCTGATTTCTTTGTCTTATTTTTCAGTATTCTCTTATGTCTTACAGTGCTTCTTTAGAATTGACATTTTGAATTATTTTTCCAGGTTTTGTACATTTCTTTTTGATTGAGATCTCTTGCTAGAGAATTATTATCTTCCTTCGGAGGTGTCATATTTATTTCCTTTTTCATGTTTCCTGTGTCCTTACATTGACATCTGTACATCTGGAGTAACAGGCACTTCTTCCATTTATTTGAATTTGCTTTCATAGGGGAGGACTTTTTGCTGAAGATGTATCTATGATGTCCCTACAATAAGAAAAAGGCTAAACAGGAGCAAAGGCAGAGGGAAGAACAATTAGGATGCTACTGAAATTATTTAAGTAAGAGATGAATTAGATCAGCATGATAACAGTGAAAGTGTTAAGAAGTCAGAATGTAGATATATTTTAAACTAAGAATCAAATATACACAATGGAGTTTTTAGCAATAAAAAAGAATGAGATACTGTCATTTGCAACAACATGCATAGAACTGGAGATCATTATGTTAAGTGAAATAAGCCAGGCACAGAGACAAACGTCACATGTTCTCACTTATTTGCGGGATCAAAAAATCAAAACAATTGAACTCATGGACGTAGAGAGTAGAAGGAAGGTTACCAGAGGATGGGAACGGTAGTAGAGGAGGTGAAGGGGGAGTGGGGAGGGTTAACATGTACAAAAAGCATAGTTAGAAAGAATAAATAAGACCTAGTATTTGATAGCACAACAGGGTGACTAGTCAAAAATAATGTAATCGTACATTTAAAAGTAACTAAAAGAGTATAATAGAATTGTTTATAACACAAAGGATAAATGCATGAGGTGATGGATACCCCATTTACCCTGATGTGATGATTATGCATCACATCACATCAAAATATCTTATGTAGGCCAGGCATGGTGGCTCACACCTGTAATCCCAGCACTGTGGGAGGCTGAGGCGGGTGGATCATTTGAGATCAGGAGTTCAAGACCAGCCTGGCCAACAGGGTGAAACCCCATTTCTACTAAAAGTATAAAAATTAGCTGGCGGTAGTGGGGTGCACCTGTAATTCCAGCTACTCAGGAGACTGAGGCAGGAGAATCACTTGAACCCAGGAGGTGGAGGTTGCAGTGAGCCGAGATCGTGCCACTGCACTCCAGTCTGGGTGACAGAGTGAGACCCTGTCTCAAAAAGAAAACAAAAAAAATCTTATGTACCTCATAAATATATACATCTACTAGGTACCCACAAAAATAAAAAATAAAATAAAATAAAGATTTTTATATACCACAAAACTGACTTTCAAGTATAAACAACACAGAAAAGCTCTTATGCAAAAACTCAGGGAATATTTTTCCCATGAAACCTTCCTGAAGAATCTACCAAAAAACCAGGCCCAGATAACCAGATCCAGATAACCAGATATATGTTTATAACCAAGCATAGGACTGGTTGTAAGCATGAAATGTATAATTATTATAGAACTAAGAATAAACATGTGTTAAGAGAGAGAGAATATATTATGTAGGCTATGTGCTCTGACAATATAGATATTGTATGACTATTTTTAAAAATTGGTAGTAGAGAATGGAGAGATCATATGCCCAAAATATTTTAATATCTCCAGTATTTATATTGGTAGTATTATTAGTATAAATTTAAATGGTAAAAAATTAAAAAGATGATGAAGGAAAGGTACATGGATTTGTGGACAATAACAACTATAGTGCCTAAGGAAGTGACATTGGGATGATAAAACTACAACAAACTTACAAGAAATTAATTGGTATAAAAACCAGGATAGTAGTTACTTATTATGGATAGTGGGGACTATGATTGGGATGTGGCACATAGAAGGGGCTTCCTGGGTGACTGGCAAAGTTCTATTTCATATCTGGGTGCTTTTCACCTTTTAGTAATTCATTAAGCCATATATTTGATCCATGTGGTTTTCTGTTTCTATGTTTTGTTTCATAATACAAAGATTATTTTTAAAAAGAGTCTCAGAAACAGATGAAGCAGTTATCTCCTTTTTTCTGTAGCTATAAATAGTCACTATTCTTTATCCCAGACAATTTAAAACAATCTGACTTGTTAAAATGTTAGGTTTAAAACTCTCACAGAAATATATATTTTTTCCCTCTGTGCAAAATAGAGGCTTCTGTGTTTTCAGTAGTGGTTATCAATTGACACATTATTTCTTCATACAAATCTAGCCTTGGAAGTATCATTTGCACAACAGGATCTTGCAAGATGCCAAAAAAAAAAACTTTACAAATTGTTGCCATGTCCTGTGAAAATAGCCTTCAAAAGAAACCTATAATTCTGATTGGCGGTCTTGTTTGATAATTTTTTGACCTTGTAATAATGTTGCAATTGACATCTTTGTGTGACTAAAGAATTTAAATAATTATTTGTAATGTTGCTTTATCAAATCAGAAGTCAATCACTGGCACTTCCTTTCCCATCTAAATGACTTTTTAAAGCCCCATTACTTTGAAGAATGTCTCTTTTTAACAACAACAAAAAAGTGTATTGCAAGATGGAAAACTCTGTAACAATGACAATAAATGAACTACTTAGACACAATTAGGATGCATCTCACAAACATAAATTTTAAAAACAGGTAAAATTTATTTAAAATATTAATAGTCTAGGGTACTGGCTAACATTTGGGGAGACAGTGACCAGGAGGGGGTCCTGAGCGATGGCTTTAAAAGGATAAATAACTACAGGATACTTTGGGGTAGGAATGAGATCCTATCATTACAGGAGTAGATGCTCTCAAGTCGGCAGGTATTTGGAAGTGCATCTTATTTTTCATTTGTCATTTCCCCTGGACATACCTCTCCATTTAGAATTTTATAGAGAGTGATGACAGTGGTCTGGGGAAAGATGCTAATCTCCTTGGGTCTTCTGATAATCATACCATCTTAATACCATACAAATTATACCAAAATAAACGAAATTCCTGGGAGATAAACTCAGAAGATTGACCCATTAAAATGGTGGAAGAAAAACAGTGCAACCCCAACAAAACTCCAATTTTAAAAAAGAAAGAAGAAAGTAGGGAAAGGGTTGGGGGGAGGAGGAGGAGAGACAAACAGAGAGAGACCTTAGTTCAGCATCACCTGGTCAGTGCATTTATTACATCCTGCGGGACACATAAGTGACAGGACAGTGAATCTCATGGTCATCAATTGTTGGATTACATCCTTAGAAGAGAAACAAGTCTTTTGTCAGCAAATCTGGATTCCCTAGGTTCTTCCTCCTGGCAGATTTTCCTTGTCCTGTCCTTCAGGGACAGTCCCAGGAGGAACACTGGAGATGATTGATCCCAGGGGATTATATGGCTGTAACAGCCCACCTCTGGCGGGGGCTGGCATCTTTCTCCTGAACACTGGGATTTCCAGAGGAGCAAGGACTCCCTGCCATGCTGGGTCAAGACTTGGCGGCTTTCCTTGTTGGTGGCCTGTCAATTTTTATTTTGAAGGACTCTGCTGTCCATATGCCAATGTTAGACATTGTTTCACTATCTTCCAGCATTCAGATTTGGGAATGAAACCACTGAAGGCAGTTTGATATTTTTTCTTTTGTGGCATTCCTTTCTGTCTGAAAAGTCAGCATAATGATTCAGAACTACATAGCTCTGATTCTTTTAACCTTTACAAAAACCTTTTTATTTTGAAATAATTACAGATTCATAAGCGCAGATTGGATTTTGAGTCTCAGCTCTGCCACTTGCCAGCTGTGTTCTTGGTAAATCCTTTAAACTCCCTGAACCTAGAGTTATTTCTTTAAACATTTCCATCACCAACCCCGCACCCAACTCCCAGAGCCATGCACTTGTCAACAATGATCTCCATCCACAGCCCTACTACTCTCCACCAATTAGATACCTACCTGACTGTACAGCATCCTCTCCACTCCCACAGACCCCGTGATTTCTGAGCACTTAGGCAACACCACTGCATCTATCTTTACAGTGTGAAGGGCCTTAAAGTTTCTGGAGCCAGAAATATATGGTCTATTGTGCCGACTTGGGAGTCTATCCACCAGTCTGCAACAGAATTCTGAGTGTTAGTGTCCATTATCCCATGGTCAGGACTTACGACCTTGACAACCTGGTGACCCAGTCAATTTTATCCTGCCTCCAATCCCTATTTTCCCTAGTCCCTGCCCAGATCAATGCATTTTGTTGTTTTTCCTCTCTCCCTAATGCTTTGGCTTCCTTTCCCTTCATGTACTACACTCCAGACCTTCTCCTTGCTCTCTCAGATCCTTACAACAAATTCCCTGAAACTCCTGCTCGGTGGCGCACAACTCCTTTACATTCTCAATTTCGATGGAAGTTACTTGTTCTTTCTACCTTAACTTAACCCTGATAATCCCCAGTCACCCTACTTCTACTGCAGCTCTCTACAGTGAGGCTGCTCATTCTATTTTTTTGTTTTTTTTTTTTTGAAATGGAGCCTCACTCTGTTGCCCAGGCTGGAGTGCAGTGGCGAGATCTCGGCTCACTGCAGCCTCCACTTCCCAGGTTCAAGCAATTTTCCTGCCTCAGCTTCCCAAGTAGCTGGGACTACAGGCGCCCACCACCATGCCCGGCCAATATTTGTATTTTTAGTAGAGACAGGGTTTCACCATGTTGGCCAGGCTGATCATCTCAAACTCCTGACCTCAGGTGATCTGCCCGCCTTGGCCTCCCAAAGTGCTGGGATTACAGGCATGAGCCGCCACGCCTGGCCGAGGCTGCTCATTCTTATACTGCCCTTATATATCAGGGTGGAAACAAAAAGACAGTGTCATGACTCCACAATGCTACTGCCAACAAATACTCCCTCTCTACTATGAAAAGGATCATGTTCCTTTGAGGCTCTGGCCATTTGGCTCTACTACTCTTCATCACTGTCACCTACAAACCTATGATATACCCTTTCATACATTTAAAACCTTGGCACTTGGCTAACAGCTCTCTTCATCACAACTCCTGCCATCGTTCTGAATTAATTCAATATTCATCCTGTCCAACCACTTGGCCTGTTTCTTCCATGACCTCATCTCTAATGTCCTTTTTCTACACTCATCTCAGTCACCTATGCCTACAGTTACATCCTGAGTTTTATCATAACTTGAAACTTCTCTGCCTCAGAAACTTCCTATTTAAATATCCTGGTGGGACCAAAGCCTTCTCTCCTTACAGCCTGATACATTACTGCCTTCACTTCATCTCTTCTTACACTTCGTCAAAATTGCTAGGCGAACTAACTCATCTTTCTACCTTTCTTTATATCTCTGCTGTGTCAATTTTTTCCCCATCCACTAAGAATCCATGGTTCATGTTTTCAATGAATGCCTTGTAAATAACCCCAATTTGTTTTCCTCTTTAAAAATTTTTATCTTTAATTTTTATACTACATAGTAAATGAATATGTTTATGGGGTACATGAGATGTTTTGTTTTGATACAGGTATACAATGCGTAATAATCACATCAGGGTAAATGGGGTATCCATCACCTCAAGCCTTTATCCTTTCTTTGTTACAAACATTCCAGTTATACTCTTTTAATTGTTTAAAATGTGCTATAAATTATTGTTGACTGTATTCACCCTGTTGTGCTATCAAATGCTAGATCTTACTAATTCTATCTAACTGTATTTTTGTACCCATTAACCAACCCCACACTCCACCCCACCACTAGCCTTCCCAGCCTCTGGTAACCATTGTTCTACTCTTTATTTCCACGTGTTCAGTTGTTTTAATTTTAAGTTCCCACAGATATGTGAGAGCATGAAAAGTTTGTTTTTCTGTGCCTATCTTTGTTATTTTTGTGTAATTTTTCTCTTTTTTAATTTTTATTTTTTGTGGGTACATAATAGGTGGATTGTTTGTAACACAAAGGGTAAATGCATGAGGTGATGGATACCTCATTTACCTGGATGTAATATTTCCCATTTTATGACTGTATCAAAATAATTACATCCAGGTAAATGAGGTATCCATCACCTCATGCATTTACCCTTTGTGTTACAAACAATCCAATTATATACTTTTAATTATGTTTAAATGCACAATAAATTATTGTTGATAGTAGCCACTCTGTTGTGCTATCGGTGGCTCATGCCTGTAATCCCAGCACTTTGGGAGGCCAAGGCAGGTGGATCACCTGAGGTCAGGAGTTTGAGACCAGCCTGGCCAACATGGTGAAACCTCGTCTCTACTAAAAATACAAAAATTAGCCAGACACAGTGGCAGGAGCCTATAATCCCAGCTACTTGGGAGGCTGAGGCAGGAGAATCGTTTGAACCCAGCAGGCGGAGGTTGCAGTGAGCTGAGATTGTGCCACTTCACTCCAGCCTGGGCAAAAGAGCGAAACTCTGTCTCAAAAAAACCCCAAAAGACTACATCTTATTCATTCTTTCCATTTCTTTGTACCCATTAACCATTCCCATTTACCCCAACCCCACCACAATGCTTCCCAGCGTCTGGTAACCATCATTCTACTCTTTATAGCCATGAGTTCAATTGTTTTCATTTTTAGCTCCCATCAATAAGTGAGAACATGTGAAGTTTGTCTTTCTGTGCCTGGCTTGTTTTACTTAACATAATGACCCCGATTCCACACATTCTTGCATATGACTACAACATTCCTTTTTTGGGCTCATTCTTTTTTATGGTTGAATAGTACTCCGTTGTGTATATGTGCCACATTTTCTCTATCCCTTCATCTGTTGATGGACACTAAGATTGCTTCCAAATCTTGCCTAGTGTGACTAGAGCTTGAATAAACACAGGAGTGCAAATATCTCTTTGATATAATGATTTTCTTTCTTTCAGGTATATACTTAGCAGTGGGATTGCTGGATCATATGGTAGCTCAGTTTTTAGATTTTTGAAGAACCTCCAGACTGTTCTCCATAGTGAATGTACTAATTTACATTCCCACCAACAGTGTATGAGAGTTTCCTTTTCTCCACAGTCTCACCAGCATTTGCTACTGCCTGTCTTTTGGATAAAAGCTATTTTAACTGAGGTGAAATGATATCTCATTGTAGTTTTTATTTGCATTTCTCTGATGGTCAGTGATATTGAGCACCTTTTCATATACCTGTTTGCCTTTTGTATGTCTTCTTTTGGGAAATGTCTATTCAGATCTTATGCCCATTTTTAGTAGGATTATTAGATTTTTTTCTATAGAGTTGTTTGGGCTCCTTATATGTTCTAGTTATTAATCTCTTGTCAGATGGGTACTTTGCAAATCTTTTCTCAAATTTGGGGGTTGTCTCTTCACTTTCTTGATTGTTTCATTTGCTGTACAGAAGCTTCTTAACTTGATGTGATCCCATTTGTCCATTTCTGCTTTGATTACCTGTGCTTGTGGGTTATTACTAAGGAAATCTTTACCTAATCCAATGTCCAATTGGATGTTGCCCAATATTTTCTTGTAGTAGTTTCACAGTTTGAGATCTTAGATTTAATTCGTTAATCCATTTTGATTTGATGTTTGTGTATGGTGAGAGATAGGGGTCTAGTTTCATTCTTCTGCATGTAGATATACAGCTTTGCCAGCATCATTTATTGAAGAGACTGTCTTTTCCCCGAATGTATGTTCTTGGGGTTTTTGTTAAAAATGAGTTCATTGTAAATGTACAAATTTATTTTTGGGTTCTCTACTCTGTTCCATTGGGTTAAGTTTCTGTTTTTATGCCAGTGCCATGCTGTTTTGCTTACTATGGCTCTGCAGTATAATTTGAAGTCAGGCAATGTAATTCCTCCAGTTTTGTTCTTTTTCCTCAGGATGGCTTTGGCTGTTCTGGATCTTTTCCATGTAAATTTTAGGACAGTTTTTTCTTTCTTATTTTTTTCTTTCTTTTTTTTTTATTATACTATAAGTTTTAGGGTACATGTGCACAATGTGCAGGTTTGTTACATATGTATACATGTGCCATGTTGTTGTGCTGCACCCATTAACTCGTCATTTAGCATTATGTATATCTCCTAATGCTATCCCTCCCCCACCCCCCACCCCACAACAGGCCCCGATGTGTGATGTTCCCCTTCCTGTGTCCATGTGTTCTCATTGTTCAATTCCGACCTATGAGTGAGAACACATGGTGTTTGGTTTTTTTCCTTGTCATAGTTTGCTGAGAATGATGGTTTCCAGCTTCATCCATGTCCCTACAAAGGACATGAACTCATCCTTTTTAATGGCTGCATAGTATTCCATGGTGTATATATGCCACATTTTCTTAATCCAGTCTATCATTGTTGGACATTTGAGTTGGTTCCAAGTCTTTGCTATTGTGAATACTGCCGCAATAAACATATGTGTGCTTGTGTCTTTATAGCAGCATGATTTATAATCCTTTGGATATATACCCTGTAATGGGATGGCTGGGTCAAATGGTAATTCTAGCTCTAGATCCCTGAGGAATCCCCACACTGACTTCCACAATGGTTGAACTAGTTTCCAGTCCCACCAACAGTGTAAAAGTGTTCCTATTTCTCCACATCCTCTCCAGCACCTGTTGTTTCCTGAGTTTTTCATGATCACCATTCTAACTGGTGTGAGATGGGATCTCATTGTGGTTTTGATTTGCATTTCTCTGATGGCCAGTGATGATGAGCATTTTCTCATGTGTCTTTTGGCTGCATAAATGTCTTCTTTTGAGAAGTGTCTGTTCATATCCTTTGCCCACTTTTTGATGGGGTTGTTTGTTTTTTTCTTGTAAATTTGTTGGAGTTCATTGTAGATTCTGGATATTAGCCCTTTGTCAGATGAGTAGTTTGCAAAAATTTTCTCCCATTCTATAGGTTGCCTGTTCACTCTGATGGTAGTTTCTTTTGCTGTGCAGAAGCTCTTGAGTTTAATTAGATCCCACTTGTCAATTTTGCCTTTTGTTGCCATTGCTTTTGGTGTTTTAGACATGAAGTCCTTGCCCATGCCTATGTCCTGAATGGCAATAGCCTAGGTTTTCTTCTAGGGTTTTTATGGTTTTATGGTCTAACATGTAAGTCTTTCATCCATCTTGAATTAATTTTTGTATAAGGTGTAAGGAAGGGATCCAGTTTCAGCTTTCTACATATGGCTAGCCAGTTTTCCCAGCACCATTTATTCAATAGGGAATCCTTTCCCCATTTCTTGTTTTTGTCAGGTTTGTCAAAGATCAGATGGTTGTAGATATGCAGCATTACTTCTGAGGGCTCTGTTCTGTTCCATTGGTCTATATCTCTGTTTTGGTACCAGTACCATCCTGTTTTGGTTACTGTAGCCTTGTAGTATAGTTTGAAGTCAGGTAGCGTGATGCCTCCAGCTTTGTTCTTTTGGCTTAGGATTGACTTGGCCATGTGGGCTCTTTTTTGATTCCATATGAACTTGAAAGTAGTTTATTCCAATTCTGTGAAGAAAGTCATTGGTAGCTTGATGGGGATGGCATTGAATCTATAAATTACCTTGGGCAGTATGGCCATTTTCACGATATTGATTGTTCCTACCCATGAGCATGGAATGTTCTTCCATTTGTTTGTATCCTCTTTTATTTCATTGAACAGTGGTTTGTAGTTCTCCTTGAAGAGGTCCTTCACCTCCCTTGTAAGTTTGATCCCTAGGTATTTTTTTCTCTTTGAAGAGTCATCCTGCATTTAATTATTGCCTCAATTTCAGAGCCTGTTATTGGTCTATTCAGAGATTCAACTTCTTCCTGGTTTAGTCTTGGGAGAGTGTATGTGTCGAGGAATTTATCCATTTCTTCTAGATTTTCTAGTATATTGCATAGAGGTGTTTATAGTATTCTCCGATGGTAGTTTGTATTTCTGTGGGATCGGTGGTGATATCCCCTTTATCATTTTTTATTGCATCTATTTGATTCTTCTCTCTTCTTTATTAGTCTTGCTAGCAGTCTGTCAATGGGAGTTCACTCATGATTTGGCTCTCTGTTTGTCTGTTATTGGTGTATAAGAATGCTTGTGATTTTTGCACATTGATTTTGTATCCTGAGACTTTGCTGAAGTTGCCTATCAGCTTAAGGAGATTTTGGGCTGAGACGATGGGGTTTTCTAGATATACAATCATGTCATCTGCAAACAGGGACAATTTGGCTTCCTCTTTTCGTAACTGAATACCCTTTATTTCCTTCTCCTGCCTGATTGCCCTGGACAGAACTTCCAACACTATGTTGAATAGGAGTGGTGAGAGAGGGCATCCCTGTCTTGTGCCAGTTTTCAAAGGGAATGCTTCCAGTTTTTGCCCATTCAGTATGATATTGGCTGTGGGTTTGTCATAGATAGCTTTTATTATTTTGAGATACATCCCATCAATATCTAATTTATTGAGAGTTTTTAGCATGAAGGGTTGTTGAATTTTGTCAAAGGCCTTTTCTGCATCTATTGAGATAATTATGTGGTTTTTGTCTTTGATTCTGTTTATATGCTGGATTACGTTTATTGATTGGATTACGTTTATTGATTTGCCTATGTTGAACCAGCCTTGCATCCCAGGGATAAAGCCCACTTGATCATGGTGGATAAGCTTTTTGATGTGCTGCGGGATTCGGTTTGCCAGTATTTTACTGAGGATTTTTGCATCGATGTTCATCAGGGACATTGGTCTAAAATTCTCTTTTTTTGTTGTGTCTCTGCCAGGCTTTGGTATCAGGATGATGCTGGCCTCATAAAATGAGTTAGGGAGGATTCCCTCTTATTCTATTGATTGGAATAGTTTCAGAAGGAATGGTACCAGCTCCTCCTTGTACCTCTGGTAGAATTCGGCTGTGAATCCATCTGGTCCTGGACTTTTTTTGGTTGGTAAGCTATTAATTACTGCCTCAATTTCAGAGCCTGTTATTTGTCTATTCAGAGATTCAACTTCTTCGTGGTTTAGTCTTGGGAGGGTGTATGTGTCCAGGAATTTATCCATTTCTTCTAGATTTTCTCGTTTATTTGCGTAGAGGTGTTTATAGTATTCTCTGATGGCAGTTTGTATTTCTGTGGGATCGGTGGTGATATCCCCTTTGTCATTTTTTATTGCGTCTATTTGATTCTTCTCTCTTTTCTTCTTTATTAGTCTTGGTAGCGGTCTATCAACTCTGTTGATCTTTTCAAAAAACCAGCTCCTGGATTCACTGATTTTTTGAAGGGTTTTTTGTGTCTCTATGTCCTTCACTTCTGCTCTGATCTTAGTTATTTCTTGCCTTCTGCTAGCTTTTGAATGTGTTTGCTCTTGCTTTTCTAGTTCTTTTAATTGTGATGTTAGGGTGTCAATTTTAGATCTTTCCTGCTTTCTCTTGTGGGCATTTAGTGCTATAAATTTCCCTCTACACACTGCTTTGAATGTGTCCCAGAGATTCTGGTATGTTGTGTCTTTGTTCTTGTTGGTTTCAAAGAACATCTTTATTTCTGCCTTCATTTCGTTATGTACCCAGTAGTCATTCAGGAGCCGGTTGTTCAGTTTCCATGTTAGTTGAGCAGTTTTGAGTGAGTTTCTTAATCCTGAGTTCTAGTTTGATTGCACTGTGGTCTGAGAGACAGTTTGTTATAATTTCTGTTCTTTTACATTTGCTGAGGAGTGCTTTACTTCCAACTATGTGGTCAATTTTGGAATAGGTGTGGTGTGGTGCTGAAAAGAATGTATATTCTGTTGATTTGGGGTGCAGAGTTCTGTAGATATCTATTAAGTCCACTTGGTGCAGAGGTGAGTTCAGTTCCTGGATATCCTTGTTAACTTTCTGTCTCGTTGATCTGTCTAATGTTGACAGTGGGGTGTTAAAGTCTCCCATTATTGTTGTGTGGGAGTCCAAGTCTCTTTGTAGGTCTCTAAGGACTTGCTTAATGAATCTGGGTGCTCCTGTATTGGGTGCATATATATTTAGGATAGTTAGTTCTTCTTGTTGAATTGATCCCTTTAGCATTATGTAATGGTCTTCTTTGTCTCTTTTGATCTTTGTTGGTTTAAAGTCTGTTTTATCAGAGGCTAGGATTGCAACCCCTGCCTTTTTTTGTTTTCCATTTGCTTGGTAGATCTTCCTCCATCCCTTTATTTTGAGCCTATGTATGTCTCTGCATGTGAGATGGGTTTCCTGAATACAGCACACTGATGGGTCTTGACTCTTTATCCAATTTGCCAGTCTGTGTCTTTTAATTGGAGCATTTAGCCCATTTACATTTAAAGTTAATATTGTTATGTGTGAATTTGATCCTGTCATTATGATGTTAGCTGGTTATTTTGCTCATTAGTTGATGCAGTTTCTTCCTAGCCTCAATGGTCTTTACAATTTGGCATGTTTTTGCAGTGGCTGGTACTGGTTGTTCCTTTCCATGTTTAGTGCTTCCTTCAGGAGTTCTTTTAGGGCAGGCCTGGTGGTGACAAAATCTCTCAGCATTTGCTTGTCTGTAAAGGATTTTATTTCTCCTTTGCTTATGAAGCTTAGTTTGGCTGGATATGAAATTCTGGGTTGAACATTCTTTTCTTTAAGAATGTTGAATATTGGCCCCCACTCTCTTCTGGCTTGTAGAGTTTCTGCCAAGAGATCAGCTGTTAGTCTGATGGGCTTCCCTTTGTGGGTAACCCGACCTTTCTCTCTGGCTGCCCTTAATATTTTTTCCTTCATTTCAACTTTGGTGAATCTGATAATTATGTGTCTTGGAGTTGCTCTTCTCGAGGAGTATCTTTGTGGCGTTCTCTGAATTTCCTGAATTTGAATGTTGGCCTGCCTTGCTAGATTGGGGAAGTTCTCCTGGATAATATCCTGCAGAGTGTTTTGCAACTTGGTTCCATTCTCCCCGTGACTTTCAGGTACACCAATCAGATGTAGATTTGGTCTTTTCACATAGTCCCATATTTCTTGGAGGCTTTGTTCATTTCTTTTTATTCTTTTTTCTCTAAACTTCTCTTCTCACTTCATTTCATTCATTTGATCTTCCATCACTGATACCCTTTCTTCCAGTTGATGGAATCGGCTACTGAGGCTTGTGCATTTGTCACGTAGTTCTTGTGCCGTGGTTTTCAGCTCCATCAGGTCCTTTAAGGACTTCTCTGCATTTGTTATTCTAGTTAGCCATTCGTCTAATTTTTTTTTCAAGGTTTTTAACTTCCTTGCTGTGGGTTCAAACTTCCTCCTTTAGCCCAGAGTAGTTTGATTGTCTGAAGCCTTCTTCTCTCAACTCATCAAAGTCATTCTCCGTCCAGCTTTGTTCGGTTGCTGGTGAGGAGCTGTGTTCCTTTGGAGGAGGAGAGGTGCTCTGATTTTTAGAGTTTCCAGTTTTTCTGCTCTGTTTTTTCCCCATCTTTGTGGTTTTATCTACCCTTGGTCTTTGATGATGGTGACGTACAGATGGGGTTTTGGTGTGGATGTCCTTTCTGTTTGTTAGTTTTCCTTCTAACAATCAGGACCCTCAGCTGCAGGTCTGTTGGAGTTTGCTGGAGGCCCACTCCAGACCCTGTTTGCCTCGGTATCAGTAGGGGAGGCTGCAGAACAGCAGATATTGGTGAACAGCAAATGTTGCTCCCTGATCGTTCCTCTGGAAGTTTTGTCTCAGAGGAGTACCCGGCCGTGTGAGGTGTTAGACTGCCCCTACTGGGGGGGTGCCTCCCAGTTAGGCTTCTCGGGGGTCAGGGACCCACTTGAGGAGGCAGTCTGTCCGTTCTCAGATCTCCAGCTGCATGCTGGGAGAACCACTACTCTCTTCAAGCTGTCAGACAGGGACATTTGAGTCTGCAGAGGATTCTGCTGCCTTTTGTTTGGCTATGCCCTGCCCCCAGAGGTGGAATCTACAGAGGCAGGCAGGCCTCCTTGAGCTGCGGTGGGCTCCACCCAGTTCGAGCTTCCTGGCCACTTTGTTTACCTACTCAAACCTCGGCAATGGCGGGCGCCCCTCCCCCAGCCTCGCTGCCGCCTTGCAGTTTGATCTCAGACTGCTGTGCTAGCAATGAGCGAGGCTCTGTGGGTGTAGGAGCCTCCGAGCCATGCGCAGGATATAATCTCCTGGTGTGCCGTTTTCTAAGACCATTGGAAAAGTGCAGTATTACGGTAGGAGTGACCTGATTTTCCAGGTGCTGTCTGTCACCCCTTTCTTTGACTAGGAAAGGGAATTCCCTGACCCCTGGAGCTTCCCGGGTGAGGCGATGTCTCAGTGCACCCACTGTCCTGCACCCACTGTCCGACACTCCCCAGTGAGATGAACCCGGTACCTCAGTTAGAAATGCAGAAATCACCCGTCTTCTGCGTCGCTCACGCTGGGAGCTGTAGACTGGAGCTGTTCCTATTTGGCCATCTTGGCTTCACCCCCAGTTTCACTCTTGTTGCCTGGGCAGGAGTGCAATGGTGTGATCTCTGCTCACCGCAGCCTCCACTTCCCAGGTTCAAGTGATTCTCCTGCCTCAGCCTCCTGAGCAGCTGGGACTACAGGCATGTGCCACTATGCCTGGGTAATTTTTATATTTTTAGTAGAGACAGGGTTTCTGCATTTTGGTCAGACTGGTCTCGAACTCCTGACCTCAGATGATCCTCCTGCCTCAGCCTCCCAAAGTGCTGGGATTACAGGTGTGAGCCACCGAGCCCCGCCAAGGACTGTTTTTTTCTAGTTCTGTGAAGAATGTCATTGGCATTTTGATAGGTATTGCCTTGAATCCATAGATTGCTTTGGGTAGTATAGACATTTTAACAATATTGATTCTTCCAGTCCATGGACATGTAATATCTTTCCATTTTTTGGTATCTTCTTCAATTTTTTGTCATCAGTGTTTTACAGTTTTCATTGTAGAGATATTTCACTTCTTTGGTTAAGTTAATTCCTATGTATTTTATTTGTAGCTATTGTAAATGGGGTTACTTTCTTGATTTCTTTTTCAGATTTTTCACTCTTGGCATGTAGAAATGTTACTGATTGTATGTTGATTTTTTTTTTTTTGAGACAGAGTCTCGCTCTGTCACCCAGGCTGGAGTGCAGTGGCGCGATCTCGGCTCACTGCAAGCTCCGCCTCCTGGGTTCACGCCATTCCCATGCCTCAGCCTCCTGAGTAGCTGGGACTACAGGCACCCGCCACCACGCCCAGCTAATTTTTTTGTATTTTTAGTAGAGACGGGGTTTCACTGTGTTAGCCAGGATGGTCTCGATCTCCTGACCTCATGATCCGCCTGCCTCGGCCCCCCAAAGTGCTGGGATTACAGGCGTGAGCCACTGTGTCCAGCCTGTATGTTGATTTTTTTATCATGCAAATTTACTAAATTTGTTGATCATTTCTAACAGATTTTTTCATGAAGTCTTTAGGTTTTTCAAAATATAAGAGCATATCATCTACAAATAAGGATAATTTGACTTCTTCCTTTCCAATTTCTTTCTCTTGTCTAATTGCTCTAGCTAGGACTTCTAGTACTATTTTGAATAACAGTGATGAAAGTGGGCATCCTTGTCCTGTACAGATCTTAGAAGAAAGGCTTTCAGTTTTTCCCCATTCAGTATGATACTAGCTATGGCTCTGTCTTGTACAGCTGTTATTGTGTTGAGATATGTTCCTTTTATACCCCATTTTCTTGAGGATTTTTATCATAAAGGGATGTTGAATTTTGTTAAATGCTTTTTCAGCATCGATTGAAATTATCATATGGTTTTGTGCTTCATTCTGTTGATATGATGCATCACATTGATTTGTGTTTGTTGAACCATTCTTGCATCCCTGGGATAAATCCCACTTGGTCATGATGAAGGATTTAATGTGCTGAATTCAGTTGGCTAGTATTTTGTTGAGGAATTTTGCATCAATATCCATCAGAGTTATTGGCCCATAATTTTTTTTTATGTGTCTTTGTCTGTTTTTGGTATCAGGGTAATACTGACCTTCTAGAATGAGTTCAAAAGTATTCCAGAGGGGAGGGAACTTACAGGATGAGTCAATAGGTGCAGCACACCACCATGGCACAAGTATACCTATGTAACAAACCTGCACTTTCTGCACATGTATCCCAGAACTTAAAGTAAAATAAATTAAAAAAAAAAAGAAAATATTCCCTCCTCCTTTATTATTTTTGGGATAGTTTGAGTAAGACCGGCACACTTTTATTTTATTTTATTTTGTGTACATGAATAAGTTCTTCAGTGGTGATTTCTGAGATTTTGGTGCACCCATTGCCAGAGCAGTGTACATTGTACCCAATGTATAGTCTATCATCTGTTACCCCTGCCCTGAGTCCTTCCTCTGAGTTCCCAAAATCCATTGTATCATTGTTATGCCTTTGCATCCTCATAGCTTAGTTCCCAATTATGAGTGAGAACATACAATGTTTGGCTTTCCATTCCTGAGTTACTTCACTTAGAATAATGGTCTCCAATTCCATATAGGTTGCTGCAAATGAGGATTGGTATCAGTTCTTATTTAAATGTTTAGTAGAATTCAGCAGTGAAGCCATTGGGCCCTGAACTTTCTTTCCTGGGACACCCTTTATTATGGTTTCAATCTCATTACTTGTTATTGGTCTATTCAGGTTTTGGATTTCTTCATGGTTCCATCTTGGAATGCTGTATGTGTCCAGGAGTTAATGAATTTCTTCTAGGTTTTCCCATTTATCGGCATATAGTTGCTCATAGTAGTCTCTAATGACCCATTGAATTTCTGTGGTATCTGCCGTAATGTCTCCTTTGGGTCTTGTCTCTTTTTTCTTGGGCTAAAGGTTTGTTGATTTTGTTTATCTTCTCAAAAACCCAAGCTTTCATTTTGTTGATATTTTGTATTTTTTATTTCAATTTTATTTATTTCTGCCCTGATCTTTATTATTTCATTTATTCTACTGATTTTAGGTTTGGTTTTCTCTTGCTTTTCTAGTTCTTTGAGATGCATTATTAGGTTGTTTGTTTGAAGTTTTTCTACTTTTTTGATGCAGGCACTTACTGCTATAAACTTCCCTATTAGTATTCCTTTTTCTGTAACCCATAGGTTTTGGTATGTTGTGTTTCTATTATCATTTGTTTCAAGAAATTTTTCAATTTCCTTCCTGATTTCTTCGTTGACCCACTGGGCATTCAGGAGCATATTATTTAACTTCCATGTGCTTGTATACTTGCCAAAATTTCTCTTGTTTTTGATTTCTAGCTTCATTCCATTGTGGTCAGAGAAGATACTTGATATTATTTTATTTTTTGAATTTTTAAAGACTTGTTTTGTGTCCTAACATATGGCTTATGGTCTATCTTTGAGATTGATCCATATGCTGAGGAGAAGAATGTGTATTCTGCAGCTGTTGGGTGAAATGTTCTGTAAATATCTATTAGGTCTATTTGGTCTATAGTGCCGGTTAAGTCCAATTTTTCTTTGTTGGTTATCTGGGAGATCTGTCCAGTACTGAAAGTGGGGTGTTGACATCTCCAACTATGATCGTATTGGGGCCCATCTCTCTCTTTAGCTCTAACAATATTTGCTTTATATATCTGGGTGCTCAAATGTTGGGTGCATATATATTTAAAATTGTTATATCTTCTTGCTGAATCAACTCCTTTATTGTTATATAATGACCTTCTTTGTCTCGTCTTATAGTTTTTGTCTTGAAACCTATTTTGTCTAATGTAAGTAAAGCTACTCCTACTCATTTTTTTTTATTCCATTGGCATGGAATATCTTTTTCCATCACTTTATTTTCAGTCTATTTGTGTCTTTAGAGGTGACGTGTATTTCTTATAGGCAACAGATAGTTGGGTCTTGTTTTTTTTATTCATTCAGCCACTCTATAGTTTTTGATTGGAGAGTTTAGTTCATTTTCATTTAGTGTTGTTATTGATAAACAGAACATACTCCTGCCATTTTGTTATTTGTTTTCTTGTTGTTTTGTGGTTTCTCTTCCTTCTTTCTTTCCTTCTTGTCTTCCTTTTTGTGAAGGTGATTTTCTCTGGTGGCATGTTTTAATTTCTTGCTTTTTATTTTTTGCGTATATCTTGCAGACTTTTTGATTTGAGGTTACCATGAGGCTTGCAAATAACATCTTATAATTTACTATTTTATTTTTATTTTTTATTTATTTATTTTTTGAGATGAAGTCTTGCTCTGTCACCCAGGCTGGAGTGCGGTGGTGCGATCTCGGCTCACTGCAATCTCCGCCTCCTGAGTAGCTGAGATTACAGGCACATGCCACCATGCCTGGCTAATTTTTGTATTTTTAGTAGAGACGGGGTTTCACCATGTTGGCCAGGCTGGTCTCGAACTCCTGACCTCAAGAGATCCACCCACTTCAGCCTCCCAAAGTGCTGAGATTACAGGCGTGAGCCACTATGCCCAGCCAATAACTCATTATTTTAAACTAATGATTACTTAACACTGATCACAAAAACAAACCAAAAAATTAACAAACAAGCAAAGAGAAAATAAAACTCTACACTTTAACTTCAGCACCCCATTTTTTAATGTTGTTTTTATTTATCTCTTATTATATTGCCTATGTCTTGAAAAGTTGTTGTAGTTTTTATTTTGATAGGTTCATCTTTTAGTCTCTACTCAAAATATGAGTAGTTTACACACCACAGTTACAGTGTTATGTTATTCTATGTTAGTTAATAATATTCTGTATTTGTCTGTGTATTTACTATTAGCAGTGAGTTTTGTACCTTAAGATGATTTCTTATTATTCATTAACTTCCTTTTCTTTCAGATTGAAGAACTCCTTTTAGCATTTCTTGTAGGACAGGTCTAGTGTTGATGCAATCTCTCAGCTTTTGTTTGTCTGGAAAAGTATTTCTATGTTTGAAGGATATTTTCACTGGATATACTATTCTAGGGTAAAAGTAGTTTTTTTCCTCCCCCTTCAGCACTTTAAATATGTCATGCCACTTTCCCCTGGCCTGTAAGGTTTCTACTGACAGGTCTGCTGCCAGATGTATTGGAGCTCCTTTGTATGTTATTTGTTTCTTTTCTCTTGCCAATAATTCATAGATTTGCCACCCCCCACCTTTTTTGAGAAAGGGTCTGGCTCTGTCGCCAGGCTGGAGTGTGGTGGTGCAATCTCAGCTCATGCAGTCTTCACCTCCCAGACTCAAACCATTCTCCCACCTCAACCTCCTGAGTAGCTGGGACCACAGGCACATGCCTCCACACCCGGCTAATTTTTGTATTTTTGATAGAGACGGAGTTTCGTCATGTTGCCCAGGCTGGTCTCGAACTCCTGAATTTGAGAAATCTGCCTGCCTTGGCCTCCCAAAGTGCTGAGATCACGGGCATGAGCCACTGCTCCCAGCCAGATTTGCTTTTTTGAGTCAAGTTTCTAAATCCTGTTTGTGTGCTTCATTATTTTTTATTCTTTTTTCTTTTGTCTCCTCTGACTATGTATTTTCGAAGAGCTTGTCTTCAAGCTCACTGATTCTTTCTTCTTGATCAATGCTGCTGTTGAGAGACTGATGCATTCTTCACTCTGCCAATTAAATTTTTCAGCTCCAGAATTTCTGCTTGATTCTTTCTAATTATTTTAATCTCTTTGTTAAATTTATCTGATAGAATTCTGAATTTCTTCTCTGTGTTTTCTTGAATTTCACTGAGCTTCCTTAAAGTAGTTGTTTTGTATTCTCTGTCTGAAAGGTTACATATCTCTGTCACTTCGGGATTGGTCACTGGTGCCTCATTTGTTGAGGTCATCTTTTCCTGGATGGTTATGATGCTCGTGAATGTTCATCAATGTCTGGGCATTGAAGAGTTAGGTATTTATTACAGTCTTCAGAGTCTGGGCTTGTTTGTACCCACCCCTCTTGGGAAGCCTTTCCAAGTACTCAAAGGGAATTGAGCATTGTGATAAGTCTTTTGTCACTGCAGCTGTATCTGCATTAGAAGGCACCCCAAGCCCAGTAGCGCTGTGATTCTTACAGATTCATGAAGGTATTGTCTTGCAGTCTTGAGTAAGATTCTGGAGAATTCCCTAGATTACCAGGCAGATTCTTGTTCTCTTCCCTTACTTTCCCCCAAATAAATGGAGTCTCCGTCTCCGTGCTGAGCTGCCTGAAGCTGGGGGTGGTGGTGCCTCAAGAACCCCTGTGGCCACACCACTGGGACTATGGTGGGTCAGACCCAAAGCCAACAGAGCACTGGTCTTGCCCAAGGCCCACAGTAACCACTGCCTGGCTACCATCAATGTTTATTCAAGGGCTCTACAATCAGCAGGCGGTGAATCCAGACAGGTTGTGTCTTTCCTTTCAGGGTGGCAATCTCCCCACTAGCCCAAAACAGTCCAGAAATACCATCCAGGAGCCAGCAGCTGGAGTCAGGAGCCTTAGGAATATACTTGGTGCTCTACTCTACCGCAGCATAGCTGGCCCCCAAACCATAAGACAAAGTCCTTCCTACTCTTCCCTCTCCTTTCCTCAAACAGAAGTGTCTCCCCATGACCACCATCACCCCAGGCCCATGGCAAGTACTACCTGGCTACCATCAATGTTCACTCCAGGCCCAAGGGCTCTTCAGGCAGCTTGTGATTAATGCTGCCAGGCCTGGGACTCTCCCTCCAGGGCAGTGGGCTCCCCTCTGGCCAAGGGCAGGTCCAGAAATGGCATTCAGGAGCCAAGGCCTGTAATCAAGTCCCCAGGAGCTCACTTGGTGCTCTGCCCCACTGTGGCCAAGTTGGTACCCAAACTGCAAGACAGAGTCCCCCATACTTTTCCCCTTCCTTTCCTCAAGCAGAAGGAGTCTCTCTCCATAGCCATCACAGCTGGGAATGTGCTGGGTCACACTTGAAGCCAGCATGGCACTGTGTCTCACCCAAGGCCCACAGTGAATGCTGCCTAGCTATCACTGATGTCTATTCAAGACCCGAGGGCTCTTTAGTCAGCAGATAATGAATCCTGTCAGAATAGGCCCTTCTCTTCAAGGCAGCAGGTTCCGTTCTGGCCCAGGGTGTGTCTAGAGATGTCATCTGGGAGCTAGGTCCTGGAATGGGAGCCTCAGGACTCTGCCTGATGCCCTATTCTACTGTGGCTGAGCTGGCATCCAAGTTGCAAAACTGAGTCCTCTTTATTCTTCTCTCCTCTCTCCTCTCCTCAAGCAGAAGGAAGGACTCTCTCCCAGAGCTGTGAGCTGCACTGCCTGTGCTGGGGGAAGGATAACACAAGCACTCCCTTGGCTGCCCAGGGTGGTGTCTCACTAGGTCATGTGCACCCCAAGTCTGTGCTGAGCCCAGCACAGCACTGGGACATGCCCAAGAATTGCCATTCTTATTACTTAGACTGCCTTTCAAGTTTATTTAGCACCCCAGAGCATTTTAGCCTGCAGTGGTGGGACTAGCCAGAACTCAGGTTCTGACCACTGGGATGGATGACTCCCTTCCGGCTGGGGCTAGCCTAAGTACTCCCTCCATGGGCACCAGCTGAATTCTGCTCCATGTTGCTTTCCACTGTGACAGGGCAGCACTGAGTTCCGGTGCAAAGTTTCACAACCATGTTGCTCTCCCTCCCCCAAGCACACAGATTGTCCCTCCACTCCTTGCAGCCACTGCTGGGGGATGGGAGAGGGGTGGTGTGGGCAATTCAAGACTGTCTTTCCTACCCTCTTCAGTGCCTCTTTTCTTGATATGATGTTAAAACCAGGTACTGTGACCACTCACCTGATTTTTGGTTCTTATGAAAGTACTTTCTTGTGTGGGGATAGTTGTTGAGTTTGGTGATCCTGCAGGTGGGATGTGTGAACCCAGAAAATCTGAGACAGGTCTCAGTTAATTTAGAAAGTTTATTTTGCCAAGGTTGAAGACGCACCCGTGACACAGCCCCAGGAAGTCCTGAGGACATGTACCCAAGGTGGTAGGGGCACAGCTTGGTTTTCTACATTTTAGGGAGACATGAGACATCAATCAGTATATGTAAGAAGTACATTGGTTTGGTCTGGGAGGCGGGGCAACTTGAAGCAAAGGTGGGAAGAGAGCTTCGAGGTCACAGATAGGTGATACACAAACGATTGCATTCTTTTGAGTTTCTGATGAGCCTTTCCAAAGGAGGCAGTCAGATATGCATCTATCTCAGTGAGCAGAGGGATAGCTTTGAATAGAATAGGAGGCAGCTTTGGCCTAAGCAGTTTCCAGCTTGAGTTCTCCCTAGTGATTTTGCGGCCCCAAGATATTTTCCTTTCACAGATGATTGCTGGCGGGTTTTATTTGGCCATCTTGCTCTGCCACCCCGCCCCCCCACCTCATTGACTTTTCTTTGCACCCAACAGAACAAATCCAAACCACAGATGACTATGTTTTCTCCCTGCTTCCTCTTGGTTGCCAAGCATAACTGGAGAAAGTTACATAATGTGGCAGACTGTTACCACTCTAGATAAATGGTAGTGAATGTCAAATGGACCCTCCAAACTGACTGGTGATCTTATCCTGTTCCTCTTATCAATTCACTTCACCATTCACCACCTCTCCTCTCAAACTCAGCATATGATCTTCCCTCCTCCTTCACGGAGAAAATAGAAACTCTCAGTTGCAAACAATCTCAACTTTCCGCCAGGAAATCTATAAACCTGACTCAATTTGCATTCAATGTCTCCTCCTTCCCTTGTCTTATCTAACATTCACCCACCACTGGTACTTACTCTGCCCTTCCTACATTCCCAGTATCTTGAAGTATTGTTTATTCACTTGTATTGCTGTAATTTCCACCTTTCTCTCTCTACTGGCCCCATCTCATGAGTATTAAAACACGCTTATGTGTTTTAAGTGTTACATGTGGCCCTCTCCTCATTTCTGCATTTTTAATACACTTCTCAGCCCATTTCACTTTGATTTGGGCATCCAGGTACACTAAAAGTGCTCTGGCTAAAGTCACCAGTGACCAACAGGTTGCTAAACTAAACTGCCACTTTGTAGTTCCTCATCTCATTGACCCCTCATCAACATTTGACACAGAGTTGGTCACTCCCATTTTGAACATCTGGCCTTAACTTCTTTCATAACATGTTCCTACCATTTTGCCAGAAACATTTACAATAGCCAATCACTAATTGAAAATTCTTCAGAGATTTTTCCTAATCCTCTTCTTTTTTTCATCTTCTAGTTTTGTCTAATCGTTTTTCCTAAGCGATCTCACAGGCACCTATGGATCTAAGAACCACCTGTGTGCTGATGAAAAATACTCAGTAGGGACAAGATGGCCAACTAGACACAGCCAGGTAATGCCTCTCCCACTTAGAGAAACCAAAATATCAAGTAAATCATCACACTTTGAACAGATCTTTTTGAGAGAAAACACTAAGTCAATAGAGAGGTGAAGCTGGAAAGCCAGCACGGAGTCACTGACTACCCAGACTGGCTCCCAGTCCTGAAAAGGTCCTAAAGAAGTGGTAAGTGAAGGAACTCTAGAGCACCTCACTCTCACCACAGACCTCTGGGATCCTAGCCACAGAGATCCCATGACTCCCATAGACATTTGAACTGGGAAGGGGAACTGCCCAGAGAGTAGGCAGAACCAGAGCTCAAAGATGAGTGGAGGGCCGGGCGTGGTGGCTCACGCCTGTAATCCCAGCATTTTGGGAGGCTGAGGTGGGCAGATCACTTGAGGTCAGGAGTTCGAAACCAGAGTGGCCAACATGGTGAAACCCCGTCTCTACTAAAAATATTTTTTAAATTAGCCAGGCGTGGTGGTGGGCTCCCGTAGTCCCAGCTCCTCGGGAGGCTGAGGCAGGAGAATCGCTTGAACCCGGGAGGTGGAGGTTGCAGTGAGCTGAGATTGCGCCACTGCATTCCAGCCTGGGCAACAAGAGTAAACCTCTGTCTCAAAATAAACAAACAAACAAAAACAAAAACCAAAAAACTAAGTGGCGCCCAGGTTTCACATGGGGCAGCTGCAGCAAAATGTGACCATAGGCACCCATCCCCCAAAGCTCTCCATCTTCCTGTGAGGGACTCTAGCCCCTGCTGACATCCAGGCTAGATGAGAGTAGGGCTGCTTTTCCAATGGGGCTGGGGCACATCTGAACTGCCTGCCCCTTATCTGCTGGCCTCTCCCAAGGCTGCCTGCCTACCTGCTCCCATAAGAAGGTGCACACAGTACAGCCTCCACTGCCAGTGGCCTTGGAACAGTTTGCCCCCCACGCCCTCAGTACAACCAGTGCTCAACTCCGAGGAGCCAGGGGACAAAGCTGTGGGCCTGGTCCCACCTCCTCCCACCCCCAGAGTTTGAGCACATCGCCCAGGGATATGGAGCTGAAATCTATGGCCTGAGCTTGAGCAGGGGAGGAGACCCCACTCTTAGAACACCGAGACAAGTGAGGTGCCAGTTCGTGTCCTGGTACGGGAGCTGAGCACCCCTCCCTCTGTAAGGCAGGTCCCAGAAGGGTGTAGCCTGTTGGCCAGCTGCAGCTTCTGCCTGAGGGAGCCCCGACGTCCAGAACACTGAGACAAGTGAGGTGCCAGTTCGTGTCCTGGTACGGGAGCTGAGCACCCCTCCCTCTGAAAGGCAGGTCCCAGAAGGGTGTAGCCTGTTGGCCAGCTGCAGCTTCTGCCTGAGGGAGCCCCGCAGTCCAGAACACAGGCAACAGCCCAGCAATCTGCTCATAGAAGGCTTGGGACAAATCTAACCGGTCAGGCCTGCCCCTGGGGTAGAGAGGGGAGGGAGGCCCAGCTTTGGGAGTGTGACCTGGGCGGACCCAACAGCCATCTTCTGGGCAAATGACCCTGAGCCACAGGTGCCATGTTAGCCGCACACCTGTGGCACCACTGCCCTGCCCAGGGATCCTCCACCCTTGACTCACTGCTTCACCAGAACATGCCAAGAACATACAGTGGGGAAAAGACGGTCTCTTCAGTAAATGGTGCTGGCAAAACTGGATATCTGTGTGCAGAAGAATGAAACTAGACCCCTATCTCTTGGCATATAAAAAAATCAAATCAAAATGTATTAAAGAATTAAATCTAAGACTTCAAATTTTGAAACTACTAAAAGAGAACATTTGGGGAAACTCTCCAGGACATTGGTCTGGGGAAGGATTTCTTGAGTAATATCCCACAAACACAGGCAACCAAAGCAAAAATGGACAAAAGGGATCACATCAAATTAAAAACCTGCATAGCAAAGGAAACTATCAACAAAGTGAAGAGACAACCCACAGAATGGGAGAAAATGTTTGCAAACTACCCATCTGACAAAGAATTAATAACCAGAATATATAACGAGCTCAAACAACTCTATAGGGAAAAAAATCTAATAATCTAATTTAAAATGGGCAAAAGATCATAATAGACATTTCTCAAAAAAGACATAAAAATGGCAAACAGGTATATGAAAAGGTGTTCAACATCACTGATCATCAGAGAAATGCAAATCAAAGCTATGAGAGAATCATCTCACCCCAGTTAAAAAGGCTTTTTTTTTTTTTTGAGACGGAGTCTTGCTCTGTTGCCCAGGCTGGATTGCAGTGGCACGATCTCGGCTCACTGCAAGCTCCGCCTCCCAGGTTCACGCCATTCTCTTGCCTCAGTCTCCCAAGTAGCTGGGACTACAGGCACCTGCCACCACGCCCAGCAAATTTTTTGTACTTTTAGTAGAGACAGGGTTTCACCATGTTAGCCAGGATGGTCTCAATCTCCTGACCTCGTGATCCACCCGCCTTGACCTCCCAAAGTGCTGGGATTACAGGCATGAGCCATTGTGCCCGGCCCTAAAAAGGCTTTTTTCCAAAAGACAGGCAATAACAAATGCTGGTGAGGATATGGAGAAAAGGAAACTCTTGTATACTATTGGTGGGAATGTAAATTAATACAACCACTATGGAAAACAGTTTGGAGTTTCCTCAAAAAAACTAAAAATAGAGCTACCATATGATCCAGCAATCTCACTGCCAGGTATATACCCTAAAGAAAGGAAACCAGTGTACTGAAGAGACAACTGCACTCCCATGTTTATTGCAGCACTGTTCACAGTAGCCAAGATTTGGAAGCAATCTAAGTGTCCATCGACAGATGAATGGATAAATAAAATGTGGTACAGATACGCAATGGAGTACTATTCAGCAATAAAAAAGAATGAGATCCTGTCATTTGCAACAACATGGGTGGAACTGGAGGTCATTATGTTAAGTGGAATAAGGCAGGCAAAAAAAGGCAAACTTTGCATGTTCTTATTTGTGAGAGCTAAAAATTAAAACAACTGAACTCATGGAGATAAAGAGTAGAATGATGGCTACCAGAGGCTGGAAAGGGTAGTAGGGGCTATGGTTGAAGGGTACAAAAATATAGTTACATAGAATGAATAAGATCTAGTACTTGATAGCACAACAGGGTAACTACCATCAACAATAATTTATAGTACTTTTTTTTTTGAGACAGAGTCTCACTCTGTCACCCAGGATGCGATGCAGTGGTGTGATCTCAGCTCACTGCAACCTCTGCCTCCTGGGTTCAAGAGATTCTCCTGCCTCAACCCCCTGAGTAGCTGGGATTACAGGCACGCGCCAACATGCCTGGCTAATTTTTGTATTTTTAGTAGAGACGGGGTTTCACCATGTTAGTCAGGCTGGTCTGGAACTCCTGACCTCGTGATCGGCCCGCCTCGGCATCCCAACATGCCGGGATTATAGGTGTGAGCCACCGCACCCTGCCCAATTTATAGTACATTTAAAAATAACTAAAAGAGGACAACTAGATTGTTTGTAACATAAATACAAGAGTTGGTGGATACCCCATTTACCCCGATGTGATTATTACACATTGTATGCCTGTATGAAAACATCTCGGCCAGGCACGGTGCCTCACACCTGTAATCCCAGCACTTTGGGAGGCTCGGTAGGGTGGATTATTTGAAGTCAGGAGATTGAGACCAGCCTGGCCAACATGGTGAAACTCGGTCTCTACAAAAAATATAAAAAATTAGCCAGGTGTGGTGTCACACAACTGTAATACCAGATACTCGGGAGGCTGAAGCAGAATTGCTTGAACCCAGGAAGCAGAGGTTGCAGTGAGCTGAGATCGTGCCACTGCACTCCAGCTTGGGCAACAGAGTAAGACTCCGTCTCAAAAAAAAAAAAGAAAGAAAATATCTCATGTACCCCATAAATATATATACCTACTATGTGCCCACAAAAATTAAAAATTAAAAAAAAATTTTAAGCCACACACCCAGACAAGCATTGACATTAGATGAACATTTCAGACATCTCCCAGTGCATAAGAAAATATTAAGTTTTTTGATAGGATGTATCAAAAAACTTGGGCAATACATCAGTACTAGTGGCCAATTTTCTTCTGTGCCTTGGATTGTGTTGTCTTTTACATTTGGATTTTTAAAACTTTATTATTTTTAATGTCATGGGTACATAATAAGTGTCTATATTTATGGGGTACATGAGATATTTTCATACAGGCATGCGGTGTGTAATAATCACATCATGGAAAATGGAGTATCCATCCTCTCAACACGTTCATCCTTTGTGTTGCAAACAAACCTATTGTACCCTTTTAGTTATTTTTAAATGTACAAATAAGTTATTATTGACTATAATCACCCTGTTGTGCTATCTAATACTAGATCTTATTCTAAATTTGGTTTTAAGCTTGTCTGCATATTATGTTCTTATTTTCCTTTTTGCTTTGCTGTGTCTTCATAATAGTCTCTTTCTTTTCAACTTGCTCCTACTTAAATGGGAAGCCCTGTTTAGTCTGCTATTTTCTCTGATATAAGGTGGATGCATTCTCCCACACTCCACACTTAGTTTATCTGAAAACTTTTGCCCCCTTCTCAGGACTACATTTTAAGATATGTGTCTAGCTATTTATCTCACTGTAGCTTAAGGGTTCACAGGGTGTTGGTAGTAGTAGCGGTGGTGAATACTTACTTGGAGGGTCTGGGCCCTACCATTTTCATATTTATGGCATGCGGTCTTCTTATCTTGTTTTGTTGTAGTTTGGTGTGCATTTTGCTGGCCTTTACCACTTTTCCTTTATTAGGCATTGGAGGAGGGAAATTCTGAGATTTGACTTTATACCATCATATCTTTCTCTGGCAGCTGATAGAGTAACTTATACTTCCAATCTAGACTTCTCTTTTGTTCTCTAGGTCCATATAACTAACAGGGTCATTAATATCTCTTATGTGGTGGCGATCACTGTCTTTGGCCTACCCAACAAACATATCCTGTCCCACCTTCTCTATTCAGATATTTCACAGGCATCCCCTGACTTCGTGGACAAAATTAGAAGTGATCTAAATAAATGATAATGTTCTCAATCTTCTTATTTATTTATTTATTTAGTTAGTTAGTTTTTGCTTGTTTCTTTTGTTTTGTTTTGTGTTTTGAGATCGTGTTTCACTCCTGTTGCCCAGCTGGAGTGCAGTGGCACGATCTTGGCTAACTGCAACCTGTGCCTCCTGGGTTCAAGAGATTCTCCTGCCTCAGCCTCCCGAGTAGCTGGGATTACCGCCACCACGCCCAGCTAATTTTTTTTTTTTTTTTTTGAGACGGAGTCTGGCTCTGTCGCCCAGGCTGGAGTGCAGTGGAGCGATCTTGGCTCACTGCAAGCTCCGCCTCCCGGGTTCATGCCATTCTCCTCTCTCAGCCTCCTGAGTAGCTGGGACTACAGGCGCCCACCACCACGCCCGGCTAATTTTTTGTATTTTTAGTAGAGATGGGGTTTCACCTTGTTAGCCAGGATGGTTTCGATCTCCTGACCTCGTGATCCACCCGCCTCGACCTCCCAAAGTGCTGGGATCACAGGTGTGAGCCACTGCGCCCAGCCACGCCCAGCTAATTTTTGTATTTTTTAGTAGAGATGGGGTTTCACCATGTTGTCCAGGCTGGTCTCAAACTCCTGACTTCAAGTGATCCACCTGCCACGGCCTTCCAAAGTGCTGGGATTACAGATGTGAGCCACCGCACCCAGCCCCTCTTAGTTATTGATGGGCCTAAGGGTAGACATGCAAGGGAGGCTAATGTGATACAAGAGGAATTCTACTACGGAGAAGCTTGCCTTCCTGAATGTGATGGTTGATTTTGTGTCAATTTGACTGGGCTATGAGGTACCTAGATATCTGATTAAACATTGTTTCTCAGTGTTTATGTGAGGGTGTTTCCAAAAGAGATTTAGCATTTGCGTTGGTGGACTGAGTAAAATGGAGAGCCCTGCCCAATGTGAGTAGGCATCATCCAATCCACTGAAGGCCTGAATAGAACAAAAATCCTCACCAGTGGTTTTGGCCTCTCTGCTCCCAGTGGTATTAAGCCTTCCCATCACGGTCTGAGAGGATGACTGATGCTTTGCCCGAGGAAACTGTAATGGTCTCCTCCAAGATAGTTACCATGCAAGGCAATGCTGATTCTCCTCAAGAACCCACCCCACCACCACCCCTCTTTGCTTCTAGACCTATAACTAGACTCAAGTCTCAGTGGTCCCTAAAGGTGAAGTACAATGTGTGACCCAAGAAACAGCGTGCTACACTCCAAAAGAACTATCTGAGTTTCCTAATTTATACAGCCGGAAATCCAGGGAACATGTATAGGAATGGATAATCACTGAGTGAAATAATGGAAGGAACTTAAAGTTGGATCAGACCAAATTTATTGATAGGGGCTCAGTAAGTAGAGATTCTGCATTTAATGGTGCATCTCAGGGGGTTAGAAAGGGCTCTAACAATTTGTTTGGTTGGTCGTCTCAAATATGGACAAGAAGATGGCCCACAGTGAGTGAACTGGAAATTCCTGACCTGCCTTAATTTTTTCTTTTTTTTTTGAGATGGAGTCTCACTCTGTCACCCAGGCTGAAGTGCAGTGGCGCGGTCTCAGCTCACTGCAACCTCTGCCTCCCGGGTTCAAGCAATTCTTGTGCCTCAGCCTCTTGTGCCTCAGTCCTCTCTGGGACTACAGGCATGTGCCACCAGGCCCAGCTAATTTTTGTATTTTTAGTAGAGATAGGGTTTCACCATGTTGGCCAGGCTAGTCTCGAACTCCTGACCTCAGGTGGTCCACCCACCTCAGCCTCCCAAAGTGCTGGGATTACAGCTGTGAGCCACCATGCCCGGCCATGACCTGCCTTAATTTAATGTAAAGGAAGAGATACAAAGATTTAGAGAGACTGGAATGTTAGAGTGCATTTGTCATTTAAGACCTACTCACCCACACTGTTAGGGTCCAGAAGGCATGCATTTCTTTTTTTTCAAACGTTTATTTTAGATTGAGGGGTACATGTGCAGGTTTGTTACATAGGTAAACGTGTCATGGGGGTTTGTTGTACAGACTATTTTGTCACCCAGGTACTAAACCTAGTACCTAATAGTTATTTTTTCTGATCCTCTCCCTCCTCCCACTCTCCATCCTCAAGGAGGCCCCAGTGTGTGTCCTTCTCCTCTTTATGTCCATGTGTTCTTGTCATTTAGCTCCCATTTATCAGTGACAACATGTAGTATTTGGTTTTCTGTTTCTGCATTAGTTTGCTAAGGATAATGGCCTCCAGCCCACTTCATGTTTCCACAAAAACATGATCTCATTCTTTTTTATGGCTGCCTAGTATTCCATGGTATATATGTACCACATTTTCTTTATCCAGTCTACCATTGATGGGCATTTAGGTTGATTCCACGTCTTTGCTATTGTGAATAGTGCTGCAATGAACATATGTATGCATGTGTCTTTATGGTAGAACAATTTATATTCCTTTGGGTATATATCCAGTAATGGGATCGCTGGGTCAAATGATAGTTCTGTTTTTAACTCTTTGAGGAATCACCACTCTGCTTTCCACAATGGTTGAACTAATTTACACTCCCACCAACAGTGTATACGTGTTCCCTTTTCTCTGCAACCTCACCAGCATCTGTTATTTTTTGATTTTTTAATAATAGCCATTCTGGGCCAGGCACTGTGGCTCATGCCTGTAATCCCAGCCCTTTGAAAGGCCAAGGTGGGTGGATTACCTGAGGTTAAGAATTTGAGACCAGCCTGGCCAACATGGCGAAATTCCATCTCTACTAAAAATACGAAAAGTTAACCGAGCATGGTGGCGGGCACCTGTAATCCCAGCTACTTGGGAAGCTGAGGCAGGAGAATTGCTTGAACCCAGGAGGCAGAAGTTGCAGGGATCACGCCATTGCACTCCAGCCTAGGCGACAGAGCAAGACTCTGTCTCAAAAAAAAAAAAAAAAAGCCATTCTGACTGGTGTGAAATGTTATCTAATTGTGGTTTTGGTTTGCATTTCTTTAATGATCAGTGATAGTCAGCTTTTTGTCATAAGCTTTTTGGACACAAGGACATGCATTTTACCAATACTGTGAGAAATAAATTTGTGAGGAAGGGCCCAGCATTCGAAGGGCTCTGTGATTATTTTCTCTGTAGGCCAGACCTTACAGTGAGAGCCACAGCTGTTCAATTGGGAGACTTGAATGCAACGGAGTAACTGGATCCCAAATTGGCAGGGACCAAGTGGCAGCACTCAACCACGAAAGGCAAGATGGGTGCAGTTACCATAATGGACAGCAGAGTCAGAGCAGCAATCAGAATAGTCTGACTCCCACAGACCTATGGCATTGGATAGTTCATCATGGTATTCCTAAAAAGTGAAACAGATAGGAAACCTACTAAATTCTTACTTGATATGTATAATCAGAAATGTTCTATGCTGGGGTGACAAAAATCCAACCTGAATCATAAGAACAGAGAGAGCATCATTGTCTCTCAATTGATTCCTAGAGTTGAGCCAGGTTACAAGCCAAGAACCCCTTTAATGAAGGAGAGGCTGCGTCCTCTTGAGGAAAGACCCCAGCACACTATCAAAAAGTAATAGTGCAGTCTTTATCTAACCCTTCCTCAAAAGACCTACAGCCTTTTACATGGGTAATTGTGCATTGATGAAAACGAAAACTCAGGACTATCAGGGGCTAAGGACACTGGCTCTGAACTGACACTAATCCAGGAGGCCCAAAACATCACTGTGGCCCTCCACAGTGGGGCATATGCTGGTGAGGTGATCAGTGGAGTTGTAGCTCAAGTCTGTCTCCTGGTGGGCTCAGTGGGTCTGTGAACACATGCAGTGGTTATTACCCAAGTTATGGAATGCATAATTGGAATACACATCAGCAGGCAGAATCCCCACATTGGTTCCCTGATATGTGGAGCTAGGGATATTATGGTGGGAAGAAACCAAGTGAAAGCCACTAGAACTGCCTTCACTTAGGAAAATAATAAATGGCGTATTTTCTTCTTGAACAAAATGACAACGTTTCAAAAGAAGAAAATCCTTTCCCTCTTTTTCCCGTCTTCCTGCCTTGGACTTGGATGTGTTGATCAACATTTGTGATCATGAAGAAAAAGTCAAGAAAATTATGGAGATGTCAGAATTGACATTTTAAATCACTGAACCAACTCCAACAACCACCTTCATCTAGACTTTTTTTTCATAAAACTTTAAGCCCCTGCCAGGTGTGGTGGCTCACACCTGTAATCCCAGCACTTTGGGAGGCCGAGATGGGTGGATCATGAGGTCAGGAGTTCGAGACCAGCCTGGCCAACATAGTGAAACCCCGTCTCACTAAAAAAAAAATACAAAAATTAGCCAGGTGTGGTGGCACGTGTTTGTAGGCCCAGCTACTCGGGAGGCTGAGGCAGTAGAATTGCTTGAACCCGGGAGGCAGAAGTTGCAGTGAGCCGAGATCGCACCATTGCACTCCAGGCTGGGTGACAGAGTGAGATTCCACCTCAAAAAAAGACCAAAACTTGAAGCCCCATTTGTTTAAGCTACCCCTGTTTGGGTATCCTGTTAGTATATCTCTTGGTACCTGCTGACGAAAGGATTACTGACTGAGACACATTTATTTCACATGTGTCACAGTGAACATAAGTGAACTCATGATCCTCTCCACTAAACTTGATTCTCTTCCAGTCTCTCCCATCTCAGTAAATTGTACAACATCCACCCACTCGCCTATGTGAAAAACACGAGTTTCCTTGCATTCCTCTCCCTGCACAAACACATCCCAACATTCTATTACCACACATTGTCAATTCTGTCTTTTCACCATCTCTTAAATCTGTCCATATCTGCTGCCCCTTCTCCAATCCAAGTCACCAGTCGTCGCATGGACTATTGAAAAATAGTCCTGGCCACATCTCCTCTGGCCCATCTCTGATACATTCTTCAAAAGCAGCGGTAGTAATGTTTTACAGAAAACCTTTCTGATCATGTCTGTCCTCTTGCTTAAAATTCTCTAATGGCTTCCCATACTTGGTAATTAAGTCCAAACTCTTTACAAGGCTTGTAAGACCTTACATGATGTCAACCTTACCTACCTCTCTAGCTTCCAGTCAACTTCGGTCCTCCTCAATCTCTACACTGGCAATACTGACTTTCCTTTACTTTCTCAACCACTTAAACTCCTTTAAGTTCCCTGTTTTGTTGCCTGGTATACTTTTCTCCCAATCTTTGACTCAGTAACTCTTCCTCATCACTTGGGTCGCAGCTTAAACATCATATTCTTAGTATGTCTTCCATGGAGTCCTGCAACTAGGTTAAATCCTTCACTGAATCCCACTACGGCACCATGTTCACTTTAAGCACATGTAACTTCTAATTACTGACTGTTTTTCTGCTGGACTGTAAGCTCCAGAGCACAGGCACCATGTCTGTCTTAAAACAAAGCCCCTCATCTTCCCATCATTAAAATGTTAAATCTATGTTACTTCTAACCCAACTTCCTCCTCTGGTTACAAGGGAGAAAACATTTCTCCTCTGATCCCTTCACGTGCACTTTGATTTCCATCCCACCTCAAGTACTTTGAGCCTTTGACTCCCTGCCTCCAAATACACGGTTTTCAGAATCATTCATTTCTTCCTCCCCTCAACATCATTAACATAAGCATTTAAGCTTATTCTAGTAGATCTCATTTTAAAAACCCAAAACATTGTTTACATCAACAAACATGAAAAAAAGAGGAACAGGAAAAGAAGGCACAGGAATGAAAACCAAAACCAAGAACGAAAACAAAACAAGAAAACCCAAAATAAAAAAGCAACCTCGGCTGGGCGCGGTGGCTCACGCCTATAATCCCAGCACTTTGGGAGGCAGAGGCGGGTGGATCACGAGGTCAGGAGATCGAGACCATCCTGGCTAACACGGTGAAACCCTGTCTCTACTAAAAAAAAAATACAAAAAATTAGCTGGGCCTGGTGGTGGGCACCTGTAGTCCCAGCTACTCAGGAGGCTGAGACAGGAGAATGGCGTGACCCGGGAGGCGGAGCTTGCAGTGAGCCGAGATCGCGCCACTGCACTCCAGCCTGGGCGACAGAGTGAGACTCGGTCTCAAAAAAAAAAAAAAAAGAAGCAACCTCACTGGACTCTACCTCTTCCTTCTGCTACTGTGATATCTGTGATATTTTTCTACTCTAGACAATTTCACACTAAAGAGATGAGCAAATTTTTTCACATTTACAAAAGAATGAGTGATCCCTGGTCCAGTGGTTCACACCTGTAATCCCACCACTTTGGAAGGCCAAGGCGGGCGGATCTCCCAAGGTCAGGAGTTCGAGACCAGCCTGGCCAACATGGTGAATCCCGTCTCTACTAAACATACAAAAATTAGCTGGGCGTGGTGGCGGACTCCTTGTAATTCCAGCTACTCGGGGGGCTGAGGCAGGATAATCACTTGAACCTGGGAGTGGAGATTGCAGTTAGCCCAGATCGGGCCACCGCACCCCAGCCTGGGCAACAGAGTGAGAGCGAGACTTCATCTCAAAAAAAAAAAAAAAGAAAAGAAAAGAAAGAAAGAAAAAAGAAAATACTGAGTGTTAATGAGAATGTGGAGCAAAGGCATAATCACTTGAGAGAGTAGAATTTAGATAAGTAAGTATTTGGAAATTTTGAGTCAAATCAAAGATGCCAGTAATCTAGGTCCAAGAATTCCACTTTTAGGTGTATATGAGAACATTTTTTAATTGCTGGCTATGACACTATAGTGGATGTGTTGTGGAGTTACTTTAGTGGGTGTGACGACATTAAACAAGTGAACTGGAAGAAAATAGAATAGAAAATACCCGATTGCACTGCATGCAGTTAGGGTGAGTATTGTTTTATGAAAATGTTATTTCACTGGCATATACGTGTGTGCTTACATGCATGCAGGCATGCATGCTTGTGTTCTCCAGGGCACAACACAAAATACATTTCTTCCTGGGGTTTCTGTCAGAAAAGTTTGCAAAACACTCTTCCAGGGACTCTCTGTCCCTGTGTTAGTTCTTTGAGATATCGCCAAACTGCTTTCCCCAATGGCCGAACTTACTTACATTCCCACCAGCAGTGTATAACTGGTCCCTTTTCTCCATAAGCTCACCAGCATTTGATACTTTTTGACCTTTTATTTTATGCCTCAGCCTCCCTAGTAGCTGGGACTACAGGCGTGCGCCACCACATGCAGCTAATTTTTTGTATTTTTAGTAGAAACGGGGTTTCACCATGTTGGCCAGGCTGGGCTCGAACTCCTGACCTCAGGTCATCTGCCCACTTTGGCCTCCCAAAGTGCTGGGATTACAGGCGTGAGCCACTGCACCTGGCCTTCTTGACCTTTTAATAATAGCCATTCTGACTGGTATGAGATGGTATGTCATTGTGGTTTTGATTTGCATCTCTCTAATGATCAGTGATGTTGAGCATTTTTTCATATACTTGTTGGCCGTATGTAAGTCTTCTCTCTAAAAGTGTTCACGTCCTTTGCACACTTTTTAATGAGGTTGTTTGCTTTTTGTGTGTAGATTTAAGTTCCTTACAGATGCTGGATACTAGACCTCTGTCTGAGGCATAGTTTCCAAATATTTTCTCCCATTCTGTAGGCTGTCTGTTTACTCCTTTGATAGTTTCTTTTTCTGTGCAGAAGCTCTTTAGTTTATTTAGGTCCCTTTTGTCAATTTTTGTTTTCATTGCAATTGCTTTTGGTATCTTTGTCATGAAATCTTTGCCAGGTCCTATGTCCAGAATGGTATTGCCTAGATTGTCTTCCAGGGTTTTTATAGTTTTGGATTTTACATTTAAGAATTTAATCCATCTTGAGCTGATTTTTATGTGTGATGTAAGGAAGGGGTCTAGTTTCAATCTTCTGCCTATGGCTAACCAGTTATACCAGCACAATTTATTGAATAGGGAGTCATTTCCCTATTGCTTATTTTTGTCATCTTTGTGGAAGATCAGATAGTTGTAGGTGTGCAGCCTTATCTCTGGGCTTTCTATTCTCTTCCATTGGTCTATGTGCCTGTTTTTGTACCAGTACCATGCTGTTTTGGCTACTGTAACCTTGTAGTATAGTTTGAAGTCAGGTAGAGTGATGCCTCCAGCTTTGTTCTTTCTGCTTAAGATTGCCTTGGCTATTTGGGCTGTTTTTTCATTCCATGTAAGTTTTAAAATAATTTTTTCTAGTTCTGTGTAGAATGTCATTGGTAGTTTGATAGGAATAGCATTGAATCTTTATATTGCTTTGGGAAATGTGTTAGGATGTTTCTTGCATTGCTATAAAGAAATACCTGAGACTTGGTGATTTATTAGAAAAAGTGTTTAATTGGCTCACAGTTCTGCAGTCTGTATAGGAAGCATAGCTCTGGCATCTGCTTCTGGGGTGGCCTATGGAAGTTTACAATCATGGTGAAAGGCCAAACAGGAGCTTGCATGTCACATGGTGAAAGCAGAACCAAGAGAGGGGTGGGGAGGTGCCACACACTTTTAAATGACCAGATCTCGTGATAACTCACTCACTATCACAAGGACAGCACCAAGGGGATGGTGCTCAACTATTCATGAGAAACCAGCTGCATGATTGAATCATCTCCCACAAGGCCCCACCTCCAATACTGGGGATTAGAATTCAACATGAGATTTGGATGGGGACAAATATCCAGACTATATCAGGTAGTATGGCCATGTAGCAATAGTGATTCTTCCTATCCATGAGCATGGGATGTTTTTCCATTTATTTGTGACATCTCTGATTTTTTTCAGCTGTGTTTTGTAATTCTTGTAGAGATCTTTCACCTCCCTGTTTAGCTGTATTCCCAGGTATTCTTTTTGTGGCTGTTGTGAATGGGGATTACTTTCTTGATTTGGCTCTCGGCTTGCATGTCGTTGGTGTATAGAAATGTTACTGATTTTTGTACATTGATTTTGTATCCTGAAACTGATGACATTGTTTATCAGAATAAAGAGTTTTTGGGCAGAGACTATGGGGTTTTCTAGGCATAGAATCATATCTTTTGCAAACAGGGACAGTTTGACCTTCTCTCTTCCTATTTGGATGCCTTTTATTTCTTTTTCTTGCCTGATTGCTCTGGCTAGCACTTCCAGTGAAAATGCTTGAGTTTTAATCCATATTTTGTGTTGATGATTAAGGGAGTTCATTACTTTCTTCCTTAAAATTAATTAGTGAGGTCGGATGCAAGCACCATGACCTATGGTGCTTGAATCCTTCATGCTTTCTTCACATCGCCTGGCAGAAGTTATGTGATCATTTAAAGCTTGTGTACCATAGACATTTTTTCCAGGTGCTCAGAAGCAAAAACTTAGTGATTTTACCTCTATACTCCTGTTATATGAATAGGAGGTTTACTGTCTCCTGTCCCAAATCAACCAGATAAGAAATTCCAAATTTCCTGGAAGTCATTGCCTGAATCCTACTTCCTGATACTATTTCCTGTGTCACCCAGGATTGTTGAATATGAACAACATAAACTGACTCTGGGCAACTCAAGCGAAAGGGAGTTTATTGAAAGTATGTGTTGGTACTGGGTGGGGCTGTGTGTGTCTTAAGGAATCAACAAGAGAAGAGTGGATTAGGCTTGGGAATGAGGAGAAAGTAAGTGAAATGAGGATAGAGGGAAGCAGTGACCTTGTAATTTCAGGAAAAGCCCAGTGAACACACTGCTTTGGTGTTGATGAATCTTCAATCTTTCCTTTTCTCATTACCTCACTTGCTGATCCATAGACCTGAGATTGAACATGTAATTTGACCAGCAGGAAATAGATGACTGCAGTATTACAGTCCCACTTAGGGGTGGTTCTGAAAGACACTTGAGAAAGGAATTCCTCTCAAGGGGCAAAACTTCAGTTATTATATCTGATTTTTTATTTTGCCTAGAAGGTGAGATGGTCACAGGTAAGATCTGTACTGAGTAATGCTTAGCACTAATTGTTTGGTCAGTTTGTCAAGGACATGGAAGGATCAAGATTGCAGGATTTAAGACAAGGAGAGCCGGGCAAGAGATATGTGAAAGTGCATGTAGAAAATGTCACAGAGTGTCTACATTCTTCAACTTCTGTCATAGCAAATTGTGTATATGTGATTAAGTTCTGTGTACACGAGATCAAGAAGGATATAGCACTTCTGGGAAGTGATTTTAAAGGGAGGCCCCACATAGTTCTACCCTTCCTCATTCCTGCTAGTTAAATGTTGGTGAGATGGTTAGAGTTCCAAGTGCCATCTTAAGCATGAGGAAGAGAGCCACATTGTAGGGATGGCAGAGCCAAGAGCCAGAGAGAAGCTGGTCCCTGATGGGTTCACGGAACCCCAACCCCATCCTGGACTGATTACCTCCAGATTTATTTTATGTCAGATGGGAGTCAGCTTCTGTTTTCTTAAACAAGTGTGTGTGTGCTGTGTGTATGTATGTGTGTGTGTATGTGTGTGTGTGTGTGTTTCATACACCTGAACCTGATCTTAATTGATATGTCAGAAAAAATTCAGGGGCAGAAATGAAACGAATCAGTTGAGGGCTGGGCATAGTGTGGAAATGGAGTATGGGAAGCTCCTGATGAATTGAGGTGATAGATATTGGTTCTGTCAGGTGCAACCAGGGGCCCAAATGCACCTCTAGGCCATGGTTTCAGACGATTAAATAGACAGCAGGTGCTCTCTTCTCTCTCTGTCTCTCTTTTTTTTTTCTTTGAGACAGAGTCTCGCTCTGTCACGCAGGCTGGAATGCAATGGCATGATCTCGGCTCACTGCAACCTCCACCTCCCGAGTTCAAGCAATTCTCCTGCCTCAGCCTCCCGAGTAACTGGGACTATAGGCACGCACCACTACGCCTGGCTAATTTTTGTATTTTTAGTAGAGATGGGTTTCGCCATGTTGGCCAGGCTGGTCTCGAACTCCTGACCTCAGGTAATCTGCCTGTCTCTGACTCCCAAAGTGCTGAGATTACAGGCATGAGCCACCAGGCTGCTGGAACTCTTAAGGGGAAAAAAAAAAAAAAGGTTCATTGCCTCACTGAATCCAAGGAACTCTTAAATCTGTAAACGATCAAATTATAAGAAATGCAAAGATGCTGGGAGATCTCAAGAACAATAGAACCAGAGATTGAAATGCTGTGAGGACTCAAAGTTCTTGGGGTCAAGCAACAAAACCTTATGCTAGCTAATTAGAACACAAAAGGAATTTATTGCAAGAATACTGTAACTTACAGATCCAGCTTCTGGCTTTTAGTAGTATGAAGAAATAGTAGCAAAAGCCTCCTAGATTCCAGATACTTTACACATGTAAGTGGTTTCTTGAATGGAATGAACTCAATGGGGACACAGTTGGGAAATCCTCTTACATTTTTCTCACTTTTGCCTTTAAATACATTCTACAATATATACTTCTCTGCCTCTTGGCAGCATCTCATGTTGATACCACAATTTCCTATCACTTTCATAAAAAATAAGTCTCATTTTCAGATACAGTATTTGAAAAATCCACACAAACTACTCAGAATTTTTTTTAAGTGTAGTCCATTCTAAGTAAAGGCTTCAGCTTCTCATCAATTTAAATCATCTTCTTTTCCATCATTCAGTTCAGGCTGAAGGTCCCTAGCTCCAGGACTTGCAGAGGATGCGGTCTGTTCTTTTATTTTATTTTATTATTTTATTTTATTTTATTTTATTTTATTTTATTTTATTTTATTTTATTTTATTTTATTTTATTTTTGAGACAGAGTTTCACTCTTGTCACCCATGCTGGAGTGCAATGGCTTGATCTCGGCTCACTGCAACCTCTGCCTCCTGGATTCAATAGATTCTCCTGCCTCAGCCTCCCGAGTCCCTGGGATTATAGGTAGCCGCCACCATGCCCAGCTAAGTTTTGTATTTTTAGTAGAGACGGGGTTTCACCACGTTGGCCAGGCTGGTCTCGAACTCCTGACCTCAGGTGATCCACTCGCCTCAGCCTCCCAAAGTGCTGAGATTACAGGCCTAAGCCACTGCGTCTGGCTGATCTGTCCTTTAACACCTCCACTCTCTCCCCTCAAACCCCACTGTCTCTTCCAGAAGTGGGGGCGAGGGGAATTATTAGCGGAAAAGGGGAAAAGTAACTATGTCTATTTATTCTGAACATTAGCACCCTGGGCTGCAGCAGGAGTCCAGATGCTGGCTCCTTCTTACAGGCTGCATTTTTGGTACCTCAGAGTCACTCTGTGGGGACCTCTGCACTGCCACATTCCCCCAAGCAGGTGATACTGAGGACTGAGTTCTGATTTTTTATCTTGCCCAAATTTTTATCTAAGGGGTCTGGGAGTCATGCCCTACAAACTATAAATTCTCATCAGATGGGTTTTATTTGACCCTATTGTGACTTACTTTTCAATCTGAGTCTGGCATAATATTATGAGACAAGGAAAAAAATATTTAACCCCAAAAATATATTTCCTTGTCATACCTTGAAATTGCCCTGCAAAGTCTTTTGTGGGAAAAACCCACATTCTAATAGAGAATCCCCTTCCCCCTTTGTTTTCCTTTTTTTTCCTTCCCAGATCCAGGAGATAATCAACTAAGAGCCAGGCACCCTTTTAATCCAATAAAAAAACAATTTACAACCGACTCTCTCTAAAGTCAGCTATCTAAGAGCTTCCTCTGCACAATAAAACTTGGTCTCCATAATCCTTTATCTTTAACCTGAACAATCCTTTCTATGGATCCCTGATCTTTAAACAAACTCAACCAATTGTCAACCAGAAAACGTTTAAATTTACCTATAGCCTGGAAGCCCCCGCTTTGAGTTTTCCTGCCTTTCTAAAGCAAACCAATGTATTTCTTAATGTATTTGATGTCTCATGCCTCCCTAAAATATATAAAACCAAGCTGTAACCCAACCACCTTGGGCGCATGTTCTCAGGGCCTCCTGAGGGCTGCGTCACGGGCCATGGTCACTCATATTTGGCTCAGAATAAATCTCTTCAAATATTTTACAGAGTTTGACTCTTTTCGTCAACAATACTCTTTTCAACTGTTCTCTCCTCTCCCCACCCACCTTCTTGTTCCTTCTCCCCTTGCAATTCACTGCCTCTTTCTTCTGGTTCTCTGTCACCCTGGCAGGCCATCTTCTTGGATGAGATCCTTTCCAGAGGACTGCATGCTCAGCTACCTCCTAGACAGCCAGGTTTCCCAGGCAATTCTTCATGCAGGCCCCAGTTTCTGTCTTTACATACACCCCCAAATCCTGAGATCACATATCAAGAATTGTCTCATGTTTGGCTCTGGAAGAAACATGCCACAGACTTCCATGTTTCTGCAGCTCAGGGAAAGCCCTGCCCATTATTCTTTCTGAACAACAACCCCAAACTGTGAGCGTTTCTCTTGGGGTGGCCCACACTAGGTTTAGGTTGGGAAGGCCAAAGTGCTCATTGTGCCTACAAATTCCCTTCATGTAATTTTCTCTCAAGGAATCTGCAGTTTTGTTTTTTCTTTTCTTTTCTTTTCTTTTTTCTTTCTTTCTTTCTTTCTCTTTCTTTCTTTCTTTCTCTTTCTTTCTTTCTTTCTTTCTTTCTTTCTTTCTCTTTCTTTCTTCCTTTCTTTCTTTCTTTCTTTCTTCCTTTCTTCTTTCTTTCTTTTCTTTTCTTTCTTCTTTCTTTCTTTCTTTCTTTTTTTTTTATGGAATTTCACTCTTGTTGCCCAGGCTAGAGTGCAGTGGCACAATCTCAGCTCACTGCAACCTTCACCTCCCGGGTTCAAGTGATTCTCCTGCTTCAGCCTCCCAAGTAGCTGGGATTACAGGCATGTGCCAAGACACCTGGCTAATTTTTTGTATTTTCAGTACAGGCGGGGTTTCACCATGTTGGCCAGGCTGGTCTTGAACTCCTGACCTCAGATGATCCACCCGCCTCGGCCTCCCAAAGTGCTGGGATTACAGGAGTCAGCCACCGCACCCGGCCTGCAGTTTTCTCTTATATACACAATCTCTGTTGCCTCCTCTCCTAACAATCTCTCCCCCACAGTCTCCTGGCTCCTGCCGCACTAGCCTCCTTGCTGGTTCTTGCACAGGATAGGCATGCTTCTGCCTCAGATGCTTTGCATCCGTCTGTGTTTCCCTGTTCCTGGAATGCTCTTGCCCCTCTTATCTGCCTGACTCACTCCCTCAGCTCCCTCTGTTTATTCACATGTCACCTTCTCAGTGAGGCATGCCCTTCCCACCCTATTTAATGTTGCAATCCGGGCATGCCAGCATGCCTGGTTGCCTTTCCCAGCTTTATTTTTTCCATAGCACTGACCACCCTAGACTTTTCGCAGATTTTACAAATTTCTTTGCTTTGTTGTCTGTGTCCTCCACTAAAATATGAGCAAAAGTGTGTCTGGCAGCTCCTCTTTAGAATGTGGAAGTTTTGTCATACTTATTTCAGACTTGAGCCTTTAGCAAAAATTTGAAGACACTAGGAAAAGTATATCACACACAGACACACACACACACACCTCCTGAATTTAGGAGAAAACCAATGATGTAAGAGTAGTATTATTGTCCCCTTTTATTATGAGACAAGCAACGCCCAGAAAGTTAGAACAATTATCCCACAGTCACACATTAAGTTATTGCCACTGGGACTTAAATCCATCCCTTCTTTCTTTCTTTATTTTTAAGCCACTTTATTGAGGTATGATTAACATGTAAAAAGCTGTGCATATTTAATGTACACAACTCAATGATTTGGGGTATATCATCTGTGAAACTGTCACCACCATCAAGGTCATAGACATGTCCACCACCTCCCAAAATTTCCTCCTGCCCCCTTCATTATTATAATTGTTTCTTGTGGCGAGAACACTTACCATAAGAACTACTCTCTTAGCAAATTTTAAGTATACAATACAGTATTGTTAGCTATAAGAACTATGCTGTATAGTAGATCTCCAGGACTTATTTACCTTGTGTAACTGAAACTTTGTACCCTTTGACCATCATCTTTTTATTTACCCCCGCCCTCCCCAACCAGCCCTGGACAACCACCATTGTACTCTCTGCTTCTATGAGTTTGACTGCTTTAGATTCCACATGTAAGGTGTGGAAGACTTATACACAAAAATACAGTATTTTTCTTTCTGTGCCTGGCTTATTTCACTTAGCATAATGTCCTCCATGTCCATCCCTGTTGTTGCAAATGGCAGGATCGCCTTCATTTTAAAGGTTGAATGATATTTCATTGTGAATATATACCACATTTTCTTTATCTGTTCATCTGTTAATGGACATTTAGGTTGTTTTCATATCTTGGCTGTTGTGCAATAAACACGAGAGTGCAGGTATCTCTTCGTGATCCTGATTTCAATCCCTTTGGATAAATACCCAGAAGTGGGATTGCTGGATCCTATGGTAGTTTTATTTTCAATTTTTTGAGGAACTTCCATACTGGTTTTCATAATGATCGCATCAATTTACATTCCCACCACCAGTTTACCTGGATTCCCTTTTCTCTGCATCCTCACCAACACTTGTTATCTTTTGCTTTTTCACTAATAGCCATCCTAACAGGTATGAGGTGATATCCCATTGTGGTTTTGATTTGCATTTTCCCGATTAGTAAATGTTGAGCACTTTTTCATATTTCTGTCAGCCATTTGTATATCTTCTTTTGAGAAATGTTCGTTCTGGTCCTTTTCCCACTTTTTATTTGGGTTCTTTTTTTGCTATTGAGTTGCAGGAGTTCCTTATATATTTTGGGTTTCACTCCCTTATCAGATACATGGTTTGCAAACATTTTCTCCTATTCTGTACGTTGCCTTTTTCTGCCATCGTCAATTATTTTCTTTGCTCTGCAAAGCTTTTTGTATGATATAATTGTGTTTGTTAACTTTTGCTGTTATTGCCTGTGATTTCGTACAAAAAAATCATTGCCAAGACCAACGTCACTGAGCCTTTCCCTTATGTTTTCTTCTAGGAGGTTTGCCATTTCAGGTATTATGTTTAAGTCTTTAATCCATTTTGAGTGATTTTTGTATATGGTGTGGGATAAGGATCCACTTTCATTCTTCTGCATGTGAATATCCAGTTTTCCCAACACCATTTATTGAAGACTCTGTACTTTCCCCATTTTGTATTCTTGTCAAAGATTAGTTGACTGTACATGCATGGGTTTATTTCTGGGTTTTCTGTTCTGTTCCATTGGTCTATGTGTTTGTTTTTATGCCAGTACTATGTCGTTTTGATATTATAGCTTTGTGAAATAATTTGAAATCAGAAAGCATGATGCTGCCATTTCTCCTTATTCAAGACTGGTTTGACTATTTGGGTTTTTTGTGGTTGCATATGAATTTTAGGATTGTTTTCATTCTATTCCCATGAAAAATATGATTGGAATTGACAGGGTTTGCATTGAATCTGTAGAACTCCTTGGGTAGTATGGGCATTTTAATAATATTAATTCTTCCAAACCGTGAACATGAGACATGTTTGCATTTAATTGTGTCTTCTGTTTCTTTCATCAATATTTTATACTTTTCAGTGTACAGATCTTTCACCTGTTTTGTTAAATGTATTCCTAAAATTTTCTTCACTTTTTTGATGCTACTGTGAGTGGGATTGCTTTCTTAATACCTTTTTTGAATTGTTCACTGTTGGCATATAAAAATGTAACTGATTCTTGTATGTTGATTCAGTATCCTACAAGTTTATGACATTTGTTTTTATTAGTTCTAACAGTATTTTTTCTGTGAAGTCTTTAGGATTTTCTATATACCAGATCATGTCATTAGCAAAGAGAGACAATTTTACATCTTCCTTCCTGATTTGGGTGCCTTTTATTTCTTTTTCTTGCCTAATTACTCTGGCTAGGACTTCCAGGGCTATGTTGAATAGATGTGAAAGTGGGCATCCTTGTCTTACTGATGATCTTAGAGGAAACGGTTTCAGCTTTTCATCATGGGGTATGATGTTTGCTGTAGGCTTGTCATATATTAACATTTATGATGTTCAGATACATTCATATTATACCTAATTTGTTGAGAGTTTTCATCATAAACTGATGTTGAGTTTTATCGATGCTTTTCCTGCATCTATTGAAATGGTCCAATGATTTTTAAATCTTTCATTCTGTTAATGTGGTGTTTCACATTGATTGATTGGCGTGTGTTGAACCATCCTTGCTTCCTGGGAATAAATATCACTTGATGGCAGTGTATGATCCTTTTAATGTGCTGTCAAATTCAGTTTGCTAGTATTTTGTTGAGGAGTTTTGCATCCATGTCCGTCAAAGATACTGGCCAGTAGTTTCCTTTTCTTGTAGCATCATTGTCTGACCTTAGCATAAGAGTAATACTGGCCTCATTAAGTGAGTCTGGACGTATTCCCTCCTTTTCATTTTTTTGGAATCACTTAAGAAGGATAGGTGTGTCCAGGAGAGGTGGCTCACGCCTGTAATTCCAGCACTTTGGGAGGCCAAGGTGGGTGGATCACCTGAGGTCAGGAGTTCGAGACCAGCCTGGCCAACATGGTGAAACCCCATCTCTACTAAAAATACAAAAATTAGCCAGGTGAGGTGCAGGCGCCTGTAAATCCAGCTACTCAGGAGGCTGAGGCAGGAGAATCGCTTGAACCCGGGAGGCAGAGGTTGCAGTGAGCTGAGATCGTGCCATTGCACTCCAGCCTGGGTGACAGAGCAAGACTCTGCCTCAAAAAAAAAAAAAAAAAAAAGAAGAAAGATTGGTGTGTTAGTTCTTTAGTTCTTCTTTAAATGTTTGGTAGAATTTACCAGTGAAGCTATTTTGACTTGGGATTTTCTGTTTGGAGAAATTTTTGATTCCTGATTCAATCTCCTTACTCATTATTATCTGTTCACACTTTGTATTTCTTCATGATTCAATCTTAGTAGGTTTTATGTTTCTACAAATTTCTGCATTTCTTCTAGGTTATCCAATTTGTTGGCTTATAATTGTTCGTAGTAGTCTCTTATGATCCTTTGAATTTCTGTGGTATCAGTTGTAATGTCTTCTCTTTCATTTTTTATTATATTTATTTGAGTCTTTTCTCTTTTTTTCCTGGTTATTCTAGCTTAGGGCTTGTCAAAATTATTTTTATCTTTTCAAAATATCAACCCTTAATTTTGTTGCTTTTTTTCTATTGTTTTCCTGGTCTCTATTTCATTTATTTCTGCCTTGAGCTTTGTTATTTCCGTCCTTCTGCTAGTTTTGGGCTTAGTCTGTTCTTATTTGTCTAGTTATTTGGGATCTTAATTTTTTTCTTAATGTAGACATATATTACTACAAACTTCCCTCTTAGTACTGCTTTTGCTGCATCACGTGAGTTTTGGTATATTTTCATTTTTCTTTGTCTCTAGACATATACTGCTTTCCCATTTGATTTCTTTTTGACCCATTGGTTGCTCAAGAGCATGTTGTTTATTTTCCACATACTTGTGAGTTTTCCTCCTGTTACTGATTTCTAGTTTTATACTGCATTTTGATTGGAAAAGATATTTGATATTATTTCAATCTTCTTAAATTTGTTAAGGCTTATTTTGTGGTCTACATATGATCTTTTCTGGAAACATGTTCCACATGCTCTTGATAAGTACATTTGGCCCCATATCTGTGGGTTCCCCATCTGTGTATTCAACTAACCATGGATTGAAAATATTTGAAAACAAATGGGTGCTTGTGTCCATATTGAATATATACAGACTTTTTTCCTTGCTGTTATTCCCTAAAGGATACAGCATAACAACTATTTACATAGCATTTCCATTGTATTAGGTATTATAAGTAATCTTTTTTTTTTTTTTTTTTTTTTGAGATGGAGTCTCTCTGCTGCCCAGGCTGGAGTGCTGTGGCTCGATCTCAGCTCACTGCAACCTCTGCCTCCCAGATTCAAGTGATTCTCCTGCCTCAGCCTCCTGAGTAGCTGGGATTATAGGCGCCTGCCACCATGCCCAGCTAATTTTTGTATTTTTTTAGTACAGACAGGGTTTCACTACATTGGCCAGGCTGGTCTGGAACTCCTGACCTTGTGATCCACCTGCCTCGGTCTCCCAAAGTGCTGGGATTACAGGCATGAGCCACCACACCCAGCCTTTATAAGTAATTTTGATTTGATTTGAAGTATATGGGAGGTTGGCTGGGCACAGTGGCTCACGCCTGTAATCCCAGGACTTTGGGAGGCCGAGGAGGGTGATGGCTTTAGCCTGGGAGTTTGAGACCAGTCTGGGCAACACGGCGAAACCCCGTCTCTACAAAAAAATATACAAAAATCAGCTGGGCTGGACATTGTGGTGCGCACCTGAGGTCCCAGCTACTCAGAAGGCTGAGGTGGGAGGGTTACTTGAGCCTGGGAGGTCAAGGCTGCAGTGAGCCGTGATCGCGCCACCACACTTCAACCTTGGCAACAGAGTGAGTCTTTGTTTCAAAAATAAAAAATAAAAAAAGATTTTTAAAAAATATATCGGAGAATGTGCATGGGTTATATGGAAATACTATACCATTTTATATAACAGACTTGAGCATCCGTGGGCTTTGGTCTACATGGCCCAGGGTCCTAAAATGAATTTCCCATAGATACTGAGGAACAACTGTATGTACATTCTTCTGCTGTTGGATGGACTGTTCTATATATGTCTGTAAGTTCCATCTTATCTAAAGCATTGTTCAGCTTCTTTGTTTCCATATTCATATAATCTATCCATCATCAAAAGTGAGGTATTAAATTTCTCCCATATTATTATATTGCTATTTCTCCCTTCAGTTCTAAATCAATGTACAAAAATCACTAGCATTCCTGTACACCAACAACAGTCAAACCGAGAGCCAAATAAGAAAGGCATTCCCATTCACAATGGCCACAAAAACAATGAAATACTTAGGAATGCAGATAACCGAGGAGGTAAAAAAAAAAAAAAAAAACCTCTATTATTAGAATTACAAAATATTGGTGAAAGAAATCAGAGATTTCCCAAACAAATGGAGAAATATTCCATACCCATGGATTAGAAGAATCAATATTGTTAAACTGACCATACTGCCCAAAGGAATTTACAGAATCAATGCTATTCCTATCAAACTACCAATGACATTCTTCACAGAACTAGAAAAAACTATTTTAAAATCCATATGGAGGTTGCACTGAGCCGAGATTGTGCCACTGCACTACAGGCTGGGTGACAGAGTGAGACTCCATCTCAAAAAAAAAAAAAATTCATATTGGCCATGCTCAGTGGCTCACGCATGTAATCCCAGCACTTTGGGAGACAGAGGGGAGCTGATCACTTGAGGCCAGGAGATCGAGACCAGCCTGGCCAACATGGCGAAATACTATCTCTACTAAAACTACAAAAATTAGCCCGGTGTGGTGGCATGTGCCTGTATTCCCAGCTACTTGGGAGGCTGAGGCACGAGAATTGCTTGAATCCAGGAGGCGGAGATTGCAGTGAGCTGAGATTGCACCACCGCACTCCAGCCTGGGTGGCAGTGTGACTCTGTCTCAAAAAAAAGAAAAAAAAAAAGGAAGAAAAAACATGAAAGGCAGAGTAGTGGTTCTCCCAGCACGCAGCTGGAGATCTGAGAACAGACAGACTGCCTCCTCAAGTGGGTCCCTGACCCCCGGGTAGCCTAACTGGGAGGCACTCCCCAGGAGGGGCAGACTGACACCTCACACGGCTGGGTACTCCTCTGAGACAAAACTTCCAGAGGAACGATCAGGCAGCAACATTTGCTGTTCACCAATATCGACTGTTCGGCAGCCTCTGCCGCTGATACCCAGGCAAACAGGGTCTAGAGTGGGCCTCCAGCAAACTCCAACAGACCTGCAGCTGAGGGTCCTGATTGTTAGAAGGAAAACTAACAAACAGAAAGGACATCCACACCAAAACCCCATCTGTACGTCACCATCATCAAAGACCGAAGATAGATAAAACCACAAAGATGGGGAAAAAACAGAGCAGAAAAACTGGAAACTCTAAAAATCAGAGTGCCACTCCTACTCCAAAGGAACGCAGCTCCTCACCAGCAACGAAACAAAGCTGGACAGAGAATGACTTTGACGAGTTGAGAGAAGAAGGCTTCAGATGATCAAACTACTCTGAGCTAAAGGAGGAAGTTCGAACCCACGGCAAAGAAGTTAAAAACCTTGAAAAAAAATTAGACGAATGGCTAACTAGAATAACAAATGCAGAGAAGTCCTTAAAGGACCTGATGGAGCTGAAAACCATGGCACGAGAACTACGTGACAAATGCACAACCCTCAGTAGCCGATTCCATCAACTGGAAGAAAGGGTATCAGTGATGGAAGATCAAATGAATGAAATGAAGCGAGAAGAGAAGTTTAGAGAAAAAAGAATAAAAAGAAATGAACAAAGCCTCCAAGAAATATGGGACTATGTGAAAAGACCAAATATACGTCTGATTGGTGTACCTGAAAGTCACGGGGAGAATGGAACCAAGTTGGAAAACACTCTGCAGGATATTATCCAGGAGAACTTCCCCAATCTAGCAAGGCAGGCCAACATTCAAATTCAGGAAATTCAGAGAACGCCACAAAGATACTCCTCGAGAAGAGCAACTCCAAGACACATAATTATCAGATTCACTAAAGTTGAAATGAAGGAAAAAATGTTAAGGGCAGCCAGAGAGAAAGGTCGGGTTACCCACAAAGGGAAGCCCATCAGACTAACAGCGGATCTCTCAGCAGAAACTCTACAAGCCAGAAGAGAGTGGGGGCCAATATTCAACATTCTTAAAGAAAAGAATGTTCAACCCAGAATTTCATATCCAGCCAAACTAAGCTTCATAAGCGAAGGAGAAATAAAATCCTTTACAGACAAGCAAATGCTGAGAGATGTTGTCACCACCAGGCCTGCCCTAAAAGAACTCCTGAAGGAAGCACTAAACATGGAAAGGAACAACCAGTACCAGCCACTGCAAAAACATGCCAAATTGTAAAGACCATTGAGGCTAGGAAGAAACTGCATCAACTAACGAGCAAAATAACCAGCTAACATCATAATGACAGGATCAAATTCACACATAACGATATTAACCTTAAATGTAAATGGGCTAAATGCTCCAATTAAAAGACACAGACTGGCAAATTGGATAAAGAGTCAAGACCCATCAGTGTGCTGTATTCAGGAAACCCATCTCACATGCAGAGACACACATAGGCTCAAAATAAAGAGATGGAGGAAGATCTACCAAGCAAATGGAAAACAAAAAAAGACAGGTGTTGCAATCCTAGTCCCAGATAAAACAGACTTTAAACCAACAAAGATCAAAAGAGACAAAGAAGGCCATTACATAATGGTAAAGGGATCAATTCAACAAGAAGAGCTAACTATCCTAAATATATATGCACCCAATACAGGAGCACCCAGATTCATAAAGCAAGTCCTTAGAGACCTACAAAGAGACTTGGACTCCCACACAATAATAATGGGAGACTTTAACACCCCACTGTCAACATTAGACAGATCAGTGAGACAGAAAGTTAACAAGGATATCCAGGAACTGAACTCACCTCTGCACCAAGCGGACTTAATAGACATCTACAGAACTCTGCACCCCAAATCAACAGAATATACATTCTTTTCAGCACCACACCACACCTATTCCAAAATTGACCACATAGTTGGAAGTAAAGCACTCCTCAGCAAGTGTAAAAGAACAGAAATTATAACAAACTGTCTCTCAGACCACAGTGCAATCAAACTAGAACTCAGGATTAAGAAACTCACTCAAACCCACTCAACTACATGGAAACTGAACAACCTGCTCCTGAAAGACTTCTGGGTACATAACGAAATGCAGGCAGAAATAAAGATGTTCTTTGAAACTAACGAGAACAAAGATACAACATACCAGAATCTCTGGGACACATTCAAAGCAGTGTGTAGAGGGAAATTTATAGCACTAAATGCCCACAAGAGAAAGCAGGAAAGATCTAAAATTGACACCCTAACATCACAATGAAAAGAACTAGAGAAGCAAGAGCAAACACATTCAAAAGCTAGCAGAAGGCAAGAAATAACTAAGATCAGAGCAGAACTGAAGGACATAGAGACACAAAAAACCCTTCAAAAAATCAATGAATCCAGGAGCTGGTTTTTTGAAAAGATCAACAAAATTGATAGACCACTAGCAAGACTAATAAAGAAGAAAAGAGAGAAGAATCAAATAGACGCAATAAAAAATGACAAAGGGGATATCACCACCGATCCCACAGAAATACAAACTACCATCAGAGAATACTGTAAACACCTCTACGCAAATAAACTAGAAAATCTAGAAGAAATGGATAAATTCCTGGACACATATACCCTCCCAAGACTAAACCACGAAGAAGCTGAATCTCTGAATAGACCAATAACAGGCTCTGATACACATACACCCTCCCAAGACTAAACGAGGAAGAAGTTGAATCTCTGAATAGACCAGTAACAGGCTCTGAAATTGAGGCAATAATTTCAGTAATTTCAATAAATTGAGGCTTACCAACCAAAAAAAGTCCAGGACCAGATGGATTCACAGCCGAATTCTACCAGAGGTACAAGGAGGAGCTGGTACCATTCCTTCTGAAACTATTGCAATCAATAGAAAAAGGGGGAATCCTCCCTAACTCATTTTATGAGGCCAGCATCACCCTGATACCAAAGCCTGGCAGAGACACAACAAAAAAAGAGAATTTTAGACGAATATCCCTGATGAACATCGATGCAAAAATCCTCAATAAAATACTGGCAAACCGAATCCAGCAGCACATCGAAACGCTTATCCACCATGATCAAGTGGGCTTCATCCCTGGGATTGAAGGCTGGTTCAACATACGCAAATCAATAAATGTAATCCAATCAATAAACGTAATCCAGCATATAAACAGAACCAAAGACAAAAACCACATGATTATCTCAATACATGCAGAAAAGGCCTTTGACAAAATTCAACAATGCTTCATGCTAAAAACTCTCAATAAATTAGGTATTGATGGGACGTGTCTCAAAATAATAAAAGCTATCTATGACAAACCCACAGCCAATATCATACTGAATGGGCAAAAACTGGAAGCATTCCCTTTGAAAACTGGCATAAGACAGGGATGCCCTGTCTCACCACTCCTATTCAACATAGTGTTGGAAGTTCTGGCCAGGGCAATCAGTCAGGAGAAGAAAATAAAGGGTATTCAGTTAGGAAAAGAGGAAGTCAAATTGTCCCTGTTTGCAGATGACATGATTGTATATCTAGAAAACCCCATCGTCTCAGCCCAAAATATCCTTAAGCTGATAGGCAACTTCAGCAAAGTCTCAGGATACAAAATCAACATGCAAAAATCACAAGCATTCTTATACACCAATAACAGACAAACAGAGAGCAAAATCCTGAGTGAACTCCCATTCACAATTGCTTCAAAGAGAATAAAATACCTAGAAATCCAACTTACAAGGGACGTGAAAGACCTCTTCAAGGAGAACTACAAACCACTGCTCAATGAAATAAAAGAGGATACAAACAAATGGAAGAACATTCCATGCTCATTCGTAGGAAGAATCAATATCATGGAAATGGCCATACTGCCCAAGGTAATTTATAGATTCAATGCCATCCCCATCAAGCTACCAATGACTTTCTTCACAGAATTGGAATAAACTACTTAAGTTCATATGGAACCAAAAAAGAGCCCACATGGCCAAGTCAATCCTAAACCAAAAGAACAAAGCTGGAGGCATCATGCTACCTGACTTCAAGCTATACTACAAGGCTACAGTAACCAAAACAGCATGGTACTGGTACCAAAACAGAGATATAGATCAATGGAACAGAACAGAGCCCTCAGAAATAATGCCGCATATCTACAACTATCTGATCTTTGACAAACCTGACAAAAACAAGCAATGGGGAAAGGATTCCCTATTGAATAAATGGTGCTGGGAAAACTGGCTAGCCATATGTAGAAAGCTGAAACTGGATCCCTTCCTTACGCCTTATAAAAAATTAATTCAAGATGGATGAAAGACTTAAACGTTAGACCCAAAACCATAAAAACCCTAGAAGAAAACCTAGGCAATACCATTCAGGACATAAGCATGGACAAGGACTTCATGTCTAAAACACCAAAAGCAATGGCAACAAAAGCCAAAATTGACAAATGGGATCTAATTAAACTCAAGAGCTTCTGCACAGCAAAAGAAACTACCATCAGAGTGAACAGGCAACCTATAGAATAGGAGAAAATTTTTGCAATCTACTCATCTGACAAAGGGCTAATATCCAGAATCTACAATAAACTCCAACAAATTTACAAGAAAAAATCAAACAACCCCATCAAAAAGTGGGCAAAGGATATGAACAGACACTTCTCAAAAGAAGACATTTATGCAGCCAAAAGACACAAGAAAAAATGCTCATCATCACTGGCCATCAGAGAAATGCAAATCAAAACCACAATGAGATACCATCTCACATCAGTTAGAATGGCAACCATTAAAAACTCAGGAAACAACAGGTGCTGGAGAGGATGTGGAGAAATAGGAACACTTTTACACTGTTGGTGGAAAACTAGTTCAACCATTGTGGAAGTCAGTGTGGCAATTCCTCAGGGATGTAGAACTAGAAATACCATTTGACCCAGCCATCCCATTACTGGGTGTATACCCAAAGGATTATAAATCATGCTGCTATAAAGACACAAGCACACATATGTTTATTGCAGCACTGTTCACAATAGCAAAGACTTGGAACCAACCCAAATGTCCAACAATGATAGACTGGATTAAGAAAACGTGGCACATATACACCATGGAATACTATGCAGCCATAAAAAAGGATGAATTCATGTCCTTTGTAGGGAGATGGATGAAGCTGGAAACCATCATTCTCAGCAAACCATGACAAGGACAAAAAACCAAACACCGTGTGTTCTCACTCATAGGTGGGAATTGAACAATGAGAACACATGGACACAGGAAGGGGAACATCACACATCGGGGCCTGTTGGGGGGTGGGGGGAGGGGGGAGGGATAGCATTAGGAGATACACCTAATGTTAAATGACGAGTTAATGGTTGCAGCACACCAACATGGCACATGTACACATATGTAACTAACCTGCACGTTGTGCACATGTACCCTAAAACTTAAAGTAGAATTAAATATATATATATATGAAAGGTGAAAAGAGCCCAGATAGCCAAGGCAATACCAGGCAGAAAGAACAGAGCTGAAGGCATCACGCTACCCAACTTCAAACTGTACTACAAGGCTAAAGTAACCAACAGCCTCATTAAAAAGTGTGCAAAGGACATGAACAGACACTTTTAGAAAGAAGACTTACATGCGGCCAACAAGTACATGAAAAAATGCTCAACATCACTGATCGTTAGAGAAATGCAAATCAAAACCACAATGACGTATCATCTCACACCACTCAGAATGGCTATTATTTAAAGGTCAAAGACCAGGCGCAGTGGCTCACACCTGTATTCCCAGCACTTTGGGATGGCGAGGAGGGAGGATCACTTGAGGTTAGGAGTTCAAGACCAGCCTGGCCAATATGGTGAAACCCTGTCTCTACTAAAAAATACAAAAATTAGCTGGACGTGGTGGTGCATACTTATAGTCCCAGCTACTCGGGAGCCTGAGGCAGAGGCAACAGAGTGAGACTCCATCTCCTAAAAAAAAAAAAAAAAATTTTTTTTTTTAAAAAAGGTCAGGCCGGGTGTGGTGGCTCACACCTGTAATCCCAGCACTTTGAGAGGCCCAGACAGGCAGATCACGAGGTCAGGAGTTAGAGACCAGCCTTGCCAACATAGTGAAACCCCATCTCTACTAAAAATACAAAAATTAGCTGGGCATGGTGGTGCACACCTGTAGTCCCAGCTACTCATGAGGCTGAGACAGGAGAATCACTTGAACCAGGGAGGGGGAGGTTGTGGTGAGATGAGATCGCCCCACTGCACTCCAGCCTGGGAGACAGAGTGAGAGTCCATCTCAAAAAAAAAAAAAAGAAAAAAAAAAGTCAAAAAAAGGTCAGATGCTGGTGAGGTTGTGGAGTAAAGGCACCACTTATACACTGCTGGTGGGAACATAAGTTCAGCCATTGTGGGAAGCAGTTTGGTGATATCTTAAAGAACTAACACAGGAACTGAAAAACAAATACCACATGTTCTCACTTACAAGTGGGAGCCAAAGATTGAGTACACATGGATACAAAGAAGGGAACAGCAGACACCGGGGCCACATGAGGGTGGAAGGAGGGAGGAGGGTAAGGATCGAAAAAGTGCATATTGGGTACTATGCTTATTACCCGGGCGATGAAATAATCAAGACACCAAACCCCTATGACATACAATTTACGCATATGACAAATCTGCACATGTACTCCTGAAACTGAAATAAAAGTTACCAAAAAAACCCTCAAGTACTTTCTGTGATTATGCTAAAGAATCTCACATTGCTTGATTCCTGGGGCTAACTGTACAAAACCTAATTGTACAGTTTGACCATGTACAAATATATATACACCAGTTGAATGTACAGCCTAGCCAGAAATCTGTGAAAATCAGAGTGTTAATTGGGAAACAGTGAAACCTTGATATTTGGAATGGGCGTCTCTGGGAGGATTTGTGGATATTCTTTGCAGTGGACCCAAAACCGCTTGGGGACAAAAGCAGAGTCAAACGTGAAAAGAAGGCCAACACAACATGATGGCTACCGTAGGAATGGATTTTGAGAGTGCTTGACCAAGTAGGGGAACACGACTTTAGTTTGAGGTGAATTGTCAATATGGATGGGCTTTGCAGAATTTGCACCGTGTGAAATCCCTTGGCATGTTGTAGATAAAGTAATTTAAAATGTTAGGGAAAGCTAGAGGGAAACTGTCATGTATGTCACCCTACCCCCTGACTATGTCAAACTTGAGTGGGACCGCAGAGTCTCCCTCCACAGTTTGAGACTACACTGGGTGAAGAAAATGGTGATGTGTTTTTGAAATGCTCCATCAGCTGTTCTCAGTGGCCACAGAATGCTGATGGGAACCATTGCAGCTGAATTGGAATCCCTGCTTTTGATAAGGATGTGTATCCTGAGTGGCAGAGGTAATGGCACTTACCTGGGTGCCCTTACCAGGAATGTTGGTGTGGTGACCCTAATGGGCAGCAAGGTCAGGATAGTAGTCAGAGTGGCCTGATATGAGAGATCACACATTGTATTCAATTAATCATGGAGTCCGGAGGAACAAAATTGGCTGACGTCGCACTGGGGTCCTAGGGGGTTTGGAAAAGTCTTTGAGATGGTCACATCCCTTGTAAGGAGAACAGGGTTGACATGGTGAGATGGAGTGAGGCAGATAGCTTGGTGTGCTGATTCTGGGCCCATTCCTAAGTTCTCAAAGCTGGAGTGGCTGAGGGAAAGTTCATGCATTTAAAAAATAGTTATTAGGCTGGGCACGGTGGCTCACGCCTGTAATTCCAGCACTTTGGGAGGCCAAGGCAGGTGGATCACCTGAGGTCAGGAGTTCGAGACCAGCCCGGCCAACATGGCGAAACTGTGTCTCTACTAAAAATACAAAAAAAATTAGCCAGGCGTGGTAGTGGGCATCTGTAATCCCAGCTACTTGGGAGGCTGAGGCAGGAGAATCTCTTGAACCCGGGAGGCAGAGGTTGCAGAGAGCCAAGATTGCGCCATTGCACTCCAGCCTGGGCGACCAAAGTGAAACTCTGTCTCGAAAAAAAAAAAAAGTTATTAATCAACAAGTCTGTACTAAGCATTGTGGAGACACGGGGGGAACAGTCACAAGCCGGGATGCCTACTACCATAGGCTAGAAGGAAAGGTAGGCACGTTAATAAGAAGCAGTGTAAGTGCATCACAGTTGGAGAAGTACAGGGGCTAGAGGAGCACAGACATGGCAGGGATGGTCAAAGTCTTCTCCTAGAGGAACCGACTGCTGAACTTAAACCTGAAGTATGACAAGGAGTTAGCCAGGCAAAGAGAGGGCTAAGGTATGTTCTTCATGGAGGAAATAGCATGTATGGAAGACAGAGAGAGAGAATGGCATGTTTGAAAAACGACTGCGGGCCGGGCACGGTGGCTCACACCGATAATCCCAGCACTTTGGGAGGCCAAGGCAGGTGGATCACTTGAGGTCAGGAGTTCGAGACCAGCCTGGCCAACCTGGTGAACCCCCATCTCTACTAAAAATACAAAAAATTAGCTGGGCACGGTGGCAGACGCCTGTAATCCCAGCTACTCTGGAGGCTGAGGCAGGAGAATCGCTTGAACCCGGGAGGCGGAGGTTGCAGTGAGCCGAGATCGTGCCATTGCACTCCAGCCTGGGCAACAAGAGCGAAACTCCACCTCAAAAAAGAAAAGAGAAAAAAAGAACAACTGCATCTAGAAATAGAGAAGATTAAATATCCTGATTTACCATTCCCCCCTCCTCCCCCGACATACTCCAAAACTCTCGGACATGTTAGAGAAAATGGAGCAAGCATTCTTTCAAGTGTATAGCTGACGTCACAAAAAGATTAAGGGCAATACACAGGGGGCAAGAGTGAAGAGGAAGCCAAAACACAATGCTATAAGCACATGAGCTGACAGCATGGCTTTCCCGAGCCAGGTTACTGGTCTTGGTAACATAGCTTTTGGGTTTTAATGGCCATGTGAGGATGACAGAATGGCGTTCAAGACACTGTTGGCAGGGAGTTGGAAACAAAGATGAGCCTGTGTCTCATGTAATTTTTAGTTAGAATTTATACTGTCCTTATGGTCCAGGATCCCTCAACCTGATAAAATAACGTTAAATGTGCTCCCAGGCTGGTGAGACCTTGGGCCGTCTGCCTGACAGAAGCAAACATGTCTCTAGAGGGACACTCTCCACAGGACTCCCACAAGGCCCTGCCAAATAGGAGCTCGAATTTCAAAATCACAAAATAACGCAGGAAGAAACAATTTCCCACGAGCAAGAGCTGCAGAAACAACAAACAGCATAATTAAACCCCTAGGAATGTCAGCTGATAGGATTATCACACAGAAACTAAGAGATAGTATGTTTAAGTAACAGCCATGAAAGAAGACATGCAAATGTAAGAAGAAAGAGCAAGATGGTATTTTTAAAAGACAGGTGTGAAAAGAGTCAAAGAAAGCTTCTAGAACTGGACAGTATAGTCATTGAAAACAAACCTAATATACAAATTAAACAGAACATTAAACTGAAGAGAGACATAATGGTGTTGAAGATAGATCTGACAGAATTATCTAGAATACAGCACAAGGGGGTATAAACGTGGGTACTATGACAGACTGGTTAAGAGACATGGAGGAGAGACTGACATACATCTAATGGATGTTCCAGGAGAAGAGTCTAGAGAGAATATTTAAAAGCTTAATGGCTGAGAATATATCAGAATTGCTGAGAGACATGAATACTCAGATTCAGGGAGCAAAAGTTTTGAGCAGGATTTTTGAAGAAAGAAATCTATAACTAGGCACATCATAGTAAAACTAGAAAACACCAAAGACAAATCAGGCAGGGAGGCAATGCACATTACCATGATGGAATGGAAATTGGACTGACTGAAGACTTTGCAAGGAATAATAGAAGTCAGGAAGCAGTCTGGAATTATATACCCAGCTACCCTATCATTCAAGAGCGAGAGAAACACAGAGATATTTTCTGACAAGCATGGGCTGAGAGAACTTTTAAACAGGTGCTTCAAGAGAAAGAAGATTGTGCCCAGAAGAACTGAGATGAGGGAACAAATGGTAAGCAAAGAAACTGACTGAAATAAAGCCCATTGCAAACCAGCATATTTTATCTGTGTCAATACAGCAATTTAAAAGACCCTGGAAGTCTGTTGACTGAAGAGTCATTTGAACCACCATCCACTGAATTTCTGTCCCTGACTTGAGTCAGTTTATAGACCCAGAGGCCCTCAAATGAAGAGAAAGTCACAGAGCAAACTCAATGTATAATGTGAATCTTCATTCTAGTATTTCTCTGAGAGACTTGCAGCCAGTTAGTTAGGTACATAGGCACTGCAGAAAAGGGAAACACCGAAACAGTTAGTCATTATTGGATATTGACTCTAAGCTAATACTAATGGCTCGGAATGCAGAATGCCACCATGGTCCATCAGTCAGAGGGAGGCTTATCAGGATCAGATGATGGATGAAATCTTGAACAAAGTTCGTCTCATGGTTGTTTCTCTAGTTCCTGCAAGTATTTGTGGAGCACGTGCCCCCAGGTGCATGCGCACATGCACACACACTTATTCAGAAGCTGCAAGAATCTCCACGTTGCCTCTGTAACCCACCATGGAGTAAGAGCTATTATGCTAAAGAAGGCTAAGAAATTACTGGATTTCCCCCCACCCTTACTTCTTGCCAAGATACGAAATCCATAGAAATATCACATGCCTGTGGAAATATCAGGAAAAGCATGCCATGCAGAAAATAGTAAAAGACACAGAAGTAGTCATTTGTATCTCATTCACATGCCAATTCTGGCCAGTGCGAGAGATGAATGGACCTTGGGGTGTACATGTGGATTATCATAAATATAATCAGGTGGTGATTGCTGATTGCAGTTGCTATCCCAGATGTGACCTCCTTAATGGAGTAAATCAATATTCTTTTCTACATTCCAGCAAGCAGAGAACACTAAAAGCACCTTGCTTTCCTTAGCATAGAAAATTCTATACACTTACTGTCATGCACAGAGATATATCATTTTTTCCAAGTTTGAGCTCTAGTTTAGTCTTTGGAGATTTTAACCACACCACCTTCCACTGGGAATTACTCTAGTCTGCTCTGTTGATGATATCATGCTGATAGGACCTAGGTAAGAGAAAGTATGGGTATCTAGATACTTTGGAAAGACTCATGAGGGCCCAGAGACTTTGAGTTCAATTCTTTGAAATCACAGAAGCCTGCCACCTCTATGAAATTTGGAGGGGTCCAGTGACTTGAGGCACGTCAAGATATTTCTCCAAATGTGGAGGCCAAGTGGCTTCCGTTTTCATCCCATACCAGTAATGAGGCACAGTGCTTGGTGGGCCAATCTGGATGTTGAAGATAAAATTTGCCATATTTGTGTGTCCTGCTCCAACCCATTTTGTAGGTAACAAGAAAAATGGCCAGTATTCAGTGGGGCCCAGGGTAAATGAAGGCTCTCCCATTGTCCCAGGCTGCAGTTCACCCAGATCTGCCACCAAGCCCTTATGACTCAAGGGATCCGAAAGGTGCTTGAAATGTCTGTAACAGGTCATGACACCTTATGGAGTTGGGAGTAATCCCTGTTGAGAGAAACATGTCAGTAAACCCTGTGATTGGAGCAAATCCATGCCTTCATCAGCAAGGAACTATTGTTTTTTGAGAGACTGTTCCTAGCTTGCTACCGGCCCTGGTAGACTGGCCATGAGAAACCAAATTGGTCATGTGATCTGAGCTGTCCATCATGAACTGGGCGTTGACTAATCCACCAAGCCGTAAAGTCTAGCGTAACCAGTACAACCCCATCCCCAAAGGGAAATCATATATACCAAATTGGGCTTTTATTCCTCCCCGTGCTGCCACCTGTTCTTCAACCCACACCCATGGGTTCATTGGGAGTTTCTCATAACTCAGTGACTGGGGAGAAAACTCGGTAGCCTGGCCTAAAGAAGGGCTCTGCAGGACGTGCAGGAGCCATGTGGAAATGGACTGTGAAGAGGCTCCTAATAATTAAGTGAAATACACAGGACTGTCTGCGAAAGCCATTCAGGCTCTTTCCTGGTGTTTTCATCCACAGTGCAGTGAATACTCTTGTACAGACAGACTTCCTTTGGCACATATTCAAGAGAGCTCCTAGAAGAGAGTTTTGAAAGCTTTTCTGACAGAAACCCCAGGAAGAAATGTATTTTGTGTTGTGCCCTGGAGAACACAAGCTTGCCTACCCACATGCATATAAGCACACACGTATATGCCAGTGAAATAACATTTTCATAAAGTAGTACTCACCCTAACTGCATGCAATGCAATCAGATATTTTCTATTCTATTTTCTTCCGGTTCACTTGTTTAATGGCATCACAACCCACTAAAGTAACTCCACAACACATCCACTATAGTGTCATAGCCGGCAATTGAAAAATGTTCTCACATACACCTAAAAGTGGAATTCTTGGACCTAGATTACTGGCATCTTTGATTTGACTCAAATTTTCTAAATACTTATCTAAATTCTACTCTCTCAAGTGATTATGCCTTTGCTCCATATTCTCGTTAACACTCAGTATTTTCTTTCTTTTTTTTTTTTTTTTCAGATGGAGTCTCACTCTGTTGCCCAGGCTGGAGTGCGGTGGCCTGATCTGGACTAACTGCAACCTCCGCCTCCCAGGTTCAAGTGATTCTCCTACCTCAGCCCCCCAAGTAGCTGGAAAACAGGTGCCTGCCACCACACCCGGCTAATTTTTGTATTTTTAGTAGAGACCAGGTTTCGCCATGTTGTCCAGGCTGGCCTCGAACTCCTGACCTCTGGTGATCCGCCCTACTCAGCTTCCCAAAGTGGTGGGATTACAGGCATGAACCACTGTGCCTGGCATCACTCATTGTTTTCTAAATGTGAAAAAATTTGCTCATCTCTTTAGTGTGAAGTATCTAGAGTAGAAAAATATTATAGTAGCCAAAGGAAGAGGTAGAGTTTGGTCTTCATCTGTGGTCTTCTTTTCTTGTTCCTCTTTTTTTAATGTTTACTGATGTAATCAGTGTTTTGGGTTTTTTAAGTGAGATCTACTAGAATATGCTTAAATGCCTATGTTAATGATGTTGAGGGAAGGAAGAAATGAATGATTCTGAAAACCGTGTATTTGGAGGCAGGGAGTCAAAGGCTCAAAGTACTTGAAGTGGGATGGAAATCAAAGTGCACGTGAAGGGATCAGAGGAGAAATGTTTTCTCCCTTGTAACCAGAGGAGGAAGTTGGGTTAGAAGTAACATAGATTTAACATTTTAATGATGGGAAGATGAGGGGCTTTGTTTTAAGACAGACATGGTGCCTGTGCTCTGGAGCTTACAGTCCAGCAGAAAAACAGTCAGTAATTAGAAGTTACATGTGCTTAAAGTGAACATGGTGCCGTAGTGGGATTCAGTGAAGGATTTAACCTAGTTGCAGGACTCCATGGAAGACATACTAAGAATATGATGTTTAAGCTGCGACCTAAGTGATGAGGAAGAGTTACTGAGTCAAAGATTGGGAGAAAAGTATACCAGGCAACAAAACAGGGAACTTAAAGGAGTTTAAGTGGTTGAGAAAGTAAAGGAAAGTCAGTATTGCCAGTGTAGAGATTGAGGAGGACCGAAGTTGACTGGAAGCTAGAGAGGTAGGTAAGGTTGACATCATGTAAGGTCTTACAAGCCCTGTAAAGAGTTTGGACTTAATTACCACTTACATGGGAAGCCATTACAGAACTTTAAGCAAGAGGACAGACATGATCAGAAAGGTTTTCTGTAAAACATTACTACCGCTGCTTTTGGAGAATGTATCAGAGATGGGCCAGAGGAGATGTGGCCAGGACTATTTTTCAGTAGTCCATGTGATGACTGGTGACTTGGATTGGAGAAGGGGCAGCAGATATGGACAGATTTGAGAGATGGTGAAAAGACAGAATTGACAACGTGTGGTAATGGAATGTTGGGATGTGTATGTGCAGGGAGAGGAATGCAAGGAAACTCGTGTTTTTCATATAGGCGAGTGGGTGGATGTTGTACAATTTACTGAGATGGGAGAGACTGGAAGAGAATCAAGTTTAGTGGAGAGGATCATGAGTTCACTTACGTTCATTGTGATGCATTTGAAATAAATGTGTCTGAGTCAGTAATCCTTTTGTCAGCAGGTACCAAGAGACATACCAACAGGATACCCAAACAGGGCTTAAAGCTTTATGAAAAAAGTCTAGATGAAGTTGGTTGTTAGAATTGGTTCAGTGATTTAAAATGTCAATGCTGACATCTCCGTAATTTTCTTGGCCTTTTCCTCATGATCACAAATACTGTTCAACACATCCAAGTCCAAGGCAGGAAGACAGGAAAAAGAGGGAAAAGGTTTTCTTCTTTTGATAGGTTGTCATTTTCTTCAAGAAGAAAAGCTACCATTTATTATTTTCCTAATTAGAGGCAATTTTAGTGGCTTCTGCATTAAATTTCTCATAATGAACATTTTTTTTTCATCATCACACAGGTAGTTCTTAGCTGCATCATTGCATGTAAGATTGCTTAGGAGAAACACTAGACATTAAAACAGAAGATGAAAAAAGAAGAATATTAGGGAAATTTCTGAAGAGTTTTCACAGTTAATGATTGGCTGTAGTAAACGTTTCAGGTAAAATGGTAGAAATATGTTTTCAATCAAATTAGGGTGACATGTTCAACATGGGAATGACCAACTGTGTGTTCAAATGCTGATGGGGGTCAATAAGATGAGGTCTAAAAAGTGGCCATTGAGTTTAGTAACTTGTTGGTTATCTGGGACCTTTGCAAGAGCACTTTTAATACTGCTGGATGGCCAAACCACACTGAAGTGGGTTGAGAAGTGTATGAATGTTAGAAGATGAGGACCGTGTCACGTAGGACACATAAAAAACATAAATGTGTTTTAATACTCATGAAATGAGGCCGGGTGTGGTGGCTCACGCCTGTAATCCCAGCACTTTGGGAGGCCGAGATGGGCAGAACACTTGAGGCCAGAAGTTCGAGACCAGCCTGGCCAACATGGTGAAACCCCATCTCTACTAAAAAAAATACAAAAAATTTAGCCGGGCATGGTGGCAGGCGCCTCTGATCCCAGCTACTTAGGAAGCTGAAGCAAGAGAATCTTTTGAACCTGGGAGGTGGAGGTTGCAGTGAGCTGAGATCATGCTATTGCACCCCAGCCTCGGCAACAAGAACAAAACTCCGTCTCAAAAAACAAAACAAAACAAAACAACAACAACAACAACAACAAAAAACTCATGAGATGAATCCAACAGAGATGGTAAGGTTGTAAATCAGCAACACAAGGGGATAATCCACACAGCACAATGCTGATTATGCAGGAAGGATACTAAGTGAGGTGATGCTTGGATAATAAGAGGCAAGGAGAGAAGCTTGGGGCCAATGGAGATAGGTTATGTATTTAGTGGTGGAAGGTTAGTATTTCGTATCTTTATGAATATGAAGATTTCATAAAATATGAAGTACTTTGTATTATTAAGTATTCATTAAGTATCATCATTATTCAATCATATCATATATCATTCATATAAGTATTCATTAAGTATCATATCATTAAGTATTCATTATCATATCATTAAGTATTCATTAAGTATGAAGTATCTTTTTGTGATGAAATAATATTCTATTATAGTAATACCACTTTTTAAATCCATTCATCTGTTAAAAGATATTTGGCCAGCCAGGAGTGGTGGCTCACACCTGTAATCCCAGCACTCTGGGAGGCCAAGGCGGGAAGATCACTTGAGGTCAGGAGTTTGAGACCAGCCTGGCCAACATGGTGAAACCCTGTCTCTAACAAAAATACAAATAATTAGCCAGACGTGCTCACTTGAAAGCAGGAGGCAGGGCTTGCAGTGAGTCAAGATCACACCACTGCACTCCAGTGTGGGTGACAGAGCAAGACTCCATCTCATAAAAAAAAGATATTTGGCCATTGTGAATAGTGCTGCTAATAGCATTCATGTACCAGCATTTGTTTGAGTACCTGTTTTTAATTTTAGGGGGTATATACTGTAGAGTGGAATTGTTTGGTCATATGGTAATTACCTGTTTAACGTTTTGGGGAACTGCCAACCTGTTTTCCACAGTAGCTGCACCACACTGCTTTCCCACCAGCAATGTACAAGGTTCTGATTTCTCCACATCCTTGCCAACAGTAGTTATTTTCTGGGTTTTGTTTTTGGTTTTTGTTTTATTTTTTATTGTAGCCATCCTACTGCGTGTGAAATGGCATATCATTATGGATTTGCTTTGCATTTCTCTAATAACTAACGATGTTCAGAATTTTTTCATGTGTTTGTTGGTCATTTTAAAAATCTTCCTTGGAAAAATGTCTATTCAAGTCCTTTGCCCATGTTTTGATTGTGTTGTTTGACTTTTTTGTTGTCAAGTTATAAAAGTTCTTTATGTATCATTGATATTAGAGCCTTATCAGATATTGATTTGCAAATATTTTCTCTACATGTTGTCTTTTAACTTCCCTCATAGTGCCCTTTGATGCACAAAAGCTTTTAATTTTGATAAAGTCCAATTTATCTATTTTTTTCTTCTGATGCTTGTGCTTGTGGATTACCAAATGCGAGGTCATGAAGATTTATTCTTGTGTTTTCTTCTAAGAGTTTCATTTTTTTATTTACTTTTTTATTTATTTTTATTTTTTGAGATGGAGTCTCACTGTGTTGCCCAGGCTGGAGTACAGTGGCTCCATCTCGGCTCACCACAACCTGTGCCTCCTGGGTTCTCCTGCCTCAGCCTCCTGAGCAGCTGGGGTTACAGGAGCGGACCACCAAGCCCAGCTAATTTTTGTATTTTTAGTAGAGGCGGGGTTTTGCCATGTTGGCCAGGCTGGTCTCAAACTCCTGACCGCAGGTGATCCACCCATCTCAGCTTCCCAATCTTTTTTTTTTTTTTTTTTTGAGACAGAGTCTCGTTCTGTCACCCAGGCTGGAGTGTAGTGGTGTGATCTCGGCTCACTGCCCCCTCCGCCTCCCGGGTTCCAGCAATTCTCCTGCCTCAGCCTCCCGAGTAGCTGGGATTTGTATTATGTCTTAAAATAGGAAAGTGCGAGTCCTCCCATTTCGATCTTTTTCAAGATTGTTTTGGCCATTTGGAGGGCCTTGCAATGTAAATTTTAGGATGAGCTTCTCTATTTCTGCAAAAAAAGGCCATTGGGATACTTTTGGTACTTCTGCAAGTGGAGATGAAAGAAGGGTTAAAAACAGAAAGGTTGCATGAAAGTCTGTTTAAGAAGCACTTAGATTTCCAGATACTCCCCTCACTCTGCTAACTGGGTGATTTATCTCCTGCGCCCCGGAAGAAGATTCAAGGATTATTGTTAGGAGGGGAAAAATAGAGGAGCTCTGGAATGGGGGACTCCAGGCATAATTGAGGTTAAAAATCCCATATTGCAAAGTGGAGTTAAGTGAACATAATCAAACAGATTATCAGACATCCGAGGAAAGTTTCTAACATGAAAGATAGAGAGGGACAGGAAGAAACTAGAAAGAAACTATGCAGTAATAGGAAGCCTTTTAAAAAAGCCATTAACCATTCCTCAGAGAGCAATCCCCAACCTTTTTGGCACCAGGGACCTGTTTCATGGAAGACAATTTTTCAACCGACCAAGGAAGAGATGGGGGGATGGTTTCGGGATGAAACTGTTCCATCTCAGATCATCAGGCATTAGATTCTCGTAAGGAGCATGCAACCTAGATTCCTCACATGTGCAGCTCACAGAATGGTTCCGCTCCTAAGAGAATCTAATGCCTCCGCTGATCTGACAGGAGGCGGAGCTCAGGTGGTAATATGTTCACTCACCCACTGCTCACTTCGTGCTGTTCAGCCCAGTTCCTAACAGGCCACGGATCGATACTGGTCCAGTGCCCAGGGGTTGGGGACCCCTGCCTTAGAAGTAAGACAAAATAATATATCCATAAAACCAGAGCAAGATGCTATTTTTTTGTTTTTATTTGATTTACTTATTTTTTTTTTGAGACGGAGTTTCGCTCTTTCGCCCAGGCTGGAGTTAAGTGGCATGATCTCGGCTCCTCAACCTTCTGAGTAGCTGGGACTACAGGCACCCGCCACTATGCCCAGCTAATTTTTGTGTTTAGTAGAGAAGGGGTTTTGCTATGTTGGCCAGGCTGGTCTTGAACTCCTGATCTCAGGTGATTCACCAGCCTTGGCCTCCCAAAGTGCTAGGATTACAGGCGTGAGCCACCAGGACCAGCTTAAGATACTATTTTTTAAACAGAAAATGTGTTCTTTTATTTTTTTTTCACATTCAGGGAGCTGGGCTCCCTGTCTTATTCTTTTTTTTTTATTATTATACTTTAAGTTTTAGGGTGCATGTGCACAATGTGCAGGTTAGTTACATATGTATACATGTGCCATGCTGGTGCGCTGCACCCACTAACTCGTCTTCTAGCATTAGGTATATCTCCCAATGCTATCCTTCTCCCCTCCCCCCACCCCACAACAGGCCCCAGAGTGTGATGTTCCCCTTCCTGTGTCCATGTGTTCTCATTGTTCAATTCCCACCTATGAGTGAGAATATGAGGTGTTTGGTTTTTTGTTCTTGAGATAGTTTACTGAGAATGATGATTTCCAATTTCATCCATGTCCCTACAAAGGACATGAACTCATCATTTTTTATGTCTGCATAGTATTCCATGGTGTATATGTGCCACATTTTCTTAATCCAGTCTATCGTTGTTGGACATTTGGGTTGGTTCCAAGTCTTTGCTATCGTGAATAGTGCCGCAATAAACATACGTGTGCATGTGTCTTTATAGCAGCATGATTTATAGTCCTTTGGGTATGTACCCAGTAATGGGATGGCTGGGTCAAATGGTATTTCTAGTTCTAGATCCCTGAGGAATCGCCACACTGACTTCCACAATGGTTGAACTAGTTTCCAGTCCCACCAACAGTGTAAAAGTGTTCCTCTTTCTCCACATCCTCTCCAGCACCTGTTGTTTCCTGACTTTTTAATGATTGCCATTCTAACTGGTGTGAGATGATATCTCATTGTGGTTTTGATTTGCATTTCTCTGATGGCCAGTGATGGTGAGCATTTTTTCATGTGTTTTTGGCTGCACTTTTGAGAAGTGTCTGTTCATGTCCTTCACCCACTTTCTGATGGGGTTGTTTGTTTTTTTCTTGTAAATTTGTTTGAGTTCATTGTAGATTAGAAAATGTGTTCTTGGAAATTAAAATGTATTATCAAGGCCCAGCACGGTGGCTCATGCTTGTAATTCCAGCATGTTGAGAGACCGAGGTGGGAGGGTCCCTTGAACCCAGGAGTTCGAGACCAGCCTGGCAACATGACGAGACCCTGCCTCTACAAAAAAAAAAAAAGGAAAAAAATTGCCAGGCATGATGGTTCATGCCTGTATTCCCAGCTACTCAGGAGGCTGAGCTGGGAGGGCTGCTTCAGCCCCAGAGTTCAAGGCTTCAGTGAGCTGTGATCATGCCCGGGCAACAGAGCGACTCTCTCTCTCTCTCTACATATATATATAATATAAATATAAATATAAATATATATATATATATTATATATATAATATATATAAATATATATATATTATATATATAATATATATAAATATAAATATATATAAATATAAATATATATAATATATATATTATATATATATGAATGAAAAACTTTTTAGAAGTGTTGAATGATACTCATCTTTGGAGAAATCTTCCAGAAAGTAAAGCCAAATAATGAATTAGTAAGTAGAGGCACATGATAGATCGAGAGAGAGGGAGGGAGGGAGGGAGAGGGAGGGAGGGAGGGAGGGAGGGGGAGAGAGAGAGAGAGAGAGAGACAGAGAGAGAGAGAGAGAGAGAGAGAGAGAGAGAGAGTGAGAGAGAGAGAGAGAGAGAGAGAGAGAGAGAGAGGAGAGGTGGCCAATGTCTATGGCCATACCACCCAGAACATGCCAATCTTGGAAGCTAAGCTGGGTCAGGCCTGGCTGGTAGTTGAATGGGAGACCACCTGGGATTACTGGGTACTGTAGGCTTTTGCCGGGCGCAGTGGCTCACACCTGTAATCCCATCACTTTGGGAGGATGAGGCCGGTGGATCACGAGGTCAGGAGTTCGAGGCCAGCCTGGCCAATATGGTGAGACCCCCGTCTCTACTAAAAATACAAAAAAACTAGCCGGGCATGGTGGCAGGCGCCTGTAATCCCAGCTACTCAGGAGGCTGAGGCAGGAGAATCGCTTGAACTCAGGAGGCAGAGGTTGCAGTGAGCTGAGATTGTGCCACTGCACTCCAGCCTGGGCAATAGAGGGAGACTCCATCTCAAAAAAAAAAGAAAAAAAGAAAAAGAAGGAAGGAAGGAAGGAAGGAAGGAAGGGAAGGAGGAAGGAAAAGAAAATAGGAGAGGAGAAATAAGAGGTCTACACCAGAGTATCTAACATCCAAATAATAGGGATTCCAGAAAGAATAGGAGAAAACAGGTGGAAAGAAGTGATCAATAATTCAAAAAAAAATCTCCAGAACTAAGGGTCTTAAATGTCCAGCTAGGGCAGGAGCCTAAGGCAGGAGAATGCCTAGCACTTTCAAGGAACAGCAAGGAGGCCAATATGGCTAGAGTAGAGGGAGTGAAGGGGAGAGTTGAAGACAGGGAGGTCGGAGAGGTGACACGGGTGACAGACAAGTCCTGGCAAATTAAGGATTTGGGACTTTGACTCCGAATAAGTGAGGAATCTTCAGCATTTTGAGCTAGGAGTGATATGATTTGACTTACATTTTGAGACATTTTATTTTGAAAGTATAGATTCACAGGAAGTTGCAAACATAGCTCAGAGAGGTCCCATGTTCACCCATTTTGCTCTGATGGATGGATCTTACACAATTATAGTACAATACAAAACAGGAAGTTTACATTTTTGTGTTATGTATTGTTCTGTGTCATTTTATCATATATATAGATTCATGTAACCTCCACTATCAAGATACAACACTATTCCATCCGCAAATATCTTCTTTCTGCTTCCTCGTTATAGTTATACACTCTACTTCCCCCACAACTATCTCTAATCCCTGCCAACCAATCATCTTTTTTCTATCTCTGTAATTTTGTCGTTTCCAAAATATTGTATAAATGCAATTATGTACTAAACTGTATTGTAAAATTAGCTTTTTTCATTCAGCATTATGATCCTGAGACTCATCCAAGTTGTTGCATGTATCAATAGTTTCTTTTTGGTTGCTGAGTAGTATCTGATGGCATGGATGTACCACAGTTTAACCATTTACCTATGGACATATAGTATGTGACCTTTAGGGCCTGGCTTTTTTCACTCCACATAATGCCCTTGAAGTCCATACAAGTTGTTGTGTGCTTCAGGACTCATTCCTTTTTATTGCTGAGTAGTATTCCATGGTAGGGATGTGCCAGACTTTCTCTATTCATTCGCCTGCTGGTGGATATTTTGGTTATTTTCAGTTTTTTGCTATTACAAATAAGGCCAGGCACAGTGGCTCATGCCTGTAATCCCAGCACTTTGTGAGGCCGAGGCGGTCAGATCGCTTGAGGTCAGGAGTTTGAGACCAGCCTGGGCAACATGGCAAAACCCCGTCTCTACTAAAAATACAAAAATTAGCGGGTGTGGTGGCGCCCACCTGTAATTCCAGCTACTCAGGAGGCTGAGGCAGGAGAATCGCTTGAACCCAGGAGATGGAGGTTGCAGTAAGCCGAGATTGTGCCACTGAACTCCAGCCTGGGCGACAGAGAGAGACTCTGTTTCAAAAACGAACAAACAAACCCCACAAATAATACTGCTGCAAGCATTTGTGTACAGGTTTCTATGCAGACATATATTTTCATTTCTTTAAGATAAATGCCCAGGAGTGGGATTGCTGGGTCATATCGTAAATGTACGTTTAGTTTTTTAGGAAACTGTTTTCAGGGTGGCTGTACCATTTTGTTCTTAACAGCAATATATGACAGATGCAGTTTCTCCTCAGTCTTGCCAGCATTTGGGATTGTCACTATTTTTTACTTTAGCTATTCTAATAGGTGTGTAGAGATATCTCACTGGAGTCACAATTTGCTTTTCCCTAATGGATAATGACATTGAACATCTTTTCATGTGCTCGTTTGCCATCATATATCCTCTTCAGTGAAATGTCTCTTCATGACTTTTGACTGTTTTTTAAATGTCGAGTTTGGAGAATTTGTATATATACCCTAGATATGAGTCCTTCGTCAGATATGTGGTTTACAAATATTTTCTCTCAGTTGGTAGCTTGCTTTTTTATCCTCTTACCAGTGTCTTTCATAGCATGAAATTTTGATGAAGTCCAATTTATCGATTTTTTTCTTTTATGGACATGGTTTTGGTGTCATGTCTAAAAACTCTTCACCAAGCCCTAGGTCCTGAAGATTTTCTCCTATGTTATTTTGTAAGAGTTTTATAATTTATGTTTTACACTTCAAGTTATAATTCAAATAAAACATTCAACATTCTCTGTTTCTCAAGTACCACTTAAATTGAAATCTGGAAACATGGTTATTTCTGGATTTTCTATCTATTACATTGATCTATGTGTCTATCTCTTCACTAATAGCACACAGTCTTGATCACTGTGGTTCCGGTGTTCCTTGGCTTGTGGCTGCATAACTCCAATCGCTGCCTCCATCTTCATATGGCCTTCTCCTTTGTATCTGTGTCTTCTCTGCTTCTACGTCTTATAAGGAAAGTTGCCATTGGATTTAGGGTTCATCCAGATAATCTAGGATGATCTAATCTCAAGATTCTTTTTTTTTGAGACGGAATCTCACTCTGTTGCCCAGGCTGGAGTGCAGTGGCACAATCTCAGCTTATTGCAACCTCCGCCTCCCAGGTTCAAGCAATTCTCTTGCCTCAGCCTCCCGAGTAACTAGGATTACAGGCGTGCACCACCACACCCTGCTAATTTTTGTATTTTTAGTAGAGACTGGGTTTCACCATGTTGGCCTGGCTAGTCTCGAACTCCTGACCTCAGGTGATCCACCTGCCTTAGCCTCCCAAAGTGCTGGGATTACAGGCATGAGCCACCGTGCCTGGCCTCATCTCAAGATTCTTAATCACATTTGCAAAAATCATTTTACTGAATAAAGTCATATTCACAAGTACCAGGGATTTGGATGTGGACAAATATTTTTGGGGCCCAACATTCAACCTACTACAGCTATTCTAGTTCTTGTGCCTTTCCATACAAACATTAGAATAATCTTTTGTATATCTACAAAAAATTGGGCTGAAAGTTTTGACAGGAATTGCATGAAACCTGTGTGTCAATTTGGGAGAATTAATATCCTTACTATGTTGAGTCTTCTAACCAACGAACACAGAATATCTCTCTATTTAGATCTTTCTTTCATTAGCATTTAGCATTTTGTAGATATCAGCATACAATTCCTGTGCAAATTTTGTTATATTTACACCTAAGCATTACATTTTTTAGTGATTGTACATTTTTAGTTTGCATATTTTTACATATTTTTAATTTCAGCTTCCAGGTGTTGATTGCTTAGTACAGAGAAATACAATGGGGGGAGGTCACTATATGTTAATCTTGTATCCTGTCGCCTTGCTGAAGTCACTTAGTTCCAGGAATTTTTTTTTGTAGATTATTGGGATTTTCTATATAAACAATCATTGTATCTGCAAATAAGAACAGTTTTATTTCTTCTCTTTCAATATGTATGCCTTTTATTTAATTTTCCTTACTAATTGGTCTGGCTATGTCTTCTATACTAAGTTGAATAGTATATCAGACATCCTTACTTGTTCCTGATCTTAGGACCAGTAAATATGTTAGTTATAGCTTTTTTGTAGATGTTTCTAATTCAGCTTAGAAAGTTGTTACAGGGCCGGGCGCAGTGGCTCACACCTGTAATCCCAGCACTTTGGGAGGCCGAGGTAGGCGGATCACTTGAGGTCAGGAGTTCAAGACCAGCCTGGCCAACATCGGAAGACCCTGTCTCTACTAAAAATACAAAAATTAGCTGGGCGTGGTGGCAGGTGCCTGTAATCCCAATTACTTGGGAGGCTGTGGTGGGAGAATTGCTTGAACCCGGGAGGCGGTGGCTGCAGTGAGCCAAGATCACACCACTGCACTCCAGCCTGGGCGACAGAGCAAGACTCCGTCTGAAAAAAAAAAAAGAAAGTTGTCATGGACTAAATGTTTGTGTCCCCCAAAGACTCATATGTTGAAGCTCTAACCCCCAGTGTGATGGTGTTAGGATGTTAGATGTTGGGAGATAATTTGGTTTAGATGAGGTCATGAGGGAGGGATCCTCATGACGGGATTAATATTCTTCTAAGAAGAGAGAAGAGTAAAGTTGTCTCTCACTCCCCCCTCTCCACCATGTAAGGACATAGCAGAAGGCAGCTGTTTGCAAGCTGGAAAGAGAACCCTCACCAGAGCCCGACCATACTGACACCCTTATCTCAGACTTTCCAGCCTTCCACACTGTGAAAAATAAATGCCTATTGTTTAAGCCACCCAATCTATAGTATTTTGTTACAGAAGCTTGAGCTGACTAAGACAATTCTCCTCTATTCCAATTCTCCTCTATTTTTTAGTTTTTATTATGAATGGGTATTGAATTTTGTCAAATGCTATTTTCTGGATCAATTTATATGATGATGCAATTTTTCATTTTCACCTGATTTATGGTGGATTACATTGGTTGATTTTCAATTATGGAACCAACCTTGCATCCTTGGAATGAACGCACTTGGTCATGGTGCATTATTCTTTTTATATAGTGCTGAATTCTATTTGCTAATATTTTGGTAAGAATTTTTGTGTCTATATTTACAAGGGACATTGGTGTCCTCATACTATCTGATTTTGGTATAAGTATAATAATGGCTGAACACAATGAGTTGGAAAGTGTTTCCTCCTCTTCTGTTTTCTGGAAGAGATTGTGTAGAATTGTTACTTAAAGTGTCTGTTAGAATTATCTAGTGAAACCATCTGTGCCTGAAGATTTGGGTGGTGGGGGTGCTTAGGGGAGTTAAATAAGATTAAATTTCCTTAATAGTTATATGGCTATTCAAATATCTATTTCATGTTAAGTGAGTGGTGACAGTTTGTACTTTTTGAGGATTTGGTCCATTGTTCTAAGTTGTTGATTTAAACAAGCCACTACATTCCCTTAAGCCAAAGCCTAATCCAGAGCAAGGCCCTAATTCTCTTCAATTCTACGAATGCTGAGAGAGGTCAAGAAGCTACAGAAGAAAAGTCGGAAGCTAACAGGGATTGGTTCCTGTGGTTTAAGAAAAGCCATCTCCATAACATAAAAATGCAAGGTAAAGCAGCAAGTGCTGATGCAGAAGCTGCACACATTGTCTAGGAGGTCTAGCTAAAACAATTGATGAAGGTGGGGACACTAAACAATCGATTTTTGATGTAGATGAAACAGCTTTACATTGAAAGAAAATGCCATCTAGGACTTTCATAGCTAGAGAGAAGGCAGTGCCTGGCTTCAAAGCTTCAAAGGACAGGCTGACTCACTTGGTAGAGGCTAATGCAGCTGGTGACTTTAAGTTGAAGCCGATGCTCATTTACCATTCTGAAAATCCTAGGGATCTTAAGAATTATGTTAAATCTACTCTCCCTGTGCTCTATAAATGGAAAAAATAAAAGGCTATATGACAACACATCTGTTTAAAGCATGGTTAACTGGATATTATAAGTCCACTGTTGCAACCTACTGCTAAGAAAAAAAATATTCATTTCAATATATTACTGCTCAATGACAATGCACCCAGTCACCCATGAGCTCTGATGAAAATGTACAAGATTAACGTTGTTTTCATGCCTGCTAATACAACATCCATTCAGCAACCCGTGGATCAAGGAGTAATTTCAACTTTCAAGTCTTATTATTTAGGAAATACATTTTGTAAGGCTATAGCTGTCGTAAATACTGCCTCCTCTGATGGATCTGGAAAAATAAACAGAAAACCTTCTGGAGAGGATTCACCATTCTAGATGCCATTAAGAACATTTGTGATTCATTGGAGGAGATCAACATATCAACCTTAACAGGAGTTTGGAACAAGTTGATTCCAACCTTCATGGATAATTTTGAGGAGTTCATGAAAGAAGTAACTGCAAAGGTGGTAGAAATAGCAAGAGAATTATAATTAGAAGTGGAGGCCAGGCACAGTGGCTTATGCCTGTAATTCCAGCACTTTGAGAGGCTGAAGCAGGGGGATTGCTTGAGCCCAGGAACTCAAGACCAGCCTGGGCAACATAGGGAGACCTCATCTCTACAAAATATTTTTAAAAACTTAGCTGGGCACAGTGGTTCCAGCCTATGGTTCCAGCTACTCAGGAGGCTGAGGTAGGAGGATTGCTTGGGCCCTGGAAGTTAAGACTGTAGTGAGCCATGTTTGCACCACTGCTCTCCAGCCTAAGCAACAGAGCAAGACCCTGTTTCAAAAAAAAAAAAGAAGTGGAGCCTGATGATATGACTGAATTGCTGCAATCTCATGATCAAACTTGAACAGATAGGGACTTACTTCTTATGCATGAGCGAAGGAAGTGGTGTTTTGAGATGGAATCTACTCCTAGTGAAGATACTGTGAACATTGTTGAAATTACAACAAAGGATTTAGAATATATTACATAAACTCGGTTGATAAAGCAGCAGCAAGGTTTGAAAAGATTGACTCTAATTTTGAAAGAAGTCCTAGTATGGGTAAAATGCTATCAAACAGCATCACATGTTACAGAGAAATCTTTCGTGAAAGGAAGAGTTAACTGATGTGGCAAACTTCACACTGTTATCTTATTTTAAGAAATTGTCTAGGCTGGGTGCTGTGGCTCATGTCTGTAATCCCAGCACTTTGGGAGGCCGAGGTGGGTGGATCACGAGGTCAAGAGATCGAGACCATCCTGGCCAACATGGTGAAACCCTGTCTGTGCTAAATAAAATACAAAAATTAGCCGGGCATGGTGGTGAGTGCCTGTAGTCCCAGCTACTTAGAAGGCTGAGGCAGGAGAATCGCTTAAACCCAGGAGGCAGAGGTTGCAGTGAGCTGAGATCGCACCATTGCACTCCAGCCTGTGTGACAAGACCGAAACTCCATCTCAAAAAAAAAAGAAAGAAAGAAATTGTCACAGCTACCTCAGCCTTCAGCAACCACCACCCTGATCAATCAGCAGCCATCAACATTTGAAGCAAGACCTTCCACCAAGAAGCAGATCATGACTTGTTGAAGGCTCTGGTGATCAGCAGCAATTTTTAGCAATAAAGTATTTTTAATTAAGATATGTACATTGTAGGCCAGGCACCATGGCTCACGTCTGTAATCCTAGCACTTTGGGAGGCTGAGGCCAGGCTGATCACCTGAGGTCGGGAGTTTGAGACCAGCCTGACCAACAGGGAGAAACCCCATCTCTACTAAAAATACAAAATTAGCCGGGCCTGGTGGTGGATGCCTGTAATCCCAGCTACTCGGGAGCCTGAGGCAGGAGAATCACTTGAACCCAGGAGGTGGAGGTTGCGGTGAGCCGAGATCACGCCATTGCACTCCAGCCTGGGTAACAAGAGCGAAACTCCGTCTCAAAAAAAAAAAAAAAAGATATGTACTTTTTTTTCTTTTTTTTTATTGAGACGGAGTCTCACTTTGTCGCCAGGCTAGAGTGCAGTGGCACGATCTGGCTCACTGCAACCTCTGCCTCCCAGGTTCAAGTGATTCTCCTGCCTCAGCCTCCCAAGTAGCTGAGATTACAGGCACATGCCACCACACCAGGCTAATTTTTGTAGTTTTAGTAGAGATGGGGTTTCACCATGTTGGCCAGGATGGTCTCGATCTCCTGACCTCGTAATCTGCCTGCCTCGGCCTCCCAAAGTGCTGGGATTACAGGGGTGAGCCACCGTGCCTGGCCACATTGTTTTTGACAGAATGTTATTGCATACTTAATAGACTACAGTATAGTACAAACATAACTTTTATAAGCTTTATTTAGATATTGATTTTATTACAGTGGGTATGGAACCACACCCCTAATATCTGTGAGGTATGCCTGTATTGCCTTATCTTCCTTTTGATGTCTGCAAAGTCTGTAGTGATATTCCATTTCATTCCTGACATTAATAATCCGTTTCTTCTTTTGTTCTTTGTCAGTCCTGCTAAAGGTTCGTCAACTTTAATAAATTTTGTCAGAGAACCTGCTTTTGATTTTTCTCTGTTTTTCTGTTTTCAACTTCACTGATTTCTACTCTTTATTATTTCTATCCTTTGGCTTGGTTTTGGTTTATTTTGGTCTCCTTTTGTTTAGCTTCTTGAGGTGAGATTTGAAAGTTTTCTAAGTAAATTCTTAGTGCTATAAATAATCTCTCTCAGCACTGCTTCAACTGCATCCCACAGATTTGGAAATGTTGTATTTTCATTTTCATTCAGATCTATGTACTTATTTTTATTTATTTATTTTTAGACAGGGTCTTGCTATGTTGACTAGGTTGGTCTTGAACTCCTGGCCTCAAGCAATCCTCCTGCTGCCTTGGTGTCCCAAAGTGCTAGGATGAGAGATGTGAGCCACCACGCCAGCCTGTACTTTTTTATTGAGATATAATTCTCATACCATGAAATTCATCATTTTAAAGGTCACAATTCCACAATTCCACCTTTTTTTTTTTTTTTTTTTTTTTTTTTAAACAGAGTCTTGCTCCGTCACCCAGGCTAGAGTGCAGAGGCACAATCTCGGCTCACTGCAACCTCCGTCTCCCGGGTTCAAGCGATTCTCCTGCCTCAGCCTCTTGAGTAGCTGGGATTACAGGCCCACACCACCATGCCCAGCTAATTTTTATGTTTTTAATAGAGATGGGGTTTCACCATGTTGGCCGGGCTGGTCTCAAACTCCTGACCTCAAGTGTTCCACCCACCTCAGCCTCCCAAAGTGCTGGAATTACAGGCATGAGCCATGGCACCTGGCCAGGGTAATGCTTTTTTATCCACTGTCAACCTCTTTTAATTTGTGAATTTAGACCATTTACACCTAATTATTGATATATTATGAGTGAATTGCTTGATGACTTGTGATTTTATAAAAGAAAAAAATAAGGGTGAAGTGTGCCATTTTATTTGTATTTTCTGTTTAAACTGTTTTTCGTTTCTCTGCTTTATCTGTCTTCCTGATGGTTACTTGAACATTTTTCAGAAATCCATTCTTATTTATCTATAGTAATTTTATGCAAAACAAAATCATACACATTTATTTACAGATCACAATACAGCAAAATGTAAATGAAATCTGAGAAAATTCTTCATTTTTCTGATTGAAAATATAAAATAGAATTTCTTCAGAAAAAAGATTTACATAAAATTTACTTCGCCTCATGGTTTACGCTCTAAGAGTAAATTTTATAAAAATCAGCAACCAGTCTTCTTTTATGTTTAAAATGAACATGATAAATATAAATAACTTACATTTATGTAGTAGTAAAAAACGTTAATAATTCTTTTTAAGAAGGAAACTATTTCATTTCTACCCAGCTTGGATTCACCATAAATGCAATCTGTAAATGATATTAGAATCTGTAAAGTCCCCTTGTTGCACTCACTTTTTTTCTGTGCCCTAACTGAAAATTACAGAGTGCCCTGACCCACTCAACTGCAGCTTTCTCCCAGCAAGCTTGAACCCAAACTGGGCCTTGAACATTCCCAGACACTGATAAAGGTATTATCTAGGTTGTCCAAAACACTGAAAGAAACTGGCCCTGGCCTTGAACCAAATTCCTTAAACTCTTATGTAAATTCCATACCCTGATGTACTGGTTTATAACCTTGGTTGATAAAGCAGCAGCAAGGTTTGAAAAGACTGACTCCAATTTTGAAAGAAGTTCTACTGTGGGTAAAATGCTATCAAACAGCACTGCATACTACAGAGAAATATTTCATGAAAGGAAGAGTTAACTTACTTGGCAAACTTCACTGTTGTCTTAAGTAATCCCAGCACTTAGGGAGGCCGAGGCAGGCAGATCACTTGAGGTCAGGAGTTTGAAACCAGCCTGGCCAACATGGTGAAACCCTGTCTCTACTAAAAATACAAAAAGTAGCTGGGCATGATGGCATGCACCTGTAATCCCAGCTACTCTGGAGTTTGAGGCAGGAGAATCACTTGAACCCAGGAGTCGGAGGTTGCAGTGAGCCAAGATCCTACCACTGCACTCCAGCCTGGGTGACAGACGGAGACTCTGCCTAAAAAAAAAAAAAAAAAAGAAAGAAAGAAAGAAAAAGAAAGAAATTGCCACAGCTACCTCAGCCTTCAGCAACCACCACCCTGATCAGTCAGCAGCCATCAACATTGAAGCAAGACTTTTGATGCAGACATTCGCAGGTAGAACACTCCTTTTCTCTCGCTGTCTGTTGTGAGGATTGCTGCAGCACTCTAAGTTCCTCTAATAAATGCTTTGGACTGATCACTTTGGTATTTAGTGCTTCTTTCTTTAGCATCCCAACCAGCCCTCAGGACAGCTTGAGGTGCTCCCTTGTGTGAACTCCAGCCACAGGTTCAGCATCACAGAACAGAACCTCATCCAAAGTATAAATTTGCCACATTTAGGAAAGTTTCAGAATTTCTTTCTTTCTTTCTTTCTTTTTTTCTTTTTTGAGACAGAGTCTCACTCTGTCTCCCAGGCTGAGTACAATGGCAAGTTTCGGCTCACTGCAACCTCCACCTCCCAGGTTCAAGCGATTCTCCTGCCTCAGCCTCCCAAGTAGCTAGGATTACAGGCACGTGCCACCACGCCCGGCTAATTTTTGTATTTTTAGTAGAGACTGGGTTTCACCATGTTGGTCAGGCTGGTCTCAAACTCCCAACCTCAGGTGATCCGCCCACCTTGGCCTCCAACCAAAGTGCTGGGATTACAGGCATGAGCCACCGTGCCTGGCCCTTGTTGAGGCATTTTTATGATGGCTCCTTTATACTTCTCAGATGATTTTATAATCTGTGTATAGTTGACCTTTGAACAATGCAGGGTTAAGGGCAACAACCATAACCCCCCACACAGTCAAAAATCTGTTCATAACTTTTGACTGCCCCAAAACTTAATATATATTTTGTATATGTATTATATACAGTATTCTTAAAATAAATTAAGCTAAAGAAAATGTTATTAAGAAAATCATAAGAGAAAATATATTTACTATTTATTAAGTGGAAGTGGATCATCATAAAGGTCTGCATTCTCTTTTTTTTTTTTTTTTTTGTTTTTGTTTTTGTTTTTTTGAGATGGAGTTTCGTTCTGGTTGCCCAGGCTAGAGTCCAATGGCACAATCTCGGCTCACTGCAACCCCCGCCTCCCAGGTTCAAGCGATTCTCCTGCCTCAGCCTCCCGAGTAGCTGGGACTACAGGCATGCGCCATCACACTCGGCTAATTTTGTATTTTTAGTAGAGACGGGGTTTCTCCATGTTGGTCAGGCTGGTCTCAAACTCCCAACCTCAGGTGATCCCCCCGCCTCGGCCTCCCAAAGTGCTGGGATCACAGGCGTGAGCCACCACGCCTGACTGCATCCTCTTTGTCTTCACATTGAGTAGGCTGAGGAAGAGGAAGAGGAAGAGGACAGGCTGATTTTGCTGTCTCAGAGGTGGCACAAGCGGAAGAAAATCCATATATAAGTGAACCTGCACAGTTCAAACCCATGTTGTTCAAGGGTCAACTGTATCTTGGTGTTCACATCTGTTGATTGTCTTTCCTCATTCAATTTGAGATCTTCCTGATCCTTGGTATGATGAGCAACTTTTTATTGAAACCTGGATATTTGGGGTATTATGTTATAAGACTCTGGAATTCAGTAAAATCTTCTGAGTTGAACTCCTTTGAGCAGAGTCTGGCAGGAAAAGGTGTGGTGCTACCTCATTAATGCCAGATGGAGGTAGAAGTTCATGTTCTCCACTTGGCTTTCTCTGACACCACCTCAGTGAGTGGAGGGACATTTGAGCACCTCAACACAGCCTGGAGACTCTAGGCTCTTCTCTCAGTGAGGGTGGGGGTGGAGCCAGAGTTTTTCCACTGTGTGTGGCTGGAGTACAATGGTCATTATCTAAGTTTTCTGCGTTGCCAGGCTGCCCCTTTCTTGGTCCTTTATCTGGAGAAAGGCTATTTTTTTGGTCTGCATCTGTTGGTGTTTGTGGGTTGCAGGCTTCTCCAGTATCCAGTCTAGTATGTATGAGACAAAAAGAAAACCAAAGAACTCACCAATGTGTTGTTTCTTGGGTCCCAATGTCCGTAGTTGTTCTGCCTTCTCTCCACCTTTCAAAGTCTTATGTTTGATTGATTGATTGGTTGATGAAACGGGGTCTCACTTTGTTGCCCAGGCTGGAGTGGGGTGGTGAGATCATGACTCACTGCAGCCTTGACCTCCTCGGGCTCCAGTGATCCTCCCACCTCAGCCTCCTGAGTAGCTGGGACTACAGGCGTGTGCCACCATGCCCAGCTAATTTTTGTATTTTTTGTAGACACGGGGTTTCTCCTTGTTGCCCAGTCTGGTCTCGAACTCCTGGGCTCCAGCGATCCACCTGCCTCAGTCTCTCAAAGTGCTGGGATTTACAGGCATGAGCCACTTCATCTGGCCGTGTTTGTTTTATATATAATATCTAGAGTTTTTAGTTATACTTAGTGGGCAAAATAGGAAAAAGTATGTCTACTCCATCTTCTCAGAAGTGGAAGGCCAAGGTAGTTAGTAGCAGCAGAGATGGTGAAAAGATGTCAGAGTCTGCAAATATTTTTAGGTAAATCCAACAGGATTTGCTTTGTGAAAGGAAAATATCATGGGGCCCCAAAATCACTAAGCTAAAGGGAAAAATAAAGCTGGGAACTGCTGAGGGCAAACCTGCCTCCAATTCTATTCAAAGTCACCCGCCTGCTCACTGAGATAAATGCATATCTGATTGCCTCCTTTGGAGAGGCTCATCAGAAACTCAAAAGAATGCAACCATTTGTCTCTTATCTACCTACAACCTGGAACCCCCCTTCCCTGGTCCAGTTGTGCCGCCTTTCCAGACCGAACCAGTGTTCATCTTACATATGTTGATTGATGTCTCATGTCTCCCTAAAATGTATAAAACCAAACTGTGTTCTGACCACCTTGGGCACATGTCATCAGGACTTCCTGAGGCTGTGTCACAGGCATGCATCCTCAACCTTGGCAAAATAAACTTTCTAAATTAACTGAGACCTGTCTCAGATTTTTGGGGTTCACAGCTTACAGCTTGGATATGAAGTGTGAGAAAGGGCTGAATTAAGGATTCTCAAGGTTTTTGGCTTTCACAACTGGAAGGATGAAGTTGCCATCTACTAATATGAGGGAGGCCGAGAGAAAAACAGGTTTGGGAACAGATGATTAAGAGTTAAGTTTTGGATATATTTCCAAGTGAAAATATTGAATAGGCAACTGTATGTTACATCCCCCTGACCTTTCCCTATTTATTCCTTCTGCAACTACAATTACTCATTTGTGAAATCATCCCATTCTGTCAGAGGCGTGTGAACCAGAGCAACTCCATCTTAAATAGGAGCTGGGTAAAATGAGGCTGAAACCTACCGGGCGGCATTCTCAGACAGTTAAGGCATTCTAAGTCAAAGGATGAGATAGGAGGTCGGCACAAAATACAGGTCATAAAGACCTTGCTGATAAAACAGGTTGCAGTAAAGGAGCCTGCCAAAACCCACCAAAACCAAAACGGCGACGAGAGTGCCCTCTGGTCGTCCTCACTGCTACACTCCCAGCAGCGCCATGACAGTTTACAAATGCCATGGCAACGTCAGGAAGTTACTGTATATGGTCTAAAAAGGGGAGGCATGAATAATCCACCCCTTGTTTAGCGCATCATCGAGAAATAAACAGAGGCCAGGCGCAGTGGCTGTAATCCCAGTACTTTGGGAGGCCAAGGTGGGCAGATCACCTGAGGTCAGGAGTTCGAGGGCAGCCTGGCCAACATGGTGAAACCCTGTCTCTACTAAAAATACAAAAAATTAGCCTGGTGTGGTGGCAGGCGCCTGTAATCCCAGCTACTTGGGAGGCTGAGGCAGAAGAATCACTTGAACTCGGGAGGCAAAGGTTGTAGTGAGCCAAGATCCCGCCACTGCACTCCAGCCTGGGTCGCAGAGTGAAGCTCCGTCTCAAAAAATAATAATAATAAAAAATAAAAAAAAGACAAGAGAGAGAGAAATAACCATAAAAATGTGCAACCAGCAGCCATCAGGGCTGCTCTATGGAGTAGCCATTCTTTTATTCCTTTACTTTCTTAATAAACTTGCTTTCACTTTGCACTGAGGACTCGCCCTGAATTATTTCATGTGCAAGACCCAAGAACCCTCTCTTGGGGTCTGGATCAGGACCCCTTTCCTGTAACACATTTTTCTGTCTTGTAACATATTTCTGGCGACCACAGAAAGGGCTATAGTGCAGAAACCCTGACTCAATGGCTACCTTTGGGTAAGTATTGGGGTTCTGTAACATATTTCTGGCGACCCACGGAAGGGACGATACTGAGAAGACCCCCGACCCAAAGGAAAATCATCTGCATGCACCAGTTGGCTGACTTTAGGTAAGTGGGGTGCATATACCCGAGTAAAGAATGGGATTGGGGCAGGGCATGGTGGCTCATGCCTGTAATCCCAGCACTTTGGGAGGCCGAGGCGGGCAGATCACCTGAGGTCGGGAGTTCGAGACCAGCCCTACCAACAGAGAAACCCCGTCTCTACTAAAAATAGAAAATTAGCCGGGTGTGGTGGTGCATGCCTGTAATCCCAGCTACTTGGGAGCCTGAGGCAGGAGAATCGCCTGAACCCGGGAGGCGGAGGTTGCGGTGAGCTGAGATCATGCCATTGCACTCCAGCCTAGAAAACAAGAGCAAAACTGTGTCCCCACCCCCCTCAAAAAAGCCCAATTTAGGGGAGTTAGAGTCTCTCCTAAGACAGAGTGGGTTAGAGGCTCCTCTTAATAAACGGCAAGGACGCTTGACCGACCTTGGGTTAGAGGCCCAATTTAGGAGGGTGAGAGTCCCACTCGGTAAAGTCCCTCTTGGCTAAGAACAGGTTCCACACTATGGGATGTTAACTGCTATTCTCTTTGGATTAATCTGCCTTGCATTCTTTGCTGATGCCTATGGGTGACAGGGTTAGGCCTGTACAGGACTGTGGGACATGGGGAGCTTTTTTTCCTCCCTAAAAGGGGAAACCTTGAGAGCTGACAGGACTGCTGGAAAAACCCTTGCCTGAACTTTTCAGTGTCTCGGCAATTGGTAGGTCTTTCTCTGGCCTCCCTGATCATTTTGCTTTCCCCCTCACTCATCTTTCCCTTTTTTTTTTTTGACAGAGTCTTGCTCTGTGCCCAGGCTGGAGTGCAATGGCACATCTCAGCTCACTGCAACCTCCGCCTCCTGAGTTCAAGCGATTGTCCTCCCTCAGCCTCCCAAGTAGGTGGGATTACAGGCTCACACCACCACGCCCAGCTAATTTTTGTATTTTTAGTAGAGACGGGGTTTCTCCATTTTGGCCAGGCTGGTCTCGAACTCCTGACTTCAAGTGATCCGCCTGCCTCAGCTTCCCAAAGTGTTGGGATTACAGGCATGAGCCACCGCACCCGGCCTGCCTTTCCCTTTCTTTTCTGTTACTCAGGGCAACCATCTTGCCCAGAGACCATGTGTTGAAACTCCAAGCCAGAGGTTGGATTAAAGATGACGGGGCCCATCTGGGGGCAAATTTAAGCCTTGCCAGTTTGATATTGGGTGCTAAGCAGAGTGGCTAATGTCTCTGTTTTATCGCACGTAGCTTGCTCTGGCCAGAACAAAAAAAAATAATTTCCCTTTATGATGCAGCTTGGCCCCCAGGGCAATGGTGCCGCAAGCCGGATCACTAGAGCCACTCAGGGAAAGGGAACCCAGAAGCCTGGCATGCCGACGAAAGGGTAAGAATTTCTTACCAGTCAGATTTCTGGCTTCTCTCTCTCTGTGCAAATGGTTGAATGAATGGAAAAACAAAAAACAAAACAAAACGAAAACAAAAACAGGCCGGGCAAGGTGGCTCACGCCTGTAATCCCAGCACTTTGGGAGGCCGAGGTGGGTGGATCACAAGGTCAGGATTTTAAGACCAGCCTGGCCAACATGGTGAAACCCTGTCTCTACTAAAAAAAATACAAAAATTAGCCAGGCATGGTGGTGTGTGCCTGTAATCCCAGCTACTCGGGATGCTGAGGTGGGAGAATTGCTTGAATCTGGGAGGCAGAGGTTGCAGTGAGCTGAGCCACTGCACTCCAGCCTGCGTGACAGAGCAAGACTCTGTCTCAAACAACAACAACAACAACAAAAAAAAAACAGTGTTTATCTCCTCTGTAAAGTTTTGATTAATGCGAAAAAGAAGTCTAAGGTTAGGCCAGGGGTGGTGGCTCATGCCTGTAATCCCAGCACTTTGGGAGGCTGAGGTGGGCACATCACCTGAGGTCAGGAGTTCGAGACCAGCCTGGCCAACATGGTGAAACCCTGTCTCTACTAAAAATACAAAATTAGCCGAGCGTGGTGGTGCATGCGTGTAATCCCAGGTACTTGTGAGGCTGAGGAAGGAGAATCACTTGAACCTGGGAGGCGGAGGTTGCAGTGAGCCGAGATCGTGCCATTGCACTCCGGCCTGGACAACAAGAGTGAAACTCCTTCTCAAAAAAAAAAAAAAAGAATTAGAATTCTAAGTCTAGTCTTAAGCTGGTGTATTTTGTGCCATGAATTCGTTTTTCTGTGTCAAGGGGATACTTTAGGATAAAACGTGGGTTTAGAACACCTGTAAGCCCGCTTTTCAAGACAGCCCAGCAAGCTGGTCAGTAACAAACTTGGCTGCGGGTCCCTGAAACAAACAAAAAACTGGATGAAGTCTCCGCGTTCTTTTATGTCCTTGGGAGCTTGACCTTTCAACCACGTGGCGGTACTTTCTCTTGGTCTCCGCCTTTCAGGGAACAGGAATTTTAGGGTTCATGTCATAGTTAGCTCTAAAAATCATATTAAATAGTTAAAAGCCTTTGCAAGCTGAAAATTAACTACTCTAGACTCCGCCTGGGAAAGCAAACAGAGACTGCCCTGTGCTGTAGCTCTGTAGCTAAGGTCTTGCACTTTCACAGTTAGTGGTCCGGGTTCCATTCCCCACTAAGAAGTAAGTCATTTCTGGTTTAATATCTGTGTGACCTTGTTTATTCTCTTCTCCTCCTTGGAGTGTCTTAAATTTTCCTTTCTCTAAGCACCTAGGAGGTTACCTTTGGTAAAGTTCAGAAGCTAGAAATATTGGCCACTTGGCATGGCTAAAGTCGGATAATAAGAGATCTGAAAGGATTTCTTTTTTAGAGAGTACTATTGTTAAAAGTCAGCTTAATTAAAAGTGAATATAGATATAGATATATCCAAGCTATAGATATATTTAAAAGGCCTTTCTGTTTTTCTCTTCTTGAAACTTGTTTTTCTGGAAAAAGTTTTTTTCTTCTCAGTCAACTGAATTATTTTTCTCCATTTTTTTTTTTTGTCTTGCCACTCTTAATGCACACACGAGAGGCCCTAAGATAACTCTGGTAGCCTGGGACTCCTTGGGAAAAACAGAGGAGGCGCCACAGACTCCATTTTGGGAAAAAACCTCTGTTTTCCTCATGAAACTCCAGGAATTAAAAGCAAATAGATCCCTCTCAAAATCAAAGGCCCTCTTCTGTTTTGCATTGTGTTATCTGATGGTTTTGAGTTTTGTGGGTATCAGAAATTACTCTGCATTATGAGAGAGCTTCGGTGTATAATAACTAGGTAGGAAATATGCTTTAAGGGATGGCTAATAGTACTTATAGAGGGATACTTGACTCTGCACACTTGGATCAGAGAAGCATGTTCTTGGCCACCTGGAAGATAAGGAAACATCCCCACCCCCCACTGGGAGATGAGACTCCCATGAGGGATGGGCTGATTACAAAATGGGCTGATTGGCTTTGGGTTGCCTTGCAATGAGATGCAAGGTAGAAGCACTGCACTGTCTTCTGTGGTATTTCCCTCCTTTTGGGGATCCAGGAACCATTATAAAATGGCACCCTTAATTTTGGGGATCTGTATTTGCCTTCAGCTGCTTATTTGCTGCTTATTTGGCTCTGGAAACTGCATGCTTTCCTGGCCCTGTTCCTCCAAGGGCTCCGCCCTGAAGCCAGTCATACAATTAAGAAAATGGCAAATGAAAAATCTTACAAGTGCTGAATCTTCTGTCTGTGTATTTATATGTGTTGTTTGTTTATATATAAAAGAGCTCTAATTAATTGGCTTAGAAAAATAAGCTCTTAAATCAAATATTTTGTCAGAAAAAATAGAAGCTTTAATGCCTTTTTGTTCATGTGACTTTAGTAATCTTTTGGAAATAAAGACAGTTTTAAAGATTATTGGTTGGGTGGGTGCAGTGGTTCACGCCTGTAATGCCAGCACTTTAGGAGGCCAAGGAGGGTGGATCACCTGAGGTCAGGAGTTGAAGACCAGCCTGGCCAACATGGTAAAACCCTGTCTCTACTAAAAATACAAAATTAGCCCGGCGTGGTGGCGGGTGCCTGTAATCCCAGCTACTCGGGAGGCTGAGGCAGGAGAATCACTTGAACCCGGGAGGCAGAGGTTGCAGTGAGCAGAGATCACGCCATTGCACTCCAGTGTGGGCGACAGAGAGAGACTCCATCTCAAAAAAAAAAAAAAAAAAAAAAAAAGATTACTGGTAAAATAAAATGTCTTGAAAATGTAGACATTTGGTCTAAATTGAGGTCAGATATCAGATTTGCTAAATGCTTTAAAATCAAACTGTTTCATTGACTTTTGAAACTTGTTCAATTTACCTACCTTAACTCCATTAGATTCTAGATAAGGCCTGGGGACATGTGGAGTTAGCCACACCCCCTTGGAATAACTACTTATTTTGCTTTACTCTTGTGGAATATATTGCTGCTATACTCTGTGTAGGAATACAGGACGAACTTACTGAATGTTTTCTTAAACACATATTAATCTTCCAGATATCACCTTTTGTTGAAACTCAAGAGTTATGAATGGACCTTACCATAATGATGCTTTCTGACCGAGCTCCTCTCTACCCTGAATGCAAGAGACCCTCATAGTTAGGCAGGAATATCATGGCCCCTGCTCAACCTGAAGAAGTTACAGAAGATGGATCTTCATCCCTCTGAAACCCTTAGGATTAAGGGTTCTCTTATAAAAGGGAGGGGGGAAATGTCAGAGGCGTGTGAACCAGAGCAACTCTATCTTAAATAGGAGCTGGGTAAAATGAGGCTGAAACCTACTGGGCTGCATTCCCAGGCAGTTAAGGCATTCTAAGTCACAGGATGAGATAGGAGGTTGGCACAAAATACAGGTCATAAAGACCTTGCTGATAAAACAGGTTGCAGTAAAGAGCCGGCCAAAACCCACCAAAACCAAAATGGCGACAAGAGTGCCCTCTGGTCGTCCTCACTGCTACACTCCCAGCAGCGCCATGACAGTTTACAAATGCCATGGCAACGTTAGGAAGTTACCGTATGTGGTCTAAAAAGGGGAGGCATGAATAATCCATCCCTTGTTTAGCATATCATCAATAAATAACCATAAAAATGGGCAACCAGCAGCCCTCGGGGCTGCTCTATGGACTAGCCATTCATTTATTCCTTTTTTTTTTTTTTTTGAGACGCAGTCTTGCTCTTGTTGCCCAGGCTGGAGTGCAATGGCATGATCTCAGCTCACTGCAATCTCCCCCTCCTGGGTTCAAGTGATTCTCCTGCCTCAGCCTCCCAAGTAGCTGGGATTACAGGTGCCAGCCACCATGCCCAGCTAATTTTTTGTATTTTTAGTAGAGACAGGGTTTCACCATGTTGGCCAGGCTGCTCTCGAACTCCTGACCTCAGGTGACCCACCCGCCTCGGCCTCCCAAAGTGCTGGGATTACAGGCGTGAGCCACCGTGCTTGGCCTCCTTTACTTTCTTAATAAACTTGCTTTCACTTTGCACTGTGGATTTGCCCTGAATTCTTTCATGCGGGAGATCCAAGAACTCTCTCTTGGGGTCTGGATCGGGACCCCTTTCCTGTAACATATTTCTCTGTCCTGTAGCAATTCTATCCTCCACATATCCCAGCCTCTTATCTTTTGCCTCTTTTTAACTCTCTCTATTGCTATTTCCTGAGTAATTTCGTAAGATCTATCTTTCAGTTAAATGATCTCTTCAATAGTGTCTAATATCTATTTAACTCATTCATTAAGTTTTAAATTTCAATTATTGTGTTTTTCTTTTCTAGAAGTCTGCTTTGGTTCTTTTTTCAAATCTGCCTGTTCTTTTTTTCTCAATAGTGTTTGGTTCTTTTATGTTTTTATTTCTTCTTTTATGTACTTAATCATTTTATCATACTTTATTATCTCTATTAGGTTCTTCTGTTATATGAAGTTCATGGAAGTTTAATCTCGCTGTTTGTTGTGGCTCTTGCTTATTGTGGATTACTTCATTCATGTTCAACTTGGGGTTATCTATGAAAATCCTGTTCAGCCTTGCTTGTTAATCATGATTGTACTAACAGGTTTGGTATTTGCTTTTGCCAGATGCCCAGAGAGACCAATTTACCTGTTAATTTCACAAGTTGTAGGTTCTGGGACCACATAGGTAGTTTAGATGTGAACCAATCCGTACATTTAGAGTCTGTGCCTTTCTTTATATGTAGATTATACTTCAATTTAAAAGTACATAAAATCAAAAATCATTTTAAACCCTCAACAACATATCAGTTCAACCCAAATTGATCTACAGACTTAATGCAACTGCTTTCAAAATGCCAGCAAAGTATGTGTAGGCACAGAAAAACTTGTATTAAAATTTGTATGAAAAGGCACAGGTCCTAGAAGAGCCAAACAATCTTGAAAATGAAGAAAAAATGGGAGGAATCACTCTACGTGATAAGAATTCCTATATGGGTACAGTAATAAAAGCAGTATGGTATTGATGGAGAGATTGATACACAAGATTAACAGAACAGAATAGAGATTCCAGAAATGGACCCATACAAGTATGGCCACCTGATTTTTGGCAAAAGAACCTTGACCTAAAGCTCTTACAATGTACTAAAATTATCTAAAAATGTATCATAGACATAAATGTAAAAATTATTAAACTTTTAGAAGATAATATAAAATAAATTTTTCATGACCTAGGGTTAGGCAAAGAATTCTTAAACAGGGAAATCCATAAAATAAGTAAAATCAATACATTAGAATTTATCAAAATTTAGAACTTTTGCTCCATGAAAGACACTGATAAGAGAATGAAAAGAGAAGCTAAACACTGGGAGAAAATATATGCAAACCACATATCAAACAGAGGATTTATATCCTAAATAAATAAAAAGCTCTCAAAACTCAATTGTAACAAACAACCCAATTAAAAACATCAAAAGACTTGAACAGGCATTTTACCAAAGAAGATATATATAGAGATGGCAAATAAGCACAAGTATTATGTGGAAGTCATGTGGTTTATGTGAAATGACCTCACTCCCAACTCCAGAGGGTCCTTTTTTTCACCACAATGATTGCATCATATAATCCAGGCCTACATCAGTCAGTAGACGGAATTCCTGGGCCACAGGGATTGAGTCAGGGATAGTTCAACGGGAACAAAATTCAGGCCCTTTGAAAAATGATTGTGGAAAGTGACCATATCCCTATTTGTGGCAGGCAGCCATCTTGTGACCATGAAGAAGTATCCTGGAGACAAAGCTAACACACACAAAATAGGGCAGCACTGAGATCAGGACCACAGCTCTGATCAAACTGTGCCTAAAACTTACATACCTCTAGACTTATCAGTTACATGAGGCAATGTCCTATGCTTGACTCGCATTTTCTCTTACCTGCAACTGAAACATCTTTATGTCTACCACACTTAACAGTCAACATCCTTCCACACGTTACCTCCAGGGAACTTTTCATGGCTGGCAAATGCTCTTCTCTCTTTTCCTTTGAGCTCCTCCAGTCCCAAGAGTCTGAGTCACTCACCTTATCATTTCTCTCTCTCAGACAAACACACATATACATACACACACACCCCACACACACACACACCAAACCTCTGTGGCACTTTTGTGGTGTTTTCCCTAACTTTCCACCCTTCCCTTGGTTATAGCCCTGACCCTGGTACGATATAACATTCAACATTACACTGAATTGTGACTGTCAGTGCTTGTCTCCTCCTCCCCTGAAGACTGTTAGCTCCTGAGGGCCTGACAGTCCCTTGACTCAACTCCTTTCTGCTTCACTGTTTCATGCTTTGACCCAAAAAAGATGAGGCTTAGTAGGGAGAGAGGTGGAAGGGTGAAGGGCATCCATCCCTTTGTTTACTAACATTTGTGTGTCCCTCCCTAGTTACCTGCCTCCATGCCTTTGCTGGAGAGGAAGCCACCTAGGTTGACTCCACCTGGAATGTCTATTTTCACACATTCCAAATCCTACCCTTTCAAACTCAAGGCCAACTCTGGAAGGAGAAAGGGCTATGACTGACCAGGAAGGGACATGTGGGAACTTTCTGGGATTATGGTAGTGTTCTGTATCTTGATAGGGATGTGGGTTACACAGGTCTATACATTTGTCAAAACATGTGAAATTATACTCTTAAGATGTGTGCATTTATTTCATCGTATATTTTACCTTAAAAAAGATTCAAATATTGAACTCTAGTAAATGGCATGCATGCTGAAATGTTTAAAGGAATGTGTACACATGTCCAAAATTTTGAAATGCATAAAGCGTCGATACATGGGTATGCATATGTGATAAAGCCAAGTGTAGTAAAATACTAATTGTAGAATCTGGGTGGTGGATATATGGGTGTTCACAGTACAATTATTTTGACTTTTATGTCTGAAAATGGTCATCACAAAATGTTAGGGAAAAAAAATAAGAGATGTGGGTTAACATCTCTGGTCTCTGGTATCTTCATAGCCACAGACTTGGTTTATACCTCATTACATCTTTTTTTTTTTTTTTTTTTTTTTTTTTTTTTTTTGAGACAAGAGTTTTGCTCTTGTTGCCCAGGCTGGAGTGCAATGGCATGATCTCAGCTCACTGCAACCTCCACCTCCTGGGTTTAAGCGATTCTCCTGCCTCAGCCTTCCGAGTAGCTCGGATTACAGGCATGCGCCACCACGCCCGGCTAATTTTTTGTATTTTTATTAGAGACAGGGTTTCTCCATGTTGTTCAGACTGGTCTCTAAGTCCCGACCTCAGGTGATCTGCCCACCTCGGCCTCCCAAAGTGCTGGGATTACAGGCGTGAGCCACCGCACCTGGCCCTAGACCTCATTACATCTTAACTGGAATCTTGCAATCAACTTCACACTGGCCTCCAAGTTAGCCCACTGCAGTCTCTCCTCATCCCAAGGATCGCCAGAGAGAATCTTCCAAAACACTGGACTTCCGTGACCCAGTCCCTGCCAACCTCTTCAGCTTCATCCCTGACACTTGCTACCTTACTGCAGCCTGTACTCCAGCTCAACTCAAGGGCTTGTAGTTCCACTCACACACCAGGCTACTTTATGACTTTCTAAGTTTGCTCATGCTGTTCCTTTTGCTTGGAATGCTTTTTTCCAACTCATCCTCTGCCCTCTTTGCCTGGTGAGTGCTCTTCAAACTTAATCCAGGCATTACATCTTCCCAGAAGCATTTCTGGCCACTCAAACTGGGTTCGGTCTCCTTCTTTCATGCTCCCATAGCACCTCAAACTTATTCGTAACATAGTATTTACCCACTATGATGTATGTGGGTTTCCATGTCTGTATACTAAACTACATACTCTTTGAAGATCAAGCTCTCCAATGGTATGCACAGGGTCTGATACAACAGGCTTTAATAAACGACTGTAGAACTGAACAATTTATATTGAACTGGCATGGAAGGCACTCTGGAACCTTCCAACAACTTTGTGTCATAGATTTGCTTGCTATCTCTACTACAGTTTAAGGCCCACCACCCCTATTGACTCAGCCATCTCCCTATGTTTCTCAACCACCACCTCCCTCATGAAGCCAACTCAATTTCCCGCCCCAGTTTGGAATACTCTCCCTAATTCCTTAAAGATTTACTTTCTCTGTACTTCGAGATTCTAGGTGTTGGGCAAATTTTGACTGGGAAAAAATAAACTATGTTTGCTGATCACCTGAGTGCCACACATTGAATTTTCATATACAAATATATATATACGTATATATATATATATATATTAGGTAAAAGCCAGACAGAACTAAGAATTTTCTTTAAAGGCACTAGCTAATATAATTCCTCCCAAGAATCCTGTGAAGTAGGGAGATCGTATCTTCATTTCACAGATGGCAAAACTCAGGCAAGGAAATATGAAGCAACCAGTTCAAGATCATATAGGAAGCAGAGCTGTAATATAATCACTGGTCTTCTCAACTCCCAGGCACATCCTCTTTCCACCACATCCCATTGTCTCCAGGTTGGGCCAGGTTCTGGAAAGCCTTGAGAGCCAGAGGGTGTAATAAGCAGTTGCAAGTCATGAAGTGTTCTTAAGCAGGAGGGGATGATGAATATAGAACTCTGGGGAGATACTCCTGAAAGGTTGTGTATGACAGAATTTAGTGTGAGGGAGGCTACTGGACTCCTGACAAGGAAAATACAAAATGAGTACTGTAACTCTCTTAACACATTCATTGGTGAGTGCTGGCATTACGATGGGGTCCCATGGAAAAGGAGAGGGTCTGAGGTTATTTTGAGAATTAAAAAGCTGAAGGGGATATAGGAGTCCATCTTCTGTCTCTTGGGTTGAGTGGCCGACCTCATGGTCTGCCCCCTGGAAATGGCCTGGGATTTCTGCCTTTTATGGGATGTAGGAGTCCAGGAAAAGGTCCAAGTTGACTGGACAGTTGGGTGAAGGTTTCCTTAGGAAAGTGGCATTCGATGGGACACTAGATGAGATGGTGCCGTCCCCATCTCTCCTTCAGTAGCTTCCAAACTAGCCTTCTTGACTTCAGTCTCTCCCCGTCTTCACCCACCTCCAAAGGGATCCTTTTCACACTTATTTTGTCTTTTTTTTTCTTCCTTTTTGTGGAGAACGGGGTCTCGCTATATTGCCCAGGCAGGTCTCGAACTTCTGGGCTCAAGCTATCCTCCCGCCTCTGCCTCCCTGAGAGCTGGGATTACAGGCGTGAGCCACCGCACCCGGCCCAAAGGGATCCTTTTTAAACGCCAAGTTGGATCATGTGATTTTCTGCTTAAAACCGTTTAAAGGTTCTCTGCCATTCTTGGGATAAAGTAAGGTCTTTTGACAAACATCAAAATTACATATCCTCCATAACCTGGGATTTTAAAATAAATATTATGCCTAAAAACTAACCAATTATGATCATATGCCTCCTCAAACTACATATTCCCTCTTGGGGATTGTGCTGATGTTCCCCCAGGTGAGTCCCTGCTGCAGTTTACGATATTGTTGACCTATATCTATACACACACACACACACACCCCAACCTGTTTTTACTCAAGCTACTGCTTCGGCTTGGACTACTCTCCCATTGTTCTTAGCTAAACCAACTAATTGCTTTTCATCTTTCAGCTCAGGCACCACCCAATAGGAAGGCTTCCCCAATCTCCTTGTTTCTCTAGGATGGATTCCCTGCTCATCTCTATCAATGTGCTGTATCATACGATGCTCCTGTCCTCCATTCAACTTACTGGAGGGCAAGTGCCATTTCAGTTAACTTGGTGTGTATGGAGTCCTGATGAAGGGGCCTGTGTAGTTGAGGCAGGAGAAACAACATGAGATAGCAGAAATGGGGATCTGCACTCAGAACAAGTTAGGGCTAGAGGATTCGGTTTGGGAATTAACAGCATCCAGAAAGTTTAGGGGCAACCAAGCTTCTAGAGGGCTTCATAGTTAATTCCATCTTGCAAATGTAGAAACTGAAGACACAGACAAGCAGTTTCTCCCAAATTACTTGGTTAGTCATTGAGAAGGAGGGCTCTTTAGCCACAAGTCCTGTGCACTTTTCCACTCCATACTGGAAAGGGGGATGACTGAAGTTGGGTGCCTCGTTTCCCTCCCAATTTTGAGACAGGAACCTCTGAACTGCTGGCACCTCCTGCCTGGACTGAGGAATAAGGTGACCAAGATTCTAGCTTATCCTCTAACCTGAGGCTGGTAAAAACAAAGCACGAAAAAGTGCTTTGTCCCTTGACTGAGGAAGGTGGGGTGGGAATTGGTGACAAAAATAACCCAGCCCATCATTCCTGCAAAGGCTTTAAAGCCCTTCTTTCCTGTTTCCTTTCTACCAGGAAATACAGTTCTCTATGCTTCAGACATGAACATTATCAAAACCCCACCTACTCCTGAGACAGACTGTGAGAACTGGAGGAGGTCATTTAACCAGTAGGTGCCAAAACCAGACAGCCTCACTCCAGACCCACAGAAGCAGAATCTCCAGGAGGAAGTAAATCTTGACTGGGTTCAAAATACTTTAATAGATGACCCACAGACAGTAAGCAGCCTGCCCTGGCTCACCCACAGAGTCAGGGTGGTGGTGAATTTGAAACTGAGGCTCCCAAGATCACCCTGGGAGCTCTCCTTAGGAGATAACTCTCAATTCTGCATCTTGCACATAACAGAGGCTTAATAAAGATCTGTTGGGTGCTTGAGCCTCAGAAGATTTTCTAATATGGTGAAGGCAAAGAACATAAGTTTTGGAATCAGGCAGATCCTGCTGCAGACCACTGGCAAACTTCAGTCTCCTTAAACTGTTAAATAGGACGAATATCCTCATGGGGTTTTTCAGTGAGGATTAAATGAGATATCCCTAAGTAAAATCCCTAGCCCAATGCCTGGCACCCAAAAGGCACTTAATATAATGGTAGTGTTTATCAGTGAGAAGTGGTAGAACAGAGTGGTAAGAATACACATTCTGGAACCAGGTTGGTCCCAGAATTTTCATGTATGATACAGGAAGGTTACTTTGTTTCTTCGCTGGCAGGATGAGGGTGTTGGTGAGGATGAAATGAATCAATAAAGTATTAAGAGCAGTGCCTGGCACAAGAAAACAAGTGCGATAATCGTGAAAACAAGCTCTGATAATTATATTCTTCTAACCCATGTACTGGCCCTAAGCACAGTAATCAAGTCCAGATTGCACAACAAGTGCATGGAAGAGAGAGGGAAAGAAAAAAAAAATCCCACATTCACAGAAAGAGGACACACTTGAAAAAGCAGTCTCTGGAAAGCCCTCCCATTGAACTTGTTAGGCCCCTTTGAATTATTGCACCCTTTCTTTTCTGCTCAGTCTGCTTCTGATGATCTACTTCAGGTGTGTGAAGCGTGTCCCTCCTGAGGGTGGGAATACCCTTCCCACTTCAAGCATAAGGCTGAGCACCAGGGAAATGCCTGACAACTTGCTGAGGGAGAGACAAAGAGTACAAGGAGAAGGCAGCACTCCCAGACCCTGCACCACACCACCACCCTCATCACAAAAAAAAAGAATGCCAAGCAAAGCAATTGCCAAGATAAATCACTTTTATCTCTATAGGAAAGGGAGGATCTAAAAAAAATATAAATTACATTAGTAACACAACATAAGAAAAAGACAGGGACAAAAACAACAGAGAAGTCTGAATGATGCTACCCTAACCTATTTATAAAAAGGCCCTGCATCAGAAATTCACAATCCTACCCACTTCTAAAAATATATTTAGACATGTACAGAAGCGGTGGGCTTGTTTTTAAATTGTTTGCTTTTTTTGTAAAAATATATTAAAGGTGAATAGAAATCCTCTCTCCCTTCCCCCTGTCCAGCCCCCAGCTAGGGACTGGAGATCAGGGGTAACTATCTCATGGTGTTCTAAACCTTGATTACTAACACTCCCAACCCCTCCCCAACTCACTTCACTTAGAACCTGAAACATTAAAAAAAACAAAAACAAAGACATCAGCCTCTTTGGAAAAGCATAACTCTGAGGGTAAACTTGCTTTTCATTGGAAACAACACAAAACAACAAACAGGGGGCTCTAAGAACCCAACTAAGCTAAATGAAACCCAGTCAAACAGAGGCTGGGTTTCAGCTCCACAGAAAACTTCTAACAAAGAAATAGAGGGAAAAGGCCGGAATCGGGGGGATTTGCTAGCAATTAGCTGCCTTTGAAAGATCAAGAAGGGGTGTTAATGGACAAAAGGGCTGGGGACCTGATCTTGGTTACAGCAGTCACCGCATAGTCAGGCAGTTGCCTATACAGGACAGAGGCTTCTCCTGCTCTCCCCTCACTACCCTCTGCTGCCTTGAAATCCCCAAAATAAGCAAAGCTGGGCAGAAACAGAGGGGAGGGGAGTAGGGACTCACGTGCTAGGGGGGAGGTAGCCAGGCTTTTTGCCTTTGGTGTGACTAGATGGAGAACTGCTTGGCCCCTGGGGTCCCCAAGGTAGAGAAAGCAAATGGGCTAAAGGAACCCCTGATTCCAAGGAAGGAAAGTAGAGGCAGGGCTATGGAGAAAAGAAAGACAAACTGGAGATACAAAGATGACAAAAGAAGCCTCACAAATTCCCTGTGGCCTGCATGGTAGCTATTAAATTCCCCAGAAGCATTGGGCAAGCTGGGGTGAGGTTGGAGTGGGTGGTACAGGTGGAAAGGGCAAGGGTACACTCCACTTGGGTAGTGCCAAATGGAGGTGGGGGGATGTTCTCCATCGAGTCCAGATTGCCAGTGAGGCAAGGCGGTGGGAGGTGGGGGCACTGTCTGGACAATGGAGACAATCCACGAAGGAAGGACAGGGGAAGGGGAGGATCGGATGGATGGTCTGCTCCTTCACGGATGGGCGTCTCTTCTCTTCAACTTGGGCTCGTGAATGGCCTGTCTGCATTCTGCTTGAACGATGACCTGTCGTCTGGAAGTGCAAAGGCCCAGGAGTGAAGATGTGAGTCCTGAGGTCTTCTTCAGACCAAGACCTCAGGTGGAGAAAGAAGCATGAAAAGTTCCCGATGGAGGACCCAGGTGTGGGCCGTCCCGCCACACCCTCCATAATGTCCAGGCTGTGCTCTGTGGTATAGGCGGAGCAAGCAGGCTGTAGGGCCAGGGTTATCTGCGTCATTGGCAGGTGCTTTCAGGTTTCTGGGAGATGGTTTTCCACCTGCCAGGGCCCAGCCACAGCCACAGCCACAGCCACGTGGATAATGTTCTACATGATTTCAAAATCCAGGCAAATCCCTGGAGCTCACCCTAAAACAAGTGGCCTCATGTGTAGCCAGCTAAAAGTAGCTTCCTCCAACAGGCTACAAAACCGTGGTCAAAGGCTTGGGCATCTGACCTCTCCCTACCTTGACAAGTGATAGGAATCACCTTTCTTTTGAAAGGTAAGTGAAGTTGGCATTTCTAGGCCACTTCTGGAAATGGCCCACAGTGGGGCAGGAAGGAGGCTCTAGGCCTTCCTCTTCATTTCCATGAAGCATTTGGCAAGAGGGGGCAGAGACCACAGCCTTCTCCCATGAGCAAGTCTGGAGGTGGGGCATGTCCACTGGACTGGGGAAATGGGGCAAACAGAATGGGTGGAGGTGGGCAGGCTTCTGGATATAGGGCTAGAGTTGCAGAAAGTGTCAAGCACTGGGCTTCCCACTTCATGGCTCAGGCTCCTTCATACCTCTCCTCATCCTGCCTTCCAGCTCTAGCGGGGGATGAAGAATAAAGAACAGACAAGGCAGGTGACGGGAGTGGTTTGGACGAGTAGAAAAGAGGGTTCTAGTCAGCTGGAAACCTCTCCCATTTACCTGCTCCTCAGTGGAGAAGGCAGGCAGGATGCTCTAGTGAAAGTGGGGAAGGGAACTAGAAGGAGTCGGTGGAGGGGTCCGTGCCTTTGGTAAGTCCCAAGAAAGCAGGACAATGCACCTCAGCACCTTGTCCAGGGCAGATAGGATCCAGGAGTGCCCCAAGAGTTGACAATGGAGAAGGCAATGGGGGTAAAGGGGTGAGGGGTGGGACACAGGAGGGCTCACAGAAGTAGTTTGCCATTTCTGTGGATTTTCAGGATACGGCCGAGTCTCTGCTTTGCTGTGGCCAGGCCCTTTTTGGGACGCTTTCCTGTGGGGGAAGGGAAAAGTAAGCAAGGGCTTTGGCAAGGGCTTCAACATCAAATCTGGCACCAACTGCCCTCAGGCCACCTCCCCTTCCTGTTTCTCTACCCACAAAGTTTCTCCATCCTTAGACCATATTGGGCAGGAAGCCCTCCTTAACTACTTCCAACCAACACCACATGCTTTGACTCTTCCTCCTATGACCTCCTGTAGCAGCAAGACTCCCTGATTACAGTTTGTCTAGTTCTTTTTCTCCACTGATTACTCTGGTCCCAATCATTTTCCTTCCAAGATCCTGCAGGGAGGTAAATGTACTTCCATACCCTCTTATCCTACCCACCAGGACTGGACAAGTGCCTGGTTAGTGATTAGAGCTCAGTGTCCCTGAAGTTGCCATCCCTAGGGCCTTGCTTCATTAGAAACTCTCATCTTCATCAGCCTTCAACATCACACCAACCTCCATGCCCTTGAGCTGCGTACTCTAGGGACTGGGCTTTGAGGACCAAAGTGAGGGAAAGGAAGGCTTCAGTCCTCTAACTCTTTGTTGTCTCTGTCTCCCCACATTAAATCCCCTCCCATGTCCTATTTGACTGCCTCCATATTTGATCAGTTCATCTCCTTCCTCTCCATTCCCTCTGGCAGAGCCCCAGGTACTCTTCCTGCCTGCCTGAACTTGTATATGTGCCTCCTCCCTAGAGTTCCCATCTCTAGCCCACCCTCTACCTCCTTCTGGCCACCAGAAGGATCTTTCAAAACTAAAACCTGATCTTGTCTGTACTTCAAATCAGTCAACATCTCTCCATGGCCCATAAGATCAAATCCAAGCACCTTAGGTTGGCCTTCAGTGTCCCTCCCTGGTATTGTCATCTACTAGAGCACTTAGGATTTAGGGCAGGTGGCTCTAAGATCCTTCGGTTCTACAACCATATGGCCGTTGTACCTTGTCCTGCCTGATTGCTCTGGGAGCCAACTGAAGGGCGCCGCTGGGTCAAGAAGACACCGGGGGCCATAGGTGTGGTGCTGCGGTTTGCCTGGGCCATGCCAAAGGCATTGGGACGAGCGGTGTACTCATGGTCAGCGAGACTTCCTGACAGGGCCTCTTGTTTAGGCTCAGGAGGAGGCAGGGGTGAGGAGGAGGTGACAAGTTGTGGTGTGGCAGCCACAGTGGGGGCTGGTACTGTCAGACTGAGATTGGAGTCTTGAGGGCGAGGCTGTTCTACCTCCTTCAGCAAAGGCTTCTTCTTGATATATTTCTTCTTTTGGGCCTTCTGTAGCTCCTGAAACACAAGCCAAGTAGGAGGAGAGATTAAGGAGTGAAGAAGACAAGTTCCCAGGAAAGGAACTAACTAGACAATGTCCAATATGGTTGTGCAACCTGCCACCCTCTCCCTTACCTGCACCAAGTCTAGCCTGGATGTACACACAGCACATAACAGGCCTTCCAATACCTGAGATCATCTCTTTGTTACCATCCATCCTTAAGTCACCACTGTCACTTATTAGTACAGTGCCAAGAAAGCTGTAAATGAATTTGGAGACTAGGATTTTGGTCCTAGTGTTGCCACTAATGAGGTAGACCTTGGACACGTCTAATGATAATAACTAAATTTACATCAGCAGCTGAGACACTTTATATACTTTATCTCATTTAATCCTCATAACAGCTCTAAGAAGAAAAAATCCTAATTTTACATATGAGAAAATGGAAGTGCAGGGATATTAAGTAACTTGAGCCCAAAGCCTCACAGCTGAAAAGTAGTTGGGACCACTATCTAACCAGGTCTATCTGAAGAGACACCTTGCAAACTTCTCAAAGTGGAAAATCTGAGCGTAGAAAGATTAGAAAGATTATTAGTTTTGGAATGAGATAAATCTGGTTCAAATCCAGGCTTGTGTCCCTAAATTGGATGACTATGGTCAAACTGACTAACCTTTCTGAATCTCAGCTACCTCATCTATAAAACAGGTAAAATAATATCTGCTTTTTAGGATTTTTGAAAAGATTAAGTGATGACATAAAAATACACAGCACATAGTAGATATTCGACAAGTGGTTAATTATTATTCTATCTTCATCTCTTATAATGGCTTCACTTCCTCTTGCTGGTCTTTTTCTTTTAACAGTGGGCTTGACAATCCTCCAGGTCACTGGGTCTAAAAACCTCACTTTGGGGATGGGAATGACAAATAAGGAGTTGTGTCACTTCTCCCAATACCTTGTATTTCAACCATCCACTGCCCTATGGATCTACTATCCACTGCATGGTGGACACTTGTATAGTGGGCATCTGGAGCCCTGAGAACCTGGAAAGGTGGTGCTGAGAGCATGTAAATCACTTCACCTTCTGAAATGCTACACAGCCACACAAACCAACTCAGTGATCACATTTTTTTGCCTTCTCTTGGCAACACAAGCCTAATCCTGCCTTCGGAAGATCTCACAGGCTGTGGCTACCACGGGCATTTCTGGGGTACAATAATAACAATATTAGTAATACATGTCAACCACTCTTCTATAATTACTCATTTAATACTTGTAAATACCCAAGAAGTAAGAATTATAATCCCATTTGAAGGATGAAGAAACTGTGGCACAGAGAGGCTAAGTCATTTCCCTAAGGTTACAGGACCAGTAAGTGGTCAAACTGGGATTCACATCCAAGCCATTTGGCTTCAGAATCTCTTCCCTCAGCCAAACTGCTATTCTAACCATACCAGGAACTGCATTTCTGTCCCTTTTTCTCTCACTTAAATCCAGAATTACCTCTTCATATCTAGATCACTAGCCTAAATTTTGCTACCTTTGCTGCCAATCTCTTTCACATATAATTTATCCAGATACTCCCACAGACAACTAGACCATCTTATGACAGAACCACTTTCACCTTGCCAATCCCGTTGCTCAAAAAGCTGTTAGCAGATCCCCGCCCAAGTTCAAACTCCCTGGCCTGACATTCATGATCTTCCACAGTCTGGCTGTTTACACTTAGCCAACCCATAATGATAATGATGAAAAAAGCTAACAGGCCTATAGTACTTACTCCATAACAACTGCCATTCTAAAAGAGCTTGTACGTACATTACCTCATTTAATCCTAAAATGAAGTCTATGAGGAAATGAGGCAAAGAGAAATTAACTTGCCCAAATGGTAGAACTATTACATAATTTAAATCCAAGCAGGCTGACTCTAGAATCCATTCTTATAATCATTACTTATTTTAACTAATTCCCCAACATGAAATCTCCAATACAGAAAGATCTGTTTCTTTCTTTCGTTCATTCATTCATTCACTCACCCACCCACCCCAATACTGACTAAACACATTTTCTGACCATAGTGGGGATACCAAGTTAAATTAAATATATTCCCACTCTTGAAGTATTCATAGTTTAATAAGAAACACCAAAACATACATTTATGATTGTAAGTACCACGAATGTTGTAGAAGCATATAGAAAAAGGCCTCTGAAATAAAGTGGTGGTAGGTAGTATGAAGGGCTGTTAGGTAAGGGATCTGATAGGGTATGATTCTCAATGGGTAAAAGGAACATCTTGTGTAAAGGCACAAAAGCATGAGACAATCTGATATACTCACTGAGGGGACTATGAGTATTGCAGTGCACTATGGCTGTATAAAAGGTGTGCATGAGGGGCTGGAAGGAGGTCAGGGAGATGACTAGAGACCAAATCAAGAGGACTTTAAGAGGGCTTTGTGTGCTATACGAAGGAAGTCCCTTCTTTTAGAATGCCTCCCTGGCCCCTACCAGAAGCTTAGCTTGCAAAGCCCCTCCCCAATTTCAAAACCTCTTCTTTGAGGTTATCTCTGATCATCCCAAACAGAATTTAGCTCCTTAAAAGGCACTAAGAGTAATTTTCACAGCTTTACTTAATTTATATTTATATAAAACAGTAGAACCCCCTTTTTCAAATTACAGCTTACACTGTATTGGGATATACATAAGAGACAGAAGTTCTGGTCAAAGAAGATTGCCAAAGATTTAAACACTATTTAAATAGGATGTAATGACTGAACTACATAAGCATTTATTTAAATAGAAAGTAATATGAAATTTGAAGTTAGAGGATATGAGTTTGAGTTGTCTCCTCCATTTACTGGCTGTATTATCCTGAGTCAGTTAATGAGAGCTTCATTTTCTTCACCTATAAAATGATGAAAATATCACCTGTTGAACAGGGCTATTGGGCAGATAGATTACATTACACATTATATATGGAAGCAACTAACAAAGCAGATGCTTAACAGTGCTCTAAGCTATAGGATATGGGATTAGGAGCTAACGGGATATTGATTGCAAGATAACCAGAGAATTCACCTCCAAAGGCTCCTAAGCACATTACGCACATTAAAGAACTTTTAGATGTAATGCTAGGAGATGAATTTGATTCTAGTGAAGATCACTCTTTAGGACAAAAAAAAAATTTGTGGGTGAAGATTAAGATAATATTATTTCATAAAGAGGACAAGAAAAATTTCTAATCAACCAAATTCCAATACTGGTGGGTGGCTGAGAACTTGAGCGTACTCAGCTGAGTCACCCCCTCAGGGCTTCATATGAGAGCAAAGGAAGGATCTGGTCCTTCTCATCTGAGAGGTTTTTACACACCAAAAAAGGTAAGTGGGTTTTTCTCTGGCCTAATATTTTCTTTCATCCTGAATCATGTCAACTGTGTAACCTGTGGAAGTAGCTTATCATTGAGTTGGGATAAGAGGGATTTAAGAGGGGGCTGGGATACTGCCAAGGATAAAGATCAAAGGTTACTCAATCCCCATTGAGACAAAGGTGGGATCCTATCAGCCTGCAGGTCTAAGTGTTGAGGCTCTAAGTCAAACTGCTATTAGTTGCAGGGTGACCTGGGGTGTCAGCACCTACCTGCTGGGCCAGCTTTGCAGCTGCTGCAGCCAAACCTGTCTCAATAGAGGCTACCCGGGTCCCCTCACGCACAGGACGGTCCTGCTTCGGCAGAGTTGGGGTCACGCGGGCTGCAAGGGAAACAGGATGAGAAGGTGTCACTAAGACATTTATCCGAAGGCTAGCCATATTCCCTACCTCCAAGCTCTCCAAAGGTACTCTCATTGGTCTTCCTGCTTCTAGCTTTTTATGAAGCCAGATTTTGCTTGCCATCACATAAGAACCTAATTCACCAATGCTCAAAGCACACACTGATTAAAGGATAAAGGTAAACCTCCCAGAGGGAAAAAGAAAAAAAATGTGAACCTCCTTTGGCTGGGCATGATGGTTCATGCCTGTAATCCCATTGCTCTGGGAGGGTGAGGTGGGACCCTGTCACTACAAAAAATTAAAAAGTTAGCCAGGTGTGGTGGCATGTGCCTGTAGTCCTAGCTACTTGGGAGGCTGAAGTGGGAGGATTGCTTGAGCCCAGGAGTTTGAGGTTACAGTGAGCTACGATTGTACCACTGCACTCCAGCCTGGGCAACAGAGTGAGACCCTGTCTCTAAAAATAGAACAATAAGCCAGGCCAGGTGCAGTGGCTCACACCTGTAATTCCAGCACTTTGGGAGGCTGAGGCAGATGGATCACTTGTGGCCAGGAGTTCGAGACCAGCCTCGCCAACATGGCGAAAACTTCGTCTCTACTAAAAATACAAAAATTATCCCGGCATGGTGGTGCACGCCTGCAGTCCCAGCTGCTCAGGAGGCTGAGGCATGAGAATTGCTTGAGCCTGAGAGGCAGAGGTTGCAGTGAGCAGAGATTGCATCACTGCACTCCAGCCTCAGCGACACAGTGAAACTCTGTCTCAAAAAATAATAATAATAATAGTAATAAAATAATAATAAAAATTGGCCGGCACGGTGGCTCACACCTGTAATCCCAGCACTTTGGGAGGCCGAGGCGGGTGGATCACGAGGTCAGGAGATCAAGACCATCCTGGCTAACATGGTGAAACCCCGTCTCTATTAAAAATACAAAAAATTGGCCAGGCATGGTGGCGGGTGCCTGTAGTCCCAGCTATTCAGAAGGCTGAGGCAGGAGAATGGCATGAACCTGGGAGGCGGAGCTTGCAGTAAGCTGAGATTGCGCCATTGCACTCCAGCCTGGGCGACACAGCAAGACTCCATCTCAAAAAAAAAAAAAAAATTATCCGGCCATGGTGGTGCACGCCTGTAGTCCCAGCTGCTCAGGAGGCTGAGGCATGAGAATTGCTTGAACCTGGGAGGCAGAGGTTGCAGTGAGCAGAGATTGCATCACTGCACACCAGCCTCGGCGACACAGTGAAACTCTGTCTCAAAAAATAATAATAATAATAAAATAATAATAAAAATAAAAAGTTAATCTCCCTGAACTGGCATTTAAGTTTGTCCCATATTCTGCTTCTGGCCCACTTACCTCTCCAACCTTATTTCCACATCCATATTCTCAGCTTCTCCAGACGGATGGCTTCCTTATTACATCTCCAGAGTGTGTACAGCTCATCCTCTCTCCCTATGCTTTCATCCTCAAAATCCACACCACCTAGAGTACTATCTTCCTTTTTGTCTGCCTATTCAAAACCTACCCATTCTTTAAGGTAAGCTGAAATCAATCTCCTACACAAAACCTCTTTGGTTCCACTGATCTCTTTTTCCTTTGAACTTATGATCTGTATAAATTACTTGATACATAGCACATACCACCTTGTCTCATTCTCTAATGCTGATGTGTTATTCTGTCTACCAGCCAGGCTATGAGTTCCTGAAGAAGACCACCCTCTTGCATGACTCTTTTATAATGCCTTACCAACCTGAAATAAAAAAATACTCATCCCACCATTTCAAAAGGAAGTGTATTTCAGGATAACCAAACAGCCCTAAATGATGAGAGACAGCTCTTCTTTACAGAAGAAAGCCAGCTACTAAATGTAGAAGGAATGACAGAATTAGAAAACCACAAGCTGGCAAGTCCTAATGAAACAATTGATTCTAGGGAATTGGATATTCACACAGCACCAAAATATTACCCATTCACCTCAAGAAGAAAAAACTTATAATGATGAGATCAAGAGATTACCACTTTAAGTATGAACTTTACTGTCACTAATAGTGAGAAAGCACAACACAACTTCACACGCCTCTTGATGAGAAGCAATAGGAAATTCACATCACCTGAGAAGTAGTTTTGTTGAAGAGCTAAAATATAGCAAGCCATTCATATTACTTTCAGTGTTTAGGAAACAGGTACAGAAAAACAAATGACACCAGAAGAAAACAAGCAGACATTCTACAAGATAAACTGGCTTAGTCTCTTTAAAAAGACAATGTCACAAGTAAGCAAACAGACAAATCTAGAAGGTAGGACATGCTACAGGGCAATTACACCAGTGTCAACAACAAATCAATAGCACAGAACAAAAAAGGGGAGAGTGCTCTAGATTGAGAGGGTTAAAAGGCATTCAAATGCCACATGGACCCTGTTTAGACCCTGATTTAAACAAATCTAATATAAAAACACCTTTTCATGGTTTGACAATTTAGGAAATTTGATTATGGACTTGGAATTATATAAAGAATTATCAAATTATTGTTAGTTTTGTTATGTATAATAACAGGTTGTAAGGTTTGGTGAGAAAATATCCACTTTTTAGAAATACATACTGAAATACTTGGGGGAAACAGCATAATAACTGGGGTTTGCTTTCAAGCAAAGAAAAAAATTTAAAAAACAAGATAGTGATAAATGAAGCCAATACGGCAATATATTAATAACTGTTCATTCTCACTGGTGGATATATAGGAGCTCAATGAACTATTCTATTTTTATTTATTTTTTGAGATGGAGTCTTGCTTTGTCGCCCAAGGCTAGAGTGCAGTGGGGTCATCTCGGCTCACTGCAACCTCCACCTCCCGGGTTCAAGCTATTCTCCTGCCTCAGCCTCCTGAGTAGCTGGGATCACAGGCATGCAACACCATGCCCGGCTAATTTTTGTATTTTTAGTAGAGACGGGGTTTCACCATGTTGGCCAGGATGGTCTTGAACTCCTAACCTCAAGTGATCCACCCACCTCGGCCTCCAAAACCATAGGCATGAGCCACCATGCCCAGCCTTATTATATTTTTAAAGAAAAAAACTAATGTCACAGAAAAAAGATGTGGTGGTACTGCTGACCTAGATTTAAACTCCTTGGTTAGCTATTGCTATTATAAAGGAGAATTTCTGGATAAGCAGTATGCAGATTCTAGAACAAGCAATTCGGAAGGCTGAAATTCTTTCTTTAAAGGTAACATTTGTTTAAAACATGATCTGAAGCAAATTTACCAAAAGTTGACGCATAATTTTCAGTCATGGATACTTGGATCTCTTTTATATTGTTCTCTATAGTTTTGTATGTGTGGTGGTTTTAAAACATGACCCCAAATCCCATCACACCTTTCCTACTGATAGGTGAGATCTGTGCCCCACTCTTGAATCTAAGCAGGCTTATTTGCAAGCTATAGAATATGGTATAAATGACACTATATGACTTTTGAGGCAAGGTCAGTAAAGGCAATTTCAGTTTCCACACTGCTTGTTGGAACACTCATGCTTTTAGCAATCTGAACCGCCATGTAAAAAGTTTGATTGCCTTGAGGCTGCTGAGCAGTGAGGAAGCTAGTCACATGGAGAGGCCACATGTTGGCACTTTCAGTCTTTTGTGTCCTCCCAGGCCAGGCATCAAACATGTAAGTGAAAGACTTCAGATGACTCAAACTCTTGGCCAACAAGTCACCCCCAGCCTTCAAAGTTTTTCCAGCTGAGACCCCAGACTTCATGCAGTAGAGACAAGTTGTCGCCATTGTGCCATTTCCAAATTCCTGACCCACAGAATACATGAACATAAGAAAATGGTGGTTGTTTTAAGCTGGGGAAAAAAGAACCCTCCTTGATTAGACCTGGGTTTTGGGAGGGAAAAAAACCTATAAAAGATATTTTGTGTAAACAGTTGGGGAAATTTGGTTATGAACTGGGTATCTGAAGATCTTAGGGAATTATTACTAACTTTGGTAAGTATAAAAAAAAGTAGTGTGGTTACACCGGGGAATGGCGGATGTCCTTATTTAATTTTTTTGAGATGGAGTCTCACAGTCACGCAGTGGCGTGACCTCTACTCACTGCAACCTCCACCTCCTGGGTTCAAGTGATTCTTCTTTCTCAGCCTCCCAAGTAGCTGGGATAACAGGCACCCACCACCCCGCCCGGCTAATTTTTGTATTTTTAGTAGAGATGGGGTTTCACCATGTTGGCCAGGCTGGTCTTAAACTCCTGACCTCAAATGATCCACCTGCCTCGGTGTCCCAAAGTGCTGGGATTACAGGCGTGAACCATCGGGTAAAATATGTTATGATGACTTTGAAGTGGCTCAGCAAAAACTATAGATAGCCAGATAGATACAGATAGAGGAATCAAGCAACTATAGCAAAATGTTACAACTATAGAATCTGAGTATTAAGACTATGGGTATTCAGGTGCTATCCCTTCTACTTTTACATATGTTTAAAAATTGTCGGCCGGGCACGGTGGCTCACGCCTGTAATCTCAGCACTTTGAGAGGCCGAGGTGGGTGGATCACCTGAGGTCAGGAGTTCGAGACCAGTCTGACCAACATGGAGAAACCCTGTCTCTACTAAAATTACAAAAAATTAGCCGGGCATGGAGGTGCATGCCTGTAATCCCAGCTACTCAGGAGGCTGAGGGAGGAGAATCGCTTGAACCCAGGAGGCAGAGGCTGTGGTGAGCCAAGATCGTGCCATTGCACTCCCGCCTGGACAACAAGAGCGAAACTCCGTCTCAAAAAATAAATAAAATAAAAATAAAATAAAATAAAATAAAAAATAAAATTGTCATAATACACTTTGGGAGGCCGAGGTGAGCGGATCACCTGAGGTCAGGAGTTTGAGACCAGGCTGGCCAACATGGTGAAACCCTGTCTCTACTAAAAATACAAAAAAATTAGCCAGGTGTGGTGGCACGTGCCTGTAATCCCAGCTACTTGGGAAGCTTAGGCAGGAGAATCACTTGAACCCCGAGGGCAGAGATTGCAGTGAGCTGAGATCGCGCTACTGCACTTCAGCCTGGGCGACAGAGTGAGACTCTGTCTCAAAAAATAAAATAAAATTGTCATATTAACAAATTTTAAATAATGAACAAGACTAAGAGCTTATAATAACCAAATGCATTGTGTAATCCTTGAATGGATTCTGGTTTAAGTAAGCCAATTACAAAAGATATTTTTGGTGCAACTGGGGGAAATTTGAATAAGTACATGGTACTAGATGATATTAAGAAATAAATGTTGGCCGGGCGCTGTGGCTCATGCCTGTAATCCCAGCACTTTGGGAGGCCAAGGTGGGTGGATCAGGAGGTCAGGAGATCAAGACCATCCTGGCTAACACAGTGAAACCCCGTCTCTACTAAAAATACAAAAAATTAGCCGGGCGTGGTGACAGGCGCCTGTAGTCCCAGCTACTCAGGAGGCTGAGGCAGGAGAATGGTGTGAACCCGGAAGGCGGAGCTTGCAGTGAGCGGAGATCGCACCACTGCACTCCAGCCTGGGTGACAGAGCAAGACTCCGTCTCAAAAAAAAAAAAAAAAAAAAAAAAGAAATAAATGTTACTTTGCTTAGGTGTCATATAATGGCACCGTGGTTATGGAAGAAAATATCATTCAATGCATATTTAAGTATTAAGGATGAGATGTTATGATGGGCGACATCAGTAAACATGGCAAAGGACCTCCAAGAATTCACTCCCCAATAAAAACAACAAAAAAACTAGCAAAAATTGTCAGGATAAATTTTTTCAGAACTCTGGAAATTAACAAAAGGCTTGCAGCAACCTGGAAAGCACTTGATTCAAGAAAAACAGCTGAATCTCAGTAAGAACAATGAGCTTTGTGCATTTTAACTTGCCCTAGACACATCTACCTTACCCCAGCTTAGTGAACACCTTGAAAAACAGCAGTCCAAGTTCCCAGCAATGTAGTGAGCAGAAAGGAGCTAGAGCTTTCTTTCAAAGCCTAGTACTAAAAGCCTCTCCCTCCCTGATGGGTGTTTAAAAAAGAATTTTAAAGGCATGTGCTTAATGTCATAGCTGTTTAAGGTGATGGATAACAGTTGTGACAAACAATAGATTAACCCAAATGGTTAAAAAAAAGCTAAAGAATGAGATATCCATAAAGAATTTGACAAGTTCTCACGCATTTCTGCAAATTATAAGACCACATGCCTGTGTTGGCGCTGTAAGACTTGAGAAGGCCCTAAGCATGCACCTCTGTCTGACTTTGAGGTGCTACACAAATAGAAGTGAAGGCTACCGCAGAGTTGTAAACTGCCTGGCTGAGTGAAGGCATGCTCCAACATGCACATAGAGAGCCCCTCAGCAAGCACTGGGAGCACTCACTGGTTCCAGGCATTTCAGGAAATCTGTGTCCAATCATGAGACATCTACTAAGCTAAATGAGTAGAGACATCAGTGTGCACACACAAAAAAGTTTACAGACTTTACAGAATTAGTTCAGAAAAGCCACTAAACAAAACACAACTACAACAAAGAGTGTTCTCTGAGGAGCAGAGTGGAGAAAATCTGATTTTCAGAGTTGCCACGGCATTTAAAATGTACAGTTTTCAACAAAAAATTACAAGACATACAAAGAAATAAAGTATAGCCATTCACAAGAAAAAAAATCAATCAGTGGAAACTGTCCCTGACTTCCTAGACATAGTTGGAGTTACTAGACAAGGACTTTAAATCAGCTATTTTAAATGCTTTCAAAGGCTAAAGGAGACCATGTCTAAGGAACTACAGGAAAGTATGAGTATGATGTCTCACCAAACAGAGAATACCAATAGAGACAGAAATTATAAAAAGAAACCAAACAGTTATTTTGAAGTTGAAAAGTAAAATAACTGAAATGCAAACTTTAACTGAAATGCAAACTTCCCTAGAGGGTTTCAATAGCACATTTGAGCAGGTAGAAGGAAGAATTACTGACTTTGAAGATAAGTCAATTGAGATTATCCAGTCTGATGAGCACACATAAAAAGAGAATGAAGAAAAGTGAACAGAGCCAAAGGGATCTGAAGGACACCTATTCGAAGAAATAACAACTAAAAACTTTCCAAATTTGATGAAAAACAATTTATACATTCAAGAGCTCAACGAACTCCAAGCTGAACAAATTTAAAAGGCTACACATCATAACTCAAACCAAAGACAACAGAAATTTTTTTTTTTTTAGACGGAGTCTTGCTCCATTACCCAGGCTGGAGTGCAGTGGTGCAATCTCGGCTCATTGCAAGCTCTGCCGCCAGGGTTAACGCCATTCTCCTGCCTCAGCCTCCTGAGTAGCTGGGACTACAGGTGCCCGCCACCACGCCCGGCTAATTTTTTTTCTATTTTTAGTAGAGACAGGGTTTCATCGTGTTAGCCAGGATGGTCTTGATCTCCTGACCTCGTGATCCGCCCGCCTCGGCCTCCCAAAGTGCTGGGATTATAGGCTTGAGCCACTGTGCCCGGCCAACGACAACAGAATTTTGAAAGCAGCAAGGCAGAAGTGACTCACAACATAAAGTGATTTCTTTATCATCAGAACCCATGGAGGTTAGAAGACAGTGCGAAGACATATTCTAAGTGCTAAAAGAAAAACTATCAATCAGGAATTCCAGATCCAGCAAAACTATCCTTCAAAAATGAAGAAATCAAGATATTCCTAGATAAATAAAAACAAATAGTTTGACACTAGTAGACCTTACCTATAAGAAATGCTAAAGGGCCAGGTGTGGTGGCTCATGCCTGTAATCCCAGCACTTTGGGAGGCCGAAGCGGGCAGATTACGAGGTCAAGAGTTCGAGACCAGCCTGGCCAACATAGTGAAACCCGTCTCTACTAAAAATACAAAAAATTAGCCAGGCGTGGTGGCAGGCACCTGTAATCCCAGCTACTTGGTAGGCTGAGGCAGGAGAATTGCTTGAACCCGGGAGGCAGAGGTTATAATGAGCTGAAATCATGCCATTGCACTCCAGCCCAGGCGACAGTGCGAGACTCTGTCTCAAAAAAAAAAAAAAGGCATGTTAAAGGGAAACCTTCAGGCTGAAATGAAAGGACACTAGACAATTGAGTCTACATGAAGAAATAAAGAGCACTGGTAAAGGTAACTAGATAGGTATATTTAAAAGACATTATCAACATATTTTTGTAACTTTTTCTAACTGGATTAACAGACAATTACATAAAGCAATTACTATAACCCTGTGTTCATGAACACAATGTATAAAGATGTAATTTGTGACAGTAATAGCATAAAAGAGAAGGGTAATGGAGCTATATAGCAGCAAAGTTTCTGTGTAGTACTGAAATTAAGTGATAATAGGCTGGGCGCGGTGGCTCACGCCTGTAATCCCAGCACTTTGGGAGGCTGAGGCGGGCGGATCATGAGGTCAGGAGATGGACACCATCCTGGCTAACACGGTGAAACCTCGTCTCTACTAAAAATACAGAAAATTAGCCGGGTGTGGTGGCAGGCGCCTGTAGTCCCAACTACTCGGGAGGCTGAGACAGGAGAATGGCGTGAACCCGGGAGGCAGAGCTTGCAGTGAGCCGAGCCGAGATGGTGCCACTGCACTCCAATCTGGGCGACACAGCGAGACTCTGCCTCAAAAAAAAAAAAAAAAGAAAGAAAGAAATTAAGTGATAATAATGTGAATTAGAATGGTATAAATTAAGTTGTTAATCCCCAGGACAACCACTAAGAAAATAACTTGGCCAGGTGCGGTGGCTCGCGCCTGTAATCTCAGCACTTTGGGAGGCTGAGGCGGCCGATCACCTGAGGTCAGGAGTTTGAGACCAGTTTGGCCAACATGGTGAAACCCCGTCTCCACTAAACACACAAAAATCACCCAGGCTTGGTGGTGTGTGCCTGTATTCCCAGCTACTTAGGAGGCTGAGGCGGGAGTATTGCTTGAACCCGGGAGGTGGAGGTTGCAGTGAGTCGCGATTGTGCCACTGCACTCCAGCCTAGGCAACAGAGTAAGACTCCATCTCAAAAAAAAAAAAACAAAACAACAACAAAAAAAAACCCCTCACATATAGAGAGATAAAAAAAAAAGGAATTAAAATGGGATCCTAGGGCTGGGCACGGTGGCTCATGCCTGTAATTCCAGCACTTTGGGAGGCCAAGATGGGTGGATCACCTGAGGACAGGAGTTCGAGACCAGCCTGGCCAACACGGTGAAACCCCAACTCTACTAAAAATATAAAAATTAGCTAGGCGTGATGGCAGGCACCTGTAATCCCAGCTACTCAGGAGGCTGAGGCAGGAAAAGAATTGCTTGAACCCAGGAGGCAGAGATTGCAGTGAGCCAAGATCGCGTTGCTGCATTTCAGCCTGGGTGACAGAGTGACACTCTGTCTCAAAAAAAAAAAAAAGCGGGGGGGGTCCTAGAAAATAGCTATTAAACATAAAAGAAGGCAGTAACTAATGGAGGAATTGAGGAACAAAAAATAAGACACATAGAAAACAAATAGCAAAATGGATATTGAGTCGAACTTTGGCAGCTATTAGAACCCTCCAACTGATAGGCAGATGTTGGCAGAATGAATTAAAAATGACCCTACTATATGCTATCTATACAAGACACACAGTTTAGATTTGAAGACACAGGTCGAAAATAAATGGATGAAAAAAGAGATAACAATAAAAGTGGTACTCAAATGAAAACTACAATGGCTATACTAACATCAGACTTTGAGACAAAAATCATTACTAAAGACAAAGAAGAGCATTTTATAATGATAAAAAGGTCAATCCATCAACAAGGTATAACAATTACAAACATATGTGTACCTTACAACAGAGGCTCAAAATAGATGAAGTGAAAACTGACCAAACTGATGGGAGAAAATAGATAAATTCAATAATAATAGCTGGAGACTTCAATACCACATTTTCAATAATGGATAGAGCAATTAGAAAATCAGCAAAAAACGGACAGGTGTGGTGGCTCACGCCTGTAATCCCAGCACTTTGGGAGGCCAAGGTAGGCGGATCACAAGGTCAGGAGATCGAGACAATCCTGGCTAACATGGTGAAACCCCATCTCTACTAAAAAATACAAAAAATTAGCTGGGTGTGGTGGCAGGTGCCTGTAGTCCCAGCTACTGGGGAGGCTGAGGCAGGAGAATGACGTGAACCCAGGAGGCGGAGCTTGCAGTGAGCCAAGATCATGCCACTGCACTCCAGCCTGGGTGACAGAGCAAGACTCTGTCTCAAAAAAAAAAAAAAAAAAAAAAAAAGAAAAGAAAAAATCAGCAAAAAACTAGAGATGTCGTAACACGTAAGATTTTGCTTAAAATGCCTTGAAAAAAAGAATAAAGCAAATACAGCAAAATGTTCATTAAATCTGGGTGACAGATATATATATATATATATATATAGGTGTTCATGGTAATAACCTCTTGAATTTTATCTTATGTTTGAAAACTTTCATAACAAAAATTTTTTAAAAGGAAAAGTATTTACCGACTGTTCTGGTGCTTATGATTACTGTAGCACTATAGTATATTTCATTTACTTTCTCTATCCCAATATTCTTTAAGCTAATTATACCTGTTTACTTTTTAAATTACTTTTAGAATGAATTCCCCACAAAATTCCATTAGGATTTTGATTTAGGCTAGTGTTAAATGTATACATTAATTTGGAAGGAAATGACTCTTTACAACACTCAGTCTTTATAACCAGGCATATGGGAAATCTCTATTTCTTCATGTCGGTTCCACACTATCTTCTTACAATTATTCTTGCATATTTTATATGTTTGTTGCTATTGTCAATAGCATTTCTTTTTCTCAGTACATTATGGTTATTACTAATATAGTACTTCTTGATTTTTGGATAGCTGGTATATATCCAATGATTTACCCAATTTACTGAATTCTCTTATCAGTATTAGCAGTTTTTAGTTGATTCTCTTTCATTTTCTGATATTACATAATTATATCATATCTCTATTTTTATTTCTATTTTTTGTAGAGACAGGGTCTTACTATGTGGCCCAGGCTGGTCTTGAACTCCTAGGCTCAAACAATCCTCCCATCTTACCTTTCCAAAGTGCTAGGATTACAGGCATTAACCACCATGCTCAGCCCCATACCTGTGTTTTCTATATCGATTATACAATTATATCTTATCTTTCACTCATCAAATATTTGTTAAACATCTCCTACAGGCCAGGCACTAGGCAAAGTGCTACAGATACAATGATGGCCAAAAGTGAACAGGATTCTCACCCTACTGGCTCACATCATGATTTGGTCTCTTCTTTTCTTTTTTTTTTTTTTTTTTTTAATTTCTGCTTTACTTCTAATTACACTGGCATGAACTTCTAGAACAATACTAAATAATAGCAGTGTTAGTGGGCACATTAGTCTTATTCCTGATCTTAATGGGAATCCCCTTAGTAGAATGCCTTAGTAGAATGCATCTTTTGAGTTAAGAACTCACTTTGAAAATGTGATAAAAATTACTAAAGAAATATACATACATAGATGCATGCATTTACATAAAATTTCAATAGAATATTAATAGGAGATTCAAAGGTCCATGAACACCAGTTGATGCATCTGTGCTCTACAGTTTCATCCTATTGGGTTAAACTTGGTGTTCTTCTTCATTTTAAAGAACTATCTTTTTAGTTAACTAAAAGCCACTTTTTAAAAGTTTGCAGTTTTTTGGCTGGGCGTGGTAGCTCACACCTGTAATTCTCAGCACTTTGGGAGGCTGAGGCGGGCTAATCACTTGAGGTCAGGAGTTTGAGACCAGCCTAGCCAACATGGTAAAATCCCATCTCTACTAAAAATACAAAAATTAGCCAGGCATGGTGGTGGCGGGTGCTTTTAATCCCAGCTTCTTGGGAGGCTGAGGCAGCAGAATCGCTTGAACCTGGGAGGCGGAGGTTGTAGTGAGCAGAGATCATGCTACTACACTCCAGCCTGGGCAACAGAGTGAGACTCTGCCTCAAAATAAAAAAGTCTGTGGTTTTTCTAAGTCATAAATAGGTAGTGAATAAGTGAAATACCAGCACAAGAGCAGACAGAACTTTGATGGTACAAAATGGATGTGCCTCAAACAACCCATGATACGTATGAGTCAGTACACATGGCAAAGAAAGCATTTTCAGCTTAGTGGGAATGTGATTCTAGCACCAACAGTCATCTTTTTGGGGGGAATACCAATTTATATCTTCTGCTCAGTACCATATATTAAGCAATTCTTTGTAGATCAACACATTAGATATTTAAAAATTATGCTTAAAAAATACAAGGGTGTTAATTATCTACTCTCTGAATATGCAAACAAATGATCAACACTTGATACTGAAATATTCAAATTTTCCTGTAGAATGAGGAAGAAGTACAAGCACATTATAAGTATAAAATATGTGCGTGTGTGTGTGTGTGTGTGTGTGTGTGTGTGTATGAAACAAAGGATGACTATTCCCTTACTATATAAAATGGGCAACTCGAAAACCTTGAAGAACCACATGGATAAGTGGGCAAAGGATGTAAACAAAATTTACAATGGAAGAAACTCTGATGCTAATAAAACATAGAGGCTATGCTTAATCAAAAAAATGTAAATTAAATCAATGAGATACTGTTGTTTGCTTATGAATTACCAAGGATCAAAAATTCATGGTAGAAGCCGGATGTGGTGGCTCACACCTGTAATCCCAACATTTTGGGAGGCCGAGGTGGATCACCTGAGGTCAGGAGTTCGAGACCAACCTGGCCAACATGGCGAAACCCTGTCTCTACTAAAAATACAAAAAACTGGCCAGGCGCGGTGGCTCATGCCTGTAATCCCAGCACTTTGGGAGGCTGACATGGGCGGATCACAAGGACAAGGGATCGAGACCATCTTGGCCAACATGGTGAAATGCCGTCTCTACTAAAAATACAAAAAAAAAAAAAAAATTAGCTGGGTGCGGTGGTGCGTGCCTGTAGTCCCAGCTACTCAGGAGGCTGAAGCAGAATTGCTTTAACCCAGGAGGCGGAGGTTGCAGTGGGCCGGGATCTCGCCACTGCACTCCAGTCTGGTGACAGAACGACTCTGTCTCAAAAAACAAACAACAAAAAAAATTAGCTGAGTGTGGTGGCAGGTGCCTGTAATCCCAGCTACTTGGGAGGCTGAGGCAGGAGAATTGCTTGAACCCGGGAGGCAGAGGTTGCAGTGAGCCAAGATCATGCCATTGCACTCCAGCCTGGGCGACAGACCGAGACTGTTTCAAAATAAATAAAAAACAAACAAACAAACAAACAAAAAAACCCTCATGGTAGAGACTACTCATTCTCAACCAAATGTCATTCTCTTTCCTGCTTACTAACAAAAACACTGATTTTGTGGGACAGCAATATGCCTAGATAAAAACTGTATCTCCTAGCATCTCTGGCTGATAGTCTTGGCCATCTGACACAATTTCAGCCAAATAGATGTGTAAAAAACGTGGAACTTAAAACTCCTTGGGGAGAGGGAATGCTCAGCACTCAGCATGCCTGTCCCTTTTTCCTTTTGCTTTTCTCCTTCTTCCTGACTGCAGCCCAGACCCCAATGCTGGAGGTGAAGTAGCCATCTTGTGACTCTGAGAGAACAAGCACTCACTAAGGATGCTTGAGACATTACTCATAATCAAATACTACTCCTAACTGGTGTGTTCAATGCCTGCATACATTTCATAAACAAGCACTGCGGATGGAAGTGTAAATTGGTACAACTTTTCTGGAAAACACTTCTGCAATAAGTATCAAGAACTATTTTTTTTTTTTTTTTGAGATGAAGTCTTGCTCTGTCGCCCAGGCTGGAGTGCAGTGGCAAAATCTCGGCTCACTGCAACCGCCACCTCCCGGGTTCAAGCGATTCTCCTGCCTCAGCCTCCTGAGTAGATGGGACTACAGGCGTGCGCCACCATGCCCAGCTAATTTTTGTATTTTTAGTAGAGACGGGGTTTCATCATGTTGGCCAGGATGGTCTGGATCTCCTGACCTCGTGATCCGCTCACCCTGGCCTCCCAAAGTGTTGGGATTACAGGCGTGAGCCACCGTGCCTGGCCCAGATGTATTCTTAAGAGAGAAAAGCAAAGCACATAACAGCGTATAAAATACGTTTCCAACTGAGTTAAAAAAAAAAGGAGGGGGAGGTAGGAAAACATATACATGCATTTGCTTGTATATGTGCAAACTGTCTCTGAGAAGATAAATGAAAAAACTGATGGCCGGGCGTAGTGGCTCATGCCTGTAATCCCAGCACTTTGGGAGGCCGAGGCGGGCGGATCACGAGGTCAGGAGATCGAGACCATCCTGGCTAACACGGTGAAACCCCATCTCTACTAAAAGTACAAAAAATTAGCATGGTGGCGGGTGCCTGTAGTCCCAGCTACTCGGGAGGCTGAGGCAGGAGAATGGCGTGAACCCAGGAGGCGGAGCTTGCAGTGAGCAGAGATCGCGCCACTGCACTCCAGCCTGGGCGACAGAGCAAGACTCCCTCTCAAAAAAAAAAAAAAAAAAAAAAAAAAGCTGATAACACTAGTTGACTCCAGGTGGGTAAGTAGAAGGCTACTAACAGGGCTGGGAAGGAAACTTTTCATTGTATAACCTCACATACTTTGGCCCCTCTAAGGTTTCATGGTGATCCATCCTGAGTAAATAATCAGAGATATAAACATTTACATATAAAGATATTGACTCCAAATGTACTAATTGTAAAAACTTGAAAATAGCCTATATGTTAGAAATTACATATATATTAGGTATATCCATGGAACTGATATCTTGTAGCCATTAAAAATATTATTTATAAACAATGGCATAGGAACATGCTTATGATATAATATTAACTTAAAAGACCAGATGTCTCTATTGGTTTTCGATATTTACAGTTAATTTCTAGTCAATGTAGAGTAGTAACAACAATGTATATGTTAATAAACTTGACAGCATAAACAAAAAATTATGGTTCACAGAAGGTTACAAAAGGGAATGTACCCCTCCCCTATAAATGTACCTTTTACTTAATCCATACTCAACTCCAAGAGTCTCTGAATGTACCACATACAATTTCATGCCCTTCTACTTTGCATCCTTGCGGCAAATGTCCTTCTAGATTCACCTAATTCTGATTCATTCACACAACATCCATTTAGTGTGGTGAATAACTTCATGAGTTACTTTACTAACTCACCCTTCAAAATTCAGCTTTAGATTTACTTCCCACAAGGGAAAAAATGGTTCACAGAAGGTTACAAAAGGACCCTATGGATGTAGGGTCACCAACAACTGTATCTTACAAAGTAGGTAATCAAGAGAGATTGACGGCCTGTAATCACAGCACTCTGGGAGGCCGAGGCAGATGGATCACTTGAGGTCAGGAGTTCGAGACCAGCCTAGCTAACATGGCAAAACCCCATCTCTACTAAAAATACAAAAAAATTAGCTGGGTGCAGTGATGCGCGCCTATAGTCCCAGCTACTTTGGAGGCTGAGGTATGAGAATCGTTTGAATCCAGGAGGCGGAGGTTGCAGTGAGCCAAGATTGCACCACTGCACTCCAGCCTGGGCCACAGAGCGAGTTTCTGCCTCAAAAAAAAAAAAAAAAAAAAAAAAGGGAATGATGTAAGTTGATTAAAGGAGAAATAGACTTCATAAACCAAGAAAGGGTGGCATACTTCTCTTGAGTTTTGGAGGCATCTACCAGGAAACGAAAACTATGAGGTTGTCTCTTGGGAACGGGATTGCAGGTGGGGAAAGTAGGGGCAGAAGAACATTGCTTTTCCTCCTAAATTTTTCTATACTTTTTTGTGTGTGTGTGAGAGACAGAGTCTCGCTCTGTCACCCAGGCTGGAGTGTAGTGGCGCGATCTCGGCTCACTGCAAGCTCCACCTCTCAGGTTCATGCCATTCTCCTGCCTCAGCCTCCCGAGTAGCTGGGACTACAGGCGCCTGCCACCACGCCCGGCTAAGTTTTTGTATCTTTAGTAGAGACGGGGTTTCACCGTGTTAGCCAGGATGGTCTCGATCTCCTGACCTTGTGATCCACCCGCCTCGGCCTCCCAAAGTGCTGGGATTACAGGCGTGAGCCACCGCACCTGGCCTAATTTCTCTATACTTTTTGATATGCTACACCCACTACTTTGATCAAAAGCTCAAACAAAATTTTAAAGTACAGTGCATAATTGTATACATGTGGCCAGGCGTGGTGGCTCATACCTGTAATTCCAGCACTTTGGGAGGCTGAAGCGGGCAGATCATGAGGTCAGGAGTTCAAGACCAGCCTGGCCAACATGGTGAAACCCCATCTCTACTAAAAATACAAAAAATTAGTCAGGCATGGTGGCACCTGCCTGTAATCCCAGCTACTTGGGAGGCTGAGGCAAGAGAATAGCTTGAACCCGGGAGGCGGAGATTGCAGTGAGCCAAGATCCCGCCACTGCACTCTAGCCTGGGACAGAGCTAGACTCCATTTAAAAAAAATTTAAAAAAAAATTTAAAAAATTGTACACACATGTGATTTAAACAATAAAAATTAAAAAATGTATAGGGAAAAGACTATAAAGAAACATGTCAAAATGTTAACATTGGTTGCTTCTGGGTGGCGGACTCGTGGGTGGTTCCTTCTTCATAATTCCCTTTATTTTCAATATTTTCTAAATTTTCTACTGTGCTAACCAGAAAAATTTACTTTGACAGGAAAAATAAACCTGGAAATGATAGAAGAAAATAAAATTTAAAAATAGGCCTAAGTTTTCTTTTTTTTTTTGAGATGGAGTCTCGCTCTGTTGCCCAGGCTGGAGTGCAGTGGCATGGTCTCGGCTCAGTGCAACCTCCGCTTTCCGAGGTTCAAGCAATTCTCGTGCCTCAGCCTCTCGAGTAGCTGGGACTAAACGCACATGCCACCACATGCAGCTGATTTTTGTATTTTTAGTAGAGATGGGGTTTTACCATGTTGGCCAGGCTGGTCTCAAACTCCTGACCTCAAGTGATCCACCCGCCTCAGCCTCCCAAAATGTTGGGATTAAAGGCATGAGCCACACTGCACCTAGCCAAATTTTTTTTTTTTTCCCCGAGACGGAGTTTCCCACTTGTTGCCCAGGCTGGAGTGCAATGGTGCAATCTCAGCTCACTGCAACCTTGGCCTCCTGGGTTCAAGCAATTTTCCTACCTCAGCCTCCCAACTAGCTGGGATTATAGGCGCCCGCCACCATTCCCGGCTGATTTTCTATTTTTAGTAGAAACGACGTTTCACCATGTCGGTCAGGCTGGTCCTGACCTCAGGTGTTCTGCCCGCCTTGGCCTCCCAAAGTGCTGGGATTACAGGTGTGAGCCACCAGGCCCGGCCCCAATTTTTTTTTAAAAAGAAACATTTACTGATTAACTCACTAACATAACACTTCTGAGGAATGCCCTGCTACCCCTATGTCACCCCCTCGACCTCAAGCAAACACCAAAAAGTCTAAATAAGGCAGGGTGAGAAGAGCAAGCCCTTTATCTGCTGGGGAACCACAGGTACTGAAATCCCAATGACCTCTATGGCAGACTGTTGCAGTAATGGCCTTCAGTGTGCTCATGTATCCTCGTATGCATGATACTTTGCGATGTGACTTTGCAGTTCTCCTCTCAAAAGGTGCAATCTATTTCCCAACCATGGGATCAAGGCTTGGCCACGTAACTTGTTTTAGTCAATGGGACAACAGTAAATATGACTTAAGCAAAGGCTTGAAAAGTGCTTGCACATTGGGGCTTGTCCTCTCTTGCTGCTAGAAACCTTTCTGCCACCTTGTGGAAAAGCTTGGTAGACTAAAGACCATGTAGAGAGAAGCCTTGGCCATCTTAGATAGTAGGTCTTAGTAGGACTTAGATAGTAGGTCTGAGACACCTGAAGGAGAACTTTTGAGACCATTCAGCCCCAGGGAATCTGGCCTAGACTAGAAGAACAGCTCAGCCAACCTACAGAATTATGAAAAATTATTAACTGTTATTTTAAGCCACTAAGTTTTGGGCAGACTGTTAAGCAGCAAAAACTAACTGAAGGATGCATCCTCAGTGTGAATACTATCCAGCCAAGGAGACGAAGAAAATTCTTCCATTATCCTCTAAACTCCATGTTCAACTCAGTGGTCATTCTTCCCTCCTCAGAGATGGCCTCTCAGTATAGGTGATAATCTTGGGCCTTATAGAGCTCAACAGTCAGCAGAATTTCCCTCCTTGACAACAAAACTACCAGAGTACTGGGATGATGGTATCAGAACGTTCTCAGAAGCCTCAGACTGCTTGCTAAAATCTGTTCAAGGTCTTCCTTTCACCTCAAACCATATAATATCAAATGCAATATGCTCCATTACCTCTGATTTTATTGGACTAATTACATAAACTCTGTGTCTTATTAGTCATTTTAGCTCCAGAACCTAACACAGTGCCTGACACACAGCAGACACTCAACAAATGTTTGCTGAATAAACAAATGAGTGACTGAATCAGGTCTTCTGATATTAAATATCCCACCTACCTTGTCTATTTCCTCCTGACCACCCCTACAGAGTTTAAGGGACAAAATACTAGATTACCTTTAGGACTCCATGGAGCATCATCTGAATTCTTCTTTTTCTTGGGTCGAGATTTCAAAGCAGGGTCATCATCATCAGACTCCAGTGAAGGATAGACTGCAGGGAGAAGGGAAAACAGGGTAAAATGAGATTTCATCCAAAGGGTGAAGATAGAATGACACCTACTCCAGCTCCTGCCCTTCCCCTACAAATGTACCTTTTACTTAATCCATACTCAACTCCAAGAGTCTCTGAATGTACCACATACATTTCATGCCCTTCTACTTTGCATCCTTGCAGCAAATGTCCTTCTCCTAGATTCACCTAATTCTGATTCATTCACCCAACATCCATTTAGTGAATAACTTCATGAGTTACTTTACTTACTCACCCTTCAAAATTCAGCTTTAGATTTACTTTCCACAAGAACTCTTCCCTCCCTCTCCTAATCATGATTGAGATGCCTCCTACTTGGCTCTCCATAGCTTCCTGTGCATCCCTCTACTGAAGCTGTTATATGGTATTTAAGAGCTGATTAGCAAATCTGTTGCCTCCAATTTACCATAAGGGCAGGAATATGTATTATTTATTTCAAATTAAGGGAGCCTACTAGCACACTGAAGCACAAGTTCTCAGTAACTGTTTACTAAGTGAATGAAGAAATAAACAGTACATACTTAATGCACACAAAGGGAACAAAAAGATCACCTGGGCTGAAAAAAACAAACAATCCCATCAAAAAGTGGGTGAAGGATATGAACAGACACTTCTCAAAAGAAGACATTTATCCAGCCAACAAACATATGAAAAAATACTCATCATCACTGGTCATTAGAGAAATGCAAATCGAAACCACAATGAGATACCATCTCAAGCCAGTTAGAATGGTGATCATTAAAAAGTCAGGAAACAACAGATGCTGGAGAGGATGTGGAGAAATAGGAATGCTTTTACACTGTTGGTGGGAGTGTAAATTAGTTCAACCACTGTGGAAGACAGTGTGGCGATTCCTCAGGGATCTAGAACGAGAAATACCATTTGACCCAGCAATCCCATTACTGGGTATATACCCAGAGGATTATAAATCATTCTACTAGAAAGACACATGCACACGTATGTTTATTGCAGCACTGTACACAATAGCAAAGACTTGGAACCAACCCAAATGCCCATCACTGATAGACTGGATAGAGAAAATGTGGCACACATATACCATGGAATACTTTGCAGCCATAAAAAGGATGAGTTCGTGTCCTTTGCAGGGACATGGATGAAGTTGGAAACCATCATTCTCAGCAAACTAACACAGGACAGAAAACCAAACACCGCATATTCTCATTCATAAGTGAGAGTTGAACAATGAGAACACATGAAAACAGGGAGGGAAACATCACACACTGGGGCCTGTGAGGGGGAAGGGGGCTAGGGGAGGGATAGCTTTAGGAGAAATACCTAATGTAGATGACGGGTTGATGGGTGCAGCAAACCACTATGGCACATGTATACCTATGTAACAAACCTGCACGTTCTGCACATGTATCCCAGAAACGTATAATTTAAAAAAAGGAAAAATAAAAGAAAGTATGGTAGGTACACACAGCAGTTATTATGCAGCCTTAAAAAAAGGAAAGCTATCACATACTACAACATGGATGAACATGGAAGATATTATGCTAAGAAAAAAAGGCCAGAACAAATGCTATACAATTCCACTCTTACAAAGTACCTAAAGGTGTCAAAATCATAGAAATAGAAAGTAGAGGTCGGGCGCAGTGGCTCATGCCTGTAATCCCTGCACTCTGGGAGGCTGAGGCAGGTGGATCACCTGAGGTCATGAGTTCGAGACCAGCCTGGCCAACATAACGAAACTCTGTCTCTATTAAAAATACAAAAAAGTAGCTGGGCGTGGTGGCGCGCACCTGTAATCCCAGCTACTCAGGAGGCTGACGCAGGAGAATCACTTGAACCTTGGAGGCGGAGGTTGCAGTGAGCCAAGATCGTGCCACTGCACTCCAGCCTGGGCAACAAGAGCAAAAACTCTGCCTCAAAAAAAAAAAAAAAAAAAAGAAAAGAAAGAAAGTAGAAGGTGATGACCAATGGCTAGAGGGAGGAATTAGTGTTTAGGGGTATACAGTTTAAGTGTTGCAAGATGAAAAAGTTATAGAGATCTGTTGCACAACAATGTGAATATACTTAATAGTACTGAACTATACACTTTAAAATGATTAAGATGGTAAATTTGTCAAGTCTAACGGAGCTTAAAGGTAAATAATGGAAAAAAGATGATAAATTTAATGGTATGTGTTTTTTACCAAAAAAAAAGAACATGCACGTGCACGTGTGCACACACACACACGCACGCACACACACACGAAGAGGGTGCAGGGAAGGAGGAGTGACACCACTGATAATGGAGTAATAGGGAGCTAAAATGATCTGTCCCTCCACTGAAACAACCATCAACCTGGCAAAAACTGTCAGAACAACTTTTATGGAACTCTGGAGTCCAATAAAAATCTCACAACAACAAGGGGTGATTAACAAAGAAAAAGGCTGCTAAATCATGTCTTTAAGAAACTCCAGATGCAGGCGGATCACTTGAGGTCAGGAGTTCAAGACCAGCCTCGCCAACATGGCAAAACCCTGTCTCTACTAAAAATACAAAAATTAGCCACGCGTGGTAGCACATGCCTGTAATCCTAGCTACTCGGGAGGCTGAGGCACGAGACTTGCTTGAACCCGGGAGGTGGAGGCTGCAGTGAGCCAAGATTGTGCCACTGTACTCCTGCCTTCCAAACAAACAAAGTTGTCAGGAAATCTCTATCAGAAAGTCTCAGCTTACTAATGAGGCTAAGGAATGGAGACTCAGTAACTGCACAATAAGGAATACAATCTTTGTAAAAAGTAGTTGGGAAAAGTCACTAAATAATAGATGACTGCAGTTCATAACAAGCAACAAAAGCAAACTGAGGAAGGAAAATTTGACTTCCAGAGTAAACCACATTATAATATTCAAAATTTCCAGTTTCCAACAAAAAAAACCATGAGGCATGCAACGAAAAGGGAAGTATGGCCCATTTACGGGGGAAAAAAAAAGAGAAACTGACAAAAACTGTCCCTAAGGAAGCTCTGACATTGTATTTACCATACAAAGACTAAATCAACTAGGCTGAAAGAGCAAAAGGAAACCACTGACAAAGAACAAAAGGAAACCAGAAGAATGATGTCTTAACAAAAAGAACAAAAAGCAGCAATAGAAAGATAACTGGAATACCTCTAACACATAAAAATTAAACATACTTTTAAATAAACATGGGTCAAAGAGGAGATCCCACAGGAAAACAGAAAATATTTCCATTAATAAAAGTGAAATTGTCCCTCTCCCTCTCCCTCTCCCTCCTCTCCCTCTCCCCACGGTCTCCCTCTCCCTCTCTTTCCACGGTCTCCCTCTGATGCCGAGCTGAAGCTGGACTGTACTGCTGCCATCTCGGCTCACTGCAACCTCCCTGCCTGATTCTCCTGCCTCAGCCTGCCGAGTGCCTGCGACTGCAGGCGCGTGCCGCCACGCCTGACTGGTTTTCGTATTTTTTTGGTGGAGACTGGGTTTCGCTGTGTTGGCCGGGCTGGCCTCCAGCTCCTAACCGCGAGTGATCCGCCAGCCTCGGCCTCCGGAGGTGCCAGGATTGCAGACGGTGTCTGGTTCACTCAGTGCTCAATGGTGCCCAGGCTGGAGTGCAGTGGCGTGATCTCGGCTCGCTACAACCTCCACCTCCCAGCCGCCTGCCTTGGCCTCCCAAAGTGCCCAGAGTGCAGCCACTGCCCGGCCGCCACTCCGTCTAGGAAGTGAGGAGCGTCTCTGCCTGGCCACCCATCGTCTGGGATGTGAGGAGCCCCTCTGCCTGGCTGCCCAGTCTGGAAAGTGAGGAGCGTCTCTGCCCGGCTGCCATCCCATCTAGGAAGTGAGGAGCGCCTCTTCCCGGCCGCCATCCCATCTAGGAAGTGAGGAGCGTCTCTGCCCGGCCGCCCATCGTCTGAGATGTGGGGAGTGCCTTTGCCCCGCCGCCCCGTCTGGGATGTGAGGAGCGCCTCTGCCCGGTCGCGACCCCGTCTGGGAGGTGAGGAGCGTCTCTGCCCAGCCGCCCCATCTGGGAAGGGAGGAGACCCTCCGCCTGGCAACCGCCCCATCTGAGAAGTGAGGAGACCCTCCGCCCGGCAGCTGCCCCGTCTGAGAAGTGAGGAGCCCCTCCGCCCGGCAGCCACCCCGTCTGGGAAGTGAGGAGCGTCTCTGCCTGGCAGCTGCCCCATCCGGGAGGGAGGTGGGGGGTCAGCCCCCCGCCCGGCCAGCCGCCCCGTCCGGGAGGTGAGGGGCGCCTCTGCCCGGCCGCCCCTACTGGGAAGTGAGGAGCCCCTCTGCCCGGCCAGCCGCCCCGTCCGGGAGGGAGGTGGGGGGGTCAGCCCCCTGCCCGGCCAGCCGCCCCGTCCGGGAGGGAGGTGGGGGGGTCAGCCCCCCGCCCGGCCAGCCGCCCCGTCCGGGAGGGAGGTGGGGGGTCAGCCCCCCGCCCGGCCAGCCGCCCCGTCCGGGAGGTGAGGGGCGCCTCTGCCCGGCTGCCCCTACTGGGAAGTGAGGAGCCCCTCTGCCCGGCCAGCCACCTCATCCGGGAGGGAGGTGGGGGGGTCAGCCCTCCGCCCAGCCAGCCGCCCCGTCCGGGAGGTGAGGGGCGCCTCTGCCCGGCCGCCCCTACTGGGAAGTGAGGAGCCCCTCTGCCCGGCCACCACCCCATCTGGGAGGTGTGCCCAACAGCTCATTGAGAACGGGCCATGATGACAATGGTGGTTTTGTGGAATAGAAAGCGGGGAAAGGTGGGGAAAAGATTGAGAAATCGGATGGTTGCCATGTCTGTGTGGAAAGAAGTAGACATGGGAGACTTTTCATTTTGTTCTGTACTAAGAAAAATTCTTCTGCCTTGGGATCCTGTTGATCTGTGACCTTACCCCCCAACCCTGTGCTCTCTGAAACATGTGCTGTGTCCACTCAGGGTTAAATGGATTAAGGGCAGTGCAAGATGTGCTTTGTTAAACAGATGCTTGAAGGCAGCATGCTCGTTAAGAGTCATCACCACTCCCTAATCTCAAGTACCCAGGGACACAAACACTGCGGAAGGCCGCAGGGTCCTCTGCCTAGGAAAACCAGAGACCTTTGTTCACTTGTTTATCTGCTGACCTTCCCTCCACTATTGTCCTATGACCCTGCCAAATCCCTCTCTGTGAGAAACACCCAAGAATGATCAATAAAAATAAAAATTAAAAAAAAAAAAAAAGTGAAATTGCAACATAAAACTTGGGGGACGCAAAGAAAGCTCTGCTTAGAGGAAAATTTAAAGTACTAAATGTTTACATTAGAAATTAAAAATATCTCATGAGAAAGGAATCATTACAACTGATATCACAGAAATACAAAGGTAGAGACTACTATGAACAACTATACACCAACAAATTGGAAACTGGGAAGAAATGGATAAATTCTTGGACACATATAACCTACCATGCTTGAACCATGAAGAAACAGAAAACCTGAACAGACAAGAAGTAATGAGACTGAAGCAGTAATAAGAAGTCTCCCATCAAATAAATGCCCAGAACCTGATGGATTCACTGCTGAATTCTACCAAACATTAAAACAACAATTCTACCTTAACTCAAAAAACTGAAGAGGAGGGAATACTTCCACAAAACTCATTCTATGAGGCCAGCATTATCCTGATACCAAAACCAGAAAAAAATACAACAATTAAAACTACAGGCCTCGCCGGGCACGGTGGCTCACGCCTGTAATCCCAGCACTTTGGAAGGCCAAGGTGGGCAGATCACCTGAGGTCAGGAGTTCGAGATCAGTCTGGCCAATATGGTGAAACCCCATCTCTACTAAAAATACAAAAAATTAGCTGGGCGTGATGGCGGGCATCTGTAATCCCGGTTACTTGGAGGCTGAGGCAGGAGAATCGCTTGAACCCAGGAGGCGGAGGTTGCAGTGAGCCAAGATTGCGCCACTGCACTCCAGCCTAGGTGACAGAGCAAGACTCCATCTCAAAAAATAAAAATAAAAGAACTGATAAACAAATTTAGTAAAGATGGCTGGGTGCAGTGGCTCATGCCTGTAATCCCAGCACTTTGGGAGGCTGAGACGGGCAGATAGCTTGAGCTCAGGAGTTTGAGACCAACCTGGGCAACATGGTAAACCCTCATCTCTACTAAAAATGCAAAAATTAGCTGGGTGTGGTGGTGGGCACCTGTAGTCCCAGCTACTTGGGTGGCTGAGGTGAAAGGACCACTTGAATCCGGGGGACAAAGGTTGCAGTGAGCTGAGATCATGCCACTGAACTCCAGCCTGGGTGACAGAACGAGACTCTGTCTCAAAAACAACAACAACAAAAAAAACACCTCAGTAAAGTTGCAGGATACAAAATCAACATACAAAAATCAGTAGCATTTACATGTGCTAACAGTGAATGATCTAAAAAAAAAACTAAAAAAAGCAATCCCCTTTACAATAGCTACAAAAAACTTAAAATACCTGGGAATAAATTTAACCAAATAATTGCAAGATCTCTACAAGGAAAACTACAAAACACTGATGAAAAAAATTGAAGGGGACACACAAAAAATGGAAAGATAGCATATGCACATGTATTGGAAGAACTAATATTGCTAAAATGTCTATACTACCCAAAAACGATCTATAGATTCCATGCAATCCCTAACAAAATACCAATGACATTCTTCACAGAAATAGAAAAAGCAATCCTAAAATTCACATAAAACTGCAAAAGATGCCAAATAACTAAAGCAATACTGAGCAGTAAGAACAAAGCTGGAAGCCTCATACTACCTGATTTCAAATTATATTACAAAGCTACAGTAACCAAAACAGCATGGTACTGGCATTAAAACAGATACATGGGCCAACAGAACAGCATAGAGAATCCAGAAATAAATCCACCCACTTATAGCCCACTCACTTTCCACGAAGGCACCAAGAACATTCACTGGGGAAAGAACAGTCTCTTTAATAAATGGTGTCAGGAAAACCGAATACCCATATGCAAAAGAATGAAACTAGACCTTTATCTCTTGCCATATACAAAAAAATCAATTGAAAATGGATTAAAAGACTTAAATGTAAGACCTGAAACTATGAAACTACTACAAGAAAATACTGGGGAAATGCTATAGGACATTGGTCTGGGCAAAGATTGTTTTGGAGTAAGAACTCAAAAGCACAGGCAACAAATGCAAGAATACACAAATATAATTACATTAAGCCAAAAAGCTTCTGTACAGCAAAGGAAACAATCAACAAAGTGCAGAGACAACCCACAGAATGGGAGAAAATATCTGCAAACTATCCATCTGACAAGGGATTAGGATTAATAACTAAAATATATAAGGAACTCAATAGCAAAAAACAAATAATCCAATTTAAAAATGGGCAAAATACCAGAACAGACATTTCTCAAAAAAAGACATAGAAATGGCCAACAGGAGCTCCTAAAGGAAGTACTTTAGTAAAAACACACTGAAGTATACAGACCAGTGACACTATGAAGCAACCATATAAACAAGTCTACAAAATAACCAGCTACCATCATGATGACAGGATTAAATTCACACGTAACAATATTAACCTTAAATGTAAATGGGCTAAATATGCCCCAATTAAAAGACATAGAATGGCAAGCTGGATAGAGTCAAGACCCATCAGTATGCTGTCTTCAGGAGACCCATCTTAAGTGCAGACACACATAAGCTCAAAACGAAGGGATGGAGGGAAATTTACCAAGCAAATGAAAAACAGAAAACAGCAGGGGTCACAATCCTAGTTTCTGACAAAACAGACTTTAAATCAACAAAGATCAAAAATGACAAAGAAGGGCATTACATAATGATAAAGGGTTCAATTCCACAAGAAGACCTAACTATCCTAAATATATATGTACCCAATATAGGAGCACCCAGATTCGTAAAGCAAGTTCGTAGAGACCTACAAAGAAACGTAGACTCCCACACAAAAATAGTGGGAGACTTTAATACCCCACTGACGATATTAGACAGACCATCTAGACAGAAAATTAACAAAGATATTCAGAACCTGAACTCAGCTCTGGATCAAGTGGACCTGATAGATATCTACAGAACCCTCCACCCAAAAAACAAAATATACATTCTTCTCATCACCACATGGCACTTTAAAATTGATCACATAATCGGAGGTAAAACACTCCTCAGCAAATGCAAAAGAACTGAAATCATAACAGTCTCTCAGACCACAGCACAATAAAATTAGAACTCAAAACTAAGAAATTCACTCAAAACCACACAACTACATGGAAACTGAACAACCTGCTCCTGAATGACTCCTGGGTAAATAATGAAATTAAGGCAGAAATCAAGAAGTTCTTTGAAACTAATGAGAACAAAGAGACAATGTATGAGAATCTCTGGGATGCAGCTAAACCAGTGTTAAGAAGGAAATTTATAGCACTAAATGCCCACATCAAGAAGCTAGAAAGATCTCAAAATTCACAACTAAAAGAACTAGAGAACCAAGAGCAAACAAATCCCAAAGCTAGCAGAAGACAAGAAATAACCAAGATCAGAGCTGAACGGAAGGAGACAGAGACACGAAAAACCCTTCAAAAAAACAAAAAATCAACAAATTCAGGAGCTTCTTTTTTGAAAAAATTAATAAAATAGATAGACCATTAGCTAGACTAATGAAGAACAAAAGAGAGAAAATCAAACAGACACAACCAGAAATGATAAGGGAGATATCACCACTGACTCCACAGAAATACAAACAACCATCAGAGAATACTATAAATACCTCTATGCACATAAACTAGAAAATCTGGAAGAAATGGATGAATTCTTGGACACATACACCCTCCGAAGAATGAACTAGGAAGGAACTGAATCCCTGAATAGACCAATAATGAGTTCAGAAATTGAGGCAGTAATAAATAGCCTACCAACCAAAAAAAGCCCAGGACCAGAGAGATTTATAGCTGAATTCCACTACAGGTACAAAGAAGAGCTGGTACCATTTCTACTGAAACTATTCCAAAAAATTGAAAAGAAGGGACTCCTCCCTAACTCATTTTATGAGGCCAGCATCATCCTGATACCAAAACCTGGCAGAGATACAACAAAAAAAGAAAACTTCGGCCGGCTGCGGTGGCTCACGCCTGTAATCCCAGCACTTTGGGAGGCCGAGGCAGGCAGACCACGAGGTCAAGAGATCAAGACCATCCTGGCCAACATGGTGAAACCCCGTCTCTACTAAAAATAGAAAAATTAGCTGGGCATAGTGGTACGCATCTGTAGTTCCAGCTACTCGAGAGGCTGAGGCAGGAGAATCACTTGAACCCAGGAGGCAGAGGTTGCAGTGAGCAGAGATCACGTCACTGCACTTCAGCCTGGTGACAGGGCAAGACGCTGTCTCAAAAAAAAAAAAAAAAAAAAAAAGAAAAAGAAAACTTCAAGCCAACATCCCTGATGAACACTGATGCAAAAATCCTCAATAAAATATGAGCAAACTGAATCCAGCAGCACATCTAAAAGCTTATCCGCCACCATCAGGTTGGCTTCATCCCTGGGATGCAAAGTTGGTTCAACATATGCAAATCAATAAACGTAATTCATCACATAAACAGAACTAAAGTCAAAAACATGATTATCTCAATAGATGCAGAAAATACCTTTGATAAAATTCAACATCCCTTCATGTTAAAAACTCTCAATTATCTAGGTACTGAAGGAACATACCTCAAAATAATAAGAGCCATATATGAAAAACCCACAGCCAGTATCATACTAAATGGGCAAAAGATGGAAGCATTCCCCTTGAAAACTGGCACAAGACAAGAATGCCCTCTCTCGCCACTCCTATTCAACATAGCATTGGAAGTTCTGGCCATGGCAACCAGGCAAGAGAAAGAAATAAAGGGTATTCAAACAGGGAGAGAGGAAGTAACATTATCTTTGTTTTCAGATGACATGATCCTATATATAGAAAACCCCATCACCTCAGCCCAAAAGCTTCTTCAGCTGATAAGCAACTTCAGCAAAGTCTCAGGATACAAAATCAATGTGCAAAAATCACAAGCATTTCTTTACACCAACAACAGACAAGCAGAGAGCCATATCATGAATGAACTCCCATTCACAATTGCTACAGAAAGAATGTAATACCTATGAATACACATAACAAGGGAAACGAAGGACCTCTTCGAGGAGAACTACAAACCACTGCTCAAGGAAATGAGAGAGGACACCAACAAGTGGAAAAATATTCCATGCTCCTGGACAGAAAGAATCAATATCGTGAAAATGGCCATGCTGCCCAAAGTAATTTACAGATTCAATGCTATTCCCATTAAACCACTATTGACATTCTTCACAGAATTAGAAGAAACTACTTGAAAATTCACATTGAATGAAAAAAGAGCCCAAATAGCCAGGACAATCCGAAGCAAAAAGAATTAAAGCTGGAGGCATCACGCTACCCGACTTCATACCACAAGGCTACAGTAACCAAAACAGCATGCAACTGGTACAAAGACAGACACATAGACCAATGAACAGAATAGAGAACCCAGAAGTTAGACCACACACCTACACACATCTAATCTTCGACAAACCTGACAAAAACAAGCAATAGAGAAAGGATTCTCTATTTAATAAGTGGTGCTGGGGAGAACCAGGTAGCCATATGCAGAAAATTAAAACTGGATCCCTTCCTTATACCATATACAAGAATTAACGCAAGATGAATGAAGGACCTAAATGTAAAACCCCAAACTATAAAAACCCTAGAAGAAAATCTAGGCAATACCATTCAGGACATAGGCACAGGCAAAGATTTTATGACAAAAATGCCAAAAGCAATTGCAACAAAAGTAAAAATTGACAAATGGGATCTAATTAAATTAAAGAGCTTCTGCACATCAAAAGAAACTATAATCAGAGTGAACAGACAACCTACAGAATGGGAGAAAATTTTTGCAATATATCCATCTGGCAAAGGTATAATATCCAGAGTCTAAGAGGAACTTAAACAAATTTATAAGAAAACAACCCCACTAAAAAGAAGACATTCAGCCGGGCGCGGTGGCTCACACCTGTAATCTCAGCACTTTGGGGGGCTGAGGCGGGCGGATCACGAGGTCAGGAGATGGAGACCATCCTGGCTAACATGGTGAAACCCAGTCTCTACTAAAAATACAAAAAAATTAGCTGGGCGTGGTGGCAGGCGCCTGTAGTCCCAGTCCCAGCTACTCGGGAGGCTGAGGCAGAAGAATGGCATGAACCCGGGAGGCGGAGCTTGCAGTGAGTCGAGATTGTGCCACTGCACTCCAGCCTGGGCGACAGAGCGAGACTCCGTCTCAAAAAAAAAAAGAAGAAGACATTCATGCGGCCATCATATGAAAAAAAGCTCAACATCACTGTTCATTAGAGAAATGCAAATCAAAACCACAATGAGACACTATCTCACACCAGCAGGATGGCAATTAAAAACTCAAAAAACAACAGATGCTGGTGAGGTTGCAGAGAAAAAGGAACGCTTTTACACTGTTGGTGAGAGTGTAAATTAGTTCAAGCATTGTGGAAGACAGCATGGTGATTCCTCAAAGATCTAGAGGCAGAACTACCATTTGACCCAGTAATCCTATTACTGGATATATACCCAAAGGAATATAAATAATTCTATTATAAAGATACGTGCACACGTATGTTCACTGCAGCAGTATTCCCAATAGCAAGGACATGGAATCAACCAAAATGCCCATCAATGATAGACTGGATAAAGAAAAGCTGGTACATATACAGCATGGAATACTATGCAGTCATAAAAAGGAACGACATCACGTCCACTGCAGGGACATGGATGGAGCTGGAAGCTGTTATTCTCAGCAAACTAACACAAGAACAGAAAACTAAATACCCCATGTTCTCACTTGTAAGTGGGAGCTGAATGACGAGAACACATGGACACATGGGAGGCGGGGAACAACATATACTAGGGCCTGTCAGTGGTGGGGAAGGAGAGTACAAGGAAGAACAGCTAATGGATGCTGGGCTTAATACCTAGGTGATAGGTTGGTCTGTGCAGTAAACCACCATGGCACACGTTTACCTATGTAACAAACCTGCACATCCTGCACATGTACCCCAGAACTTAAAAGTTGGAAAAAAAATGTCCAACAGGTATATGGGGAAAATGTCCAATATCACTCATCATCAGGGAAATAGAAATCAAAACTGCAATGAGAAATCATCTCACCTCAAGTTAGAATGGCTATTATCCAAAAGACAAAAAGTAACAAAAGCTGGAGAGGATTTGTTACTCTTCAGCATTTGGAGAAAGAGGAACATTCATACTACTGTTGGTGGGAATATAAGGTAGTACAACTATCATAGAAAACAGTATGGAGGTGTCTCGAAAAAGTAAAAATAGAACTACCATATGATCCAGCAATTTGACTGCTGGGCATATCCAAAAGGAAAGACATCAGTATATCAAAGAGATATCTGCATTCCCATGTTCACTGCAATACTATTCACAATAGCCAAGATATGGAATCAACCTAAGTGTCCATCAATGGACAAATGAGTAAAATTAAGAAATGTGGTATATATAAACAATGGAATATTATTTAGCCATTAAAACAAATGAAATCCTGTCACTTGCAGTAAAATGAAGGAAAATGGAGGTCATTATATTAAGTGAAATAAGCCAGGAATACGCAGACAAATATCGCATGTTCTCACTCATATGTGAGAGCTAAAAAAGTGGATCTCACAGAGGTGGAGAGTAGAATGGTGGTTACCAGAGGCTGGGAAAGGAAGCGGGGGATGAAAAATAGTTGGTTAATGGGTACAAAAATACAGTTAGATAGAAGGAATAAATTCTAGCATTCAATAGTACAGTCAAGAAATTACAGTTAATAATTTACTGCATATTTCAAAACAGCTAGAAGAGAATTATAATGTTTCTGACACAAAAATAAAGGTTTGATGATAGATATATCACTAAGCCTAACTTCATCATTACACATTGCATATATGTATCAAAATATCACATGTAACCCCAAAATATACACAATATGCTGTTAATATATCAACTTTATAAAATACCAAAATAAAAAAAAAAGGCTGGGCATGGTGGCTCACACCTTTAGTCCCAGTACTTCGGGAGGCCAAGGAGGGCGATCACTTGAGGTCAGGAGCTCGAGACCAGCCTGGTGAAATCCCACCTCTATTAAAAATGCAAAAATTAGCTGGACATGGTGGCGCCTGACTGTAATCCCAGCTACTCGGGAGGCTGAGGCAGGAGAACCACTTGAACCTGGGAGGTGGAGGTTGGAGCGAGCGGAGACTGCGCCACAGCACTCCAGCCTGGGTGACAGACCAAGACTCTGTCTCAAAAAAATAAAATAAAATAAAATAGAATAAAAATAGCAAAAAAAGAAACGAAAAAGGTCTCAAATAAATAATCTAAACGATCATCTCTGAAATTAGAAAAAGAATAAAATAAAACTACAGCAATCTTAACTACATTAAGAGTGGAATGTAACTGACAAAACATAGAAAATGAAACCAAAAATATTGAAAAGATCCATTAAATTGACACAATAAGGCCTGGCTCACACTTGTAATCTCAGCACTTTGGGAGGTCCAGAAGAGATGATCACTTGAGGTCAGGAGTTTGACACAAGGCTATGCAACACAGTGAGACCCCCATCTCCATAAAAATAAAAAAACAGCCAGTGGCATGCACCTGTAGCCCTAAAAACACTTTTTAAGTTAAAAAAAAAAAAAAGACAAAGTGCCAGCAAGAATGGCAAAGGAAAAAAAAAAGAGAAGAAACAATTTACCAATATCAAGAATGAGAAGGGAAAAGGGGGATATCACTAAAGACCCCATAGACATTTAAAGAATAATAGGGGAATTCTACAAACAACTCTATGCCCATAAATTCTGTAAGTTATATGAAATGGACCAATTCCTTGAAAGATACAAACTATAAAAACTCACCCAAACTCTTTCCCCTCTTTTCACTACTGCCCTTGGCTAGTCTTAAAAAATAAATAAATAAAAAATAAATAAATAACTCACCTAAAATCAAACAGATAACCTGAAAATTCTATATCTACTAAAGAAAATAAATCCAGGCTGGGTGTGGTGGCTCATGCCAATAATCCCAGCACTTTGGGAGGCCAAGGTGGGTGGATTACTTAAGGTCAGGAGTTCAAGACCAGCCTGGCCAACATGGTGAAACCTCATCTCTACTAGAAAAAAAAAATTAGCTGGGGAATGGTGGCACGCACCTATAGTCTCAGCTACTCAGGAGGCTGAGGCATGAGAATCACTTGAACCCAGGAGGCAGAGGTTGCAGTGAGCCGAGATCGTGCCACTGCACTCCAGCCTGGGTGACAGAGCAAGACTGGCTCAAAAAAACAAAGAAAAGAAAACAAAAAGAAAAATTCATAGTTAAATCCTTAACAAGAAATCTTAACAATGCATTCAAAATGTCTGTTTAATGACACTTCAAAAAAGAGGATATATGAATGGCAAACACACAGAAAGTTGTTTATTATCATTAGCCATTAGATGAATCACTAAATGAGATATCACTACATACTTATTAGGATGATTAAAATAACTATATTGACAAAACCAAGTGCTGATGAGTATGTAGAGCAACTGGAATTCCACATATTGCTAGTGGAAATGTAAAACAACCATTCTGGGAAACAGTTCAGTAGCTTTTTTTTTTTTTTCTGAGACAGAGTCTCGCTCTGTTGCCCGGGCTGGAGTGCAGTGGTGCGATCTCGGCTCACTGCAAGCTCCGACTCCTGGGTTCACGCCATTCTCCTGCCTCAGCCTCCTGAGTAGCTGGGACTACAGGCGCCCGACACCACGCCCGGCTAATTTTTTGTATTTTTAGTAGAGACGGGGTTTCACCGTGTTAGCCAGGATGGTCTCAATCTCCTGACCTCGTGATCCACCCACCTCGGCCTCCCAAAGTGCTGGGATTACAGGCGTCAGCCACTGCGCCCGGCCTTTTTTTTTTTTTTTTTGAGATGGAGTCTCACTCTGTCCCCCCAGGCTGGAGTGCAGTGATGCAATCTCGGTTCACTGCAACCTCCACCTCCCAGGTTGAAGCAATTCTTCTGCCTCAGCCTCCTGAGTAGCTGGGACTACAGGCACATGCCACCACACCTGGCTAAATTTTTTGTATTTTTAGTAGAGACAGGGTTTGACCATATTGGCCAGGCTGGTCTCGAACTCCTGACCTCGTGATGTGCCCGCCTTGGCCTCCCAAAGTGCTGGGATTACAGGCACGAGCCACCACACCCAGCCAGTGGTTTCCTGTAAAGTTAAAACACCCACTGCCCATACCGCCCAGGAATCCCATTCCTAGGTATTTACCCTAGAAAAATGAAAACTCATATTCACACAAGAACCTATACCTGAATGTTCACAGCAGCTCTATTTGTAATCACCCCAAAGTGGAAACAACTGAAATGACCTTCAATGGGTATAATCCATACAATGGAATATTACTCAGCAATAAAAAAGAACAAGCTTTTGATATGCAACAACATGAATGAATATTAAAGCCATTATGGTGGGCCGGGTGCAGTGGCTTATGCCTGTAATCCCAGCACTTTGGGAGGCTGAGGCGGGCGGATCACGAGGTCAGGAGATCGAGACCAGTCTGGCCAACATAGTGAAACCCCGTCTCTACTAAAAATACAAAAAATTAGCTAGGTGTGGTGGTGTGCGCCTTTAATCCCAGCTACTCAGGAGGCTGAGGCAGGAGATTCACGTGAATCCGGAAGGCAGAGGTTGCAGTGAGCCAAGATCACGCCATTGCCCTCCAGCCCAGGCGACAGTGCGAGGCTCCATCTCAAAAAAAAAAAAAAAAAAGGCATTATGGTAAGCAAAAGATACCAGTCTCAAAATATTACATACTGCATAATTCCATTTATATGACATTCTGGCAAAGGCAAAAACCACAGTGACAGAGAGCAGATCAGTGGTTGCTCGGGAGTAGAGGGAAGGCATGACTACAAAGGGGGTAGTAACACAAAGGAGGTTAGGGAGTGATCAAAGGGCTCTGTATCCTGATTATGGTGGCTGGAAGAATATAAACATGTGTATACCAAGAGAGTCAATTTTACTTCATGTTAATTTAAAAAATAAAATTTCAGGCCAGGCACAGTGGGTCACGCCTATAATCCCAGCACTTTGGGAGGCTGAGGCGGGTGGATCACCTGAGGTCAGGAGTTTGAGACCAGCCTGGCCAATATGTTGAAGTCCTGTCTCAACTAAAAATACACAAAATTAGCCAGGCGTGGTGGCGTACACCTGTAATCCCAGCTACTTAGGAGGCTGAGGCAGAAGAATCGCTTGAACCGGGGAGGCGGAGGTTGCAGTGAGCCGAGATTGCACCACTGCACCCCAGCCTGGGTGACAGAGCGAGACTCTGTCTCAAAAATAAATAAATAAAATAAAAATAAAATTTAAAAAACGCTTTACCAAAAAGCAGATTGAAAATACATCAACAGAGCTTTCAACTCAAGATGTTGAATACAGAAAAATTAAAAAGAGAATAAAATATCAAACACTAGAGATGATCAATAAAGCCAAAAAACTAGTTTTTGAAAAGACTAGCAATCAAATAAACTAGATGAACTATTGTTAAACACCACAACCAAGTACAAGTACAGCTAATCTCAAGAAAATATCGATTCAAAATTAGTAATTTTATTAATGTCATTCACTGTATTAACAAATTAACATAGAAAAACTATGTATTTATGTCCAAATATGCCAAAATTATTTGGTAAAACCTAATTTGATTCTTGATTTTAAAACAAAAAAAAATCTTTTAAAGTAAAGCTAGCCTGGACAACATGGCAAAACCCTGTTTCCACTAAAAACACAAAAATTAACCAGGAGTGGTGGCGTGCACCTGCAGTCCCAGCTACTCGGGAGGCTGAGGTAGAAGGATCACTTGAGCCCAGGAGGTGGAGGCTACGGTGAGCCAAAATTGCGCCACTACACTCCAGCCTGGGTGATAGAGCGAGACTGTGTCTAAATAAGTAAATAAATAGCTAGAGACTCCCCTGAACTCTATGAGAGTAGTCTAACAGAGACCTATATATTGAGTGGAGAAAGACTGGCAGTATTCCCTTTAAAGTCTGAAAACAGCACAAGGATGCCCCCATCACCACTATGACTCAACACTGTAATAAAACTGGAAGCTAGAGGTATGAATACTGGAGAGGAGGAGGATATTATGGGTTGAATGGTGTCCCCTAAAATTCATATGGTGAAGACCTACCCCTAGTATTCAGAATGTAACTATATTTAGAGATAGAGCCTTTTAAGAAATAATTAAGTTAAAATGAGACCATTAGAGTAGGCCCTAAACCAATCTGACTGGTGGTCTTATAAGAGGTGGTGATTAGGACATACAGAGAGACGTCATGGGCGTATATGCACAGAAGTATGACCACATGAAGAGGCAGCAAGACGAAGGCCATCTGCAAGCCAAGCAGAGAGACCTCAGGAAAAACCAACTCTGCCAGCACCTTGATCTTCAACTTTCAGCTGCCAAAAGTGTAAGGAAATAACTTTCTGTTGTTTAAGCCACCCAGTCTGTGATATTTTGTTATGATAGCCCTATCAAACTAATACAGGACACACAGATCATCTACCTCAACAACTCAAGACAATAAACTGAAAACAAATAGAACTAATAACAGTATAATAAGGTAGTCCAATACAGGATTGATATGGGAAAGAATCAACTACTGTCCTCCGTATTAGCAATAGCCAATTAGAAAACGTAATACATAAAAAGATGCCAATTTTACGAACCAAAATAAAATTTCTAGAAATAAACTGAAGAAGAAATAAACCAAAGAAGAGATACATACAAGAAGACCTGAATAAATAGAGACAGACTATGTTTGAAGACAGAAACAAAAGATGGCTGCTGCTCATACCCAAAAGGTAAATAAGAGAAAGATGTCTGGCTGGGCCTGGTGGCTCGCGCCTGTAATCCCAGCACTCTGGGAGGCTGAGGCGGGTGGATCACTTGAGGTCAGGAGTTCAAGACCGGCCTGGCCAACGTGGTGAAACCCTGTCTCTACTAAAAACACAAAAAATTAGCCAGGCGTGGTGGCGTGTGCCTGTAATCCCAGCTACTTGGGAGGCCAAGGCAGGAGAACTGTTTGAACCAGGAAGGCAGAGATTGCAGTGAGCCCAGATCACGCCACTTCATTCCACCCTGGGCGACAAAGTGAGACTCGGTCTCAAAACAAACAAACAAACAACAACAAAAAGACAAAACAATGATTTCAATGCTGTTCAGAAGTTGTACCAGTTCAAAAACAATTTTCCATAGTTGTTTACAACCAATCAGTGGTAGACTTTTTCACAACTACAGAGAAAGCCTTAGCAACATAAGAAGACATACAGACAAAAATTAAAAATCACACAAGTTTGCCTACCAGAGAAAAAATAAATGGTGACTATTTTCTACAAAATTTAGTTCTGATGGGATAGGCTACCTGACAGAGCAGATAAAGAAGTTGCAAAGACATTTCCCTCTGTTTTTTTTTTGTTTGTTTGTTTTGCCAAAAAAGATTGATAGGGACTAGGCCCTGGATCAGATTTTGATTTGATGAAGCTGGTATCTATTTAACCAAATGCCCTCAAAAGAATCCAGATTTGGAAAGAGGAAGTCTGAGTCCAGAGCTTAAGGCCATAGAGAAGCCACTGACTATAATGCCGGGTACAAATGCCATTGGGCTCTAACTTAGAACTGCTATTATTTGAGTCTGTATTTTGGCTTCAAAGTCACATAGATTTTGAGGGCTGTGGCCCTAATCTCTTTTTGCCTGCCTTATTGTTTTTAGTGCACAAATTTTCAGGACATGAGGTTATATTCAGGAATGCGCAAATCCCAGTATAGCCGAAATGCCTCTGATGAAAGATAGGTCTCCATAAATTAATCCACAAACACCATGCAATCCTTTGAAAAGCTGATTCTAAAATCCATCTGGAATAGAAAAAGCTCAACAGCAGCCTCGAAATTCTGGAAAAATAAGAAAAAGTAGGGAGGTCTCTCCTTGGTAAGCTGCCTTTCCATGGTTGCTGGGCAAAGTAGGGAGGCGAAGGAGGGAGGAGAGGCTGAGTGAGCTGTTCTAAGAGGAGCGGTTAAATCAAGTCCAGACATCTTAGCTGCAGGTCAATGTGATTTGACTGCTCACAGTAGAGTGGGTGGCCAGGGGAACCTGGCATGTCCCTAAAACAAATCAAAGCTTAGCTCAAAGATGAGAGCCTTGGTGAGCATCTGTGGTCTCCTCAGGTTCACAGCAAGGTCTGCAGAGGGGATTTGCTCTACCAGAAACAAAGTCTGTGGTAACTAACCTACATGGTATTGTCACAGGAATAGACAAGTTGATTTTCATTTTCTTTTTTAGCATCTGTTTGGTAAAATAAAAATTTGTTTTGACAAGTTGATTTTATGGAACAGAATAATATTAATAATATCTAATACACAGTACTTACTTATCATGTGCTGGGCAATGTTTTAAGTGCTTTCTGTATATTTATTTAACTCTCATAACAACCTATGAGGTAGGTATGACTATCACAGAGAGGCATAGAGAGGTTAACTAGCCTGACCAAGGTCATATAGCTATTAAGGTACAGAACTTGGACTAAAGTGGAAAACAAATCCCCATATATATGGGAATTTCGTTTATGACAAAGGTAGAACTTCAAGTCAGGGGGATAATGATGAATTAGTCAATAAATGGTGCTGGGGGAAATGACTACTGATGTGGAAAAAAATAAAGTTAGATTCTAACCTCCCACAATTCACAAAAACTTAATTCCAGATAAAGAGCTAAAATTTTAACTCCTATACAAGTTTTAGGGGAAAATATAAGAAGGCCTTCTTAATCAAAACATAAAATACAAAAAACTATTAAAAACTGATAAAGATGGCTGGATGCAGTGGCTCACGCCTATAATCCCAGCACTTTGGGAGACCAAGGCAGGAGGACCACTTGAGCCCAGGAGTTTGAGACCAGCCTGGGCAACATGGCGAAACCCCATCTGTACAAAAAATAAGCTGGGTGTGGTGGTATGCACCTATGGTCCCAGCTACCAGGGAGGTTGAGGTGGGACTGCAGAGGTCTGAGGCTGCAGTGAGCCATGATTGCGCCACTGCACTCCAGCCTGGGAGACAGAGTGAGACTGTGTCTCAAAAAAAAAAAAAAAAATTGATAAAGATGACAATGTAAAAATCAAAATCATCTACATGCTAGAAAGACATAATAAAATTAAACACAAACCTAAAAGGAAATATTTTTCAATAAATCCAGAATATACAAAAAATACTCCAACACATCTAGAATATATAAGGAACTCTTACAAATCAATAAGAAAAACAAAACATCCCAACAGAAAAATGGGTGAAAGACTGAATGGAAAATTCACAGAAAAGGAATAAAGAAGAGTCAATAAACACGTAAAACAAACAAGACACCATCTTTTGCCATAAGGTTGGCAAAAATTAAAAAGGCTGATAGTATCCATTGCTGGTAAGACTATGGGTAAACAGGTATGTTTCATACACTGATCATGTACTGGCCCTTTTGGAGGGAAATTTGGCACTATTTATTAACATTTGTCTTCTACATACCCTTCAACTCAACAGGTCTATCCCCCCTAGAAAAATATTAACTGGCACACAGGTACAAAAGGTTACTGTAAGAATTTTCATTGCAGCATTGTTAGTAAAAGTAAAAACTTAGGAACAACTTAAATGTCAATCAGTAGGGAATGATTAAACATATGATATATTTCTATATTACAGAACACTATGCAGCAGATAGATCTCTGTATTGATAAGGTATATCTCTGCACTGACATTGAAAGAAAACTAAGCAAGTTGCAGAACCACACACACTAAAACTACACTTCTGTCTACATATGAATGTAAACACAACAAAATAAAAGGTATACATGAAAATGATGACAAAGGTTATCTTTGGGTTCAGAGAGGAAACAGTGTTAGTCAAAAAGAATTTTTGCTTTCTCCATCTTCTTCTAATTTTGGTCAATAAGCATTAACCATATTTGTATAACTTTTGAAATATTAAAACAATGGCCGGGCGCGATGGCTCACGCCTATAATCCCAGCACTTTGGGACGCCAAGGCAGGCGGGCAGATCACTTGAGGCCAGGAATTCGAGATCACCCTAGCCAACATGACAAAACCTTGTCTCTAGTAAAAATACAAAAATTAGCCAGGCGTGATAGTACACGCCTGTAATCCCAACTACTCGGGAGGCTGAGGCACGAGAATTGCTTGAACCCAGGAGGCGGAGGTGGCAGTGAGCTGAGATGGCACCACTGCACTCCACCCTGGGTTAATGAGGGAGATTCTGTCTCAAAAAAAACAAAACAAAACAAAACAAAAAGCACTTACATTATACAGTCACCTGTATTACACAAGAGTGCCTGATACACTGTGGTACTCAATAAAATCTTGGATTAAAAAAAGGAGTCATCTCTTAAATGTAAAAAGCTCACTGAAAGGTCATTATGTATCTCTGCAAGGGACAAACTGGCCAACGCAGGACACAAATGACACAGATGATGGCAGTCAAACAGGCAAGAGAAAAAAAGAGTCACCAGCGGTAAAGGTTGGACATTAGTAAAAATAGATGATAGCAAATTATAACTACCATTTTTTGAAGGCTTCCCATGAGCAAGAAACTGTGCCAGATGATCTGTGTGAGCATAATCTCAAATTCTTAACATTAACCTGTGAGATATTCCCATTTTACAAATTAGGAAAATATGGCTTAGAGAAACTAAGTATCAGGCTTAAGACCAGGACTTTGTTCACTACAAGCTGTCCTCTATTGGGACTAGGATGGAGACTGGGACTGAGGAGACCCCTTCTGGCCTGAACCCATGTGCTTAGCTGCCCTTACTATACTCTGCATCCTTGAAGCACGCTCCCAAGCTGTCCTGTTCATCCAGACTGGCGTTCTCCTCCTCCTCCTCGCTCTCGGTTCTCCAGTATGCTGGCCGCTTGATGGGCCGCTTCCCTGGGGTGCGCTGGGAAGCAGGACTGTTAGACACTGTGCCCAGCCCACTGCTGGAGCTCCCACTGCTTCGATCCTGTCCCCCAGTCCACCAGGCCTGCAGGCTAGAGGTAGCCGGTGAGGACGATGAGGACTGCAGGTTGGCCATGCACAGCATGCCCTGGATGGCCTCCTGAGTGCTGGGAGAAGCTGGGGCCTCGCTGCAAGGAACAGAGGAGAAATACTGAGAGAGTTGTTTTTAGCTGTCAGAGTAAATCGGTCATCAGAATACTCAGGGAGGAGGGATGATAGCTATGAGGATCAAAGTGGGAGGAAAAAGGGGAGAATCATCCAAAGTGAAAAATTTGGAATTAAGTTTAAGGATCAAGACAGTATCATAGATTGCTTTCACGAAAAGCCAGTCCTTTTTGTGTTGTCTCTCCACAGACAGCAGGCAAGGTGGCAAAAAAGGGGCACACTTCCCTCCCTGTTTAGGCATGCTGCATTCTTTCCTTTCATTGTTTTTGTAACAATTCTCCTTGCTTGACTCTTCCAGCCCCTCTTCCCAACTTCCTAAGTGCCCAAAATTGATTCCTCTTGAAGTCTATACATCTTATTGCCATCAGATCTTAAGTTCCTTAGGAGTGGTTTCATGCCTACTTTATTCTTTCACCCAAATGCCCTGGATAATTCTTTGTCCCTTTAAATAGCTCTATAAATATCTACTGATTGGCTGACCTGGCACCTTGGGCGGGAGCGGGGGTTGCTGTCTGATAGCCTGGAAAGGGGAGATAAAAGCCAGTACTCACGTGAGGGCAGCATAGTCAGGTCCCCCCACCTGCCTGCTGGCCTTGAGCAGATCAAGAATGCCACCAGCGCCACTACCATTCCCAAGCTTGCCTTCAACCCCTTCCACCATGTCCTCATCTGTTGTATAGTCCTCCTGTTGGAGAGAGAGTGTATCACCTCAGCTGCCCAGGATTGGTCTGGTAAGGCCCCAGTACAGGGGCGATGATCTGACTCCTGATATTAATATCTTCTGAGCACCAAGTATAGACCAAGTACTAAGCAGAATATTCATTCTTTTATCTTAATTTCCAAGGCATCTTTGTGAGCTAGGTAGTATACTCCCATTTTAAACAGATAAGAAAACTAAGGCTCAGGGAAGTTAAATAATTTGTGTAAGGTCACATCAGATACTCCATATCACATACTCTTTCTGCTACATCGCACTGACTTTTTATTTTTTGTTTTCAGACAGAGCCTCGTTCTGTCGCCAGGCTGGAGTGCAGTGGCACGATCTCGGCTCGCTGCAACCTCTGCCTCCTGGGTTCAAGCGATTCTTCGGCCTCAGCCTCCCAAGTAGCTGGGACTACAGGGGTGTGCCACCACGCCCAGCTAATTTTTTAGCAGAGACAGGGTTTCACCATATTGGCCAGGATGGTCTTGATCTCTTGACCTCATGATACGCCCACCTCAGCCTCCCAAAGTGCTGGGATTACAGGCGTGAGCCACCACGCCCGGCCCACACTGACTTTCATTCTATTCTGTATTAAAGGATGTTTAAGGTATTTCAACTAAATTGAAATCTTCCATTTATATGCTCAGCAGCACTTGGCACACAATCTTTCACTTAATAAATATTTCACTGTATGCAGTGGCTCACCCTGTGATTCCAGCACTTTGGGAGGCCAAGGCAAAAGATCGCTTGAGCCCAGGAGTTTGAGACCAGCCTGGGCAACACAGCGAGACCCTATCTCTACAAAAAAAAATTTTTTTTAAAGAATTAGCTACATTGGTGGTGTGAGCCTGTGGTCCCAGCTACTAGAAGGCTGAGCTGGCCCCGGAGGTCAAGACTGCTGTGAACCATGATCATGCCATTGTACCCCAGCCTGGGCAACAGAGCGAGGAGACTCTGTCTCAAAAAATAATAGTAATAATAAATAAATTATTCAGGAAATGAATGCAAAGGATGTCTTCCTCCCTGCATATCCCCCAACTAGAATGACAATCTGTCTTCTGTCTCTATCACCAGAATGAGCAGAAGACTAGATCCAGGGCAGAATCCTACCTCAATGTCAAACTCAACTTCTCCTGGTTCACGAACTCGGTTGGGGTCAGAGCAAGGCTTCGCACGGGGCAATTTCCGGGGAAATTCTAGAAAACAATGGAATGCACTTATTATGAAGCTATGATTAGCATTTCAGCCAAATACCCAGAAGAAAAAAATAAGACTAATTTTCTTGGAAGTAATGACCACAGATGACTAATTTAGAGGTTAGGGATCAGGTGATAAATAAATCTTTAGAACAAAGGAAACAATGAAGGCCTACAGAACATAGTATAGCAAAATGTCAACAAGCTCAGGCCTAAGGTCTTAAGTCTATCAAGAGGGCCAAAAACAAATATAAAATGGGCAAGGGCTGGGCGTGGTGGCTTGCACCTGTAATCCCAGCACTTTGGGAGGCTGAGATGGGCGGATCACCTGAGGTCAGGAGTTCGAGACCAGCCTGATGAACATAGTGAAATCCCATCTCTACTAAAAATACAAAATTAGCCAGGCATGGTGGCACATGCCTGTAATCCCAGCTACTCAGGAGGCTGAGGCAGGAGAATCACTTGAACCCGGGAGGCGGAGGTTGCAGTGAGCCAAGATCGTGCCATTGCACTCCAGCCTGGGCAACAAGAGCAAAACTCCGTCTCAAAACAAACAAACAAAAAAACGGGCAGGGGAGGAAAAAGAAAGAACAGACACACACTTGGTCTTATTATCAGGGTCGCCTTCTCCTTTCCCAATCTCTCGTCAATCTGCAGCTCATCATCTGAATCCAAGTCAAATTCGTCTTCCATCACCTGTTCTGCCATCAGCCTAGCCTTGTCTACCTTCTTTGCTATCTTGGTTCGCCGAGATTTGGATAAACTCTTCACCCTTTTCGTACTGAAGGGAAGGAGAACATAAAAACAGTCACTAGCAGTATTGTTAGTCGCTAGCAAGATTGCAATTCTCTCTACATTGACCTACAGATTCAATACAATCCCTATCAAAATCCAGCCAGCTTTTTAAATAAAAAGCTGATAGTAAAACGTACATGGACATAGAAAGGACCTAACACAGCCAAAATAATTTTGAAAAAGAACATTGGATGACTTATACTGCTCAATTCCAAAATTTACTCTAAAGCTATGGTAATCAAGGCAATGCAATACCAGCATAAAGACAGACATACAGCAGTGGAAAAGAGTTCCGAATAAACCCGTACAGTTATGATCAAATGATTTTTGACAAAAGGTGCTAAAGCAGCTCAGTGAGGGAAAGGATGGTTTTTTTCAGTAGAAGTTGCTGAGAAAAATGGATACAAAGAAATAAATGTGGACCCTTATCTCACATCATATACAAAAATTAACTTAAAATGCATCATAGATCTAAATGTAAAACCTAAAACTATAAAACTAGAGTAAAACACAGAAAAATATCATTATGACCTGGGATTAAGTAAAATTAAAAATTTTTGTATTTCAAAAGAAACCATTAAGAAAATAAAATATAAGCCACAGACTGGGAGAAAATATTTGGAAATCGTTTATCTGGCAAAGGATTTGTATCCAAAAAAAAATTTTTTTTTTTTTTTTTCTGAGACAGAGTCTCGCTCTGTCACCCAGGCTGGAGTTCAATGGCATGATCTCAGCTCACGGCAACCTCCGCCTCTCAGGTTCAAGTAATTCTCTTGCCTCAGCAAGACTCCGTCTCAAAAAAAAAAAAAAAATACTGTATTGTATACTTGAAATTTCATAAGAGAGTAGACCTATGTGTTCTCACCACAAACACACACAAAAATGGTAAGTATGTGAAGTGATGCATATGTTAATCAGCTTTACTGGCATAATCATTTCACAGTATAGATTTTATCAAATATCACATTGTATACCTTAAATATAGACAATTTTTATATTTGCTTTTTTTTTTTTTCTTTTTGAGATGGAGTCTTGCTCTGTCGCCCAGGCTGGAGTACAGTGGCATGATCTTGGCTCACTAAAACCTCCCGCCTCCTAGGTTCAAGCAATTCTCCTGTCTCAGCCTCCCAAGTAGCTGGGATTACAGGCACCCACCACCATGTCTGGCTAATTTTTATGATTTTAGTAGAGACAAGGGTTTCGTCATGTTGGCCAGGCTGGTCTCAAACTCCTAACAAGTGATCCGCCCACCCTGGCCTCCCAAAGTGTTGGGATTACAGCTGTGAGCCACTGCACCGGGCCACAATTTTTATTTTTTAAAAAACACATACAATGAGTTACCACTTTACATCCACCGGAATGGCTATAGTCAAGAAGAAAAAAAAAATAACAAATGTTGGCCAGTAAGTGAAGAAACTCATGATTGCTGGTTGAAATGAACATTGCCTTTGTCCAGAACTCAAAAGTGGCTTAGATAATCTTGTTACACATAGTAGATGATATTAACCAATATAAACTGCTGGAAAAACCTCAATGGCTACAGTCAAAAAGAAAAAAAAAACAACAAACGTTGGCCAGTAAGTGAAGACACTCATGATTGCTGGTTGAAATGAACACTGCCTTTGTTCAGGACTCAAAAAGTGGCTTAGATAATCCTGTTACACATAGTAGACGATATTAACCAATACAAACTGCTGAAAAAAACCTCATAAACAGTTAAAAAGAAACATGTTTTTGGTAAATCAGTAAATTGATACATTTAGCAACTAGTAATTTGGTTAAATTGACTTTCAGTGAATTGTCTGTCATTTAACTGACCTATTTTCTACTTCAGAGGGTTGAGGATTAAATGAGCTCATACAGAGCTTGATCCATGGCAACTGCTCCATGTAGGTAATATTATAAGGTTCTCTGACTCTCAGTTTTCACCTTAGTAAAATGGGGATACTACTACTTACTTTTGGGGTTGTGAGGATTAAATAAAATAGTGTATATAAACAGCTAAGATAGACTTTGACACAGAGGAGATGCTCAATAAATGACAGCTATGTATGCCCTGATCTTTTATTAACTTCTAATAATTAAAAATTTCAGCTGGGTTGTGGTAGTGCATGTCTGTAGTATCAGCTAACTCAAGAGGCTGAGGCAAGAGAACTGCTTGAGCCCAGGCAATACAGCAAGACCCTGTCTCTAATAATTTTTAAAAAAATTTTAAAGAAAAATTTCAAATACACAAAAATATAAAAGTAGAATTAATTCTCATATACCTATCACTCAGCTAAGTTTCAGCAATTATCAACCCAGCCAGTCTTGTTTCATCTACACCTCATTCTCTTCAAAACACCAAGTTTGGAGAGAAGCCCAGACATAGCATCACATCATCTGTAAATATTTCTATACTTTGACTATCTGGGTTCACTTAACAGCTTCTGACAGCTGCAGCGGGTAATAGGCAGCAGCACAAGAAGGACTGCTGGGGGTGGGGCAGGGGCAGGAAATGTCTTATTGTACCTTCAATAGCCATTATAGGCTAGACTCCTAGGACTCTGAATTTTCTCCTGTCCAGGAGACCTATCATGAGTTCTGGACAAAGGCAATATTCAACGGTCTCTCTAATCTTACACTTTAGTAACTGGATTCTCAAACCCCAAGAATAGCTCTGTTGCTTTCAGAATCTGCCCTACTCTCACTCCTTTTTCCCTTATTTTCCACCCAGATGGGCCCAGATGGACCTGAAGGTAACCTTTTCCTACAAGGAGGCAATTAAGCTACCTTTGTTGTTTGTGTTCCTACATCGTTCATACTCTGCACTTGGCTCTTGACTGCTGATGTCTAGTGTTCTGAGTATCTAGAAAATAGCCCTTACTGCCTTCCCCTGCCTCTATGTATTTCAGGGTTTCTGACAATCTTCTTGGATTCTGGTCATACCCACATCATTATCACCATCTTCATGGAGAATTCTTTTGTCTCTATCTTCATCATCATATTTATAAGAACTACCATGTATTAAGTATTAATTATATGGCAGGCCCTGTGGTTAACGTTCTACGTATATTATCTCATTTAATCCTCCAACAACCCTAAGGTAAGTTTTAACTATAGAATACATATAATGAGGACACTGAAGCTCAGATAGGTTCATTAGTTTGCCAAAGTAGAACACTGAATATGTGTCACAGCTGGGATTTAAACCTCGGACTGCCTGATTCCCAAGTCCATAATTTTGTTGTAAACAGCTTTTATTTTATTCTTTTAGAACTTGTTCTTTTAAAATTATTTAAAGAAAAGTAAATAAATATTTAAAGAAAAGTAAATACGTGCTCATTGTACAAAATTCAAATGCTACTGAAGTGAAAATTTGCTCTTACCTTCCCTATTGTACTTTCCAGGGATAACCACTGTTAAAAACTTGGTATAACAAGGCCGGGCATGTTGGCTCATGCCTGTAATCCCAGCACTTTGGGAGACCGAGGTGGGCGGATCACTCGAGGCCAGGAGTTCGAGACCAGCCTGGCCAACATGCGGAAACCCTGTCTCTACTAAAAATACAAAAATTAGCTGGGCATAGTGGCATGCGCCTGCAGTCCCAGCTATTTGGGAGGCTGAGACACGAGAATCACTTGAACCGAGCAGGGCAGAGGTTGCAGTGAGCTGAGATCGCACCACTGCATTCCAGCCTGGTAACAGAGTGAGACTCTGTCTCAAAAAAAAAAAAAAAAAAAAAAAACAAAACTTGGTATGAGAAGTATAAAATATATAACTAGGCCAGGCAAGGTGGCTCACACCTGTAATCCCAGCACTCTGGAGGCTGAAGTGAGAGGATCACCTGAGTCTAGGAGTTAGAGCTCAGCCTGGGCAATAACAGAGACCCCATCTCTATTTTTTTTTAAAGGTATTTACATATATATAACACACTATTTATTTGCCTAAATGTACATACATATCTCTGGAAGGAAACCACTGACATTGGTTGTCCATGGGAAGGTAACAGGGAAAGAGAGATGGGTGTGAGATTTTTCACTGTGTGCTCTTTCACACTGTTTTATTTCTAACGCTTGTATATTGCATTTTTAAACCTCTTCAAAAAATACAAATGTCTATATACAGCTTTTCCATACGTGCATACATATACACATGTGCATACATGCCCTTTTAAAAGTAAAAATGGAACTATTCCTATGTATTATTATGTAACCTGATTTTAAAAATATACCTTGAACATCTTTCTGTGTCAATATTTAACTGTCTCATTCTTTTTAACAGCTACATGATATTCCATTCTATAGATGTACCATCATTTATTTATCTAGCCCTTACTGATGAACATTTGGATGTTTCCAATTACTATTACAAACAATGGTGCAGTGAACACTGAACATTTATCGTTACACACTTGTGTGCAAGGATTTCTGTAAACTAAATTCCTAAAAATCTAATCGAAAGTCAAAAGGTATAGAAAAAACTAATGCTTTTAGTAAGTATGCTATACTTATTGCTGCCAGTGGTTCTCTCCCAATGACTTGCTGAAGTTTCTAGAACTGATAAAATCTTTCTCAGGCTTGCCAATTCGATTTCAGACCTCTCACTCTACCCACCTCCAACACCACACCATGGTTCTCTGAACTAAGCAACAATACATTATAATATCTAGGTATTGCCCTAAGTACAGTCCCTCCTACCCATGTCCCAACCCCTAGATTCCAATTCCATGCCCTGTCTCAGTGGCATATTACCACTGACAGTCCCAGTACCTCTGTGCTCCTCCTTCCCACCTCACCTGCCGTTAGACATCAATAGGGCCAATGGGCTCTCATTTCCATCAAGGTCCAAGTCTGGTGAGTCGTCATCTGAGTCATTCAAGCAGGCACCAGTGATGTTGAACTGTAGAAGTAGGAGACTCAGCCGTTACCTGTCTGGGACTCCCATGGGAATCACGATGGCAAGTTCCCTCTGGTTTCACTGGTTCAGTTCACTGTCAAAACCACCTGAGCCAAGGCCTTCTGCTATACTGTCCCCCCATACCCCCACTGATCACAGGAGCAGGAGGTTGAAAATGTGTGGTTGGTTCAGGGGACACCTGTCAATCTTGTGAACCATGTTCCCTTAAAAAAGAGGGGGCACATCTTCAGATGCCCATGGAGAGAATCACAATCTTGAGGCAAGATGGAGCCCTGGTGGAGGGCTTTTCTCAAGGACCTGCTCAAGACTACAACCTGACACACGCAATGTTTTCAAATCTCATTCCCGTCCCAGCATTTCAAAATTCAGCTAAGTGTTATGTTTTCTGAAAAGAGCTCCTGAAAATCTTCCCTACCCAGACAGAATCAACCCTCCTCTGTATCTCAGGGTCCCACACACACCCCTGATTGTGGCATTCACAATACTTGATTGCACTCATTTGTTTTTATGCCTGTCTTTCTCACTCGCCTGTCAGCCTCTTGAGAGTCACATCCACAGCACCTATCACAGTGCCCGGCATAGAAAAGGTCTCAATAAATGCCTATTAAATGAGTGGGACTGGTAGCCAAACAGCAGGGGGTCTAAGGGACATGGCAGCCAGACAGGATAGCCTGCTTTTTGAAACCCTGCTCTTCCAAGGGACACCCAAAAGGGTTGGGCTGAACCCATGGGCCAGCACCCACCTTTGCTTTCTGGAAAGAGCCTGTCTTCAGTGCCTGATGACTGTATGTGTCCATGAGATTATAGCTCAACTGGCCAGCAGGCCCCAAGGCTGAACTCTCCTTGCCCTTTCGCTCTGCCTTCTTGAAGAGTTCCTTGGGCTTCAGGCCTTTCTTCTTTGAACCATTTTTGGAGGGCAGTGACAGCCTGGACATGGACACTGAAGTGGAATGGGCTGGCCTGGTTAGGGGAATGGAGCCGGCTGGGAAGATCCTCTGCAGCCCAAAGATATTGCTCGTCTTCCCAACGTTCTGTTGGAAGATGTCCTACAAGAGTGTTAGTACATGAGGGGGTTAGAGCTTACTCAAGGGTTCTCTCAACACTAACAGCAGAGGTCTGTTCCTGGTACTGGTGGTACTGCCATGGAAGTGGCTTATAGATGCTCCACATATGCACACCCTAGCTTTTACATAATGAGTCATCAAGAATTTATTGGGTGGCATTTCTTTACCCAGCCATTGACAAGTAAGAAGACGAGCAAAGCACTACTGTCAAAACTGGAGAGAAAATACTCCATTAAGTAGCTGACATGAGACAGAAAATAATCAAGTACTAATCTGTGTGGTTCAAATTCTAAGGACTACAGGATTTGAGAGAAGGAGAGGTTCTAGTCCTAATTCTGCTGCTAGCTAGCTCTGTAACTAGCTCAGGAAAGTTATCTGACCATTTGAGACTGTTTGCTTAGCTGTAAAATTAAAGGACTAGACTGGAAAGGTGATTTTTGAAGATGTTCTGTGGCTCCTTTGAGCTTCTTGGGAGGAGCCCCGAGAATCGGGGGAAGGTAGAAGGCGAATGAGAAGAACAAGTGGAGCCCTGGGCCTCCCACCTTCATCTTATTCAAAGCAGTTATGCTTTGAATATTGGGCTTCCACCTAAGATGTCATTTTAAAAAAAGGATTCCATTGCTTTAAAACATTTGAAAGCCCATGGACCACATATAATCTATCTCTAAGTCCTCTTCCAACCAGCCCAAAGTTTTGTGGTTTAAGTGAGAGGCGCTGGAGAAAAGGTAAGCCTTTAACTATCCTGAATGATTTTGACAGATGGGACTGGAGGAAAATGAGAGGTAGGAGGTGGACACTGTAAGCTATGGTGTAGGCAGTGAAACATGCTGCAAGCATTGAGGCTAGAAGCACAACTTCCCAGCTCACTTTGACCACCCTTCAGCATGGATGTATATATCCTGGGCACTAAATAAAACTTTACAGCTTCTGAGCTTAAAGGAATTCTCCTCTGGTGCCTCTGCTACTTCACCATCCCACACCAACTTCTCTCTTTGCTATTAAAGTCTACTAATAACAATGGCTCACATTTATTGAGTACTTACTCTGCCAGGCACTGTGCGAGGGGCTCTACATATATTAGCTTTTGATCCTAACAAAATCCTGAAAGGTTGATGTTATCCTCACTTTACAGATGAGGAAACTGAGGCTCTGAAAGGCTTGCAAGTGACAGAGCAGGAACCAGAACCCAGGTTTCTCTGAATCTCTTACCACTATACCTTACTGCCTCGTGGTATATGCCACCTGTTGAAACATGGCTTTGTAATCATCTTCACCCCGAGAGAACTGTCATTTTGCAGAATGCAGAGACTGAGTCAAAATATTAATAATAACAACAACTACAACTACCACCACCACCCACCACCACGACCCACCGTCAGAATTTACTGTGCACCTACTGTGTGCCAAGCACTCTATTTTTGTGCTCAACCCACATTACCTTATTTAATCCTTTTAACAATCCTCGAGTAGGTACAATTATCCCCATTTTAGAGATGAGGAAACTGAAACTCAAAGAGGTTAACTTTGCTCAGGGTCCTCTATTAGGCTGAGTTCTTTGTGGGCAGGCACTATTTACGTATTTTAAGAGCCTAGCCCAATGTGCGGCACACTTGAAACACAGTAATAATTATTTGAACGAATGAATTGGGTCTTTGGTAGGGTCTTCCCGACCCTTCCCCTGGGCTCTCATGCTAACTGCAGAGGCCTAACCTGCCACTTGAGCCTCAAGGCCTTTCCAAATGCCTTTTCTTCCCTGCCCCATGCTCCTTACTTCCACCAGGCGGATCTCCCTGGCCAGATCTTTAATGAGCTGTACGGTTCGCACTGTCTCCGGGATCTCATCCTCATGGTCTGGCAGAGCCTGTCAAACAAGAGGCATGAGGAATAAACCCACACATAAAGAGACAACTGATTTTGGACAAATATGCCAAGGCAATTCAATGGAGAAAGAGTAGTCTTTTCAACAAATGATTCTGGACCAATTGGATATCCACATGCAAAAAAAAAAACAAAAACAAACAAACCTCAATCCCTATCTTGCACCATACACACAAACACAAACTTAAAATGGATCATAGACCTAAATGTAAAACCTAAAACTATACACCCTTTAGACCATGCTTGCCCAACCCACTGCCCAAGATGGCTTTGAATGCAACTCAACACAAATTAGCAAACTTTCTTAAAACATTATGAGACTTTTTTTTTTTTTGAGATGGAGTTTCACTATTGTTGCCCAGGCTGAAGTGCAATGGTACCATCTCGGCTTGCTGCAACCCCCGCCTCCCGGGTTCAAGCGATTCTCCTGCCTCAGCCTCCACAGTAGCTGGGACTAGAGTGAGCCACTACGCCCAGCTAATTTTTTGTGTTTTTAGTAGATACGGGGTTTCACCATGTTGGCCAGGCTGGTCTCGAACTCCTGACCTCAGGTGATCCACCCGCCTTGGCCTCCAAAGTGCTGGGATTACAGGCATGAGCCACTGCACCCAGCCTATGATATTTTTTGTAATTTTTTTTTTTTTTTTAGCTCATCAGCTATCGTTACGTATGGCCCAAGACAATTCTTCTTCCAAGGTGGCCCAGGGAAGCCAAAAGGTTGGAAACCCTTGCTATATTTTATTTACTTCTTACTATTTTCTTGAGACAGAGTCTTACTCTGCCACCCAGGCTGGAGTTCAGTGGTGTGGTGGTCTCGGCTCACTGAAACCTTCACCTCCTGGGTTCAAGCAATTCTCATGCCTCAGCCTCCCCAGTAGCTGGGATTACAAGCACGTACCACCACGCCCGGCTAATTTTTGTAATTTTAGTGCAGATGGGGTTTCGCCATGTTGGCCAGGCTGGTCTCAAACTCCTGACCTCAGGTGATCCACCCGCCTCGGCCTTCCAAAGTGCTGGGATTACGGGCGTGAGCCACTGCACCCCGGCTGGAAACCCCTGCTTTAGACAGAGGAGGAGTTCTTTGTGGCCTTCAGTTAGGCAAAGATTTCTTAGATAGGACATAAGCATGGACCAGAAAAGAAAAAAGTTGATCAACTGGACTTAAAAAGCAAAACTTTTTTGAAAAACCTCTATTTCAGCACCTCTGCTACTTTGTAAGGCACAGACTGAGAGAAAATATTTGTAAAACATCTATCTAATAAAAGAGTATCAAAAGGTATTAGGAACTAAGTTGTGGGTTTGGGCCACACCCCTCAAAAAAGTCAAGGACCTCAGGGAGATCAGTGGGGACAAACCAGCCTCTCCACTTGTGAGGAAAGAACTCTGTGCTGAGCAGCTGCTGGCCCACAGCTAGCTCAACAGCAACCCAGAGCGATCCCTGTTAGTTGTCTCTCTTTCGTTTGCCCTCTTTTTGAGTACCGAGATTTACATTTTTATGTAGATCTCAAGGTTTTCTTCCTTTGTGATTTTTTTTCTACCACTTTTCACTTCATTTCTGTATCCAGAGGGCTGATAAAAAATTCCTCAGCATTTCCTTGTTTCTCATGGTTTAATTCTCTTTTTTCCCTTTAACTCTTTTCATCTATCTGGTGGAATTTATTTTGGTGGCTAGGCGGGGAGCTGAGAATCCATGTGACCCAGCTAAATAATCTTATGGCTTCCTCCTTCCCAGACCAGGGTCTCTGGAAAGGTGAGGGAGCAGGTTCCTCCCCTACAAATCATCTGCACTTCACAAAAGACTCCTTCCATGAGCATGGGCTTCTCAGAACTGTGTTCTACTCTACTCCAGCTCCCACTGATCACTCTGTTTGGGGCCATCCCTTGGTCCCTGGGTCCATCCTGAGTCATGAGTGCTTGGGCCACACCCACCTCCCTTTTGGTGTTTTTGGGACACAGTCACTCTAAAGTTCACTCCATGGGAGGTGTCAGAGATGAAACCCAAGGTAGCCACACCTGAGAGGTGTGGAGAAACAGAATCACAGGCTAAGGTCCAGGTGTAGGTGAGCCCAGGGAGCAAGGGAAGGCTCAAAATATGAAATCCAAGAATATCCGAGGGGAAGGTTGGCAACAGGAACTAAGGAGATTGTACAAGTTAAGCCTGCAGTGCAGTGACCTTTGGTCACAGTATACACAGGAAAGGGAGTATCTGAAGCCTAAGATTACATGTTGACATTTCTTCTTCTCTTGATTTCTTGGTGTGTTTTTTAAATTCAGTATTCTGAAAAGTTAATTCGTTCACATAGGTCAAAAATCAAATATTGGTGCTGAGAAGGAAATTAACAGCTAAAGGCTTACATTAGAAAAGAAAGGCAGGCCAGGTGTGGTGGCTCATGCCTGTAATCCCAGCACTTTGGGAGGCTGAGGTGGATGGATCACTTGAGGTCAGGAGTTCGAGACCAGCCTGGCCAACATGGTGAAACCCCGTCTCTATTAAAAATACAAAAATTAGCCAGGCGTGGTGGCACATGCCTGTAATCCCAGCTACTCAGGAGGCTGAGGCACGAGAATCGCTTGAACCTGGGAGGCAGAGGCTGCAGTGAGCTGAGATCGTGCCACTGCACTCCAGCCTGGGCGACAGAGTGAGGTTCTGTCTCATAAATAAATAAATAAAATAAAATAAAATAAAATAAAATGATATTGAAAAGCTTCATTCCTACCCTGTCCCTGCCATCAATCCCACCCTGCCCCTGCCATCAATCCCATCATCCCACTCCCACAGGTAACCATTTTCATTAGTTTCTACATCCCAGATCATATATCCAGGCAAGTATATACTAACATAATTCTTATTTCTCCCCTTTTTACATATAAAGTGGCACACTATACACACGGTTGTGCACCTTGACAAATTTTGGAGATCTTTCCAAATCAGTACATACAGAGCTTTCTTATTTTTTTTTATAGTTGATTAATGTTCAGTTGGATAAATGGACATTTGTACATTTCTAAAACCCACTTTGGCAGTATGCATCAAGAGCCTTACATTTTTTCATATACTTTGATTCAGTAATTGTTCTTCCAGGAATCCATCCTGAAGAAACAATCAAGAAATGAGGGACAAAGACTGATATTTACTGTCTGATTCTTTAAAACTATCCCCTCAAAGAAATAAAAAGGAAGCAGCAATAAGCAAGTAGTTAGGCAAGGATGGTACATTCCTGCAAAAGAATATCACATAACTATTAAATGTTTCTGGAGAACTTTGGTGACACAGGAAAATTAAGACAAACCAATAGATTCAAACACAAAACTGGATATACAGTTGACCCTTGAACAACATGGGTTTGAAATGTATGGGTCCGTTTATATGCAGATTTTCTTCTGCCTGGGCCACCCGGGACAGCAAGACCAACCCCTCTCCTTTTTCTTCCTCCTCAGCCTACTCCATGTGAAGACAAGGATGAAGCCCTTTATGAGGATTCATTTCCACTTTATGAACAGTAAACACATGTTTTCAGCTTACTTTATTGTAATAATACAGTATACAACACAAATAACATATACAAAATATGTGTTGACTATATTACTGGTAAGGCTTCTGGTCAACAGTAGGCTGTTAGCAGTTAAGGTTTTAGGGAGGCAAAAGTTATATGTGGATTTTTGACTGCATTGGGGGGCAGGGTCTGCACCCCAACCTCCACATTGTTCAAGGGTCAACCACACAGTGTGACAGTAATTATGTTTTTAAAATGCACATAAAAAAGACCAGAAGGAAATGTACACAAGTGTTAATAGCAGTTCCCGCTGAGTGTAAAAATCATAGGTGATAATTTTCCTTCTTTATGCTTTTCCTCATTTTTCTAATTCTCTAGTGTGATGTTGTATTACTTTTTATCATCAGAAAGAAAGATTTTAAAATGTAATCAAAGGAATCCTAGCCCACACCTCCACTCTACACCCAGGAGCCCACAAGCTTCTCTGGTCTCTTCTGTCTCTCCAAAACATCTACCCAAATCCAGTCCCTACAAAGGGCAAAACTCCAGAGGAGGTAGAGAAATATGCATATTTACTTCTTTCCTTGTCCAGGCTCTAAAGGCCAAGTTCAAGGCTTTGCCACCATGGACCAGGTAGGAGGCAGGGTGTCTCCTGTTCTCTCGCAAACCTAAAGGAGGAAAGAGGAAAGCAGAGTGTCAACAAAGCCATGCAGGAAAGTGAAGGACTTGGGACTTTTGTTAAGACAACCAGAGAAAATGCTCAAGGTTCTGAGCACAACTGCAGATCTCAGTTCTTCTGATAGTGTTCATTCACTGAGTACCTACTAAGTGCTAGGAATGTGATATCTATTATCTCATTTAACACTTATACCTATCCTGTAAGCAAGGTATTATCTTCATTATACAGCCCAGAAAATTGAGGTTCAGAGAGGCAAAGTCAAGACCCAGGGCACACACCTAGCAAGTGCTAGAGCCATGACTAAAACCATGTGTATTTGAATCTGAGGCTTGGGCCCCTTCCATGACATTACTGTGCCTCCTGGGTTTCAAAATGAGAACACTCAGGAGGACTATGAGCTCTACCTACACAGACTTTAAGGGCCATTAATGTAGAAGATGGATTAGCTGTGTTCTGCCTTATGTCAGGAGGCTACTACAAACAGCCAGATTTAGGCTCTATAAATAATTTTCTACTGAACCAAGCTGTTTAGAATAAGTAATGAGCAGTTAGTCATCCAGCATCTGATTGAACACTTAAGTGACAGTCTAGGTGGCAGAATAAGAGCTTGAGGTATTGGCTACGAGGCTGTACTCATGGCCCCTGAGATTCTTTATAACTCATCAATACTGATTTCTCCTGGCCAAGTCAACTTGAAGAATCTCAGGCCTAAGTAAGGGACCCATTCTATTCTGGATCAGACAAGGAAAGAGGAAACCCAGTAAGTAAAGTGGCTTCCAACTGGGCTAACGCCCAGGAACCAAAACAATGATGCCAGGACGGTCAGGACTGGGCCTTATCCCCAGGGGAAGCAGATCCAGGAAACTCTCAGACTATCCAAATTGAACTTTTTATCTTAACCAGCAGGAAATAGAGATCATTTCACTGTGATCCAATATTTTCAGTCACACTTGCTAAACAAAAAGGTTAAAATCCATGCCTTGCCATGTATTATGCTGAGTAAAAAAGTGAATCTAAGAAGGTCACGTACTATAATGATTCCATTTATACAATATTTTTGAAATGACAAATTTGGCCAGGCGTGGTGGCTCACGCCTGTAATCCCAGCACATTGGGAGACTGAGGCGGGCGGATCACGAGGTCAAGAGATTGAGACCATCCTGGCCAACATGGTGAAACCCCGTCTCTACTAAAAATACAAAAATTAGCTGGGCACAGTGGCGCGTGCCTATAGTCCCAGCTACTCTGGAGGCTGAGGCAGAAGAATCACTTGAACCCAGGAGGCAGAGTTTGCAGTGAGCAGAGACTGCACCACTGCACTCCAGCCTGGTGACAGAGCGAGACTCCATCTCAAAAAAAAGAAAAAGAAAAAAAAAAAGTATAAAAACTAGCCGAGTGTGGTGGCGGGTGTCTGTAATCCCAGCTACTCAGAAGGCTGAGGTAGGCAAAGCTTGAACCCAGGAGATGGAGGTTGCAGTGAGCCAAGATCACGCCACTGCACTCCAGCCTGGGTGACAAGAGTGAGACTGTGTCTCGGAAAAAAAGAAAAAAGAAATGACAAAATTATAGAAATGGAAAACAGATTAGTGGTTTCCAGAAGTTACGGATGGTACAAGGGAGGAGAGTGGGTGAAACTATAAAGGGACTATAAAGGGGTAGCATTGCTGGGTACTGTGGCTCATGCCTGTAACCCCAGCAAAAGGAGTCTGAGGTGGGAGAATCACTCGAGGCCAGGAGTTTGAGACCAATCTGGTCAACATAACAAGACCCTGTTCATACAAAAAATTTACAAAATTATCCAGGTGTGGGGGCCCATGCCTGTAGTCTTAGCTACTCGGCAAACTGAGGCAGGAGGATTGCCTGAGCCCAGGAGTTTGAAGCTGCAGTGAGCCATGATCACACCACTGCACTCCAGCCTGGGTGACTGAGTGAAATCCTATCTCAAAAAAGAAGGGGCTCGGGGCTGGGCGGGTAGCACTAGGGAGATTTTTTTTAAAGCACTAATTATCACTTTTTAAAAATTGAACATATTTACGGTACACAACATGATTTTAATTTATATACTGAGATCTTTCTGGTAATGAAATAGTATCATGTCTTGACTGCGTTACTTACACATACACACATACTCATTCACTCAGGGGAGAGGGGCAAAAAGGACAGTTGGCAAAGGGCTCCATACCGCGAAAGATGTCCAGGATGTGCTTTCCCACATACCAACAGATGGTCTCAAAGTTGGGGAATCTGAAGAGGTCTGCTGTGCTCAGCCGCTTCTCAATCTCATAGGCTCTAGAAGGAGGAAACACCAACAACAAAAACAAGGATTCATTTACTGAGCACCTACTATGAATCAGGTTTTGTTCTGGATGCTTTGTATCTCTAATCCTCAAAATGACTCTGCAAGATCTGACTTTACACATTAGGAAACTTGGGTTCAAAGGTTATATAACTTGCCCAAAGTCAAATAACTACTAAGTGCAGAAAAGGTGTTAATCTTCAGCTGAACATGATCAGGAACGAGGAACCATTCCTTTCTGGCCATGTCCCCTCCTTCTACATTATACTCCTCACTCTAGCAGACAGGAATGGCCAACATAGAATCACCACAGTTTCAGTACTCACTTGAGCTGCATCTCGATGTTAAGGCTGTGTAAGAAGTTCCCTCCAAAGGCAAGGCAGTCCACAGGCGTCAGCACAGCATGGATCCACCCTGCAGTGTAACAAGGCAAAATCAAAGCTGGAAGAGGGCCTTTCTTCCTCTGATTATCTCCACTACCTACTCATCTCAAACCCAACTCCTTAAGAGCAGTTAGCCTCCAAACTGGCTTCCCAACACCAGATGTTCTCAAGGTGTGGTCCAAGGAATCCTTAGGCTCCCTGAGACTCTTTGAGAGAAGCTGAGATGCCACTCAGAACTATATTCATGAGAATATTATGATGTTCTTTGCCTTTTTCACCCTTATTCTCATGGGTATACAGTGGAGTTTTCCAGGAAGTACATGATGTGACATCCAACAGAATGAAAGCAAAAGCAGATCTGGGGTTCTAACAATTTTTGATTAACCTAGATATTATAGAGATTTGCAAAGATGTAAAACAATGTCATTCTTCCCACTAAACATTTTTGAAAACAGTTTTCATAAAAAAAATTTTATTTATGCTAACATGTAATGGGCTTATAATTATTTTTTAATAAGTTAACAAGTACTTTTAAATTTTCTATTTTAATTTATATGGTAAAAATTGATAAATATAAACCACATAATAAAAAGCTCTTCTGGGTCCTTAATAGTTTTTAAGAGTATAAAGGAATACCGACTGTTTGCAAACCACTGCTCTACAATAATCTCAAATCTATCCTTCACATCCATTCCTAAGCGATATATCTAAAATATAAATTAGGGTCAGGCACAGTGGCTCATGCCTGTAATCCCAGCATTTTGGGAGGCCGAGGCGGGTGGGTCACCTGAGGTCAGGAGTTTGAGACCAGCCTGACCAACATGGCGAAACCCCGTCTCTACTAAAAATACAAAAACTAGCTGGGCATGGTGGCAGGCACCTGTAATCCCAGCTACTCGGGAGGCTGAGGCAGGAGAATCACTTGAACCCGGGAGGCAGAGGTTGCAGTGAGCCGAGATCGCACCATTGCACTCCAGCCTCAGCGACAGGCATGAGCCACTGCACCCGGCCTATATTGTTCTTTATATCTTTTGGTACATCTGAAATATTTCATTAGAAACTAAATAAACCTTCAATGGCCCTCAATCGCCTCTGTGGTAAGTTCAGTCGGCCTACCTTTTCACTTTCATCCACCCCAGCCCTTGCTCTTTAAGCTCTAGTATCCATAAGCTGCTTCACACAGTTTTGGTTTTCTTCCACCTTTCCCTATGTCTGAAATGCCATTCCTGTCTTTCTTTTCATAGTTAATCCCTACTCACCCTTCTAGTGTTGCTCTCCTAAGACTTTCACAAACCTATGGCTAGACTAAGCACTCTTCTCTGTGCTTCCAAAACTAGTGGTGAATACCCCTATTGGTGCTATTGTGGCTAGTAGAATATTATACTGAAACAGCCTATCAATCTTTTGTCCTTAGCACTTAGCCCAATACCAGGGCACACAGTAGACACTCAATGCTTGTGGCCCTAAGTAGATTGCACCCGGTGTGTGGGCATTTCTACCAAGATGTCAATTAATTAACTCAAACCGCTAATGGGCAAATTCAATCCATCAGTTACTAAATGCCCAGTATAGAAAAGTCATTATGGACTAGACCAGGCAAAGGATTCAAAGATGGATGAATAAATGCCTGGGAACAGAAAACTATAAAAGAGAAAAGCAGATGGGGGTGGGAGTTGGGTGGGAGTGAATGACCTGCCTCACCATGTATTAAACATTCTAAAAAACCAATGAAATCGTATCAATAATATTGATAATTGAAGAGAAAAACAGACTTGTAAAACAATAGACAATCCAATATATATAAGACAATATATGGTTAGACAAATATAGAATTATGTAACAAGAATTTGAAAGAAATCATCATAAGAAATCATCATAAGAATACCTTAGTGAGCAATTCCAAACATGCTTGACACAAAAATAGGAAATAGAAATTCTCAGCAAAGAAATACACAAGAAACAAAAGAAAATTTTAGAAATGAAAAGTACTGTATCTGGGCCAGCTGTGGTGGCTCACGCCTGTAATCCCAGCACTTTGGGAGGCCGAGGTGGGTATATCACGAGGTCAGGAGCTTCAGACCAGCCTGATCAGCATGGTGAAACCCTGTCTCTACTAAAAATATAAAAATTAGCCGGGCATGGTGGTGCGTGCCTGTAATCTACTTGGGAGGCTGAGGCAGGAGAATCACTGGAACCCAGGAGGCAGAGGTTGCAGTGAGTTGAGATCACGCCACTGCACTCCAGCCTGGGTGCTAGAGAGAAACTCTGTGTCAAAAAAAAAAAAATACTGTATCTAAAATTAATGCAATTGACAAACTCAACAGAAGAATGGAGACAACAGAAGAAAGAAACAGAAAATGCAAAGACAGAGAAACCGAAATTACCCAATCTGAACTTGAACAAAGAGAAAAAAGACACAGAAAAATAAACTCAAGGACTTGCGGGACTAAGACAAGATACAAAACATTCATGTAATCAGAGATCCAGCAGAAGTTAGAGCATGAGTCTAAAAAAGTATTTCAAGAAATAATGGCAGCCTGGCGCGGTGGCTCATGCCTGTAATCCCAGCACTTTGGGAGGCCAAGGCAGGCAGATCACCTGAGGTCAGGAGTTCAAGACCAGCATGGCCAATATGGTGAAACCCTGTCTGTACTAAAAATACAAAAATTAGCAGGGCATGGTGGCACATGCCTGTAATCCCAGCTGCTCGGGAGGCGGACACTGCAGTGAGCCGAGATCGCTCCACTACACTCCAGCCTGAGCAACAGAGTGACACTCCCTCTCAAAAAAAAAAAAGAAAGAAAGAAAGAAAAGAAAAAAAAAGGAAAAGAAATAATGGCTAAAAATTTCACATATACAGCAAAAGACATAAACCTACACATTCAAGAAGCTCAGTGAACACATTCAGCATTATAAACCCAAAGAAATCCACACCAAAAAAAACACAGCATGGCCAAACTGCAGAAAACTTAAAAAAAAAAAAAAAAAAGAATGAAAGCATCAAGAAATGATACATTATCTATAGGGGAAAAACAATTCAGATGATAGCCAAAATCTCATCAGAAACCACAGAGGCCAGAACGAAACAGCAAAACATTCTTTAGGTGTTGAAAGAAAAGAACTATTAACCCAGAGTTCTATATCCAGAAAAATATCCTTCAGGAATGAAAGAAAAAAAAAATCAAGACATTTACTGATGGAAAAAAACTAAGAACTTGTCGACAGTAGACCTACCCTGAAACTCTAAAGACCAGAAAGGAAAACAGAATAAACAGATGAGTAAAAACATGGGTGAATACCATAGAATTTCCTTCTCTTGAGTTTTCTAAATTATGTTTCATAGGGAAAGCAAAAATTATAAAACTTTGTGATACAGTTCTCAACATACGCAGAGGATAGTAGCCCTCTTGGTGTAGTGGGTAGCACGTCAATCTCATAATCAATGTATGAAGAGAAATATTTAAGACAAATACATGGAAAAATGTAAAACATGACTAATTGTAGAAAAATGCGAAGGATAAAGGGATGTAAAAAGAGGTAAGGTTTTGGGCCCGGTGCGGTGACTCACGCCTATAATCCCAGCACTTTAGGAAGCCGAGGTGGGTGGATCACTTGAGCTCAGGAGTTCAAGACCAGCCTGGGCAACATGGCAAAACCCCATCTCCACTAAAACTAAAAAAATCAGCCAGACGTGGTAGTGTACATCTGTGGTCCCAGCTACTTGGGAGGCTGAGGTGGGAGGATTGCTTGAGCCTGGGAGGTCAAGGCTGTGGTGAGCTGTCATCTTACCACTGCATTCCAGGCTGGGTGACAGAATGAGATTCTGTCTCAAAAAAAAGAGGTATGGTTTCAACCCTTCCCTCAAACAGGTAATATGTAAATACTAGTAGACTGTGATATGCTATGTATGTATAAAGTAATAATTAGAGCAAACACTACAAAATAACTAGAAAACCTATATGAAAGCTGAACCAAAAAATTCTTATGAAAATTCAGGGGACCGGCTGGGCCCTGTGGCTGACGCCTGTAATCCCAGCACTTTGGGAGGCCAAGGCAGGTGGATCACCTGAGGTCTAGAGTTCGAGACCAGCTGAGCCAACATGGTGAAACCCCGTCTCTACTGCAAATACGAAAAAATTAGCCGGGCATGGTGACGGGTGCCTGTAATCCCAGCTACTCGGGAGGCTAAGGCAGGAGAATCGCTTGAACCCAGGAGGCTGAGGTTGCAGTGAGCTGAGACCGCAACCATTGCACTCCAGCCTCAGCAACAAGAACAAAACTTCATCTCAAAAAAAAAAAAAAAAAAAAATTCAAGGGGCCAAATAATCCTGAAAAAGAAAAAGTTGGAGCACTGGCACTTCCCAATTTCAAAACTTACTACAAATGTACAATAATTGAGATGGTGTGACACTGTTAGAAGGATCAACAGAATAGAATTCAAGGTCCAGAAATAAACCCTTATCTTTGGTCAACAGATTTTTGACACAGGTGTCAAGACAATTCAATGGGGAAAGAACAGTCTTTTCAAAAGGTTCTGGGACAACTAGAACTACATACAAAAGAAAGAAATTGGACCCTTACCTCATACCATACACAAAATCAATATAAATCAAAATGGATGAAAGATCTAAATGTAAGAACTAAAACTATAAAATGCTTAGAAGAAAACATAGGCATAAATCTTCATGACCTTGAATTAAGCAAGCCTCTTAGACACCAAAAGCATAAGCAAATAAAGAAAAAAAAATAGATAAATTGGGCATCAAAATTTGTAACTTTTGTCCTTCATAGGACACTATCAAAAAAGTGACAAGACAACCCCAAGAATGAGAGAAAATATTTGCAAATCACATATCTGGTAAAAGTCTAGTATCCAAAGTATATAAATTCTTGTAACTCAACAATGAAGAGACAATCTAATTAAAGAATGGGCAAAAGATTTAAATAGATATTTCTCCAAAAAAAACTATACAAGTGTCCAATGAACATTTGGAAAGATGTTAAACATCAAAGGTCATCCAGAAAACAGAAATCAAAACCTCAATGAGATACCACTTTACGCCCATTAGGATGGCTATAATCATAAAGAGACAGCAATAAGCATTGGGGGAAGATGTGAAGACACTGAAATTCTCATACATTACTGTTGAGAATATAAAATGGTACATGTAGCTGCTTTGAAAACAGTTTGTCAGTTCCTCAAAAAGTTAAACACAGAGTTACATATGACTCAGCAATTCCCCTCCTAGATATATACCCAAGAGAAATGAAAACTTACGTTCACACAATAACTCGTACACGAATGTTCATAGCAACACTATTCATAACAGCCAAAAAGTGCAAACAACTCAAATGTCTATCAACTGACTAATGGATAAACAAAATGTGGCATATCCACACCACAGAATATTATTCAGCTGTTAAAAAGAACGAAGTGGTCGGCGCAGTGGCTCACACCTGTAATCCCAGCACTTTGGGAGGCTGAGGCAGACAGATCACGTGGTCAACAGATTGAGACCATCCTGGCCAACATGGTAAAACCCCGTCTCTACTAAAAACACAAAAATTAGCTGGGCATGGTGGCGCATGCCTGTAGTCCCGGCTATGCGGGAGGCTGAGGCCAGAGAATCGCTTGAACCTGGGAGGCGGAGGTTGCAGTGAGTGGAGATCGCGCCACTGCACCACTGCACTCCAGCCTGGCAACAGAGCAATACTCCGTCAAAAAAAAAAAAAAAAAAAAAAAGATGCACTCGCCAGGGAGCAGGAGTAGCTCACGCCTGTAATCCCAGCACTCTGGGAGGCCTAGGTGGGTGGATCACCTGAGGTTGGGAGTTCGAGACCAGCCTGGCCAATATGGTGAAACCCCATCTCTACTAAAAATACAAAAATTACCCAGGCCAGTGGTGGCAGGTGCCTGTAATCCCAGCTATTCAGGAGGCTGAGGCAGGAGAATCGCTTCAGCTTGGGAGGTAGAGGTTGCAGTGAGCCAAGATCGCGCCACTGCACTCCAGCCTGGACATACTGATAAATGCTGTAACATGGATGATTCTTGAAAACATTACAAGTGAAAGAAGCTAGACACAAAAGACAACATATTACAACATTCCATCTATATGAAATATTCAGAAGGGCAAATCCATACACAAATGAAGTGAAAAAGGGGTTGTCAAGGGCTGGCAGACAAATGAATAAAGAGTGACTGCTAATGAGTATAGGGTTTTTTTAAAAAACAATGAACATTCGGGCCGGGCACAGTGGCTCACGCCTGTAATCCCAGCACTTTGGGAGGCTGAGACGGGTGGATCACCTGAGGTCAGGAGTTCAAGACCAGCTTGGCCAACATGGGTGAAACCCCATCTCTATTAAAAACACAAAAATTAGCCGGGTGTGGTAGCACAAGCCTGTAGTCCCAGCTACTCGGGAGGCTGAGGCAGGAGAATCACTTGAACCCGGGAGGCGGAAGTTGCAGTAAGCCGAGATTGTGCCACTGCACTCCAGCCTGGGTAACAGAGTGAGACTCCATCTCAAAAAGGAGATAAATAACATAATGAACATTCTCTGGTATTAAATAGCAGTGATGTTGCACAACCTTGTAAATATACAAAGAACTGAATTGTACCCTTTAAAATGGTAAATTTTACAATATTTAAGATGTATCTCAATTTTTCAAAACCTCATTTAACTTAATGAAAATACAACATGTCAATATTTGTGTGACACACCTAAATCAATGCTGAGAGGGAAATTTAGGGAAAGCCTGAAATCAATAAACTAAGCTCTCATCTCAAGACTAGAAAAAGAACAAAATAAACCCAAAGCAAGCAGAGGGAAGGAAAAATAAAGATAAAAGCAGAAATCAACACAACTGAAAACAAAAAGACAACAGAGAAAAATCAATAAAACCAAAAGTGGGCCGGGTGCGGTGGCTCACCCCTGTAATCCCAGCACTTTGGGAGGCCAAGGCAGGCAGATCATGAGGTCAGGAGATCAAGACCATCCTGGCCAACACGGTGAAACCCCAACTCTACCAAAAATACAAAAATTAGCCAGGCGTGGCAGCAGGCACCTGTAATCCCAGCTACTCAGGAGGCTGAGGCAAGAGAATCACCTGAACCTGGGAGGCGGAGGTTGCAGTGAGCCGGGATCGCACCACTACACTCCAGCCTGGGTGACAGAGTGAGACTCTGTCTCAGAAAAAAAAAAAAAAAAAAAAAAAAAAAAAAAAAAAAAGTGGCTCTTTGGAAAGATCAATAAAATTGACCAACCTATAGAAAATTGACACAAACAAAAGAGAAAGCACAAATAACTAACGTCAGGAATGATACAAAGAATACCACTAGAGACTTGGAAGACATCAAAAGGGTAATAAGAAAATACTATGGCTGGGTGCGGTGGCTCACGCCTATAATCCCAGCGCTTTGGGAGACTGAGGCGGGTGGATCACCTGAGGTCAAGGTCAGAAGTTCGAGACCAGCCATGGCCAACATGGTAAAACCCCATCTCTACTAAAAATACAAAAATTAGCCGGGCGTGGTAGTGCAAGCCTGTAATCCCAGCTACCCAGGAGGCTGAGGCAAGAGAATCTCTTGAGCCTGGGATGCAGGCAGTGGTCACAGTGAGACGAGATCGCATCACTGCACTCCAGCCTGGGTGACAAGAGTGAAACTCCATCTCAAAAAAAAGAAAACACTATGAACAACTCCACACATATATTTGACAATTTAGATTAAATAGACCAATTCCTTGAAGAGCAGATGATCGCAACTTATTTAATATGAAATAGAAAATCTGAATAACCTTAAAGATTTTTTAAATTGAATGTTAATTTAAAACTTCCCAAGAAAACAAATCTCCAGGCATATGTGATTGCACTAGAGAATTCTACTATACATTTTAAGAAAATTTAACACTAATTCTGATTAAAGAAATCAAAGAAAATCTAAATAAATGGAGAGATACCCTGTATTCATATAAGACCTAATCAAGTAAAGATGTCAACTCTCCCCAAATTGAGACAACTGGGGGATTTTTTCACAATAAATATACTCAGATCCCACCCAAGACCTAAGAATTCATAATTCTAAGAGTGAAGCCCAGGTACAAACTGTTTAGGGAAAAAAAGCACTATCCCCACCACAGGTCATTCTGACTTAGAGCCTAGAATGCCAGCCTCCCAGGCACTATCCCTAGAGTTACGGGGCTTAGAGTCATGTTCTCTGTTCACCCAGATGACATCAACCCAGGACAAAGAAGTCCATCAGCCTCCTCCTGGACATTCCCCACTTTCAGCCTCCCCAGGTGACCATGCTGCCCACTGACTACCACATGAAATTTCTTGAAGCCCAGTTCTGCGCCTTTCGCTGATATGAGAAAGACATCCCACGTAATCAGATTAATATGCTGTGGGGCCAAAAGCTCCCTTCTTCTTTCCACCCTCCCCAAACCCTCCCAGAAGCACCCAAGGGAAGACCTGTGGGAATGAAAAGTGTCTGTCCTTGCTTCACGGAACACTTGTAGCACTTGTCCACCTGGTCCCCAAAGAACATCTCATTCTGATTAGAGGAACTGCTCCAGCACTCAAAGAGAGTCAGATTGGCATTTGTTGGGCGGATCAGGTAGAAGATCTTTTCACCCTGAAACAAAAAGAGGTTGAAGTGACAAAAATACCAAGGGTTTCCAGAAAAGTCCTTAACGGGTACTCCAAAGGGGTATTTCTCCCATGCTCCAAAACGATGGCAATATGCCAGAGTTCTTGCCCAAACCCATCCAATTATCATTTCTTTGTGGATTTGGAAAACTTCAAAAGGTCACTTTGCTTTTTGTACTTTTAAGTTTCTATAAACTTGACAAAAACAAATTGGAAAGGGCATTTCAAACAAAATTGTTCAAGTTAAGACATATGTACACCAAGTGTTCCTATTTTAGACACAATGCCAAATAAAGAATGGCCTCTACAGATGAGTAGATCAATACTAGTAGCCTTAGGAGAATTTAAGGCCACATTACTGATGAGAAGAAAATTGAATTTGCCTTCAAATGCCATTTACAGAGTGTTCCTTCCCACACCTGCAATCAAAGCTAATAAAAGTTTAAAAGTTCAGTAATCGCCCAAGGACTTCTGGAAGATTATATGTTATGTGATTATCTTTTGGAAGAACATTTATTTCCTAATTGTGTTTTGCCTGGATAAACACCAGAAAGATAATTTGGCAAAAAAAAAAAAAAAAAAAGAAAGAAACAAAAACCCAGTAGCACAAATATATTCTCACAGCATGATTGGTTTAACCAGTATTTCATGATAATAAATTTCAATGTAGAAAAGTAACACTAGAAATATCAGGTGTACAACCGGAGAATTTTGAATCAGGTCTGTAGATTAGGTACTAGTATATCAATGTTAACTTCCTGATTTTGATAACTATACAAATTATTTAAGACTTTGTCTTTGTTTTTAAGACAAAGTTTTAAGACAAACTTGTAGTTAAGAACTACAACTGAATTATTAAGATATAAAGAAATATTATGTCTTTACGCACAAATGTCTCAGGAAAAAAATATATATATAACCATTTTATTGTGTTTGCTTTAGAGAGAGAATATAATAAAATGGTAACATTTGAGGAATCTCAGGGAAGGGCAGACAGACATTCTTCCCATTATTTTTTAACTTTTCTATAAAATGAAATTATTTTAAAATAAAAGAGTTAAACCTAACATTTGCATAATAGCACTTTCATTTACACATTCTACTTCCTAAATGATAAACCAATGGAAACAACTAGGTAAGGACTTGTGATCACTTGGACAAGAGCCACAATCCAAGTTTTCCATTCTTTCCTTTGACTTTTCTGATAAGAAAACTAGGCCAGGCATGTTGGCTCAAGCCTGAAATCTCAGCACTTTGGGAGGTTGAGGCAGGAAGATCACTTGAACCCAGGAGTTCGAGTCCAGCCTGGGCAACACAGTGGGACTCTGTCTCTACAAAAAATAAAGTAAAAAAATTGTCTGGACACAGTGGCTCACGTCTGTAATCCTAGCACTTTGAGGGCCAAGGTGGGAAGACTGCTGGAGCTCAGGAGTTTGAGACCAGCCTGGGCAACATAGTGAGAGCTAGTCTCTACAAAAATAATTTTTTTTAATTAGCCAGAAGTGGTGGTGCACACCTGTAGTCCCAGCTACTTGGGAGGCTGAAGTGGGAGGACAGCTTAAGCACAGCAGGTCGAGGCTGCAGTGAGCCATGATCATGCCACTGCACTCCAGCCTGGGTGACAAAGTGAGAGACTGTCTCAAAAAAAAAAAAAAAAAAGGTAAAAAAAATTAGCTGGGAGTGATGGCATGCACCTATAGTCCCAGCTACTCAGGAGGCTGAGGTGGGAGGATCCCTTGAGCCCAGGAGTGAGAGGCTGCAGTGAGTTATGACTGCACCACCACACTCCAGCTTGGGTGACAGAGACAGATTCTGTTTCTAAGAAAAAAATAATAATAATAAAAAAGAAAACTAAATAATCTGAACAATGGTGAAAACCAAAATCATTTAAGAAATTTGTTTTCCAGACCTCAAAAATCCTTCATAGTCACTGACAATACACTAATTACAAAATTGTAACAATTACTAAAAATGAAACTATGGAAATCCTGACTTTAAAAAGACTTCTCATACAGGTTTTATCTTGACTGTGGTGGCAGTTAAATGACTATATACAACTGACAAAATTCATCAAATTGTACAATTAAAATGGATGAATTTTATAGTATATAAATTATACCTCAATAATGTTGGAGAAAGGGAAGTTTCTCATGTTACCAGGAATTTCCAAAGTAAATGTGGACATTTCCATACATGCTGATATGAGTATAAACTGGTTCAATTAAGAAGGTAAGAACGGCTGGGTGCAGTGGCTCACGACTGTAATCCCAACACTTTGGGAGGTGGAGGCAAGCAGATCACTTCAGGTCAGGCGTTCGAGACCAGCCTGGCCAACATGGTGAAACCCCGTCTCTACTAAAAATACAAAAATTAGCTAGGCGTGGTGGTGGGCGCTTATAATCCTAGCTACTTGGGAGGCTGAGGCAGAAGAATCGCCTGAACCCGGGAGGCAGAGGTTGCAGTGAGCTGAGATCACGCCACTGCAGTCCAGCACTGGCAACTGTCATCTTAGGTGACAGAGCAAAACTCCATCTCAAATAAATAAATAAAATCTTTGTTTTTACTCTGCCTCAACAACAACAAAAAAGAAGGTAACAACCAGGAAAACCTCAGGCATCTGCTATTATTCAAAAACGTTTGATTCGTCAAACATTTTTGAATCAATTTTTTTTTTTAAGATGGAATCTCGTTCTGTCGCCCAGGCTGGAGTGCAGTGGCACAATCTCGGCTCACTGAAAGCTCCACCTCCCAGGTTCATGCCATTCTCCTGCCTCAGCCTCCCAAGTAGCTGGGACTACAGGCGCCTGCCACCAAGCCCGGCTAATTTTTTTTATTTTTAGTAGAGATGGGGTTTCACCGTGTTAGCCAGGATGGTCTCAATCTCCTGACCTCGTGATCCGCCCGCCTCGGCCTCCCAAAGTGCTGGGATTACAGGCGTGAGCCACCGCGCCCGGCCAAATCAAATTTTTTTTATTCAAAATGTAAATCAAACTGATTCAAAATGTTTCTGTGCTGCCATGTGACACGTACAGGGAGGCCCAAGGCCTGGCTGCCTCCAGAAGCCATGCGCATTCCTACCTTGAGTACATGGTACCAGACAGAGGTGCCACCAAAGTCAATGTGAAAGTCTGTATAGCTATCTCGCACACTCATGAGGCAGTACTTCTGTACATTGGGTCTCTCAAAGACACATTCCTCTGGCCACAAGTTTTCGACCCATGACAGCTTTCGAACAATCTTCGGTGTCTCCACAAGGTTAGAAAGTCTACCAAGGAAGGGGTGGAGAGCAGATGTCAGCTGATTAGGAAGAGAAGATTGAGGCCTGAATAAAATACCCCACAGTTCAGTGAGGGTCAGATAAGTCAGAGAACAAGTTCCCTCCACAGAATCCCCAAAGGCACATAGGACACTTATTTCTGTTCTGTAAGTCTGGTCAGTATCCTCATTCTACTCATCTCCAGAAGTCCCAAGTCCAAGCTCCACAGGCTTCTCCAGTCAAAGGTGTTCATTTCCTCCACTAAATGCTCATACTCCCCAGCCCCACTCCAGACTACTCACTTGGCATGTGGATTATAGAAGTTATTGCACTATCCCCATCTCATAGTGTCTTCTTTATGAGAAACCACTAGAGCAACCTCACAGGGCTCAGTTCCAGGTAAAGAAATGTTTCTCTGAAACATCTGTTGCTTTTATCCTACGTAAAGCCACAAATCTTACAATACTGCACTCCTCTCTTTGTTCTGACCTTCAGGAAATTCACTGAAAACTCTATAGTCCATTTCCACCAACCGGGAAATGTGCTGAGCACCCACCACATGCATTCTATTTCCCAATCTTATTTCACTTTTGTTCTAGTTTTCTCTCTTTTTTTTTTGGCTTCTCCACATCTCTGTAAGCTACCTTGAATAGTCTTTCAGGATGAAGTGAAGTATAAACAAACAAATACAGTTTTTAAACACTCTCAGGTTGTTTAACCTTGCATCTTAAAAACAACAGCGCCGGGCGCGGTGGCTCACACCTGTAATCCCAGCGCTTTGGGAGGCCGAGGTGGGTGGATCACGAGGTCAGGAGATCGAGACCATCCTGGCTAACACAGTGAAACCCCGTCTCTACTAAAAACATAAAAAATTAGCCGGGTGTGGTCGCAGGTGCCTGTGGTCCCAGCTACTCGGGAGGCTGAGGCAGGAGAATGGCGTGAACCAGGGAGGCGGAGCTTGCAGTGAGCCGAGATCATGCCACTGCACTCCAGCCTGGGTGACAGAGCGAAACTCCGTCTCAAAAAAAAAAAAAAAAAAAAAACACAACAGCAAGGGTCTTAATATTGTACCGTAATTACATAATACGTTACCATTGAGGGAAAGTGGCTAAAGAGTACACAGGACCTCCCTGTACACTTTTTTGCAACTTCCTATCAATCTACAAATTAAAAGTTAAAAATGTAAATAATCAGACAGTAAGTTTCCTAAGGGCAAAAAGATACATTATGATTTCTTGGTATTTCCCACATTTCTGACCCAAAGAGAAGACTATATACGTATCTACTGTGTGTGTGAGTCCAGATAGAATCATTTAAAGGTAAATAGGTTTCTCTTTTTCTTTTTAAATGTAAGAAACCTACATGGGGGTAATTTTAGTAAATCTATTTCCAGGAACTGAGGACCTATCCCACCAGTTACACAGTGACTGTGGCACTGTTGTATATAGGAGGAAAAGGTCAAAGAAGGGTGTCCTAAGGTCTTGAAAAAGGAGACAAAAATTAATTAAAATAGCTACTATGTAATCTATCCAATGCTAGAAACTGTGGAGGAGAAATATGACTCAACTGTTACAACGTGAGCAGCTACCCTAGAAAATATAACCCAGCTCGCCATCCCAAAGGAAGAAACCACCAGGAAGAAGAGAAAGGAACACGAGGCAAGGTGCGGTGGCTCATGCCTGTAATCCTAGTACTTTGGGAGGCCAAGGCGGGCAGATCACCTGAGGTAGGGAGTTCGAGACCAGCCTGGCCAACATGGTGAAACCCCATCTCTACTAAACATACAAAAATTAGCCAGGCATGGTGGCGGGCGCCTGTAATCCTAGCTACTCAGGAGGCTGAGGCAGGAGAATTGCTTGAACCCAAGAGGCGGAGGTTGCAGTGAGCCAAGATCGTGCCACTGTACTCCAGCCTGGGCGACAGAGCAAGACTCTGTCTCAAAAAAAAAAAAAAAGAGAGAGAAACACGAATATACACTAGATATATCACACAAGTTTCAGGCACTTTGTCAGGTTTTTTTGTTATTCCTGCACCTCTTACCTGGTATCAGAGAATTCCAAACTAATGACATTGAGGACTTTCTCCCTCTTCCCGCTGTAATAGTATTTCACAAAATCACCAAGCTTCATCTTGCAGTCAGCCTGGCGGGTCACATCAATCACATCAATCTCTTTGTCAGAACCTGGAGTAAAGAGATAGGTTCTGCACCAAGTAGTCTCAGGGACTGTGGAAGACTCTCTTGTCCCCTCATCAGTCCCTAGAATGGCCTTACACTCAAAGCTTCTCTCCACTGACACTGTACATATATGTGTGTGTTTGTTTGGGGGGCAGGGGAAGGAACCCATCGCACTTTCCTTAGATCTATGTGCCCTGCTAGGGCAATGGAACTACCAGACACACAGCCTCACACATAGTAGTCCATCTGCCTGGGCCTTGCTTCTCCATTTCTTCTCTTCCTCTCCCCAGAAACTCATGCCCAGACAACAAGTGGCATGTGAGAACAACAGTCAAAAGCTTTCTCATTTCAACAGAAGACAGACAATGATCCCTAGAACTTCCCAGGTAAAAAACGGAGCTCAACCTGGGGTTTTATGGACTATTAAAAGGAGAAGGGGCTGGGCGTGGTGGCTCACGCCTGTAATCCCAGTTGGGAGGCCGAGGCAGAAAGATCGCTTGAGCCCAGTAGTTGGAGATCAGCCTGGGCAACATAGTGTGACATCATCTCTACAAAAAATAAACAAAACTAGCTAGGCATGGTGGTGCATCCCTGTAGTCTCAGCTACTCAGGAGGTTGAGGTTTGAGGATCCCTGGAGCCCAGGAGGAGGTGGAGGCTGCAGTGAGTTAATTGCGCCACTGTACTCCAGCCTGGGCAACAGGGCGAGACCCTGTCTCTGATAAACGAATGAGTGAATGCATGAAAGGAGAACAAAGAGGAGACTAGGATTTTGACTCTATCTCTGCCAAAGAATGACTTTGGACAAGGCATTTCACCTGAGATTCCCAAGATGGTTACAGAGGAAATGCAAAAACAGATTGGAGGGGAAGGGACACAGATCTTGACAGGAATGAACAATGTTACAGTTAAAAGGGTCTGTAGTGTCTTACCAACATAGTGTTCAACATCCCTCACAGTGAATGATGGCGAGGGCAGCGTCATGCCCAACCCATCCTTCTTCAGGACCAGGATGGGCACACTGAAGCTATTTTCTTCCAGGAATTCCACGGTCAGTTGATTTCCAGTGGGCTTCAGAATCACTTCATCTGAGCTGTGGGCCGCAGGAGAGAAAGCTTGAGCCTGAGGCCCTGCCCACTAAAGGCCTTATTGGAGGCTGCCACTCACCCAAGAGGTGGGGTTTTTATGAGGGGACTTAATGTGAGCTGGCAACTAATGCCAAAAACCTCATCTGCCAGGGAAGAAATGATCTGTCCAAGGCAAGAGACCAGGTCACTGGCAGAGGTGGGGAGTATTCTGCCAACATGGTGCTCTTCTCTGGGTGACAAGAAGAAATCAGTCAACAGCCTGGCCAGAAAGAAAAGACACATCTGACAAGTTTGACAGATTTGTTCAAACCAAGAGCAGCATTACCCAATTTAAAACACTGTCAAAGAGAAAAGACTGATTTAAACAAAACAACAACATTTTTACAACAACTTTCTCAACATGCATATACAACAACTTTCTCAACGTGCATACTTAATGAGTTTCAGCCTGGGCATCATTTCTAAACCCGTCTCCACAAAAAAATTCAAAATTAGCAGGGCATGGTGGTGCAGGCCTACAGTCCTACGTACTTGGGAGGCTGAGGCAGGAAGATCACTTGAACCCAGGAGTTGAGGTTACAGTGGGCTTTGAACATGCCACTGCACTCCAGCCTGGGTGACAGAGAGAGTCCCTGTCTTTTTTTTTTTTTTTTTTTTAAAGAAAAGAAAGAAAATAGTTTTCTTTAAATCATGGTGCAGAAAATAGTTTTCTTTTAAATCATGGTGGAGGAAAGATTTGTATTTGACAACTCTGACAACTTGTGTTGGGACAAATATATTAAGCTCAAGCTCAATGCCTATCTCATTCTTTTTTTTTTTTTGAGACAGAGTTTTGCTCTTGTTGCCCAGGCTGGAGTGCAATGGCACAATCTCGGCTCACCACAACCTCCGCCTCCAGGGTTCAAGCGATTCTCCTACCTCAGCCTCCCGACTAGCTGGGATTACAGGCATGCGCCACCACGCCCAGCTAATTTTGTATTTTTAGTAGATAGGGGATTTCTACATGTTGGTCAGGCTGGTCTTGAACTCCCGACCTCAGGTGATCTGCCCGCCTCAGCCTCCCAAAGTGCTGGGATTACAGGCATGAGCCACTGTGCCTGGCCTGCCTATCTCATTCTTTACATAATCCTAGATGGTCCAAAGATTAAATTCCAAAAAATAAAGCTTTAAGAGTAGAAAAACCTGGGAAAAACCCAGCAGTCATTAAAAATAGTAATAAACTTAACCATATAGAAATTAAAATTTTCTCCAAGAAAGCTGTTATAAATCAGTAATAGTAACACAACAGAATGCCTATAAAACAAGCAAGTAGTTCACAGAGAAAACAATCAAGCTGGTTTATAAATGTATGAAATCTAAGGCTGAGTGCAATAGCTCACAACTGTAATCCCAGCACTTTGGGAGGCCAAGGAAGGCAGATTGTTTGAGCCCAGGAGTTGGAGACCAGCCTGGGCAACATGGCAAAACCCCGTCTCTACAAAAAATACAAAAAAAAAATTAGCTGGGCGTGGTGGCACACACCTGTAGTCCCAGCTACCCAGGAAGCGCAGGTGGGAAGATGGATTAAGCTAGGGAGGTCAGGGCTGCAGTGAGTGGTGATTGCACCACCCGACTCCAGCCTGTCTCAAATGAGACCCTGTCTCAAAAAAAAAATCTACTTATTTCCTTCATAATTAAAGAAATACAAGTGTGAGCTGAGTACAGTGGCTCACACCTGTAATCCCAGCACTTTGGGAGGCCAAGGTGGGCAGATCCCTTGAGGTCAGGAGTTTGAGACCAGCCTGGCCAGCATGGTGAAACCCCATCTCTACTAAAAATACAAAAATTAGCTGGGCATGGTGGTACGTGCCTGTAATCCCAGCTACTTGGGAGGCTGAGGCAGAATTGCTTGAACCCAGGAGGCGGAGGGTGCAGTGAGCTGAGATTGCACCACTGCACTCCAGCCTAGCCAACAGAGCAAGACACCGCCTCAAAAAAAAAAAAAAAAAAAAGAAAGAAAGAAAAGAAGTACAAGTGGGAACAGCAGGATTTCACGATTTATTTTATCAGAAAGGCAAAAAAAAAATTGATAATAAATAATATTGGTGGCTGGGCACGGTGGCTCACACCTGTAATCCCAGGACTTTGGGAGGCCAAGGCGGGTGGATCACCTGAAGTCAGGAGTTCAAGACCAGCCTGGCCAACATGGTAAAAACCCCGTCTCTACTAAAAATACAAAAATTAGCCGGGCGTGGTGGCAGGCGCCAGTAATCCCAGCTACTCGGGGTGCCGAGGCAGGAGAATCGCTTGAACCCAGGAGGCGGAGGTTGCAGTGAGCCGAGATCACGCCATTGCACTCCAGCCTGGGGGACAAGAGCGAGACATCGTCTCAAAATAAATAAATAAATAAAATAAAACAAACAAACAAACAAATATTGGCTAGGATATAGGAAAATCGGCACCCTCCGCACATTATCTGTGGGAGTGTGAAATGGTATAGCCACTATGGATGTAACTGGCAACGTATGCAAAAACTTAAGTGCAAAGATATTCATTACAGTATTTCTTTCTAATAGCAAAATACTGGAATCAACTTAAACGTCCCTCAGTAGAGGACTGGTTAAATAAATGTTACACCATGCAATGTAATATTAAACAGCCATGAAAAAGAACATCTGTATGTGCTATTATGGATTGATCTCAAATATATATTTTTTTAAAAAAAAGCAAGATACAGAACAATATATAGTTGTTTCCATTTGTGTCAAAAAAAGGAATTAAAAAAATCTATGTTTGTATATGCAAAAACCATTTCTGAAAGGATCTACAAATAACGGGTTGACTTTGGAGAAAGAACCTGAGGAGTCCAGAGTAGAGAGGAGAAGTTTCTGCCTTTAAATAAACAAATAAAACAAGAAACATTAAGTTGAAGGAACACTTATTCCAATTAACACTTTGGTTACAGAAAACCTGAAAAGAAGTAAAAAAAAAAATAACAGATCCTGATAAGCCTGCAGAGCAAAGGGAATACTTATACCATGTTAGTGGGAATGTAAATTAGTTCAGCCACCATGGAAAGCAGTTTGGAGATTTCTCAAAGAACTTAAAAGAGAACTACCATTCGACCCAGCAATCCCATTACTGGATTTACACCCAAAGGAAAATAAACCATCTACTAAAAAGACGAATGCACTGATATGTCTGCAGCACTATTCACAATAGTAAAACATGGAATCAAACTAGGTGCCCATCAACAGTGGAATGGATAAAGAAAAGTGTGGTACATATATATCATGGAATACTACATAGCCATAAAACAGAAGGAAATCATGTCCTTTTCAGTAACATGGATGCAGCTGGAGACCATTATCGTAAGCCAATTAATGCAGGAACAGAAAATCAAATACTGCTTTTGTTCTCACTTTTAAGTAGGAGCTAAACATTGGGTACACATAGACAAAGATGGGAACAATAGATACTGGGGACCACTCAAGTTGGGAGGGAGGTAGTAGGGAAGGGGCTGAAAAACTAGCTACTGGGTACTATGTTCACTACTTGGGTGATGGGACCATTTGCACCCCAAACCTCACACATGCAATATACCCACGTAAACAAACCTGCACATGTACTTCCTGAATCTAAAATCAAAGTTGCAATTATTTTTTTTTTTTTTTTTTTTTTTTTTTTTTTTGAGACGGAGTCTCGCTCTGTCGCCCAGGCTGGAGTGCAGTGGTGGGATCTCGGCTCACTGCAAGCTCCGCCTCCCGGGTTCACGCCATTCTCCTGCCTCAGCCTCCCGAGTAGCTGGGACTACAGGCGCCCGCCACTACGCCCGGCCAATTTTTTGTATTTTTAGTAGAGACGGGGTTTCACCGTTTTAGCCGGGATGGTCTCAATCTCCTGACCTCGTGATCCGCCCGCCTCGGCCTCCCAAAGTGCTGGGATTACAGGCGTGAGCCACCGCGCCCGGCCAGTTGCAATTATTTTTAAAAAACCTGAACATGGTCTACTGAATTAAAAAACCAAGCAAAGGAGAATGCTTTGTTCCTTTTTTTAACTCATTATTTTTGCTTATTTCATGTAATTTACTTTTAACAAGGCCAGCTTAATTTTAAAAAGATAAAACCTCTTTTCGATCATAAAAGAGATATATGACCAATAATTTTTTTATATTAAAAGAGTTTCTTCTTCTCTATGAGAGAATTAAACTTTCTGATCCTAAGACTCCTTCTAGTCAGCATTCCTTGGATGAATGTAAGTATCTAACTTAGGTGAATACTGCCTCCCAACTACCAGAAGTTTTCCAGGAATTGACCAAACCAGAAGGAATTTGCAGAGCCCTGAAGATACTCACAAACTGGGGAAGCTCCTAATGGGACAGCCACTGGGAAAGCTGGGAAGAGGTGAGTTCCAGCTTCCCAGAGCCCTGGCATTCACCAGCCACTGGAGGCAGGGTTCCTCACCTGTCAAAAGTCCTACTCCGGAGCTCTCTGACGAACGTAGGGCTCCCGGTCTTCACTGGTTTCCCCTTGTGTGTATCATGCCCCTTTGAAGATCCACGGCGTTTTTTCACTAAGCCAGAAAAACATGAGAGATTGTGAGTCAGAACGGTCATGAGCTATGATACCAAGAACAAAGGCCTCAGCAGATCCTTCTCTTCCAATCTAACCACCCCTTGGAGCATCTGGAGTCAATGAGGCCCTCACAGATTCAGGAAAGTTCCTGGTGAAGATGGATGGGTACTTTCTCTAGATAAGCCTTAGGAAGGGAGGGAGGTGAAGTTATGAACTTCTGTCCTCTTAGTGAGATAGGTGCTGGCCTGTGGAGCCTGCATAGGCTTCTGCTATTTCCTGAGGAAGAAGAATCACAAGTGCTCAGGCAAAAGCAATCACTCCCCCAAATTTCCTTTCCTTTGTCTCTCCTCTGGATTGTCTTCTCTAGGAAACCCTAAGATCTACTTACTAATGGAGGGCCCATGCAAGACTTCACAGTTGGGGCAGTGGTAGAGGTCAATGTCAGCAGCCTTCTCCTCTTCAACACCAACACAACTGAAAAAGAGAAAAACAGCCAAGGTTTATGGAAATTTTATTTTTTATGAGGTCTAGAACAGTGCTGTCCAGTAGAACAGCTATTAAGTACATGTGGCTATTTATGTTTAAATCCATTAAAATTAAATAAAATTTAAAATTTCAAGCGCTCAGCAGCCACATGTGGTTAGGGGTTACTGTATTAGGCAGTGGTGTGATCATGGCTCACTGCAACCTCTGCCTCCTGGGTTCAAGTGATTCTCCTGCCTCAGCCTCCCAATTAGCTGGGATTATAGGCATGTGCCACCATGCCTGGCTAATTTTTTGTATTTTTAGTAGAGACGAGGTTTCACCACATTGGCCAGGCTGGTCTCAAACTCCTGAGTTCAAGTGATCCACCTGCCTCTGCCTCCCGAAGTGCTAGGATTATAGGTGTGAGCCACCACGCCCAGCCTTATAACCTAATTTTTAAACTTGAGATACTTTATTAAACGAAAAAGACTAAAAAAAAAAATTTATAGTCAACAGTAGTTCTAAATGAAAAATTACAGATAATCCTTTTTATCTTATCTGTGCTTCTAATTTCCTACAATAAACATCTGTTGCTTATTTCACATTTTAAAGACTTAAAAAGATTTACTTAATTTTGAAAATTTGACTTTGCATGTATATGAGGTGGTAATCTCACAAAATTCAACCTTCCCTTACTAGGGAAGGCACCAGCAGCCCTCCAAATAAATTCTTGCTAAAATTAAACACCTAGGCCAGTCACAGTGGCTCATACCTATAATCCCAGAACTTTGGGAGGCCGAGGCAGGAGGATCACTTGAGCCCAGGAGTTCAAGACCAGCCTGGGCAACAAATTGAGACCCCCATCTCTACCAAAACAAACAAAAAAATTTAGCTGAGCATGGAGGCTGAGCTGGGAGGATCCCTTGAACCCAGGAGATTGAGGCTACAGTGGGCCATGATTGTGCTACCGCACTCCAGCCTGGGTGACAGAACAAGACCCTGTCTCCAAAAAAAAAAAAAAAAAAAAAAAGAAGACCCAAGTCTTAAAATGTTTGGTTTACCACACACAGCAGAGAACATTAAGGCAGAGCTCAAGTTGTTTCAGCCAAGATCATGCTCATAAATGGACTTCCTGGGATTAGGACTTCCCAACTAATAATCTTCCCAATATCCCAACTAAATATATTCCCAACTAATAATCTCATGCCTATAAACCAGCAGCTTATCAATAAACTAGGGATATCACCATCAACTTTGTAGGGTTTTTAAGGATTCAATAAGATAATGTATATAAAGTGCACAGCATGGCCAGTCGCGGTAGCTCACACCTGTAATCCCAGTACTTTGGGCGGCCAAAGTGGGAGGATCGCTTGAGGCCGGGAGTTCAAGACCAGCCTGGGCAACATAGGGTAACCCCATCTCTACAAAAATAATACTAATGTGTGTAGCACAGTGAGCATAAAGTCTGATACACAGTAAGTATCCGGTTTCACAGTAAGTGCTAGAAGTCCAGTCCGGACCTCACCTTTCACCTGCCTAAAACTTCTTCAAAGATATTCCCCAGACCTTGTAGCATTAACTCAGTTCCCTGGACTGCATGCTTTCTATCTCATACCCCTGTTCCCTCTGGACACCTCTCTCTCCCCTAAACTTTCACCCTATGTGGCTATGTGCTTTCTCTACTCTAAACACCCGCTGCTCATCCCCTTTCCCAACTTGGTAAACAAACTGCTCAACATTGGCACTCTCTTCAACAAACACTCCTTCACCTTCCAGGCTTAACTGAATGCAGCTTCTCCTACGGGAAAATCATTTTCTCTACACCGGTGCCACTCAAAGTGTGGTCCACAGACTAATGCCGGTCTGTGAACTATTTACTACAGGTCTGTGGTAAGTACAGAAAGTAAGAGTAAGCATCACTATTATGCAGAAGTTTTTACAGCAATTTAACAGAATAATTTTATATCCGTTCAATCTAAGAATAAAATTTTGGGCTTGTCTTTTATATGTCTTTTGGTTCATACCATTTTTTTAAATTTTTATTTATTTATTTATTTTTTGAGACAGAGTCTCGCTCTGTCACCCAGGCTGGAGTGCAGTGGCACGATCTTGGCTCACTGCAAGCTCTGCCTCCTGGGTTCACGCCATTCTCCTGCCTCAGCCTCCCGAGTAGCTGGGACTACAGGCGCCCACCACCACGCCCAGCTAATTTTTTGTATTTTTAGTAGAGATGGAGTTTCACCATGTTAGCCAGGATGGTCTCGATCTCCTGACCTCGTGATCCGCCCGCCTCGGCCTCCCAAAGTGCTGGGATTACAGGCATGAGCCACTGCGCCCGGCCGGTTCATACCATTTTTTTCTAGTAATTCTTTTTTTATATCATAAAAGGATCGGCCCATTATAGATTGGAAATTTTAAAAGTGCCTTGGTTCTTTGCCACAGAAAATCTAAGCAGCATTGTGCTAGAGCCCTTATAGCTGCACATTCTCCCATACCCTCATAACTCAGGACTGGGTTGTGGGTAGCCATCCCTCTCACTCTCTGGTGAGACTTCCAGATCATCTCTCCTCTACCCTTGTGTAAGAGCTCCCACTCCTCTGAGTTCCACACCATCCAGCCATACCACTTCCTACTCCTCTTCATCACTGCCACATACCCATCTCCCCAACACACCCCTTCACTCGCTGAAGAACCTGCTCAGATCTTCCCCATCCCGAGTCCTGACAACATCCTACATGAAATCAGTATCCATCTGGAGACACAACATTCCAGGCACTTAGTTCTTTGATCTTCTCATCTTCAGAGACTGTTACCTCTACTCCCATTTCAGCTACCAACTCTCATGACCATCCCCCAGACCCTGTCAACACCAGCAACTGCTGTACCTCTGGAATATGAAACTCATACATCGCCCTCTCTGACCACAAGTCTATCTATCCAGCTCTCATTCACTACAACCTGTTCTTTGCCCTCAAAACTCTTTATCCTCATACTTTTCACCTATTCACACATTCTTGACTTTACCCTCCTTCCCTATCTAGTTGAGATTCCAGCATTCCTCACTTCAATCATTCTCTTACAGATACCCTCACTTGCCCCACTGCCTTTCATCCCCATATGCAAACCCTAACCCTGGCTCAGTACAACTACCTAACTCTAGACCACTAGATGTGGCTAGAGAAAAATAACCCATTGGATTGGTGCCATCATAAATTCACTGTCCAAAATATTTGGATTGGCCAGGCACGGTGGCTCACGCCTGTAATCCCAGCATTTTGGGAGGCTGAGGCGGGTGGATCACCTGAAGTTAGGAGTTCAAGACCAGCCTGGTCAACATGGTGAAACCCCATCTCTACTTAAAATACAAAAATTAGCTGGGAATGGTGGTGGGCGCCTATAATTCCAGCTAATCAGGAGGCTGAGGCAGGAGAACAGCTTGAACCCAGGAGGCAGAGGTTGCAGTGAGCCGAGATCATGCCACTGCACTCTAGCCTGGGCGACAAAGCAAGATTCCATCTCAAAAAAAAAAAAAAAAAAAAATCTGGATCATGCTGCCTGACAATCCTTCTGAAATTCCCCACTCAACTCTCTCTCATTATCTACTGTGGCTGTGTCAAATCTCTCACCCCACTACCTGCCTCTTCTCTCTCAAAAATTACCTTGCTTCCTACTACTTCTGGTTTTTGGTTTTGGCTTTTGTTGTTGTTGTTGTTGTTGTTGTTAAGCACTCTTTGCTTTCATTCTTTGAGTTCCTTAATGTTTTTGTTTTGTTTTGTTTAGAGTCAGGGTCTCACTGGGTTGCACAGGCTGGAGAGCAGTGGTGCCAATCATAGTTCACTGCAGCCTTTAACTCCTAGGCTCAAGTGATCCTCCTGCCCCAGCCTCCCAAGTAGCTAGGACTACAAGCACACACCACCACGCCCACCTAATTTGTGTCTGTACGTGTGTTTTATAGAGAGGGGGTCTTGCTTTGTTGCCCAGAATGGTCTCAAACTTCTGGCCTCAAGTGATCCTCCTACCTCAGCCTCCCAAAGTGTTGGGATTACAGGTGTGAGCCATCATGCCAGCCACTTCCTACTTCTACACTTGATCTTAGCCAAAAGACCAAGAAGCGATGCACTTCCTACTTCTTAGAGAAAATTAAGTAATCAGAGGTGAACTACCTTAACTTCTCATCACCAATCTACCTCCTTCTACACCCATCCTTTTTTTCCTATCACAACAAAAGTACTATCTTTCCTTCCTTCTAAAGCCAAGTTTTCCACCTGGGTCACATGTTTTCTTACCTTCTCAATCAATTATTCCTTCTTTCTGCAGTATCTTCAATCTCTCTCTTTCTCTTCACAATAGCATTTAAACAAGTCTATTGATGTTTACAAATTAAAAAACCAAGACCTACCCGCCCTCCCATCCTCCCTCCCTTCTGTCCGCCCCTTCACAGCCAAACACATTCTTTCTTTAAACCTATGCAGCTTAAAAATGAAGTAAATAAACCTACGAAGCTTGATAATGACTCCTCTTTTGAATAAGTAACAGCTGTACATGGTGCAAAACTCAGAGTACAGAAGTATATACAGTAAAAAGTCTCCCTCCCACCCTTAGCTGCCTAGTAGTATCCAGAGGTGTTCTATCAGAGCCAAATCGATACTTTTTTAGGGTTGCTATATGCACTTTGTGATTCATCTCCTGCTAGTCTGATCTTAGTCCCCACCTTCTTTAAAATAGATCTCACTGGTTTCCTGACCTCCTTGTTGATATATGCAATAAGTACTTCTCTGCTTTATCTCCCTTAACCTCTTAGCACCATTTTCGCCCTGCCAACCCTGTACACTCTCCACCTGACAAGCTCTCTATCCTTGACTTCTATAACGTCCCATCTGGCTGGTGCCCATTCCTTCAGCTGACATTTAATGAGCATCCGCCAGGCTCTGGTCTAGGTGCTGGTGAGACGAAGACAAAAAACAAAGCATACAAAAATCCCTGCCCTCATAGAGCTGATGTTCTAGTGGGGAGGCAGACAAGAAACAAGATAAATCAATGCAATTGGTGAAACACATTGTATGCTGGATAGTGAGAAGACCTAGGTAGAAAAAAAAACAGGAAGGGGGATATAGAGGAATATGTATGTGTGAATATATAACTATACACACCACACACACACACACACACACACACACACACACACAATGGGGGGGCCAGGAAGAATGGTAGTGAGGGTGAAATATTAGATAGGGAAGACAGGGAAAGACTGACAAAATGGCTTTTGAATAAAGACCCAAAGGGAGTAAGGGAGCAAGCCCCTCATGTGGCTATGAAGGAAGAGCATCCCAATAAGAACAGCAAGTACAAAAGCCCTGTGGTGGGAGCATCCCTAGACTCCGAAGGTAGCAGAGAGGAGGAGAGTGTTCTAGAGTAGAGAGGTAGGAGGACAGTAATAAGTCAGAAAGGCAATAGACTCATGTAGTAGGGTGTTGTAGGCCACTGTAAAGCACTCTGGCTTTTCCTGGGTAGCCACAAGAACTGGGGAGTAACAGCCACTATGAGTAGGGATGTGATGTGATTTTAATCATGTCTTTGGCTGTTCCTTTTTCCCGATGAACTCTTTTTCTCCTGCCCAGTCCTTAAATGTTGAAGTTTCTTAGGTCCTCTTACCTGGGCACTCTTTTCTCCTCACTTTTCCTCACTGTTCTCACTCCCAGGGCTCCATGTGCCCTCTATGCACTCATAACTCCAAGCCAGATTAGACCCTTCCCTCCAAATGTCTCCTGGGTGAGACATTTCTACTGGATAGCCACTTACGTACTTCAAATTCAACATGTCCAAACTCAGTTTCTCCTTCTGTCTGTCACCTAAACATGCTCCCTTCTCTTAGGTTTCCCACTTCTGCAAATGGCTCCATAACCTCACCAGGCATTCAAGCCAGAAACCTGGCAGCCATCACTGATTCACCTCTAGCCCTCTCCCTCCACTATACCCTGAAGTAGACGTTCTAGCATCAAGTTAAGAACACTGACTTTAGGTCCAGATTCTCTGGGTTTGCATCCTGGCTGTGCCACTTACTAGCTGTGGGATCTTGGACAAGTTACTTAACCTCTCTGTGCCTCAGTTTCCTCATTGTAAGATGGGGATAAAAACTGTACCTACTTCACAAGGTTGTTATCAAAAGCAAATGAACTAAATATATAGAAAGTGTTTAGAACAGTGTCTGGCCCATAGTAAGTGCTGTGTATGTTTGTTGTTATTATCCAAGTTATCAGCATGTCCTATCAACTCTCTTTATTAGCTATCAATTGTGTTAATTTGTCATCCTTACTGCCCCTGCGCTAGTTCAGGCCACTATTATCTCTAACTCAGTTATTGTCCTGCCCTCCTAACTGGACTCCTGGCCCCTATTCTGTCCCTACCCAATCGGCCCTCCACACTACAGCCAAAGTGATCATTTAAAAACACAAATTTGATCCTATCAACCCATGCTTAAAATGCCTCACAGGGTCCCTATTTTTCCTAAGGTAAAGTATAAACTTACCATGGCCCAAAAGGCCTTGCCTCTCTGGCTGAGCTCACGTCTTTCCCCTCACACACAGCGTATGCTGGGGGAGACATTCCTACTGCATAGCCCACTTACAATCTGTGGGGCCTAATGGAAATGAAAAGTGGGAGCTCCCTGTTCAAAAAATAGAAAAGCTTTTTCCTTTCTTCCATGGTCTCTCTCTCAACTTACCATGCAGTTTTAATATGCTATTTACTGTCACGCTCCCTTGGGTATAGGGATAACTCAAGGGGCGAGTGCAGGCCCACACAAGTACCCTGGGGCCCTGCCCGGTGACTTAGTACACAGGGTACATGAACCCAACCGACTCTGTCCACACCTGCACCTGGGCCCAGTGCCCCAGGCAGCTAGCCAAGAACCTGTTCGGGGAGGTAGAATGGCAGCAGGAGGTAGAACCACATATGAGCCAAGACTCTTAAATCCCCAGCGCACACTCCATTGTTCCATCACATACCAATCACAAAATCAAAGGCAAAATTATTAAGAATTTCAAGACAACCACCACAGAACATTAAACCTCAGGCATGGGGCACCATGTGACTATAACGATTGCACACCCATGAAGCCAGCTCTGCTCTAAAAAGCCAGCGGACTCTCGGTGCCATACTCTGTCTAGCTCTAGCCTCTGGGTTTCATCACAGGTATCTCCTTCTACCTGGAACATTCCTGCTCTTCCTTTTCCCTGCTGCTGTGGCACCCCCACAACACTATCCCTATTTCAGCCTTCACCACGAGGCCTTGGAATTGCTCACTTACCTGCTGTCTGTCCCCACTACATTTGCCAGATAGTGTATCTTATTTACCAAAAGTCCTCACCTTTCCCATCTCTCAGTCTTGCCTTACTTATTATTCAACAAACATCAACGTGCTAGACAACTCCTCATATCAGGGAGGCAGACAAATGAAAAATCGGGCTTCTGGCTGCACTGTCTCGATAGTTACCACCTGGGACCAAGGGTGGTAAATGCTGATTTGCTCTGAGTAGCTTCCTTAGTCAAGAGGATAATTATTATAGCACCAGGTCTTGTGATTAAGATGAGTTATCCCCATGGTATACTGCAAAGCCAAGCACACGGTAAGCAGTATTTGTTAAGTAAATGAGTGCATAAATTCAACAAATATTGATTGAGCAGACACTGCCCTCATGGACTGGACATTTTAGAGCGGGAGACAGAGAGGCAGTGTCAAAACAGTTTCGTAAGTGCTATAAAGTCAGTAAAGCAAGGTAACAGGATAGTGAGTGAATGAATTTGAAGTTAGCATAAAAGGCACTGAGAAAAAAACTGAGCTATGAACTTCACATATTATCACATTTAATCTCCACAACAAATCAGGGCCTTCCGTACAACATTCACAGACATTAAACACAGAAGCAGAGGTTTAAAGTACAGGCTTAGGAGCCAAACTGCCTGGGTTTGAATCTCACCTCTGCCACTCACTAGCTATGTGAACTTAAGCAATTTATACTTCACCTTTCTGCATCTCAGTTTCTGCATCTGTGAAATGGAAGTACTAATAGTACCCACTTCACAGGGTGGTTAAGAGGATTAAATGAGCTAAAATAGTTAAGTACTTAAAGTTCCTGGCACATGTTAAGTATTAGCTATCATCATCATCATCGTTAATATTATCCTAATCTAACAGATGAGAAATCTGGGTCTGAGTGGTTAAGTAAATTGTTGGCAATTACAAAACTACTAAGTAGCAGAGCAGGATACAAATTCAGGACTTTGTGACTCTACTATATCACTACAATATGTAACCAGGATATAATGTGGGGTGATTAATACAGTCAAGTGTTATGAGCACTCCAAAATGGACACTCAACTCTTCCAGGGATGTGGAACTGAGTGGGAGCTGAGACTTGGAGATGCCTGAGAGATGATGATTTTGCTCAAGATCCTGTCTGGCTTCTTATCTCCTCAACCTCTGCCTTCTGAGGGTACCCAAGGATCCAGGTCCAGACAGAGCACCATCTATAAAACCAGAAGCTGAAGCATCCACCATTCCCACCGCCCCACCCCTCCAACTCCAGGCACACAGGACTTAAAGGAATGCAAAGGACACAGCAAGTTCCAGCGTACCTAGGAAGTGTCTCCTTTATGAGTTTGTCATATAACAGGTTTCACTGAATTCTGGATGCACCAACGGAATAACTTCATATGCACTGACATGCACACAGACAGACTGTTCTATCTCCAAAAAAAAAAAAAACCCAAACAAAAAACCCTTTTGTGATCCCCTCAGTCTCTGCCCCATTACTCTAGTCCCCTTTACACCAAATTCTTCAAAATTGAGTCATTCTTGAGTTCCTTCTTCCACAACCCCAATCCAATCTATTAACAAATCCTGTATCAATATATATTCAAAATCCAACCACTTCTCATCATCACTGACTCTGCTTTAAGCCACCACTGCCTAACTAGACCAAAGTTTCTCAGATTTTAGGGAATATTAGAAACACCTGGTAAGCTTGTTAAAATACAGATTCCTAGGCCCCATCCCCAGACATCTTGATTCAGTAGGACTGGGTTGGGCCTATAAACGTGCATTTCTAATGACCTCTCAGGTGATGCTGATGCTGCTGGTCCAGGGACCACACTTTAAGGAATAATGATCTACAGTAGCCCCGAAATTCTCCCTGCTTCTACCTTGCTCCTCACCTTTAGTCTATCCTCACAAGAGCCAAAACCTAAATCAGATCACAACTCTCACTTGCTCAAAAAGCTTCTGTGGCTCCCATCCAGAGTAAAAACCAAGTCCTTACACCCTATACCCATGGTTTTTAAACTTTAGCGTGCATCTGAAAGGCTGTTAAACCACAGATTCTAGGGCTCCATCTCCAGAGTTTCTGATTCAGTCAGTCTGGGGTGGGATCCAAGAATTGGCCTAATCAGTTCCTAGATAATGCTGATCCTGCTGGTCTGGGAACCATACTTGGAAAATCACTGCTGTATATGATCTGCACACCCCTGACCCTTAACCTCAGCTTCTATTACTCTCCCCTCACTCACTCTGTTCCAATAGCATTGGACTGGACTGGTAGCATGCCAGGTCTGCTCCCCACTTGGGTCCTTTATGTCCTCTACTTGAAACACTCTTCCCCTACTTACCAGCATGGTTCCCTTCCTCGCTTTCCTTCAGGCTCATAGGTAACCCATCTGTAATCATCCTGTATAAAGTAACCACTACTTCAACCCTGGGGTGGTACTCCTTCTCCTGCTCACCCTACTTTACTTTTCTCTAGACCATGTATTATCACTTGACACACTATATATTAAGCTGTTAGTTTACTGTCTCATGTTCACTGCCGTATCCCCCCTCCCCCACCCCGGTGTCCAGAACAATGCCTGGCACATAGCACATATCTGATTTTCCCTATCTTCCATAACTTCTAACAACTTAAACAGTGCTTATATTGTCTATAATACTGTATTCTACAGTGAAAGTAGAGGAGACCCAGGTTTGATCTGTGGTCCAGCTGTCTGTGTAGCTTTGGGCACATTATTTAACCTATCACTGCTGGTTCTGGAACAATATGAAGTAGATGCACTCCTCCCTATCCCTCCAAGTACAGCTAAAAACCCTGGACAATATATACAAAACAAACATAAAACTCTGAAAGGTGAAGGGAAGAAAGCAGACCGACTAGAGACAGCAGGATCCACCCACCTAGCAGGTGGTGGATAGCACCAAAGACCAAGTGGGGAACCTGTACTTCCACCCCCACCTGGCAGTCATGAAGTGGTACCCCCTTTCTGCCACCGGAGCGCAGTGTCTGAGAAGGCCTGCAAAAACAGAAGTCTTAAATAAGATCCAGGATCTCGTGACATAATGCCCCAAATGTCCAGAATATAATTAAAATAATTATTTGTCATACCAAGAACAAGGAAAATCACAACTCGAATAAGAAAAGAAAATCAACAGATGTTAAGACTGAGATGACACAGATGTTGGAATTATTTAAGAATTTTAAAGGCGCCATCATAAAAATGTTTCAATGAGCAATTAAGAACATGCCTGAAACAAATGAATAAATTGAAAGTGTCGCCGGGCACAGTGGCTCATGCCTGTAATCCCAGCACTTTGGGAGGCTGAGGTGGGCAGATCACGAGGTCAGGAGTTCGAGACCAGCCTGGCCAACACGGTGAAACCCCATTTCTACTAAAAATACAAAAGATAGCTGGGCGTGGTGGCATGTGCCTGTAATCCCAGCTACTCGGGAGGCTGAGGCAGGAGAATCACTTGAACCCAGGGAGGCAGAGGTTGCAGTGAGCCGAGATCGCACCATTGCACTCCAGCCTGGGCAACAGAGTGAAACTCCATCTCAGAAAAAAATCATCATCATCATAATAAAATAAATAAATACATAGAAAGTGTCAGCAAAAATTAGCCAGGCATGGTGGTATGTGCCTTTAATCCCAGCTACTTGGGAGGCTGAGGCAGGAGAATCACTTGAACCCAGGAGGTGGAGGTTGAAGTGACCCAAGATTGCACCACTGCACTCCAGTCTAGGCCACAGAGCTAGACTCTTGTCTCAAATAAAAAAAAAAAGAAAGTGTCAACAAAAAATAGAAAATCTCTTCAAACAAATAGAAGATATAGAAAAGAATCTAACAGAATTTTTAGAACTGAAAAATACAGTAACAATGAAAATTCTTTAGTAACTTAAATGAAAATTCAACAGCAGAATGGAGAAAACAGAGAAAAGAATCAGTAAGTTGAAGATAGAACAATAGAAATTATCCAATCTGAACAACAGAAAGAAAACAGATTGGAAAAAAAATGAACAGAGCCTCAGCAACCTACAGGACTACAACAAAAGACAAACCGGAACAAATCCACACTAAGACATGGCTTAATCAAATTCCTAAAAGCAAAAGACAAAGGAAAAATCCTGAAAGCAATGAGAGATAAATGACACATTACCTCAAGGAGAACACCAATTTGAATGACAGAGGCTCTCTCATCAGAAACCATGGAGGGCAAAAGGAAGTAGCAGAACAGTTTTCAAGCGCTGAGATAAAAGAACTAGAAACCCAGAGTTCGATATGAAGTGAAAAGATCCCCTAAGAATTCAAGGGAAATCAAGATATTCTCAGATTAAGGAAAACTAAACGTATCTGTTGCCAACACTTATCCTAAAAGAATGAGTAGGCTGGGCACAGTAGCTCATGCCTGTAATCCCAGCACTTTGGGAGGCCGAGACGTGTGGATCATTTGAGGTCAGGAGTTCAAGACCAGCCTGGCCAAGATGGTGAAACCCCGTTTCTACTAAAAATACAAAAAATTAGCTGGGCGTGGTGGCGGGCGCCTGTAATTCCAGCTACTCTGGAGGCTGAGGCAGAGAATTGTTTAAACCTGGAGGGGCGGAGGTTGCAGTGAGCCGAGATCACGCCACTGCACTCCAGCCTGGGCGACAGAGCGAGACTTCGTCTCAAAAAAAAAAAAAAAAAAAAAAAAAATCAGCCAGGCATAGTGGTGCATGCCTGTAGTCCCAGCTACTGGGGGGTGGGGGGCTGAGGTGGGAGGATCACTTGAGCCCAGGAGGTTTAGGCTGCAGGTGAGCCGTGACTGTTCCACTACACTCCAGCCTGGGCAACACAGCAAGACTCTGTCTCAACAACAACAAAACGATTAATTAGATTATAAACAAAAGAGCATTAAGGCATATAAAGAAAAGTAAAGTTTCAACCGGACATGGTGGCTCACGCTTGTAATCCCAGCACTTTGGGAGGCTGAGGCGGGCAGATCATGAGGTCAGGAGTTCGAGACCAACCTGGTCAACATAGTGAAAACTCGTCTCTACTAAAAATACAAAAATTAGCCGGCTATGGTGGACCACACCTGTAGTCCCAGCTACTCGGGAGGCTAAGGTGGGAGAATCGCTTGAACCCAGGAGGCAGAGGTTGCAGTGAGCCGAGACCACATCATTGCACTCCAGCCTGGGTGACAGAGTGAGACTCTGTCTCAAAAAAAAAAAGGAAAAAGAAAAGTAAAGTTTCTACTCTTCAATCAAACTGGTAAAATGTCAAGAGCAGTTGCTTATGGTAAGTTATATGTATAATGTAATACCTAGAGCAAGTACTGAAAAAAGCAATACAGAGATAACTCGGGCCAAGAGCAGTAGTTCATGCCTGTAATCCCAGCACTTTGGGAGGCTGAGGTGGGAGGATCATCTGAAGCCAGAAGTCCAAGACCATCCCAGGCAACAAAGGGAGGTACCACCAACCTACACCCACACCCTCCCCACACAAAAAATTTTAAAAATTAGGGCACACAGTGGCACATGCTTGCAGTTTCAGCTATTGTAGAGGCTGAAGCATGAGGAGATTGCTTAAGCCCTGGAATTTGAGGCTGCAGTAAACCATGATCAAACCACTGCACTCCAGCCCAGGTGACATAGAGACCCTGTCTCAAAAATAAATGAATGAATGAATGAGTAGGCCGAGTGCAGTGGCTCACACCTGTAATCCCAGCACTTTGGGAGGCCGAGGCAGGCGGATCACCTGAAGTCAGAAGTTCAAGACCAGCCTGACGAACATGGAGAAACCCCGTCTCTACTAAAAATACAAAATTAGCTGGGCGTGGTGGCACATGCCTGTAGTCCCAGCTATTCAGGAGGCTGAGGCAGAAGAATCGCTTGAACCTGGGAGCCGGAGGTTGCGGTGAGCCAAATCGCGCTCCAGCCTGGGCAACAAGAGCGAAACTCCATCTCAAAAAAAAAAAAAAAAAAGAAAAGAAAAAAGAAAAAATCAGCAAGGATTAGAAGAATTCAGCAACACCATTAACCAACAGTAGTTAATTGACATTTATAGAACACTCTACCCAAAAATGGCAGAATACACATTCTTTTCGAGTGATCATGAAACATTTACCAAGATAGACTCTGGGCTATAAAACAAATCTCAATAAATGTAAAGGAATTGAAATCATACAAAGTATATTCTCTGACCACTATCAAACTAGAAGTCAGTAACAGAACGATAACAGGAAACTCTACAAAAACTTCAAAATTAAACAACATACTTCTATACTTCATGGGTCAAACAGGAAGTTTCAAGGGGAATTTAAAAATGCCTTGAGGCAGCAGGAGGATCACTTTAGCCCAGGAGCTGGAGGCTGCAGTGAGAGCTATGATCCTGCCTCTGCAGTACCGCCTGGGCAACAGACTGAGACACTGTCTCAAAAAAAAAAAAAAAAAAAAAAAAAAAAACTTTTTTTTTTTTTAATGCCTTGAACTACATGAAAAGGGAAAATGTAACATATTAAAATCTATTGGTGCTGAGAAGAAACTTAACAGCTAAAGGCTTACATTAGAAAAGAAAGAAAGGCCGGGTGCTGTGGGTCACGCCTGTAATCCCAACACTTTGGGAGGCCGAGGCGGGTGGATCACCTGAGGTCAGGAGTTCGAGACTAGCCTGGCCAACATGGTGAAACCCCATCTCTATTAAAAATACAAAAAATTAGCTGGGCGTGGTGGCGAGCGCCTATAATCCCAGCTAGTAGGGAGGCTGAGGCAGGAAAATCACTTGAACCCGGGAGGTGGAGGTTGCAGCGAGCCGAGATCGCGCCATTGCACTCCAGCCTGGGCAACAGGCTGTTTCAGAAAAAATAAAAAAAAAAAAAAAAAGAAAAGAAAGTCTCAAATCAATAATCTAATCTCCCACCTCAAGAAACTAGATAGAGAGCAAAATAAACCAAAGGAGGAAAAAAATAGTAAAGGCAGAGATCTATTAAATTGAAAACAGAAAGACAACAGAAAAAGTCAATGAAACAAAAAGCTTGTTCTTTGAAAAGATCCATAAAACTGACAAACCTCTAGCAAGTCTGACAAATACGAAGACAAATTTTTTTTGTTTGTTTGTTTTCGGTTTTTTTGAGACAGGGTCTCGCTCTGTCACCCAGGCTGGAGTGTAGTGGCATGATCACAGTTCACTGAGGCCTCAACTTCCTGGGCTCAAGCAATCCTCCCACCTCAGCCTCCCGGGCAGCTGGGACTATAAGCATGTGCCACCCACCCTGCTAATTTTTGTATTTCTTGTAGAGACGGGGTTTTACCATGTTGCCCAGGCTGGTTTTGAACTCTTGGGCTTAAGCAATCCACCAGCCTTGGCCTCCCAAAGTGCTGGGATTATAGGCATGAATGACATCACATGCCCAGCCTGATACATTTTTAGTATCACTAATGAAACAAAATTATCACTACAGCACCTGAAGATATCAAAAGGATAATAAAGAAATACTATGAACAATTCTACAAACATAAATTTGACAACTTAGATGAAATGGGTCAATTCTCGGAAAGTACACATCCAACATAAAATAGGTAATTTGAATAGTCCTATAACTACTAAATGGAATAATTTTTAAAACTCCCCCAAAAGATAAAGATAATTAGGCGAAGTGGTTAGCATAGTGAGTGGAACACTAGCTTGTGCTCAATAAACGATAGCTATAACCATTTTATTTAAATCATCACAACCTCTCAGGGAAACTAAGGCTTCACAGATAAGAAATTATTTGCTAATATGTAACAGAATCAGAATTTGAACCCAGATCTGAAATCAGTGTCCTTTCCTCTAGAGTTAAAAATCCACACCAAAGTTATTCCCTTGGGCATGTATCAACCAATATTTCTTTTATAAACAGGAAAACTGTAGAGTGAAATTTGTGCTAAAAATCCCAGAAATCAATAAATGCTTGCCAACTAGTTTTCTCCACTATTGTACAGCAATGATTCTCAAATGTTAGGGTGAATCAGGATCACTTGTTTGTTAAAATATAGACTGCTGAGTCCAAGTCCTAGCCCAAGAAATTGCATTTTGAACAAATTCCCAGTTGATGAACTGTACTTTAAAAAAGGTCGTTCCTCCTGTGTTAGCTCACTTAGGAATTAAAAAAGAATAATATAAAAAGAATGTTCATTCCAATTTTTCTGTACCAAAAAAAGAGAATGACTGGTGTACAGTAATGATATGTTAGTCCATCCATCCCTCAGTATCAGAAGCTATCACACTCCGCAGAAGGGGAAGGAATCAAGACAGGATAATGTTCTAAATCAGTGGTTCTCAAGGGTGGGCCCTTCTTACCTACTGAATCAGAAATACTGTAGCTAGGGCATCCCTAACTTGTGTTTCATCAGGTCTTCCAAGTGAGTCTGATACATGCTGAAGTTTGAGAACCACCGCTGTACAAATCAAAGTGTTTTTGCAAAATCCAGCTTCTTACAGGAAGAATGAAGCAATACCATGTTTTTTGCACTTCTGAGAACCTGGGCTCTGGAATCAAATAATTCAAAGTTCAAATCCACACTCAGAAAGTCACTTAACTTCCACGAATTCCAGATTCTCAGCTGCAAAATGGAATAGTTGCCTCGCTTGTTATAACCTTTCCAAAAAGTAACTTGGCATTATATTCCATAATCCCTAGCTGGACTTCAAGAAATCTATCCTACAAAAGTCACTAGAGGCCGGGCATGGTGGCTCACACCTGTAATACCAGCACTTTGGGAGGTCAAGGTGGGTGGATCACGAGGTCAGCAGTTCGAGACCAGCCTGACCAACATAGTGAAACCCTGTCTCTACTAAAATACAAAAATGAGCCGGGTGTGGTGGCGCGCACCTGTAATCCCAACTACTCAGAAGGCTGAGGCAGGAGAATCACTTGAACCCAGGAGGCAGAGGTTGCAGTGAACCAAGATCGTGCCACTGCACTGCAGCTTGGGCAACAGAGTGAGACTCTGTCTCAAAAAAAAAAAAAAAAAAAAGAAGTCACTAGAGATATGAACAGATTTCTATCACCTCTAGGTATCTGTGGATTTAAAATTTGTTGGCTTAACTCTTGCAAGCAACCATAAAAAGTCCACAGTATGTAGTAATTTCCAATTGTGCTGAAGTACAAACTTAAATGGCGCACTATAAGCCTGGTGTGTTTCTGTGAGCAATGCACTGAGTAAGCAAGAGCAGCCACCCCCAAGGACCTGATTCTCAGCTAGCTTCCTTGTTCAGTGGGGGCCCATAGAGAGAAGCAAAAGAGATTTTTAAAATTTGGTGTATTTCATGGAAAAAAATTAAGGCAGTTAACTTGTGTTAGAGTGTACACAGAAACACACAACTCACCACAGAAATGTGATTAAAGAGGGGCCTGGCCCATAAGCCCATTTCTGTATTTGTAAGTTTAGAATTCTTTAAGGCCTCAATGGTGCTCCTTATAAATAAATGTCAAGTATCTACTAGGCAAAGATGCTTTCCATAATGTTTTTGTTTTAATCAGCACTCATATCAAGATGCAAAACCTTTCCAGAACGCCCAAAGTTTCCTCACATTATTTATAATATAAAAAAGTACAAATAATGTTCAAAAAAGTACAATGTCCAACCATAAAGGAAATTACCAAATTAACCGGTGACACATATATATTGTGGGATATCAGAAATCAAGTTTAGCTGAATATTTAATGAACTGGCAATTACATTGTAACATTAACTAGAAATAAAAAATAGGTTGTAAAATGGTATTTATAACGCAATCCCATCTTGTAAAAATATGTTTATATTCTAAGTCAAAAGATGGGAGTTAATGCAACAACAAATTTAACAGTGGATTGTGCCAGACAGTAGTAGACTTAGGTGAGTTATATTTCCTTCTTTATTCTTTTTCTGTGTTTTCTACAACAAGCAGGTCTCACTATAAGAGCAAGAAAAAATTAAGAACATTATTTAAAAGAGAAATATCCAACTTTCAGGCTTGCATATAGACTAAATAATTTGTCCCAAGTCCCTGTCATGGGGTCCGGCAGACATAAGCAGTCAGGAAGCATTCATTCCTGTTCCCTGTTTCCAGAGTGAGGAGTTAGCAGGAGCCCATTTTACAGGTCTGAACCTACACATTTCCCATACAATCCAAAGTAAGGGCCCCAGGCAACAGCTTTTTTTCATGAAGACTCATTAACTCATTCAAAAATGTACTCAGCATCTATTACATGTTTAGCACTGAACTAGGTTCTGGGGATACCAAAAATGAAAAGAAGACATCTCTGCCCTCAGGAAGCTCTGGCTAACGAATGACACAGATATATTTATAACTATGATATGATTAAATAATTACTTTTTAATAAAGACGCACACAAAGTGCAATGGGAACCAAGAGGAAGAAGGACTTTTACACCTTTTACAGTCTGTGAGTTGCAAAGGGGAGAGGGCATTAGTGGGAGTTTGCACGTACAAAGACAAAAAGGCATAAAGGAGTATAAAATTTTCCCAGAACTATAGGTAGTTCAGTCTTGCTAGGACATAAAGAACAAGAGAGGAGGAGTGGCAGGAAATGAGAATAAACAAGTAGATCACAAAAGGTCTTGTCTGTCATATAAAGGATACTGAATTTTATCCCAGAGACGAACCACTGAAAGAAGAATGTTAAGCTGAGGAGTGACTTGATCAGCACTAGCAAAGACACCAGGAATCCTGAAAGACATCTTAATCCCCACTTATTTTCAGGGCAAAGGAAAAGGTCCCACCCTCTAGGGTTGTCCCCTCTTAAATAACATGAGGCAGTAAAACAGAACTCTGTGCCGGGCACACAATAAATATTCAATAGAGATCAGTTAAACATGAATTTGGATACGGGGCAAGGGGGCAGTCCCTGCTGAGGGCAGGATTTTAGCAGCACCAGCACCTATAGTTTGGTCTTGAGTGTGATAAACAGAAATAGCTTGCTGGGCATAGTGGCTCATGCCTGTAATCCTAGCACTGTGGGAGGCTGAGGCGGGCGGATCGCTTGAGGTCAGGAGTTTGAGACCAGCCTGGCCAACATGGTGAAACTCCATCTCTATCAAAAAAGTACAAAAAAATTTGCCGGGCGTGGTGGCGTGCACCTGTAATCCCAGCTACTCGGGAGGCTGAGGCACGAGAATCGCTTGAACCCGGGAGGCAGAGGTTGCAGTGAGCTGAGATCATGCCATTGCACTCCAGCCTGGGTGACAAGAGTGAGACCTTGTCTCAAATAAAAAAAAAAAAAAAAGAAAAAAGAAAAAAAGAAAAAGAAATAGCCCCTCTGGAGGAGACCAGACAACTGAAAATTCTAGAATCTAACAAGCAACAGGAGGAGGGTGCCATACACTGTTTTGTTGTGCTCCAGTGTACAAAGCCCCCTCAAGGTTGTCTTTCCATAGCTGAGATTTAAATCCCATTAATGAAATATTAGTTTTATCGTACACACTAACCTCTCCGGAATTCTGGGTGACAGGTGCTTATGTGCACACACGGTTAACTGAAGGAAATTCATCAGTGGTTTTACTCCTGTTTTACCCAGCATCTATTCTGCTTAATTCAATTTAGTTGGATGGTGCTGCAGATAAATGCTGTAGAAATAAAATACTCTTCCATTTCTGCCTCCATTTATGGAGTACATCCAAACTGCTTTGCAAAGTCAGAAAGGATGTATTTGATAACATTTTATAGCTGAAGACAATGAGGCTCAGAAAAGCAAAGCAACTTGTGCATGGTCACTCTGAAACTAAGTACAAAGCCACAACTTAAATCCCTGTTTATGGACTCAACTACCTCAAATAAGCAACACTGTTTTCCCAAAAGCCAGTGTGTGAGGCAGAACATAATTGTCAGACTATAAAAATGATGACCGGGCACGGTGGCTCACGCCTGTAATCCCAGCACTTTGGGAGGCCGAGGCAGGCAGATCTCCAGAGGTCGGGAGTTCCAGACCAGCCTGATCAACATGGAAAAACACCGTCTCTACTAAAAATACAAAATCAGCTGGGTGTGGTGGTGCATGCCTGTAATCTCAGCTACTTGGAGGCTGGGGCAGGAAAATCGCTTGAACCTGGGAGGCAGAGGTTGCTGTGAGCCGAGATCGCGCCATTGCACTCCAGCCTGGGCAACGAGCGAAACTCCGTCTCGAAAAAAATAAAACAAAATAAAAAATAAAATAGAGAAGAATATAAAAATGATTCTTTGTAACAGGAAAGAAAAGGGGGGGGGGGTCTTATAAATCTAAAAAAACACTCAAAAGAAAAGTGCAAAGAAGAAATACATAGGGGAAAACACAGGAAAAGGAGAAACCAGAGGCTAATGTCAGCTAGGTCCTGTTCTGCAAGGAGAGATGGCAGAACCTGAGTCTGGGAGAGGGGGTCCTGAGCCGGAATCTAAAAACAGAGCTGAGAAAGGAAGAGAGAGCAAGTGAACACACCTGGCCACCGCACCCTGTGTAGCCTGGCCTGCCCTCCTTACCTGCCATGAAACCAGTCCTGGCACATGTCACACTCGATCATGAAGCGGGTCACATCGTAAGGCAGCCGGCAGAGGCAATACACCGGCACCGAGGCCATCTTCGCTCGGCCCTGGAGCGTTCTGCGGCCGGCCAGGTTCGTCGTGTCAAGAGGGGCGGGAGGCGGCAGCACGCGTCCTCTCTGGACGATAGCTAGGCACAAATAACACTTTTTACAGAGTGAATCAGCCCCCGCCCCCCACCCCCTTGCACCAACCCTCAGTTCTCCAATAGAGTTACCGCCGCCGGGATGCAACACAGCTGGTGCGGCTGTAGGGGGCAACCAGAGAAAGTCCACCCGGCCCTTAGAATTTCTTTCACACGTAAAGAACGGAGCTCAACCTTCCAGGCTTCCCACCGCCCCCACACTCTCCACTCCCCACCCCCCACCTTCTTCGGCCCCGTTGTCAGTGATAACTTCTTTCCGGGTTTCAAGAAAATACCTGAAGCCTTTTCGGGAAGCTTCTTTCATCTCTCACTGAACCCTCCCCTAGCTGACCCCTGTTTCACAGGGCTCCCTCTATTATGACGCAAACCACAGCGTCAAAAATGAGGCTGGGGGTATCTCAAGACAAGACCCTCCTCTCACCACCTGAAATAGGGCCAACCAGAGAGAGATAAGGGATCCCTGAAAGTCTCTTCAGGTTACTCAAAGCCTTCACGAACAAGACAGACAAGACTAGGCGCCCAACTCAAATCACAGTTCTGGGGTCGTGTTCGGAGAGTTTAAATAATCCTTTCCATCACTCTCAATATCATTCCTTCCCCGACCAGTCAGGAGTCTCATCACCCCCAAAACTGAAATAAATATAAATCTCTAAACTGACCAGCTCGTTCTGTACTTTAAAGATGACAGGGTTCTGGCTGCATCCCTGAAACTCAAAAGGATCTATTCAAAACCCCTCAAACTGACTAGAATTTCCTCACACTCCCGAAACTAAGCAAGGATTCTTTTGCATCGCTCGGAAACTGGCAGCGTTTCCTTGCAGCCCCCCCTCAAACTGATGAGAGCTCCCTAGTCTCCCCAAATGTTCAGGTACCTCACAGTATATCCTAAAACTGACAGTAATAGCCTCGCAGCCCCCAAAACTTACAGGAATCTTAACGCTTCCCCAACTGACAGGAACCTCCTCACGCCCCAAACCTGACAAGAACGTCTTCAGTCCAGAATCCTACAGGGACCTCCTCATGCTTTGGGCTGCAAGGACTCCACGCCCGCGGAGCTCAGCCCCAGCGACACGCCGGCAGCCGGGCTAGCTCCGGGACTGCGAAGCGCCTCAGCGGAGGCTCGTCCGGTAGTTCCGGCCCCTACGGCGACGCGCGTCGAATTCTGGGATAGTCCCCGTACCGCCGGGAACCTCGCTCGCCTTCCCCTCGAGCCCCCCGCTGGGTCGCGCGGCGCCAGCCGCTCAACGGTGCTTCAGAGCAGCCTCCTCCACAACATTCCCCTCGGCCCGGCCGTTCGGGCCTACTGGAGACCGCGGCTTGGGCCTAGTCTGGCGGCCGCCCGGCGAACGGGCAAGTGGCGTCGTCGCTGGGCCGGCAGGAGATACTCGCGAGCAAACCAACGGGGAAAGAGATGAACCGGCCGCCACGTCCGAGGCACACGGCCCGAAAAGTCGCTGGGAGAAGCCCAGTGGCGGTGGTAGGCAATTCGGAGTAGTCAATAAAGTTTATTCAAAACAATGAGGAAGTTGAGGCGGAGAGGGGAGGAGAAATACGGGATAAACAGCTACCATGTTGAGAGTGGCGGCGCTACCCAGACAACCAAGGCGACCGCCATCTTATGAGGGCTGGACTCGCGAGGTGAGCGCGGCGGAGGCGGGGAACCGCGAGCCGCCGGCTCCCGGGTGACGTCATCGGGGGGGCGGGGCGCCACCTTGAGAAAGGAGGGCGGTTCTCAGCCACCTTTGGACCCGCTCGTCTCTTTAAGGTGCCCAATCGCCGCTGAAGACCTTGAGCCCAGAGGCGGAGAAGCCGCCATCTTAGGCGAGGCAGACGTTTGGCTCCATTTTGAGTGGGGCCCGAAACTTCCTAGCCTTCCCCCTCCTCCGGGCAAACAGGGAGTTCAGCTACCCCGACTCGCACACTCCTCCTCCCCAGCCTTCTCCTCCTATGAGAGGAGGTGAACTCGGTGACTCCAAACTACAAAATTAATAGGTGGCGGCGGGGGCGGGCTTCAGCCGGGGTAGAGGCGGAGTACTCACCGCGGCTCCTGTTCATTGAGCACCTTCGATAGGCTGGGCTCTTTCCCACGGTCTCTGCGTTGTTGGTTCTTCCCCCTGTGAAGGAAGCTCTGTGATTATCACCAAATGAAGGCAGGGGCTTCGAGAAGCCAAGTGACTTGAGTCCCGGAGCAGGGACGTTGAACCTTGTGCCCTGTGCTACCCGCGTTCTGTCCCCAGGCCCTCAGTGTAGTTCCTCTGTAAAGCTGCTGCCAACTCCACAACTCCCTCTGAACTCTTCTTTGACCCTACTGTTTCACTTCAGTTCAAATACAGTTCAAGGATTTGTTTGCACCTGTCCCACAATTTTCTGACTATAGCCTGAGGGGAGGGGAGAGGAGGGGGGATGAGAGGAAAGGCTGAGTTAGTGGAGCTTTGCTGAGTTAGTGGAGCTTCGTACATATGCTTCAAGATGGCCTAGGTTTTCTCAAACATTCTAGAAAATTCTCTAGGAGTTATCTTACTATTTCATTTTCTTAAAGGGTCCCATTGCTTTAAAAAGGAAATGTGTGCGTGCACACAATTTACTAACCAGTGATGGTGGGGTAGGCCCTGGGGATGCAATGGTGAAAACAGGGCCTCTGGAGTGGGAGGGCATCTGCCAGTGCAGGAAACAAAGTTGCGAGTAAACAATTGGAATAGAAGGCACAGTAAGCACACAAATACCACCTGCAAAATGACCTTTGCAAAATGCAACATGAAGCTACAAAAGAGCCTTACAAGCTGCTTGCAGCTGCTGTAAGAAAGACGGCAGGGGGACATGGACGATTAAGTTCACTTAAATAAACAAGCGAGAACATTGTACTCAAAAGGATCAACGTGTACAAATGCATGGAGGCACATAGAAAAATATTTACTAGAAGTTGAATATTGTTGGAACAAGGAAAACAGAAGAGAGATAGGTAGGAGGTCAAACAGTAAAGGGTCACAACATGAAAGATTGCGAAATGCAAAAGAGTTTAGATTGTATGCAGTTAGCAAAAAGAAAACACAGGTTTTTGAGCAGGGGTAGCTTAGTCTCATATTTGTGACTTACCCAGAGGATGGTTTAGGGTTTTTTTTTTTTTTTATGTTTGTTGTTTTAGAGACAAGGTCTCACTCTGTCAACTCAGGCTGGGCGGTCATAGCTCACTGCACCCTAGAACTCCTGGACTCAAGCGGTCCTTCCGCCAGAGCCTCATGAGTAACTGAGACTATAGGCGCACACCACCACACTCGGTTATTTTTTATTTTTTATAGAGCCCAGGCCTCGCTATATTGCTCAGGCTGGTCTCAAACTCCTGGTTTCAGATCCTCTAAAAGCGCTGGGATTACAGGCCTGAGCCACTGCACTGAAAGGTCCAGGTTTAATGGGACCTGAAGCTTATATGGTTTGGGGGAGGAAGGGTGAGACGTCTTTAAGAAAAAAATAGCCGGGCGCGGTGGCTCATGTCTGTAATCCTAGCACTTTGGGAGGCCGAGGCGGGCGGATCACAAGTTCAGGAGTTCGAGACCAGCCTGGCCAACATGGTGAAACGCCATATCTACTAAAAATAAAAATATTAGCCGTGTGTGGTGGCACATGCCTGCAGTCCCACGTACACAGGAGGCTGAGGCAGGAGAATCGCTTGAACACGGGAGGCGGAGGTTGCAGTGATCCGAGACTGTGTCATTGCAGTCCAGCCTGGGTGACAGAGCGAGACTCCATCTCAAAAAAAAAAAAAATGACTTATGAATACAAAATTAGGTTCAAAGGTAGGCAGTAAGAGTATTTCTACAAGCAATTCCTTCACCTGGGTAATAATTACGAAGAGAAGTGATACAAGGCACATGTAAATGTACCATGGGGCCGGGTGCAGATTGCATGTCTGTAATCCCAGCACTTTGGGAGGTCAGGATGGGAGGATCACTTGAGCCCAGGAGTTCAAGACCAGGCTGGGCAACATAGTGAAACCCTGTCTCTACAAAATAAAAATAAAATGAATTTTTAAATAACAAATATCCCATGAAACCCAACCTAAATATATCCCCCAAATCAACTTCCCCTTAGGTGGATCTCAAAAATGTCAGGCAGCTCCAACACCACCTAATGCAAGGGAAAGTATGGCCAGGCCCTCAGTGGAAAGGGACAGCACTTTGAACCAATTGTTGTTTAAATGTATTTTGTGAACTTTATAAAACACATCACCATGTGACCCTATGGAAAGTGACAGGTCCTGCAGTTTAAGATGTCTTAGCTTCACAAGGAGTCAGGAGGAATGAGGCTGTTTCACTAGTGTTGGGGGGAAAAAATTGGTCCAGGATAGTTTGGGAAAGGGTAGAAAAAGATGAGATAATTTGGATATTTTGGAGGTTGACTAGGCAGTGTTTGGAAACTGATAATAGCAGATGAGTGAGTGAAAGGGGTGTGAGTTCACTTCTGGGTTGAGTGTCAGCATAGATGACGGTGCCACTGAATGAACTGGGCTACGCAGAAGAGAAAACAGATTTGGTGGGGAGGAGACTAAATTTAATTTGGACTATGTTGAGTTCAGGTGTGTGTGGAACATTAATTCCCTCACCCAACAGTTCTTTATTAATCTACTATGCATCATGCACTGTGCTAGGTGCTGAGGATGTTGAGGTACCCCAGATAAGGCCCTGGCCTGCATGCAGCTGACAGTCTACTGGCGGAAACAGTCAATGATCAAATAAAATTTCATTAATATGTGAATTTCATTCACATATTTTCTTGAACACCTACTGTTAGGCACTGGGGATTTAGGGGTAAACAAAACAGACAAGTCCCCGCCCTCCTGTGACTCATTTCCAGCAAGGGAGACGGATAAAAAGTGAGGCAAATCAGAGAATTTCCAATTGAGGTGAGTGCTATCAGGAAAGTAAGACCAGTTATGAGATAGAGAATGATTTGAAAGGAAAGCAGTCTATTTTAGATAAGGTAGTCAAGGAAGGGTTCTCAGAGAAGGTGACAGGAGCTGAGACCTGAATAACAAAAAGAGCTAGCTAGGGACAAAGGCAAAAGGAATCAAAAGTGTTGGCCGGGTGTGGTGGCTCACGCCTGTAATCTCAGCACTTTGGGAGGCCGAGGCGGGTGGATCACGAGGTCAAGAGATCCAGACCATCCTGGCCAACATGGTGAAACCCCATCTCTACTAAAAATACAAAAAATTAGCTGGGTGTGGTGGCACGTGCCTGTAGTCCCAGCTACTCAGGAGGCTGAGGCAGGAGAATCGCGTGAACCCGGGAGGCAGAGCTTGCGGTGAGCCGAGATTGTGCCACTGCACTCCAGCCTGGGCGACAGAGCAAGACTCCATCTCAAAAAAAAAAAAAAAAGTGCTAAAGCCCTAAGATGGGGGCAAGAGGACTGGGTGGGCTACAGGTGGGGGTCAGGGTCTCCAAGCCTGAATTAGAGACCCTGTGTGTACCCTTAGGGAATAGACGATCTAATAAATTAACAAAACAAGGAGGCTGGAAAAGGTCAAACCCTAAGTGCTACATAGAGGTTTGAGCAACCTGTGTGGTGTGGGAACAAAGAGGCAGTCACAGTTAATTCAAACACATTCAGTGGGTGTGTGAGGAAAGGCTTCACAAGAGGTAGCATTGGACCTAGGTACAGTGGTTCCTACCCCGACTCCTAAAATTCCTCCCCAGTGTCCTTGAGAGGTGGGGAGTGGACAAAGGATATTAGGAAAGGCAAAGCTGCCAGGGGTCTGAACCAGAGGCAGTCAGATTTGCTGACAAAGCAAGTCTTGCCACTGCTAAGGATGGGAGGCAGCTGGCTGCTGCCCTGGAAATGTGTGGACTGGTCCAGTCTCAGAGGATGCAGCCCATGATGGGACCTGGCTGCCACAGCACCAGGCTGCCCTGGAAGCCTACCTCCCCCATCCCACCTCCATTTAACAGTTGTAAACATTTATTTTTAATAACACAGATTCAGTTCCATCCCATTGTAATGTAAATGCATTCCCATTATAAACATTCAAACAGCCAGGCTGAACTTTCCCCGTGACAGGGCATTTCAATGCCTGCTTACCTCTCTAGAGGGAACCTCAGCAGGATCTTTTCCAATTCATTTCTCTACATATATGTTATAGCTATTGAGGTAAAAAAAAAAAATGATGAGGGCTACAGTGAACTATAAAACACATGAGTGGAAAAGGGGGGATTGGGGGGAAACTTACATGAGGAAAAACAGGTGTCCTCTGAAACAGACTTGAAAGTACAAGGACAGTAAAAACAAAAGACAAAATAATACTAAATAACATTATCTGAGAACTTACTGTGCTAAGCACTGTTACAAACTCGCTACAAGCATTAAGTCACTGAATCCTTAGAACAACCATATGAAGTAGATATCAATACTGTTAGCATTGTATGGATGATGAAGCTGAGTACAGAAACTTTAATTCACTTGCTGGAGGTCACTTAGCTAGTTTGTATCCTAGCAGGGGTTCCTGGTGATACAGGCTCAGAGACCAGGCTCTTAACCACTCCTTTATACCACTAGTGTGGATTTAACAGCAACTGGTGTATAAATGTAATGGGAAGGTAATCAATTAATGGTTCTTTGCATAATTTGAAACACAGAAACAAAATGTGGTTTGCACACACTTGAAATAAAAACTAGCAGGATGGTGCCCCAGGTGCCAAACTAAGCAATGGAGAACACCAACCCACGCCTCCAGGGCCAGCTTCATGGGCGTGCCTGTTCACCGAGCTCTGCTCCTAGAAGGGGCCTTAGGCTTGGTTTAATGTAATGCTGTGGCTGTCTTGAAATTGATAATTTTATCTTTGAGCTTGTCTTTTCTAAGTGTAGTCCACTGTGACAATGGATCATGGACATGAGCAGAAGGGATATGCTAAGTGGCAGCACCCACAGCCTATGGAAACTGCAGGCAATGTGCATGCCACCAAGCAGTTTGACAGGCCGCCTGGTGTGCAGAAACACACCAGAGGGGGACATCAGGGCCCAGAGGGGACGTCAAGCCAGTGACTACAGTGGCAGCAGTAGCAAAAGCAGCAGCACAGGTAGCAGTGGCTATAGATCTGGGAGAGAGGAGGGCCTCTGTGCAGGAACAGTGAGGAGACCTGTTGTGAGAGGCAAGCTTGTCCTGTCACCAGGGCCTGTACAAAGATTAACGCTTTGGCCTGCATACTGGCACAGGAACTGCTGGCACTCAGGCAGTAAACTTTGCAAGGAAATGATTATGAAATAAACGAGTACCCATGGACATTGCAGTAAAGTGTATGGAGAGGATTATTATAATTTTTCAAAGAGTTTAGAATCTCTGGTTTTAAAAACTGGTGCAACACAGCAAAACAAATATCCAAAGGCTTAGAAATAGAAATTAAAATTAAAGATTGTCACAAAAGACACATTAAATGAAAAGTTTCAGATAAAATATCAATGAAGAAGACAATATAAAAGTTTCTTCCCTGTAATTGAAGAGACAGGCCAGGCGCAATGGCTTATACTTATACTCCCAACACTTTGGGAGGCCGAGACGGGGAATTGCTTGAGCCCAGGAGTTTGAGACCAGTCTGGACAACAAAGTGAGACCCTATCTCTACTAAAAATTAAAAAACAAAAAATTTGCTGGGTGTAGTGGTTCGTGCCTGAAGTCCCAGCTACTCAGGAGGCTGAGGTGGGAGGATTGCTTGAGCTTTTGAGGTCAAGACTGCAGTGAACCATGATCTCCCATTGCACTCCTGGCTGGGCAACTGAGTGAGATGCTGTCTCAAAACAAAACAAAACAAAATAAAACGACAACAAAAAAAGACCAGCCTGGGCAACAAAGTGAGACCTCGTCTCTATAAAAAATAAAAATATTAACATATTAGCCAGGCATGGTGGTGCGCACCTGTAGTCCCACCTACTGACGAGGCTGAATCGGGAGGATTCCTTGAGCCCAGGAGGTCAAGGCTGCAGTGAGCTGTGATCCCACTACTGCATTCTAGACTGGACAACAAAGTGAGACCCTGTCTTAAAAAAAAAAAAAAATGAATGTGGCCGGGCACAGTGGCTCACGCGTGTAATCCCAGCACTTTGGGAGGCCGAGGTGGGCGGATCATGAGGTCAGGAGTTCGAGACCAGCCTGGCCAACATGGTGAAACCCCATTTCTACTAAAAACACAAAAAAAATTAGCTGGGTGTGGTGGTGGGTGCCTGTAATCCCAGCTACTCGGGAGGCTGAGGAAGGAGAATCACTTGAAACCAGAAGGCGGAGGTTGCAGTGAGCCGAGATGACGCCACTGCACTCCAGCCTGGGCAACAAGAGTGAAACTCTGTCTCAAAAAAAAAAAAAAAAAAAATGAAGTTGCGGCCGGTGGCTCATGCCTGTAATCCCAGCACTTTGGGAGGCGGAGGCAGGTGGATCACCTGAGGTTGGGAGTTCGAGACCAGCCTGACCAAAATGGTGAAACCCCCATCTCTACTAAAAATACAAAAATTAGCTGGGCGTGGTGGCACATGCCTGTAATTCCAGCTACTTGGGAGGCTGAGGCAGGAGAATCACTTGATCCTGGGAGCGGGAGGATGTGGTGAGCTGAGATCACGCCATTGCACTCCAGCCTGGGCAACAAGAGTGAAACTCTGTCTCAAAAAAAAAAAAAAAATGAAGTTGCTAAAAATGTTGATGACCAAATAATTGAATTTGCAGAAAAGGGAGTCAGAAAAATCTTATGATCATGATATATTAATAACACTATTTTTGCCGGGCACAGTGGCTGTCACCTGTATTCCCAGCACTTTGGGAGGCCGAGGTAGGTGGATCACTTGAGGTCAAGAGTTTCAGACCGACTTGGCCAACATGGTGAAACCCCGTCTCTACTAAAAATACAAAAATTAGTAGGCTGTGGTGGTGCACACCTGTAATCCCTGCTACTAGGGAGGCTGAGGCAGGAGAATCACTTGAACCTGGGAGGCAGAGGTTGCAGTTAGCCAAGATCGTGCCACTGCACTCCAGCCTGGGCAACAGAGTGAGATTCCGTCTCAAAAGAAAAAAAAATCATGTAAAATTATAACAAAAATATTTTTCTGTAATTTGTCATTATTCATGCATTACTATTACACTTACTATGTTTTATAAGTAAAAACATTTTTTTTAAGGAAACAAAATTTTTTTTTGATACAGAGTCATGCTGTGTCACCCAGGCTGGACTGGAGTGCAGTGGCGTGATCTCTGCTCATTGCAGTCTCTGCCTCACAGGTTCTAGCGATTCTCCTGCCTCAGCCGCCCAAGTAGCTGGGATTACAGACAGGCGCACACCACCACATCTGGCTTTTTTTGTTTTTAATTTTTAGTAGAGACGGGGTTTTACCATGTTGGCCAGGCTTGTCTCCAACTTCTGGCCTCAAGTGATCTGCCCACCTTGGCTTCCCAAAGTGCTGGGATTATAGGCGTGAGCCACCAAGCCCGGCCTAGGAAAAAAACTTTTTTTTTAAATTTTATTATTATTATACTTTAAGTTTTAGGGTACATGTGCACAACGTGCAGGTTTGTTACATATGTATACCTGTGCCATGTTGGTGTGCTGCACCCATTAACTCGTCATTTAGCATTAGGTATATCTTCTAATGCTATCCCTCCCCCCTCCCCCCACCCCACAACAGTCCCCGGTGTGTGATGTTCCCCTTCCTGTGTCCATGTGTTCTAATTGTTCAATTCCCACCTATGAGTGAAGCCCACTTGATCATGGTAGATAAGCTTTTTGATGTGCTGCTGGATTCGGTTTGCCAGTATTTTATTGAGGATTTTTGCATCAATGTTCATCAAGGATATTGGTCTAAAATTCGCTTTTCTGCTGTGTCTCTGCCAGGCTTTGGTATCAGGATGATGCTGGCCTCATAAAATGAGTTAGGGAGGATTCCCTCTTTTTCTATTGATTGGAATAGTTTCAGAAGGAATGGTACCAGCTCCTCCTTGTACCTCTGGTAGAATTCGGCTGTGAATCCATCTGGTCCTGGACTTTTTTTGGTTAGTAAGCTATTAATTATTGCCTCAATTTCAGAGCCTGTTATTGGTCTAGTCATATGCGGGATATAATCTCCTGGTGTGCCATTTTTTAAGCCCGTTGGAAAAGTGCAGTATTAGGGTGGAAGTGACCTGATTTTCCAGGTGCCGTCTGTCACCCCTTTCTTTGACTAGGAAAGGGAATTCCCTGACCCCTTGCGCTTCCCAGGTGAGGCGATGCCTTGCCCTGCTTCGGCTCATGCACGGTGTGCTGCACCCACTGTCCTGCACCCACTGTCCAGCACTCCCCAGTGAGATGAACCTGGTACCTCAGTTGGAAATGCAGAAATCACCCGTCTTCTGCGTTGCTCATGCTGGGAGCTGTAGACTGGAGCTGTTCCTATTCGGCCATCTTGGCTCCACAGGAAAAAACCTTTTTAGGTTGGGATCTTTAATTACACTTCCCCTCCTTTTTTCTTTTTTTTTTTTTCTTTTGAGATGGAGTCTCGCTTTGTCGCCCAGGCTGGAGTGCAGTGGTGCAATCTCGGCTCACTGCAACCTCTGCCTCCCAGGTTCAAGCAATTCTCCTGCCTCAGCCTCCTGTGTAGCTGGGACTACAGCTGCCGGCCACCATGCACGGCTAATTTTTGTATTTTTAGTAGAGATGGGGTTTCACTATGTTGGTCAGGCTGGTCTCAAACTCCCAACCTCAGGTGATCCATCCACCTCAGCCTCCCAAAGTGCTGGGATTATAGGCGTGAGCCACTGCACCCGGCTTTCTCCTCTGCTTTTTGAACGTGAGGCTCTCCATTCCATTTTCACGTTGTGCTGGGCTTCACCAATTATGTAGCTGACTCCCATGCCTACTTGGTGGTAATTGTGAGGTGAACTGGGATTGAAGCCACTCAAACAGCCTCACTGCTCAAACCAAAATCCTCTCCACTGGGAGTGGGGGTCCGGGTGGGTAGTGGCAGGATAGTAACACAGAAATATGGAGGTTGGTGTGGGTATTTATCATTTTCACATGAACAGGATCATACTGTTCAATCAAATTAGGCGGCCAACTGCTTTCTTCAGTTGACAATAAGTCTTGGAGATCTTTCTACCAAAAAAACAAAAAAAAAATCAACTTTATTTTTTGTTTTGAGATGGAGTCTCACTCTGTCGCCAGGCTGGAGTGCAGTGGCGTGATCTCGGCTCACTGCAACCTCCACGTCCCGAGTTCAAGCGATTCTCCTGCCTCAGCTTCCTGAGTAGGTGGGACTGCAGGCTCGAGCCACCATGCCCAGCTAATTTTTGTATTTTTAGTAGAGACGGGATTTCACCATGTTGGCCAGGATGGTCTCGATCTCTTTACCTGGTGATCCACCGACCTCAGCCTTCCAAAGTGCTGGGATTACAGGCGTGAGCCACTGCGCCCAGCCAACTTTCTTCTTTTTAACTACTGCAGGGAATTCCATCACTGGGGAAGGAGGCAGTCTTAATCTATTTCTCCTCTCCCTTGATGGATATTTAAAGTGGTCTTAATTTTTCACTATTACAGGGCTGCAGTGAACATCGCCGTAGGGACCTCTTTGTGCCCAGGCATGTTTCTCTAGATGGACACTCAAAAGAAGGTTACTGAGTCATGGAGTGTAAATATTTTGCTCACGCTTGTAATCCCAGCACTTTGGGAGGCCGAGGCAGGTGGATCACGAGGTCAGGAGATAGAGACCATCCTGGCTGACACGGTGAAACCCCGTCTCTACTAAAAATACAAAAAATTAGCTGGGCGTGGTGGCAGGCGCCTGTAGTCCCAGCTACTCGGGAGGCTGAGGCAGGAGAATGGCATGAACACAGGAGGCGGAGCTTGCAGTGAGCCGAAATCACTCCACTGCACTCCAGCCTGGGTGACAGAGCGAGACTCCGTCTCAAAAAAATAAAATAAAATAAAAATATTTTCAATTTTAATACATACTGCCAACTTGCCCTTCAAAGGCACTATGCCAATTTTTGAATACCATCAGCAGTGTATCTTCACATTTCCTAGGACCCTGGCATTTAGGTTGTTTTGTTTGTTCGTTTGTTCTTTTGGAGACAGAGTTTTGCTCTTTTTGCCTGGCTGGAGTGCAATTTTGCAGCCTTGGCTCACTGCAACCTCCGCCTCCCAGGTTCAAGTGATTCTCCTGCCTCAGCCTCCCAAGTAGCTGGAATTACAGGTGTGTGCCACCATGCCCACCTAATGTTTGTATTTTTAGTAGAGATGGGGTTTCACCATGTTGGCCAGGCTGCTCTCGAACTCCTGACCTCAGGTGATCAACCTGCCTCGACCTCCGAAAGTGCTGGGTTTACAGGTGTGAGCCACTGTGCCCAGCCTTTTGGATTGTTTTACAATCTGACTGATGAAAAATGATAACTCATGTTTGTTTGTTTGTTTTTAATTTGCATTCCCCCATCACTATTGAAGTTGAGCATGTTTTCATATGATGTTTATTATTGGCCCATCCTCTATGAACTATTTGTAACCTTTGCCTATTTTTTCTTACAGCATTGTCTTTTCCATGTTGAGTTGTAGGAGTCATTTATATTTCTAGATATTAATCCTTTGTCTAAAATGTATGTTGCTAATATTTTCCCACAGTATGTAACTTGTTTATGGTTTGTGTTATCATGCAGAAGTTTTCAGTGTTTATATAGTTTATACTTACATCAATCTTTTCTGCTATGGTTTTGCTGCTTTGTTTATTGTTTTAGAAGACCTTCCTTATCCAAAGTAACAACCATATTATCTTTTTTTGTTTTTCTGTTATGATACTTTCCATTTAGATCTTTAATCTACCTTAAACTCATTTCCTCCTCAGAACCTTTGCATTTCTCCTATCTGGAACTCTCTTCCCCTACATCTTCCTATGGCTGACACCTTCAGAGATCAACTCAAATATTGCTTCTTCAAAGAGGCCTTCCATGGCCACCCTAACTAAATTAGCCACTCCTCTCTCTGCCAAGATATGCCCTATTATCTTGATTATTTTCTTCAAAGATCACCTCCCTCTGAAGTTACCTAATTTGTTTATTTGTTCATGGTTATTCTCCCCTTAGATTGTAAGCTCTGTCAGAGTACAGACTTTGTCTTGTTCCCAGCTTCTAGAATGCTTTTAGAGTTTTAGTTAATTTGATATGATGGAGGGATATAGCTTAATTTTTTCCAAAAGGATAGATGATTGTCTCAACATCAGAACTCCCTTTTCTAAAAGAAAATTTTTATTTCAGTTTTCTGTTTTTCTATCCTATTAAGTATTGAGGCCGGGTGTGCTGGCTGACGCCTGTAATCCTAGCACTTTGGGAGACTGAGGTGGGCGGATCACTTGAGGTCAGGAGTTCGAAACCAGCCTGGCCAACATGGTGAAACCCCCATCTCTACTAAAAATATAGCAAATTAGCCAGGCGTGGTGGTGGGCACCTGTAATCCCAGCTACTTGGGAGGCTGAGGAAGGAGAATTACTTGAACCCAGGAGGCGGAGGTTGCAGTGAAGTGCTAGGATTACAGGCATGAGCCTTGTGCCCAGCCCAGAGTATCATATTTTTAAAATCTGCTTTCACTATGTCTGGAGTGGAGGCCCAGCATCCCTAATTTTATTTTGCTTTTGTAGAAACAGGGCCTCATTATGTTGCCCAGGCTGGTCTCAAATTCCTGGGCTCAAGCAATCCTCCCACCTTGAACTCCCACAGTGCTAGAATTACAAGTGTGAGCCATAGCACCAGGCCAACCTCCTTAATTTTAAATTTCACTGACTTGACAAGTAATATCAATGTTCACCTGGAAAAGTAATAATGAGAACATTTCTGAAAAAAAAAGAAAATGACAGAAAACAAGTTCTGTCAGATATTAAAAATACTACAAAGCGGCTGGGTGCGGTGGCTCATGCCTGTAATCCCAGCACTTTGGGAGGCTGAGGCCAGTGGATCACCTGAGGTTGGGAGTTCAAGACCAGCCTGACAAACATGGAGAAACCCCATCTCTACTAAAAATACAAAATTAGACGGGCGTGGTGGCACATGCCTGTAATTCCAGCTACTCGGGAGGCTGAGGCAGGAGAATCGCTTGAACCTGGGAGGCGGAGGTTGCGGTGAGCCGAGGTTGTGCCATTGCACTCCAGCCTGGGCAACGAGAGCAAAACTCTGTCTCAAAAAAAAAAAAAATACTACAAAGCTTAGCCAGGCGTTGTGGCACGCACCTGTAGTTCCAGCTACTTGGGAAGCTGACGTGGGAGGATCACTTGAGCCCAGGAGGTGGAGGCTACAGTGAGTCAAGATTGGGCCACTGCACTCCAGCCTGGGCAACAGAGTGAGACCCTGTCTCAAAAAAAAAAAAAAAAATACCGCAAAGCTAAGATGATTAAAACAGTTTAGTATAGTAAAAAGAATTAGATTGGCTGGGCATGGTGGCTCATGACTGTAATCCCAGCACTTTGGGAGGCCAAGGTGAGTGGATCACCTGAGGTTAGGAGATCGAGACCAGCCTGGCCAACATGGTGAAACCCTGTCTCTACTAAAAATACAAACATTAGCCGGGTGGGGTGGTGCGTACCTGTAATCGCAGCTACTCGGGAGGCTGAGGCAGAAGAATCGTTTGTGGTGCGTACCTGTAATCGCAGCTACTCGGGAGGCTGAGGCAGAAGAATCAGTTGAACCTGGGAGGTGGAGGTTGCAGTGAGCTGAGATTGTGCCATTGCACTCCAGCCTGGGTGACAAGAGCAAAACTCCGTCTAAAAAAAAAAAAAAAAACAAAAGAAAAAAAGAATTAGATCAATGGAACAAATAGATTCCCTAAGTAGACTCAAGTACATTAAAAAAATAATTTATGATAAAGGCCACAATTGAAATCAATGGAGAAAATGGTGCTGAGATAACTGGCTAGTTGGTAGTGAAGGGGTGGGGGAATTATCTTTATCTTACTCCTTATACCAAAATAGAATTCCAGGTGTATCAGAAGTGAAAGTAGAAAAAAGTGAAAACAAAATAATTTTGGAAGAAAATGTTAATGTACTTATTTGTACTCTAGAAATGGGGAAGGCCTTTTTTTCTGAGACAGAGAAAAAAAGCCTCTGTTGTCCAGGCTGGAGTGCAGTGGCGTGATCTCAGCTCACTGCAACCCTCGCCTCCCAGGTTCAAATGATTCTCCTGCCTCAGCCTCACAAGTAGCTGGGATTACAGGTGTGCACCACCACACCCGGTTAATTTTTGTATTTTTAGTAGAGACGGGGTTTCACCACGTTGGCCAGGCTGATCTGGAACTCCTGACCTCAAGTGATCCACCTGCCTCGGATTCCCAAAGTGCTAGGATTACAGGCATGAGCCACTGCGCCCAGTCCAGGAAGGCCTTTTTAAAGCAGAATCTCAAACTCAGATGCCATAAAGAAAAAGACTGATAGATTTGTATGGAAGTTCAAAGCTTTGGGAGGTAAAAAATACCATGAACAAATTCAAAAGATCAGCAAAACTGGGAAAACATATTTACAACATACATGACAAAGGGCTAGTTTATTTATGAGGAGTTCAGAAAAATCTGTTAAGGCTGGGCATGGTGGTTCACACCTGTAATCCCAGCACTTTGGGAGGCTGAGGCGGGCGGATCACTTGAGGTCAGGAGTTCGAGACCAGCATGGTCAACATGGTGAAACCCCATCTCTACTAAAAATACAAAAATTAGCTGGGCATGGTGGCTCATGCCTGTAATCTCAGCTACTTGGGAGGCTGAGGCAGGAGAATCACTTGAGCCCAGGAAGCAGAGGTTGCTGTGAGCTGAGATCGTACCACTGCACTCCAGCCTTGGCAACAGAGCAAAACTCTGTATCAAAAAAAAAAAAAAAAAAAAAAAAAGAAAAGAAAGAAAGAAAATAAAAATCTGTTAAAAAAAAAAGGCAAAACCCAATAATAAATGAGCTAAGAAATAAGCAAGTAGTTACAGAGAAAGACCTAGATACATCAACAGTGATTTGAAAAGATATTCATCCTCATCCATGATTAAAGAAATAGAAATCAAAACAATAAAATACCATCTTTTCTTATTAGATTGGGACAATTTTTAAAGTCTGATTACATACAGGGCTAGTGAGGGTATGAAGAAACATACTGTCATATGCTGCTAGTGGGACTGTAAGCAAGTGCAATCTTTTGAGGGTACAGTTTGGATATATCTATATCTATCTCTATATCTATCTATATCTATCTATATCTATATATCACACACATACCCCTTAACTAAATGTTGTAGGCTTTGCTAGTACCTTCTCAGCAATCGTTCCCCACTTTTTCCTTCCTAACAATTCCTAAATTTTTATTGTGTATCCATTCCTTCCACTTGTAGCCCATGTATTTTGGAGTAAATTGATCCTACTCCCACTTCTTCTGGTCACAGACATTATTAATTCAGGGGAAGACTTGTGACCTAAACAAGCCAATTAGGGCAAGTCTTGGGAGTCCTGCTTGGAATGCTGGGTCAGATGTTTTCTCTTTCCTGCTAGACTTAAAGGAAGAGACTCACAGCCTCCATTGCCACTGGCAGCCATCTTAGGGTCACCTTGGCCAAAGCAATGGCTTTCTATCTTAAGCATGCATCAGAATCACTTAGTTTGTTAAAACACAAATTGCTGGTTGCTACCCCCAGCCCCTGCAAGTTTCAGATTCTGTAGGTTTGAGGTAGGGACTGATAATTTGCATTTTTTTTAGGGTTTTTTTTGTTTTGTTTTTTAGTTGGAATCTCATTATTCTGTTGTCCAGGCTGGAGTGCAGTGGTACTGTCTTGACTCACTGCAACTTCTGCCTCCCGGGTTCAAACGATTCTCCTGCCTCAGCCTCCCCAATAGCTGGGATTACAGGCGTGTGCCACCACGCCCAGCTAATTTTTGTATTTTTAGTAGAGACAGGGTTTCGCCATGATGGCCAGGCTGGTCTCGAACTCCTGACCTCAGGTGATCAACCTGCCTCGACCTCCCAAAGTGCTGGGATTACAGGCGGAACCACCGCACCCGCTTGATAATTTGCATTTCTAAGAAGTTCCCAGATGATAGTGATGCTGCTGGTCCAGGGATCAAGGCAGAGTGATGGGTCTACACATAGAAAACTACCTGGAAAAAGTATGGACTGCAAAGTGGAAAGACGGAAAGAAACTGGGTAGCTCTAGCTCACCCTACTGCTGGCTGGAAGTGTATTTTGTTACTCGCAACCAAAAGCATCCTAACTGATACACCCAGCAATCTTGCCATTACAAATTTATCCTATGGATATCCTTGCAGAAGTTCACCAAGATATGTGCACAGGGATGATCACTGCAGCATTGTTTGTAATAGCTAAAACTGGAAACAAAGCACTTATGAATAGGGAATTAATTCATCTAATGGAATAGTATGTAGTGTTAAAAATTATTAAATATAGGCTGGGCGCGGTGGCTCACGCCTGTAATCCCAGCACTTTGGGAGGCTGAGGTGGGCAGATCGCCTGAGGTCAGGAGTTTGAGACCAGCCTGACTAATACGATGAAACTCTATGTCTATTAGAAATAAAAAATTAGGCCAGGCATGGTGGCTCACGCCTGTAATCCCACCACTTTGGGAAGCCGAGGCGGGTGGATCAACTGAGGTCAGGAGTTCAAGACCAGCCTGGTCAACATGGTGAAACCCCATCTCTACTAAAAATACAAAAAATTAGCTGGGTGTGGTGGCGGGCACCTGTAGTCCCAGCTACTCGGGAGGCTGAGGCAGGAGAATGGCTTGAACCCAAGAGGTGGAGGTTGCAGTGAGCCAAGATCGTGCCACCGCCCTCCAGCCTGGTGACAGAGCAAGACGCCATCTCAAAAAAAAAAAAAAAAAAAAAGAAATACAAAAATTAGCCGGGCGTGGTGGCGGGTGCCTGTAATCCCAGCTACTCAGGAGGCTGAGACAGGAGAATCGCTTGAACCCAGGAGCCGGAGGTTGCAGTGAGCCAAGATCGCGCCATTGCACTCCAGCCTGGGCAACAAGAGGGAACCGTCTCAAAAAAAAAAAAAAAATTAAATATATACTGCTCGGGTGATGGGTGCACCAAAATCTCACAAATCACCACTAAAGAACTTATGTAACCAAACACTACCTGTTCCCCAATAACCTACGGAAATTAAAAAATTTAAAAAAAATTAAAAAAACAAAAAGGAATGGTTTTGAGAAAAAAAAATTATTAAATACAGGTGGGGTGTGGTGGCTGATGCCTGTAATCTCAGAACTTTGGGGAGCTGAGGCGGGAGGATCACTTGAGCCCAGGAGTTTGAGACCAGTCTGGGCAACATGGTGAGACCCCGTCTTTACAGAAAATAAAAAAATTAGCCAGCCATGGTGGGTGGTTTCTGTATTCCCAGCTACTCGGGAGGCTGAGGTGGGAGGATCACCTGAGTGCAGGGAGGTCGAGGCTGCAGTGAGCCATGATCGTGCCTCTGCACTCGTCTGGGTGACAGAGTGAGACCCTACCTCAAAAAAAAAAAAAATAGTAATGTCTCACGCCTATAATCTCACCACTTTGGGAGGCCAAGGTAGGAGGATCACTTGAGGCCAGGAGTTTGATACCAGTCTGGGCAACATACAGAGACCCTGTCTCTACAAAATCAACAAACAAATAATTTTTTTAAAAAAAAGCCTATCATTTGGAGCTACCTGGGTAAGGCATGGGCCAATTTAAATTTCCTTCTTTGTATTTCTTTTTTGTTTTTGTTTTTGTTTTTTTGAGACAGAGTCTTGCTCTGTCGCCCAGGATGGAGTGCAGTGGCATGATCTCGGCTCAGTGCAAGCTCCGCCTCCCAGGTTCACGCCATTCTCCTGCCTCAGCCTCCCAAGTAGCTGGGACTACAGGTGCCTGCCACCACGCCTGGCTAATTTTTTGTATTTTTAGTAGAGATGGGGTTTCACCGTGTTAGCCAGGATGGTCTCCATCTCCTGACCTCATGAACCGCCTGCCTCAGCCTCCCAAAGTGCTGGGATTACGGGTGTGAGCCACCCGGCCGCTCTTTTTTTTTTTTTTTTTTTTGAGACGGAGTCTGGCTCTGTCACTCAGGCTGGAGTGCAGTGGCGCCATCTCAGCTCACTACAACCTCCGCCTCCTGGGTTTAAGTGATTGACCTGCCTCAGCATCCCAAGTAACTGGGATTACAGGCAGGTGCCACCACGCTTGGCTAATTTTTGTATTTTTGGTAGAGACGGGGTTTCACCATGTGGACCAGGCTGGTCTTGAACTCTTGACCTCAGGCTATCCACCTGCCTTGGACTCCCAAAGGGCTGGGATTACAGTCATGAACCACCACGTCTGGCCTCTTCTTTGTATTTCTATATTGAAAAACAACTAGTGGATGTTATAAATCATGAAAAGATAAATGAAAAAGATTTCTGAGGTATTCTGATATGCAGCCAGGCTTGAGTGGCACTGACACGGGGCATAGGTTATAAACTGGTGAAGACTTACAGCTATCCAGATTGAGACTCAACTAGGGTACTGCTTATTTTACTGTATTTGTTTATTTCAGAGACACAGTCTTGCTCTTGTCACCCAGGCTGGAGTGCAGTGGAGCTATCATGGCTCACTACAGCCTCGACCTCCTGGGCTCAAGCGATCCTCCCACCTCAGTCTCCCGAGTAGAACTACAGGTGTGCACCACCACACCCAGCTTCTTCTTCTTTTTTTTTTGTAGAGGATGAGGTCTCACTATGTTGCCCAGGCTAGTCTTGAACTCCTGGCCTCGAGCAAGCCTCCTGCCTCAGCCTCCCAAAGTGCTGGGATTACAGGCATGAGCAACCATGACAGCCTGTTATACTTTAATGTGCATATGAATTATACAGGAATCTTGTTAAAATGCAGATTCTGGCCGGGCGTGGTGGCTCACGCCTGTAATCCCAACACTTTGGGAGTCCGAGGTGGGCAGATCACGAGGCCAGGAGATCAAGACCATCCTGGCTAACACGGTGAAACCCCGTCTCTACTAAAAATACAAAAAATTAGCCAGGCGTGGTGGCAGGCACCTGTAGTCCCAGCTACTTGAGAGGCTGAGGCAGGAGAGTGGCGTGAACCTGGGAGGTGGAGCTTGCAGTAAGCCGAGATCGTGCCACTGCACTCCAGCCTGGGTGACAGAGAGAGACTCTGTCTCAAAAAAAAAAAAAAAAAAATGCAGATTCTGACTGAGTAGATCTCAGGTAGGGCCCAATAGTCTGCATTTTTTTTTTTGAGACAGAATCTCACTCTGTCACCCAGGCTGGAGTGCAGTGGTGCGATCTTGGCTCACTGCAACCTCTGCCTCCCGGGTTCAAGCGATTCTCATGCTTCAGCCTCCTGAGTAGCTGGGATTACAGTCATGCGCCACCACGCCTGACTAATTTTTTTGTAGTTTTAGTAGAGACAGGGTTTCACTATGTTGGCCAGGGTGGTCTTGAACTCCTGACCTCAAGTGATCCGCCCGCCTCGGCCTCCCAAAGTGTTGGGATTATGGGTGTGAACCACCATGCCCGGCCAATAGTCTGCATTTCTGTTAGGTTTCCAGGTGATGCTAATGTTGCTGAACCACTTATCACATTTTGAATGGCAGGAAAAAAGAAGAAGAGGAAGAAGTAAGATGGGGAGGAGCCATGAAAATGAAGAGGGGCAGATATGAGACACTGCAGAAGCAGAATGTTTGAGCTTGTGGATGAGGAAAGAATCTGGGATGACTGAGGTTTGTGGCTTGGGTGACTATGAGGATAATGGTGACATTAATCAGAGATAAGGGAATCAAGCTGGAGGAGGATGGGGTATAGGAAACAATGGAGAGGTAGGAATGAGACATCACATTTAAGTTTGGGCACAGTGGCTCACGCCTGTAATCCCAGCATTTTATGAGGCTGAGGCAGGTGGATCACTTGAGGTCATTAGTTCAAGACCCAGCCTGGCCAACATGGTGAAACCCCGTCTCTACTAAAAATACAAAATTAGCCAGGCGTGGTGGTGGGCGCCTGTAGTCCCAGGTACTCAAGCGGCTGAGGCACGAGAATCGCTTGAACCCGGGAGGCGGAGGTTGCAATGAGCTGAGATCATGCCACCGCCCTCCAGCCTGGGTAATAGAGCAAGACTGTGTCTCAAAATAAAAATAAAATGAAATCAAGATGCTGATTACCTCTGGGGAAGGTAAAGAGATGGGATCATTATTAGGTTAGGCGGTGGGTTTGAGTGTTCATTTTATTATTGAATTTCATAATGTATGTTACATATATCCTTTTGTATTTATCAAATATTACATATATTTTTAGGTAGTCCAAAAGTTAAGAGAAACAAGAGAGAAGTGTCAGGGAAGTCAGAGTTTCAGTAAATGGGTTGTTTTGCAGCATCATATTGGTATGGAAGACCTCAGCAAGATAAGGCCTGTAGGGAAACCCTGAACTTCATGACAGAGCACACAGGTCACCTTTGGAAGCAGCCACATTCAGATGGGGAGGGCTGATGTCAGATTATAGAATGGGAAGGAATGTGGGAAGTCAGGACTGGGAGTGTACGTAAGTCTTTCATCTACTACCATTTCTTCCCTAACCCACAACAGCTAACATTTATCTAGGCTGTAGTACATGCCAGGCCCTTTGCGTACACATTTAATCCTCACAACCACCCCACAGGGTGGGCTACAGGGACTAAGCTCAGTGCTTGTATTACCACCAGATTATGTTCACCTCCGACCACATGCAGAGAACCCCTACTGAAACACCGAAACGGGAATGAATGTTTAGCTATTACATTCCAAATTTTAGACTGAAGGTCTCAAATGGTTAAGTAATGGGTACCAACCAAAAGTGAATTAAGTCAACCAGAAATGGACCATTTCTTCCTGTGATGCTGTCATTGTGACTCACCAAATTTAACCAGTTTTATCGCCATTCAGGCACATAGTACAATTGTTCTTTTCCACCTCTATAAAATTAGCTGCAACCACGTGGCTTGCTTTGGGCAATGAAAAGAGAGAAGTGATCTGTGACACTCTAAGCTTTAAGGGCCAAGGTATATTTTGGTCATATGCCTTCCCCTGACTCAGTGATGGAACTTTTCTTACTTAACATATTGATGCTCTACACATTCAGAGAAACTTCTCTAGTAACGAACTATGGAAATGATCCTTGAAAGTAGACTCTTGGTGGCCAGGCGCGGTGGCTCACGCCTGTAATCCTAGTAGTTTGGGAGGCTGAGGCCGGAGGATTACCTGAGTTCAGGAGTTCAAGACCAGCCTGGTCAACATGGTGAAACCCCGTCTCTACTGAAAAATACAAAATTAGCTGGGTGTGGTGGCACACGCCTGTAATCCCAGCTAACTCAGGAGGCTAAGGCAGGAGAATCACTTGAACCTGGGGGGCAGAGGTTGCAGTGAGCCGAGATCATGCCATTGCACTGCACTCCAGCCTGGGCAAAAAAAGAGCGAAACTCCAACTCAAAAAAAAAAAAAAAAGTAGAGTCTTGGTGATGAAATTTTTCTTTTTTCTTTTTTTTTTTTTTTTTTTGAGACGGAGTCTCGCTCTGTCGCCCAGGCTGGAGTGCAGTGGCGGGATCTCGGCTCACTGCAAGCTCCGCCTCCCGGGTTCACGCCATTCTCCTGCCTCAGCCTCCCAAGTAGCTGGGACTACAGGCGCCCGCCACTACGCCCGGCTAATTTTTTGTATTTTTAGTAGAGACGGGGTTTCACCGTTTTAGCCGGGATGGTCTCGATCTCCTGACCTCGTGATCTGCCCGCCTCGGCCTCCCAAAGTGCTGGGATTACAGGCGTGAGCCACCGCGCCCGGCCCTTTTTTTTTTTTTTGAGACAGAGTTTCGCTCTTGTTGCCCAGGCTGCAGTGCAATGGCGTGATCTCGGCTCACTGCAACCTCTGCCTCCCAGGTTGAAGTGATTCTCCTGCCTCACCCTCCCTAGTAGCTGGGATTACAGGCATGTGCCACCATACCGGGCTAATTCTGTATTTTTAGTAGAGACAGGGTTTCTCCATGTTGGTCAGGCTAGTCTCGAACTCCCGACCTCAGGTGATCTGCCTGCCTCAGCCTCCCAAAGGGCTGGGATTACAGGTGTGAGCCACCGTGCCCGGCAGTAATGGAATTTCTATTAGTCTATTAGTGTCCACCAGTCACCATGCATGAACAGAGTTCTGCTGTCAATCCCAGTTGGACATATGAGCAATAAGTATACTTTTGTTAAATTACTGAGATTTGGGGGTTATAATTGCAGCAAAACCTAGCCTATCCTGACTGATACATTCTCCTTTTCTCAAGTTAGAAATTATACATGTATAAGGACTGAATAATGAAAATATACATAAAGTGTCTAGAACTCTCTCCTGTGCACATTGTAGGCCCTCAATAGATGCCTTTGTGTATCTGCTATTAAATTATTACGGAATTTTCATATTTTTCACATGCAATAAAGGCTAGTTTTGGAAGATGTAAACAGAAGGCAGTGTTCCAGGCTCACATTATTCCTAATGCTTGTATTCTTAAAAGAGATATTTTCATTCTTCGTAACTTTCTCCCTCAACTCCATGAAAAAGCACTACAATTGGCCCTGCTTAGGTCACCTACCCCTCCATCCCCGTGCTGGGGGAGATGAAGCCACATGACTGATGGTCAACCCAACTCTACCCCAAGATAGATGGCCACTTCCCCCAAAGGAGAAAACTGGGCTTAATTGCCAGAATAAGGAAGGAATGCTGGGGAGGCAGAAATGAGTTATCGAAGTCAAAACAGGCTTAGGTTTAGAACCCGGAGTTTATTACTTATTAGCTGTGTGTGAACTTGGGCACCACTCAATCAGTTTGCTCATATGTAAAGTAGGGATCGTACTTTGGAGAGTTGTTTAAGGATAAGAAATAATGTATGAGAGTTTAGTACTATGCCTGGTACCTAATAGGTCTGCAATAAATTCATTTTAAAAAGCCAGATGCTAAATATTTCCTTCTATTAACTTTTCACAGTCCCAACACTCAAAGATCAAAGGCCAGGAAAAGACATCTGTAGCTATAATGAACCCATATAAGACAAAAGATGTTACAAATAATTTTTCATTTAAGGATAAAGTGTTTACAAGCTTCAGCAGGCCTCTAGTGCTCACCTTGAGGCTCAGCTGTTTCCTTTTAGAATCTGTACACACAAGGCACAAAGTGGTTAGAGAGGCCAAGCCCAGCTAGAGTCACTCAGCAGAAGCAGTAAAGAATGCCCTAGAGTCCTGGCTTCAGACTCTGCTCAAAGCATCCCTCTATTGCTCAAAGGTGACTCAGAGCTCAATTTTAAAACACATTTAAGTGAATACCATCCAGGGCTGAAACCTCATACTCAATCTTCCTGAGTTTTTGCCACCATATCCTCTGCCTTCAAAGTCTGAAATCTGCTTTGTACCAAAGGACTTATTCAAAAGTGTTTTAGCTGTTCTTGACTTATTCATCAAACATTTACTAAGTGTGTGCTGTGCAGTAGGTGCCAAGAACACAGAGATGGTTAAGCACAGTCACTGCTCACAAGTGTAATCTAGGGGCAAAGATGCAGCAAAGCACTAGAGGGGCTGGCTGTGATGAGTCTATACTCATCACCGAATTGGGGATCAGAAAAAGAATCATAAAGACACGAGCTGAATCTTGGGGCAATAAGTTAAGTCTGCACCAGAAACAAAGGGAGAAAGGAATTTTAGCAATGGTACAAGCAAGTGAGAAGAAATGGATATTGACAGCTCAATGTGTATGGGATGCATTTTATTATGGCTGGAGTACGGAGGTAGTAAATGAGCTGAGATGTGGTCAGGTGCCAGATCATGAAGGGACCGTGGAGTCAGGGGAGCAGCATGTTAGAGGGACACTTTAGAAGCTACTAAGCATGGTGGATTAAAGCAATGGTTCTTAACATCCTTTTGTGTCACAGATTCCTTTAAGAACCTGAAAAAAGGTATGGGCCCTTTCACTGGAAAAAGGTACATACACTTAGACATAAAATGTTGCTTAAAATTGCCCAGTTAAGGAGTAAGACGGGGAGCAACTGCAACAGTCCAAGTAAGACACGATGAGGCCTCCACTAAGCCACAGGAGCCAGGACAGAAATGAGGAAACAGATGTGAGAAATAGAAAAATGGTTGGGTGTTATCAACAGATGTTTTCATCAACTGGATTTGAGAAGTGAGGGACAAGTCTAAGACAGTTCACTCCCAGGTCAGTCTGTGGTTTAGGCAATTGAGTAGAAAGTAGTGTCACTGATGGAGAGGCACAGGCTTGCACAGAAAGGATGGGTTCAGTTTGGGAAATGTCAAGACAAAGGTGCCTTTAGGACATTCAAATAAAGAAGTTAACTAGGAGGCTAAATATGCTCTACCTTTTGATGATTCTTGTACTTGGTCTCTTGCCCTGATATTACACAAACAGACTCCTAAATCTCTGTGCAACACTTCTGAATTGAGACAAGTATATCCCCCATTTGCAGAAAGGGATCCAGAGATGGGAAAAGAAATCAAACTTCGCACACCCAAAATTATTTCACAATTTTTTTTACTAAAAGAATAGATTTTTATTAAGCGTTGTAAGTTTCTTTCCATCAGCATTAACAGAACAACAGACCAATTTCCATCACAGAACAACTCCTGAGGCATTCTCATTCCTTTCTGAAACTCTTCCATTAACTCCTGAAGTTTCCCCAAAGAAGCATCCATTCAAACTTACATTAATAAACTATGGAGCTTTTGTGGTGAGGTGGGCCAAAAAGGCAGGGAATTTGGAATCTGGGAGTGGGAAAGAGAAATACATATTATCCATCCACTAAACACACTGTCAAAAGCACAGGAGAGGAGATAGTAATACAGGAAAAAAACAATGAAATAATTTTTTACTTTTGTCAATAACATCATTTATCAGGGAGCACTAAAAGTCACTGACTCCTTGCAGTTAAAGTTTCTTTACCTAGTGTGTTATTCTAAAAACAGAATAGAACAGAATAGAACAGAATAGAATAGAATAGAATAGAATAGAATAGAATAGAATAGAATAGAATAGAATAGAAGGTAGGAGGGGAAGTGCTTTCTGGGAAGCAATTAAAATGAAGTCATCAGATTTGGCTGGGTTATGAGAGATTAATAAAATCTGAAATATTTATTTTGCTTCATTTACATGAAAATTCACTAGTCATTAGTTACTACCAACACGGACAAAAAGAGCATCTATAAAAGTACAGGGGCAATGTCAAAAGCTGAAATGGGCACCCTAGCACAGGGGATTTTTTTATTTTGCTTTTAACTTGGAAAAGATGATTTTGTAAAAAATGACTTTATATTCTTAGAACATCAAAATAACCTCTGACAATATTCAAGATAATTAGCAGTAACAGGGGAATAGGTGCACTGAGCTCTCTACCTGCACCAGCAGACTACTGCAATAAGCCAAGGGAAAAGAAAATAGAAAGTCGAGTAAGATGCCAAAGTCACAGGATGGAGAAAAATATAAGATGACACGCAATGGAACAGTGAAAACTCAACCCCCCACCCCACACCCCAAGCATATTTAGGAAATATGCACCAGGAAGTGAACAAGTATAATGATTAAACCTTAGTAGAATTATACTAACTACTTTAAACTGTGGTCTACTTGTACTGACTTTTCAAAGGTGGGTGGGTCGTAGAGGCTGTAATGGTAACATTGACATGCCCACAGGAGCCTTGTAAGGTTCCAAAGGACTGGATCACCATAACCAAACAGCTACCCCCACATTCTTTCTATCCTACATAAGCATTCCTGCCCCCCACCCTCTACCTTAACCACCCTCTGTAATGCCTTGTTCGACTGTTTTTCTCAGTGATCAAAAAAAGTTAATGTGACTTGGCCAATGATGTCAGAAATCAAGATGGAGACAAAAATCAAATGTCACTAGCCAAAGCGAGTACCAATTCTTGGGCTTTAAAGTCTACCCAAAGTCCTACTGGCTCAGAATGAAAATGATGCAAGTGAGCAGAAGTTTGTCAGGCCTGGTCCAGACCAGACTGGACTGGTCACTGACTAAGTAAGAGTAGGAGTTATAAGCTGATCCCAAGACACACCAGCAGAAATAAAAAACTGCAAGTCCTTGGGGATCAGTGACTATACACAACCAGTGTTTTGCTTATGGTCCTACAATGTAAAGGGGTCATTTCTGGGGGTTCCCAAATGACTTTGTTCAAGAGAGGTCACATAAAAGCTAGAAATGGAACCTCAGGTGAAGGATGACAGTCTCTTCAAGTGGTGAAGCAAAGATCAGACCCCACCTTCCACAATTTGTCCTCCAATTAGAAAAAGTTCATCTCCCTGTAATGAACCTTAGTTTTCCTGGCTTTTAAGTTGTGTATTTTGTCAGATAAATAAAAATCTAGGAATATGGCCATTTATGGTTCCTTCTTGTAACCTTCCAAACCCAAAATGCTGAATCCAAATAAAAATCAAGGTTGGAGATGACCCACTTGTTTCACCCTGGGCTAGGGGAAAAAGAGGTTGTGGAAGGAAGAAAAGCCGTTTGGCAAACTGGAATCATACCTGCCAAAGCAGCAATTTTACCTCTCACAGTGAATGCCTACAAAATAAGAAATTTTCTTAATGGTGTGAGAGTTAACAATACTGTCATTTGATTGTGTCAGATAGATTCAAGATGCACAGAAATAGCAACTGCAAAAAATATCTTAGCAATTTTAAGTCCAAGTGCTTCCTATTAGAAAATGGAGATATAGGTATCTCACAGCTCAGTGATACTGGTTGCTTTTAGAGCTCCAAAGGATTCATCCCTCTGTGGCTCCAGAAAGAAAATTCCAAGCCATGTAAATTTACTACTATCCCTTCCTTTGCTGGATATAGAAGTCCTACCTTCAAGACGTTGTGAAAGGTTGGGCAGGTCCAAGAGAAGGGGGACCACATTAAGGGAGCTGATTCCAAAGAGGAGGTTTTTCTATACTTTGTTTCTACTTCTGTCTGGTTAGATGTACACTCTTGTCATTTTTCTTTGGTTTATGTAAGAAGTATCTGGGCAGGGGTCAAGGCATTGCAGGGCTCCCTCCCCCTGAAAATCATGGATTCTCTTAATCTGGGACAGATTAGGACTAAATAGTCTGACACTGTTTTCAATTTCCTATGATCTGGTCATTGTAAGTGGGCAGTAAGCAAATAGCCTTCTGGTTGTCTGGGCAAAAATCACCAAGGACCTGCTGTGGGTTAAGGTGCATGGGGTTTTTCAAAAAGAACCCTGCTAGAAGATTAGTCAGTTGTATTTCTGTAGAAATGGTACTTCTTGGGCAAGAATATCACAAAGCCCAAAAGGAGGTATATGAGGCTGGAAGCCTCAATTCCTGAATGAAGACACAATGCTAATTTATTGCAAGCCATGTTTCCCTCCCTCATAGTTAGGCTGCCCAAGGAGGGAAACTGGAAATGCAAGGTTGTCTCAAGATTATCTCCAGCAAGGAGGAATAGCCTCTTTATCCTGGGCAGATCCTGGCCACACAGGAGGCTGAGAATCTTTTAATAGAATTCTTCTCAAGGCCCAGGCCAGAGTCCTCTAAAGTCTTCCTTGCAAAGCAAATGAAAAGATCCAGTAGTCAGAATGTCAATGAACAAATGAAACAATCTAGGCGTGTAAAATCAAATAGTTTCCTCACACTTCCCTACCCTATCTTTCCAAAGCTAGTCCTCTCTCCTTCAGGGATTCATGTCAATCAATTCTAGCCTGAAACCAATTTGACCCTGGAGTTCCAGAAGAGATTTCCTCCAAATTGGCTGAAAGCCCTTTCAAATGGTAGTCACCTCCCATCCCCCCTTTTCTCTCCAAACCTTCATAAGGAAATGCCCAACTCTTCCCAATCCCATTCCAACCTCCTGTTTTCACCATATGGGATGTGAGGGCTCTGTTCAAGATTAAGCTTGTAACAACCCAAGAGTTTATTGTTCTGAACAGGCAATTTCTGGAAAGTACTTTTTGTCTGATTTAGAGAAGCCCATCCAACTTCTCATAGTTGTGAATGCACTGTGACTTAGTAAGAATTTCAGATTAAAAGTGTGGTCTTTTGAAACCTTCCACTCCATAGCAGTGGAAGCATTTCTGGGAAATTGAGTAAATCCTCTGGGACATCACCATGTATGTATGTATGTATGTATGTATGTATGTATGTGTGTATATATGTGTGTATATATATATACACACATATATACACACATACACACACACTTACATATATATAAAATATGTATAGATAAATAGATCTGTCTCTTTATATAAAGGGTATGTGTATGCATATACACACATTCATATATACACCCACCCACACAACATCCACCCACACCCACACACAAGCACACATTCACACACACACACACACACACACACACACACACACACACACAGTCTCTTGAGTCCCTTTCGTACTCAAGTTCATTACACTGATTCCCACCCTTTCATGGTGTGGGCAATAGGGAGTGAATGAACTGTGCCACATCTTCTATTTTACAAACAATGCACTGGTTGAGAGGCAGGAAAAATCTGCCCAGTACTTTTCTGATTCACTTGAATCCCCCAGTACAAAGGCCATTGATAGTTTTTTTGAAGTGTATAAAATAAAAAATAAAAATTAAAATAACCAATACTACCTTACTTTTCTGAAAACATCTACCTATCTGATTGTCAGGCCAAAGCTAGAGGTGGTGGTACAAAATCCAGGGGTAGGTAAGTTGGAAGGAGTGAAGAAGAGGTAGATACCACTTCATAGAGAAAAAAAAAAAACAAAAAAAAACCTCAGGAGGCCACAGCTGTCCCCACAACCTCATAGGTTTATCATATAAGTCTTTGATAATGAGTATCATTATAAATGCTCAGAAAAACCAAAGCTAGAGCTTTTCTATAGGACCTTATGTGATGATACCCAATTTCTGACAGCTACTGCCTTACTAGGCTCCCAGAGGAGATAAATAAACTATTGGTGCTATATCTTCAATTTGAGACTAGGACCTAGTCTTACTGCCATTCATCTTTGACCAGAACTTCTCCAGAAACAGACCACTGAATCTGAAGTCCCAGAAACAGGCAGGGAAGGGGAAAAGATGGACACAATAGGACATCCCACCAAAATCCTGGAGAAATCTAGGGTAAGCATTTATATCCTCCTCTAGCTTGGGCCTAAAATCAGAAAAGTAAAAGTTTTTCCCTCTTCCTGGTTTGGTGAAGCCATCTTCAGCTTATCAGTCCTCTTTCCGTTGTGCCACAGTTTCTAGCTTTTGCTCTTGTAAGTGGTTCTTCTCCCTATTATTCATAGGGAGGTAGCGGTTACCATTATTACACTCATTGCTGTCTCTGGATAAGGCACATTGTGATGGAGCTGGAAGACGATGATCACTCTTCTCTTCCTTGATCAATGCGCCACTGTTTCCATTTACCTGGGAGCGAGACCGACCTTGATGAAGCTCCAGGGATTTAGAAACTCCATCTGAAGAGCCCTGTTAAAAACAGAGATACTCAGTGGAAATGGGAATCCCAGACTGGCTGACCCTTCCTAAGCATATTCATAAGCTAGCCTGAGGAAGCGGCTTCAGTTCTTCAAAAACACCAGAAGACCTCAAGCTGGTTGACAACTAGTACAATCTTTTTTTTTTTTTTTAAGACGGAGTCTCGCTCTGTCGCCCAGGCTGGGGTGTAGTCTGCAATCTCGGCTCACTGTAACCTCTGTCTCCAAGGTTCAAGCAATCCTCCCACCTCAGCCTCCTGAGAGTAGCTGGGATTACAGGCGCCCACCACCATGCCTAGCTAATTTCTGTATTTTTAGTAGAGATGGGGTTTCCTCATGTTGGCCAGCCTGGTGTCGAACTCCTGGCCTCAACTGATCTGCCCGCCTGAGCCTCCCAAAGTGCTGGGATTACAGGTGTGAGCCACCACACCCAGCCGGATACCTAGTACATTCTGATATTATCTTGAGAAGTTAGGGTGAAAACATATAGACCCAAATGAAATCCAATGGCAATGACAACACAATAATGACACAGCTTTTTCTTTTTTTATACAGGGTCTTGCTCTGTCACCCAGAGTGGAGTGGAGTGCTGCGATCCTGGCTCACTGCAGCCATGACCTCCTGGGCTCAAGCCATCTTCCCACCTCAGCCCCCCAAGTAGCTGGGACTACAGGCGTGCACCACCACATCCAGCTGATTTTTGTATTTTTTGTAGAGACAGGGTTTCACCATGTTGGCCACACTGGTCTTGAACTCCTGAGCTCAGGTGAACTGCCTGCCTCAGCCTCCCAAAGTGCTGGGATTATGGGTGTGAGCCACCGCACCTGGCTGACACTGCTACTATTTACAAAGCTTTACAATATGTTTTTCTAATACTATGGGGATCCTAAATGGTAGATATGATCATGCCCCATTTGCTGATGAGGAAGGTGAGGCTCAGAAATATTAAAGCAACTTGCTCAAGGAGACACAGATACAAAGTCATAGGGCCAGGATTCTACTCCTCTAAAGTCTGTTCTCTTAACTGCCATGCAACACTGCCCAACGCTGACAATTGAACAGGCAAATGCAAGAAAAGGAAAAAAAACACAGAAGATCTATGTGCAATATTCCACAGAATCTTTCTTTTCTTTTCTTTTTGAGACAGAGTTTCACTCTTGTTGCCCAGGCTGGAGTGCAATGGCACGAACTCGGCTCACCGCAACCTCCGCCTCCTGGATTCAAGCAATTCTCCTGCCTCAGCCTCCCGAGTAGCTGGGATTACAGGCATGTGCCACCATGCCCGGCTAATTTTGTTTTTTAGTAGAGACGGGATTTCTCCATGTTGGTCAGGCTGGTCTCGAATTCCCGACCTCAGGTGATCCACCCGCCTCAGCTCCCAAAGTGCTGGTATTATAGGCGTGAGCCACAGAATCTTTCATAACTAAAAACAATCACCTGGTTTTTGTAAATCCCAGGAATATGGTAGCTACTGCTAATGATATGAACTACATTACCTTGTAGTGCAGTGCTGGCTCTTAATGAATGGTGCTAGGAATAATAACAGCTTCTGACTACTAAGTGGTTGGACATGCCACATACTCTGTTGTTCCTTTTACAGATAAGAAAACTGAAGCTCCTAGGAGGCCAAGGCGGGCAGATTGTTTGAACTCAGGAGTTTGAGACCAGCCTGGGCAACATGGCGAAACCCCATGTCTACAAAAATTACAAAAATTAGCTGGGCGTGGTGGCATGCACCTGTAGTCCAAGCTACCTGGGAGGTTGAGGTGGGAGGATCGCTAAAGCTTGGGAGGTCCAGGCTACATTGAGTCATGATTGCACCATTGCATTCCAGCCTGGGCGACAGAGTGAGATCCTGTCTCAAAAAAGAAAAAATAAACAGGCTCAAAAAGTACGAAGACTTTACTATTAGTCCTCATGTAACAACTCTACAACATAGATACCAATTTCTCCAATTTTATAGATGAGAAAACTAGGGCAGAGAGGCTAAGTAACTTGCCCAAGGTCACAGAACTAGTAAGTAGCAGAGCCACATTCAAAGCTAGATCATTTGGTTCCAAAGTCTGTACAATATGGGGCTTACTGTGAAGTATTGTCCAACAACCTGGAAATAACATGAAACAAGTAACAGCCATACAAATGGATGGAATTAGCCACCTGAAGGAATCACCAAATACATCAAAACATTACAAGTAAGTGACTTAAGAATTTAAGAACAGGCGGCCAGGCGCTGTGGCTCATGCCTGTAATCCTAGCACTTTGGGAGGCCGAGGCAGGCAGATCACAAGGTCAGGGGTTGAGCACCAGCCTGACCAACATGGTGAAACCCCGTCTCTACTAAAAATACAAAAAAAGTAGCCAGGCGTGGTAGCGGGCGCCTGTAATCCCAGCTACTCAGGAGGCTGAGGCAGGAGAATTGCTTGAACCCAGGAGGCAGAGGTTGCAGCGAGCCAAGATCACGCCACTGCACTCCAGCCTGGCGACAGAACGAGACTCTGTCTCAAAAAAAAAAAAAAAAAGAATTTAAGAACAGGCCTGGCCGGGTGTGGTAGCTCACGCCTGTAATCCCAGCACTTCGGGAGGCCGAGGCGGGCGGATCATGAGGTCAGGAGTTCGAGACCAGCCTGGCCAACATGGCGAAACCCTGTCTCTACTAAAAATACAAAAATTAGCCGGGTGTGGTGGTGGGCACCTGTAATCCCAGCTACTTGGGAGGCTGAAGCAGGAGAATTGCTTGAACCTGGGAGGCAGAGGTTGCGGTGAGCCAAGATTGTGCCACTGCACTGCAGCCTGGGCACTTTGGGAGGCCGAGGCAGGCAGATCAACTGAGGTCTGGAGTTCAAAACCAGCCAGGCCAATATGGTGAAACCCTGTCACTACTAAAAATATAAAAATTCGCCGGGTGTGGTGGTGCACTACTGTAATCCCAGCTACTTGGGAGGCTAAGGCAGGACAATCGCTTGAACCCAGGAGGCGGAGGTTGCAGTGAGCTGACATCGCGCCAGCCTGAGTGATGGAGCAAGACTGTTTTTTTAAAAAAAAAAAAATACAAAAAAAAAAAGAATTTAAGAACATATAAAACTCTTGTAGCCTAGGAATAATCTCAGGAAGACAGGATTACAGTGTAACCAGATTTAATAAGCTGGAACATTTTATTAATTATCTCATACTCTTCTTTTTCTGTCCCGACTGAAACAGAAAAAGAAGAGTCAAAAACGAAGTCAGCAGCAGCTCTGTCCAGAGAAGATGGCTTGCTATAAACCAAGTTGAAATGAGGATTTCCTTGGCTAGGTGACCTCTAGAGCAGATAATAGTGTCCGCAGCCATCTTAGCTAAGAGAAACTTAAGATCACCTACCATCCCTTGTTTTCTGTCACTTTCCTCATCTGTAAAATAGATAGAATAAGGGTATCTACTTCGTAGGTTCCTGTAAGTATTCAATGAGACACTATATATAAAGCACTTAGAACATATGTGTTTGGCACAGTGTAAGAACTCAATAAATGCTCACTAAGCCTGGGCACAGTGGCTCATCCCTGTAATCCCAGCACTTTGGGAGGCCGAGGCAGGCGGATCACCCGAGCTCAGGAGTTTGAGACCAGTTTGGCCAACATGGCGAAACCCTGTCTCTACAAAAAATATAAAAATTAGCTGGGCATGGTGGCATGCACCTCTAGTCCCAGCTACTCAGAAGGCTGAGGTAGGAGGATCACTTGAGCCCAGGGGTTTGAGGCTGCAGTAAACTATGATTGCAACACTGCACTCCAGCCTAGGTGACTCATTAAAAAAAAAGCTAGCTAATATCATTGGTCTGATTCCATGCCCCCAAGCAAACTTCTGATACCAAGGCCTCTCTTGTAGCTTGCCCTTAGAGAAAGAAAGCTCTAGTAGTAATGGTTAAAGGCATGTACACTAGAGTCAGCCACACTTGAGTCTGATGTTTGTCTCTAACAACTAGAGTTGTTATACTATATTGGAATTAGCATAGCACGGGGCTTTGCAATCAGTTAGCTCAGGCTGTAATGTCAATTCTGATACTGACTTCATAGATAATTTGGGGCAAGATACTTCATTCTTCTGAGTCTCAATTTCCTCCTGTTTAAAATGGGGAACAGGCCAGGTGTGGTGGCTCATTCCTATAATCCCGGCACTTTGGGAGACCCAGCTTGAGGCCAAGAGTTTGATACCAGCCTGGGCAACATGGCAAAACCCCATCTCTACAAAAAATATTTAAAAATTAGCTGGGTGTGGTGGCTCACACATGTAGTCCCAGCTTACTCAGGAGGCTGAGGTGGGAAATTTGCTTGAGCCTGGGAGGTTGAGGCTGCAGTGCACTGCACTCTAGCTTGGGTGACAGAGCGAGACCCTGTCTCAAAAAAATAATAATAATAAAATGGAGAATAATAAATACTTCACAGGGTATTTATGTGGTTTCAATGAGCTCACGTGTTTGTAAGAGTGATTAGAAGAGTAAATGTGTAATACATTGTGATAACTATTTCTTATCATAAATCAGTTCTTTATCTCTCACCCCCTTCTTCCCCCACCCCTTAGCCATATCCACACAGCTATTTCTATAATCTTGGTTAGTGTGAGTCAACCACTAAGAGATGTATTCACTAAGAGATCCAATAAGATCTACTCTTTTTTTTTTTTTTTTTTTTTTGAGACGGAGTCTCGCTCTGTCGCCCAGGCTGGAGTGCAGTGGCGCGATCTCGGCTCACTGCAAGCTCCGCCTCCCGGGTTCACGCCATTCTCCTGCCTCAGCCTCCCGAGTAGCTGGGACTACAGGCGCCCGCTACCACGCCCGGCTAATTTTTTGTATTTTTAGTAGAGACGGGGTTTCACCTTGTTAGCCAGGATGGTCTCGATCTCCTGACCTCGTGATCCGCCCGCCTCGGCCTCCCAAAGTGCTGGGATTACAGGCGTGAGCCACCGCGCCCGGCCGAGATCTACTCTTATTGTACCAAAAGTATCAGGCTTTTCAGACTGTATGCCTGATGACCAGACCCTGAATCGCGGTGAATTCACCAAGGCTATACTACCTTACGAGAGCCTATCTGGTGATTAGCTTTCCTTCTAGGTGCATCCGTTTACCTTACTGAGCAGCTTCAAGAAAAAGCTGAGAAGCTTTGGAAAAATCACCAAAGTCACTGTTCTCTAGCTTTGGAGTGCATTATGAAATGCTTTGCGTGGGAGACTTACTATCTAGTTCCATTTTTGCCTAAAAATAACATTAAACCAAATTTATCTTCTTTGAGGAAACATTAGATGATGGGGATTAACATGGATGCAGTGAGGGCTGGCTGTATACAGAATAGATTTAGGATTGAGAACTGATGACAAAATTGCCCAGGATTACAGACTACATGTAGAATGTCTAGAGGGGGCTTGGTAGAAAGTAGGTACTCAAGAAATGGTAGCTGCTATACTATAAGAAGCCCAGCAGTTTGAGTCTACTACAATATTTTGGATCACTACAAGAATAGGTCCTCCTAGTTTGTATTTGGGTGGGGTGGGGCATACCTAATGAGGACCAGTGGGAACTGTGATATAATCCAAGGCATGGATTAGAAGAAAGTTTAAAGGCCGGGCGCAGTGGCTCACACCTATAATCCCAGCATTTTAAGAGGCTGGAGGATCACTTGAGCCCAGGACTTTGAGACCAGCCTGGGGCAACAAAGTAAGACCCTGTCTCTACAAAAAAAAAAAAGAAAAACTTTGGGAGGCCAAGGCGGGCAGATCATGAGGTCAGGAGATCGAGACCATCCTGGCTAACACAGTGAAACCCCATCTCTACTAAAAACACACAAAAAATCAGCCGGGCGTGGTGGCGGGTGCCTGTAGTCCCAGCTACTTGGGAGGTTGAGGCAGGAGAATGGTGTGAACCCGGGAGGCGGAGCTCCCAGTGAGCCGAGATCGCGCCACTGCACTCCAGCCTGGACAGCAGAGCGAGACTCATCTCAAAAAAAAAAAAAAAAAGAAAAAGAAAAACTTAGCAGGGTGTGGTGGCACACACCTGTAGTCCCAGCTACTTGAGAGACGGAGCTGCGAGGATTGCGTGAGGCAAGGAGGTAGAGGCTACAGTGAGCTGTGATTGTGCCACTGCACTCCAGCCTGCCTGAGTGACAGAGTGAGACCCTGTCGAGAGAGAGAGAGAGAGAGAGAGAAAGAAGAGAGAGAGAAAGTTCAAGACATTTCTGAGTCATTAAGAATAAGCAGGCCGGTTGCGGTGGCTCACGCCTGTAATCCAGCACTTCGGGAGGCCGAGGCGAGTGGATTGCCTGAGGTCGGGAGTTCGAGAGCAGCCTGACTAACATGGAGAAACTCCATCTCTACTAAAAATACAAAATTAGCCGGGCGTGGTGGTGCATGCCTATAATCCCAGCTACTCAGGAGGCTGAGGCAGGAGAATTGCTTGAACCCGGGAGGCAGAGGTTGTGGTGAGCTGAGATCGTGCAATTGCACTCCAGCCTGGGCAACAAGAGCGCAACTCCGTCTCAAAAAAAAAAAAGCAGAATGGTAACGCTCCCGCCACATATATTCAGCAAAGGCAAAGAAGTCCAATTTTTTAAGCATATCTGGTGGCCCCTCAGAAGCTCAGGCAGGCTGTGGGCAGTCTCACTGTTAGCATCACTCTGGCCCCTTTCTGGCTGCATGCTGCACATAGTATACTAGGGGCAGGTCTTTAGGACACAGTACCTGGTTTCTATCTTGTGGCCTCACTCGGAAAAGGGTAAGACTCGCAGCCCTGTGGGAAAAGCTTGAGGCAGGCTAACCCTCACTATACCACTAGAATGAAATCAAATGCCTGGAGGAGTTGAGAAGCTCCCCTAAGCAGCTCAGGTTTCCATGCCTGATGTGATCTCTTTTAGTTTAGCTGAAAAGGCAAAAGGCATCAAACAGAAGCTAAATAATCTCAAAAAAAATACTTACTTGCTTATTTCCTTTTTTGTGTCCCTTGGATCCTCTACCAGTCTGTTCTTTTCCATGCCTTTAGCAAGTGAGAAAAAAAGTGATCATGAGAAACATAAAGCCCACACACCCCTTTTCACTTGGTTAACTATTCGTCTCCTCTTAGAAGTTTGACCCTCTTCAGTCAGATGCCCCTTCTCAGTGTTACTACTGAACATCTATCTTGGTCATTCCTATATTGTACTGAACTGAATTGTTCTGTATCCCATGTCCTCCTCTAAGGCAAAAACTCTTTCATTAAGGCAGGGCAATTTATTATTTATTTGCTGAACTAAACTGAAAACTGACTTTAAAAAATGGAAAGTTGGGCCGGGCGCGGTGGCTCACACCTGTAATCCCAGCACTTTGGGAGACCGAGGTGGGTGTATCACCTGAGGTCAGGAGTTTGAGACCAGCCTGGCCAACATGGTGAAACCCCATCTCTACTAAAATACAAAAATTAGCCTGGCATGGTGGTGGGCGGCACCTGTAATCCCAGCTGCTTGGGAGGCTGAGGCAGGAGAATTGCTTGAACCCCGGAGGTGGAGGTTGCAGTGTGCCAAGACCACACCATTGCACTTTGACCTGGGAAACAAGTGAAACTCCATCTCAAGAAAAAAAAAAAAAAAAGGAAAGTTGGTCAGGCATGGTGGCTCATACCTGTAATCCCAGCACTTTGGAAAGCCAAGACGGGAGGATTGTTTGAGCCCAGGAGTTTGAGCCCAGCCTGGGCAACATGACAAAACCCCAGTTCTACCAAAAATATGAAAAATTAGCCAGTCATGGTGATGCACATCTGTGGTCCCAGCTACTTGGGAGGCTGAGGCAGGAGGATCACTTGAACTCGGGAGGCAGAGGAGGTTGCAGGAAGCCGAGATGATGCCACTGCACTCCAGCCTGGGCAACAAAGTGAGACCCCATCTCAAAAAGAGAAAGAAAGAAAAAAAGAAAAAAAAAGTAAAGTTAGTACTTCTTGCCTTAATAGAAGGATTTAATACCTAGGCATTTTTCCAAGGAGGCCTAGGCATTTTCCCAAGGGGACTAGCTCATATCAACCTATTTGGGTACATACCCCTTTCCTGGCCCACCGACAGAAACCACTTGCATGCCGAAGGATCCTCGGCCCCTGGAGGATCTGCTGCCAGCCCACTGGCCCACAACCATCCCAGCAATCTCCAGTTTTCCTCCTTGGGGTGGGATTGGATGGAGACCTGGCAAGATAGAAAGAATGGTGGTAATGGGCCAGGTGTGGTGGTTCACGCCTGTAATCCCAAAACTTTGGGAGGCTGAGTCGGGCGGATTACTTGAAGTCAGGAGTTCCAGAGCCAGCCTAGCCAACATGGTGAAACCCTGTCTCTACTAAAAATACAAACAATTAGCCAGGCATCGTGGTGTGCGGCTGCAATCCCAGCCACTCGGGAGGCGGAGGCACGAGAATCACTTGAACCCAGGAGGTGGAGGTTGCAGTGAGCTGAGACTGCGCCACTGCACTCCAGCCTGGGTGACAGAATGAGATTCTGTCTTGAAAAAAAAAAAAAAAAAGAAGAAGAAAAAAGAATTGTAAGTACAAGGCAGGATAAGAGGTGGACAAAAGATCCTACAACCCGCTACCTACTCTTTTTTCCATTTCTCTCTGATAAAAAGACTCTGTGGCAGGGCACGGTGGCTCATGCCTGTAATCCCAGCACTTTGGGAGGCCGAGGCGGGTGGATCACCTGAGGTCAGGAGTTCGAGAGCAGCCTGGCCAACATGGGGAAACCTCGCCTCTACTAAAAATACAAAAATTAGCCGGGCGTGGTGGTCCGTGCCTATAGTCCCAGTTACCCAGGAAGCTGTGGCAGGAGAATCGCTTGAACCCAGGAGGTGGAGGTTGCAGTGAGCCAAGTTCACACCTCTGCACTCCACTCCAGCCTGGGGGACGGAGTAAGACTCTGTCTCAAAAAAAAAAAAAAAAAAGATTCTGTGATAACAGAAAGGTGTCATGATGGAAGCACATTTAGTGAGGAGGGCCGGAGATCTGTACACATCTACTTTACCAAGTATGGTGCAGGTGACTCATTTTTTAATCACAGATCATAGCATATAGTAGGCATTCAGTATTTGTTGAAAGAATGAATGTCTTAACATCTAGTTATTGGAAAATTACAAGCCTAAACTACTCTTTTTTTTGTTTTTTTGAGACAGAGTCTCACTGTGACACCCAGGCTGGAGTGCAATGGTGCAATCTCGGCTCACTGCAACCTCCACTTCCCAGGTTCAAGTGATTCTCCTGCCTCAGCCTCCTGAGTAGCTGGGACTACAGGCACATGCCACCATGCCCAGCTAATGTTTGTATTTTTAGTAGAGACAGGGGTTCACCGTATTGGCCAGGCTGGTCTCGAACTCCTGACCTCAAGTGATCCACCTGCCTCAGGCTCTCAAAGTGCTGGGATTACAGGCATGAGCCACCGTGCCCGGTCCTAAACTACTTTTGATACAAATATACATCATTACAGATTGTAGAATTAGCCAAACAACCAACAACCAAACTAAACTGAAAATAATGAAACTAAACTAACAGTAATTTATAATTAAAAAGCAAGAATAGGCCGGGCATGGTAGCTCACACCTGTTATCCCAGCACTTTGGGAGGCCAAGGTGGGTAGATCATTTGAGGTCAGGAGTTCGAGACCAGCCTGACCAAATGGTGAAATCCCGTCTCTACTAAAAATACAAAAAAATTAGCCAGGCGTGGTGGCACATGCTTGTAGTCCCAGCTACTCAGGAGGCCGAGTCAGAAGAATTGATTGAACCTGGGAGGTGGAGGTTGCAGTGAGCAGAGATGGCACCACTGCATTCCAGCCTGGGTGACAGAGCGAGATTCCATCTCAAAAGAAAAAAAAAAAAGCAAGAACAGCAACAATTGAAAACCAGAACCAAGTCACAAGCACAGTGGGTTTTGTAATTTAGCACAAAAATAAGCCTTCATAGAATATGGAGTTCTACTAGGCCTTTAATTTTAGTTTATGACAAGAAACCAAATGAACCCTTAACTCATTTAGCAGGTTGTTAGTAAAGAGTACTTCATTTAGGCCAGGCATGGTGGCTCACACCTGTAATCCCAGCACTTTGGGAAGCCAAGGCAGGCAGGATCGCTTAAGCCCAGTTCAAGACCAGCCAGGGCAACATAGCGAGACCCCATCTCCACACACACACACACACACACACACACACACACACACACACACACCAAAATATTAGTCAGGCATGTTGGTGCATGCTTGTAGTTCCAGCTATTCAGGGGGCTGAGATGAGCGAATCACTTGAGCCCAGGAAGTTGAGGCTGCAGCAAGCCATGATTGCACCACTGCACTCCAGCCTGGGCGACAGAGTGAGACCCTGTATCCACACATACACACACACACGAGTCCTTCATTTATATAAAACTTTATAAAACTTGAGAGTCCAAGGAACTAGAGTGCTAGTTACCTTTTTGTTTGTTTGTTTGACACAGAGCCTCGCCATGTCTCCTAGGCTGGAGTGCAGTGGCTCGATCTTGGCTCACTGCAATCCACCTCCCGGGTTCAAGCAATTATTGTGTCTCAGTCTCCCGAGTAGCTAGGATTACAGACAGGTGCCCGCCACCATGCCCGGCTAATTTTTATATTTTTTGTAGAGACAGGGTTTCACCATGTTGGCCAGGCTTGTCTGGAACTCATGACCTCAAGTGATCTGCCCACTTTGGCCTCCCAACGTGCTGGATTACAGGTATGAGCCACTGCTCCCTGCCTAGAGTGCTAGTTACTTTTAAGAGGGACAAGAAAGACTTGCATTTGAGGATCCTACTGTGGGCTTTCAGGAGGCAAGAGGCTCCTTGTGAACCACCAGTAACTGGAGACTAAGCATCACTGGTAGGTAGGGCAGTGGTGACCTTCCAAGAACCTGGCTTAAATTAAGGCTGTCTTTTGAGACTTACAAAATAAAATCAACACATAAAGAACGGAGAAAGGATCTGTAAAGTCATCTGAAAGGGATGGACTGGCTGGCTCCCTGGTTTTTAAGACTTGATCATGATCTGACTGAACAGGGAGTTACCAGAGCAGACTTTCACACTGTTCATCTAAGCCCAGCCTTGAGCTAACCACCCATACTGAATTTTGTCACCCTAAAAAACTAACTTCAACTTCCAGCTTTATTACTTTTAAAGGGAGGAGCAATAGATAACAAACACCTTCAACCACAGCGATGACACTCTGACCCAATCACAGAATCTTGCTATTTTATGTTGAAATGTCTCCACTAAAATATCCTGTTTCACTGCCAGGTGCCATGGCTCACGCCTGTAATCCCAGCACTTTGGGAGGCCAAGGCGGGCAGATCATCTGAGGATGGGAGTTCAAGACCAGCCTGACGAATATGGTAAAACCCCGTCTCTACTAAAAATACAAAAATTAGCCGGGCTGTGGACAGAGGGAGACCAGGCCTCAAAAAAAAAAAAAAAAAATCTTGTTTCACCACGGGACAGGTTGTCTCAATTATCAGGATCAGTATCTGAGCAACCTAGGCATGATTGTGTATTCATCGTTAAACTGTAGCTCAAGTGCCACCGTAATTTATACATATGTTTGTGTGTACATATGTGTGTGTGTGTGTATGTTTTCCTCACTAAACTGCAATCCTCTGGTGGCATGGATGGTGACATATTTCTCTCCATGCTTCTGGAGCTGAAGGAAGGGAAATGTGTCAAGTATATTCGCAGAGTGGAAATGGATACATCAAGCTACTGTTGCCTACCAGCACTGGCCGTTTACTCTCACTGATCTTCCTGCAAGCTCCTGTGTGCATTGCCTATATGGAAGGAATGAACAAACAGTAACCATGAAGAGCCAGTCCATATGACTTACGGTTCTCTAAAGTAATAAAGTGGGTTCTGGTTTCCACATCAGTCACTTCATGAGTTTGGTTGGTGAGAGTCAAATCCCTGGGGACCAACGACCTCTATGAAGAATGGTCTTAAAAGTCAAAATGGATATAAGCTGCTCTTCAAACTACATAGCACAGAATATAAATGAGATGAGGCCGGGCGCTGTGGCTCACGCCTGTAATCCCAGCACTTTGGGAAGCTGAGGCAGGTGGATCACCTGAGGTCAGGAGTTCGAGACCAGCCTGACCAACATGGTGAAACCCTGTCTCTACTGAAAATACAAAATTAGCCAGGTGTGGCAGTGCATGCCTGTAATCTCAGCTACTCAGAAGACTGAGGCAGGAGAATCGCTTGAACCCAGGAGGCGGAGGTTGCAGTGAGCCGAGATCACACTATTGCACTCCAGCCTGGGCGACAAGAGTGAAACTCCGTCTAAAAAAAAAAAAAAGTCAATGAGATGAGATATATGTGAAACTGTTGATCCTGTTATTGACAATAATGACTGGATAGATTATTATGACATAAATTGAGGATGGTAAATACCTCATTCTTTGGTACTGACCTGCAAATCCCCGGCTCCTCCCTTGAGGGGGAAGTGGCATGGAGCCCATAGCTCGGGAATAAAGTGAAACAGGGTAGAGAGAGGGCACCATGGGAGGCACAAAAGTAGGTGACGGAAGTAGAGCAGAAGGCGGTGGATGATTCATGTTGACTCCTTCAAGGATGCTCTGTCTCATCTTTTCCACTTTGGTTGCCAGGTCAGCCTTCAAATGAGGAAGAGTAATAATAGCAGCTGCCATTTTTCGAACTTGTCCCATGTTTTAGGCCCAGGATGGAGCACTCTAGGTACAGTCTCACAATTCTATTCCCATTAAGTGAACTGAGGCCTGTCGTTAAAGGGCTCAAAGCTACACACTCAGGAAGCCTGTCTGGCACCAAAGCCCCGACTCTTTACATGACATCACACTACCATCATATGAGTTCTGACTCAGGGCTTGTGATGTACATTGACTAGGTCAAGGAAGACAAATTTAACAATAAGAATTACTGATGGTCTATTACATGGCCGGCATTGGGCTGGGTCACTTTCTAAGGGAGATGTAACAGAATTAGATAAAAGAGAGAATAAAAATCTGACAAATAAAAAGCCTTTTAACCTTCTCCCCCATATCCAAGATTGGAGATCCTGATACCTCTAGTACAAAGGTCTGCAAACTTCTTCTGAAAAGGGTCAGATAGTAAATATTTTAGGCTTTGTAGGCCATATTGTCTCTGTCACAATTATTCCACTCGGCTACTGTAACATGAAAGCAGTCATAGGCCAGGCGTGGTGGCTCACGCCTGTAGTCCCAGCAATTTGGGAGGCCAAGGCAGGTGGATCACCTGAGGTCAGGAGTTCAAGACCAGCCTGACCAATGTGATGAAACCCCATCTTTACTAAAAATACAAAAAATTAGCCAGGCATGGTGGCATGTGCCTGTAGTCCCAGCTACTTGGGAGGGTGAGACAGGAGAATCACTTGAACCTGGGAGGCGGAGGTTGCAGTGAGCTGACATCGTGCCACTGCACTCCAGCCTGGGCGACAGAGCAAGAATCTGTCTCAAAAAAAAAAAAAAAAAAAAGAAGAAAGCAGTCATAGATGGTATGTAGATGAATGAATGTGGCTATGTTCCAATAACATTTTATTTACAAAAACAGAGGGTGGTCTGTATTACAAAAAACAGATGGTTTGTAGCACTATGGATAGCGCAAAAAACTATGGATAGTGACAAAAAACAGGAGGTGTGCTGGGTAGTCTGCCAACCCCTGCTCTAGTGCCTCAGCTCTTTCCCCACCAAAATGGATAAAGGAGTTAAGTAAGGTTTCCTTTCCCTTGCCTCCCCTCATCTTTCCCAATGTTTCATTAAAAAAAATCCCTTTGGGAGGCCAAGGCAGGTGGATCACAAGGTCAATAGATCGAGACCATCCTGGCCAACATGGTGAAATCCCATTTCTACTCAAAATACAAAAATTAGCTGGGCCTGGTGGTGCATGCCTGTAGTCCCAGCTACTTGGGAGGCTGAGGGAGGAGAATCGCGTGAACCTGGGAGGTGGAGGTTGCAGTGAGCCGAGGTCACGCCACTGCATTCCAGCCTGGCGACAGAGCAAGACTCCGTCTAAAAAAAAAAAAAAATCCTCTGCTTCTACTCTACCATCAACTTTACTACCCTCTTCTGTTTCCAAACACAGCTCCTTTACAAAAAAAAAAAATTGCTTGCAAAAGAGACAGACAGTTTTTGTAAATAAGAGAAATGAAATACTGAGTTGGAGGGAAGGTATATAGTACATCTGAATATTCCATGGATAAGAAATACTCAGAGTAAGAAAAAGGATATGAAAACTTTAAGCTCATTAAAAAAAACTTTCCAACATAAAATTTTACAACATGTACATATCAGACTACGGGCCTTTGGGACCACTGTTGACTGAGTCAGGTTAAAGTGAGACACATTCTCCTGCTTCCGCCCCATCCCTCTCCACTATCTCTGCTCCTTTCCCCTCCCTGCCCATTCACTCCCACAGGAGATCAGAGCTAGTCCTTAGCAGCCTGACATGCTGGTACCTGGCCATCACAGAGCTCAACCAGAGATACTCGCTCTCGGCCTGCTTTAATTAGCTTGCTCTGGAACAGCTTGCCATCAAAGTAAATCCATGGACAGCAATGCTCCCAAGGGACTGGCTGGCCACAGGCATCATTAGCAAACAGAGCTGTGTCGACTCCACTCATGAAGAGGGCAGCAAGCTGGATCCCTCGGGCATCCAGTTTCTCAATCTGAAACCACCACAGATGAAATATTACTATTAAGAAACTACTATTCTTGGTAACATTTACTCTTATTCCTGTCATGCTGATTCTTCCAGTTAAATTTGAACATGCTGTCATTCAATGTAGACATCTCAGTGCATAAGCAGCTTCTATCCATGTCTTTCCCCTAAGATGATTTGAAAGGTACTTATTACAACATTAAAGACACCAACCTGAGACATTTTTTTTTCACCTGTCCAATTAGAAAAAAATTTAGAAAGTAAAGGCTGAAAGAACACTCAATGCTGCTGCTGCTGATGCAGTGAAATAAATGGGCAATCATATAAAGCTGGTAAGAAATGTATATTACATGGCCAGGTGCAGTGGCTCACGCCTGTAATCCTAGCACTTCGGGAGGCTGAGGCAGGCAGATCACCTGAGGTCAGGAGTTCGAGACCAGCCTGGCCAACATGGTGAAGCCCCGTCTCTACTAAAAATACAAAAATTAGCCAGGCATGATGGTGGGTGTTTGTAGTTCCAGCTACTAGGGAGGCTGAGGTGGGAGCATCATTTGAACCTGGGAGGTGAAGGTTGCAGTGAGCCGAGATTGTACCACTGCACTCCAGCCTGGGCAACAGAGCAAGACTCCATCTCAAAAAAAAAAAAAAAAAAAAAACGAAAGAAAGAAATGTATATTACAATTAAGCAATATGTATGAAGAACCCTGAAAATGTTCACATTTGTTGAGTTAGAAATTAAACTTGCAGATACCAGCACCATGTTTCTTGTACAGTCTGAAAAACTGTGAACCAAAGAAAATTCTTTTCTTGGCCAGGCACAGTGGCTCATTCCTGTAATCCCAGTATTTTGGGAGGCTGAGGTGGGTGGATCGCTTGAGGCCAGGAGTTTGAGACCAGCCTGGCCAACATGGCAAAACCCCGTTTCTACTAAAAATACAAAAATCTGGCAGGCATGGTGGCATGTGCCTGTAATCCCAGTTACTCAAGAGGCTGAGGCAGGAGAATCGCTTGAACCCGGGAGGTGGAGGTTGCAGTGAGCTGAGATTATGCCACTGCACTCCAGCCTGAGTGACAGAGTGAGACTCTGTCTCCAAAAAAACCTCTTTTCTTTACCAATTACCCCACTTCAGGTATTCCTTTATAGCAACTGTAAATGGAGTAAGACAACACATAACAGAGGAAAACTGAAAACAACCTAAGTCGCCAATATTATAACAATTAAATGATACATCCATATGATAAAATACTATTTATTAAAATTTTTAAGACACAGAAAATATGTGCTATGTGAAATGGAAAAAAACTACAATATATAATTACATAAATACTACCTCAACTATGTAAAAAATGTATGACAGAAGACTGGAAAAAAACCTCAAAATTCCCACAGTGGTTATCTCAAGCCACTGTGTTAGAAGACAGCTTTAACAGGAAAAGGGGAAGTGTTTGCAGGTCCCCTCCTAGGTGTCGTTTAGCACGAGCAGTTATTCTAGGACAAGCAATACTACATTTACTGCAAAAGGCAAGCACTAACTGGTTGTCTGAGTCTATTCCACCTTTCCTTAGTTGACCTCACTTAAGATTTTGCAAGTCTTATTGAACTTGATCTTCTAGCTTACTTTGGGTGCTCAAAGGAACAAGGTTACTAAAGTCAAGGGAGGGATGTTCTGCATTAATGGCTACATTTATTGAGTATTGTGTATATAAAATATGTGAAACACTAGCCGGGCATGGTGGCTCATGCCTGTAATCCCAGCACTTTGGGAGGTCAAGGTGGGCGGATCACCCGAGGTTGGGAATTCGAGACCAGCCCGACCAACAGAGAAACCCCGTCTCTACTAAAAATACAAAATTAACCAAGCGTGGTGGCGCATGCCTGTAATCCCAGCTAGTCGGGAGGCTGAGACAGGAGAACCGCTTGAACCTGGGAGGCGGAGGTTGTGGTGAGCCGAGATCACGCCACTGCACTCCAGCCTAGGCAGCAAGAGCGAAACTCCATCTTGAAAAAAAAAAAATAGTGAGACACTGTTCTAGGGGTTTTACATGGATTACTTTACATAGTATCCTCACAAACTGACACAGTTGGATATGTGACCCCTCCAAATTGCATGTTAAAATGTGATCCCCAATGTTGTAGATGGAACCTAGTAGGAGGTGTCTGGGTCATGGGGGCAGATCCCTCATGAATGGCTTGGTGCCCTCCCTGTGGTAATGAGCGAGTTTTCACTCTATTAGTTCATGCAAGAACTGATTGCTAGAAAGAGCCCAGCACCTTGCCCTTCTTTTTTTTTGAGACAGAGTTTCACTCTTGTTGCTCAGGCTGGAGTACAATGGTGCAATCTCGGCTCACTGCAATCTCCGCCTCCCGGGTTCGAACAATTCTCCTGCCTCAGCCTCCCGAGTAGCTGGGATTACAGGTGCCCTGCCATCACGCCCAGCTAATTTTTGTATTTTTAGTAGAGACAGGGTTTCACCATGTTGGCCAGGGTGGTCTCGAACTCCTGACCTCGTGATCTGCCCATCTCAGCCTCCCAAAGTGCTGGGATTACAGCACTGCTGCCCTTCTCTCTTACGTGCCCTCTCTCACCATGTGACACACTGGCTCCTCTTGTCTTATTCCCCTCACCTTCTATCATGAGTAGAAGCTTCCTGAGACCCTGACCAGAAGCTGAGTAGATGCTGGCACCATGTTTTTTGTACAGTTTTCAGAACAATGGGCTCAATAAACAAACCTCTTTTCTTTATAAATTACCTAGTTTCAGGTATTCTTTTATAGCAACACAAAATAGACTAATATACAATTGTACAAGTAAGGAAACTGAAGCTAGAGAGATTAAGTAACCTGCCCAAGGTCACACAGCTAGGAGGTAATGAAGCCAGGATTCAAACCCAAGGCAGCCCGGCTTCAGAGCCTCCCCTCTATACTACTGTGCTCTACTGCCTTCAGTGGGTGGGTTTATTTTCTTCCTTATGCTTTCCTATACTTCTACTTAATACTCAATACATATCACTAAAAGGAGGTGTGTCTGAGTAAATAGACACAAGCAGGGGACATTAGGATATGTCCCCTATAGTGTATCTTGTAAGAGTCAGAAACCTTGCCATGGCCTATGGGCCAATATTTATTTTCCTTGCGTAATATCCATCTTTTCTGTCCATTCTCATTTATCAGTATGAGAGCAGCGTAGCAGGCACCTCTTGGCTTTATTCATAGACATAAATATTTGGTTAAAGTAAATCAAACAGTTACCTGCAGAACTTACTATTTTCCTCAGCTTCAGGAAAAAAAAAAGACCTAAAGTAGTGCCATAAGCTCATAAAAGAAAGAACTTAAATGAGGGTACATGAACTCACCTTGAGTTCTTGGAGTCGATCTGGTTCATAAAGCTGGGTAGACACTGCCTGTGCAAGGAAGGTGTCTAGCTCATGGCGATGCAGGATTCGGCCACCAGGCCACTGAACCATGTACCTAGAAAATAAAAGCACTGTTATTAGGCCACAAAAGCTCACTTATTCATGTCACAAAAACTTATTAAGCTAAGAACCTATCATGAGCCAGTACTTGGCTAGATTTTGGCAATACTAACTGAATGAAGGAAAAAGAATCTCTGCTTTCATTACTTCCAGTCTGGGTGGTAGAGGAAAAGAATCATGTACATCAACAATGACAGGACAGTGTGTTAAGTACCAAGATGGAAGAATGCACAGAGTGCTTGCTATGAGAGCATAGAAGAGGGCCATGACTGTAAAGATGAAAGATGGTATCCTGAGAAAAGTCAGCAAGAGTTCAGTTTCAAAGGGCCTGTAGAATTTAGTGAGACAAAAGGTGGGGAAAGGATGTTCCAGGTTGAGCGAAGAGTATGATGTGTGAAGGCCTGATGGTGTGGTTCAGCACAATGCACCAGCTTCCATATTGCTGAAGCTAAGCACGTTTGGAGTGACAGGAGGCGAGATTAGGAAGTAGGTCAGATTGGTGGCAGCCTGAGGAACACTGAGGGCTTCAGGTGGTGGAAAGTGCGGTCATGAACCATATCATGGTACCCAAGACATGGCCCAGGATAAGTGAAGTTCACATAAAAGCCCAGAACGTTTTAACAGAAAGAGTATGAATTTTGAAGAGAGAAGATCTCAATTTGAGTGTTGGTTCCTCCACTTACTAGTTGATAGCTATGGACAAATTATTTAACCTTTCTGAGCCTTGCATTTCCTCATCTACCAAATGGGGATAATAAAATTTGCCCTGCTCTTTTTACAGGGTGGTTGTGAGGATTAAATAGGGTTACTAAAGAAAAAAATGAAAAGAAGGCTGGGTGCGGTGGCTCATGCCTGTAATCCTAGCACTTTGGGAGGCTGAGACGGGCAGATCACTTGAGGCCAGGAGTTTGAGACCAGCCTGGCCAATGTGGTGAAACCCTGTCTCTACTAAAAATAAAAAAAATTAGCCGGGTGTGGTGGCGGGCACCTGTAATCCCAGCTACTCAGGAAGCTGAGGCAGGACAATCGCTTAAACCTGGGAGGCGAGGGTTACAGTGAGCTGAGATTATGCCACAGCACTCTAGCCTGGGCGACAGAGTGGTGGGGGGAGGGGGAGAGGGAGAAGGAGGAGGAGGAGACGACGAAGAAGAAAGTGTGTGTGTGGGGGAAATAAAAAAGAAAGTAGACCAGAGAACAGAGACTCAAAAACAGGATTAAGGAATTTGGATCGTCATCCTGAAATTGTAGGAAGACACTGCAGGATTGTCAGAAGGACTGGTTTGATAATGACTGGCTCAGGTTATTAATATTGTTTCTTTTTTTGGATTTATAGTTCCTTGATTTACCTTTGCCCATTCTTTCATTTTTAACCTTTCCATCTTATTTCATTGGCAAAATGTAAAGCAAAAATAGAAGAAAATGAATGCAAATGCAATTACAGTGGGAAATTTTAATATACCACTATTAAGCTATAATATGTAAAACATACCTAAAATACATTTAAATTCACAGAAGATTTGAATAGTACAATAAATAAGGTTTAAATACTTGACTGACTTAATACACAGAAAACACATTCTTTTCAAGTGCCCATGTCAGTTCCCATGAGGTCTAGGACCTTGCCTGTTTGCCTTTGTTTGTGTTTGTTTATCATCCTTTATTTATTATGAACTATCTAGCCAAGTACATAGCATAGAATAGGTATTAATAAATATTTATTGGAAGAGTGACTGATGCATTAATCTGGTCATGCCAAGCCAAAAACAAAACAAGACAAAACTCAAAAAAATCCTTCAAAGCAGAATTGTACCAGTCATATCCTGAACCACTGTGCAAGAAAAATTGACCTAAAGGAGCTCCTAAAGGAGTCAAGTGTGGGAGAACAGCGAACTCACAGAAAGACTAACACAATGCAAGGGGTGTGATTTTAGAAGTTGAACAGATTGTTCTGGGTGCTCTGAGTCAGTGACTAAATTTACCTTGGAGAATCTAGAGAAGGCTCCACAGAGGAGGGAACATTTCCTAGGGGTTGGAGCTTTTTGTTTGGTTTGGTTTACACTTTAATGTTAATTTGCAATTTTAAATGTCTCTCTAACCTTAACAGAGTACATGCCAGAGTGGATGCTTAATAGATGTTTGCTGAACAAATAAGTCAATGTCAGGACATTTATAAGGAAATGCTAGCTCCATCTTTGGGCCCGCACTACTATTCAACTATTTTTGAATGAATTATGAGACAGAATGTAGGGTCTAATGAGTCAGAGGAGTGAGAGGCTCAGAAATGGGGCAGCAGGAAATAATTATTAAATCAACCAATATTTATTGATGCTTCATCATGTGCGATTTTTGGAATTACATGATTCCACTGGGGATTTTCCCCAGAAAATAACAGCATTACTTATTCCCAAGGAATTTCCTGAATTTTAATGATGACAGCTTTATTATTGCTATTAGTAGTTACATTACTACAAATATTACATACAAGCTTTAATATATGCAGCAAACTATAAGTTATACATAAGAATAACATTTACTAAATGCCTCTGATATTCTAGATACCTTGCTAAGAACTTTAGCTACAAAGTATGTCGTGGCAAAGAATGCAAACTTAGAGACTGACATCCTTGGTTCTAATCTAGGTTCCACGACTCCTTTTTTTTTTTTTTTTTTTTTTTCTGAGACGGAGTCTCGCTCTGTCGCCCAGGATGGAGTGCAGTGGCATGATTTCAGCTCACTGCAAGCTCCAAGCTCCGTCTCCTGGGTTCACACCATTCTCCTGCCTCAGCCTCTCGAGTAGCTGGGACTATAGGTGCCTGCCACCACGCCTGGCTAATTTTTTGTATTTTTAGTAGAGACGGGGTTTCACCGTGTTAGCCAGGATGGTCTCGAACTCCTGACCTCGTGATCTGCCCGCCTCGGCCTCCCAAAGTGCTGGGATTACAGGCATGAGCCATCGCACCTGGCCTCCACTACTCCTTTTCTATGTGACCCTGGGCAACTAAATCCCCTGGACCTCTAGGGGATTTAGTTTGCTAATCTTTAGAATGAGGATGGCACCACCTACATCTCAAAAGGTTGTAATAAGTAAAGAAGAAAAAGCACATAAAAGCACTAAGACTAGCCTGGGCTAGTCTTTTTGTAGAGACCCCCATCTCTACAAAAAATTATCAAAAATTAGTAGTGGCAGCCAGGCACAGTGGCTCAAGCCTGTAATCCCAGAACTTTGGGAGGCCGAGGTGGGCAGATCACGAGGTCAGGAGTTCAAGACCAGCCTGGCCAACATGGTGAAACCCCGTCTCTACTAAAAATACAAAAATTAGCTGGGCATGGTGGTGCATGCCTGTAATCCCAGCTACTGGGGAGGCTGAGGCAGGAGGGCAGGAGAATGGCTTGAACCCAGGAGGCAGAGGTTGCAGTGAGCCAAGATCGTGCCACTGCACTCCAGCCTGGGTGACAGAGCAAGACTCCATCTCAAAAAAAAAAAAAAAATTACTCATGGCTCATGCCTGTGGTCCCAGCTACTCAGAAGGCTGAGGTGGGAGAGAGAATTGCTTGAGCCCAGGAGGTCAAGGCTGCAGTGAGCAGAGATTCCACCACTGCACTCCAGCCTGGGCGACAGAGCAAGAACTTGTTTCAAAAACAAAACAAAACAAAACAAAACACCCCTCCAAAACCAAAACAGCACTCAGCATAGTGCCTGGCACAGCAGGTGCTTTTAGTTACCATTTGTAACTGAACGAATTATGGTATAATCCTTCCTTTACAATTTGGTAAAGTTCTCCTTTTATTATATATTACATTCTCATACATACGAAAATCTGCTCCTATCCTATTTATTCTATGTCTATTTCTCATGCCAGCACCATAGTGACTTAAATTTTAAATGTGCTTTAATACTCAGTAGCTCCCCCTTTACTCCACATCTTTTTTTTTTTTTTTTTTTTTGGAGACAGGCTCAGGGCAGTGGTGTGATCACGGGTCACTGCAGTATTGAGTATTGATCTCCCAGGCTCAGGTGATCCTCCCACCTCGGCCTCCTGAGCAGCTGGGACTACAGGCTCATGTCACAATACCTTGCTAACTTTTGTATTTTTTATTAGAGTCAGAGTTTCGTCATGTTGCCCAGGTTGCTCCTAAACCCCTCAGCTCAAGTGATCCGCCAGCCTCGGCCTCCCAAAGTGTTGGTATTACAGGCGTGAGCCACTGCTCCCAGCCCACATCTTTTTTTTTGGTTTGTTTTTTGAGATGGAGTTTCACTCTTGTTGCCCAGGCTGGAGTGCAATGGCACCATCTCGGCTCACTGCAACCTCTGCCTCCCAAGTTCAAGCAATTCTCCTGCCTCAGCCTCCCAAGTAGCTGGGATTACAGGCATGCACCACCATGCCTGGCTTATTTTGTATTTTTAGAAGAGATGGGGTTTCACCATGTTGGTCAGACTGGTCTCGATCTCCTGACTTCAGGCAATCTGCCTGCCTCGGCCTCCCAAAGTGGTGGGATTACAGGCATGAGCCACTGTGCCAGGCCACATCTTTTAATTTTAAATAACATTTACAACTTTATTCTATATACAAAAGTATATTACAAAAGTTTAAGTTCATTCTCATTCAGAAAATGTAAAAAAGCATAAAGAAAATAAAAAAATATGGTGTGAGTTGGCTAAAGGTAATACAAGAAAAAAATATTAATAAGAAAAATAAGGCCAGGTGTGGTGGCTCACGCCTGTAATCCCAGCACTTTAGGAGGCTGAGGCAGGTGGATCACTTGAGGTCAGGAGTTTTAGGCCAGCGTGACCAACATGGTGAAACCCCATCTCTACTAAAAATACAAAAATTAGCCAGGTGTGGTGGCGTGCGCCTGTAGTCCCAGCTAGTCAAGAGGCTGAGGTGGGAGAATTGCTTGAGCCCAGGAGGCGGAGGTTGTAGTAAGCTGAGATCATGCCACTGCACTCCAGACTGGGCCACAGAGCGAGACTCTGTCTCAAAAAAATAAAAAATAAAAAAATGAAATAATTTGTAATCTTACCATTTAGATATAAGCACTGTTAAGATTACTATGATTGTGGCTTCTTCATTCCTAGCATCTGAATTCTCAACTTTTTCTCTTTCATACTATATAAAGAATATCATATCTTGCTTTTTTCACTCGACATTATACTATGAGAACTTTTTGTTCATTAAATACTTTTCAAAAACATGATTAATGACTGCATGTTCAGCATGTGGGTGTATCAGTTAGCTTAAACATTCCTATAATAAAAATTCATATAATAAAACATTCATATAATAAAAATTATAAATAATACTACAAAGATATTAACATATTAAATCTTGCCTATATCTCTGATTATTCATTCCCTTAGCATAGATTCCTAGAAGTGGAATTATTGGGTCGTAGGTTATATTCATTCTGAAGGTCTTTAATACATACAGCAAAATTGTTTTCCAGACCAGACCCAATTTACATCCTATCCCAGCAGTGTGTCAGCATTGATTGTCACCGTTAATCACTGATGATTTAATGGGCAGAAAATAAGTCTCTCATTATTTAAATTTCTTTGATTCCCAAGGATGAGGTTGCATATATTTCCCAAGCACTTATTTACCCCCTTCTCAGATAATGCCCCTTCTCAGATAATGTAAAGCCCCATTTTTATAACAATGACAGCTATTTGGACAAGGAATGGATACCTGATCCAAGTGAAACAATTCATGGCTTGTCAATCGGAGTCTTCAGAATTTGAGCTAAGTGATGCAGCGACTTTATACAACACATGCAGAAAGAAGAGCTACCTATGCAGGCCTATGAGAGAGTGGGCAGTCTCTGTTCCTGCCTTTCCAGGACCATTCCCTGTGTATACTACTTTTCTTGTCCTTGGATGACTAGGAGACTACCTGTTATACCTTTACAGTAAGATAGCTAGAGTGGGCTGGGCATGATGGTTCATGCCTATAATCCCAACACTTTGTGAGGCGGAGGCCAGGAGTAGCAAGACCCTATCTCTACCAGAAAATAAAAAAAGAGAGGAAAAGCGAGAGAGCTAGAATGGCTTCTGTTTCTTCTAAGCAAATGAGTCTGAAGAGACTGTCATTTACCCATCTGTGCTATCTTAGATAGCTATTCTGATATCTAAGTCTTTATATATTGTGAATATTAACAGTGTCCTAACTGTTGCAAATATTTCCCCGTTTAGTCTTTTTAATTTTATGTATTTTGGGACATAGATACAGTCACAGTTACTGATCTTCTCCTTTTTATATCTTCTTTTTTGAAGGAGGACTCAGTCTTTATTTATTTTTATTTATTTATTTATTTTGAGATGGACTCTCGCTCTGTCACCCAGGCTGGAGTGCAGTGGCACGATCTCGGCTCACTGCAAGCTCCACCTCCCAGGTTCACGCCATTCTCCTGCCTCAGCCTCCCGAATAGCTGGGACTACAGGCGCCCGCTACCACGCCCGGCTAATTTTTTGTATTTTTAGTAGAGACGGGGTTTGACCGTGTTAGCCAGGATGGTCTCGATCTCCTGGCCTCGTGATCCGCCCGCCTTGGCCTCCCAAAGTGCTGGGATTACAGGCGTGAGCCACTGTGCCCGGCCTATTTTTTTATATTACTTTTTTTTTTTTTTTTTGAGATGGAGTTTCGTTCTTGTTGCCCAGGATGGAGTGCAGTGACACGGTCTCGGCTCACTGCAACCTCTGCCTCCCGGGTTCAAGTGATTCTCCTGCCTCAGCGTCCCAAGTAGCTGAGATTACAGGCATGCGCCACCATGCCTGGCTAATTCTGTATTTTTAGTAGAGACGGGGTTTCACCATGTTGGCCAGGCTGGTCTCAAACTCCTGACCTCAGGTGATCCACCCACCTCGGCCTCCCAAAGTGCTGGGATTACAGGCATAAGCCACCGTGCCCGGCCTATTATGAATAATTCTACATGAACATTTGTGAACATGTTTTTGTGTGGACATGTGTCTTCATTTGATGTTCTCATCAGCAATGTATGAGGGTTCCGATTTCTCCATATCCTTTTCAACACTTGCTGGATGTCTTCTTTTTAAATCTCCCACCCGATCCCTTGTCTTTTTGATTATAGCAACTGAATGGGTGTTAACTGGTTTCTCATTGTTGTTATGATTTGCATTTCCCTGATGATCATTTTTTCATGTGCTTATTGGACATTTGTATATGTTCTTTTTTATTTTATTTTATTTTATTTTGAGACAGAGTCTCGCTCTGCCACCCAGGCTGAACTGCAGTGGTGCGATCTCAGCTCACTGCAATCTCCCCTTCCTGGGTTCAAGTGATTCTCCTGCCTCAGCCTCCTGAGTAGCTGGGATTACAGGCACGCGCCATGCCCGGCTAATTTTTGTATTTTTAGTAGAGACAGGGTTTCACCATGTTGGTCAGGCTGGTCTCGAACTCCTGACCTCGTGATCTGCCCTCCTCGGCCTCCGAAAGTGCTGGTATTACAGGTGTGAGCCACAGTGCCCGGCTGACATTTGCGTATGTTCTTTGGAGAAATGTCTATTCAAATCTTTCACCCATTTAAAAAATTGATTTATTCATCATTTATTGCTTTACTTGTAGGCTTTTTTTTTTTTTTTTTTTGAGACAGGGTGTTGCTCTGTTGCCTAGGCTGGAGTGCAGTGGCATGATCATGGCTCACAACAGCCTCTACCTCCTGGGTGTAAGCAATCCTCCCCCGACAGCCTCTGGAGTAGTTGGGACCACAGGTGCACAGCTACGCCCAGCTGCTTTTTAAAGATTTTTTTGTAGAGGTGGGGTCTTGCTATGTTGCCCAGACTGGCCTCAAACTCTTGGATTCAAGCGATTTTCACACCTCGGCCACCCAAGGTGTTGGGATTACAGACATGAACCAAGGTATTGGGATTACACACATGAGCTAGTGTGGCCAGCCAATTGTTTGAGTTGTAAGAATTCTTTATATATATTATGGATACTAGGCCCTTATCAGATACATGGTTTGCAAATATTTTCTCTCATTCTGTGGGTTGTGTTTTCACTTTATTTGTAGTCTTGTTTCTAGCACACAAATTTTAAATTTTGATCTAGTCTAACCTGTTTTTCCTTTTGTTACTTATGCTTCTGGCATCATATCAAAGAAACCACTGCCTAACCTGAGTTCGTGAAGAATACCTCTTGTCTTCTAAGTGTTTTATAGTTTTCAGTCTGACATTTAAGTCTATGATATATTTTGAGCTAATTTTTGTATATAGTGTGAAGTAGAGGTCTAACTATTCTTTTGCATGTTAATATCCAACCATCTGTTGTAAAGACTATTTTTCCCCCATTGAATTATCTTGGCACCCTTGTCAAAAATTAATTGACCACAAATAGCAGAGTTTATTTCTGGACACTCGAATGTAACTACATTAATTTATATGTCTATCCTTATTCCACTGTTTTTGGTTACTATACTTTTGTAGTAAATTTTGAAACTGTACAGTGTTTGTTCTTTTTTTCAACATTATTTTGGCTATTCTGAGTTTGTATTATTAGTCCATTTTCTGTTGCTTATAACAGAATGCCTGACAGTGGGTTATATATAAAGAAAATGAATTTATCTCAAAAGCCCAAACTCTCATCTGTGAGCCTGTGAAATCTAAACAAGTTATCTACTTCCAAGATCTTAGAATTGGCCTGTAATCCCAGCATTTTGGGAGGCTGAGGCGGGAGGATCGCTTGAGTCCAGGAGTTTGAGACCAGCCTAGGCAACGCAGTAAGGCTCCATCTCTACAAAAGATGTAAAAATTAGCTGGCCATGGGTTGGGCGCGGTGGCTCATGCCTGTAATCCCAGCATTTTGGGAGGCCGAGGCGGGCAGATCATGAGGTCAGGAGACGGAGACCATCCTGGCTAACACGGTGAAACCCCATCTCTACTAAAAATACAAAAAAAATTAGCCGGGTGTGGCAGCGGGCACCTGTAGTCCCAGCTACTCGGGAGGCTGAGGCAGGAGAATGGTGTGAACCGGGGAGGCGGAGCTTGCAGTGAGCCGGGATTGTGCAACTGCACTCCAGCCTGGGTGACAGAGCGAGACTCCATCTCAAACAAACAAATAAACAAACAAACAAAAAAATTAGCTGGCCATGGTGGTTAAGTACCTGTGGTCTCAGCTACTCGGGAGGCTGAGGTGGGAGGACTGCTTGAGCCCAGGAGTTTGAGGCCCCAGTGAACTGCACTTCAACCTGGGTGACAGAGACTCTGTCTTAAAACAAACAAACAAACAAAAAACACACACATACACACATACAAAACAAAAGATCTTAGAGTTGGAGAATAATCTTTTTTGACTCCATGTGGGGACTCCTGGACACACTGTGGTGGGAGCCCAACCTGCAAGGCCTCAGGTAGCCCTGTCTGTATGGGTGCAGAGTATAGGCCACATGGTTGCTCAAACTGGTTGGAATCCACTGCCTGAAGGTTTCCCAGGTGGGCAATGCATGCTGCCAGTAACCTCACAGTTCTAGGGACTCAGTGGCAGTCCTGTTCCCATGGCTCCACTATGCATTGCCCTGGTTGGAGACTCTGTGGCAGCTCCAACCTTATGTTCCTACTGGGCATTGCTACAGTAGGGGATCTCTGTGGTGGCTCTGGCCCCGCTACAAGTCTCTACCTGGGCTCCCAGGCTTTCAATGAGATCCTTTTAATGGGTAGAGGTTGCGAAGCCTCCACAGCTCTTACTTTATGCGGGCCTGCAGAATTATCACCATGTGGATGCCACCAAGGTTTACGACTTGTACCTTCCTGAGCTGAGACATGAGCCACACCTGGGTCCATGTGAGATATGGCTGCTCCAGCTGGAGGGGCTGAGATGAGGGAAGCAGCTTTCCCGAGGTGGCACAGGGCAGTTGTGTCCCAGGCCTCCTCCACTCCCAAACAATTCTGTCCTCCAAGGGCTGTAGGCCTCTAAAGGGAGGGGCTGCCTCAAAGATCTCTGAAGTGCCGTTAGGGCCTTTTCCTCATTGTTTTGACTATTAGCACCTGGCTCCCTTTTAGGCATAAAGTGGTGGCTCCTCTGCACCCTTGGTTCCACTCCTGAAAACTCTTTTTCATTCTCTACCACATGACAAGGCTGTGAATTTTCCAAATGTTTCTGCTCTGTTTCCCTTTTCTCTAGCAGTTCACTGTAAACAGTTAGACATAACCATGCAGTAGCCTGAGCACTTTGCTGCTTAGAAATTTCTTCTGCCAGATACCCAAATTCATCATTCTTAAGTTTGGCCTACAACAAAGCCCTTGGAGACGGACACCATTCAGCCAAGTTCTTTGCCAATTTATAACAAGGATGGCCTTTACTTCCATTTCCAATACCTCGCTCATCAGTTCCATCTGAAACCTTATCGGAATGGCCTTCGCTGTCCATATTTATATCAGCATTCTGGTTGTAACCATTTAATCAATCTCTAAGGAGTTATAAACTCTCCCTAGTCTTCTTGTGCTCTAAGCCTTCACTAGAATCTTGGTGTTTTGTAGCCTGCTCCTCCAAATTCTTGCAGCCTCTGCTTATTACCCAGTTCCAAAGCTGCTTCCACATTTTCAGGTATTCATTATCAGAAACAGCCACACTTCTCAGTAACAATTTTGTTTGTTCTTTTTTTTTTTTTAGAGCCAGGGTCTTGCTCTGTCACCCAGGCTGGAGTGCAGTGGCGTGATCATGGCTCACTGCAGCCTCCACCTCCTACGCTAAAGTGATCCTCCCACCTCGGCCTCCCAAGTAGCTGAGACTACAGGTGCATGCCACCATGCCTGGCTTGTTTGTTTTTTGTAGAGATGGGGTCTATGTTGCCCAAGCTGGTCTTGAATGCCTGGGCTCAAGTGATCCTCCCACACCTTGGCCTCCCAAAGTGCTGGGATTATAAGCATGAGCCACTGTGCCCTGCCTCTTAGTCTATTTTCTGTTGCTTATGGCAGAATACCTGAAACTGGGTAATTTATAAAGAAAAGGAATTTATTTCTTACAGTTATGGAGTCTAAGAAGTCCAAGGTTAGGGGGCTTGCATCTAGTGAGAGCCTTCTTGCTGGTCATATGGTAAAGGGGCTGATCACGCTCATGTGCTGTATCAGGTCTCTCTTCCTTTTCTTATAAAGCCACCAGTTCCCCTCCCATGATAACCCATTAATCCATGAATGGATTAGCCCATCTGTGAGAGTAGAGCCCTAAAGATCAAATCACATCTTAAAGGCCCTACCACTCAATACTGCCACACTGTGGATAAAGTTTCAATATGAGTTTTGGAGGGGACATTCAACCACAGCAGGGTCCCTTGTATTTACGTGTTTTTTTTTTTTGGAGACAGAGTCTCTGTCACCCAGGCTGGCTGGAGTGCAGTGGCGCGATCTCAGCTCACTGCAGCCTCCACCTCCTGGGTTCAAGCGATTCTCCTGCCTCAGCCTCCTGAGTAGCTGAGATTACAGGCGCGCACCACCACACCCAGCTAATTTTTGTATTTTTAGTAGAGACGGGGTTTCACCATGTTGGCCAGGATGGTCTCGATCTCTTGACCTCATGATCTGCCTGCCTCGGCCTCCCAAAGTACTGGGATTACAGGAGTGAGCCACTGTGCCCAGCCTGTATTTACATATTAATTTTAGCATTAGTTTGTTAATTTCTGCAAAGAAGAAAGCTGGGAATTTGGATTCCATTGCATATGTAGATCAATTTGGGGAGTATTGCCATCTTAACAATATTTTATATTCTTTTTTTCTAGTTAGAAATCAACAAGAAGGATTTTATCTTATCTATAAACATGGGGTATCTTTCTGTTTACTTATATCTTTTATGATTTTTTTAACAGTGTTTTGTAGTTTTCAGTTTGCCTATATCTCAGGCAACTGAGGTATTTGCCTTTCCTGTCACCAAGATAGTTACTGTCTCTGACAATACTCTGGGCTTAAGGCTTGTGTACTCTCATTTAAAAAATTCCTTTCCTAAAAGAAATGAACAACAAAAAAAATCCCTTTCCTATCTCAAGGTCAGCAAATCATTGCTTAGCTTTTATTCTGCCTTTTATCTTTTTTACATTCATCTTTATAATTAATCCATCTGGAATTTATGTGAGGCATGGCTCTAAATGGATGTTTTCTCCCCAAATACAAATCCAATTCTCTAAATAATTATTTAAAAAATGCATCTCTTCCTCATTGATTTGTGATGCTTTCTTTAGCGTATTTTAAGTTCTAACGTGTCAAGGATCTTATTCATTATTATCTGCTCTAAAACAATGAGCTGTCAATTTTTGTGATAATACTACATTATTTTGGTATGAGTTTATAATACACTTCGGTACGTAATAGGTCCAAAACACCTCTTTTTTTTTTTTTTCCAATAACAGTCTTGCTGCAGGACCAAGATATATCTTATTATTATTTTTGTTACATTTTCTAAGCTAATCTTGTTCATTTGCCTTTCCTGATGGACTTTAGAATTATTCTGTCAAGTGAATGAACACTAGTTCTTATGTATCTTTATTCTTCATGTATCGGGATGGCACATGGTTAATCCAAATATCTTGTTATAGCTGAGAGTGAATCCACTGCTTCTTAAACGATTTGCTTCTCAAGAGAGATTCCTCAACTTTACCCATAAACAAAGAGGAGAAACCTTGTCCAATTTCATGTTCCATCTCTGGAAAACTGTTGATATTTGAATGAATTTTTGCTAGAAATGATAAAGCCTTGATGCATGCCTCTCCCATTCAGCAGGGCTGCCCCTCACCTCCCCTCCAGAAGCCTGACTGAGTTCTTCAGTATCCCTCCCTCCTAAGTGATGACTATTGTATGCGCAAAGGTTCTGCCCTCCTCAAACTGTATCAACCTTTCCTAGAAGACTCAATTTCTCTAGGACATCTAGGAATCTTTTACCTACAGTTTGTGTAAGAAATTGAGGAGTATAGGCTCCTAGCACTCAGTTAGGCTATAACTTCAATGTTCCTACCTGGTGTTTACTTGATATTGCTGGACAATGCAGTATTAAGGATAAGTTAATCTTCATTTAAAATTTAAATTTCCAACCAGACTTTATGCTAATTGTTAAAACTGCATTTTTTTCCTACCATTTTGTCTTCTTAAAAACACAGGAGGCCGGGTGTGGTGGCTCACACCTGTAATCCCAACACTTTGAGAGGCCGAGGCGGGCAGATCGCCTGAGGTCAGGAGTTCAAGACCAGCCTGGTCAACATGGCGAAACCACGTCTCTACTAAAAATACAAAAATTAGCCAGGTGTAGTGATGGGCACCTGTAATCCCAGCTACTTGGGAGGCTGAGGCAGGAGAATCGCTTGAACCTGGGAGGCGGAGGTTGCAGTGAGCCAAGATCGTGCCACTGCACTTCAGCCTGGGCAACCGAGCGAGACTCTGTCTCGGGGGGGGAAAAAAAAGAAAAAGAAAAAACCCCTCCCAAGACTAAACCAGGAAGAAGTCGAATCCCTGAATAGACCAATAACAAGTTCTGAAAGTGAGGCAGTAATTAATAGCCTACTAACCAAAAAAAGTCCAGGGCCAGAAGGATTCACAGCCGAATTCTATCAGACGTACAAAGAGGAGCTGGTACCATTCCTTCTGAAACTATTCCAAACAACAGAAAAAGAGGGAATCCTCCCTAATTCATTTTATGAGGCCAGCATCTTCCTGAAACCAAAACCTGGCAGAGACACAACAAAAAAAGAAAATTTCAGGCCAATATCCCTGATGAACATCGATGCGAAAATCGTCAAGAAAATACTGGCAAACCGAATCCAGCAGCACATCAAAAACCTTGTCCACCACGATCAAGTCGGCTTCATCCCTGGGATGCAAGGCTGGTTCAATATACACAAATCAATAAAAGTAATCCATCACATAAACAGAACCAAAGACAAAAACCACATGATTATCTCAATAGATGCAGAAAAGGCCTTCAACAAAATTCAACAGCCCTTCATGCTAAAAACTCTCAATAAACTAGGTATTGATGGAACGTATCTCAAAATAATAAGAGCTGTTTATGACAAACCCACAGCCAATATCACACTGAATGGGCAAAAACTGGAAGCATTCCCTTTGAAAACCAGCACAAGACAGGGATGCCCTCTCTCACCATTCCTATTCAACATAGTGTTGGAAGTTCTGGCCAGGGCAATCGGGCAAGAGAAAGAAATAAAGGGTATTCAATTAGGAAAAGAGGAAGTCAAATTGTCCCTGTTTGCAGATGACATGATTGTATATTTAGAAAACCCCATCATCTCAGCCCCAAAATCTCCTTAAGCTGATAAGCAACTTCAGCAAAGTCTCAGGATACAAAATCAATGTGCAAAAATCGCAAGCATTCCTATACACCAATAACAGACAAACAGAGCCAAATCATGAGTGAACTCCCATTCACAACTGCTACAAAGAGAATAAAATACCTAGGAATACAACTTACAAGGGATGTAAAGGACCTCTTCAAGGAGAACTACACATTACTGTTCAAGGAAATGAGAGAGGGCACAAACAAATGAAAAAACATTTCATGGTCATGGATAGGAAGAATCAATGTCGTGAAAATGGCCATACTGCCCAAAGTAATTTATAGATTCAATGCCATCCCCATCAAACTACCAATGACTTTCTTCACAGAATTGGAAAAAAACTACTTTAAATTTCATATGGAACCAAAAAGGAGCCCTCATAGCCAAGACAATCCTAAGCAAAAAGAACAAAGCTGGAGGCATCATGCTACCTGACTTCAAACTATACTACAAGGCTACGGTAACCAAAACAGCATGGTACTGGTACCAAAACAGAGATATAGATCAATGCAACAGAACAGAGGCCTTACAAATAACACCACACATCTACAACCATCTGATCTTTGACAAACCTGACAAAAACAAGCAAAGGGGAAAGAATTCCCTATTTAATAAATGGTGTTGGGAAAACTGGCTAGCCATATGTAGAAAGCTGAAACTGGATCCCTTCCATATACCTTATGCAAAAATTAACTCAAGATGGATTAAAGACTTAAACATAAGACCTAAAACCATAAAAACCCTAGAAGAAAACCTAGGCAATGCCATTCAGGACACAGGCATGGGCAAGACTTCATGACTAAAACACCAAAAGCAATGGCAACAAAAGCCAAAATAGACAAATGGGATCTAATTAAATTAAAAGCTTCTGCACAGCAAAAGAAACTATCATCAGAGTGAACAGGCAACCTACAGAATGAGAGAAAATTTTTGCAATCTATCCATCTAACAAAGGGCTAATATCCAGAATCTACAAAGAACTTAAATTTATAAGAAAAAAAAACTCCATCAAAAAGTGGGCAAAGGATATGAACAGACACTTCTCAAAAGAGAAGACATTTATCCAGCCAACAAACATGAAAAAATGCTCATCATCAGTGGTCATTAGAGAAATGCAAATCAAAACCACAATGAGATACCATCTCACACCAGTTAGAATGGTGATCATTAAAAAGTCAGGAAACAACAGATGCTGGAGAGGACGTGGAGAAATAGTAACGCTTTTATGCTGTTGGTGGGAGTGTAAATTAGTTCAACCATTGTGGAAGACAGTGTGGTGATTCATAAGCTATTTTTAATTGTTTTTATGTTCCTGGATCTAGTCCATGTAACGTAGAGAACCAAATAAATGGGAAAATGAGCTATTATATGTATTTTGTTTGTTTTGGTTTTTTTTTTTTGAGATAGAGTTTTGCTCTGTCGCCCAGTCTGGAGTACAGTGGTGCAATCTTGGCTCACTGCAACCTCCGCCTCCTAGGTTCAAGCAATTCTCATGCCTCAGCCTCCCAAATAGCTGGGACTAGAGGCGTGTACCACCATGCCTGGCTAATTTTTGTATTTTTACTAGCGACGGGGTTTCGCCATGTTAGCCAGGCTGGTCTCAAACTCCTGACCTCAGGTGATCCACCCGCCTCAGCCTCACAAAGTGCTGGGATTATGGGCATGAGGCACCGCACCAGCCTACTATATATTTTAGAAAGAAGGTAAATGAAATGTACAACTCCAGAGTTAATATGGGACAATGTAGGGCTGTGGCCCAGGAACATGTTAGGCAGTAGGAAGAATAAATCTTTATCATTATTCTTTAAAAAAATTTTTTTTTTGAGACAGAGTCTTACTCTGTCTCCCAGGCTGGAGTGCAATGACGCGATCATGGTTCACTGCAACCTCTGCCTCCCGGGTTCAAGTGATTCTCCTGCCTCAGCCCCCTGAGTAGCTGGGATTAGAGGCGTGTGCCACTACTGCTTGGCTAATTTTTGTATTTTTAGTAGAGACAGGGTTTCACCATGTTGGCCAGGCTGGTCTTGAACTCCTTGACCTAAAATGATCCACCCTCCTCGGCCTCCCAAAGTGCTGGGATTACAGGTGTGAGCCATGGTGCTCGGCCTCATTATTCTTACTGGGAAAACTTTGTAAGTCACTAATCTTAATGTTAAGGTGGTTAGGAAATTAGTATATATTGGGGATCTAGTATGTGGTAGGGTCCCTGAATGTTATCTCCATGTTCAAACTGCTCTGAGACGTAAAATTATATCCATTTATGGTGAGGAAAGAGATGCTCAGAAAGGCTAAAGTGACAATATCCAAGCTGAAAAATGCCAGAACCAGCATTCAAACTAAGGTCTGCCCATTTTGAAAGCGAAGTGCTCTGCAGTTCTCTGGTGACTTGTAGGGCTTGACTTCCCCTTTGCACAAAAACTTACTTTTTTTTAATAATGAGAAAGTATAACAGAAACTAGAATATCACACATAATCATGGCGATATCTATCAAGTACCTAGAAATTAATTTAAAATGTAGGAGATCTCAATGGAAAAAAATTAACTATACTAAGACATAAAGGAAGAAACCTGAATAAATGGGAGAGGTAAACTATTATCTTTGGATGGGAGGACTTAACATTATAAAGATGTCAAAGCTCCCCAAATTAATCTATAAATTCAATTCAATGACAAAAAAAATCCCAACAAGATTTTGGTGGAAACTAGACTGATCACAAATTATATATGGAAGAGTAAGGGCTCCTAAGGTGCAAGGATAACTAGTATAAGTCTCAAAAAAGAAAAGAGTGGAGATTTGTGCTGCCTGATATTAAGGCAAATTGCAAACCCTTAATAACTGAAACAATGTGATATTGATGAGGACCCTAATGGGCAGTGAAACAAAATAGAATCCATGAATGAACTTATACAGATATAAAAACGTAGTACATAATGGCCAGGCGCGGTGGCTCACGCCTGTAATCCCAGCACTTTGGGAGGCCGAGGCAGGTGGATCACTTGAGGTCAGGAGTTCAAGACCAGCCTGGGCAACATGGTGAAACCCGGTCTCTACAAAAATACAAAAATTAGCTGGGTGTGGTGGTGCGCGCCTGTAATCTCAGCTACTCAGGAGGCTGAGGCAGGAGAATCGCTTGAACCCAGGAGGTGGAGGCTGCAGTGAGCTGAGATCGCGCCACTGCACTCCAGCCAGCCTGGGTGACAGAGACTCTGTCTCCAAAAAAAAAAAACACGTAAATACAAGGGACCCTGCTGTGGTTGAATGTCCCCTCCAAAACTCATATTGAAACTTTATCCACAGTGTGGCAGTATTGAGTGGTAGGGCCTTTAAGATGTGATTTGATCTTTAGGGCTCTACTCTCACAGATGGGCTAATCCATTCATGGATTAATGGGTTATCATGGGAGGGGAACTGGTGGCTTTATAAGAAAAGGAAGAGAGACCTGATACAGCACATGAGCGTGATCAGCCCCTTTACCATATGACCAGCAAGAAGGCTCTCACTAGATGCAAGCCCCCTAACCTTGGACTTCTTAGACTCCATAACTGTAAGAAATAAATTCCTTTTCTTTATAAATTACCCAGTTTCAGGTATTCTGCCATAAGCAACAGAAAATAGACTAAGAGGCAGGGCACAGTGGCTCATGCTTATAATCCCAGCACTTTGGGAGGCCAAGGTGTGGGAGGATCACTTGAGCCCAGGTGTTCAAGACCAGCTTGGGCAACATAGACCCCATCTCTACAAAAAACAAACAAGCCAGGCATGGTGGCATGCCCCTGTAGTCTCAGCTACTTGGGAGGCCGAGGTGGGAGGATCACTTTAGCGTAGGAGGTGGAGGCTGCAGTGAGCCATGATCACACCACTGCACTCCAGCCTGGGTGACAGAGCAAGACCCTGGCTATAAAAAAAAAAAAAAGAAAAAAGAAAACAAAGAAAATTGGTACTGAGAAGTGCGGGTTTCTGGTAACGAATACCTGAAAATGTGGAAGCAGCTTTGGGAGGCTGAGGCAGGAGAATCGCTTGAACCCAGGAGGTGGAGTTTGCAGTGAGCCGAGATCACGCCACTGCACTCCAGCCTGGGTGACAGAGCGAGACTCCGTCTAAAAAAAAAAACCAAACATGGTACATAAGAAAGGTCGGGGAAAGAAAGGATCATTCAATACATCAAGCTGGGAAACTGGTGTATTATGTAAATAAAGTTAGATCCTTTCTCACAGCATGTACAAAATATCTACTGTATTAAGGACCTGATATGGAAGACAACATTATAGAAGTATAAGAAAACGTAGAAAAATATCTTTTTTTTTTTTTTTTTTTTTCTGAGATGGATTCTCGCTCTGTTGCCCAGGCTGGAGTGTAGTGGCGCAATCTCGGCTCACTGCAAGCTCTACCTCCCGGGTTCACGCCATTCTCCTGCCTCAGCCTCCTGAGTAGCTGGGATTACAGCCGTATTTTTAGTAGAGACGAGGTTTCACCGTGTTAGCCAGGATGGTCTCGATCTCCTGACCTCGTGATCTGCCCATCTCGGCCTCCCTAAGTGCTGGGATGACAGGCATAAACCACCACACCCGGCCAGAAAAATATCTTTATGACTTAGGGGTAGGGGAGAATTTATTAAATAAGACACCAAAACACACACCATAAAGGTAGAAAATCATGGGCTGGACAGAACCAAAATAAATACTTCTCAGTGAAGGGAGAAGTATACTGATGTCTGCAATTTACTTGGAAATGCAGTAAAAAAGATGGAAAAATCAATGCCTAGTGATGAATAAATGGACAGTTATATGAAGTAAAGCAAATATAAATATTAATTATAGAATCTAGGTGGTGGTTATGAGTGTTCACTGTACTATTATTCTAATTTTTCTATATATATGAAATTATAATAAAAAGTTGGCAAAAATTTGCCCACTTTCTGGCTGGGCATGGTGGCTCATGTCTGTAATCCTAGCACTTTGGGAGGCCAAGATGGGAGGATTGCTTGAGCCCAGGAGTTCAAGACTGGGCAACATAGTGAGAGCCTGTCTCTAAAAAAAAAACTTTAAAAAATTAGCTGGGCATGGCCGGGTGCAGTGGCTCATGCCTGTAGCCGCAGCACTTTGCGAGGCTGAGGCGGGAGGATCACTTGAGGTCAGGAGTTTGACACCAGCCTGGCCAACATGGAGAAACCCCGTCTCTACTAAAAATACAAAAATTGGCCAGGCGTGGTGGTGGGCCCCTGTAATCCCAGCTATTCTGGAGGCTGAGGCAGGAGAATCACTTGAACCCAGGAGGCAGAGGTTGCAGTGAGCCGAGATCAAGCCACTGCACTCCCGACTGGGTGACAGAGCGAGACTCTGTCTCAAAAAAAAAAAAATTAGCTGGGCATGATGGTGTGTGCTGTAGTCCCAGCTACTTAGGAGACTGAGGCGGGAGGATCACTTGAGCTCAGGATGTTGAGTCTGCAGTGAGCTGTGATTGTGCCACTGAACTCCAGCCTTGGTGACAGAGCAGGATCCTGTCTCCAAAAAAAGTAACTTGCCCACTTTTACCACTCCTATTCAACATAGTACTGGAAGTCCTAGCCAAAGCAATCAGGAAAGAGAAAAAAAATATAAGACATCCAAATGGGAAAAGAGAAAGTGAAATTATCCCTGTTTGCTGATGATATCATCTTATATCTAGAAAAACCCTAAAGAATCCTCCAAAAGACTCCTAGATTTGATAAATGAACCCAGTAAAGTGTCAGGATACAAAATCAATGTATGAAAACCAGTAGCATTTCTATACACCAATAATGATCAAGCTGAGAACCAAATCAAGAAGTCAATCCCATTTACAATAGCTACAAAAAAAAAAACACCTAGGAATATATTTAACCAAGGAGGTGAAGGATCTCTACGAGGAAAACTACAAAACACAGATGAAAGAAATTATATATGACATAAAGAAATGGATAAACAATTCATACCCATAGATCGGAAGAATCAATATTGTGAAAATAACCATACTGTCCAAAGTAATCTACAGATTAAATGTAATTCCTATCAAAATACCAACATAATTTTCCACAGAATTAGAAAAAACAATCCTAAAATTCATATGGAGTCAAAAAAGAGCTTAAGTAGCCAAAACAATACTACACAAAAAGAACAAAGCCGGAGGCGTCACATTACCTGACTTCAAACTACTACAAGGCTATAGTAACTAAGAGAGCATGGTAGTGGCATAAAAATAGACACATAGATCAATGGAACAGAATAGAGAACTCAGAAATAAAGCCACATACCTACAGCTAATTGATCTTTGATAAAGTTGACAAAACACATACTGGGGAAAGAATACCTTTTTAATGGTATTGGGATAGCTGGTTAGCTACATGCAGAAGCATGAAACTGGGCCCCTATTTCTCACCACATACAAAAATCAATTCAAGATGGGCTGGGTGTGGTGGCTTATGCCTGTAATCCCAGTACTTTGGGAGGCTGAGGTGGGTGGATCACCTGAGGTCAGGAGTTCGAGACTGGCCTGGCCAACACAATGAAACCCTGTCTCTACTAAAAATACAAAACTTAGCGGGGAAGGGTAGTGCACACCTGTAATCCCAGCTACTCGAGAGGCTGAGGCAGGAGAATCGCTTGAACCCGAAAGGCAGAGGTTGTCGTAAGCCGAGATCGCGCCACTGCACTCCAGCCTAGGCGACAGAGCAAGACCCCACTCAAAAAAAAGGCTGGGTGCAGTGGCTCATGCCTGTAATCCCAGAATTTTGGGAGGCTGAGACGGGCGGATCACCTGAGGTCGAGAGTTTGAGACCAGCCTGACCAACATGGAGAAACCCCGTCTCTACTGAAAATACAAAATTAGGGCCGGGTGCGGTGGCTCATGCCTGTAATCCCAGCACTTTGGGAGGCTGAGGCGGGCGGATCACAAGGTCAGGAGACTGAGACCATCCTGGCTAACACAGGGAAACCCCATCTCTACTAAAAATACAAAAAATTAGCCAGGCATGGTGGCGGGCGCCTGTAGTCCCAGCTACTCAGGAGGCTGAGGCAGGAGAATGGTGTGAACCTGGGAGGCGGAGCTTGCAGTGAGCCGAGATCGTGCCACTGCACTCCAGCCTGGGTGACAGAGTGAGACTCTGTCTCAAAAAAAAAAAAAAAATACAAAATACAAAATTAGCCAGGCATGGGGGCACATGCCTGTAATCCCAGCTACTCAGGAGGCTGAAGCAGGAGAATCGCTTGAACCTGGGAGGCGGAGGTTGTGGTAAGCAGAGATCACGCCATTGCACTCCAGCCTGGGCAACAAGAGCAAAACTCCATCTCAAAAAAACAAAAACAAACAAAAAAACACAAAAGTCAACTTAAGATAGATTAAAGACTGAAATGAAAGACCTGAACTATAAAAATCCTAGAAGAAAACCTAGAAAAAACTGTTCAGGACATTGGTCTAGGTGAAGAATTCATGATTAAGACTTCAAAAGTGGCCGGGGGCGGTGGCTCACACCTGTAATCCCAGCATTTTGGGAGGTCAAGGCGGGTGGATCACCTGAGGTCAGGAGTTCAAGACCAGCCTGGCCAACATGGTGAAACCCCATCTCTACTAAAATAAAAAATTAGCCGGGCGTGGTGGCGTGCACCTGTAATCCCAGCTACTCAGGAGGCTGAGGCAGGAGAACTGCTTGAGGCTGGGAGGCTGAGGCTGCAGTGAGCCAAGATCACGCCACTGCACTCCAGCCTGGGCAACAGAGCTAGACTCCATCTCAAAAAAAACACCTCAAAAGCAAATGCAACAAAAACAAAAATAGACAAAGGGGCATAAATGAAAAAGCTCTTGCACAGCAAAAGAAATAAGAGTAAACAAACAACCTGCAGAATGAGAGAAAATATTTGCAAAATATGTATCCAACAACCACAACAAAAATGCCTGCACCAGGCCGGGCGCGGTGGCTCACGCCTGTAATCCCAGCATTTTGGGAGGCCGAGGTGGGCAGATCACCTGAGGTTAGGAGTTCAAGACCAGCCTCAACATGGAGAAACCCCGTCTCTACTGAAAAAAAAAAAATACAAAATTAGCCGGGCGTGGTGGTGCATGCCTGTAATCCCAGCTACTCGGGAGGCTGAGGCAGGAGAACTGCTTGAACCTGGGAGGCAGAGATTGCGGTGAGCCGAGATCGTGCCATTGCACTCCAGCCTGGGCAACAAGAGCGAAACTCCATCTCAAAAAAAAGAAAAGAAAAAAAAAGCCTGCACCTGTATGTTTATTGCAGTACTATTTGCAATAGCAAAGGTATGGGATCAACCTAAATGTTCATCAATGAATGAATGATTAAAGAAAGTGTGATACACACACACACACACACACACACACACACACACTGGAGTACTATTCAGCCATAAAAAAGAATGAAATCATGTCTTTTGCAGCAACATGGATGGAACTAGAGGCCATTATCTTAAGTGAAATAACTCAGAAAGTCAAGTACCACATGCTCTCACTTATAAGTGGGAGGTAAATAATGTGTGCACATGGACGTAGACAGTGGAATAATACACATTGGGGACTCAGAAGGGTGGGAAGGGGGTGAGGGATTGAAAATTACTTAATGGGTACAATGTACACTATTTGAGTGATGGCTACGTGAAAAGCCCAGACTTTACCACTATACAATATATCCATGCAACAAAAGGACACCTGTACCCCTTAAATCTATAAAAATAAAGTTTTTTTTTGTTTTTGTTTTTTTGGTTTTTTTTTGTTGTGTTTTGAGACAGAGTCTCGCTCTGTCATCCAGGCTACAGTGCAGTGGCACAATCTCGACTTACTGCAACCTCCACCTCCGGGGTTCAAGTGATCCTCCCTCCTCCCAAGTAGCTGGGACCACAGGCGTGCACCACCATGCCCAGCTAATTTTTGTATTTTTAGTAGAGACAGGGTTTTGCCATGTTGGCCAGGCTGGTCTTTAACTCCTGGCCTCAAGTGATCCACCCGCCTCGGCCTCCCAAAGTGCTGGGGTTACAGGTGTGAGCCACTGCACCCAGCCTAATTTTGTTTGTTTGTTTGTTTTTTTGAGACAGAATCTCACTTTGTTGCCCAGGCTGGAGTGCAGTGGCACAATCTCAGATCACTGCAACCTCTGCCTGCTGGGTTCAAGCGATTCTCCTGCCTCAGCCTCTCAAGTAGCTGGGATTACAAGCACCCACCACCATGTCTGGCTAATTTTGTAATTTTTTTTCTTTTTTTTGTATAGATGGGGTTTCATCATGCTGTCCAGGCTGGTCTTGAACTCCTGGCCTCAAGTGATCCACCCACCTTGGCCTCCCAAAGTGCTAGGATTACAGGCATGAGCCACCACGCCCAGCCAAGTTAAATTTTTAAAAGGCTAGTAAAAACGAAATACTGCTGGTAAACAAAGAACACTATATATAAAGTTTAAACAAATTGTGACTGATACACATGCACAGACACATGCATGCACACTCAAATATAGAAAAGATATTTGCTACATGTGTGTCTGAGTGTACACACATACATATCTGACAAAGAACTTCTGTAATCAGCAAAATAAGACAAGTAACCTAATAAAAAATTTGCAAGACAAATAAAGAAGCACTTCAGAGAATGAGAAAACTCAAATGGCTAATAAGCATAAAAATAGAAGATCAACCTCCTCTGTAGTCAAATGCAAATTAAAATTAAAGATACTACTTGAAAACACTAGATTGGCAAAATTAAGAAGTTTTATGGTATTAGTACTGGCAATAATATGAGGAAATGAAACACGTATTGTTCACAGGAATATAAATTGGTGCAGCTATAATCTAGAGCAATTTGGCAGTATTTAGTGAAAAAGCTACATGCGTATTTTACAGGATCGAGAAATTCTACTTCTCAGTATATGCTTTAAACTGACTCAGGAACACAAAGAGACACAGACATCTATGAAGAAATCCCCTGCAGCACTATTTGTAATACTAAAGAACTGGAAACAATTATCTATCAATCAGTATTAGTATTTGATAGAACATAACCCAACAGTGAAGAGGAACGATTGATATATGAACATGGACAGACCTCAAAAATAATATTGAGTGAAAAAAAGAAACAGGCCGGGCGGGGTGGCTCATGCCTGTAATCCCAGAACTTTGGGAGGCCAAGGTGGGCAGATCACCTGAGGTCAGTTCGAGATCAGCCTGGCCAACATGGTGAAACCCCATCTCTACTAAAAATACAAAATTAGCCAGGCATGGTGGCACATGCCTGCAATCCCAGCTACTTGGGAGGCTGAGGCAGGAGAATCATTTGAACCCAGGAGGTGGAGGTTGCAGTGAACCAAGATTACGCCATTGCACTCCAACCTGGGCAACAAGAGTGAAACTCCATCTCAATAAAAAAGGGAAAAAAAAGAAACAATGAGATGTACAGCACAATACCATTCATGCCATAAAAGGAAAAATGTTTACCCATAGAAAATACTATAGGCTGTGCATGAATACATGGATGTCTAAACAAATATATGAAAGATGGCTTGGAAGGACACACATCAAATACCCAAGAGTAGATGACTATGGGTGAATAAAAGAAGGAAATTGGATCAGGGACGAGGACTGAACAAGACAAAAACTAAACTAAAACCAAATATAAAAGAGGAGTCATGCATGGACCGATATGACCAAGGATCATAAACTGAGGAGGCTGTCTGAACAATCATTTTCGGTGTTTCTGGCGCATAAGCCAAACATAAAATAAAAATTTCCCCACCTTGAAATACCATAAAAGCAGGTGCTTAAAGGAAATATAAAAAAAGTAAAAGAGAAAGAACAGGCCACCTGCCTGTCAGGTAGCTTACCGGAGTACACAACACATGAGCAGCAGATGGGTGGGGACATTAGCTGGATTGAGCATACTGGGCGTGTCCGACTTCATACAGGCCAGGAAGGCCCGCATCCTTCTGTTCTTGTCTTCAACTGCTTTGCCTAGCCAGAGCTTCTTGAGGTTTGGGCAAGTCCATTCCCGAAATGTCAGTGCAGACACCAGCTCAGGGGTTTGAGGTGACTTCCCTTTATAGGCAGACCACTCTTTAAGGATCACTGAAGGAACTGGAAAACAGAAATTGAGGAAAAAGAGGCTCTAGAGAATCTCTCAGCATTTCTACGGCTAGCCACAGGACATTGACAGGCTCCATTGCATTTCAACTCTTAATTTTCTGTCACAATAATTTTTATTTTTAGCAGCAGGAATAGTACACGTTTATTAAGTGCTTGATATGCAAGTACTTTATATATATCATCTCATTAATCCTCACAAAAATCCTGAGAGGGAACTATTATGATACATTATCACAAAACAAAAGGCTTATTTTGCAGATAAAGAAATCAAGGGGCTGGGTGTGGTGGTTCACACGTTTAATCCCAGCAATTTGGGAGGCTGAGGCAGGAGGATCGCTTGAGCCCAGGAGTACAAGACCAGCCCCGGCAAGATGGAGAGATCCCACCTCCACAGAAAATTTAAAAATTAGCTGGGTGTGGTGGCATGCGCTGCCAGCGACTTGGAAGGCTGAGGCAGGAGTATCCCTTGAGCCCAGGAGTTTGAGGCAGCAGTGAGCTATGATCTTCCCACTGCACTCCAGCCTGGGTGACAGAGTGAAATCCTGTCTCTAAAAATAAAATAAAATAAAATAAAATAAAATAAAATAAAATAAAATAAAATAAAATAAAATAAGGCCAGGCGTGGTGGCTCACACCTGTAATCCCAGAATTTTGGGAGGCTGAGGTAGATCACTTGAGGTCAGGAGTTCAAGACCAGCCTGGCCAACATGGTGAAACCCTGTTTCTACCAAAAAAAAAAAAAAAATTAGCCAGGCATAGTGGTGGGTGCCTGTAATCCCAGCTACTCTGGAGGCAGAGGCAGGAGAATCGCTTGAACCTGGGAGGCGGAGATTGCAGTGAGCCAAGATCAAGTCACCGCACTGCAGCCTGGGCGACAGAGCGAGACTTCGTTTGAAAAAAAAACAAAAAAAAACAAAAAGTAACTTGGAGAAATAAATCAAGGTCCAATGTCACACATTTCTTAGTTACTCTGAATCTTATTTTTTCAGTAGATGCACCAGGGTAAACAAGGAAAGAAGCACAAGGAAGAATTATGTAAATATCTGGCTTTATAATACACAATGAGATACACCAAAAGATATTAAGATATTTCACAAAATTCTCAAAAAAATCAACATCTTTTAGATTCACAAAGGCAGGCTGGGCGTGGTGGTTCACGCCTGTAATCCCAGCACTTTGGGAGGCCGAGGCGGGCGGATCACCTGAGGTCAGGAGTTCGAGACCAGCCTGACCAACATGGAGAAACCCCATCTCTACTAAAAATACAAAATTAGCTGGGCATGGTGGTGCATGCCTGTAATCCCAGCTACTCGAGAGGCTGAGGCAGGAGAATCGCTTGAACCCAGGAGGCAGAGGTTGCAATGAGCCAAGATTGTGCCATTGGACTCCAGCCTGGGCAACAAGAGTGAAACTCCATCTAAAAAAAAAAAAAAAGAACCTGGCATTTTCACTCAGCATATGCCCTTAAGATCCATCCATGTTGCTGCATGTATCGATAGTACATTCTTTTTTTTGCTGAGTAATATTCCATGGCAAGAATGCACCACAGTTTAATCATTCACCCATTGAAGCATATCTGGGTTGCTTCCAGTTTGGGGTCATAATGCTGTCTTGTGAATATGTTCCTGCATGAAAATAAGTCTTTATTTCTCTAATATAAATGCCCAAGAGTGTAAGTGCTGGGTTGTATAAGTCTATTTTTAGTTTTGAAAGAAACTGACAAAGTATTTTCCAGAATGGCAGTATCATTTTACATTCCCACCAGCATTTACGGGTGATCCAGCTTCTCTGCATCCTCTCCGGGATATGGTATTATCACTATTATTCACCATTGCCATTTTGGTAAGTATGTAGTGATATTTCATTGTGGTTTTAATTTGTATTTTTCTTTTTTTCTTTTTTTTTTTTTTTTTTTTTTTTTTAATTATACTCTAAGTTTTAGGGTACATGTGCATATTGTGCAGGTTAGTTACATATGTATACATGTGCCATGCTGGTGCGCTGCACCCACTAATGTGTCATCTAGCATTAGGTATATCTCCCAATGCTATCCCTCCCCCCTCCCCCGACCCCACCACAGTCCCCAGAGTGTGATATTCCCCTTCCTGTGTCCATGTGATCTCATTGTTCAGTTCCCACCTATGAGTGAGAATATGCGGTGTTTGGTTTTTTGTTCTTGCGATAGTTTACTGAGAATGATGGTTTCCAATTTCATCCATGTCCCTACAAAGGATATGAACTCATCATTTTTTATGGCTGCATAGTATTCCATGGTGTATATGTGCCACATTTTCTTAATCCAGTCTATCATTGTTGGACATTTGGGTTGGTTCCAAGTCTTTGCTATTGTGAATAGTGCCGCAATAAACATACGTGTGCATGTGTCTTTATAGCAGCATGATTTATACTCATTTGGGTATATACCCAGTAATGGGATGGCTGGGTCAAATGGTATTTCTAGTTCTAGATCCCTGAGGAATCGCCACACTGACTTCCACAATGGTTGAACTAGTTTACAGTCCCACCAACAGTGTAAAAGTGTTCCTATTTCTCCACATCCTCTCCAGCACCTGTTGTTTCCTGACTTTTTAATGATTGCCATTCTAACTGGTGTGAGATGATATCTCATAGTGGTTTTGATTTGCATTTCTCTGATGGCCAGTGATGATGAGCATTTCTTCATGTGTTTTTTGGCTGCATAAATGTCTTCTTTTGAGAAGTGTCTGTTCGTGTCCTTCGCCCACTTTTTGATGGGGTTGTTTGTTTTTTTCTTGTAAATTTGTTTGAGTTCATTGTAGATTCTGGATATTAGCCCTTTGTCAGATGAGTAGGTTGCGAAAATTTTCTCCCATTTTGTAGGTTGCCTGTTCACTCTGATGGTAGTTTCTTTTGCTGTGCAGAAGCTCTTTAGTTTAATTAGATCCCATTTGTCAATTTTGTCTTTTGTTGCCATTGCTTTTGGTGTTTTGGACATGAAGTACTTGCCCACGCCTATGTCCTGAATGGTAATGCCTAGGTTTTCTTCTAGGGTTTTTATGGTTTTAGGTTTAACGTTTAAATCTTTAATCCATCTTGAATTGATTTTTGTATAAGGTGTAAGGAAGGGATCCAGTTTCAGCTTTCTACATATGGCTAGCCAGTTTTCCCAGCACCATTTATTAAATAGGGAATCCTTTCCCCATTGCTTGTTTTTCCCAGGTTTGTCAAAGATCAGATAGTTGTAGATATGCGGCATTATTTCTGAGGGCTCTGTTCTGTTCCATTGATCTATATCTCTGTTTTGGTACCAGTACCATGCTGTTTTGGTTACTGTAGCCTTGTAGTATAGTTTGAAGTCAGGTAGTGTGATGCCTCCAGCTTTGTTCTTTTGGCTTAGGATTGACTTGGCAATGCGGGCTCTTTTTTGGTTCCATATGAACTTTAAAGTAGTTTTTTCCAATTCTGTGAAGAAAGTCATTGGTAGCTTGATGGGGATGGCATTGAATCTGTAAATTACCTTGGGCAGTATGGCCATTTTCACGATATTGATTCTTCCTACCCATGAGCATGGAATGTTCTTCCAATTGTTTGTGTCCTCTTTTATTTCCTTGAGCAGTGGTTTGTAGTTCTCCTTGAAGAGGTCCTTCACATCCCTTGTAAGTTGGATTCCTAGGTATTTTATTCTCTTTGAAGCAATTGTGAATGGGAGTTCACCCATGATTTGGCTCTCTGTTTGTCTGTTGTTGGTGTATAAGAATGCTTGTGATTTTTGTACATTGATTTTGTATCCTGACACTTTGCTGAAGTTGCTTATCAGCTTAAGGAGATTTTGGGCTGAGACGATGGGGTTTTCTAGATAAACAATCATGTCGTCTGCAAACAGGGACAATTTGACTTCCTCTTTTCCTAATTGAATACCCTTTATTTCCTTCTCCTGCCTGATTGCCCTGGCCAGAACTTCCAACACTATGTTGAATAGGAGCGGTGAGAGAGGGCATCCCTGTCTTGTGCCAGTTTTCAAAGGGAATGCTTCCAGTTTTTGCCCATTCAGTATGATATTGGCTGTGGGTTTGTCATAGATAGCTCTTATTATTTTGAAATACGTCCCATCAATACCTAATTTATTGAGAGTTTTTAGCATGAAGGGTTGTTGAATTTTGTCAAAGGCTTTTTCTGCATCTATTGAGATAATCATGTGGTTTTTGTCTTTGGCTCTGTTTATATGCTGGATTACATTTATTGATTTGCGTATATTGAACCAGCCTTGCATCCCAGGGATGAAGCCCACTTGATCATGGTGGATAAGCTTTTTGATGTGCTGCTGGATTCGGTTTGCCAGTATTTTATTGAGGATTTTTGCATCAATGTTCATCAAGGATATTGGTCTAAAATTCTCTTTTTTGGTTGTGTCTCTGCCTGGCTTTGGTATCAGAATGATGCTGGCCTCATAAAATGAGTTAGGGAGGATTCCCTCTTTTTCTATTGATTGGAATAGTTTCAGAAGGAATGGTACCAGTTCCTCCTTGTACCTCTGGTAGAATTCGGCTGTGAATCCATCTGGTCCTGGACTCTTTTTGGTTGGTAAACTATTGATTATTGCCACAATTTCAGAGCCTGTTATTGGTCTATTCAGAGATTCAACTTCTTCCTGGTTTAGTCTTGGGAGAGTGTATGTGTCGAGGAATGTATCCATTTCTTCTAGATTTTCTAGTTTATTTGCGTAGAGGTGTTTGTAGTATTCTCTGATGGTAGTTTGTATTTCTGTGGGATCGGTGGTGATATCCCCTTTATCATTTTTTATTGTGTCTATTTGATTCTTCTCTCTTTTTTTCTTTATTAGTCTTGCTAGCGGTCTATCAATTTTGTTGATCCTTTCAAAAAACCAGCTCCTGGATTCATTGATTTTTTGAAGGGTTTTTTGTGTCTCTATTTCCTTCAGTTCTGCTCTGATTTTAGTTATTTCTTGCCTTCTGCTAGCTTTTGAATGTGTTTGCTCTTGCTTTTCTAGTTCTTTTAATTGTGATGTTAGGGTGTCAATTTTGGATCTTTCCTGCTTTCTCTTGTAGGCATTTAGTGCTATAAATTTCCCTCTACACACTGCTTTGAATGCGTCCCAGAGATTCTGGTATGTGGTGTCTTTGTTCTCGTTGGTTTCAAAGAACATCTTTATTTCTGCCTTCATTTCGTTATGTACCCAGTAGTCATTCAGGAGCAGGTTGTTCAGTTTCCATGTAGTTGAGCGGCTTTGAGTGAGATTCTTAATCCTGAGTTCTAGTTTGATTGCACTGTGGTCTGAGAGATAGTTTGTTATAATTTCTGTTCTTTTACATTTGCTGAGGAGAGCTTTACTTCCAACTATGTGGTCAATTTTGGAATAGGTGTGGTGTGGTGCTGAAAAAAATGCATATTCTGTTGATTTGGGGTGGAGAGTTCTGTAGATGTCTATTAGGTCTGCTTGGTACAGAGCTGAGTTCAATTCCTGGGTATCCTTGTTGACTTTCTGTCTCGTTGATCTGTCTAATGTTGACAGTGGGGTGTTAAAGTCTCCCATTATTAATGTGTGGGAGTCTAAGTCTCTTTGTAGGTCACTGAGGACTTGCTTTATGAATCTGGGTGCTCCTGTATTGGGTGCATAAATATTTAGGATAGTTAGCTCCTCTTGTTGAATTGATCCCTTTACCATTATGTAATGGCCTTCTTTGTCTCTTTTGATCTTTGTTGGTTTAAAGTCTGTTTTATCAGAGACTAGGATTGCAACCCCTGCCTTTTTTTGTTTTCCATTGGCTTGGTAGATCTTCCTCCATCCTTTTATTTTGAGCCTATGTGTGTCTCTGCACGTGAGATGGGTTTCCTGAATACAGCACACTGATGGGTCTTGACTCTTTATCCAACTTGCCAGTCTGTGTCTTTTAATTGCAGAATTTAGTCCATTTATATTTAAAGTTAATATTGTTATGTGTGAATTTGATCCTGTCATTATGATGTTAGCTGGTGATTTTGCTCGTTAGTTGATGCAGTTTCTTCCTAGTCTCGATGGTCTTTACATTTTGGCATGATTTTGCAGCGGCTGGTACCGGTCGTTCCTTTCCATGTTTAGCGCTTCCTTCAGGAGCTCTTTTAGGGCAGGCCTGGTGGTGACAAAATCTCTCAGCATTTGCTTGTCTATAAAGTATTTTATTTCTCCTTCACTTATGAAGCTTAGTTTGGCTGGATATGAGATTCTGGGTTGAAAATTCTTTTCTTTAAGAATGTTGAATATTGGCCCCCACTCTCTTCTGGCTTGTAGGGTTTCTGCCGAGAGATCCGCTGTTAGTCTGATGGGCTTTCCTTTGAGGGTAACCCGACCTTTCTCTCTGGCTGCCCTTAACATTTTTTCCTTCATTTCAACTTTGGTGAATCTGACAATTATGTGTCTTGGAGTTGCTCTTCTCGAGGAGTATCTTTGTGGCGTTCTCTGTATTTCCTGAATCTGAACGTTGGCCTGCCTTGCTAGATTGGGGAAGTTCTCCTGGATAATATCCTGCAGAGTGTTTTCCAACTTGGTTCCATTCTCCACATCACTTTCAGGTACACCAATCAGACGTAGATTTGGTCTTTTCACATAGTCCCATATTTCTTGGAGGCTTTGCTCATTTCTTTTTATTCTTTTTTCTCTAAACTTCCCTTCTTGCTTCATTTCATTCATTTCATCTTCCATTGCTGATACCCTTTCTTCCACTTGATCGCATCGGCTCCTGAGGCTTCTGCATTCTTCACGTAGTTCTCGAGCCTTGGTTTTCAGCTCCATCAGCTCCTTTAAGCACTTCTCTGTATTGGTTATTCTAGTTATACATTCTTCTAAATTTTTTTCAAAGTTTTCAACTTCTTTGCCTTTGGTTTGAATGTCCTCCCGTAGCTCAGAGTAATTTGATCGTCTGAAGCCTTCTTCTCTCAGCTCGTCAAAATCATTCTCCATCCAGCTTTGTTCCATTGCTGGTGAGGAACTGCGTTCCTTTGGAGGAGGAGAGGCGCTCTGCGTTTTAGAGTTTCCAGTTTTTCTGTTCTGTTTTTTCCCCATCTTTGTGGTTTTATCTACTTTTGGTCTTTGATGATGGTGATGAACAGATGGGTTTTCGGTGTAGATGTCCTTTCTGTTTGTTAGTTTTCCTTCTAACAGACAGGACCCTCAGCTGCAGGTCTGTTGGAATACCCTGCCATGTGAGGTGTCAGTGTGCCCCTGCTGGGGGGTGCCTCCCAGTTAGGCTGCTCGGGGGTCAGGGGTCAGGGACCCACTTGAGGAGGCAGTCTGCCCGTTCTCAGATCTCCAGCTGCGTGCTGGGAGAACCACTGCTCTCTTCAAAGCTGTCAGACAGGGACACTTAAGTCTGCAGAGGTTACTGCTGTCTTTTTGTTTGTCTGTGCCCTGCCCCCAGAGGTGGAGCCTACAGAGGCAGGCAGGCCTCCTTGAGCTGTGGTGGGCTCCACCCAGTTCGAGCTTCCCAGCTGCTTTGTTTACCTAAGCAAGCCTGGGCAATGGCGGGCGCCCCTCCCCCAGCCTCGTTGCCGCCTTGCAGTTTGATCTCAGACTGCTGTGCTAGCAATCAGCGAGATTCCGTGGGCGTAGGACCCTCTGAGCCAGGTGTGGGATATAGTCTCGTGGTGCGCCGTTTCTTAAGCCGGTCTGAAAAGCGCAATATTCGGGTGGGAGTGACCCGATTTTCCAGGTGCGTCCGTCACCCCTTTCTTTGACTCGGAAAGGGAACTCCCTGACCCCTTGAGCTTCCCAGGTGAGGCAATGCCTCGCCCTGCTTCGGCTCGCGCACGGTGCGCACACACACTGGCCTGCGCCCACTGTCTGGCACTCCCTAGTGAGATGAACCCGGTACCTCAGATGGAAATGCAGAAATCACCCGTCTTCTGCGTCGCTCACGCTGGGAGCTGTAGACCGGAGCTGTTCCTATTCGGCCATCTTGGCTCCTCCCCACCGACCTAGAAGCTAATTTGTATTTTTCTAATGGCTACTGATGTTGAACATCTTTTCATGTCTTTATTTGCCATATGTATATCTTCTTCAGTGAAATGTCTGTGCATGTCTTTTGCCAATTTTCTAATTCAATTGTTTTTGTTATGTTCAGTTTTGAGAGTTCTTTATATATTTTAGATACTAGTATAGATATGTGGTACTTGTTCAACTATGGATGTCCAGTTGATCTAACACCATTTATATAAAAGAAACAAAAAACAACAAAAAAACTATCCTTCCTCCAATGAAGTGCTTTTGCAGCTTTGTCAATAATCAGTTTGCTGGCCAGGCATGACGGCTCACACCTGTAATCCCAGTTGAGGCTGAGGCAGGAGAATTGCTTGAGCCCGGGAGGCAGAGGTTGCAGTGAGCGGAGATTGTGCCACTGCACTCCAGCCTGGGTAATAGAGCGAGACTCTGTCTCAAAAAAAAAAAAAAAAAAATCAGTACTCATATGGGACTATTTCTGGATGCCCTGTTGTATTCCATTGATCTACATGTCAATACCTCTGCCTAGTCTTTTTTTTCTTTTAAGACAGGGTCTCGCTCTGACACCCAGACTACAGTGCAGTGGAGTGATCTCAGCTCACTGCAACTTCTACCCACTGGGCTCAAGTGATCCTCTCACCTCAGCCTCCTGAGGAGCTGGGACCACAGGTAATACACTACCACAACTGGCTATATATATTTTTTGTATTTTTAGCAGAGATGGGGTCTCTCCATGTTGCCCAGGCTGGTCTCAAATTCCAGAGCTCAAGGGATCCACCCACCTTGGCTTCCCAAAGTGCTGGGATTACAAGCGTGAGCGGCCATGCCTGGCCTACAATCTTAATTACTGTAGCTACCTAGTAAGTCTTACAATCAGGTTCAGCAATTGCTTTCAACTTATTCTTCCTTTTCAAAAATCATTTTAGCTAGTTTAATTCCTTTGTCTTTCCATATAAACATTAGAATCATCTTGTCTATATTTACAAAGAATCTTGCTGGGATTTGGATAGGAATTGCATCACACCTGTGTTATCAATTTGGGGAGAACTGACATCTTTACTATGTTGAGTTTTCTAATCCATGAACATCTGTATCTCTCCATTTATTAAGATCTTTGATTTCATCAGCATTTTGTGACTTTCAGCATACAGATTTTCAACACCTTTTGTTAAATTTTTATTTCATTTTCTTTGGAAGGACTGTAAATGGTCTTGCACTTTTTTCAGTTCCACATATTCATTGTTAGTATATAGAAAGGTAATCAATTTTTATATATTTATCTTGTATCCTGCAACCTTAACAAACTCACTTATTAGTTCCAGGAGTTTTGTTGTAGATTCCTTGTGATTTTTCTACACAGACTGACTATATGCCATCTGCAATTACAGTTTTATTTCTTCCTTACTGATGTCTATGCCTTCTATTTCATTTTCTTGCCTTACTGGTCTGGCTAAAACTTCCATTAGTATGTTGAAGAGCAGTAGAAAGAGCAGACATTCTAGCCTTCTTCCTGATTTTAGGAGAAAAACATCTTTCACCATTAAGTACAGTTGATCCTTGAACACAAGTTTGAGCTACACGGGTCCACTTATGCACAAATTTTTTTCAACCAAACACTGATAGAAAACACAGAATTCACATGATGCCAAACCCACGTATATAGAGGGCCAATTTTTCATATACACAGGTTCTGCAGGGCCTACCTACTGTGGGACTTGATTATGAGTGAATTTTAGTGTATGTGGGGGTCCTGGAACCAATCCCCCACATATGGCAAGGAATGACTGTATGTTAGCTGTAGGTTCTTTGTAGATGTTCTTTATCTTCAGGAAGTTCCCTTCTATTCTTAGTTTCCTGATAGTTCTTATCATGAATGAGTATTGAATTTTGTCAAATGCTTTTTCTGCATCCATTGATATAATCACATGATTTTTCTTCTTTAGCCTGTTTATTTGGTGGATTATATTTACAGATTTTTCAAATATTGAACAAGTCTTACAACAATGGAATAAACCCTACTCGGCCTTGGCCATGGCATGTAATTCTTTTTATATATTGCTGAATTCCCCTGGCTGATATTTCATTAAGAATTTTTGCATCCATATTGTCTTAGTCAATTTGGGCTGCTATAACAAAGTACCATAGACTGGGAGGCTTATAATCAACAGAAATTGATTTCTTACAGTTGTGGAGGCTCGGAAGTCTAAGATCAAGGTATTGGTAGAGGCATCTGGTGGGAACCTGCTTCCTGGTATGCAGATGGCTGTCTTCTCATTGTATCCTCATATAGTGGAGAGTAGAAAGAGCTATCTGGGGTTCCTTTTATAAGGGCACTAATCTCATTCATGAAGGTTCCATGCTCATGACCTAATTATCTCCCAAAGGCCCCATCTCTTAATACCATCACATTGGGGGTTAGGATTTCAACATAAGAATTGCGGGGGACAGGAACACTCAATCCATAACATATATTGATGAAGGATACTGGTCTGAAGTGTTGTTTTTATGTAATCCCTTTTCTTTTTAAGAGATGAGATGGCCGGGTGCAGTGGCTCACACCTGTAATCCCAGCACTTTGGGAGGCCGAGGCGGGCGGATCACGAGGTCAGGAGATCGAGACCATCCTGGCTAACATGGTGAAACCCTGTCTCTACTAAAAGTACAAAAAATTAGCCGGGCCTGGTGGTGGGCGCCTGTAGTCCCAGCTACTCGGGAGGCTGAGGCAGGAGAATGGTGTGAACCCGGGAGGTGGAGCTTGCAGTGAGCCGAGATTGTGCCACTGCATTCCAGCCAACAAACAAGACTCCATCTCAAAAAAAAAAAAAAAAAAAAAGATGAGATCTTATTCTGTTACCCAGGCTGGAGTGCAATGGAGTGGAGTGATCACAGCTCACTGCAGCCTCAAACTCCTGGATACAAGCAATCCTCTGGCCTCAGCCTGCGGAGTAGCTGGGACTACAGGTATGCACCATGCTCAGCTATATTAAAAAAAATTTTTTTTTGTAGTGATGGGGTCTCACTATGTTGCCCAGGCTGGTCTCAAACTCCTGGCCTCAATCATCTTCCCACTTGGGCCTCCCTAGGTATTGAGATTACAGACGTGAGCCACCATGCCTGGCCCAGGTATCTTTTTTGATATAATGATTTCTTTCCCTTTGAATGTATGCCCAGTAGTGGGATGGCTAGATTGAATGGTAGTTCGTTTTTTAGTTGAGAAATCTCTGTATTATTTTCTATAAAGGTTGTACTCATTTACATTCCTACCAACAGTATATAAGCATCCCCTTTTCTCTGCATCCTTGCCAACATCTGTTGGTTTTAGACTTGGTTCACGGCATCCTCCACCACCCAGATTCATGCAATTCTTGTGCCTCAGCCCCGCTTCCCTTCTCACCACCCTCCCACCCCCTCAAGAAGCTGGGATTACAAGTGTGTGCCACCATGCCCAGCTAATTTATTGTGTTTTTAGTAGAGACGGGTTTCGTCATGTTGGCCAGGCTGGTTTCAAACTCCTGGTCTCATGTGATCTGCCCGCCTCAGCCTCCCAAAGTGCTGGGATTACAGGCGTGAGCCACTGCACCCAGCTCACTGTGGTTTTAATATGCATTTCTCTGATAGCTAGTGATGCTGAGTATTTTTTCATATATTTGTCGGTCACTTGTACGTATTCTTTTGTAAAATGTCTTTTCTTGTCCTTTGCCTACTTTTTTTTTTTTTTAATTGATCATTCTTGGGTGTTTCTCGCAGAGGGGGATTTGGCAGGGTCATAGGACAATAGTGGAGGGAAGGTCAGCAGATAAACAAGTGAACAAAGGTCTCTGGTTTTCCTAGGCAAAGGACCCTGCGGCCTTCCGCAGTGTTTGTGTCCCTGGGTACTTGAGATTAGGGAGTGGTGATGACTCTTAACGAGCATGCTGCCTTCAAGCATCTGTTTAACAAAAACATCTTGCACCGCCCTTAATCCATTTAACCCTGAGTGGACACAGCACATGTTTCAGAGAGCACAGGGTTGGGGGTAAGGTCACAGATCAACAGGATCCCAAGGCAGAAGGATTTTTCTTAGTACAGAACAAAATGAAAAGTCTCCCATGTCTACTTCTTTCTACACAGACACAGCAACCATCCGATTTCTCAATCTTTTCCCCACCTTTCCCCCTTTTCTATTCCACAAAACCGCCATTGTCATCATGGCCCGTTCTCAATGAGCTGTTGGGTACACCTCCCAGACGGGGTGGTGGCCGGGCAGAGGGGCTCCTCACTTCCCAGTAGGGGCGGCCGGGCAGAGGCGCCCCCAACCTCCCGGACGGGGCGGCCGGCCGGGCAGGGGGCTGACCCCCCACCTCCCTCCCGGACGGGGCGGCCGGCCGGGGCGGCTGGCCTGGCGGGGGCTGACCCCCACCTCCCTCCCGGACGGGGTGGCTGCCGGGTGGAGACGCTCCTCACTTCCCAGACGGGGTGGCTGCCGGGCGGAGGGGCTCCTCACTTCTCAGACGGGGCGGCTGCCGGGCGGAGGGTCTCCTCACTTCTCAGACGGGCGGCCGGGCAGAGACGCTCCTCACCTCCCAGACGGGGTCGCAGCCGGGCAGAGGCGCTCCTCACATCCCAGACGGGGCGGCGGGGCAGAGGCCCTCCCCACATCTCAGATGATGGGCGGCCGGGCAGAGAAGCTCCTCACTTCCTAGATGGGATGGTGGCCGGGAAGAGGCGCTCCTCACTTCCTAGATCGGATGGAGGCCGGGCAGAGACGCTCCTCACTTTCCAGACTGGGCAGCCAGGCAGAGGGGCTCCTCACATCCCAGACGATGGGCGGCCAGGCAGAGACGCTCCTCACTTCCCAGACGGGGTGGTGGCCAGGCAGAGGCTGCAATCTCGGCACTTTGGGAGGCCAAGGCAGGCGGCTGGGAGGTGGAGGTTGTAGCGAGCCAAGATCACGCCACTGCACTCCAGCCTGGGCACCATTGAGCACTGAGTGAACGAGACTCCGTCTGCAATCCCGGCTCCTCGGGAGGCCGAGGCTGGCGGATCACTTGCGGTTAGGAGCTGGAGACCAGCCCGGCCAACACAGCGAAACCCGGTCTCCACCAAAAAAATATGAAAACCAGTCAGGCGTGGCGGCGCGCGCCTGCAATCGCAGGCACTCGGCAGGCTGAGGCAGGAGAATCAGGCAGGGAGGTTGCAGTGAGCCGAGATGGCAACAGTACAGTCCAGCTTCGGCTCGGCATCAGAGGGAGACCGTGGAAAGAGAGGGAGAGGGAGACCCTGGGGAGAGGGAGAGGGAGAGGGAGAGGGACACCGTGGGGAGAGGGAGAGGGAGAGGGAGACCGTGGGGAGAGGGAGAGGGAGAGGGAGAGGGAGACCGTGGGGAGAGGGAGAGGGAGAGGGAGAGGGAGAGCTGCCTACTTTTTAATGGGGTTATTTGCTTTTTTCTTGTTGAGTTCCTTGTAGATTCTGAATATTACCCCTTTGTCCAACGCATAGTTTGCAAATATTTTTCCCATTCTGTAGGCTATTTACTCTGTTGATTGTTTCTTTTGCTATGCAAAAGTCAAATATGTTTATAACTGTTTATCAAAGCATTTTTATGGTGGCTGTTGTGAAATCCTTGTCAGATAATTCAAACTTCTGTCATCTCTGTGTTCGTTTTGTTTTCTTGAGGTCTGAATTTGTTATCTTTCTGGTTCTAGGTATGATGAGGAATTTTCCATTGAAAACTGGACATTTTGGGTATTATTTTAAAATACTCTGGATCTTACTTAAACCTTGTGTATTAGTAGGCCTTTTCTGACCCCACTATGGTGGGTGAAGGGGGACACTGTGTCATTATTGACAGGTGGAAGTGGAAGTCCTGGCTCCCCACTTGACCTTATCTGACACCTCCCCAGCAGGAGCAGGTAGGGGCACCTCATTACAGCCTGGGCAAGTATGGAAGTCTAGGTTCTTCATTTGGCCTTTGCTGGTAGGGGTGGGGGTAGACCATTGTTTTCCTGTGGTATTTGGCTGGAGTACAGAGATTATTATTTAAAAATCTTTGTGTTGTTAGGTTGTTCTTTTCTGGTCCTTTGGCCAGAGAAAGTAGGTTTTGTGGTGGGCTTATAATGGTCTGCAGCTGTTGACATTTATGGGCTGCCAGTTTGTCCTACACCCAGTCTGGGATACGTGAGGCAAAAAGAAAATTCAGGGAACTCACCACTGCACCACTGCGTCATTCCTTGGGCCCCAAGATTTCTACTTTCTAGAGTGTCTTGTCCTTGTTTTATGGATAATGTCCTGGGCTTTTAGTTGTACTTAGCATGAGGACTAAGGAAAAATACATCTGATCTACTCTATCTTCCCAGAAACAGAGAAATGTTCTTTTGAACACACTAATTTGACTATGGCACTGTGTAGCTTAAAATACTTCAATGTCTCCAACTACCTACAGGTTCAAATCCCAAAACAAAAAATTCATGGGAGAGAGACTGTTAGATACACCTCTATGTTCCCAAAGCCCAGTATGGTTCTTTCTTTTTGTGTGTGAGACGGGGTCTCCTCTGTCACCCAGGCTGGAGTGCAGTGGCGCGATCACAGCTCACTGCAGCCTCAACCTCCCAGGGTCAAGCAATCTTCCCACCTCAGTCCCACAAGTAGGTGGGACTAGAGGCACATGCCACCATGCCCAGCTAATTTTTTTTTTTTTTTTTTCTGAGACGGAGTTTCGCTCTTGTTGCCGAGGCTGGAGTGCAATGGCACGATCTCGGCTCACCGCAACCTCCGCCTCCTGAGTTCAAGCGATTCTCCTGCCTCAGTCTCCCAAGTAGCTAGGATTACAGGCATGCGCCACCATGCCCGGCTAATTTTGTATTTTGGGTAGAAACAGGGTTTCTCCATGTTGGTCAGGCTGGTCTCGAACTCCTGACCTCAGGTGATCCGCCCGCCTTGGCCTCCCAAAGTGCTGGGATTACAGGCATGAGCCACTGCACCTGGCCTGTTTTTCTTTTTTCTTTCTTTCTTTCTTTTTTTTTTTTTTTGAGACGGAGTCTGGCTCTGTCGCCCAGGCTGGAGTGCAGTGGAGCAATCTCGGCTCACTGCAAGCTCCGCCTCCCAGGTTCATGCCATTCTCCCGAGTAGCTGGGACTACAGGCGCCTGCCACTGTGCCCAGCTAATTTTTTTTTGTATTTTTTAGTAGAGATGGGGTTTCACTGGGTTAGCCAGGATGGTCTCGATCTCCTGACCTCGTCATCTGCCCGCCTCGGCCTCCCAAAGTGCTGGGATTACAGGCGTGAGCCACTGCGCCCGGCCTTTATTATTATTATTATTTTTTGAGACAGGGTCTCACTCTGTCACCCAGGCTGGAGTACAGTAACACGATCAGGGCTCACTGCAGCCTTGACCTCCCAGACTCAATCAATTCTCCCATCTCAGCCCCCCAAGTAGCTGGGACTACACGTGTACACAACCACGCCTAATTTTTTCAATTTTTAGTAGAGATGGAGTTTCTCCATGTTGCCCAGGCTGGTCTTGAACTCCTGGACTCAAGTGATCCATCCACCTCAGCCCCACAAAGTACTGGGATTACAGGCATGAGGCACAGCACCCGGCATTTTTTCTAGTGATGGAGTCTTGCCACGTTGCCCAGGCTGGTCTTGAATTCCTGAGCTTAAGTGATCCGCCTGCCTTGGCCTCCCAAAGTGCTGGGATTACAGGTATGAGCTGCCATGCCTGGTCCAGCATGGTTCTTATAAGTAGTAGTCACTCTAAATGCTTGAATAATTGCAGAATTGGGGCTTAAGTTAATGTATTCCCAGTATCAGTATGCATTTTGTTGAATGTTGCATTTTCTTAAAGACTACTCCATAGCCAAAGGTACCCAATGTGCCTGGACAGACATATCTGCTGTGTCAAGTGCTGAGAGAATTGTCATAGCTAGAACTACACTTACCTTCCACAGGCAGCCGCCGTCGCATGGCCAAGCGTTCCATTTTCCTCTGTGTCTCTGCCAGACTAAAAAGAACTCCATATACATATTGACGAGCTGACCGGAATAAGAGAGCAGCTGGAGGCAGCTCCATGTTACACTCATCCTCAATACATACGGGGATCTTAATTTCACCCTAACAAGAGAACATTCCAGGGAAAAGGAAAAAATGAGTTACCTCAAGGTTTAGAACTGAGCTGAGAAGAGCCAATAATAAACTGTAGCCTCTGTGGCCTACTAAATTTATTTGTATTTAGACAGTTTCATACTAAAAAGAAGCTGTAACAAGCTTAGCTGATTGCAGCCTACTTATAAGCTATATTTCATTTTTAAAGTCTCAACGGCTGGGCATGGTGGCTCATGCCTGTAATCCCAGCACTTTGAGAGGCTGAGGCGGGTGGATCACCTGAGGTCAGGAGTTCTAGACCAGGTGAAACCCCGTTTCTACTAAAAATACAAAAGTTAGCCAGGTGTGGTGGCAGGTGCCTGTAGTCCCAGCTACTCAGGAGGGCTGAGGCCGGAGAATTGCTTGAACCTCGGAGGCAGAAGAGTACAGCACTCCAGCTTGGGCAACAGAGCGAGACTCTGTCTCAAAAAATAAAACAAAATAAAATAAAATAAAGTCTCAACAATGACTATAGCTAATGAATGGGGAAAGTCCACCTTAGGCATTTTGCTCGAGGATGGACATGTATAAGACCAGAGGAGGGGAACAGCTTTGTGGAAGTAGAAAAAGAAATAAGGAAAAGGGCATAAAGCCTCTTAGACTGTGTCCATCCCTAGAACCAGACCAACTTGGTGCATTATCTACTTCAAAATCTCACAATTACACTTCTCTTCTAGGGGACTCATTTACCACACAGTCCCAACTCCTGCTAGTCTGGCCTCACCTAAGGCCTTAGTAGGATGAGGGGCCCACCACATGTGGCCTTCTTTTTCTAACTTCATATACCAGTGACCAGAATGTTCTCTGTAACTTACAGTCCTAGGAAGTAGGAAGTACAGTGTTAAGAGCAGGGAGGTAGGTGCTGATGTGCTGCCTCACCTTAGTGAGGACATGGTAGATATATGGGTACATAAGACCCCTCCGGTGTCTGTGTTCAGCAACTCTCAAGACTTCTGGAGCTACTGGAGGTAAGGGTGGAATGGTGATATCCATGTGGTTCCTTGTAGACATAGACAGCAGAGATGGGATGTGGGGCTCACCATCACCTAGGCTCGCTTCTGAAACTCCAGTATCAACAGGCTGTGCCCAGGACCCTCTGTCACGATTGGGATTTCCCCACTCAGGCTGGTGATGAAATGCTTCTGTGATATGACTAAAAAATGTAGAAAGACAGTGTCAAACAGAAAAGGGAGATTGATAAAGATATTCCTACTTAAGATGCCTGTTCTGGACCCAAGGGGTCTCACAAACCCTTTGGAGGGCAGGACACTGGGTTAGCACTGGACTGGTACCTTTCCTCTCAATGGCCATTACTGACTTCCTGGTTTCTTTCACCTGACACCAACCAAAGTGATCAAAAGTCATGGGAATCACTCTGGACCCTTTATACCTTGTAAGAGGCCATGTTTAGAGTTTGCTTATGTTTTAAGAAAATAATCACAATTACAACCTCAAAGCAGCTCTGTTTCCCAGGACTAATCTGCTTAGAGGAATAATCAACGAACAAATGAGCTAGCACAAATCCCACTGTTTTAATCCTCAGAACCCTGTCTTAGTTACTAAGCAATAAAATTGCTTACTCAACGATTCCACTATTTCCACTCTATAAATGCTTTTCTTTTTTTGACATTTAATCTGCCCTCCTCACAAATTAAGAAATGACAGCCACAATACCCATACCAAGGCTTCCTTAATCAGCTCCTATGCTGCCTTTTACTTCAGTGGCCTGGGTGTTTGAAAATTACCATCTGCACAGGGCCAAATAAGCATGAAGTGGGCAAGCATAGAAAACGTTTTCCTACTTTGCTTTCCTAAGAGCAAAACACTACAGAGGAAACCCAGGAATACACTTTCCCACACCCTCCACCCATCTAACAAGCAAAATAATACAGATGCCTCAGAAATCTACTTCCTTAGGTGTCTACAGAGATACTTACTCAGAGCTAGCTCCATTTGGCTCATCACCATCAGAGGAAGAGGAGTGGGAAGAGTCTGGTCCCAAAGGAGGTGAGGCTTTAGAAGGCAGGTAATTGGGAAACTGGGATGCAGAAGAGTCATAGGAGACAGCCCAATTGGCAAAGGGGCTGTTCTGCAGCATGGGATCCTCAGAAAAAGCATGGGATTCCCCCAAAGCATGGGAGGAGAAGAGAAGAGATGAGTTGGGTCCCACTGGGAATGGTGGTGGATATTTCACTTTCTGGGGCACTTGATGAGAAAACTAAACGATAAAACAGACAGAAAAGCTATTTAACATTTTATAAGGCTCCAAGGTGGCTCCCTCAGAAGTTGTGACACAGTGGATGATGCCAGCAGTGGAGATTGTTGAGATACAAAGCACCTAATGAGAATAATGAGAAATGATGTATGAACAGAATCCTCCACAGACAGGACAATGAACAGTTGAAGTCTCCTAGAACTATTCTCTGATATTAGCTAATCTATTTTCACAATGACTAGTGGTTACTGATTTGGATGCTTTTTTTGCATAGTCTTCCAGCCTTAAGTTGAGAAGGTAATATAGTATATATAGCCCTGACAGTCTAATAACACTGAATCACCCTAACTCCTCAGATTATAAAAATCAGGAAGCAACCTGAGTCTAATGCTATCTCAGGCTTCTTAAAGGATGCTTACCATTGGCTTTCCAGCAGAAATGGTGCCCACTTGATTTCGTGGAAGGGGAGGATTTCCAAGCCTATTATTCCGAAAACCTGAAGCCAAGAGAAAGAGCTATACTTCAGTCAATCCTAATAATTTTACCATGTTATATTCTGCTCACCCCATATCACCTGAAAAAGTGTTATTAATAAATAAGTTACAATTTATTGAACAGCTACTATGTGCCATGCTGAGAACCTTACATAAATTATTTCATCTGATAAGAATCTTATAAAGTAGGTATCATGAGCCACATTTCATATAAATGTGACTTGCCAAGGTTCACTTGCTGGTAATTAGCAGAAGTGGAATTCCAACTCAGGCCAGACCCCAAAGACAGGGATATTTTACATATACCAGGCCAGAATGGGGGTTGGCATCAGAAGAAGCCCAAGCTAAGGAAATGGCATTGCACCCCATCTGTAAATTTGAGAAAGCAGGGCCCTTCTTTTTTTTTTTTTTTTGAGGTGGAATTTCACTCTTGTTGCCCAGGCTGGAGTGCAATGGCGCGATCTTGGCTCACCGCAAACTCCGCCTCCCGGGTTCAAGCGATTCTCCTGCCTCAGCCTCCCGAGTAGCTGGGATTACAGGCGCCTGCCACCACGCCCAGCTAATTTTTTGTATTTTTCATAGAGACGGAGTTTCACCATGTTGGCCAGGCTGGTCGTGAACTCCTGACCTCAGATGATCCGCCCGCCTCAGCTTCCCAAAGTGCTGGGATTATAGGCGTGAGCCACTGTGCCTGGCCAGGGCCCTTCTTATGTTACGTCTCTTATGACACAGAAATCAAAAGGAGAAAGCCTACCAAACAGGGATGAGGAATGACTTGTAGGAGGATATAACACGAATGAGTGATTCCACTCTGGCCCTGGAGTTCCTGAGGGACCAACTCAGTTTCCCCTATGAACAGAGCAGCTTAGGGTCAGATGGAAGCCTTACCTAGAAAGGAGGGACCCACTGGCAGCGAAGAGAGTTTGGTTGTGACTGAATAATACTCAACTGCTTTCTTGAATCGCTCTATTTTATCTTCTGTCCTGGACTGGATGTTGGAACATCAGATTTTCAGAAGAAAAAACATGAGAGTGTTTTTTTAATACAGTTCATAATTTGGGAATCAAAATAATTATCAGAAATCAAATATTTAAAGAAACCTAAGAAAGCAAATTTTCGCTTTGCAGACAAGATTAGGCAGGGAGAAAGCATTATGAAACATCAAATATGGAATACTTAAAGCTTATATTTTGTGCTATTCTAAAATGATTACATGATCATTACAAAAAAATACAATGGGATAAGGGGGAAAAATCACATAGTACCACCATCCAAATATATTTTGGTGTCTTTCTAAAATAATTGGTGTCTTTCCTTACAGTATGTTTTAATTTTATTATTTTATTATTATTATTATTATTATTATTTGAGACAGAGTCTCGCTCTGTCGCCCAGGCTAGAGTTCAGTGGTGTGATCTTGGCTCACTGCAACCTCCACCTCCCAGGTTCAAGCGATTCTCCTGCCTCAGCCTCCCGAGTAGCTGGGATTACAGGTGTGTGCCACCACGCCCAGCTAACTTCTGTATTTTTAGTAGAGACAGGGTTTCACTATGATGGCCAGGCTGGTCTCGAACTCCTGACCTCAAGTGATCCATCTGCCTTGGCCTCCCAAAGTGCTGGGATTACAGGCGTAAGCCACGGTGCCCGGCCAATTTTTTTTTATTTTTGCTCAGGCTGGTTTTAAACTCCTGGCCTCAAACAATCCTCCTGCCTCAGCTTCCCAAAGTGCTGGGATAATAGGCATGAACCACTGTGGCTGGCTTACAGTATTATTTTGTATAATTTTGTTGATGTATAGCTGGTCTATTTTAATATATGTATTTTTCTATAGTTGACAGTATGCTTTATGTACAATTTTGTATCCTGCTTTTATAATAATAATCTAAGTAATTTTGAATGGCTGCATATTTTGTCATTATGAATGTGTCATAAATTATGTAACCTCTTCCCTAATAAAAACACTTAGGTAATTTTTCACATTTGGCTTTTGTAAGTTATACAGCAAAGAGTATATATTGTCTATATAAATTTTTTTCTGGATTTCAGATTATGCTCTTAGGAAAATATCCTAAAAATGAAATTATTGGTTCAAAAGGTATGAACATTAAAACCAAAGGCACTTAAACATATATAAAACCACAATATGACACCACTACATATCCACCAAAATGGCTAAAGTAAAAGACTATCAATATCAAGCACTGGCAAGGATATGAAGTAACTGAACTCCAGTACATTGATGGTGGGAGTGTACATTGGTACAGTTTGGAAAACAATTTGGCAGTTTCTTATAAAATTAAATTACACTTACCATATGATACAGCAATCCTACTTCTTCTAGGAGGATACAGTTAAATACTACCCAAGAGAAATGAGTACATATATCCACCAAAAGACATGAACAAGAATGTTAACAACTACTTTATTCATAATAGCCCCAAACTGGAAACAACTCAAATATATATCAATGGAAGAATAAATAAATTGTGGTATATTCATACAATGGATTACTATACAGTTATAAAAAAGAACAAAGTATTGATATACACGATAATATGTGTAAGTCTCAAAGATATTATACTGAGTGAAGAAGGGAGACACAAAAGAGTACACATAAACTGGGCCTGGTGGCTCACACCTGTAATCTCAGCACTTTGGGAGGCTGAGGCAGGCAGATCACTTCTGCCCAGGAATTCAGACCAGCCTGAGTAACATGACAAAACCCCGTCTCTGCAAAAAATACAAAAATTAGCTGGGTGTGGTGGCGTGTGCCTGTAGTCCCAGGCACTTGGGAGGCTGAGGTGGGAGGATCGCTTGAGCCTGGGAGGTCAAGGCTGCAGTGAGCCGAAATTGTGCCACCGCACTCCAGCCTGGGCAACAGAGACACTGTCTCAAAAAAAAAAAAAAAAAAAAAGAGTACATATAAAGTTCAGGTAAAGGAGGGCCAGGTGCAGTGGCTCACACCTGTAATCTCAGCACTTTGGGAGGCCAAGGTGGGGCTCACCTTTGGCCAGGAGTTCGAGACCAGCCTGGCCAACATGGTAAAAACCTGTCTCTACTAAAAATACAAAAATTAGCTGGGCATGGTGGTGCACGCCTGTAGTCCCAGCTACTTGGGAGGCTGAGGCAAAAGAATCGCTTGAACCCAGGAGGCTGCAGTGAGCCGAGATCTTGCCACTGCACTCCAGCCTAGGCGACAGAGCGAGACTGTCTAAACAAACAAACAAACAAAAAGTTCAGGTAAAGGCAAAACTAATCTGTGGCAACAGAAGTAAAAATTAATGTTTATCTCTGTAGGGAAAGGGCTAAGAAGGGGCTTTTTCATTTATCAAGCCTTTTCCAAAGTTATTTAAAAGTCTCCTTGAATATAATTTTAAGACCATCATAATATTTCATCAAGTGGAATGGAAGATATTAAAGTCATTTTCAGTTTCTAATTATAAATAATACTCTCACATAGGCATATTTTTATGTAGGTCTTCTGGGTTATTTCATAGGGCAAATTTTTAGAAGTGTAGTTACTAGGTCAAAGGGTGTGATCGTTTTCACAAACTCTTGACACATGATACTAAATCTCTTTCCAAAACAGATGTCTCAAGTTATACTACCATCATGAATGTACAAGAGTGTCCCACCATACAGCCCTAGTGTTGAGTATTCTCTACAAATAAAAAACTGTAAAACATGTATAATGTTATCTCTCATAGATTTTGATTTTTTTTTTGCTTTTATTTATTTATTTATTTATTTATTTATTTATTTGAGATGGAGTCTTGCTCTGTGCCCAGGTTGGAGTGCAGTGGCACAATCTCGGCTCACTGCAACCTCCTGGGTTCAAGTGATTCTCCTGCCTCAGCCTCCCGAGTAGCTGGGACTACAGGCACCCGCCACCATGCCCAGCTAATTTTTTTTGTATTTTTAGTACAGACGGGGTTTCACTGTGTTAGCCAGGATGGTCTTGATCTCCTGACCTCGTGATCCGTCCATCTCGGCCTCCCAAAGTTCTGGAATTACAGGCGTGAGCCACCTTGCCTGGCCCCTGCTTTTATTTTTAAATTTTTTTATTTATTTGTATTTTTGAGACAGACAGGGTCTCCTCTGTTGCCCAGGCTGGAGTACAGTGGTGTGATGATAGCTCACTGCAGCCTTGAACTCCTGGGCTCAAGTGATCTTCTCACCTCAGCCTCCTGAGTAGCTGGACTACAGGTGTGTACCACCACACCTGGCTAGATTGTGATTGTTAACACTCCAGGATCTATACAGCATTCCAGGCCTCTTTATTTGCAGCGTGCATGTACATAAACACAAGAGTTGAGGTCTTCAGGTCCTCTAGCCTAACTTAAAAACAAAATGGCTCTCCTTTTTCCAAAAAGCTGAATTTCATGTAACTATTTGAAAGAAGGGTTCCCGGCCGGGCACGGTGGCTCATACCCATATTCCCAGCACTCTGGGAGGCCGAGGCGGGCGGATCACTTGAGTTAAGGAGTTCGAGACTAGCCCAGGACAACATGGTGAAATCCCGTCTCTATTAAAAATAAAAAAAATTAGCCGGGTGTGGTGGCGTGCACCTATAATCTCAGCTACTTGGGAGGCTGAGGCAGGAGAATTGCATGAACCCAGGAGGCGGAGGTTGCAGTGAGCTGAGATCGCACCATTGCACTCCAGCCTGGGTGACAGAGACTCTGTCTCAAAAAAAAAAAAAAGAAAAAGAAAAAAGAAAAGGAAAGAAATAATAGCTGGGCGCGGTGGCTCACACCTGTAATCCCAGCACTTTGGTAAGCTGAGGCGGGTGGATCACCTGAGTTCAGGAGTTCGAGACCAGCCTGGCAAACATGGTGATACCCCATCTTTACTAAAAATACAAAAAAGTAGCCAGGCGTGGTGGCGGACACCTGTAATCCCAGCTACTCAGGAGGCTGAGGCAGGAGAATCACTTGAACCTGGGAGGCAGAGGTTGCAGTGAGCTGAAATCACACCACTGCACTCCAGCCTGGGCAACAAGAGTAAAACTCCGTCTCAAAGAAAAAAAAAAAAGAAAAGAAAAAGAAAAAAAGAAAGAAAGAATAGCTGGCCAGGCACAGTGCCTCACTCCTGTAATCCCAGCACTTTGGGAGGCCGAGGCAGGCGGATCACTTAAGACCAGCCTGGCCAACAAGGTGAAACCCTGTCTCTACCAAAAATACAAAAATTAGCCAGGCGTGGTAGCAGGTGCCTGTAGTCCCAGCTACTTGGGAGGCTGAGGCAGGAGAATCCCTTGAACCCGAGAGATAGGGGTTGCAGTGAGCCAAGATTGTGTCACTGCACTCCAGCTTGGGTGACAGAGTGAGACTCCGTCTCAAAAAAAAAAAAAAAAGAAAGAAAGAAAAAGAAATAATAGCTAAAAACTCCTCAAATTTAGTGACTGACAAACAGAGATGCAAGAAGCTCTAAACAGTATAAATTCAAAGAAATCCATGCCAAACACATCACTGGCAAATTCTACCAAACAATTAAAGAAGAAATAACACCAATTCTACAAAATCTCTTCCAATAACAGAAGAGGAAAGAACTCTTGCCAACTCATTTCATTAAGTCTGGCATTGCCTTGAAAATAAAACCAGACTAAGGACAGCACAAAAAAATTATAGGTCAATATCCCTCATGAAAATAAATGCAAAAATACTCAATGAAATACCAGCAATTCAAATCCAGCAATACAAAAAGGGACTAATATACTACAATCACATCCTGGGAATATAAGGATGGTTGAATATTCAAAAATCAATCTAAAATATTAATGGACTAAAGAAGAAATACAACATGATCCTATCAATATATGTGGAAAAATGCAATTGCCAAAATACAAACACCCAGGAAACTAGGAATAGAAGATAACTTCCTCAACCTGATAACATGCACAAAAACTACAGCTAATATCCTATGTAATGAAGACTGAATGCTTTCTCTAAAGATCGGGAACAAGATAAGAATATATATTCTTAGCATTTGTATTCATATCATTTGGAAATCCTAGACAGTGCAGTATAGTCAAGAAGAAAAAGGCATACAGATGGGAAAATAAAATAAAATGGTCATTATCCATAGACAATATGATCACCTACACAGAAAATCCCAAGAAATCTACCAAAAAACTCCTAGAAGTAATAAGTGAGTTTAGAAGAGTCATAGAATACAAGGGCAACATTCAAAAATCAATTGCATTTCTATATATTAGCAATGAACAATTAGAAATTTAAAAAACAAAATATCCTTTATAATAGGTGTCTCAAATATGAAATACTTAAGTATAAATATTTTTTATATGTACAGTTGTATGCTAAAAACTATAAAACTTTTAGCTGATGAAAAAAATCAAAGAAGACCTAAATAAATAGGCAAATAATATTCATGGATTCAAAGGCTCACCAAATTCATCTATATATTTAATGCGATTCCAATAAAAATTGCAGCAATATTTCTTTTTTGTAGATGTATAGACAAGATTATTCTAAAATTTATATGAAAAGGGAGGAGGTTCCAAGATGGCCAAATAGGAACAGCTCCAGTCTACAGCTCCCAGCGTGAGCGACACAAAAGACGGGTGATTTTTGCATTTCCAACTGAGGTAGTGGGTTCATCTCACTGGGGCTTGTTGGACAGTGGGTGCTGGGTGCAGCCCACAGAACAGGGTGGGGCATTGCCTCACCTGGGAAGCGCAAGGGGTCGGGGAATTCCCTTTCCTAGCCAAGGGAAGGCCATGACAGATGGTACCTGGAAAATCGGGACACTCCCACCCTAATACTGCACTTTTCCAATGGTCTTAGCAAATGGCACACCAGGAGATTATATCTCACGCCTGGCTCGGAGGGTCCTACACACGGAGCCTTGCCCACAGAGCCTCACTCACTGCTGGCACAGCAGTCTGAGGTCGAACTGCAAGGCAGCAGCGAGGCTGGGGGAGGGGCGTCCGCCATTGCTGAGGCTTGAGTAGGTAAACGAAGCCACCCAGAAGCTGGAACTGGGTGGAGCCCACCACAGCTCAAGGAGGACTGCCTGCCTCTGTAGACTCCACCTCTGGGGGCAGGGCATAGCTGAACAAAAGGCAGCAGAAACTTCTTCAGACTTAAACATCCCTGTGTGACAGCTTTGAAGAGAGTAGTGGTTCCCCCAGCACAGAGTTTGAGATCTGAGAATGGACAGACTGCCTCCTCAAGTGGGTCCCTGAACCCCGAGTAGCCTAACTGGGAGACACCTCCCAGTAGGGGCCGACCGACACCTCATACAGCCGGGTGCCCCTCTGAGATGAAGCTTCCAGAGGAAGGATCAGGCAGCAACATTTGCCATTCTGCAATATTTGCTGTTCTGCAGGCTCCGCTGGTGATACCCAGGTAAACAGGGTCTGGAGTGGACCTCCAGCAAACTCCAACAGACCTGCAGCTGAGGGTCCTGACTGTTAGAAGGAAAACTAACAAACGGAAAGGACATCCACACCAAAACCCCATCTGTACATCACCATCATCAAAGACCAAAGGTAGATAAAACCACACAGATGGGGAGAAACCAGAGCAGAAAAGATGAAAATTCTGTGTAGAGGGAAATTTATAGCACTAAATGCCCACAAGAGAAAGCAGGAAAGATCTAAAATTGACACCCTAACATCACAATTAAAAGAACTAGAGAAGCAAGAGCAAACACATTCAAAAGCTAGCAGAAGGCAAGAAATAACTAAGATCAGAGCAGAACTGAAGGAAATACAGACACAAAAAACCCTTCAAAAAAATCAATGAATCCAGGAGCTGGTTTTTTGAAAAGATCAACAAAATTGATAGACCGCTAGCAAGACTAATAAAGAAGAAAAGAGAGAAGAATCAAATAGACGCAATAAAAAATGATAAAGGGGATATCACCACTGATCCCACAGAAATGCAAACTACCATCAGAGAATACTATAAACACCTCTACGCAAATAAACTAGAAAATCTAGAAGAAATGGATAAATTCCTGGACACATACACCCTCCCAAGACTAAACCAGGAAAAAGTTGAATCTCTGAATAGACCAATAACAGGCTCTGAAATTAAATTGAGGCAATAATTAATAGCCTACCAACCAAAAGAAGTCCAGACAGATTCACAGCCAAATTCTACCAGAGGTATAAGGAGGAGCTGGTACCATTCCTTCTGAGACTATTCCAATCAACAGAAAAAGAGGGAATCCTCCCTAACTCATTTTATGAGGCCAGCATCATCCTGATACCAAAGCCTGGCAGAGACACAACAAAAAAAGAATTTTAGACCAATATCCCTGATGAACATTGATGCAAAAATCCTCAATAAAATACTGGCAAACCGAATCCAGCAGCACATCAAAAAGCTTATCCACCATGATCAAGCTGGCTTCATCCCTGGGATGCAAGTCTGATTCAACATAGGCAAATCAATAAACGCAATCCATCATATAAACAGAAGCAAAGACAAAAACCACATGATTATCTCAATAGATGCAGAAAAGGCCTTCAACAAAACTCAACAGCCCTTCATGCTAAAAACTCTCAATAAGCTAGGTATTCATGGGACGTTATCTCAAAATAATAAGAGCTATTTATGACAAACCCACAGCCAATATCATACTGAATGGGCAAAAACTGGAAGCATTCCCTTTGAAAACTGGCACAAGACAGGGATGCCCTCTCTCACCACTCCTATTCAACATAGTGTTGGAAGTTCTGGCCAGGGCAATCAGGCAGGAGAAAGAAATAAAGGGTATTCAATTAGGAAAAGAGGGAGTCAAATTGTCCCTGTTTGCAGATGACATGACTGTATATTTAGAAAACCCCATCGTCTCAGCCCAAAATCTCCTTAAGCTGATAAGCAACTTCAGCAAAGTCTCAGGATACAAAATCAATGTGCAAAAATCACAAGCATTCCTCTACACCAATAACAGACAACCAGAGAGCCAAATCATGAGTGAACTCCCAGTCACAATTGCTTCAAAGAGAATAAAATACCTAGGAATCCAATTTACAAGGGCTGTGAAGGACCTCTTCAAGGAGAACTACAAACCACTGCTCAATGAAATAAAAGAGGACACAAACAAATGGAAGAACATTCCATGCTCATGGATAGGAAGAATCAATATTGTGAAAATGGCCATACTGCCCAAGGTAATTTATAGATTCAATGCCATCCCCATCAAGCTACCAATGACTTTCTTCACAGAATTGGAAAAAACTACCTTAAATTTCATATGGAATCAAAAAAGAGCCTGCATTGCCAAGACAATCCTAAGCCAAAAGATCAAAGCTGGAGGCATCACACTACCTGACTTCAAACTATACTACAAGGCTACAGTAACCAAAACAGCATGGTACTGGTACCAAAACAACGATATAGACCAATGGAACAGAACAGAGCCCTCAGAATTAATACCACACATCTACAACCATCTGATCTTTGACAAACCTGACAAAAACAAGCAATGGGGAAAGGATTCCCTAGTTAATAAATGATGCTGGGAAAACTGGCTAGCCATATGTAGAAAGCTGAAACTGGATCCCTTCCTTACGCCTTATACAAAAATTAATTCAAGATGGATTATACACTTAAATGTTAGACCTAAAACCATGAAAACCCTAGAAGAAAACCTAGGCAATACCATTCAGGACATAGGCATGGGCAAGGACTTCATGACTAAAACACCAAAAGCAATGGCAACAAAAGCCAAAATAGACAAATGGGATCTAATTAAACTAAAGAGCTTCTGCACAGCAAAAGAAACTACCATCAGAGTGAACAGGCAACCTACAGAATGGGAGAAAATTTTTACAATCTACCCATCTGACAAAGGGCTAATATCCAGAATCTACAAAGATTTACAAGAAAAAAATCAAACAACCCCATCAAAAAGTGGGTGAAGGATATGAAAAGACACTTCTCAAAATAAGACATTTATGCAGACAAAAGACACATGAAAAAATGTTCATCATCACTGGCCATCAGAGAAATGCAAATCAAAACTACAATGAGATACCATCTCACAACAGTTAGAATGGCGATCATTAAAAAGTCAGGAAACAACAGATGCTGGAGAGGATGTGGAGAAATAGGAACACTTTTACACTGTTGGTGGGACTGGAAACTAGTTCAACCATTGTGGAAGACAGTGTGGTGATTCCTCAGGGACCTAGAACTAGAAATACCATTTGACCCAGCCATCCCATTACTGGGTATATACCCAAAGGATTATAAATCATGCTGCCATAAAGACACATGCACACGTATGTTTACTGTGGCACTATTCACAATAGCAAAGACTTGGAACCAACCCAAATGTCCATCAATGACAGACTGGATTAAGAAAATGTGGCACATACACACCATGGAATACTATGCAGCCATAAAAAAGGATGAGTTCACGTCCTTTGTAGGGACATGGATGAAGCTGGAAACCATCATTCTCAGCAAACTATCGCAAGGACAGAAAACCATACACCACATGTTCTCACTAATAGGTGGGAATTGAACAATGAGAACACTTGGACACAAGGTGGGGAACATCACACACCGGGGCCTCTCGTGGGGTGGGGGAAGGGGGGAGGGATAGCATTAGGAGATATACCTAATGTAAATGACGAGTTAACAGGTGCAGCACACCAACATGGCACATGTATACATATGCAACAAACCTGCACGTTGTGCACATGTACCCTAGAACTTAAAGTATAATAAAAAAATAAATAAAATTAAATTAAAAAAAATAAAATTTATACGGAAAGACAAAGGAACAAATATAGATAACAGTGAAAAATAATATAAGTTGGCTGGGTGCAGTGGCTCATGCCTGTAATCCCAGTATTTTGGGAGGCCAAAACAGGAGGATTGCTTGAGCCCAGGAGTTTGAGACCAGCCTGGGTAACATAGCGGGACCTTATCTCTACAAAAAATTTAAAAATTAGCCAGGCATGGTGGCACACACCTGTAGTTCCAGCTACTTGGGAGGCTGAAGCAGCAGGATCACTTGAGCCCAGGAGGTTGAAGCTGCAGTGAGCCATGTTTGTGCCACTGTACTCCGGCCTGGGCAACAGAGTGAAACTCTGTCTCTAAATGAATGAATGAATGAATGAATGTGGTGGAATCACTAACCAATTTTAAGACTTATTATAAAGCTACAGTAATCAAGATAGTGTATTACTGGTAAAAGGATAGACACATAGATCAACTGAACAGAACAGAGTCCAGAAGTAGACCCACACAAACATGGCCAATTTATTTTTAACAAAAGTGCAAAGGTAATTCAATGGGGAAAAGATAGTCTTTTCAACAAACTGTGCTGAAACAATTTGACATCCATATGAAAAACACAACCTCTCATACTTTATACAGAAATGAACTAAATATGGATGATTTGTTCTAAAATGTGAAGTGCAGAACTATGTAATTAAAAAAGAAAAGCAGGCCGGGCGTGGTGGCTCATTCCTGTAATCCTAGCACTTTGGGAGGCCGAGGCGGACGGATCACCTGAGGTCAGGAGTTCGAGACCAGCCTGGCCAACAGGGTGAAACCCCATCTCTACTAAAAATACAAAAGATCAGCCAGGTGTGGGGGCGCGTGCCTGTAATCCCAGCTACTCAGGAGGCTGAGGCACAGTAATCGCTTGAAGCAAGGACGTGGAGGTTTCAGTGAGCTAAGATAGTGTCACTGCACTCCAGCCTGGGTGACAGAGTGAGACCCCATCTCAAATAAATAAATAAATAAATAAATAAGAAAAACAGAAAGTAGAAGTGAGGTGACGAAGGGAACGTCATCATTTGGAAAGCCTCACATTAAGACGCACACATTGCGCTGCTGCTACAGCTCTAATACCTGCCACTTTCAGAAGTCAATGTGTGGCAAATGTCGTTACCCTCCCAAGCATAAAATAAAGTATAACTGGAGTGCTAAGGCTAAAAGACAAAATACCGCCGGGATTGGTGTTACTAGTTACCTAAAAATTGTACACCATGAATTCAGGCATGGACTCTGTGAAGGAATAACACAAAAACCCAAAGGGGCAGCTGTAGCAGCATCCAGTTCCTTTTAAGAATTTCAATGATTGGTCACGCAATAAATGTTTTGTTGCTTTTTCTTTTTTTGAGATGAAGTTTCACTCTTGTTGCCCAGGCTGGAGTACAATGGTGCAATCTCGGCTCACTGTAACCTCCGCCTCTCGGGTTCAAGCGATTCTCCTGCCTCAGCCTCCTGAGTAGCTGGGATTACAGGCACGCGCCACCATGCCCAGCTAATTTTTTGTATTTTTAGTAGAGATGGGGTTTCACCATGTTGGCCAGGCGGGTCTCAAACTCCTGACCTTAAGGTGATCCACCCACCTCAGCCTCCCAAAGTGTGGGGATTACAGGTGTGAGCCACCACGTCCGGCCAATGTTCTGGTTTTTAAAAAATATTTTTAAAAAAGAGAACAAAAGAATATTGTCATGCCTGCGGTTGGGCAAAGAGTTCTTAGACATCACACCAAAAGCATGACCCATAAAAGATAAAAACTAATGAAAAATTTAAAACTTTGCTCTGCAAAAGATGCTGTTAAAAGAAAAGACAACTACAGACTGGGGGAAAATATTTGCAAACCAGATATCTGTCAGAGCACTCATATGCATTATAAAGAACTCTCAAAACACCACAGTAAGTAAATGAACAAACCAATTTTAAAAAAAAAAGGAAAAGACTGTTCATGAACAAATCATTTACCAAAGAGGATATATGAATGAAGTATGCTCAGAACAAAAATGTTGGCCAGGTGCAGTGGCTCACACCTGTAATCCCAGCACTTTGGGAGGCCGAGGTGAGCAGAAGGCTTGAGCTCAGGAGTTTGAGACCAGCCTAGGCAACACAGCAAAACCCTGTCTCTACGAAAAGTACAAAAATTAGCCAGGCATGATGGTGTGCGCCTGTAGTCCGAGCTACTTGGGAGGCTGTGGTGGAAAGACTGCTCAAGCCCGGGAGGCGGAGGCTGCAGTGAGCAGAGGTCGTGCGACTACACACCAGCCTGGGCAATAAAGTGAGACTGTGTCTCAAAAAGAAAAAAATGTTCATCATTAGTCACTTGGGAAACATAAAACTATGACGAGCTACCACTACGCACCTATTAGAACAGCTATAAAAAACACTGACAATCTGTTGTATAACATGGCGGCTACAGTTAATAACAACGTATTATATTTTTGGAAATTACTAAAAGAGTAGATTTTAAATGTTCTCACCACAAAAAAATGAAAAGCATTTGAGGTAATATATATGTTAATTAGCTCGATTTAGCCATTCTATGATGTATACATATTTCAAAACACGTTGTATGCAATAAATATATCTAATTTTCATTTGTCAATTAAAAAAATAAATGGAAAAAAACCTGACAATACCAAATGCTGGTAAGGAATGGAACAGCTACTTTGGCAAGGTCTTATAAATTTAAACATACACTTACCACATGACCCTGAAACTCCATTTGTAGGTATTTACACCAGGGAAATAAAAACTTATGTTCATACAAAAACCTGTACACAAATGTTTATAGCAGCTCTATTCATAACACCATAAATCGAAATAAATCTAAATATTCTTTAACGGGTAAATGTATAAACAAACTGGCATATCCATGCAATGACTATTACTCAGCAATAAAAAGGAATGAATTATTGATACAGGTAACACGCAACAACTTAGAAGAATCTCAAAGGTAGTATGTTGAATTAAAGAAGCCGTTCTCAAAATATCACATACTGGGCCGGACGCGGTAGCTCACGCCTGTAATCCCAGCACTTTGGGAGGCCAAGACAGGTGGATCACCTGAGGTCAGGAGTTCGAAACCAGCCTGGCCAATATGCTGAAACCCCCTCTCTACTAAAAATATAAAAAATTAGCCAGGCGTGGTGGCGGGCGCCTGTAATTCCAGCTACTCTGGAGGCTGAGGTAGGAGAATCTCTTAAGCCAGGGAGGCGGAGGTTGTAGTGAGCCAAGATCATACCATTGCACTCCAGCCAAGGCAACAAGAGCGAGGCATTGTCTCAAAAAAAAAAAAAAATCACATACTGTATGATTCATGTGATATTCTTTAGAGGATGCAACCATAGTAACAGAAAATGAACTGGTGGTTGCCAGGGGTTAAAGGTAGGTTTGGGTGTTATTACAAAGGGATAGCATGTTTTTTGGGGTAGTACAACTGTTCTGTATTCTTATTGTGATGATGGTCACATAAATCAATACATGTGTTAAAATTCACAAGTCAGCTTGACTGTATGTTAATTTTAAAAATAAGTGAGAAATCCAAATTGAAAAATATAAATCAAATTGTTAAAAATAAAACTAACTTATTTTCATAATTTTTAGTTTCATTTTGTAGAATAAAATCCCAGTTGAGCTCTTTTTCCACTATTAACAATGAAATTTTCATTCTTGTTTTATGTGGACTCACTTTAAGCAGTCTTTTTTCTTTGCCCATTATCTTCCATTGAGGAAGAACTCCTTTATGTTAAGATACACAGATGCTCCTTGATTTATGACGGGGTTATGTCCCAATAAACACATCACAAGTTGAAAATATAGGTCAACAATCCATTTAATACACCTAGCCTACTGAACATCACAGCTTAGCCTAGCCCACCTTAAATGTGCTCAGAATACCTTACATTAGCATATAGCTCATCTAACACAGAGCCTATTTTATAATAAAGTATTGAATATCTCATGTAATATACTGAATACTATACTGAAAGTGAAAAACAGAATGGGTATATGGGTACTCAAAGTACAGTTTCTACTGAAAGCATATTGCTTTTACACTATTGGAAAGCAGAAAAATGTTAAGTTGAACCAACGTTAAGTCAGGGATCATGTGTACATTTTTAAAAATTTATTTTCAAATTTCTTTGGGGGAAAGAAAGGTCTTGCTATGTTGCTCAGGCTAGTCTCAAACTCCTAAGCTCAAGTAATCTTCCTGCCTTGGCCTCCCAAAGTGCTGGTATTACAGGTGTGAGCCACCATGTGTACACTGAAACAAAAAAAGACTAGAAAGACATATGTCAGAGTGGTAACTATAGCAAGTTGTTTATGGGTAATGATATTTTATGTAATTTGTTTTCATTTTCTAAATTTTCTAGAATGGGCTTATATTACTTTACCGATTTATTTTTTTTTAAGACGAAGTTTCACTCTGTCACCCAGGTTGGAGTGCAGCGGCGCAATCTCGGCTCACTGCAACCTCCGCCTCCTGGGTTCAATCAATTCTTCTGCTTCACCAAACCCAGCTAATTTTTTGTATTTCTAGTAGAGATGGGATTTCATCATGTTGGCCAGGCTGGTCTTGAACTTCTGACCTCAAGTGATCCACCCACCTTGGCCTCCCAAAGTGCTGGGAGTACAGGTGTGAGCCACCGTGCCCGGACTAGAATGGGCTTATATTACTTTAATCATCAGTAGAAAAAAAGGTAAAGGGCACTTTCAATCCAGGCTGTGTAATGTTTTTTAAAGGAAATTTTGGAGCTCTCATTTGTAAGCATGGAGAAGACAAGCAGCTAGGAAAACTTAGGTGTCACAGAAAAGATCAGGGACCTGCTGGTGTTGCTGAAGAAGGTAAGAAAACGGAGGACTCTTAGGAAGGGGAATGCTAACTTACCTGAGACTGTTTGAAAACATCCTTCCCAACTACATCCAGGTTTGAGGGATCTTTGATGGAACTGACATACTCAGAAACAGCCTTGATCACCACGTCACAGGGAGGAAGAACCAGCTGATGAGCTCGAACCTAGAAAGGCAAGATAAGCAAGGGACACTGACATCAAAGATGGATCACTAAGAAAAAGAGTGAAGTTGAGGGGAGATATGGAATTCACATTTGGTAAATCCACAGAGAGACAGTTAAAATATTTTCTTTAAAAATAGTTTTGCCCCTTCATTCTCAGTACAGAACACTTGGAAAAGATGGAAAAGTATAAAGCAATAAAAACATATCATCCATCTTCCTGCAGAGATAACTACTGTATATGACACTGTCACAATTAATCAGGCTTCCTTTCATGAGACATTTTGGCTTTTTTGCTATTAAATGTAATATTATAATGAGTTGACATTTGGATTCTGATTTGAACTAATCACAAAAGGCCATTTTAAGACAATCAGGAAAATCTGAAAATGGACTGGATATTAAGATGATACCAAGAAATTAGCATTAATTTTGTCAGGAGTAATAATGGCATTATGCTTATGTAAGAAAATGCCCAAGTATTTTAGAGATGTGTACTGAAGAATGTGAAAGGGATTTGCTTTAAAAAACATTAACAACAACAAAAAAACCCAGAAAGTGTGGCAAAATACTGGTAACTGTTGGATCTGGAACACGTTACAATGGTGATTTACTATATATTATGTTTCCTGTTTTTGTGATACCTAAACATTTTTTTTTTTTTTGAGACAGAGTCTCACTCTGTCATCCAGGCTGGAGTGTAGTGGTGCAATCTCGGCTCAATGCAACCTCTGCTTCCCGGGTTGAAGCGATTCTCCTGCCTCAGCCTCCCAAGTAGCTGGGATTATAGGCACGCACCACGACTGGATTTGCTCATAAAATATTCCCACTCTGAGATTATACAAAATTTCCCTCATGGTGTTGTCTATAATTATTATTATTTGTTTGAGACGGAGTCTTGCTCTGTCGCCCAGGCTGGAGTGCAGTGGTGCAGTAGGGATTGTCTAGAAAACAATTATGTGCACACATGTGCAGTTCCTGAGTTCAAGTAATTCTCCTGCCTCAGCCTCCCGAGCAGCTGGGATTACAGGCACCTGCCACCATGCCCGGCTAATTTTTGTATTTTTAGTAGGGACAGGGTTTCACCATGTTGGCCAGACTGGTCTTGAACTCCTGACCTCAAGTGATCCGCCTGCCATGGCCTCCCAAAGTGCTGGGATTACAGGCATGAGCCACTGCGCCTGGCCCTTAACAAATTTTTAAAGAAAAAGTTTTTAATGCTTTCATAAACTATAAGTATGACGTCTTGCCCACTTTCCAATTATTTAATTACAAGCTTCCTCAAACTGTAATTACTGAGGCAGAGGGTATAAATTTTCCAAAGGCTTCTGAATTTTTATAAATTGTTTTGCCAAAAGGCTTTATTATTCATTCCTTAAATATTTACTGCCTACTATGTGCCAGGCACTGTCCTAGGCACCAGGGAAACAGCAGTGAACAAGACAGACAAAAATCTCTGCCCTCATGGGAGCTTAAATTCTAGTGTAGATGTGTTGGGATAGGGTGAGGGAAGTTAAACTAAATAAGTAAAATGTATAGTGTAGGCTGGGCGCGGTGACCCATGCCAGTAGTCCCGGCACTCTGGGAGGCGGAGGCTGGCGGATCACCTGAGGTCAGGAGTTCGAGACCAGCCTGGCCAACATGGTGAAACCCCGTCTCTACTAAAAATACAAAAATTAACCGGGCTTGTACTAGATGTAGATAAGTGCTGTGCAGAGAAGAGTAGAGAAGAAGCTAGGGAATGCAAATATGTATGTGCTAATTGTTTTCTAAACAATCCCTACTGCAGAAGTGTGTGCATATAATTTTTTATAGGGTGATCAGGAAAAGCCTCACTGAGAATGAAATTTTAGAAAACCTTCAGGATTGAAGAAATAGCTATGAGGGGAAAAGTATTCCAAGTAGGGAGAATGATAAGTGCAAAGGTTCTAAGAGCAAAAGAAAGAAAGAGATCAGATATGAGAGGGGGCCACAGTAAAGGGCTTTGCAGGCCATGGTAAGGATTTGGAGAGTGACATGAAGAGCCACTGGATAATATATTTTTTTTTTTTTTTTGAGACGGAGTCTTGCTCTGCCACCCAGGAGGAAGTACAGTGGCACGATCTCGACTCACTGCAACCTCTGCCTCCTGGGTTCAAACAATTCTCCTGCCTCAGCCTCCCGAGTAGCTAAGGTTACAGGCACACAACACCACGCCCAGCTATTTTTTTTTTTTTTGAGACACAGTCTTGCTGTCGCTCAGGCTGGAGTGCAGTGGCATGATCTCGGCTCACTGCAACCTCCACCTCCTGGGTTCAAGAGATTCTCCTGCCTCAGCCTCCTGAGTAGCTGGGATTATAGGTGAGCACCACCATGCCCAGCTAATTTTTGTATTTTTAGTAGAGATGAGGTTTCACCATGTTGGTCAGGCTGGTCTCAAACTCCTGACTTCATGATCTGCCCGCCTTGGCCTCCCAAAGTGCTGAGATTACAGGCTTGAGCCACCACGCCCGGCCTTTTAAAAAATTTTTAGTAGAGATGGGGTTTCACCATGTTGGCCAGGCTGGTCTCGAACTCCTGACCTCAAGTGATCCACCCGCCTCAGCCTCCCAAAGTGCTGGGATTACAGGTGTTAGCCACAGTGCCCGGCCAAGGATTTTGAATGGAGAAGTGACAGGATCTCAGTGGTTTTTTTTTTTTTTTAAAAGGGTCGCTCTCCTGTTATATTGAGAATAAAATGGAGGTAAGGGGAAGAGTGTAAGTAGAAGACCAATAGTTAGTAAGCTATTATAATAATCCAGGCAAGAAATAATGGTGGCTTGGCCAGGGTAGCAGCAGTGCAAATGTTAAGAAGTAGGTATATTTTTGAAGGGAGAGCTGATGGTATTTGCTGACAAATGAGATGTGGGGTATGGGAGGGGTGGGGGGGAGTCAGGATGACCCCCAAGGATTTTAGCCTGAGAAAATGGAAGGATGGGCTGAGTGCAGTGGCTCACACCTGTAATCCAGCACTTTGGGAGGCCAAGGTGGGCGGATCACTTGAGCTCAGGAGTTTGAGACCAGCCTGGCCAACACGGTGAAACCCTGTCTATACTAAAAATACAAAAATTAGTTGGATGTGGTGGCACACACCTGTAGTCCCAGCTACTCAGGAGGCTGAAGCAGAAGAATCACTTGAATCCAGGAGGTGGAGACTGCAGTGAGCTGAGACTGTGCCACTGCACTCTAGCATGGGCAACACAGCGAGACTCCATCTCAAAAAAAAAAAAAAAAAAAAGGGAAGAAAGAAAATGGAAGGATGAAGTTGCCTTCAACAAAAATGAGGAAGGCTGTGGGAGAAACATGTTTAGGGAGAAGATCAGGAATTTCCACTTGAACATATAACTTTGAGATACCTATTGGATATGTAAATGAAAATATTGAATTGGCAGTTAGATATTAAAATCTGGAGTTCAAAGGAGAGGTCAGAGCTGAAGACATAAAACTTAGGAGTCATCAACGGACAGATGGTATTTAAAGTCATTAAGACTATATGAGATCAATCGTATGTGGAGACAGAAAAGAGAAGGGGCCGGGCATGGTGGCTCACGGCTATAATCCCAACACTTTGGGAGGCTGAGGTGGGAAGATCGCTTGAGCATAGGAGTTTAAGACCAGCCTGGGCAACATGGTGAGATCACATCTCTACAAAAAATACAAAAAAAATTAGCCAGCCGTGATGGCATGTGCCTGTAGTCCCAGCTACTTAAGAGGCTGCTGCAGGAGGACCAATTGAGTCCGGGAGTTCGAGGCTGTAGTGAGCCATGATCGCCCCACTGCACTCTAGGCTGGGCAACAGAATGAGACCGTGTCTCAAAAACAAACAAACAAACAAATAAAACAAATCAGAAAAGAAAAGAGAAAGGAACCAGGATGGAACTCTGGGCTATTCCACCTTTAACAAGTGGAAAAGACAAGGAAGCAGCAACAGAGACTGGGAAGCGGCAGTCAGCGAGGTAGGAAGGAAATAAGAAGAGAATAGTGTCCTTAAGGCCAAGTGAAAAAAGTGTTCTATGGAAGAATGGGTGAGTATCTGTGTCAAATGCTGCTGACTGGTCAAGTAAAATGAAAACTGACAGCTAGCCACTGGGTTTATTAACTGAGAAGTTATACTGGTGACCCTGTTGAGAGCAATTTCAGCAAATCAATTGAAAAGCAAACAGGGGAAGGGAATAGTAAGCAACTCATGTGTAGACAAGTCTTTAGAGGAGTTTTCTATAAGAAGAAATATAGAGCAGTAGCTTGGGTGGGGAGAGTGAGGTCAGAGGCTTTTTTAAAAAAAAAATAAAGTTGTATTTTTAAACTTCATAGATGCATGCTTACACAATCTGGAAAGAGCCAATGAAAAGAGGAAAATTGATGATGCAGGAGAAAAAGGGGGAGAATTGCTGAACTGATGCTCTTAAGTTGGCCAAAGGAGATGGGAGCTGTGCCTGATAGTCCCAGCTACTCAGGAGGTTTAGGCAGGAGGATTGATCACTTGAGCTATGATTGTGCCACTGCACTCCAGCCTGGGCAGCATAGCAAGACCCTGTCTCTTAAAAAAAATTTTTTTAAATAAATAGAGATGGGACCTAGTATAAGTAGAGGGATTTGCCTTAGATAGGAACATGGACAGGTCATGCACAATTAATAGGAGGCAGGCAGAATATGTGGCCACAGAGGGGATAACACCTTCATATAGGTGAGGTGAAGAGGGGGTAAGAACTCATCGAAGTTTTCTTCCCATTGCTTCCATTTTCTCAGTAAAACAGGAAGTGAGGTCATGAACTGAGAGTGAGCAAATGAGGAGAAAGTATTAGAGGCTTGAGGACAGAGAAGGTATGAAACAGTCATCTAGGAGAATGAAAGAACGAGGGAAATAGAATACAATCACCAACTTATACTACCACCAGAAGTGTATGCGGGTATCAGTCTCACAACAGTCTTTTTTTTTTTTTTTTTTTTTTTTGAGTCAAGAGTCTCACTCTGTCACCCAGGCTAGACTGCAGTGGTGCGATCTCGGCTCACTGTAACCTCTGCCTCCTGGGTTCAAGCGATTCTCCTGCCTCAGCCTCCTGAGTGGCTGGGACTACAGGCACGTGCCACCACACCTGGCTAATTTTTGATTACAGGCATGAGCCACCGTGCCCTGGCTGCAACAGTCTTGATAACAGTGGGTAAACTAATTTTTCAATATTTGTTCAACTGTTAAGTTAAAAAAAAAAATTCACAGTGGCCGAGTGTGGTAACTCATTCCTGTAATCCCAGCACTTTGGGAGGCTGAGGTGGGAAGATCACTTGAGATCAAGAGTTCGAGACCAGCCTCGCCAACACAGTGAAACCCTGTCTCTATTAAAAATACAAAAATTAGCTGGGCATGGTGGTGCATGCCTGTAATCTCAGCTACTCGGGAGGCTGAGACAGGAGAATTGCCTGAACCTGGGAGGTGGAGGTTGCAGTGAGCTGAGATTGCAACACTGAACTCCAGCCTGGGTGACGGAGTAAGACTTTGCCTCAAAAAAAAAAAAAAAAAAAAAAATGAGCCAGGCCTGTAATCCCAGCTACTTGGGTGGCTGAGGCACGAGAATTGCTTGAACCCAGGAGGTGGAGGTTGCAGTGAGCTGGCTGAGATCGTGCCACTGCATTCCAACCTGGACAACAGAGTGAGACTCTGTCTCAAAAAAAAAGAAAAATCACACTGATCATTTAATTTACATGTCTGATCAATAGTGAGGTTGAACATCTAGTCATTGTATTTTCTCTCTTGTGAATTTTCTGCTTCTGTCCTTTGTTCATTATTTCATTATTGGGTTATCGGTATATTTCTTTATAGACTTGTATGAATTCTTGAGATATTAAGGGTATTGATCATAACCAAGTTTTTCTTTTTTGTCTTTTTTTTTAGATGGAGTCTCGTTTTGTTGCCCAGGCTGGAGTGCAGTGGCACGATCTTGGCTCACTGCAATCTCTGCCTCCCAGGTTCAAGCGATTCTCCTGTCTTAGCCTCCTGAGTAGCTGGGGTTATAGGCGCCTGCCACTACGCTCAGCTAATTTTTGTATTTTTAGTAGAGACGAGGTTTCACCATGTTGGCCAGGCTGGTCTTGCATTCTTAACCTCAGGTGATCTGCCCACCTCGGCCTCCCAAAGTGCTGGGATTACAGGTGTGAGTCACCACCGCACCTGGCCATAACTAATATTTTTTTCTTTTGTATGTATGTGAAATATTTTAAATCTAATGTAAGATAATTATTCCATCAAAACTCCAATCAAAACCTCATATCCCCTAATCTGTATAGGCAAGAAATAGGAAACATTACCTTAAGTGATGCAAGAGGATGTTCTGGTCCCAAGAGGCTCCAGTGAAAAGCAGCCAGGTCCTCATCTGGGAGGATGTGGTTACCTATAAAGTACATTTGTCATTCATTGACTGTACAAATGTTTTCTTAGAACCTCCAGGCCATGAAAGGGGTCCTGGGAGAGAAAATGATCAAATAATTCACATAGGTCTGTATTCTTAATGTAATACTTACAGTAGTTCTGTGTTGATCACTTAATATGTTTCATGTGCATTATATGTATCATCTTTATAATGCCTATGGATGGTAGTATTATCATTTACATTTACAGATAAAGAAACTGAGGTTCAGACATGTTTGGTGACTTGGCCCAATGTGGTCTGGCCAATAGGTACACACACCAAGATAAAAAGCTAGGAATGTAACTCCAAAGCCCATGCTATTACTTATCCCCTAAGTCATGTTGCCTTTTATAATAGCAGCCACCAATTACTAACTGCCTAATGAGTGCTGGGCATTTTGTACACTTTATTTCATTTCACTTTACCAATAACATCATGAGGTATTATTATCCGCATTTCACAGATGAGAAAACTGAAACCAGGGAGATGTCACTTCAGTGATTTGCCAATGGCCTAATTCCAAAACTTGTGCTGACTCCACTATATTATCCAAACTCATGTCCTTTGGAATTATAGAGCAAAGGCCATGCCTGAGACAGAATACTAACCTTCATGCGCTAAGTACTTGAAAAACCAATTCAAAACATAATCAACTCTCTGCAATTTACTTTGAAACACATCTTTAAGAGATATATTGGGCCAGGCACGGTGTCTCACGCCTGTAATCCCAGCACTTTGGGAGGCCGAGGCGGGTGGATTGCTTGAGGTCAGGAGTTCAAGACCAGCCTGACCAACATCGTGAAACCCTGTCTCTACTAAAAATATAAAAATTAGCTGGGCATGGTGGCAGGTGCCTATAGTCCCAGCTATTCAGGAAGCTGAGGCAGGAGAATCACTTGAACCTGGGAGGCGGAGATTGCAGTGAGTCGAGATCGTGCCACTACACTCCAGCCTGGGCGACACAGCGAGACTCTGTCTCAAAAATAAATAAAATAAAATAAGAGACAGATTGATGGATGGGTAAAGGAATGGATAGATATATAAGGCAATTAGAGTAAAATGTTAATGGCAGAATACAGGTGGTGGATATAGGGTTTTTACTGCAAAGCCCTTTTTCAATTTTGCTGTATATTTGGAAATTTTCATAAAAAATATTAGCACAAAAGAAACAAAGAGAAAAACATAATGAACAATTTGTCTTTCCGATCTAAATTGAGACACTGGGGAAGAAATGTTAATGCTCTGTGTGGGGAACCAAAGTTGTCTCGGCCTAATAAAACATTTGGCTTGAGAATACTCTGCATAAAAGAGTTATAAAATGTAGCAAAAGAAGGCGGCTTACAGGAATCTAAATAATGTTCTGGAATAACCTGTAGCAACCCACAAAACAAACATGCTGAGTTTTAGTGTGCTCTACCAAGAAGCCCAAAAACCATGCTGAGTTCTCCCCAGCAGTGTTTAGCGTGAAGACTTTAAGAAGACAAATCTAATGATGACAGGCTAAATCACTCTAGTCCTCATCTCTTAACACCAGAAGAGGAAACTACCAATCACTGCAGTCTTTTCTTTGGATGACCTACCTAGCAGTGCAGCAAATATGGGGAAATTCATCCTCTTCAGGCCCAGCTGCTTGGCTACTTCTTGCATCAGGAACTGGTTGGTAGTGAGGTTCTTCCCATTCCAGCTCAGTTTCAGAGCATGGGAACTGTAGTAAGAGGGAATATTGTAGAGAGCATACTCGGAGTCATGGGCAAGAAGGCCATGGAAGCCATTTTCCCTGAAAAACGCCACCACTTCCAAATGGTGGTCTTCAAGGCTCTGAAAGACCTAGAAGGGAAGAAGAGAACGTGTCATGCCACAGAACCTGATTTGTATTGTTAGAAGGTCAGGAGGTTTAGCAACTAAATTTTATAGTTTGGTGAAATTTGAAATTGTACGTGAGAGAACAGAACATTCTTTTAACATTTTTTACTTTTTTTTTTTTTTTTTTTTAAATACAGAGATGAGATCTCACTGTTACCCAGGCTGGTCTCGAATTCCTGAGCTTAAGTGATCCTCCCGCCTTGGCCTCCCAAAGTGCTAGGATTACAGGTGTGAGCCACTGTGCCCAACCAGAACAGAATACTCTTAAAAAACAAAACAAAAATGCTCTCCCACTCTACAATTTGATTATTACTGTAAACACAGACAGCGTTTGTGTTTATTCCCCTGGTTTTTTTTTCACTCCTTTCATGAAACTTGCCCTGAGGCTCTTCAAAATTAGAATACTGAAATTAACGAGGTATATATTACTTTTTACGTCAAACAATAACATTAGAGACTTCTGTTAGATAATAAAGCTATTATTTATTGCTCAATATCTATGTGCTGTACATATTTTATATATATTATCTCATCATTAACCTTAGGTAGGTACATATGGATGAAAAACTTAGACGTAGAAATAGACACAGAAATCTAAGTTTATCTAACTGTTTTCAAAAAGTCTTTGCTTTTTTTCTTAGTAGCACTGTACATCGCAGGGCACCCAAACAGTTGCACTTCCAACAGTGAGAAGTCAGAAACTACACCCCATTTTAGAAATGGGGAAACTAAGGCTACGAGAGATTGGCTGCCCCCAAAGTTGCATAATGGGTGAGTGTGGTAGACAGGATTCAAATCCAGGCTGATCTCACTCCGGAATGCACACTTTCTGTTGTACCACGCTTCTTCCTGGAGATCACTATTTTTTATGTAATAGAGGTAAACTGTTAAGTACTCTTCCTGTACATGCCTCTATTGCTGTACTTGAAGTATACTGAAATTATCTGTATACCGGCTCCACCAAATTAAGTTCCTTGACCATAGAGAGAAATTACCTCTGTATTCCTGGCTCTCACATAAGACCTGGTACGTAATAGTAATAATAATGGCTAACAGATACTGAATATGTACTATGTGCATTAACTCATTTAATACTCACAACAACCTTGTGAGGGCATACCTATTATTACTATCCCCATTTTACACATTGTTAGCCCCAAGGTCATATGGCTAGGAGGAGCAAAGCCCAGATTTTGGCTCTAGAGCCTGTGGACCTTGATAGTTTTTTTCAACTCAACTATCTGTCATTTAAGTTGGAATGGTAGTTTTCTGGAGTTTAACAGGAGTTTCAATGCATTAAACTTTTGCTAGATTATGGAAAAGGAGTCTAGTTACAGTTGCTAGTCATGTCACACACAAGGGGAGAGACACCAGTAAGCAGACAGTGAAGCAAGGTCGATATTTATTTGATATCCAGGCAAAGGAGCCAAAAAGTATTGTAACATATTTATGCCTTAGAGATATGAGTAACTCCAGATGTGTCAGGGTAGGAGTAAAGTTTTATGCTGTCCCCTGGTAATAGTTTCTTCCAGCACACCACTCATACAAGTCATTGGTTGAGCATCCATTTACCTTGTACCAGAGATAGTTACTAAGTGTGATATTTTCTCTCTCTTCATCACAACCTCACCATGCAGGTATTAGAAGCCCCATTTTACAGATGAGGGAACTGAGGCTCAGAAAAGTAAGATGCCATACTCAGAGCTATCGAGCTGGGAAACAGCAACCTGGGTCACATTGACATCAAAGTCTCTAGGTGTCACCAAAGACCCTCTCCACTACAACACTTAATCTTCAGCTGGTCTGAAGCTGATTATGCCACCATTCAAGTGATTTCAACTCCAGAAAGCCAAGGACTAGTGATTTTTAATCAATTTGGTAGCTCTTAAAACACTAGGAATGTATATCACAACCACCTGGAGATCTTTTTCAAAATATACAAACCTAAGCTTCACCTCAGATCTGCTGGAATAACTTATTTCTTGTTTTGTTTTTTGGAAACAGAGTCTTACTCTGTCACCCAGACTGGAGTGCAGTGGCCTGATCTCGGTTCAGTGCAACCTCCATGTCCCAGGTTCAAGCAATTCTCCTGCCTCAGCCTCCTGAGTAGCCGGGGCTACGGGCGCATGCCACCACACCTGGCTAATTTTTGTATTTTTAGTAGAGACGGGGTTTCACCATGTTGGCCAGGCTGGTCTCAAACTCCTGACCCCAGGTGATCCACCGGCCTTGGCCTCCCAAAGTGCTGGGATTACAGGCGTGAGCCACTGTACCCAGCCTGGAACAATGTCTTGAGTGTGATCCAAACACCTACATTTCAAAACAGTTTCCAGTAGGTTCTCATGCACACCTCCAATTAAGAATCACTGAACTAATCCAATTATTCATTTTATCACATAGGCAACTGAGGCCTAGAGGGGATAAATGACTTGACCTAGCTAATTGCAGCCGAACCAAGATTAGAACAAAAGTCTCATGATTCCAGGTATAGGACTTCTTTCACTAAATATTCTGGAGTAGGTAATGAAAAACAATAGAGTAAGAATCTCATGAATTCCTCTCACAATTCCGCAATACCTCTCTCCTAACAGGCTAATTTCCTAACTACCCATTTCCAAGATTACTCCTCCTTCCCTGTCTTTGCTCACTTGGTTTCCCTGCCTAGAATGCCTTACTGCCTCTCTTTCCCAATGTTCTGAATACTTTCCATAGGCCTGCCACCTCTTGGACAAATTCCTTGATAATTCCCCTCCTCTTCACTCTTATAGCACAGAGACAGATGACACAGTCACAGAACTAATTTGACAATACCATCATCTTCAAGTTTTAAGGTCACAGGTTCTATCTTACTCTTTTATCTCCATGGTTCTAACCATGTCCTTCCAACTAGAAAGGACAGAGAACAGGAGTTGATTGGTACAGAATAGTAAAGAAAGGCCTAGTGAGATTGTTAAAAACAAAAACAGCTCTGGCAAATGAGAGGGCACTATCATCTCAGCGTTTAACTTCTACAGCAGATGTAGTGAAGTCACTAGATTGCAAGCTATCCAAGCTCGAGTAGCAAAGTAGTATTAGGTATCAATTAAGTACCTACTATGTACCAGGCACTGTTCCAAACCCCCCTCACATCCACTAACCTTGCAATAACATCAGGAGGCATTATTATCTTCATTTTAAAGACAAACGATCAATGAGGGTCAGAGGTTAGAGAACTTGACCAAAGTCACATAGCTAAAAAGTGAAGCTAGCCAATAAGCACATGACAAGCTGCTCAACATTATTAGTCATTATAGAAATGCCCATCAAAACCAAAATGAGACACCAGTTAGCACCCACTAGGATGGCTATAATCAAAAAATGGAAAATAATGAGTGTTGGCAAGGATGCAGAGAAACTGGAATCCTCGTAAATTGCTAGTGGGAATGAAAAATGGTGCAGTCACTTTGGAAAGTGGTCTCAGAGGTCCTGAAATGGTTAAACATAGTTATCTCATATGATCCAATGATTTCACTCCTAAGTATATACCCAAGAGAACTGAAAATCTATGTTCACACAAAAACTTGTACATGAAAGTTCACAGCAGGCTTACTCATAATAGCCCAAAAGTGGAAATAACCCAAATGTCTATCAACTGATGAATGAACAAAATGTGGTATATCCATAAAAGGAAATATTATTTGGCAATAAAAAGGAATGAAGTGCGGATTTATGCTACAACATCAATGAACTTTGAAAACAGAATGCTAATGTGAAACAAGCCAGACACAAAAAGCCATATATTGTATGACTTCTTTCATATGAGATGCCCAGAATAGGCAAATCCAAAGAGATGGAAAAATAAAATAGTAGTTGCCAGGGATTGTGGGGATGGGGAATAAGACTAGTACGTATTGGTTTACCCTTTGAGGTTATAAAAATCTTCTGGAATTAGTGGTGATAGCTGCACAATGCTATGAATATACTAAAGACCATTAAATTGTATACTTTAAAATGTTGAATTTTATGGTATATGAGTTATACCTCGATTTTTAAAAATTGGAGCTAGGATTCAAATTCAGCTCTGTTTACAAATCCCAAGCTCCCCTAAGGCTTTAAGAACTTTAATAACTTTTTATTATGGAAAATTTTAAATATACAAAGGTAATGAGACCCCATGAAAGCATTACCCACTTTCAATTGTTATCAATGTTAAGTCATTCGTTTCATCTACCTTGCCCCCCTCCTTTTTATGTTGTGTGTGTGTGTGTGTGTGTGTGTATGTGTGTATATATACATATATATATATATTTTTTTTTTTTGAGACAGAGTCTCGCTCTGTTGCCCAGGCTGGAGTGCAGTGGCGCGATCTCGGCTCACCGCAACCTTCGCCTCCCAGGTTTAAGCGATCCTCCTGCCTTAGCCCCCCTAGTAGCTGGATTATAGGCACATGCCACCAGGTCCGGCTAATTTTTGTATTTTTAGTAGAGACAGGGTTTCACCATGTTGGTCAGGCTGGTCTCGAACTCCTGGCCTCAGGTGATCCACCCGCCTCAGCCTCCCAAAGTGCTGGGATTAGAGGCGTGAGCCACCGTGCCTGGCCTTTTTATGGTATTTTAATATTTTTTGTTGTGATTGAAAACCACATAAAATTTACCAACTTGACTATTTTTAAGTGTACAGTTCAGCTGTGTTATGGATATTCACATTGTTATACAACGTATCTCCAGAATTTTTTCATCTTGCAAATCTGAAATTCTATATCCATTAAATAACAGCTCCCTTTTCTCCCTCCTCCTAGCTCTTGGTAACCACAATTCTATTTTCTGTCTCTATGAATTTGACTACTTTAGGTACCTCATATAAGCGGAATCATATGGAATTTGTCCTTTTGTGACTGGCTTATTTCACTTAGCATAATGTCCTCAAGTGTTCATCCATATTGTAGCATGTGACAGGATTTCTTTCCTTTTTAAGGCTGAATAATATTCCATTGTATGCTATACATTTTGTTTATCCATTCATCCATCAACAGACATTTGGGTTGCTTCCAACTCTTGGCTACTGTGAATAGTACTGCTATGAACATGGGTGTGCAAATATCTCTTAGAGATCCTGCTTTCAATTGTTTTAGATATATACTCAGAAGTGGAATTGCTGAATTATATGGTAGTTTTATTTTTAATATATTAAGGAACCTCCATACTGTTTTCCACAGCAGCTGCAGCATTTTACAATCCCACCAACAGTGCATAAGGGTTCCAATTTATCCACATCCTTGTCAACACTTATTTTTTTGTGTGTTTTTTTTAACAGTAGCCATCCTAATGAGTGTGAGGTAATATCTCATTGTGGTTTTGATTTGCATTTCTTGGAGGATTAGTGATGTTGAATATCTTTTCATAAGCTATTGACCATTCCTGGCATATCTTAAAGCAAATTCCAGACATCAAATCACTTCACCCATAAATACTTCATTATTTAACTCTCACAGTTAAAGTAACAAACACTACCATTATTACACCCAACAAAATTAACAATTTCTTAATATCATAATATCTAGTGCCTATTCTACTTTCTATGATTGTCCCGAAAATGTCTTTCGATGGTTGCTTTGTTCAAATCAGGATTCAAACAGAATCCACATGCTGTATTTCGTTGATATGGCTTCTAAGGACCTTAATGTATAGCAGTTCCCCTTCCCTTTATTTATATGCCATTTATTTGTTTAAAAAATCCAGTTTTTAGATTAGAAAAGTAATATAGATTATTTAACAAATGGTGTTGGGATAACTGAAGAGTCATTTGAGGAGAAAAACATGGATCCATACTTCACACTTTAACTAGGATAACCATGAAAATCATAGGCCAGGCACGGTGGCTCATGCCTGTAATCCCAGCACTTTGGGAGACCAAGGCGGGCAGATCACTTGAGGTCAGGAGTTCAAGACCAGCCTGGCCAACATGGTGAAACCCCGTCTCTACTAAAAATACAAAATTTAGCCAGGTATCGTGACTGGTGCCTGTAATCCCAGCTACTCGGGGGGCTAAGGCAGGAGATTTGCTTGATCTCAGGAGGTAGCGGTTGTAGTGAGCCAAGACCGCGCCACTGCACTCCAGCCTGGGCAACAGAGCAAGACTACATCTCAAAAAAAATAATAATAATAAAAATAAAAAAATAATAAAATACACCATGAGGGAAATTTTGTATAATCTCAGAGTGGGGATAGTTTATGAAGAAATCCAGTAACACCCCCAGAAAACGGTCAATACTCTTGACTATATGAAAATCAAACATTTCCACAGTATGAACGTATAAATGACTGATGAATAAGAAAAAAAAATCAAACATTTCTGCTTGGGAAAAACCCATGTAAGTAAGCTCAAAAGACAAATGACAATCTGCAAAAAAATTTGCAACTTACAGTGCAGAGGACTAATTTCCTTAATAGAGAAGGGAAAAAACCTAACAATGTAAGAGAACATTTCACAAAAAAGGAAACAAACAGATTTTAAGCATATAAAAAGATGATCAAACTCACTGGTGATAAGAGAAATAAAAATTAAAATAATACTGAAACATGATGTTTCACGTACAAGATTAGCAAATAATGTATTGGTGAAGGAAACAGGCACTTGCAAACATTCCTGGTAGGGGTATAACGGTAGAATCTCTAGGGAGAGCGATTTGGCAAGACCTTTCAAAATTACAAATGTGCATACCCTTTGCCCCAGCAATTCTCCTTTCAGGGATTTATCTTTTAGATATGTAAAGCACTTGGAACAACAATGAAAGTGCCTAAGTGTGAGCAACTCCTTTGCAAACACAAAATATTTACTGGAGCATTATTTGTAATAGGTGAAGACTGGAAACAACCTAATTAATTGCCCATCAATAAGGGACGAGTTAAGTAAATCATAATGTATACGTACAATGGAATAGTGTAAAACCATAAAAAGTAATGACAAAACTCTATCTATACACATAGAAAAATCACCAAGATATGGTAAATGGTAAGTGCAAGGTACAGAACATTATGCATAGTATGCTGTTTTTAAAAGGTATTTTTTGTGTAGAATATGTATATATGTAAAATGTGCATATATATATAAAATGTATACTTATTTGCTTTTATATCCATAGTATCTCTGAAAGAATACACAATGAACTGATAATATTGGTCCCCTCCAGGGAGGAGAACCTAGTGACTGGGAAAGGGGTGGAATATTTTTTATCATATATCCTTTTGTATCTTTTGAATTTTTGTACCATGAATTATAAGTTAATCAAAAGATAAAATTGCAGCTGAATAAAAGCAGAACATATTCAGGGAAAAAAAAAAGCAAACAATATGGCAGTGTGTAGAATGAAAACAGTCCTTTTACTCTCATTCCTTGGAAGTAATCGCTGTTCTAAGCCCCACCCCTGAAGAGTCTGATTCAGTAGGTCTAGGGTCAGGCTGGAAATCTGTTTTTTAACAAGAACCCCAGATGATTTCGTGATGAAGCAAGTTTAAAAAACACTTATCTAGTCAGATCACACAACATGGCAATTTATTCCTAGCAAAATACAATCTGCATTCAATCCTGACAGGGCAAAGAGCCAACAATGACCGTCAGAATAGTGAGCACTCTGGCTCAATTTACACATTTATCATCACTGTTACCACCTGTAAGCGCCTGGCCCAAATTGGTCCAGTTTAGTCGTTAACCTTGCAATTTTCCAGGAGAGTAAAATGATTTAGGAGAGATTCAACTATAACATAACCAAACAACTGATCAGAGAAAACAGCACATTTGAGTTTTAAAGAAAGCGAGAGTTGAGATTCTGAACGACTATCTATAGCTTTTAATTGCTGGTTCACCATTCAGTTCAGTGAATAGGGGTTGAGGGCCTACTAAGTGCCAGGATGCAGACAGCACAAAGCAAGACACTTAACTTGTGAGAAGTTATGGAGCACAGGGTACCATGGGAACACAGAGTAAAGGCACCTCAACAGTCAGTGGGGTGATGGTTTTTGAGAGGAAGTGACACCTGTTTATAGAACTCAGGGGAGGCCGGGTGTGGTGGCTCATGCCTGTAATCCCAGCACTTTGGGAGGCCAAGGCAGGCAGAACACAAAGTCAGGAGTTTGAAACCAGCCTGGCCAATATGGTGAAACCCCGTCTCTATTTAAAAAAAAAAAAAAATTAGCCGGGTGTGGTGGCAGGTGCCTGTAGTACCAGCTACTCAGGAGGCTGAGGCAGGAGGATCGCTTGAACCCGGGAGGTGGAGGTTGCAGTGAGCTGAGATCGCGCCACTGCACTCCAGCCTGGGCGACAGAGTGAGACTCCGTCTCAAAAAAAAAAAAAAAAGAAAACCTCAAGGGAAAAAAGCTCTCTGAGAAGACGTGTCTCATTTCCAACCATAGGTAGTCTAAAGAAGTGGCTTGCAAACTGTGCTTCCCCAAACCAGAATTTTGGTAGGTGGAGACCGGACCAAATAACTAAAGAGAATTGGTGTTTCTACTTTTTAAAATTTTTATTTTTTGAGGGTATCATTTTGTCACCAAGGCTGGAATGCAGTGGTGGGATCACGGCTCACTGCAGCCTCAGCCTCCCGAGCTCAAGCAACCCTGCCACTGCAGCCTCCCAAATAGCTGGGACTACAGGTGTGCACCGCCATGCCTGGTTAATTTTTGATTTTGTGTAGAGACAGGTCTTGCTATGTTGCCCAGGCTGGTCTCAAACTCCTGGACAGAAGCAATCTTCTTACCTTGGCTTCTCAAACTGCTGGGATTACAGGCATGAGCCACTGCACCTGGCCTGGTGTTCCTAACTTTCTCTTCAACCTGAGCTCATAGTCACCATTTTATGTATTATATACTGCGGCTCTTTCAGAAATATTTGAAGAGTATTTGATATTAAAAACCACCAGAAGTATTATTCAGTAGAATGTAAGCTTCAAGAAGGCTGAGGATTTTAAAAATCTGTTTTGTTCACTGCTGTCATCTCCAGTACATAGACCACTCACACGGAGTAGGCAACCAATGAACTGTTTCAACTTTCAACCAATAGGTACTGAACCAGGCACTAATATACGCCAGGCACCAATCTAGGTATGGAGACACAGCAGTAACAAGAGCCAAGAGTCTTTGACCTCATGGAACTAACTGTAGTGATTAACATTTCAAGATAGACACTGGGCTAGGCATATTTCATTTATCCTTCTAACTCTGTAAAATGGGTATTAGATCATTCATCCCCCTCCCTCTCTTTTATTTAAACAGAGAAAACAGAAGCTTGGAAAACTTAAGTAACTTGCCCCAAATAACACAGCTAGCAATATGGCAGTACTTGGATTTGAACCAATTAGGTCTGACTTTAAAATAATGCTCTTTCAGGGCTGGACATGGTGGCTCATGCCTGTAATCCCAGCACTTTGTGAGGCAGAGGGAGAAGCAGGAGGATCGCCTGAGCCGAGGATTCCAGCCTGGGCAACACAGTGAGATCCCATCTCTACCAAATATTGTTTAAAAAATTAGCCAGGCATGATCGTACATGCCTGTGGTCCCAGCTACTCAGGAGGCTAAGGTGGGAAGATCGCTTGAGCCCAGGAGGTTGAGGCTGCAGTGAGCCGAGATCATGCACTGCACACCAATCTGAGCAACAGAGTGAGACCCTGTCTTTAAAAAAACAAATGGTCTTTCCATTAAGTACATTGTTTCTCAAATAAAGGAAACTGGAAAAGTGGGCATAATCTGAGATCAACTCACAAGTAATACAATAAACACAAGGGCATAAAAAAAATAACTAGATTGTAAGCCCATTAGTGGCAGAATTATGTTAGCACTCTGCCTGGACCATAAAAAGAGTGTAATAAATGCTTGTTAAAGTAACTTCAAACTAGAGGCAATACTGCTTTCTGACCTCTGCGGTACTTGACTTCCTCCAGCTTGTCCCATATTCCCTCAAGCCCCTCTACCATGCTAAATACACCAAACTAGTGACTAACTTGGGCTGAGTTCTGTGGTCTATCTTCACTACCTGTTCTCACCAAGGCAAAAAGAAATCAGAGATAGTAAGGAAGTATCACCTTATAAGAAGATTCGAGGGCGGGATGGATTATGTATAAGTCTGGTTCAGCAATAGAAATATAGATGATTTACATTTCAACTGGAACTCTAACTACTAAATAATTACAGACTGAAACTACTGTTGATGCAAATATGCATCACTACATTGTGGAGTTCACCAACCAACCATTAAGAGACCAGACTGATAATCACAAAGCTAAAGAATAATGTATTAAAAGAATAGCAGCAATTAGGAACCACAGTTACTTCAAGGAAACATTGATAAAGTGGCCTTCCCTCTCAACTGTAGGAATTTCAATTATCTACAGGCACATACGTGGTAGTCTTTGCCATGAAATACGGCAGTCAAGCTAGAGGTAGTAGAATACTGATCCAGTGTTCAGTACACACTATTAAGGTACTAATTTTAATTTGCGAGTACCCAATTTTAGTACTTTTTTCTCTTTTCTGAGATGGAGTTTTGCTCTTGTTGCCCAGGCTGGAGTGCAATGACGTGGTCTTGGCTCACTGCAACCTCCACCTCTGGGTTCAAGCAATCCTCCTGCCTCAGCCTCCCAAAGTAGCTGGGATTACAGGCGCCCACCACCACGCCCAGCTAATTTTTGTATTTCTAGTAGAGAGTTTCACCATGTTGGCCAGGCTGGTCTCGAACTCCTGACCTCAGGTGATCCATCCGCCTTGGCCTCCCCAAGTGCTAGGATTACAGGCGTGAGCTACCGTGCCCGGCCCAATTTTAGTACTCTTAATTACTCTTAGGCTGCCAGAAGCCAGCCCATTTCTGCAGATGAAATCTTCTGTCACATTTAAGAACAAAAGGGAAAACTTGGATTTTTAAAAAACCTGTTGTGTGTCAACCATGGGCTGGAAACTGTACTTTAGATACTAACTTTTGTTATCAGTATATACAGCAGGAGCTTTGGCATCCAGTGAACCTATGATCAAAGTTTGTGGGGACAAGTCACTTAGCTTCTTCATCTGTAAAATGGAGATTTACTTAATTCATACCCAATTCTAAGACTTACAATTTATAATATAATAGCTGGCACAGACTGAAAAAGTAGCTATGAAAGTCTGTTTTGCAGAGATGAAGTCTGTGGTATGTACTACTGCCTGAAGGTCCTCAGAAATAATTTGAGACAAGTAGATACCAGAATAGGCATTTGTTTAGCCCAAAGCAAATCTTCACGACTGAGAAGTCAGAGGTATCATGAAAAGTATTCTTAGGAGAAAGAGAGCGAGAATCCAAGGGAACCTCTGGGTTACCTCAGAAAGGAGGACGGGAACTGCAGAGAAGACAATGATCACAAGAAATTTCTAAGTCTTTGAACTAGGGACTGGAAATGCTTACAGGGATGGGCAGCTAACATGAATGAAGGGGTTGAGTAAAGAAAAATTAACTTCCAAAAATGTAATATTTGGCCAGGCATGGTGGGTAATCCTAGCACTTTGGGAGGCTGAGGCAGGAGGATTGCTTGAGGCCAGGAGTTTGAGATCAGCCTGGGCAACCTAGCAAGACCCTGTCTCTAAAACAAACAAACAAAACAAAACCTTAAAAATTATCTGGGTGTGGGTGGCACATGCCAGTAGTCCTAGCTACTGGGGAGGCTGAGGTGGAAGGTTTGAGCCCAGGAGTTCAAGGTTATAGTGAGCCATGTTCACACCACTGCACTCCAACCTGGGCAACAGAGCAAGACCCTGTGTTTAAAAATAAAAAACACACACACAGAAATGTATTTTTATTTAAGCTGTGGGTGTTTATACATGCAAAATACTGGAGTTTACATTTTACATTAACGACATAAGTGAAAAACTAGAAAATTTATCATTACACTTTTTTTTTGTTTGTTTATTCTCCTTTGACTTGGAACTGGTGGCCTGACACATTTATGTGCCAAGAGGTCAATGTTAGGTCTTATATTTTTGTTACAACATGCAGTACAGAATTGAGCCTTGAATGCTTTCACTTCAAGTGACTAATTTGATCCTATTTCATAATGGAAAACAGCTGTTTAGAAATGTAGGCATTTCCAAACACAGAAGTTTGGCATAGTGTTTTTTATATTTCGGTAACTACTTCCGAGGTATTTGTAGAATTCGGCATTTCAATGACATCATGCTTCATTTTCAGTACCATGGCACAGTAATTCTGAATCTCCATTGTAGCTCTTCTTTCATACTCTGAACACTGAGAAAGGCTAATTGAACAATATTAGTTCATTTTCATCAAATATGTCAGAGAACCTTTTCTGGAATTCAACAGACAACTCCACAACTGTGGGAATGTAATTCAGGCCATCACTTTCAATTCTTGGAAACCAATTTCAGCAAAGGAAAGTCAGCCAGTTTATCTCTTGCCAAATGAGTTTCCCAAAGGCATAATTTTGCTAGGAACAAGCAAGTACAACCATACATTTGTGAAGGTATTTCTGAACAATGCTGTTTTTATTCATAGTGTCTAGATGAGTTGTAAAATCAACCAAACAAGCCAAATATTTTATTTCAATCTCTGCGGGTGTGGTGAATGCCCTTTGGATGCCAAATCATTTTTTTCAGCATCTTGAGTATCATGTTCAACTAAGCCAATCAACCTCCATGTCATAGGGCAGATTTCCATAACATGCACCTAATAATTCACCAAGCAAAGTATTCAATTGTGGTGCAAACCACAATGTTAATTACTAGTTTCTGATCTGACTGATTCATTTTGAAGCTTTTAGCAGAAATAGCTTTAAGTTTAGGTCCCTGGAAAGTGTTTCTGCTTCAAATTGTTTCTTGGGTCCAACAGTTCTTAACACTATTGCAGAAGCACAATCTGTAGCCATACTTACTAATTTTGAACAATTGTTATTAAAAATCTCAAGACTTTTCTCATCACACAAAATCCAGGTATTTCCAGATGTACCTGTGATGAGTCCAAGAGTCAGGTTACATCAAATTCTTAACACATAAATCATACCTAAGTGCAGTGGCTCTCGAACTTCAGCATGTATCAGAATCAGCTGGAGGGCTTGTTGAAATGGATCCATAAGCTCCCCCACCTTTCCCGCCAGTTTCTGATTCTGTAGGTCCGATGGGGTAGGGGACTGAGAATGTGTATTTCCAACATGTTTCCAGATGGTACAATGCTGTTGGTCTAGGACCATACTTTGAGAACCACTGGCTACGTATACAGCTAAATGTATAGCTATGTGGATGGAGTTTTTAATCTGTTGTAACCAGCTGCTATGTAAATCTCCAAAAATAATTTAACTTTTTGACTAAATCTGGCCCAAGAATGTTTAGCCATCGATGTTTGACATCCTGAACAAAAGTATTTCCTACCTTTGCAAATGCTTGTTTATAACATAATTTCTGTTGTACTCAACAAACACTTTTATAAAACTACTGCTTAAAAAAGCTTTCAACCCCTGGCAGTTTTTTCATTTAATACATAATTGCCTTTTGTGGCATCACTTATTTTATCTGTATCTAGAAATATAGCCTGTTGAAATTCCAAGTACATTTTTAAGTTCTTTTCATTTCAGCATTCATCATTTTTGTATAATGATATTTCTTTTTTTTGAGACGGAGTTTCGCTCTTATTGCCCAGGCTGGAGTGCAATGGTGCAATCTCGGCTCACCACAACCTCTGCCTCCCAGGTTCAAGTGATTCTCCTGCCTCAGCCTCTCGAGTAGCTGGGATTACAGGCATGCGCCACCACGCCCGGCTAATTTTGTACTTTTAGTAGAGACAGGGTTTCTCCATGTTGGTCAGCCTGGTCTCGAACTTCCGACCTCAGGTGATCCGCCTGCCTCGGCCTCCCAAAGTGCTGGGATTACAGGCGTGAGCCACCGCGCCCGGCTGTATACTGATATTTCTTACAATGGTTTACTTTTAAATGGTATCTTAAATCGTAGTCTTTCAACAGACACATTTTATTTAGACGTATATGAAAATTCATCAATTCCACAAAGAAATAGGCTCTCTCCTGTTCAAATACGTGAACTTCTTCCATAAAAAAGATTTTTTTCACTTTGCACAGATGTAGGAGAAATATTTCATATTCATCAAAAATATTATTTAAAAAGAACAAGCACAACAATCAATGGTGTTTCAGTTATCTATTTCTGTGTAACAAAGTAGCCCCCAAACTTAGTGGCTTAAAACAACATTTATTATCTCATAGTATCTGTAGGCATGGCTTAGCTGGGTCCTCTGGCTCAAGGTCTCCTACAGGCTTCAATCAAGGTGCCAGCCAGGGCTGCAGTCATCTCAAGGCTTGCCTGGGGAAGGATCCGCTTCCAAGCTCACTCACGTACGTGGCTGTTGGCAGCAATTCAGTTCCTTGCAGGCTGTAGTTGGACTGAGGGCCTCAGTTCCTCACTGAGTGTTGGTTGGAGGCTTCCCTCAGTTTCTTTTCCTGTGGGCCTCTCCATAGGGCAGCTCACAACATGGCAGCTTGCTTCATCAGAGTGATCAAGCAAGAAGAGCCAGAGAGAAAGAGAGAGAGAGTGCAAACAAGATGGAAGTCACAGTTTTTTATAACCTAATCTTGGAAGTGACATCCCATCACTTTTGTTGTAGTCTGCTCATCAGAAGCAAGTCACTAGGTCCAGCCCACAAACGGGGGGGACAGGAGGAGATTACAAAAGGGTGTGAATACCAGGAGGTGGGACTCATTGGGAGCCACTGTAGAAGATGTCTACCATGAATGACAAGTGGCACTTCATCATTGTGGCAGGGAGACACCATGGAGCTGTAGAGACCAATAAATGAAGACCATGTGGTTCACCAAAAGGGGTCAACCAGTATTGCCAGAGGATCTGATATTTCAGGAGTGGTTGGAAAGAGACTTTTTTGCAACATTTCTCAATTTTTAAAAGTTGGCAACAAATTCGAACTTGTTAAAAAAGAAGTGTATTCATATAATGCAAGTTAAATGACAGCAGGAAATGATAATCATTCAATTCATTCAACTAGATGATGCCTTAATATTCAGTCCAAGTGCATTATTTGATTTCAGATCCTGGTGAACACTACTGATCAATGAAAATAAACGAAGTTCTTTCAAAAAGAAAAGGAAAAAAATGTGTGGGCCAATGCAAAAATACATGCATGGGCCACATAAGGCCTACGGGCTGCCAGTTTGCCATCTTTGCCATAACCTTTGTAATTTCCTCATGTGATACAGATGAACGGGCAAGGGTTTTGCTTCTGGTATGCAAATCCTGGTTTCTGCCACTTCTACTGGTTATGTCCCTGGGCCTAATGACAAGGGCCGGAGAAATGATCCTGGGGACTTATACCATAAGTATTTTCTTACTTGTCTCCTCTACTAGATAGACTATGAGCTCCTGGAAGGGTAGGGTACCATGCTTTGTACCCCTGACTTCAACACTCCTTATCTCACTTCCCTACTTCATTTTCTCCACAGCATTTCCTATGTCACAAAACATATTTTGCCTATTTATCTTGTTTGTTATTTTCTCCATTAGAATACAAGTTTCATGAGGTCAGAAATCTGTTTTATTCACTGCTGTATCCTCACAATCTTGAACTTTGCCTGGCACACAGGAGTCCAATACATTGGCTGAATAAATTAATTCCGTTGTTCATAGTACTTAGCACAGTGTCTGGCACAGAACAGGTGCTCAAAAATATTAACTGAACTGAAAAGCATTGTCCTGATAAGAAAAATGGGGTAAAATTAGGCTAGATAATGGTGGGCAGATCATGAAGGCATGCCATGGCATGCCATGCTAAGCTTAAAGCATGAGAGTGAGGTGATCAATGTCCAACCTACTAGGTGCACAAGATATTTTATACTTTTTTTTTTTAATATATACAGGGTCTTAACTCCGTCGCCCAGGCTGCAGTGCATTGGTGCGATCTCAGCTCACTGCAACCTCAACCTCTCAGGCTCAAGCAATCCTCCTGCCTCAGCCTCCCAAGTAGCTGGGACTACAGGTGCGCACCACCATGCCCCGCTACAAGATATTTTAGTCAATATAATAGTAGCTGGCATTTATATGGCATTTACTACATGCCATATGATGTTCCAAGCATATTACTTAAATCATTTAACACTCACAACAAAATTTGTGATGTAGGTATTATTGTTAAACTGAGGCACAGAGCAAGTAACTTGCCTAAGCTTACATAATGAGTACTTAGAAGAATAGGGATCTAAACCCAGGCAGTCTGGCTCCAAGGCCTGTGTTGTCAGCCATTATGCTACACAAACTAAATATAGGAAAAAATGTTCTAGAAAAAGTTATTAAAATATAACTATAAAAACGCAATTATACTGTTTTGAGATATGTTAAAGATGAAGGATTTTGGTGTCAAATATCTTTAGGTCCAAATCTTGGTCCAACCATGTTCTAGCAGTGTATCCTTGGGCCAGTAACTACACTGAGCCTGTTTTTTTGTTTTTTGGTTTTTGGCTATAAAAAGTAGAGATTTAGGCCAGGCGTGGTGGCTCACGCCTGTAATCCCAGCGCTTTGGGTGGCTGATGCAGGCAGATCACCTGAGGTCAGGAGTTCGAAACCAGTCTGGCCAACACGGTGAAACCCCGTCTCTACTAAAAATACAAAAATTAGCTGGGTGTAGTGGCACGCACCTGCAGTCCCAGCTACTTGGGAGGCTGAGGCAGGAGAATTGCTTGAACCCAGGAGGTGGAGGTTGTAATGAGGCAAGATCATGCCACTGTACTCCAATCTGGGCCACAGAGCAAGACTCTGTCTCAAAAAAAAAAAAAAAAAAAGAGATTTAATCTGTCATAGGAGTAGAGGAAAAAATAGAGATTAATACCTCTCCTGTTGGGTGGTTGTGAGGATTAAATGAATATTGGTGAGGTACCTCGCCCATGTGGTAGCTATTATTACTACCATCAAAGGGGAATATATTCTATAAGTGCATTGCTAAGTAGCTACAAAACTTCTGAGTAAAAGGAGTTTGGCAATTCAGTTTGCAATCTGAGTTTATTTAGATGGAATTAACATATAACATTGTATAGCACTGATTCTAAATTCTTCATCTGACCTGTAAAGCCCTCTGTAGTGATTCAGTCAGTAAAGGCAAATCAACCAATCTCTCTCACGGCAAACATTATTTTATATATGTCAAGTCCTAGAGCAAATCTCCGCCCTCTTAGAACTCATTTAAAAGAGAATTATGCGATATGAAAATACTATGAAAGAGAAAAAAATATGAGAGAGGTAAGAACAGAGTACTCTGGTAGTAAAGGGAAGGCTTCATCTACCACAGCTGACAGAGGCTGGCTAGGAAAGATTCTATAGGATAACTTTTGAGCAGGAATAAGGGGGAATTTGCTATGCAAAGGTCAAGATAAACATAAGAAAAATACTATGAGAGAGGACACGGTATGTCTAGGAAACTAAGAAAATATAGAATGGTTGGAACAGGGGTGGCCAGAGGTGAGCACCAGGTAAGTCTGGAGAGAGTTTGGGATCAGATTGTGAAGGGCGCTGTCTGCCATGCTGAGAAGTTTGGACTCGGTAGGGTGGGCAAATACACCTTTGGGCATATAACAGAGTCAGCTTCTGTTTTCAGAATCGTGTCTCTGGCAGCAATATGGCAGATGGAGTCCGGAGAGTGTTATGGTAAAGGAACAAGTTGACACTGTCTTCCTGGTTCAGGTAAGAAATTTTGGCAGCCTGAACTAAAGCAATGGGGGTGGAAACAGACAGAAGTAGCTGGACTCAGGAGACATTTCTGACGTAGAACTCAAAGGATCCGATGACCAAGTAAATGTGGGAAGTGACAGGAGAGTGAAGAATTGAGGACTCCACAGCTTCTGGCTTGAAACTGATGAAAGACACCATTCATAGAAAAAGAGAGTACCAGAAGTGAAACAAGTTTTGGGGAAACATAATGAGTTCCATTTTGGGTATTTTTTAGTTTAAGTGACCTAAAAGACATCAAGTAGTAGAGAGCTGAAAAGATGTGTTGAAAGCTCATGAGAGAGGTCGAGGGTAGAGACAGAGCAATAGGAATCATCAGAATTTAATTAATACTTAAAGCCACAATAATGGATGAGATTGCTCAGGAAACAAAAGCAGAAGAATATGACTAGGACAGAAGCCTTGAGGGCACCAACATTTAAAGAAGCAGGCAGAAGAGGAATAAGGAAAAGAGAAGAAAGAACTAGAGGGTTACAAGGAGAATCAGAAGTGAGCTGAATTATGAAATCCAAGGAAGATAGTTCAAGAATAGGATGGCTTGATATTAATGATCTTAAAGAGGACCAAGAAAGGCTAAGAATGGAAATGCATGTGGCAGCTTCAGAGTGGTGACATCAGATATAAAGTAGCACTAGGCTAGGGAATGGGAATTAATACAATCTGCTTCTTTAAGAATAATGGTGAATAGGGAAGAAAGGAGATAAAGATAATGGCTCGAAGGAATTAGAAAATAAAGGGGAAGTTTTTGTTTTTCAAAGATTATTTGTGCATGCTGTAAGTGAAAGAAACCAGAGAGGCAGAGACTGAAACTGTAGAAAGGACAGGGATTACTACTTTTGAATTCCTATAACATCACTGTATGACTCACTTACTTGGCACTTAGCTTACACATTTGCCTTGTACTGGCAGTATTGTACATTTAGCAATGCTGGCACAAACTAAGTGCTCAAAAAATCTACTTATGATTGTCTTCTATGCATATTGTCTAGCCAATAACAGTGTACGATCATACACAAGAATGTATAAAATGAAGGAAACAGGATGGTGGGATTGTGTAAACTTTGAGCAATATAAACCTAGAACAATAATTTTTATCCACCACTTACTAGTACTTAGAACAAAGAAAAATTATTTTACCTCTTGGTTACCTCAGTTACTCAACTGTAAAATGGGGAGAATACCATGCACCTTGCAAGCTCTTGAGGATTAAATGAGATATTTTAAAAGCTTTTAATATACAACTTGTTGCCTAAGAAGTAATTATTATTTTGATTATTTTCCAACGACTAGAGCATCTAGAAAAGTCAATGACTTTTCAGAATGTCTATGACTAATGGTAAGTAAACAATCAGGAGGCATAGCAGCCATTGCTTTATCGTATTCTAGAGAACCAAAGCACAAAATGGTATCTGTTCTCAAAGTCTGGTTATTCATATGCCACCAACATGATTTCTGCCATATCCACGTACTGCAACTTAATAGCTTTCTTTAAATCAACTCATTTTATGTAATCATAATCATTCTAAAAAAGTATAGCTGTGAAATGGTGAGTCTGATGTGCTGATCATTTTTTTCTAATTACACAGTAACCATTAAAACAAAGCATTCATTCCCTTAATCACCCTAAATTATCTCCTGAATCACAATCTAAAACTGCTTTAGGTTGCTTTATTTCTGAGACCCTTAGGAAGCAATCAGGCAAGCAATTTGTGGGTTTACTTAATTTTCCTTCTACTGATTATCATTTACAAAGCTTTGCAGAGCATATAAATGAAACCAACCAAATCAAAAAATTCATCCCAGCAATACACACTGGATCTTTTCATGGGAAGTCCGAAGTTGTCTAAAGCTAAACAGACAACCCAGCAATTTATCTATTATTTAATCCTTCCACCTCTACTTTCTGTATCACAAATGAAAATGAGACTGGGAATAAAGGCCCATCTTGTGGTCTAGCCTGAAGAACAAAACCAAAGAGGGGAGAGATACAGTAGTGGGTTTTGTTCTGAGGCACTGACATTCAGTCAAAAGAAATAGTAGGCATGCAGATCATCCAAGTGAAAAATTCCCACCTTCAAGACAGTAGAACACTCCTCTGAAAAGGGAAACCACAATCGGTTATTAATCAATACTTTCAAGTCTGTGCTACAATCCAGGGAGTTCTTTATCACTCCAGTAACAACAAAAAAGTCACTGACCAGAACCGAGAGAGAACTTCACTCATTAGTAACATCGACAGACACTTTAGATATGCAATTTTGGAGCTGGTCTTAAATCCATTATATTAAGAGCCACACTACACTCTTAAAAAGTCACTTCTACAATCCATTCTCTTAGGATCATTGACCTATTCACTATGGAAAAAAACAATGTACCCTGCACCCAAAGTACACAGGACATTATGGAGAATACAAAAAGATCAGAGTTTGTTTATAATCTAGCACAGGGAATAAGATTTATACATTCCCCAAGAGTGCTTCTAAGGACTAAAGAGGACTGCTGGGAATTTTTCCCCAACATTTTATTATGAAAAACTTCAAACACATGGCAAAGTTGAGATAATTTTACAGTGAACATCTGAATACCCGTGACTGAGATTCTACTATTTTTACTATACCTGATTTATCACATATCCATCTATTCAATCCATCTTTTTTATTAACTGCTGGGATTTTAAAAATGAGACTGTGTAGTGAAGTATGACAAAAATATACTAAGGGCTGCTTCTCTAAAGATTTTGACTGATGGGGTATATAAACAAAAAAAACTTTGGAAACCACAAACCCATACTCAAGTGTTCAACTCTCCTGCCAACCTCCAATCAAAATCTATTCAGAGCTCATAACTGGCTATTCGGGTCTCCACACCCTTGTCCGCTATCTGAACTATCTACAGCCCTCTTCATGGCTTAGCACCATCGGTGAAGCCTTCCCCAACTTTCACTCCCTTACTCAAAATTAACCATGCCCCCTATAGGGGCCACATTTTTCATCACTTGCAATTAGCCCACAGTATCTGCAATTTATTATCTCTTTCACTAAACCTTGTCCTCCTTGAGGACGGGATCCCCTTATTTACCTCTCAGTCCTCAGCAAGCAGCTAGTACTTAGCCTACAGCAAGCACTCAAATAAAAAAGTAAGTGAATGACCTGAACACGTCTTTACCCAGGAGCCAAGGAAGAGTTTAGCTGAGTGGGGAAATGATCTAATCACAGTGGCACTTTAGAAAGATTCATTTTAGAGCAGCACTGTTGTTTAGAGTATGAGCTTTGGAGGAAGACCACATAGGCACAAATCTCAGCCCTGCCACTTATCTCTGGGTGACTTTGGGCAAGTTTCTAAGCCCGTGCCTCAGTTTCCTCATTTGGAAAACAGGGATAATACTGCTTTCATAGGTTATTGCGAGGATGATGAGGTAATTTTTTTTAAAAGAAGTGCACAGATCGACACCTAAAACATAGTAAATATTCCATCAATGTGGTCACTATTGCCAGCAACCAGGTTAATAACAACGAGGTTAAAAAGTCCTTAAAAGCCTGGGTGGTAGCAGTGAAAACAAAGTGGAAAGAATGGCCATGAATAAAGAATCTACCTTAAAATGTTCAGTCAGAAGAGCAAGCAAATGTGTGCCTTTTTTTTTTTTTTTAACCTTGTATGAGATAGCTCACGTTTGGATTAGTTTAAATTAAAACAACTATAATCTAGGCACTCTAGGCACAGATTTGATGCTGAGAACGAGTCTAGCATGACTGGACTCTAGCCACAAGCTCTATAACCACTGCAAGCTTCTCTGTTTAGGTCTTTTAGTCTCTGAGCTAAAATTTCTTTCCTCCTCATTACTCCAGCCGACACCACTTCTTAAGTGATTCCCACAATCCCCTGTTCTGTCTAACTGTAAGGACAACCCCCAAGAACCTTGGTTGGGGAAATAGGTTTGCGGTTTCTTTCTACCCAACCCTGTACTACTTTTCTTTTTCTTCTTCCTGCCCACCTCCTTTACTTCCCAAGCCTTGCTATTCTCTACACGTAGGAACTTGAAACCTAAGAGTATGGGAAAGCAACAGAGCAGCAGCAGTGGTGCCAAGAACTGGGGATGCTGCCAAGCTGTTCCCCAGGCCCCATATGCAGTGACCCAACTACATGCAGATTGGACTTAACTGCCTATGGGGCCTTGCACACTTAATATTCCTTTTTGCTTCTGCTCATTTTCTTCCTCCCACTTAAAGCAGCCTCCTCCCAAGCTTGTGACTCATTCAAATCCAATCCACCTTTGAAGACCCAGGTGAGGTCCGACTTCTTCAGGGAAGCCTCCCCTGACCACTTTAGTCCAAAGATATCCCACCACTCCCACATACAGAAAACAGGAACTGTACTTACTGTCTGGACCATAAGGCATAATCACATACACATTGCTATAATTAAATGTTTCATGTGTATACATTTAACTTTCCAAGGGCATGAGCAGTGTCTCACATGTCTTTAAAACCCTTACACTCAGTGAGTTAATACTTGCTGAACAGTGACTGAATCAGTGGGTTTTTATGTGTTTAGGCTAAGGCAGGAGGAAGAAGATGCATGTTGAAATGAAAAAGGCTGAATGGACACAGATGGGTAAAAAAGCAGCAGTGGGTGAAGACGGAAAAACAATGTAGAAGAAAGGTGTTCAGTTCACACCTGCTTAAGTGATTTACTGCGAGGTTGGAAAGAGATACAGGAGAGAGATGTCAACTGGCAAAAGCAGGGTAAAGGCATTTCAGTTTGAGGCAGAAGACACCAGGAGAAAGATGAGGCTACAAAAGAAATTCTGACTAGATTCTGCTGAAACCTAGTGGTAGGCCAATTGGATAAGGGAAGCTAAAGGGAGCTACTGGGATGACATGAGTAGAGATATGGCCATGTAGGTGAGTGAATCCGTAGGGGGTGGTATGAAGGGGGAGGTAAATGGATAAAATGGTAGAGGGTAGTTAGGCAGGTAGGTTAGCTGTTGGGCGGGTAGGTGGGTGGGTAGATGGGAGGTAGGGTAGTGGGTAAGTGGGTAGGTGGTTAGGTATTTAGTTGGGAGGGAATAGGTGTGGGGCTTATTATTTAAGATCCGGCCCCTCCCTCACCTTGACCCGGAAGCGGATGAGTGCTAGCCTCACGCAGTGGCTCAGGCAGGCCGGTGGCAGGAACCAGGCCCGCGGTGGAGGGGTGCCCTTGTTGCCCACGTGTCCCACGATCAGTTGCGCTGTCTGCCGCTCGGCCTGGCACCGACGGCCCCACTCGGCCAGCCGGTCCTTGCCCAGGCCCCCCGGGAACATGACCACGAGCTCCAGGCCGTCGCCGCCAGGATAGGCACAAGCCTGGCACAGCGCTGACAAGTAGCCCAGCATGGCGTTCCATTGGCCGCCACACACCCAATCCGTCTGGTAGCCGCCATAGAGCCGCGGCAGCGCCGAGCCGGCGTCCACCAGCACCCGGGCCCCGGGCAGCTGAGGGGGCGGCGGCGGCGGCAGCGGAGGGTGCAGCCCGGGCTGCGCTTGGCCATGATGGTGGAAGTGGTGAGCGGGGTGATGGTGCCGAGTCGGCCCCGCGCCCCCGGAGTAGGCACCCAAGGCAGCGGGCGGAAGCGGCGGTTGCAGAGGCACGGAGCCCCTGGCGGCGCGTGGAGCCCCGGGCGCTAGGGCTGCAGTCGGCGGCAGCTGGCGGTGCAAGTGCTGCTGCTGCTGCTGGCGCGAGACCGTGCGCGCGAGTTTTAGGAGGTCCACGGGCACCACGGCCCCGGGACAGCGCTTCTCCAGGAACTCTTGGAAGCCCTGGACACCCATGCTTCGTCGGTGGGCAGACGCGATAGCGGCTGCGCAAGCAGGATAGGCGACGATCTGGGCGCGAAGCTGGGGGCGGGCGCGTGCGCACTCCGCGGGGGGCGAGGGGGGGCGGGAAAAGGATTCCCGAGGGGAGGGGTGAGGAAGCGAGGGAATGAGGGCGGGGAGGGGAGGAGACCACAAATTGGATTTGGGTAGAGAGAAGGGGAGGGGCAGACCGGACCCGGGAGAGGCTGGGAGGATAAAAGCGAGGATGGGCTCTAGTCACTTCTCTTTTTTCTCCTTTCCGGCCGCTCTTCTTCCCGCTTTAGAAGGGGTGAAGCCTCTTTCTTCCACCTCCGGGAGCCATGTTGCCTCGTCTTCTCGGTGGTACACGCTTTCTAGCTGGAGGAAGGGGAGCGAGGAGGGGCGGGGCGGGGCGGGGAGAGGGGCATCTTGGTAGTTGTAGTCTTCTCTATGGCCTTAGGATATAGTCGAGGAACCAGACTACCACCCTTCTCAGCCCTTGTGCTCACAGGGTCACAGGAAGCGGGGCGTGATGATGAGTGTTTAGGAGTTGCACTCCAACTCCTTGCATCTCACTGAGTTGCTTAGGTTATTTACTGCTTTTTCCTGGAAAAAGAGTTTTGGGGGATGGATTGATGCATCATGGGAATGGAAGTTAGAGTGGATTGACTGAATTCAGCTAAAGTGAGCTAAAACTCCCCAGGAGGGAGGATTTTCCCCTTAGTGGAAAGATAATATTTAAAGAGCTGTTGGTCCCAATTAAGAAAGACGTAACTGGTCGGGCGCGGTGGCTCACGCCTGTAATCCCTCCGAGGCGGGCAGATCACGAGGTTAGGAGATCGAGACCATCCTGGCCAACATGGTGAAACCCCGTCTCTACTAAAAATACAAAAAGTAGCCGGGCGTGGTGGCACGTGCCTGTAATCCCAGCTACTGGGGAAGCTGAGGCAGGAGAATCGCTTGAACCTGGGAGGCGGAGGTTGCAGTGAGCCAAAATCATGTCACCGTACTCCAGCCTGGTGACAGAGCCAGACTCCGTCTCAAAAATAAATAAATAAATAAAAAGAAACTTACATTATTTACTTGCCTAAGGCAATGCAGAGACAAAGTTAAATCGAATATCCTTGCCCTCAGCATCTCTTTGGGCAGGGAGATAATTACCAACACAAATTACATTACAAATTGTACCTTTTTGGTACTCCTAGATCCACTATGTCCTATGGTTAGGGCCTTTGGTTTCCAAACTTCATTGTGTTTTAGTCTGTCGGGAGCTTTTCTAAATAGCTGCAAGGGCTCTAATTTCAGATGTATGGAGTCATAATCTTTTGAAAAATGTATTTTCAACATACTGAGATGAAACAGATGCAGTGCCTGTCTTCTTTCTGGCTTTTAGGGCCGGCCCACTCTTTCAGCAGGAATAAAGCAGAAAACAAGATCTGAAATGAGTAGTAGCCAGATCTGGCTTGGAACTTACTGGAAGATGGGAGATAATGGCAGGCAGAGTTAGAATGCAGAAGTGCAGAACCCAAGAGTGATCGGGATGAATGAGATAGGGGAATACTCTATTAGGATGCAAAAGCAAAAAAGCTTCAAGCTACATAAAAGAAATTATAAAATAGTGGAGATGGAACAAGCCAGATTGTCAAAGAATAAGTAGATGGCAAGGCAGTGTACATAGTTAACTCTTGAAAGCAAGCAGTGAAAGGAGAGAGCAGTGGCTTGAAGGGATGAAGGATGGAAGGAATGGAGGTTTTTTAGTATAATGGACACGTGTGGGACGGTCTGCCCAGCCCCTCTTTTCCGGGAATTGACCCTCCACCTTCCCCCATTTATAGGGTTATGGCAAAAACTGTCGTGTTCCTATAACCATAGCTTATTGGGTCAGAGGTGGGCAGCTAATCCAACCTGGGGCAATCAAAATCTCATTTTCTAGAAATTTGCAATTAGACAAGAGATACCAGCTTTTCTCTAAGTGTAAAGCTTGGAAGCTGTCAACCAATTTTCCCACCAGAGGGACAGAAGTGAAAGATGCTGGTCTGCAGAAAGAGAGAAAAAATGCAGACTTTCAGAGAAGAACAAAGGTGAGAAATAGAGTCTTCATTGTGTTCAATTCCCAGCTTCCAGATAATGCAGTGGTGTGATTACAGCTCGCTGCAGCCTCGACTTCAGCCTCAGCCTCCTGAGTAGCTTGGGACTACAGACACATGCCACCATGCCTGAATAATTTTATTTTTTGTAGAGACCCTAAAATGTAGAACAGATAGAGATCAGAGACCTCTGCATCAGTTGATAGGAAGGAAGTTGGCATTCTGTGTTATTTGGCAGTGAAGCATTTGCTTATTGCTCTTGGGACTCAAAACAGCAGCCCCTTTTGCTTATAACAAGAGATCTGCATTTGCTGAGGGTCAGATATTCATTGGCCTTGCTGAATTACAGCAGAATCTCAATTTTGTCTCAAAGGTTTCACCAGTTAGGAAACTGGCATCAAGGCAATTGGAACGAAGTTATCTATATCTGCCTCCTAAGTAGTACTCCTTGTTCTCCAGCGCTCCTAAATGTGATGAATAGAAGCCACAACAGGATGATCCAGGCTGTTTCCTTTAGCAGATCTGAAGCTTCAAAGAGCCTAACTTGACAAGATTCTTGGCACTTGTTTTTAGCATTCTGAGTCCCCTCAAAATGAAACCAACAGGCAGTCAAATAAGGTTTTAAAGAATCTGTATCACTAGAAGATCAAATCTGTGAATAGGGACCATAATTGATCAGCCAGAGCAGTGATTCTCTTTTTTTTTTTTTTGAGATGGAGTCTCACTCTATCGTCCAGGCTGGAGTACAGTGGCGCGATCTCGGCTCACTGCAACCTACACCTCCCAGGTTCAAGCAATCAGGTGATTCTTCTGCCTCAGCCTCCCAAGTAGCTGGGACTACAGGCATGCGCCACCACGCCTGGCTAATTTTTGTATTTTTAGTAGAGACAGGGTTTTACCATGTTGGCCAGGGTGGTCTCGAACTCCTGGCCTCAAGTAATCTGCCCACCTTGGCCTCCCAAAGTGCTGGCATTACAGGCATGAGCCACCGTGCCTGACCAGAGCAGTGATTCTCAAAAGTATGTCTCTGGAGCAAGCACATCAGCATCACCTGCAAACTATTAGAAATGTACATTTTCAGGCTTCACTTCAGACCTCCAGGATCAGAAACTCTGAGTGTGGGGCCAGAAATCTGTGGTTTAAGTAACATTAGTTAAAGCAGTGAAGACAGATTTTATTCAGTAACTACTGACAGAAGAGGAAAGAGTTGAGCTTCATTCTGATTTGCACAGAGGTGACTGGGCATTTTAGAGGGAAAATGAGGGAGTAGGGAAGGAAAGCAAGCAGGGACTCAGTAGCGTCATGGAAGTGAAAAATTACAGAGGGTTTCTCAGTATAAATGTGATTAGGCCAGCTGTGTCTGCTACCTGGCAATTACTGAAGTTAGATTTTTATCCTCCCAGAGACTGGGAGACAGAGGCCCTACCCTACATTTCAAAGGACTGGCTTCCAGGCCCTTGAGAAACAAACACTCTGTAGTTTGTAGGAAATACATAAACATCTCAAAGGAACAGAGGAAGGATTTACAATACTAAGCCCTTTTTTACTAAATGCCCTAAGAAAGGGAAGCAGGCCAGGCTTGGTGGCTCCCGCCTGTAATCCCAGCACTTTGGGAGGCCCAGGCAGGTGGATCACCTGAGGTCAGGAGTTCGAGACCAGCCAGGCCAACATGGTGAAACCCCATGTCTATTAAAAATACAAAAAAACTAGCCAGGCATGGTGGTGCACACTTGTAATCCCAGCTACTGGGAAGGCTGAGGCAGGAGAATTGCTTGAACCCAGGAGGTGGAGGTTGCAGTGAGCCAAGATTGCGCCACTGTACTCCAGCCTGGGCGACAGAGAGAGACTCCATCTCAAAAAATAAAAATAAAAATAAATAAATAAATAAATAAATAAATAAAATAAAGAGAAGCTGAGGCCTATCCTTAGGTGTGGACTAGAACAAACTGAAAGATTTTCCTGACAGGGAATTCAAAAGTGAGCTGGGGCTGGGTGCAGTGGCTCATGCCTGTTAATCCCAGCACTTTGGGAGGCTGAGGCGGGCAGATCACGTGACGTCAGAGTTTGAGATCAGCCTGGCCATCGTGGCAAAACCCCATCTCTACTCAAAATACAAAAATTAGCCAGGCATGGTGGCGCACACCTGTAATCCCAGCTACTCGGGAGGCTGAGGCATGAGAATCACTTGAGCCTGCGAGGCGGAGGTTGCAGTGAGCTGAGACTGCGCCACTGCACTCCAGCCTGCTCAATAGAGTGAGACTCCATCTCAAAAAAACAAAACAAAACAAAAAGTGAGCTGGGTCTTCTCAGGGATTCAATCTTAAGACTGCCAGAAACCATGCTAATGTTTGGTAAAGTCTCTTAGTGCAGGGGTTTGAATGGAGTGTACCTGCCGAGTTTTTGCAGGTCTTACTAGCCCTTCAGGTGATTCTAGCCGCACTCTTGAGTTTGAGAATCACTGCTTTTCTAGAAAAATACTCTTAGGCCCATGTCCAGACTGGTTAAGCAAGGAGGTACATCAGTAAATTGATTGCCATTTTTTATATGCCTGTAATTTCTTTCTTTTATTCTGATCCAGGTGGAAATGGACCTGGTGGCTGATAATGGTGTGACCCCTCCTTTCCTAAATAGGCTTTTTTTTTTTTAGATGAAGTCTCGCTCTGTCGCCAGGCTGGAGTGCAGTGGCGCAATCTCGGCTCACTGCAACCTCCACCTCCTGGGTCCAAGTGATTCTCCTGCCTCAGCTCCCCTAGTAGCTGGGACTACAGGCGCGTGGCACCACACCCAGCTAATTTTTGTATTTTTAGGTGAGACGGAGTTTCACCATGTTGGCCAGGATGGTCTCGATCCCTTGACCTCGTGATCCGCCCGCCTTGGCCTCCCAAAGTGCTGGGATTACAGGCGTGAGCCACCGTGCCCGGCCTAATGGGCTTTTTTTTGAGACAGAGTCTCACTCTGTCACCCAAGCTGGAGTGCAGTGGTGGGATCTCAGCTCACTGCAACCTCCGCCTCCCAGGCTCAAGCGATTCTCCTGCCTCAGCCTCCCCAGTAGCTGGGATTACAGGTACATGCCACCACGCCCAGCTAATTTTTGTAGTTTTAGTAGAGATGGTGTTTCACCATGTTGGCCAAGCTGGTCTCTAACTGCTGACCTCAAGTGATCTGCCCACCTTGGCCTCCCAAAGTGCTGGGATTATAGGCGTGAGCTACCGTGCTGGCCCCTAAAAGGGCATTTTGATTGTGGTTATCTAATTATTTCTCTACTCTTGCATATTAGATCTATTGGTGGCAATTAAGTTTATCAGAGGTTGTGAGATCAAGAGCAGCCATATTTACATTGTCACCGAACTAGAGGAGGAAAGGTTATGTCCTTGCCATACCATTGCTTCTGAATGCAGTAGTTGCATATGACCAGCAGTTGTCCATGGCTAATGTTAGGTGCTGGCATTTTGGGAATTGTAGGTATGGGGAAAACAGCATGTTTATGGGACAGCCAAGAGGAGGTTTATAGATAAATATCTATTAGACTGTCTCTGCAGCACCCCTTTTCTACCATCTTATCTACCTTATCCTCATGGTTGCAGCAGGAGCCATCCTTTAGGGACATTCCCAGAGAATTTGATTGAGCTGGAGAAGAAGACATGAAAAATCCTGGCTGTATTCAGACACCTGGTTCATTTGCTCCTAAGGCCCATCTGTATTATCCCTGGGTTCTTTGAGGCACCCCTATCTTTATAAATTCCTATTTTTGCTTAAACTTGTTCAAATTGTGTTTATACTACTTAAACACAAGATTCCTAACATAAATAGTACAGGAGAAACTATACAGGATGGAAGTCATAGAATAGCGTTTCAGAATGTGTGCTTTGGAGCCAAGAACTGGTTTCCAATACCAGTTCAACTTTTTATTAGCTGTATAGTTTTAACAAGTTGCTTAGCCTCTTGTACCCTTCCTGTATCTGTGAAATGGGGGCCCATTAATTTATTCAACAGATTTATTTAATACCTACTACATGCCAGGAATAAAGCTGGGCACTGGAAGAAAGCAGTTTTAAAGACAGTCAAGGAGCACAGAAAGGTGATAAGTAATGATACCTTAGAAGCTTGTGAAGATTAAATGACATTGTAGAGCACTAGCATAATAACTGGCACAATAAGCACCTAAGAAATGTTAACTCTTATGAAGGGTGGGGAGAAGCATAAAGAGGTTATATGGAGAGTTCACATCAAACTCAATCTTATGTCATCATTCCACTGAAGTAGGAACTAGGTGTTCAGTTTCTGAAAGAGGTCCACTTAGCTTTCTCTATTGCCCAAATCCTTGGGGCCTCTTTGAGAGGCTATGAGGTCATAGAGTTATAGGAAATAATTCATCAGAAGGTCTAATGAGGTTGCCATATTGCTTGTGTTACCTGAATCAGCAACTGGCTGACAGTAGGAAAGTCATTTGATTAGTAAACAATGACAGTGGTTCTCAACCCAAGTCACCTATCAGTGTCACCTGGGAAGCTTTTTAAGATGATGGTGATTCTAGAGATGGGGCCCAGACACTAAATTTAAAAATTTTATTTTTAATTGTAAAATACACATAAAATTTACCATCATAACCATTTTTAAGTATATGGTTCAGTAATATTAAGTATATTCATATTGTTGTACAACTAAAACATTTTTTAAAATAGTTCCCAAGGTGATTCTAATATACAGTCAGGGTTGAGAACCACTGAGCTGGAATGGAGAACGTTTATAAATACTGGTTAAATTCCTAAGCCTACTTCCTCATTTGTAACATGCATGTGAACTAGTCCTTTCCAATTCCAAAATTTTATGATAGTCTTTTCTCCACCTAGCCCGAGGTCTTGCTCCTATCTAGACCATCATTTATGCTATACTTCACTCCTGTCTTGAGCTCCTGTTATAATGTCCGTCTTCTCCCCACTCCCCAACTACTTCACCTCTTTCTAAACCCTAGTCACAGATGTAATTCTGTTATGTCATTCTGTGTGTGTGTATGACGGAGTGTCACTGTGTCGCCAGGCTGGAGTGCAGTGATGCGATCTTGGCTCACTGCAACCTCCACCTCCTGGGTTCAAGCGATTCTCCTGCCTCAGCCTCCTGAGTAGCTGGGACTGCAGGTGTGTGCCACCATGCCCAGCTAATTTTTGTATTTTTAGTAGAGACGGGGTTTCACCATGTTGGCCAGGATAGTCTTGATCTCTTGACCTTATGATCCACCCACCTCGGCCTCCCAAAGTGCTGGGATTACAGGCACGAGCCACTGCGCCTTGCCTGTTATCTCATTCTTTTACTAAGTGGTGCTCATTAATGATGGCGTATTTTAAAAGGGTCTATGTTGGTCTTATTCCCCAACTTAAACACTCTCACCTCTACACCTCACTTTATTACATCATCTTGCCCCTTTTGGGCCAACACCCAATTTTTTCCACCAACAGACCTTATGTTAACCCACGGATTGAGTTCAGTTTTTTTGTCACCTCTGTTTTGTCCTCATTTACAATAATGATCTGTAAGGTCCCTTGTGTAAGTTATTTGAGCAAACCTACTATGTATCAGGCACAGTGATAAGCCCTTTATATGCTTTTTCATTCAACCTCAAAACAACCTCACTGAGGGAATTATCCTTTTTACAGATAAGGAAATTGAGGCTAAAAAGTCAAGCAATTTTCCCAAGTCCGTAAGATAGAATACAACTCCAGGTCTGCTGGACTCCAAAAGGTATCTGTATTAACTATAATCAGAATCAGGGCCCATTTCCAAACCAGTTTAATTTCCCAAGTGCAAGTTTACTGTGAAAGTCACCAGTGATATCTAACAATAAGTGCAATTAGTAGAGACAGGGTTAGTTGCCTTAACACGTCTCATTTAATACTCATAACCACCTCATTTTACAAGTGAGGAAATATAGGTTCGAGAGGTCTGTGAATCAAAAAAAACCCATGCTTATTCCACATGTACCTTGTTACCTCCCTTTAAGGATCACCTAAGATAGAATGACTCACAGTCATTGGGTCAGTAAATCAAGATAACATATATTTAAAAACACCTTTAAAACACTCATCTAATCTTGAATATTTCTGATAGGCCTATTACTCTTCATCCAGGGTTGTTTGCATAAGCATATGCATGTCCTTCTCCCTAAGTTACCAGATGAGCAAGTGATCTGACCCAGTCTTGAGTTTCTCAAGTCAGTGCAGAGTGACGAATGAGAAGTGTGGGAGGGAGATTTCCAAATACGTGTTTTTCTAAAGGTGGATGATACACACTATCAACATGAAAGGAAATACTTCTTAATAAGTTTGTGCATAGGGAACACTTTGAATCCTTGCTTGGGCCATAAAAACCTCCTTCTGAAACTGTGAAATAAGCACTGGATACAACTTCATGAAAGACATGTAAAAAGTGTTCATACAGGTTGGGTGCAGTGGCTCATGCCTGTAATCCCAGCACTTTGGAAGGCCGAGATGGGAGGATTGCTTGAGCCCAGGAGTTCAAGACCAGCCTGGGCAACATGGTGAAAACCCATCTCTACGAAAAATACAAAAATTAGCCAGGTGTGGTGGCAGGTGCCTGTGCTCCCAGCTACTCGGGGAGCTGAGGAGGGAGGATCAATTTGAACCCAGGAGGTTGAGGCTGCAGTGAGCCGTAATTGCACCACTGCACTCTAGCCTGGGTGACAGAATGAGACCTTGTCTGGAAAAAAAAAAAAAAAGTGGGCCAGGCAAGGTGGCTCACGCCTGTAATCCCAGTAGTTTGGGAGGCCAAGGCGGATGGATCACGAGGTCAGGAGTTTGAGACCAGCCTGGCCAATATGGTGACACCCCGTCTCCACTAAAAATACAAAAATTAGTCGGGCGTGGTGGCACATGCCTGTAGTCCTAGCTACTTGGGAGGCTGAGGCAGAAGAATCGCTTGAACCCGGGAGGTGGAGGATGCAGTGAGCCAAGATCGCACCACTGCATTCCAGCCTGGGTGACAGCGAGAGACTCTGTCTCAAAAAAAAAAAAAAAAAAAAAGTGTGTACATACAAATCCTATTAGATAAAGGCCTACTCTAAATGTATCTGAATTATTATGCATGTAGTACATCTGAGAATCAGTGTGGCCTAGGGTTTTTCCCATGAGCTGTGCAGACAGACAGATCTGGGTTTGGATCCAGGCTTCACTACTGACTAGCTATGTGGCCCTAGTAAATTCTTTAATCTCTCTGATCCTCAAATTTGCATTGTAAGTGGAAATAGTAACAGACCCATCTTATAGGATTTTGTGTGAATTAAAAATATCGCAGGTAAAAGCCTAGCTAACACAGTATGTGTTCAGTAAATGAGAGCAACTGTTACAATTATGGCTCATGTACAAGCGTGAAAATGAAGTCCAACTCAATTTGTTGGAACTGTAAATCAAGAGGTAACATGCAGCTTGGTTAGTTTTTTTAGGCCAGCATAGTTTACAGGACTAAATGTTCTAAATCTGCTAAATTACATTTGGTAAATGAAGAACCAGTTTTAGCCAGATGATTGCAGTGACTATGGCAGCATTTTAATAAGATAACATACTCATTTAACACAGCCTTTATTTTCTGTTTCAAAACAGAATTTCCAGGAAACAAAACAAAATACTTACAATGGTTGGGTACAAATGAAATAAAAATCACAGTTTCAAAGAACCAAAATAAGACAGTTGCTGAAAGGCAGATCACTTGGTTTACCAAAAAAAAAAAAAGGTTAATGTCAAAAAGGATTAAAATTAACTTTAACAACATTCTATATAATGCTACATTCCCCAATTAAGAAAGGAGAGTTCACATATACAACTAAATGTTAAGTGTGGAGAAGAGGGTGAAATTCTGCATACTTCATAGTAAATTATGCTGAAAGTTTATTAATTGCATAAACTTCCTGAGTGGCTCCCATGCTGCACTAGGTCTACATGCTTAATATATCAAACAAATTATAGCTTTAGGTGATTGAGCATGACAGACCTTGAACAACTGCACTTTCCAGTTAGTCACTGTATCTGCTGAGGGTATGTTCTGGACCGCAAACCTCAATCTCAAATCTTAAGTTACAGTGGAAAAGAAATTCAACTTAAAAAAAAACTAGAGGATGACAAGCACGCATTTAGGAGTTTATTTTATACTGGCACATTTTTTTCTCAGAACCCAGTTTCTCTCTTCCCTTCTTGCTTGACTTTTAACCTTGTTTGAATTTTTTTTAATAAAAAGAAAACCTTCCAGAATAGGAGCTATTGGTTTGTACACTCGTCTAGCTATCTTAGTTGAAAATAACTTTAGTGTAACCTAGTTACTATCCCAGGCTCCTTCATATATTGGCTGTCAGGGTTCCTGACCAATGTTTGTGTTGATCTTTCACATACAAAGACTATTTCCAGGGTGACCTGAAGGCATTTGGTTCCATAAAAATTTCATACTAATTTCAATTCAAAGGATTTTATCAAGTTTGAGTGTTACTATCTTACGATCTGCATTTTTAAAATTTCAATCTTAGAAATTACACCTATCAAATCAAAGGCCTTTTCTACACACCACCCCCCTTTTCTGATTCCTCTTCTAAACAAAGGGAGGGGGGGAACAAGTCCTTGATAAACTACAGATTCAAAAAACAATCTTCTAGAAAATGGCCTGCATACCACCTCAGATAGTTCAAGTTTTTCTGACCCAAACAGAAGATAAAATAACTGAATCCCAAAATGATGGCAAATATACCTCAGGAATGTACTTATGCATAATGACTGAAATACAGTATTTACCAATATTAAATATGCTGTAGTGTTACACAGTAAACATGTGAAACAAGGAACATCTGGTTACAAACATTTGCTGAGTTTTCAAGGAAAAAAAAGGAATGCATCATTTTCATCACTCAGAAAAGACAGCAAAGAAGAAAGTCAATGCTTCCATAAACTTTAGAGATTGGATAAAGTTATATAAAACCCTTACTATCAACTACATTTCAACTAAATGCATTTGGCCGTTTTAAGGTAACAAAATACCACTGCAAATACCTAGCACTGTGCTAATATATGTTGAATGATAGGCCATTGCTGAAGGATTTGTCAAATATTTCGCTGTGGTAGTTAAAGCAATTTCAACCCATTGCCCTTTAGGCACACAGACGAGAAATGCATCTCTAATAAAAAATGCAAAGTTATAGGCACTGGATTGTCTAATTCAGGTACTTTCTTACCATTTGTTTATTTTATAACTAACTCCTACACCTAAATCCTATATTGCCACCAATTTCAATTATTCTTCTGCTCTCCACCCCCAAATCCCCAAAGCATATTTCACAGAAGCACATGGCTCTCCACTTAAACACAGATGAGAGTGATGATCCCTCTCATCTCAAACTGTTGGCTAGCACTGGGAAAAAAGAGGCAGACCAGATTTATAATCTGAAAGAATACTGAGAATCAAGGCAAAAAAGCAAGTTTCACAGGTAGTGTTTACTTGTGCACCCAAAACAGCACTGAAAACGAGGTAGTTAAACAAAATTAATTGGACTAGAATTAAATCTGGGGTTCTAAAATGATATATCCCATCAAACTGTACATAACACTCCACACTCAATCCAAAAATCACAGCAGAAAAGTGCCTTTTAAACTTTCACAGATAATTTTGCTGTCAAACCATTGGAATTCATGCTTGATATAAAACTGGCAAGGAAGGGATGAAAAACAGAATGAATATTTGTTATATTACAGCAAATTACCTTAAATAGAGATTCAAGACTGCTACAAATATACATAGGGTTATTTTCATTAGATTTACACCAATACTGGTTTCATATTCTTATGATGTTACACCCAACTTCACAGACATAGCAGCAGGTACTTCATGATGAAATGCTCACATTACCACATATGGAGATACAGTACTATTCATCAGACTTGCACTTTGAGAAGTAAACATGGTGGCTGGACATACAGACTATCCTCTGAATAAACTTTACAAGCAGGATGGTTAAGTACAACCATTTTCTCCTCTACAAGAAGGAAAATGAAAAGGACAGGTTTGTGTGTTTTTTGGAAAGGAAGGCCCTTTTTATATAGTAGGCTCTTTGTTAAGAAGGGAATTTCTGAGCTTTACCTCAAGTTAATTATTTCTGGGGAGGAAAAGTACCTCAGACAAGGATGAAAATAGCACTATTATATGATTTAGCAAAATTATGAAATAATGCAAAAGCCCTGGATAGAAAACTAGCCAGTATTTACAGTCAAAGTGACTATAATCTGAACCAAACATGTAAGTCATGGGAAAAAATAATTTTAATAAAACCCCACAGTGATGAGAATAACATTGTTTTCTCCATTTCTGCACAAGCTCACTTTTTTCTGTATTTTTAAATGTACACATGTTATATATACATAATGTATACATAACATATATGATAACCCGGTTACTGCAGTCAGCATGGAGACAGCAGTACACTATTCACCATCTTCAAACTTTAGAAGACTACTTTTCTTTCCAGCAAAAACCTGAAAAGATTGTAAATATTACAAGGCACTGCAAGAGTCTGCAGGCAAACAAGAATGATGAATTATATGTGGAATAGAGGTGGTGGCCAAAGGCAGAACATAGGATGTAGAGCAGTCATTAATACATGTAATTGTACATGTCAGCCATGGAGCTTTTTTCATCCTGGGGTACACTGTTTAAAATGATTGTGACTAGAGAAGAAGGGGTCCTAAAATCTGCAGTATTTTCACTTTATAGGTTGTATGGCTCGGTGTAATTACACAAAGCCAACTTTTTATAATGAAACACAGGCAGTTTTAAAGAATTAGGGATTTTAGGAGCATTGTTTTTATACATATGGAAAACAGTGCAATGCAAGCATTTGCATTACACTAATGTCCTAAAATCACTTTAAACTGCAAACCAATACTGTACAAGAAATTTGAAGAATCTGTACTTAACATTTGGAAAGACTCATACAAAACAGATCATGTTCTATGAAAAGAAACAGTGGATCTTATCAACAGCAATTCTCAAAATGCTGCCCTAGATGCCTCAAATTATAGCGACAGAATCTTCTTGATAATGGATGTGATCCTCAGGTAAGCAACATAAAACACATTTTTTTTTTTTTTTGGAAAAGAGGTACTTAATGTCACAAAGTAGACTGTGCAAAAAAAAAAAAAAGTACACCCATTAAGTTTTCGTCATTACCTGGCAAGCCCATGGGGTATAATTTTTAGAAGAATACGGAGGAAAATCTGTTAACAGTAATGTTGGGTAGCAATTTGGAATGTTTACTAGTAGACAGAACTCCTAATTAGGTAAATGTGTATTAGAAATGACCTTAAAGTCTTCAGAGTGGAAGGTAAGTAATTTGAACATGAATACTTAGTTGGTAAATAACATTTTAAGAATTCTATTTAGGTTTCACAGACTGAGCATTAGGTAACCCTGTGACTAGCCTTTAACATTATTATAGTTAACCTTCTTAAAAACCAAAGGTGTACATTTTGACATTGCCTCCCCTCCTCCTAAAACTGGATAAAACCCAGTAAAGTGCAACTTGACAGTGATCTCTCTCAGATTCTAAAGAGGCTGCCAAACTCATTTAAGATCTAAAATCATCTAAGATACTATAGATACTAAAAAGAAATTCTAACAACTAAAAATTGTAATTAAAAAGAGCTAAGGACAACTTAAATAGTATCCTTCTAGGGTCTACTATCTCACTGCAGGACAGTGTATACCCCACATCTCTGAGAACCCTGTAAAGCCAGTGTTTCATATGTAAGTCTCGAAACCTACTGTGTCAAGTAAATTTCACTTCAGAAGAATGGATTGAGGTGTAGCTTTAATCCCCCTTGTTAGGAATACAAGGATTCCCCCCAAACGAGATTCATATCAGCTGCAATATATGCCTTGCAAAAGAATGCAAGACAAACCAATGCCTCTCAGATGCTCAAAACCAATGTAGTATGCATGTGAGAAACAAGGAGACAGCTGCTTTGAATTATTACTGAAATCGTAAAACAGCAGCAGTATCTGCAGAATCAAGGAACTGTTACAATTCTGTTTTTTCCCTTTCCCTCTGTCTCACCCAAAACAAGGCTTCATCCTACTGCTGTGATGACGGGAAATCACATTTAAAAAGGGCTCATGTTCTGTATTGGTTGACAAAATTATTGTAATTTTTTGGGGGGGCTAAGGAGGGCGGATCACAAGGTTAGGAGTTTGAGACCAGTCTGGCCAACATAGTGAAACCCCATCCTCTACTAAAAATACAAAAATTAGCCAGGCATGGTGGCTGGCGCCTGTAGTCCCAGCTACTCAGGAGGCTGAGGCAGGAGAATCGCTTGAACCCAGGAGGGGGAGGTTGCAGCAGTGAGCCAAGATCACACCACTGCACTCCAACCTGGGTGACAGAGAGAGACTCCATCTCAAAAAAAAAAAAAAAAGTGATTCTAATTTTATACACCAAAACGTTTCCTGCAGCAAGTTACCCTGCCTTCTGTGAAAGGTAAACCTAAGACAAACATGTGAAGTGAAGATCCCATAAGACTCTGGCTGATGGAGGGTCTCAGTTCATCCACATTTGGGGAGAATCAATCTAAATAATTTTTAAACATTTTTAAAGAAGAGTATCCAGCTGCAGATAGCAGCAGTTAAAAAAAAAAAAAAAAAAGGCGGGGGATGGGGAGCTTCTCAACAATTCATGGAAAGTGTCCTGGAAATGGTAATGCTCAAGCTGAGCTTATTAAAGCATTCTGAACAGTATTTTTAAAAAATCAAGTATCAAAGAGGATAGAATTTGAAGTGAAAAAACATTTCTGTGTGCAGTGTTCTATCTGCAAACTGCACATTTCTACAGAATGATGAGCTGTATCAAATACCACACTGGAACAAAAAATATATAGTCTAAAGTAAACTCAAATGAGGGAAAATATGACAGAACCCAAGAGGAAGAAACTTTAATATCTTGGGTGTCCTGAAAATAATTCTGAAAAAACCTCCCTTTTTATCACCATCTACTCTGATTCATTTAGGACCAGGAGGGATTGTGGCAGGATTCTGCACTGATGAAGTTGGAAATGCCTGCATATTCATCCCTGGCTGGAATGGTCCCCCAGATTGGGCGGGAATTACTACAGATTGTTGTGTTGTTCCTGAAATTCCTACCCACTGTACTGGATACCCCGCCCCCGCCACAGCATTATACTGACAAACGTGAGGCATTCCATATGATGATAATGGCCCAGGAAATGAAGGGAGTGAGAGTCCTTGTGGCAAGGAAGTTGGGACAGCTCCACGGATTTGGGACAGAGAAGAAATCCATGTTGATGTGTAGCCCATAGTAGACGGAGTATTCTAAGAAAAACAAAAATAAAAACAAAAGATCAGTTTATTTGGTATAGACTTTTATCAGTCTATATTCCTTCCTATTCTTTTTTTTTCTATTGCTGCTGCACAAATGAATATTCCTTCCTAGTCTTTTTGGCATACTATTCCTATTGTTACTATTAGGGACTACCATTTTTGGAGCACCTTTCTGTGTGCTAACCATAATTATGTACCTTAATTAATGCCATCTTCATAACTGCCCTGCCTTACATTTTTATAGTTATTTCCATGCATACATACATAGAAAGATATTTGACATGATGTTTATCTAAAGTTAATGAAAATTATTTCTGGGTGGTGGGATTTGAAGGTGATATTTTAAATTTTGTACTTTTCTGCACTGATTAAATTATATAATGAACATTATTAGTTTATAGATAACCTGATTTTTAAAAAAAGACAAATTGGAGAGGTTATACATTTTCTCCTGGATATTTCAAAGGCATCTCAGAAACAAATGCCTAGAAATCAAATGTGTGATCTTCCCCTACCAAAGCACACTGTCTGCTCACATTCCGCATCTCGGTGATTGGTACACTAGAATAGCATCCAGTTATGGGAGCCAGAAACCTAGCCTTAATACCTCCCCTTCACCATACATCCATTCCATCACCAAATCTTGTCCATTTAATCTCTTAAGCATTTTTTGGAATCTGTTCACTTCTGTTCAACTCAACTTCTCCCATTTTCCAGACCAGTTAAGAGTTACCATGACTAACTCTTAACTGGTCTGCCAACATCTACCCTTACCTCCAATAAATAATCCTTTTCTCTTGCTTGAGTCAGAGTCATTTTTTCAAAAAACAAGTCTGATCATGTCAACCCTAGGGCTTAAATGGCTATTTATCTTTCTTCAAATACAGACGGCTGGGCGCGGTGGCTCACGCCTGTAATCCCAGCACTTTGGGAGGCCAAGGCGGGTGGATCAGCTGAGGTCAGGAGTTCAAGACCAGCCTGGCCAACATGGTGAAACCCTGTCTCTACTAAAAACTCAAAAATTAGCCAGGTATGGTCGCGAGCGCCTGTAATCTCGGCTACTCAGGAGGCTGAGGCAGCAGAATTGTTGAACCTGGGAGGCATAGGCTGCAGTGAGCAGAGATCGCGCCATTGCACTCCAGCCTGGGCAACAAGAGTGAAACTCCGTCTCAAAAAAAATAAAAACAAACAAACTAACAAAAAATACAGATGAAGTTCCTTATCATTACCACTTTTAAGACTCCATCTACCTTAGATCCATTGTGCACTAACTCCTCTTTGCTCTCTTCACTTCAGCCAAACTGGCCTACTTTCAATCCCTTCACGCTCCTTTCCTCATACAGGGCTTTTGCGTATGCGATCCTTTCCGCATGGAATCATTTCCTCTTTTCACCTAGTTAACACCTACTCATCCTTCAGATCTCTGCTTAATCATCACTTTCTCAGTGAAGCTTTCCTTGACTTTCCTTTACTAGGTCAAATTTCCCGTATTATAGCCTATATCTTTCTTTTGTAGTTCTTATTACGGTTGCAATTTTATATTCGTATATGCAATTCTGTTATGTCTAACTAGCTGTCTTAGCAGAGCATAAATTCCATGAGGATAGGGATCATACTTGTTTTTACTCACCAAACCCATGTCTAACAGAGGGCTTGGTACATAACTGTTAAGCAAACAAGTATTTCTGAGTAAGGATACAGAGCAATACAATGTAAGAGCATTAGTGAGATGGGCTTGCCACACAAAAGATATAACCAACTGAACCTACAAATACAAAAATAGTTACTAGATATAGGGTACCTACTATGTAACACCTATAAAGGTACAGCTTTATAGGTGTTATCTCATTTAATCCTCACAGCAATCCTGTAAGGCAGGTATTCTGTTTGAAAGACATGAAAACTGAGGCACAGATAGATCAAATGACTTTTCTAAAGTCACACAACTAGTAAGTGACTGAGCTGACATTGGAACCCAAGTCTGTTAAATGACGTTCACTACTTTTATTCACACACCATTTTCTACTCACCCTTCCTCCAAACATCCTCCATTATACTCCAGTAAACAGCCCTCCAACTAGTCAACAAAAGCCTCCATTCACACAGTACTCAGAGGTTCTCTCACTGGCAGTACAAATGCATTTATGTCTTGAAATTTGCCTCTAAAGGCTTCCAATTTTTACAATGGTGATGCTATCTGTGTATAAATTGGTGCCACAAGTAAGATAAATACACAGAGCTCCCAAGGAGATATACTGCTCACTAGCTTGGGAAATCGAGGATTTTGAAAATTTTTATTCAATATTAACAATAAATGCATTATTTCTTTAACAAACTATATGACTATACATGTACACATATGACAATACATGTACACAAATGTAACACACAGAGATAAATCTCTTTCAATTAAGAGGGTTAAAATTATAAGCCCTGATTCCATTTTAATAGGTTTACTCATTTTGAAAAAAAAGTCACTTACTTTAAAAATACAAAAACACAGAAATGTACAAAGTAGAATAAGGCCCAAATTCCACCATCCAGCATATTTTTCATGGCTTTTCATATTTCTCTATGCATATCTAATGTATATAATTTTGCATAAATTATATTATACTATGTGTGCTGTTCTGTAAGCCTGACTTCTTCCTACTCCAGAATGCATTGTGGGCATCTTTCTTCACTTCATTGCATGTACACCTGACTAAGGCCACATGCAATAACTAGGCATCTTTTCTTTAAAACACCTCTTATAATATTCCAGTTTAAATAACTTTAAAGTTCTTTTTCATAATGAACAAATAACTTATCAGATCTAAGAATATTGACGTGAAACACAGGAAAACTTTTCCTTAAAACCCAAACTCTTCTTGAAACACTGGACTGAATTAACCTTCATTCCAGACGCTTTCTTCTTTGATACTTGCTGGATTTTTTTAAAAAAATAGAACAGTCTAAAACAAGGGTCGGCAAACCACAGCCCACCACCTCTTTTTGTAAATAAGGTTTTAATGGAACAAAGCCATGCCCATTTGGTTACATATTCTCTATGGCTGCTTTTGCACTATAACAGAGTTAAGTAGTTGTAATAGTATAGCTTGAAAAGCCTAAAATATTAACTAACTGGCTCCTTCCCCCCAAAAGTTTACTGACTCATGGTCTAAAATATAATTTGCTCAAAGACATAATGAATCTAAAAAAGGATAAAAGTCTCTATGTTATCAAGTCATACTACTCTCTCATAGTGACTGTAACTATAGGCCTAAGCGCATCAATTTTTATGGTTTTAGTTCTTGTAAACAAAGTGAATTGGGTATAAACAACTTACTTCAGATACTTTATTCCAGTTTTCTGTCTCTAGTTTGTGTTGACTTTGTTTAAGTTGGTTTAAACTTGGCTTAATAAGAGAATTTCCTACTGCTTCCTTTGTCCAGTCATCCACCAGCTTGTGTAAGTCATCTGTGAACATCCCTTTTTTACTGGCTGGAGACTGTTGGCATGATGCTGCATTACTCTCCACACACAGTGGATCTATAAGACAAAAAAAACAACAACAGGGAAACCATGAAAAAGAATTAAAACTGATAATCAGATAACTCTTTGGCCAACAAAGCAGTTAACAGAGCCACACATGGGGTGCAATTAGGGTGAACACACACTCTAGTTTACCTGCGTCGTCCTGGTTTAAAGCTGTTGTCCTGGAGTAATTGCTAACAGTACTCCCTTTCACTCTCAAAAGTTTCCTCTTGGCTGGGCGCAGTGGCTCACACCTGTAATCTCAACACTTTGGGAGGCCGAGGCGGGTGGATCACGAGGTCAGGAGTTCAAGACCAGCCTGGCCAACATGGTGAAACCCTGTCTCTACTAAAAATACAAAAATTAGCCAGGCATGGTGGTGGACGCCTGTAATCCCAGCTACTCGAGAGGCTGAGGCAGGAGAATAGCTTGAACCCGGGAGGCGGAGGTTGCAGTGAGCTGAGATCACACCATTGCACTCCAGCCTGGGACAGAGCAAGACTCCGTCTCAAGAAAAAAAAAAAAAAGTTTCCTCTTGTTTGGACAGCAAATTATATGGTTACCTTAGGTATAAATCAAGGGTAATAAATAGTACTCATAAAAATTAGTATAAACTCTAATCTTTTCACCAGCTCCCTCAGATAGATACTTTAAAGATTAAAAAAGAATCAAATAATGTTAAAAACAAAAAAAAAAAGGTCTAGTGCAAGCCACTTTTATAATGGGAAAACAAGGCCCAGAATAAGTAAACTGACATGCCCAAGTTCTTGCAACTAATTACCAGCAGAGACAGGCCTGGAACTCTAAAGCCTAGACAAAGACACTCTATCTTTTCAATGTACCATACTGACTTTTAAGAAGCTTCAGAAAACTAGAATCTCATTTTATTTTTTACCGATATTTCTGTTTACGATTTAAAAAGATGAATGTGTATCTAGAATAGCAGAAATGAAGACACAGATGGTTTGATGAGCCTCATGAGTTGTGGAGCATAAGATGTTCAAATAAATGAAAGAAATCAATTACAGAGAATTCCATAAGTATACTTTCCTAATCTGAACATCACACTAAGTCTTTACATGATAATTGAGTACTATTACTCATGCTTATGATATCATTCTTACAGGAAATATTCATAGAGTTCCAATTCCTCTGACTGAATTATAAGCCAAAAACTTACAGAGTGGTTCTAAAATTAATTTTAGGAAATACAGTTGTAAATTTAAGCACAATAACAGTTCCAGGGATTTAACAAGCATGTGAAGATGCCTTATACATGTGTTATGGTACTTCTTTTAATCATGAAAAAATACAAAAAAAATTGCAAGAGGTAATGCAAGAAGCTTCCATATTAATACTTTTTGAAACTTATAACAGGCCTGTGATATAAACAAGTGTCATTCTGTTTTATAGACAGTAAAACTGGGACCCAGAAGATTAACAACTGGCGTCATATGCTGGGGCTAGAATCCAGATATCCTGACTGTCAGTTCAGTGGGCTTTCCGTTGTACTCCATCATAAATGCCAACTGCTGAGGTGGGCGGATCACCTGAGGTCAGGAGTTCAAGACCTGCCTGGCCAACATGATGAAACCCCGTCTCTACTAAAAATACAAAAATTAGCCAGGCGTGGGGGTGTGCGCCTGTAATCCCAGCTACTCGGAAGGTTGAGGCAAGAGAATCGCTTGAACCAGGGAGGCGGAGGTTGCAGTGTACCGAGATCACGCCATTGTACTCCAGCCTGGGCAACAGAGCAAGACTCTGTCTCAAAGAATAATAATAATACAATAAAATAAATGCCAACTGATATAATAAAGTAGGAAATGGAAGAAGATATTACTTAATAAAGGGAAACATGACAATCTCAATGATTGCATATGCATAGTCTGTGATTTTCTATGAACCCTGTGCTACTGAAAATTTAGATTCAAAGGTGATTAAATATTTTTGTTTGTTTTTGAGACAGAGTCTCGCTTTGTCACCCAAGCTGGAGTGCAGTGGCGCGATCTTGGCTCACTACAACCTCTGCCTCCTGGGTTCAAGCGATTCTCACACCTCAGCCTCCCGAGTAGCTGGAATCAAGGCGCACACCACCACGCCCGGCTAATTTTTGTATTTTTGGTAGAGATGGGGTTTCACCATGTTGCCAGGCTGGTCTCAAACTTCTGACCTCAAGTGATCTGCCTGCCTCAGCCTCCCAAAGTGCTGAGATTACAGGTGTGAGCCACTGCACCCAGCCTTAAATATCAAAGGGAAACACAGTAGTGTTGTATAAGAAGAGTTTAATGAATTAATCAGAACATTCACATATACAAGAGTTTTAAAACAACATTTACTAATTTGGGGCAACCATGATATATCAAAATGACATACTAACTTGTTGGAATCCCAATTTTTCTAAGACATAAAATCCTGAGACACAAAAGTCAGTCTATAATAAAAGTATCATTTCTTCTTGTTATCCCTTTGCACATTCAACTAATTCTCTGCTTATTCCAGCGAGGGAGCAAAGAGCACAACAAAGTTGGGGAAGACTTTAGAGCCTAAGCTTTTATAGACTGTGTTCTCAACCTAGAAGAATGTCAGCAGGTAGAATTAAAAAGAGAAGATAGCCAGAAACAGGAATGTATCAATGCCCACAGTTTTGCCTATCCGTCTTCTCTTAGAAATATTTTTGTGCCCAATCCCTTCAGCTTCTAAAGCATTTGTTGCAGAGAGGTTAGGTCTAAATGTCATTAATTTAAGAACATTTCTGGGGCTGGCACAGTGGCTCACGCCTGTAATCCAATCATTCTGGGAGGCCAAGGTAGGTGGATCACCTGAGGTCAGGAGTTTGAGAGCAGCTTGGCCAACATGGTGAAACCCCGTCTCTACCAAAAATACAAAATTAGCTGGCCATGGTAGTGGGTGCCTGTAATCCCAGCTACTCAGGAGGCTGAGGCAGGAGAATTGCTTGAACCTGGGTGGTGGAGGCTGCAGTGAGCCGAGATCACGCTACTGCACTCCAGCCTGGGAGACAGAGTGAGATTCCACACACACACACACACAAAACCAAACCAACCAACCAACCAACCAACCAACCAACCAACCAAACAAACAAACAACAAAAAAAAGAACATTTCTGGGTGGGAGGGAGAAAAAGAAGAGAAATGAAAAAAGAACATTTCTCCACTAAGGGAAATAAAATGTTAGGACTCTTCTTGTGTATAACTCTGGTCTAACAAGTTATCTTAAATACTCAATTGGCAGTAAATTAAGGCTGCTGAACTAGTGGCACAATAGCCAACAAGTGGAGGAAAAAATAATTAACAAACTGAAGCAAGTATTTAAATGAAACAGGGACTAGGGCAACAACCACTGCACTCCAGCCTGGGCGACAAAGCAAGACCGTGTCTCTTAAGCAGGCAACAGAAAGAACAACTACACACACACATACACACACAAACACACACAAAGTTATGAAGAACAATGTGCCATATGAAAAGGAAAAAAATGCTATTTGAATGTTATTCAGTATCTATGCTTTACATAAAGCAGGATCATTTATTTACTGATTTCATTTAAAAGTTATTCATATCATAATATAAAAGACCACTTAATTCAAAGCTCACAAGCCAGAAAATACCCAATCAATGCACATTAAAATAAGTACTATGCAAACGTGGTTTATGATAGGTAGTAATAACATATTAACTTCAAATGTGCTCTTTAATATTCATTTCTTATTGATGAAATGAATAAAACCAGAGTTCAGTCCTTGATGTTCTTTTTTGTTCTTTCCTCCAAGGTGATGCCTATATTCAGACAGTTTCAGTGATCACTCCACTGCATTATTTCTATCTCTTATCCTATACCTTGATTTCTCTCTTCAATCACAATCTCACAACCAATTCCCAAATGTATTTTTCTACTTGGATGTTAATAAATTATTCAATTCAGGCCAGGCATGGTGACTCCCATCTGTAATCCTAGTACTTTAGGAGGCTGACACAGGAGGATTGCTTGAGGCCAGGAGTTCAAGACCAGCCTGGGCAACATAGGAGGATCTCGTCTCAAAAAAAATTTGCTGGGCATGGTGGCACACACCAGTAGTCCCAGCTACTTGGGAGGTTAAGGTGGGAGGCTTGATTGAGCCCAGGAGTGCAGGGTTATGGTGAACTATGATCACGCTACTGCATTCCTACCTGGGTGACAGTGAGACCCTGTCTCTAAAAAAATTAAATTAAAAAATAAATAATTCAAGTCAATATACCTGGGGTCAAACCTATCACAATCCTGGCATGACGATTTGCTTAAATGTCATACTTCTGTTTAAGATACTGCATTTTTTTCCAAACCACTCAAACTCAGATCCTTTGGATCTCCCCACCAATACACAAATCTCCAGTCCATCACTACGTCATGAAATTCCTCCTATACAATGTCTCTTGTCCACTTTCATTTCTACCATTCTATAAGCTCTTAATTATCTCATGCATAGACTACTATGATTGCAGTGATCTAAATGGACTCACTCCTTGGCTCTAGCCAATATATTCTTCAAACTACCACCAGATTAATATGAGTGAAGGCTGGGCACGGTGGCTCATGCCTGTAATCCCAGCACTTTGGGAGGCCGAGGTGGCTGGATCACATGAGGTCAGAAGTTCGACACCAGCCTGACCAACATGGTTAAACCCTGTCTCTACTAAAAATACAAAAATTAGCTGGGGATGGTGGTGCACACCTGTAATCCCAGCTAATTGGAGGCTGAGGCAGGAGAATTGCTTGAACCTGGGAGGCGGAGATTGCAGTGAGCCAAGATCCTGCCACTGCACTCCAGCCTGGGCAACAGAGCAAGACCGTGTCTCAGAAAGAATAAATAAGTAAAAAATAATATGAGTGAAATGCTGTTTTCAGATAAAATGCTGCTTAAAAAAAAAAAAAGCTTCAACAGTTCTTTACTGCTAACAGCATGAGGGTTCCCACTTGTTTAGGTGGCAAAGACCTGGGAAATCATGGTTGTCCTTGCAGAACAAGTACATTATTTTATTTATTATCCTTAAACTAACATGTATCACTTATTAAGCTTAAATATATAATTGTTTTAGATCAGATTCATTATCTTACACTAAACACTAACAGAAACATGCTGTGGCAGCTGCCAAATTTTTTTAAGTACAGAAGGAAAACTTTCTACTGTAAATCCTCCATTTCACCCAACTATTTGAAAGTTACATGTCTTTCTTGCAAATCTTGCATTTTTACCGTTTGCATGCCTTAATATCATGAAATTCTATCTATTGACAATACTCTTTCCACTTCCCTTAATTTCAATTCTGCCCATTTATCTTTTTTTTTTTTTTTTTTTTTGAGATGGAGTTTTGCTCTTGTTGCCCAGCCTGGAGTGTAATGGCATGATCTCGGCTCACTGCAACCTCCGCTTCCCAGATTCAGGCAATTCTCCTGCCTCAGCCTCCCGAGTAGCTGGGATTACAGGTGTGCACCACCACACCCGGCTATCCTTTGCATTTTTAGTAGAGATGGGGTATCACCATGTTGGTCAGGCTGGTCTCAAACTCCTGACCTCAGGTGATCCACCCGCCCCAGCCTCCCAAAGTGCTGGGATTACAGGCGTGAGCCACTGCACACCTGGCCAGCCCATTTATCCTTTGAGACCAACTCAAATCCTATCTTCTGCGTGAAGCATTCTCAGACCACTATCATCATTCATTCCCCTCAACCCACTACAGGTAAAATTTATGGTTTTGGGAAGCAATGCAGTATAATAGTTAAAAGCCAAGGCTTTGAAGTCAGACAGATTTGGATTCTCTCACCTATTAACTGAGATCCAAAAGAAGTTACTTAACCTCACTAACCTCAGTCTCTTCACCTAAAAAAGACAAACATTAATATTTATCTACCTTACAGAGATGTTCTGAGGATTAAGATAATATATATAATATATACTATATATGTTTTTTTGAGATGGAATCTTGCTCTGTCGCCCAGGCTGCAGTGCAGTGGCGCGATCTCAGCTCACTGCAAGCTCCGCCTCCCGGGTTCATGCCATTCTCCTGCCTCAGCCTCCCAAGTAGCTGGGACTACAGGTGCCCGCCACCACGCCCAGCTAAGTTTTTGTATTTTTAGTAGAGACGGGGTTTCACTGTGTTAGCCAGGATGGTCTCAATCTCCTGACCTCGTGATCCACCCGCCTCGGCCTCCCAAAGTGCTAGGATTACAGGTGTGAGCCACCGCGCCCGGCCCAATATATACCTTTTTAGACAGGGTCTGGCTCTGTCACACTCCTGGACTCAAGCAATCCTCCCACCTCAGCCTTCTGAGTAGCTGTGATTACAGGCGTGTGCCACCATGCCCAACTAATTTTTGTATGTTTTGTAGAGATGGGGTTTCGACATATTGCCCAGGCTGGTCTCAAACTCCTGAGCTCAAGTGATCTGCCTGCCTTGGCCTCCCAAAGTGCTGGGAGTACAGGCATGAGCCACACGCCCAGCCTAACACATGCAATATTTTTATTATGTCTTGGGATCTCCCAGACCACCCACACATTCAGTGATTCACCAGGTCTCCAAGGACTCAAGATATAGTTGTATTCATAGCTAAGGTTTATTACAGTGAAAGATACACATTACGGTCAGCAAAGGGAAAAGACAGGAGTCTAGAGAAATTCATGCTCAGACTTCCATATGTTCTCTCCCTATCCTTTCTCCAGCAACAAAAAAATACAGCAACAGGTGTACACATTTCTACCCAGGAAAGCCCATTAGAGACTTAGTGACCATGGTTTTCACTGGGGGCTGGTCTCAGAGGCACGTACTAAAATTCCAGACTCTGAGGAGGAAAACATGTGTTCAGGATAAATCACATTATTTGTACCAACAAACCAGGCAAACTGAACTATTTACCGGTTAGGGAACAGAGGGAAACCAAGTTCCCACATACCAGCCAAGGGCCAATCTTGCCAGCAGGCCTGTCTAAAGATAGCAGTCTCATGTCTGTTAGGTTGGCTCTATTCTGTACAGTTTACTACAATGCTCATATTATAAGTTAACTACACACATACATTGTGGATACCATTACATTGCAATACCATAATTAGCCAGGCGTGTTGGTGCGCACCTGTAATCCCAGCTACTCGGGAGGCTGAGGCAGGAGAATCACTTGAACCTGGGAGGCAGAAGTTGCAGTGGGCCGAGACCACACCACTGCACCCCAGCCTGGGTGACAGAGTGAGACTCTGTCTAAAAAATAAATAAATAAATAAATAAATAAATAAATAAACATAGCAATACCATGTATCAACTCATGTTTCCAACAAAACATGTATAATTGTGGGCAGGGAAGGATATATACGTGTTAAGCAGTGCTTTTTTTTTTTTTTTTTTTTTTTGAGATGGAGTCTTGCTCTGTCACCCAGGCTGGAGTGCAGTGGCGTGATCTCAGCTCACTGCAACCTCCGCCTCCTGGATTTAAGCTATTCTCCTGCCTGAGCCTCCCAAGTAGGTGGGATTACAGGTGTCTGCCACCACGTCTGGCTAGTTTTTGTATTTTTAGTAGAGACAGGGTTTTGCCATGATGGCCAAGCTGGTCTCGAACTCCTAACCTCAGGTGATCTGCTCACCTCAGCCTCCCCAAGTGTTGGGATTACAAGCATGAGCCACCGCACCTGGCCAAGCACTGCTTCCTAAAATGGGTTCCCTGGTAAAATTGTTTTGGGAGATTTTGTATATTATTTCCTTTCTTGGACATTCTCAATTCATATTAGCACATTAAAGGACCTAAGAAATTCTACAGTGGAGAGACTGGTATTTATATTATTTAATACCACATTTCGCATTTGACCATGTAACACCTATTAACTCCCTGCTGACAACTTATGAAATGCTGTGCTAAGGCCAACAAATGTGTCCACCAATCTTGGCCAAATGGGAAAAAGATGAAATGTCAGCAAGTTTTGAAAGAGCACTATTGGAGCTAGAAATATGAAATCACCTGTTCCTGTGAGAGGCAATAAGGTAACAAAACTACTGGAAGGTACATGTGGAGCATCCTGTCTTTGTGAACTTGGCCTCCATGAGTTATAAAAAGAAAAAGAAAATGAAGATAATTTAGTTCCTACTTAAGAAGACATGACCATTTTTATATTAAATCTGGTTCGAGGGCCTGACATAGTGGCTCACGCCTGTAATCCCAATGACTCTGGAGGCAGAGGTGGGAGGATTGCTTGAGGTCAGGAGTTTGAAATCAGCCTGGGCAACATAGCAAGACCCCATCTCTACAAAAAAAATTTTAAAAAAGATTTGCCAGGCACAGTGGCACACGCCTATAGTCCTGGCTACTTGGGAGGCTGAGGCAGGAGGATTGCTTGAGCCCAAGAGTTTGAGGTTACAGTGAGCTATGACTGAGCCACTGTACTCTAGCCTGGGTGACAAAGCAAGACCCTGTCTCTAAAAAATAAATAGATAAATAACAAAGTCTGGTTTGGAACCCATCTAAATATTTTAATAAATAAGTTAATTTAACAGAAGTACAATAATCAGATACTCTCCTTCCTGCCTACTGAAAAAAAATAATTTCTGGCTTCCAGTATGACAGAGTGAGGACGTTAAGAAACCTCCCTCAAAAGGAATCCTAAAATTGGACAAAATTCAAAAACAATCACTTTAGTACTCCAGAATTTGTCCTAAGGAATACAACAAAATCAGAAGCATTTATTCGTGAAAACTACTGAACTTTTCAGGTAAGAACTGTGCAATCTGTGGTGTTTTTGCACAAGGCTGTTCCCATCACCCCCACCCAGCTCTGTTGCCCAGCAAAGTGGGGCATTCTGAGAAAACAGTAAGTTTGGCTGCTGTTGCTGCTACCATAGGGGATTCACTTGATTTAGAACTTTAGAAGCAGGTACTCCATTAGCCTGAGGTTAACAGGGAGATCTGAGAAGTGAGATAGCCATAGGGACTTGATAAATTCTCCACATGTCAGGCTGAGCGTGGTGGCTCACACCTGTAATCCCAGCACTTTGGGAGGCCAAGGCAGGTGGATCACCTGAGGTCAGGAATTCGAGACCATCCTGGCCAACATGGTGAAATCCTGTCTCTACTAAAAATAGAAAAATTAGCCAGGTGTGGTGATGCGTGCCTGTAATCCAAGCTACTCGGGAGACTGAGGTGGGAGGATCGCTTGAACCTGGGAGGCAGAGGTTGCAGTGAGTCAAGATCATGCCACTGCGCTCCAGCCTTGGGAACAGAGCTAGACTCTGTCTCAAAAAAAAAAAAAAAAACTCCACATATCTCAGACTGACTGGATGTTCTCTAACCATAATGATTTTAAAGTACAAAAATAAGAGATAATGAGTGGTGGCACACACCTGTAATCCCAGCACTTTGGGAGGCTGAGGCGGGAGGATCACAAGGTCAGGAAATCAAGACAAGCCTGGCCAATATGGTGAAACATCGTCTCTACTAAAAATACAAAAATTAGCCGGGCGTGGTGGCGGGCGCCTGTAGCCCCAGCTACTCGGAAGGCTGATGCAAGAGAATCAATCGCTTGAGCCCGGGAGGCGGAGGTAGCAGTGAGCCAAGATTGCGCCCCTGCACTCCAGCCTGGGTGACAGGACGAGACTCTGCCTCAAAAAAAAAGAGACAATGAGAAAAATCTCCAAACTCTTCAAAATTAAACAACACACTACCAATAATCCATGGATAAAAGAGGAAGTCTCAAGGGAAATTAGAAAACATTTAGAACTCAAAAAAAAAAGAAAATATAGGGCCGGGTGCTGTGGCTTACGCCTGTAATCCCAGCACTTTGGGAGGTTGAGGCGGGCGGATCATGAGGTCAGGAGATGGAGACCATCCTGGCTAACACAGTGAAATGCCGTCTCTACTAAAAATACAAAAAATTAGCCGAGCATGGTGGTGGGTGCCTGTAGTCCCAGCTACTCGGGAGGCTGAGGCAGGAGAATGTCGTGAAACCGGGAGGCAGAGCTTGCAGTGAATGGAGATCACGCTACTGCACTCCAGCCTGTGGGACAGAGCGAGACTCCGTCTCAAGAACAACAACAACAAAGAAAATATAATATATCAAAACCTAGGGAATACTGGAGTACAAAGAATAAACTTCAATGTATGCAAAGGTAAAAAAAAAAATCATTTAGGAGGTCATGAGATCCCAGGATAGAATGTATTTGTCAAAATGCACAGAAAAGGCACAAAGAATGAACCTTAATATATGCAAGTTTAAAAAGCAATTTAGGAGGTCAGGGAATCCCAGAAGGGAATGTAGAATTTGATGAAAGCATCTAATCATATTGAAAATGTATGAAGCAACCTCATATAAGCGGGTAAAAGAACAGATGCTGAACTATATATAACTTTGGAAATGAGTGGCACCTGTAATACTGAAGGCAAAAGAAACTGTACATAAGCATTGTATTTTACTTTATAAAAGTATTTCCCACTAGGGTTTGGGTTAAAATTCTGAAACTACGATACCTGTACACTGGAATTAAACAAGTAAATGGCTGGAGGATGGTGGGAGCCAGGTTTCTCACTTCTGGAGTGGGAGGTTACAGATAAGCAAATAGATAAGTCGATAAGGGCAGAATGATCCATGTGGTAATGGATTAGAGTTGGAGACATCAATATGAATGCAAATTTACCTTAATATAAATACAGATGATTACATATAGAAATATTCATAGGTAGGGATATGTGTGTGTATATATATGTTAGTATACACATGTATAGTTCCTTATCAGCTAAGAGGGCCTAGAAGCAATGATACCTCAAGCACTCAAATCTTGGTTTCTTTTTTGTGAAAAAGGGTCTCACTCCGTCACCCAGGATGGAGTGCAGTGGTGCAATAACAATAACTGTTCACTGAAGTCTCAACCTCCCAGGATCAAGCAATCCTCCTACCTCAGCCTCCTGCGTAGCTGGGACTACAGGTGTGCGCTACCATGACGGGCTAATTTTTTTTTTAAATTTTTTGTAGATATGGGGTGTCACTATGTTGCCAGGGGTGGTCTTGAAATCCTGGGCTCAAGTAATCCTGCTGCCTCGGCCTCCCAAATGATTTTAAAGGACAAAAATAAGAGATAATGAGCGGTGGCTCACACCTGTAATCCCAGCACTTTGGGAGGCTGAGGTGGGCGCATCACAAGGTCAGAAGATCAAGACCAGCCCGGTCAACATGGTGAAACCGAGTCTCTACTAAAAATACAAAAAATTAGCTGGGCGAAGTGGTGGGCGCCTGTAATCTCTGCTACTCGGGAGGCTGAGGCAGGAGAATCGCTTGAAACCGGGAAGTGGAGGTTGCAGTGAGCCGAGATCGCGCCACTGCACTCCAGCCAGGGCGACAGAGTGAGACTCCGTCTCAAAAAAAAAAACAAACAAAAAAAAAAAAACTAGGGGAAAAAAATGATCAAAATAACCACAAGGCATGTAGAAGGCAGAAAATAATAAAGAGCAGAAATCCATAAAATTTAAAATGGGAAAACAGTAGAGAAAAACATCAATAAAAGCAAATACTGGATCTTTGTAAAGATAAAATTGATAAGCTTCTATCAAGAATCACAAAGAAAAAAAGAGAAGACAAATTAAATATCAGGAATGAAAGGTGACGTCATTCCCCAGATATTAAATATAATGTTCATATTATCTGTAAACACAAAAATTCAACAGCATAGACAAAATGGAACAAGTCCCCCCCAAAACCACAAACTACCGAAACTCACCCAACATGAAATACGTAATCTAAATAATCCTGTAACTACTATTGAAGAGTTTGATTTATTTTTGAAAAAAAAATTTTTTTTTGAGATGGAGTCTCACTCTGTCACCCAGGCTGGAGGGCAGTGGCACAATCTCAGCTCACTGCAACCTCCACCTCCTGGGTTCAAGCACTTCTCCTGTCTCAGCCTCCCTGGTAGCTGGGATTACAGGCGCGTGCCACCGCTACCACACCTGGCTAATTTTTGTATTTTTAGTAGACACGGGGTTTTGCCATGTTGGCCAGGCTGGTCTCAAACTCCTGACCTCAGATGATCCTCCCGCCTTGGCCTCCCAAAGTGCTTGGATTACAGCCGTGAGCCACCAAGCCTGGCCAAAAGTTTGAAAAGTTAAAAACCTCCCAAAAAAGAAATCTCTGAGCCCAGATGGTTTCATTGGAAAAATTTCCCAGACATTTAAAGAAGAAATAATACTAACTCAAGACAAACTCTTCAGAAAATAGAAAAGGAAGGAGAAGATGGACTTCTAAAAATGCAGAATAAGGGCCTGGGTAAACTTTCTTGTATTCAAAAACAATAAAAATATAGGCAAAACAACTAGAACCAACCACCCCTGACAATTATCCAAAGCCATAGAATAAAACTAAAAACCTCTATGAAAGACAAACTATGGAAACTACTGGCATCTGTGACACTTTGACTTGGGGCAATTCTCATTCCCCCTTGTTCCCCAGCTCAGCGTTGTGGTAGCCAACAAACAGCAGCACTGCAGACAATGGAGCAATCATACCTCTTTTTGAGCTCCCTTAAAAACACCATCTCCAGGCTGGGCGCGGTGGCTCACGCCTGTAATCCCAGCACTTTGGGAGGCTGAGGTGGGCGGATCACGAGGTCAGGAGATCGAGACCATCCTGGTTAACACGGTGAGACCCCTGTCTCTACTAAAAATACAAAAAATTAGCCAGGCGTGGTGGCGGGCGCCTGTAGTCCCAGCTACTCAGGAGGCCGAGGCAGGAAAATGGCGTGAACCCAGGAGGCGGAGCTTGCAGTGAGCCAAGATCACGCCACTACGTGGTGGCGGGTGCCTATAGTCCCAGCTACCTGGGAGGCTGAGGCAGGAGAATGGTGTGAACCCGGGAGGCGGAGCTTGCAGTGAGCCGAGACTGTGCCAGTGCACTGCAGCCTGGGAGACAGAGCCAGACTCCATCTCAAAAAAAAAAAAAAAAAAAAAAACACCATCTCCAGTGCACAGTCAATATTTTGCAGCACCCTGGAGCTCTCCCTCTCTCTCCGTCTCCTCTCTCCCTCTTTGCACGGTCTCCCTCTGATGCCCAGCCCAGGCTGGACTGTACTGCCGCCATCTTGGCTCACGGCAACCTCCCTGCCTGATTCTCCTGCCTCAGCCTGCCGAGTGCCTGGGATTGCAGGCGCGCGCCGCCACGCCTGACTGGTTTTCGTATTTTTTGGTGGAGACGGGTTTCCCCGCGTTGGCCGGGCTGGTCTCCAGCTCCCGACCGCGAGTGATCTGCCAGCCTCGGCCTCCCGAGGTGCCGGGATTGCAGACGGAGTCTCGCTCACTCAGTGCTCAATGTTGCCCAGGCTGGAGTGCAGTGGCGTGATCTCCGCTCGCTACAACCTCCACCTCCCAGCCGCCTGCCTTGGCCTCCCAAAGTGCCGAGATTGCAGCCTCTGCCCGGCCGCCACCCCGTCTAGGAAGTGAGGAGCGCCTCTTCCCGGCCGTCATCCCGTCTAGGAAGTGAGGAGCGTCTCTGCCCGGCCGCCCATCGTCTGGGATGTGGGGAGCACCTCTGCCCCGCCGCCCTGTCTGGGAAGTGAGGAGCCCCTCTGCCCGGCCGCCACCCAGTCTGGGAAGTGTACTCAACAGCTCATTGAGAACGGGCCATGATGACGATGGCGGTTTTGTCGACTAGAAAAGGGGGAAATGTGGGGAAAAGAAAGAGATCAGATTGTTACTGTGTCTGTGTAGAAAGAAGTAGACATAGGAGACTCCATTTTGTTCTGTACTAAGAAAAATTCTTCTGCCTTGGGATGCTGTTAATCTATAATCTTACCCCCAACCCCGTGCTCTCTGAAACATGTGCTGTGTCCACTAAGGGTTAAATGGATTAAGGGCGGTGCAAGATGTGCTTTGTTAAACAGATGCTTGAAGGCAGCATGCTCGTTAAGAGTCATCACCACTCCCTAATCTCAAGTACCCAGGGACACAAACACTGCGGAAGGTGGAAGGCGGCAGGGCCCTCTGCCTAGGAAAACCAGAGACCTTTGTTCACATGTTTATCTGCTGACCTTCCCTCCACTATTGTCCTATGACCCTGCCAAATCCCCCTCTCCGAGAAACACCCAAGAATGATCAATAAATACTAAAATATATATATATATATATATATTTTGCAGCACCCTGGAAAGATTTCTATTTCCCAAGTGTGGTGGAGATTTGATTTCACTCAAAGCTCTGCTCACCTGGCAGTGGAAGAGCATAGTGGGATGGAGAGTAGGGGGCTACCTGCAAGGCATTACTGAAACTATGGGAAAGTGCAGGCAACAACTCAGCTGCCTAAGGCTGAGATTTCAGTTGGGGCAAATAAGAACCTAGACTAGAATTAAAAGGGAATTCTGGGAGAACTAGATGACCATAAGAAACTTTGAAAACCTCTAACATATTCTTGGCAATATAAAAGTCTGGCATGCCCACGAAAGACCTAAGAAAGGAGAAGGTGCCAATCACTCACTTCTGGTTGACCTTGAGTTCCTAGGCAAGCAGGAAGTAAATCAAAGGTTGTCTTACAAACTGTCTGAAGTTTGATCTCTAACAGAGATCCCTTTGGAAAAGATATCCAGGCAAGGCACTTAGTGAACTCTTCTGACCAATCATGGCTCATCACTAAACGGCACTAGCCCAGGTGTGAACCTTGGGAAACCAGGCTTAAAAATTAAAAATAAATAAATAAAAACAAATCCAACAGGGAGGCCAGGTGTATTGGCTCATGCCTGTAATCCCAGAACTTTGGGAGGCTGAGGCAAGAGGATCTCTTGAGGCCAGGAGTTTGAGACCAGCCTGGACAACATAGCAAGACCCCATCTTTACACAAATTTTAAAAATTAGCCATGTGGGCCGGGCACGGTGGCTCACGCCTGTAATCCCAACACTTTGGGAGGCCAAGGCAGGCAGATCACGAGGTCGGAGATCGAGACCATCCTGGCTAACACGCTGAAACCCCATCTCTACTAAAAATACAAAAAATTAGCTGGGTGTGGTCGTGGGCGCCTGTAGTCCCAGCTACTTGGGAGGCTGAGGCAGGAGAATGGCATGAACCCAGGAGGCGGAGCTTGCATTGAGCTGAGATTGCACCACTGCACTCCAGCCTGGGCGACAGAGCAAGACTCCATCAAAAAAAAAAAAAAAAAAAATTAGCCATGTGGGCCAGGCGCGGTGGCTCACACCTGTAATCCCAGCACTTTGGGGCGGGTGGATCATGAGGTCCAGGAGATCAAGACTATCCTGGCCAACATGGTAAAACCCCATCTCTACTAATACACACAAAAAATTAGCTGGGTGTGGTGGCGTGTGCCTGTGGTCCCAGCTACTCATAAGGCTGAGGCAGGGGAATTGCTTCAACCCAGGAGGCGGAGGTTGCAGTGAGCCGAGATCACACCACTGCACTCCAGTCTGGTGACAGAGCAAGGCTTGGTCTCTTAAAAAAAAAAAAATTGCCATGTGTTGTGGCATGCACCTATTAGTCCCAGGTACTAAGGAAGCTGAGGTAGGAGGATTGCTTGAGCCCAGGAGTTTGAAGCTGCAGTGAACTAGATCATGCCACTACACTCCAGCCATGGCTCTTTGAAAAAGAAAATCCAGCAGGGAATTCAATGGCCATACACTGCAGGGAATGTAAAATTTGTCCAGGAAAATCACTAAATAATTAGCAACAAGAAAAACAACAACAACCCTTGAGGGGTAGAAGAATCCGATACTAGAAGTTCTTTAATATATTATTTAAAATGTCCAGTTTGCACCACAAAATTAAGAGACACGCAAAGAAACAGGAAAGCATGACATATGCAGGAAAAAAGGGGACCCAACAAAAACATCCTGGAGGGGGCCTATATTTTGGACTTAGTAGACAAAGCTTTTATATCAGCTATTATAAATACAGTTGACCCTTGAACAAAACAGGTTTGAACTGTGCAGGTCCACTTATATGTGGATTGTTTTCAACCAAATATGGATCGAAAATACAGTATTCTGGGATGTGAAACCTGCATATATGGAGGGCTGACATTTTGTATATATGTGCATTCCTCAGGGCCACCTGTGGAACTTGACTGTGTGGATTTTGGCATACGCAGGAGTCCTGGAACTGATCTCCGCATATACCAAGGGACAAACTGTATATCCAAACTTAGGGAAACTATGCCTAAAAAAATTAAAGGAAAGTGTGACAACAATATCTCACCAAATAGAGACTAGAGATGGAAGTTGTTTTTAAAAAGCAAATTCTAGAGCTTAAAAATACAGTATCTGAAGTGAAAAATTATATAGAGGGGCCCATTAAGAGATTTTAGTGGGAAAAAGAAATAATCAACCAACAAGAAAACAGGTTGATGAAGAAATCCACTTTGAAGAACAGAAAGAAAAAAGAATTAAAAAAAAAAAAAAAAGAAAAGAAAAGAAAGAGGCCGGGTGTGGTGGCTACGCCTGTAATCCCAGCACTATGGGAGGCCAAGGCAGGCAGATCACTTGAGGTCAGGAGTTCGAGATCAGCCTGGCCAACATGGTGAAACCCTGCCTCTACTAAAAATACAAAAATTAGCCGGGTGTGGTGGTGCGCGTCTGTAATCCCAGCTACCTGGGGGGCTGAGGCACGAGAATTGCTTGAACCCGGGAAGCGGAGGTTGCAGTGAGCCAAGATCACACGACTTCACACCAGCCTGGGTAACAAAGTGAGACTCTGTCTCATAAATAAATTCACAAAATGAGACTCTGTCTCATAAATAAATTGATAGATAGATAAAATAAAAAATAAAAAAATTTAAAAAAGTGAAAGAGCCTCACAGACCTGTTGGACACCATCAAGCATGACAAATATGCATAATAGGAGTTCCAAAAATAGAAGAGAAAAGGGCAGAAAAAATATCAGAATAAATAATAACTCCAAATTTCCAAAACTGAATGACAAATATTAATTTACACATTCAAGAAGCTCAGTGAACTATAACTAAAGTAAATTTAATGAGATCCATACCTAGACACTCATAATCAAATTGATGAAAATCAAAGACAAAAAGAAAATCTTTAAAGAAGACAAAAAATAGACTTGTCATGTATAAGGGACTTCAATAAAATTAAGAGCTGACTTCTCATTGGAAACCATACAGGCCAAAAGACAATGGGATGACACTGTCAAAGTGTTGAAAGAGTAAGACTATCAAAGAAGAATTCACCTAAATCTTTCAAAAATGAAGGAGACCCGGCCAGGCACGGTGGCTCACACCTGTAATCCCAGTACTTTGGGAGGCTGAAGCAGGCAGATCACTTGAGGTCAGGAGTTCGAGACCAACCTGGCCAACATGGTGGTACCATTTCTACTAAAAATACAAAAATTAGCCAGGCCTAGTGGCGGGCACCTGTAATCCCAGCTACTCGGGAGGCTGAGGCAGGAGAATCACTTGAACCCGGGAGGCGGAGGTTGCAGTGAGCCGAGATCGCGCCAGCCTGGGCAACAAAACGAGACTCCATCTCCCAAAAAAAAAAAAAAAAAAAAAAAAAAAAAAAGGAAGGAGATCCACACATAACACTGTGCTATAAACTCCTTGAAGAGGGTGACCTTCTCATAGACATCATGCTCTGCATGTAGTTGGAGATTGTTATGTTTTAAGAAAATGAGTAACAGTTTTCTATAGGTGAATTTTAATCTATAGGAAAAGAAGTGTGTCTTGTGAAAAGTATGTAATAGAGTTAAGGGCACCAAACTGTGCACTGTCTTTTGGGAGCCAACTGTTCAGTTGTGAGAGTTCAAAGGTGGATAAAAGCTAGTCTATATACCAGGGGAGAAGTGGATAAGGTATATACAACTGAGATTTGGAAATAACCAGTTATAACAGTAAAGTAGCCATGCCTCTAGATTTACTCTTTTGTTTACCTATTCTTTATTTCAGAGACCTAATGTTAAGTATCAAAAGCAAAATATTTGTTGTAAAAAAGATTTGAAAAATGGAAGATGACTAACTCTTGGGAACATGCAAAAGGAACTTTATACTTTCAATGCTCATTCTAATAACTAGTTCTTCTTGATGACTGGAATACAAAGAATACTAAAAAATCTGAATTTCCATTGAACCAAGCATTTTTAGAATAAGACCTTTCCTAAATAATCCCAGCACTTTGGGAGGCTGATGTGGGCAGATCACTTGAGCTCAGAAGCTGTAGACCAGCCTGGGCAACATAAGGAGACCCCATCTCTATTAAAAAAAAAATTAGCTGGGCATGGTAGTGTGTACCTGTAGTCCCAGCTACTTGGGAGGCTGAGGTGGGAGGATCACTTGAGCCCAGGAGGTCGAGGCTGCAGTGAGCTGTGATGGCACCACTACACTTCAGCCTGAGGGACAGGGTCAGACCCTGTCTCAAAAACAAAACAAATGGAATCTTTATTTTTTTACATTATTTCCCAAAACCCTAGAAAGTCTAAATCCAAATGGCTTTATTTTACAAGAATGATTTTGCCTTTCAAATTTTTAGGTGTCTTATTGCATAAAATAAAACTTTATTAATAGACTTATTAAGCAAAATAATTTTTTTTCAATTTTGTACTTTTCAGTATTTTTTCTATCAACTTTATGGCTGAAAAGGAAGCATCAATAAAGAGAAGAGTTTTAAATAGCTAGCTATTTTAGAGTTCCTATTAAAATAGGATTCTACTTGTTGTATATAATTAAAGAAATTTAACCTGGGCCAGAATAGAAGGTATTAAGAATACCAGATGTTTCTGTGAGCTGGAAGCTGTCACAGCAGTGACACACTTGAATTGGAAATCACCAAAATTTCCTTCTTATTTTCTACTCACCAAACAAAACACAGGCATACTTTCTCATACCTTATGTTTTATAAGGTGAATTGTACCAGGACCTTTAACAGCCTTTGATCCAATTTAAGCTAGTCCTTTATGTCCTTGTTTTTTAAAAACAAATTCCATAAATGGAAAAAAAATAAAAATAGAAACACTTCTAATAAAAAACTGGAAATTCATTGCTAGCTGACCTAACTTACAAGAAATATTAAAGTGAGTCCTTTAGGATGAAATAAAAGAATGCTAGATAGTTACTCAAATCCACATGAAAAAATAAAGCACACTGCTGAAGAGAACTACATAGGTAAATATAATATTCAGTATAAATGTACTTTGTATTTATAACTCTACTTTTCCTACCTGATTTCAAAGTCAACTGCATAAAGCAATAACTATAAAATTGTGTCAATGAGCTTATAACATGTAAAGATGTAATGTGTATAACAATAATAGTACAAAGAAGTTGTGAGGGAATACGTGTGTGTATGTATTACACACACATATATTAGAGAAATGTTTTGTGTACCATTGAAGTTAATTTAGTATTAAACTGAACTAGAGGCCAGGCGAGGTGGCTCACACCTGTAATCCAGCATTTTGGGAGGCCGAGGCGGGCGGATCACCTGAGGTTAGGAGTTTGAGACCAGTCTGGCCAACATGGTGAAACCCCATCTCTACTAAAAATACAAAAAAATTAGCCAGGCATGGTGACGCACGCCTGTAATCCCAGCTACTCAGGTAGCTGAGGCAGGAGAATCGCTTGAACCCAGAGGCAGAAGTTGCAGTGAGCTGAGATCACGCCACTCAACTCCAGCCTGGGCAACAGAGCAAGACCCCATCTTAAAAAAAAACCAACCAACCAAACAAACAAACAAAAAAACATGACTGGGTGTGGTGGCTCACGCCTGTAATCCCAACACTTTGGGAGGCTGAGGCGGGTGGATCACCTGAGGTCAGGAGTTCGAGACCAGCCTGGCTAATATGGTGAAACCCTGTCTCTATTAAAAATACAAAAATTAGCTGCACGTGATGGCAGGTACATGTAATCCCAGCCACTCAGGAGGCTGAGGAAGGAGAATCGCTTGAACCTGGGAGGCGGAGGTTGCAGTGAGCCAAGGTCGCACCATTGCACTCCAGCCTGGGCGACAAGAGCAAAACTTCGTCTCAAAACAAACAAAAAACACACAAAAAAACTGAACTAGATTGCTTTTAAATTAAGAAGCTCATTGTGGCTACCACAAGAAAATAACTGAAAAATATAAGAAAAGAATAATATAGGGCCAGGTACTTTGGCTCACACCTGTAATACCAGCAATTTGGGAGGCTGGGTAGGAGGATTGCTTAAGCCCAGGAGCTCGAGGCCAGCCTGGACAATACAGTGAGAGCCTGTATTTAAAAAAAAATTTTTTTTTTTTTAATTAGCTGAGCATGGTAGCATGCGCCTATGGTCCCGGCTACTCAGGAGGCTGATGTGGGAGGATAACTTGAGCCCGGGAGGTTGAGGTTATAGTGAGCTATGATCACACCACTGCACTCCAGCCTGGGTGACAGGGTGAGACCCTGTCTCAAAAAAAAGAAGAAAAATGAAAAGTATAGTATAATAGGCCGGGCATGGTGGCTCACGCCTGTAATTCCAGCACTCTGGGAGGCTGAGGTGGGCAGATCACCTGAAGTCAGGAGTTTGAGGCCAACCTGGCCGATGTGGCAAAACCTCGTCTCTACTAAAAATACAAAAATTAGCCAGGTATGGTGGTATGCACCTGTAGTCCCAACTACTTGGGAGGCTGAGCAGAAGAATCACTTGAACCCGGGAGGTGGAGGTTGCAGTCAGCAGAGATTGCACCACTGCACTCTAGCCTGGGTGACAGAGTGAGACTCTGTCTCAAAAAAAAAAAAGTATAGTATAATAATAATAATAATAATAATATATATATATATATATATATATAAAAAAAGACACAATAGAATTTAAATGCTACATTGGAAAATATCTATTTAACATAAAAGAAGGCAGGAATACGGAGAGTCAGAGGATGAGGAAAAAAAGAAAAAAATCGAAGATATATAGAAAACAAAGATAACAAAATGACAGGCATAAATCCTACCTTACATTAAATGGAAATGATTTAAATGCCCCAATCAAAAGACAGATTGACAGAATAAAAAACATGATTTAACTATATATGATAACAATAAACACAATTCTGATTTAAAGACAGAAATACATTCAAAGTAAAAGAACAGAAAAAGATATGGCATGCAAGCAGTAACCAAAAGAAAGCTGGATTGGTTGTACTAATATCAGAAATAATCTCTCCTCTAGCCATTCAAAATGCCAAAAGGAATGAAGGCTAAGTGGAAGAAGATGGCCCCCTCTCCTGCTATTGTGAGGAAGCAGGAGGCGAAGAAGGTGATGAATCCCGTTTGAGAAAAGGCCTAAGAATTTTGGCACTGAACAGGACATCCAGCCCTAAAGGGACCTCACCCACTTTGTCAGATGGCCCTGCTATATCAGGTTGCAGCAGCAAGGATCTATATATCTTCTAAAAGCAGCTGAAAGTGCCTCCTGCAAATAACCAGTTTACCTAGGCCTTGGACTGCCAAATAGCTACACAACTGCTTAAGCTGGCCTATAAGGACAGACCAGAGACAAAGCAAGAAGATCATTGGTCCAGACTGAGAAGAAAGTTGCCAGAGGGATGTCTCCACTAAGGCCTTTGAGCAGGGATTAATGCTGTCACCACCTTGGTGGAGAACAAGAAAGCTCAGCTGGTGGTGACTGCACGTGACAATGGATCTCATAGAGCTAGCTGTCTTCCTGCCTGCCCTGCATCATAAAATACAAAGGGAAGAGAAGACTGGGATGTCTAGTCCACAGGAAGACTTGCACCACTGTCGCCTTCACACAGATTAACTTGGCAGACAAAGGAGCTTTGGCTAAGCTGGTGGAAGCCATCAGAACCAATGACAATGACAGACAGGATGAGATCCACTGTCACTAGGGAGGCAATATCCTGGGTCCAAAATCTCTGGCTCTCATTGCCAAGCTGGAAAAGGCAAAGGCTTAAGAACTTCCCATTGGCCAGGCGCAGTGGCTCACGCCTGTAATCCCAGCACTTTGGGAGGCTGAGGCAGGCGGATCACCTGAGGTCAGGAGTTTGAGACCAGCCTGACCAACATAGAGAACCCCATCTCTACTAGAAATACAAAATTAGCTGGGTGTGGTGGCACATGCCTGTAATCCCAGGTACTAGGGAGGCTGAGGCAGGAGAATCGCTTGAACCTGGGAGGCAGAGGTTGCAGTGAGCTGATATCACGTCATTGCACTCCAGCCTGGGCAACAAGAGCGAAACTCCATCTAAAAAAAAAAAAAAAACACCTTCCCATTAAGCTGGGTTAAATGTAGACTGTTGAGTTTTCTGGACAAATAATAATAATAATTCTCCTTCAGCCAAATAAAATGAAATATAAATTAAGAAGACATAACAATTATTACATATGTGTGCAAGTGTGTTCCAAAATACACAACGCAAAATTGACAGAATTGAGGGGAGAAATTCAACAATGGTTGGAGACTTCTTTTTTTTTTTCTTTTTGAGATGGAGTCTCGCTCTGTCGCCCAGGCTGGAGTGCAGTGGCAAGATCTCGGCTCACTGCAAGCTCCGCCTCCCGGGTTCACGCCATTCTCCTGCCTCAGCCTCCCGAGTAGCTGGGACTACAGGCGCCCGCCACCACACTGGGCTAATTTTTTGTATTTTTAGTATAGATGGGGTTTCACCATGTTAGCCAGGAGGGTCTTGATCTCCTGACCTTGTGATCCGCCCACCTCGGCCTCCCAAAGTGCTGGGATTACAGGCGTGAGCCACCGTGCCCTGCCAGTTGGAGACTTCTATAACCCACTTTTAATAACTGATAGAACTAGGCAGATGATCAACAGAGAAATAGAAGACTTGAACAGCCCTCTAAACCAAAGAGGCCTAACAGACATATATGGAACGCTCCACCCAACAACACCAGAATACATACTTTTCTTTAGCATACATGAGTTCAAGACCAGCCTGGGCAACATAAGGAGACCTTGTCTCTAAAACAAATAAAAAAAAAAAATAGCAGGACATGGTGGCATGTGCCTGTAGTCCCAGCTACTTGGGAGTCTGAGGCAGAAAGATCACTTGAGTGAGACCAGGAGGTTGAGGCTGCAGTGAACAATGATCATGCCACTACACTCAACCCTGGACAACAGAGTGAGACCCTGCCTCAAAATAATAATAATAATAATAATAATAAGCACAAAACTTATACACTAAAAACTAAAAATGATTGTTGAAAGAAATTTAAAGACAACCTGGCTGGGCGTGGTGGCTCACGACTGTAAACCCAGCACTTTGGGAGGCTGAGGTGGGTGGATCACATGAGGTCAGGAGTTCAAGACCAGCCTGGCCAACATGGCAAAACCCTGTCTCTACCAAAAATAGAAAAATTAGCCAGGTGTGGTGGTGCACGTCTGTAATCCCAGCTACTTGGGAGGCTGAGGCATGAGAATTGTTTAAACCCAGGAGGCAGAGGTTGCAGTAAGTTGAGATCATGCCACTGCACTCCAGCCTGGGCAACAGAGAGAGACTCTGTTTCAAAAAAAAAAAAAAAAAGAAAGAAAGAAATTTAAAGACAATCTGAATAAACAGAAAGACATACCATGTTCACAGATTGGAAGACAACATTTTAAAGATAACAATACTCCCCAAATTGATATATAGAGTCAATACTCTAAATTCCAACTGTTTTTTTCAGAAATTGACAAGCTGATTCTAAAATTTACATGAAAATTCAAATTACCCAGAATAGTCAAAACAATCATGAAAGATAAGAACAAATTTAGAGAACTCAATTTACAATTTCAAAACACATGATAAACTATAGGAATCAAGATGGTATGGGATTGGCATAAGGCCAGACACAGAGATCAACGGAGTAGAATTAAGATTACAGAAATATATCTGTCCATTTCTGGTCAGTTGATTTTCAATAAGGGTACCAAGACAACTCAATGGGGGAAAAATAGTCTTTTCAACAAAAAGTGCTAGGACAAGGAGATATCCACATACCCAAAAAAAAAAAAAAAAAAAAAAAAAAGAATCTGGATCTTTAACTCACACCATATGCACAAATTAACTCATAATGGATCAAAGAACTAAATGTAGCCGGGTGCAGCGGCTCAGGCCTGTAATCCCAGCACTTTGGGAGGCCGAAGCGGGTGGAACACCTGAGGTCAGGAGTTCGAGATCAGCCTGGCCAACATGGCGAAACCCTGTCTCTACTAAAAATATAAAAATTAGCCAGGCGTGATGGCATGCACCTGTAGTCCCAGCTACTTAGGAGGCTGAGGCAGGAGAATCGCTTGAACCTGGGAGGTGGAGGTTACAGTGAGCTGAGATTGTGCCACGGCACTCCAGCCTGGGCGACAGGGTGAGACTCTGTCTCAAAAAAAAAAAAAAAAAAAGAAGAAGAAAAAAAAAAAGAACTAAATGTAAGAGATTCACTATAAAACTCCTAGAAGAAAATATAGGAATAGGCCGGGCACGGTGGCTCATGCCTGTAATCCCAGCACTTTGGGAGGCCAAAGTGGGCGGATCACCTGAGGTCAGGAGTTTGAGACCAGCCTGGCCAACATGGTGAAACCCCGTCTCTACTAAAAATAAAAAATTAGTGGGGTGTGGTGCCACGCGCCTGTGTCCCAGCTACTCAGGAGGCTAAGGCAGGAGAATCGCTTGAACCTGGGAGGCGGACGTTGCAGTGAGCCGAGATCGCGCCACTGCACTCCAGCCTGGGCGACGGAGTGAGACTCTATCTCAAAACGAAACAAAACAAACAAACAAACAAAAGAAATTATAGGAATAAATCTTCATGACCTTAAGTTAGGCAATAGATTTTTTTTCTTTTTTCTCTTTCTTTTCAATTACTATAGAGTCAATGGTGAGCCAACGGAATTTTAGATATGACAGTAAAAGCACAAGTAACAAAAGAAAAGAAACAGATTAGATTTTAAAACCATTAAAAACTTTTTGTGCTTCAAAAGACACTATCAAGAAAGTGAAAAGACAATCTAAGAATAGGAGATGATTATTTGCAAAATCATATTCAGTAAGGCTCTAGTCCTTACTCACAACTCAACAATTTCTCTACATTCCCTCCAACACTTGCTACTGTCTTAAAAATTTTTTTTTCTTTTTTTCGCCTCATATGTCCTATGTCCTTGGGAATTGCCTTTTTAAATTTCAGCCATTTTAAGTGGGTGTAAAGTTTTATCTCATTGTGCCTTTGATTTACATTTCCTTAATAACTAATATTACAGAACATCTTTTCATGTATTTATCAGTCATTCATATATCTTCTTTAGAAAAATGCCTATTTGAATCTTTTGCCCATTTTAAAATTGGATTTTTGAATCTTTTATTGTTGAGTTGTTGAACCCTCATGTCCTGCTGTTATGACTGTAAAATGGTGCAGCTATTTTGGAAAAAAAGTCTGGTAATTCCTCAAAAGATTAAACATAGAGTTCCCATGTCATCTAGCAATTCCACTCCTACATATCTATCCAAGAGAAATGAAAACAAATGTCCACATAAAAATTTGAACACAACTGTTCATAGCAGCATTATTCATAATAGCAAAAAAAAGAGAAAACAACACAAATGTGTAATCACTGATGAATGAATAAAATGTGGCATATCCATACAATGGAGTATTATTTGGCAACAAAAAGAAATGAAGTACCAATATATGTTACAACACAGTTAAACTTTGTAAATATATGCTAAGTGAAAAAAGTCACAAAAGACCACATGATGTATGATTCCATTTACATGAACTGTCCAGAGTAGGCAAATCTTATTTTATTTTATTTATTTTATTTTATTTTTTTGAGACAGGTCTTGCTTGTTGCCCAGGCTGGAGTGTAATGGCGTGAACACGGATCACTGCAGCCTCAACCTCCTAGGCTCAAGCAATCCTCCTGTCTCAGCCTTCTGAGTAGCTGGGACTACAGGCGTGCGCCACCATGCCTGGCTAATTTTATAGAGATGGGGTCTCACTTTGTTGCCCAGGCTGGTCTCCAACTCCTGGGCTCAAGCAATCCTCCTGCCTTGGCCTCCCAAAAAAGAGCAGGCAAATCTATAGAGACAAAAAATACTTTAGTGATTGATGAGGCTGGAGGATGGGGGAAGTGGGAATAAATGGCGGGGGCTACTACTCATAGAAAAGGGATTTCTTTTTGAGGTGATGAAAGTGTTCTAATGGATAAACATACATTTTAATATTATACAGCAATAAAAAATGAAGTACTGATACATGTTATAAAATGTTTGACTCCCAAAAACATTATAAGTAAAAGAAGCCAGTCACGAAACCACATATTATTGTGTAACTGTATTGATACAAAATGTTTCAGCATAGGCAAATCTATAGAAACAGAAAGCAGATTTGTGGTTGCCTAGGGCCTGTGGTTGGGGGTTTGGGGTAGAGGAGCTACAATGAGGGATGACTATGAATATGTACATGTTTCTTTGTGGAATGTTGAAAATATTCCAAAATCAAATTGTGGTAATAGCTGCACAAGTCTGTAAATTGTATAAGTTAAATGAGTGAACATTATGATATGTGAAATATCTCAATAAAACTGTAATTTTTTAAAAAAATTAAAAGTAAAGAAGCAAAAGAAATACTTACTTTCCAACTCATTTATAAGGCAGCTTTTCCCTGATATCAAACCAGAAAAAGATAGTATCAAAATTTTCAAAATATAAAACAAAAAGATGAAAACTGTAAACCAACATACTTATTGAACTTAAATTAATAAAGGGCATATACGAAAACTTACAGTTAACATTATAATTTATGGCAAAAGACAGAAGGCTTTCTCCTTGGAAGAACAAGGCAAGGATGTCCAATATAAAGTTTTAGCTAGTACAATAGTAAGAAGAAATAAAAGGCATAAAGATTAAAAAGGGAGAAACAAAAAAGTCTATATTCGCAGATGACATAATTGCTCACTCAAAAAATCCCAAAGAATCTATAAGAAAACTTCTAGAACAAATATGTTTAGCAAAATCTTCAGATGTAAGGTCGATACACAAAAATTAATCATATTTCTCTATCAATGTGTGATTGGAAACCCTGTAGAAATAAAATAAATCCTTAGGTATAAATAAATCGAAACACATATAGAATCTGTAAGCTGAAAACTATAAAAAGCAGATAAAACATATCTAAGAAGACCTGGAGAAATAAACTGTACACCAAACCCCCATGACATGCAATTTGCCTATATAACAAACCTGCATATGTACCCCTGAGCCTAAAATAAAAGTTAAAAAAAAAGACAAAAAAAAGGAGAGATAGCCTACGTTTATTGATTGGAAGACTCAGCACAGTAAAAATGTCAATTCTCCCCAAAATTGATATATAGATTTAACATAATTCCAATCAAAATCACAGCAGGATTTTTTTAGATATAGTCAAGCTGATTCTAAAATTTATATGAAAAGGAAGAGGAAGTAGAGTAGCTAAAACAGTTTTGAAAAAAAACAAAGTTTCAGGAAACATAATACCTAATTTTAACAATAATAATTTTAAAAGTTGCTATAAAACTACAATAATCAAAATAGTGTGGTATTGGTGAAAGGACAGACACATAGATTAATTGGAACAGAATAAAGAGTCCAGAAAGAGATTGACACATATATGGCTAATTGATTTTTCAAAAAGGTACAAAAGCTATTCAATGGAGAAAGGACGGTCTCTTCCACAAATGGTAATGTAATAATTGAATATCAATATGCAAAAAAGAACCTCACCCAAAACCTCACACCTCATACAAAAAGTAATTCCAAATGTGTCATAAATCTAAATGTAAACATAAAACTATTAAACTTTTAGGAGAAAACATAGAGGAAAATCTTTGTGACCTGTGTTTAGCCAGAGTTCTTAAATATTACACCAAAATCACAATTTTTAAAAAAAATTTGATAAAGTATACTTTATTAAAATCACAAACTTTCGCTCTGCCAATGACACTGTTAAGAGAATGAAAAGACAAGCTATAGACTTGAATAATATATTTCTAAATCACATGTCCTACAAAGGATTTTTATCAAAAATACAGAAAAAACTCTCGAAAATCAACCATATGAAAACCAACAACCTAATTTTCTAAAATGACAAAAATTGTTGCCTTTGGGATAAACTGAGTAAAGGATACATAGGTACATAGCATCTCTCTGTATTATTTAACTGCATGTAAATCGACAATTATCTCAATGAAAATTTCAATTAAAAATAAAACAGGATACAAAAAAATAGCAAAAAACTTGAACAAACACTTTACCACAGAGGATATACAGATCACAAATAAGTGCAAGAAAAAAAATGCTCAACATCACTAACCATTATGGGAATGAAAATTATAATAAAATAACCACTTTATATCATCAAATACCTATTGGATTGGCTAAAAAAAGAATGCTAGTAATACCAAGTGCTGAAGAGCATCAGAAAAACTGGAAGTCTCGCACATTGCTGACAAAATGTAAAATGATACAGCTGCTTGGGAAAATGGTTTGTTAGTTTTTAAAAAATGTTAAATATGCATACCATATGATGCAGCAATCTCATTTCTGGGTATTTCATCCAAGTGATCTGAAAACTTATGTTCACCCAAAAAGCTGTATGTGACTATTTACGGGAGCTTTATTTGTAAAACCCCAAACTAGAAACAACCCAAATGTCCTCCAACCGATGAATGGATAAACAAACTGTGGTACATCCATTATAACACAAAATAAGTTGAGGAATCCCAAAGACAGCCTCCAGAGACATGTTTTTACCATGAGATCATACTTCTCTGGCCATGCTTACTTAGAAACAGGTGGACACCTGACTGTAGAACAGCCCAACTATAGGCCAGGCAATGGGCTCTGACCCATTTCTTGGCATGAAAAAGATGAGCAGGGACAGTCAAATTTTCTGTCCCTGGAATCTAACAAAGGTCAGTTAAATAAGGACCTGAAAGTGAAAGAATGCTTTGGGATCACGAGTAACCAGTGTTATCTAACAGTTTTGGGAAAGCAGAAACTATGCATAAAATGAAGCCATTTGGGAATGAAACAGAATAAAATAAAGTATAGCTATTAGTGATACTGCATCAGACTGAAGGTTCATGTACTTCTGCTATTAAATCCCCAGAGCTGCCTTCAATCTAAGTCTACCCCTTAATTCTGTCTTTACAAGATCATCCAAGTACAGTTCCTTTTCTTGGGTTCTGTATTAGTTGTCTATTGTTGTTGTAACTAATTACCACAAACTTAGTGGCTTCAAACAACACAAATTGATCTTATAGTTCTCTAGGTTACAAGCCTAACATGGGCCTCACTGGCCTAAAATCAAGGTGTTGCCAGGACTGTGTTCCTTCTGAAGGCTATAGGAGAGATGTGTTCCCTGGCCTTTCCAGCTTCCAGAAGTTGCCTCCATTCCTTGGTCTGTGGCACTCTTCCTCCATCTTCAAAGCCAGCAATGTTGCACCTTTCTGACACTGTTTCCCTTTTCTCTGACTCTTCTGTGTTTCTTCTCTTCTACTTTTAAAGATCCTAGTGATTTTACACTGGACCTACCTGGATAATCCAGGATAATCTCCCTATCTTAGAGTCAGCAGATTAGCAACTTTAATCCCATCTGCAAGCTTAATTCTCCTTTGCCATATATCCTACCATGGTCACAAGTTTCAGAGATTTGCACATGGACGTTTTCGGGGGGAATTATTCTGCCTACGACAAGTTCCATTGGGATTTCACATATGTCCTTACAATACATCCTTAACCCCCACCTTGACTATGCACATATAACCAAAGAGGCCTGACCTGATTAACAACTTCTATATTAGTTAAGTAGAGATTGATGCTCTTATTTTTCAAAGTCAAAGAAGTATATTTTACTAATATTCTTATAACTAATAAAGATCTCTTCAGATAAGAGCATGAGTGTATATATATGTATGTATTTCTTTTTATGAGACGGAGTTTCATTCTTGTTGAGTGTGTGTGTGTGTCTGTGTATATGTGTGTGTGTGTGTGTGTATATATATATATATATATATATGTATGTATGTATGTATGTATTTTAGATGGAGTTTCGCACTTGTCGCCCAGGCTGGAGTGCAATGGCACAATCTCGGCTCACTGCAACCTCTGCTTCCAGGGTTCAAGCAATTCTCCCATCTCAGCCTCCTGAGTAGCTGGGATTACAGGCGCCTGCCACCACATCCAGCTAATTTTTGTATTTTTAGTAGAGATGGGGTTTCGCCATGTTAGCTAGGCTGGTCTCGAACTCCTGACCTCAGGCGACAGGCCCACCTCAGCCTCCCAAAGTGTTGGGATTACAGGCGTGAGCCACTGCGCCTGGCCGAGTATAATTTTAAGATTATCTTGTTACCAACAAACTCTCCAACAAACTCTAAATGCTAGACCAGAAGTTCCCACTGACTGATAACATTTCAAAAATTATTGTGGGGATTGGCATTGGGCTTCCAGCTGCTGGTTTTCCAAATAAAAGCATGAACCATACTCAGCTTCTCTTTACAATCTATCAATTATCCTAATCATTACTACATAAAAGGACATTTAACATCAAAAACAGAAAATAATCTCAGAATAATGTGTACTTCTTTAAATTATTTTAGCCTAATTAAAAATAAATTGTATTATAATCATTTTACTAATTTTGCTAATCTTGGACTAGATTTTTTAAAAATTACTTTTATGACTGATTTACCTGTAGCAACTATGCCATTGTCCACATGTGTCAAGGACTGGGGGCGGCTTCGAAGTTTGCTTTTGAAAGATCTTGGTCGACGTGGTGATGCAGGTGGCAAAGGAATCTCAGTAGATTGGGTTTTGCTATCTTTAATTGACCGAAGGCGTTCATAGAGCTCCTGCAGCTCCTTATTCTGCTGGGTTTGAAGATTTACCACCTCCTGAATGTGTCTGAATGAAAATCATGCAAAAAGCATTTTAATGGCACTGGCTCCATAAAGATGAGCCAAGAAACTCTAAACCAGTATAAGTAAAGTTTAACAAGGAATTTAGATTAAGAATGGGGAAATAGAGACTAGGCACAATGGCTTACATCCATAATCCCAGCACTTTGGGAAGCCGAGGCAGGAGTATTGTTTCAGACTAGAAGTTCGAGACAAGCCTGGGTAACATAGGGTGACCCTATCTCTCTAAAAAAAAAAAAAAAAAAATACAAAAATTAGCTGGGCACGGTGGTGCATGCCTGTAGTCCCACCTACTCAAAAGGCTGAGGTGGGAGGATCACTTGAGCCCAGGTATTCAAGGCTGCAGTGAGCCAAGATCACACCACTGCACTCCAGACTGGGTGACAGAGAGAGACCCTGTCAAAAAAAAAAAAAGAAAGAAAGAGAGAGCGAGAGAGAGAGGGAGGGAGGGAGGGAAGGAAGGAAGGAAGGAAGGAGGAAATACAGAGTATTTTCACAATTTCCGGAGGGGAAGTGGGAAATGCCTTCCTAAGCATAACATTTAACTGTAATAATCACTCATGAAGAAAAAGATTAACAAATTTCTAAAACTGAAATACAGTGAAAGTCAGTAAAACAAAATGTAAAGTCAAATAGTATTAATAATATTAACATTTTTTGCCAGACGCAGTGGCTCATGCCTGTAATCCCAGCACTTTGGGAGGCTAAGGCAGGAGGATCGCTTGAGCCCAGGAGTTCAATACCAGCCTAGACAACATAGTGAGACCCTGTCTCTCTGAAAAAAAAAAAAAAAAAAATCAGCCAGGTATGATGGCACGTGCCTGTAGTACAAGCATCTCGGGATGCTGAGGCAGGTAGATCTCTTGAGCCAGAGGTCAAGGCTTCAGTGAGCCATGACAGCACCACTGCACTCCAGCCTGGGTGACAGAGCAAGACCTCATCTTAATAATAATAATTGTAATAGTAATAAAAGAAAGAATAATAAAAATCGGTGAAGAAACCATAATGCTAAAAGAACACTGAAGGATGAATAAATTATCTTTTAAGATCCCTTCTAGGCCAGGCATGGTGTCTCATGCCTATAATCCCAGCACTCTGGGAGGCTGAGACAGGAGGATGGCCTGAGGCTAGAAGTCTGAGACCAGCCTGGGCAACACAGGGAGACCTCATCTCTACAAAAAAATTTAAATATTAGCTGGATGTGTTACACGTCTGTAGGCCCAGATACTTGGGAAGCTGAGGTGGGAGGATGGCTTGAGCCCAGGAGGTAGAGGCTGCAATGATCCATGACTGCACCACTGCACTCCAGCATGGGTAACATAGTAAGACTCTGTCTCAAAATAAAAGATCCTTTCCAGGTCTTGGGTTCTATGAGGTTATGAGAATCCATGTCTCACATTCAAAATTAAGTAGATATTCATAACCACCCAGTTACAAAAAACTAGCCAGCTACAAAAGCTACCAGTCATTTGACAATGGTTTAAAAGAACCATTAAAAACAGCAATAGAAGGCCAGGTGCAATGGCTCACGCCTGTAATCCCAGCACTTTGGGAGGCTAAGGCAGGCGGATCACGAGGTCAGGAGATTGAGATCATCCCAGCTAACACAGTGAAACCCCGTCTCTACTAAAAATACAAAAAATTAGCCAGGCGTGGTGGCGGGTGCCTATAGTCCCAGCTACTTGGGAGGCTGAGGCAGGAGAATGGCGTGAACCCAGGAGGCAGAGCTTGCAGTGAGCCGAGATCACGCCACTGCACTCCAGCTGAGGCAACAGAGCCAGACTCCGTCTCAAAAAAAAAAAAAACCAAAAAAACCAAACCAAAACAAAACAAAAGCAATAGAATACTTATATCACAAATATGAAACTGCTTTAATAACTTTTATTATAAAAAGTATCAGTGTACATATACTGTATAGTACTTAATATATAAGTTGACGTATACATAATGTAATGTCAAGCCTGTATATATATTTTAAAGTGGAATATCAGCCTTCTGGTGATGAATATTTAAAGTATATATTCACAATTTTCTTGCAAGCTCAAGTTAAAAACACTGAAACAAGTTAGAGAGAAAATATTATAATTATCTATCATTGGAATGACAGTTTTGGGTTTTTTTCTTCTCTGGGCAAGGCCCTAGAAACTAAGAAATTTCCAAGGATTTTAACCTGCTTTAATTCTTGAAGCACTTGAACGTAGCATCCAAGTGGAGCATTATTCAAGCTTGTAAGAACTTGACTAAAATCCAGCTTTTTATTTTATTTTTTGAGATGGAGTCTCGCTCTGTCACCCAGGCTGGAGTGCAGTGGTGCGATCTCGACTCACTGCAACCTCTGCCTCCAAGGTTCAAGCAATTCTCCCTGCCTCAGCCTCCTGAGTAGCTGGGATTACAGGTGCGCGCCACCACGTCTGGCTAATTTTTGTATTTTTAGTAGAGACGGGGTTTTGCCATGTTGGCCAGGGTGGTCTCAAACTCCTGACCTCAGGTGATCCACCCGCCTCGGCCTCCTAAAGTGCTGGGATTACAGGCATGAGCCACTGTGTCTGGCCAAATCCAGCTTTTTGCGTGCCTATTTAGTCCTCCCTGGTTCTCCCTGCTTTACAAATTGTTCAAGTCCCAGAACAGTGTGGAAATTCTCTAAAGCATAAGATATATTCAAAAATTGCTAGAGTTGGTTTCAACTTTTCAAAGTAAGGGCATGGGGTCGTCAATAGGAGGCTAGTAATTAACTTATGAGTATATACATATAATGGAATACTTTGAAACAGTCAAAAATATAATGATACAGATATATATCCAAGATACTATGAAATGGTAAAGAAAACCAAGATATAAGAACAGTCTTGCAGTGTAAGTTACTATTTGGGGAACAAAGAATGAAATATGCATATTTGTTTGTACAGTTATAGACTAACTGGATATACAAGAAACAGGTAATATTTATTGTGTCTAAGGAGAGAACCTGGATAGTTCAGCTGCAGTGCTAGGAGGGAGACTACTGGTTACCCTTTTGTACCTTTTGAATTTTGAACCATGTGGATAGAATTAGAATTCAGCAACTTAAATATGAATTTCTTTTCTTTTTTTTTAGACGGAGTCTTGCTCTGTTACCCAGGCTGGAGTGCAGTGGCGCACGATCTGGGCTCACTGCAACCTCCACCTCCTGGGCTTAAGCGATTCTCCTGCCTCGGCCTCCCAAGTAGCTGGGAGTACAGGCGTCTGCCACCACACCTGGCTAAGTTTTGTATTTTTTTTTTTTTTTTTAAATACAGACAAAGTTTCACCATGTTGGCCAGGCCGGTCTTGAACTCCTGACCTCAAGTGATACACCTGCCTCTGCCTCCCACAGTGCTGAGATTACAGGCATGCGCCACCATGCCCAGCTGGCCTGAATTTCTTTTTTTTAAATGACCTATTTTATAAAACTAAATACAAAACAGCATTCTATTGACAAAATATATTATCATAATATCACTAGTGAAGGTTGATTACCTCAGTCACCAAATAATAAGCTTGATCTTGAAAGTATCTTACCTTTTCCTAAAGAAGATGAACCACTATCTCTGATTATAATAAATCAGCTGTTTACTTATCAAATGTGAAATTATATAAGAATAGTTGTAAAATCTAAAACCAAAAGTCCTGAAGAATAAGGATTGTAAAGGTTAGCAAAAAGAGTAGTTAAATCATATTGGTAAATAAGCAACTGTAATAGTCTTGAGACTATGAAAACATTTTATATATAAGAACTTTTTCTCATTCATAAATGTTTAGCATTAGCATTCTTTGTAGTTTTCAATCATTAAAATGTCACCAATCCTAAATTAGTTACCAATCCAATACTAAGTTCTATAAAACCTAGGGCAACCAGATTTGTGACAAAAGAGAAACAGTCCTTACTTTTCTCGTAATCTTTGAAGCTCCACCTTCAAGTCCTCATCCTCTATTTCTGATTCATCATCACTGCTCATTGGGGAAGATGGCGAATAGAAGAGTGAACTCTGTGTTTGAGCATAAGCTTGTTCTTCGTGGTGTGGTAAGCACTGATTACTCTCTGGACCAGTCTTTGCCACTGACTTTCCACTGCCAGCAAGACTGGCTGAAAATTCACTATCAGAGCTAGGCTGTTTCCCAGCAGTCAATATCTCTCTCTCTTTAAGCAACAGTTCAGATCCAGACTGCATGCTACTTCCTGTGGCTGAAGTTTCTTCAAATTCCTTTTCTGGGGTCACTGAAGATACATCAGTCTCACAAGCTGCGCTGAAAGATAAGAAGTTGTCACCTTGTTTGGGAACTCCTTTATTTTCTTTACAGGTTTCCTGAAGAGCTTGTAACTTCTCATAAGAAAACGAAGTTTTTGGATTTTGTGTGGCAGGTTCTATTTCTACCAACTGAGACTTTGCTGTTTTAATAAAGGCTTCTTCACTAGAATGGTTTGTCTCACTGAACACTGATATGTGTTCTATTCCAAAAGATGTCATTTTTGCTGACTGCTGCTGAGGAATTGTAATCACCTGAGATATAAAAACGTAAAAGTGGTTAGCATAGCACAGACAAGTAGATGCTCTGCTGTGATGTATATGTATTGATACTAGCAAAACTTAAAAATTTAATCTATACCCCCAAATTCACTCTTTCAATCAGGCCCCTTGGGTAAAGAGAGTGGGCATCATATTGCTCAAATAAAATTCCACAATTAGAGTTGCTGAGATTCTAAAGGACGTGAAATTACATTTATAAAAGAGGACCCACCCACCCGCCAAAAGAAAACCTATTTCTGTGCTCTCTACCAGCTATGAAAATCTCCATTTCTTTAGATTCATCTTTACTGATGGCTTCAAAAGGTGAGGGGATGCATGCAAGATGAACAAATTAAATATGACAATGATCTACATTTAAAGTAAGTATCATCGGCCAGGCATGGTGGCTCATGCTTGTAATCCCAGCACTTTGGGAGGCCGAGGCAGGCGGATCACCTGAGGTCAGGAGTTCAAGACCAGCCTGGCTAACATGGTGAAACCCCGTTTCTACTAAAAATACAAAAAATTAGCCGGGTGTGGTGGCGCGCACTTGTAATCCCAGCTACTCGGGAGGCTGAGGCAGTAAAATCGCTTGAACCAAGGAGACGGAGGTTGCAGTGAGCTAAGATCACACCATTGCACTCCAACTGGGCAACAAGAGTGAAACTCCATCTCAAAAAAAAATAAAAACAAAAATGGAAGTATCATCTACAGACCAAGATCTCCACTGGCTGTTATATTTTATAATGCCCTTGTAGATAAGGATTCAATCAAAGACACAAACCTGGAACCGACCCCGCTGAAATGATCCACTCATCGCTTTACATCTATTCAAAGCCCTAGTATCAGCTGTGGACTCCCGTGTCAGAGGAATGGGATCAGGAGCAATTGCTGATCTCATCTCTTCTGTTTCCACTGCAAGTTTTGCCAAATTGTAAGTAAAAAAGAGAAAATTGTTTGTTAAGACTAAATTTGTTTACATTACCAAAAATGAAGAAAAGTAGAAAAAGCTTAACTCCTGCTAGACAATTAAAAGGTGTTAATGTAATAAGCAACATTGTATTAAGTCCCTAAGTCTAAATCAGACATTGCAAGATTTATCCCAAGACTTAGTATCTATATGAAATGAATAACCGGAAAACCAAATTAGTTACAAAAGGAAAAAATAAAATGGCAATGACATTAATGGGACATGTCACATACATGGGCTATGTGGAAAAAGTGGCAAGATTTGTATATGAACAACAAAAAAAATAAGTAAATGAAAAGTGATGTTACCTAGTCTATGTCCCTGACTGTAAGCACACTACCTTGACGGACTTTTGATCTCTTGAAAAAGCTGGTTGACTGCCGTAGCCTGTATGCCCAGCTTTTTAATTTGCGAGTCCAGGATTTCTTGCTAATAGGATTTTTGAGACTAGGACAAGTAAAGCTTAGGCCAAAATATCCACCTCCTGTCTGCAGATGAATGGCTCCACCGCTTGACACAGCAGCAGGATAGGCCTCTGGATCCCCTGGAAGTGAAGCATCTGAGGACATCTCCTAATGGAGACAAAACAAAACAAAACAAAACAAAACAAAACAAAACAAAACAAAACAACCGAGAAAAACCAAAGTGGTAATAATTTAGGTAAGGTGAAGCTTTTAAAAAAAAAAAAAAACGGAATTTCTTGTATAGACTAATCTTTAACCCAAAATAGAGTATTACGTATATAGTTGCATTAATAGTAGCATATCAGACTGAACCCAAAGTACTCAATTTATAAAAAGCCTTGTTTCTTTAAAAATATTATTTAGACTTTAGTAAATAAAAGAGAAGATTATTAATCTTCTACCCCAGAATATTTTTCATCATTATACAAACTTTGAAAACTGAAAATCAAATTAAAATTTCCTTCATATGTGCCAGTTTACTAAAAAGGTTACTAAAACTCCATGCTATTATCATGGAAATTTTCATTTATGCCTATATTATTTAAGAGACTCAGTTAAAGATGCTTGAAACACATAAAAACAGAAAAAAACAAGATATCTAGGCACTTAGATTTACAGAGAAGTATCAGGAAATCAAGTTTCTTACTTTATGAAAGCATAGGGAAATTTATAAAGGACATCAAAATTACTTCAAAATCATGCTCTAAAAATTCTTGTTAACGTCAGGCTATGCTGGCTATAAAATCAATCCCCTCTTCTTGTCCTTCTACTCCCCGCAAAAGGGCCCCAGATATAACTGTTGTATCTAAATGAGTGCTTTAAAGATAAATCCCCTATAATAATTAATATGAAAAGTTAGCACAGACAACCACAAATATTTTGGGAAACATGAGAAGGGTCACTACTAATCTAGAAGATTAAAAAAATATATAAAAGCACAAAGAATGGGATTTAGCATTTGCCTGAAAGAAGATAGCCTACATGGCAGTAAGTATGATGTCTTGGGTAAGCATTATTACTACTTAGGGCAGGGCTGGGCGCAGTGGCTCACGCCTGTAATGCCAGCATTTTGGGAGGCTGAGGTGGGCAGATAACCTGAGGTCAGGAGTTTGAGACCAGACTGGCCAACATGGTGAAACCCCGTCTCTACTAAAAATACAAAATCAGCCTGTCGTGGTGGTGCCTGCCTGTAATCCCAGCTACTTGGGAGGCTGAGGCAGGAGAATAGCTAGAACCCGGAGGCGGAGGTTGCAATGAGCCGAGATCGCACCATTGCACTCCAGCCTGGGCAACAAGAACGAAACTCTTGTTTCAAAAAAAAAAAAACAAAAAAACAAACACAAACTTATGGCAGGTCAGGACATATTAAAAATAAAATTGTAAGCAATCAGTTTTTACTTTCTGAAGTCTCATTTTAAACTAGTAATAATTAGTTTCATGAGAAGAAAAAAATCAGTATTACAATTTAGAAAATGTTACATTGGTCCCACTGAAATTACAGAAAAGAATTTTAATATGTAGTAACTGGATCAAGATGGCAAATTAAATATTTGTTCTAGCCTTCCTTATCAATCCAAATTTACAGACACAACAGGAAAATATACATAGACACATGCATATATGACTGACAGAGGAAAAAGTAGACCATGACATATGTAGGAATTGTTTCAAAATGCTGCAAACCTGAGTGGCTGATACGGGCAGCAGGAGAGAACCCTGGCCAACTAAAAAGATGAGTGGTAGGCTAGAATGCTTACAAAACTCTATCAGATCTATCTTCTGTCTCTTTCAATGTTATCTCTTAATGCTCTCCTGTTTACTGGCCGCCTTTTGGTTCCTTGAACAGATCTCTGCCTATGACTGTCACCATCACATACAAGTCTTTCCCTGACTACCATATATAGGTTTAGTATCCATTTTCTTCTACTAGATGTAAACTCCACAAAAACAGAGGTTTTGACTTATTCACTGCTAAAGAGATATTTACTGAATGGAAGAATGAACTGGTTGGGATAACAAAGAAGGAACAGGCAGGCAGTTCTGTCCCTTCTCTCCCCACCTCCAGACCAAGCAAAGGGCAGCAGAGGCATGCGCCCCCAAATAAGAGCAGTAAGAGGAAAAGGTTTTGTGGCCAAGAAAGAGGTCAACGATGTAGGAAGGAGACGACATCCAGGAAGAAAGGTAAGCCCTCCTACATTTGGAGACTAGCTACTGGGCCACCCTCCAGGCAGCATTAGAGATAAGTTACAAAATACAGTGCCAGGGAGCATGTCCCATACCTTTCCCACAATTACTGAAGGAAAGTTACGGTAATTACATAAAACACTTACAGACAGATGAACAAGGAATCTCATGAGTGAAAAAGAAGAGAACACAACTAAGAATCACTAAACACCAAGGGAAAACTAACATTATAAGAAAATACTAAACTCGGCAAACAGAATAGCCAAGGAAATAGCATTAATAACACAGAATAAGACTTCAATATATTCAGAGAGATGTGTGAATATACTACATTGATAAAGAAAGGAATGAACTACAGTTACTAGAAATTAAAACAATGTAATACTTGATACAAAAAATAGCTGAATAGGAGATGCAACCGCTTAAAAATTGAGAAATTATCCCAGTACAAAAAGCAAAAGGACAAACAAATGAAAAGCATAAGTTTATAGATAAGAGCTGCGCGCAGTGGCTCACACCTGTAATCCCAGCACTTTGGGAGGCTAAGGCGGGTGGATCATCTGAGGTCAGGAGTTCCAGACCAGCCTGGTCAACATGGTGAAACCTCATCTCTACCAAAAATATAAAAATTAGCTAGGCGTAGTGGTGAGCGCCTGTAATCCCAGCTACTTGGGAGGCTGAGGCAGGAGAATTGCTTGGACCTGGGAAGTGGAGGTTGCAGTGAGCTGAAATCATCCCATTGCACTCCAACCTGGGCGACAGAGTAAGACTCCATCTCAAAAAAAAAAAAAAAGTTTGTATATAAGAAAAATAAAAATGGGAAATGAAGAAATAAAACTATCTCTATTCACAGTTGACATGCTCTTATATATAGAAAATCCAAAATAATCCACCAAAAGTTATTGGAGCTAATAAACAAACTCAGTAAAGTTGGAGGATACATCAACACATAAAAATCAGTTGTATTTTTATATACTAGCAATGAAGAATCCAAAACAGAAATTAAGAAAACAATTCCATTTCTAATAACAATAAGAAAATACTTAGGAATACATTTAACCAAGGAGTGAAAGTCTTATACACTGAAAACTACAAAACATCAATGAAAGAAATTCAAGGATACTGAAATAAATAGAAAGTTCATGGACAGGAAGACTTAATCTGTCAACAGTCCACAGAGTGACCTACAGATTCAATGCAATCCCTATCAAAACCCCAATGGCCTTTTTCACAGGAATAGAAAAGCTTATACTAAAATTCATATGGAATCACAGGGGACTCTGAATAGCCAAAAAATATTTAAAAAGAACAAAGTTGGAGGACTCACATTTCCTGATTTCCAAATGTACTATAAAACTACAGTAATCAAAACACTGTCATTTTGCTACTGGCATAAGGATAGATATTGGGAGTGATGAATTGAATTAGTCCAGAAATAAATCCATACATCTATATAGTCAGCTGATTTTTTACAAGAATGCCAAGACCATTAAATGGGGGAAAGAATAGTTTCTTCACCAAATGGTGCTGAACAACTGGATATCCAAATGCAAAAGAACGAAGCTGGACCCTTGTCTCATACATATACAAAAATTAACTCAACATATATCAAAGACGTAATTATAAGAGCTAACAAAGCAATACAAGGAAAAGTGGATAATCAGACTTCAACAAAATTAAGAACTTTTGTGCGTTAAAGGATACCATCAAGACAGTGAAAAGACAAACCTACAGAATGGGAGAAAATATTCACAAATAAAATATCTAATAAAGACTTAGCATCCAGAATATACAAAGATTTTTTTTATTTTATTTTATAGAGATGGGGGGTCTCACTATGTTGACCAGGCTGGTCTTGAACTCCTGGCCTCAAGCGATCTTACTGCCTTGGCTTCCCTAAATCCTGGGATTACAGGCTTGAGCCACCATGCCCAGCCACACATATAAAGAATTCTTACGGCCGGGCACGGTGGCTCACGCCTGTAATTCCAGCACTCTGGGAGGCCGAGGCGGGCGGATCACGAGGTCAGGAGATCGAGACCATCCTGGCTAACACGTTGAAACCCCTGTCTCTACTAAAAATACAAAAAAAAAAATTAGCCGGGCGCAGTGGTGGGCACCTGTAGTCCTAGCTACTCGGGAGGCTGAGGCAGGAGAATGGCGTGAACCCGGGAGGCGGAGCTTGCAGTGAGCCAAGATAGCGCCACTACAGTCCGGCCTGGGCGAAAGTGCGAGACTCCGTCTCAAAAAAAAAAAAAAAAAAAAAAAAGAATTCTTACAACTCAACAACACAAACAACAACCCAATTAAAAAATAGGCAAAGGACTCGAACAGACATTTCTTCAAAGAAGATATACAGATGGCCAACAAGCACACGAAAAGATTCTCAACACCACTAGCCATTAAGCAAATGCAAATCAAGACCACAATAAGATACCACTTTATACTTACCAGGATGGCTATGATCAAAAAATTGGAAAACAAGTGTTGGTAAGTATGTGGACAAATCGGAACCCTCACATTGTGCTGGTGGGAATGTAAAATGGTGTGGCTGCTTTAGAAAAGAGTTTGGTGGTTCTTCAAAAAGTTAAACGTAGAATTACCATATGCCCCAGATAATTGAAAACAGGAACTCATATGAATACTTTATATGAATGTTCGTAGCAGCACTATTCACAACAGCCAAAAGGTAGAAACAACCTAAATGTCCACAAACCAATGAATGGATAAACAAAATGCAGTATAGCCATAAAATGGAATATGAACCTTGAAACATTATGCTAAGTGAAAGAAACCAGACACAAAGGCCATAAACTGTATGGTTCCATTTATATGAAATATCTAGCATAAGCAAATCTATACTGACAGAAAGCAGATTTGTGGTTGCAAGGGGCAAGGGGGAAGGGAGAATGAATAATGACTGCTTAATGGGTATGAAGTTTCTTTTTTTGGGGTGATGAAAAAGTTCTGGAACTAGATAATGGTGATGGATACACAACCTTGTGAACAAATTTAATGTCACTGGATCGAACACTGTAAAAGAGTTAAAATTCTAAGAAATCACAAGACAAGTTTCCATATTTATAGAGCACAAAGAATATGAAATAAGATGAATAAACAATAAAGAGAATATACCAAAGGCATCCAGTAGCCCTTTAAGTAGGTACTATTATCTCGATTTTACAGATGAGGAAATTAAGGCTGGGTAAAGGGTGTAGATAATTTGCCTAGTATTACATAGTAAATGGCAAAGCAAGATTTTGAAACTGGTTTGTGGGGTTCAAAAGCTGTTTTCTTTCTAACACTGTTTCAATAAGAATGTTTTCATTTAAAAAATATTACAAGTATTACATTGTGAAAGGAAAACAAAAACTCAGGACCCTAATTCACTATGCCAAAAAGAAAAAAATTAAGCTGAAAGCTGAGTCATGCAAGAAACTGCATTTCATTTTGTTCCTAAGCAAACAGCTACAAATAAAAGGTTAAATATCTCCAGAGGTAGCTACCCTATGTTCACCTTATCTTATGTAAAGTGCTGATTTACTGAGCAAAATTGGGAGATGAATACATAATTGATTATTCTCCTACCTGCTCCTTTTCTCTTGCAACATGTGGATTACCATAACCTCCCTCTTTCCCCTCCAGCTTGCTTTTCTCCTTTAAATACTGAAGCCCTCAAAATCATCTTTGGAGAAAGGCACAGACCACAGACTGTATCTGTGATTCCATGTTTCCTTTCTTCTAGGCATGTCCCTAACCTTGGCAAAATAAAATTCTAAATTGATTGAGATCTGCCTTAGATATTTTTTGGCTTATAACATGAATAACTGTTTTCTGTAAAAGATCTAAACCATTAGATAAAACAAAAATCCCTGTAACAACCCTCCTTCCCAGTCTCCCCTGGAAGATATCCACTAATATCAATTTATCTTTTCAGAACTTTTTTGTGCATTTATGTACATATATATGCGTGTGTGTGTGTGTGTGTGTGTGTGTGTGTGTGTGTGTGTGTTCCTTTTTAAAAATACAGGCCAGGTGTGGTGGCTCATGCCTGTAATCCCACTGCTTTGGGAGACCAAGGCAGGAGCATTGCTTGAGGCCAGGAGTTCAAAACCAGCCTGGGCAACACTGCAAGCCCATGTCTCTACAAAAAGTTTAAAAATCAGCCAAGCATGGTAGCACGCACTTGTAGTCCCAGCTACTTGGGAGGCTGAGGCAAGGGGATCACCTAAACTCAGGAGGTTGAGGTTACAGTGAGCCACGATCATGCCACTGCACTCCAGCCTGGGTAATGGAGTGAGACCCTGTCTCAAAAACACACACACACATACACATACATACATATACACACACACACACATACACACACCTCATCATACTGTCTGAATTATTCTGCATATATTTTTCCTGATGATTTTTCCTGGAGATATGTCCATGCTAAAATAAAGATGATAATAGCTAACATATATTTATAGGTCTACTTCATGCTTTTAAATTGCTTCATAGTATCAGTGTCCCTCAATTTCTATTTACAAATATTTAAACTTGTTTGTGAATCCTTTCCTGTTACCAATAATCAAACAATGTTACACTGAACATTCTTATACATGTTCCTTTGTTCATATGTGCAAATACTTCTCTCAGGTAGAATTTGACAGTGACATAGCTCAGTCACAGGAATGTACACATTTCTAACTTTCATAGTGTTAAATTGCCCTCCAAGTAGGCTGTACTGATTTTATTCCTACCAACATAAAATGAAAATTACTGCGCCCAGCCATCAATTTCTTTAATATTTGCTAGTCTGATTAGCAAAAAACTATTTTTCCATAAAATTTTGCCTTTCTCTCATTACTAAGAAAGTTGAAAATCTTTTCACATGTTTAGCAGGCATTTATATTTCCACTTCTGTGAAATGCACGTTCAGATGCTTTGGATATTCTTCCACTGAGTTGTCTGATCTTTTCTCAATGATTTGTAAGCATTCTTTATATATTTTAGAGTTAATATTTTGTCAGTTTTCTGAGAAAAAAGCTTGGAACAAAAATATATGCAAAAATAGGTTGCTATGAAAATGGAGCCAAGAATAAGAAAGATTTAAAAAATCAAATTCATGACTGCCAAATGAAAAATTAACTGGATACAGCTGAATACCAAGAGAGTGATCTGAAATTTAAAAAGAAAAAAAAAACTGAAGACATATCTGAGAACATAAGGTTTTAAAAAATGAAATTAAAAGTGAGAGCAAGCTGTTAAGAAACATGGGGAATAATCCAAGAGGCCATATATCTCCTACAATTTCTAAATGGAAATAAGCAAGACAATGAAGGGGAAGAAAAAAAAGAAATGAAAATAGTTACCGGAGCTGAAAAAAGACACAAATCTTCAAATTCGAAACATCCACAAAAGTGATATACAAAATGAATGGGAAAGTGATATACCAAGATACAGTCTGATAATCAGAGCTCTAAGATAGTTCCCTAAGAGCAACTAGACCTGTGCTAACTGAATACAGTAGCCACTAATCACATGTGGCTGTCTAAATTTAAATTAATTAAATTAAATTAAAAATTCAGGCCCTCAGTTGCACTAGTCACATTTCAAGTGCTCAATAGTCATATCTGGTTAGTGGTTACTGTATTGGATAGTGCAGATACAGAACATTTCCACGTTGTAAAAAGTACAAGAGCATTGCAGTGGTCTAGAGTAAAAACAGGTTACCTACAAATGAATGATAAACAACTGACATCACTCTCATCAGGAAGGCTAATAAAAGACAATAAAACACTGTCTTCTAAATTGAGAAGAAAAAATTCTGATCCTACCATCTGTACTTAGTCAATCAAGTGTGAAGCAATATAAAGACATTTTTGGACATGCAAAAGAATACCAAATAGGATACTCATGCAATATATTTGAAAATATTACTCATAGAAGTATTTTAGGGGAAAAAAGAAGAATTCCATGACACCAGAAACAGTGGCAGCTAAGTATGATCCAGATATAGCAACAGACACTTGAAACAAATAAATGAATTCATTTGACCTTGACACTTGGGAGAGTCTCCTTCAAGCAACAAAGTTTAAATGACAGAAATAACAGTTCATTTCTTAAGATTCGAATCACATTATGTGATATTTATTATTTAAAATAATTTAAAAAATTTTTAAATCTTTAAATTATATGTATCAGTGGAATATTATGCAGTTGTTTCAAAAAGTTGAGTAAGATGGAACTATGTGTACTGACATGGATAGATACCCATAAATGAAAAAAATGCAGAATAGCATATATGTAAATAAGTATATGTATATAAATATTAACATGTATCTATATCTATATAAAGATACAATATATCATATATAAAAAGTATGTCTTTATAAATATTTGTATATTAATTAAAATCATGTCTGGAAAGATTTGTTAACAGCTGTGTCTACAGGTTTGGGGATGGGGTGGATTTTACTTGTACGTAGTACATATATACTATGTACAAGTATATATTATTACTTATATAATAACAAAAATGACAAAAAGATACAGCAATAAAGATTTAGAAAGATGTCCATGATCTACTGTAAAATGAAAAAATTAAGTTGCAGAACAGTATGTATACAGCACAGTATTTTTATGAATATAATGTTATATGTATGTAAATAGATCTGTATAAGCTTAAGAAAAGTCAAGAAGAATAAGCATCAAATTATTAGTGGTTACTTTTGTGATTTGAAGGGGCAGAAAAGGAAAATTAAAGTTCCTACATTATATAACTCATAAAATAAGTCAGGCCAGGCACAGTGGCTCATGCCTGTAATCCCAGCACTTTGGAGGCCAAGGCAGGTGGATCACGAGGTCAAGAGTTCGAGACCAGCCTGGCCAACATGGTAAAACCCCGTCTCTACTAATACAACAATTAGCCGGGCGTGGTGGCACGTGCCTGTAATCCCAGCTACTCAGGAGGCTGAGGCAGGAGAATTACTTGAACCCGGGAGGCAGACCGAGATCATGCCACTGCACTCCAGCCTGGGCGACAGAGCAAGACTCCGTCTAGGGTTTAAAAAAAAAAAAAAGTCATGGTATTAATGATGATTTTTACTTTCTTTTCTTCTCTTTTTTTGTCAAATTAAATCCCCCCAAACATGATTAAATTAAAAACCATAACTTTTTTTTTTAAAGAAGGAAACGGATAACTGGCATTTTAAGTGAAAATCTAAAAGTTCTTCCTACCCACTAAAACAATCCATGAGTCAGTTTTCATTCTGTCATTAATACAAATATAGACACTGCTTGCAAGTTCTTAGCTAATTCACCAGAGGGCTCTCTTACCAAAGATAGTTTGTCATCTCTACTGAGAGGTTCTGAACACCTGCAGCCTAAGTCATAGCCTTCTTAAATACCTGTGACCTCAGCATCTTGTGACATAGACCATTTCATCTCAAAGGACAGAATTTTAGAAGAGAAGGCATTTCTTTAAAACAATAAGCAAAGAGTAAGGAATTGGTTAGAAAGAATGATACTTACATGTAAACACAATTCGCTGGGTACAGAAGTTATCACATTCAGGTCCCTTTTGAACACTGATATATTAGCAGGCTGACTTGCAGCCACATTGGACAGAAGCTTAGAGCCTGTCTGTTGGAAATTAGGGGATTGTACAGGGCTATCTTTAATTCCACAGTGACTGATGGCTATGACTTCTGTCACTGGACAGGAGAGGGTATCTTCAGCAGAGGAAGAAAATGGAGAGTCTATGCTTTGGGTATCCTTCTGACTCTCGGGATAGATGCTAGAGATGCTGTGCTCCTGATAGAGCAAGTTTCTTAATTTTTCATCCAGAGTTTTAATTCGGTTGTCTGCAAACTCCAGTTTTGGAGGTCTTTCTCCATCTGATTCCAGGACAGTAGTGGGTTGAAGGGTAGTTGGTTCAAGGCCAGGGGTCTGAGTGGGAATGACTGTCTTAGGAGAACTTGCTTCAGTGTTCACTGTAGTTTCTCCTTCTTGAGAAATAAACTCTGCATCCATAGCTGGCTGCTGTACTGATAAGGTTTGAGGCTTTTGATCAAATGCCAGAGTTGTAAGAGAGTTACCAGAAGTCTGAGTTGATTCGCCAGGATGGGACATAAGTGCATCAGCCTGACTGGCAGTTTGGTGACATGGATACACAGGTATGAATATGCTTGCTTGTTTGGTGAGTCCCTCACATTCAGCTGGAACTGCACGAACTGAAGTAGTAGAGTAACTGGAACTATTAGTAACTGGTGCCATTATCTGCCTGTTATCTTCCACTTGATAAAGTATAGCTGGCTGCTTGGTTTCTACACTAGCACATTCAGAAATCTTACCATCAACCACATCCTTGTGTTCTGATTTGGAGGTGAAAAGTGCACGGTGGCATGGATTATTTTCTATAGTGAGCAATGTGTCCCGTGATATTTCCTTATTACTTGTGTTTTTTGGACCTGGAACAATAATAAAGAATGGCTAAGCACGTACTGACGAGTACAAAGCACAGACTAGTACCCTAAGTCAAAAGGAACAGGAGGACAAAGGGGCAAATGAGAACCTGTGTGAAAGTACTCTCGTAAATAAGACTCAAAACACAGAATTCAACCTGTCAAGGGAAATAATGTTTTCCTTTTTTCTCATAAATATTAAATAGGAAATGGCTTAAGTTGTATCCTAATATTAATGTCTTCAAAAAAGCTTATGAAAATTCTCATAAGCATAAAATTCCCATGGAAACCAGTTAAAGATATCATATGTATTTTGCATCCCATCCTTTGAGTCTGGACAAAGCTGGCAGAGAAGAAAAGCTTACTAGGAAGTGGATGTCGGCCAGGAACCGCAGACATGGAATGCTGAAGAGAAGGAGGAGACTGAGTCTCACGGTTTCTTATCGTCTGATTGATACAGAATCGCCACCGACCAACTGGGGATGACTGAGGAGCAGATTCATCTGCAGAAATAATTAGCAAAAAATAATATGCTAAGCTATTTTCAATTTATTTACCTTATTGACTGAAGAAGCCAGGTTAAATAAACAATTTGTCTTATATCTCCATTTCTAATAGTACTAGAATATATGTAATTGATAAGACCAGCCCTTTTAATACTGACAAAAAGTCTAAAGTACTAAGCACACAATATCTTTAGAGAAGGATTTTAGATTCTACTGAAACAAATATTGCTTGAATAGCAATTAGAAACAGGGTACTCTTTGAAAAAACTGACAGCACTTTTCTCATTAAAACCTATATCTCTTATTCTGTATCCTGATTATGATAGTGCTTATATAAATCTATACATGTATTAAAATTTACAGAAGTGTACACCAAAAGAAAATCAGTTTTACTGTATGACATTTTTTAAAATAAAGTAAAATAAACCCCTACATCTTAACTGCTACTTTGTAAATGTACTCAAATAAGTAATTCTCTTTTAAACTCTACCCAACTTTGTTAGTCAGAAACCTACTCATATCTTGGCTAACCAGAAAAATAAGATATAGGAAGGACTGCATCCTAACACAGTCAAACTAAATTTCAGGATAATGGTATCTGGTTCTATTACTCCCACACCACCTTTTGCTTCTTTACGTTCCTGTAATTTCTTCAGGGGTGCTCATTTGTCTATGGCTCTTATCCCCCTCCCAGACACTCTTTAATATACCCATGACCAGAACTGAGAAGAATGGAAAGATAAAGTCATCAGAAAAGAAAACAGGAGACCCTAGTTTTCGCTTCTGGAAGTTTATCTGGTATCTGATTTACTAAAAGTTATCAGTGACCAGCGCAAGTAGAAGCATATCATTCATCGTTAGTAGAATAAAATCAAGATACGAATGACTATTGAAATATGAGGCAAACTTAGAAAATGATGACTTTTGTTAAAAAGTTTCTATCCATCTCAAATCAGAAAAAAATAACTTACCAGTTAAGTTTCAAACAGTTATGCCATTTAAGGTCATCAGTACTGTGACTGCTTTTCTGGTAACATGACCACCCAATAACTCAAAAATAAATCAATCAGATAAAGAACCAACACTTGGGGAAAAGTCAGGGGATGGATTATTACCTTTGGGCCTTTCAAAGTGTGAGAAAACCTACACTAATAAGTTACCAAATTAATTTATTGGCTAACATCTTTCCCAATGAAGGTGTGTTAAAAGTTTTCAAATGTCTTGCTTCAAAAACCAAATGATAAATTTTACTAAATATACTTACTGCTGGTTTGAGTAGATGTAGAATTTATCTGTACTTGTTCAGATGACCCTGTCTGAATTAAAAATGAATAGATAAATTAAAAAGTTCCTGATTCATATCTGAGAAGATCTGTTTGCTAAACAATTGTTCTCACCTGGCTACTGTTGGAGTCCACAGTAATAGAATCAACTCCAGTGGCTCTTTCTGTGGCAAAGTGGACATGAAGGATCTCCTGGGCTTGACCTACAATAGCTCTCAATTCTTCTACAAATTTTTCTTTCTCACTTTCCAGCACAAAGTTATCTTCAACCTGCCCAAAAGTAAGTCTATTCATGAGAATGAATTCAGTTTCTTCAAAGTTATAATATTATATAAATAGTGACTATCACATAAAGAAAGAAAATTGGGCCAGGCACAGTGGCTCATGCCTGTAATCCCAGCACTTTGGGAGGCTGAGGTGGGTGGATCACCTGAGGTCAGGAATTTGAGACCAGCCTGACCAACATGGTGAAACCCTGTCTCTACTAAAAATACAAAATTAACTGGGTATGATGGCGGGTGCCTGTAATCCCAGCTACTTGGGAGGCTGAGGCAGGAGAATTGCTTGAGCCCAGGAGGCGGAGGTTATGGTGAGCTGAGATTGCACCATTGCACTACAGCCTGGGCAACAAGAGCAAAACTCTGTCTCAAAAAAAAAAAAAAAAAGAAAAGAAAAGAAAAAGAAAAAGAAGAATAAAATTAAAATTAAGTATCTAAATCCAAGTGTCACAATAGAATTCACAAAGACCAGCAATAAAATGCCAAAAAATACATTAAATTATTCTGAGACTACTGACATTTCTCAGATTGGCACTACCTACCAGAGAAGGAACCAGCATTTTAAAAAATATGTCATTCTATAAATTGGTTATTTGAAGAACATAACTGAGGCAATGTTTAAAACTAAGATGTCCAAACCCAAAAGCTTTTAAATCACAAACCACAAAATGAAACATCTCCAAAGAAAATAAAGAATAGCTCGGAAGGCTGGGCACGGTAGCCCAGCACTTTGGGAGGCTGAAGTGGGTGAATCACCTGAGGTCAGGAGTTCGAGACCAGCCTGGTCAACATGGCGAAATGCCATCTCTGTTAAAAATACAAAAATTAGCTGGGTGTGGTGGCGTGCGCCTGTAATCCCAGCTACTTGGGAGGCTGAGACAGGATAATCACTTGATCCCAGGAGGCGGAGGTTGCAGTGAGCCAAGATCACACCACTGCCCTCCAGCCTGGGCAATAGAGCGAGACTCTGTCTCAAAAAAAAAAAAAAAAAATAGCTCGGAAGACCACTAATTAGGTTAAACATTCCTGAAAAGAATGAAAGAAGAGACAGTTCAGAAAATATTACGTTAAACAAGAACAGAACTGATGATGAAATAATTAACTTTTAAAATGTTTAATTCTGCTTGGCTAGAAATGCATACACAAAGAAAGCTGGCAGAAACAAAAAGCATTATATGCACTCTTCCTGCCATCCTAGTCCCATCCCCATCAAAAAAGGGGAAGATGGAAAAGTAACCTAGAAAATAATAAAAAAAAATAATAAAATAAGGGGGGAAGAAATACTAACTTAAACCTAACAATTCAAAGAAAATATTAAAAACTAAATGAAACAATAACATGCAAGATGTTAGATCAGTGACTAACACATTAGAATTACAAGGGGAGGGATACCCCATTTACCTTTACATCATTCTTACACATTGTATACCTACATCGAAATATCTCATGTACCTCATAAATATATAAACTTTCTATGTAGCCACAAAAATTAAAAAAAAAAAAACAGAAAGAAAAAGAATTACCTGGGGCTTTAGCTTTTTCAAAGCCTGTTATAAAAAATAAAAATAATAAAAGGTAACTTTTTTTTGAGACAGGGTCTTGCTCTGCTGCCCAGGCTGGAATGCAGTGGCATGATCATAGCTCACTACAGCCTCAATCTCCTGGGCTCAAGCAATCCTCCTCCCTCAGCCTCCCAAAGTGCTGGGATTACAAGTGTGGCCACCACATCTGGCATTTTTTAATTTTTTGTGAAGACAAGGTCTCACTCACTACATTGCCTAGGCTGGTCTTGAACTCCTGGGCTCAAGTGATCCTCCTGCCTAGGCCTCCCAAAGTGCGGGGATTACAGGCATGAGCCACTGTGCCCAGCAAAAAATAAACTAAAAAAAAAAGAATTACCTGGGGAGCTTTACAAACTATTGATGCTTGGGCCTCACCTCCAAATATTCTGATTTAATCAAGGGACCAGGCAATACAATTGTTTTTAAAAAGCTTGTCAGGTGATTTTCACATGCAATCAGAGATAAGAGCCATTTAGCTATATTATCTCTAAATGAAACCTCTGCATATTTTCCAGTTAAATATACTGAAACCGGAGGAGATGCAGTGACTTACACTTGATGATAACCCAATTTACCTCTGTACAAAATTTTAAAACTAATCGTACTCTAAAAAACAATGGCTCAAAATAAATGGAGACAGAATTATAGGGGAAAAAAGACAGAATGCTGAAGGGAAGATAATTTGGTCTTACTGCACTTACCATATAGTCTGCAATATCCTCTGGCGCATCACCATCAACATCAAACTTGAAGGTGACCATCTTGTTGTTGTGTGTCTCCAGCTGACACTCTACCATGTTATCTCCAGAGGTTGATACCTGAGTACAAACATTTTACCGGTTTAAGAGTCAATCACTGTCTTCTTTTTGCAAATTGTGCAAGGAACATCTACACTAGTTCACGTACAATATATGTGGAAAATGGCTTAAATAGTTCAGAATGTTTTCCCTTGGTGGAATACCATCTAAACAGCCATTCTATGACTAAACTAACAGGTTCAAGTTACTCAGTAAAAAATAAGTTATAAATGTGATCCTGTGGTAAAGAAAACAATACAACTTTTATAAGAAAGCAAAAAAAGTTATAATAGTCACTAGAGCTATCTGCAATGCAAAGATTTAAATTTAATAATTCATTTCCAAAATTATCTTAATCTATAAATTGACTCTAAGCAAAAGAAGAGGCACTGCAAATGGAAATGTAACCTGGACCAATCTTTATGGACAGCAATCTAGCAACATGTATCTAGAAACTTTAAAAATCTTCATATTCTGATCCATGAATCCGTCTCCTATGGATCTAATAAGGAAATAATCAGGGATAGATACAAAGATTTATGTTCAAGGATTTTGCTGCAAAGATATACAGACAGACAAAAAGAGTAAAAGACAGCAAGTTAGAAAAAAGACAGACTGGGAAAAAGATGGAAAGAAAGAACATAAACCAAGAACATAGGGAATGTAAGTTATTTCTCTGTATAAGCAGCTATCTAATGTAGCCATTTAAAATGTCATGTTATTGAAAAATTAATGATACAGGAAGGCATACATGATATATTAGGTTTTTAAAAATGCAGGATATAAAATTATATATAGGTTTAAGCAGCCAACTAAAACATACATTATATTGGTTAGAGATACGGGCTTTAAAGTCCGATCTAGGTTCAGATCTGACATTATCACTTGCTAGTTGAGTGATCTTAGGCAACTTACTTCGCTCCTCTGATTTCATTTTTTTTTCAGATGGAGTTTTGTTCTTGTTGCCCAGGTTGGAGTGCAATGGTGTGATCTCAGTTCACCGCAACCTCCGCCTCCTGGGTTCAAGCGATTCTCCTGTCTCAGCCTCCCGAGTAGTTGGGATTACAGGCATGCACCACCATGCCTGGCTAATTTTTGTATTTTTAATAGAGACGGGGTTTTATCATATTGGTCAGGCTGGTCTCGAACTCCTGACCTCAGATGATCCACCTGCCTCGGCCTTCCAAAGTGTTGGGATTACAGGCGTGAGCCACTGCGCCCGGCTCACTCCTCTGATCTTTAGTATCTTCATTTGTAAAGATGAGTATATACTATGACCTATCATACAGGGTTATTGAAGGATTAAATGGTAAAATGCATGGATAACATTTAGGGTGCCTACCACAAAAGAACTCAATAGATTTTTGCTGCGATTACTAGTACTATTACAACCTCAATAATGTAAAACACTACATGTACATACAGGAAAAGGAGAGAAAAACAAACTAAAACATTAATAGGAGCTATCTCTGAATGGTGGTTAAAAGTAGATTTTATTTTCTTTCTTATATTTCCTAAGTTTAACAACGAACACATAATACTCACATTGGAAAGTCTGTAACGGAGAAAAGGTTAGTTTAGAGAGGGTCTCGCAATATTCTACAACTCACTTCTGCAGCACTGCCCCTCTCTGACCCTCCAGACCTCTATATGTACTCTTAACCAAACCATATTTACAAACTGACCTGAAGGACGGTAAGCTGAAATTTAGTCCCCTTCTCTGGTCGGGGACAGGAAGCTCTTCTCTGTTTGATCCGATCCTGTTTGCCATTTCCACTTGGGTTATCAGGGCTACTGACGTTTTCCTTCGTAGTTGCCACATCTTGATTCAAGCTAGTAATATTTTTAAAAAAGTAACTCATTCCAGTCTTGACAGTAAAATTCTAAGAAAAACTCCCAATTATAAAACTATAAATAATGAATTTAAGAAAAATTAATACTACAATCTTTTTAAAAGTTATGACTGCACAACTCTGTGAATATACTAAAAGCCATTAAATTACACACTTTAAATGAGTGAATTATATGGTATGTGAATTATATTTCAATAAAGCTTTCTTAAAAAGCTGAAAAATCAAGGTCACACTGTATTTATTTAGCATTTAGCAAACCATCTCACAGTGATGAGAATGAAAGAAAAATATTGCCAGTGATAGACCTCTGTGGAGCCTTTTATTATAGGGTGCTCTTGATCAGTTTTATCTTGTTTGTTTGGTTACTTTATTAATATCTTCAAACAAAACTTCTAAAACCAAAACAAATTATCACTCAAAATATACTTGTTTATGTAATGAACTCAACAGGGTAGACCAGGTATGGGAGACAAGAATAGTGTTCTGCAGGAGGCAGAACAAGATATGAAAATGAATGATGTAAAAATAGCTCAACATTATTAATTCTAATTAGTTACATTTTACAGGTCTACATCAATATTATTATGAAAGGGGAGGCTACCTTTTAGTTTATCTGCGTCAAAGGCATTTTTCAGGTTTTTCTTTAAACTCAAACATATTTCAACAAATACAAAAATTTCAATAAACACGTTTGGAATTTAAATGACAAGCTCTAAGTCTCAGACATCTTTTTGAAATAGATATCTTTCAAGTTAATTTAAGCAAGTTATTTCTCCTAAAAACTACTCATGAAGCATCTATATATAGATGTACAAGAGATAAAAATAACTCCTAAATTTTTTATGTCCATATGACGTATGACATAAATATAAGTAGTGGAAGAAGATACATTAATACTGCCCTTAAGAGTTTTTTAAATACACAGAGAAATGGCAGTAACAAGTAATCAGAGGATAAAAGGAATATAATTTTAGCCAATGGGCTATATCATTCACATTCCAAAGTTACTTAACACATCAGTTTAGGGTTTGGGACAAGATGGCAGAAACTCAACTCTCCCTGCTCCTCCCCTCTAAGTACAGCTAAAAGTTCTAGAAATAATGTAGTAGACAATGACAGGAGGGCACAGAAGAGTGAAAAGATGAAAGCGGACTGGCTGGGGACCCCTAGGACTTGAGTAACATCATAGCAGCTTGGTATCTTCCAATTATCCACCCAGTGAATAAAGGCAGTACAGGCAGTGTCTCCCAATTCCCAGTCCAGAGGCAAAGGCAGCCCAAGCACAGTATCTCCTGATCCCCAACCCAGCAACAGAAGAGGACTTAAGTAGGCCCTGTCCTTCCCCAGTGCCGCTGGTAGGAGCCCCACCAGTAAGTAGAGTATAGCCTGTAGAGCACACCTGGGGGAGCAGGCCTAGGGAAGCACTCTCCACCTCTTGGCCCAGCAGTGGGGGCCAGGGGTTCAGGTGAACAAAACAAACCAGAATAGCAGCACTGTAAGGATTTTGAAAACTAAATTGTCATCAGAATCACGGCCCACAAAAGCAGGCCAGAACCTATGCATCTAAACAAGGGCGACTGCTTGCTAACATAGAAGATTTCAATAGGCCAGGCATGGTGGCTCACGCCTGTAATCCCAGCACTTTGAGAGGCTGAGGTGGGCGGATCACCTGAGGTCAAGAGTTTGAGACCAGCCTGGACAACATGGTGAAACCCTGTCTCTACTAAAATAAGTTAGCTAGGCATGGTGCCATGTGCCTGTAATCCCAGCTACTCAGGAGTCTGAGGCAGGAGAATCGCTTGAACCCAGGAGGTGGAGGCTGCAGTGAGCCAAGATCACGCCATTGCATTCCAGCCTGGGCAACAGAGTAAGACTCTGCCTCAAAAAAAAAAAAAAAAAAAAAAAAAAAGACTTAAATAGGATCTACAGTCACCTGACAATATCCAAACGCCCAGGAGACAAATGAAAATAAACTCCTTTGTCATACCAAAAACTAGAAAAATTACAACTTGAATGCAAAAAGGTAATCAACAGATGCCAACACCAAGATAAGTCAGTTATTGAAATCATCTAACAAGAATAAGATGAGGCTGGGCGCTGTGGTGCACGCCTATAATCCCAGCACTCTGGGAGGCCGAGGCGGGCAGATCATTTGAGCTCAGGAGTTTGAGACCAGCCTGGCCAACATGGTGAAACCCTGTCTCTACTAAAAATACAAAAATTAGCCAGGCGTGGTGGTGCGAGCCTGTAATCCCAGCTACTTGGGAGGCTGAGGCACAAGAATCACTGGAACCCAGGAGGTGGAGGTTGCAGTGAGCCGAAATCGTGCCACTGCACTCCAGCCTGGGCAATAGAGTGAGACTCCATCTCAAAAAAAAAAAAAAAAAAAAGAACAAGATGAATCAGATATTGGAATTATCTAACAAGAATTTTATTTATTTATTTAGACAGAGTCTCACTTTGTCACCCAGGCTGGAATACAGTGGTGCGATGTCAGCTCACTGCAACCTCTGCCTCCTGGATTCAAGCAATCCCCCAGCCCCAGCCTCCCAAGTAGCTGGGATTACAGGCGTACATCACCACACCTGGCTAAATTTTGTATTTTTAGTAGAGGCAGGGTTTCACCATGTTTGCCAGGCAGGTCTTGAACTCCTCACCTCAAGTGATCTGCCTGCCTCAGCCTCCCAAAGTGCTAGGATTACAGGTGTGAGCCACTGCACCCGGCCTCTAACAATAATTTTAGAGCAGCTATCATCAAAATGCTTCAATGAGCAATCACAAATAATCTTGAGGCAAATGAAAAAAAACCAAAATCTTATAAAAGAAATAGAAGATTTTAAGAAGAACCACATAGAAAGTATAGAAATAAACAATCACAGAAAAAAAAAAACACCTCACTGAATAGGCATAATAGTAGAATGAACAGGACAAAGGAAACAATCAATGAACTTGAAGAAAGAACAATAAAGACTATCCAATCTATATTTTTATACAGAAAAATACTAGTTTTCAAGTACTAAATAATAATACAATTAAATATCTAGTTGTAATTTATTTCTTTAGATTAGCTAGAATTCTACTCTAAACTCTATTGTTTCTTCCTTCCTTAACCCTTACCAGCTTTTCCTAGAACAGAATGGTATAAATAAACACAATAAGAAAATGATCAATTAATTTCACAATCCATATGATCCCTACTGACATAAAAAAGCAAAAAAAAAAAAAAAAACTATCGTCTTTATTAAACATCCACACAAGTACAAGAATACAGAAGCTTCTCTAGTCAGGATGCACTAAGCACCTAATGAGTAAACAAACTTCAGCATATCCTCATTGTTCTCATGGTATTAATTTGAAGATACTTACCTTCGAACTAAATCTGGTTTTAGAAGAGCTGCTTGTTGTTCAGCTCCAACTGGTTGGGATACAGGCTGTAAACAGTACAGACATAAAACTTGCTATGATAACAGTAAAATTCAAGCTAAATATACAATTTGTTACTATTCAGAAAACACGATAGTTTTGGTTACCTTGCAAACCTGGTAGAATATCTATGTTATTGAATGTCTGTATCAATCCTATTATTAACATTATTACCAAAGATAAATAAAATTTAACAATACAACAAGTACATCTTATACATGAAGATTTTTCATTTGAAAAAGTTATTACTGTTATATGTACTTTTGTTTTGAGTTATTTTTCAATGGAAGACACTACTATCGAGCTTCCAGTCCTAGTTGTAAGACTACTACTTAAAAGAAGAGGTACTACCATTCTACAAGAAGATAAATCAATGACTCAAGCATTAACTTATTGTGTAGTCTGTCTGTCTGTCTCTCATCTCTTTTCTCTAGACTATTTCAACTATCCCTTCAAGGAATTAGTACTCAGCAGCTGCAACATTGGCTTCCAGGAGAAAAGTGTTTAAGCTCTTAATAGGGCAAATACCAATTCTACTGGAAAATAATTTTACATTTACCTAATCCATCCTCTATGCACTGCCACTAGTGATAGCAGAGTGATCTTAGAATGCAAATCTAACAAAACTGATAATTTCCTTACCCAGTTTAAACCCTATATGATGGTGCCTCATCTTCTATAAGATTAAGGTCCTTCAGATGGCAAATAATGTTCTCAATGAACTGGCCTATACCTGATTATCTAGCCTTATCTCTCTGTTTGAAGCCACGCTAAACTGTAGCTCCTCTGTATAAATTAGGCTCTTCTGCATATTGTGACTCTACTTATATTCCTCCACTTCCCTAAACTATTTCAAACTATTTCATCATTCTAATCAACCCATACTGAGAAATTTTTTCCTGCATAAATTAGACTAGCTTCTAATTATAGATTAGTTAATTAGCTCTTTAACATAATTACTGTTTAAACATTGAGAGCAAATATTTCGGCAAATAGTGTTTTTGTACACTTAAGATTCAACAAAATGTATCTAATTTAACTAATGTTTGTACAGTCCCCGTAAGTTGGAACAGCAACTGGCATCCTAATGCATAAATCCAGAGACAAGTGTATGTACTAATCAAAGAGAAACAAAACATAGCTACTATACAATAATATGGAAATATATTTTATAATCACTTGCAATTATTAATGGGGTTATTAATGCTACTTTGTGCTGGTGCTCAGAATCATGGCTAATGTTTGGTTTATCTGCCTTCATATCTGATAGGTACAAGTTAAGCTCTGTCATAATATTTCTAAAGGTTTCAAAATTAATATTTACAAATAGGTGCTGGGCCATTTTTGCAGATGTCTTTCAAATTTAATGAAATGTTTCATTTTTACTTTCATTTGTTTGTTTTTTGTTTTGAGATGGAGTCTCGCTCTGTCACCCAGGCTGGAGTGCAGTGGCGTGATCTTGGCTCACTGCAACCTCCACCTCCTAGGTTCAAGTGATTCTCCTGTCTGAGCCCCCGAGTAGCTGGCACTACAGGCGCGTACCACCACACCCGGCTATTTTTTTTTTTTTTGTATTTTTAGTAGAGATGGGGTTTCACCATGTTGGCCAGGCTGGTCTCGAACTCCTGACTTCAAGTGATCCACCTGCCTTGGCCTCCCAAAGTGCTAGGATTACAGCCGTGAGCCACCACGCCTGGCCCATTTTCACTTTTGTTTAAAACTGCAGCCAGCCCTTTTATCTGTGGATTCCACATGCATGGGTTCATCCAATCTTGGATTGAAAATGTAATATTCTGCCTGGGCATGGTGGCTCACACCTGTAATCCCAGCACTTTGGGAAGCCAAGGCAAGAGGAATGCTTGAGCCCAGGAGTTTGAAGTTACAGTGACCTATGATTACACCACTGCAGTCCAACCTGGGACCCTGTCTTAAAAAAAAGAAAAAGAAAAAGACAAGACAAGACAGGACAGTATTTTCAGGATTCAGAACCCTTGGATATGGAGGGCTGACTTCATGTGTGTGATTCCACAGGGCCAACTGTAGGGCTTAGCATCCTTGGATTTTGGTATCCAAGAAAAGTCCTGGAACCAATCCCCTACAGATACCAAAGGACGATTGTACTATAGTGTTGCATATTGATATAATGATGACCTACCCTAAGATTATCAGATTTGAGGCTTGGTAAGTCTGTTTGTACAAAGTTGAATTTATTTTTTTCTTATTACCAAAGCAAGATGAATATAGATAAGCTTGTTTAACACCTTGGTGTATATTCTTTGAGACCATTTTCTGTACACAAACACACACACACACACACGTTTTTAATGTAATCATAATGTATGTACTCTTTTATAATCTTCTTTTTACTGAAAACATCTTAAGTGTTTAAGAACATGTTAAGGGCTACATAATATCCTTTAGTGTAAACATACCATTATTTATTTAATGGTGCAAGTAAGGGAGACAAACATCTAATTTTTTTGCTATTTGCAACTATATTTCATATTGTGAGGAACATTCTTGTAGCCAAATCTTTGTATGCATTCTTAATTATTTCCTTAGGAAGCCTTTCTAAAAATGGAATTGCTAGACATTTTTAAGGCTTGATATATATTGCCAAATTGCCCTTCAGAAAGGTCTAACCAGTTTACAGTCCTACCAGAGGTTTGTGAAAGTATCCATTTTCCTCTACATTTGGTATTTGCTATCCTATAAAAATGTTTAATTATTAAATGTATATAACATTATAAAATGTAGGAAAATGGGAAAAATCACCTAGAATGCTGTTTTCCTAACATGGCTGTGATTATAATATTTGTTTCAATACTATAGGCTTTTGTCATGTGTATAAATGGTTGTAATTATACAGTTTTTTCTGCTTTTTAAAATGTATTAAGTATTTTTCCTTACCTTTATTGGCCTGCATTACTTCAGTTTTTAATGGGCACATGATAGGACAATAAGTATTCATATTTATCTAACTCCTCCCCTATTCCTGGATAACTAACTTACTGCCAATTTTATTACATATAAATAAAAATACAGCAAAAATACAGAGATAGCTAACATTCACTATGAAACAAGCGTTGTAGTATGTGCTTTTTGCTTCCTTTTTATTATTTTCTTCAGATTTATTTCCAGGATTGGCAATATCAGATCATGAACATTTTTATGGCACAGTTTTTCTTCCTATGTCACCCTTTCCTTTCTTATTTCTACCTTCACACATTTATTGGAAACCTAGTGTGTAGCAGGCACTGTGCTAAGAGGCAGTGAGGATACAAAATGAATCTGATGGAGTCCCTGGAGTCAAACATTAAACATATATAATAAAGAGTGGGCTGGGCGCAGTGGCTCACATTGGGAGGCTGCACTTTGGGAGGCTGAGGTCAGAAGTTTGAGACCAGCCTGACCAATATGGAGAAATCCCATCTCTACTAAAAATACAAAAATTAGCTGGGTGTGGTGGCATGCACCTGTAGTCCCAGCTACTCAGGAGGCTGAGGCAAGAGAACTGCTTGAACCTGGGAGGTGGAGGTTCCAGTGAGCTGAGATTGAGCCATTGCACTCTAGCCTGGGTGACAAGAGTGAAACTGTCTCAAAAAAAAAAAAAAAAAAGAAAAGAAAAGTAGATACAGCTACTTCTGCTGGGGCAGGAGCAGGGAATCAATCTTGGTTATATTCTTGAGGCTCCCCTAACTGGTTCTGAGGTCTTATGTAATGCCAAACCTCGGGAAGGTGTTGAGGAGGATCTTTCTCCTTTACTTGCTCCACCACTCCTCTCCTCCTCCCATTAGTGGTTCTCAGCCCCAGAAGGGGAGATGGGAGGACAAAAGAGATAAAAAGCTAAGCCCATGTACAACATCCCAGAGATTCTTATTCAGTTATTATGGAGTGAAGGAGACCAGTAAAACTGGGATGTACTTTTAAACATTTCATAAATTGCTTTATTATGTTATTGATGTTACAAAGCATATCTCTCCCCTGAAGTACTTTTAACAACCACTATTTGTTGAGTACCTATTACATGCCAGACACTTCTCATATTTTATATCACCTAATCCTAATAAGCCTGCAATACAGGCATTTTTTCTAACATTATAAAAATTTTCCAACACATAGAAAAGTGGAATTGTTCTGTGAAAACCTATATATCTAACACCACCCATAGTCTACAGGATTTTACTATATGTACATTATCCCATATATTTCAAAGTAGGTTGCAAATGCAAGATAGGCATTTTAAAACTTTTACAACCATTTAAAACCATTTCACACTAAAAAGAACCAAAGCTGGGCGAGATTAAATAACTTTCCTCAAGTCACACAGTGAGTTCAAAGAGCCAGAGTTGAAATCCAGGTCTGACCAATGACACAAATTGGCTCAAGCCTATATGTATGCTGTATATACCTGGTTAACAGTGGAATTTTTGCTTATTTAATTAAATAAAATTATCACTGTGCATGATGCCCACTTCCATATTTTTATATTTATATAGAATTCTTCATCTATAAAGACGTTGTCTTGTATAAGGCCAATTGTTGGTGAAGGCAAGATTCTAAACATTTTTTTTTTGAGACAGGGTCTCACTCTGTTGCCCAGACTGGAGTACAGCCCCAACCTCCCAGGCTCAAAGTGATTCTCCCAGTTCAGCCTCCTGAGCAGCTGAGACTACAGGCATGTGCCACCACACCTGGCTAATTTTTTTAAAAAAAATTTGGGCCAGGTGTGGTGGCTCATGCCTATAATCCAGCACTTTGGGAGGCTGAGGCAGGCGGATCACCTGAGGTCAGGAGTTGGAGACCAGCCTGGCCAACAGGGTGAAGCCCTGTCTGTACTAAAAATACAAAAATTAGCCAGATGTGGTGGCACATGACTGTAATCCCAGTTACTTGGGAGGCTGAGGCACGGGAATTGTTTGAACCCGGGAGGTGGAGGTTGCAGTGAGCCATGATTGTGCCACTGCACTCCAGCCTGGGTGACAGAGTGAGACTGTCTCAAAAAAAAAAAATTGGTAGACATGGGGGTGTCAGTGTGTTGCCCAGGTTGGTCTCGAACTCCTGGGCCCAAGCAATCCTCCTGCCTTGACCTTCCAGAGTGCTGGGATTACAGGTACGAGCCACCGTGCCAGGCCTGAACGATGAAATTTACCCTAAGTTAAAAAACTGATCCAAAAGCACGGTTCCTGGGATAAAACTCACATAATGACATCCAGCCTATTACATAGGCCAAAATGATGAAAACATACCAGCACTACAAAGACTGACACATAAAAGAGTGATAGGAACTATGAGAGATGAAAGAGTGATAGGAACTAGGAAGAAGTTCCATTAACTGTAAGGCAGATAGAACTGAATTGAGGGGAGCCTAACTTCATGAAAGCAGACTTAAATTCCAAACTTTTATTCTAATACTGCCCCGTTAAGTGATCAAAGGTCTGTAAGAACTAACAAACTGATCAGGCACAGTCTTGCCTCAGCCCTGCAAAGCTTTCTACAGATATTTGGAAAGAGCAACTAACATTTTTTTTTTTTTTAATGGCAAGAATGAGAATGCATACTGGAGAAGAAAAGGAGAGGACAGACTGAGCCATTTCGCAGTCTGGAAGGTAGAGATCTTATAAGTAAAGCCAAATGAGCAAGGATGCAGACACATTTTGGCAGCCCTGCATGTTGGAGATCATAGTCTTTAAAGTATTTGATTATTTCAGAACATTGGATAATTCATTATGGGAGTAAAAAAAGTAAACCACACTTCAGTACAGAAGAACCAGAATAAATCAATGCTTACTAATACACAGAAAGTGTGCATCTCCTTGTCCTCAAGCTATAGGCCTATGAAAGGGTTTAATCATCATTCAAGAGGAAAATGGGGCGGGGTGTGGGTGGCTCATGCCTGTAATGCCAACACTTTGGGAGGCTGAGGCAGGCGAATCATTTGAGGTGAGGAGTTCAAGACTAGCCTAGCCAATATGGTAAAACCCCGTCTCTAGTGAAAGTACAAAAATTAGCCGGGCGTGGTGGCATGTGCCTGTAATTCCAGCTACTTGGGAGGCTGAGGCAGGAGAATCGCTTGAACCTGGGAGGCAGAGGTTGCAGTGAGCCGAGATTGCGCAACTGCACTCCAGCCTGGGTGACAGAGCGAGACTCCGTCTGAAAAAAAAGAGGAAAACGGAAGTCAAAGAAAATCTACATGAGGTCAGAGAGTTGTGCAGGGGAGTCCAGATCCTGTAGGACTTTGCAGGCCATTAGTACATTATTGTGGCTTTTACTATCAAAGAGATGAGCAACGAGAGGTTGTGGGTCTCTGAGACATGTTGTGACCTGCATTTTAAAACTATCACTGCTTCCTACAATAAGAAAAAGGCTACAAAAGAACAAAAGCAAAAGCAAGAACAATTAGGAGACTACTACAATTATTCAAGAGATGAGGCTGGGCACAGTGGCTCACGCCAGTAATCCCAACACTTTGGAAGGCCAAGGCAGGCAGATCACTTGAGGTGAGGAGTTCGAGACCTGCCTGGCCAACATGGTGAAACCTGGTCTCTACCAAAAATACAAAAAGTAGCCAGATGTGGTGGCGGGTGCCTGTACTCCCAGCTACCTGGGAGGCAGAGGCTGCAGCGAGCCGAGATCGTGCCACTGCACTCCAGCCTGGACAAGACAGCGAAAAAAAAAAAGAGCTGAATTAGACCAGCACGACAATGGTGAAGGTGTTGAGAAGTCAGGATGCAGATATATGTTAAAGTAAGAGTCAAATCAAATATACACAACAGAGCACTATGCAGCAATAAACAAGAATGAGATATTGTCATAGATGGAACTGGAGGTCATTATATGAAGTGAACAATAAGCCAGGCACAGAAAGATGAACTTGGCATGTTCTCACTTATGTGTGGGAGCTAAAAATTATAACAATTGAACTCATAGAGATAGAAAGTAGAAGGATGGTTACCAGAGGCTGGGAAGGGTAGTGGGGAGAGTCAGGAGGGGAGTGGGGAAGGTTAATGGGTACAAAAATTAATCAGAAAAACTGAATAAGATCTAGTATTTAATAGCACAAGTCAACTATAGTTGATAATTTAATTGTACATTAAAAATAATTAAGAGTATAATTAGATTGTAACACAAAGGATAAATGCTTGAGGTGATAGATACCCCATTTACCCTGATGTGATTATTATGCATTGTATGCCTGTATCAAAATATCTCTTTTTATTCTTTTGAGACAAGGTCTTGCTCTGTCAGCCAGGCTGAAGTGCAATAATGTGATTAAGACTCACTGCAGCCTTGATCTCTCAGGCTCAAGCAATACTCCCACTTCAGCCTCCTGAGTCGCTGAGACTACAGGCATGGGCCACCATGCCCAGCTAACTTTTAATTTATTTATATATATATATATAATTTTATTTACTTTATGTTCTGGGATACATGTGCTGAACGTGCAGGTTTGTTACATAGGTATACATGTGCCATGGTGGTTTGCTGCACCTATCAACCTGTCATCTAGGTTTTAAGCTCCGCATGCATTAGGTATTTGTCCTAATGCTCTCCCTCCCCTTTCCCCACATCCCCCGACAGGTCCCGGTGTGTGATGTTCCCCTCCCTGTGTCCATGTGTTCTCATTGTTCAACTCCCACTTATGAGTGAGAACATGCAGTGTTTGGCTTTCTGTTCCCGTGTTAGTTTGTTGAGGATGATGGTTTCCAGCTTCATACATGTGGGTATCTACCAAAAGGATTATAAATCATTCTACTATGAAGACACATGCACACGTATGTTTACTGCAGCACTATTTACAATAGCAAAGACTTGGAACCAACCCAAATGCTCATCAATGATAGACTGGATAAAGAAAATGTGGCATGTATACACCATAGGAAACTATGAAGCCATAAAAAAGAATTTTTTCTTTTTGGTAGAGACAGGATTTCGCCATGTTGCCTTGGCTGGTGTCAAACTTCTCGGCTCAAGTGATCCTCCTGCCTTGGCCTCCCAAAGTGCTGGGATTACAGGGGAGAGCCACCATCCCCAGGCCTAAAATATCTCATGTCCCCCATAAATATATGCACCTGCTATTTACCCACAAAAATTTGTAAAAAGAGTCAAAAGACATGCTGATAGTTTGAAGTGGAATATGAGAGAAAGCAAAGAATAAAAGATGACCATAGCTAACTGAGTGTGGTGGCTCACACCTATAATCCCAGCACTTTGGGAGGCCGAGGTGGGGGGATCACTTGAAGTCAGGAGTTCGAGACCAGCCTGGCCAACATGGTGAAACCCCATCTCTACTAAAAATACAAAAATTAGGCGGGCATGGTGGTGTGTGCCTGTAAGTGCCTGTAATCCCAGCTACTTGGGAGGCTGAGGCAAGAGAATCACTTGAACCCGGGAGGCGGAGGTTGCAGTGAGCCAAGACAGCACCACTGCACTCCAGCTTGGGTAACAGAGCGAGACTCTCTCAAAAAAAGAGCAACAACAACAACAAAAAAACCATAGCCATATGGCTTGAGTAAGGAAAGACAGAGTTGCTATTTGTTGAGATGGGGATGACAGTGAAAAGAGCAGGCTTGGGGTGGTGGAAAGTGCAAATGTAAGTGTTCGATTTTGGATATACTTAATTTGAAACGTCATTATACAACCAAGTGGAGATCTTGCATGTACACTGGAGATACATGGCAAAAAATATATAAATTCTCTCCTAGAACACAAAGTCAAAAGCAAAGTCACCTAAGATATCTGAATGCGTGCACACACACACACACACACACACACACACACACACACACACACACACTTCCTAGCCTGTCTGCTGAGAACTCTAGAAGCAATAACTCCCCAGTAGCAGCAAACACACCCAATACTCAGGCTTTTTTTCTAAATTACATTACCCACTAAAAGGAATAAGGGGGAGGCTGAGGCGAGGGGATCGCTTGAGCCCAGGAGTTGATGACCAGCCTGGGCAACTGAGCAATACCTCGCCTCTACAAAAAATAAAAACTAAAAAAATTAACTGGCCGTGGTGGCACATGCATATAGTCCCAGCTATTTGGGAGGCTGAGATGGGAGGATTATTTGAGCCCAGGAGCCAGGTTGAGGCTGCAGTGAGCCATGATCTTGCCACTGGCACTCCACCTTGAGTGACAGAGCAAGACCCTGCCTCAAAAAAATTTTTAAAAATGCAAATAAATCAATAAATTAAAGGAATCAGAACTCCATGGAGAAATAGCTGGATTCCAGGGTAGGGGCAGGGAAAAGACAAAATGAGCCTGGAATATCTGTCTTGCTGTGGCCAGAAAATAAGGAAGTGTTCAAAGAATGATGGGAAAATGTCAAAAGGACACAAATGCTACCATGAATGGTCCCCCAAATCTAGGGCATTTTAACCATCTAAATAAATAATGATAGTATTATACTATAACCTAGTAAATAAAATAAGGTCCCCATGAGTTCATACTAACATAAATAAATAAATAAATGAGGGAGAATGGCCAACTAATAAAGAGGAATGATGGAGCTAGAAAATCATAAATGGATGCTAAAACTAGTAAGTGAAAGGGATATTTACATAGCTTCAAAATATCTCCCCACAAATAACTCATAAACTATAAGGGAAGAAACGATAACTTTACAGTAGAGAAGCTTGGCAGGCCCCACTTGAACCAAGTAATAAAAGTTAACTTCACCAATATTGGGACAAACTGGCATTACTTCTATTATGATGCACTGATAAGAAGACAACATCACTCACACAGTATTCCTGCCAAGAATGCATTATCTGAATATAATCATGAGGAAACTTCAAACAAACCCAAACTGAGAGACATTCTATAAAAAAAAACAACTGGCCTCTGCATTGCAATACTGTCAAGAAAGACAGAAAAAGGTTGAAGAATCGCTCAAAATTAAAACAGACTAAATACAAAAATTAAAAGATTTGAATAGGCACTTCACCAAAGAAGGTATTTGAATCTCTAATAATTATATGAAAAAACACTCAACATCATTATTTATCAGGAAAATGCAAGTTAAAAACCACAATATATAACCACATCAAACTCATCAAAACAGCTAAAATTTAAACAACTGACAACAGATAAGGATGCAGAGTAAATGGAAGTCTCATACATTGCCAGCGGGAACGTATTTCAGTACAATAGCTTTGGAAAACTGTCTGGCAATATAAGGTATGGCTAAAACTACCCTTATTCTGTGACCTAACAATCCCATTCCTAAGTATATACACAAGAGAAATGAGTGCATATATTCACCAAAAAATATACAGGAAAGCTCACAGCAGCTTTATCCATAAGAGCCAAAAACTAGAACCAATCCTAATGTACATGGATAGGAGAATGGATAACTGAATCATGATATATTCTACAACAGAACAACTACCAGCAATGAAACAAACTATTGATACATGCAACAATGTAGATGAATCTCGGTGAACTTTCTAGGGGGCTGGAAGTGTTCTATATCTTCATTTGCATTTCATGAAGATATATATATATGAACACTCATCAAACTGTACATTTAGGATACCTTAATGAATGTATATACCTTTGTAAAAAAAAATTTGAAGAACAGCTGGTATGATTCAATTCTGATAAAATACCACACATTTTTCATACACACATAGCATGGAAAATGTCTAGAAAAACTACAAAAGTTTTGTTTTTGAGAGGTAGGATCATAGGTAACTTTAACTTTCTTTATACATTTCTGTACTTTAAAAAGTATTTATGAGAAGAAAAGTTATTTTTAAAAAGCTCCTTTTTTGTGTCTGTGTGAGATGGAGTTTTGCTCTTCTTGCCCAGGCTCGAGTGCAACAGCGTGATCCCGGCTCCCTGCAACCTCCGCCTCCCAGGTTCAAGCGATTATCCTGCCTCAGCCTCCTGTGTAGGTAGGACTACAGGCATGCACCACCACGCCCAGCTAATTTTGTATTTTTAGTAGAGATGGGGTTTCTCCACGTTGGTCAGGCTGGTCTTGAACTCCCGACCTCAGGCCCACCTCGGCCTCCCAAAGTACTGAGATTACAGGCGTGAGCCACAGCGCCCGGCCTCTTTTTTTTTTTTTTTTTTCTTTGAGACAGAGTTTCTTTCTTGTTGCCCAGGCTGGAGTGCAATGGCGTGGTCTTGGTTCAATGCAACTTCCACCACTGGGTTCAAGCGATTCTCCTGCCTCACCCTCCCAAGTAGCTGGGATTACAGGCACCTGCCACCACACCTGGCTAATTTTTTTTTTTTAATTTTAAGTTCTGGGATACATGTACAGAACGTGCAGGTTTGTTACGTAGGTATACATGTACCATGGTGCTTTGCTGCACCTATCAACCCGTCATCTAGGTTTTAAGCTCCGCATGCATTAGGTATTTGTCCTAATGCTCTCCCTCCCCTTTCCCCCGACCCCTCAACAGGCCCGGTGTGTGATGTTCCCCTCCCTGTGTCCATGTGTTCTCATTGTTCAGCTCCCACTTATGAGTGAGAACATGCGGTGTTTGGTGTTCTGTTCCTGTGTTAGTTTGCTGAGAATAATAGCTTCCAGTTTCATCCATGTCCCTGCAAAGGATATGAACTCATTCTTTTTTATGGCTGCACGCCTGGCTAATTTTTTTGTATTTTTAGTAGAGACACAGTTTCACCATGTTGGCCAGGCTGGTCTTGAACTCCTGACCTCAGGTGATCTGCCCGCCTTGGCCTCCCAAAGTGCTGGGATTACAGGCGTGAGCCACTGCGCCCAGCCTAAAAAGCTATTTTTATGTGAGGAAATAAAAGATCCATACCAAGACATATAAAAGATGTATGCCATACCCAAAGAATTCTGAAAATTAAAAAAATATATATACCAAACTTTTTACTTATAAAGATAAAGAATACCACCTATAAGCACTTAGGAGGAAAAGGGAACAAAAAAAATCAGACAGGCCTAGGCTTCTCTTCTGAAGCATTAGCTAGAAGAAGACAAAAGAACAAAATATGTAGATGGGAAAAAAAGACTGTAAACTGATTTTTTTTTAATGCCTAACAAGTTTTTGTTCATGTGTGAATGTAAATGAAACGTCAGTTTCGGATATCCAAAGAATCAGAAATTTCAAACCCAAGTAACTTTGAAAAATTACACAAAGCCATTCTTCAAACTACACAGGTACTTAGCAAAATTTAAAAATCAAGAATAGAGAATATGTGGTATAAAAACTGGTGATCTATACTAAAACCAATAGTTAATATTGAGTCCAAATTGTTAGAATTGTAGTTTCAAAATTGAATGTACACATATAAATCAAGAATATAACATGTATAATATGATAAAATTATTTTAAAAAGCTTTCATAATTGCTATCCTCCCAAAACAACAGTTTGCCTTTTTCTTAAATACCTTATCATGGTAATCCGCAAATAATCAGTCTTTTAGCTCATTCAACCAACCTCCCAAATTGAAGAGTTCAACTGTGCTGCTATTTACGAAGCTGGCTCCTTCCTGGAAAAATGAGATCAATCTGAAAGGTTCTCCCCACTTCAACATCTTCAGTATTCTAACTGATTTACATTACAAAAGGGAGAGGGCTGAATAATGTCACTGGAAATCAATCCAAATGACTAATGTCCTTATTATTACCAGTTTCAACAATATGAATAGATACAAAGCAATACATGCCTTTTGGGAACACTTTTTGACAATGTTCAGCAAACACACCCACTGTTTAAACTGATTTCCCTTCAATTAGAATAAAGCAATTTCACATAAATACAATACTGTGCTAAATAGCATTTTTACAGAAATAGTCTGATTCCCTGGAAACTAGAATATCTCTCTAGAGAAATCAGTTATAACTTTCTCGATTTTTACACAAATATTTCCATGTAATGGAATTAACTACTTTATAGAGGAAGCTACAGTGAAGATTAAACGAAATGACACTGCTTGATACATAGCAGGTCCTCAAAAAATGTCAACTCCCTAACTATAAGTTTCACTCCATTAGAATGCCTCAGACTCAGCTACCTGGGAGGCTGAGGCAGCAGGATCACTTAAGCCCAGGAGTTCGAGGCTGCAATAAGCTATGATAGTGCCACTGCACTAGGTGACAGAGTGAAACCGTATCTCAAAAGAAAAAAAAAAGGATGAAAAAAGAGGGTGGGAAGAAGGGAGGGAGGAAGGAAGTAAGGAAGGCAGCCAGCTAGTCTCAGAAACTGGTTACATAATAAAATGGTCATTACCAGAATACAGGTGTGGAGTGTTTTAATAATATTCACTCACAGTAGGCCCATGGATATTTCTGAACAAACTGAACGTAGAGAATCTTTTGCCAATTAATGTCAGTGTTATACACATCAACAGAGTCCATTCTTCATATAGTTTCTGTACTGTTTTGTAAGCACTAAAAGAATAGAAATGTCACCAGAAACAAAGCCAATTTCTTAAAACCACTGATAACCACAGTAACTATATGGGTCTAAAACATACCATGGCTAGAATTAAGATAAAGACTGAAGTATAAAGATATTACCTTCACTGATTAAGAAACTGGAATTAACAAAGCAAATGATTCCATTGGCTAAGCTATGAATAGTAGTAAAATAGAAAATAGAACCACAATTTCTAGAGTAATCTTACAAATACACAACTCAGCTATGCTAATATGTAGATTTAGCCATGAAAACAAGTAATACATAACCTTTCAATGACTCCTCATGCATTCAAAGTCTGAAATCTGGCCAATCCAGTCAGTACTTATGAAAACAATATCAACAAAAACCTGAATGAAACCCCTGCTTCTAGTTGTCAACGCTAGATATTTGCAACAACAAAATCACTAAGTTATTTTCCCTTTTAATGTCAATCCACATTATTCATGTAGATAAGAGAAATTCTGTGACTGAATCAATATGGTAACAACGAACGTATACATCTGTCTTACCAACTACCTAATACTCTAGAAAGCAACAGAAATTATTACTTTAAAAACCTAGAATTGGCCGGGTACGGTGGCTCACGCCTGTAATCCTAGCACTTTGGGAGGCCGAGGCGGGTAGATCACTACAGGTCAGCAGTTTGAGACCAGCCTGGCCAACATGATGAAACCCTGTCTCTACTAAAAATACAAAAATTAGCCAGGAATTGCTTGAACCCGGAAGGCGGAGGTTGCAGTGAGCCAAGATTGTGCCACTGCACTCCAGCCTGGGCAACAGAGCGAGACTCCCATCTTAAAGCAAAAAACAAAAACTAGAATAAAGTCATAACATCCCAGAAAAACTAAAAAGAATGCCATCCACAGACCATAAATGGTAAAGAACCTTCCAAAAGAACAGAAACCAATAGATCACATCCATGGGGAACAAAATATATGGAAACCAAAGCTTCAAACGCACATATAGGAGAAAACTATTGCAAAGTTAGGAGTGATTTGGGGAAGCTCTAAAACTACTCAATGGATACCAGAAGATTGCCTGGCTTTGGGGAATTCATCTGGGAGATTAAATGATATGGTGAATTAACAGCAGCTAGGCTAGGCAATCCTATCCTCTCCTAACCCCTCATTATGCTAAATAGTGAGCAGCAAGGAAATTTGCCCAAAAACTCAAGGTAGAGCCTGAGAGGAAGAACAAATCTACAGGTAACAAACTACTAAGAAAACGTGCTCCCAACACAACTTGTCTCTCCTCTACAGTAACTGGCAGCAAGGCAGGCTACTGTAAGTAAACAAATCAGACAGGTGAACAGGACCCTTAAATATGACTGAATAAAAAACCAAGAATCACCAAATCCTTGAGAAACACTAAAACTTAGAAAAAAAAGAAGCACCAAACTCAACAAAGAGATTAACTCTTTAATTAACTTCAAGAGGATCCTTAATGCTGCCTGGCAATCTCACTACATTTCCCTTGTTCATTCATTCTACTACCATTCTTCTATGTAACTATTTAATACTTTTGCTTCCATCATTAAACTTCTAATACACACTCCCTCCCCTAACTTCATTCTCAGCTGATGACATTGCTTCCATTTCACTGAGAAAATAAAAAAGGCAACAAAAAGATAATTTCCATAACATCCACCCACCTAAATAGCATTTATGGCCATAATCTCTACCTTCACGCTTATTATTATGGACAACTGTACTCCTATGCTAAGGCCAACCCCTCTATGTAGAAACTAAATGTCATCTCCTCTCATCTTCTCAAGGACATCACTACGGTAATTTTTTTCCTATTTCAAGAAATTTTCCCTCATTCCTAAATCATTCTTCCTATAAATGAGATTATTTCTCCATGAAAACAAACCCTCTCAACCAGAGCTCACTGGAGATGACTGATTATAAAGCTGGGGCAAGGAAGAATAGGATAGGTCTGGAACATCTTCTTGTGTACAGATAAGTTCAAAGATGATGGGAGCTGATGGTGGCTAATGCCTATAATCCCAACACTTTGGGAGGTTGATGCAGGAGGACTGCTTGACGCCAGGAGTTTGAGACCAGCCTGGGCAATATAGCAAGACTCCATCTCTACAAGAAAACAAAAACAACAAAAGGCTGGGCATGGTAGTACATGCCTAGAGTCCCAGCTACTTGTGAGGCTGAGGTAGGAGGATTGCTTGAGCTCAGGAGGTTGAGGCTACAGTAGACCATGACTGAGCCACTGCACTCCAGCCTGGGTGACAAAGCAAGACCCTGTCACATAAAAAAAAAAAAAAAAAAAAGGTCGGGCCTAGTGGCTCACGTCTGTAATCCCAGCACTTTGGGAGGCCGAGGCAGGGAAGATCACTTGAGGTCAGGAGTTTGAAACCAGCCTGGCCAACATGGTGAAACCTCGTCTCTACTAATAATACAAAAATTAGCCAGGTGCGGTGGTAGGCAGCTGTAATCCCAGCTACTTGGGAGGCTGAGGCAGGAGAATCGCTTGAACCTGGGAGGCGGAGGTTGCAGTGAGCTGAGATCGCACCATTGCACTCCAGCCTGGGCGAGAGAGTGAGACTCCGGCTCAGAAAAAAGTGGGAGTGGTAAACAGATCTAAATGGAACTCAGATTTCAATATTTTACTAGAGGTGGTAAAATGTCGGTATCTGTAGGGTATAAGTTCATATGTGTGTGTGTGTGTGTGTGTGTGTGTGTGTGTGTGTGTGTGTGTGTGTGTGTGTGTATGGATACCTTAGAGCAACCACTAAGAAAACTGTACAGTATAATATACTCAAAACAGTATAAATAAAACAAGAAGTTCATGACCAAGCAAAAGAAAACCAAGAAGGAATCCTAAAAAATTTCAAATAACCCACAGGTGGGTAAGAAAAGAGAAGCATAAGAAGGAGAAACATAGAGAAGAAACAAAATGCAAATACTAACATGATAGACTTAAATCCTAGCATATCAAAAATTACTTTGAATGCAAAACAGTCTAAATATGCCAATTAAGAGACATTGACAGAAGGGATAAAAAACATGGATAAACATTAACTATACACTTTCTACAAGAAACTCACTTGAAACATAGGATAGGCTGAAAGTAAAAGGATGGAAAAATATATCATGTTGACATTAAGCAATAAAAAGCAGCAGGGAGTACATAATATCAGATAAAGTTGACTTCACAGGAAAGAAAATTACAAGAAATGAAGAGGGATATAATATAATGATAAAAAGATCAATCCACTAAAAAGACATAGCCATCCTAAACGTGGATGCACCAAATAAGAGCTTCAAAACAGAAGTAAAAAAAAATGACTGTGTAGGCTGGGCGCGGTGGCTCACATCTATAATCCCAGCACTTTGGGAGGCTGAGGCGGGTGGATCACCTGAGGTCAGGAGTTCGAGACCAGCCTGGCCAACATGGCAGAAACTCGTCTCTACTAAAAATACAAAAATTAGCTGGGCATGGTGGTGCACGCCTGTAATCCCAGCTACTCAGGAGGCTGAGACAATTGCTTGAACCCAGGAGGCGGAGGTTGCAGTGAGCCAAGATTGTGCCACTGAACTCCAGCCTAGGTGACAGAGCGAGACTCTGTCTCAAAAACAAACAAACAAACAAAAAAAAACAAATTACTGCGTTAAAAGGAGAAATACATATATCTACAATTATACTTAGAAACTTCAACACCTCACTCTCAGCAATTAATAATAGAAAATTAACAAAGACATAAAACTGAACTACAAATCAGTATCTGTCATGAACTTAAGGTTCAAAAATCTTCAACAAAGTATTAGTAAAGTGAATCAAACAATGTATGCAAAGAATCATATGCCATGACCAAATGAGTTTATTCCAAGGACATGAAGGCTGTTTCGATATTTGAAATCCATGTCATCCACTATATATCAACAAGTAAAAAAAAACAAAACCATATAATCATATCATTAACACAGAAGAAACATCTGAAAAAGGCAACATTCCTTTTTTTTTTTTTTTGAGAAGGAGTCTCGCTCTGTCACCCAGGCTGAAGTACAGTGGCACGATCTCAGCTCACTGCAACCTCCACCTCCCAGGTTCAAGCAATTCTCCCTGCCTCAACCTCCCGAGTGGCTGGGATTACAAGCACCCACTACCACGCCCGGCTAATTTTTGTATTTTTTAGTAGAGACAGGGTTTCGCCATGTTGGCGAGGCTGTTATTGAACTCCTGATTTCAGGTTATCCACCTGTCTCGGCCTCCCAAAGTGCTGGGATTACAGGTGTTAGCCACCGCGCCTGGCCAACATTAATTCATAATAAAACTTCTCAGTGAGTCAGGTAATAGAGGGTAACTACCTCAACTGGATAAAGAGCATCTATAAAAAATCTGTAGCTCATATCATACTAATGGTGAAAGACTTGTCCCCCCTAAGACTCGGAACAAAGCAAGGAAGTTCATTCTCACCACTCTTATTCAAGACAGTACATTCTCACCACTCTTATTCCAGTACAGTACTGGAAATTCTAGCCAGCACAATAAAAGGAAAATAAGAAATAAAAAGCATACAGATTAGAAAGGGAGAGATCACACTGTCTCTATTTTAGGAGATTATATGATTTTCTTTTTTTCTTTTTTTTTTTTGAGACGGAGTCTTGCTCTATTGCCAGGCTGGAGTGAGGTGGTACGATCTCGGCTCACTGCAACCTCCGCCTCCTGGGTTCAAGGGATTCTCCTGCCTCAGTCTCCCGAGTAGCTGGGACTACAGGCACGTGCCACCACGCCCAGCTAATTTTTGTATTTTTAGTAGAGACGGGGTTTCACCATGTTGGCCAGGATGGTCTCAATCTCTTGACCTCATGATCTGCCTGCCTCAGTCTCCCAAAGTGCTGGGATTACAGGCGTGAGCCAACGCGCCCGGCCATGATTTTCTATATTTAAAAAAATTTCCAAGGATTCTACCAAAAAAACAAACAAATCCTCCTAGGACAAATAAGTAAGTTCAACAAGGTATTTGAATTCAACATCAACACACACGATCACATTTCTATACTCTAACAAGGAACATGTGAAAACTGACATTAAAAACTACAATATTAGCCAGGCACAGTGGCTCACACTTGTAATCCTAGTACTTTGGGAGGCTGAGGTGGGTGGACCGCTTGAGCCCGGGAATTCAACATCAGCCTGGGCAACATGGCAAAACCTCATCTCCACTAAAAGTACAAAAATTAGCCGGGCATGGTGGCATGCACCTGTAGTCCCAGCTACTTTGGGAGGCTGTGGTGGGAGGATTGCTCGAGCCTGGGAAGCAGAGGCTGCAGTGAGCTGAGATCACGCCACTGAACTCCAGCCTAGGCAACAGAGTGAGACCCTGCCTCAGAAAAAAAAAAAAAAAAGAGCACAATTATTTATAATCCTTCAAAATTAAACCAGATACTTAGGCACAAACTTAACAAAAGAGCCTTAGGATTTGTATGCTGAAAATTACAAAATGCTGATGAAAGAAATCAAAGAAGATCTAAATAAATGAAGAGACATATCATGTTCCTGAACTTGAAGGCCCAACATAGTCAAGATGTCAATTTTCCCCAAAGTCATATATAGGACTAATACAATTACTATCAAAATCCCAGCAAGGTTTTCTGTGGACATAGACTAGATTATTCTAAAATGTATATGGAAAAACAGAAATCCAGAAGAGCTAAAAAAAAAAACTTAAAAAAAGAATAAAGAATATTGGGTAGCAATCACACTACCCAATATTAAGGCTTTCTATATAGCTATAGTAGTCAAGAGAGTATGTAATTAACAGAGAGTTAAAAACATAAATGAATTAAACAGAATAGAGAACCCAGAAGAAAAGACCCACGCAAATAAGCCAAACTGATTTTTGACAGAAATATAAAAGCAATTGAATGGAAGACAAGCAGTGTTTTCAATGATGCTATGGCAATTAAACATCTACAGGGAAACTCCCTCCCCAAAAAAAAACCCTGAATCTAAATCTCAAAACCATATACAAGATTAACATATTACCTTGTGAATGCCTCTAACTTAAAAAAACATTAACATAGGCCGGGCGTGGTGGTTCATGCCTGTAATCCCAGCACTTTGGGAGGCTAAGGCGGGTGGATCACCTGAGGTCAGGAGTTTACCAGCTTGGCCAACATGGTGAAACCACGTCTCTACTAAAAATACAAAAATTAGCTGGGGGTGGTGGCGGGCACCTGTAATTCTAGCTACTTGGGAGGCTGAGGCAGGAGAATCACTTGAACCCGGGAGGCGGAGGTTGCAGTGAGCCAAGATCGCGCCATCGCATTCTAGCCTGGGCGACAAGAGCGAAACTCCATCTCAAAATAAATAAATAAATAAATAAATAAAATAAAATAAATAAAAACATTAACATAGATCACACTGAAATGAAAAATGTAAAAGTAGAAGAATATCTCCAGTTCTAAGGCTAGGCAAAGAATTCTTAGACTTCACACAAAAAGCACAATCCAAAAAAAAAAAACTGGACCTCACCAAAATTTAAAACTTTTTCTCTTCGTAATTTCTTGGAAAAGGCATATGTTTATATAAGGCAAAAACTATAACATTGCATTGTGCAGTTTATAATGTATGTAGATGTAATATACATAACAATTATAACCAGCCTGGGCAACACAGGGAGACCCGTCTCTACACAGATTAAAAAAATTAGCCAGGTGTGGTGGTGCATGCCTATGGTCTCAACTACCTGGGAGGCTGAGGTGGGAGGATTGTTTGGGCCTGGGAGGTCGAGGCTACAGTGAGCTGTGACTGAACCACTGTACTCCTGCCTGGGCTACAGAAGGACATCCTACCTCAACAAACAAACAAACAAAAATAATTATAGCTTAAAGCCTGCAGGAAATAAATAGTTGCATGGTCCTTACATTTTATAATATTAAATCTATGTAAAAACTGTGAAGAATTCAGAATGTAAATTAAAATCCCTAGAGTAAACACACACATACAAATACTGAAAAGGGACACAAGAAACTTTTGGGTGTTCTGGAAATGTTCTGTATCTTGATTATGGCATACATCTGTCAACTCATTTAACTGTACACTATAAATATATGCATTTATCGTACATAAACTAAGCCTGAATAAAGTTCTTTAAAAGTAAAAAGACACAGATAACATCATACTTAATGGTGAAAGACTGAAAATTTTCTCACTAAGATTAGGAAAAGCAGGATATTTGCTCTCAACTCCTACTCAACATTATACTAGAAGTTCCAGCAAGAATAATTTTTTAAAAAATAAACATCTAGGCCGGGCGTAGTGGCTCACGCCTGTAAATCCCAGCACTTCGGGAGGCCGAGGCGGGTGGATCAGGAGGTCAGGAGTTCAAGACCAGCCTGGCCAAGATGGTGAAACCCTGTCTCTCCTAAAAATACAAAAATTAGCTGGGCACGGTGGCAGGCAACTGTAATCCCAGCTACTCGGGAGGCTGAGAAAGGAGAATCGCTTGAACCCGGGGAGCGGAGATTGCAGAGAGCCAAGATTGTGCCACTGCACTCCAGCCTGGGTGACAGAGTAAGACTCTGTCTCAAAAAAAAAAAAAATATAAATTGGAAAGCAAAATTAAAACTATCTCTAGTCCCAGATGACATGATTTTATTAGAGAAATTCCTACAGAATCTACAAAAAAACTATTGGAGCTGATAAACAAATTTAGCAAAATTACAGGATATAATGGAAACTCACAAAAATCAGTTGTATTTGTATGCCTTAGCAATTAACAATCCAAATGGAAATTAAGAAAACAATTCCATTTATAATAACAACAAAAATAATAACTTAGGAAAAAACTTTACAAGGAATTGTAAGGACTTGTGGAATACTATGCAGCCATAAAAAAGAATGAAATCATGTCCTTTGCAGCAACAAGGATGCAGCTGGAGGCCATTTTCCTAGGCGAACTAACACAGAAACAGAAAACCAAATTATCACATGTTCTCACATATAAGTGGGAGCTAAACACTGGGTACATGTGGACATAAAGATGAAAAGAGTAAACACTGGGGACTATGAGAGGGGAGAGAAAGGGATGGGGAAAAAAGCTGAAAAACTAACCATTGGGTACTATGCTCCATATCTGAGTGATGAGTTCAGTCATATCCCAGACCTCAGCATCATGCAATATACCTCTGTGACAATCCTGCACACATACTCCCTGATTCTAAAATAAAAGTTGAAAAATTAAAAAAAAAAGATTTTCTGAGAACTACAAAATACTGCTGAAATTAAAAACCAGCTATTTTTTCCCAGCTTTACTGAGGTATAATTGACAAATAAAAATTGTATATATTCAAGATGTACAATGTGATGATTTGCTATACATATACACTGTGAAATGATTACCACAATAAAATTAATTAACATATCAATCACAACACAAAGTTACCCTCCCTTTGTACGTGTATGTGTGGTGAGGATACTTAAGATCTCTTTTAGGGCTGGGCACAGTGGCTCACACCTGTAATCCCGGCACTTTGGGAGGCTGAAGTGGGCGGATCACTTGAGGCCAGGAGTTCGAGACCAGTCTGGACAACATGGTGAAATCCCATCTCTACTAAAAATACAAAAATTAGCTGGGCATGGTGGCATACGCCTGTAGTCTCAGCTACTTGGGAGGCTGAGGCATGAGAATCACTTGAACCCAGGAGGCAGAGGTTGTGTGAGCCAAGATTGCACCCCTGCACTCCAGCCTAAGCAACAGAGTGAGACGCTGACTCAAAAAAAAATTTTTTTTCAACTAAATAATACATTGCATCCCTAGAACTTATTCATCTTATAAGTAAAAGTTTATACCCTTTAACCAAGTGTCTCCATTTCTCCTACTTCTCAGCCCTTGCCAACCACTGTTCTACTCTCTGCTTCTATGAGTTTGATATTTATAGATTCCACATATAAGTAAGATCATACAGTATCTTTCTGTATCTGGCTTCACTTAGCATAATGTCCTCCTGGTTCATCCATGTTGTCACAAATAGCAGGATTTCCTTCTTTTTTAGTGGCTGATTTCCTGAATTTCCTTCTTTGTATGTGTGTGTATACACACATATACATGTATGTATATGCACACACACCACATTTTTGTTATCCATTCATCTGTCAACACTTAAGTTGTTTCCATATCTTGGCTATTGTGAATAAAGCTGCAATGAACATGAGGTTGCAGATATGTCAAGATACTGATTTCTTTTCGTTTGGATATATGCCCAGAAGTGGAATGGCTGGATTGTATCATAGTTTTTTTTTTTTTTAATTTTTTGAGGAACTTTCATACTGTTTTGTTTGTTTGTTTTTGAGACAGGGTCTTGCTCTGTTGCCCAGGCTGGAGTTCAGTGGTGCAATCACAGCTCACTGCAGCCTTGACCTCTTGGGTTCAAGGGATCCTTCTGCCTCAGCCTCCTGAGTAGCTGGGACTATGGGGTACATGCCACCACACCTAGCTAATTTTTTAATTTTTTTGTAGAGACGAGGAGGTCTCACTATGTTGCCCAGGTTGGTCTTGAATTCCTGGGCTAAAGTGATCCTCGTGCCTCAGCCTCCCAAAGTATTGGGATCACAGGTGTGAGCCACTGCACCTAGCCTCATACTGTTTTCCATAATGGCTACACCAATTTACATTCCCATCAACAGTGTACAAGGGTTCCCTTTTCTCCACACCTTTGCCAACACTTAAAGAACACCTAGTTTAATGAAAAGACATCCATGTTCCTGGACTCGAAGACTTCATATTACTAAGAGACAATACTACCCAAGCAATATACAAAGTTAACACAATGCCTATCAAAATCCCAGCTGGCTTTTTGGACACAACTTGACAAGCTGATCCCAAAATTCATGTGGAAATGCAAGGGACTCAGAGGAACCAAAATAATCCTGAGAAAGGAAAACTAAGTTGGAACACTCATACTTTTATGGTGAATTGATTGTCAACAAGGGTGCCAAGGCTATTCAATGGGTGAATAGTCTTTTGAATAAATGGCACTGGAAAAACTGGATGTCCACATGGATAGAATGAAATTAGACCCCTACCTCAAACTATATACAACAATTAACTCAAAATGGATCAAAGACCCAAATTTAAGAGCTAAAATTTAAAACTCTTAGAAGAAAATATAGGAGAAAATCTTCATGACCTTGGATCAAACAATAGTTTCTTAGATATGACACCAAAAGCACAAAGTAACGAAAGAAAACATTGAGAAATTGGACTTTATCAAACTTTTAAAAAAATTATGCCACAAAGGACACCATCAAGAAGGTGAAAAGACAACACACAGAATGGGAGAAAATATTTTAAAGCATACATCTGATAATGGTCTAAGTATCCAGAATATATAAAGAACTCATAACTCAACAATAAAAAGACAAAAAGATACCCAATTAAAAACTGGGTAAAGGGGTTAGGCGCAGTGGCTCATGCCTGTAATCCTGGCACTTTGGGAGGCCAAGGTGGGAGGATTGCTTGAGACCAGGAGTTCAAAACCAGCCAGGGCTATATGGCGAGACCTCATCTCTACAAAAAATAAAATAAAAGAATAAAATAAAAACTGGGCAAAGGATTTCAATAGATATTTCTCCAAAGATAATAAAAGAAGATACATGAACGACCTATATGCATATAGAAAGATGCTCAACATCATTAGTCTTCAGAAAAATGCAAATCAAAACCACAATGAGATACCACATCACACCCACTAGGATGTCTACAATAAAAATGACAGATGGGCTGGGTGCAGTGGCTCACGCCTGTAATCCCAGCACTTTGGGAGGCCGAGGCGGGTGGATCACGAGGTCAGGAGATTGAGACTATCCTGGCTAAGATGGTGAAATCCCGTCTCTACTAAAAATACAAAAAATTAGCCGGGCGTGGTGGCAGGCGCCTGTAGTCCCAGCTACTTGGGAGGCTGAGGCAGGAGAATGGCGTGAACCTGGGAGGCGGAGCTTGCAGTGAGCCGAGATCGTGCCACTGCACTCCAGCCTGGGCGACAGAACAAGACTGTCTCAAAAAAAAAAAAAAAAAAAAAAAGATAACAAGTGTTGGTAGAGATGTGGAGAAAGGGATGTCTTTTCAACAGATGAAGCTGTTAGGATATTCCTAGAGGAAAAAAAAAAAAAAAGAAACTTGACCCCTTACTTCACAGCATTCATAAAAATTAATTCAAGATGAACCATGGACTTAAACATAAAACTATAAACCATATGAAAGTTTCCTTGTAACTTGGGTGTAGGCAAAGGTTTCATGGGCCACAGAAAGTAGTAACTACAATAGAAAAACTTTGATGAATCAGACTTCATCAAAATTAAATACTTTGTCTCATTAAATGAGACCATTACAAAAACGAATGGGCAATATAAAGACTGGAGAATATATTTATAAAACATGTATCTGACAAGGGACTTGTATAATCCAGGATATATAAGGAATTTCTGTAAATCCATAATAAAAAGACAAACATGAGCAAATAAAATGGGTAAATGACTTGAACAGGCACTTCACAAAGATATACAAAGGCCAACAAATACATGAAAAGGTACTCAACATCATAGTCATCGGGGAAATACAGATTAAAACCACGATGAGATACCACTATACAACAACTAGAATAACTAAAATTAAAAATGCTGGTGAGGGTGTGGAGCTCTCATACATTGCTGGTGTTAGTGCAGCCAATTCGGAAAACTTGCAATTTCTTAAAAAGTCAAACACTTATTCTATGACCCAGCAATTCTATTTCTAGGTATAATTCAAGAGAAATGAAAACATGTTTACAAAAAAAAAAACTTATATAGGGATGTTCATTGCAGCTTTATTCACAATAGCCCAAAACCAGAAATCACTTAGGTGTCTGTGAATAGGATAGATAAACAAATTTGGTATATCCATAAAATGGAACATTATTCTGCAGTTACAAAAAAGAATGAGCTGGCTGGGCATGGTGGCTTGTGCCTATAATCCCAGCAGTTTGGGAGGCTGAGGCTGGCAGATCACCTGAGGTCAGGAGTTCCAGACCAGCCTGACCAACACGGAGAAACCCCGTCTCTACTAAAAATACAAAATTAGCCGGGCGTGGTGGCTCATGCCTGTACTCCCAGCTACTTGGGAGGCTGAGGCAGGAGAATCACTTGAACCCAGGAGGTGGAGGTTGCAGTGAGCCGAGATCAAGCCATTGCACTCCAGCCTGAGCAACAAGAACGAACTCCGTCTCAAAAAAGAAAAAAAAAAAGCTACTGATACATACACAACATGGATCAATCTCAAAAACATGTTGAATCAGAGAAGCCTTACACAAGAATATATATTATATTGTTCCATTTATATGAAGGTCTAGAACAGGCTAAGCTAATCTATGGTGAAAAAATTGGCTAGGCATGGTGACTTACATCTGTAATTCCAGCACTTTGGGAAGCCAACGTGGGAAGACCCTATGAGCCTAGGAGTTCAAGACCAGCCTGGGCAACATGGCAAGACCCCGTCTCTATAAAAAAATCAAAAACTTAGCCAGGCGGAGTGGTGCGCACCTGTGGTCCCAGCTACTCAGGAGGCTGAGGTGCAAGGATGGCTTGAGCCAGGAGGTCAGGGCTGCAGTGAGCTGTGTTTGCACCACTACACTCCAGCCTGGGCAAAAGAGGAAGACCTTGTCTCAAAAAACAACAACAAATAATCAACAGCGATTGACTCTAACGGGTGTGGAGAAAACTCACTGGGAAGGGGCATGAGGGAACTTTCTGGAGTAATGGCAATATTCTCTATCAGGTGGGCAAGCCACAGCCTTCAGGCCAAATCTGGCACACCACCTGTTTTTGTGAGCAAATGTTTATTGGAACACAGCCGCGCCTATTTGTTTACATATTTATGGTTGTTTTCATGCATACAACAGCAGAACTGAGTAACTGTAACAGAGATTATATAGCCTGCAAAGCCTACAATATTTACTATCTAGGCCTTTACAGAAAAAGACTGTCAACACCTCTTCTATGTCTTGATAATGGTTGGGGTTACATAGGTGTAAGCATTTGTCGAAACTCATGAATTATGATTTATGCATTTTACTGTATATACATTTAAACTAAAAAACATAAATACTGAGTTCTAGTCAATGATATGTATTTATGGATGATGTATACTGATGTTGGCAACTTCCTTTAAACTTTGAAATGCACCAGAAAAATAAAATGGATTAATAAAGGGATAAATAGGTATGTGATAGAGCAGATAGAGCAAAAGTTAACTGTATAATTTAGGTGTTAGGTATATGGGTGTTCATGCTACAATTTTTTCCAATATTCTGTATATCTGAAGTTTTTCTTAATAAGATGTTGGGGAAAACGTTTTAATTAGGTAAGGAAAGTATACAACACGTGCAATCTGCCCACAGAATGAACATTAAAATCCAAAATACTTTGTTAATTACATCTGTGTAGTGCAGGAAAACAAACAAACAAAAAAAAAAAGGTGGGGGGGGAGAAGAAAAAATGGTTTGTTAAACCCCTTAATCTGAAATAAATAAATCCCAGAATAGTATGCCCCTGTCTGAAGAAACTTCAGCTGCAAAGATCTTTATTTATTCTCGCTCAGTCCTGTTAGGAGTCAGCACGCACATACTGAAATCCATTATAATTTATGCCCTTGATGAAGAGGAGATTTTATAAAATACAGAATACCTGAGGTAATAGCTGTTTGGTAGAGTAATATATTATCACTAGAAAATAACTCATACAGCATAGCACACCTTTTATCTAAGGACCTCAAAGTATTTTATTAGCCAAACAATAAATTCAGTGTGTTTTAGATATACCTAAAGCAGGGGAGAAGAGCAAAAAGAATAAGTCAGATTCTCAGTTCTTTGCTTTAATTAATTCAATCAAGGGCTGGGCATGGTGGCTCACGTCTGTGATCTCAGCACTTTGGGAGGCTGAGGTGGGTGAAACACTTGAAGTCAGGAGTGCGAGACCAGCCTGGGCAACATGGTGAATCCCTCTCTCTACTAAAAATACAAAAATTAGCTGGGTGTGGTGGTAGATGCCTGTAATCCCAGCTACTCAGGAGGTTGAGGCAGGAGAATCAGTTGAACCCAGGAGGCAGAGATTGCAGTGACCCGAGATGGCGCCACTGCACTCCAGCCTGGGTGACAGAGCAAGACCCCATCTCAAAAAAAAAAAAAAAGCAATCAATTCCCCAAATTAACTAAATCTCACTGAAGCCATCATAACCTTTTTCTCCAATTCTGGTGGGGAGGGTAACTATCTTTCAAAGCAGATGGGTAGTAAAATGATTGAATATGCTGGGTTCAAATGCTAGCTTTTGGGTATGACACTAGAAAAGTTACTTAACCTCTATGAACCTCAGTTTCTTCATCAGTAAAAAAAGGTAATAATGGGATTCCTAGGGTTGGTGTGAAGATGTACATGTAATGCCTTTGGGATAGTATTTGGCAATAAGAATCACTCAATAGTATTATCTCACAAAGGCAAATGCTTTATTATAAATGTAGAACAATAAGAGAACCATAGGTTCCAAACGTTTTAGGACTAAAGGATCTTGGAAAGCTACATTTGCCTCCTGGCTGTTTTCCAAACATGCCAGACAAACTTCTCCCTTAGGGCCTTTGCACCTGTTATTCCCTCTGTCTGAAATATACATTACTGACTCCCTTATTTCCTTCAAGTGTCTGCTCAAATGTTACCTTCTCAATGAGACCTACTCTGATAGCCATCTTCCTTAAACCTGCAACCCACTTTCCTCCTTTTCCTCCTCTACATTTTCCCCAAAGCACCTTGTACTGTATAATTTCCTTTTTATAGTGGTTATTGACAATCTTTCCCCATTAGACAACAAACCTCAATGACAGAAGGGGTTTTTGTATTTTATTCACTGTTATATCCTAAGTAGGTCCTCAAATTTTTTTTAATTGTAGTCATCTGGTCTGATCCCTTCACTTTACAGATGAGAAAATTTAGAAAAGACCTGAATCAAGGTCACTCAGTAAGTAAGGAAAAGAGTCAGGAACAGGGACCATGACTCCCACTGAAGTGCTGTATCTATTATAGTTCACTATCATCCTGACCCTTAAACATCACAGAAAAATCACAATCATCCTTATTTTCCCCCACGAGGATTTACCGTTGGAATTTCTTGGCCTTGTAAATGCTGCTGTGTGTGTAACACAGAAATGCTCTGAAAAGCAGTGGAAGCGTCTACCAGAATGCTAAGTGTCAGGAGATGAACTGAAGATTGCTGATTTGGAAGGGCTATCCCAGAGCTTTGATAGAGGGTCTGCTGTTGTAATTGTGGCTCTGATGACCCAGAAACAGGTGCTAAGCTGTAAGATGGCTACCACTGCGGCCAGTCAGCAGACTGCTGCTGGATGTATGCTGGCTGGTATTGTGCTAGGTTTTTCTGTAGGGGAAAAGTCAGACTGTTATCTAGTGCCTGAAGTACTTGAGGCTGCTCTAAAGGCTGTATTATATATTGTTGTTCCAGGGCTGCCAGTTGCAACTGTTCTTGCAATGGATGTATAATCTGGACCATGTTTGTAATGGTGTTTGGAATACCTGGTAATGGCTGAACTTGCTTAGGTGCCTGTCAATGAGGTACCTGCTGCTGGAGAGCAGCATGTTGACTAAATAAAGATTGCTGTTGATTTATGGGACCTTCCTGAGTAGACAACTGATGGGTTTCCTGTGCTTGTCTATGAGATGAATGAGTCATCTGCTGCTGCTGAATGAAAGCTAAGTGAAAAACCTGGCTTGGTGCTAGATGTGATTGGGAAAACTGTGCTGAGAAATGTGGGGGCTGGATCTGTGCCTGTGAAGAGGCCTGCTGAATGAAGGACATCTGCTCAGGGTTTTGAAGCTGTCCTTCCACTGCCCTCTGAGATATAATGCTAGTTGCCTGGGCCTGAGTTTTTAGCTGCTGGTGTCCAAAACTGACATCTGCTTGGGATGGAGTCGCTGAAAGCTGGACATTAAATAAAGGCTCAGTAGAATGTGTCTGTGTATCTAAGGTTGGTATTAAATACATCCTTTGTTCCAATGTTGAAGAAGAACTACCTTGGGGTTGTGTTAAATAGGCTTGTTGCTCAAAAGTCTGTGCTACAAATGGTGGTACAGAGTATAACTTCTGATGTGCAGAGTTTGTCTGTCATGTGTACTCACTTGCTATCAGGAGGGCTTATTGTATATACCTGCTGGGTTATGAAGGTTGCATGTTCAGTTATCTGGATAGTGTAAGCAGTTTGTCCTAAATAAGATACATGCTCAAGAGACAGTGTCTGATAAGCAAGCTGTTCCATAGGTTGCATAAGGTAAGCTGCCTGGATTGCATATGCTGCCTGGTCTGGAAAAGGTGACTGAAGCAGAGGTTGCACTAGATAAGCAGACTGCACGTGAGTCTTTGCCAAATATGAGGGCTGTACTGCAGCTGGGACTGGATAAGAAGTCTGCACAGAATAGGCTGGCTGTGATCTCGGTGGTTGTACAGTGTAAAGAGGATGCTCCAGGACTGGCAGTGAATAAACAGGCTGTTTATGTAGTGGAGCCTGAATTGAGTAAGTTGGCTGTGATGAGTAAGAAGTTTGTTGCTGGGGACATATCACAAAGGGCAGCTGCTCAGGAGCCTTCAATGGGAAGGATGATAATTCCGCAGGTGGCCCTGGAAGTGTGTTGAACAGAATAAGAAGGCTATTCCAGGGGCTGAATCACACTTTCAATACCACCCTTTGGCTGTTGCTGACTTGCAAGAGCTTCAGACTCTTGGAGAACATAATCCTGCTGAACATTTTTCTGTGGAGATGCCAAAATCTTAGGTTGTAAAATTAATGATTGTTGCTGAATACAAGCTTGGAAACAATACTCCTTGCACAGTCTGGCTTTGTGGCATTGAAGAATCTGAAGTTAGAGACTTCTGATGGGTATGGCTGTGATACTGAATGTATCTTTTGTGAAGGCTGATGGGCCCCTGAATGCCCCCCAATGGAATTAGAAGGGAGCTGAGCTGTACTAGCAGCATTCTGTGCACTGCTCACATGTTGGACAGAAGAATGATTCAACAAAGCTTGAGGGTGATTAACCGGTAAGAAACTAGAAGTCTGACTGGCATCTGGTGCTTTGGTTAATGCCTGATTCCCATTTCTAGGATCACGCTCAAGTTGAAGACCAACTGTTGGATGCTGGGAAGTCATCTGTGAAGCAGAAAACGTCTGAAGAGAAACTGCAGAAAGGATTGGTTGTGGCCAGGCATGGTGGCTCACGCCTGTAATCCCAGCACTTTGGGAGGCCAAGGCGGGGCAGATCACTTGAGGCCAGGAGTTCAAGACCAGCCTGGCCAACATGACAAAACCCCATCTCTACTAAAAATACAAAAATTGGCCAGGCATGCTGGTGTGCTCCTATAGTCCCAGCTACTTGGGAGGCTGAGGTGGGAGAATCGCTTGAACCCAGGAGGCGGAGGTTGCAGTGAGCTGAGATCACACCACTTCACTCCAGCCTGGGTGACAGAGTGAGACTCTGTCTGAAAAAAAAAAAAGAAAGAAAGGACTGATTGTGGAACTCCAGTAACTGACAAGTCTAAAGTCATAGGTTGGGCTAAAGTTTTTCTATCTGCTCCAAAGGCCAGCTACAGGTACAAGGAGAATTCAAATTATAAATGCATATACTATGCCCATTTTAATGGGACTTTCCCGGACATACTGATAGAGAAAATAATGCTATGTTCCAAAAATTTCAGCAAATTATCAAAAAGGTGCTAGGTATAGCATTAGTCCTATAAAAATCCTAATACCATGAGTAAATGCTAGTTAACTGAATACACTAAGGGGTTGAGACAAGTCACAGCAATATACCACTCATGGTTTCTTATTTATCGCAATTTACTACATAACTCATTCAAACCCTGGCAGAGATTCTGAGTATCCGAATCTGACATTGTCACACACCTGACAGTGGAAGTCCCATGAGAAAGCTCAAAGGATTTCAGTATCATTCCTAAAATGAATATAGATACTCTCTCAAGAAGAGAGGAGAGAGTTGGCAGAAATAAATACTGATTGGCTGCAATAATTCCTAGAATTTGGGCTACCATGCTCATAAAAAGACCCATATAATCAAATTTCTTGCTTATGTGGCTTCTATATATTAGGTGAAAAGGGCAGGCTACAAAAAATCATATGTATGTGATATACATGTGTATATATAAACAAAGTTATACATGTGTACACAGAAAAAAAGATAAATCTAAAGGCTATACCTCAAACATAAACAATAAGTTGTTGGCCGGGCACGGTGGCTCACACCTGTAATCCCAGCACTTTGGGAGGCCGAGGCGGGCGGATCACGAGGTCAGGAGATCGAGACCATCCTGGCTAACACGGTGAAAGCCCGTCTCTACTAAAAATACAAAAAATTAGCCGGGCATGGTGGCACGTGCCTGTAGTCCCACCTACTCGGGAGGCTGTGGCAGAAGAATCGTTTGAACCCGGGAGGCGGAGGTTGCAGTGAGCCGAGATCGCGCCACTGCACTCCAGCCTGGGCGACATAATGAGACTCCATCTCAAAAAAAACAAAACAAAACGAAACAAAACAAAACAAAATGAAAAAACAATAAGTTGTCTCTAGCTGGAGAAATAACAAGTAATTTTTCACTTTCTTTTTCATAACTTTATGGGCTTTATTTTAAAATAAGCAAGTAACATTTTGATAATTAAATTTTTGGAACACATTTTAAAATACACATACCTGTATGCTTATGTAAATTGAACCTAAGTTAAATTTAAGCTCCCATTCAACACACTTTGCATTATAGGCTTAGAAAGAGGCAAATCAAACTACCACATGAGCTCAATTACAAATAGGCACCATATCACTTATAAATACTAGCCAAATATCTGGCATCTTCAACTATATCAAACTAAATCTACCCCTAGCAGATTTTAAATGCATCTGGCATTTGTCAAGTACATACATGCTTTCCCCTAAAAGACTGGGCTCTTTGAGGGCAAGGATCATGTTTATTTTATTTCATATCCCCAGAAGGTGGTAATCATTAAAAGTTTGATGATGAACTGATAATATACTAATCTCTTAAAAGATGCACCAGCAACTAGCTAAATCAGGCATTCTCTGTTAGCTAGCAGCTATTAGATCATCTCACTCCCAGAGAAGGAAGACAAACGCAAGGTATGGTGGGAGGTGAGAGGAGAAAACCGGGTAATGGCAAAGAAAAATGCAACCATGCATCCAGAATCCATAACCTAGGGAACCAGGATATAGTCTTAATATATAAACTCACACAAAGACTATTAACTCATTGTCAGAAATGAATAATGCTGACTTTAAGAGTCTGAAAGACAAAAACACTTCTTATTTCTCCTACAGAAATAAACATGAACCAAAACAAGTCAAGAGTTTAGATGAACATGCTAAAAATCATGAAAATCTATGAAACACTATTTCTAATTAACTGCAACAGACATCCTTCCATGTTCAAATCAGGCTGGAAAAGTTTAATACAAAGAACAAATAATCATGAATAAGAGGAAGAGATCAGTCCTAAATAAATCTTTTGTCCATATATACTGAGTTCTCTGTTTCTTCTCCAATTATACAAGCAGTATCTCAAGATTCTAGTTACACAATATTAGACACATTAAGAGGAACATCTTGGGCCGGGTACTGTGGCTCATGTCTGTTATCCTAGCACTTTGGGAGGCCGAGGCAGGCGGATCACCTGAGGTCGGGAGTTCGAGACCAACCTGACCAACATGGAGAAACCCCGTTTCTACTAAAAATACAAAAAATTAGCGGGGCATGGTGGCACATGCCTGTAATCCCAGCTACTTGGGAGGCTGAGGCAGGAGAATCACTTGAACCTGGGAGGTGGAGGTTGCGGTGAGCCGAGATTGCACCATTGCACTCCAGCCTGGGCAGCAAGAGCGACACTCCACCTCAAAAAAAAAAAAAAAAAAAAAAGGAATGTCTTGGGTGAAGGAAAGCATAAACAACTTTTAGCTTTTGGTGACCTTTCTCTAAACTATAATGAATTTATAAAAGAGAACTTTTGCCTGTCAGAAAATCTAGGCAGTGTTTAATTTGTTTAAATGAATACAGAACCTCTAAAATGTGTCTTACCTTTATCTGTGGGACCTTCTGAACAGTTAATGGGGAAACCTGGGGTTGTGAAACAACTGTCGGTCCAAGGACATGTACAGGTAAAACAGTGGACTGACCTTGAACCAAAGGCAAAATCTGCGGCTGAGTCAGCTTTGAATGCTTCTGTAACTGTTAAAATAAGGGGAAAAAAAGATTAAAGATAAACTTTCCCATTTACAGTAAATACACTGATTATATATTTAAAAATATAACAGTTCACCTCACCCCTGAAACTTGCTGGTAATGTCCTACTAGTTGCTGAGATGAATAAATTTGCCCTGGAACATTTACTTCAGCCTGCGGGATATTAGAAACCATTTGAGAGCCCATCGTTTGATTTGAGGAATAGGCTACACTGGGCTGACTTGAAGTATCTGAATGTATAACTGATGCAGCTCCTGCCTCAGACAAATTGTCACCTATAAAAAAAGAAAATAAGTAACAGGTAGAAGGGAAAACTTGAAGCACAAAATGTCCAAATGGTATAGGTAATGGTGTTTCTTTAATGGCTTTTTTACTCTGAGAACCTGACATAGCTTCAAATAAAATATTTACACTACAACATTAATCAAAAACCAGCATGTAAACTCTTATCAAGCAATGAAATGTTGACATTGTGGTATAACTAAAATTTTCTTAGTAAAGCCAACCTAAAAACAGAGAATCAGATAAAAATCAACTCCATTTGCTGGCCATGTCATGTATATCCCTAACTAATCTACACTTGACATAAGGATTTCAGTAAAATATATCATATTCTCTTTCTCCTATAACCTAGAATACTGTCTTTGTAGAACAATAGGTTATTACTATGCAAATACTGTGTCCTTCTGGAAAAGAAAATGCATTACAGCAGAAAATTAGAGGAATTGTGTTAATGTTACACTTGAGCCTAAAATACAAAGGGTCTTAAAGACTAGAAAATTCCTTCTTGAGGAATAAATTTTATCTTTAGTTCTAAATTTTCTTTATTAAACGATGTACGTGGCTGGGCGCGGTGGCTCATGCCTACAATCCCAACACTTTGGGAGGCTGAGGCGGGTAGATGGCTTGAGCCCAGGAGTTTGAGACCAGCCTGGCCAATATGGTGAAACCCCATCTCTACCAAAAGAAAATACAAAAATTAGCCAGGTGTAGTGGCACGCACTTGTAGTCCCAGCTACTCAGGGGGCTGAGGTGGGAGGATCACCTGAGCCTGGGGAGGTCGAGGCTGCAGTGAATCATGATCACACCACTGCACTCCAGCCTAGGTGACAGAGCAAGGCCCTGTCTCAAAAAAAAGAAAGGATTTATGTTAGACCCTCAAAAATGATAATAAGATCATTTTATTTATACCCCAAACAAAACCAGATGCTAGATTATGATCCTTCTGCAACTAGCACCTTAGAAGAATCACTTAACAAAACAGTTTCTTAATTTTAAAATAAGGAAACTAGCTGGCTTGTCTATTTCAGGGGTTTTGTAAAAGGCTTGATGAAATGATAGAAGTGCTATTTAGAGCACAGAAGTGCTATTTAAAGATAAGCAAACATACAAAAAGGAAAAGAAACAAAATAGGTCATTGACCACTGCCCTTCAAAATAAATAAAGATTAGAGAATATAATTGCACATGCGTTTGCTTTTACAAGCTGTAACTGTGTTACCTGTAACAGAGGAGCAGTGCTGCTGTGGTTTTCTTTGTAGAAGCTGTTGTCTAACATGTTGATCAACTTCAGTTTCTTCACATTCAGCCCCAGTTTGCTGAGCGGGAGCAAGGGGTAAAGTTGTATTCTGGGGCTGAGGGAATACATTCCCCATAGACTTGCACTGAGAATCCCTGCGTTCTTCCAAACAGCCAGCAGGCTTCTTCTCTCTTGTCTTCTTTATTGGCGTCACCCGGTCTCTAATGGATTTAGCAACAGCTTTGGAATCACTTTCATGGAAGAACCCAGACTTGACCTACAAACAAAACATAATAAGCAAACTACTTCTTTAACATTTAAGATTTTAACTTTTTTTTTTTTTTTGAGACAGAGTCTAGCTCTGTCGCCCAGGCTGGAGTGCAGTGGCATGATCTCGGCTCACTGCAACTCTGTCTCCTAGGTTCAAGCGATTCTCCTGCCTCAGCCTCCCAAGTAGCTGGGATTACAGGTGCCCGCCACCACGCCCAGCTAATTTTTTTGTATTTTTAGTAGGGACGGGGTTTCACTGTGTTGGCCAGGCTGGTCTTGAATTCCTGACGTCGTGATCCACCGCCTCAGCCTCCCAAAGTGCTAGGATTACAAGCATGAGCCACCGCGCCCGGCCAATTTTAACTTTTTTTTTTTTTACTAGCAGTTATTTTATGCCCCCAAATTCCAAATTAACAGTTAATCTGTTTCTATATTCTCTCTTAAACAAAGACATACATAAATGCCAGAGCCTCTAATTGGCATGAGAAAAATCAATAGTATTACCAAGCATTGTTAAAATAATTCAGGCTTTAAACAAAAACGAACAAAACAACTTGATGTTTCAGAATATGCAGTCTTATCACAGGTAATTTAGAACTGCCATTACGTTTTTTGAAGGATTAAAAAGGTTTCCTCATTCAGCAACATTAAGTGTCTACAATGTGCACAGTACTAGGCACCAGATACAGGTGACTAAGTTGGTCCTTTGTCCTGTATGAGCACACTATCAGGTGGTGTGAAATGGACATAACTTAACTTGAAATGAGCTGCTGTAAAAGTCTTAAGTAGGAGCACGCTGCATCTCTGAAGGTAATAGAGTAAGTGTTTTCACAAAAGAATTCTATTTTATTTGATTTGTTTTTGAGAGACAGGTTCTCACTCTGTTGCCCAGGCTAGAATGCAGTGGTACAATGATAGGTCAATGCAGCCTTGACCTCCCAGGCTCAAGTGATCCTCCCACCTCAGCCTCCCGAGTAGCTGGGATCACAGGCATGCACCACCACACCTGGCTAATTTTTAATTTTTTGTAGAGATGGGGTCTCCCTATATTGCTTGGGCTTTGGTCTCGAACTCCTGGGCTCAAGCAATCCTCTCACCTCGGTCTCCCCAAAGTGCTGGGATAACAGGCATGAGCCACCACATCCAGCCTGGAAGGTAAGTTCTGACCTGAATTAAAGCCAAAAAAGGAACGTGCACACTATTGAGGGATGTGCAGAAGTTTGGAGTGGAGACCAACATTCTAGGCAGAGGCAAGTATGCTAACAGCAAAGTGCTACATCTTACTAGGCATTAGAGGAGTGAGAGAAGAAAAGGTTCTGCCTCGTCATCTCAGAGGAACAGGGCTGAACAGTAGAGAAGATCATTTGAGGAGGTACCATGACATATCATTCTCAGTCCTGCAATCTGCTTTAAGATGATCCCTCTTAATCCCCAAACCTGTGCATATGAGATATCACTCCCATCATTGTGTTTGCTATAATATATAGCACAATTGGCCTTAATCTAGGGAGATTATCTCGGTGAATCTTTTACCAGCTGCTGACACTAGAAGGATTCAATATGCCATTGCTGGCTTTGAAGACGGGGTGGAGACATGGAAAGGACTGAAGAGTGGCTTCTAGGAGCTGAAAGTGGACCCAGCTAATCCCATGTCCCCTGAAGACATGGGATTCAGGAAATCCAAAATTAAATACAGGAGTGAAGCAGAGAAGTCTAGGAAGATGGTAATGGGAAATGCCAGGGTGATAGTTGTGTACCAGATGTCCAAAATAATCATTCCAGTTTAGAACAACAGTATGATCAGAAAGACATGTTAAAGGCTATCATTTCCAGGTTCCCACTGTCATTGCCCCATCCTTCTTTTTAACCTGAGGCCAGAATGCCCAGGTGAGCCTGGCGCAGATGGTTTGTACTCGGCTGGTTTTGAGTACATGCTGCTGCGGCTCCTGCACACCCTCCCATCAGCACTGCAGCTGCCTGGAGCAGGTATGGACATGCATTTCACCCCACAGAAGTTGCCTTCTGTGATCCACTATTGAGAGTGGGGGCTGGTCACAGAGAGATTGGAAGCAAAGAGTCAGAGTGGCCCACTCCCCATCAAACCATATGGTAACCAGACAACTAATTTCTGGTCTGCACACTAGCCCTGCCGGTGCCCTGACTGCGCTGAGACATGGGTGTATTTTCCTGGCCTCATTTAGAACCTTACCCTCTGACTTCTCCAGAAGTAGCTCTTGTAAACTCTTAGGGAAACTGAAGCTGGAATTGCTATAACTGAGAAAGTCTCTTCAGCTTATCCTCTCCTGGGACTCTTCACCTAATTGTACCAATACTGCCCCTTCCCACCAACTAGGTGCATGCTTGCCATTCAGTTTTCAAAACAAAACAATATATTATGCAGGTAAACTATGATGAAAAACAAAGAAATGAGTAACACAAAAGTCTGGGTAGGGGCCGGGCACAGTGGCTGATACCTGTAATCCCAACACTTTGGGAAGCTGAGGTGGGGACAGATCACTTGAAGTCAGGAGTTCGAGACCAGCCTGGCTAACATGGTGAAACCACATCTCTACTAAAAGTACAAAAATTAGCTGGGAGTGGTGGCAGGCGCCTGTAATCCCAGCAACTCGGGAGGCTGAGACAGGAGAGTCGCTTGAACTCGGGAGGCAGAGGTCGTGGTGAGCCGAGATTGTGCCACTGCACTCCAACCTGGGCAACAGAGTGAGACTCCATCTCAAAAAAAAAAAAAATCTAGGTAGATATTACTCATGGTGATGAGGGAGGAAAATGCAAATGAGAGAGGCACTCAGGTGGCTTTTAAGGTAATGGTAATGTTCTATTTCTTAATAAATGTAGAGCTTTATTATTCTTTATACTCTACATACAAATTTAATACACTGTCACAGCGATATAGTTCACAACAACATAACAATTTAAAGAAAAAAGGAGAAGGTCAGGCTCGATGGCTCACGCCTGTAATCCCAGCACTTTGGGAGGCTGAGGTGGGCGGATCACAAGGTCAGGAGTTCAAGACCAGCCTGACTAACACGGTGAAATCCCGTCTCTAGTAAAAATACAAAAAATTAGCCGGGCGTGGTGGCGGGCTCCTGTAGTCCCAGCTACTCAGGAGGCTGAGGCAGGAGATTGGCATGAACCCAGGAGGCGGAGCTTGCAGTGAGCCGAGATCGCACCACTGCACTCCAGCCTGGGTGACAGAGCGAGACTCTGTCTCAAAAAAAAGGAGAAAATGAGAGGAAAGAAAGCAATGAGAAGGAGCAAGGAATGAACTCTGATACAATAAGAGGTGAGGGGAATAGTGGTATGATTAACTTACCATTTCATATGCTACTTCCTCAGGTGTATCTGTTTCTAAGTTGAAACTAAATTCAATAGCTTCATTGTCTTTGTGTTTGCCTTTCAATTTTTTAGGGTCTTCAACCCAGAGTCTTAAAGCAAGGGATGAATTTGAGCAATCATCTTCTTCTGCTAACTCCACCCTCAGTCCTGTATCCTCAGCAAAAAATGCATGGTTTAATAGGTCCCTGATAGACAACCTAATAAACAAAACATATATCTCATTATCAGTTCTTCCAATCATAGCAAGACCCTTTAATTACTAAAAATTAATTGTATAAAAGCAAAAAACTTATTTGAAATTTTCTATCAATTTAATCATTAATCTGCCTTGTTATAAAAACCAAATCTCTTTAACAGATCCTGTGGAAGCAAAAACAACAATAAATCTTATATCCAATTTATTACCAGGGATGCAAAGAAATCCCAACTAACATGCATACGGAGTGACTTCAATTAAAAATGAATTCTTACAAGTAATACATCTAAATAACAAAGTTTAACATACACAAAATTATGCCTAGTGAGAACTGGAGAAGTAGCTTAGTACATGTTAGGCAAATTTCCCTAAGCCACTGGCTTAAGTTACTCAGACTCAAACAGTAGATTCTCAGCAAAGGGAACCAAAAACTTGCAGATTTATAAACTCTAAAGTACGTTAAAAATTCAAACTCTTTTTACGAATGTTATAAATAGAAGTCACTGTCTCCATTAACAATAATCTAGTCAAAGTACTTTACAGAATGCCATGGGTGAAGCTAATGTGGTTCAGCAAAGTCCAGTGGTTTTCGTATTTAACTCTGGTTTTAGACCAGAGTATACATATAACAGATACAACCCTAGCCTAGTATTAGGGATTAACCATCTCTGAAGAGAAACAAAGGACATAGCTTCAAAAGATTTGTTTACAAGCTGGACAAGTTAATTTACTTTTACTAACTTTTAAAACAGATACATAATATTTAAACTCTCTGTATTACAGGCCAGTGAGAGCTGAAACTGATGTACTGCATAATGTCTACAGAGACCTCTTCTTACACTACATAAACAGAAAAAGTATATACACAGCATGATATCCTGTAAGTTGAGGATTTTCAACCCCCTACATTTTTAGTGACCAAGTGACAAATACTTAACTAAGATGGTGTCATAAATAGAATAAGCCATCATTCCATACAAAGTTGATTTTTTTGAAAAAGAAAAAGTTGCTCAAATGAATTACTTTTAAGACTAAAATGAGATGTGTGTTTTGGTGTTTTTTTTTTTTTTTTTTGGGACGGAGTGCAGTCGCGTGATCTTGGCTCACTGCAACCTCCACCTCCCAGGTTCAAGCAATTTTCCTGCCTCAGCCTCCCAAGTAGCTGGGACTACAGGTGTGTGCCACCACGCTCAGCTAATTTTTATATTTTTTAGTAGAAACGGGGTTTCACCATGTTGGCCAGGATGGTCTCAATCTCTTGATTTTGTGATCCGCCCCACTCAGCCTCAGGCGTGAGCCACTGTGCCCGTCCCTAAGACTAAAGCGAGATGTGTTTAAGGAGGCACAACCAAGTAAAGCCCTCTGCTTCCCAATAAAAATTTTTACTGTATTATTTATAGTGAATTTTTACTGTAAAATTTTTATTATTTACAGTAGAATTATTTTGGTTTATTAGTTTGCTTGTTTGTTTGCTTGCTTGTTTTGGGATGGAGTCTCACTCTGTTGCCCAGGCTGGAGTGCAGTGGCAAGATCTCGGCTCACTGCAACCTCCACCTCCCAGGTTCGAGCAATTCTCCTGCCTCAGCCCCCAGAGTAGCTGGGATTATAGGCACCCACCACCACGCCCAGCTAATTTTTGTATTTCTTGTAGAGATGGGGTTTCGTCATGTTGTCCAGGCTGGTCTCAAACTCCTGACCTCAAGTGATCTGCCCGCCTCAGCCTCCCAAAGTGCTGGTATTAGAGGTGTAAGCCACTGCACCCAGCCTGTTTGTTTTTAAGACAGGGTCTTACTCTGTCATCCAGGCTAGAGTACAGTGACATGATCATAGCTCATTGTAGCTTCCAACTCCTGGGCTCAAGCAATCCTCCCACTTCAGCCTCCCCAGGGGCTGGGACTACAGGCGTGTGACACTATGCCTGGCTAATTTTTTCATTTTAATATTTTGTAGAGACAAGGGTCTCATTTTGCTTCCCAGACTGGTCGTGAACTCCTGGCCTCAAGTGATCCTCCTGCCTCGGCCTCCCAAAGTGCTAGGATTACAGGTATAAGCCACTACCCTCAACCTATTATCCTTTTAGTTATCAAAATAATACTTGTTTTATGTAATTACTAACTTGTTCAAGGTCACACAGGCTAAGTGTGAGCCCAGATTTGACTTTAAGTCTGATGATGAAGACTGTGCTTTTCCCAATATACTAATATGCTATAAATCCTTTGCAATATTCCAGTGCTCTTTGGTAATAGAACATATTTAAAGGCTGTACAAACAACAATCAGAATCCAAACTAAAATAGCTACTTCTATATAGTGTTTTTAGCTTCATTTTTAAAAGCATGCCTAAGCTCCTATCTCAACAACAAAAAACCAAACAAGCCAATTAAAAATGGGCAAAAGAGTTGAATAGATATTTCTGCAAAGATATACAAATGGCCAATAACCCCATGAAAATTTCTACTAAGGATATATCGCCTTTACTAATAATCATCAATAAGGAAGTAAAAATCAAAAGACAAACCCACCAATTTAAAGTCAGCAACTGTCCAAAGCTGAAACTAAAGGGAGGCAGGTTGGGCGTGGTGGTTCACGCCTGTAATGACAGCACTTTGGGAGGCTGAGACGGGTGGATCACTTGAGGCCAGGAGTTGGAGACCAGCCTGGCCAACATGGTAAAACCCTGTCTCTACTAAAAATACAAAAATTAGCCAGGTGTGATGGCATGCACCTGCAATCCCAGCTACTCAGGAGGCTGAGGCAGGAGAATCGCTGGAACCCGGGAGGCAGAGGTTGCAATGGGTCAAGATCGTACCACTGCACTTCAGCCTGGGTAACAGAGCGAGACTCTGTCTCAAAAAAAAAAAAAAAAAAAATTAAAAATAAAATAAGAAATAAAACCTAAAGGGAGGCAAAAGCTAAGAGTAATGGGAGTTGTCTATAAAGCAAATTGTGACACAAATAAATGTGGAATACGATTTCTTGAATACATATTTCTTCTATCCATATTAGCTTTATCATTATCATGACACTAAAGATATAGAATCAAATTTTTAAAATTTTGTCCACTCTCAACTGTTAGAAGCAAATTAACTTGTGAGGGCCTACTGACTGTTAAGCTGATGGCTGAAGGTGATGAAAGCTTGTCAAAAGGCACACACACACACAAACGCAACCCAAACGTCAGTTCAAGAAAAATTCAGCACATGATATCCAAGTCTAAAATGGTAAACAACATGCACTGATACACTTCAATCTAGAGTATGGTTTGGCTTCTACTCAAAAGTCAAACTCAGCATGACTGAAAGGTCAGAAAACGACCCAATGCAAGATAAGAGAAAAATGCATCTTTCAGTTATGTCATTTTGCTACAATTGCACCCACCTTTCAGATTTGTTTTGACGAATACATCCTTCAATGATTTCTTTGACTTCAGGATCAGTGACTTTATTGAAGCTGGCTGGTTTTATGCCCTAGGAGAAAAAAATGGTTTCTAGTAACAATGATGCAATTGAAAGCCCAAGTCAACATGACATTTATTAAACATTATTTTTATCACTAAACCATAGTCAAGTTTTAAATGAAATATTTAAATATACATGTGTATATATAGAGAACATAAGTTTAATAACCTTTTGACAAGGATGTTGTCTACAAATAACAGTAAAAAAACCTTAAATAATCTAAACTTCTGACAACAGAGGCAAAGTTACACATATTATGTTATATATATAGTATGATTTTCAAATCTAGATCTGCAGGTATATATGACAATATACAGAAATTAAAAATGTTCTCAGAATAATTAATGACATGGGAAATTCTCATAATGTACTATTAAGTAGGGAAAAATAGGATCCCCAAATCTACATACAGTATAATCCCAATTAACAATATATAATAAACAAGTTTATTTATTTATTTATTTTGAGATGGAGTCTCGCTCTGTCGCCCAGGCTGGAGTGCAGTGGCGTGATTTTGGCTCACTGCAACCTCCCACCTCCCTGGTTCAAGCAATTCCCCTGCCTCAGCCTCCTGAGTAGCTGGGATTACAGGCGCACGCCACCAAGCCCGGCTAATTTTTCTGTATTTTTAGTAGAGACGGGGTTTCACCATGTTGGCCTGACTGGTCTCAAACTCCTGATCTCAGGCAATCTGCCTGCCTTAGCCTCCCAAAGTGCTGGGATTACAGGCGTAAGCCACTGCGCCCAGCCATAAACAAATACTTTTTTGAAATCAGAAAATAATTAATGCTATTTTAAAAAACTTTTGAAAATTCAAAATAAAGGCTTCTCTATTTCAAACATTCCAATTCTCTCTCTCTCTCTCTCTCTCTCTCTCTCTCTATATATATATATATATATATATATATTTTTTTTTTTTTTTTTATTTTTAAGACAGGGTCTCACTCTGTCCACCCAGGCTGAAGTGCAGTGGCATGATCACAGCTCACTGCAGCCTCAACCTCCCAAGCTCAAGTGATCTTCCCACCTCAGCCTCCAGAGTAGCTGGGACTACAGGCGCATGCCACCAAACTCGGCTAATTTTTTTTTTTTTTTTTTTTTTGTAGAGACAAGGTCTTGCTATGTTGCCCAGTCTGGTCTTGAATTCCTGGGCTCAAACAGTCCTCCTGCCTCAGCTTCCCAAAGTGCTAGGATTACAGGCATGAGCCACTGCACCCAGCCCAATTCACTATATTTCAGTCTTCTAGAATGGCTAGAAGCCATCGGTAGACGGCAATCAGTAGATACATATGTGTATGTATGGGTATATATGTATATATATGAACATATATACCTATATATTTAAGAAATCTGTATTATTTTTATCCTTAAACAATAATAAAATATTGAGAGCATGTACCTCAAGCTAATTATCAGGTTCTAGGAATTCAAGAACAAATAAATGAAGTCCAGACAATTCAAAATGTTTCTATAATAACTGTGTTGGCTTCCTGAATCTGCTTATTTTATATTCTATTACCTTTTATTTAAGATTTAAAAAATAACCCAAGTAAGATCATTGCAGTCATTTAATAGAAAATTCCAAATTAAGCTGGAAGCAGAAAGGTACAATGGAAAGAATAATTGTTATGGAATGAAGCAATCTAACATCTACTTCTACGCCTGTCATGCTACCTCAAAAGACATAGAATCAGAAAGCCCAGCATTACATCGTAGACAAATATGATGAAATTAGGAGTTAATTTAGTTCCTAAAATGTAGAAGCTTAAGACAGATGGAAATCTGAATTGTGATATGGCATTTTTAATGACTTTACTATAAAATAATAAAGTCACTATTCAAAAAATAGACCTATTAAAACAGCAACTCAAAGTACAATAAAAAATTAAAAATAAAAATAAATTTTCTAAAATAAATACATTTAAAAAATTTTTAAAAATTGACCTGTTATTCTACCTATGGAAAAAGCCCTCTTTGACCTTCCCACTGATATACTCATTTCTCATCTCTGGGTAAATTACTGCCTTTCTCTGCTCCTACGTAAAAACAGTTCAGGAGCTGTAACTTACAAAATCTAACACGAAATTCTTTTCTATTTATGGCCTTCCAAAATATGGGCCAAAACTAAAAACACATTCTAGCCTTATCTCTTTTTCTGAGCTCTTATAGAAATTTTCAAACATACTTGAAAGTAGAATAGCATAATGAAGTCCCGTGTAACCATCACCAGTTTCAACAACAGTCAACATTTTGCCAACCTTGTTTCAGCTATCTGCCCCCACACATATTGTATCCTGGAATATTTTAAAGCAAATCTCAGGCATCACGTCATTTCACCCATGAATTTTCCAGTTTACATCTCTAACAGATAAGAACCTTTTAAAAAAAAATCGTGTAGCTCAGGCATGGTGGCTCATGCCTGTAATCCTAGTACTTTAAGAGGCCAAGGTGGGTGGATTGCGTGAGCCCAGTAGTTCAAGACCAGTCTGGGCAACATGGTGAAACCCCATCTCTACACAAAAATATAAAAAGAAAAAAAAAATAGCTGCGTGTGGTGGTGTGTACCTGTGGTCCCAGCTACCAGGGTGGCTGAGGTGAGAGGATTGCCTGAGCCCAGGAAGTCAAGGCTATAGTGAGCCAAGATCGTACCACTGTACTCAAGCCTGGGTGACAGAGCAAACACTGTCTCCAAAAAAAAAAAAAAATCATATAATCGTCCCCCCTAAAATACTCATGAATAATTCCTTAATATCAAATATCTGAAACCCAGTCCATACTCAAATTTTCAAAATTGTCTAAATGATGTCTTTTTACAGTTGGTTTGTTCAAATCAGGATCCAAACAAGGTCCATAGGGTAGGGTGTGCATGAGCTGGCTCATACCAGCTCACAAATGCTATTAAGTTTTCAGAAATTCTGCAATCCAATTGTTAAACATGGCCATTTAAAATAAAACTAAATTATAAAAGTTTACAATTAAATAAATTACATTAAAAGCCAAGGTAAGCTGGGCACAGTGGCCCACACCTGTAATCCCAGTACTTTGGGAGGCCGAGGTGGGCAGATCACCCGAGGTCAGGAGTTTGAGACCAGCCTGGCCAGCATAGCAAAACCACATCTTTATTAAAAAAATATATATATATATACAAAAACTAGCCAGGTGTGGAGGCGCATGCCCGTAATCCCAGCTACTTGGGAGGCTGAAACATGAGAATCGCTTGAACCCAGGAGGCAGAGGTTGCAGTGAGCTGAGATCGTACCACTGCACTCCAGCCTGGGTGACAGAGTGAGACTCTGTCTCAAAAACAAAACAAAACAAAACAGAGCAAAAAAAAGCCAAAGCAATAAATACTGAAAACATCACTCCCTAACTATTTTACTACAGTTTACTATTATTTATGTGTTTGAGGTTATTTACAGCTACTCTATCTGCATGGTAGAAATAACCATACAATGAGTGCAACAGTGCATCTCTTCCCAACTCTTCATTCAGTGAGGTCACATTGGTAACCTGAAATCAGCCATAGTGGGAGTACTTATACCACAAAAATCAGCAAATACTAGAAGTCAGCATTCTTTCTTTCTTCAGAGAATCAGGTGTTAAACATTTACCAGCTCACCACTACTCTTAAGTCTCTTGTATTCTATAAAAGCCTCCCTCCCTTCCTGTTTGTTTCATAAAATGTATTTGTTGGAGAAACTAGGTCATTTGTCCTACAGAATGTCCCACATTCTGGATTGTAGCCTTATTTCTTATTGTCTCCTTACACAAACTTCTAGAGTCAGACAGACTTGGGGTCAAAACCCACCATTATCAGTAGCTGCGGGAAGTTGGGCAAGGTACAACCTCTGATTCTCAGTTTCATCATCTGTAAACTGAAGATTGCACCTATCTCGTAGGGGATAAAGATTAAAGTATGTGGTGGCCGGGCGCAGTGGCTCACGCTTGTGATCCCAGAACTTTGGGAGGCCAAGGTGGGTAGATCACGAGGTCAGGAGTTCAAGACCATCCTGGCCAACATGGTGAAACACCATCTCTACTAAAGATACAAAAAATTAGCCGGGCATGGTGGTGCACGCCTGTAATCCCAGCTACTCGGGAGGCTGAGGCAGGAGAATCACCTGAACCTGGGAGGTGGAGGATGCAGTGAGCCGAGATAGCGCCATTGCACTCCAGCCTAGACGACAGGGCAAGACTCGGTCTCAAAAAATAAATAAATAAAGCATGTGGTATACCGCATGCATTAAAAAACAGTATCTCCTCACATCTGTTAGAATGACTATTATCGAAAAGATGAAAGATAAGTGTTGGTGAGGATGCAGAGAAAAGGGAACCCTTGTACGTTGTTGATGGGAATATAAATGGTACAGCTGTTATGGAAAATGGTATGGAACTTCCCCAAAAAAACTAAAAACAGAACTACCATAGCAATTCTACTTCTTGGTACATACCCAAAGGAATTGAAATTAGTATGTCAAACAGATATATGCATGCCTATGTTCACTGCATCACTATACACAATAGCCAAGATATGGAAATGACCTACATGTTCATCAGTGAATGAATAAAGAAAATGTGGTATATATATACAATGGAATACTATTCAGCCTTTAAAAAGAAGAAAATTCTATCATTTGTGACAATGTGGATGAACCTAGAAGACATTATGTTAAGTGAAATAAACCAGCACAGAAAGACAAATACAACATGATCTCACTTACACATGGAATCTAAAAAAGATGACCTCATAGAAGAGTAGAATGATGGTTACCAGAGACTGGGAGTTGTGGGGGAGGAAATGGGGAGCTATTGGTCAAAAGGTACAAGTTGCAGTTAGACAGGAGGAGTAGGTTTTGAGATCTACCGTACACCAGGGTAACTACAGTCGATAATAACAATAATATACTGTAAATTTCAAAATAACTTAGTAAATTTCAAATGTCTTACCACACAAAATAATAAGCAAGTGGGGTGACAGATATGTTAACTAGCCTGATTTAATCATTCCACATTTGTGTGTGTGTATCTCAAAACATCACATGGTACCCCTTAAATATGTACAATAACAATTTGTCAATTAAAAATGATATTAATTTTGGCCAGGCGCGGTGGCTCACACCTGTAATCCCAGCACTTTGGGAGGCCGAGGTGGGCGAATCACAAGGTCAAGAGATCAAGACCATCCTGGCCAACATGGTGAAACCCCATCTCTACTAAAAATACAAAATTAGCTGGGCGTGGTGGTGCACACCTGTAGTCCCAGCTATTTGGGAGGCTGAGGCAGGAGAATTGCTTGAACCCGGGAGGTGGAGGTTGCAGTGAGCCGAGATCCCGCCACTGCACTAAAGCCTGGCGACAGACTGTGTCTCAAAAAAAAAAAAAAAAGGTATTAATTTTAAAAGGATTTAAAAAACCAATACCTACTAATGTTAAGCTACCTGAAACAATCTTTCACAGCCTGTCTTGAGCTGCCCAACTGGATATGAAGCAGTCCTCCTTTGAACAACACTTTGCTTCTACCTTCCTTATGTCCCTTACTATACTCTCATCCTCTTATTTTATAGTCATTTGTGAATTTATATTATTCCCTTATTAGAAATGTAAGCTCTTTAGGGTAGCAAACACTTCTTACTCATGTTTGCATTCCTTACAATTTCTAACACAAAAATTTACTCATAGCAGGGACCCAAATACTGTATCTATTGAACTATATTTTGAATGCCCTTTCATAAAAAGGCTTTTAGACCTAGAAGAAACCATGTAGTCGGTCTCTATTATTCAGCTTTGAAAAATAAGATCCATCTAATAGATAACTAAAAATTCCTTACAAACAAATATATATAGATGATATACCTGTACATTTTCCCAAAGATACTAATACAGAGCATTTTATATGACTCCAATGAAGCATAGTCATATGGTATAAATCTAAGGCTTGTTGCATTACAATTGTTAATTTTAATACTGTTACCTAGAGCTAAACCAAAATTAGTTTTGAGTAAGTCAAACTTAACTAATTTCAACATGAAACGTGGCAACTGATAAAGTAAAAAGAAAAAAGTTATACCTACACTAGTTACTTTCCGGTATATTTGAGCTGCATTCTGACACTCAGAATAAGGATACTCCGATGTGGCCATTTCCAGCATACACATTCCAAAAGCATAAACATCTACGGATTCATCATAGTGTTCTTCATACATCTCTGGAGCCATAAACTCAGGAGTTCCTACAAAATAACACCACCACCACATTCTTATAGAAGAGAAAAACGTATCCACCAAGATCACATCCCCTTTCCTATAAGGATTATCTGTGTTAATTTCTACTCCCCCAAAGCAAATTTCTTTTTTTTTTTTGAGACATAGTCTTGCTCTGTTGCCCAGGCTGGAGTGCAGTGGTGCCATCTCAGCTCACTGCAACCTCTGCCACCCGGGTTCAAGTGATTCTCCTGCCTCAGCCTCCCGGGTAGCTGGGATTACAAGCGCCTGCCACCATGCCTGGCTAATTTTTGTATTTTTAGTAGAGACGGGGTTTCACCATGTTGGCCAGGCTGGTCTCGAACTCCTGACCTCGTGATCCACCCGCCTCAGGCTCCCAAAGTGCTGGGATTACAGGCGTGGGCCACCATGCCTGGCCGCAAATTTTTAAGTATACAATTTGTTGAATATTTGCTATATCTACATAAAGCACTGAAATAATTTATTTAATTTTCCATACTGATAGAGTGTAATTTGTAATGCTCAAGATTAGGTAACGATTAATAAAATGTTTTTATTTCTATCCTTTTTACTTAAATTTTTCTGAATTAACTTAATAAACTCTCTTACTTACATCCTTAGAACCTTTCAATAATCCTAAATATAAATTATTATCCCACAAAAAATACATTAGGATGTCTCTGAAAAAAGCCAATATATAATAGGTATTTCAAAGCAAATTCAGTCTAAGCCCAGTATTGGCAAACTTTTCTGTTAAGGGCCAGATAGTAAACTGTTTAGGTTTTGCAGTTTGTATGGTCTCTGTCACACAACTACTCAACTCTGTCACTTGTAGGTGCAAAAGCAGTCCTAGACAATCTGTAAATGAGTGAGTGTGACTGTGTTCTAATAAAATTCGATTTACAAAAACAGGCAGTGAGCCACATTCATCCCACTGGCCATAGCTGGCTGATTCCTGTTCTAGACCTATACAATTGAAAAATCTCTCTTTACCCAACCAGTAAACTGTAAAACTTTAATCACCAATGACACTCTTAGCAAATGAGGTACGCATTAAGGTGGCTAATCCTAGATCACCAATCTTCACAGATCCAGTGGGTCCCGTGATGAAAATATTGTCACACTTCAGATCCCGGTGAATAATAGGAGGAGTCCTAGTGTGCAAGAACTGCAACCCCTTTAAAATTTGCCTGCACCAGCTCCTTAAGACCTTTGGTTTCATGACTTTAAATCGTTTTAAGTACCTATACAAAGAAACAAAAGACCATGTGTAAACAAACATATCCAACTTATTATATGAACACTATTAAGGTAAGTTACATAAGCAAACAACTTATGCACTATGATTCCCATCACTGAGTTGTTTTCTATTGTCTGTTATGGCAAAACAAAAATTTAATCTAATACTTCATTCTTAGATAAGACATCCTACCAAGCATAGCTGTTTTGTTTGTTTGGTTGGTTGGTTGGTTTTTTTTTAAGACGAAGTCTCACTCTGTCTCCCAGGCTGGAGGGCAGTGGTGCAATCTCAGCTCACTGCAGCTTCCGCCTCCCAGGTTCATGTGATTCTCATGCCTCAGCCTCCCAAGTAACTGGGACTACAGGCATGCACCACCACGCCAAGCTAATTTTTGCATTTTGGCATAGACGGGGTTTCACCATGTGGGCCAGGCTGGTCTTGAAATCCTGACCTCAGGTGATCTGCCTGCCTCGGCCTCCCAAAGTGCTAGGATGACAGGCATCAGCCACCACACTTAGCCAAGTGTAGCATTTTTAATTCAAACTAAAAATCATTCCAGAGTGGCCTTTTGTAGAATGGCAGCACAATTTTAAAAAGAAAGTCCTTCTCTACTACCTAATAACTGCTTATATAAAGTCACTAGAGGGTTAAACTATGTAAAATTTTAGTATATACACAAATGTTAGGAAACAAAAAGTTTATACCATATTTAATATTTGCAAGTGATTAAACCACATTTAATATTTACAAGTCATTATTCACCAAATGAATAATTGTGGTTAGAAATAAAAGACTATAATTAATAGTCTATAATACTATAATATTATACTATATAATACTATAATAATATACTATAATACTATAATATCATAATAGTATCGCTCACTAGATATTTGAACTTGACCAAGCCCTCCAACCTTCCATTATCTTCTACAAAATAAAATTATGGCCGGGCATGCTGCCTCACTCCTATAACCCTAGCACTTTGGGAGGCTGAGGTGGGCAGATTGCTTTAGCCCAGGAATTCGAGACCAGCCTGGGCAACACGGCGAAACCCCATCTCTACAAAAATTATTTTTAAAAAAATTAGCCAGGCATGTTGCTGCATGCTTGTGGTTCCAGCTACTCAGTAGGCTGAGGTGGGAGGGTCACTTGAGCCCAAGGAGGTCGAAGCTGCAGTTAGCCATGATCATGCCACTGCACCACTCCAGTCTGGGTGACAGAGTGAGACCCTGTCCCAAAAAATAATAAAATAAAATAAAATAAAATAAAATTATATTCTCTATAATAGATTTTTAATTCTAAAATTCTATAATATCCCACAAACATTAACTTCTCAGTACTGTATTTTTTTAACAAACTTCATTAACATCTCAATTGTTTAACCTAACTTAAAACAGTCACTAGATTCGAATCTACAAATTCTTTTTTTTTTTGAGACAGGATCTGGCTTTGTCAACCAGGCTGGAATACAGTGGCACAATCATGGCTCACTGCAACCTCCATCTCCCAGGCTCAAGCCATCCTCCAACCTCAGCCTCCTGAGTAGCTGGGACTACAGGTGTGTGCTGCCACATCTGGTTACTTTTTGTATTTTTTTGGTAGAGACAAGGTTTCACCATGTTGCCCAGGCTAGTCTTGAGATCCACCCTCCTCAGTCTCCCAAAGTGCTGGGATTACAGGTGTAGCCACTGCGCCTGGCCAGATTCTAAAAATTCTTTGAGTAGTTTTATTTTATAAAAATTGTTATGACTCCTGAAAATTATTTCCAAATAAAACTACATTGGCACTATCAGGGTCAACTTACGTCTTTAAGGTCCCAGATGTCATTAGTTCAGTCACTAATACAATACATTTCTTTCCTTTTAATATAGATTCCCAGGAATCATAAAATCGAACTATATTGGGGTGCTGGAGACCCTTCAACATCTCTGCTTCTTCCTTGAATCTTTGCTGCTCAGCTTTGGTTAACTTTCGGTCCTGAAAAGGAATAACAAGTTCCAAAATAAAGTCATGAAAATTCTCATGCACATTTCTAATACCACTCAACTGAATGCTTTATTGCATATATGCATGGATGTGTATATTTATTTATTTTTGCCTGTCAATGCTTTTCTCAAGACTTGTATCATCACAGATATCCTTTATTAGCTACTGTGACTCCTCCAACATGGCAATGCAGCACTATTATATTTCATAAGTACATTATAAACCCACCTGGGTAATAAATCAGTATCTTGAAAAACAGTATCTCAAAATGAATTGAGAAAAAGCAATAAAGCAGATAGGAAAGTTTCCCTAAGAAATCCCTGAGTTTCCATATCTAAAACATCTGTAATGTCAGAACAAGAACAATAAAAATGTTAAACATCTAGACATTTAATCTAATTAAATTTCTGAATTGCCAAAATAAAAGTGCTCTAGGTTTCCATACAGAAATATTAGTTTATGAACCAGTGAGACATTCAAATAGGCATTGGACCTCTAATCTGCTACATTAACTGCTAGAAGTCAAAGGAACAATTTTACAGAATTCTGAGGGAGAACTATGGCCCTAAAATTCTGATCCCAGACAAGCTATCCATCAAGTTTAAAAGTGAAAAAATCCTACATTTCTAGACAACAGGGACACAGACAGTACACCACCCCATACACCGTCTCTGACCATATTACTCAAAGAACTTCAATAAAAATTTGGACACAAAAAGTTAGAAAAGGAAGGTATGGGCTGGGCACGGTGGCTCACACCTATAATCCTAGCACTTTGGGAGGCTGAGGTGGGAGGAGCACCTGAGCCCAGTTCGAGACCAGCATGGCTAACATAGTGAGACCCCCGTCTCTACAAAAAAATAATAATAAAAACAACAGCTGGGTGTGGTGGTGCATGTTTATAGTCCCTAACTACTCGAGAGGGTAAGGTGGGAGGATTGCTTGAACCTGGGAGGCAGAGGTTGCAGTGAGCCAAGATCATGCCACTGCACTCCAACCTTGGTGACGGAGTGAGACCCTGTCTCAAAAAAATTAAATTAAAATAACAAAATGTTAGAAAAATTTTGTTATCAAAGTTGTACATGACATTATCTTCTAATTTCTTTTATTCTCTTTCATAGCATGCTATGTTTTATTTCTCATTCCTTTTTTTTCTAGACGGAGTCTCGCTCCATTGCCCAGGCTGGAGTGCAGTGGTGCGATCTCAGCTTACTGCAACCTCTGCTTCCCGGGGTCAAGTGATTCTCCTGCCTCAGCCTCTTGAGTAGCTGGGATTACAGGTGCCCACCACCACGCCCGGCTAATTTTTGTATTTTTAGTAGAGATGGGGTTTCACCATGTTGACCAGGCTGGTCTTGAACTCTTGACCTGAAGTGATCCACTTGCCTCGGCCTCCTCCCAAAGTGCTGGGACTACAGGAGTGAGCTATTGCGCCCGGCCTTCTCATTCCTTTCCTTGTGTATTTCTGCCCTATTTTCTTCATCAGGTACATTAATCGTTTTTCAGAAAGCCCAAAATAATAAAATCTATTTATCCTATTTTTATGTATATAAATTTTAAATTAATTTCAGTTTTTCTGAATTCCCTCTTCCTTTCTTTTGCTGTTATTTTCCTAATTTCTTAACATGAGTACTAAATTCCTTTAGTTATTGTTCATTAATAATGAAGATATTTTAGGCTATAAATTTTCTAACAGGTACAACTTTTGCAATGACCCACAGGTTTTGTTGTAATGTCTTCTCTTTTTCATTGCTTTCTAGTTTATAATTTTCATTTTCATTTTCATTTTCAGTTTTCAGTTTCTCTTTGATTCAAAATTTACCTAGGAATGTGATTTCTGCTCTCTAATTAGTTAAGAATCTTTTGGTTATTTATTTCATTATTTATTTCTAATCTTATTGAGTAATGCAAGTACAAAATCTCTCTGCTTTAACTTAAGGGTTTTTGGGGGCCACATATAACAATGTATATTTCTTGCTTGAAGGATATAAAGTTCTATACATCCATCAAATAAAGTTTGTGGATTGTGGATTATATTATTCAACTCCTCTGTATTTTTTTTTTTTTTGAGATAGAGTTTTGCTCTTGTTGCCCAGGCTGGAGTGCAATGGCGCGATCTTGGCTCACGGCAACCTCCGTCTCCCGGGTTCAAGCAATTCTCCTGCCTCAGCCTCCCGAGTAGCTGTGATTACAGGCATGCGCCACCACCCCGGCTAATTTTGTATTTTTAGTAGAGGTGGGGTTTCTCCATGTTGGTCAGGATGATCTTGAACTCCTGACCTCAGGTGATCCACCTGCCTCGGCCTCCCAAAGTGCTGGGATTACAGGCGTGAGCCACCTCGCCTGGCACAACTCCTCTGTATTTACTCACTTTTTGTGCACTAGATCTCTCCTATGCTGAAAGAAATGTACATGAAATTTCCCACTACAAATACATGTTTGCTTTTTTGAAAATGCTATTAGAGGTTATTTAGCCAAAATGTTGTTGATGTCTACAAGTTTTTGATACATCTTCGTAAACTATGAAGTATATAATTTCATAATATCCTGTCTAATGTTTCAACCTTGTTTTCCTCCTTTTTTGATGTACATTAACATTGCCACTTTGGGGCCAGGTGTGGTGGCTTACACCTGTAATCCCAGCACTTTGGGAGGCCAAGGCGGGCAGATCGCCTGAGGTCAGGAGCTCGAGACCAGCCTAGTCGACATGGTGAAACCCTGTCTCTAATAAAAACACAAAAAATTAGCCAGGTGTGGTGGCACGTGCGTGTAATCCCAGCTACTTGGGAGGCTGAGACATGAGAATCACTTGAGCCCAAGAGGCAGAGGTTGCAGTGAGCCAAGAGCATGCCACTGCACTCCAGCCTGGGCGACAGAGTGAGACTCTGTCTCAAAAAAAAAAACAAAAAAAAAAAAAACAAAACACATTGCCACTCTTGTTTTCTCTTTGCTTGTTTACACCTTTACCTTTTCTTTATCACTGCTTTAAGTATGATTTTAGTAAACAACACATGTGAGTTTTGTCTTTTAACTCTACCTGACAATCTGAGTTTCTTATTAAGTAAATGCAACATGTCCACATTTGGTATAGCAAATAATATACTTAATTTTACTCCTTCAATCTTATTTTATGTTCTTTATTTATTTCACTTTGTTGTTTTCTATTATTAACTAAGAGATGTAGCAGGCTAGGCACAGTGGCTCACATCTGTAATCCCAACAATTTGGGAGGTCAAGGTGGGTGCATTGCTTAGGCTCAGGAGTTTAAGACCAGCCTGAGCAACATGACAAAACCCTGTCTCTACAAAAAATACAAAAATTAGCCGGGCATAGTGGTGTATGTCTGTAGTCCCAGCTACTTAGGGGGCTGAGGCTGGAGGATCGCTTGAACCCGGGAGGTCGAGACTGTATAGTGAGCCATGTTTGCGCCACACTGCGCCACACTGCACTCTAGCCTGAGTGACAAAGTGAGATGCTGTCTCAAAAAACAAAGAGATATATAATATTTTTCCTTTTTTACTAGTGGATAGCCTCCCTTTCCAGACACTCAAGATCAAACATATTTATCTGTTTTAAGAAAGTAACTCATCTACTCGTTCTCCCTACTTCACCTAGCCCCCATTCACCAAAAATAAATAAATAATCTAAAATACTAATATTTCCCCCCTTTCTATCATGCCACATAGACAACACATGTAGAAGACTTAATCACTGGTCAGGCACGATGGCTCATGCCTGTAATATCAGTACTTTGGGAGGCTGAGGCAGGTGAATCGTTCGAGCTCAGGAGTTCGAAATCAGCCTGGACAACATGGCAAAACCTTGTCTCTACTAAAAATAAAAAAAATCAGCTGAGCATGGAGGCACGTCCCAATAGCTGTAGTCCTAGCTACTTGGGAGGCTGAGGTGGGAGGATCACTTGAGCCTGGGAGGTGGAGGTTGCAGCAAGCCAAGATTCTGCTACTGCACTCCAGCCTGGGCAACAGAGGGAGACCTTGTCTCAAAAAAAAAAAAAAAAAAAAGACTTAATCACCCCTACACTGTCCACTTCTATATGATTGCCCCTCCCCCTGACACACTTCTGTTCTAGCTGTAGAGTCTTTACTTAGCACTTTTATCAAATATTCCATTCATTCAATGTCAACATATGTTAGTTACATAGATCTAGCTTCATCTTTTCAACTATTACATAGTTTTCTGCACTATGGTCCATGAATATCTTTTTCACCCTGGGAGATGATATCTTAGTTGATTAGAGATTCTTGGATGGTGTAGCCTTTTCCCCTTAATGGTCTACTGTCTTTTAGCTTCTAGCATTGAAGATAAGAAGAAAGGTGCATGTAAGATTCTTTTTTCTTGGTTAGTCTAGTTATTTACCAGATTTTACTAGATATCTACTTTTAGATACTACTTCTTTTTGATTATCGAGACTACTAATTCAAGTCAGAAAAGTGATTATTTTCCCCTCATATTCAATCCTCTTCTGAGTCCTTGATTTACTCAGGGGAGCCCTGGGGTACCTTATGTAGTCCCATGAGTGATGGAGCTATAGCAGTCTCTCCCCTGAGGGCTGTTCTGTAACAACTAACATCTTGTTAGACATCGAGGAAGTGTGTTTGCTCCTTATTCTCCTAGAATGCAAAAGCTAACTCTCTCTCCTACTCTGCAGACTAAAAATGACCCCGTCTACCCTTTAGACCCTCAAGACTAAAAGACTGGTCAGCCCACTAGTCTTTTAGCTCTGCTCACACTTTTGAGGGGGCATAACTATACAAAGAGATCAGCAGATCTTCCCCTGTATTATAGATGGAATGTTTGTGTCCTCTCTCCTCCGCCAAAATTTGTAAGTTAAAACCCCAACCCCAATGTGACTGTATTTGGAGACGGGACCTTTATGTCATAAGGGTGGGTCCTTGATCCAATAGGATTAGTATCCTTATAAAAAGAGATAACAGAGGCCGGGTGCAGTGGCTCATGCCCGTAACCCCAGCACTTTGGGAGGCCAAGATGGGTGGATCACCTGAGGTCAGGAGATCAAGACCAGCCTGTCCAACATGTTGGAACCCCGTCTCTACTAAAAATATAAAGAAGTAGCCAGGCGTGGTGGCAGGCACCTGTAATCCCAGCTACTTGGGAGGTTGAGGCAGGAGAATCGCTTGAACCCAGGAGGCGGAGGTTGCAGTGAGCTGAGATCACGCCACCGCACTCCAGCCTGGGCAATAGAGCGAGACTCCATCTCAAAAAAAAAAAAAAAAAAAGACAAGAAGACAAGAGAAAGCTCACTCCCAACTCTCCTCACCAAGCCATGAAGAGAGCCCTCACCAGAAACCCACCAAGCTAGAACTTGATCTGGGACTTATAATCTCTACAACTTTGAGAAAAGATGCTCAACATCATTAGTTGTCAGGGCAATGCAAATCAAAACCACAATAAAATACCACTTCACACCCATTAGGATGGCTATTATCTAAGTAAATAAATATATAAATAAATAAATAAGAAGTGTTGGCAAGGATATGGAGAAACCTTGTACATTGCTGGGGAATGTAAAATGGTATATTCGTTGTGGAAAGCAACATGATGGTTCCTCAACATATTAAACATAGAATTATCATATGCTCCAGCAATTCTACTTTTAGGTATTCTAGGTATATACCCAAAAGAATTGAAAGCAGAGACACAGACATTTGTAGAACCATGTTCATAGCAGCATTATTCACAATAGCCAAAACGTAGAAACAACTCAAATGCCCACCAACAGATGAATAAACAAAATATGGTACATACATACAATGGAATACTGTTTAGCCTTAAAGAGAAATGAAATTCTGATACATGCTACAAAACATGGATGAATCTTTTTTTTTTTTTTTTCCTGAGATGGAGTCTTGCTCTATCACCCAGTCTGGAGTACAGAGGCACAATCTCGGCTCACTGCAACCTCCGCCTGCCGGGTTCAAGCAATTCTCCTGCCTCAGCCTCCTGAGTAGCTAGGATTACAGGCACATGCCACCATGCCCAGCTAATTTTTGTATTCTTAGTAGGGACGGGGTTTCACCATGTTGGCCAGGCTGGTCTCGAACTCTTGACCTTGTGATCCGCCCACCTCGGCCTCCCAAAGTAGCTGGGATTACAGGTGTGAGCCACCGCACCCGGCCAACATGGATGAATTTTGAAAACGTTATGGTAAGTGAAATAAACGAGACAGGAAAGACAAACATTGCTTGATTCCACTTATATGAGGTACCTACAATAGGCACATTCATAGAGACAGAAAGTAGAATAGTAGTTAACAGGAGCTAGGCAGAGTGGGGAATGGGAAGTTAAATTTTTTTTTTCTTTTTTTTTTGAGACGGAATCTCGCTCTGTCGCCCAGGCTGGAGTGCGGTGGTGCCATCTCAGCTCACTGTAAGCTCCGCCTCCCGGGTTCACGCCATTCTCCTGCCTCAGCCTCCCAAGTAGCTGGGACTACAGGCACGTGCCACCATGCCCGGCAAATTTTTTGTATTTTTTAGTAGAGACAGGGTTTCACCATGTTAGCCAGGATGGTCTCGATCTTCTGACCTCGTGATCCACCTGCCTCGGCCTCCCAAAGTGCTGGGATTATAGGCGTGAGCCACCGCGCCCAGCCAGGGGAAGTTAAATTGTTTAATGAGTATAGAGTTTCTATTTGGAATGATAAAAAAGTACTGGAGATGGATATTGCTGAGGGATGTACAATGATGTAAATATACTTAATGCCACTGAAAAACTGCACACTTAAAAATGGTTAAGATGGCTGGGCACAGTGGCTCACGCCTGTAATCCCAGCACTTTGGGAGGTCAAGACGGGCAGATAACCTGAGGCCAGGAGTTCGAGACCAGCCCAGCCAACATGGCAAAACCCCATTCTCTACTAAAAATACAAAAATTATCCGGCTGTGGTGGCACGCGCCTGTGATCCCAGCAACTCGGGAGGCTGAGGCATGAGAATTGCTTGAACCCAGGAGGCAGGGGTTGCAGTGAGCTGATATCATGCCACTTCACTCCAGCCTGGACAACAGAGTGAGACTCTGTCTCAAAAAAAAAAAAAAGGTTAAGATGGTAACTCTTGTTATATATTAGACATTTTGCCACAATAAAAAATATTTTTTAGAAAGTTAAGGAAGTCAGCAGGCACAGTGGTTCACATCTGTAATCCCAGTACTTAGGGAGGCTAGGAAGGAGTTCAAGACCAGCTTGGGCAACAAAACAAGACCCCAACTATACAAAATAGCTGGGCATGGAGGCATGCACCTGTAGTCCTAGCTACTTGGGAGGCTGAGGCAGGAGGATCACTTGAGCCCAGGCGTTCAAGGCTGCAGTGAACTATGGTCACGCCACTGCACTCCAGCCTAGGTAAGAGAGCAAGACCCTGTCTTGAAAAAAAATAAGGAACTCAGAGAACAAAAGCAAGGAAACAAGTAGAGTCTTTATGCTTTACTATCTGGCCTAATAAGTCTTTTCTTTTTTTTTTGAGATGGAGTCTTGCTCTGTCATCCAGGCTGGAGTGAGTAGTGTGACCTCGGTTCACTGCAACCTCCACTTCCCGGGATCAAGCGATTCTCGTGCCTCAGCCTCCCCCAGTAGCTGGGATTACAGGTGCCCGCCATCACGCCTGACTAATTTTTGTATTTTTAGTAGAGAAAGGGTTTCGCCATGTTGGCCAGGCTGGTTTTGAACTCCTGACCTCAGGCGATCCGCCCACCTCGGCCTCCCAAAGTGCTGGGATTACAGGTATGAGCCACTGCACCCAGCCCAACCTGACTAATAAGTCTTAAGTGCCCCTATAACTGGCTAGAAGTCCTCTACTCATGATAGACAGCAGATCTACTCTGAAGAATAATTAGTAATTCTTTTTTGAGACAGGGTGTCACTCTGTCACTCAGGCTGGAGTGCAGTGGCGCGATCTCAGCTCACTGCAACTTCCACCTCCCAGGTTCAAGCGATCCTCCCACCTCAGCCTACCAAGTAGCTGGGACTACAGGCACATGCCACCACACCCAGCTGATTTTTGTATTTTTTGTAAAGATGGGATTTCGCCATGTTGCCCAGGCTGGTCTCAAACTCCTGAGCTCAAGTGATCTGCCTGCCTCAGCCTCCCAAAGTGCTAGGATTATAGGCATGAGTCACCATACCTGGCCAGAATAATGAATAAATTTTGATGCCTTCTGATTAAATTAGTAGAATGCCAAGTCTTTCATGTGCCATACTAAACTACCCTACTTCATCCTTTGATTCTACAGATTGAAAGTAGTCAGCATTAGGAATAAACAACTTTACAAAATTACAACTGTTTTCCCAGATATACTGCTGGAGGTGAAGTCTACTAAAAATGTAGAGCCAAGATCTTCAAAACTCCACTTCACATTTAGCAAGGGGAAAGTAAACCTGTTAAAGTAGCACCAAAATCCAGAGGAAAATACTTAGAGTAGAGCTTTCAGCTACCACAGTAACATCCTTTAAACACACACACCCCTACATGCATTATTGTATTAATGACAACCACTTTGGTAGAGAAACTTTCACACATCATCAATAAGAATTCTTACACAAGAAAGGAATGATGAGCCACAAAAGACAAACCAGAGAACAGCACTAGCTAATGAAGCTGACATAGTCAAATGCTGGGAAAATTCTGGTCTATGAAAATGATCCCTAAATCTTGCTGTCTCAAGGTAAGGACACCAAGAAGAAAGCATCAAATATCAATTTTATGTCAAATATCAGTGTTATAAATGTTCATTTATATAGCTGATAAATAGGAGTCAAATACAAATTTATCAAATAGATTTCAACTACTCCACACTACTGTAAAAAGAAATATTATCCTTTTATAAATGTTAACTAAACATTAAATCTATTATAACATATGGAATGCTAAAAGTGTACACAAAACCTTTCCTGAGACATGGCACAATACCAGTATGACCAACCTGTATATATATTTATTCAAGATAAGAAGCATTTCATTTCCAAAAAGTAAACTATGTCCTTATCAGGTATATATCTTAATGCAAACACCAACAATGATCTACAGAAACAAGTCAGAGGCTACATGGATCTGTTTCCGCAAATGTGAAAGGAGAAATCATTAACAATGATATAAAAGCTATATTATAAAATAACCTAATCAAGTAAGGATGAATATTACAAAGGCTTCAAAATGATGCTTAGCTTATAAAGCACTCTATCAATGAATATTTTTTTTCTTTTTAGAGAGACAGGGTCTCACTCTGTGTTGCCCAGGCTGGAGTGCAGTGGCACGATCATAGTTCACTGCAGCCTTGAACTCCTGGGCTCACATGATCCTCTTGCCTCAGTCTCCCAAATACCCAAGACACTACTGGGACATGCCACTATGCCTATGCTCAGCTTTTTTTTTTTTTCTTTCTGTGGAGATGAGCCCTTGCTATGTTGACCAGGCTGGTCTTGAATTCCTATCCTCAAGCTATTCTCCTGCCTCAGCTTGAATATTCTTGATAAACATGAGGTTGCTCAGTATTTTAACACTACCATTTATTGAACACTAAAATGCGTCACATGCTTTAAAAGTAATCTCTCTAATCCTCAATGTTTTCTTTTCTTTTTTTTTTGAGATGGAGTCTTGCTCTGTCACCCAGGCTGGAGTGCAATGGCATGATCTGGGCTCACCGCAACCTCCACCTCCCGGGTTCAAGCAATTCTCCTGCCTCAGCCTTCTGAGTAGCTGGGATTACAGGCATGCGCCACCATGCGCCGCTAATTTTGGTATTTTTAGTAGAGGAGGAGTTTCGCCATGTTGGCCAGGCTGATCTCGAATGTCTGACCTCAGGTGATCCACCCACCTCAGCCTCCCACAGTGCTGGGATTACAGGCGTGAGCTACCGCCCCCAGCCAATGTTTTATTTCTTAAACTGGGCAGTAGGTACACAGTTTCCATTATGTTACTCTTTATTCTTTTTAGTACATCCAAAGTATTTATCATGTTTTTCTTTAAAAGAAAAGTAAAAAATTAAGGCTCCAGTTAAACTATCTGGCTTACCCAAGGTACCTAACTGGCACAGGCAACACTGGAACCCCGTACGCTGAATTCTGAATCCAAAGCACTTTCTGGTTCACTACTCTGCCTCTCAGAAACAGCAGTCATGGCAATGAGTGCAGATATCTCATTCACAAACCACTTTCCATGGAGAGATGGTGTAGTACCCCAGAACTCATGCTAAATGAAATAAACAGACACTGAGGATAACGATAATTTGTAAAAGGTGACATCAACATATCAATTAAGAAATCACGGTATAATAGTCATAATCTGGTCATATTACCATACTAAAGCTTTGAGACAGCAATGGTATTAATACCTAAAGAAAAGTGCTTGGCTGAGCGCGGTGGCTCACACCTGTAATCCCAACACTTTGGGAGGCTGAGGCGGGTGGATCACCTGAGGTCAGGAGTTCGAGACCAGCCTGGCCAACATGGTGAAACCCCATCTCTACTAAAAATACAAAAATTAGCTGGGCGTGGTAGCGCATGCCTATAATCCCAGCTACTCGAGAGGCTGAGGCAGGAAATTCGCTTGACCCGGGAGGCAGAAAATTCGCTTGACCCCGGAGGCAGAGGTTGCAGTGAGCCGAGATCACGCCATCGCACTCCAGCCTGAGTGACAGAGCAAGACTCCATCCCAAAAAAAAAAAAAAAGAAAGAAAAAAGAAAAGTGCTCACAAGTGGTAGTCAAGGTAATAAATCAAAAGGCAATAAACCATGCATAGAACCAGGTTCACTTATCTTCCAGAACTGCTGATCAAAGATGTCCTCATCCAATCAGAATGTGAGCATTCGGTTCATTTGGTCAGGCTCTTGCCTTAGCAGGAGGACATACAGGAACATCTAGCTCCTTTGTTCCGACTCTATAAGCACCAAGCCAGCTTCTGATTATAATTTAGCTCCCCATGTAACTAGCCTAAAGACTATATAGAACATTTTACCTAACAACTATATTTCTCATTTTAAAATAATAAACTTGTATCCTAGATTTAGGAGCTGGAGTGAACACAAGTCAGTCTCCCCAACTCCCCAACCTCTGGACATTGACAAAAGGTGAAGGCCAGATACTGAACCATGACCATCTAATCACGAAACTATTCCTCAGGTGCCCTTCAATGACACCATTAACTGACATCCCTTGAGTTTCGGTAGTTCAATGTTAAGAATCTTAAACAGGATCCGTTTAAGAAATCATTTGTTCTAAAATGGTTAAAAACATAAAAGAATGATCTGCCCAAGTAACTAGTGAGTGGGAAATTCTTCAATCATCTATGTAAATGCTTTACATAGATATAATTGATGGAATACAAATCCTGACTCTGCTCCATTGGGAAAATTGCTTAACATATCTAAATTTCAGTTCCACCATCTGAAAACTAATAATCCTTATCTCATATACCTATTCTAAGGATTAAATAAAATATTCAAATTAAGTACCAGTATAAATGTTCCATTAATGTTAATTTTGATAATGGAAAATATATGATACCTGCTATTACTAACTATACCAAAGTATCTCAACCATAAATTCTCCTATTGTTGGGTTTCCAGAAACTTAACAGGTATACTGGGGAGAAATCACATAAAACTAACAGGTTAATGCCAATTAATAAATGCAGAAGGAATGTGAGAAAAAAATCATTAGAACACTACAGTTATAATGATGACATGCAAGATACACCAACGGATGCTAAAATCAGCGGGCAAAAGTTTAAAAGAAAACAGTATATTTGCATAGTCTCAAAGATCTACCCCCAAGATATTTACTAATATACAACAGGAAAAACAGTAACTTTACAGGAGAGAAAGCCTGGCAGATACCACCTTAACCAAGTGATCAAGATTATTATCACCAGTAATACAAAACAACACCATGTACCCCCAGTTATGATGCACTGAGGATGGTGCATCACTTCTGTGGTATTCCTGCCAAAAATGCATAGTCTAAATCTAAGCATGAGAAAACATAAGACAAAGTCAAATTAAGGGGCAATCTAAAAAACAACTAAGGGGCAATCTAAAAAACAACTAAGGGCCAAGCATGGTGGCTCACACCTGTAATCCCAGCACTTTGGGAGGCCGAGGCAGGAGGAATGCTTGAGGCCAGGAGTTAGAGATCAGCCTGTTCAGCATAGCAAGACCCCATCTCTACCAAAAATAAAAATACAAGATATTAACATAAAGGGAGTCTGGGTGATGGGTATACAGGAACTTTCTATACTCTTTTTGCAACTCTTCTGTGAGTAGAAAATATATCAAAATAAAAAGTTTTTAAAAAAGAAAACTATGTAATAAAGGAGTGGTATCCCTGTTGCCCCCTACTGTCAACCCTACCATTTCCTTTAAACAAACCTATATTAAACAGCCCTTTCATCATTTCACGAACTCCAATTTCTAAGCCTTCTTATAACTGTAAACTCCTTCTACTGTAAGCTTTGTGAAAATGAGGCCTGTGTCTGCTTTTTCTCCCCATTATGTCCCTAGCACTTGGCATGTGTCTGGCACATTGCAGGTACTATTTATTTGTTGAATGAACAAATGGCAGCTATAGTCTATTGTATTCATTTCCTATTGCTACTGTAACAAATTACAACAAACACAGTGGCTTAAAACAGAAATGTATTATCTGCTAGTTGTAGGGATTAAGAAATCCAAATTGAGTCTCTCTAGACTAAAATCAAGGTATCAGGAGGGCTGCATTCCTGTGAAGACTCTAGAGAAGAATGTTTCCTTATCTTTTCCAGCTTCTGGAGACTGTCCACATTCGTTGGCTCATTGTCAGCAACTGCATCACTCCAGCCTCTGCTTCCATCATCAGATCTCCTCCTCTGACTATGGCCATTCTGCCTCCCTCTTATAAGGACCCTTGTGATTACACTGGGTCCACCCAGATAATCCAGGGTAATCTTCCAATCCCTAGATCTTTAAGTTAATCGCATCTGCAAAGTCCTTTTTGAAATGTAAGATGACATATTCACAGGTTCCAGGGATTAGGACATGGACATCTTTGGGGGGCTATTTTCAGCTTACCACATGTATCAATTTTTTAAATCTATCAAGCAAATAATTAGCTCAAAACTAACTCACTCAACTAACTGGGGAAATTAATGCTATTTCCCAGACAAAGGCTATCTCCTGCCACTCCCACCCTTTGTCATTTTGTAAAAGCATTTGCCTTTGGTTTATATTTAATAAAGTTCGTGACTAGTTTTTAAACAGAGATGAGAACATGTATATTTAAGCAAGCTCTATCCCTCCTCCCTTCAATGTAATCACGCTTTGTCCATGACTGAATTCTACTTTTAGGGCTGGATCTGATGAAGAGAGTGGGAAATCAAACTGAATCAGACTATTTGGCGTGTGCCTATAATGTAATGAAGCACTTTCTTACACGGCTAAACAGAATCCAGAAACATTTCCAAGAGGGACATAAAAATATTTGGGGAGCAAAATTAAATGTCCCAGTGCGAATACTGTAAACAACTATATTCAGAAACAGAAATTCTAGCATCTTTTTAAATTACTTTTTCCTTTATTGGAAATTCAACTGTTTTCGTATCTAATTCTAATTTCACAATCAAATGTAATAGGGCTAATGTCTCAAAATATAGTTTTCCCCAAAGTATACTTAGATGATGAATGAAAATAAAATAGAAATAAGTTCTTCCACAATTTTGATAGATGCTTCAGGTGTGGAAGTATGGATTTTTAAGCTGTTACTTCCACTGCATTGCTTTGAGTATATTCATTACTATAATGAAAGTATATTAGAATGCTCACTCAACGTGTCAACCTGCTATACTCTATTGTGCCATTTTTTTCCTTTTGGTATTTCTTTTCAGTGTCATGTTTGGTTCGGTTAACAGGCTATAGCTCGAGTTGTTAGATATCTAAGTGCTATTCAAAGGTCTGTTACCCTCCAAAGTACACAATCACATATCTGACCACAGAGTGAGGCTTATTACAAGCACACTCAAATACATTTCAGAAAAAGTCAACAAAACATATTTCAAATCTCTATGATGTTTCTATATTTAGAAAAAAGTTCCATTGGCCGGGCGTTGTGGCTCACGACTGTAATCCCAGCACTTTGGAAGGCCGAGACGGGTGGATCACTTGAAGTCAGGAGTTCAAGACTAGCCTGGCCAAAATGGTGAAACCCAGTCTCTACTAAAAACACAAAAATTAGCTGGGCATGGTAGCACATGCCTGTAATCCCAGCAACTCAGGAGGCTGAGACAGGAGAATCGCTTGAACCCGGGAGGCGGAGGTTGCAGTGAGCCAAGATCATGCCATTGCACTCCAGCCTGGGCAACAAGAGCGAAACTCCCTCTCAAAAAAAAAAAAAAAAAAAAAAAAAAAGGAAATAGTTCCATTATATGAAGAAAACAAATGATAAATGTACTGGTGTAAGTATTTTCCAACTCATCATAGAGCAAAAACTGGTTGTATTTCCATGTGTAAAAGCTAAGTGATGTTAATTTTCAAATTGTTAGTGGAGGAAGAAACTATTACAAACTCCTGTGACTGATTCTTTCTGAGAGTTGCTAAACTGGTCTTTCAGTAACATGTGACCAAGTCTTTCAACATCATAAACTAAAATATAGTCTTCTAAATAGCACTTACGACTTATAGCCCTCACTCACAGTAATTTACTAATTTACCAAGTAATCACCAAGTAATTTACCAAAGTTTTTACAAAGAACAATAGGTCAAAGTCTTTCCATTAATTTTTGTTTGTTTGTTTGATTTTTTTTTTTTTTTGAGATGAAGTCTCGCTCTGTTGCCCAGGCTGGAGTGCAGTAGCGTGATCTCAGCTCACTGTAAGCTCCGCCTCCTGGGTTCACGCCATTCTCCTGCCTCAGCCTCCCGAGTAGCTGGGACTACAGATGCCCGCCACTACACCCGGCTAATTTTTTGTATTTTTAGTAGAGACGAGATTTCACTGTGTTAGCCAGGATGGTCTCAATCTCCTGACCTCGTGATCCGCCTGCCTCGGCCTTCCAAAGTGCTGGGATTACAGGCGTGAGCCACCGCACCAGGCCCCATTAATATATTTTTTAAATAAAGTTATGGGAGCCAGGTACAGTGGCTCATGCCTGTAATCCCAGTGTTTTTGGAGGCCAAGGTAGGAGGATCACTTGAACCCAGGAGTTCAAGACTAGCCTGAGCAACATAGCAAAACCCCATCTCTACAAAAATTAAAGACTGGGTGCAGTGGCTCATGCCTGTAATTCCAGAACTTTGAGAGGCCAAGGCAGGAGAATCACTTGAGCCCAGGAGTTTGAGACCAGCCCAAGCAACATAGTGAGACCCTGCCTCTAAAAAAAAATAATAAAATTAAAATGAAAGAAATTATAGCCGGGTGCAGTGGCTCACACCTGTAATCCTGTACTTTGGGAGACTGAGGCAGGCAGATCACTTGAGGTCAGGAGATCGAGACCATCCTGGCTAACACAGTGAAACCCCGTCTCTACTAAAAATACAAAAAATTAGCTAGGTGTGGTGGCAAGCGCCTGTAGTCCCAGCTACTCGGGAGGCTGAGACAGAAGAATTGCTTGAACCCAGGAGGCAGAGGTTGCAGTGAGCCGAGATCATGCCACTAGGAAGTCTGAGCGGGGAAGACTGATGGAGCATAGGAGTTTGAGGTTGCAGTGAGCTACAACATGCCATTGCATTCCAGCCTGGGCAACAGAGCAAGACCTTGTCTCTTAAAAAAATCAAGTTATGGAAACCATAAAATATGAAAAACTTGAAATGCAGGTGTTTATAGCCAAATCCTAAATCTGAGAGTTTGTTTTCAACATCCTCAAAGTCAAATATCAGCAGTAAAATTTATCGCTCCCAGTTCTTTGCAGCACCATAAGGTCAATGTATTCTAAACAAATGGAGTGGGGCTGTTAAGAATTATTACACAATTTGCCTTTGCTTTGTTGGTGATAAAAAAGACAGAATTAGGCTGGGCATGGTGGCTCATGTCTGTAATCTCAGCACTCTGAGAGGCAGAGACAGGAGGACCTCTAGAAGCCAGGAGTTCGAGACTGGCCTGGACAACATAATGAGACTGTCTCTACAAAAAGCAAACAAACAGAATTATTTCACAAGACTCAAATATCCACAATGGGGAAGAAGGGAATGCCATCAAGAGAAAAAGGTATTAAAACCTATTGTTGAGCTATAAATTTCAAATCAAACACGCAAAAATAAAATTTAAAAAAAAGAAAAGTACCAGGTACAGTGGCTTGTGCCTGTAGTCCCAGCTACTTGGTTGGCCAAGGCAGGAGGATCACTTGAGCCCAGGACTTCAAGACCAATCTGGCAGACAGAGTGAGACTCTGTCTCTAAAAATCAAAAGGCCAGGTGGTGGTGGCTCATGCCTGTAATCCCAGCACTTTGGGAGGCCGAGACGGGCAGATCACTTGAGGCCAGCCTGGGCAACATGGCAAAACCCCGTCTCTACAAAAAATACAAAAATTAGCCAGGCATGGTGACACACATCTGTGGTCCCAGCTACTAGGGAGGCTGAGGTGGGAGAATCAATTAAGCCCACAAGGTCAAGGCTACAGTGAGCTGTGATCATTACCACTGCACTCCAGCCTGGGTGACAGAGGGAGACCCTGTCTCAAAAAATAAAAAAGAAAAAAAAAAAGAAAAGAATTACCTAACATTAGGGGAGAAAATTAAGCAAGAGGTAGTGTCAATGCTATAGTTTATATATTTTAATAATGGTAATAAATAGAACATATATCAAATTGATAAGACAAAAGTATGGACATATCAATTATATATATATTATATATACAATCTCGCACACACATATAAAAAAAGAATGAAAAAGAATCTAGAATAATTTAGACATTCAAACTGCTCACTGGGGTCTTCTTCTACAGACTTGTTTAATTATATAATAAATAAGACTGTAGAAGAAGAATGAGAAATTGTACATTACAAACTGCATTGTACTCAGGAAGTAATTCAAAGATGATGCCCCTTATTCTCCTGGGATTATAAATAAGCTAGTTTTTCTTAATTTCAAATATGCAGGCTGGGCACGGTGGCTCATGCCTGTAATTCCAGCATTTTGGGAGGCTAAGGCATCTCTACAAAATATTTCAAAAAAAAAAAAATTAGCTGGGGATGGTGGCCTATGCCTGTAGTCCTGGCTATTCGGGAGGATCCTGAGCCCAGGCATTCGAGGTTACAGTGAGCTATGATCATGCCACTGTACTCTAGCCTGGGCAACAGAGCAAGACTTTGCCTTTAAAAAAAAAAAAGGAGAAGACGAAGCAATATCCAAAAACTGATTAAATAAGTCCACTAATTCTGACATTCCTTTTAGAACAGAAAATTACAATTGTTGTTTTCTGTGTAAATTAAAATGTACTTTATATATTACATTTCCTCCACATTAGAGATTCTGAAATCTGGCTATGTATCCAATCACCTAGGGAACTTTTTTTTGAGACAGGGTCTCATTCTGTCACCCAGGGTGGAGTGCAGTGGGGCACAATCACAACTCACTGCAGCCTCAAACTCTGGGGCTCAAGTGACTCTCCTGCCTCAACCTTCTGAGTAGCTAGGACTATAGGTGAGCACCACCATGCCCAGCATCTTGGGAACTTTTAAACAGTAAGTTCCTGGAGCTCATCTCCTAAAGATTCCAATTTGAGAAGTCTGGACTGGAAGCCGGAAATCAGAATACATAATATAATATAAAGATCATGTTAGTGTATTAAAGGAATGCCTACTGTGTTTCAGCTAGCTTTTGGGTTTGGTCCCATATTTCAAGTGCTTCCCAAACTCTACTTAACTGTGCATACAAATCACTTGGATGTGTTACCAAAAGTCAGATTCTGATTCAGAATGTCTGGAATGAGGCCTGGGAATATGCAGTTCTGACAAGCTCCCAGGTGATGTCCATGCTGCTGGTCCAGGGACCACACTTCGAGTAGTAAGACCTTATGAGATTTTTAAACCTTTCCAGAGGTGAATGATAGAAGTCAGTATCCTACAGCCAGGTGCGGTGGCTCACGCCTGTACTCCCAGCACTTTGGGAGGCCAAGGCGGGCAGATCACCTGAGGTCCGGAGTTCAAGACCAGCCTGGCCAGTATGTTGAAACCTGCCTCTACTAAAAATACAAAAATTAGCCGGGCATGGTGGTACATGCCTGTAATCCCAGCTACTCGGGAGGCTGAGGCAAGAGAATCGCTTGAACCCAGGAGGCTGGAACCCAGGAGGTTGCAGTGAGCCGAGATTGCACCACAGCACTCCAGCCTGGGCAACAGAGCAAGACTCTGTCTTAAAAAAAAAAAAAAAGTCAGTATCCTATGCAGTTTCTCCCACTGAAATATTTTCAAGTTTTACCTAAACATCCTTTAACATAACTAGAGTACACAGCTTGCAAAATGACTGACTTATCTTTACTATGTACCCTACTACCAAGTGAATGGAAATTATTTCCCTCATTTACAGATGGTATCATGCAAAGTTGAGTGCTACTGATGTCACAATGCAGAGATGAAATTAAAATTTACATAACTTTCAATATTATACACAAGGATGTTCATCATAGCCATGGTTATAATAGTAAAATAGTAGAGAGGAAAAACCTTGGCAGGCTACAGTGGCTCATGCCTATAATCCCAGCATTTTGGGAAGCCGAAGTGGAAGGAGCACTTGAGCCTAGAAGTGTGAGACCAGCTTGGGCAAAATAGTAAGACTTCATTTCCACAAAAAATAAAAACACGGCCAGGCATGGTGGCTCACGCCTGTAATCCCAGCACTTTGGGAGGCCGAGGCAGGCAGATCACAAGGTCAGGAGTTCGAGACCAGCCTGGCCAATATGGTGAAACCCCTATCTCTACTAAAAATACAAAAATTAGCCAGGCGTGGTGGCACACACCTGTAGTCCCAGCTACTAGGGAGGCTGAGGCAGAATAATCACTTGAACCTGGGAGGTGGAGGTTGCAGTGAGCCGAGATTGTGCCACTGCACTCTACCCTGGGCAACAGAGCAAGACTCCGTCTAAAACAAACAAACAAACAAACAAACAAAAAACACTATTACCTGAGTGTGGTGGCACACATCCGCAGTCCCAGCTACTAGGGAGGCTGAGGTGGGAGGATCACTTGAGCCCAGGACGTTAAGGCTTCAGTGAGCCAAGACAGCGCCACTGCATTCCAGCCTAGATGACGGCGTGAGATTATGTCTCCCAAAAAAATAAAAGGCCCTACATATCCAACAATATGGGACTGCTTAAATAACCTAGAAGAACCTTATAATGAAATAGTAGGCATCTATTTTAAAAAAATTATGTAGGCCAGGCACAGTGGCTGACGCCTGTAATCCCAGCACCGTGGGAGGCCAAGGCAGGCAGATGGCTTGAGCCCAGGAGTTTGAGACCAACCAGGGCAACACGGCAAAACCCATCTCTACTAAAAATACAAAAACAAACCTGCACGTTGTGCACATGTATCCTAAAACTTAAAGTATAATAAAAAAAAAATACAAAAACAAAATTAGCCAGGAGTGGTGGCACACACCTGTAGTCCCAGCTACTCGAGAGGCTGAAGTGGGAGAATTGCTTCAGCCTGGGAGGTGGAGGTTACAATGAGCCGAGATCATGCCACTGCACTCCAGCCTGGGCAAAAGAGTGAGACTCTGTCTCAAAAAATAAAATTAAAAAATTAATAAAATAAATAAAAAATAAAAAATGGGGGTGGGTGGGAGGAGGGAGAGCATCAGGAAGAACAGCTAATGGATGCTGGGCTAAATACCTAGGTGATGGGATGATTTATGCAGCAAACCACCATGGCACACGTTTACCTATGTAACAAACCTGCACATCCTGCACATGTACCTCTGAACTTAAAATTTGGAAATCAAAAAATAAAATTTAAAAAGAAAAAAAATTATGTAAATATACACTAACAAAAATAAATAAATAAATATACACTTACAGATAATGAAAAGAGATTCAAGATAAGTGAAAATAAAGATTATAAAATTTTATAGAAAGATATATGTGTGTGTGTGCATATATATATATATATATACACACATACATATACCAGAAAGATGTATATACTAAAATGTTTAAAGCCTTGTACTCAAAGTACTGGAATTTTAGGTCATTCTGATGCTTGCTTGCCTGCATTATCTAATATTTCTACTACAATGTATACCATATAAAATTCTTAAAGGGTAAAAAGCAGGTGAGAAGAAAACCAAGCAAACTCCACACATGCACATACCTTTCGAGGCCCACCGGAATGGGTCTGACTGATAAGTAACTTGCTTTCTAAAGAGTGTTCAAGGGACTCCCTAAATTAGAAGCACTTAGAAAGTTTTTAAAAATTGCAGTCTTGCACCCCAATCCAGATTTATTGAATCAGAATTTGTACCAACGGGCCCTAGAGTTTGCATATGAAGCAAATACTGACTCTTATAAACAGTAAAGTTTGGAAACCATGGCATTAAACAAAAAGCTTCCTAGAAATGCAGAAACCTGGACTAAATTCCAACCTATCTGAACAGCAACCTACAGCAAATTCAGAATGAGTGAAATCATGGTGTTTTCATACATATACACCTACACTCACGGAGACCACTGGAATTTGAGCAACAGAAACCTGTTCTTAGCAACTGGCTTTATTCCATCCTAATTTTAAGCATCCCATGTGATCAATAACCAACCATTTCCTATGGGCTGACTGAGGTCACAGAGGTTTTCCTTATATTTGACCCACATCTGTCTAAAACTTCTCATTATAACCCCTTCTATGATGTTCTGTCCCTATTTAGTTCTTCATTAATTAAAAGTACTACATGAACATTTATTATGGAACCAAATATGTAGGCAATTCAATCATTCTCCTGTTGCTTTCATTTCTCATTTCTAAACACATTCTAGCTGAATAACTTCAATAGATTCTGGTGATTATTTCTTCCAGAGATACTCTCTGAGGTAAACTCAAAGGCATCATGAGCTTCTATCAGTAAAGGTCCTCAAAGAATCAAGTAAAACCTTTCCTGTTCTGAAAAACACCACATGAACCCCCAAGATTTTATTGAAAGAAAAAGAGAAAAGGTATATGCCACACTGAATATATTTCCCTATCACATTCTCAAGTACTTAGTATAACAATCAACTCATAAGTCATATATTTATGAAAAGTTTTCAAAAGGAGACATTAAGAGTTTGGGGACTTTCCTAAAGCTAACAAATTAAAACAATTTTTCCAAAAGAAAGTCATGATAGGCCAGGAGCCATGACTCATGCCTGTAATCCCAACACTTTGGGAGGCCAAGGCGGGAGGATCACCTGAGGTCAGGAGTTCAAGACCAGCCTGCTCAACATGGTGAAACCCTGTCTCTACTAAAAAACCAAAAAATTAGCGGGGCGTAGTGGCGTGCACCTGTAATCCCAGCTATTTGGGAGGCTGAGGCGGCAGAGGTTGCAGTGAGCCGAGACTGCACCACTGCACTCCAGCCTGGGTGACAGATCAAGATTCCGCCTCAAAAAAAAAAAAAAAGAAAAAAGAAAAAGAAAAACAAAGCCATGATAGATTTTTTTTTCTTCCCCTTTAAAACAGAAAAGAAAACAACAGGAGAAAAAAAAGTTTGGAGTGAGCTCCTAAGAGGATATAGGAAAGGACCATAATTTCTAGGATGTGGGGGACAAGCCCTTTATTTTATTTTAATCCATGATACATGGATAATCATGAATCACACAGAAGGCCAGGCCAGCTAAAACTTGAATTTATTATAACCAAGAAGATTATATACCTACCTGCAGCTCACACCAAGCAACCTCAACCCATGTTTCAGTGTCCAGTCCTTTATATACTGTTTTAAATGCTCCTCTTCCTAGTTCTATGTCAAATTTCAGGAATCTGCCACTAGGAGAAGTAGCTACAGCCTTCATTTCTGCTTCTTCTTCCATTTCCTTTTCATTTTTCTCCTTGAAACAATCTTTTGAGATTTCTGAGGTTGACTTTGAACACTGTTCATATTTAACTTCTTGTCCACCTCTCAACACATTTGAAGGAAGCTTATCTACTCTTGGAATATTCATTGCAGCCTTAATTCTCTCATCTTTGGGGGATGATTCGGCAACTTTGTCATCTTCCGTCATTTCAACACTCTTTCGGAAAAATCTCTTCCTTTCTACAGTTTCCCCAGAAGCAGAGAAGGTACTGTTTTTCTCCTTTAGTCTAGCTTCTACTGTCAAAGTTGCAGCGACCTGGGGAACTCTGTTTTCAAATGAAATTCCATCAGGTTTCTCAGAATCTTCTGTGCTGGCTGGATCCCCTGAATCAGTGGCCATTGTAATTAAAGTTGGCACTAAAATTTTTCCTGTTTCTACTCTTCAGTCCAGTTACATCTCAGGTATCAGAATTATCAGAATGGACTTCCTTTTGCGTGGTCATGTATTTCCATAGCAACCTGAAGGGGGGGAAAAAGATATTTTAAAATCACCCTACAAAGGAAATCATTAAGGAGAAAACAAATCACCTGATTTTTTAATCCCTTTTTCCTTAATAAGAAGTTTATTCTTTTTTCTGTCCAATCTTAGGAACCAGCAGACTCTAGGGACTGTGTCTTATCTTGTTTACCATTAGTCCTCAGTGTCTAGCAGACTACTTAGTATATAGCTCAATCTGTCTTCATATTGCATGAATATTGGTTAGAAACCTAGTTCTCAGCTCCATCTGTCAATCCATCAAATTCAAAATGAGTACCCAAACCCTGAGTTCACTTAGCCACAATGTGACAAACACAGTAAGTAAAACAACCACATGGTTTCTAGGTGGTTTTTGTCTAAAATTCTGGAATTCATCAATAGTAGTTTCTTTTACTGTACTAAAATATACATATCGTCAAATTTACCATTTTAACCATTTTTAATTATACAATTCAGTGGTGTTAAGTACATTCACAGTGTTGTGCAATCATCACTACTATCCATGCCCAGAGCTTTTTAATCATCCCAAATTGAAACTCTGTACCAGTTAAACAATGATTCCCTATCAGCCCCCACCCACCCCTGGTAACTTCTACTTTCTGTCTCTATGAATTTGCTTATTCTAGGTAATTCATATAAATGGAATCAGACCACATTTGTCCTTTTGTGTCTGGCCTATTTCACTTAGTATAATATTTTCAAGGTCCACTGATGTTGTAGCATGTATCAGAATTTCATTCCTTTTTAAGGCTGAATAATATTCCATATGTTATAGACCACATTTTGTTCATCCCATTCATCTGCCAATGGATTGGATTGCTTCCACCTTTTGACTATTGTGAATGTTGCTGCTATAAACATCCAACAGCAATTTGAAATAATGCAAATATTTATAAGCTTGCCTTCAGATTTTAACAGAAACTATTGTCAAATATTAATACACTATCCTAAAACAATAGCAAGAAAGACTCAAAACCACGTATTCTTTTAAACTAGCAATTCTACTTATAGGAACTTGCCTTAGAAAATAGTCAAGAATCTGTGCAAAGATTTAACTATAAAGATGTTCATTCTAGCACTTATGGAAAAAACTAAACATAAGCCTAATTGGTGTTTAATTAAGTATCTCAAAATGAGGTATGCCACAACATTAAAAATAACACTGTAGGCTGGGCACGGTGGCTCACACCTGTAATCCCAGCACTTTGGGAGGCCGAGGCGGGCAGATCACTTGAGGTCAGGAGTTCGAGACCAAACCAGCCTGGTTTAGTGAAACCCTGACTCTACTAAAAATACAAAAAAATTTAGCAGGGTGTGGTGGCGGGCACCTGTAATCCCAGCTACCCGGGAGGCTTAGGCAGGAGAATCACTCGAACCTGGGAGGCTGAGGTTGCGCCACTGCACTCCAGCCTGGGCGACGGAGACTCTGTCTCAAAAAACAAAACAACAACAACAACAATAAAACACTGTAGTCTTCAGTGAGATAAAAGACGTTCCCTATATATTATATGGTTAAATGTAAAAAGGAATATATACAAGCTTACAGACATAATTCTGAAATTATGGATTTTTCTTTCTGCTTTTTTGTATTTTCTAAAACTTTGCACAATAAACATGTGAAAATATGTGGGAAAAAGTTTTTCAAGTGAGTAGTCAAACCACCAATAAGAAAATGCTTCCCTTCTCACCACAATCATGCACTGCAAAGTTAAGCCTGTATACTTCTTACTATGTTACGCACCTCAAAGGGCGCAGTTTGTCACAAAGATTTGTTAAGAATTATGTCAAACCAAAAATGCACAGAAATATCAATTTGAGAAGCTGAAGAAAAAAAACCTTGAACTAAAATAAACAAAATAAAAATAAAATAAAACAAACAAAATAGAGACAAATACTCCAAGTTGTTCTACACATTCAACTCACTTCATCAAAATTCCAGCTGGTTTCTTTGCAGAAAACATCAAGCTAATCCTAAAATGCATATAGAATGTCAAGGGACCCATAATAATCAAAGCTAATACAATCTTGAAAAAGAACAAATTTGGAGGATCCATACTCCTTAACAACCTACTACAAAGGTACAGTATTAAGACAGTATGGTTCTGGCATAAGAATAGATGTATAGATAAATGGAATAAAAATTGAGTTCAGAAATAAAGCCATATTATTTATGGTTAATTGATTTTCAACAAGAATAGCCGGGTGCAGTGGCTCACGCCTGCAATCTTAGCACTTTGGGAGGCCAAGGTGGGTGGACTGCCTGAGCTCAGGAGTTCGAGACCATCCTGGGCAACATGGTGAAACCCCATCTCTATAAAATACAAAAAATTAACCAGGCATGGTGGCAGGTGCCTGTAGTCCCAGCTACTCGGGAGGCTGAGGCAGGAGAATCACTTGAACCTGGGCAGTGAAGGCTGTGAATCGCTTGAACCTGGGAGGTGGAGGATGCAGTGAGCTGAGATCTCACCACTGCACTCCAGCCTGGGTGACAGAGTGAGACTCTGTCTCACCCCTGCCCCACCCTCCCCATCCCCCCAAAAAAACCCACAAGGTTGCCAAGAAAATTCAGTGGGGGAAAGAATATTTTTTCCAACAAATGGTGCTGGGACAACTGGATATCCACATGCAAAAGAATGAAGTCAGATCCTCTAGTAAGTTTTTCTGGGAAAAAAAATGCCTGAGTTGAGTCTCAAAGAAAGATAATTAGCTGATCCAGGCAGAGGGAAGATCACAAGCAAAGGCATTAAACAGTATGGAGTAAGTGTATGAGTGGTATCATGAGCAGTTGTTTACATGTGTATCAGAAGAAGCAGACAGATGAGGACAGAGAGGCAGATAGACACCAGGGACTTCTATGCCATACAATGTAAAACAAGGAGACCCATTAAAAAGCTACTGCAACAATCCAGAAGAGATGATGAGGTTTGAATGAAAATAGTGGCAGGAGGGATAGGTTCAAAACACATTAGGGAACTACTAAATGCAAGAAAATTTACTGTCTGAATGAATATGGCTGTGAGGGAAAAGAAAGAGTCTTACGGTGACTCACAAAAATTTGCCAACCAGATGACATTACTAGGACATATCTATGTTAATACCAAAGCTAAGAACTGAACTCATGAAGGTCTCTATGAGGTTACATTGCCAAATCACTTCCAAAGTCACTTAATAAGACTAGTATTGTATGCAAGTGAAAAAAAGTTAACTAGTTTAACTCTTTATTCTGAAATAATTTTTGACTTGGGAAAAAAAAACCTGCAAGAGCATAAAAAGAATCCAGTATTCACCGACGTTCCCCAAATGTTAAACATTTTAGGTGAGATTTTAAACCTCAAGAGCAAAACTCCACAAGTTAGACAAAAGGGCATCTAAGCAAGGAGCCAAAAATAGTTAAGCCAGAGAATTTAAGTTGGAAAGCCTTCAAAATTTTTTTTACTACAGAACCTATTTAAAAAAAATAAAATCTTTGGCTGGGTGCGGTGGCTCACGCCTGTAATCCCAGCACTTTGGGAGGCCAAGGTGGGTGGATCATGAGGTCAGGAGTTCCAAGACCAGCCTGGCCAAGATGGTGAAACCTCATCTCTACTAAAAATACAAAAATTAGCTGAGTGTGGTGGCGGGTGCCTGTAATCTCAGCTACTCAGAGGCTGAGGCAGAGAATTGCTTGAACCCGGGAGGCAGAGGTTGCAGAGAGCCGAGATTGCGCCACTGCACGCTAGCCTGGGCGACAGAGCGAGACTAGTCTCAAATAAATAAATAAATAAATAAATAAATAAATAAATAAATAAAATATTTGAGGCCAGGTGCAATGGATTACGCCTGCAATCCCAGGTACTCAGGAGGCTGAGGCACAAGAATAGCTTGAACCCAGGAGGCAGAGGTTGTCGTGAGCCGAGATCACACCACTGCACTCAGGACTGGGTGACTGAGTGAGACCCTGTCTCAAAAATAAATAAAATAAAATAAAATCTTTGGCCAGACACAGTAGCTCATGCTTATAATCCCAGGAATTTGGGAGGCCAAGGAGGGAGGATTGCTTGAGCCCAGGAGTTTGAGACCAGCCTGGGCAACATGGCAAGACCCCATCTCTACAAAAAAATTACAAAATTAGCTGGGTATGTTGGCATGTGCCTGTAGCCCAAACTCCAGGAGGCTGAGGCAGGAGGATCCCTTGAGCCCAGGAGGACAAGGTTGTAGTAAGATTGACAGAGCCACTGCACTCTAGCCTGGGTGACAGAGACCTTGTCTCAAAACAAAACAAAAAAAACTTTGCCTTCAGGTCCATGGTGTTGGGAAAATTTTTTTTTAATTTAAAAACAATAGGCTGGGCTGGGCACGGTGGCTCACACCTATAATCCCAGCATTTTGGGAGGCCAGGGCAGGCCGGTTACCTGAGGTCAGAAGTTCTAGACCAGCCTGGCCAACATGGTGAAACCCCGTCTCTACTGAAAAATACAAAAATTAGCCAGGTGTGGTTGTGTATGCTTGTAATCCCAGCTACTTGGGAGGCTGAAGCTCAAGAATCGCTTGAACCCAGAATGCAGAGGTTGCAGTGAGCCAAGATCACGTCACCACATTCCAGCCTGGGCGACAGAGCAAGAACCTGTTTAAAAAAAAAAAAAATACTTAGCCAGGCATGGTGGCATGCACCTGTAGTCTTAGCTACCGGGGAGGCTGAGGTGGGAGGATCACCTGAGCCTGGGAAGTTGAGGCTGCAGTAAGCCACTACAGTCCAACCTGGGTGACAGAGTGAGACTCTGTCTCAAAAAAAATTAATTAATTAAAATAAAAAACAAAATAAAATCTTATTCAGACCCCTAATATAATAGAGGAGTGGCAAGTACTGGTGCTCTGGTATAATAATTCTAACACCTGGCTTCCCAAAGTATAGGATAAGAAGCAAATAAGACCTGGGCGTGGTGGCTCACACTTGTAAACCCAGCACTTTGGGAGGCTGAGGTGGGTGGATCACCTGAGGTCAGGAGTTTGAGACCACACTGGCCAACATGGTGAAACCCCATTTATATTAAAAATACAAAAATTAGCCGGGTGTGGTGGTACGTGCCTATAATCCCAGCTGCTCGGGAGGCTGAGGCATGAGAATAGCTTGAATCTGGGAGGCAGAGGCTGCAGTGAGCCAAGACCATGCCACTGCACTCCAGCCTGGGTGACAGAGCAAGACTCTGTCTCAAAAAAAAAAAAAAAAAGAAGCAAATAAGAAGGATGAAGAAAGAAATCTTCCCTCAGTCTTTTAAAAACCAGTACCCTAAGACAAAAATATGTTACTAGAGAAAAGGAGGGGCATTTTACGTGGATAAAAGTTAATTCATCAAGACAATATACCATAAACGCATCTAACAACAGAGTCCCAAAATACATTTAATAAAAACTGACAAAACTGGAGAAATAGATAATTCAGTAATAGCAAAAGATTTCAATACCCCACTCTCAATAATGGAGAGAGTAACTAGACAGAAAATCAACAAGTATATGGAAAACTTGGTCAATACTATCAACCAACTTGACCTAAGTGACATCTACAGAACACTTCACCCAACAATAGCAAAATAGACATTCTTTTCAAGCACACATAGAACATTCTCTGAAAAAAAAATCATATGCTATGCAATAAAACAAATCTCAACAAATTTAAAGAGATTGAAATCATACAAAGCATGCTCTCCTACCAAAAATGAATAAATTAGAAATGAACAACAGGGTAAGGACAGACATATAGGTCAATAGAACTGAGAGTCTAAAAGCCGTAACATTTATGGTCAATTGATTTTCAATACAGAGGTTAAGACCATTCAATAGGAAAAGAACAGTTATTTCAACCAAACTTGTGGCATAACTGCAATCCACATGCAAAAGAATGAAGCTGGACCCCGACCTCGTACCATACACAGAAATTTAAAGTGGATCACAGTCCTAAATACAAAAGCTAAAACTATAAAACTTTTAGAAGAAAACATTGGAGTAAATCTCAGTAACTCGGGTCAGACAATTCCCAGCCACAACACTAAAACCACAAGCATAAAAGAGAAAATTAAGAAGCTGCACCTCGGCTGGGCGCGGTGGCTCACGCCTCTGTTTGGGAGTCCAAGGCAGGTGGATCACTTGAGGTCAGGAGTTTGAGACCAGCCTAGCCAACATGGTGAAAACCCATCTCTACTAAAAATACAAAAATTAGCCAGGCATGGTGGCATGTGCCCGTAATCCCAGCTACTCAGGAGGCTGAGGCACAAGAATCGCTTGAACCTGGGAAGCAGAGGTTACAGTGAGCCGAGATCACGCCTCTGCACTCCAGCCTGGGTAACAGAATAAGACTCAGTCTCAAAAAAACAAAAAACCAAAAAAACAGAGAAGCTTCACCTCATCAAAATTTTAAACTTTTGTGCTTCAAAGGATACCTTCAAGAAAGAGGTGAAGACAACCTACAGGGGAGGAGAAAGTATGTGCCAAATCATATATGTGATAGGGGATGGTATCAAACTATATCAAGAACTCAATAATGGCCGGGTGCATTGGCTCACACCTGTAATCCCAGCACTCTGGGAGGCTGAGGCGGGTGGATCATTTGAGATCAGGAGTTCAAGACCAGCCTGGCCAACATGGTGAAACCCCATCTCTACTAAAAATACAAAAATTAGCCGGGCAGTAGTGGCGCACGCCTGTAATCCTAGCTACTCAGAAGGCTGAGGCAGGAGAATCGCTTGAGCCTGGGAGGTGGAGATTGCAGTAAGCTGAGATCGCACCACTGCACTCCAGCCTTGGTGACAGAGTGGGACCCTGAGTAAAAATAAAAAAAAAAAAGAACCCAATAATGACAAGACAAATAATCCAATTTTAAAATAGGCAAAAGATCTGAATAGACATTTCTATAAAGAAGAAATCCAAAAGACCAATAAACACATAAAAAGTTGTTCCACATCATTACTTATTGTGGAAATGCAAATCAAAACCACAATGAAATGCCACTTCATACCCTACAATAAAAAAAGACAGTAACAAGTGTTGACAAGCACATGAAGAAAACAGAACCCTCATACACTGCTAGTGGGAATGTAAAATGGTACAGCTGCTTTGGAACACAGTCTGGCAGTTCCTCAGTAAGTTAAACAGAGTTACCATATGATATCATCTACCTAAGAGAAATGAAAACATATGTCCACACAAAAACTTGTACAAGTGTTCATAGCAGCACTATTCACAATACCCAAAGGTGGAAACAATCCAAATGTCTATCAACTGATGAATGGATAAACAAAATGTATTAGGTGTAATAGAATATTAATGGGAAGGCTGGGCACAGTGGCTCACACCTGTAATCCTAGCACTTTGGGAAGCCGAGGTAGGTGAATCATTTGAGGTCAGGAGTTCGAGACCAGCCTGGCCAACATGGTGAAACCCCATCTCTACTAAAAATACAAAAATTAGCCAGGCGTGGTAGTGGGTACCTAGAATCCCAGCTACTCAGGAGGCTGAGGCAGGAAAATCGCTTGAACCCAGGGGGCAGAGGTTGCAGCGAGCCAAGATGGCGCCACTTCACTCCAACCTGGGCGAAAGAGTGAAGCTCCATCTCAAAAAAAAAAAAGAATATTACTGGGCAATAAAAACGAATGGTGTCAGGTGTGGTGGCACACACCTATAATCTCAGTTACCCAGGAGGCTGAGGTGGGAGGATCACTTGAGCCCAGAAGTTCAAGGCTGCAGTGTGCTATGATCATGCCCATGAATAGCCACTGCCTGCTACCCTGGGCAATATAGCGAGGTCCCATCTCTAAAAATAAAAAATAATAAAAAAAAAGGAATGGAGTATTGATATATGCTACAACAAGGATGAACCATGAAGACATTATGCTAAGCGAAAGACGTCAGAGGAAAAGACTGCATACTATATGATTTCATTTATATGAAATGTCCAGAAAATACAAAACTACAGAAACAGAAAATAGATTAGTGGTTGGGGCTGGGGCATAGGAACAGGATTGACTGCAAATAAGCACAAGCAATCTTTCAGGGATGATGGTAATGAACTAAAATTGAGTTGTAATCAAGATTTTACAACTCTATAAATTTACTGAAAATCATTGACTTTTATATTATATTTGTAAAGTCTATGTTATATAAATTGTATCTCAATAAAATATGATGTCCTGGCCAGGGCCAGTGGCTAACACCTGTACTCCCAGTATTTGGGGCGGGAGTTGCTGAGGCAGAAGGATAGCTTGAGCCCAAGAGTTTGAGACCAGCCTGGGCAACACAGGGAGACCCTGTCTCTACAAAAAACAAAATTAAAAAAAATAAGCTGGGCACGGTGGTCCACGCCTATAGTCCCAGCTACTAAGGAGGCAGAGGTGGGAGGATCACTTGATCCCAGGAGGCTAGAGTGAGCCATGATTGCAACATTGCACTCCAGCCTGGGTGACAGAGAGAGATTCTGCCTATAAAAAAAATTTTTTTTAAATATGGCTGGGCGTGGTGGTACATGCCTGTAATCCCAGAACTCTGGGAGGCCAAGGTGGGCAATCACCTGTGGTCAGGAGTTCCAGACCAGCCTAGCCAACATGGTGAAACCCTGTCTTTACTAAAAATACAAAAATTAGCTGGGCGTGGTGGCGGGCACCTGTAATTCCAGCTACTTGGGAGGCTGAGGCAGGAGAATCACTTGAACCCAGGAGGCAGAGGTTGCGGTGAGCCAAGATAGTGCCATTGCACTCCAGCCTGGGTGACAAGAGTGAAATCTGTCTCAAAAAAAAAAAAATCTGAAAGCAAAACATTTTGATGAAAATCAAAACCATCACATTATCAAATATGCCTTTTAAAAACTATACTTACCCTCCCACCCCTCATTGTGTCCACTCTCATCTTTAGCCTGGCCTCCTGGGTTAAGAATCCCAGGAGAAAGTAAAGGCCTGACAACAATAAAATGTAATAGCTGGTGACCTAAAGGTAAACAACGAATAAGAAAAACTAGGCCAAGAACTTCACTAAGTATAACGTATCTGGGGCCATCGTGGATTCAAATAGCTTCCTTTTTTTCTTTTTTTTGAGATAGGGCCTCACTCTGTTACCCAGGATGGAGTGCAGTGGAGCAATCATGGCTTCCTGCAGCCTTGACCTCCCTGGGATCAAGTGGTCCTCCCACCTCAGCATCCCGAGTAGCTGGGACTACAGGCGTGAGCCTCCACACCTAGCTAACTTTTTGTATTTTTTTGTAGAGACAGGGTTTTGCCATGTTGCACTGGCTAGTCTCAAACTCCTGGGCTCAAGCAATCTGCCTTCATCACCCTCCCAAAGTGCTGGGATTATAGGCATGAGTCACCATGCCAGGCCTCAATAGTTTCTTGACTATGGTATATGTGGGGCCATCGTGGATCTTCACCATAAAACAGTTTAAGAACACAGGCTCAGCCGGGCGCGGTGGCTCATGCCTGTAATCCTAGCACTTTGGGAGGCCGAGGAGGGTGGATCACGAGGTCAGGAGTTCAAGATCAGCCTGGCCAAGCTGATGAAACCCCGTCTTTACTAAAAATACAAAAATTAGCCGAGCATGGTGGCAGGCGCCTGTAATCCCAACTACTCGGGAGGCTGAGGCAGAGAATTGCTTGAACCCGGGAGGTGGAGGTTGCAGAGAGCCAAGATCGCACCACTGCACTCCAGCCTGAGCAACAGAGCAAGACTCCATCTCAAAAAACAAAAACAAACAAACAAACAAAAAACACAGGCTCGTGCTTGTTTTGGCAGCATATATACTAAAATTGGAATGATACAGAGAAGATTAGCACGGCCCCTGCACAAGGATGACATGCAAATTCGTGAAGCGTTCCATATTTTTAAATCCCAATATCCACTTTTTTTTTTTGAGACAGGGTCTCACTCTGTCGCCCAGGCTTAATTGCAGTGGTGTGATCACGGTTCACTGCAGCCTTGACCTCCCAGGCTTAAGCGATCCTCCGACTTCAGCCTTTTGAGTAGCTGGGACTACAGGCACGTGCCACCAAACTCCTAATTTTTAATTTTTTTTGTAGAGATGAGGTCAAGCCACATTGCCCCGGCTCCTCTCAAACTCCTGGGCTCAAGAGATTCTCCCTCCTTGGCCTCCCAAAGTGCTGGGATGACAGTCATGGGCCACCATGCCTGTCCCCAAAATCCACTTTTAAAGATAATTCCATTCTATTTATCTAGCAACTTTGTAAATTAGAATAATTTAATTTAGCCTTGCAACTTAATAAAAAAAACTTTGGGCTTCAATATAAAAATATAAGTATTTTCTCTGGCAAAGGTGGGAAAATTCACATTTTCCATGAAAAACTAAGGAAATAACATTAATTAAAAGCAAATTCTGGCTGGGCGCAGTGGCTTACGCCTGTAATTCCAGCACTTTGGGAGGCCGAGGCAGGCGGATCACGAGGTCAGGAGATCGAGACCATCCTGGCTAACACGATGAAACCCCGTCTCTACTAAAAATACAAAAAATTAGCCGGGCGTCGTGGCGGGCGCCTGTAGTCCCAGCTACTCCGGAGGCTGAGGCAGAATGGCGTGAACCTGGGAGGCGGAGCTTGCAGTGAGCCCAGATCGCGCCACTGCACTCCAGCCTGGGTGACAGAGCGAGACTCCGTCTCAAAAGAAAAAAAAAAAAGAAAAAGCAAATTCCACTCCAAAGTCAGTATATTGAGCATAGAAGGTTCACATGTTCCTTTTGCAGTCTTTCAGCTTTGTGGTTCTGACCACAATCAATGATCACAAACATATGAATAACTCACTGCCTTGTAGTACAAAACTGAGTCTTGGTTCTCATAAACTAATATAAGACCTGACTAAACATAAAAATATTTGAGGCCGGGCGCCTGGGCGCGGTGGCTCACGCCTGTAATCCCAGCACTTTGGGAGGCCGAGATGGGTGGAACACGAGGTCAGGAGATCAAGACCATCCTGGCTAACACGGTCAAACCCCGTCTCTACTAAAAATACAAAATTTTAGCCGGGCGTGGTGGCGAGCGTCTGTAGTCCCAGCTACTCGTGAGGCTGAGGTGGGAGAATGGCGTGAACCCGGGAGGTGGAGCTTGCAGTGAGCGGAGATCGTGCCACTGCATTCCAGCCTGGGCGACAGAGCGAGACTCCCTCTCAAAAAAAAAAAAAAAAAATTTTGAGGCCGGGCGCGGTGGCTCCCGCCTGTAATCCCAGCACTCTGGGAGGCCGAGGCGGGCGGATCACGAGGTCAGGAGGTCCAGATCATCCTGGCTAACACGGTGAAACCCCGTCTCTACTAAAAATACAAAAAATTAGCTGTGGCCGGCGCCTGTAGTCCCAGCTACTCGGGAGGCTGAGGCAGGAGAATGGTGTGAACCCGGGAGGCGGAGCTTGCAGTGAGCCGAGATTGTGCCACTGCACTCCAGCCTGGGGAACAAAGGGAGACTCTGTCTCAACAACAACAACAACAACAACAACAACAACAACTATATATATATGTATGTATGTATGTATGTATGTATGTATGTATGTATGTATGTATTTGAGTGGATTCTTCAAAATCCATTTAATTTGGTGGATGTTAAAATATAAGGGCATTTAAATATATTTATCTAGAGTTATTAAAACATACTCGGAATGAACTATTACCAAAGTGAATTCATATTTCCCAGAGTTTTAAAAATATTATTTTGGCAATTATAGGTACTGATGAGAAGAAATTAGAACCACAAAGAGGCGATTCTAGAAACAGCATTTTTCTTCTCTTATTTCCTATCCCAGATCCTTAGGAGTTGAACTACCTTCATATGAATAGAAACCCCATCTCTACTAAAAATACAAAAACAAAATTAGCCGGACATGGTGGCACATGCCTGTAGTCCCAGCTACTCGGGAGGCTGAGGCACGAGAATCGCTTGAGGCCAGGAGGCAGAGGTTGCAATGAGCCAAGATCGCGCCACTGCACTCCAGCCTGGGCGACAGAGTGAGACTCAGTATCAAAAAAAAAAAAAAAAAGAAAACAACGAAGGGTGAGCACCAAACCTATTTACATGGCAGTATAAAAATAGAGATCATCTCTATCTTGAGGTTCAAAGAACTTTAGGGAAATGTCAGAACACAGATCGTTTTCTGTGTAAAATACTTCCAAGCCCTATAAATTCAGAAAGAAAAGAATAAAATAAATAGCATTATATTCATCTTGCAATCCCAATATAAATATATAATTACAAAAACTTTCACTTAAACCTTTGTGTTTTTTATTTTTATATCTTATATTCCTATTTTCAATATATAAATTTAACTCAATGATATATATATATACACACACACATATGTGTGTGTATATATATATATATGTTGTGTTTATAAATGTTCTGGGAACAAGATAGTATCTCAGTTAAACTTTGTAAATCACCTTGGGTGTTGAATATTTTCATTAATAATAGCTTTTGTGAACTTATTATTTTGGAATTCAAAATTAGCTGATCAGCCAAAAAAAAAAAAAAAAAAAAAAAAGAACACAGGCTCGGTCGGCCGGGAGTGGTGGCTCACGCCTGTAATAATCCCAGCACCTGGGGAGACTGAGGCTGGCAGATTGCTTGAGCTCAGGAGTTCAAGACCAGCCTGGACAACATGGCAAAACCCTGTCTCTACAAAAAATAAAAAATTAGCTGGGTGTGGTATTGTGCGCCTGTAGTCCCCGCTACTTGAGAAGCTGAGGTGGGGACGATCACCTGAGCCCAGGGAGGTTGAGGCTGCAGTGAGCTGTGATCACACCACTGTACTCCAGCCTGGATCACAGAGTGAGACTCTGTCTCAAAAAAAAAAAAAAAAAAAAAGAACACATGCCCTGGAGTGGGAGAAATCTGGAATCAAAGTTCTGCCTTTCAATCCTTGGAAGAGATTTCGGGCAAATTAGTTAACCTCAATCATTCTTCATTGCATTTGTGAAGTCTCACAGGACCAATATGAAAATACACATATAAAATATTTAGCACAGTGCCAGGCACAATATAATAATCAATAAATGCAAGCTTTTATTTTCTATGTCTCAAAAACCCCTAGGGACAGCACTATATTAAAGTACTATTCAACAATACTCCAGAAAACATTAAATGATTTTCAGGAGATTCTATTTAGGAAGGCAGAAAACCATATATTTTCTAAAGTTTTTCAGTAATGAACCATGTTGGCATTGCCAAAGGGATATGCTCCAGTGACCAGGATAATATCTCTTCTACATTCAGCAATGTAGAAACATGGCCCAGTGAAAAAGTTTACAAAAATCAGGCCTCAAACCTGGAGTCTCTTACTAAGTTCACAGTTATATATAATTACCTACATGTAGCCATTTTTCCTTCATAAAATGATAAATACACTTATCTAAGCCCTAGGAATATATATAAAGACAACCGTGGCTGGGCACAGTGGCTCACGCCTATAATCCCACCACTTTGGGAGGCCAAGGTGGGTGGATCACCTGAGGTCAAGAGTTCGACACCAGCCTGACCAACACAGCGAAACCTCGTCTCTACTAAAAATACAAAAATTAGCTGGGCGTGGTGGCATGTGCCTATGATCCCAGCTACTCAGGAGGCTGAGGCAGGAGAATCACTTGAACCCCGGAGGCAGAGGTTACAGTGAGCCAAGATAGCGCCACTGCACTCCAGCCTGGGCAACAGAGCGAGACTCCATCTCAAAAAATAAAAAATAAATAGCCAGGCATGTAGTATGCGCCTGTAGTCCCAGCTACTTGGGAGGCTGAAGTAGGAGGATTGCTTGAGCCTGGGAGGTTGAGGCTGCAGTTAGCAGTGATTGTGCCACTACACTCCAGCCTGGGTGACCGAGTGAGACCCCGTCTCAAAAAAAATAAAAGACATATATATATATACACATATATATATATACACATATATATATACACATATATATATATAAAACACAATGTATGTACTATATTATATATATACACATGTACATATACATATACATAATACAATCATGTGGCTCAAATATCAAGTAAAGAGGTTTATAAAGGGCAGGCTCATTCCCAACTCTATCTCCCTTCCATTCAATTCCATTTGCCCCATCAACAGGTAACCACTCAACAGATTCTTGTGTATTCCTCCAGAATCTCTTTAGGCAAATTAACAAATATATGTTCTCTCCTTCACTATCTACACAAAAAGGAACACAGTACACACCAAGCTCTTTTTATAGTCATAGTAACTTAAGATACATGTTTTTCCTTTTCAGTACATATAAGTTTCTCATTCTTATTTTGTAGTATGCAATTGTTTGCTATTATAAATAACATTGTAGATTTCATTGTATATATGTGTGTGTGTGTGTGTGTGTGTGTGTGTATCCCTGAACTAGAATTGCTAGATCAAAGGAAATTTTTTTTTTAAGACAGTCTCGCTCTGTCATCCAGGCTGGAGTGCAGTGGCGTGATCTCAGCTTACTGCAACCTCCACCTCCCGGGTTCAAGCAATTCTCCTGCCTCAGCCTCCAGAGTAGCTGGGATTACAGGCGCACGCCACCATGCCTGGCTAATTTTTGTATTTTCAGTAGAGACGAGGTTTCACCATGTTGGCCAGGCTGGTCTCCTGGGCTCAGGTGATCCGCTGGCCTCGGCCTCCCCAAAGTGCTGGGATTACAGGTGTGAGCCACTGTGCCCTGCCAAGATCAAAGGAAATTTGCATATTTATTTTTTAAACTTTTATTTATTTAAGTATACTAATATATCCAAAATAATGTATGTAATACATGTGTATCTTTATATAATGCTGCCAAATTGCCTTCCATGGGCAATGTACCAATTTAAACTCCTACCTCCAACGTATGAGTGTCTTTTACCCCAGAGTCTTGACAACAAAGAGTGTTATCAAACATTTTGATTTTTAACACTCTGATAAGTTTAAGCAAGGAATCTCAGTGTGGTTTCAATTAGCATTTATCCTACACATGAGGGCAAGTATCTTTCACATAAACAATCGTTAAAGTCAGGAATAAGCCAAGATTTCCTACTACCAACTGAGGAAATAAAACAAGACCTACACATGTTAGAAAGTAGGAGACAAAACTCAAAACTTGCAGACTACATGATTATCTATCTAGAAAATCCAAGAAAATCAACTAAAAAACTATAACTAACAAGGAACTAACAAGAGTTCAGCAAACAGGCCAAAGACAAAATCAACATACAGAAATCTGCCATATATCTCAGTAATCATTACAAAATGTAATTTGAAAAAACAACTATCGACCAGGCACAGTGGCTCATGCCTGTAATCCCAGCACGTTGGGAGGCCCAGACAGGTGGATCACCTGAGGTCAGGAGCTCAAGGCCAGCCTGGCCAACATGGCAAAACCCCGTCTCCACTAAAAATACAAAAAAATTAGCCAGGCATGGTGGCGCACGCCTGCAGTCCCAGCTACTCAGGAGACTGAGGCAGGAAAATTGCTTGAACCAGGGAGGCGGAGGTTGCAGTGAGCCGAGATCGTGCCACTGCACTCCAGCCTGGGTGACAGAGCAAGACTCCATCTCAAAAACAAACAAACAAACAAACAAACAAAAACAATTATCCTGTTCATAAGAGCAACAAAGCTATAAAATACTAGTCTAGGAACAAACTCAAGAAGAAATATACAACACCTACATAAAGAAAACCATGAAATTTTACTGAAATACACAAACTACACCATGTTCCTTGATGGAAAGACCCAATATCAACATCTTCACAATTCCCCTCCCCCCACTATTATTCCAAAATCAATGCAATTTCAATCAAAATCCCAAAGAGATGTTTTTGTCTGAAACTGACAAGCTGATCCTCTAAAGAGTAGAAGGAAAGCCAAGAAAATCTTGATAAAGAACAACAAGAACTTGCCTTACCAGATAGTAACATATAGTTATAGTAAGTTAAACAATGTGGTTTTAGCACAGAAACAGACAAATTAGCTTAGCTGGCATGGTGGCATGGGACACTAGGCCAGGAGAATCTTGTGAGCCTTAGGAGTTGAAGGCTGCAGTGAACTATGACCATGCCACTGCACTCCAGCCTAGTCAAGAGAACAAGATCCCACCTTTAAAAAATAAAAAATTTAATTTAAAATAGACAAATGAACTAATGAAATAGAACTAGTACAGAAACAAACACATGTATGTATAGGAATGCAGTCTATGGTAAAAATGGCATTTCAAATTTGTGAAGAACAGGTAGTATAATAAGTTGTGTTGGGATAACTGGTTATCAATTTTGAGGAGTGGTAAGCTAAAGCCCTACCAAAAACCAGTCACAAAAATAAATTCCATGTGGACTTAAAAGCTAAACATAGGCCAGGTGCGGTGGCTCACGCCTGTAATCCCAGCACTTTGGGAGGCTGAGGCAGGCTGATCACGAGGTCAGGAGATCAAGACCATCCTGGCTAACATGGTGAAACCCCGTCTCTACTAAAAATACAAAAAAGTTAGCCAGGCGTGGTGGCGGGCACCTATAGTCCCAGCTACTCGGGAGGCTGAGGCAGGAGAACGGCGTGAACCCACGAGGTGGAGCTTGCAGTGAGCCGAGACTGTGCCACTGCACTCCAGCCTGGGTGACAGAATGAGACTCTGTCTCAAAAAAAAAAAAAAGAAAAGTAAGTACAAGTGGCCAATACATGTATGGTAAGGGGATTACTCAAACTCATTAGTAAACAGAGGGGTACAAACTCAAATGATTCAGTACCATTTTTCATCTATCAGGATGCAAAAAATAAATATCTGTTAAGTTTGAGAATTGTATAAGAAATTTGGTATTCCATGCATTGTTGGCAGCTAAACTGGAATAGCCTTTTCATAGGGCAAATTCCAAGTATCTAGTGCATAACTGTCACCCAGCAATTCCAATCCTTAGTAGTATCACTTGAGAAATATTCCTGCATGTGAACAAATATGTAGGTACAGGGCTTTTTTAAACTGAAACATTGTTTTAAATAGCAAAACAAACAAACAAACAAAATCAACCTGAAAAGAACTTAAATATCCATCTATAGGAGAATGCTGAAATAAACATGGTACGTCCATACTGTGAAATAATAAGCATCTGTTTAAAAAATGCAAGATGGATATATACTGATATATAAAAATCTCCTACATATATATACTATAAGGTGAGAAAAGTAAGTTGTAGTACAACATGTATATTACATCTACATACTATTTGTGTTAAAAAAAAACCCACAAAACTATGTATTTCTAAATGTACTCATATATGGGTGAATGCATATAAAAAAGGCTAGAAAGACATACTCTAAACTGACCCTAGTAGTCAAAGCTAGAGAAGCACACAGGAAGAAATACTATGTATCAATCAAAAAGAATGAAGTGAACATATAAATACTGATATGAAAAGAGCCCTAAGTGACACTCTTCGGGAGAAAAGTCATAAAATATATATCACATACTTGTTATTTGTATATGTACAAACATATGCATGCAAATACAGAGAAAAAAGGACTATAACTATTCCACAACCAACTCTTTTTTTTTTTTCTTTCATCCTTATTTTGGCAACCATGGAACCAACTCTTAACAAATGGTTATCTATGGGAGGACAGGAAGTTGGGTTAAAAGGCGTTTTAATCTAATGCTATATTACTTTAATCCTTTAAAGAAGAGTTGCCCATTAACAATCTGTACAAAAGAGTCAGTTAAAAAGGCCAGGTGCGGTGGCTCATACCTGTAATCCCAACACTTTGGGAGGCTGAGGCGGGAGGATCACTTAAGCTCAGGAGTTTGAGACCAGCTTGGGCAACATAGCAAGACCTTATCTCTATTTTTACAATAAAATAAAATACTGGCTGGGTGCAGTGGCTCACGTCTGTAATTCTAGACCTTTGGGAGGCCAAGGCGGGTGGATCATCTGAGGTCAGGAGTTCGAGACCAGCCTGGCTAACATGGCAAAACCCCACCTCTACCAAAAATACAAAAACTAGTTGGGCGTGGTGGCACGCACCTGTAGTCCCAGCAACTCGGGAGGCTGAGGCACAAGAATTGCTTGAACCTGGGAGGTGGATGTTGCAGTGAGCCGAGATCTCACCACTGCACTCCAGCCTGGGTGACAGAGTGAGACTGCATCTCAAAAACAAAACAAAACAAAACAATAAAATAAAGCAGAAAGACAATTCATGGAATGGAAGAAACTTTGCAAATCACATATCTGATTAGGGTCTAGTATCTAGACTGTATATTTTTTAAAAAACTCTTAAAACTCAACAATAAAAAGACAAACAACCAAATTTTTTAATGAGCAAAGAACTTAAATAGACATCTCTCCAAAGAAGAAATACAAATAGTCAACACGCCATGAGAAGATGCCCAACATCATTAGGGAAATACAATTCAAAACCACAATGAGATACCAGTTCATACCATTATGATGGCTATTTAGAAAGAAAAATAAATAAAAATAATTTTTTAAAAAACAAGTAAAAAACAGAAAGCAACAAGTGTTGGTGAGGATGTGGAGAAATGGAACCCTCATACATGGCTGATGGCAATGAAAATTGGTGCAACTGCTATGGAAAACGGTTTGGTGGTTTCTCAACAAGTTAAACATAGGGCCAGGCACAGTGGTTCATGCCTGTAACCCCCATACTTTGAGAGGCTAAGGCAGGAGGATCACTTGAGCTCAGGAGTTTATGACCAGCCCAGGCAACACAGGGAGACCTTGTCTCTACCAAATGTAAAAAATTAGCCTGGTGTGGGGCGTGGTGACACACACCTATAGTCCCAGCTACTCAGGAGGCTGAGGTGGGAAGATTGCCTCAGCCTGGGTGGTTGAAACTGCACTAAGCCATGATCATGCCACTGTACTCCAGCCTGGGCAACAGAGCCCTGTCTCAAAACAAAACATAACATAGGATTATATATGACCTAGCAGTTGCGCTCCTAGGTATACCCAAAATAAATGAAAACAGGTATTCAAACAAAAACTTGTATACAAATATTCATAGCAGCACTATTCACAAAAGCCAAAAGGTGGAAACATCCCAAATATCTATGAACTGATAAATGGATAAACAAAATACGGTATATCCATACAAAGGAATAATACTCAGCCATAAAAAGGAATAAAGTAATGTTACATGCCATAACACAGATGAATCTCAAAAACATGCTGAGTGAAAGCCAGACACAAAAGGTCATATATTATATGATTCCATTTATGTGAAATATGCAGAATAGACAAACATTAATGGTCACCTGGGACTTGGAGGAAGGGACAATGGGGAGTGACTGCTTACTGGGAACAGAATTTCCTTTTGAGGTGGTGTTAGCTGCACAACATTGTGAAGTTACCTAATGCCACTGTACAACTGTACACTTTAAAATGGTTAAAATGGGGCCAGGCGCAGTGGCTCATACTTGTAATCCCAGCTCTTTGGGAAGTCAAGACAGGCGGATCACCTGAGGTCAGGAGTTGGAGACCAGCCTGACCAACATGGAGAAACCCTGTCTCTACTAAAATACAAAAATTAGCCAGGCATGGTGGTGCATGCCTGTAATCCCAGCTATTCGGGATGCTGAGGCAGGAGAATCACTTGAACACAGGAGGCAGAGGTTACAGTGAGCCAAGATCGTGCCATTGCACTCCAGCCTGGGTGACAGAGAGAGACTCCATCTCCAAATAAATAAAATAAAATAAAATAAAATGGTTAAAATGGTAAGTTTGTATTACATGAATTTTATCACAATTTTTAAAAGTTACTATGCTACCAGCCTGGCTAACATTGTGAAACCCCGTCTCTTCTAAAAATACAAAAATTAGCCGGGCGTAGTGGCGGGCACCTGTTATTCCAGCTACTCGGGAGGCTAAGGCAGGAGAATCATTTGAACTCAGGAGGCAGAGGTTGCAGTGAGCTGAGATCGCACCATTGCACTCCAGCCTGGGTGACAGAGGGAGACTCCCTCTCAAAAAAAAAAAGTTACCATGCTAAAACACAGAAAACAATGTACTTCATTTCTTTCAGCCAGGCACAGTGGCTCACACCTGTAATCCCAGCACTTTGGGAGGCCGAGGAAGGTGGATCACAAGGTCAAGAGTTCGAGACCAGCCTGGCCAATATGGTGAAACCCCATCTATACCAAAAATACAAAAATTAGCCAGGCGTGGTGGCATGCACCTATAATCCCAGTTCCTCGGGAGGCTGAGTGAGGCAGGAGAATAGCTTGAACCTGGGAGGCAGAGGTTGCAGTGAGCTGAGATCGCACCACTGCACTCCAGCCTGGGTGACAGAGCAAAACTCTGTCTCAAAAAAAAAAAAAAGATTCACGAGAAAAATATATCCCTGAAAGGGCATCAAAGCTCATTTCTGTAGTGAGTCAATCTCAACATTTGCCAAACCAAATCTCATAACAAGCTCTATCAAAACAATTAAAAATTGTATCAATTCTACTTTTAAAGCTTTAAAATTTCTGAATGAATGTCTTATAGATGTCTTTCAGTCATCAAATATCTCCTAACGGCATCATAAATGTTATGATCTCAAACAAAGGTGGAAAAGACCCACTCGTTTGAAAGAATTCTGGCTTTTGGCCAAGAGACAAAATCGAGTATATCTGTAAATAGAGCTGGTCTACTTATATTGAGAGACTGAGAAAGGAGGGGTTTTTTTCCTTATACACAATTCCTTCCCCACGAAAACATACACAAAAAATTTAAGCCCTCCAGGAACAACAGTTAACTGTGGCCTGTCAGGGAGGCGGAAGGAGGGGAGAGTACTAGGGAAAAGAGCCAACTCATGCTGGGCTTAATAGCTGGGTGATGGGTTGATAGGTGCAGCAAACCACCATGGCACGCGTTTATCTGTGTGACAAACCTGCACATCCTGCACATGTACCCCGGAACTTAAAAAATAATAAAATAATTATTTTTTTAAAAATCAGTTAAATATGCTAATAAGTATTATTTAAAAATAAAAAAAATTAGGCCCTCTGTTAATTATTTTTATTTCAATTATCTGACTAGAAATCTGATAGCGGGCCCATGCCTGTAATCCCAGCACTTTGGGAGGCCGAGGCGGGCGGATCACTTGAGGTCAGGAGTTTGAGACCAGCCTGGCCAACATGGGGCAACCCCATCTCTACTAAAAATACAAAAATAAGCCAGGCATGGTGCCACGTGCCTGTAATCCCAGCTACTAGGGAGGCTGAGGCAGGAGAATTGCTTGAACCTGGGAGGCGGAGGTTGCAGTAAGCCAAGATCACGCCACTGCACTCCAGCCTGGGTGACAGAGCGAGACTCCCTCTAAAAAATAATAATAATAATATCCATTATTTTCTTTACTTCTGCCTACTCTGGTTCTTTGCAGCCACTGGCTTTATCATTTACCGGCTCAGCAATGAACAATATAGTAAAAACAAAACTCTATGGAAGAAAGTTAAGTCAACACTACAGAAATCTAACTCCTAAAACTATAATTATTTAAGCAAATGTAAACTTGTGATATGAAGATCAACAATGGTCTAGAAGTCAGAACTCCGGGGTTCACCACTTACTAGGGCATGTCTTGTTTTTCTGGGCTTCATTTCTTTTTCAGATAGAAGGAGAAAAATACCTTTCCTACCTGCCTCCCAACCAAAGTACCGTAATAAAATTATGTACAAGGTATGATAGAACTCTAAAGAGGGGGACCTAACCTAGCTTGGTGGAGGATGCTGGGAAAAGGAAGAAAGGGAAACCAGGAAAGGCTTTCAGGAATAGCTGGTGACAAATGTTAAGTTTTAAAAGAATGAGTTCAAATTCTAGGGGAGGGGGAGAGAGAGCATTCCAGGTAGAGGGGGACATCAGAAGCAAAGGCAGAGAGAGAAACACCATAAATCTGTTTATGTTATTCCCCTTCTTAAACAATCAAGAGTTCCTAATTCACCCCAGCCTCAACCTAAGATTCCAGCCTTATCTCATTCCATTCTCCAAATATACCATGCTTACACTTTCAAGACCCAAAATGTGAATGTCCTTCATCTAGAAACATCTAGTTCAAAACTGGGAGGCCGCCTTGCCTGGTTGAGTTAGTGCAACATTTCCAGGCTCTTACAGTGCCTTTATACTTCTACTGTACTATTTAATACATTAAGTATTCATCTCAATCTGAGAGACTATGAACAGAATATGACCTTTTGTATTCAAACTGCGGGTAGCCTAAACAAGGATTACACTCTTTCCAATATCAAAGCAGAATAAAAGAAAAACAGCATGGGAATGTTCTCAAGTTTGCAACATTTCCAAGAAAACTAAATATATATCAGTAAAATGTGTAAAAAATAATCACAAAAGATTAAAATCCATAACCGTTAATCTTGACCCAGAACAGAATGAGACCAGGACAAGACATCCTTATCAGAAGATAAGTATTCAGAGAACAAAATGTTCACGTAATCTGTTGTAATTTAAACTCACACCAAAAAGCGAGTGCCAATTTTCAAAGATAAATTCGTAATGACCAAAAAAAATGTACAATTATTTTAGTTCAAAGTCAGCTTTAGTGGATTTTTTAAGACAGAGTCTCGCTCTGTCGCCCAGGCTAGAGTGCAGTGGCACAATCTTGGCTAGCTGCAACCTCTGCCTCCCAGGTTCAAGAGATTCTTCTGCCTCAGCCTCCCAAGTAGCTGGGATTACAGGCACGCTCCACCACGCCCGGCTAAGCTTTAGTGCATTTTTGCTATCCTTTAATGCAAGGTATCTTTCCCTTGAGCTGTCGAGTTTAAACAATTTTTAAACTCATCAATCCAAAGGATAGAGACCGTCTTAAAAGACACCCGCTGCTCTGTCACATACTAAGACCTCTTCAAAAGTTCTCTTGGTATTACAACTTACTATAGATGAAAAACAGATAACGGTATCTCCAAAAATTGGATACAATCACTACTATGCAGAAGATTTTCACAACTCAAAAGCTGTTTTATTCATATAATTGTCTCAATCAACAGTAACTCTTAAGAAAAAATAGCCATACTATTCGCATCTGTTTTGAGGGTTCAGTCTCATTTTAACAGTCTCTCAACCCCCAAGATACGGAGATACTCACGTGCAGGATTTCCACCCCCACCCCATTATATAAATGTTTCACCACTTTTAACTAGTCAAACAAAACCTCTTTCAGTACAGTGAAGCCACCTCACCACTTTCATCCTCACCTATCATACCATCTCCTCCCCATCCCCAACCTGTCAGTCACACAACACACACCACCCCTTCCCAAATAACACCTCAGAATCTCCTTGAGCCTAACACATTTACACAAGCCAGCAATATTTCTCACCCCATCCTGTCCCTCACACATCAGCTGAACCTCTGAAATAAATCTACTCTTTCCTTCATCCTATTCCCATCAATACAACTGAACTTCCCACACCCGAAGCGATCTTCCCTTTCAGTAGCTTCAATCTCACTTAAGTGATCACTCAGTCCTTTGTCAACCGTCTCCTGTCCCCCTCCTGTATCCTCCTCACCTTCCCCGTCCCCTGGTCTTCCATCAGCTCCCAAAGTTGTCACCCCTCAACAACAACCAAAAAAAAAATCAAAAACAAAAAAGAAAACAAAACAAAAAACGCACCTCAGCCTCAAACCTGCCCTTCCCCACTTTCCCCCTGTTCATTTTCCTCTCCGCCTATTCAGCAGTTTCGACAGCCCCTTAGCCCGGAGCCCGGCCTCGTCCGGTACCGACTGGTGAAGGCACTCACCCTGCTTCGGTCAAGCCGCCCCCCGCTAGGGCGCTTACTCCTAACAGACTCTTGGCCGCCGCTGCCTCCCTCCATTCATCCCTGGCCCATTCATCTCTCAGCCCGATCCCAGACACGCCCCCCGGCCTCCTCCCTCTCTCCTAGCGCCCCGGCCGGCCCGGGACCCTCACCAGATTAGAGGCTCTCGCAAAGGAAGACTCTCTTACTCTTTTCGCTTCTCCCTCGCCCTCTCTCGAGCCTCCTCTCGCCCCACGACGAGCCACACCGTAGAATAGACACATACACACACACCGCCTCCTCCTCGATCGCCTCCTCCGATGCTTCTTACTCCTCTCCTCGATGTCTCGAGCTCCGCTCCGCGTCGTGTGCGCTTGCGCGCGCGAGCGTCTCCCCGCGAGCCCACCGGGCCAGCTACGGCCGGTAGGTAAAGAGCGGGCGGAGAGAGGGGAGCGGGGTACGAGCCCAAGCTCGCGCTCGGCCCGGAGCTGAGCAGACGCACGCGTACTCCAGCCAGGGAATTCGGACGGGTAGGAGAGAGGGGCGGAGGGGGGGCGGGGAAGGGAGGGGAGAACAGAAGAGGGGGAGGGGCGGAGAAAGCCAACGGAGCAGCCCCAACTCGGAACCGCCCCTATCGCAGCGAGGTGCCGAGTGGCCAGCCAACTAGAGTGCGCGCACGCCTCCCGCCCCCCTCGGCGCCGCGGGAGAGAGGGATGCGCGTCGAGGAGAAAGGCTTCTCCCCATTCCAAAGAGAAAATCTCTTAGAGGAAGCACGCGCGACATCTCCTGTGTGTTCCGAAGCGCTCTCGCTCTCTCTCAGCTGCTCTACCCTCTCCCCTCAGAGAAGAAGAAGAAGAAGAAAAGTCCAAGCACACACTACTTCCTAGCCCCCCACTGCCCACCCTTGGGTCTCCGCGAGCCTCTGAATGCTGTAGCGCCGCTGTTAGGAGGTGGTACCCGCCGGCACCTTTTCGCCCGCCACCCCTGACTCCCTTTTTCCAACTCCCGGGATTTCTCGCGAGACCCATACCTGCCGGCTTTGGGATTAGAAGTCGAAGCACCGATTTACAAATACTGGCCTCCCAGTTACGTTGCGGGGGCAACAGCCACGGCATGTCTCCCCCGCCCCCCAGGACCGCAGTGCGCGCGCGCGGGGGCTGGGAAACGACCAAAGCAGGGATGGGAAAGGGAAGCTATGAAACTGATTTTTGACGGCATGTAACCGCTAGGCCTGGGCACGTGCCCTGCGCCTCGCAGACGGGTGCGATGTACCCTGGGAATTGTAGTTTTTCTTCCCACCTATGGTCCGACTCCCACCCTCAGTTTTACTTAGGCCTCTGACCGGGAGGGGGATTTCCGACGCCATTTTGCCGGGAACAATGGCCCTCGGCCCTGATGGTGGCAGGTGGGGGAGGGAGCAATGGTTTTAAGGGTTCGGTGAACCTCCTCGGCCCCTTGGTGCCATAGCAACCCCTTCAGAGACCTGGTCCCGCCCCCTCGCCGCCGCCAGGCTTCTAGAGCGCGCGCATGCGGAAAGGCTGCCTCCCACTGAGACTGGCTCTCTGTGTCTCCCACCGGCCACCTCCTTGAAAAACTCCCAGATCCTCTAGCTGGTAGTGAATGCTGCCTCCTTCGAGCTTTCGGTACATGTTAGCCTCGGCGCAGCGGCTTCAAACTGCTTCCTGTGCTATGCCAGAAGCAGTATAGAATTGTTTCCGTCATTCTCCCATGAATAATCCCGGCCCGACAGAGGAGGAAATTGAGGCTCAGGAGGGGAAATGGACATGAATTGCTCAACTTCATACTATTTGTGGAGTTAGAACTTGAACCCAGGTGTGCTCACTCCAGAGCCGAGGCATTTTTCAATCTCCCGGGAGTCATCTGGTGGCGCAGCTAAAGGGCAGGGCATTCTTTTCGAATGCCCCTCAAGCTAGGAGGCTGTGTGGGAAATATCTGACTAATGCTTTCAGCCCTCCAGCCTCGGCCCTATCACTGAGTTATCCCTTCTCCACTACCTATTTTTCTTTTCCTGCTGTAGGCCTCAGAAATCTCAGTCTTTTTCAGCTCTTTAAAACAGCACAATCAATACATTTAACTCAGGTTTCCAAAGTCCAAATAAAGTGTAATGGTTTATCTTTGACTTTGTAAGGGGGGGGTGAGTATAATGATGGGAGGCCTTGTAGCCCTATCTCTTGCCTCTGTCCCTTCCTTATTAATTTCCATATTGCCAGAATATGTAAGGAAACCGGACCATGCCCTTAATACATTCAAACTCCCATCTTTCCGTTTTGACAACGGAGGGAGATGCTGAGGAAACAATAGGGCTATGAGGTCCAGCCACTAGAATGGTGGAGATCTTCCTTCCTGGCCGATTTGAAAGAGCAAGGTGTGGTTTCTCCAAATAGCTTCACCATTCTACCTTAAGAGTCTCTGAAGTCTCAATTAGCTGAAAAATGGATGGGGTCTCCCACGCTCCTTTCCTCACTGTCCCTGAAGATAGTCCCTTTTCCCTGTTGATTGGTTGACTAGTGTAGGAAAAACAGAGGAAGAGTAGCTGAACAACCAGTAAGGGGCAATTTCAAAGTTTCAAAGGTTACCAGTTTATCCCAAGTCTTTGTAGGTCCTGACTCCCATGAGATGGCAACTAGAAACTTGTGGCCACCGTTTCTGTTTCTCAGTGTCACCCTATTCCCACCACTGCCACACACATCACCTTCATGAAAAGGCATCTAGCTCAGTTGTGACCTGCTCCTCTTCCCTTGTCTCTGAGCCTGATGATGTAGGTAATGAATAAAGAACAACACTTGGAAATGTTAGCCCTTCAATCTGCTTAGATGTTAATTCTTTTGAGCAGTACCTCTTTGATAGTTGAATACTTGTTAAAAAAAAAAAAAGCTATTGAGTAGAGTGACTTTTATGACCTTTAGAAATTTGAAAATCAAACAAGTCGGCTCCCCATCCAAATACAGGTCCTTCTCAATTTAGACCTTTTATTGACATATGTGCTCTTCTGTTTGGGACAATCTGGTCTGTAACTCAGCACAAATGCCACTGTAGGCAGAAAGGGGAGCGGGCAATTCTAGCTAATCACCAAGGTATGACAGGGAACATTCCCTTCCTACCCACTGGTTTCCACTGACTCTCAAGTGACATTTGCAATGTTCCTACTCATCAAACAGAAATTTTGATTTATATTAACTATTTGTAGTTTGGTTTTACATTGTTCCAGGAAATCATCCTTCCAATAATCTAATTCATTTTTTTCTAGAGGCTCCGGTGCCAATAAATTACAAAAAATTTAACTGGAATCATTTTTAAACCCCAAAATCCCACAGGAGTGGGGGTAGGAGGTTAGTTTCATGGCCCTACTATCTGTTGGTCTCTTTCCTACCACACAGGATGGTAACTCCTTCAGTCAACAAGATGGAGCTGAAATGAACCTCAAAGTTTGTAGTTAGCTGACCACTGCAACCATGGGTAGAGTTGTGACTGTTTCTGGAACTTAATTTCTGACCCGGTGCCCTCTTTTTAACCAGGTTATTGGGGCGGGGAGGTAAACAATGTCCATCATTCTTGATGTTCATTTCCCTTAACCCAAGTGATACCACAGTTTGGGGATCTTAGGTAATGTCCAGGCATGGGTGTAAGTGGGAGTGGAGTAAGGATATCTGCTTCTAGTTATTTAGATCCTGGCAGTTTGTGCTGAGCCCTCTGCCCACATGGGTCCTTTCCAGTGCTGTGGTCCTCTCCAATGTCTCTGCGACATGGGGCACAGAATTTTTCCCGAAGTCCCAATAGATATTGGGCCATCTACCTAGACATTCCACACAGCTCTTCCTCTCTTGAGTCTTCCCCATCAGCTAGGTGTTGCTCCTGGGAAGCTGAGGCTAATCAATGCTGCTTGAGCTCCCACAGAGATCTCTCTCTGCTCTTGTTGTCTCTTTCTCGCAAGGAGAGGGGAGTGAGGAAGAGAAGAATCATTTTTTAGGTTTGTGCAACTCTTTCTTCTAGTTTTCTGGCCCAGATACTTGGTCTCTGCCCCTACACCCTAATACCCCTTGCTTAAGGACTTATGTTTTGGAAACACAGAAACCAGAAAGAGTGGCAGAGTATTTGTTTTACTGCCTTGCCACCTCCCTCCCCTGAGGTACACCACAAAGCTATGTTATTTTGGGGGCAGAGACAGGTAGAGAAAAAGAAAAATACAGGAAAGAAAAAAAATATATTATATTCTCTAGATAATACTGAGCCACATTCTCCTTCTATTAAATCTTAGCATCCCAGCAAGGGAAAGTGTACTTCTCATCCAGGTGCCTCTGTTCAAGGCAGTAACTCCCAGGGCTTGGATGTCTGGGTGATCTTTTCTCCAGCCAAGTCTTTCCACTAGGGGAATTTCTCACCAGGATCATCTAAGGGTTATTAATGTCCTCCCAGAAGGTTCTCTTTCCTCCCAGCACAAGTTGAGTATTCCTTGAGTAAGGGCATACTCAGAAGTGAACAGCTATCTTTGGCTTAGCGACTGACTTAGAAACACTCCACGTTTCAGGCTGGATAATGCAATTTCTCCAGCCTTGCTATTGGTCTAGTTTCTTCTTCCTAGATGCAGTCTTTCCACATGTGCCCAGAGCATACGTCAGGGGGCAATTTATTTATTTATTTATTTATTTTTGAGACAGAGTCTTGCTCTGTCGCCCAGGCTGGAGTTCAGTGGTGCAATCTTGGCTCACTGCAACTTCCGCCTCCCGGGTTCAAGCGATTCTCCTGCCTCAGCCTCCAGAGTAGCTGGGATTACAGGTACGTGCCACCACCCCCGGCTAATTTTTATATTAGTAGAGACGGGGTTTCACCTTGCTGGTCAGGATGGTCTCAAACTCCTGACGAACTCGAACTGAGGCTGGGATTACAGGCTTGAGCCACTGCGCCCAGCCATCAGGGAGCAATCTTAAGGTAAATGTCTGTGCCTTGACAACTGACTCTCAGAATGCCTACAAATGACTAAGCCCACATCACTTCTCTAAAACTTGCAAAGTGTCCAAGATCTTAACTCCTCTGCAAAATTCCCATGTGGCCAGACTACAGAGCCTGAGTTGGGGTTGCTGTAACAGCCCCTCCCTCTCCAGAATAAGATCAGTTCTTTAAGAAATGTACAGTCTGACATAGTATATTCTTTTGAGAATCAGAAACTTCAGTCTGCTGGGCTAACTAACCAGGCTTCATTTGCTGACCTGCCTTTCCTTCCTCTCCCTCCATTCCTTCCATGGACTCTCTGGATCTATTCCAATAGTCTGTAGTAGTCTTTCAAAACAGTCTTGTCACAAATCCTTCATGTAGCAGGTATGAATTGTAGTCTCCCTACTAAGGTGTATAATAATAATAGTAATAACAACAATAATAATAATGTCGGCTAATAATCCAATAGCATTTACTATGCGCTTTATACAAGCCCATTGAATCCTATGAGGTAAGTGCCATTATTAACACCAGTTTTTAAATTAGTAAACCAAGGCACAAAGAAGTTAAATAACTTGCTCATAGTAACACAGCAAGTAAGTTTCAGAGCTAGAATTTGAACCCAGTTAGTTTAGTAAAGAGTCCATGCTCTTAAACATTTTTTGTTGCATCTGTCTTTATTGTCTATGATTCCATTTAACTTTGGACTCCAATATCCCCTATTCCTTGGGGTTGGAAAATAACCTATATTATTCTTGATGTTCCTCCATCTCAGGTTCAAGCCGCAGTGCTAAGACCTGGGAACAGAGGTCCATTAAATCCTTAATCATAGCCAGGCACAGTGGCTCAAGCCTGTCATCTCAGCACTTTGAGAGGCTGAGGCAGGAGGATTGCTTGAGCTCAGGAGTTCAAGACCAGTCTGGGCAATGAAAAAAAAATTTTAGCTATGTGGCCACACAGGTTAGCAGTCAGAGGTCCATTGCCTCTTCCCACAGTGTTCCTTTATGGTCTAGCAGGCCCTTGTTACACTGGGTCCCTCCCAGTGACTTGGGAATTTTTGTTAAAGTTGCCTAGAACAGCCTCTGTTCTCTCACGTTTTGCTGTCTACCCAGGGATGGTGCCAGGAAGCAGAACACAGGTCCTTTCTACCTGGAACCCAAGGATCTCCCTGATAGCATTATATTATCCTCAGACCTAGGGGGTAGGAGGGACTAGAATCTCTGTTTAGGGTGGATAAAATCATTCTCCCTTTATATTTTCTGGCCAAGACAATTTGACTACACCCTGACCCTCTTCCACTAAGGACTTCGGCTTTTGAAACACAAAAACAAAGAGATGGGCAAGTAAAATCTGCTCTTAGTCTCTTGCCACATCCCTTCCCCTAAAACAATAAAACCTGGGTCGGGGTGGGGGAAGAGGGTGAGGAAGACAGAGAAATTAAAAGCAATAGGACGGGCGCGGTGGTTCATGCCTGTAATCCTAGCAGTTTGGGAGGCCGAGGCGGGTGGATTACCTGATGTTGGGAGTTCAAGACCAGCCTGGCCACCATGGTGAAACCCTGTCTCTACTAAATATGCAAAAAATTAGCCAGGTGTAGTGGCGCGCGGGTGTGTGCCTGTAATGCCAGCTACTTGGGAGGCTGAGGCAGGAGAATCGCTTGAACCCGGGAGGCGGAGGTTGCAGTAAGCCGAGACCACACCACTGCACTCCAGCCTGGGCTACAGAGTGAGACTTCGTCAAAAAATAAATAAATAAATAACTACAGAAAATATAAGTAAATCTCAATTTCAATTATGTGCAAAAAAGACAGTTTATTTAATAAATGGTGCTTAAAAATTGGTTATCCAGCAAGAAGTAAGCAAAATTAGGTTCCTACTTTATACCATATACAAAATTAAATTCCAGATGAGGCCAGGAACAGGAGTTCAAGACCAGCCTGGGCGACATACTGAGACCCCCCTCATCTCTACAAAAAAAGTTAGCTGGGTGTGGTGGTGCTCGGGAGGCTGAGGTGGAAGGATTGTTTGAGCCCAGGAGGTCGAGACTGCAGTGAGCTGTATTCATGTCACTGCACTCCAGCTTGGGCAATAGAGGGGGCCCTCTGTCTCAAAAAAAAAAAAAAAAAATCCAGATGAATGTCCATTTCCCTACATGCATCCATTGCTGCTAGGAGTATGAATCACTATTATCTTTTTTTGTTGTTTGCAAAGTAATCTGGAAGAATCTAATAAAATTTAAAATCTATGGTATTAGTTCAGAATGGTTTGGGCTGCAAGCAACAGAAAATCTGACTAATAGTAGCTTAAACAAATAGAGTTTTGTTTTCTTTCTCACATAACAAGAAATCTAGAGGGACGCAGATGCTAATATTGGATCAGCTGCTCAACAAGTTCATTAAGAACCTAGGCTTCACAAGACAATCCTAAGCAAAAAGAACAAAGCTGAAGACATCATGCTACCTGACTTCAAACTATACTACAAAGTTGGCTGGGCGCGGTGGCTCACACCTGTAATCCCAGCACTTTGGGAGGCCGAGGCGGGTGGATCACCTGAGGTCAAGAGTTCGAGACCTTCGAGACCAGCATGGCCAATGTAGTGAAACCTTGTCTCTACTAAAAATACAAAAATTAGCCAGGCATGGTGGTGCATGCCTGTAGTCCCAACTACGCAGGAGGCAGAGGCAGAAGAATTGCTTGAACCCGAGAGGCGGAGGTTGCAGTGAGACAAGACCGCACCATTGCACTCCAGCCTGGGCAACAGAGCAAGGCTCTGTCTAAAAAAAAAAAAAGCTATACTACAAGGCTACAGTACTACAGTAACCAAAACAGACATATAGACCAATGGAGCAAAACAGAGACCTCAGAAATAACACCACACATCTACAACCATCTTCAACAAGCCTGACAAAAACAAGCAATGGGGAAAGGATCTCCTATTCAGTAAATGCTGCTGGGAAAACTGGCTAGCCATGTGCAGAAAACTGAAACTGGACCCCTTCCTTACACTTTACACAAAAATTAACTCAAGATGGATTAAAGACTTAAATGTAAAACCCAAAACCATAGAAACCCTAGAAGAAAACCTAGACAATACCATTCAGGACATAGGCATGGGTAAAGACTTCATGACTAAAATGCCAAAAGCAATTGCAACAAAAGCCAAAATTGACAAATGGGATCTAATTAAACTAAAGAGCTTCTGCACAGCAAAGGAAACCATTATGAGAATGAACAGGCAACCTACGGAATGGGAGAAAATTTTTGCAATCTACCCATCTCAGAAAAGGTCTAATATCCAGAATTTACAAGGCACATAAACATACTTACAAGAAAAGAACAAAAAACCCCATCAAAAAGTGGGCAAAGGATATGAATAGACACTTCTCAAAAGAAGACATTTACACAGCCAACAAACATATGAAAAAAACTCAACATCACTGATCATCAGAGAAACGCAAATCAAAACCACAATGAGATACCATCTCACGCCAGTCAGAATGGTGATTATTAACAAGTCAGGAAACAATAGATGCTGGTGAGGCTGTGGAGAAATAGGAATGCTTTTACGCTGTTGGTGGGAATGTAAATTGGTTCAACCATTGTGGAAGACAGTAAGGCGATTCCTCAAGGATCTAGAAGAAGAAATACCATTTGACCCAGCAATCCCATTACTGGGTATATACCCAAAGGAATATAAATCATTGTACTATAAAGACAAATGCCCTCATATATTTATTGCAGCACTATTTACAATAGCAAAGACATGGAACCAACCCAAATGCCTATCAATGATAGACTGCATAAAGAAAATATGGTACATACACACCATGGAATACTATGCAGCCATAAAAAGGAATGAGATCATGTCCTTTGCAGGGACATGGATGAAGCTGGAAGCCATCATCCTCAGCAAACTAACACAGGAACAGAAAACCAAATACTGCATGTTCTCACTCATAAGTGGGAGTTGAACATTGAGAACACATGGACACAGAGAGGGGAACAACACACACCAGGGCCTGTTGCGGGATAGGCAGTGAGGTGAGGGAACTTAGAGGACGGGTCAATAGGTGCAGCAAACCACCATAGCACACGTATACCTATGTAACAAACTTGCACATTCTGCACATGTATCCCATTTTTTAAAATAAATAAATAAAAGAACCTAGGCTTCACCTCATACCTGTTAGAATGGCTATAATCAAAAAAATGAAAGATAACAAGTGTTGGGGAGGATGTGGAGAAAAGGAAACCCTTGCACACTGTTAGTGGAAATGTACACTAGTACAGACATTATGGAAAATGGTAGGGAGGTTTCTCAAAAAATTAAAAATAGGGCCAAGCACGGTGGCTCATGCCTGTAATTCTAGCACTTAGGGAGGCCAAAGCAGGAGGACTGCTTGAGCCCAGGAGTACAAGACCAGCCTGGGCAACATAGCAAGACCCAATCTCTTATAGAGGAAAAAAAATGTTTAAAAAATTAAAAGCAGGATTATCATATGATTCTGTAATCCCACTACCGGGTATATATCCAAAGAAAATGGATATCAGTGTATCAAAGAGATATCTGCATTCCCGTGTTCATTGCAGCATTATTTACAACAGTCAAGACATGGAATCAACCTAAGTGCCCATCAATGGATGAGTGGATAAAGAAAGTGTGGTATATACACAGTAGAATAGTATTCTTCCTTAAAAAAAAGGAAATCCAGCCTGGCGTGGTGGCTCACGCCTGTAATCCCAGGACTTTGGGAGGCTGAGGAGGGAGGATGCCAGCTGCTCAGGTGACTGAGGCAGGAGAATCGCTTGAACCCGGGAGGCGGAGGTTGCAGTGAGCTGAGATGGCACCGCCGCGCTCCAGCCTGAGTGACAGAGGGAGACTGTGTCAAAAAGTAAAAAAAAAAGGGATATGTAAGTCCAAAGATACTACCATATTACTAGAATCTCATTCAATCATTAATAATCAATCTGGTTCATCATATTGTATAAATATGTCTTCTAGGGTGAGGTCACTCAGGTTTGCAGGCTTCCATTCCATCTTGTTAGGTTCCAAAAGCAGGAGTGGTCTTGGCAAACATAACTCTTTCAGGCATCTGGGGTAAGTGAGCTAGAAGACAATGTCATCTCTTGTCCTTCAAAGTGCTAATGTATCTCTTTTTTGTTGTTGTTGGTCCTTGTATGTGACAATCAAGGTGTCAAGGTGTTAACGTAGTATTGGATTTTTTTTTTTTTTTTTGAGAAGGAGTCTTGCTCTGTCCCCCAGGCTGGAGTGCAGTGGCACAATCTCGGCTCGCTGCAAGCTCCGCCTCCTGGGCTCATGCCATTCTCCTGCCTCAGCCTCCAGAGTAGCTGGGACTGCAGGCGCCCGCCACCATGCCCGGATAATTTTTTGTATTTTTAGTGGAGACGGGGTTGCACCATGTTAGCCAGGATGGTCTCAATCTCCTGACCTTGTGATCCACCCGCCTCGGCCTCCCAAAGTGCTGGGATTACAGGCGTGAGCCACAGTGCCCGGCCACCCATTTATTTATTCTTTTAGCCTCAGCTACTATTTGTCTTTCTCTTCATTTATCTCCAAATTTTTCCACCTTGTGTTTTTTCAGTTATTTTCTTTTTTCTTTCTTTCTTTTTTTTTTTTTTTTTGAGACAGAGTCTCTGTTGCCCAGGCTAGAGTGCAGTGGCACAATCTTGACCCACTGTAACCTCCGCCTCCCGGGTTCAAGCAATTCTCATGCCTCAGCCTCCCAAGTAGCTGGGATTATAGGCATCTGCCACCACGCCTGACTAATTTTTTTGTGTTCTTAGTAGAAATGGGGTTTCACCATGTTGGCCACATTGAGATACCATCTCACGCCAGGCTGGTCTCTAACTCCTGACCTCAGGTGATGTGCCCGCCTCAGCCTCCCAAAGTGCTGGGATTACAGGCATGAGCCACCGTGCCCAGCCCAGCTATTTTCTTTTTACTTAAATTTTTTTTTCTTGCTTCAAATCAACAACAGCTCATTTTTATTTATTTATTTATTTTTGCATGACCATGGTTAATTGCAACCTCAAACTCCTGGGCTCAAGTGATCCTCCCAACTCAGCCTCTGGAGTAGCTGGGATTACAGGTGTGAGCCACCACACCCAGCCTTTTCCATCTTTGTAAGGGATATTAGGTTCTGCTACTGTGCTTGTCTAGACTGCATGCAGCAATACTAGTCCAACAAGTGCATCACCCTCAGTTCATTCCCATTGAGATGCGGTAAGGTTACATAGGTGCAGAACTAATGGGCCATTTTCTACCACCAGAAAATATAGCCACACTCTGTGTTAACCCTAATGTTGCTAGATAGGGTGAAGCACAGCCCAACCCCATCAGGTCCTTAGGAATTATAACATGAGGTTTTTTGTTTTTTGGTTTGGGGCCTCTTTTTTTTTTTTTTCTTGAGATGGAGTCTTGCTCTGTAGCCCAGGCTGGAGTGCAGTGGCGTGATCTTGGCTCACTGCAACCTCTGCTTCCTGGGTTCAACAGATTCTCCTGCCTCAGCCTCCTGAGTAGCTGGGACTAAAGGCGCCCACCACCACACCAGACTAATTTTTGTATTTTTAGTAGAGACGTGGTTTCACCATGTTGGCCAGGCCGGTCTCAAACTCCTGACCTCAAGTGATCCTCCTGCCTCGGCCTCCCAAAGTGCTGGGATTACAGGCGTGAGCCACCGTGCCCAGCCAAACATGAGGTTTCTTAGGAATCATCCCTACTTCCAGCATTTATAGTTGCAGACCTGGTCCTATGACCACTGCATCAAGGAGGGGAAATTTTTTTAAAAAAAGTTGAGGTGATATGGGGAAGAAAAAAAAGTATAGTTGTTATACCACTGTACTCCTCCCTTGGCAAGAATTGCATAGTCATACTGGGATCCTTTCCCATCCCCTCTTCCCCAGATCTACCAGAAAAACAGAAGAATCTCTAGTGCGGACACTCCTTTAGTTCCACTCATGCTGAGTGTGAGCACACTCTCATGAAGGCGTGTAAGTCAGCCCCTTATGCCTTTATCCCTCTCCATTTTAGATAACCAATCTTTCGATTGCCAGTTCTCCATCTCTATCAGACTATTTTTCCTTCCAGTGACCTTGTTTCTGACTCTATCAAACTACTACTCAGAGGAGGGTGTCCCTCTGCCCATTGTTGGGCATTATGGGCTGTACAGTGTTCCTTGGGCTGAAGAAATGATGGATGGCCATCGAAATCCATGCAATATCTTCTGTCCTGGTTCTTCCATAGCACTCTGGGCATTTGCATATTCTACCAAGTAAGCAAAGTCCAACCTATCAGGATCCATTTGTAGCCCTCCAGGGCTACCAGCATTAGTCTGACTTGTCAACTATGTTCAGGGCCTTTTCACCAGGGAATCTGCCACATAGTCATTGGCAGTCTCTGTCTCTTTTGTGGCATACAGAACAGTTCTTAATTGGCATTGTGTGCTTGAGAAGGTGCAAAAGGAATATGTCTCAATTCAGCCCATTTCTGCATAGCTATAGAATTCTGATATCCAGTCATTTCTTGACCCAGGTGTTCGCCTTATAAATGAGCACATAAGGATAGCTACTTGATGATTCTAATCACGTTCCAAAACAAAAGGGAGTTATTGTGATGGCCATTGACATGTTCTACTTTTTAAAAACTTGTTTAAATTTAATTTAATTAATTTATTTTTTTAGACAAGAGTCTCGTTCTGTTGCCCAGGCTGGAGTGCAGTGGTGCGATCTCGGCTTACTGCAACCTCCGCCTCCCAGGATCAAGTGATTTTCGTGCCTCAGCCTCTCAAGTAGCTGGAACTACAGGCGCCCACCACCCTGCCCAGCTAATGTTTGTATTTTTAGTAGAGACGGGGTTTCATCATGTTGGCCAGGCTGGTCTCAAAGTCCCGACCTCAAGTGATCCGCCCACCTCAGCCTCCCAAATTGCTGGGATTACAGGCGTGAGTCACCACGCCTGGTGACATGTTCTACTTTAATGCACCCCTCAGATTTCCACAGGGCTGTGCCCCATGTGGGCATCCCCTTAATAGGCCACATTTCCATTGCCCTCCTGCCTGAGTATATAACCAGGCCATTGGACACTGCCCAGGAGTCAGTAAAAATCCAAACACAGTGGTTGTCTAATCAGCTGGCATTCTTCTCCTCCTTTCCTGCTAACAGGTAGCATCATCCTGTATAAGCCATTTCCATTTCATTATGGAACTCTTCTGGATATTGCCATCCCTGTTGCAGTGTTTCTTTGACTTCACTTAAGACACCGTGGATATTTTAGGCTTCAAGATTTATAAGTGATACAGATGAAGAGATGCATAGGGTGAGGTATCAGAAGGGGCCCAGAACTTCCATGCCCTCTCCAGGGGTGCCACCTTCCATGAAACTCCAAGTGCTGAAGCTATCTGGAAGCTCTCTGAATCTAGTCCGGCATGTTGCCTTTTTGTCCCTAGGCTTTTTACTTTTTATTTTTTAAAGTCCTTTTCAGGGCACTTGTCCCTAGGCTTTTTGCTTCATGCTTGCAAGATGGGCTGCTGAATCTGGATATCATAATCGCATTCAAAGGCAGTAAAGGGGGTGAAGGTATGGCAGTGGCCAGGGAAGCAAGAGAGATGCCACTTTCCTTTTTTCAGGGAAAGCCCTTTTTTCCAGATATCCCTCAAGAAACTGGCCGGGCGCCATGGCTCACACCTATAATACCAGCACTTTGGGAGGCCAAGGCGGGCGGATAACCTGAGGTCAGGAGTTTGAGGCCAGCCTGGCGAACATGGCGAAACCCCGTCTCTACTAAAAATACAAAAATTAGCCAGACATGGTGGCTCATGCCTGTAGTCCCAGCTACTCAGGAGGCTGAGACCAGAGAATCGCTTGAACCCCGGAAGTGGAGGTTGCAGTGAGCCAAGGAAAGAAAAAAAAAAGGAACTTACCTATATATCTCCTTTGCCATAACTGATGACATTAGGCCAGGGAGTAAGACCACCTTTCTTGAGATCAGGGTTCTCTGCCTAATACCCGAACAAAATTAGCATTCTGTTAGCAGGAAAGGAGGAGGAGAATGCCAGCTGATTAGACAACCACTGTGTCTGCTACATATACTTACCCTTTGACTGAGCTGTTCGGAGTAAGGAATAAAAGTACTAAGAGGCCAGGTGTGGTGGCCCATGCCTGTGATCGCAGCACTTTGGGAGGCCAAGGCATGCGGATCACCTGAGGTCAGGAGTTCGAGACCAGCCTAGCCAACATGGTGAAACCCCGTCTCCACTAGAAATACAAAAATTAGCTGGGCGTGGTGGTGCATGCCTGTAGTCCCAGCTACTCAGGAGGCTGAAGCAGGAGAATTGCTTAAACCCAGAAGGTGGAGGTTGCAGTGAGCTGAGATCATGCCACTGCACTCCAGCCTGGGCAACAGAGCGAGACTACATCTCAAAAAACAATAATAATAAAATAAAACGAAAAATAAAAGTACCAAGAAACCTGCATGCCCATCAAGAGGGAAATGGTTGAATAAATTGTGGTACATCCACACTAAAGCATATAAAATACGCTTTAAAATTTTTTAAATAGGGTGGGTGCAGTGGCTCACACAGGCAATTACAGCACTTTGGGAGGCTGAGGTGGGCAGATCACGAGGTCAGGAGATCGAGACCATCCTGGCTAACACGGTGAAACCCCGTCTCTACTAAAAATACAAAAAAAATAGCCAAGCGTGGTGACGGGCACCTGTAGTCCCAGCTACTCAGGAGGCTGAGGCAGGAGAATGGCGTGAACCCGGGAGGCGGAGCTTGCAATGAGCCAAGATCACGCCACTGCACTCCAGCCTGGGCGACAGAGCGAGACTCCGTCTCAAAAGAAAAAAAAAATTTAAATAATGAGTTATATTTATACCTGTTTTACCTGTTGACCTGAGGAAAATTTTGAATAATTTAAATAATGGTTAACTCATTTGGAAATGTGTGAAATTAGGAGTGGTTTGCACATGTTACTTCTGTAGCAAAAATTTTACCTAGCCAAAATGGAAATGGCATAATGAAGTCTTTTACCATAATTTCTTGAGAGAAAATTGCTTTTGATTTGCACGGTTTTAAGCCATGCATGCCTTTTCAAGAATACATCCTTGCATATGCCAAGGAATATGTATAAATTACCTCGGTAAACTATTTCTGTTCAAGAATGCTGGTTAATGAGTTTCATGTTAGGGGTATGTTTAAAAAAAAAGAATGCTGGTTAAGTAATATAGTTTTAAAAAATTATTGAACTGAGAGTCAGGAAACTTGGGCAAAATAATTATACTAATGCTGCTACTTATAAGAAAGAGAAGCACACAAGCTGGGTGTGGTGGCTCACGCCTGTAATCCCAGCACTTTGGGAGGCTGAGGCGGGCAGATCACCTGAGGTCGGGAGTTCAAGACCAGCCTGACCAACATGGAGAAACCCCGTCTCTACTAAAAATACAAAAAAATTAGCTGGGTGTGGTGGTGCATGCCTGTCATCCCAGCTACTCGGGAGGCTGAGGCAGGAGAATCGCTTGAACCCAGGAGGCAGAGGTTGCTGTGAGCTGAGATTGCGCCATTGCACTCCAGCCTGGGCAACAAGAGCGAAACTCTGTCTCAAAAAAAAAAAAAAAAGAAAGAGAAGCACACAATCACAGTTTATGCCTTTGGTGGACTTAGAATGCAGATGAAGAGATAAGGAATAAATAAGTGTATAATAATTCAAGAATGATCATAAGGTACTGAACATCTAATTATCATGCACATGTTGCTGACAGTAAGTGCTACAGGCACTCAGGAATTTATTCATTCATTCATAGGGTATTAGTGCACAAGCTAATACCCTATGAATTAGCATCCTCCTTTCTCAAAATTGGTGTCTAAAATTTATTTCTCATCTGGTTTTCCAGTTTTGGTGATCTCCTGGCTTGTTATCATCTATATAATCTGTTCTATGCATTGGACTTTGGGCTCAGCCTTTCTCTTACCTGTCCCCCTCCTTCTCAGACACCAGTCCTGAAATCTGTTCTGGAATTGGATGAGTTTGTGCTTCTTACTGCCAGATTTCTATGATGTTGCTTACATAGATCTAAACCACACCATAAAAGCCGGGCACCATGGCTCACACCTGTAATCCTGGCATTTTGGGAGGCTGAGGTGGGCGGATCACCTGAGGTCAGAAGTTCGCCACCAGCCTGGCCAACACAGCGAAACCCTGTCTCTACTAAAAATAGAAAAATTAGCCAGGCCGGGCGCGGTGGCTCATGCCTGCAATCCCAGCACTTTGGGAGGCCGAGGGGGGCGGATCACCTGAGGTCAGGAGATCGAGACTAGCCTGACCAATATGGAGAAACCCCGTCTCTACTAAAAATACAAAATTAGCCGGGTGTGGTGGCACACGCCTGTAATCCCAGCTACTAGGGAGGCTGAGGCAGGAGAATTGCTTGAACCTGGGAGGTAGAGGTTGTGGTAGGCTGAGATCGTGCCATTGCACTCCAGCCTGGGCAACAAGAGTGAAACTCCGTCTCAAAAAAAAAAAAAAAATTAGCCGGACGTGCTTGCAGGCACCTGTAATCCTAGCTACTCGGGAGGCTGAGGCAAGAGAATCACTTCAACCCAGGAGGTGGAGGTTGCAGTGAGCCGAGATTGCACCACTGCACTCCAGCCTGGGCAACAGGGTGAGACTTCGTCTCAAACAACAACAACAACAACTAAATAAATAAATAAACTACACCATAAGGCTTGAGTGCTTTTTTGTTTGTTTGTTTGTTTTTGAGATGGAGCCTCACCCTGTCACCCAGGCTGGAGTGCAATGGCGCAATCTCAGCTTACTGCAACCTCTGCCTCCCGGGTTCAAACGATTCTCCAGCCGTAGCCTCCCAAGTAGCTAGGATTACAGGCGCCCGCCACCGCGCCCGGCTAATTTTTGTATATTTAGTGGAGACGGGGTTTCACCATATTGGCCAGACTGGTCTAAAACTTGTGACCTCATGATCTGCCCGCCTTGGTCTCCCAAAGTGCTGGGATTAAAGGCATGAGCCACCACGCCCGGCCGAGTGCTTTTATCTCACTAAAATAAAATAAAATAAAATAAACTACACCAGCCTCCTTGCCAATCTCTCTGCCTGTAGCCCAATACTACCACTCCATCTCTCATATCATTTAATTTTTTTTTCTTTTTCACACCTTCCAGAACAAACGAATCTCTGACATCACCTATCAGTAGAGATCTGTCTAACCAGCAGATCCATCCATGTCACGTACCTGCTTAAAGCTCTTCAATGGTCTTCCAGCCATGATAGAATAATAGGGGACGTATTTACTCTCTGCCTTAAACAATTTTTAAAAAAACAGACAAAATATATGAAAGAAAGGTTTTCAGATATTGGAAATCAAGCAGTGCAGAAGAGTGGGCCCTGAGAGACGGGAAACAAGTGAGGTAGTTCTTTTTTTTTTTTTTTTTTGAGACGGAGTCTCTATCTGTTGCCTAGGCTGGAGTGCAGTGGCGCATCTCGGCTCACTGCAAGCTTCGCCTTCCGGGTTCACGCCATTCTCCTGCCTCAGCCTCCCAGGTAGCTGGGACTACAGACGCCCGCCACCACACCCAGCTAATTTTTTGTATTTTCAGTAGAGACAAAGTTTCACTGTGTTAGCCAGGATGGTCTCGATCTCCTGACCTTGTGATCCGCCCGCCTCGGCCTCCCAAAGTCCTGGGATAACAGGCGTGAGCTACCACGCCCGGCCTTTTTTTTGAGACGGAGTCTCGCTCTGTCGCCCAGGCTGGACTGCAGTGGTGCGATCTCGGCTCACTGCAACCTCCACCTCTCGGGTTCACGCCATTCTCCTGCCTCAGCCTCCCGAGTAGCTGGGACCACAGGGGCCCGCCACGATGCCTGGCTAATTTTTTGTATTTTTAGTAGAGACGGGGTTTCACCGTGTTAGCCAGGATGGTCTCAATCTCCTGACTTCGTGATCCGCCCGCCTTGGCCTCCCAAAATGCTGGGATTACAGGCCTGAGCCACCGCGCCCGGCTTTTTTTTTTTTTTTTTTTTTTGAGATGAAGTCTCGCTCTTGTCCCTCAGGCTAGTGTGCGATGGCAGGATCTTAGCTCACTGCAACCTCCGCCTCCCAGGTTCAAGCGATTCTCCTGCCTTGGCCCCCGGAGCAGCTGGGATTACAGGTGCCTGCCACCACACCCAGCTAATTTTTGTAATTTTAGTTGAGACGGGGTTTCACCATGTTGGCCAGGCTGCTCTCGAACTCCTGACCTCAGGTGATCCACCAGCCTCGGCCTCCTAAAGTGCTGGGACTACAGACGTGGGCCACCGTGCCCGGCCACAAGTGTGGTAGTTCTATGATTGGCCCTGCTTACCCCCAGAGAGAGTTTACAGGCCACAGTGCAGATAGGGGGAATCCTTTTTATTTTTATTTTGTAAGACAGAGTTTTGCTTTGTCACCCAGGCTGGAGTGCAGTGGTGCAATCATGGTTCACTGCAGCCTCAACTCAAGGCTTAAGCCTTAAGCCTGAGCTCAAGCAATCCTCCTGCCTCAGTCCCCGAGTAGCTGAGATTACAGAAGTGTGTGCCACCATACCTGGCTTTTTTTTTTCTTTTCTTTTTTTTTTGTAGAGACAGGGTCTCCCAATGTTGCCCAGGCTGGTCTAGAACTCCTGGGCTCAAATGATCTTCCCACTTCCACTTCAGCCTCCCAAAGTGCTGGGATAACAGGTGTGAGACACCACACCTGGCCAGGGGGGAATCTTAATGGAGCTCCCTAAGTTGAGGAGATGGAGCTAAGGATTCAGAGAAGCCACAATTGCTAGAATTCATAAAGTAGAATACCAAAGAAGGAAGAGCTGCATGGAAAGTAGAGAGCTGAACAAAGGAAGAACTCCAAAGACCTGCATGGAGTCTACAGCAGTGTACTGATCAGCACATGTGTGTGAGGATCTTATCCAAAGCAGAGGAAAAAGATCCCTGAAAAAAAAATTCATAAAAATTATTGGGGGTGATGCAGAGCTGGGATAATTATTATTTCCAAGAGTCAGAGTAGAGAAACCTTGTAATAACATGGGGCATCAGGAAAAGTACTTGGAGGAGGTATTGCTTCAGTAGTACGGCAAAATTAGTCCTAAAGACTACTCTGGTCCCATCTACAATGCTTGAAAACAAGGCTCAAATGGATAAATTGTTTTAAAGTAACTTAATGGTGTCCAAAAACAAGCTCAAAATAATTTAAAGGAATAAAAATAAATAAAAGCCAGAACCCAACATGGTAAAATTCATAATGTCTGGTGTCCAGTAAAAAATTATCAGGTCTGGGGCCGGGCGCAGTGGCTCACACCTGTAATCCCAGCACTTTAGGAGGCCGAGGCGGGCAGATCATGAGGTCAGGAGATCAAGACCATCCTGGCCAACACGGTGAAACCCCGTCTCTACTAAAAATACAAAAAATTAGCTAGGCGTGGTGGCAGGCGCCTGTAATCCCAGCTACTCGGGAGGCTGAGGCAAGAGAATCGCTTGAACCCGGGATGCGGAGGTTGCAGTGAGCTGAGATCATGCCACTGCACTCCAGCCTGGGCGACAGAGCAAGACTGTCTCAAAAAAAAAAAAAAAAAAAAAAAAAAAAAAGAACTCAAAGCCAATGTAACTAGAGGGCAAAAAAAGTAAGAAAAATGATGTGGGAGTCTTTGAATGAATAAAAATTTTTTAAAAAATTATCAGGTCTGGGTTGGGGTTTTATATATGTAGCAGAGCAGCTCTCTTGTTGTGAGCTATTGAAAGCCCTTGACACATTTAAAATATAATAATTAAATAAAAATTATCAGGCAGCTTGGTGTGGTAGTGCATACCTATAATCTCAGCTACTCAGGAGGCTGAGATGGGAGGATTGCTTGAGCCAGGAATTCAAGACCAGCCTGGGCAACAGAATGAAACCCTGTCTCAAAAAACAAAAAAATGGCCGGGCACAGTGGCTCATCCCTGTAATCCCAGCAGTTTGGGAGGCCTAGGCAGGTGGATCACCTGAGGTCAGGAGTTTGAGACCAGCCTGGCCAACATGATGAAAGCCCGTCTCTACTAAAAATACAAAAAATTAGCTGGGTGTAGTGGCAGGTGCCTGTAATCCCAGCTACTTGGGAGGCTAAGGCAGGATAATCAGTTGAATCTGGGAGGTGGAGGTTGCAGTGAGCCGAGATCGTGCCATTGCACTCCACCCTGGGCAACAAGAGCAAAACTCTGTCTCAAAAAAAAAAAAAAAATTATCAGGCATGCACAATAGCAGGAAAATGCAACCAATACTGAGAAGAAAAACCAATCAATATAAACAGACCAAGAAATGACACCTTAAAAACAATATTAAATAGCTATTATAAATATATTTTATATGGTGAAAAAAGTAGGCCGGGCACGGTGGCTCACGCCTGTAATCCCAGCACTTTGGAAGGCCGAGGTGGGCAGATCACGAGGTCAGGAGATCGAGACCATCCTGTCTAACATGGTGAAACCCCGTCTCTACTAAAAATACAAAAAAAATTAGCCAGGCGTGGTGGCGGCGCCTGTAGTCCCAGCTACTCGGGAGGCTGAGGCAGGAGAATGGCATGAACCTGGGAGGTGCAGCTTGCAGTGAGCTGAGATCACGCCACTGCACTCCAGCCTGGGTGACAGCGCGAGACTCTGTCTCAAAAAAAAAAAAAGAAAAGAAAAAAAGTAGAAGAGTAGTGAGCTTTTTGTTTGTTTGTTTGTTTTGTTTTGTTTTGTTTTTTTGAGATGGAGTCTTACTCTATCGCCCAGGCTGGAGTGCAATGGCATGATCTCGGCTTACTGCAACCTCCACCTCCAGAGTTCAAGAGATCCTCCCATCTCAGCCTCCCAAGTAGCTGGGATTAACAGGTGCCCACCACCATGCCCAGCTAATTTTTCTATTTTTAGTAGAGACAGGGTTTCACCATATTAGCCAGGCTGGTCTCAAACCCCTAATGTCAGGTGATCCGCCCACCTCAGCCTCCCAAAGTTCTGGGATTACAGTTGTGAGCCACCATGCCTGGCCGAAGAGTGAGCATGTTAAAGGAGAAACATGTAATATATTTTTTAAAGACCCAAATTGAACTTCTAGAGATGAAAAATTGTCTGAGATGAAAAATAAACTGAGGAAATTAACAGAAAATTATATGTTGCAGTAAAAAATATTAGTGAACTTGAAGACCTAGTAATAGAAACTATTGAAAGTGAAACACTGGAAAAGTGAAGAAAGGCTGAAAAAAATAAACAGAGCATCAGTGAGCTGTGAGACAACTTCATGGGGCCTAATATACATGTCATTAGGGTCCCAGAAATGTAGAAGGGATCATAAAATTATTTAAAGAACTAATGGCTGAAATTTTTTCAAATTTGTTGAAAATTTTGCCTTGCTAAGTAAAAATTGCCTTGCTAAGAAAATTAAATTTATGTTCAATTGCTATTTCTTTGCAGCACCAGGGAACAAGCATTCTGTTTCTAAATAAACATTTTACATATAACAGCATGGCATAATCAAATTGCTTAAAATCAATGATAAAGAGAAAAAATTGAAAGCAGTTTGTGAAAAAAGACACTTTCTGTATAGAAGAACAATAAGGATGATAGCAGACTTCTTGTTGGAAACAATAATATAACCTATTGGTTACAGAAGCTCCCTTCACAAGTAAGCCTTACACTTGAAAGCATTCTACTTTCAAGAATTGTTATTTTGCCAGCCGCGGTGGCTCAGGCCTGTAATCCCAGCATTTCGGGAGGGCAGAGGTGGGCTGATCACCTGAGGTCGGGAGTTCCAGACCAGCCTGGCTAACATGATGAAACCCTGTCTCTAGTAAAAATACAAAATTAGCTGGGCGTGGTGGCATGCGCCTGTAATCCCAGCTACTCAGGAGGCTGAGGCAGGAGAATCACTTGAACCCGGGAGGCAGAGGTTACAGTGAACTGAAATCGCGCCACTGCACTCCAGCCTAGGCGACAGAGTGAGACACTGTCTCCAAAAAAAAAAAAAAAAAAAAAAAAAAGAACAGTTATTTCTCCTATGGACCTCAGCAAATACTTGTTGGATATTTGGAAAATAATAAGGTTCATTTATTCCTTAAACTTATTATTATTATTATTATTATTTTATTTTTATTTTTTTTTTTTTTGAGACAGAGTCTCGCTCTGTTGCCCAGACTGGACTGCAGTGGCGCGATCTCGGCTCACCGCAAGCTCTGCCTCCTGGGTTCAGGCCATTCTCCTGCCTCAGCCTCCCGAGTAGCTGGGACTACAGGTGCCCGCCACCGCGCCCGGATGATTTTTTGTATTTTTAGTAGAGACGGGGTTTCACCGTGTTAGCCAGGACGGTCTCGATCTCCTGGCCTGGTGATCTGCCCGCCTTGGCCTCCCAAAGTGCTGGGATTACAGGCGTGAGCCACGGCGGCCGGCTCTTCCTTAAACTTATTAATTTTTTAACTTGATATGGGAACCTAGGATAGAGGGTTAGCCCAAGTCCCAATGCTTGAACTCACAGGAACTCAGAAAAAGATCTGTGGTTTTGTAATGTTCAACAGATTTTGAAAATTTTTGGCCGGTAGTTCTTCAAACATTTTTGGTTTTAATGTTGAGAAGAGGGACTTGTTGATAAGTACTCTCAAAGGATTGAGCAGGGACTCTTCATGCTGACTTTGAGGTGTCTTTTTCACTCTCTTGACAAAGTTGTCCAAATGAAATTAAACAGCAGCCGGCCAGGGGCGGTGGCTCATGCCTGTAATCCTAGCACTTTGGGAAGCCCAGGCGGGCGGATCACGAGGTCAGGAGATCAAGACCATCCTGGCTAACATGGTGAAACCCCGTCTCCACTAAAAAATAAAAATAAAAAAATCAGCGGGGCGTTGTGGCGGGCGCCTTTAGTCCCAGCTACTCGGGAGGCTGAGGCAGGAGAATGGCGTGAACCCGGGAGGCGGAGCTTGCAGTGAGCCGAGATCGCGCCACTGCACTCCAGCCTGGGCGACAGAGCGAGACTCCGTCTCAAAAAAAAAAAAAAGAAAAGAAAGAAATTGAACACCAGCCTTCTTTTTTGTTTAATAGCATTGTGTGTAAGAAGCTCTGCCCTAATCAATAGCTCTGAGGAGCTGTGAATTCGTCCTTGATTCTGGAAACCTGTATATATCAGCAACCTACTGATTCTCAGTCCAAAATGTAAATACTTTCTCCATTTCTTTCACCATTACATTGTACCTTTTTCTTGCTTTATTTTTTTGAGACAGAGTCTGGCTCTGCCACCCAGGCTGGAGTGCAGTGTTGCGATCTCGGCTCACTGCAACCTTCACCTCCCAGATTCAAGCAATTCTTGTGCCTCAGCCTCCTGAGTAGCTGGGATTATAGGTGTACACCACCACGCTGGGCTATTTTTTTTTTTTTTTTGAGATGGAGTCTCGCTCTGTTGCCCAGACTGGATTGCAGTGGCATGATCTCGGCTCACTGCAAGCTCCGCCTCCCGGGTTCACGCCATTCTACTGCCTCAGCCTCCCAAGTAGCTGGGACTATAGGTGCCCGCCACCACGCCCAGCTAATTTTTTGTATTTTTAGTAGAGACGGGGTTTCACCGTGTTAGCCAGGATGTTCTCGATCTCTGACCTCGTGATCCGCGCGCCTTGGCTTCCCAAAGTGCTGGGATTACAGGCGTGAGCCACCGCGCCCAGCCAATTTTTTTGTATTTTTAGTAGAGACAGGGTTTTGCCATGTTGGCCAGGCTGGTCTCAAACTCCTGGCCTGAAAAGATCTGCCTGCCTCAGCCTCCCAAAGTGCTGGGATTACAGGTGTGAGTCACCACGCCCAGCCACATTGTACCTTTTGACTCAATTTTCAATGATGTATTTTCAGTCATCTGTACATATTCTTTTACTTTGTTCTTTTCCTTCACAACCAAATCTCCAGTTAACCAGCTGCTCTAATATGCTTACATCAAGAGTCATTGCTTTTGGCATGTTTAATAGTATCTGTCCTTGTCTAAATTGCAGTATTAATACTTTCATGTTTTTGGCTTTCCATTTGCAAAAAAACAACCAATCAGAGGTACTTTCAATTTCCCATCTGCTGCTCAGAACAGGTGAAGGTTTGCAAAGGGAGTAGCCTCTGGTCCTTTTGTTACTTAGGCTTCGAAAGTTAGGGTTTTCCTTTCAATTTAGTCCTAGGAAGTCGGCTTGAAACGGCCTTAGGTTCCCTGCCTTCAGACCCTATTTTCCTGCCTCAGTAGGAACTGGAGAATTGGCCGACAGACAGTAGCTTGAAATGTTTGTCACCTGATGTATTTAAGTCCAAATTCAGCACAGGGAAGAATGTTTGGGTATGTTAATGTGTAATGTATGATTGCATAGATTTTATAGAAGTTATATGGATACAAGCTGAAAACTTGTGACATCAAATAACTCTAATACAAAGTAGAATATCACGGCTGGGCGCGGTGGCTCACACCTGTAATCCTAGCACTTTGGGAGGCCGAGGCAGGCGGATCACCTGAGGTCAGGAGTTCGAGACCAGCCTGGCCAACATGGCGAAACCCTGTCTCTACTAAAAGTACAAAAGCAGCCGGGCGTGGTGGCGGGCGCCTGTAGTCCCAGCTACTAGGGAGGCTGAGGTGGGAGAATCGCTTGAACCTGGGAGGCGGAGGTTGCAGTGAGCCGAGATTGCACCACTGCACTCTGGCCTGGGCGACAGAGCAAGACTCTGTCTCAAAAAACAAGACAAAACAAAAACAAAGCAGAAAATAATGTGTGCTGTAAAAAGAACTCCAGGCTGGGTGTGGTAGCTCACGTCTGTAATCCCAGCACTTTGGGAGACTGAGGCCGGTGAATCACTTGAGGTCAGGAGCTCCAGACCAGCCTGGCCAACATGGTGAAACCCTGCCTCTACCAAAAAATACAAAAATTAGCCCGGCGTGGTGGCACATGCCTGTAGTCCCAGCTACTCTGGAGGCTAAGATGGGAGAATCATTTGTACCTGGGAGGTGGAGGTTACAGTGAGAGATCACTCCATTGCACTCCAGCCTGGGTGACAGAGTGAGACCCTGTCTCAAAAAAAAAAAAAAAAAGAGGAAAAAAAGAAAATCCAGCCAGGCTCGGTGGCTCACTCCTGTAATCCTAGCACTTTGGGAGGCTGAGGAGGGAGGATCCTTTGAGCTCAGGATCTCGAGACCAGCCTGGGCAACATAGTGAGACCCCATCTCTACAAAAAATATATATATTTTTTAATGTAAAGAGAACTACATAAATAAATTAAAAATAAATCCTTGCCGGGCGTGGTGGCTCATGCTTGTAATCCCAGCACTTTGAGAGGCCGAGGCGGGCAGATTATGAGGTCAGGAAATCGAGACCATCCTGGCTAACACAGTGAAACCCCGTCTCTACCAAAAATACAAAAAAATTAGCCGGGCGTGGTGGCGGGCGCCTGTAGTCCCAGCTGCTGGAAAGGCTGAGGCAGGAGAATGGCGTGAACCCGGGAGGCGGAGCTTGCAGTGAGCTGAGATCGCGCCACTGCTCTCCAGCCTGGGTGACAAAGCAAGACTCCCTCTCAAAAATAAATAAATAAACAAGCAAATAAATAAATAAATAAATAAATAAATAAATAAATCCTTGCTGGGTGCGGTGGCTCACGCCTGTAATCCCAGCACTTTGGGAGGCCGAGGCCGGCAGATCATGAGGTCAGGAGATCGAGACCATCCTGGCTAACATGGTGAAACCCTGTCTCTACTAAAAATACAAAAAATTAGCCAGGCGTGGTGGTGGGTGCCTGTAGTCCCAGCTACTCAGGAGGCTGAGACAGGAGAATGGCGTGAACCTGGCAGGTGGAGCTTGCAGTGAGCTGAGATCTCCCCACTGCACTCCAGCCTGGGTGACAGAGCGAGACTCTGTCTCAAAATAAATAAAAATAAATAAATAAATAAATAAAATTTGAAAGAGCTAGGGGAATTATGGGGGATTGAGTAGAAGCAACACTGATGTGGACCTTGAAAGACTGGAAAGCTGTAGACAGGCCAAGATGGTGCGAAAAGGCATTCTGAGTGGAGGCAAACTTTGGAAGCTTGAACTTACTTGGGTCAGTAGGAAGAGTTTAACTTGGTTAGGTGTGGTGGCTCATGCCTGTAATCCCAGCACTTTGGGAGGATGAAGAGGGAGGATCCTTTGAGCTCAGGATCCTGAGACCAGCCAGGGCAACATAGTGAGACCTTGTCTCTAAATTGTTTTTTAAGAGTTCAAGTTTTCCTTATTCTCATCTGCTTTCAAAATGGAGGTCTTGTGATAGGGTTTGAGGACACATAATTGAACCACTTTCTTGGCAGTAGAGCTTTATCAGGTAATAACTGAGAGGTAAAAAGCTGTTGCTATGGGGATGTCTATTTTGGCATATCTCTATTTTCCTTTTTTTTTCATGTCATTGAATGAAGCTCATTGGCATATCTCTATTGGCAATCTTGGCCTTCCCCTTGCTTGGACATCGTTCCCTAACTTGTTGGATTGTGCCTTTCCTCCTGTGCAGGTGGAGGAGTAGAAATGTCCACCCCTAGACCATCATTCTTCTCTGAGCAGACTAAGTGGGAACTTCAATGGAGTCCAAAAGATTGGAAGCCTGGAATTGAGGAGTGAGAGTAAGGCATGTTCTGCTCTAAGCCCTCTAAGCCAAGCTTTCTCAACCTCAATACTATTGATATTTTTGTTGTGGGGCTTCCCTGTGCATTATAGGGTGTTTAGCAGCATCTCTGGCCTCTACCAAGTAGATGCCAATAGCACCCCCTGCAACACACATACACACACACACACACACACAGAGTTGTGACAACAGAAAATGCCTCCAAGCATTGCCAAATGTCCTCTGGGCATAGGAGGAAGGGGACAAAATCCCTCCTGGTTGAGAACCACTACTCTAAGCCTTATGAAAAGGAGCTCTGTTCTTTGGGTTTGGTTTTCTATGCCTCCTACCACCGTAGTCTGGGTAGTACAATAAGAGGGACAGAACACAGGTTATGAGCCCAGAGGGAAGTACCAAGGATCTCAACTGTCCAGTCTCTAGTTTATTTTTTTATTTATCTTTTTATTATTATTATTATTATTTTGAGTCTGAGTCTCGCTCTATTGCCCAGGCCGGAGTGCAGTGGTGCAATCTCAGCTCACTGCAACCTCCGCCTCCCAGGTTAAAGAGATTCTTCTGCCTCAGCCTCCTGAGTAGCTGGGATTACAGGTGCCCACCACCACGCCCAGCTAATTTGTGTATTTTTAGTAGAGACGGGATTTCACCATGTTGGCCAGGCTGGTCTCAAACTCCTGACCTCAAGTGACCCGCCTGGCTCAGCCTCCCAAAGTGCTGGGATTACATGCGTGAGCCACCGCACCCTGCTGGCCAGTCTCTAGTTTAGACCTTGAGCTGGAAAGATTCATTCTTTTTAGACTCCCTGTGGTGCATATATGCTCTAGCTCCTCTTCCTGGGTTAAGATTTGAAGAACTTCCTGATCTTGCATTGCAATGTTTTTCCTCAACATAACTAATATTTACTGTTGCTCAACAGCCTGTTATATGCACACATAATATGGTGATGCCAATACCTCTGCTTACTATCTGAAATATGATAGTGAATGTCTCTCAATATTTTATGGAGGTTTGGAGGCTGGGCAGAGATCATGGAAAGGGGCCTAATGATCTCTTTTGTGCTTAGGGAGATATCTGCCAGTTTGTGGATGTTGCTATCTGACACTTCTCAGGCTGGGGAAAACCAAGGCAACCCTCAGCTTTATCTCAGCAAGAGCTAGGCCTCTCCCCTTCCTAAGAACTTCCCAAGGCCAAACAAAACAGCAGTGGTGGAAGATAGCCCACACCATAGCAACAGAATTAGGAATTTAGGCCACCATCAGGCAACCAGATGAGAGATAAGATGCCTGGATACATTTGGAGCTTTAATTTTTTTTTTTTTTTTTGAGACAGAGTCTCACTCTGTCACCCAGCCTGGAGTGCAGTGGTGCCATCTCAGCTCACTGCAACCTCTGCCTCCCAAGTTCAAGCAATTCTCGTGCCTCAGCCTCCTGAGTAGCTGGGACTACACGTGTGCACCAGCACACCTGGCTAATTTTTGTATTTTTAGTAGAGACGGGGTTTCACCATGTTGCCCAGGCTAGTCTTGATCTCCTGGCCTCAAGTGATCCACCCGCCTCGGCCTCCCAAAGTGCTGGGATTACAGGTGTGAGCACTGTGCCTGGCCTGGAGCTTTAATTTTTTCTTGGGAAGAAAAGATTAACTTGCTCATGGAAAAGATGATATTATTAAATGTTATTGGTTATTGATTGTGATAAGTCATTGTAGTTAACTTGATACACATTGTGAAATCCAGTATGTAGAGCTGGGTTAGATAGCAGGTCCATTGTTTTCAATTGCCCTCCCCTATATTCACTTCTCACAGAGCCTTCGCATAGCCCCACTGAGTGGGTAATGGGCCTTCGTTACCTCATTCCCAGGCTACAGCTGAATGGACCAGGGTAGACACCTAACCTAAGCTGAGGAAATCTTCTCTTCCCTAAGAATTTGGAAGAGGACTCAGACACTCCAGTTAGCTAGCTACAGGTGCAGAGCTGATAAGGATATAAAGTTGGAGTTTGGGGGACCATGTTTGGGCCACATGAACTGAATCAGCTAATGAGAAACCAAGTTTTCATCCAGTCTGTTTAATGTCTGTCTTCCCTACAAGATTATAAGTTCAAAGAGCACAGGAACCATGTCTCTTGCACACCACCATAGTTCTAGAGTCTGGTACAATGCCTGATGCATATAGGCACTCAATAATATTCATTGAGTGAAATTTTGACCAGTGTCACCACTTAAGAATATAAATAATGGCTATTTGTCTCCTTTTTCCTATTAATTGTTTAAGCATGCATTGGCTTTTATTAATAGGAAGTTATTTTCCTTTTGAGGCCTCTATTCCTCTTAACTTGGTAAAGAACTGTAGGTACTTATTCATTCCAGGGCGATGAGTCTTATTTATAAGCTCCATACAGAGTTTATAAAGTCTAGTGAGGAAGTCCAGTCATTCCACTAGCACTGCTGCTTTTCCTGTGGGTCCTGCACAGTACAAGGGTTTAGAATACCAAGGTTACAGCTCTTTAAGTTAATTCTTCATGCTCAGCTGTTGTTGATCCTCAAAATACACCACTGTACCTGCCAGGTTCAGTCCTGGTGCTTTAAACAGAAACATCCCAACCCCCAAGAGCCCTTAGGCTCTAGTGTTGAGCTAAGATAATTAGCCCGGATTCTTGCTGCCTTCAAGGTAATCTTTTCTGCCTTCTTTTATTTTCTTTCTTGTCTTTCTTTCTTTTTCTTTCTCTCTTTCTTTTCTTTTTTTTTTTTTTTGAGACGGAGTCTCACTCTGTCTCCGAGGCTGGAGAGCAGTGGCACTGTGTCAGCTCACTGCAACCTCCGTCTCCTGGGTCAAGCAGTTCTCCTGCCTCGGCCTCCCGAGTAGCTGGGATTACAGGCATGCACCACCATGCCCAGCTAGTTTTTATATTTTTAGTAGAGACGGGGTTTCACCATGTTGGCCAGGCTGGTCTTGAACTCCTCACCTCAGGTGATCCACCTGCCTTGGCCTCCCAAAGTGCTGGGATTACAGGCGTGAGCCACCGCGCCCGGCCTCTCTCTTTCTTCTCTCTCTCTTTCTTTCAGGCAGACTCTCACTCTGTCACCCAAGCTGGAGTGCAGTGGCACAATCTTGGCTCACTGCAACTTCCGCCTCCTGGGTTCAAGCGATTCTCCTGCCTCAGCCTCCCGAGTAGCTGGGACTACAGGCTTGTGCTACCACAGCTGGCTAATTTTTGTATTTTTAGTAGAGACAGGGTTTTGCCATGTTTGCCAGGCTGGTCTCGAACTCCTGGCCTCAAGTGAGCTGCCTACCTTGGCCTCTCTCGCCTCGCCTTGCCGCGCCGTGCCTCTTTCCTTCTCGTTTTTTTTTGAGATGGAGTTTCACTATGTCCTCCCACCTCAGCCTCCCAAAATGCTGGGATTACAGATGTGAGCGACTGCACTCGGCCTAAGGTAATTTCTTCTTTGAGACCACTAGTGTCTTTTACTGCCACCCCAACAGATTTTCAAAACTTTAGATCTACGGAAGAAGAGATTGGATTCTTGGCCCCTTCCTTCTCAGAAATCCCCTTGCTTTCTTATGCAAATTCATCTACTCTCTCCCCAAGACTCTCCAGAACTCTGAAAATTGCTATACCTGTAATCTCGACTACTCAGGAGGCTGAGGTGGGAGGATTGCTTGAACCCAGGAGGCAGAGGTTGCAGTGAGCCAACATCACGCCACTGCACTCTAGCCTGGGCGACAGAGCGAGACTCTGTCTCAAAAATAAAAATAAAACAAAAGAAAAAATCATTGTTATTCCTTGCCTAAGAGTGCCTTCTTGCCTTCAATTTACATAACTAAGAGAACTAGCCAAATGATTTTTCTTTTCTTTTTTTTTTCTTTTTTCTTTCTTTCTTTCTTTTTTTTTTTTTTTTTTTTGAGACATACCTCTTTCAGGAATCTGCAGAGGTTATAAGCCAAGGATTTGGGTCATCTCATCTATCCCCTGAATTACCTAACAACGTGTAAGGGCAAGAGAGAGGAGTATCCAGTTTGACCTCATCTTAACTTGATTACATCCACAAAGGCCCTGTATCCAAATAAGGTCACATTCACAGGTATAGGCAGAGAGGGGGTTAGGATTCCAACTTATCTTTTTGCAGCATACAATTCAACTCACAACAGAGGCCAACACTCACTAAACACCAGCATGTTGTCAAGGGTTATATCTCTTGCTGCTTTCAATGTTTGAGGTGCTAGAATTATGCTGTCTTCTGTATAGAAGTTCCACCTCCTCCACTTTTGTCCCCCTGTGCCTTATAGGGTCCCTTGTAAAACCAGCTCCTCATATTCTGCCTGAAACCTCTTTCTCTGCAGGGTTCAGACACCAATCCACAAGGCTAATGAGGTGACAGACAATACCTAAAGCAGGCCAGGAGTGGTGGAACATGCCTGTGATCCCAGCTACTCGGAAGGCTGAGGCATGAGAATTGCTTGAACCCAGGAGGCAGAGGTTGCAGTGAGCCAACATCGTGCCACTGCACTCCAGCCTGGGTGACAGAGTGAGACTCTGTCTCAAAACAAAACAAAACAACAACAACAACAAACTCTAAAGCAGAGTGGTCAAGAGTGTGAGCTCTGCTGTTAGACCTTCTGGATCTAGTAGCATGTATAATATTTGTTAAACTATTTAATCTTAAGCCTTAGACTCCTTATATTGAAAGTTGGGGCCGGGCTCAGTGGCTCACGCCTGTAATCCCAGCACTTTGGGACGCCAAGGTGGGCGGATCACCTGAGGTCAAGGAGTTCGAGACCAGTCTGGCCAACATGGTGAAACCCCGTCTCTACTAAAAATACAAAAATTAGCCGGGCGTGTTGGTGGGCACCTGTAATCCCAGCTACTCGGGAGGCTGAGGCAGGAGAATGGCTTGAACCCGGGAGGCGGAGGTTGCAGTGAGCCGAGATCACGCCACTGCACACACTGGCCTGGACAACAGAGTGAGACTCTGTCTCAAAAATTAAAAAAAGAAAGCACAAATCTTAAGTGGTGATTCAGTGAACTTTAACAAATGCATGTATCTGAATTTACCAAACCCCTATAAAGACACAGAACATTACCATCAACCCAGAAAGTTATTTCACACCTCTTCTCAATCATCCACCCCTAGCCAGGCATGGTGGCTCATGCCTGTAATCCCAGCACTTTGGGAGGCGAGGTGGGAGGATTGTTTGAGCCCAGGAGTTAGAGGCCAAGCTGGGCAACATAGTGAGACCTCGTCTCTACAAAAAAAAAAAAAAAAATTGTTATTTTAAAGACAGAGTCTCACTCTGTTGCCCAGGCTGGAGTACAGTGGTGCAATCTCAGTTCACTGCAACCTCCACTTCCCAGGTTTAAGCCATTCTTGTGCCTCAGCCTCCCAAGTAGCTGGGATTACAGGTGTGCACCATCATGCCTGGCTAATTTTTGTATTTTTAGTAGAGACGGGTTTCATTACGTTGGCCAGGCTGGTCTTGAGCTCCTGACCTCAGGTGATCTGCCCGCCTTGGCTGCCCATAGTGCTGGGATTACAGGTGTGAGCTACCATGCCTGGCCAAAAAAAAAAAAAATTACTGAGGTATGGTGGAGTATGCCTGTCGTCCTAGCTACTCAGGAGGCTGAGCTGGGAGGCCTGCTTGAGCTGAGGATCTTGAGGCTGCAATGAGGTGTTTATGCCACTGCACTACAACCTGAGTGACAGAGCAAGATTCTGTATCAAAAGAAGAAAAATTATCCAGCCTCTGCCTCCAGGCCCCAGACACTGTGGGCAACCACTGTTCTGATTTTTTTTCCACAAGAAATTAGCAGTTTTGTCTGTTACAGAACTTCATGTAAATTGAATCATATACTATGTATTATTTAATTAGTGTAAAACTTCTTGCACTCGGTCTTTTTTTTTTTTTTTTGAGACAGGGTCTTGCTCTGTCACTCAGAAGTGAAGTGTAGTGGTGAAGTGTAGTGGTGCGATCTTGGCTCACTGCAACCTCCATCTCCTGGGCTCAAGTGATAGTCCTGCTTCAGCCTCCCAAGTAGCTGGGGCTACAAACGCGCCTCAAGATGCCTGGCTAATTTTTGTATTTTTTGTAGAGGGGAGGTTTCGTCGTGTCGCCCAGGCTAGTCTCAAACCCCTGGGCTCAAGTGAACCACCTACCTTGGCCTCCCAATGTGCTGGGATTACAGGCGTGAGCCACTGTGTCTGGCCCACTCAACCTTTATACTGTTGAATAGTATTCTGTTATATGAATATACCATAGTTTGTTTATCTATTTTCGCATTGATGGACATCTAAGCTGTTTCCAGTTTGGGGCTGTTATGAATAAAGCTGTGTGGTAGGCAACCTTCAAAGTGGCCCCAAATGATTCCTGCCCCCTGGTATGTATGGCCTTGTAGATCCACCCCTTCATGCCTTCAGATCAGCCCATAATCCCAGACGATGCCTTAATTGCAGCCCCGAGACACCCTGAAGCACAAGTATTCACGTTCAGTATGTCTGGATCCACAGAAACTGTGAGATAATAAATATTTGTTGTTTTAAGCTGCTAAGTTTTGGGGTAATTTGTTATGCAGCAGTGGATAATACAACAGCTATGAACATTCTTGTAAAAGTCTTTTTCTGGACATGTGTTTTAATTTATCTTGCTATGAATCTAATTTTACTAGGCATTGCTGAATTAATCTCCAAAATGGTTGTGCCAATTTATACTCCCACCATTAACATCTGAGTTCCCTTTTCTTCACTTTCTCACAAATACTTGGTATTACCAGAGTTACTTAATTTTTTTTAAATTTTATTAATTTTGACCAGGCTTAGTGGATCACGTCTGTAATCCCAGCACTTTGGGAGGCCAAGGCGGGTGGATCACCTGAGGCCAGGAGTCCAGCCTAGCCAACACAGGGAAACCCTGTCTCTACCAAAAAATACAAAAATTAGCCAGGTGTGGTAGCATGCGTCTGTAGTCCCAGCTACTCAGGAGGCTGAGGCAGAAGAATTGCTTGAACAGGGGAGGCGGAGGTTGCAGTGAGCCAAGATCGCGCCGCTGCACTTCAGCCTGGGTGACAGAGTGAGACCTTGCCTCAAAAAAAAAAAAAAAAATTATGCCAGGCACGGTGGCTCATGGCTGTAATCCCAGCACTTTGGGAGGCCGAGGCGGGTAGATCACCTGAGGTCGGGAGTTCAAGACCAGCCTGACCAACATGGAGAAACCCCGTCTCTACGAAAAATACAAAATTAGCCGGGCCTGGTGGCGCATGCCTGTAATCCCAGCTACCCGGGAAACTGAGGCGGGAGAATTGCTTGAACCTGGGAGGTAGAGGCTGCGGTGAGCCAAGATTGTGCCATTGCACTCCAGCCTGGGCAACAAGAGCGAAGCTCCATCTCAAAAAAAAAAAATTAATTTTGCCAATTTGATGGTTGTGAAATATTACCAATCAAATTGCTTTGAGGTAAGAATAAGTCCCATCTCCTTCACTCTGTGTCATTCTACTTTTAATTTTCCTGATTACTAGTAAGATTTACCATCTTTTCACATGTTTATTGGCTCTTTTGTGTTTCATTCTGTGTGCATTATCTGTTCATATAATTTTCCCACTCTTTTTAGACAGGGTCTTGGTCTGCCACCCAGGCTGGAGTGCAGTGACTCAATCTCAGCTCACTGTAGCCTCGGCCTCCTGGGCTTATGCAATCCTCCCAACTCAGCCTCCCAAATAGCTGGGACTACAGGCATGTGCCACCATGCCTGGCTAATTTTTTTTTTTTTTTTGAGATGGAGTCTCGCACTGTCACCCAGGCTGGAGTACAGTGGCGTGATCTCCACTCACTGCAAGCTCCACCTCCCGGGTTCACACCATTCTCCTGCCTCAGCCTCCTGAGTAGCTAGGATTGCAGGTGCCTGCCACCACGCCCAGCTAATTTTTTGTATTTTCAGTAGAGATGGGGTTTCACTATGTTGGCCAGGCTGGTCTCCAACTCCTGACCTCGTGATCCGCCCACCTCAGCCTCCCAAAGTGCTGGGATTACAGGCGTGAACCACCGCGCCCAGTCTCCTGGCTAATTTTGTTTATATTTTGTAGTGATGAGGTCTTGCTATTTTGCCCAGGCTTTGTTTTCCCATTTTTAAATTGAGTTACCTTTTTTGATTTATGAGAGTTCTTTATATGTAGTGGGTATTCATTATTTGCTGCTATATTTATAGCAATTTTCTTCTCCCATTTGGTGGCTTAATTTTTTATTTTATTTTTTATTTTTATTTTTGAGACAGGATTGCACAGGCTGGAGTATATTGGTGCCATCACAGCTCACTGCAGCCTTGACCTCCCAGGCTCAAGGGATCCTCCTGTCTTACCCTCCCGAGTAGCTGGGACTACAGGTGTGTGTCACCATGCCCATCTAATTTTCCTTTTTATTTTTTTGTAGAGATTGGGTCTCACTATCATAAACCAAAAACAAACTCTAAGCCCCCCAGCCAATTGAATGGACCCCTCCTCTTGGCCAAAGGCATTCCTAAGTTAACCTGAAAAACTAGTTGAGGCCATGATGGGAAGTGGGGGTCCAAAATGCCTCATTATTTTCTCCTCCCATTGGAATTCAGACACAGCTGAGCAGCATTTAACATTAAAACAGAGACCTTAAGTGCTGGGAGCGGTGGCTCACGCCTATAATCCCAGCACTTTGGGAGACTGAGGCGGGCAGATCACGAGGTCAGGAGATCGAGACCATCCTGGCTAACATAGTGAAACCCCATCTCTACTAAAAATACAAAAAATTAGCTGGGCGTGGTGGCAGGCACCTGCATTCCCAGCTACTCCGGAGGCTGAGGCAGAATGGCGTGAACCTGGGAGGTGGAGCTTGCAGTGAGTGGAGATCATGCCACTGCACTCCAGCCTAGGCAACAGAGCGAGACTCTGTCTCAAAAAACAAACAAACAAACAAACAAACAAACAAACAAAGAAAAAAACCAGAGACCTTAAGACAAACAAAGCAGACTCTTTATAGCAATAAGATACCAACAGGACAGATAGCAGGCTCTAAAAGAAATCAAAGTATTTTCCCCACCAATATATTTATTTGACATATTTTGAAATGGCATGGCCCTGCAAAGCTGTTTCTTGTGGGGACAATCTACATACTGTAGTGAATCCTCTACCCTTTCTAGATCTTCCCCCGCCTATCCAGGAGACAATTAACTAAGAGTATGGCACCTCTTTAAGTCTAATAAGAAACATTTATAGTCTATTCTCTCTGAAGCCTGCTACCTGGAGGCTTCATCTGCATAATAAAAACCTTGGTCTCCACAACCCCTTATCATAACCCAGGCACTCTCATCTATTGATTCCAGGTCTTTAGATAAACTCTTTCAAGGAATTGCCAGTCAGGAAATCTTTGAATCTATCTATGACTTGGACCTTCGACTTGTCCTGCCTTTCTGGACCCAACCAATGTACAGCTTACATGTATTGATTGATGTCTTATGTCTCCCTAAAATGTATAAAACCAAGCTGTGTAGCTCAACCACCTTGGGCACACGTTCTCAGGACCTCCTGAGGCTGTATTATGGGCATGTCCTTAACCTTAGCAAAATAAACTTCTAAGTTGATTGTGACTTGTCTCAAATACTTTTCGGTTTATACTATGTTGCCCGGGCTGGTAAATTCCTGGACTCAAGCAATCCTCCCGCCCAGACTCCCAAAGTGCTGGAATTACAGGCATGAACCACCATGCCCAGCTTAATTTTTTCATAAAATTTTCCCCTGTACAGCTGTCATCCATCCACTCATCTATATCATTCTGGCTCTTAGAATATATCCTATAGATGTGTTCATGAACACAGATGTAAAAAAAGAAAAAAAGAGATTATATCCAATAGAAACTTCACCAAGGCTGGGCACGGTGGCTCATGCCTGTAATCCCAACACTTTGGGAGGCTGAGGAGGGCAGATCACCTGAGGTCAGGAGTTTGAAACCAACCTGGCCAACATGGTGAAACCCTGTCTCTACTAAAAATACAAAAAAACTAGCCAGGCATGATGGCGCACGCCTGTAGTCCCCAGCTACTTGGGAGGCCGAGGCAGGAGAATCGCTTTAACCTGGCAGAGGTTGCAGTGAGCTGAGATCGCACCACTGCGCTCCAGCCTGGGCAACAGCGTAAGACTCCATCTCAAAAAAAACAAAAATAAACTTCACCAATTGTTAACTCTGGTTACTCCGGGATGTGAGATTTTGGGGTTCTTGTTGCTTTGTTTGTTCTTTGTCGATTGACTTTTCTATAAAAAGCATATTTGATTTTTTAAAAGCAATGAAGTCTGCATTTCCTGTTTAGTTGGAGGTGTGAATTGAGAATCTGGAGAATGAGAAAAGAAGGAAAAGAAAAAATTTATTTGCAATTTGCTTGGGGGAGGGTGGGATTGGGAATCAAGTGAAGTTTGGCAAGGAGACTCAAACCAGTTGCTGTCTCTCACTTCCAGCTGAGGTAGGAATGAAGCAAGTTTACCAGTGAGTGGCAGGCCGCCACATTTCATAAAAACCTACATATGTGGCCCGGTGCAGTGGCTCATGCCTGTAATCCCAGCACTTTGGGAGGCCGAGGCACGTGGATCACGAGGTCAGGAGCTCGATACCAACCGGATGAACATGGTGAAACCCTGTCTCTACTAAAGATAAAAAAATTAGCCGGGCATGGTGGTGCATGCCTGTAATCCCAGCTACTCAGGAGGCTGAGGCAGGAGAATCACTTGAACACAGGAGGCAGAGGTTACAGTGAGCCAAGATCGTGCCATTGCACTCCAGCCTGGGCGACAGAGCAAGACTCTGTCTCAAAAAACAAACAAACAAAAAACAAAAAATCCTACATATGTGCTCAGAATTCCACATGGATGAGTAGTGACCAATCCCCCAGAAGCCCTTCTCATCATGTGTCCTCCCAGTCACTGCTCATCTCAAAAGTAACTACTATCCTGACCAAAGCTTAATTTTCCCTCTTTTAGAATTTTATATAAATGGAATCATACAGTATGTACTCTTATGTCTGGCTTTTTTTTTTTTTTTTGAGACGGAGTTTCACTCTTGTTGCCCAGGCTGGAGTGCAATGGCGCGATCTCGGCTCACCGCAACCTCTGCCTCCCGGGTTCAAGTGATTCTTCTGCCTCAGCCTCCCTAGTAGCTGGGATTATAGGTGTGTGCCACCACGCCCGGCTAATTTTGTATTTTTAGTAGAGACAGGGTTTCTCCATGTTGGTCAGGCTGGTCTCGAACTCCCGACCTCAGGTGATCCTCCTGCCTCGGCCTCCCAAAGTGCTGGGATTGCAGGCATGAGCCACTGCGCCCGGCCTGTCTGGCTTCTTTAACTCAACATTGTGTTTGTAAGTCTTCCATGTTGTTGTGTGTTGAGATAGTTTGCTTCTCAGCCCTTTGGCTAAGATCAAGTGTAGAAATATGAAGTATTGGTTTTAAGTCACTTTGATTGTATTATCTTCACTTTCATTTTGTATTCTGGATACAAATCCTTCCTTGGATATATGTATTTGAAACATCTCCCTCTCTGTCTTGCCTTTTCACTCTCTTTTGTTAAACAGTGTATTTTGTTAAATAGCAGTTCTTTCTTTTAATTTATGAAGAAAGGAGGTTTAATTGGCTCACAGTTCTGTAGGCTGTACAGGAAGCACAGCTGGGGAGGCCTCAGGAAACTTACAATCATGGTGGAAGGTGAAGAGGAAGGAGATAATGTGTGTGTGTGTGTGTGTGTGTGTGTGTGTGTGTGTGTGTGTTTTGTTGTTGTTGTTGTTGTTTTTCTTTTCTTTTTTTTTTTTTTTTGAGACGGAGTCTCACTCTGTCACCCAGGATGGAGTGCAGTGGTGAGATCTTGGCTCACTGCAAGCTCCGCCTCCTGGGTTCATGCCATTCTCCCACCTCAGCCTCCCGAGTAGCTGGGACTACAGGCGCCTGCCACCATGCCTGGCTAATTTTTGTATTTTTTGTAGAGATGGGGTTTCACTGTTAGCCAGGATGGTCTCGAGAGTTGACCTCATGATCCGCCCGCCTCGGCCTCCCAAAGTGCTGGGATTACAGGTGTGAGCCACCGCGCCTGGCCAAGGAAGGAGATATGTTTTACATGGCCAAAGCAGGAGGAAGAGCAGTTATTTATTTCAATCAAGTCCAATTTATCATTTGTTCCTTCAATGGTTAGCACTTTTTGTGTCCTGTTTAAAAAATCTTTGCTAACTTCCAGATAATATTTTTAAATATTAGGCTTTTTTCCTCCCTGTATTTTACCCTTTCTTTCTCCCTTTCTAGAAAATAGCAGGCTCTGTGCTTTATTACCTTCTAGGAAGTAGGTGGCCCAGCTGAGAGCAGATTAGCTTGCAGGATATTTGAGCTTTCCTTTCTTTTCTTTTTTTTTTTTAATGACACGGAGTCTCGCTCTGTTGCCCAGGCTGGAGTGCAATGGCATGGTCTCAGCTCACTGCAACCTCCGCCTCCTAGGCTCAACTGATTCTCCTGCCTCAGCCTCCCAAGTAGCTGGGATTACAGGCACCCGCCACCATGCCTGGCTAATTTTTGTATTTTTATTAGAGACAGGGTTTCGCCATGTTGGCCAGGCTGGTCTTGAACTCCTGACCTCAGGTGATCCACCCACCTCGGCCTCCCAAACTGCTGGGATTACAGGTGTGAGCCACTGTGCCTGGCCTGAGCTTTCTTTTTCTTTTCTTTTTTCTTTTTCTCTTTTTTTTTTTTTTGAGGCAGAGTCTTGCTCTGTCACCCAGGCTGGAGTGCAGTGGCTCAATCTTGGCTCACTGCAGCCTCTGCCTCCCGGGTTCCAGCAATTCTCTCCTGCATCAGCCTCCTGGGTAGTTGGGATTACAGGCACACACCAGCAGGCCCAGCTAATTTTTTTATCTTTAGTAGAGACAGGGTTTCATCCTGTTGACCAGGCTGGTCTCAAACTCCTGACCTCAGGTGATCTGCCTGCCTCAGCCTCCCAAATTGCTGGGATTACAGGCATGAGCCACTGCACCCGGCCGGATCTTTCTTTTCTAAAAGCCCAAGCACTTTAAGGAGAATTGGGTTTGAAGGAGAATGGGGCTCCCATCAGATTATAAAGAGATGTCCCTTGGGTTGCAGGCTGAAGGGGGGAAATTTCAGCTGGGGAGCTGGGCCTGACTTCTTACAGATTCCTGGTAAGGGCTCGCAGTGGAATAGTTGCTTAATGAATGTGGGAGCTAGGAATGCAAGGCCTGTGTTGACATGTATTATAAGAAATTTCTGTGTCCCAAGCATGGCACAGAAGCCACAGAGAGCCTACCAATCTAAAAATACCAAGTGAACAATGTCCCTCAGTGATAACCTGTGGGGATAAACAATCCTCCTCAACACCTTGCCAAGGTTTGGCATTACATAAGACCCCAGAACCAGTTAGGGAAGCCCCAAGAATTTAACCAAGATTGATTCCCCACTCCTGCCCCAGCAGAAGTAGCTGTATCTACTTCTTTTTTTTTTTTTTTTTTTTTTTGAGATGGAGTCTTACTCTGTCACCCAGGCTGGAGTACAATGGTGTGATCTCAGCTCACTGCAACCTCCACCTCCTGGGTTCAAGCGATTCTCCTGCCTCAGCCTCCTTAGTAGCTGGGATTACAGGCGCCCGCCACCACGCCCAGCTAATTTTTGTATTTTTAGTAGAGACAGGGTTTCACTATGTTGGCCAGGCTGGTCTCGATCTCCTGACCTCAGGTGATCCGCCGGCCTCGGCCTCCCAAAGTGCTGGGATTACAGGCGTGAGCCACCGTGACCAGCCTGTATCTACTTCTTTATGTGGCAGTTTCTGGCGTTTGAGATTGAATTGAGAAAGGGGATCATTAAAAACTATTTAAAGATGTAATCATGGAACATGGATGGAAATTACTTGATGTGAACTGCAGGTGAAAGTGTAATCTTCTTAATAAATTCCAGTTTCAGCCAGCATAGCTTCCTGAATGATCTAGGATTAAAATAATAACATGGTTTAAAATGGAAGGTTTTTTTTCCCCCCTGAATTGTATTCCTTTTCTTGATCCTCTTAGGAGCTCACCAAACTTTTCTTCCTTCTGTATTTTTCCTTTCCCTTAAAACAAAATGAACTTTGTTGCTTTCATTAGACCTAAAAAATGCTCTTAATTTTTATAATATGAAGTTTAAAATGCTCATAATTTATTTTTTTTATTTATTTATTTGAGACCGGGTCTCACTCTGTTGCCCAGGCTGGAGTCCAGTGGCATGAACACAGCTTACAGCAGCCTCGACCTTCCAGGTTCAAATGAACCTCAGACCACCTCAGCAGTCCCACCTCAGCCTCCTGAGTAGCTGGAATTAGAGGTGTGCACCACCATGGCCAGCTAATTAAAAACTTTTTTCTTTTTTTTTTTGAGACGGAGTGTTGCTCAGCTGCCCAAGCTGGAGTGCAGTGGTGCGATCTTGGCTCACTGCAACCACCGTCTCCCTGGCTCAAGCGATTCTCTCATCTCAGCCTCCCGAGTAGCTGGGATTACAGGCACCCAACATCATGCCCGGCTAATTTTTGTGTTTTAGTAGAGACGGGGTTTCACCATGTTGGACAGGCTAGTCTTGAACTTCTGACCTCAGGTGATCCACCTGCCTAGGCCTCCCAAAGTGCTAGGATTACAGGCGTGAGCCACCTCGCCCGGCCTAAAACAATTTTTTTTCTTTATTTTTTAATTTATTTTTTTGAGATGGGGTCTCACTATGTTGCCCAGGCTGGTCTTGTACTCCTGGACTCAAGCAAGCCTCCTCCCACCTAGGTCTCCCGAAGTGCTGGAATTACAGGTGTGAGCCACCACGCCTGGCCTACTTTTTTTTTTTTTTTTTTTTTTTTTTTTGAGATGGAGTCTCGCTCTGTCATCCAGGCTGGAGTGCAATGGCGCCATCTCGGCTCACTGCAAGCTCCGCCTCCTGGGTTCACGCCATTCTCCTGCCTCAGCCTCCTGAGTAGCTGGGACTACAGGCGCCCGCCACCATGCCTGGCTAATTTTTTTGTATTTTTAGTAGAGACAGGGTTTCACTGTGTTAGCCAGATGGTCTTGATCTCCTGACCTCGTGATCTGCCCACCTCGGGCTCCCAAAGTGCTGGGATTACAGGCGTGAGCCACCGCACCCGACCAACCTGGCCTACTTTTTAAAATGTTTAAAATAAAATAATATTTGATGTATATGAAAGAATATTTGTAATTTGTTATTTAAATTATAAAGCTTAATAATAAACACCCATTTTTTTTTTTTTTTTTTGAGATGGAGTCTCGCTCTGTCGCCCAGGCTGGAGTGCAGTGGCGTGATCTTGGCTCATTGCAAGCTCCGCCTCCCGGGTTCACGCCATTCTCCTGCCTCAGCCTCCTGAGTAGCTGGGACTACAGGTGCCCGCCACCACCCCCGGCTTTTTTGTTTGTTTGTTTGTTTTGGTATTTTTAGTAGAGACAGGGTTTCACCGTGTTAGCCAGGATGGTCTTGATCTCCTGACCTCGTGATCCGCCTGCCTCGGCCTCCCAAAGTGCTGGGATTACAGGCATGAGCCACGGCGCCCGGCCTAAACACCCATTTAAAAACTAGAAAATTACTATTAACTTGCATCTATCTTTTTTTTTTTTTCGAGATGAGGTCTCACTCTGTCGCCCAGGCTGGAGCGCAGTGGTGCAGTCTCCAGTCACGGCAACCTCTGCCTCCCGGGCTGAAGCAATTCTCCTGCCTCAGCCTCCCCAGTAGCTGGGATTATAGGCACCCACCAACGCATCTGACAAATTTTTGTATTTTTAATAGAGACAGGGTTTCACCATGTTGGCCAAGCTGGTCTTGGACTCCTGACCTCAGGTGATCCACCCTCCTTGGCGTCCCAAAGTGCTGGAATTACAGGCGTGAGCCACCGGCCCGGCCTCATTCAACATTGTATTTCTAAGATTCATTCATTTTGTTATATGTGGCTGCAGTTCATTTGCTTTCAAATATATTCCATTATGTATATATACAACAATTCATTTTTCTCTCAATGGACATTCGGGTTGTTTCCTTCTTTTTACTATTTTTTATTCTTTTTTGAGACGGAGTCTTGCTCTGTTGCCCAGGCTGGAGTGCAGTGGTGTGATCTCAACTCACTGTAACCTCTGCCTCTCGGGTTCAAGCGATTCTCCTGCCTCCACCTCCCGAGTAGCTGGGACTACAGGTGTGTGCCACCATGCCCAGCTAATTTTTGTATTTTTAGTAGAGACAGGGTTTCACCATATTGGTCTGGCTGGTCTTGAACTCCTGACCTCAGAATCTGCCCACCTCGGCCTCCCAAAGTGCTGGGATTACAGGCATGAGCCACGGAGCCCGGCCACTTTTTTTTTAAATTTTTAACTTCTGTGCATATATAGTAGGTGTATATATTATGGGGTGCATGAGATGTTTTGATACAGGCATGCAATGTGAAATAAGCACATCATGGAGAACGGGGTATTCATCATCTCAAGCATTTATCCTTTGAGTCACAAACAATCCAATTACACTCCTTAAGTTATTTTATTATTATTTTTTGAGACAGAGTTTCTCTCTTGTTGCCCAGGCTGGAGTGCAATGGCACAATCTCGGGTCGCTGCATCCTCTGCCTCCCAGGTTCAAGCGATTCTCCTGCCTCAGCCTCCCTAGTAGCTGGGATTACAGGCAGGAGGCATCACACCTGGCTAATTTTGTATTTTTTAGTAGAGTTTCACTATGTTGGTCAGGTTGTTCTCGAACTCCTAACCTCAGGTGGTCCGCCTGCCTCAGCCTCCCAAAGTGCTGAGATTATAGTCATGAGCCACCATTCTTGGCCTTTAAGTTATTTAAAAATGTACAATTGGCTGAGCACGGTGGCTCACGCCTGTAATCCCAGCACTTTGGGAGGCCGAGGTGGGTGGATCACGAGATCAGGAGATTGAGACCATCCTGGCTAACACAGTGAAACCCCGTCTCTACTAAAAATACAAAAAAATTAGCGGGGCGTGGTGGTGGGCACCTGTAGTCCCAGCTACTTGGGAGGCTGAGGCAGGAGAATGGCGTGAACCTGGAAAGTGGAGCTTGCAGTGAGCCGAGATCGCACCACTGCACTCCAGCCTGGGCGACAAAGCAAGACTCCATCTCAAAAAAAATAAAATGTACAATTAAGTTATTATTGGCCGGGCACGGTGGCTCACGCCTGTAATCCCAGCACTTTGGGAGGCTGAGGCAGGTGGATCACCTGAGGTTGGGAGTTCAAGACCAGCCTGACCAACATGGAGAAACCCCGTCTCTACTAAAAATACAAAAATTAGCCGGGCGTAATGGTGCATGCCTGTAATTCCAGCTACTAGGGAGGCTGAGGCAGGAGAATCGCTTGAACCAGCCTGGGCAACAAGAGCAAAACTGTGTCTCAAAAAAAAAAGTATTATTAACTATAGTCACCCTATTGTGCTATCAAATGGTAGGTCTTACTCATTCTTTCTATTTTTTTATGCCCATTAACCATCCCCACCTCCCCTCCCAACCCCCCTCCCTTCCCAGCTTCTGGTAACCATCCTTCTACTCTCTATATATATGAGTTCAGTTTCAAAGTTCTTAATTTTAATGTGGTCTATATAAGATCAGGTCTTATTATCAATAAGTTACAAATTACTTGAAAACGTAGTGGCTGTGGTCTCACCTGAAGGGTTGAGTGAAGGAGAATCCACTTCCAAACTCACTTATGTGATGATTAATAACCCTGGTGTCTTGTCTTGGGTGTCTTTCTATAGATCTGCCTCATGATGTGGAAACTGAGTTCCAGGGTGAGCAATCTGAGAGAGAGAGAGAGAGCTAGAGAGAGAGAGAGAGAGAGACTTTGCAGACAGAAGCCACCATGTTTTTGTGACCTAATCTCAAAAGGGCTATTCCATCACTTCCGGCCTATTGTATATGTTAGAAGCAAATCACTACATCCAGTCCATTTCCAAGGAGAAGGGATCATACAAGTGTATGAATATCAGGAGAAAGGGATCATCGGTGCCATCTTAGAGACTGCCTACCACACAGGGGGAAGTATGCTCCATAGATGGGGGAACTATAGTATTCTCCAGTATTTTCTTCTAAAGATTTTGAAGTTGTCACTGCCCTGCAGCCAAAGACCACCAGTAAGAGACCTGAATTGAGTATGGACACACTTGAACAAGTTGGGTTTATTACTCATTGTAGCAAGGGAGGACATATCATGAGCAATCAAGGGGTTTCTCAGTAAGATCATGTTAGAAGGAAACTCTTATTTGACTTTGGTTTGGTGATTTGGAGGAGGGTCTAAGATAGTCGTGGTTTAGTCTAGGTTGAATGCTATCAGAAAGCAGGGACAGTTCTATGATTGTATATCTCAATAAATCTTATCTATAGGGAGGGGAAAATATTGTGAAGATAAAGTTGAAATTGGTAAAGAAGTAACAGTCACTTATTTTGGGCCAGAGAGGGGTCATTTGGTATATTGTGGGTGGCACAGTGCTTAGACAAAATTATGAAGTGACCTTGATTTGTCTCATTTTTTTTTCATGGTCTCAGAATAAACTTGTTTGAGGTTGATATTCTGTGAGATTGTTTATGTCTAAATAGGAGAATAACATAGCCTACCTCTGAGTGTTAAGCCAGTTTCTGAATATCAGGGGCTGCTATTTTTTGTTTCTTTTTCAAAGTTTTGCCTGTATTTTTAAGTGATTAAGAAGCCTAGAATTGGATTTTTGAACATGACATAGTTAGTGTAAGGATGAAATCTGATTTCTCTCTCTCTCTCTCTCTTTTTTTTTTTTTTCCAAGACAGAGTCTCGCTCTGTCATCCAGGCTGGAGTGCAGTGGCATGATCCTGGCTCGCTGCAACCTCCACCTCCCGGGTTCAAGCGATTCTCATGCCTCAGCCTCCCAAGTAGCTGGGATTACAGGCGCCCACCACCAAGCCTGGCTAATTTTTGTATTTTTAGTGGAAACGGGGGTTTCACCATGTTGGCTAGGCTAGTCTCGAACTCCTGACCTCAAGTGATCCAACCCCCGTCCCCCACCGGCCTCCCACAGTGCTGGGATTACAGGCTAATTTTTGTATTTTTAGTAGAGACGGGGTTTCACCATGTTGGCCAGGCTGGTCTCGAATTCCTGACCTCAGGTGAGGAATTTTATCTCTACTAATCCCAGCTACTAGGGAGGCTGAGGGCGGAGGATCGCTTGAACCTGGGAGGCGGAGGTTGCAGTGAGCCAAGATCATGCCACTGCGTTCCAGCCTGGGCAACAGAGAGAGACTTCGTCTAAAAAAAAAAAAGAAAAGAAAAGAAAAAGAAAGAAGGAAGGAAGGAAGGAAAGAAAGAAAGGAAGAAAGAGAAAGAAAGAAAGAAAGAAAGAAATGAAAACAGGAGAATGATTGAATTACCTAGATATCTGGCTCCATAATAAATGTTTACGTAGTACTTTTAAATAATGAAGGACTAAATGGGGAGGGGACAAAACATCATAGAAAAGGTTACAAGAATAGTTTTAGACAGATGTAGGTCAAATATAAAGAATCTGAATTTGCTGTAAGTTGCCATTTAGATAGCTTGAAATTTAGTCTATGTTCTTGGATTTCTAAAAATCTTTTGTTTTTGTTTTTTTAAAAAAATCATTTTATTTTTTAACTACTTTATTGAAGTGTAATTGACACACAAAAAGCTATACATATTTAATGTGTACAACTTGATTAATTTGGAGGTAAGTATACACCTGTGAAGCCACTACTGCAATCTATGCCATAAACCTATCCGTCATCTCCAAAACCTTCCTCCACTCACCCTCTTTATAATGTTTGTTTATTTATTTTTATGTATTTTATCTTGATTTTTAGTAAAGACGAATTCAACCTGGGAGGCGGAGGTTTCAGTGAGCCGAGATCGCGCCACTGCACTCCAGCCTGGGCGAAAGAGCAAGACTCCGTCTCAAAAAAAAAAAAAAAAAAAGCCAGGCACTGTTCTAAGTATGTCATACAGACTAATTTATGTGTATCTCACAATAACCTATGTTCACTTTATAAATTAGGAAACTGGTGCACAGAGAGGGGAAGTTATTTTCCCAAGATCATGCTACTAGCAAGTACTAAGTCAGAACTAGAACCAGACAGTCTGACTCTAAAGTCTGTGCTTTCTTGCCAGGTGTGGTGGCTCATACCTCTAATCCCAGCACTTTGGGAGGCCAAGATAGGATGTTTGCTTGAGCCCAGGAGTTTGAGACCAGCCTGGCGAACATAGCCAGACCCCATCTCTACAAAAATTAGCCAGCTGTGGTGGCACGTGTCTGTAGTCGAAGCTACTCGGGAGGCTGAGGTGGGAGGATCACTTGAGCCTGGGAGGTTGAGGCTGCAGTGAGCTAGGATCACACCACTGCACGGAACAAGAACTTGTCTTAAAAAATAAATAAAATAAATAAAATAAAGTCTGTGCTCTCAATCTGTATGATATTCTACACTGCCTCCCAAAAAGGCGTGCCCACTACCCCATCTGACTAATTTTTGTACTTTTAGTAGAGACAGGATTTCACCATGTTGGCCAGACTGGTCTCAAAGTCCTGACCTCAGGTGATCCGCCTGCCTTGGCCTCCCGAAGTGCTGGGATTATGGGTGTGAGCCACCGTGCCTGGCCTCACAGTTGTATATTCAACTGCCTGCTGGAACTTTCCACATGGATGTCTCATAGGCTTCCCTAATTTAGCATGTCTAAAATAGAGTCCTGATCTTCCCACTACCACAAACCTATTCTTCCTTCAGTCTTACCCAGCTAGGTTAGTGGCAACTCCATCCTTTCAGTTGTTTGAACTAAAACCCTAAGAGTCATCCTTAATACTTCTCTTTCCTTTGGATTCAAGTCTGTTATTAAAACCTCTTACCCTCATCTCCAAAATATATTCTAAGTCTGTCCACTTCTCACCATCTGCACTAAGAAATCTTGGGAATCACTACTAAGAAAACAAGAGGAGAAGGAACATTTGTACTTTCCCAAATCAAGAGAGCAGCATGAGCCTGACAAGGTGGCTGATACCTGTAAATCCCTGCACTTCGGGAGGCCGAGACGAGAGGATTGCTTGAGCCCAGGAGTTCAAGACCAGCTGGGCAATATGGCGAGACTCTGTCTGTACAAAGAGTAAAATTAGCCAGGCGTGGTGGCGTGTGCCTGTAGTCCCAGCTACTTAGGAGGCTGAGGTGGGAGAATTGCTTGAGGATGGGAGGTCGAGGCTGCAGTGAGCCATGATCTCGCCACTGCACTCCAGCCTGGCGACAGAGTGAGACCCTGTAACAACAACAACAAAAAAAGCCGGGCGCAGTGGCTCACGCCTGTAATCCCAGCACTTTGGGAGGCCGAGGCGGGCGGATCACGAGGTCAGGAGATCGAGGCCATCCTGGCTAATATGGTGAAACCCCATCTCTACTAAAATACAAAAAATTAGCTGGGCGTGGTGGTGGGTGCCTGTAGTCCCAGCTACTCAGGAGGCTGAGGCAGGAGAATCGCCTGAACCTGAGAGGCAGAGGTTGCAGTGAGATGAGATGGCACCACTGCACTCCAGCCTGGGCGACAGAGTGAGACTCTGTCTCAAAAAACAAACAAACAAACAAACAAACAAAAAAACAGCACTCTTCCTGTACCCTTGGCAGATTAGACAGGGGTTTGGGAGGAAAAGTATCATAGTACTTGCTGCTATTAATCACTGGAGTCCACAGTGTGATAGACTCACAATTCACTTTTTCATCTACTTATTTAAAGTAAGATTTTAAAAACTCCTCAAGGCTGGGCGCGGTGGCTCATGCGTGTAGTCCCAACACTTTGGGAGGCCGAGGCGGGTGGATCACCTGAGGTCAGGAGTTCGAGACCAGCTTGGCCAACATGATGAAACCCCGTCTCTACTAAAAATACAAAAATTAGCCAGGCATGGTGATGCATGGTGACGCGTGCCTGTAATACCAGCTACTAGCGGGGCTGAGGCAGGAGGATCCCTTGAACCTGGGAAGTGGAGGTTGCAGTGAGCCGAAATCATGCCACTGCACTCCAGACTGGGCAACAGAGCAAGAGTCCGCCTCAAAAAAAATAAAAAAATAAAAAAGATAAAAAATAAAAACTCCTCAGGGGCATACACACTCCTTGCCTTCCAAGGAGCTGGAGTGTGTGCTTATACCTTTGTATATTTGCACACATTGTTCTCTCACCTGCAATTCCCTCTTGTCTGTTTAGCCAACTCCTAACTCCTCCTAAAGTCTTAGTCCAGATTTACATTCCTCTGATAACTACTTATTAAATGGTACCTATAGACCAGGCTGTGGTCTGAGGTGTTAGCGAGATGAATGAGACTGTTCATTCTCAAGTAGCTTCACAGGCTGGTCTCAGAGAAAGAAATATAAAGGAACAGATGCTGCAAGGAGTTACAGGTGCTATGATAGAGGTCTCAATGGATTTCAACATGGAAATGTCTAGTTCTACCTGAGGGCATCAGATGAGTCTGGAAAAATAAATAGGTGTTCACCAGGTACAGAGAGAAGCAAGAGAAAAGATACAAAGGTGTGAAAAAAAACAATCTGGTGAATATAAGAATGTTGAGCTGGCTGGGCACAGTGGCTCACACCTGTAATCCCAGCACTTTGGGAGGCTGAGGCGGGCAGATCACGAGGTCAGGAGCTCGAGACCAGCCTGGCCAACATAGTGAAACCCCGCCTCTACTAAAAATACAAAAATTAGCCGGGCATGGTGGCGGGCACCTGTAGTCTCAGCTACTCAGGAGGCTGAGGCAGGAGAATCGCTTGAACCCAGGAGGCAGAGGTTGCAGCGAGCAGAGATTGCACCACTACACTCTAGCCTGGGCGACAGAGAGAGACTCAGTCTCAAAAAAAAAAAAAAAAACCCAGAATGTTGAGCCATTCAAAATCGGTGGGGCATCAGGGTGGTAGTTTGGGTGGTTTATGAGATGAGGATGGTGAAATCCACAGTGGGTAAATCACAAAGAAATGTAAATGCCGGGCTGAACAACTTGGGTATTTATCCTGTGGGAGAGGGAGAGTCATCGAAAAGGTTTTGCATTTTTTTTTCCAGTTTCATTCCACAGATGAAAATGGAAAGGTTTTAATCAGGGGAGTGACCTGGTAAATTTGTGTGTTACAAAGATTCAGCTGTGTCAGTGATTTTTTTGGAGCTGGCTTCTACCAACTCCCAAGAAAGACATTTGTTAAAATGTCAGGAATTTTGCAAGCTAACTGACATCGTATTAGTGGCTTGAAATTGGTATAATGGGAATATTTACACCATGGAAATCAGCAAATGCTACAAATTGAGTTTCTTTTTTTCTAGAGAGTCTGTTAAACATTTACCAGGACACAGCTGGCAGTGGCCATTGTAGCAGGTGGACTGGAAGAGGAAATTGGAGAGAGGCAAATGCAATAATCAAGGAGGGGTAGAGGCCATGCACCGTGGCTGACACCCATAATCCCAGCACTTTGGGAGGCCAAAGTGGAAGGATCACTTGAGCCTAGAAGTGCCTGTAGTCCCATCTACTTGGGAGGCTGAGGCAGGATGATTGCTTGAGCCCAGGAGCTCAAGGCTGCATGCAGTGAGCTATGATTGCACCACTGCATTTAGGCCTCAGTGACAGAATGAGACCCTATCTCTATTACAGTAAAAAAGGAAGTAAAAAGACAACCCACAGAGTGGGAGAAAATAGTTTTAAATCACATATCTGATAAGGGACTAGTATCCAGAATATATAACAAACTCCTACAGCTCAACGGCAGAAAGATAAACAACCCAACTAAAAATGGGCCGGGTGCAGTAGTTCATGCCAGTAATCCCAGCATTTTGGGAGGCTGAGGCGGGAGAATTGCTTGAGCCCAGGAGTTCAAGACCAGCCTGGGCAACATAGTGAGACCTCATATCTACAAAAATTTTTTTTAAAGCTGGGTGTGGTGGCATGCACCTGTGATCCCAACTACTCAGGAGGCTAAGGTGGGAAGATCACTTGAGTCCAGGAGTTGAGGCTGCAGTCAGCTATGATTACACCACTGCACTCCAGTCTGGGCAACAGAGCAAGACCCCGTCTCAAATAATAATAATAATAATCCACCTAAAAATGGGCAACAGGTTCGAATAGACAGTTCTCCAAATAAGATATACAAATGGCCAATGAGCACATGAAAAAATGCTCAACATCATTAGTCATAGGGAAATGTAAATCAGAACCACAATGAAATATTACTTCCTACCCACTAGGATGACCATACAAACAAACAAACAAACAAAACAGAAAGCAACAATTGTTGGTGATGATGTGGAGAAACTGGAACCCTTGTACGTTGCTGGTGGGAACGTAAAATGGCGCAGCCACTGTGGAAAACAGTTTGGGTTCCTCAACAGGTTAAAAAGAATTATCATATGTCCCAGCAATTCCACTTCTAGGTACATACCCAAAATAATTGAAAGTAAGTGTTCAAACAAAAGCTTGCACATGAATATTCACAGCAGCACTATTCACAAAAACCAAAAGGTAGAAACATCTCAAATGTATATGAATTGATGAATGGATAAACAAATGTATGTCCATACAATAGAATATAATTCAGCCATAAGAGGGAATGAAGCACTGACACATACTACAATATGGATGAACCTTGAAAACGTGTGACATGAAAGAAACCAGACCTGGCTGGGCGTGGTGGCTCACGTCTGTAATCCCAGCACTTTGGGAGGCTGAGGCGGGTGGATCACGAGGTCAGGAGATTGAGACCATCCTGGCTAACACAGTGAAACCCTGTCTCTACTAAAAATACAAAAAATTAGCCAGGCGTGGTGGCATGTGCCTGTAGTCCCAGCTACTCAGGAGGCTGAGGCAGGAGAATGGCGTGAACCCGGGAGGCGGAGGTTGCAGTGAGCCGAGATCGTGCCACTGCACTCCAGCCTGGGCGACAGAGCGAGACTCCGTCTAAAAAAAAAAAAAAGAAACCAGACCTGAAAGCCACATATTATATGATTCCATTTATACGAAATATCCAGAATAGGCAAACTCATAGAGACAGAAAGCATATTTGTGGTTTTAGCAGCTGAGGGGAGGAAGGAGTGGGGAGTGATTGCTTAATGGGCATGAGGTTTCCGTTTGAGGTGATGAACATGATAATGGTTGTACGTAACATCACTGACTTGAATACTTTGAAATGGTAAATTTTGTGTTATATGTATTTTATCACAATAAAAAATGGAAAAAAAGAGACAGAATTAAATAAAAGGGTCTTGTGGAAACAGCTAAATTAAATATCATTGTCCTCCAGGCAAGATGCTCCATGATGTGCCAAATAGGGTAAGGACACAAGATGCCAAATAGGGTAAGGAATGGTCCAGAAACCTGTGAACTCTGCAGAGATGGCAAAATGGATATCATAAGCAAGCCTCAATAGTGTAAATGTGGAAGTTATTGGGATGAAGACGGGACCACCATCCTTCAACAAGAAACAGCCTAAAAACACTGATGTATGTACCACAGACTGTTCTAAGTCATTTACAAGATTAAAATAATGGTATCTCTATAATAGCCTTATGAGGAAGGTGCTATTATTATTCCCATGTGGTACCATGTCTAGGTTGATGATGAGACCACTAACTAAGGAGTATGATTGTTTTAGTTTTCTTTCTTCCTCTTTTTTTTTTTTTTTTTTTTTTTTTTTAAGATAGAGGCTCACTCTGTTGCCCAGGCTGGAGTGCAGTGGTGCGAGCTCAGCTCACTGCAACCTCCGCCTCCTGGGTTCAAGTGATTCTCCTGCCTCGGCCTCCCGAGTAGCTGGGATTACAGGTGTGCACCACCATGCCCGGCTAATTTTTGTATTTTTAGTAGAGATGGGGTTTTGCCATGTTGGCCAGGCTGGTCTCGAACTCCTGACCTCGAGTAATCTGCCCACCTCAACCTCCCAAAATGCTGGGATTATAGGTGTGAGCCACCATACCCGGCCTGATTGTATTAGTTTTCTACTGCTGTGTAACAAACTACCATAAAGTTTGTGGCTTAAGACAACACACATTTATTGTCTGTTTCTGTGGGTCAAGATTCTGGGCACAGCTTAGCTGGATTCTCTAGAGTCTCATCAGGCTGCACTACAGGTGCTGGCTCAAGGAAGAGTCTCTAATCCCAGTCTTCTAAGGTGGAGTCATATATAATATAATGTTATGTTTTAAGTGACATCCCATCACCTTTGCCATATCATGTAACCTAATGAAAGCAGTGACAACCCATCAGCTTTTCCATGCTCTGTTGGTGAGAAGCAAGTGTGCCTATATTCAAGAAGAAGTGATACAAAAGCACAGATGTCAGGAGGTGGGAATCTTTGGAGCTCATCCTTAGGGTCTGTCTGCCACAATGATTGAGCGAATCAGTTTAATTCTGGGTCCCTGAGATTCAGGATTTTTTTAAATTTCTTTTTTTTCTTTCTCCTTTCTTTTCATTTTAAAAACATTTTCTGGCTGGGCATGGTGGTTCACTCCTGTAATCCCAGCACTTGGAAGGCCGAGGCAGGCAGATTGCTTGAGCTCAGGAGTTCAAGACCAGCCTTGGCAACAGGGCAAAACCCCATCTCTACAAAAAATTCAAATATTAGCTGGGTGTGGTGGCACGAGCCTGTGGTCCCTCAGCTACGCAGGAGGCTGAGGTGGGAGGATGGCTTCAACCTGGGAGGCAGAGGTTGCAATGAGCCAAGATGGCGCCACTGCACTCCAGACTGAGTGACGGAGCCAGACCCTATCTCAAAAAAGAAAAAAAAACTTTCATTTTTATTGTTTTTAAAGCGCTCTGCCCAAAGAGATTCAGGATTTTAAACAATTTTTTTTAATTTTTTTTTTTTTTTTGAGACGGAGTCTCCCTCTATTGCCCAGGCTGGAGTGCAGTGGGAAGATCTCGGCTCACTGCAAGCTCCATCTCCCGGGTTCACGCCATTCTCCTGCCTCAGCCTCCGGAGTAGCTGGGACTACAGGCGCCTGCCACCATGCCTGGCTAATTTTTTTTTATTTTTAGTAGAAACAGGGTTTCACCGTGTTAGCCAGGATGGTGTCGATCTCCTGACCTCATGATCCACCCGCCTCAGCCTCCCAAAGTGCTGGGATTACAGGCGTAAGCCACCGTGCCCGGACAGGATTCTAAACAATTTTAAAGGATTTTTTTTTTTTTGAGATGAAGTCTCACTCTGTCGCCCAGGCTGGAGTGCAGTGGTGTGATCTTGGCTCACTGTAACCTCTGCTTCCCGGGTTCAAGCGATTCTCCTGCCTCAGCCTCCCGAGTAGCTGGGATTACAGGCGTGCGCCACCACGCCCAGCTAATTTTTGTATTTTTAGTAGAGACGGGGTTTCACCATGTTGGCCAACGTCGTCTCGAACTCCTGACCCCATGATCCTCCCGCCTTGGCCTCCCAAAGTGCTAGGATTACAGGCGTGAGCCACTGCGACTGGCCTAAATGATTTTTTAACTGAAAAAGCTTTAAAGAAAAATTCCCCCAGAAGAGATTCATCTTCAACTTGGTGGGAGATGGACTCTATAGCCTCCTTGCTTCCCACAAAAGGACATAAATATTACTTAACTTTACATTTTATTAGGTATTTAAGTAAAAACATAAGTAAATAAATGTATATACTACTTGACCAGTTTTAACACTCAGTGTGGCTTTGGCTTTGCATTTCCTGCAAGGATGGCCATACCAGCCAATACCTTTAAACATCCCCCCTTCCACTTCCTCATGGAAATTGTCAAGTGGTTGCTTCAGACTGAGGCTCCCACTTCATCGCCTAAAAACATGACAGTTGTTCTTTTTGGGGGCTATCCAATTTCATACTTTCCACTGTGTGCAGTCTTGGCAAGAGGGGAATTCCTAACACCTGCTTCACACTGCAGGCTCCCATTACAAAAACTGAAGGGGCCAGATCTTTTCTTTACCTGATCCCTGGTATAGACATGGTATGGGCACTTGACCCAAATTTGGCTCACTCTTAGGACTTTGATGCAATGATGGAAGAAATTTTGGAAGTAAGACTGTTCCCTGAAATTTCAATGATATCACAAATACTTTTTCCTTCCCATTCCTCCAGATAAAGAATCAAAAGAACTTGTGCTCTGGGCTCTATTGTGGGCCTCATAGAACCTAGGATATCCTAAGTCTGTTCCCTAAGTATCAGCTTTATTCCCCAGTGTGTGTGAGTCTATTATAGGGGACCCCTAGCCGAGGCTGCACTTCTGGTTATCAGAGAAAAGTCATAGATTGATTCATTCAACAAAAACTTATTCAGTACCTGCTTTGGGTCAGGCACTGTTCTAGATGCTGTGATACAATACTGTACAAGACAGACATGTTCTCAGCTCTCATAAGCTTACATTCCAGTGGGCAAGACAGATAATAAATAAACACATTCAGAGAGTAATAAGTTATATGAAGAAAATAAAACATGAAAAAGTAATAGAGTGGTACATTGGGGGTGGAGTGGGGAAGACAGCATTAAATAAAGTAGATGGGGAAGGCCTATTTAAAGAGATGACATTTGAGCTGAGACCTGAAGCATAAGGAATCAGTGCTGTGGATATCTAGAGGAAAATAATTCCAGGCAAAAGAAAAAGCAAGTATAAAAACCCTAGATGGGATGAGTTTAATATGTTTAAGAAACAGAAACAAGGCCAGTGTGGCTGGGGTAGAGCTAATGGGAGGTAGGAAGTCATATTGGAGAAATTGCTTAACGATGGGAACACATTAAAGAAAAAAGAAAAGTTCAGAGTTATTGAGAGGCCAGATCATGTGTGGTCTTATAGACTACTATAAGGACTTTGATTTCTTTTCTTTTTTTTTTTTTGAAATGGAGTCTCACTCTGTCATCCAGGCTGGAGTGCAGTGGCACGATCTCAGCTCACTGCAACCTCTGCCTCCCAGGTTCAAGCAATTCTCTTGCCTCAGCCTCCCGAGTAGCTGGGATTACAGGCGCCCACCACCATGCCTTGCTAATTTTTTTTTTTTTTTTTTTTTTAGTAGAGACAGGGTTTCGCCATGTTGGCCAGGCTGGTCTCGAACTCCTGACCTCAGGTGATCCGCTTGCCTCCGCCTCCCAAAGTGTTGGGGTGACAGGCATGAGCCACTGAGTCCCGCCAGGACTTTGATTTTGACTCTGAGTGAGGTGGGAGCCATAGGAGGATTTTTAACAGGGGAGGGATTTGACTTTGCTTTACACAGGACACCTCTGGTTGCCTACTAAACTATAGGGGGCAAAGGTGGAAGTGGGAACAGGGTTGCTTTAAGTGCTGTTTGTCTATCATTGTGTGACTTTGAAAAGGTGCTTCCTCTGGGTGGACATAGCCCCATGGCACTTGGCTTGGAAAGAAGGGCCCTTGTCACCGGGCACAGTGGCTCATGCCTGTAATCCCAGCCCTTTGGGAGGCTGAGGCGGGCGGATCACGAAGTCAGGAGTTCAAGACCAGCCTGGCCAATATGGTGAAACCCCATCTCTACTAAAAATACAAAAAAAAAAAAATTAGCTGGGCGTGGTGGTGCGCACCTGTAATCCCAGCTACTTGGGAGGCTGAGGCAGAAGAATTGCTTGAACCAGGGAGTCAGAGGTTGTAGTGAGCCAAGATTGTGCTACTGCACTCCAGCCTGGCGACAGAGCAAGACTCCGTCTCAAAAAAAAAAAAAAAAAAAAAGAAAAAAGAAAGGGCCCTTGTCTAAAGAGAAAGATGCCTCTTCCTCCTGCAGGTGTAGCCCCACACCAGGGTTCATGGCTTGGCACTAGAGTACAGGCTGGATTTCAGCCCCTACTGGGCCCCTTAGCCAGATGTCCTTGTGCAATGCACAAACCACAGAACTGTCTGCGGCCTCGATCAAAGAGACTGGTAGAAGGCTGTTTTGGCAATGCAGATGAGAGATGATGATGGCTTGGATCAGGGTGGTAGTGGGGTGGAGGGAGGCAAATGCACAAGGGAAATGCTGAGAATATCCTTAGCCCTGAGTTTCAGTCCTAGCTCTGGGAAGAATGGAGTGTTATTGCTTCTCTAAGAACAGCTGTAACATCCACCAAACATGTGGGTTCAGACTCATTCTGGCCCTAAGCAATTCCCCAAAGGGAGAAGTTAGGGTGGTTACTCTGGGAATTGTGGGGAGGGTTTCTCTCCTCATGGAAAGATGCCATAGCCCCCAGAAAGCTTTGGCTCCCAGGAAGGTTGGCAGCCAATAGGCTGTGCTCTCAAGGGAGTCCAGGAGCAGTTGTGCTTCTGTGTAAATTGTGCAATATGAGGATATTAATTTGTCATAATGATCGAATATATGTTCCAAGCAGCTAGATTGGGCTTGGCAGTTAGTGGACACACAGAATTCTTCAGCCCTAGCCCTAGTTCCTCCATGGACTCACTGAGGAATCTTAGACAAATCGTTTCCCCTTTCTGAGACATAGTTTCTTCATTTGTACCATGTGAGTAATATTCCCTGCAAATAAAAGGTTTTTGGAGCAAATGGAATGAAACCGTGGATGTGAGGGAAACTATTGGAAAGCTGGCCATATAATTGCGGGTATCGTGATGTTGCAGTGCCTCTTTCTCTCCTAACTGTCCCCTTAGTCCAGTTCTCATCCTTTTTGCCAGGACTTCTAGAAGAGCTCCCAGCTGGTTGCCCTGCCTTTGGTCTCCTTGTTGGCTCACCTGGTCTTCCTGAACCTTAAATTTCCTGAAAAAAACCTTTTTTTTGGTGTTTTTTTTGTTTGTTTTTTTTATTTTTTGAGACGGAGTCTCGCTTTGTTGCCCAGGCTGGAGTGTAATGGTGCAATCTCGGCTCATTGCAACCTCCGCCTCCCAGTTACAGCGATTCTCCTACCTCAGCCTCCTGAGTAGCTGGGACTACAGGCGCAGGTCACCATGCCCAGCTAATTTTTGTTTCTGTTTTTGTTTTGAGAGGGCGTCTTGCTCTGTCGCCCAGGCTGGAGTGCAGTGGCTCAATCTCTGCTCACTGCAGGCTCCGCCTCCCGGGTTCACACCATTCTCCCGCCTCAGCCTACCAAGTAGCTGGGACTACAGGTGCCTGCTACCACGCCTGGCTAATTTTTGTGTTTTTAGTAGAGATGGGGTTTCACCGTGTTAACTAGGATGGTCTCAATCTCCTGACCTAGTGATCCGCCCACCTCGGCCTCCCAAAGTGCTGGGATTACAGGCGTGAGCCACCATGCCCGGCTGATTTTTGTATTTTTAGTAGAGACGGGGTTTCACCATATTGGCCAGGATGGTCTCGAACTCCTGACCTCAGGTGATCCACCCACCTCGGCCTCCCAAAGTGCTGGGATTACAGACGTGAGCCACCGCACCCGGCCAAGCCCCCAGATTTATAAGGGGAGGCAACAGCTAGGTGCATTGCAAGGATGTGGACAGAACAGAAATGATGTTGTCCTAAGAAAGGTTAGTTGGGTGGTACTCAGACCACTGTGATCCTTCCCCAGGAGGGTTAGAGGAGACTGTTCCATCCACTTTTCTTTCCCCTTTCTTTTCTTCTTTTTTCTTCTGTTTCTCCTTCCCTTTGTTTTTCTTTGTCCTTTCCTCCTTCCTCGCCACCCTCTGTGCTGTCCCCTTTCTCTCTCTCTGTGATGCAGATTACTGCTTTGCTGTCTCTCTTCTCCCTCCCTTTGATGGGTTGGTCTTTGGGTCTGCCTGCTCCTGTCCTCTCTTGTCCCCCTGACCCCCTGCCCTGCCTCCAGTGCCCTATGGTTCCATGTCCTCCTCATTCCCACTCTACCTTTCCTCCCGCACCCCACGTTTACGGATGAGCAACCTCTCAGAGTCTGGAAGTCCCGCAGCTGTTCTGAGACGCTGGGGCCTCCCACCACTGGGGCCGGAAAAAGGCCGACCCTCTGGAGGGGCCAAGGGGGAGGGGTAGCAGGAAAAAGGGGCGTTACACTTGCAGCTTTCTTTTTGGCCATTCATTTTGGAGGGGAAAAGTGAAACAAAGGAATTTAAAACTTCCTCTTTTGTCCTGCCCTAGATGCAACTAATGATGGTCTAAGAGCTTAGTTTGCCTTTCTAGGAATGAAAACTCTTCTAAGAAACCGCATCTTTTAAACACTTGGTTTGCCGTGGACCACAGCATCTGATAAGACAATGAAAACAGAAAAGCTTTTAAAGCCAACTTAACCCACACATAAATGTGATTCTAATGAAGAATCAATAGTCTGGTGGATCATTTTTCCTGCGACTCCTTGGAGAAGCTTAAAGAGGCTTTCAATCAGCGGGGTAGGTGGTGAATAAAATGTTCTTTTTGAAATAGATAAAGTTGATTTAAAGATGAAGATTAAGTAAATAATAGCCAAGGTGGCACTTGGTCTTGGAAAACATTCTAAGGTGGTTCTTCACTGGCTGTTAGTTAGGAAACACTGGTCTAATGAAATCAATATGTAATGTGAGGGGGACAAATGCCTGCACAGATTCATCAGAACTATAAACACATCTGAAGGAAGAATAGTTCCACAAACAAGTGTGGCCAGCCTTGATTTTTAAAATTATTTTTTATTTTTGGTAGAGATGGTGTCTCGCTATGTTGCCCAGGCTGGTCTGGAACACCTAGGCTCAAGTCACTCTCCCACTTTGGCTTCTCAAAGTGCTGGGATTACAGGCATGAGCCTCTGCTCCCAACTGTGCCCAGCCTTGAAAAGGAGAGACACTGAATCAGTAGAGTGTGGATAGGCCTGTCCAGGCGAGAGGGATTTGATAACATTGCTTGTTCATTGTTGTTTGCCCAGACTCACTTCTCCCTTTTCCTAATTGTACCGTGGTTGCCTTTGTAGAATTCTTTCTGACCCCACTGTAGCAGGCCTTGTAAGTTACTCCCTTCTTCTAAGCTGTCAGCATCCTGCTTTGGTTCCAGTGTCCACTCTTTCCCTGTGGGATTCAGAACTGAGTCCTAATTGATTTAAGCCAGTAGCTCTCCAAGTATGATCTGGGAATCCTTGGGGATCTACAAGACTTTTTCAGACTGCGAATTCAAAACTCTTTTCATGATGTTGTTTGTCTTGAATTTCCACTCTCGTTCTTTCACAAGTATATGGAGTTTTTCAGAGGTTACATGACATATGATGTCATCACTCTGACATTAATAGAATGTGTGCTTCTATTCACAATAGCAAAGACATGGAATCAACCTATGTGCCCATCAACAGTGGATTGGATTAAAAAAATATGTTACATATACACCATGGAATACTACACAGCCATAAAAAAGAATGAAATCATATCCTTTGCAGCAACATGAATGCAGCTGGAGGACATTGTCCTAAGCTAATTAATACAGGAACAGAAAATCAAATACCACACATTCTCACTTATAAGTGGGAGCTAAATAATGGGTATTCATGGACATAAAGATAGCAACAATAGACACTGGGGACTACCAGAATGGGGAGGGAGGGGGCAAGGGTTGAAAAACTAACTATTGAGTGCTATGCTCAGTACCTGGGTGACAGGATCAATCATACCCCAAATCTCAGCATCACTAAATATACCCAGGTAATGAATCTGCACATGTACTCCCTGAATTTTTATTTGTTTGAGCTAGGGTCTTGCTCTGTCACCCAGGCTGGAATGAAGTGGTGCAATGACAGCTCAATGCAGCCTTGACCTCCCAGGGCCCAAGCAATCCTCCTACCTCAGCCTCCCAAGTAGCTGGGACTACAGACACACACCACCATGCCTGGCTATTTTTTAACAATTTTTTTTTGTAGAGATGGGGTCTCACTATGTTGCCTAGGCTGGTCTCAAACTCCTGGTCCCACATGATCTTCCTGCCTCAGCCTCTAAAAGTGCTGGGATTACAGGCATGAGCTGCTGTGCTTGGCCTAAATTTCTCATTCTTAATTTATTACAAGATAAAAACTGGCAGCTATCACTCACACAAACAAAAGCTCTTTTAGGTCCTCAGTAATTTTTAAGAGTATAAAGATGCCCTAAAGCCAAGAAGTTTGAGAACTATTGGTTTAAGCAAATTATAGGGGTCCCATTCCTGTGGGGGAATGTGACACTGTCCTGACTCATGAGACAGAAATAGGTTCCTCTGTGGGATGGTGTTCTGGGAAAGGTGTCCTTGATGTTAAAAAGAAATACACAGGGCCAGGCACAGTGGCTCGCGCCTGTAATCCCAGCACTTTGGGAGGCTGAGGCAGGCAGATCACTTGAACTCAGGAGTTCAAGACCAGCCTGGGCAACATGGTGAAACCTCATCTTTACAAAAAATGCAAAAATTAGCTGAGCGTAGTGGCATGTGCCTGTAGTCCCAGCTACTCAGGAGGCTGAGGCAGGAGGATTCCTTGAGCCTGGGAGATTGAGACTGCAGTGAGCCGAGATTGTGCCACTGGACTCCAGCCTGGGGAGACAGAGTCAGAACCTGTCTCAAAAAAAAGAGGAAAACCCTGACTAGGCAAGAGGCAAGATCTTACCTCTTCTCTTCCTGATGTGTTGAGCGGAGCAGGCATACAACCTAAGGTTAGCCAACCAGATGCTATCTTTGAATCGTGAGCAAAGAATACAAGGATGGAGGGAAGAGTGTTAAGTTGTTCACCACTCTCTCCCTTTCTTTCTTTCTTTCTTTCTTTCTTTCTTTCTTTCTTTCTTTCTTTCTTTCTTTCTTTCTTTCTTTCTTTCTTTTCTTTCTTTCTCTTTCTTTCTTTTTCTTCCTTTCTCTTTCTTTCTTTCGTCTCTCTTTCTTTTTCTTTCTTTCTCTTCTTTCTTTTTCTTTTTCCTTCTCTCTCTCTCTCTCTTTCACAGGGTCTTGCTCTGTCACCCAGGCTGGAGTGAAGTGGCATGATCTCAGCTCACTGCAGCCTCGATTTCCCGGGCTCGGGTGATCCTCCCACTCAGCCTGCCAAGTAGCTAAGATTACAGGCATGCGCCACCACACCCAGCTGATTTTTAAAATTTTTTGTAGAGATGGGGTCTCACTATGTTGCCCAAGCTGGTCTTGAACTCCTGGGCTCAAGTGAGCCACCCACCTCGGCTTCCCAAAGTGCTAGGATTACAGGCATGAGCCACCATGCCACGTCCAAGTTGTTCATTCTTTATTCCTGCAGCTCCCTTTATTTCCTGCCCAGTCTGAAGGCTGCTCCTCCAGCCACACATGGGTTCTACAAGCACTTAATAGTCATCCAATAATTCTCTAGCCAAAGTTGATTTCTGCTGTTCAAAACCAACAACCTTAATAGATATGCAGGGTCAGAAACAGGAATATTCCAATCACCACTGTTTCATTTTGTTTCATCAAGCAAATATCACTCAAGACTGTCCATCTTGGTTGGGCACGGTGGCTCATGCCTGTAATACCAACACTTTGGGAGGCTGAGGCGGGAGGATTGCTTGAGCTTGGGGGTTCGAGGCTACAGTGAGCTATGAGCATGCCACTACACTCTTGTCTGGGTGACAGAGGCTGTGTCTTAAAAAAAAAAAAAAGACTCTTCATCTCTCTTGGCTCTGTTCCTCTACTCAACCAGGGAGCCACTCCATAATTAATTAAATGGCATATGCTTTGTGGAGTAATCAAGTGTACAGTTTGCTCATGTGGCCCAGCTCTGAGTTGAATCAGCTCTGTGTGTTCTTCAAAGTCAGGTTTCTGGATCCACAAGGCTGAGGCTCACAGGCTCTGGATTATAGAATGTGAGGAGCTTGAACCAGCAATAAGTAGGTCATCTATTCAGACAGTCAGCAAATGTTTACTGAGTATCTAACTGTTCTAACAGAATATAGCAGTAAACAAAATAGACACAGTCCCTGTCTTTGTGGAACTGACATTCTAGTTGGAGATATAAACATTAAATAATCAATTGTACAAGTATTTAACTGCAATAAATGCTAGGAAGAAAAAGTACAGGATACCATGATGATGTACAGTTGGGCCCCAAGCTGGTCTTTAGTGTCAGGAAAGGTTTGCCCTGAGAAAGGGACATTCGACATTAGGCAAAAGGGTGGGAGGAGCATTCGAGGCAGAAAGAACATCTTATCAAGGTCCAGAGGTGAACAATACGCCCAGGGGAACAGATTGTTCCCTGATTGTTGGGGAACAAAGTGAGGGGGAGGAGGTCAAATGAGGCTAGAGAGGTGGCAAGGGCCAGAAGTGGCTTTGTAGGTCAGCCCTTCTTTAAAAATTTTTTTAATTGTGATAAAATACACATAATATAAAAGCTACCATTTTAACCATTTTTTTCTGTAAATTTTTTTTCATGGGAGCATAGATTCAAATTGTCCTGAATATATACTCCCCACCTTAACCATTTTTAAGTGTACAGTTCAATGGCATTAAGTGCATTCACATTGTTGTGCAACCATCTCCAGAACTGTCTTCCTCTTATAAAACTGAAATTTTGTGCCCATTAAACAACTCCCCATTCTTCCCTCCCCCCAGTCCCTGGTAACCACCATTCTACTTTCTATCTCTATAATTTTGATTATTCTACGTACCTCATATACGTGGAATCATGCAGTCTTTGCTTTTTTTTTTTTTTTTTTTAAAGAGATGAAGACTCTGTGTTGCCCAGGCCCGTCTCGAACTCCTGGCCTCAAGGGATCCTCCCGCCTTGGCTTCCCAAAATACTGGTATTACAAGCATGAACCACCCTGCTTGGCTTAGTCTTTCTCTTTTTGTTACTGTCTTATTTCATTTACCACAATGTCCTCAAAGTTCACCCATGTTGTAGCACGTGTTAAAATTTCCTTTGGGCCAGTCTTTTCTTTTTTCTTTTCTTTTCCTTTCTTTTCTCTTTTCTTTTCTTTTTTGAGGCAGAGTATTACTCTGTTGCCCAGGTTGCAGTGCAGTGGTGTGATCATGGCTCACTGCAGCATCCACCTCCCCGGTTCAAGAAATCCTCCCACCTTAGCCTCCCGAGTAGCTGGGACTGCAGGTACAAGCCAGCACACTCGGCTAATTTTTGTATTTTTTTGTAGAGACGGGGTTTCGCCATGTTGCCCAGGCTGGTCTCCAACTCTTGACCTCAAACTGTCCTCCCAACTCAGCCTCCCAAAATGCTGGGATTACAGGCATGAGCCACTGGGACTGGCGGGCCAGCCCTTCCTAAACTGTAATGTTGCTGCTTCCTCAGACCTACCCTGATTAACAAGGTGGTAGGCCATGCTAAGAATCTCAGGATGAGATTTTGAAACCTTAATCTTTGTGCTGTCCTTTTCTGCCTTACCTTTCCTGGTTCTTCAATCAGGAAACAAGGGCATCCATGTTTGTATTCATTTCCTAGGGCTGTCATAAAAAGAAGTACACAATTCTGGGGCAGGAGTGGGCATTAAAAAAAGGTATCATAAACTGGGTGGCTTAAAACAATAGAAATTTAGGCCGGGCACAGTGGCTCACGCCTGTAATCCCAGCACTTTGGAGGCCGAGGTGGGTGGATCACCTGAGGTCGGGAGTTCAAGCCCAGCCTGACCAACATGGAGAAACCCTGTCTCTACTAAAAACACAAAAAAATTAGCCGGGCATGGTGGTACATGCCTGTAATCCCAGCTACTCAGGAGGCTGAGGCAGGAGAATCTCTTGAACCTGGGAGGCGGAGGTTGCAGTGAGCTGAGACCACACCATTGCACTCCAGAGCCTGGGCAACAAGAGCAAAACTCTGTAAAAAAAAAAAAAAACACCAAAAAACCCCCAGAAATTTATCCCCCGATAGTTCAGAAAACCAGAAGTCCAAAATCAAGGTGTTGGCAGGGTTCGTGACTTCAGGAGGCTCTGAGGGAGAGTCTGTTCCATGCCTTTTTCCCAGCTTCTGGCGGTTTCCAGCAATCCTTGGTTTGTACATGCATTACTCCAATAATTGCCTCCATCTTCACATGGCCATCTCCCTGTGTGTCTGTTTTCTTTTATCTTTTTTTTTTTTCTTTTTGAGACGGAGTCTTGCTCTGTCATCCAGGCTGGAGTGCAGTGGCATAATCTCGGCTCACTGCAACCTCTGCCTCCTGGGTTCAAGCCATTCTTCTGCCTCAGCCTCCTGAGTAAGTGGGATTACAGGTGCACGCCACCACACCCTGCTAATTTTGTATTTTTTAGTAGAAATGGGGTTTCATCCTGTTGGCCAGGCTGGTCTCAAACTCCTGACCTCAAGTGATCCACCCGCCTTGGCCTCCCAAAATGCTGGGATTACAGGCAAGAACGACCATGCCCTGCCTGTTTTCTTGTATCTTGTCCAAAATTTACTTTTTTTTTTTTTCTTTCTCAATCCAGGACAAAGCTGAACAAAATCCACTCTTCTTACAAGGACGCCAATCATTGGATTTATGACTCACCCTAATCCAATGTGACCTCACCTTAACTTGAATACATATTTCCAAATGAGATCAAATTCACAGGTTCTGGGTAGACATACATTTGGAGGGGTCACTATTCAACACAATAGTACACTGTTGCTTCTACAAAAAGGATTGTTAGAGAAGGAATGTAAGAGAAAGATGTAGATAATGTTCAGCTTTTGTTTTGTTTTGCTTCTAACTTAGGCTTTTGAACAAAGTCGTTGCACAAAATGTACTTTGTGCAAAAGAGAAATCCTGGCCAGGCACAGTGGCTCACAGCTGTAATCCCAGCACTTTGGGAGGCCAAGGCGAGTGGATCACTTGAGCTCAAGGGTTCGAGACCAGCCTGGCCAACACGGTGAAACCCCATCTCTACTAAAAATACAAAAATTAGTAGGGCATGGTGGCCACCGCGCCTGGCCCAGTTACATATTTTGTAATTCTCCGAATTAAATGAAAACTGGTTTGAGCCTTCACAGGCCAGAGTAGCAATAAGTTTAGTACCACTTTCTGGCCGGGCGTGGTGGCTCCCGCCTGTAATCCCAGGACTTTGGGAGGCCGAGGCAGGCGGATCACGAGGTCAGGAGATCGAGACCATCCTGGCTAACACGGTGAAACCCTGTCTCTACTAAAAATACCAAAAAAAAAATTAGCTGGGCGTGGTGGTGGGCACCTGTAGTCCTAGCTGCTCAGGAGGCTGAGGCAGGAGAATGGCGTGAACTGGGAGGCAAAGATCGCGCCACTGCACTCCAGCCTGGGTGACAGAGTGAGACTCCATCTCAAAAAAAAAAAAAGTTTAGTGCCACTTTCTTTGGCTCTTCTCTTCCTCTGGTTTATCCAGGAATTTACACAATCTGCAAAGGAGGTCGCCTTGATGTCTAAGCCTCAGCGCTGCGCGGGGCGGTGGGGTCAGGGGTCGGGGGTGGGGGGTGGGGTAAGGCCTCCACTGCTATGCCTGCCGTTTTGCCTCATTGCCACAAAGTGTCGCTATGGAACACCAGTCCGCTTCTATCTGGTACTGCTGGTCTACTACTGAGCAACGCTTTGCCTGACCCCCACCTTCCAGTACCGATCAGTGAGGTCCTTCATAGGTTCCCCAAGAAAGTGAAGTTCAGGGGTTTAAAACGGAAGGCCTCTAAATCCTTGGGATGAATGACCCTGAGTGACCAGTCTTTCTGGGCATATGCTCAGCTCTTCTCAGAGATCTCACTGTCTCAAAGGCACTAGGTTCAGATTAAGGTAATTGTTTGCCCATCATAGAACCTCCCTCTTTCCATTCCCTAGGGATTCATCAAACAAAACAAAAGCAGACTTAACATCTCTGTGAGGGTTAATCTACATGAAGCCCCCGGTTCTCAGAGATGGAATGAATGCCTGGGGACACGGGCATCATTGTGGATGAGGCCAGCAGCTGAGAATTTCAAGAACTGTTGAGCTCTTATTTCTCACAGGCAAGGTAACAGAACACTCAAGGAGTTTCCAACTGGGGCCATATTGGGTATGAAGCAGATTACATAGTGGAGGAAACAAAAATCTGGGTGCGCTTTGCTTGCCCTCACTGTTCTCACAATAGGTGCTCCCCGGCTGGCCAACGCGTTATCCATATGGCTTTGTCTCCAAGGCTCCAAAAATTTTCTGACAGCAAATAGTATATTATGTCCACTCAAACTTTGGTTTATAATGGGTTTATTATTCCATATCACATAGTAATTTTTTTTTTTATTTTTGGCCGGGTGCGGTGGCTCACACCTGTAAATCCCAGCACTTTGGGAGGCCGAGGCGGGGGGATCACTTGAGGTCAGGAGTTGGAGACCAGCCTGGCCAACATGGTGAAACCCCGTCTCTACTAAAAATACAAAAATTAGCCGGGTGTGGTGGTGGCCACCTGTAATCCCAGCTACTTGGGAGGCTGAGGCAGGAGAATCGCTTGAACCCGAGAGATGGAGGTTGCAGTGAGTCGAGATTGTGTCACTGCACACTAGCCTGGGTGACAGAGCAAGACTGCATCTCAAAAAATTATTCTTCTTATTATTATTATTTTTGAGACGGAGTTTTGCTCTTGTTGCCCAGGCTGCATTGCAATGGCACGATCTCGGCTCACCACAACCTCTGCCTCCTGTGTTCAACCGATTCTCCTGCCTCAGCCTCCTGAGTAGCTGGGATTGCAGGCATGCACCACCACTCCTGGCTAATTTTTTGTATTTTTAGTAGAGATGGGGTTTCTCCATGTTGGTCAGGCTGGTCTCAAACTCCTGACCTCAGGTGATCCTCCTGCCTCAGCTTCCCAAAGTGCTGGGATTACAAGCGTGAGCCACCATGCCTGGCCAAAAAAAATTATTTTTTATGTTTATTTTTTGGAGACAGGGTCTTGCTCTGTCACCCAGCTGGACTGCAGTGTCACAATCGTGGCTCACTGCAGCCTTGACACCCGCCCACACCCGAAGCTCAAGTGATTCTCCCACCTCAGCCTCTCAGGTAGCTGAGATTATAAGCACATGCCACCAGGCCTGGCTAATTTTATATATATAGAGAGAGATCTATCTATCTATCTATCTATCCATCTATCTATCTATCTATCTATATCTATCTATCTAACTATTTTTTTAGAGATGGGGTCTTGCCATGTTGCTTAGGCCTTTTCTCAAACTCCTAAGCTCAAGTGATCCACTCACCTCGGCCTCCCAAAATGCTGGGATTACAGGCGTGAGCTGCCATTTGCCATTTCCGGCCCACATAGTAATTTAATACATCCACTCATAGAGAGCAAAACTTGAACCTGTAACACTTCATTAATTAGAATTCAGCATGTTATTCTGGGAGGCTTCCCTCCAAATCATTCTGGCAAGATTAGCAGAAGTCCAGCCCAGCCTCATCTCCATATTTGTAACTGTGGGGTTTGGTCAGGATTCTTTGTCTGCAAGTAACAGAAAGTGGCCCTGTCTACCTTAAGGAAGAAGGGAATTATTTCAAGGCTGTGAGGAGAACTCACAAGATTAAAAGGAAGGCTGGACAGACAGAAGCCATTCAACTACCAAGGGAACTTGATAATAGCGAGACTTATTAATGAGTTTTCCCAGACACCACTCCTGAAATGAATGAATAGACAAATTTTTTTTTTTTGAGATGGAGTCTCACTCTGTCACCAGGCTGGAGTGCAGTGGCACCATCTCAGCTCACTGCAACCTCCGCCTCCTGGGTTCAAGCAATTCTCCTGCCTCAGCCTCCTGAGTAGCTGGGACTACAGGTGCACACCGCCACGCTAGGCTAATTTTTTTTCTTTTGTATTTTAGTAGAGACAGGGTTTCACCATGTTGCCAAAGCTGGTCTGGAACTCCTGAGCTCAGGCAATCCACCCGCCTCGGCCTCCCAAAGTGCTAGGATTACTGGCCTGAGACACCACGCCTTGCCGACAATCGTTTTTTTCTATCTTTGCATCACTCAAGAGTCAAAGCTCCTGCCGAGCATGGCGGCACGTGCCTGTAGTCCCAGTTACTTAGGAGGCTGAGGTGGGAGGATCACCTGAGCCCAGGGAGGTTGAGGCTGCAGTGAGCTGTGATTGCACCACTGCACTCCTGCCTGGGTGACAGAGTGAGACTCTGTCTCAAAAAAAAAAGATTCAAAGCCCCGACATCCCAATAGAAAAATGGCCAAGGGATATGGCAGACCACAGAAGTGGAAATCCAGTGGAGGAATCATGTTGGAGTAGGTTGTGAGAGAGACGAGAAGAGGGTGACACATAGGCTATTAGGCTTGAGTGCTCTCTAGGGCAGAAGCCAGGTCCCACTGCCCTCTCTAGGGCTCCCCATCAGATGCTTTGTGTCAATTAGCTCCTTTAATTATCACAACAGGCCAGGCGCGGTGGCTCACGCCTATAATCCCAGCACTTTGGGAGGCTGAGGCAGGCAAATCACCTGAGGTCAGGAGTTTGAGACCAGCCTGGCCAACATAGTGAAACCCCCTCTCTACTTAAAAAAATACAAAAATTAGCCGGGCGTGGTGGCAGGTACCTGTAAGTCCCAGCTACTCAGGTGGCTGAGGCAGGAGAATCACTTGAACCCAGGAGGCGGAGGTTGCAGTGAGCCGAGATCATGCCACTGCACTCCAACCTGGGCAACAAAGCGAGACTCCATCTCAAAATAATAATAATAATAATAATAATAATAATAATCATCATCATCATCATCATCATCATCACAACAACTCTGTAAGATGAGTGTGAATGTCTCCCATTTGTCCAGTGAAGAAACTGAAGCTCAGACGGGGGATAGCTGGCCTTAGGTTGTCTAGCTGGGAGATGAGAGAGCTGAGGCTGACCACATAGTGGTCATTTCCCCTATATATGCTGCCTTGGCTGCTGTGTATGGCTGTACAGTTTATGCATTGCACAAGCACGCCCAGTCCAGAGAATGAGTAGGGTCTGGGCTGAAATCTAACCTATGATGATCCACTCAACAAGCTGGCTGCCTCTTTGTAAATCTGTGTCTATCTCTGGAGGAAGAGGCTCATTTCTCTAATTTGTTCTCCCATGTAAAAATTCTTCAACCTCACCTCAACCTCTGATTCTTTGGTCCCACCACCTTTTGTTTGTTTGTTTGTTTGAGACAGAGTCTTGCCCTGTCTCCCAGGCTGGAGTGCAATGGCGCCATCTCAGCTCACTGCAACCTCTGCCTCCCGGGTTCAAGCGATTCTCTTGCCTCAGCCTCCAGAGTAGCTGGGACTACAGGCATGCAACACCACACCTGGCTATTTTTTATTTTTGTATTTTTAGTAGAGATGGGGTTTTGCCATGTTGGCCAGGATGGTCTCGATCTCTTGACCTCGTGATCTGCCTGCCTCAGCCTCCCAAAGTGCTGTGATTACAGGCGTGAGCCACCGCACCCGGCAGGTCCCACCACCTTTTAACTAACTGCCCCTCAGTCCCCTCATGTCCTCACTTCTCTCCTTACCCAGCATGGTAGGCAGAATTATCTGATGACCCCCATAGTATCTCTACCCCATTATTATGCCCTGTATAATCCCCCTTCCCTTGAAGGGGGTGGTCATTGTGACTTGCTTCTAACCGATAGAATATGGCCAGGATGATAGGATTTCACTCCTCTGATTTGCCCTGCCCCTACCTCTCTCTCTGTCTCTCTCTAGATATAGCTATGGCTCCATCTTGCTAGCATGCAAAGAACTCAAACTGATGGCCTTGAAGAAGCAAGAAGCTGCTATGCTATTGTGTACTACCTATGGAGATGGCCACATGGTAGGCAGCCCCTAGGGTCTGAGGGCCTTAGTTCTACAACCACAAAGAATTAAATTCTGCCAACAACCATGTAAGTTTGAAAGAGGACCTAAACCTCATATGACGCTGTGGTCCTGGACAACATCCTGATTGCAGCCTGTGTGACCCTGAGCAGAGAATCTAGTTAAGCTGTGCCTGGATTTCTAACCCATGGAAACTGGGAGACAATATGTGTTTTTTTACAGCTGTTAAATTTGTAGTAATTGGTTATGTGGCAATACAAAACTAATACACTCAGCTTAGATTTCATTATTCATCATTGTAATCACTCCCTTGCAAACATCCTTACTATTCTAGCCCTTGTGGCCAACAGATGCTAAAGTGACCTCCAGTAATCCCCACCACCTGGTGTTTATGCCCTATGTAATCTTATCTTCTGGAGTGTCAGCAGAACCTGTGACTTGTTTCTAGCCTTCTAGACTATGGCAGGCCAGGTGCAGTGGCTCATACCTGTAATCCCAGCACTTTGGGAGGCTGAGGTGGGAGGATCTTTTGAGCCCAGGAGTTTAACACCAGCCTGGAAACATAGCAAGACTCTGTTTCTACAAAATAAATAAATAAATAAATAAATAAATAAATAAATAAATAAATAACGATAGAATATGGCAAAGGTGATGGGATGTCACTTTGCTGAGACTCCATCTTGGTATACTGGAGTTACAGAGACTCTTTTCTGTCAGCTTTGAAAAAATAAGCTGCCAAGTTATCACAGGGCCACGTGGCAAGGAACTCATTACTTGCAGTTGAGAGCCAACTCTGGATGAAAGCTAGCAAGAAAATGAGGACCTCGGTCCTATAGCTTCAAGATTAATTCTTCCTTGATATGATATAGGAGATATTAAAGAAACAAAAGATGAATTCTTCCAACAGCCTGAGGGAGCTTGGAAGCAGATATTTTCCCTAGTTAAGCCTCTGATGAGACTGCAGCCCCAGTTGACACCCACGATGCAGCCTAGTTAGACCCTGAAAAAGAGGACCCAGATAATTTGTTCCCAGACTCTTGACACACAGAAACTGTGAGATAATACATGTGTGTTGTTTTATGTCTCTAACTTTGTGGTAACTTGTTACACAGCATAGAAAACAAACAGCCCGTCTCTCTCATCTTTATACTCATCTGGCCAAACACAACCCAGGTTACTCTCTGCCTCTGTAAGAGAGCAGCTGAATGCTGTTAGAGAAAACAAAACAAAAAAACCCCACAGAAGCCAATGATTTCACTCTAAAGTATTGATTGCAGACCTCAAATAGGCATTAGTACCTGGGACTTATAGCAATCCTGCTGTGATCACCTCTCCACTCTCAGAGATAATTATCATTTTTTTTTGAGGCAGGGTCTTGCTCTCTTGCCCAGGCTGGAGTGCAGTGGTGCAATCTCGGCTCACTGCAACCTCTGCCTCCTGGGTTGAAGTGATTCTCCTGCTTCAGCCACCTGAGTAGCTGGGACTACCAGTGTGCACCACCACGCCCGGCTAATTTTTGTATTTTTAGTAGAGATGGGGTTTCACCATGTTGGCCAGGCTTGTCTCGAACTTCTGACCTCAGGTGATCCACCTGCCTTGGCCTCCCAAAGTGCTGGGATTACAGGCGTGACCCACCGCACCTGGCTGATATACCATCTTTAAGAGCCCCCTTGAATACCATGAGCTCTTCCTACTACTGCCTATTTCTCTGTTCCTCTCATGCAAACCTTCTCCAGATGTAAGTTACATATTACTCTCTCCACTTCATCTCCCACTCTTCAACCAACTGCAGTCTAGCTTCATACCACTCCATAGAACCCACTCTTGTCAAAGTCACCAAAGACTTCATGTCAAATCCAACAGACAGGTTTGTTTTTTTTTTCTCATCCTACTTGTCTTTTCAGTAGCATCTGGCAATCAACAATCCCTCCTAGAAACACGTGTGTTTCTTCTCAGTCTCTTTTGCTGACCTCTAAATATTGAAGTTCTCTGAGCTTGTAGAACCAACTGCCTCCTTGTCATCGCCACTGGATTATCTCACAAGCACCTCAAATTGAACATGTCTAAAACAGAAATCTTGATATTCTTCCCCAAGTCTTTCCCTCCTCTCACCTTCTCCCATCTGTATAACCAGTAGTTATTGAACTAGAAAGCTGAGAATCATCCCTTCTCTCACCTCCTTTACACTCAATTTATTATGGAGTGCTATTGGTTCTACCTCTAAAATTTATCCTGAATTTGTCCACATCTCTCCGTCTCCACTATCTCTAATCTACACCAAACCACCATTGTCTCTTGTTTGAACTTTTTTTTTTTTTTTCAGATGGAGTCTCACTCTGTCACCCAGGCTGGAGTGCAGTGGTGCAATCTCGGCTCAGTGCAACCTCTGCCTCCCAGGTTCAAGCGATTCTCCTGCCTCAGGCTCCTGAGTAGCTGGGACTACAGGTGCGCACCACTACTCCTGGCTAATTTTTTTGTATTTTTAGTAGAGATGGGGTTTCACCATTTTGGCCAGGATGGTCTCAAACTCCTGACCTCAGGTGATCCGCCCACCTCGGCCTCCCAAAGTGCTGGGATTACAGGCGTGAGCCACCGCACCTGGCCAGGTTGGGGAATTTTTTGACCATGGCTGATTTCCAGGAATACAGGGTTCAGATAAGTTTCAACATTGTCAGTGGTTATTTCAGTTTCCCGAGGGGCTTCTTCTAGAGATTTCAATCTGGGATATCAGTTTGGGGGCTTATCTAGGCACTCTAGAGGCCTATTCTTGGGTTCAATCTGAGCAACCTGAGTGGACCACTTAGGGCTGTTATTGCAGGTCAGTCAGTCTGAGGTCCTAGCCTGAAGGACTCAATTTGTGACTTTAGTTTGGCAGATCAGTTTCAGAGAACTCTACCTGGGAATTTTAGTCTGTAGAACTCAGTTTGGAGGCTCTGACTGTGAGGGGTACTCTATCTGCTAGGCACAGTCAAGGGGCTCATTCTGGATATGACAGGTTGATGCTCCATCCAAGGTTCATTCTAAGGTTGGTAGTATGACTTTCTTCTGCAGAGCTCAGAGTATTGCTTTAGTATGGGGATCTGAAACTTAATTCTGCAAACTGAGTCTCTTGTACTCAGCTTGGGGAGCTTCTTCAGGGGCCTCTGGGGAAATCATTTTAGGGGTTTGGTCTAGAAACTGTTTGGGCCACCTGCTTTATGGTAGTCTGTCCAGAGGTTCAGGCACTGGTATACCTGAGATCAATCTCATTGTATTAGTCAGTCAGGAGCTCTGTCTGGATCACTCACTGTTGGGTGCTCAGCATGGGCATTCAGACTTTTTGTTTGTTTTGGTTTGTTTTGTTTTGAGATGGAGTCTTGCTCTGTCGCCCAGGCTGGAGTGCAGTGGAATGATCTTGGCTCACTGCAACCCCCGCCTCCCAGGTTCAAGTGATTCTCCTGCCTCAGCCTCTCAAGTAGCTGGGATTATAGGCGCACACTACCACGCCTGGCTAATTTTTTGTATTTTTAGTAGAGACGGGGTTTCACCATGCTGGCCAGGCTGGTCTTGAACTTCTGACCTCAAATGATCCACACGCCTCGGCCTCCCAAGGTGCTGGGATTACAGGCGTGAGCCACCGCACCCAGTGGCATTCACTCTCCTGAGAGAAGTCCGGGAGTTCCGAGTGAGTTCTGAGTGAGCTCAGGCATTGGCTCACTCAAGAGGGCTCAGCTGGCATCAGATGTGATTGCATGTAACAAAGAGACACCAAATAATGATGGCTTAAACAAGATAGAAACCTCTATTTTTCTTTTTTTGACACAGAGTTTCACTCTGTTTTGATCATTGCTCACTGCAGCCTAGACCTCCCGGGCTCAAGCAATCCTCCCACCTCAGCCTCCAGAGTAGCTGGGACTACAAGCATGTGCCATGCCGGTAAATTAGTCATATCTGCTTATTTTTTTAATTTTTTTTTTTTTGGTAGAGACAGGGTCTCCCTGTTGCCCAGGCTGGTCTCAAACTCCTGGGCTCAAGTGATCCTCCCACCTTGGCCTCCCAAAGTGCTGGGATTACAGGTGTGAGCCATCGAATCCGGCTCAAACCTTTTATTTCTCTTATGTAAAAGCAGTCCTGACCGGGCACGGTGGCTCACACCCTGTAATCCCAGCACTTTGGGAGGCCAAGGCAGGGTGCATCACAAGGTCAAGAGATCGAGACCATCCTGGCCAATATGGTGAAACCCTGTCTCTACTAAAAATACAAAAATTTGCCGGGTGAGGTGGCACGTGCCTGTAATCTCAGCTACTTAGTAGGCTGAGGCAGGAGAACCACTTGAATCCGGGAGGTGGAGGTTGCAGTGAGCCCGGATTATGCCACTGCACTCCAGCCTGGCAACAGAGTGAGACTCTGTCTCAAAAAAAAAAAAAAAAAAAAAAAAAGCAGTCCTAAGAAACTGCTCCTTTCTTCCATTAAATTTTTTTTTTTCAGATAGGGTCTCACTCTGTTGCCCAGGCTGGAGTGCAGTGGCAAGATCACGACTCACTGCAGCCTCGAACTCCCTGACTCAAGCACTCCTCCCACCTCAGCCTCCCAAGTGTAGCTGGGACTATAGGAGTGCACACCATACCCAGCTAATTTTTTGATTTTCTATAGACAGGGTCCCACCATGTTGCCCAGGCTGGTTTTGAACTCTTGGGCTCAAGCAATTATCCAGGATTCTTTGAGCCAAATTTGCCAAAGTATCCCTGCTGCACTCAGTTATTGGTAGTTTTTGGCACTCAGCTGATGGCAAGCAATGTCTGCGCAAATACAAGGGTGGATTTCAGAACAGCAGCTGGGGCCCTTGATTAAATTCATCCCCTGTAGCTTACGGTCTGTGAGATGAAGTCTCATGGCTACCATAGGTGCATACCGGTGGTTCCCTCTGGGGATTCCCTCTAGGGCTCATTTTGGGCTTTTTTTTTTTTGAGATGGAGTCTCGCTCTGTCACCCAGGCTGGAGTGCAGTGGCACAATCTCGGCTCACTGCAACCTCTGCCTCCCAGGTTCAAGTGATTCTCCTGCCTCAGCCTCCCGGGTAGCTGGGACTACAGGCAAGTGCCACCACGTTCAGCTAATTTTTTCACTTTTTTTTTTTTTTTTAAGACAGAGTCTCGCTGTGTCGCCCAGGCTGGAGTGCAGTGGCGCGACCTCAACTCACTGCAACCTCTGACTCCCGGGTTCAAGCAATTCTCCTGCCTCAGCCTCCCAAGTAGCTGGGACTACAGGTGCCCACCACCATGCCTGGCTAAATTTTGTATTTTTAGTAGAGATGGGGTTTCACCATGTTGGCCAGGCTGGTCTCGAACTCCTGACCTCAAGTGATCTGCCCGCCTCAGCCTCGCAAAGTGCTCCAATTACAGGCGTGAGCCACCATGCCCGGCCTTGGGCATGTTATTTCCAGGTTCAGATATTAGGTTTTCAGTCTGAGGGAAGCTGTTTCAGAACATGGGCTCAGTCTACACTTTCAGCAGGGGGGATGAGTTTGTGGCTTTAGTATGTGATGGGTCCTTCTGGGAACTCACCCTGGGCCCATTTGCAGGATATCAGTCCCAGTCCCCATACTCCTTCAAGGAGCTAAGTTTGGGGACTCAGTCCCGTGGCTCTACCTAGAGGCTCATTATGGGCATTATGGGGACATGACTTTAAGGTTAAGGGTTTACATGTTGATGGTTCACTCTTTTTTTTTTTTGAGACAGGGATCTGGCTCTGTCACCCATGCTGGAGTGCACTGCTGCCATCTCTGCTCATTGCAACCCCCGCCTCCTGGGCCCAAGCTGATCCTCCAACCTCAGCCTCCAGGGTAGCTTGGAGACCGCAGGCATGTCCCACCAAGTCCTGCTAATTTTTGTATTTTTTTCAGAGACAGGGTTTTGCCATGTTGCCCAGGCTGGTCTCAAACTCCTGGACTCAAGGAATCTGCCCAGATGGTTCACTCTTGAGACACTAATTCTAGTGTTTCAGTTGGGAGAGGATTTGATATGGGAGCCTGATATTTTCTCTGACATATGACTAAGCCTCTCACCGAGTGAGTGCCAGTTTCAGAGCTCAGTCTGCTCAGGTATTGGAAGCCCAGTCTGGAGATTTTAGCCTGAGGTCAAGCCTAGGAGATACGGATGTGATGGCCTCACCCAGGGATGTCTGTCTGGTGGGCTCTGTCTTGGGATGCCAGGCTTGGTCCTAATCTGAAATTTTCTTTTCTTTCTTTTTTTTTTTTTTTTTTTTTTGAGACAGTCTCACTCTGTTGCCCAAGCTGGAGTGCAGTGGCGTGATCTCGGCTTACTGCAACCTCCACCTCCCGGGTTCAAGCAATTCTCCTGCCTCAGCCTCCCGAGTAGCTGGAACTACAGGCACGTGCCACCACGCCCGGCTAATTTTTGTATTTTTAGTAGAGACAGGGTTTCACTATGTTGGCCAGGCTGGTCTTGAACTCCTGACCCTGTGATTTACCCACTTTGGCCTCCCAAAGTGTTGGGATTACAGGCGTGAGCCACCGTGCCCGGCTGAAATTTTCTATCTGGAAGCATCCTCTGCACATTCAATGTGGTGGTTCAACCTGCATTTTAATCTTGGAGCTCAGTCTAGGGTGTCATACTGGGAGTTGAGTTTGGGATACATGGACTTATAAAGCATCATGCATAGAATTTTGGGGTGTCTGTGTCTTTCTTCCCTCCCGCCCTCCCTTCCTTCCTTTTTTTTTTAATTTTTATGGATTCTCACTCTGTTGCCCAAGCTGGAGTGCAGTGGTGCCATGTCGGTTCACTGCAACCTCTGCCTCCGGTTCAAGAAATTCCCTTGCTTCAGCCTCCTGAGTAGAGTAGCTGGGACTACAGGTGTGCACCATCATGCCCAGCTAATTTATGTATTTTTAGTAGAGACGGGGTTTCAGCATGTTAGTCAGGCTGGTCTCGCACTCCTGACCTCAGGTGATTGCCCGCCTTGGCCTCCCAAAGTGCTGGGATTACAGGCGTGAGCCACTGCACCTGGCCTGATTGCAATTTTAAAATTGGCAAACAAATACACAATTTGGAATGGTGTTTCTGTAATATTTTGATAACTGTATTTTAACATACTTGACTTCCTTTGTAAACCTATATTTTATTGTATGCATTTAAAAACATTATTCTGGGCTAGGCTCATGCCTGTATTCCCAGCACTTTCGGAGGCTGAGGGAAGATTACTTGAGCCCGGGAGTTTGAGACCAGCCTGAGCAACATAGTGAGAACCTGGTCTCTGCAAAATAAGTTTTTTTGTTTTTTTTGAGATGGAATCTGGCTCTGTCGCCCAGGCTGGAGTGCAGTGGCACGATCTCGGCTCACTGAAACCTCCACCTCCTGAGTTCAAGCGATTATCCTGCCTCAGAAATTTTAAAATAAAATAAAAACATTCTGTGAAGAGCTATATTGACTTTACCAGATTGCCGATGGGGGTTCAAGTCACAAAAAAGGTGAAGACGTTTGGTACTTAGGATACTCGGCCTTGGACTTCAGTCTCAAAGCTAAGGGTTCATTCAGAGGCCTTGGTTTGTTACATCCCAGAGAGGGACTCCATGTGTGGGGATATCTAGCAGGTCTATTCTCTCTGTGTATGTTTGAGGCCTCAGATTGTGGGAACTTCAACTGAGGTTTTCAATATCTTCATTTGGGCCTCTCTGAACTCAATCTACATTGCTGACTCTACAAAAAATGAGTCTCTGGAGCTACGGAGGAGGCTATGCCCCTGAGGTTCTCTCTCAGTCTGGAACTGCTCTTATTATCATCACACACCATGTTGCTTCCTGCCTCTGTGTATTTGCACACATTTTTCCCCTGCACAGAAGGCTCTTTCCTCCTTTCAGTAACACCTTCCACCCCCATACACACACACTCCCCCATCACCCAGCAAAATTCTACTCAAACTTTAAGAATCAGCTCACGTGTCATCTCCTCCGAGAGGCCTGCCACAGCCCCCAGGGCTGGGTCAGGGACCCTCTGCTGAACTCCCATGAGTCCCTGTGCTCCTTTCTCCCTGGGCATTGCACAGAGATAGATTTATCGTAGAACAAATCAATCTTAAGCATCAGGGCCCCACACTTGCACAGGCCACTTCCAGGTCTCTGGTTATTGAGCCTGGTCTATTTGAAGAATGTTTAAGATTTGTCGCTGTGCCAAGAGAAGTTAAAATAACCTGAAATCTTACAGCTCACATGTAAAAGAAACTAGAAATTTTCCCAAGTTTGACAAAAATCTTAAAATGTACATTACTAATAATGAGTTGTGAAATTGAAACTTTTCTAAAATACTAATAATAAAAAATTTTACTCAACTGAATTGAAATCAATTGAATTCTTTGTGTTCTCTCTAGAAAATATAAAATACTTGTCATATGAAGAGTTCTATAAACTCTTTGATATCAAAAAATGTAGAAAAATTAGTAGAGAGGTGAGTCATGTAATTAATAAGAATATTTTATTTTGGCAGGGCGTGGTGGCTCATGCCTGTAATCCCAGCACTTTGGGATGCTGAGGCAGGCGGCTCACCTGAGGTCAGGAGTTTGAGACCAGCCTGGCCAACATGGTGAAACCTTGCATCTACAAAACAAAAACAAAACAACAAAGTAATATTTTATTTTTCTGGGTTAGAAGATGTTTGTGACATTTGTCAGTTTTTAAAAATTTGTAATTTGTAAATTAGATTTCTAATTTTAAGGAAATACTTTCATCAATAAATCAACAAATAAGTAAAGTGTACAATTCAATGGCTTTTAGTATAGTTTCTTCTGATTTGCTCCTTGGCTTTCTCCTTAGCTTTCTCACTGTGTGTTCACATAGTTGTCCCTGTGTGTACACCTCTCTGGTGTCCCTCTTTGCCTGTGTCCTCATCTCCTCTTATTATTATATTTTGTTGTTTTTTGTTTTTGAGACAGGGCTTGTTCTGTCACTCATGCTGGAGTGCAGTGGTACAATCATGGCTCACGGCAGCCTCAACCTCCTGGACTCAAGTGATCCTCCCTCCTCAGTCTCCTGAGTAGCTGGGACTACAGCCATCACACTCAGCTAATTAAAAAAAAAATTTTTTTGTAGAGATGGGGGGTCTTGCTTTGTTGCCCAGGATGGTCTCGAACTCCTGGCCTCAAGTGATCTGAGCCATTGCACCGAGTTCTAATCTCCCCTTCTTTATAAGGACATCAGTCATAACGGATTAGGGCCCACCCATGCAACCTCATTTTATCTTAATTACCTTTTTAAAGGCTCTATCTCCCAATACAGTCACATTCTGAGGTACTGGGGGTTAGGGTTTCTACATATGAATTTGGGGGGTGGTGGATACAATTTAGCTCATAACAGCAACCATTACCTCGTCTAATTTTTAGAACATTTTCGACACCCCCAAAAGTAGCCCTGAAGCCATTTAGAAGTCACACTCTATTCTTTCCCCATCCAAGCCCTGGGCAACCATTCATGTATTTTCTGTCTCTATAGATTTACCTATTCTGTATATTTCATATAAATGGTATCATACAATATGTGGTCTTTTTTGACTGGTCGGTAATTATACGTCCTCTTTCGTTCCTGATTTCAGTAATTTGAGTCTTCTTTCTTTTATTTCTTCCTCAGTCTAGCTAAGGGTTTGTAAATTTTGTTGATCTTTTCAAATAACTGACTTGGCCAGTTGCATTTGCTCACACCTGTAATCCCAGCATTTTGAGAGGCGAGGCAGGTGGATCGCTTGAAACCAGGAGTTCAAGACCAGCCTGGGCAACAAAGTGAGACACCCCCTCCCAACACACACACACACACACACACACACACACACACACACACACACAACCACACACACACACACACACACACACTAGCCAGGCATGGTGGCCTATTCCTGTAGTCCCAGCTAATCAGGAGGCAGAGGCAGGAGGATCCTTTGAGCCCAGGAGTTTGAGGCTGCAGTGAGCAATGTTTGTGCCACTGCATTCCAGCCTGGGCAACAAAAAAAGACTTCATCTCTGAAAAAAAAATAACCGCCCAGGTCCGGTGGCTCACGCCTGTAATCCAAACACTTGGGAAGGCTGAGGTGGGCAGCTCACTTGAGGTCAGGAGTTCAAGACCAGCCTGGCCAACATGGTGAAACCCTGTCTCTACTAAAAATACAAAAATTAACGGGGCATGGTGGCATATGCCTGTAATCCCAGCTACTCTGGAGGCTGAGGCAGGAGACTCCTTTGAACCTGGGAGGCAGAGGTTGTAGTGAGCTGAGATTGCACCACTGCACTTCAGCCTGGGTGACAGCACCAGACTCCATCTCAAAACAAACAAACAAACAAACAAAAAACAACAACTGACTTTTGGCTTCACTGTTTTTTCTTTTCTCTATTGTTTTTCAATTCTCTATTTCATTTATTTCTGTTCTATTATTTATTATTTCCTTTCTTATGCTTGCCTTGGGATTACTTTGCTCTTCTTTTTCTGGTTTTGTGAAGTGGAAGTGTAGGTTATTAATTTGATATCATTCTTTCATTTTTTATTTTTTTGAGACAGGGTCTTGCTCTGTCCCCCATGCTGGAGTGCAGTGGCACAATCACGGCTCACTGCAGCCTTGAGCTCCCAGGCTCAAGCAATCCTCCCACCTCAGCCTCCTGAGTGGCTGGTACTACACGCATATGCCACTATGCCCATCTAATTTTGTTTGTTCGTTTGTTTGTTTGAGACAGAGTCTCACTGTGTCGCCCAGGCTGGAGTGCAGTGGAGTGATCTCAGCTCACTGCAACCTCTGCCTACCGGGTTCAAGCGATTCTCGTGCTTCAGCCTCCCAAGTAGCTGGGATTACAGGTGTGTGTCACCATGCCTGGCTAACTTTTGCATTTTTAGTAGAGACAGGGTTTGTTCATATTGACCATGCTGGTCTCAAACTCCTGACCTCAGGTGATCTGCCCACCCAAAGTGCGGGAATTATAGGTGTGAGCCACCATGCCTGGCCTAGTTTTCAAATTTATTTATTTATTTAGTTTGAGACAGAGTCTCACTCTGTTTCCCAGGCTGGAGTGCAATGGCACCATCTCGGCTCACTGTAACCTCCGCCTCCCGGGTTCAAGCCATTCTCCTGCCTCAGCCTCCCAAGTAGCTGGGATTACAGGTGCTTGCCACCAGACCTGGCTAATTTTTGTATTTTTAGTAGAGACGGGGTTTCACCATCTTGGCCAGGCTGGTCTCGAACTCCTGACCTCAAGTGATCTGCCTGCCTTGGCCTCCCAAAGTGCTGTGATTACAAGCGTGAGCCACCACACCTGGCCTAATTTTTAAAATTGTTTTTAGAGATGGGGTCTCACTATGTTGCCCAGGCTGGTCTTGAACTCCTGAGCTCAAGCCATCCTCCCGCATCAACCTCCCAAAGTGCTATGATTACAGGCATGAGCCACCATGTCCGGCTCTTCTTTTTAGATATGCATGTTTACAGCTAAAGATTTCCCTCTAAGTTTTGCTTTAGCTGCATCTCATGCATTTTTTTATGTTTTTGTTTTCATTCATTTAAAAGTGTTTTCTAATTTGCTTTGTGATTTTTTTCTTTGACCCATTTATTGCTTAGGAGTGTGTTAATTTCCATATATTTGTGAATTTTGTAAGTTTCTTTTTACTGATTTTTAACTTCTTTCCATTGTGGTCAGACAACATACTTTGTATGTTCAATCCTGTTAAATCTATGGAGGCCTACTGTATGGCCTAGTGTATGATCTGTTCTGGAGAATGTTCTTGTGTACTTCAGAAAAACATGTACAGTTATCCCTGGGTATCCGTGGGAGACTGGTTCCACGACCTCCGGAGGATACCAAAATTCATAGATGCTCAAGTCCCTGATATAAAATGGCATAGTATTTGCGTATAACCTATGAATATTCTACTGTATACTTTAAATCATTTCCAGATGTGACTCACGCCTATAATCCCAGCAATTTGGGAGGCTGAGGCAAGTGGATTAAACCCAGGAGTTCGAGACCAGCCTGGGCAACATGGCGAAACCCTGTCTCTACTAAAAACACAAAAATTAGCTGGGAGTGGTGGTGGGCACCTGTAATCTCAGGTACTCGGGAGGCTGAGGCACGAGAATTGCTTGAAACCAGGAGACGGAGGTTGCAGTCAGCCGAGATGGCGCCACTGCACTCCAGCCTGGGCCACAGAGTGACACTCGGTCTCAAAAAAATAGATAAATAAATAATTTCCAGGTTACTTATAATGCCTAATAAAGTGTAAATGCTATGTATATAGCTGTTATACTGTACTGTTTAGGAGAATAATGTCAAGAAAAAAAGTATACACATGTTCAATGCAGATGCAATTTTTTCCTGAATATTTTCCATCTGAGGTTAGTTGAATTCACGGACGTGGACTGCCCCCCATAGGGAGAGCTGATTGTATTTTACTGTTGTTGGTTGCAGTATTCTATACAGATGTTAGGATGCTTTTTTTAAATGCAGATTTTTAAGGCTATACTCACTGAGTCCTCTGCCCCAGGGCCTGGAATCTGTATCTGTAATAAGTTCCCCACATATTTCCTCCGCAGTACCCACGGATCCGGAAACCATGGCCCCACACGTCCTTCAGGTCTGGTGTCCTTTGATTTAAGTGAGTAACTCTGGTGGTGTCATCGATCGCTCTGACAGATTTTTCTTTTGCTCTAGTCTTGCTGCCAGGTCTGCGGAAAAGAGAATCCTGTGTTCTCAGGCTCGGCTTGCGTCTCGTTCTGCCTGGGCCGAGCTACAGAGGGATTGGGCCGCCGGGACGTCACGTGGACTGGGGCCGGATAATGGCGGGCGCTGCAGAAGATGCGCGAGCTCTTTTCCGGGCTGGGGTCTGCGCGGCCCTGGAGGCCTGGCCGGCCTTGCAGGTCAGTGGGGCCAGGGCCAGGGCAAGGTCAAGGTTAGGGCCCGGGGCAGAACAGGAGTTGGTTGGGCTAGGTGCCTGAGGCTTGGCTAGGCGGCATAAGAGGAGTTGGCTGGGCGGCGTAAGCGGCCTCCAGGCTACTCCAGGTCTGCTCCCAAGCTGACTTGGTGGGCTTGGACCTGTGTTTACAGATCGCTGTGGAGAATGGCTTCGGGGGTGTGCACAGCCAGGAGAAGGCCAAGTGGCTGGGGGGTGCAGTGGAGGATTACTTCATGCGCAATGGTGAGTGAATGTGAGGCGCCGCGACCCGCCTGTGTGGGGGTGTGGAGAGGAGGAGCCCCATCCCGCAGAGCCTGCATTTCCTCTCGAGCAGTTGTGGATTGGTACCTAAAGGTGAGGTGGAATGAATTCAGCTTTTAGAATCAGAATCCTGGATTCCAGTGCTTTACGGGCTGTACCACTGACTCGTGGGATTACTCTGGACAAGGCAGTTTACCTCCCTGAGACTCAGTTTCCTAGTTTCTAAAATGCGTATAAAAGTATCCACCAGAGCGCTGTACAGTAGAAATATTATGCTAGTCACATATAATTTAAAATTTTTTAGTAGCCACTTTAATAAAGCAAAAAGCAGATGAAATCAATGTTAGTAAACTCGGTGTGTATGAAATATTTCAACATGTAGTCAGTATAAAACATTGAGATATTTTACATTTTTTAGTATTAAGTTTTCAAAATCTGGTATTTTACAGTTTTAGCACATTTCGATTTGGCCTAGCCATATTTCAAGTGCTCAGTAACCACCTGTGGCTGTTTGGACAGCAAAGATCTACACTGTAGGCTCGTCTTGAGGGATATACAAGAACAAGAGGCCCAGTAGAGGGCCTGTTGCATAGTATGGTTTTTAAAAAAATCTTCATTCAATTTCTAGCTTTGGAGATGACATTAGGCAGAGTCATCTCTCTCAAGAAAGTATACTATCCATTGAGGATCCACACACGTAAATAGTTACAACATTGATAGATTTTCTGATAAAGAGGAGCTCAGGGTGCATGGGGTAACAGGATGGGGAGACAGCTTCTTAGTGGAGGTGGTGAATTGGGCTGGGTCTTAGTGAGAAGGAGTTAACTAGGTGGGGGAAGCAGAGAGAGCAACACTCAAGTTCTGTGGCATGAGGGTATAATGTGTTATATTTGGAAAGTAGCAGGGAGCTCAGTATTGGAGTATGGGCGTGTGTGCGTGGGGGGTGGAGGAGTGGTAGAGAATGAAGCTGGGGTGTGGGAAGCCCCCTTGAAAAGCATAAGACATGGAAGCCCTTATGTGCCTTTGATTTTATCATTTAGGCCAGTGTTTGCCAAAATTCATGCTAACTAGTTCTGTTAGATGTTCAGTGAAGAAGCTTCTCCAGTTACCTTATGTAAGAAAAACTCTTGTTCTGCTCCCACTGAAAAGTCTTAACACTCATGAACATATTAAAGGCTTGGGTAAGAATAAGAACCACTAAAAAACCTGTTTGCTTTTGTTTCTCATTAGCTTTCTATGGATAGTGTCCCTTAAGACCCAGCAGAACAGATATTTCTCAAAGGCAAACTGTGAAACACTGCAGTGGCTGGTAAAAATTCGTGGGCAGGTTCTAGGGTGAGAAATAGGATGGGATTTGCTGGCTAGAAAGTTCAGGAAATAATCAGTATGAAGCATAACCTGGAGAGGGAAAGACTGATGAGAACGCTGTTTTTGTCTAGAAACTGATGAGGCCTGAAGTAGGACAGTGGCAACAGGCATGGAAAAGAAGGGGTGGAATAGGGCCTTGGAGATTGGTTGGCTGTAGACAGGGAGGGAAAAAGAGGCAAGTTCCTGGTTTGAGTTGATGGGTGGATTAGGTGTCTTTTCTCGGAGTAGAGGAACCCTGGAGGATGCGAAGCAGGTTTAAAGAGTAAGGTGATGAGTCTGGCTTTAGATATGGAAGATCTGCGGCATCTGTGAAACGTCCAGGCACAGAGTAGTCTCAGTTGGAGATAAATTCGGGGGATATTAAGTTTGAGTGGTAGGGAAAGCCAAGAGTGTGGATGAGCTCTCCCAGAGAAAGCACATAGAGGGGAGAGGGCTAGGAGCTTTGTGGGAGACTTTCTTGAGTTACTGTCTAATTCAGAAAAAGTAGAGCATAGGCCCATAGGTAACTGAAGCCCAGAGAGGAAGGTGGCTCAGTCAGAGTCACACAGTAGGATGTCAGTGTCAAGGCTATGATGATTTCATCATTGGAATTACTATGTCCATTTCTTCTTAACTATCCCATTGGTCTGTGGCTTCTTTTATCAGTGGAACCACAGTTGTGAAGGTTCTCTTCACTTCAAAAACTTCAGCTTTTGCATGATAGAAATTAACATGGATCATGGATCTTCACTGTGCTAGGCATTGTGTTGGATGGTTCCTCATAACAGACCTTTGAGGAGGCCACCATTAGCCCCACTTTACAGATGAGAAAACTGAGGCTCAGAAAGAAGTAGCTTGCTCAAGGTCTCATAGAGGGGAGGCTAGTTAGAATAGTCCAGATGAAAGAGGGTGAGTGTAGGGCTGGGAGTTGTGGAAAGAGGCCTTGGTAGGATGGAAGAGATTGGAAATGAGGTATTAATATTTAGTGGTTCTTTAAAAAATTATGTTAAAACCTGGAATGCAGAACACTTTAGCAGATAAAAGGCAGGATGGAAGAGATTGGAAATGAGGTATTTTTAGTGGTTCTTAAAAAATTGTTAAAACCTGGAATGCAGAACACTTTAGCAGATAAAAGGCTCACTGTGCCTTTACCCACCCAGTTGCAGATCCACCAAGTAGATATTGAAGAGCAGTGGGCAGGGGTGATGAAGTTGGCTGGTCTTTGACCCAAGGGCCCTGTCCTTTTCTACTTAGCTGACTTGGAGCTAGATGAGGTGGAAGACTTCCTTGGAGAGCTGTTGACCAACGAGTTTGATACAGTTGTGGAAGACGGGAGTCTGCCCCAGGTGAGCTTATCACGGGCACAACTGCAGTCTCCCTACCTGTAGTCTTTCTTCTCCCCAGCTGTCTGTTTTGGGCCAAGACTCTTGACTATGACTCTGTTGCCTAGAGGAAAAAGTGTAGCCTTTCCAAACCCTGCCTTTTCTTTATTTCTATACATCATTCCCATCCAGGCCTGTTCCTCAGCCCCATCCCAAGGGCAGGTCAGGCCAGTCCAGGTCCATTTTCACCCCCGCTCTGGTTACCATTGCTCCCCAATAAGATTACCTTCCCTTTTACATCTTATTTCTTTCAAAGCCCAGTTCTAGAGGATTCCCTGCTAGTTAGGCTCTCTTTTGATGCTTTAGGCCTTCATTTGAGCCCTTCATATGTGGTTGCTTCATTGGTTAATTCCTTGGGGAGGAAAGAGCTCTGTTCTCTTCTGGAAAAATCCAACCTACTCCCCACTGTTGCTTCAAACACGTGCTGTTTGTATAGTAGATATCTGGAAAATCCAAACTGGTTGAATATTTTCTTGGTAGGTGAGCCAGCAACTGCAGACCATGTTCCACCACTTCCAGAGGGGTGATGGGGCTGCTCTGAGGGAGATGGCCTCCTGCATCACTCAGAGAAAATGCAAGGTCACAGCCACTGCACTTAAGACAGCTAGAGAGACTGATGAGGATGAAGATGATGTGGACAGTGTGGAAGAGATGGAGGTGAAGTGGGTGCCCCCTGGGTTGGGGGATACAGATGTTTTCAATTTTCTGGAAGAGCAGCTAGATTCACAGGGAAGTGATAAGGGGATGGTGGTGGTTGGTGGTAGTAGTATTATCCAGAGAGGGCAGGGAACTTTCCTAAAGTTACACAGCCAATCCTGGAAAAGCTGGAGCAGAGCCTGGGTCTCCAGTGGTCAGTGTATTCAGCTCTCTTTTAAATCTCCCCTCCAGGTCACAGCTACGAATGATGGGGCTGCTACAGATGGGGTCTGCCCCCAGCCTGAACCCTCTGATCCAGACGCTCAGACTATTAAGGAAGAGGATATAGTGGAAGATGGCTGGACCATTGTCCGGAGAAAAAAATGAGTGGGGATGATTGGAAATGGCTTTGGGCCCTTATTTGCTGTTCTAAGAGTTGTCTGTAGGGGTTTTTTTTTTGAGGATTGCAGACCTGTGGACTGGTTACCCCATCTCCACCCTCTCCCCTGTTCCTCTGTCTGGCTCCCTCCAGGGCAAGGAAAACCTAGGGTCCTTGGTCTTGGGGGTGGGGGGACCTTTTCCAGCATATTCCCCTGGGCCTTTAGTTAACATCCGAGTGACGAAGCCGGGTTCCCCAGTACAGTGTCTTTTGGGTGCGGTCATTGTGAGGAAGGGGATGAGTGAGTGTGGGTGTGGCTGGAGGAGGAGCTAGATGCCGGTGGACAGTGGGCAGGTGGATTTGGGGAGGAGAGGATCAGCAGCAGCAGCAGTACTCAGTGATAGGGGGCTGGCTGGGTCAGGAATGGTGAGATGAACATGCAAGTGGAAGAGAGAATAGTTGAAAATGTGAATGAAAGTAGCTCTGGAGCCTCTCCCTTACCCCACCCCACACACACGCAACAGCTCTGTACCCCTGCCCAGAACTTGGAACCTCCCAGGAATGCTGCCTTCCTTCAGCCCAGCCTCCAGTCCTGGGTTCCCTCAGGAATTCGAAGACCTTGGCTAGGTGGTGAGCTTGGAAGAGCTGGGCTTTGTTTTCTGTCTCCTCTAACCTCTTTCCTTACTCCTTATCCCATCCCATTTGAGTTCAGGGGTGAGGCTTAAGATCTTAATAAATAATACCTTACTGCTTAATCTGTGGCTTGACCTGTGAGTAGTAGCCTTAGAATCAGCCTTCTGGGAGCTCAGCTTCAGAGTTTACAAGGGAGCAGTTTCTGGGCCCACCCTAGCAGCCTGGTACTTTGGACAACCAAACAGATGAACGAACGGAGCACAGCAGTGCTATGAAAGTTACTGTAAGCCTGAAATAAACTGTATTTTTCTTAAAAAAAAAAAAACACACAAAAAAACACAAAAAACTGAGTATCCATTGTCCTCCCCCCTGTTTCCCTGTCCTGCCCGCTGGCCCTGCCATGGGTCTGGACGATAAAATACTGGGTAGCCTTGGGGCCGGGTAGAAGCTGTAAGCCATGGGAGAGGCAGGAGAGGTCTAGTTGCCACCCCACGTGGAGTTGTACGTGTGAAGACACTGGCTGAGGAGGCAGGGCTGGGTCGGGGCCCCAGGGTCAGTGGCAGAGCTGGCACTTGAATCCAGGTCTCCTACCTCTGGTGCTTTGTGGGGAACTGGGTGGAGGCAGGATCTGTGGTAGGGTATTGAGGGATGAGGGAGAAAAACGACCTAATTCAGGTAGGACTGGCAACGGCTCCCACCCTCCCTGGGGACAGGGATTAATAAAAATTGACATCACTGTAGGAATATATTTTTTAAAAGCCCACGTTTTGTGAAAAGATGAATTAAAAAACCCAAGACCCAGCATTCGGGATTGAAAGTGCCCGTGATGGGAGTTCAAGTATTGACTGAGCTGGGAGGGAAGGGGCTAGAGCCCCCAATCAGACATGGGCAACTAGAGTGTGGGGTGGGGGCTCCCAGTTTGTCCCAAACCCTCTAGGTCTTGTCTCGGGTCTGGGGGGATTCGGGGGGTTCAGCAGTGGCTCCTAAAGCAGCCACCGGTGCCTCCTCCATCTCCCTGTCCTCAGACAGTGTGGGCCCCGGGCAGAACGTGTCCCCTCGGCCCGCCCGGCCAAGCACAGCCATCCAGCGTCGCTGTAGTTCCTCTGTCTCAGGGCTGAAGTACCAGCTGAGGTGGCTCTGGGTGATCTTGAAGACATGCCTTCTGTCAGGCCGCTCCCCTGCCTCGGGCGGTCCCACCTCGAAGCCAATGAGGGGCAGGCTGCGCTGGGCTTTCACATCCTGGCGGGAGGAGGGACAGAGCTGGGGCCACCTTGGGGCTAGACCTTTCCCCCGCCCCAGCTTCTAACTGGTTTTGCATATGCTCTGTCTTCAGTCCCCTACTCAGGAACTCCCCTACTCAGGAACCTTCCGTGGCTCCAGTGTTATCAACAGGAACATGTCAGAACTGGGGCTAAAATGCAGGCTGGTTTAAATACCTGTCTCCCCCCACCCCCGCCTCTTCTCACAAAACTGCTGGGCTAGTCTCTTTAGCATACCAAATAATGTTTTCAGGCCTTTGTCTATGCTATTGCCCCTATCTGCATACTTTTTTTTTTTTTTTTTTTTGAGACAGAGTCTTGCCCTGTTGCCCAGGCTGGAGTGCAGTGGCATGAACTTGGCTCACTGCAACCTCTACCTCCCAGGTTCAAGCAATTCTCCTGCCTCAGCTTCCTGAGTAGCTGGGACTACAGGCACACGTCACCACGCCAGGCTAATTTTTGTATTTTTAGTAGAGACGGGGTTTCACCATGTTGGCCAGGCTGGTCTTGAACTCCTGATCTCAGGTGAGCCACCTGCCTCGGCCTCTCAGAGTGCTGGGATTACAGGCGTGAGCCACTGCGCTCGGTCCCATCTGCATACTCTTACCCACTCCAAATTGGACCTAGCAGTTCCCCATCTCTACTCCTTCCAGGAAGCCAGGCCCACAACTCATCCTGGTTTTCCCTACATACCACAACCACTCCTTGTCTCTAGCCAGTCTTTGTCTCTCAAGGGTTGGGGTTCTGATTTCCTCTTAGAGATAGGCTCACCTTATCTTCCAAGGCTCACCTTATCTTCCAAGGCCAAGGAGAGGTCAAGGACTGGATCTGGCTTTGCCAGGTGGCTGAAAGGACCCGAAGGAGTAGGATGCATACCTGAGGGGCTCCGTAGATATACAGCACCAAGGGTTCATTTTCAGGGACCACGAACCATGCCTTGTGCCATCCTTTGCCACCCTTCTCCATGTAGTGCAGGAAGCTGCAGATGACGCTGTTCTCTGCAGCCACTGAGGCCTGTTTCTGTGGCCAGAGACACCGGGCATCAATGTTGACAGAAGGCCTAGCCTGGCTCCTCCTAGCTTTAATACCTCCTCAGTGTAGGGACTGCTATTCCTATCTCAGATGAAGACGCTCAAGCTCAGGTGGCAGGAGTGATTTGTCCAGTGCCACCCAGTGAATCAGCTAGAGCTGAGATTCAAAGCTAGGTTCGTCTGCCTCATTTGGGCAACGGCTGCTGCCTCTACAGGCCAGTGGAAGGAGTGTGCGGATCTCAGGCATTCTTTCTTCAGTCAGAGCATTCATTCCTCAAGCCATTCACACATTTAGGCCTCATGCTTTTTTCTGTCTTTCATCACATCCATTTCCTACACTCATTGAGAGGTAATCTAGCATTGTGGTTTTAAGGGGGTATGTGGGTGGTTAATGAAGTCTGGCTTAGAATCCCAGCTCTAGATGAAAATGTATTGACTTGGAGAGCAAAGAGAGCTGATGTGAGAATTAAATGAATTAATATATGCAAAGTGCTTAGAATAGTTCCTGGCACAGAGTAAGTACTCTTTTAAGTGTTAAATAAATACCTAGATTTGTTTTTAAAAAAATCTCCAAAATGTGTGTTTGTGCATATATGCCTAGAAAGATAGGATAAGCCCTCACAATGGTAACTTTTGGGTAGAAGGGATACGGTATTTTATTATTTTTTGTTTATATTGGTCTACTTATCCTACTTTGTAATAACAAAAGACAATTTTTAAATTTTTTTTTTTTTTTTGAGACGGAGTTTTGCTGTTGTTGCCCAGGCTGGAGTACAATGGCGCGATCTTGGCTCACCGCAACCTCTGCTTCCCAGGTTCAAGCGATTTGCCTGCCTCAGCCCTCCCAAGTAGCTGGGATTGCAGGCGTGCGCCACCATGCCTGGCTAATTTTGTGTTTTTAGTAGAGATGGGGTTTCTCCACATTGGTCAGGCTGGTCCTGAACTCCCGACCTCCGGTGATTCACCCGCCTCAGCCTCCCAAAGTGCTGGGATTACAGGCATGAGCCACTGTGCCCAGCCAATTTTTTAATTTTAAAAAAATCCAGTGCTGCCACTCATTTGCTGTGTAATTTGGGCAAATGACCCCTCTGGGCCTCAGTTTCCTCGTTTGTAAAATAAAGAGAACAATAGCATGGGCAGATTAGTTACTGTGGGGATTAAATGTCTAAGTACTTAAAGATGACTGTCTTTCATTCACTCTTGCCGTCATTTTATTCACTCCAAGCCTGGGTCCCTTGATCACTACTGTTTCCCAAATACTCGGGCCTCCTCAGTCTCACTGGGTAGAGTTGGAACCCATTTGCCCACTGTGGGAGAGTTAGTCAGGGGCTGGCTCTTACCTCCAGGATGGACCTCCGGCGCTGGGGTGTATGCTGGCTGCAGGCTGGACTGCTCCCAGGCACCCCGTGCAAGGCCACATAGCAATCAGTGCACACACGGTTGGAGCGGTTGTTGTCATAGACGAGGCGGGCCCGGAACTCGGAGCACTTCCCACAAACCACCTGGGGTGGCAAGTGGGCAAGAGTAGCCTGATTCCAGCGGGTCTTCCCTTCAGCATACCAACTCCCACAGCAGACTTGTGGCCTCCCCCCACTTGGAGGGTACCCACTCTGCAGTGGGCCTTTGGGCTGCCATTCTGTCCCCTCCCTAGCTCTGCCCCTGCCTCCCAACACTCACATGCCCGCAGGCCTTGCAGTGGTGCCTGCGTTTGGTGATAGAATTGAAGGGCTCCTGGCAGCGCATGCACATGGTGACTTCCTTTTCCCGGATGGGCGTAGGTGCCCGCTTCCCAAGATCCACGTTCTGTAGGGAGGGCCAGGTCTCAGGTCAGAGACAGCTACTCCCCAGCCCAGTCCAGCCAGCCCTTGTTCCTGCTCCAACGCTTGGATTATCATGGGGTGGGGATGGGCTGGGGGTAGGGGGAGCAGCCACATTCAGAAGACCTGCCTTTAAGTCCTGGCTCTGCTCCTAGCTGTGCTACTGAAGACAAGTCACTTCTATTATACTTTCTGGGCCTCAGTTTCCCCAATGATTTCTCTGTGGCCCTACCAATGGAAGACTGCTTCTGAAGTCATGCATTGCCTCTCTGGTCATTACCGTCTAGGAAAGGGAGAGGATCATCTAAAGGTCAGGTGGGCATTTGGAAGTCTGGAAGGGGTCCCAGTGCAGGGGAAAGAGGGCGGGGACTCTTACTGGAGAGTTGGGTGGGGTGTCTTCATCTTCCCTGTTTGTTGAGTTCAACAGTTTGAAAGTCTCCAGCGTCTGTTCATGCTTCAGGAGGGTGGAGTTGATGGCCTGGGGAGGAGGTGTAAGAAATGAGAAGTCAGATCACCCCACAAACTACCCATTTCTACCCTCGCCTCACCTTCGTATACCCTAGCCTGAAGTTAGAAAAGCTGGGTTTCAAACCCAGTTCTGTCACTGGTAGGTGGATGACTTTGAACAAATCCCCTCCCAAATCCAGGTCTCAGTGTTACAAGTGTAAAATGGGGGAGGGGGAGTGGTGGCTGAAAAACCTCAGGTGGCTTTCCTGGCCACCTTCTGGGCTTAAGATTTTACAGAGCTTGACACCCTCACCTTATACACCCTCAGAGAAACCAGCTTCCTAAAAGAAGAGTTTGTGAGTTTCTGCTCAACCTCTGCACCTCAGTTTGCTTATCTGTAAAATGGGGATAGTAAAGTTTGCTGAAAGACAGTTGTCCAGGACCATTCTGGTTAGCTGTGAGTTTTGAGGGAGAATCTATCAACCCCTAGGAGACCTGTTAATACTCTTCTAGCCCCCTACCACAGAGCCTTGGATGTTACCTGGACCCAGTCTTTCTTCTCCTCCTCAGTCCTTGGGGTGGGGAATAAAAAAGAAAGATGTTTGGTTAGGTAGGCCCACAAAAAGCAATAGGAGTGGAAGAGCAGGTGTTTTGGAGTCAGAAAGACCTGGGCTTGACCCTCTTCTTCACCTATTACTTATATGACCTTGGGCAAGTCACATAATCTGCCTGGGTTTATTTATTCAACGATTACTAATACTTTCCAGACCCTGTGCTAAGAACTTGAGCTTCAGAGAGGACCCTGCCCTCAAGGAGCTCATGGTCTAGTAGAGGAAATAGACAGGGACAATACAGGGAGATCAGTGTTTTGATGGTGAAAATAAGGCCAAGGAGCCCAGAGGAGGTGACATGCCCCAGTCTGAAGTTTGGGTGAGGACTTTTCAAGGAGGTGCTAGGCCTCAGGTAGAGGGGTAAGGGTGAAATGTGTGGGAGAGAATATAGAACATAAAAGAAACCGTGTCAATAATTATCAGTTGGCCGGGTGTGGGTGGCTCACACCTGTAATCCCAGCACTTTGAGAGGTCAAGGCGGGTGGATCACTTGAGGTCAGGAATTGGAGACCAGCCCGGCCAACATGGTGAAATTCTGTCTCTACTAAAAGTACAAAAATTAGCCGGGCGTGATGGCTCATGCCTGTAGTCCCAGCTACTCAGGGGGCTGAGGCATGAGAATCGCTTGAGCCCAGGAGGCGGAGGTTGCAGTGAGCGGAGATCGTCCCACTGCACTCCAGCCTGGGTGACAGAGTGAGACTCTGTCTCAAAAAGGAAAAAAAATTCTCTGTTGCTGGGTGTCAAGTTGAGAAAAGAGGGTAGTTTTTTTTTCATTTGTAAAATGGAGATAATGATTATCACTCTCTGGGTTCTCAGCAGTAACCGAGGTAACGTGTACAGTGCTCAGCACAATGTCTGGCACACTCGATGCTCAATCAGTGTGCGTTCCCCTTCCCTGACTCTTCTGTCTGCCCTGCACTGCACTGCAATCACTTTATTCTGACTGTATTCTTTTTTTTTTTGAGACGGAGTCTTGCCCTGTCACCCAGGCTGGAGTGCAGTGGCGTGATCTCAGCTTACTGCAACCTCCGCCTTCCAGATTCAAGCCATTCTCCTACCTCAGCCTCCCCAGTAGCTGGGATTACAGGTGTGTGCCACCATGCCTGGCTAATTTTTGTATTTTCAGTAGAGACGGGGTTTTGCCATGTTGGCCAGGCTGGTCTTGAACTCGTGACCTCAGGTGATCCACCCGCCTTGGCCTCCCAAAGTGCTGGGATTACAGGCGTGAGCTACCGTGCCTGGCCTATTCTGATTGTATTCTTTTAAAAAATTATTTTATTGGCCAGGTGCAGCGGCTCATGCCTGTAATCCCAGCACTTTGGGAGGCCGAGGCGGCTGGATCACCTGAGGTCAGCCTAGCCAACATGGTGAAACCCCGTCTCTACTGAAAATACAAAAATTGGCCGGGCGTGGTGGCGGGAGCCTATAATCCCAGCTACTTGTGAGGCTGAGGCAGGAGAATCGCTTGAACCTGGGAGGCGGAGCTTGCAGTGAGCCGAGATGGAGCCATTGCTGCCACTCCAGCCTGGGCAACAAGAGAGAAACTGCGACTCAAAAAAAAGAAATATTTTATTTATCTATATTTTCTAATTTATAATTTCTTAGAAGTGAACAAGTGTTGCTTTTTATTTTTAAGAGCCACAATAGACGGAGTGGTGGCTCATACCTGTCATCTCAGCACTTTGGGAGGCTGAAGCGGGAGGATTGCTTGAGGCCAGGAGTTTAAGACCAGCCTGGGCAACATAGTGAGACCTCATCTCTACAAAAAATACGAAAATTAGCTGGGCATGGTGGCATATGCTTGTATTCCCAGCTACTTGGGAGGCTGAGGCAGGAGGATCACTTGAACCCAGGAGTTCGAGGCTGAAGGGAGCCATGATAACGCCACTGCACTCTAGCCTGGATGACAGGGAGAGACCCTATCTCAAAAAAAAAAAAAAAAAAAAAAAAGAACTACAGTATAGTAGAGTTTTTTGGCTATTCATGCTGAAGTGTATAGGGGTGAAGTGTCCTGATATTTGTAATTTACTTTAAAATGGTTCAGCAAAAGACATTTAATGTCAGTAGTTGTTGACTCTTAAATAAGTGGTTGTACACCCTGATACACACATTAAAATCACCTAGGGACCAGGCGTGGTGGCTCATGCCTGTAATCCCAGCACTTTGGGAGGCCGAGCCGGGCAGATCACAAGGTCAGGAGTTCAAGACCAGCCTGGCCAATATGGCGAAACCCCGTCTCTACTAAAAATGCAAAAATTAGCCGGGCGCGGTGGCATGCACATGTAGTCCCAGCTACTCAGGAGGCTAAGGCAGGAGAATCACTTGAACCCGGGAGGTGGAGGTTGCAGTGAGCCGAGATGGCGCCACTGCACTCTGGCCTGGGCGACAGAGTGAGACTCCATCTCAAAAATAAATAAATAAAAATTAAAAAGTAAAATAAAATCACCTGGGGGGCTTTTAGAGCTCTCCATGTTCAGGCTATCCCCCAAGCCAATTAAATCAGAATCTCTGCAGGTGGGTCCCAGGCATCCGTATTTTTTAAAAGCTCCCCAGCTGATTCCAAAGGTTGCCAAAGTTGAGAAGCAGCTGTCTAAGTTGTGGGCATCTGGGTGCTTGTTGTACTTACACTTTTCCGGATATTTGAAAATTTGCATTAAATTTCTTTTTTCTTTTAAGGGCAGTAAAAGTGACTGCAAAGCAAAGCAAACCCTCCATGCCTTCCTGCTGCCACTAGGAGGAAATCCTACATTGCTTGGCTGCCCCTTCTGGGCCCAGTGTCCCACTGCAGCCCCTTTCCTCTCTGCAGATGATGAGTCCCTGTCACGTGGCTTGTCACTCCCCTGGATGTGCAGGGCATCTGCTTTGCTCTCACTTTCCCTGCTGCAGGCCTCCATGAGGCTCTCAATCTCCCCAAGCTTCAAGACTCACTTCATCCCCCAGGAGGATACCCTCTATCTCACATTCATCTCTCTCTCCCACCTCCTTGCAGTCCCAGCCAGTCATTTCTCACTTTCTCACAGCCTGTCAGAAGCAGGCCATCTGCTGACATGCATCCATCCTCTGGCCCTCACCATGACCCTGATACCCTTTCACCTGGTCCCTCAGAAGGCAGCATAGACAGTGGTTAGGAATGTGGACTCCAGGGCCGGATGACCTGAGCTCCAATCTCAGCTCTGCTCCTTTCTTGCTCTGGGATCTTGGGCAAGTACATAAATATTCTTTTTCTTTCTTTCTTCTTTCTTTTTTAAGAGGCGAGGTCTCGTTATGTTGCCCAGGCTGGTCTCGAACTCCTGGCCTCAAGTGATCCTCCTACCTTGGCCTCCCAAAGTGCTGGGATTACAGGCGTGAGCCACTGCGCCCTGCATGCAGAACTGTCCTACACCTAAGTTTCCCCATTTGTAAAGTAGATTTATGGTAACAGTAGCTACTTCTAGGGCTCTTGTAAGCTTTTGACTAGTCAACTTAGACTTAAAATTTTAAGTTAACATTAACTTAAAACAGCACCTGGCAAAAAACTAAGTCTTGAGGAAATATGAGCTATGATTATAATCATCGAAGTAGAGAATGGATATGAAAGGCCCCTCTGTTAAATGGCTGGCCATCATCCCATGCTATTATTTTAAAATGTTTATTATAAAAAACTTCAAGCATACAAAAAAGTAAACAGGATAGCACAAGTACAATACATATCTATATACCTACTATAGAGATGCAAAATTTTTTTATATTTTGCCATATTTACTTCATATATATGTACATACAGTCACGCGTCACTTAACCACGGGGATGTGTTCTGAGAAAGGTGTCGTTAGACCATTTCATTGTTGTGCGACTATCAGAGAGCGTACTGACACTAGTACACTAGATGGTCTAGCCTACGACACACCTAGGCTATAAGGTACAGCCTATGGCTCTTAGGCTACAAACCTGTAAAGCATGTTACAGTTGTACTGAATATTGTATTAATTTGTAGCACACTAATTATTTGGGTATGTAAACATATCTAAACCTAGAAAAGGTATAGTAAAGACAGGCGTAGTGACTCACGCCTGTAATCCCAGCACTTTGGGAGGCCAAGGCGGGCAGATCACTTGAGATCAGGAGTTCGAAACCAGCCTGGCCAACATAGTGAAACCCTGTCTCTACTAAAAATACAAAAATTAGATGGGCGTGGTGGCATGCACCTATAATCCCACTTATTCAGGAGGCTGAGGCAGGAGAATTGCTTGAACCTGGGAGGTGGAGGTTGCAGTGAGCCGAGATCATGCCACCGCACTCCTGGGTGACAGAGTGAGACTCTGTCTTAAAAAAAAAAAAAAAAAAAGAAAAGGTAGAGTAAAATATGATACTTTAATCTTATGGGGCCACTGTGTATATATGGTCTGTCATTGACCAAAATGTTTTATACAGTGCATGACTGTATATGTGTATGTATGTATATGTGTGCAAATGTGTATGTATGGTTACATATGTATTTTTTGGGTGCTGAACCATTTTAAAGTAATTAACAGACATTGTGACACTAAGCCCTCAGCATGCACTGCTGCAAAACAAGGCCATTCTCCTGCATAACCACCATAACATTATCACACCTAAGACAGCAATAATTTCTCAATATCTAATGTTCACTTTACATCCACATTTTCTCTTATTGTCCCACAAATGTCTTTTAGGGCTCTTTTTCCCAAACCAGGCTTCTGTCATGGACCAAGTACTGCATTTGATTGTTATTTCTCTTAGATCTGTGAATCTACAATAAACTATTTGTGGTGGTATTATTCATGTTGGGTTTCACATCCCATTCTTCTCTCTCCTCTAACAAAATCCACCAGAAGAAATTCTTGGTTTAATTAGGGAGAGCTTATTCATTTTCCAAAAGGTTTCCCTGGCAGGAGTGCCACCTTTCCCCATATCGTGAAGTACTCACCCTGAATCTAAATGGTGTCTAACCCTTAGGGATCACCCCCACCGCTGAAGAGCAAGCCTGCATCTTTGGGGAAAGGTGCCCATCCTTTCTCTGGAACAATCTCTGGGCCTGGAATGCCTCAGCATATCTGAACAAAAGGGAGGTAGGCGCTGGAGGAAAGGCATAGGCAAGGATAAGTACCTGGCCTGGAGCTCGAGGGAGCGCTGCTTTCCTGACACCAGGAAGGTTCGAGGCAGATTGAGGTTGGAGCTCTCCTTTAGCTGAATGGAGGCAGAAAGGGGCATGGTGAGGCCACTGAACTCCACAGGGCCCTAGCCCTCTGCACACATACACACACAGACTCGGGGTCAAAGCCAGCATCTTTGTTCCTCCCAACACCAATGCCCCACTCCAAGTTCCCATTTCCCACCTCTTGGATGCTTACCTCCATGCCATCTACATCAATGCGTGCCCGCACGCTAAACTTCTGGCCAAGGAGCCGCAGCCTGGGCACGCAGTAAAGGAGGCGGTCGTTGAACTAGGAAGGAAAAAGTTTGGGATGTATGTGCAGAGGGCCTAGTGGGGATGTGGCCCAGCTCCTTGCCCTGAAGCTTTACTGCCAAGGACTGTAGGCAATAGATGGAGAAAAGACAGCCCAAATTGGGCACAGGGGTCACAAGGAAAGAGCCTAGGCATGGAAGACACTTCCTAGTGGGGAACCTCGGGCAAGTCACTTCTCTGCAAGGCTTATTTGCCTCATCTGTAAAGTGGAGAAAAAAAATCCTAGCTAGGTAGTGAAAATACAATTCGTTACTAGAGGAGAGAATGACTAGCAGGAGGTATAGTCTGTTTTTCTTTTTTTTCCTCTTTCAGGAATGAAAGGAGGTATAGTCTTTGAGTGAGTACCAGGTCACTATGTGTGTGTGTGTTGGGAGGGGCATGACCCACCCACAATTCCATGCCTGGCACTTACTAGTATGAGGTATCGGTCTTGAGTGGTCCCATTCTTTGCTGACAGCTTAAGGATGTGGCCTTCTTTTATGAGCTCTTTGGTGGGGCTGACAATGTCCTCCTCGCCCCCTAACAGCTCATATACCTTCAGCAGCTTATGCATTCGCTCCTGGCAAAAGACAGGGAACAAAAGGCACGGTTGGGGTGCCAGCCTCCTGTCAGATGCCCACAAGTCACGACACCCCCACTCCAGGATGGAGACACCACAGGTGGGTGGCCAAGGAAGGGCAGGGGCTAGAAGGGCCACTCACCATTTTGCGGATGGCAGCATTCGAGTGCTCTGCTGCTGTGGCGATCAGCTCCAGAGACTCTACAGGCATAGAGGGGTGAGGTCAGATGGGGGACTAGCAGAGAGGAGCCTTTCCGGGGCTTTGTTTTTTGTTTTTTTTTTTTGAGACGGAGTCTCACTCTGTTGCCCAGGCTGGAGTGCAGCGGCATGATCACGGCTCACCACAACCTCTGCCTCCCGGGTTCAAGCGATTCTCCTGCCTCAGCCTCCCAAGTAGCTGGGACTACAGGCACGTGCCACCATGCCTGGCTAATTTTTGTATTTTTAGTAGAGACGGGGCTTCACTATGTTGGCCAGGCTGGTCTCGAACTCCTGACCTTGTGAACCACCCACCTCAGCCTCCCAAAGTGCTGGGATTACAGGCGTGAGCCACCGCACCCGGCCTCGGGGCTTCTTTCCTCCCTGAATACCTCCTCCTGGCCTGATCACACCCTCCCATCTCAGAAAGCTCCACCCTCAAAGATGTCCACAGCAACATCATTTAAAATCAGAAGTTGTCCAATGTCACAATGCCAGAATCACAATAGATGGAGTAGTTGGCAGCCAATAAAAAAATGCAAGCTTGCCAAGATTATTATTACCATTAATAATAACAATAATAGTTACATATGTAACCAGAAGGAAGCATACCCATGTTGTCTCTGGTTGGTGGGGCCGTGGGTGGTTTTTATTGTCTTCTTTAGGTTTTTCTGTATTTTCCGTATTTTTGACAAAGAACATGTATTACTTTTATAATCAGAAAAAGCCATATAAAGAAACAATGAGATGATCCTGTTCTTTGTCTCAATGATTCTGATTCTGGGTATCTATTCTAGGAAAATACACATTCTATACACAAACACATTTTTGTCATATTGGTATTTACAACAGTTCCAAGTGGGAAACAAAAATGTCCATCTGTAGGGGAGCACACCTTCACCTGTACCTCTTCCCTGCCAAAAAAAATGGCCAACTGTAGGGGTTCAGTTAAATACATTATGGTGTCTTCATATAATGGAACATTAAACAACCTTTACAAATGATCCTCATGTAGGTCTTTTAATAATCTGGGAAATGCTCAGGGTGTTTTAAGAAAAGGATACAAACATGTTTATATAGAATGATCTTACTTTTACAAGTATACATGTCTAAAAAACACCAGGAAGAATTTATGTCACAATGTTCATTGTGCTTATTCTCTGGGGGCTCAGATAACAGGGGATTTTTTTCCTACTTCTTTCATCTTTTTCTGTAATTTCCATATTTCCTATAGTGACCAGGTATCATCAAAAAAAAAAAAAGAAAAAGCTGAAATGAGTCCCTGTACATCTCCACACACTAATAAATCCCACCCATGCTTAAGGCCTGGCCACAGTCTTTGTGTACCCCATTCTGTATGTGCTGGATCTCCCCACTCAGATCAGCCTGTGCTAGAGGAGCAGAGGTGCTTCTGAAGGAGGTCCATATGGCTGGCCAACCAAGTCGTGTTTTCCTAAGAGGCTCTCTCTTCATGACCAAGTTTTGGTGCTCACGGAGATCTATGGCCCCTGTCCCAGCTCAGGCATCCACATGCCTTTCAGGGGCCGGGCTCCAATCTCCAACCCTTATTCCATCCTAGCTGCCAGAAGGAGCTTTCTCACACAGTTTACTGTCACTCCTCTGCTCAAATCTGTCAATGGCTCCCCTGTGCCTGCAGGGTAAAGACCTAGCCCTTTAGCCTGACATTCAAAGCCCTTGGTGAGGCTGGGCGTGGTGGTTCATGCCTGTAATCCCAATACTTTAGGAGGCCGAGGGGGGCAGATCACCTGACTTCAAGACCAGCCTGGCCAACATGGCAAAACCCCGTCTCTACTAAATTTATAAAAATTCGCCAGGCGTGGTGGCACGTGCCTGTAATCCCAGCTACTCGGGAGGCTGAAGCAGGAGAATCACTTGAACCCTGGAGGTGGAGGTTGCAGTGAGCCGAGATCGCACCACTGCACTCCAGCCTGGGTGACAGAGCGAGACTACGTCTCAAAAAAAAAAAAAAAAAAAAAAAAAGACTCAAAGCCCTTGGTGATGTGGCTTCTGCTGACCACTCCAGCTTCCTACACCTCCCTAAACATGTCCCGTCTTACTTCATCTGGCCAACTGTCACTGTCTTCTGGATCCAGCTCACTTCCTCCAGTGAGCCTGCCCAGAGTTCTCGGGCTGGGTTAGGACCCTGTCTGGGTTCTCACATTCTCCTTTGCTCCCTTCTGTCCCACTAGTCACAGTGCTCATCATGTATTTATACATCTGCATCCATATTCCTCAGTAGACTACGAGCTCCCTAGGACAGGGCCAAGGTCCCACTGCCCTCTCCAGGCAGATGCTTTGGATAAATTAGCTCCTTCAACCCTCACAACAACCCTGTAACATAGATGATTGTGCCCCATTTATCCAATGAGGAAACCAAGACCCAGGGAGAAGGTGACCACCCTAGGTTGCCTACCTGGGTGGCAGAGTTGGCATCAGAGCTGGGAATGATCTCCCAGCTGCCTTTTCTCCTACACATCCTACATCTCCCCCACCCCAAGGCAGGGGGCAGGCTGAGTGGTAGAGGTAGGGGGCACCCAGGGAAGGGGATAGGAAGAAGACTCTGGCAAGTTGTGGGCACACAAGCTCAGGCCTGTGTAGGCTGATGGGCTCTGACTGGAGGCTTTGTTACAACGAGCTCTGTCTGGAGATGTCTCATGTGGAGTACAGACTGGCATTTCCAAGGATCCAGGGTGTACAGTCCCTACCTGGGGGCTCAGTGTGGGGATTTCAGTCTAGAATTTCACTTAGGGGTTCAGGCTAGGGAGTGCAATCTGCGGGGCCTGATGTAGGGGCTTGGTTTGGAAGCGTTAGTGGGGCCTGGTCTGGGCTTGGCAGTCTAGGATCTTGGTTTGGAGTTTAGTCTTGGGCCCAGTGTAGGCAACTGAGGCCAGGAGTTCCAGATGGCCTGGTATGGGGAGATTGGTCTAGGGTCCAGGCTCCAGAGTGCAGTCTGGAAAGTAGAAAGTGGGCAAGTCAGTCTGGGGAACCAGACATATGATTCAGTGAGGCTCAGCCTGGGGAATTTAGTCTGAGGTGTAAAAAATTGGGAGCTCAGCTTACGATCTTGGGCTGAGGATCTTAGTGCGCATATCTCAGGCGGGCTCTCATTCAGAGATTCTCATTCTGAACAGCTCAGAAAACCAGACCGGTAAGTTGTTTCTGGGGACAAAGTTTCATCTTTGGACTTGATGTGGGGAGCTCAATCTGGGAGGCTCCATTAAGGAAGCTCAGTTGGCCAAGCTCAAGCTGTGAGGTTCATCCTGGGGCCTCAGATAGGGTTGGGATTGATACAAAACAGGAAGCTCAATTTCTTCAACTCAGGCTGCTCTGCCTATGGAGTAGCCATTCTTTATTTCTTTACTTTCTTAATAAACTTACTTTCACTTAAAAAAAAAAATAGGCCAGGCACGGTGGCTCACGCCTGTAATCCCAGCACTTTGGGAGGCCGAGGCGGGTGGATCAAAAAGTCAGGAGATTGAGACCATCCTGGCTAACATGGTGAAACCCCGTCTCTACTAAAAAAAAAATACAAAAATAAATAAATAAATAAATAAAAATAATAAAAAAAAATAAAAGGCCGGGTGCGGTGGCTCATGCCTGTAATCCCAGCACTTTGAGAGGCCAAGGTGGGCAGATCATGAGGTCAGGAGATCGAGACCATGCTGGCCAACATGGTGAAACCCCATCTCTACTAAAATACAAAACTTAGCCAGGCATGGTGGTGTGTGCCTGTAGTCCCAGCTACTTGGGAGACTGAGGCAGGGGAATCACTTGAACCCAGGAGGCAGAGACAGCAGTGAGCCAAGATTGTGCCACTGCACTCCAGCCTGGCGAAAGAGCGAGACTCAGTCTCAAAAAAAATAAAAATAAAAATAGGCTGGGTGCGGTGGCGCACGCCTGTAATCCCAGCACTTTGGGAGGGCGAGGCGGGTGGATCACGAGGTCAAGAGATTGAGACCATCCTGGCCAACACGGTGAAACACTGTCTCTACCCAAAATACAAAATTTAGCTAGGCGTGGTGGTGGGTGCCTGTAATCCCAGCTACTTAGGAGTCTGAAGCAGGAGAATCGCTTGAACTTGGGAGGCAGAGATTGCAGTGAGCGGAGATCGCGCCACTGCAGTCCAGCCTGGGCGACAGAGTGAGACTACGTCTCAAAAAAATAATAAATAAATAAAAATAAAAATAAATAAAAAATAAATAAATTTCTTAAACTCAACCTGGGGCCAATTTTAGAGGGATGGGCATTAGCCAGTGCATTTAGTAATAAAAGCAGCTAACATTTATTGAGCCTTTACCATGTGCCAGGCATTGTGCTAGGAGCTTTACCCAGATTATCTCATTACTTCTCAAAACAACCATATGAGGTAGGTATCATTATCATCCCCATTCTACATGTGAGAAAACTTAGGCTGAGAGGCTGAGCAGCTTGCCCAAGGATATACAGTTGAGAAAATGGACTCTATCTGGAGCCCACTCTAGGTTGCTTTCACTGGCGGCTCACTTTGGGTCTAGTGCAGGGAGCTTATTTGGAGAATTTTCACCTGGGGATGTTACGTTGGGGATCCAGTGTGAAAATAAAATTGCAGAACTGAGTCCTGGAAGCTCAATGTGGACATGGGACTAGGCACTTAGCCTGTGTGGCTTAATTTGGGGGACAGTCTAATAATCTAGGGCATTAGTCCTGGAGCTCATCATGGGACTCTCCATCTGGTAAATGAAAAATAGGGGTCGTTGGCCGGGCACGGTGGCTCATGCCTGTAATCCCAGCACTTTTGGAAGCCAAGGCAGGTGGATCACGAGGTCAGGAGTTCGAGACCAGCTTGGCCAAGATGGTGAAACCCCATCTCTACTAAAAACACAAAAATTAGCCGGGCGCGGTGGTGGGTGCCTGTAATCCCAGCTACTTGGGAGGCTGAGGCTGCAGAATCGCTAGAACCAGGGAGGCGGAGGTTGCCGTGAGCCGAGATCGCGCCACTGCACTCCAGCCTGGGTGACGGAGCAAGACTCTGTCTCAAAAAAAAAAAAAAAAAAAAAAAAAAGAAAAAGAAAAAAGAAAAATAGGGGTCATCAGTCTAGGGGACTTGGGCTGGGGAGAACACAATCTGGAATCTCTGTCTGGAGCTCAGTCTGGGCTGCTGAATTTCAGGGTTCCCTCTGGGGAACTCAGAGAATCCAGTCTTGGGGCTCAGTGGGGCTTCAGTCTGTAGGATGGACCTGGAGAGTCAGTCTTTTAAGTTCAGGCTGAAAGTTTCAGTCTGAGGGATATGAAATAGGAGAATTAATCTAGGGTGCTCAGTTTGGCAATACTTGTCTATAGAATGGTGGCCAAGGAGATCAGACTGGGAAGCTCTTTTGGGGACCTCAAGCTGAAGGCTCTCACTGGGAACCCACTCTCAGGGCTCAGTGTGGGAAGAGTATTCCAGGTGGGAAGAGGCCCAGTCTGGGGATCTTAGTTTGAGAAACCAGTGTTGGGATCTATAACTGGGACCTCAGAATGGGCTTAGTATGAAGGTTCAGTTTGGAGATGTCAGTCCATAGGGCCCATCCCAGACAATCAGTCTGGAAGGCCCTTTCTAGAAGTTTAGGCTGGCACCTCAGTGAGGGCTCTTTTTCAGCAGGAGGAATGAGGTACTTACTTATGCTGCAGATGTCTGCTTGTAGAGCTTAGCTATTAAACTTTCTAGAGGCCTAGTTCTTTCTAGGGGTCCAGGCTTGGTAGCAAAGTGCCCCATCTGGCAGGGTGGAGAAGGCTCAGTTTGGGAAGCGGACACAGCAGTGGACACAGCTGTCCACTTCCCATTCTTTTTTTTTTTTTTTTTTTTTGAGATGGAGTCTCACTCCGTGGCTCAGGTTGGAGTGCAGTGGCACGATCTTGGCTCACTGCAGCCTCTGCCTCCCGGGTTCCAGCGATTCTCCTGCCTCAGCCTCCAGGGTAGCTGGGATTACAGGCACGGCCACCACGCCTGGCTAATTTTTGTATTTTTAGTAGAGATGGGGTTTCATCATCTTGGCCAGGCTGGTCTCAAACTCCAGACCTCAGGTGATCTGCCCGCCTCAGCCTCCCAAATTGCTAGGATTATAGGCGTGAGCCACCACGCCCGGCCTCGAACCCCATTCTTATGGCTTTTAGGACCCCACACTTTCTTGGTTTTCTTCCTACCTTTAGGGCTGCTCCTTCTTTTTTTTTTTTTTTTTGAGATGGGGTCTTGCTCTGTCACCCAGGCTGGAGTGCAGTGGCGCCACCTCGGCTCACTGCAACTTCTGCCTCCCGGGTTCAAGTGGTTCTACTGCCTCAGCCTCCTGACTAGCTGGAATTACAGGCGTGCACCATCATACCTGGCTAATTTTTGTATTTTCAGTACAGACAGGGTTTCACCATGTTGGCCAGGCTGGTCTCGAACTCCTGACTTTGTGATCCACCTGCCTCAGCCTCCAAAAGTGCTGGGATTACAGGTGTGAGTCACCGCGCCCAGCCTAGGGCTGCTCCTTCTAAGTCTCCTTTGGTGATTCCACATCCCTGAGCTTTGTCCTTGGCCCCCTTTCCCCTCCTTTTACACTCACTCCCTTTGGTGATCTTGGCCAGCCTTATGGCTTTGGAATACTATCTATGTGCCAATGACATCCAAATCTCTCCCTGAAATTCTAGATTCATCTAACTGCCTGACTAGCAGCTCACTTTGAACATGTCCAAAGTCAGACTCCTAAGATCATCTCAGGAACCATCACCACCAGCCAAAAACCTTTAAGTCATTCCTGACTCTTGCTCCCAAGCCCAGCATCCACTCCACCCTAGTCCTCTCAGTGCTGCTTCTGAAAAGAATGTATCCTGAATCCAACCATTTCTCACCGATTCTACTGCTACTGTCCTCATCCAAGCCAACTTTTCTCACTTGGATTATTGCAAAAGGCTTCTAACTGATCTCTCAGCTCTCTCTCTCTTGCTCCCCAAGTAATCATGATCGAAACCTTCCCATGGCTACCCACCATACTCAGAATAAAATCCATCTCCTTATCTTGGCCTTCAGTCTTTGCTCCTCTCTCCAACCTCATTTCTACCATTCTACTCTTATTTGTCATGTTCAGGTCACACTGACCTTCTTCCTGATCCAGAGATATGCAACCTGTCCAGCACCCCACCTCCCCTAATATCTCCCCTTGCCTTGGACCCTATACTTGCTGTGGCCTCTGCCTGGAACATGCTCAACCCCAACAGGCATGTGCCTACCTTCTTTTTATTCAGGTTTTGACTCACTGTCTTCTAGTCAGACAGGCCACCCAATCTCAAGTAGGCTCTCCAGCCACTGTCATGCCACCCTCTTCTAATTCTCTGAATTATACTCAGCACCTATCTAATATTCTACTGTGTATTTATTTACTTATTTATTTATTCTTGAGATGGAGTCTCGCTCTGTCACCCAGGCTGGAGTGCAGTGGCTCAATCACAGCTCAATGCAACCTCTGCCTCCCGAGTTCGAGTGATTCTCCTGCCCTGGCATCCCGAGTAGCTGGAATTACAGGCACCCACCACCACGCCCAGCTCTTTTTTTTTTTTTTTTTTTTTTTGAGAAGGAGTCTCGCTCTGTTGCCCAGGCTGAAGTGTAGTGATGCAATCTTGGCTCACTGCAAACCTCCACCTCCTGGGTTCAAGCAATTCTCCTGCCTCAGCCTCCCAAGTAGCTGGGATTACAGGTGCCCGCCACCACGCCCAGCTAATGTTTGTATTTTTAGTAGAGACGGGGTTTCACCATGTTGGCCAGGCTAGTCTCAAACTCCTGACCTCAGGCGATCCCCCGGCCTGGCCTCCCAAAGTGCTGGGATTACAGGCGTGAGCCACTGCGCCCGGCCTCTACTGTGTGTTTATTATTTTTGTTTACTGTGTCTCATTGCTGACTAGAATATATGCTCCCTGAGATCAAGGACCTTGTCTGTTTTGTTCACCTCTATATCCCCAGTACCTAGAACAATGCACAAAAACATGGAGGTGCTCAGTAAGTAGCTGTTAAACTAATGAATGAATGAATGAATGAAAATCTGGGGAAGAGAAAGTGGGGTAGGCGGGGGGAGCTCTATCTGGGGTGTGGGGTTCAGGTTGATACTGGAGGAATCGGGATAGAAGACTTTTCTAGTGGTTCAATGTGTAAGGATTCAGTCTGGGGAGGAGGTATCTCAGCCTAGAGATCCAAATTTGAGAGGTGGAAAATTTGGGGTCCAGTCTAGGGTGCTCAATTTGGAGGTTCTTTTGGGAGGTTCATTCTGGGTAGTGGCTGGCGGACATGGAGGAAAGCTCTAAATCTGGAGGATGGAAAATTGATGAGCCAGGGCTCTTTCTGGGGAGCTCAGCTGTGGAGATTCTGTGATGTGGGCTTGGCCTGAGGGGTCAGTCTGGCCTCTCAGCTTGGTGGCTCAGTCCCTGAGGTTTCAGGCTCAGTTTCCTTTCTCATTTGGTACAACTTCATTTGGGGGTGAGTCTAGGGGTCAGCCTTGGGGTCTCGATCTAGGAAATGGATGAGTTCCTTTAGGGGATCATAATGGGCATGCCACTCAAACTCTGGGGTTCCAGTTGGGAAGTTCAGGTTGGGGATCTCCTTCTGAATGTTCTCTACAGGTATTCAGGCAGGGGTCTCAACTTAGAGGTCCCTGCCTGAATACCCAAAGAGAACATTCAGAAGGAGGATCTCATCCTGGGGTCTCACTTCAGAACCTCAATGTGGGCCTTTCAGTTTGGAGATTCTCCTCTGGGATTTCAATCATGTGGCAATGGAAGGCCGACCCTGTGAATTAAGTCTTGGGGTCCTGCCTCAGAGGTCTGGCCTAGAGCTATTAGTGTGGAGAAGTAGGAAGGGGCCTGGGTGCACACACTCACTTTGGGCATCCTTGCTGTCCGGGGAGCCATGGGGCAGCTTTAACAGATAGTCCTTGAGAAGAAGCTCATAGCGGGGGATGCGCTGCACAGGCTCCAGCATGTGGTGCTGCAATGTCAGGTTGCCACAGGCTTCCTCCTTCTGTGACAGGCAGAAGCAGAGGGGCTCAGATCTGGCTGCAGATGCCCCACCACATCCCTGCAGACCTCTCCTCCCCAAGTCTGCTCCTTCCAGCTTGACCACTTACCTGCACCTCATGGATGATGACTTTAAACTGGGTGGAGCGCTCTGTCCAGGTGTTGACCAGCTCCACGGCCCGGTCAAAGTTCTTCACATACTCACCATACATCTTGAGGAAGGGGGCCAGTTTCTGCAGGATGTCTCCAATGCGTGGATAGCGGTCCCTGGGGTGGAATTAGGGGCTGATGTGGTCCTGCTGCTCTTTGCCCCTCAGAAACTTCCCCCACAAGTTTCCAGCCCCAGGCAGATACCTTTCATCTCAGTCCTAGAAACCTACTTCTCAGCTAGTCTGCTCCTTCAGAAATGCTGCTTACATTACAGGCCAGTGAGGCCAAGAGGCTCGGCTTGACTTCAGACCACAGCCTGGGATGCCACCTGCCTCAATTCTGCCCTGCCCGAGTACTGGTTGAAGTACTCACCCTGAGACCTTACTGCCAGGACCACTTCATATACTGATTATCAACTGTGTGCTGGGTGATGCTGGGGACACAGAAATGAGTCACACCCATTTGAGCCCTGAGAGGGTCACCATCTGGTAGGTGAGACAAAGAGACCAGGCCTGGTTGTACTCCTCATTGGTCAGTCTGGTGCAGGAGCAAAGCAAACCAGACCTGGTCCCAGCCCTCAGGGTTCACAGACTCGTGGGGAGATATAGGAACCAGGCTTCATGCTGGCTTTCTGTGGTCACAGTCTGGTGAGGGGGACACACTTGACTCTGTAGGTGTGGAGAATCTGTAGGTATGGGGAATGTGGACATGATTTTAAGCAGGGAGAGACATGGTCTGACTTGTTTAGAGAGACCGTTCTGGCAAATGGTGTGGACTCTAAAGGCTGGATTGGAAGAAGGCCTGAGAGGCTGCCTGTAAACCTTGCCCTTCTACCTCAGGACTCAGCTTAGGCATCACCTTCTCCCTGAATCCTTCTGTAATCTCCAAGCTAGGCTTGGTCCATTTGTCTGGATTCCCACAGCCTCCCATTCTCTGCTCTATCATAGCACTGTAAAAATAACAAAAGCTTACATCCATTGAGCACTTACTGTATATATCTGGTACTGTTTTGTTTGTTTGTTTTTTTTTTTTTTGAGAGAGTCTTGCTCTGTTGCCCAGGCTGGAGTGCAGTGGTACGATCTCGGCTCACTGCAAGCTCCACCTCCCAGGTTCACACCATTCTCCTGCTTCAGCCTCCCGAGTAGCTGGGACTACAGGCGCCCGCCACCATGCCCGGCTAATTTTTTGTATTTTTAGTAGAGACGGGATTTTACCGTGTTAGCCAGGATGGTCTCGCTCTCCTGACCTGGTGATCCGCCTGCCTCGGCCTCCCAGAGTGCTGGGATTACAGGTGTGAGCCACCATGCCTGGCCTATACCTGGTACTGTTCTAAGCTCTTTTATGTATTAAGTTATTTAATCCTTAAAACAACCCTACAAGGTAGGCCGTTATTATTTCCCCCCATTTTATAGATGAGGAAACTGAGGCATAGCAACTTAAGAAACTTGCTCAAAGCTAGCAAGTGGCACAGCTGGAATTTGAACTCAGCCAATTTGGCTCCTAACCTCATACTCCTGTAGGCTATGCTATTCTGTTGCAATTTTCTGAGTTCTGGTCTGTGTTCCACATCAGACTGGGAGGTCCTCGAAGGCAGAGCTTGGGCCTGATTCTTTTTTCTTTTTCTTTTTTTTTTTTTTTAAGACAGAGTCTAGCTCTATCACCTGGGCTGGAGTGCAATGGTGCAATTTCGGGTCACCACACCTCCGCCTCCTGGGTTCAAGCGATTCTTGTGCCTCAGCCTCCCGAGTAGCTGGGACTACAGGCGCGTGCCATCACGCCAGGATAATTTTTAATGTTTTTAGTAGAGGCAGGGTTTCGCCATGTTGGCCAGGCTGTTCTCGAACTCCTGACCTCAGGTGATTCACCTGCCTCAGCTTCCCAAAGTGCTGGGATTACAGGTGTGAGCCACCGTGCCCGGCTCTGATTCCTTTTTCAAAAGTCACTAAGAGGAAGAGCAAGCAGAAATGAAGTCTTGTGTACACCTCTGGGTCTGGGCTCGGCAGGCAGGTGGACAGGGGAGTGGGCAGTCTAGGTCTAGGGCCCCTCACCATTCCTCCATGCGCTTCTCTAGCTCAGGCAGCAGGAACTGCTGGTGGAAGCAATAGATGGAGCAGATGTTAGAGAAGATGCCGTGGACAACGTCGGCCGGGAAGGAACTGCGGTTCCGAGCTTCTTCCAGCAGCCGGGCACAGAACACCTGTGGGGCAGGGCAGAAGCACTCAGCCCAGCTGGGCCTGGGGCTTGGCTGGTGAAGGGTGAGGGCAGTATTTGTGGGGAGGCTTGTGGAGCTTTGGGATCAGCATTGGTCTTGAGACTGAGGAGACAGGGAATGGGGTTAGGGTTATATATTGGGGAGATGGATTTCAGGTTATTCCAGCAGTCCCTGGCTTTGGCCCCCACACTTGAGCTTGGTCCCGGCAGAGCAAGTATTCTGGCTGAGATCTAACTCAAGTGCGAGGGTGCCTTCTGAAGAAATGTTAGGCTGCTTGGGCACAGAAAGGGGTCCCTGCTGCCAAGAGTTAGGCTTTGGAACAATTAGAAGTCAGGATCAAGGTCAGGCTTAGAATTAGATTCAGGGTCAGAGAGAAAGTTGGAATTAGATCTGTTCATTTAATGAATATTTTTGAATGTCTGCTGTGTGCGAGGCACTGTCATAGAGGGTAAGATAGAGCAGTGAACAAAGATAAAAATCTCTACTCTCAGGGATTCTAGTGGATTTGGGATCTGGAATAGGGCCAGGGTTAGAATGAAGTTCACAGCTAGGGATAAATTCAGGATCTGGGTCCAAGTCAGTACTAGTGTCAGAGTCGCAGTCAGGGCTGGTGTACCTGCCCAGCGTTAGGAGTGAGGGTTGGTATCAGCCCTCACTGATCAAGCTTGGGGCATAATCAGAGATGGCTTCAGGGACAAGCTGACTTCAAGGTCAGAGAGGAGCCTTACTGCCTCTAAATTCTGGCCACAATGGTGGGATTGAACTCAGGCCCTATCACTGCCTCCTTGAAACGCACCTACAAGGTCCTGGGGCCCTCGTACCCCCAAGGGGCCACTCACCTGATCCAGGAGATGGAGCCTGGAAACGTAGGCCTTCTCAGTTTGCAGGAGCTCATTGGCAATGTGAAACACCTTTTGCTGCACAGTCAACTGGAAAGGAGAAACAGTAACCCCTGATCCATCATCCTCTATCGTAACCCTCACCCAAGCCCCCAGAATTCTTAAAACAGTTCCCATGCCACTCTAAGCCTAATACCACCCTAGGATAACCTTGACCCCCATCTCTAGATCTGTAAGTCCTTCAGCTTCATCCCTGAGTCCCCAGTCTACCATAAAGCCTACCCCTCCATTCTGATGACGTGCACTCCCTCACTCAACAACTCATTCACCCGCTCTCTCTATTCACTCAGCAGAGTGTAGTGGTTAAGCATGTGGGATGGTAAGTCAGACTTCCTGGGTTCAAATCCTAAGCTCTGCCATTCACTAGCTTGTGTAAGTTCTTTAACAGCTCTGTATTTAGGACGCCTCATCCATAAATACAGATAATAATAGAATCTATTTAATGTAGAGGCTGGTGAGAAACAAAAACAAAACCAAAACAAAATAATAATAGGACTGAAGTCCATTGGTAATGGAGACAATTAGATAATTTAATATAAATAAAACACATCAGACTACAGATTAAATGGTATATAAATGTTAATTAATCATTTATTCACCCACTCAGTACACTATCAGCAAGGGCTTGCTGAGTACCTGGGGTGTGAGAAAAGCACAAAAGTATAAGAACGTATAAAACTCATTGCCTGTTGGCCTAGTTTCCTATTCCTTAGATATATGTGTTGACTACCTGCCATGCCGGCAGTCCCTGGCTTTGGCCCCTACACTTGAGCTTGGTCCTAGCAGAGCAAGTATTCCGGCTGAGATCTAACTCAAGTGCGATGGTGCCTTCTGAAGAAATGTTAGGCTGCCCGGGCACAGAAAGGGGTCTCTGCTGCCAAGAGCCTTCATCTGCACAGCCTCGGGCCCCTGCAGGGCTCTAGCTCTTGCGCCCCTCCTCCAGCTGTTGAGAAGTCTCTATGGATGTAAGTAAGAGACTTTCCGTATTACAAATAAGGAAACTGAGGCTTATGGTAGGGAAGCAGAAAGGGAAAAGACTTGCCCAGTGTCACAGAGCTTGGAAACAAGGTCCTATTTCGAGAAATACTGAGCTAGGGGAAGAATCAAGCACAAAAGGCGCTTCCAGGTTCTCCACATGGACCTGCCTCTCGGTGAACACAGGTCAGTACCTCCACAGACTCCTGTCTCTCCATCAGGGGCACTGGGATTTCTCTGTCCTTCTCTTCCTCCTCCTCCTCGTCGTCCTCCTCCTCCAGGTCACTGTCAACCTCTTGGGAGCCAGGCCGGTGGGGGTCGGCCAAGGCAACAGGCACACTAGCCAGGGCAGGGGGCCCAGGGCAGAGGCTGTGGCTGGGGGGCCCGTCATCACTGACGAAGCAGGTCTCCTCGCTGTTGGATGGCGAGCTGATGCTATCAATGCCGCTGTCCCGGTTGGGCACCTTCTCACCGTCCCGGGGCCCAGGAGCCAGCAGAAACAGGCAGCGGGAGGCCTCACCCTCGGGGAGCTGGGGCACTGGTGGCTGCGAGGTTGGCTGTGGCAACATGACTGGCTCTGGGGGACCTGGGCTGGGGCCAGGGACTGGTCTATCCGAGGCGACAATCACAGGCTCTCTGAGGTGGGTGGTGGACACACATGGAAGCAGGGTATGAGCTTGACTGAGAGGCCTCTCCTGACTATCCCTTCCTGTCCCAGGCTCCCCCTTTCCCCTAGAGGGTGCCCTAGGGACCAGACTCACCTTTCAAACTTCTCAATCAGTGAGGATACTGCTGCAGAACTGGGGCTGGCCTCTGCCCTGGGAGCCAGGCCCTTGGCCACTCGGGGGTCGGCAGGCAGTGGGCGTGATGGTGGAGGGGGGATGGGCTCCAGTGGGGGGGGCATCCGGGGCATCTGCAGGTAGCTGGGCTTTGGGGGCACTGGAGAGACGAATGGGGAAGAGAGAAGGGAGACATCAGTGAGCTGGATTTGAGCCTGGCTAACATGGTGAAACCCCATCTCTACTAAAAATACAAAAATTAGCTGGGCATGGTGGCACGTGCCTGTAGTCCCAGCTACTTGGGAGGCTGAGGCAGGATAATTGCTTGAACTCAGGAGGCGGAGGTTGCAGTGAGCCAAGATCATGTCACTGCACTCCAGCCTGGTGACAGAGTGAGATTCTGTCTCAAAAAAAAAAAAAAAAAAAGCTGGATTTGGAGGTGGCTGGCTGTCATGGCCAGGCCACAACCCCTTCCACAAACACCAATCTGCACCTTTGCCTGAGGTAGACACAAAGGGGCTAAGGTGAGATCACAGTATGCACACATTAGCCTCAGGCCACAGCACTCTGTGCACTAGGTAGGTAGCACTGCCCTGGGAGCATGGTGGCTCCCTATCCTTCTAACAAACCCTCTTCTCTGCCACTGGCTAACTTCTCCCCTCCTCTGTACCCTCCCCTGGGCCACTTCTCTGCTCTTTTCCAGGACCACTTACCCTGTGGCTTCGGGCCCGGTGCCCGCTTCAGTGGTGAAGGACGCTGGCTAGGGGTTTCAGTCGGGGGACCTGGGTCTGAGCGAAGCCGCTGGGGACCTTCTGGATGAGGCTCTAGGCTTTGGCCAGGGTCAAGGGACAAACTTTTAACCAGGATCCGGTTTCCCTGGTGCAGCCCTGCAGGAAGGGAGAAAATGGGTGTGAAGTAACTGACTTTAACCCAAAGGGGACTGGGGTTAAAGTTAGGACTGGCATGTCTTAGCAGCTATCTGGGGTATTGGGTTTCTCTGAGCCCCTTTCCTGGCCACAGTGTTTTTCTGGGAAGCCCCTATCCTAGCCCTCAGATGGAGAGCCAGACCCAGGGCTGGGGCTGGCTGTTTTCATCAATAGATAAGAATTCTTTGTGACTAGTGCATTGATTCCATGTATGTCAGCAGGCAGTATCACTAGGGAGTTTAACCAGGCTGGGGGTGGCTGTGAGCACCCTAAAGTTTATACATGCGTTTGCAGCCCTTGTTTCTACAGCCACATAGGTATGCTGAGTATAAACCATTCTTCAACGCTTTTGTTAAGGCCCTGAGAATATCTAGACTTTCTTGTTTACAATTTTGTGCAGCTAAGTGTGCTTAAAAATGATGAAATTGTGTTTCATGAGCAAGTTTTGCTTCTTGAAATCCCAACTTCTGGCTGGGCACAGTGGCTCATGCCTGTAATCCCAGCATTTTGGGAAGCTGAGAAGGGAGGATTGCTTGAGCTCAGGAATTTGAGATGAGTTTGGGCAACAAAGTGAGACCCTGTCTCTACAAAAAATATAAAAGTTAGCTGGGCAGTGTGGTGTGCACCTGTATTCCCAGATACTTGGGAGGCTGAGGTGGGAGGATCACTTGAGCCTGGGAGGTGGAGGTTGCAGGGAGCTGAGATCACCCCACTGCACTCCAGCCTGGACAAAAGAGCAAGACGCTGTCTCAAGAAAAAAAAAAAAAAGAAGAAAAATGAAAAAGAAAATCCCAACTTCTCAGCAATCTGTACTACCTTCCTCAACTTCCACATCTACACAGACCCACATGCATCTTCCACCTCTGCCACACACACACGTGCAACATCCAGAGTTCAGGTCACAGGAATAACTTTAAATCAAGCAGCCAGTTCAGAAAAAGGGGAGGCCTTTTTATACTGTCCCTCTTCCCTCACTGTATGTCCCCTAAAGCCACCTCTATCTTTGGCTCTAGAGGAGATGATGGTCATGCTTAGGAGAGAGGATTTGGTCTGGGAGGCAGTGAGGGACCCCCACCCCAGGGATGGCATGCCCCAAGGAAAGGAATGTGGGGCTCATGTGGTCCTGGCTGGGCAGGGGGCTGTGGGAGTGCCTCAAATGATAGAGAAGTCAGGTGGGGCCAGAGAGGAGTGGGAAAGGCCTTGGATGCTAGGCTGACATTCATCCTGTAGCAGAAGGGAGCCACAAAAACCCCTTGCATAGGGAGAGATGGAGGCAAACAGGTGTGAGGACAAGAGAGTGAGCAGTAGTCAAGAGCTCCCGGAGGTACCACCATCACATGGTGTAAGTTATGCTGTGCCACAACCACATGGCCTCCCACTCACAGCCACAAAGGGTCTGTTAGCTTATATCACACACAGTCTCATAAATGACTAGTCACAAATGGGCCCACTCAGTCATAGAAACACTTGGTGTTATTTACACCATTTCACCCAACTGCAGGTAATCGCCCTCCTGAAAGCCTAGTTACACACAGTCACAAAGACCTGCGGCCACAACCTCACACACGATCACACAGCCTCGCAGTATCACACACACCTGCAAACATGGTCATGCAGTCACAAAGACACAGAGTCACACAATGGCAATTCTGCCATCTCACACACAGCTTCATACAACCGCCCAACCACAGACAATCATATACCCAGTTAGACATTCTTCAAACATGGTTTCACTGAGTCACAAAAGATATACATTGTCATTTACACTATGTCTCACAATTGCAGGGCCATGGAGTGTCATACACACCATGTCACACCTGCAAACATGGTTACACACAAAGACTATAGGCACAGAGTCAATTATACCATGTCAGACACAATCACATACAGTGGCAAAACAGCATAAAGTCACATGATACCACACACTCAGAAACACGAACTCACAATCACAGACATGTGGCATACAGGTGGCCCTCCACATTCATGGGTTTTGCATCCTCGGCCTCTGCATGGAGGCTGATTGATCGAAATGTTTGGAAAAAAAGACAAAAAATAACAATACAACAATAAAAATTATATAAATAAAACCCAGTACAGTATAACAACTATTTACATAGCATTTACATTGTATTAGGTATTATAAGTAATCTGGCGATGATTTAAAGTATACAGGAAGGGTCAGGTGCGGTGGCTGACGCCTGTGATCCCAGCACTTTGGGAGGCCAAGGCGGGCGGTTCACTTGAGGTCAGTAGTTCGAGACCAGCCTGACCAACATGGCAAAACTCTGTCTCTACAAAAATACAAAAATTAGCTGGGTGTGGTGGTGGATGCCTGTAATCCCAGCTACTCGGGAGGCTGAGGCAGGAGAATCGCTAGAACCAGGGAGGTGGAGGTTGCGGTGAGCCAAGATCATGCCACTGCACTCCAGCCTGGGCGACAGAGACTCCATCTCAAAAAAAAAATATATATATATATACAGGAAGATACACATAGTTTATATGCAAACAACATGCCATTTTATATAAGGGACTTGAGTGTTGGCGACTTTGGTATCTTCAGGCTGTCCTGGAACCAATTCCCCATGGAGACCAAGGGACAACTGTCATTTACTATGTCATACTCATCTAACAAACACATCCACGGTGTCCCTGGGTCTTAGCCATAGGCCCAGGAATACACACACTGTGGGACACTTGCCTCCTCCTAAATAGTCACATACAAACTCTGCTGTGAAAACATACACACACAAAGACCTCTGCAGCCTCCCTTCCAGGGTCACACAGGCAGAAAGAGTCACAGGGGATTTTAGGTCTCCCAGTCCCGGAGGGAAGAAATAGCCCAACCCACAGGGTTCCAGCAGCTTCCCTAGGCCCCTGACCTCACCCCTGGCTACATCCCAGCCAGGTCCACCCCAGGGGACTCAGATCAGGGTCCTTTCCCAGCACTGAGGGAACAGGGTGCCCCAGGCCCCAGGCCGAGCGCCCCTCCCCAACTCTGTACCTTGCTTTGGGTGTCGTTCCTCACTTCCTTCCCCACCTAAGCTGGCAGGGCCTGGCCAGGATGGAGGAGGCGCTCCTCTCCACTCAGCTGTGCCGCTTACCCTGCCCTGCTCAGCACATCCTGGCCTGGTCTTGCCCTGCCCTCCCCCTGGGCGTGGGGGTGAGGAAGATGAATCACCTGGAGGGTGGCACAGGCGGAGATGTGGTTGGAGAGACACATGGCCAGAGCAAGGGAGAGAGACAGAGAGGAGCTGACAGGGCCAGAGAGGCAGTGAGTAAAGCCAGGCACCCTGCCATGCAGAGACCCCTCCTCAGATATACACACATAGGTGCCAGGGTCCCTGGTGCCCCTTGTCTGCCTCCTTGGGCCTGGAGGAGCCCACCTATCTCCACACCTCAAAGCAGGCAGGCCTCTCTGGGCAAGCCCTCCCTACCCTATCTGTAGCAAAGCAGCAGGGTCCCTGGATAATGCTGCTCTCCTTCTCCTCCAGTGCTGGTCCTCGGGATGGAGTGACCATACATCCCACTTTCCATGGCCCTGCCCTAGCCCACCCATTGCTCCCTCCTCACCCATCTCACCTGACAGCCCACAGACAGACCTGCCTCTCCATTCTCTCTGCCTCCTTGCAGGCAGCCCTGCAGGAAGAGGAGGCTGAATGAAATGCAAAGATTCCCTGGAGTCCCAGGTGAGAGGAAAAGAGATTGTCAGCCCAGTTTCTAGTGAGGAGATGGAGTCAGAGAGAGAGGCAGTGACTTGCCCAAGGTCACAGAGCAAATCAATGAATGGCACACTTTTGGGCAGACTGGTCATGGACTGGATTCCTTTCTTATTAACCCTGCTCTCCAAGGGCAAGCTGGAAAAGAGGGGAACCAGGAGGGGCGGGTGGACCCAACGGCTTCCGAAAGTCACAAACTGCAGTGTAGCTAGTCAGAGGGACACCCCTCAACCCTGTCCACAGGGAGTTGAACAGGGGTCCAGTTTAGGAGCCTAGGCCTGGCCAAGAACCAGGCTAGGTTTCACTGAGCGGGAGAAGGTTCAAGATCCCTCCCTCTCGTTTCAGAACTCCCTCTCCCTTGTCTCTCTGCCTACATTTCCCTGTCTCCTATTTTCCCTCAGTGGCCTCCTTGGCTCCAAGTCTTGCTCCCTCCAGGTGGCTGAATGAACTTACGTACAGTCCAGCTCAGATCATGCCACTTACCTGCACAAGAACCTTCTGTAACTCCCTACTGTCCATGGGAAAATAGAAACTTCTCAGCTAGGCCGGGCGCGGTGGCTCACGCCTTTATTCCAATACTTTGGGAGGCTGAGGTGGGTGGATCACCTGAGGTTGGGAGTTCGAGACCAGCCTGACCAACATGGAGAAACCCGATCTCTACTAAAAATACAAAATTAGCTGGGCGTGGTGGCGCATGCCTGTAATACCAGCTACCGGGAGGCTGAGGCAGGAGAATCGCTTGAACCCAGGAGACGGAGGTTGTGGTAAGCTGAGATCGCACCATTGCACTCCAGCCTGGGCAACAAGAGCGAAACTCTGTCTCAAAAACAAACAAACAAACAAACAAACAAAAACACCAAAAAAAGAAACTTCTCAGCTAGCTCTCAGTGGCCCCTCATGACCATGCTGAACTCTATGGCTTTCCTTGGCTGAGTTTGGTCTCCAGAATATTTTTGAACCTAGTAGACCCTGTGCTTGGAGATGAGAAAATCCCATCCCTGCCCTTGGGGAGCTCCCAGGGTAGGCCCCCCTCCTCCTTCCTAGAAACCACAGCCATTCCCACTGCCCCATCCCGTCCCTACCCAGCAAGGTCCTGGATTCATTTTCTCCAGCCCTTTTTTTTTTTTTTAAGACAGGGTATTGCTCTGTTGCTTAGGGTTAAGTACAGTAGTGTGATCAGGTCACTGTAACCTCAAATTCCTGGGCTCAAGTGATCCTCCCATCTCAGCCTCCCAAGTAGCTGGGACTACAGGTACTCACTACCATGGCTGGCTATTTTTAATTTTTTTTGTAGAGATGGGGTCCTTCTTTGTTGCCCAGGCTGGTGTCAAACTCCTGGCTTCAAGAGATCCTCCTGCCTCTGCCTCCAAAAGTGCTGAGATTACAGGCATGAGCCAGTGTGCCCAATTCCAGCCCATTTTTCTTGTGGTTGATAATCCACAACATTATCACACCCACACCCACACCTCCACACCTGACAAGATCCTCCACCAGCACTGCCCCTTCCATCAACGGATTTATAATTCCCCAATGCCCAGTAGAGCAGAGATCACCAAAAAGCCCCCGTCACACACATTTGGTCACACCACCAAATCTTTCTTATTTTTTATTTTTGAGGTGAGGCCTTACTATTTTGCCCAGGCTGGTGTCGAATTCCTGGGCTCAAGCAATCCTCCTGTCTCAGCCTCCCAAGTAGCTGGGACTACAGGTGTGTACCACCACACCCAGCCACCACCAAATCTGATAACACTTTGTGGAAATGTACCCAGCCACACACCAACTGTGCACATCCCTCAAAGACCCAGAGAGAGAACCACAGAGCTACTCATGTCTGTGTGCACCGTGCTCGGCACAACTGCACACACACAACCACCACTGCCACTCGGACATCTCTTGTCACCTAGGAAAGCATACTCTAGGCACCCCAGGAGTGCCAGTGCACTGTGCCAGCTCTGCTGTGGGGATGGGGGTGGGGTATGCACCCTTCCTGCCCCACTCTCAAACCCCTGCCCCCCCAGGCATTCAGCAGGCCAGAAGGGCAATCTTGACCCTTACCCTCAGGGAGCTCCCAATCTCAAAGACAAAGACTCTAACTCAGGAAAGGCAACGAGGGCGAGCCTGTGGGGACTGGGGAAGCTCAGTGGAGGAGAATGGATAGGGTGGCCAGATAAAATACAGGACACTCAGTTAATTTTTTTTTTTTTGAGATGGACTTTCGCTCTTGTTACCTAGGCTGGAGTACAATGGTGCGATCTCAGCTCACTGCAACCTCCGACTCCTGGGTTCAAGCAATTCTCCTGCCTCAGCTTCCCGAATAGCTGAGATTACAGGTGCCTGCCACCAAGCCCAGCTAATTTTTGTATTTTTGTAGAGATGGGGTTTCACCATGTTAGCCAGGCTGGTCTCGATCTCCCGACCTCAGGTGATCCACCTGCCTCAGCCTCCCAAGGTGCTGTGATTACAGGCGTAAGCCACCATGCCCGGCCACTCAGTTAAATTTGAATTTTAGATAAACAAGGAATGTTTTAGTATAATATGTCTCATGAATACTTATACTAACAATTTCTTAAGCTATACTTAAAAAATGACTTGTTGGGCCAGGCGCAGTGGCTCATGCCTGTAATCCCAGCACTTTAGGAGGCCGAGGTGGGTAGATCATGAGGTCAGGAGTTCGAGACCAGCCTGACCAACATGGCGAAACACCGTCTCTACTAAAAATACAAAAATTAGCTGGGCATGGTGGCAGGCGCCTGTAATCTCAGCTACTCGGGAGGCTGAGGCAGGAGAATGGCTTGAACCCGGGAGGCGGAGGCTGCAGTGGGCCGAAATCATGCCACTGCACCCCAGCCTGGGCGACAGAGTGATACCCCGTCTAAAAACAAAATGACTTATTGTATATCTGAAATTCAAATCTAATTGTATTAAATACTTTCTGAAGGCTAATTCTGGCAACGCTAGTCAGGGAAAGCTTCCAAATGAATGTGGCAGAGCCGGGCCTTCAAGACAGCACCTGGTAGCCAGAGTTCCCCCAGACTCTTGTCCACTTAAGCCTCAAGCAGGCTAGGGACTCTACCCAATTTTTTCTGCCATGGGCATCTGAATGCTCACGACAGTGCCATTATTTCAGGGATGGCCTTGAATCTGGTCTTTTTTTTTTTCTTAAGTCACTAATTTATAAAACTATGATACTTGACTATTCCCAACAAGGGTGGTGTCATCATGATCACTGACTGAACTGCACGGATTGAACTGCTGCAGCACCTGTATTAGGAACAGCTGGCTTAGGACTTGCACAGACCTCAGTTTAGATCACAACACTACCTTTTACTAGCTGTGTGGCCCTGGGCAAGTCTCCCCATCTACCTGAGCCTCAGTTTCTTTATCTGGAAAGAAGGACAATAATAGCAGTTCCTTGGTTTGGGGGAGCCTATGGGACAAGGAAGGGAAAGAGCACAGTGACCCACCCCCACCCCACCACACACACAGAGTGATATGGGTTAAATTTGAAAACCAACAGAATCACACATCCACAAAGCCACAAAACTACACACATAAATACATAAGCCCACGGGCTGTAGGCTGCAACCCAACGTAAAACTGTATATACACTGAGAAACACAAGCAAACTCAGCCAGTGAGAGACACAGAACCTAGCCCCACTCACCAGGATAGCTCTGCAGATCAGGGCAGGATTCCTATGCGAGGTGGTAGGGCAGTGAAGACAATGGTGCCCTGTCCTCCCCATTCAAATTCAATTCAAAATACAAACCAGAAAAAAACTGTAAAATAAGTGTCAAGAAGTGTAGCTGAGGTTTGAATTTTCCCATGACAATTTATTATTATTGAAATAGGAAAATCCTTGCAAAAATTGTTTCTGGTTGCTGCATGCCCCTGCGTGGCAGGTGCCCTGAGCACATGCTTCTGGGTTTACTGGCAGAGAAAGTCCAGCATCTAGCTGTGTCTGAGGACAAGGGCTCCTTTTGCCCATTCCCACTGGAACTGGACCCTGCATCTCCCTCAACCCTTCCTGGGAATCTCAGCTGCCAAGTTTTCCCCCTCCCAGCTAGTAGCAGCCCCTCTCACTTCTCCCAGCTGTAGCCTTGGCTTAATCTCAAGACAGCTACTAGGGCCCCAGACTGGCCCTTGGCCATTAACTCCCTGGTGTCCTGGGGCAAGTGGCTTCAAAGCTCTGGGCCCCAATTTCCCCATTTGGGGCCCACAGCTATGAAGGATAGCTCTGCAGAGATGCTAAAATGGGGAGAAAACGTGTGTTCTGCTTGTTGTGAGCAATCAGCGAGATCCTAGGGTGAGCAGAAGCCAGCCCCTAGCACGCAGGTCTCCTGACAGCCCAGGCAAACTTCTCCCTACAGCCCTCAAATCTTTTCCTTTCCGGGCAGAGAGGTAGGCTCCTGGGACAGCTGGAATTCCTGGGGGTGGGGTGGGGAAAGGGAGCAGAGGGAGTGGAGAAGAACAGCAGAAAGGAAAGTGCCTTTTGGGAAGCCAGTTCTGTCAGGGGAAGGGGCATCCCTCCGCTTGACAAAAAAAAAAAAAAAAAAAGCCATAACTGCCCCACCTCTTCCCACCTGCCCCTTGAATGTGAACTGCAGGCCAGCTGCCCCACTCCGCCTTCAAGGCCAGACTGCACCCAGGCTGCCTGACCTGGCAGATGTTGTCTCTCAAAGTTCAAACACAAAGCTCGGTCAAGTGTGAAATGTGCAGAAGGAGCTGTTTACAGGAACCCTGTGGGTAGCTCAGGGGTTCCTTCCCTGAAGTCGACTATTCTTCTCAACATAAGGACTCTGCAGAAAAATGGAGGCACTTTCTATAGTGTGAAGACACTTTCAAGAAGTGGGGGCCATTCTGGCAAGTCAGGAGCTTCCTAACTCTTTCGAGTTTCCTGAAGAGTGTTCCATCCTTCAAAACGGAGACACTTTCTGTGAAATGGAGATCTCTTTGATAAACAGAAGGCCCTTCTGTAAAGGGAAGAAGTTTTTCCAAAAAGAGGAGCCTTCTTCAAAGTGGAGGGACATGCTGTAAAGTGAGGAGAGTTCTCTAAAGGCCCTTTTGTAAAATGGATGGCCTGTTTGTAACCAAAGGACTCTTAAGGATCATGACAAAACAGAAGACTGTTAAAAAGGAGAACTCCTTTTTGTAAAGTGAGGCCCCTTCTGTAAAGAGAAGGATGTTTCTGTAAAGTGCAGACCCTAGTATAAAGTGAGGAACTTTCTGTAGAGTGGGACAGTCTAAGGCCATGGGGAATGGTGGGGACTGGGTTAAACTGGAAAGCACATGCCTAACCTGAAGTAGAAGCAGCAGCTTCTCCCCTCCACCCAGGTGTCATCTTGCAGTAATGTGGCGCTGTATTGTCAGGTCTTCCAATATTTCAAGGGAATCCAGAAATCCAGATTTTTCTTCTTTTTTTTTTTTTAGACAGAGTGTTACTCTGTCGCCCAGGCTGGAGTGCAGTGGCGCAATCTCAGCTCAGTGCTACCTCTGTCTCCCGAGTTCAAGCGATTCTCCAGCCTCAGCCTCCCGAGTAGCTGGGATTACAGGCACACGCCACTACATCTGCCTAATTTTTGGATTTTTAGTAGAAACGAGGTTTCACCACGTTGGCCAGGCTGGTCTTGAACTCCTGACCTCAGGTGATTCACCCGCCTCGGCCTCCCAAAATGCTGGGATTACAGGCATGAGCCACTGTGCCCGGCCGGGAAATCCAGGTTTTTCATGTGAAGTCCCTTAATTTTAAAAACTGTGGGCAAGCCAAATGAAACTTGTGAGTCAAATTCAACTTGTGGGCCATCATGTTGCACTATCTGAGTTAGATGATCCTGAAGGCTCATTCTACTCCTGCTGTTTATGCCTTGCCCTATCTCACATGCTCTTGCCCTTGAGTAGAAGCCTTGCAGGTCCTATCTCCCACTCCCTGGAAGGGCCCAGTTTCCTCTGTGTCTGAGCAGGCTCAGGGAGCTGGCCCATGCATTACTTGTCAGAAGTTCCCTGAATTGGAATCTGCCTTTTGTTCTGTGTGACCCGATTTACCTTCTGCCCTGTGCAGGATGCCTAAAGAAGAGAGAGCAGGAGATTGTAAGAATATGCAGAAATCTCTGGAACTCAAGCTGTTCACTTTTTAGTAGAGGATATAAGATATGAGGATTCAACTGCTGAACACCCACTCTGGGCCAGGTGTTGTGTTGATGCTATCTCGTATGGCATCCTCCTAATGATCCGGTGAGCTATTACCCATTTTACAGATGAGGAAACTGATGCACAAAGAGGCAAAATAATTTGCCTGAGGACAGCTAAAAGTGGTTGAGCTGGGACCAGATCCCAGGTGTGTCTGTGTCCAGAGTCACAGAGCACACCTTCAGTGACTGCTGAGTTGGGAAAGAAATCACATTTGGAGGGGGGAGGAGAGAAGACTTCCTAAAGGAGGTGGTTTTTAGTTGCACCATCCAGGATGGGGTGTGTTTTTTTTAGGTATAGATGGACTGAGAATGGTTCTGCAGACAAGGGAAGAAGAGTGGGCAAAAGTGTGGATATTGGGTGGGGAGGTATGAGTGAAGCATATATTTGAAGTACGTAATGTCATGGGTTTGCAAGAAGGCTCCACAGCAGGAAGAAGGATCAGGAAAGGCCAAAAGATACAAGCAAGCAGACACCCCCTTCCCTACACCACAACCATAGACCTATAGGGGGCATGCAGAGGCAGACGCAGGCACGGGAACAGACACAGGTATAGAAACAGACAGACACATCCACAAGATCTAAGGAGACCCATGCGCAGAAACATCTAGAAACTCCCACATACTTAGGGCCAAGGTGACATACAACCAGGCACAGAGGAGCACGTAACACATACAGACCCAGAGACACACATGGATCTATATGCAAACATACAGATGGCCATACAGAAACAAGAACATTAAGACACACACACAAAATAGATCCACGGGGACAAAGAAGGCCAGGCACATGCGCGCGCACACGCGCGCACACACACACACACACACACACACACACACAGACAAACCAAGCAGCCACATGAGAGCACAAGCAGCCCATCCCTCTTCCAGTTCCTTGATTACTGTGAGGGCCTGGCCACCTCCTCCCTGCTTCTCTGGACTAGAGGCCAGAGGATAGGGGGCGGTAGCTCCACCCCCGCCCATCTCCCTCCCCCGCCCCGGGAGGAGCTGGGGACTTCAGAGGACAGGAAGGGAAGGGAGTGGAACTGCAGCTGGGAGCACTGGGAGCAGTAATTACCAGATGCTGGGGCTGCCACGCTGGCTGAGATTCCCCTTCCTGTGAGGCAAAGCCGCTAGGGGGATGGTCCCTCTGACCCTTGCCTCAACCCCAGGGACCCCAACACCCACCCATCTCCCTTCCCATTCACCAGAGGCCTGGCCAAATCTGAGAGTTGGAGACACAGAAGGATTATGAGGGGAAAAGACAGATGATAAGAGAAAGACACTGGGACAAACACAAGGAGGGAGAGGACAGGAAAACCACAGAGACCCAGAGATGGACATAGAGGGAGATGGACAAAAGGAAGGGACAAGTCAGAAGGGAGACAGAGACAGAAAGGTCCACACAGGGCATGGTAGTCAGCGAGGGATACAGACCCAGGCAGAGGGGCAGGAACAAAAAGGGCAGGCCAGGGCCATCTGTTGAACATGGTGACAATGTGCCATGCCAAGGGCTGGGGATGGATCTGTGGCATTGAATCCTTACAACAACCCTAGAAGGTGGGAATGACAGCCCCATTTTCCAGATGAGAAAACCGAGGCTCAGAGGGGTGAGATGACTTGCCCAAGGTCACGTGACACTTTAGAAAGTGGCGGACCTGGGTCTGGGGGGCTCTCTCTGCTGCCAGCCCCTGCCAGAGTCAGGGAGGCCCAAACAGAGATCCCTGAGGGAATTCTCCAGAGAGAGAGAAGCAGTCAGCAAGCCTGGGAGATGCTCCCTAAGAGATGCGGTGAAAGTGACCCCAGCCTTCCCTGCCCCTCCCACACCCGCGCGGTGGGGGAGGGGCTGCGTCTACACCTGGAATGCATTAGGTAGGGGGGTCCCCCAGCCTAGGGGAGCAGGGAAGGGGCTGGAGGGGGAGCAGGGAAGGCAAAGGCAAAGGCGAAGGCAAAGGCGGTGGTGTGGGCGGTGGCGGCCCAGGCCTAGCAGGCCCTGGCGGGCGGAAGGGCTTCTATGCCAGCTGCAGCTCCCAAAGGCCAGCCCTGCCAGTCCCGCCTTTCCCGCTTTCCACAGGCGCCTTCCCTCCGCGATTTAACCCTTTCCCTGCAGGGGCCATGGGGAAGCGCCAAGGAGGGCTCTTCCCTCTTAGTCTCAGCTACATACCTGTGCCCCTCACCCACCTGCCCTTACTCTGGGACCCAGATAGGCATATCTGATGCCAACTGGGTGCTGTCACCTAGATGTCCTGTCTTCAGGCTCCTCAGCCTCAGCACATCGTGAACGACACTCCTACCCCAGCCCCGGTCTGCTTCTCCTCCTGCCTTCCCCATCGCAGGAAGGACAACTCCATCCGCCCAGCTGCCCAAGCCCAAGTCCTAGGTTTATTCCTCTCCCTCAACCCACATGTCCAGCCAGGCCCCAAGTCCTTTAGATGCACCATGGTCAGTTGCTCTAGAATCCCTATGCTTCATTCCCCCTCCAGCCCCCTAACTGATTTCACTCCCATCTTCCGGGCCTCTACGAGGCATTCTCTACACCACTGCCAGCTTTTGGAAAACACAGTCCCCTGCAATCCCTTCAGCCTTGTGAAGGGCTCCCTTTGCCTTCAGGGGTGAAACTCCTGAGCACAGGGACAAGGAAGGCCTAGCTCAGGAACATTTCCCCGCCCCACGATCCAGCCACAATGGCCGTTTGTCTGTTCCTCGAAAGTGCTCTCTTCCGCCTAGGGCTTTGGCACATGTTGTTCCCGTGACCCGAACTGCTAGTCTGCCTCTCCCTACCTCTGGACTCCTATTTATCCTTCAGGTCTCAACTCAAATATCTCCTTTGCCCTGTCCGCCCACTCCCCCCACCCTCATGTGTTCTTGCAGCATCTGCACTTGGAATTGCTTGTAGTGTGTCTTTCCTGCTAGATATCAGCTCCACGAGGACAGGGATAGTGACTGTCTTGTTGCCTACCTGGCACCTAAGCACAGGGCCTAGCACATAGTAGGCACTCAACAGGTACATGTTAAATAAAGAAATGCCCCCCTTGCTCCCCTCTTTCACTCTCCCTTCCCCTGTACCCTATTTGCTCACCAAGTATTATTTATTGATGCCACAATGACCAGGTTTGTGGTATTACAAATAGGGAAACTAAGACCCTGAGAGGGGAAGGGAGGCCTGGAGGAACAGTGAACCAATAGCAGAGCTAGGAGTGCTGAGGCTCCCCCGGCTATGCCCTGCAGCCTTGTCTCAGGAGCTGTGTGTGTTTTCAGACACCGTTTGGAGGTGTCACACCTTCTAGGTCCAAGGAACTGGGCACCAGAGCCCAGAGAGGCTGGACTCATTGCTCCAAAGATGTTTGCTCTCTCCAGATGAGGGAACTGAACTCTGTGGTGCTAGCCAATGGCAGACTGCATTTCCTGCCCTCATTCCAGACAGGTCCTAGCCCCACCCAGCCAGCGTCTGGCCAGCTCCACATCTGCCTAAGGCATTTAGCTAACTGGCCCCCAGAAAGCCATGGCTTGGGTTTGTGTGGGGCATTGTTAGCTGCCACTCCACTCTCCCTTGAGGAAGCAGGCAGCCCCACCTGGGCCCTCCCCCAGGGACAGAGGGGCCTGAAAGGGCCAAGAGCGGACTGCCAGCCATCTGCAATTTAGAAGCTTCTATTCTTTTAGTCTTGTCTGGGGAAGTCCTTTTCCCAGCTACCCAGAGTCTTTACATTTTGTTGTGTTTGTTTGGAAGGCCCTAGTGGACTAGGAACCAAATTTGGTTCTTTCCCCAGACTCTCCCCTGGAATCTCAAACTACTTCTCTCCAAAACTCCCCAGCAGACCCCACGATCCCCTCCTGTCCCAAGCCCTCTCTTCTCCTTTCCGTAAGCAAACCCCCTCACTGGCCTCTCAGGATGCCCTCAACAGAGAGAACACTGGGAACCACACAAATTTACTTTACCAATGTTTGATTTGCTTTTCAGAAGTACTCCTCCCTCAATACTTTGCAATAGCCAGCTACCCTGGGTGTACGTGAAATGGGTCTCAGCTTCATGCAAATATGTTTATTTATTTATTATTTTTTGAGACAGAGTCTCACTTTGTCACCCAGGCTGGAGTGCAGTGGCACAATCATACTTCACTGCAGCCTCGAACTCCTGGACACAAGTGATCCTTCCACCTCAGCCTCTCAAGTAGCTGTGACTACAGGCATACACCACCATGCCCTGCTAATTTAAAAATATTTTTTGTAGAGACGGGGTCTCACTATGTAGCCCAGGCTGGTCATGAACTCCTGCCCTTAAGCAATCCTCCCCTATCAGCCTCCGAAAGTGCTAGGATTACAGGTGTGAGGCACCATGACTGGCTTCAAATATGCTTTTTTTTTTTTTGAGATGGAGTCTCGCTCTGTTGCCAGACTGGAGTGCAGTGGCAAGATCTCGGCTCACTGCAACTTCCACCTCCTGGGTTCAAGCAATTCTCCTGCCTCAGTCTCCCGAGTAGCTGGGACTACAGGCGTGCGCCACCACGCCTGGCTAATTTTTGTATTTTTAGTAGAGACAGGGTTTCACCATGTTGGCCAGGATGGTCTCAATCTCTTGACCTTGTGATCCACCCACCTCGGCCTCCCAAAGTGCTGGGATTACAGGCGTGAGCCACCGTGCCCGGCAAATATGCTTTATTTTATTTATTTTATTTTTTTGAGACAGAGTCTCGCTCTGTCACCCAGGCTGGAGCGCAGTGGCACAATCTCGACTCACTGCAACCTCTGCCTCCTGGGTTCAAGCAATTCTCCTGCCTCAGCCTCCTGAGTAGCTGGGATTATGGGCATGTGCCACCATACCTGGATGATTTTTTTTTTCTTAGAGACGGAGTCTCGCTCTGTCACCAGGCTGGAGTGCAGTGGCACGATCTTGGCTCACAGCAACCTCCACCTCCCGGGTTCAAGTGATTCTCCTGCCTCAGCCTCCCGAGTAGCTGGGACTACAGGCATGCGCCACCACGCCCAGCTAATTTTGTATTTTTAGTAGAGACAGGTTTTCACCATGTTGGCCAGGATGGTCTCGATCTCTTGACCTTGTGATCCACCCACCTTGGCCTCCCAAAGTGCTGGGATTACAGGCATGAGCCACTGCGCCTGGCTGATTTCTGTATTTTTAGTAGAGACAACATTACGCCATGTTAGCCAGGCTGGTTTCAAACTCCTGGCCTCAAGTGATCCACCCGCCTTGGCCTCCCAAAGTGCTGGGATTACTGGCGTGTGCCACCGTGCCCGGTCGATTTTATTTTTTAAGACACAGTCTTGGCCTGGCATGGTGGCTCATGCTTGTAATCTCAGCACTTTGGGAGGCCAAGGCGGGCGGATCACAAGGTCAGGAGTTCAAGACCAGCCTGGCCAACATGGTGAAACTCTTTCCCTACTTAAAATACAAAAATTAGCTGGGCATGGTGGTGTGCGCCTGTAATCCCAGCTACTGGGAAGACTGAGGCAGGAGAATTGCTTGAACGGGGACCTGGGAGGTGGAGGTTGCAGTGAGCCGAGATTGCCACTGCACTCCAGCCTGGGCGACAGAGCAAGACTCCGTCAAAAAGCAAAAACAAAGAAAACAACAACAACAACAAAACCACAGTCTTGCTCTGTCACCCAGGCTGGAGTGCAGTGGTGCAATTTTGGCTCACTGCAACCTCTGCCTCCCGGGGTCAAGTGATTCTCGTGCCTCAGCGTCCTGAGCAGCTGAGATTACAGGTGTGAGCCACCGTGCCCAGCCCTCAAATATGCCTTAAAAACGGCTGGGTCTCAGCTTCATGAAAATATACTTTAAAAACTGCTTTCCCCTGAAAAAAGGCATTTCTATGGCAAAGTTACAGCAGGTACTGAATAATTCATCTGAGTGTGACCCTGCCAACCTTACTGTCTGTCTTCAAGGATGGGACTGGCTCCCAGATCTATACATGGTATGTGTTGGTGGTGAAAACTCCCAAACATCACTGGCCCAGGCCTCTTTCCTGAACTTTCCAATCTTACGTCCAAATGCCTGCTTGCGAGATGACACAAACAAATGGGAAAACATTCCATGCTCATGGATAGGAAGACTCAATATTGTTCAAATGGCCATACTGCCCAAAGCAATTTACAGATTCAATGCTATTCCTATCAAACTACCAATGACATTCTTCACAGAATTTTAAAAAACTATTTAAAAATTAATATAGAACCAAAAGTGTCCAAATAGCCAAGGCAATCCTAAGTAAAAAGAACAAAGCCAGCTGGGCATGGTGGCTCAAGCTTATAATCCCAGCACTTTGGGAGGCCGAGGCAGGCGGATCACCTGAGGTCAGGAGTTCGAGACCAGTCTGGCCAACATGGAGAAACCATGTCTCTACTAAAAATACAAAAATTAGCCAAGCATGGTGGCGGGCGCCTGTAATCCCAGCTACTCAGGAGGCTGAGACAGGAGAATCACTTGAGCCCAGGAGGCAGAGGTTGCAGTGAGCCGAGATCATGCCACTGCACTCCAGCCTGGGCGACAGAGTGACACGCCGTCTGAAAAAACCAACCAAACAAACAAACAAACAAAAAAACCAAACCACGGTGGCTCACGCCTGTAATCCTAGCACTTTGGGAGGCCGAGGCGGGCAGATCACGAGGTCAGGAGTTCAAGACCAGCCTGGCCAACGTGGCGAAACCCCATCTCTACTAAAAATACAAAAATTAGCTGGGCACAGTGGCGTGTGCCTGTAATCCCAGCTACTCGAGAGGCTGAGGCAGGAGAATTGCTTGAACCAGGACCCGGGAGGAGGAGGTTGCAGTGAGCCGAGATCATGCCACTGCACTTCAGCCTGGGCTACAGAGCGAGACTCAGTCTCAAAAAAAAAAAAAAAAAAAAAAAAAAAAAAAAAAGGCCAGGTGCGGTGGCTCACGCCTGTAATCCCAGCACTTTGGGAGGCCGAGGCGGGTGGATCACGAGGTCAGGAGATCAACACCACCCTGGCTAACACGGTGAAACCCCGTCTCTACTAAAAATACAAAAAATTAGCCAGGCGTGATGGCGGGTGCCTGTAGTCCCAGCTACTTGGGAGACTGAGGCAGGAGAATTGCTTGAACCCGGGAGGCGGAGCTTGCAGTGAGCCAAGATCACGCCACTGCACTCCAGCCTGGGTGACAGAGCGAGACTCCATCTCAACAACAACAACAAAACAACAACAAAAAACAAAACCAGAGGCATCACACTACCGACTTTAAACTATACTTACAGGGCTACAGTAACCAAAACAGCATGGTACTGGACAAAAACAGATACACAGACCAATGGAACAGAATAGAGAGCCCAGAAATAAGGCCGCACACCTACAACCATCTAACCTCTGACAGAGTTGACAAAAGAAGCAATAGGGAAAGGACTCCCTAGTCAATAAATGGTGCTGAGATAACTGGCTAGCCACATGCAGAAGACTGAAACTGGACCCCTTCCTTACACCATATACTAAAATCAACTCAAGATGGATTAAAGACTTAAATGTAAAACCCAAAACTATAAAAACCCTGGAAGACAACCTAGGAAATACCATTTTGGACATAGGACCTGGCAAAGATTTCATAATGAAGGCACTAAAAGCAATTACAACAAAAACAAAAATTGACAAATGGGACCTAATTAAATGAAAGAACTTCTGCACAGCAAAAGAAACTATCAACAGAGTAAACAACCTACAGAATGGGAGAAAATATTTGCAAACTATGAATCTGACAAAGGTCCAATATCCAGAATCTGTAAGGAACTTAAATCAACAAGCAATAAACAACCCCATTAAAAAGTGGGCAAAGGACTTGAACAGACACTTTTCAAAAGAAGACATACATGTGGCCGATAAGCATATGAAAAAAATGCTCAACATCAGCCAGGCGTGGTGGCTCACGCCTATAATCCTAGCATTTTGGGAGGCCGAGGCGGTTGGATCACCTCAGGTCAGGAGTTCGAGACCAGCCTGGCCAACATGGCAAAACCCCGTCTCTACTAAAAATACAAAGATCAGCTGGGTGTGGTGCCACCAAGCACCTGTAATCTCAGCTACTTGGGAGGCTGAGGTGGGAGAATTGCTTCAACCTGGGAGGCGGAGGTTGCAGTGAACTGAGATAGAGCCACTGCACTCCAGCCTGGGTGACAGAGAAAAAAAAAAAGAAAAAATGCTCAACATCACTAATCATTAGAGAAATGCAAATCAAAACCACAATGAGATACCATTTCACACCAGTCGGAATGGCTATTACTAAAAAGTCAAAAAATAACATGCCAGGTTGCAGAGAAAAGGAAATGCTTATACACTACTGGTGGGAATATAAATTAGTTCAGCCATTGTGGAAAGCAGTTTGGTGATTTCTCAAATAACTCAAGCAGAATTACCATTCAACTCAGTAATCTCATTATTGGGTATACACTCAAAGAAGTATAAATCGTTCTACCATAAAGACACATGCATATGTATGTTCATCACAGTGCTATTCACAATATCGAAGACATGGAATTAACCCAAATGCCCATCAATAGTAGACTGGACAAAGAAAATGTGTTATGTATACACCATGGAATACTATGCAGCCATAAAAAAGAATGAGATCACGTCCTTTGCAGAAACATGGATGGAGCTAGAGGCCATTATCCTTAGCAAACTAAGGCAGGAACAGAAAACCAAATACTGCATGTTCTCACTTATAAATGGGAGCTAAACATTGAGTACATATGGACACAAAGAAACAAAAAGCAGACACCGGAGCCTATTTGAGGGTGGAGGGAGGGAGGAGGGTAAGGATCGAAAAACTACCTATCGGGTACTATGCTTATTACCTGGGTGGTGAAATAATCTGTATACCAAATCCCCCTGACATGCAGTTTACCCATATAACAAACTTGCACATGTACCCCTGAACCTAAAATAAAAGTTTAAAAAAAGATTATGGTAAATCCATACAATGGCATATTATTATGCAGTCATTAAAATGTTGTTCAAAAAAAATAAAATGTTCATGAAGAGTTTTTAATGATATTGGAAAAATACATATATTAAATGAAAAAGCATGATATAAAGTTGAACATATAGTATGATTTCAATTATGTAAAATATACGTCAATATGTAGAAAAAGATCTAGCAGAAAACAGACCAAAATATTAAAAGTGATCATCCTGGGTAGTAAAAAACAAAAATGAACCAAACCCACAAATGCCTGCTGGCCATCTTCACCTGCATGTACCCCCAGGCGTTTCGAATTCAACTTGTCTCAAACATAATTCACTATCTTCCCTCAAACCTCCTCCCTCTCTTGTATATAGATGGCCCCACCAACATCCACCAGGTCACTGTAGTTGGTTTCAGAAAACAACATGGAGCAATCTGGACTTTGCCTTCTGTCTCAGCCTCTACATCCAAGCTACTACCAAGGCCTGTCCATGCTAGCATCTAAATATCTCTCAGATCTTACCCTCCTTACCTCCCATCGCTCTAACTCAAGCTATCACCTCTCTCTGGGAAAACTGCAACACTCACCTGCCTGTCTCCCTGCTTCCACTCTTGCACCCCTTCCATCCATTCTCCCCATGCAGCTAGGGAGAGTTTCCAAACACCCCGTCTGAGCATGTCATTCTCGTTAATAAACCCTTCGATGGTTTCTCTTCACCCTCAGAAGAAAGTTCCTTGTCAGCCTTGTCACTCCACTCCTCCCAATACCAGCCCTATTCCCCAGTGCCCCATGTCTCGCTGCCTTTGCTTCCACTGAACCTCTTACCTGAATTGTCCTCCATGTTCTTCTCTAGCTCTACAACCCTTTATTGACACCCCTCTAGAACCCTTCCTTAGGGCCAGATCCTGCACTGGGCACTGATGATGCCAGGGTTTCCTCTGCCTAGAGTCCCAGAATGGCAACTGCCTTCCAATTTGAACTGCCAAATGGTAGCCATTCACGAGAGCTGAGAATAAGGGTAAACTGAGGCAGCCAGTGTTTGTGTGTATGAGGGCAGGAGGTTGACTCTCCCTTTGTGTTTAATCCCATGCCTCCATTTGCGGTTGGGAGTGAGTTGACAGAAGCCCACATGGGGCCCTGGGGAAAGGGCCTTAGATGGGGAGGCCGATGTATTCTCCTGGCCCTAATGATGCTGACTCACTGTAGGATGATGGCTAAAAAAATCACTACCTCTCTGAGCCTTCCTCACTGTCCCATCTGGAAAACGGACTTAACTAGTGGTTCCCACTCTAGGCTGTGCATCACAATCACCTAAGGAGCTTTTGAAAATAGGTTCCTTGGTTGTCAACCCCAAGATTCTGGCACTCTGAGGTGGAGTGTGGAATCACATTTTTTTTTAAGGTCAACAAGAGATTCTGATGCTCACTCAGTTAGGGAAACTCAGAACGAGGCAGTATCTAGAGTCTTTTCTAGCTCCAATTCTTACTCTTGGAGACTCTGAAGATGCCTCAGGATCCAAATGAGAAAGAGTCAGCCCCTCCCCTTGCCCCCCTCAACTGGCTCAGTTTCCCCCATTACCCACAAAACGGCTCTAACATCAGGTGCAACTCCTTTGACTTAGCTAGGGTCAGACACCAATATCCCCACAATCCCTGCATCTGAAAGGACATTCTAGGCCTCAACCCTGAGGAATAGAGCAACCATCTCTGCAAACCCCTGCAAGCAAACCGCTTTCTGACTCTCTCAAACCCCTCTCTGGCATTTCACTGGGTTTTCCCAGTGATCCAACAAGGACTTCGGTTTAATCAACCTGGAAAATGGGCATAATAACAACTGTACCTTTCCCCACCAGGAAGCAGACAGGATCACTAAAAGAGAAAGCACTTTGAAGCAATTCAAGGCTGTTCACATGGCTAAGATACAATTATTATTTTTAAAAGCCTCCCCCCACCCCCAGGATGAGCCACTGAGCCCTAAAGATGGTGATTCAATAAAGGTCTCAGCAGTGTTAGGGAGGAAGTCAGCAGGCACACAGAAATCTTAACATGTGGACCAGCATGTTTCAGCCCTTTAATTGAAGCTCAGGAAACCCTCTCTGTCTCTCTCTTACACACACACCCTACAACCACTAACCCTGCCCTCTTAGGGCCAATTATAGGCGAGTCCCATGGAGAGAGAAGCCAAGTCACTTGTGCCTACCCCTGGGCCGGCTGGGCAGTGGGGGAGGTGGCCTCTCACAACCCATGCTGCAGTGAATCACATGGCCCGGCGCCCGCCTAGTCAGGGCCTGAGTAATTCCTCCGCCTCTTCTTCAGAAGGTTTTTCTCTTATTTTTTAACTTAATTTTATTTTTTTAAACTCCTGGTTGCTGAGGATTTATACCATGCTGCAGGCTTTACAACCATTAATTCATAGACTCCTCATTGCATTCTCTAGATGAAGAAACTGAGGTTCAGAGAAGAAAAGTCACTCACCCAGGGTCACAAAGTGAATTAGTTAGAATAGGAGGCCAGGTCCTTCCCTGACACTTGTCTTATTCCTAATCCCCATCTTGAATCAAAAAAAAAAAAAAAAAAGACACCCACTATGCAATTACAGAGGCAAGGACTTCGTTGGGGAAAAGGATCCTGGGAACTCTGTGTTGCCTTTTTGGGGAGGAGGAGAGTGGTTTAGGAAGGGTATTATGATTTGTAATTTGAATGAATTGGTGGATTGGGAAGGCATACTCAGAATCATCACCTTGTATTGATTACAGAGGCCAGAGACTGGGGGTCTAGACATTGCCCAGCTACTGACTTTCAGATCAAGAGTATCCAGAGGGCAGGAATTTGGTGTCCTTCTTTTAGGCAATAGTTACTGAGGGCCTACTATGTGCTTCTTTAGTATCTGTTTAGGCATTTATTTAATGAGGATTTCTTGAACACCTACTGCGTGTTAGGCACTGCGCTAGTTGCTGGGGATACAACAGTGAGCAAAAGAGATATAATCGCCTTGCCCCCATGGAGCTCACATTCTAGTAGAGGAAGATAGGCAATAAACGAGTAGACACATACAATAAGATAATTTCAGATTGTACTAAGTGCAAAGATGGAAGCACACTCACAGTCTCTGATGGAGACTCACAAGTGGCCCTACCTAAAGTGGTTAGGGACAGTCTCTTGGAAGAGGTGACATTTGACCTGAGACATGCAAGACGAGGAGCAAGCCAGGTGGAGGGCTAGGGGAAGAGCTTCCAGCCAGAAGGAAAAGCCAATGCAAAAGTCCTGGGGTGGGAGTGCTTGTGGCCTGTTTTGGCAGCTGCAAAAAGGCACTGGCTTTACACAGTGTCAAGGGGAGTTTGGAAAGCCAGCAGAAGTAACATGCAGGCCAAGGTGTTAAGGGCCTGTTGCCAGCTGGTTATCTTCAGCCCACACTGAGGGAGCCCCCTGAAATCTCCCAGAGGTTCCATGACTAGCCCAAGGTCATGAAGGCACCAAAAGGCACATCCTACCCATGCTTTATACTTCACTACTGCTACCTGGTGCAAGGCCACGGTCCCAGAGATCTGTGGAGCCTGAGGTGTGAACCCGGGAGCCCCCAAGGGCTTAACAACTCCTTCAGTCCCAGTGGAAGGCAGGGCAGATGTGCGCTGCTCTTCTTCTGTGGCTCCTGGGCTCAGGCCCGTATGAGAATGTCCCCAGATGGGGAAGGTCCTGCTGTGCTCCTCAGACACTCAGGTCTGTGTAGCACAAAGGCAGTGGTCTGTGGCCTCAGCCTGACTTAAAGCTGCTCCACCTTTTCAAATCCAAGAAACCATCCTGATTTCACATCACAACCAACCTCGTGGACCTGCAGCTCTCCAGCTCCTGCTACAACTGGCTTCTGCCTCTGTTGGCTTTTCTGCTGTCTCCCTACCTATCAGCCCCTCCAGCCTTCTCCTCTAGCCTGACTCCCAAGGCCCACCTCTTCCACCTTTCTCTCTCAGCACCTTCTACTCCTTCCTTCCCTTGTTCTCCCGCCACACACACCTGGCAAAATCTCAACCTTGGATCAATCCACCGTCTTTCTTTTTTTTTTTTTTTTTTTTTTTTTCCGCTCATACTCCAGGGCTGCTGAATAGTACAGGAGAAAATCACATAAGCAGAAGGCTTGGCATTACTTTCATGGTCTCCAGCCTCAGTTTGGGGAAGCAGAAAGACCACAGACTTTGGACACAAACAGATCTGGTTTGAATCGTGGCTCCATACTAGCTGTGTGACCTTGGGCAAGTTGCTTAACTTCTCTGAGCTTCAGTTTCCTTCCCTACAAAATGGGACTAATGGTATCTACTTCATGAGGGTTCCTGAAGCTGAAATGAAAATCCATGTAAAGCACCCAGTCCAGTGCCTGGTACAATGTAGGCGCTTGGCAAATGTAAGGCTCCTTTTTTTCTTCTGTTCTCCAAACGAAACCCTGGTTTCCCCAACCAAATATCCAAGGATTGCTGCCTTGCAATCCTCCCTCTTTTTCTCGCGAGTGCTCCCTCTCCCATTAGCCTCAGCAGACAGAGGAGAAGGGGGTTGGAGAGGTTGAGGGGCACAAGGGACAGAGAGAGGAGATGGGGACAGAGGTTGAAAGGACTGGACATAAGGCCAAGGGACGTGGGGAGGAGGAGGGGTTTGAGGGAACCCAAAGGGCCGAGGTAAGCGAGCCTGTTCCGAGGTGGGGCTTAGAGGGCTCGAGAACAAGAACCCGCTCCCAGTACCAGGCCCGTGGCCCGGGCTCCCATGCTCTCTCAGTCGCTCACTCACCAGGCCGAGGCTGCGAGCCCTCCAGGTGGTAAGAGAAGCGCAGGGCCCGGTGGTGCTGTGGACTGGGACCGCAGGGCAAGACCCGGTGGCCTGGAGCAGCGCCCAGGCTGGTGTCCGAGGGTCCGACAAACTGGGGATCCAGTGGGCCGCCAAGAGCCGAACCTGAGCCCCTGCGCGCCAGCAGTCCGGGTTCCGAGGCTCCAGGGTCCGAGTCGGCACAGGCCGGCGGAGCGGCGCCCGGCGGGTTCGTGGCCGGGTGTTCGGGCTCCGAAGGCCCGGCGCCCCCCGGGGCTCGGTGGCCATGCATGGTCCGGGCCTGGGCGCGGGGCCCGAGCTCCCCGCTTGGCTCCAGCTCCTGGGGCGGAGGCGCGGGCGGAGGAGGCCCGGCGCCCGGCGGAGCAGCGGCCTCAGGATCGGGGGGCGGGACTGCGGGCTCAGCCCCACTGCAGAGACTCAAGCCCCCAGCCCGGGCCCGGGCCAGCAGCCGTGGCAGCGGTGGCAGTAGCAGCAGCAGCAGCCGCGGCCACCGCCGCTGCCGTGCCAGGCATCGCCGGCCCCGGCCCCGGCCCCGCGCGGGGAGTGGGCTCGGCGGGGCCGGGGGCCCGCTGGGGAGCGCTGTCTATGCGGCTGCGGTTGGGCGAGGGTTGGAGGGCTACGCTCGGCGGGGACTCTCCGGTGGACGGCGAGCCACTTCCGTGGCCCCGGGGCGAGAAGTCGGTCGGATCCAAGTGCGGGGTCTCTTCTTTCTCCCCGAATGGGAATAGATCTGGGCTCTCCTGGCTGGTTGGGAAGCGTTCTTCCTCCCGCCGCAGCCGAGGCCGGGGGCGGAGGAGAGGGGAGGGGAGAGGAGGGGAGGGAAGAGAGAACGGCGGTGGCCGGGGGCGCGCGTGTGCGCTGCGCTTGGGCTGCGGGGCTCGCCTTCAGCCAGTAGTCCCAGACGATGCTCCAGCCGCGGGGGCAGGAGAACGGCCTGGGCCGGGCTCCACCGTCCTCCCCAGCTTCAGCCTGGGTCTCGGCGGCGGCGGGCGGGAAGGAGCCCTGGGAAGGGGGGTGGGGAGGCGGGAGCCTCGCAGAGGCAGCCGCAGCCACAGCGGCACTGGGACCCAGTTACCGGGGCCCCGCCCCCTCGCCCGGGATTTGCGCCTGACCACGCCCCCTCGCTCGGGGCCGCCTCACTTCTCGCTGCTACCGCTCTCAAGGCCCTCCTGCCCCTTAAAAAATTCCCCCTCAGCCTGCTTTCCCCACAGGCAAGTCTCCGGGCTCAACCCCCTCCCCCCATATCTGCCCTTCCATCCCATCTCAGGTCTTCCCCCCTCTGCTTGCCGTTCACTCTCTTTTCCAAAACCCTTTCTTCATGTTCCTGAGTGTTCCTAGGGCTTGGCTCATAGAGGACCTGTCTCTGATTCTCCTTCACTTTGCTCAGACCAGATATCTTGGTCCCTTACTTAGTCACTTTCTTAAATACCCTCAGTTCCCTGATTTGTCGCATCCGCCTGGCAACATCCCAGTCTTGAATCGGTCCAACTGTCCGCCTTTTCCATGCCTGCGCCCAGGCAGCTAAACATTGCTGGGGAAAACTATTCAACTTCACAGATTTGTGCCACTATAAACCCATGGTTCCCAGCTTCTACCAGGCCCTCAGTTTTGACCCACAACCCTACTAGTCAGCTCTCCCTCTGTTCTCCACAGTGACCATTTCAAACCTTCTCCTTTCCCCTCAAACCCCAAGTGCTCCATCTGCCCTGTAACCCTCAGCAAATAACCTGACCTGCTGCAGAGAGTAAACAGAGCCACCGTAGAGGAAGCTCTTGACTTTTTGCTACGAAGCCTAGGAATTTGTCCTTGCTCCTTCCCAACAGCATCTAAACATAGACCTCTTCCATCTAAAAACAAATAAACAATTACCAAGAATTCTGCCTCTCCAACCACCTCCTTCTCTTCTCTTCTACAAACTTCTCAAAAGAGTTGCCTACACCCAACTGTCTTCATTTTCCCACCTCCCACTTATCTTTCAACCCACTCCAATCTGCCTCCACTACTTGCTTGAAACTGCTCTCTCTCATCAGGGTCTGCCATGAAACATCTCACTAAATCCCATAGAATCTTTTCTTTTTTTTTTTTTTTGAGACAAGAGTCTCACTCTGTCGCCCAGGCTGGAATGCAGCGGCACGATCTCGGCTCACTACAATCTCCGCCTCCTGGGTTCAAGCGATTCTTCTGCCTCAGCCTCCCGAGTAGCTACGCCCAGCTATTTTTTTGTATTTTTAGTAGAGACGGGGTTTCACCATACTGGCCAGGCTTGTCTCGAACTTCTAACCTTGTAATTCGCCGGCCTCTGTCTCCCAAAGTGCTGGGATTACAGGCGTCAGCCACCGCGCCCAGCCCCCATAGAATCTTTTCAGAGGTTATCCTACTTGGTTTCTTGATAGCATTTGGCACTGTTGACCACTCCCTCCTCCTTAAACCACTTCCATGACACTGCACTTTCCTTGTTTTTCTTCTACTTCCTTAGTAATTCTTTTTTTACTTTCCAGGCTCCTCTTTGTCCAACGCTTTATGCTGGTGCTCTTCAGGGCTTTGGCCTGAGCGCTCTTGTCCTCTCTCTACATGTGATTTTTTTTTCTTTCTTTCTTTCTGAGACAGAGTCTTGCTCTGTCGCCTAGGCTGGAGTGCAGTGGCGCGATCTAGGCTCACTGCAACTTCCGCCTACCGGGTTCAAGCTATTCTTCTGCCTCAGCCTCCCAAGTAGCTGGCATTACAGGCATGCACCACCAAGCCCGAATAATTTTTGTATTTTTAGTAGAGACGGGGTTTTGCCATATTGGCCAGGCAGGTCTCCAACTACTGACCTCAAGTGATCCACTTGAGGAAAGAGAAGCCTCGGATTACAGGCCGCTCTTTTCTTTATCTCATTTGCTCCCCTGGCTTCAATGATCATATCTTTGCTGATGACTCCCAAATTGATACCTCAAAACCAGATATTTCTCCTGACCCATGCATTCAACTGGTTATTAGGCAGCTCTACCTGAATATCCCAGAGACACCTAAAACCTCAGCTTCTTCCCAACTCAAGGCATCCTCCTTCCAACCTGTTTGTCCTTCTTTGTGTCTTACCTTAGTGAATGACCCCAGTCAAAGCAGAAACCCGGGTTACACCCTTAATTCTTTTCTCTCCTCCATCACCCATGCAGTCACCAAGTCCCATCATTTTGACCTCCTACCAAATCTATTTATGTAGTCTCTACATTTCTGGGGCCACTACCCTGGTTTAGACCAGAACCATTTCTAACCTGCAATACTGTCACAGCCTCCCTATTTCAGTCTTGTTCTCTGGAATCTATTCTCTACACTATAGGCAGTGTATATCTTTTGAAAACATAAATAAGGCCGGGTGCGGTGGCTCACACCTGTAATACCAGCACTTTGGTAAGCCGAGGTGGGTGGATCACTTCAGGTCAGGAGTTCGAGATCAGCCTGGCCAAAATGGTGAAACCCCATCTCTACCAAAAATACAAAAATTAGCCGGGCATGGGGGCGGATGCCTGTAATCCCAGCTACTTGGGAGGCTGAGGCAGAGAATTGCTTGAACCCGGGAGGCGGAGGTTGCAGTGAGCCAAGATCATGCTGCTTCCAGCCTGGGCGACAGAGCGAGACTCGTCTCAAAAAAAAAAAAAAAAAAAAAAATATATATATATATATATATAATTAAATAAAAGTTAAATCAAATTATATCACTCCCATGTTTAGGACCCTTCAGTGAGTCTCTACTGGCTCAAAATGAAACCCACCTTCCTTAACAGGAAAGGTTAAATGGCCCTTCATGATCTGTGCCCCTGCCAGCCTTTCCGTGCTGAAATTCTTAGACTATTCCTTAGTCTCTCTAGCCTCCAAGTTTTTGCATATGCTGTTCTCGCTGAGTGAAACTTTCTCTGCATCTCCCCAATTCCACTTCATTTGTTCTTCAGATCTCAGCTCATTCAACGAATGTCTTTTGAACACAAACTATGGGCCAGGCACCATGTGATGCACTAGCTATGCAGCAGTGAATAAGACAGACATGAACAAGACAATGGTGAAAAAACTGTCCTCAGAGTTCATTGGCTGGTACTGGAGAGGATGTGAAATAAACACATAATTACAACACATAAACACACATAATTACAAATTGTGATAAGGTTATAAAGGGACAGAACAGGGTGATAGGAAAGAGAATAACGGGTATGTGTGTGTGGGGGGGTGTGATTTAGCCTGAGGGGTCAGGCAAGGGCTGCTATTTAAGCTGAGCCCTGAAGGAGTGGGAGTTGGCAGATGAGTGGACACAAAAGTGCTCCAGGCAAAGGATACAGCAAGTAGGAAGGCCCTGGGGAGAAAGAGAAATGGCCTATTTAGGAGCTATAGAAGGCTAATATGGCTAAAGCATAGTGCTTGGAAGGCAAGAGGGGTGGGATATGAGATTCAAAAGGTAGGCAGGAGCTAGATTATGCAGGGCTTTTTAGGCCATGTTAAGAAGAATGGGTTTTATTCTACAAGCAATGAAAAGGTATTGAAGCAGTGCTTTTAAATGTGGGTCAAACTGGAGAAGGTACTGAAATCAATTTAAGAATAGAAAATATAAGAATGGGCTGGGCATGGTGGCTCACGCCTGTAATCCCAGCACTTTGGGAGGCCGAGGTGGGTGGATCACCTGAGGTCAGGAGTTTGAGGCCAGCCTGACCAATATGGTGAAATCCCGTCTACTAAAAATACAAAAATTAGCCGAGTGTGGTGGAGCGTGCCTGTAATCCCAGCTACTCGAGTGGCTGAGGCAGGAGAATGGCTTGAACCCGGGAGATGGAGGTTGCAGTGAGGCGAGATCGTGCTACTGCACTCCAGCCTGGGCGACAGAGCAAGACTCCATCTCACATACACAACAAATAAATAAATTAATTAATAAAAAGAGTGTATCATAGGATCATGTAGGAAGGGTAAATATGTTTCATGAAATGCTTCAGTTTGTATCGTATGTGAACTGGATCCCGAGGAAATAGTATCTCTTTTGCAGATACCTCACATCCCCAAAATGCTGAAATACACATTGAAAGGTTTTAAGCTTGAGATTCACAGGGTATATTTAACGTTTTACAAAGATGACTTTGGTTGCTCTAGATTGAATTGCAGGTGGACAAGATTAGGAACCTACTGCGGCCAGAGATGATGGTGAGCTGACTAAGGAGGTGGCAGTGGAGATGGAGAGAGGCAGACTGATTTGAGAGATATTTAGAATTGAGAAGGCTTGGTGTGAAAGCTTGGGAGAAGGAGGGGGAGGGGGGAATCAAGGGATTCCATTCCAATCAAGGGGGGAACTCCAAGGGATCTGGTGATGGTAGGCCAGTCACTCACTGAGATGAGGAAGACAGAAAGAGGAACAGATTTTCAGGGGAAGATCAAGAGTTCAGTTTTGGATATGCTAAGCTGGACATGCCCTTGAGATATCCAAGTGGAGAAGTCAAGTAGATAGTGGTATATACATCCCAGGGGAGAAGTCTGTTTCAGATATAAGTTAGAGTTGTCAGCATAGAGATGGCATTAAAAGTCAAGAGTAGAAAAAAATCACCCTGAAACAGTAAAGACTGAGAAAGGAAGAGGATCCATGATTGAGCTTTGAGGAACTTCAACTTTACAGGTTGAGTGAAGGAGCAGGAGTTGGCAGAGACTGAAAAAGAAGTAAAGAGCTCCGGGCGCGGTGGCTCACGCCTGTAATCCCAGCACTTTGGGAGGCCGAGGCGGGCGGATCACGAGGTCAGGAGATTGAGACCATCCTGGCTAACACGGTGAAGCCCCGTCTCTACTAAAAATACAAAAAATTAGCCGGGCGTGGTGGTGGGCGCCTGTAGTTCCAGCTACTCGGGAGGCTGAGGCAGGAGAATGGTGTGAACCCGGGAGGCGGAGCTTGCAGTGAGCCGAGATCATGCCACTGCACTTCAGCCTGGGCGACAGAGTGAGACTCCATCCCCAAAAAAAAAAAAAAAAAAAAAAAAAAAGAGGCAGGGACATAACCAGGAGTGTGTCAAGGATGTTCCAAGAGTGCTGAGAAGATAAGGATTTAAAAGGGTCCATTGGCTATGGCAACATTGATATCATTGATGACCTTGATAGTAGTGGTTTTGGAGGAGTGGTGGAGGTGAACACCAGAATGGATGAAGAGTGAATGGATACCACTGGATACCATTGGTGGGAGTGTAAATTGATACAACCATTCTAGAAAAAGTTGGGCATTTTCTAGTAAAGCTGAATGATGCACATACTCTGTGACCTGGCAATTCTAGGTATATACCCCAGAGCAGCAGTTCTCACAGTGTGATCTGGGGATCCTGTGGATGGGGGTAGTGGGGAGAACCAAAACCAAAATATAGTAAGATGTTACTTGCTTTTTTACTCTCATTCTCTCAAGAATGTAGAGTGGAGTTTTCCAGAGGCTACATGACATGTGATATCACAACAGATTGAATGCAGAGGCAGATATGAGAATCCAGCTGTCTTCTATTAAGCCATACAGTAAAGAGATTTACAAAAATGTAAAACAATGCCACTCCTCACTAAATTCTTGTTTTGAAAAATAGTCATTTTTCATAAAAATATATTGTTAAGTGTAATTGGCTTATTGTTATTTTAATGTATTTAAACTTTTTCAGCTTTAATTTCAAACACGGCAAATATCAATTGATATAAACCACATAAATCAAAGCTCTTTGGGGTCTGCAATGCTTTTTAAGAATATAAAGGGATCCTGAGACCAAAAAGTTTGAGAACTGCTCCTTAAAGCAACCCTTGCACATGTATGTGTATTGGGAGTCATGTACAAGAATGTTCACAAGTCTGTTTGTAACAGCAAGAAACTGGAAACAAGAGTATAGGATAAATACACTCATACTTTTTTTTTTTTGAGATGGAGTTTCACTCTTGTTGCCCAGGCTGGAGTGCAAGGGCACGATCTCGACTCACTGCAACCTCCGCTCCTGTTCAAGCAATTCTCTGCCTCAGCCTCCCGAGTAGCTGGGATTACAGGTGTCTGCCACCACAACTGGCTAATTTTTTGTATTTTTAGTAGAGACGGGACTTTGACATGTTGGTCAGGCTGGTCTCGAACTCCTGACCTCAGGTGATCCACCCGCCTCTGCCTCTCAAAGTGCTGGGATTACAGGTGTGAGCCACGGCACCTGGCCCACTCATACATATTTACACAACAGAATACTATAAGGAAATTTTAAAAATGAATGAACTGTAGCTACATGTATCAACATGGATGAGACTCAGGAGACCTAATACTGATTCAAAAAAGTCACAGAAGAATATGTTTATATAAAGCTGAAAACCATGCAGAATTAAACAGTATGTGGATGCAGTCATATATTATAAAACAAGAAAAGCAAGGAATGAAAAATCAAAAATTCAGGATGGCAGTTACCTGTCACAGAGGTGAAGGAGACATGACTGGGGAGAGTCGTACAAGGAGTTTTGTCATTAGTAAATGATCTCTTATTGAAGCTAGGTGATAGGGACACAGATTTTTTAAATTGTTTATTCAAACTGTACAGATATGTATATTATAAAATTTATAATGTATATCATGAAAAACAAATAAATTAATTAATTAAAAAAATAAGACTAATTGCCTAGAGGGCCGGATTGTTATAGGATCCTCACTGAGGTTAGAAGGAACACTTCCTCCCACCCCAGTGAAGTGGGGTTATGTGCGTATGCAGTTCCCTTGAGAAACATGGCTGTGAAGGGAAATAGATCCTAGGGAGATAGCATGATCATAGGAAGAGGGTCAAATAATGTTTTTTTTTTAAGATGAGAGATGCTGGACTATGTTTCCTTCTGGGAATGATCCAGTAGAGAGAGAGAGAGAGAGAGAGAGAGAGAAAGGCACTAACACAAGGGAAAGGAAAGGTTGGGGTTGGGATCTAGGGTACTGAGCCTCAGAGGGTCCCTGGACCCTTAATTGTAACAGGAAGGAATGAGAAAAAGACAAATGCAAATACAGGTAACTTTACAGATTGAGTGGTGGGAAGATAAAGGCCCTGTAAAAAATTCTTGATGTTTGATGGCTTCTATTTTCTCACTGATGCATGAAGTAAGGTCATTTGCGATAGAGAAAATAGAGGGCCAGGCGCGATGGCTAAGGCCTGTAATCCCAGCACTTTGGGAGGCTGAGGTGGGAGAATGGCTGAGCCCAGGAGTTGGAGACCAACCTAGGCAACATAGTGAGACCTGTCTCTACAAAAAATTAAAAAATTAGCCAGGCATGGTGGTGCCTGCCTGTAATTCCAGCTACTTGGGAGGCTGAGGCAAGAGGATCCCTTGAGTCCAGGAGGTTGAGGCTGCAGTGAGCCATGATTGTGCCACTGCACTGCAGCCTGGGTGACAGAGCAAGACCCAGTCTCAAAAAAAAAAAAAAATTAGTCTTTTTTAGTAGCATGGTTGATAGAAATTTGTTTTTTACTATTGACAGTTTAGCAAAGTTTCAGTTTCATATAATAATAATATTTTATACATGTTTAGGACTGCTATCAAATTTGGGAAAACCCTTGTCTAGTTTCTTTCATATATGAGCTGTAAAATTTCAGGACATTTTAATTTTTTTGTAGAATGACAAATCTTCAGTACTATGATTGTTCACTGTTCATTAAACAGGGCCTTGGAAGAGACCTGTGCAAAGGAGGAGCCCTGAAGCTTAAGCTTCATTGATTTCTATGTAAATCTACCTCTGGCCTCTTTAAATTACCTCCTCCTCCAGGAAGCTTTCTCTGATTTTCCCAGGCTGAGTTTTTCCCACAGGGCTTTATTTCTGCCATTTCCCCAGTCTCTCTGAGCTTTCCCAGTCTCTCTAAGCTAGGTAGGTCTGCCTCAACTACTAGAAGGAGGGAGCTCCAGAGTACAAGGAGTCAGGACCCACTTACCCTAGAGACCGCAGTCTTCCATTAGTCTGTCAGCAAACCTTCAATTGAAGCAGTATGGCATTGTAGTCAAACATGTAGTCCTTGGAAGCAAGCAGACTGGAATTTGGCTTTTTGTATCTTCAGTGCATGGGAAAGGATTCATCCCAATCCTTGGTTTATGATATACTCTCACCATTGGTCCGGGCAGGAGCTTCATTCACTCCTAGCTCCTCTGTGTGATGTTGGGCAAGTTATTCATTGTTTGGAGTCTCAGTTTCCCCATGTGTAAACTGTGGATGATAATAACACCTACTACATCAGACCTGTGAGGTTCTGATGACATAATCCACGAAAAGGCATGCACAGGACATGGTGCCTAATGTTTAATAAATGGAGCTCTCCATGTGACTGGCACTCTATCATGAGTGTAGGATACAGTAAGGAATAACAAAGGCCTGGGCCTTGCCTTCCTGAACTCATAGTCTAGTGGGCCCCATATGGCCCAGTGCTCACCCTGATATAGCCAAGAGACTTGTGAATGATTGTTGGATCAGAAAGATTTAATCCTTTTGTCTCTATTTCTCTCTCTCCCTTTTTTTTTTTTTTTTTTTGAGACACAGTCTCACTCTGTCACCCAGGCTGGAATGCAATGGCACAGTCTCAGCTCACTGCAACCTCCGCCTCCTGGGTTCAAGCAGTTCTCCTGCCTCAGCCTCCCGAGTAGCTGGGATTACAGGTGCCCGCCACCACACCTGGCTAATTTTTGTATTTTTAGTAGAGACGGGGTTTCACCATGTTGGCCAAGCTGGTCTCGAACTCCTGACCTCGGTGATCCACCCACCTCAGCCTCCCAAAGTGCTGGGATTACAGGCATGAGCCACGGTGCCCGGCCACTATTTCTCTTTCATGTTTTTGTCTCTCTTCCTCCCAATTAGCCATCACTGTCACCACCTCTCAGACATCCCCTATCTCTGTCTCTATTTTGCTTTTTCTTGTCTCTCTGTTTACAACTGTCTGGCTGCTTCTTTTTCCTGTCTCTCCTATTCTCTTTCTCAAACTCTCTCCCCTCTCACTCTTGTTCTCTCATTCTATTAGTTATGTTGCTGGCTACCCTGTCTCCATCCTGTCTGAGTCTAACTCATGATCCTCATCTTGGTCCATGTCTCTGTCCTTATATATATGACCACATTGTTCTCTCTCATCTGTTTTTTTTTTTTTTTTTTTCTGAGACGGAGTCTCACTCTGTCACCCAAGCTGGAGTGTCGTGGTGTGATCTCAGCTCACTGCAACCTCCGCCTCCCAGGTTCAAGTGATTTTCCTGCCTCAGTCTCCTGAGTAGCTGGGATCACAGGCATGCACCACCACGCCCAGCTAATTTTTGTATTTTTAGTAGAGACGAGGTTTCACCATGTTGGCCAGGCTGGTGTCGAACTCCTGACCTCAAGTGATCTGCCTGCCTCAGCCTCCAAAAGTGCTGGGCGTGAGGCACCGCACCCTGCCTGTTTCTAAATTTCTATGTGTTCCAGAATTTCTGTCTTTTCTGTTTTCCTTTCAATTTCCCTTGGCTCCTTGGCCTCTTTTATGTATTTCCAGAAGTCTCCATCACTCTGTCCCAATTTATCCTATTTCTGGCTGTCTCTCTCAGTCCTCATCTCTGCATTGCTGCATTCATCTGTCTCTGCTCCCCGCTACCACTGTCTTTCTCTATTCTCACCTTTCTGTTCCTATCTCTGTATCTCTGTCTTCATTTTTTCCCTCTTAACATTTACATTCTTGTTTCTGTCTTTCCCTCTCTCACACACACTCCTATGTTGGTCTTCTTGCCTCCTTCTCCCTGTCTGATTCTCTCTCATTACTCTATATCCAATTTTTACCTCTATTTCTCTGTCACCATCTCTCTTGTTGGGCTGTTTTCCTCATGTGTCTGACTCTTGTCCCCATCTCTCTGTCGCTAGGTGTGCTTCATCTGCTATCTTGTCCCCAGCTCCACGTCCTTTTGTCTCTACCTGTGTCACTGACAAAGTAGTCAAGAGTATGGTCTCTGGTATTTGACTATTTATTTGGATTCCAGTCCTAGATGTGCCATTGACTTGCTGTGCCTCAGTGTCCTCATCTGTAAAATAGGGCTGATAATAGTACCTGTGCTTCATAGTGTTATTGTGAGGATTAAATGAGTTAATACATGTACACCTCTTAGAAGATGTTTCAGACAGAACACTCAAACATGTAGACTTTGACATCACTGACATTTCCCTCCCCATTGTCATCACCATCTCTGTTTCCATCTTTGTTTATCTAATCCTAGTCATTCCCCCTCCAACTACCTGGCTATTACTATTGCTTTGTTTTTCTCTCTGCCCACAATTGTTTTGTTTATAATTAATTTTATTTATTTATTTATTTATTTATTTAGAGGGAGCCTCATTCTGTTGCCCAGGCTGAAGTGCAGTGGTGCGAGCTTGGTTCACTGCAACCTCCGCCTCCTGGGTTCAAGTGATTCTCCTGCCTCAGCCTCCCAGGTAGCTGGGATTACAGACGCGCACCACCATGCCAGGCTAATTTTTTTTATTTTTAGTAGAGATGGGGTTTCACCATGTTGGCCAGGCTGGTCTTGAACTCCCGACCTCAGGCGATCTGCCCGCCTCGGCCTCCCAAAGTGCTGGGATTACGGGAGTGAGTCACCGCACCCAGCCTAATTAATTTTATTTTAAAACAATTTTTAATTGAGGCATAATATATGTACATATTTTGGGGATACATGATTTTTTTTTTTTTTTTTTGAGACGGAGTCTCGCTCTGTCACCCAGGCTGGAGTGCAGTGGCGTGATCTCGGCTCACTGCAAACTCCACCTCCCGGGTTTATGCCATTCTCCTGCCTCAGCCTCCCAAGTAGCTGGGACTACAGGCAGCCGCCACCATGACCGGCTAATTTTTTGTATTTTTTAGTAGAGACAGGGTTTCACCGTGTTAGCCAGGATGGTCTTGATCCCTGACCTTGTGATTCGCCTGCCTCGGCCTCCCAAAGTGCTGGGATTACAGGTGTGAGCCACCACGCCCGGCCTGATTTTTCTTTTTAAGATGGAGTTTCACTCTGTCCCCCAGGCTGGAATGCAGTGCTGTGTTCTCCACTCACTGCAACCTCTGCCTCCCAGGTTCAAGTGATTCTCATGCCTCAGCCTCCAGAGAAGCTGGGATTACAAGTGCGTCACCATGCCTGGCTAATTCTGTTTTTTTTAATTATTATTTTTATTATTTTTATTTTTTTTGAGACTGAGTCTTGCTCTATCACCCAGGCTGGAGTATAGTGGCGTGATCTTGGCTCACTGAAACTTCTGCCTCCCTGGTTCAAGCAATTCTACTGCCTCAGCCTCCCAAGTAGCTGGGATTACAGGCGTCCGCCACCACGCCCAGTTAATTTTTGTATTTTTGGGAGAGAAGGGGTTTCACCATGTTGGCCAGGCTGGTCTCAAACTCCTGACCTTGGTGATCCACTTGCCTCGGCTCTCAAAGTGCAGGGATTACAGGCATGAGCCACCGTGCCCAGCCTGATTTTTGTATTTTTAGTAGAGATGGTATTTCACCATGTTGAGCAGGCTGGTCTCGAACTCCTGACCTCAGGTGATCCATCCACCTTGGTCTCCCAAAGTGGTGGGATTACAGGTGTGAGCCACCACGCCTGGCTGGGGTACATATGATTTTTAACAATGTTTATTATTTTTTCAGATAGGGTCTCACTCTTTTGCCTAGGCTGGAGTGCAGTGGTGTGATCTTGGCTCCTATAGCCTCTACCTCCTAGGCTCAAGCCTTCCTCCCACCTCAGTCTACCAAGTAGCTGGGACTATAGGTGGGCACCACGTCTGGCTAATTTTTTGTTATTTATTGTGGAGATGGGGTCTTGCTATGTTGCCCTGGCTGGACTCCAACTCCTGGACTCAAGCAATCTACCCACCTTGGCCTCGGCCTTCCAAAGTAGTGGGATTACAGGCATGTGCCACTGCGCCCATCCACATATGATATTTTAATACATTTACACAATTTGTAAAAATCAATCAGTGTGATTGGGATATCCATCACCTTAAATATTTGTCTTTATGCTAGAAACATTTGAATTATTCTCTTCTAGCTATTTTGAAATGTGTAATAGGTTACTGTAAACTATAGTCACCCTACTGATCTATCGAACACTAGGTCTTATTTCTTCTATCAAATAGTATATTTGTACCCATTAATCTCTCCCTCATTTTTAATGTAGCTGCTTCTCTGACCCCAATCTCTGTCTGTCTCTGTTCCCATCTCTTTATATCTCTCCCTACATTCCTGCCTCATTTCAGCCAGTCCCTTGTTCTCCATTTTGCTCACTTCATCTTTCCATATATCTGTCTCCATCCTTCTGTTTCTTCATATTTATACAAAGAAATATTTGAGACAGGGTCTTACTCTGCTGCCCAGGTAGGAGTGCAGTGGCACAATCTCGGCTGACTGCAGCCTCAACCTCCCAGGCTCACGCGATCCTCCTACATCAGCCTCACAAGTAGCTGTCGTGGCATGTGCCACCACACCCAGCTAACTTTGTCTTTATTTTTGTAGAGACAAAGTCTCACTATGTTGCCCAGGCTGGTCTTGAACTCCTGGGATCAAGTGATCTTTCCGCCTTGGCCTCCCAAAGTGTTGGGATTACAGGCGTGAGCCACTGTGCCTGGCTTATTTTTAAAATTTTTTTTTGAGAGATGTGGTCTCATTATTTTGCCCAGCTTCGTCTCAAACTCCTGGGCTCAAGTGATCCTCCCACCTCAGCCTTCAGCCTCCCAAAGTGCTGGGATTACAAGCGTGAGCTACAGCACCCAGCCTCCTTCTATTTTTTTTTTTTTTGACATAAGGTCTAACTTTGTCACTCAGGCTGGAGTGCAGTGGCGTGGTCGTGGCTCACTGCAGCCTGGACCTCCTGGGCTCAAGTGATCCTCCTGCCTCAGCCTCCTAAGTAGCTGGGACTACAGGTGCACACAAACATGCCCGGCTAATTTTTTTATTTTGTAGAAATGGGTTTCGCCATGTTGCTGAGGCTGGTTTCGAACTCCTGGGTTCAAGTGATCTGCCCACCTTGGCTTCCTAAAATGTTGGGATTACAGGCATGAGCCACCGCACCTGGCCCTCCTTCTGTTTCTTTATCTCCATTTTTTACTGTCTGTTCTCACCCTTCAAACCCTATTTCTTGGTCTGTTTGTCTTTCTGTCCCTCTATATATCTTTATTTATTTACTTAATCTTATGCTGTTTCTTTGTCCCCATCTCCTTGTGTTTTCCTCTGGCTGCTCTGGACAATTTAGATTGGAATTGTTTTGGTAGATAATGTGGAGCTATAAAAGGGTTCAAGAGGAAGAAGTAGGCCTGGCAAGAGGTGAGTGGCAGGGTGTGGAATTTCATGGGTCTGCCAAATCCTCCTGAAAGACGTGGCCTCTGAGGTCAAGGTTAGCATAAATCCCCTCAACTCAGTCTCTTGAAAGACAAAGAATGCTGCATTTATTGGGAGGACCAGGAAGGGGTACTTTTCTGAGTGAAATTCCATCCGGAAGCTGGAATCCAGAGCATTTCCTGTTGTAATGTTTCTTCCAGACTTGGAGAGTCTGAACCTACCACGTAGCATGTGCACTCCATGCATATGCTTCTACAGCGAAAGGCATGGATACATACAGAATCCTCTACCCTTAGAGACCCAGATGTGTGCAGACACATAGAGACACACATAGAATCAGACTCTCACAGATGCAGATACTCAGAGACATGGAAAAGCACACAGAATGAATCACCCGCTGGCAGAGATGGAGACATGCATAGGGACATTGAGAGACCCACGGAATTACCCCCTCTCAGCTCAGGGACCTGTGTGAACAGATACAGAAGAATAGCTACACAGAGGATAATTTAACCAATTCCCTTTTGAAAAATTGTTCTTGCTGGGCGTGATGGCTCACGCCTGTAATCCCAGCACTTTGAGAGGCAGAGGTGGGTGGATCACCCAAAGTCAGGAGTTTGAGACCAGCCTGACCAACATGGTGAAACCCTGTCTCTACTAAAAATACAAAATTAGCCGGGCGTGGTGGCGCATGCCTGTAATCCCAGCTACTAGGGAGGCTGAGGCAGGAGAATCGCTTGAACCCGGGAGGCGGAGGTTGCAGTGAGCCAAGATCGCGCCATTGCACTCCAGCCTGGGCAATAAGAGCAAAACTCCGTCTGAAAAAAAAATTGTTCTCTTTCAGTCTTATATTTTCATATAAACAGAAGCACAGTAGAGCATCATGTATAAACATACACATTCCTAGAAGTATGCACAATCACATACAGTCACAAATATCCAAAGTCACAGAGAATCCCATTCCTTTGCTGGAAGTACAAAGGTAGGCAAACTCCCTCTGTTCCCCAAATGACAGGCATGCTGCTCCTCTGCTGCCCTCCCCTCTGTGAAGCCACCATCAGGCACTCAAGTCAGAAACCTGACCATTAGGAACTAGATGGGCTGGGTGTGGTGGCTCATGCCTGTAATCCTAGCACTTTGGGAGGCCAAGGAGATGGGGGATCACTTAAGGTCAGGAGTTCAAGACCAGCCTGGCCAACATGGTAAAACCCTGTCTCTACTAAAAATACAAAAATTAGCTGGGTGTGGTGGTGCTGTAGTCCCAGCTACTTGGGAGGCTGAGGCAGGAGAATCGCTTGAACCTGGGAGGAGGAGGTTGCAGTGAGCCAAGATTGCACCACTGCACTCCAGCCTGGGTGACAGAGTGAGAGTACGTCTGAGAAAAAAAAAAAAAAAAAGAGAGAAATATAAAATAAGAAAAATGGTATCTGAAGAAATAGAGAATTTGAATAGACCACTAAGTATTAATGAAATTAAAATCGGCTGGGCATGGTGGCTCACGCCTGTAATCCCAGCATTTTGGGAGGCTGAGGCAGGTGGATCACCTGAGGTCAGGAGTTTGAGATCAGCCTGGCCAATATGGCGAAACCCCATCTCTACTAAAATTACAGAAAATTAGCTGGGCGTGGTGGTGCTTGCCTGTAGTCCAAGACACTTGAGAGGCTGAGGCAGGAGAATTGCTTGAACCCAGGAGGCAGAGGTTGCAGTGAGCCGAGATTGCACCATTGCACTCCAGCCTCTGTGACAGAGCGAGACTCAGTTTAAAAAAAAAGAAAAAAGAAAGAAAGAAAATAAATTAAAATGGTAGTCAAGGATGTCCCCCCAAATTCAGGCCCAGATGGTTTACGGGTGTATTGTGCCAGATTCTCAAGAGAACCATTAATTCTCTTCTTGCAGAAATTATTCCAGAAAATAGAAAAGGAGAGAAAGCTTCCTGGCTCACTTTATCAGTCTAGTACAATCTTGAAATCTTGATTCTAAAACCCGATAAGGACAACAGAAGAAAAGAAAATTTTAGGCTCATTTCACTTATAAATATAGACGCACAACTTTTTTTTTTTTTTGAGACAGAGTCTCGCTCTGTCGCCCAGGCTGGAGTGCAGTGGCGCGATCTCGGCTCACTGCAAGCTCCGGCTCCCGGGTTCACACCATTCTCCTGCCTCAGCCTCCCGAGTAGCTGGAACTACAGGCACCCGCCACCACGCCTGGCCAATTTTCGTATTTTTAGTAGAGACGGGGCTTCACCGTGTTAGCCAGGATGGTCTCGATCTCCTGACCTGGTGATCCGCCTGCCTTGGCCTCCCAAAGTGCTGGGATAACAGGCGTGAGCCACCGTGCCGGGCCAGATGCACAACTCTTAACTGCCTGGGCAACATGGTGAAACCCCACCTCTACAAAAAATAATAATAAGGCCGGGCACAGTGGCTCATTCCCAGCACTTTGGGAGGCTGAGGCGGGTAGCTCACTTGAGGTCAGGAGTTTGAGACCAGTCTGGACAACATGGTGAAACCCCATCCCTACTGAAAATACAAAAATCTGGCCAGGCGTGGTGGCTCACGCCTGTAATCCCAGCACTTTGGGAGGCCGAGGCAGGCGGATGATGAGGTCAGGAGATTGAGACCATGGTGAAACCCCGTATCTACTAAAAATACAAAAAATTAGCCGGGTGTGGGGGTGGGCACCTGTAGTCCCAGTTACTCGGGAGGCTGAGGCAGGAGAATGGCGTGAACCTGGGAGTCAGAGCTTGCAGTGAGCCGAGATCACACCACTGTACTCCAGCCTGGGTGACACAGCGAGACTCCATCTCAAAAAAACCCAAAAAAACCAAAAAATTAGCCAGGTGTGGTAGTGGGCACTTGTAATCCCAGCTACTCGGGAGGCTGAGGCATGATAATCGCTTGAACCTGGGAAGCAAAGGTTGCAGTGAGCTGAGACTGCGCCACTGCACTCCAGCCTGGGCAACGGAGCAAGACTCTGTCTTAAAATAATAATAAAAAAAAATTAGCCAGGCATGGTTGTGTGTGTCTACAGTCCCAGCTACTTAGGAGGCTGAGGTGGGAGGATCATTTGAGCCCAGGAGGTCAAGGCTGCAGTGAGCCAAGGTGATGCCACTGTACTCTGACCTGGGAGACAGAGTGAGACCGTGTCTCAAAAAACAAAACAAAACAAAACAAAAACAAAAACAAAAACAAACAAAAAAAGAAAATACAGGCCAGGAACAGTGGCTAACACCTGTAACCCCAGCACTTTGGGAGGCTGAAGTGGGAGGATCACTTGAGCCCATGAGTTCAAGAGCAGCCTGGGCAACAAAGCGAGACTCTGTCTCTATAAAAAAAAAAACAAAAAATTAGCTGGGCGTGGTGGCATGCCCCTGTAGTCCCGGCTACTCCAGAGGCTGAAGTGGGAAGATTCCTTGAGTCCAGGAGGTCAAGGTTGCAGTGAGTTGTGATCATGCCACTGCACTCTAGCCTGGATGACAGAGTGGAAACCTTGTCTCAAAAAAATAAAAAAGAAAAAGGTAATAAAAAAAAGATACTTAAAATTAATCAGCAGACCAAAATATAAGCTTTTCTAAATGTCAGGATAATTACAAAAACAAGCAAACAAAACAGACTATATAGTGAAATGCTTTTAATATATAAACATATAGAAAAACATTAAAATAATATGACAGGCCGGGTGCGGTGGCTCATGCCTGTAATCCCAGCACTTTGGGAGGCCGAGGCGGGCAGATCACGAGGTCAGGAGTTTGAGACCAGCCTGGCCAACATGGTGCAACCCCATCTCTATTAAAAATACAGAAATTAGCCAGCTGCGGTGGCACGCACCTGTAATCCCAGTTACTTGAGAGGCTGAGGCAGAATTGCTTGAATCAGGGAGGCGGAGGTTGAGGTGAGCCAAGATCATGCCACTGCACTCCAGCCTGGGTGAAAGAGCAAGACTCTGTCTCGAAAAAAATAAAATAAAATAAAATAATATGGCAATACTAACACTAAACATCTTTCATATATATAAATACAAACTGTCTTAGCTCAAGTGTTTAAGGAAAAATATTTTTCTATTGGATCACTGAGCAAAACTCAATGCTATATTCAAGAGTGTCAACTAAAACAAACTGACTCAGAAAGGCTAAAAATACAAGAAAGGGCAAAGGCATGCTAATAAAAGGCAAACAAAAAAAGCAAAAATGTTGCATCTTAATTTCCGATAAGTTAGGAACTCATAAAAAGCATTGACAAGGTCATCAGAAACAAGGGAAGACTGGGAAACTGTCACAGATTGGAGGAGATATGGTGACTAAATGCAATGTCACATCTGAATTGAAGCCTAGGATAGACAAAGGATATCTAGTGGAAAACTGGTGAAATCTGAATAAAGTTTGGATTTTAGTTAATAATAACATACCAATGTTAATCTCTCAGCTCAGACGAAGGTAGTCATACAAGATGTTAACATGAGGGGCAACTAGGTAAAGGGTGTATGGAAACCCTGTACTATCTTTGCAACCTTTCTGTAAATCCAAAATTAATCAAAAATAAAAAGTTTATTACAAAGAAGCATTAATTGAGACAAAAAAGGCCACTGATATGGTTTGGCTGTGTCCCCACCCAAATCTCAACTTGAATATGTATCTCCCAGAATTCCCATGTGTTGTGGCTGGGACCCAGGGGGAGGTAATTGAATCAAGGGGGCAGGTAGTTCCAGTGCTATTCTCGTGACAGTGAATAAGTCTCACGAGATCTGATGGGTTTATCAGGGGTTTCCACTTTTGCTTCTTCCTCATTTTCTCTTGCCGCCACCATGTAAGAAGTGCCTTTTGCCTCCTGCCATGATTCTGACGCCTCACCAGCCATGTGCAACTGTAAGTCCAATTAAACCTCTTTTTCTTCCCAGTTTCAGGTATGTCTTTATCAGTAGCGTGAAAATGGACTAATATAGCCACAATTCACAATGAAGATATAAAGTTACTAATATTTTTGTACCACATGAAATAGCAATTTTCACAAAGCTGAAATAATGAGATACAAGGAGAAATAGATTATAAATTGAAACACACTAAGAACAGGAGAAATTAAACTTACCTTTCTCATTCCAGAACAGAGTAAAGGATCAAAAAACCTAGTAAGAACCAGAAAACCTAAACAGCAAACTCAATATTAGGACAAGAAGAAAATCTCAATAAATTCCAAAAAGTAAAACCAATGTAGACAATGTTCTCTGATCACAACTGGATAAAACTAGAGATCAGTGTAAAATGGATCTGAACATGTGAAAACTCAAACAACTCTTGGGTCAAGGGGAAACTCGAGCTGGTTTCAGTGGCTCATGCCTGTAGTCCCAGCACTTTGGGAGGCTGAGACGGGGGGATCACTTGAGGCCAGGAGTTTGAGACCAGCCTGGGCAACACAGTGAGATCCCTGTCTCTACAAAAAATAAAAAAGTAGCTGGGTGTCATGATGCATGTCTGTAGTCCCAGCTACTTGGGAGGTTGAGGTAGGAGGATCCCTTGAACCCAGGAGTTTGAGGCTGCAATGAGCTACGATTGCACTACTGCACTCTAGCTAGGGCAATAGAACAAGACCCTGTCTCAAAACAAACAAATGAACAAACAAAAAACAAACCAAAATTGCTGAATTTCTAGACAATAATGGCAATAAAAACATTCCGTATCAGAATCCATGGATACAGCTAAAGCAGTGGTCAGCGGAAAGTTCATAGCCTTAAAATACTTACATTACAAACAAAAAAACTAAATGAATAAGCATCAGATTGAAAAAGTTAGAGAAAGACAAAACAAATACAGGGAAGCAGAAGGAATGAATTAACAAAAATAAAAGTTAAAATAAAGGAGTTAGAAAATAGATAACAGTAGGACTAATAAATGAGTGGGTTGATTCTGTAAAAAAGAATTATATAAGCTATTAGATAACATAATCAGGAAAAGGAGAAAGCACAAATATACAAAATAAATGAAAAGTTGCACATAACTATAGTAAGAAGACATTTTAAATATCACAAAACACAACTCTATAGAAATTGTTCAAAGAACTGAAGAAATGGATAATGTCCTAGGAAAATATAATTTACAAACTGACCCTAAAAGACAAGTCCATGTAGATCAATTTTCTTTTCTTTCTTTCTTTTTTTTTTTTGAGATGGCATTTCGCTCTTGTTGCCCAGGCTGGAGTGCAATGGCACGATCTCGGCTCACCGCAACCCCTGCCTCCCGGATTCAAGCGATTCTCCTGCCTCAGCTTCCCGAGTAGCTGGGATTATAGGCATGCACCACCAAGCCTGGATAATTTTGTATTTTTAATAGAGACAGGGTTTCTCCGTGTTGGTCAGGCTGGTCTTGAGCTCCCAACCTCATGTGATCCACCCGCCTCAGCCTCCCAAAGTTTTGGGATTACAGGCGTGAGCCACCGCGCCTGGCCTTGTAGCTCAATTTTCATGGAAATAGACAAAGTTATAAAGAGCTCCCCAATTCCTCAAAGCACCAGATAGAGCAAGATCCTTTCACAAGGGGAAGTCTTTTCACACTAAAAAGCAGATAATTCAAATACTATTCTTATTTTCCTGAGCCTAAGGAAGGAACACTTTAGAAATGTTTTTATCAAGTGAATAATAACACTGATACCAAGATCTGACAAAGATTCCACAAGAAAAAGAAAACCATATAGACTAATTCTCACTTAGGAATATCGGCACAATATCCTAAATATTAACAAATAGAATCCATGACTGTGTGGGTTTTAATTGCAGGAATGCAAGAATTGTTCAATATTAGGAAATCCATTAATATAATCTAACCTATTATTAGATCTAAGTAAAAAAATCCTATCATTTTATTCAGAGATACCAAAGAGTTGTTTGTCAAAACTCAACACCCATTCTTTTATTTTTCTTCTCCTTCAGTAACTTTGGTATCAATACCCATTCTTTATAAAAACATTCAATAAAAGAGGAATATGTGGTTTCTTCCCTGATATATATTTTATCTCATTCTCTATAGATAGATAGATCCCCCAAATCCAGCATTTCACTTAACCAGGAAATACCACCAGTATTTATATGCTAAAATCAGAAACCAACTAAGGGTACCTACTCTCTCCACTACAATTTAGCATTTTATTGGAGGTTGTCTGGGCACTGTGGCTCACGCCTGTAGTCCTAGCACTTTGGCAGGCCAGGGCAGGTGGATTGCTTGAGGCCAGGAGTTTGAGACCAGCCTGGCCAACATGGTAAAACCCCATCTCTACTAAAGTTACAAAAATTAGCTGGGTGTGGTAGTGCACACCTGTAATCCCAGCTACTCAGGAGGCTGGGGCATGAGAATCACTTGAGCCTGGGAAGTGGAGGTTGCAGTGAGCCAAGATCGTGCTACTGCCCTGTGGCCTGGGTGAGAGAGAGAGACTCTGTCTTAAAAACAAAAAAACAAAAAAAAATTGCATTGGAGGTAGTAATCATTACAATTAGAAAAGAGAAATAAATTAAATATACAATTGAAATGGAAGAAGTAAAGCTATCACCATTTATAGATGATCAGATTGTACAGCCACAAAACCCAAACAAACCAATAGAGAAACTACTACAAACAAGAGAATTCTGTAAGGTAGCAGGATATAAAATTAATATATAGAAATCATTCAGTTAGAAGATATATGGAAGAGAAGGCTCCATTTATTAGAGCAACAAAAAAGATAAAATACCTATAAACAACCTTAACAAGAAATGTCTAAAACCTTAATGAGAAACATTCATAACACTCTGAAGGAACTAATGGAAAGGCATGCCACGTTCTCAGATGGGAAGACTTAAAATCATAAAGATGTCAAATTAATTTATAAATTTAGTATAAGCCCATTATCATTTTTTGGCTGCGCACGGTGGCTCACGCCTGTAATTCCAGCACTTTGGGAGGCCGAGGTGGGCAGATCACGAGGTCAGGAGTTCGAGACCAGCCTGGCCAATATGGCGAAACCCTGTGTGTACTAAAAATACAAAAATTAGCTGGGTGTGGTGGTGGGCGCCTGTAATTCCAGCTACTTGGGAGGCTGAGGAAGAAGAATCGCTTGAAGCCAGCAGGCAGAGGTTGCAGAGAGCCGAGATCGCACCACTGCACTCCAGCCTGGGCGACAGAGCGAGACTCTGTTTCAAAAAAAAGCATATCATTTTTTTTTTTTCTGAAACTAGACAAGCTGATTCTAAGTTCATATGGAAAAATAACAAGCAAGCATAGCCAGCATATCTCTGAAAAGAAAGAACGATGATGGGGGACTACTGCCACAATAATGCTGTGTTGTAAACCAAAGTGAATAATTATGTACCAAAACTCAGACAGAGTCTATGGGTCAGCTGGGAGGTTCTATGATCTGGACTAGGCTGTGTTAATCTCAACTGGGCTAGCTTATGTGTCTGCACCCAGTTGGTGGCTTGGCTGGAGGTTGGTTGGCTGCTATAGGACACACTGTCTGGGATGACCAAGCTCATTTCTACTTGTCTCTCACATCTCTCCAGGAGGCTAGTCTGAATATGTTCTCACAGCTGCGGCAGGGGTCCAAGAGAGGAAGTAGAATATGCAAGAGCTTTTTCAAGTCTCTGCTTATACCAAGTTTGCTACTATCCCATTGATTAAAGCAAGTTGTATGGCCAAACTCAAGAGTCAGTGTGGGAAGGTACTACCTTTACCAAAGTTAGATAAAGAGACACATGAAAAATTGGGGTCATTAATGCAATCTATCACAAAACTATGACTCAGTATCTAGAATCCATGAAAGAAAACATAAATTTATTTATATAAATATAAAATTTGCAGCTGGGTGCAGTGGCTAACGCCTGTAAGTTCCAGTACTTTGGGAGGCTGAGGTGGGCAGATCACCTGAGGTCAGGAGTTCGAGACCAGCCTGACCAACATGACAAAACCCCATCTCTACTAAAAATACAGAGGCCGGACACGGTGGCTCACGCCTGTAATCCCTGCACTTTGGGAGGCAGAGGCGGGTGGATTGCCTGAGGTCAGGAGTTCCAGACCAGCCTGGCCAATATAGTGAAGCTCCCTCTCTACTAAAAACACAAAAAATTAGCCAGGCATGGTGGCAGGCATCTGTAATCCCAGCTACTCGGGAGGCTGAGGCAGGAGAATCGCTTGAACCCGGGAGGCAGAGGTTGCAGTGAGCCGAGACCATGCCACTGCACTCCAGCCTGGGCAAGACAGCGAGACTCCGTCTCAAAAACAAACAAACAAACAAAAAACCTAAAAAACAAAAACAGAAATTAGCTGGGCGTGGTGGCAGGCGCCTGTAATCCCAGCTACTTGGGAGGCTGAGGCAGGATAATCATTAGAACCCAAGAGGCAGAGGTTGCAGTGACCTGAGATTGCATCACTGCACTCCAGCCTGGGCAACAGAGCGAGACTCCATCTCAAAAAATAATAATAAATAAATAAATAAAATAAAATTTGCTTTGGAAAAAAGTCCGCTAACAAAGTCTGAAGAATGATGAACTGGGGAAAAAATTGACAGCTGAGATCATTGACAAAGGTCTATCTCTGTTTATTTAATTTTTTTTTTGACAGAGTCTCGCTCTGTCACCGAGGCTGGAGTGCAGTGGCGCGATCTCGGCTCACTGCAAGCTCCGACCCCCCAGGTTCACACTATTCTCCTGCCTCAGCCTCCCGAGTAGCTGGGACTATGGCGCCCGCCACCACGCCCGGCTAATTTTTTGTATTTTTAGTAGAGACGGGGTTTCACTGTGTTAGCCAGGATGGTCTCGATCTCCTGACCTTGTGATCCGCCCACCTGGGCCTCCCAAAGTGCTGGGATTACAGGCGTGAGCCATTGCGCCCGGCCTATTTATTTAATTTTTAAAACTTGTATTTAAAGGAGTAGAGTTTATGATCTCTCTAATTATATAACAAAGTTCTGAAATGAATGAAAGGCCAGAGACCAAACAGAAAAAGGGACAGAGGATATAAATAGATAATTAATACAAAAACACATAAAAAGTCCCTTAAACACATGAAAAAATTATCATCACTCATAATAAATGAAAATCAAAACTACACTGAGATACCATTTTTTTTCTTTTTTTCCTTTTTTTTTTTTTTGAGATGGTTTTACTCGTTTCCCAGGCTGGAGTGTAGTGGCTCTATCTCGGCTCACTGCAACCTCTGCCTCCTGGTTCAAGCAATTCTCCTGCCTCAGCCTCCCAAGTAGCTGGGATTACAGGCATTCGCCACCACGCCCAGCTAATTTTGTATTTTTAGTAGAGATGGGGTTTTGCCATGTTGGCCAGGCTGGTCTTGAACTCCTGACCTCAGGTGATCTGCCTGCCTCGGCCTCCCAAAGTGCAGGAATTCCAGGCGTGAGCCACCGTGCCTGGCCTGAGATACCATTTCTATCCTATCATTGTCAAAAATCCAAAAGTCTCACAATACACTCCGTTGCTTGTGAGGCTGTGGTGAAACAGATATAATCACATTTGGCTGGTAGAAATGCAAAATGATACAACACCTGTGGAGGCAATTTTGGCAGTATCTCCCAAAGTTACAAATGTAATTCTTGGAATGTATCCTACAGAAATATTTGCATCTGTATGAACTATCTATCCTTTGTGGCACAGTCATTAAATAAATGTGCACATAACATACATTCACATTACCTAATACTTTGAGGTAGTAGTCCTATGTGCTTTCATACAGAAAGCTTTCTACTTTCATGCTTTCTACTTACCAGAAACTCTCTAGTGCTCTGATAGGGAAAGACCTCCAGGATGTATTAATTAATTAATTAATTAATTAATCTATTTATTTTGAGATGGATTCTAGCTCTGTCACCCAGGCTGGAGTGCAGTGGCGCAAACTCGGCTCACTACAACCTCTGTCTACTGCGTTAAAGCGATTCTCCTGCCTCAGCCTCCTGAGTAGCTGGGATTACAGGCGTGTGCCACTATGCCTGGCTAATTTTTGTATTTTTAGTGGAGTCTGGGTTTTGCCATGTTGGCCAGGCTGGTTTTGAACTCTTGACCTCAGGTGATCCGCCCACTTTGGTCTCCCAAAGTGCTGAAATTACAGGCGTCAGCCACTGCACCTGGCCTCCAAGATGTATTATTAAGTGAAAAAAGCAATATGTATAACAATATACATAGTACGGCACCTTCTGTGTAAGGCGGAAGGTGGAATACGCTATACATTTATATTTGTTTGCATCTGTATAAAGAAACACTAGAAGAAGACAAAATAAACTAACAAAACTGATACCTGTGGGGGTGCAGGGGAACTGGGTGGACTAGATGGGGATAAGAAATCTCAAAGTATAATTTTTAAATAGTTTCAATATTCAAAATGTGTATTTTATCTATTACAAATGACATATTCAGGCTGGGCGTGGTGGCTCATGCCTGTAACCCCAGCACTTTTGGAGGCTGAGGAGGGTGGATCACTTGAGGCCTGGAGTTCAAGACCAGACTGGCCAACATGGTGAAACCCATCTCTACTAAAAATACAAAAATCAGCCGTGCGTGGTAGCACACAGCTGTAATCCCAGCTACTCAGGAGGCTGAGGCAGGAGGATCACTTCACCCCAGGAGGCAGAGGCTGCAGTGAGCCAACATCACAACACTGCACTCCAGCCTGTGTGACAGAGCGAGACCTGATCTCAAAAAAAAAAAAAAAAAAAGTTCACAAAGTAACAAAACTCGAAGGCAATTAGAAATTTAATAAATATACAATTCTTTTTTAAAACTTACTTGTTAATGTATTTTAATGCATAAGTAATGCCTGAATACATCTGGAGGTTTTTTTTGTGTGTTGTTTTGAGACGAAGTCTTGCTCTGTTGCGCAGGCTGAAGTACAATGACGCCATCTAGGCTCACTGCAACCTCTGCCTCCTGGGTTCAAGTGATTCTCCTGCCTCAGCCTCCTGAGCAGCTGGGATTACAGGTGCCTGCCACCACGCCCAGGTAATTTTTGTATTTTTAGTAGAGATAGGGTTTCACCATGTTGGTCAGGCTGGTCTTGAACTCCTGACATCAGATGATGCCCCTGCCTCTGCCTTCCAAAGTGCTGGGATTACAGGCATGAGCCACCATGCCCAGTCCTGGAGTATTTTATCGCAAATTCCAGACCTGAGGTAATCTCACACATAAAAACCATGTTTCTCTAACACACTTTTTTTTTTTAAAAAAAAGCATAATTACAATAATGCTGACATACCCAGCATTTTTTGTGTGTGTGTGAGACATTGTCTAGCTCTGTCACCCAGGCTTGAGTGCAGTGATACGATCTGGGCACACTGCAACCTCCGCCTCCCGGGTTCAAGCAACTCTCCTGCCAAACCCTCAGGAGTAGTTGGGATTACAGGTGTGCACCACCACGCTTGGCTAATTTTTGTATTTTTTTTTTTTGAGATGGAGTCTCACTGTGTGGCCCAGGCTGGAGTGCAGTGGCACGATCTTGGCTCACTGCAAGCTCCGACCCCCCAGATTCACGCCATTCTCCTGCCTCACCCTCCCAAGTAGCTGGGACTACAGGTGCCTGCCACCATGCCTGGCTAATTTTTTTGTATTTTTAGTAGAGACAGGGTTTCACCGTGTTAACCAGGATGGTCTCAATCTCCTGACCTCGTGATCCACCCGCTTTGGCCTCCTGAAGGGCTGGGATTACAGGCGTGAGCCACCGTGCCCGGCCTAATTTTTGTATTTTTAGTAGAGATGGGGTTTCACCATGTTGGCCAGGCTGGTTTCGAACTCCTGACCTCAGGTGATCCACCCGCCTCAGCATCCCAAAGTGCTGGGATTACAGGCGTGAGCCACTGTGCCCGGTCTAACATACCCAACATATTTAACATTTATTCCTGAATATCATCTAACACCCAGTCCATGTTCTACTGTCCTTCATTATCTCAAAAATACCTTTTTTAGCCTGGCCAACATGGTGAAACCCTGTCTCTACTAAAAATGCAAAAATTAGCTGGGCATGGTGGTGCGCCCCTATAATCCCAGCTACTCGGAAGGCTGAGATGGGAGAATCGCTTGAGCCTGGGAGGCGGAGGCTGCAGTGAGCCGAGATCTTGCCACTGCACCCCAGCCTGGGTGACAGAACAAGACCCCATCTCGAAAAAAAAAATCTTTTTATACTTCATTGGAATCTGGTTGTTAACAAGACCCACACATTGCATTTGTTTGCTTTATCTCTGAAATTTCCTTTCCTTTTTATTTCTTTTTAATCTTTTTTTTTTTTTTTTTTTTTTGAGACGAGGTCTCGTTCTGTCCCTCAGGCTGGAGTGCAGTGGTGCGATCTCGGCTCACTGCAAACTCTGCCTTCCGGGTTCCAGTGATTCTCCTGCCTCAGCCTCCCCAGTAGCTGGGATTACAGGCATGTGCCATGATGCCCGGCTAATTTTTGTGTTTTTAGTAGAGATGGGGTTTCACCATGTTGGCCAGCCTGGTCTTGAACTCCTGACCTTAAGTGATCCACCCGCCTCGGCCTCCCGAAGTGCAGGGATTACAGGCATGAGCCACCATGCCCAGCCTTATTTTCTTTTTAATCTGTAATTTTCCCTCTCTTTTCTTCCTTCCATTTATTTGTTGAATATACTGGCTCTTTTGTCCTGTAAAATTTCCCAAGTTCTTGCTTTGGTGTATTGTTTCTCCCGGTACCATTTAACATGTTTCTCTTCCTATATTACCTGAATTTTTTGTAAATGAAGTTAAATAGAGATGCTCGATTAAATTGTTTCTTTTTTCCTTCTTGTTTAAAAGTATACTTCATGAATAGTGCTGTATACTTCTTATTGTACAACATAAGAAGGCACATATATCTTGTTTTCTGTCTTTGATGATAAGTTTGATGAGTAGGGTCAGATGGTATCAGCCTAATTCCTCTGTTATAATTCCCCAAATGTTTTTCACCTATGGTTTTAGCAGCCATATTTTTTCTTAAATCCATTATCTCATTAGGGATTGAATTGTAACACTGCCATTTCTCTTGCATTTATAAGTTGAGTCTTCCATAAAGAAGCTCTTTCCTTAATTATCTATTTGATTAACCTGCAATATGATTCATGTGGGAAGGCAGGAATAATGCCAGATTTTTTCCATTTGTTGATTAATTATCAGCAGAATGAGCTGATGCCTTAGCAACATCCAAGGTAACCAATTCATTTTTATTTTTATTTTTATTTTTTTTTGAGACAGAGTCTCACTGTCACCCAGGCTAGAGTGCAGTGGCGCAATCGGCTCACTGCAACTGCTGCATCCCGGGTTCAAGCGATTCTCCTGCCTCAGTCTCCCAAGTAGCTGGGACTACAGGCGCCCACCACCATGCCCAGCTAATTTTTGTATTTTAGTAGAGACGGGGTTTCACTATGTTGGCCAGGCTGGTCTTGAACTTCTGACCTCGTGATCTGCCCACCTCGGCCTCCCAAAATCCTGGGATTACAGGTGTGAGCCACTGTGCCTGACCTCATTTTTATTTTTTAAAATACACAATTCTTAAGAGAAAACTTTAATAAAGAACACAGAAGAAGATGAACTGAAGAAATGAGGGTATATTCCACGTTGTTGGATGGAATGAGTAATTATTACAATGATGGCAGTTCCTCCAAATTAATCTATAAATTTAGTGTGATCCCAATCAAAATCCCAGTTGGATTTTTGAAGACCTTGATAGACTCATTTTAAAATTTATGTGGCAATAGATCTAAGACACCTAAAAAGAACACTAAAGAGGAGGAAATGCTCCATGTGATATTTAGACACATTACAAAATACTAAAACCAAGGTGGTATTAGCCCAAGGACAGAAAAAGATGTATGTGTGTTTATGTGTGTATGCCTAATAACATATGATAATGGTGGCATGGCAAATCAATGGGAAAAGGAGGAATTGTTCAGTATTTGATGGTGGGAAACCTGGCTTACCATGTGGAGAATAATAAAGCTACATTCCCACGTATTACCACATATGAGGGTGGAATCTAGATGGATTGAAACCTATTCCACCTATTAGACTGGCAAAAATTAGCCATCTTGGTCGGGCGTGCTGACTCACGCCAGTAATCCCAGCACTTTGGGAGTCTGAGGTGGGTGGATTGCTTGAGGTCAGGTGAAACCCCATCTCTAATAAAATACAAAAATTAGCAGGGCATGGTGGCGGGCGCCTGTAATCCCAGCTACTAGGGAGGCTGAGGCAGCAGAATTGCTTGAACCCGGGAGGTGGAAGTAGCAGTGAGCCAAGATCGCACTACTGCATTAAGACTCTGTCTTAATATATGTGCTGCCGAGGAGAGCACAACAGAGACTCTGTCTTAAAAACAAAAAATAGCAAGCTAGAGAATGTCAAGTGTTAGTGAAGATGTGGGGATACAGAAATCCTCACACATGGTGAAAGTGTGAACTGGTACTGCCATCCCAGAGAACCATCTAGAAGTATTGGTGTTTTTAAGTCAAACTAAGTATATGCATACTTTAGAATGTAATCATGTGGCTCTTGAGTGTATGTTCCAAAAGAAATCCTCACACAGGTCAATAAGGGAATATGTACAAGGATGTTCACTGAAGTATTATTGGAGAGCTGGAGGCAATCTATGCAGTGAAGGCACAGTATGGTTACCATGAGCAGATAGAAGCAATGGATGAGGTCAGGTTGGGCGCAGTGGCTCACGCCTGTAATCCCAGCACTTTGGGATGCCAAGGTGGGTGGATCACCTGAGGCCAGGAATTCGAGACCAGCCTGGCCAATATGGCAAAACCCCGTCTCTACTAAAAATACACGGGCATGGTGGTGGGCGCCTGTAATTCCAGCTACTCGGGAGGCTGAGGCAGGAACCCAGGGGGCAGAGTTTGCAGTAAGCCCAGATAGCGCTACTGCACTCCAGCCTGGGCAACAGAGTGAGACACCATCTCAAAAAAAAAAAAAAAAAAAAAAAAAGAAGCAATAGATTAGATGTACACACAGCAATATGGATAGACCTTAAAAACACTAGGCTGAATGGAAAACAGAATGACTTTTTTTTTTTTTTTTTTTTAAGACAGAGTCTTACTCCATCACCCAGGCTGGAGTGCAGTGGTGTGATCTCAGCTCACTGCAACCTCTGCCTCCCAGGTTCAAGCGATTCTCGTGCCTCAGCCTCCCCAGTAGCTGGGATTAGAGGTGTGCGCCACCACACCTGGCTAATTTTTGCATTTTTAGTAGAGACAGGGTTTCGCCATGTTGGCCAGGCTGGTCTTGAACTCCTGGCCTCAAGCAATCCGCCTGCTTCGGCCTCCCAAAGTGCTGGGATTACAGGCATGAGCCACCGCACCTGGCCAGAATGAGATATTTATGTAAAAGAAAAACAAGTACAAAGTATGCTCAATAGTGAGACAATCTGATATCATGTGCCTCTTGAGGTGACACAATACAAAATAAAGGATATCCCCTATGTACTGTTCTTGCTAAAAATATTTATTCTGAATCTATTCATGTGAAAAGAACAAATGAATCCAGAATATGGGACATATTACAAGACAATTGGCCTGGACTCTTCAAAAACATAAATGTCATTTGAAACAAAAAATATAGGGGTATTATTCTAGATTAAAAGAGGTTAAAGGGATATAACAACCAAATGTAATACACAAACGTCAGGTGTGGTGGCTCATGACTGTAATCCCTGCACTTTGGGAGGCCAAGGTGGATGGATCACTCCAATGTGCAGAAACGCTGTCTCTACTTAAAATACAAAAATTAGACAGGCATGGTGGCGGGCGCCTGTAGTCCCAGCTACTTGGGAGGTGGAGGCAGGAGAATTACTTGAACCCAGGAGGTAGAGGTTGCAGTGAGCCAAGATTGCGCCACTGCACTCGAGCCTGGGCAACAGAGCAAGACTTCGTCTCAAAAAAAAAAAAAAAAAAAAAAAAAAAAAGAAACGTAGTACATAAACCTTGATTAGATCCTGGGATCAAAAAACGAAAGCTGCATTTTTGGGGATAATTGGGCGGAAATGTGAATATGGGCTATACGTGATGGCATTATTGAATTATAGTTAAATCTTCTTAGGTTTGATAATGGTATTGTGGTTATGTAGGATGATATTTGGTGAAGTATAAGGGTATATGGGCTTTCATTATACCATTCTTTCGACTGTTCTGAATTTGGAAACAATATAAAATAAAAATTTGGCCGGGTGCAGTCACCCACAATCCCATCACTTTAGGAGGCCGAGGCAAGCAGATTGCTGGAGCCCCGAGTTTGAGACCAGTAAAAAAATCTTTTTTTTTTTTTTTTGAGAGAAGTCTCGTGCTTGTCCCCCAGGTTTGAGTGCAATGGCTTGATCTTGGCTCACTGCAACCTCCGCCTCCCGGGTTCAAACGATTCTCCTGCCTCTGCCTCCCAAGTAGCTGGGATTAAGGCGCCTGCCACCACACCCAGCTAATTTTTTGTATTTTTCTTTTTGGTAGAGACAGGGTTTCACCATGTTGGCCAGGCTGGTCTCGAACTCCTGACCTCAGGTGATCCGCCTGCCTTGGCCTCCCAAAGTGCTGGGATTACAGGTGTGAGCCACAGTGCCCAGCCGAGACCAGTAAAAACATCTTTAAAAATTAGCTGGGCATGGTGATGTGCGCCTGTAGTTCCCCAGCTACTCGGGAGGGTGAGGTGGGAGGATCCCTTGAGCCCAGGAGGTGGAGGTTGCAGTGAGTGGAGGTCATGCCACTGCACTCCAGTCTGGGCGATAGAGCAAGACCCTGGCTCAAAAAAAAAAAAAAAAAAAAAGGAGGAAATACACATAAAGCAATAATACGTATTTTCCAAGAATGCATATATGCAAAAATATGCATAAAACACCTTTGAATGGCTGCCTATAGGAGGGAAATGAAAGTGGGAAGTAGAGATGAAAGAGATTTTAAAAAATAACACAATCTCTCACTAAAGTAATAAATATTCATCAAATACATGGAAAACACAGAAAAGTACAAGGAAGAAAATTAAATTCACTGATAATGTCACTTTGATTTGTTAGAAATGCAAATCCTGGGCCCTAAACCAGACTTACTGAATCAAAACTCTGGGCATGAGGCCCAGTAATTGGTGTTCTAACAAGCCCTCCCAGTGATTCTGATGCTGGGGAAAGTTAGAGAACCACTAATCTAGATTTAACTATTATTAACATTTTGTTTCAGATCCTTGTAGTCTTTTAAAAAATATGAAATATTTCGGACATACAAATAAGTATAGAGAAGATAACAAAAACCCACGTACCTACCACCTAGCTTAGAAAGTAAAATATTAGACAAACAGTTGAAGTTCCCTGTGTATCTCTCTCTCATTCTGTTCTTTTGTTTTCTTCCCCAGAGGTAATCAGTATTCTGGATTTGGTATTTCTCCTTAAAAATTATTGTTGGCTGGGGGCGGTGGCTCACACCTGGAATCCCAGCACCTTGGGAGGCCAAGATGTGGTTGGATCACTTGAGCTCAGGAACTCAAGATTAGCCTGGGCAACATGGTGAAACCCTGTCTCTACAAAAAATACAAAAATTAGCCAGGTGTGGTGGTACATGCCTGTAGTCCAGGTACTTGGGAGGCTGAGGTGGGAGGATGGCTTGAGTCAGGGAGGTGGAGGCTGCAGGGAGAGGAAATCAAGCCACTGCACTGCAGCCTGGACGACAGAGCAACATCTTGTCTGAAAAAAAAATTATTGTTTATATATCTATATAATCTATAAGCAACATTGTTTGCTGTTTTCTAGATTTTAAAACTTTATATAAATGGTTTCATACTTTATGTGTCCTCTGCAATTTGTATTTTATCTCAGTATTGTGTTTTTGAAATTTAGCTGGGTCAATGCATGCAACATGATTCATTCTTTTTCATTATAGTATTCTGCATAGTATTCTGTCATATGGCTATACCATAATTTACTTATTCATTCTCCTGTTGGTGGAATTTTGGGCTGTTCACATTTTTTTCTCTATTACAAACAGTTCTGCAATGAACATTCTTCCACATGCTCATTGAGCAAGTGTATAAGAATTTCTCTAGGAGTTAAAGTTTAGAGGTGATCTCTATCTATCTATCTACCTATTAATCAATCATCTCCAATACTAGAACTGCTGGGTCCCAGGGTCATCTTCAGCTATTCTGGATACTTCCTAATTGTTTTCCAAAGTCGTAATAACTAGTTTCCACAAGATTTCATTGTATTTTTTCCCTTATATCTTGTGCATTTGGGATTTTGTTTAAAAAGTCCTTCCCCAGTCACAAGTCACAAAGATATTCTCCTGCATATATTAACTTCATAGTTTTACCTTTCACATTCACAGTCTACCCTCTTAGGTGGAATAAATAGAGATCCAGTTTTATATTTCTTTTCATGGAGAGCCAAATTTCCCAATGCCATCTACTAAACAGCCCATTTCCCATTTTTTGTGGTGCAGGCCTGTAAACTCACCCATTTAACAAACAGTTGTTGAAGCCTGCCTCATACCAGTCTTGTGCTGGGTGTTGTTGAAAGCTTGAAGATACATGGCCCCTGCTCTCAGGGAGTTCACCCTCCTGTGGAGACACAGTCACATAAACAACTACAGTATTGTGATAAGTGCTAGCTTAGCTGTATAGGTAAGGTGCTCTGGGTTTCTAACTCATCTGCGAAAGTCAGAGAAGGTTTCATCGAAGTGACAAGAGTTAGGTCTTAGAGAAACAGAGCAAAATTGCAAATGCAGGGGGAAAGGTGAAAGTGGTCAGGGCTGGTTTCAGGTCCAGAGGAATTTCATGTGTCTCTAGGATGAGAGGTTAGAAGCCCTCCAACGATGTAGAGAGGTAGTGAGTCCTGTTTATGTAAGGGATAAAGGGACAGATGGAGTCATTTTCAGCCCGTCTGTGCTTGAAGTGGAGAAACAAACCCACCCTCGGAGGCACAGAGTTCCACCTACTCTGTGCCCCACCCCAGGGTTTAGGCTTGAGGAAGAGGAGGGGCTGGAATTAAACCATCAAGAAGAAAACATTTGCAGACTAATATTTACTATTTTGTGGGGGAGACCTCACTTCCCAGCCAGCTCCTTGAGATGGCTTCAGAAACCCCTACTTGCCCCACTCCAGAGATATAAATTCATTCCCTTCTGCAGACGCTGCTCCGGGATTGAGGGAAGGATGGAGTAGGAGGGGAAGAAGGCAAAAGGGTGGGAGAGGCTTCTAGTGTGGGAGAGGCTTCTAGTCGTTCTGGCTCCTGCTCCAGCTCGGGTTGGGTATGGCCATAGATCTGAACGTATGCAGAAAAAGCTAGGAGTGCTCAGGGATGGTCTGGGGCTCAAGGACCCGGGAAGGTGGTTGGGAATAGCTAACCAATTCACTTCAGGTGGGGAAATACTCGGCCAGACACGTGACCCAGGCGGCCATTTTCTCACACCCTGCTGTCGCCATCTTCCAGGCAGACAAAGACACCATCCCCCACCCTTGTCTGATTCGGGCGTGGTGACTGCCTGGTTATTGAGATTTGGGAGCACGCATATTTAACCCCAGACAGATGCCCGCAGACAAAATTTTGGCTTGCAAGTAAGGTATATGGCCGCACCAGTCGACCCGCCGCTTCTTCCCGGTCATTTCCCCGTCCTCCTTCTCCCTCCTCCGCTATTTCCTTAACTACGGGGCAGGCAGGAGGCGGGGCCAGCGTGGTCGCGAAGAAGGGACGGGCGGGCGTGAGCTGTCAGTCAGAAGCTCCGCCCCCCCCCCCCCCCCCCCGCGGAGACCGCACGGTGGGCGGAGTCGGGCGCCGCCGGCCTGGGATCCGGAAGTCGGAGCCTAGCTGCGCGAGAGTTTCTGCTCGCTCAACCGAGTTGTCGTGTTGCCCTCGCTTCTCAGATCCCCGCCGGAAGTGTAAGTAAGAAACTTCTCTCCTCTTTTCTCACAATGTGCGCTCACCTAGACGGCCGGGCAGTTAGGATCGTCTATTGGATGTGAAACCAGAGATGCCCGCCAACCTGGAATAGAGAGGTAAACAGCAGGATCCCTTCCAGGGTAGAAGGGACCGGAAGAGGGGCAGGGATCGCGGCACACGTGGAGACGCGCCGAATTGCCTTTTCGCGGAGTGGAGTTTGCCGGGAGAGGGGCATTGCCCCATCCCACCTAGAAAGGTGTAGACCCGGGACACACTGTGTAGAGAGGCACAAACTTCACTTGTGTGGTGAAGCGTTGATCGTCCTCAAGATAGTGAGGCTTCATTCTGCATTCACCTTGTATAGACAGGAGTCGACCCACCAAAGGCATGGGGGACATCCACCCCAACCGTGTAGAGACATCTCCCTCCACCCAGCTGAGCAGCGCAGACTTCTCCCGACTTAAGGCACTTCCTTGGCTTGGCTCTAGACAGCCGTCTCGAGGCACCTCCTCAGGACAGACAGAGGCTTTGATGTATCTGCCCCCATACCAGCATAGAGGAGCTTAGAAACATTTAATATACAGAGGGAGGGCACCTCCTCCCCATACGCGTAGACTCAGAGCCCTCAGTATCGCTCCCCAACTCACCCGTCCCCAAAGTGGTTGCAGTTACAGGCCTCAGCTTATGGACAACTAAGCCAATTGCCCCCTCCTCTTAGGTTAGAGTGAGTCCCCATTGTGGAGAATCAGACCTGATCCCTACTTCCGTAGCCCCCGTTTTACCGAATGTGTAATTTTTCGAAGCACCCAACATGCTTCGAAGCAAACAGGAACAGACCTTAATCCATGAAGAGACAGTCAGGTCTGCCCCTTGAGGGGCCGTGGGGGTAGAGGGGCTCAGATGTGTTCCTCTCCCTTTGAGGTAGACACAGATCATCCCCCTACCTCCCCCTACCTCCCCCAAAGATTTAGAATCACTAAATGTAGCAAGGGAGATACCCCACAGGAGCAGATATGCAGGTCTCCCTCCCTGTAATGTTGAGAGGGAGTGACATCGCTGATTACCTGGCAGTTCAGTGCGTATGGTCTCTCCCCTTTACCCAAGGTAGTGGAGCTCAGATCTGTTTCTCTCCACCCAGGGTAGAATCACAGACGCCCCCACCCCCAAGTATTAGGGCTGATCTATTAATTTATAGCTGCATTGCCAGCCCCCTCCACACACCACCCATGCAGAGAACCAGAGCCCCTATTTCTTTCAGTGTTAGTGTGCCGCTGACTTCAACCAGCATAAAAGATGAAAGTTGTCACAGTCCACCTTCCATAGAAGGGTCCAGAATAGCTCACTGCAGGTAAGGTGCAGACCCGCTTATTCAAAGCTGCATAGTTGTGGAATCAGGCATATCGATCCTGTACCACAGCCCTCTCCAGGGTGAAGAGACGCAGGACCCATCCCCACAATCTAGAGATAAACAGATCTGTGATTCTTTCCCCATGCAGCAGAGATGCACACAGCCACTTTGTGGGTTTCCCCAGTTTCTCTGCACCCCAGAGTAGAGGGACAGATGGCAATCCCCCCAACCCAAATCACCAAGGTATAGACCCCAGGCATATGCAGGCACAGATTTTTACCCCCTCCTCCAAGATTTTGTACTTATCTCAATCCATATAGACACTCAGGTAAGAATCCCTGTTCTCAGGCCCCTTTTCCCCAGGGTAGACTCCTGAGATCTATTTACGCCCTTCCCCACCACCTCTCCCAGGGTAGATGAGATATAGAATCCCCTACTTGGGAAAAGAGGCACTATTATCACCCCATATAGAAATAGACCATCCTTGCATGTCCCTTTCCCCTCAGTGTGGAGGTGTTGAGCACTAGTCCCCTACCTAGAATATAACACTACAGTGTGGAGGAATAAGGACCAAAGACCCCATCTGACCCCATTTGACCCCACTGGGCTCAAAGCCCAGTGGCTTTGAGCCACTGACTCCACCCCGGATGAGGTTGAGACCTATTCCTCCCTTTGGGTAGTATGACACTGCCTTCTCTGTGTGGACTCAGCCATATGAGGCTTTAGCTCCAGCTTCTCCCAGTTTTCCTAATTATTACGCCTTCCTCATAATGTTCTTTAACATTTTACCTTTAGGGGACTTAGGAGGGGGCTTGTGGCATTGTGATTCCCAGCTGTCTTCAAATTGCTTCTTCTCCCATTCTGACAGGAAGAGAGCAAGCAGATTTGAACCTATCTGCTTTCAAGCTGGTCATCATGATGAAACTTAGACACAGTGAGTTTCCTTTACCACCCCTCCCAATCCTGTGCTTTTAATGAATATTCATAGAATTTCACAGCAACTTTTTGTTTTTTTGGTTTTTGTTTTGAGATGGAGTCTCGCTCTGTCACCTAGGCTGGAGTGCAGTGGTGCAATCTCAGTTCACTGCAACCTCCGCCTCCCGGTTTCAAGCATTTCCTGCCTCAGCCTACCGAGTAGCTGGGATTATAGGTGTGTGCCACCATGCCAGGCTACTTTTTGTATTTTTAGTAGAGACGGAGTTTCACCATGTTGGCCAGGCTGGTCTCGAACTCCTGACCGCAAGTCATCTGCCTACGTCGGCCTCCCAAAGTGCTGGGATTACAGGCATGAGCCACTGCGCCCAGCCTTCACAGCAACTTTTAAAAACTGTTGAATATGTTTCACATCACTCAGTCTGGATCTTTTTCATATGGTATCATTGCTGTCCTCCTGACTTCCTTGTAAGAGAATGTTTCCATTATGCCCCATTCTCAATTTACAGATGAGGAAACTGAAGCTTAGCAAGGTTAAGTGACTTGATCTGAGGTGAATTGCGATAAAAACATATCACACTGCCTGTAACCCCGACATGTCCTAACATTTTTCTCTATCAGTTGGTACCATAAGTTGTACTAGTGATTAAGAGCGTGCCTGTAATGCCAGCTGCTTGGGAGGCTGAGGCAGGAGAATCGCTTGAGCCTGGGAAGCAGAGGTTGTGGTGAGCCAAGATCATGCCACTGCACTCCAGTCTGGGCGACAGAGTGAGACGCTGTCTCAAAAAAAAAAAAAAGGAATAAAACAAAACAAAAAAAGAAAAGAAAATGATAACATTTGGATAGCACACTGGCACTGGGCAGGCTGGATGAGGATTGTGCTCTGTTTTCTGTGTGAATGCTGGCCCTGCCAGTGGACAGCTTGGTGGGAAAAAAATACATTTTTTATATAATCATAAAAATGTCATCAAGAATCATACTGTTAATACCAAAAGCAAATAATCATACTTTTATTTTATTTTTTATGTTTTTTTGAGATGGACTCTTGCTTTGTTACCAGTAGAGACGGGGTTTTGCCATGTTGGCCAGTCTGGTCTTGAACTCCTGACCTCAAGTGATCCGCCTGCCTTGGCCTCCCAAAGTGCTGGAATTGCAGGCGTGAACCACCATGCCCGACCAAATAATCATATTTATAAGTAACACAAGAAAGGTGGTAATTATACTTTATTTAGGAACATCTAATACTAGATGATAGAAATATTGATAGTGATGGAAAAGACAAAAATTACCTCGTTAAATAAAGTAGGATATATGCATACTTAAGAATTCTGGCTGTTTAAAAGATAAAGTAGTATCATATAGAAAGATTATATGGAAAAACTGTATTGTGTGGAAAGACTATTAGATGGAAAGATCTTCAGATTTGCTAACTGAAAGCAGGCATTTGCCACTATGCCCCACTAATTTTTTTTTTCAATAGAGATGAGGGTCTTTCTATGTTGTCCAGGCTGGGCTTGAACTGCTGAGCTCAAACAATCCTCCCATCTTGGCTTCCCAAAGTGCTGGGATTACAGGCGTGAGCTACCACACCTGGTTTTTTTTTTTTTTCTTTTTAACAAGAGGGAAAAATAGTCTCAGCTTGGCACTGGTGAGTCTGGAGGGCTACGTTCTCTACCTACTGACCCCCGGATAAACGTGTGGCAGTGAAAACAACAACCACCTTTTGAGAGGCCTGCAAGTGAAGCATTGTCCTTGGGAGAGCCAAGTATCAAGGCAGGAGCTTGGACAATTGATCCCAGGGAGAGGTTGTTAGGGGAGTGCTGATCACCCAGGTGGGAGTTTCAGAGAATGTTGTGGGAAATTTGATGCTACGGCAGAGGAAGGATGAGGGGAATGAAGTCAGTGGGTGTACAGGGACATCTGTGGGTGACAGTATGGGAGATGAGGGATTAGCGAATACAGAGATCTGCTTTTGAGTACTGATGAATTGGTGATTTTAGGCCTAGATGATATTGGTGGATGCATTGAGGCTCAGAGAGGTTTTAAAAAATTCTTCAAGGTCATATAGCTAGGTAGTTGTTGAGCCAGAGTAAGAATGTCTGCTGGTTATAAAATGGTAGCTGTTTTCTCTCTGGAGTTGTTGAAAAACCTATGAGCAGAGGCTCCTGAGTGCTGGGAGGGATGACTGACTGCACCCCCTTCTCCTTTTTCCCTCCCCCCTTCTCTTCTCCCCTCTGAAGCACATTCTTTTTCTCTCCAAGTGATGTGTTTTCTTTCACTGTGTGCTTGTATCCATTGCAGGCACTCAGTTTCCAGGGAAGTTAGGCAGATGGAAATTGTTGAGTGAAATGTCCAGACCTGGTTCATTCCAAACCTCACATTTTTTTTGTTGTTGTTGTTGCAACATGAGTACTTTAGAAGAAAGGAGACTGGTGGTCTGTTTCGTGTTTATTTAAACTGTGTTTATTTAAATTCGACCCATTCACATTTGTTATGAGACGTTTATGTCTGGTCAGATTTCTACCGTCTTATTTTTTATTTATTTATTTTTTGAGATGCAGTCTCGCCCTGTCACCCGGGCTGGAGTGCAATGGCGCGATCTCAGCTCACTGCAACCTCCGCCTCCTGGGTTCAAGCGATTCTCTTGCCTCAGCCTCCCGAGTAGTTGGGATTACAGGTGCCTGCCACCATGCCCAGCTAATTTTTGTATTTTTAGTGGAGACAGGGTTTCACCATGTTGGCCAGGCTGGTCTCGAACTCCTGACCTAGTGATCCGCCCACCTCAGCCTCCCAAAGTGCTGGGATTACAGGTGTGAGCCACCGTGCACGGCTCTCTACCATCTTATTTTATATTTATTATTTATTTTGTTTCCTCTTATTCCCTTATTTATGTTTTGCTAACTTGATGAAGTTTTTAAACAATCCTCCATCGGTAATTAAGTTATGTTGGTAATTGTATTCATATTTATATCAAACATAATTAATTCTGTATTTATCACTTTACCAAAGTTAAATAATGACTATTTTGTAACCTACCCTTTCAAAATGAAACCTTTAGCATGCTTTCATGCTTTTGCTTTTCCAACCCCCATTACTTGATTCCTGGATTTTATTGAAATAATTTGGTATTTCAGTTCTGAGCTATTTCCTTATGATATGCTTCTTCGATTTTAAGAATCCTTTTTTTGTTGTTTTTTTGAGACAGGGTCTCACTCTGTCGGCCAGGCTAGAGTGCAGGTGTGATCATGGCTCACCACAACCTCCGCCTCCTGGGCTCAAGTGATCTTCCTGCCTCAGCCTCCTGAGTAGCTGGGACAACAAACATGTGCCATCACACCTGGCTAATTTTTTTTTTTTTTTGAGACAAGAGTCTTGCTGTGTTGCCCAGGCTGGAGTGCAGTGGTGCGATCTTGGCTCACTGCAACCTCCACCTCCTGGGTTCAAGCAATTTTCCTGCCTCAGCCTCTCGAGTAGCTGGGATTACAGGTGCGTGCCAACACGCCCGGCTAATTTTTGTATTTTTAGTAGAGACGGGGTTTCACCATGTTGGGCAGGCTGGTCTCAAACTCCTGACCTCAAGTCAGGCATCCGGCTAATTTTTGTATTTTTAGTAGAGACGGGGTTTCACCATGTTGGGCAGGCTGGTCTCAAACTCCTAATTTTTGTATTTTTAGTAGAGATGGGGTTTCACCATGTTGGCCAGGCTGGTCTTGAACTTCTGACCTCAAGTGATCCACCCGCCTTGGCCTCCCAAAGTGCAGGGATTATAGCTGTGAGCCATCGCTCCTGGCCTCAGTGATAAGTTTTAGTAGATTTCCGTAGATTTCCTGCCCACCACTGTTTGTTTCCTTTAGCTTGGGATCTTTATTCTGATTTAATTTTTATTTTGCCAGTAGTTTTATCCAAAAGGAAACACAGGGCCAGGCGTGGTGGCTCATGCCTGTAATCCCAGCACTTTGGGAGGCCAAGGCGAGCCAATGACTTGAGGCCAGGAGTTTGAGACCAGCCTGGCCAACATGGCGAAACCCCGTCTCTACTAAAAATAAAAAAATTAGCCAGGCACAGTGGTGCACGCCTGTAATCCCAGCTACTCCAGAGGCTGAGGCAGGAGATTTCCTTGAACCTGGGAGGTGGAGGTTGTAGTGAGCTCAGGTGGCACCACTGCACTCCAGCCTGGGCAACAGAGCGAGACTTTGTCTCAAAAAAAAAAAAAAACAGAGAGAGAGAGGGAGGGAGGGAGGGAGAGACGAAAGAAAGGAAGGAAGGAAAGGAAAGAAAGGAAAGAAAGAAAGGCAAGTGGTAATCTTTGCTCACCTGAAAATGTCTTTTTCTTACTTTCACAAAGTAAGAGTGATCTGTTGGTTAGAATTTTATCTCTTTATCTTTAGAGTTCAGAAATTTCATCAGGATATGTCCAGGGTATGTCTTTTTGGTTGTTAATCTTTTTTTTTTTTTTTTTTGAGACAGGGTCTCTGTTGTCCAGGCTGGAGTGCAATGGTGCCATCATAGCTCATTATAACTTTGAATTCCTGGGATCAACCAGTCCTCCCGCCTCAGCTTCCTGAGAGCTAGGACTACAGGTGCATGCCGCCACACCTGGTTAATTAAACTTTTTTTTTTATATAGACAAGGTCTCACTATGTTGCCTGGATTAGTCGCAAACTCCTAGTGTCAAGCGATCCTCCCACCTCAGCCTCCCAAAATGCTGGGATGACAGGGTGAGCCATGGCACCCGGCCTTGGTTGTTAATCTTGCTGCTGCCTGTGTCTTTCCAGTCTGAAACCTCAAGCCTATGTTCAACTTAAGGAACTTTCGTCTGTTATTCAGAAAATTATTGCTTCTCCATTTGTACCCTTTTCTCTTTCAGGAACTCCTGTTTAGATTTTAGCTGTCTTGGCTCTATTGTCCATTTTTTCTTTTATATTTTTGCTCATCATTTCAATTTCTTTGAATTTTTGCTCTAAGTAAGCCCCTCCTTTGGTCTTCTAGCTTATTAATTTGGTTGTTAGTGATGTCTTTTTTGTTTTTCACTATTTCTATTGAATTTTTTTAAGAGACAGAGTCTCACTATGTTGCCTAGGCTGTTCTCGAACTCCTAGGGTCAAGTGATCCTCTTGCCTCAGCCTCCCAGCTAGCAACAGGCAGGTGCTACTGTGCCCAGCTTAAGTTTTGACTGTTAAAGCAGTCTGTGTTTGTGTATTTTTTTAAGAGATGGGGTCTTGCTTTGTTGCCCAGGCTGGATTAGAACTCCTGGGCTCAAGGGATCCTCCTACCTTAACCTCTCATGTAGCTGGGGCTACAAGCATGCACCACGGCACCCAGCTTTTGAATTTTTATTCAGTGTCAAGTTTTGGAAAATCTTTTTTTCTCACACAGTTCCTTTGAAGTATCTTCTTGATTCTCCTTAAGAATTTGCAGTAGCTCGAGACTAGCCTGGCTAAATGGCAAAACCCCATCTCTACTAAAAATACAAAAATTTGTATTTTTGTATACGAATACGGGAGGCTGAGGCAGGAGAATCGCTTGAACCCGGGAGGCAGAAGTTGCAGTGAGCCCAGATCACACCACTGCACTCCATCCTGGGCAATAGAGCAAGAGTCGGTCTCAAAATAAAAAGAATTTGCAGTAGAACTTAAGTTCTGTTTCGTACCTTAACTCTGCAGTGGGAGCCAACTGATGTGATTGTGGAGCCTGTTCTCTGTGTGGTATTCTCGAGCTGCTCATATAATATATTTGTTTGTATATATCCTGAGCTTCCAGAAACTCCTGTCTCTCTAGGAATTCCTTGAGCCCCTATGAAGGTGGTAAGAATTAAAGGGAGCCATTCTTCCCAATAGGCCAACTGTGAACGGGTTGAGAGATGGGACTTCTTATTGAAGAAGGGGAGAGGCCTCATAAGTTCTTGGGCTTTGCTAAGTCATGATTGGAGAAGTGGTAGATCTCTTCTTTTTGTATCTGAGGGAGGCGGCAGCATTTTGGCTGAGTAGGTCAAGTCCCTTTGGAGGCAATGGCCTGAGCAGGGTCAGCAGGAAGGATGGTTCTTTCCCCACATACTGAGGGCATCTGCCCAGGTTTAGTGGGCTGGGACTCCTTAGATTACCTTCTCATTCTGCCAGCTCCCTCATCTCAGCCTGGCACTTAAATTGTTGAGTTTCCCCCAGTAGGAAGTTCTGGGGGAAAGAGGAGTCACAAGCACATATTCAGGTTTCTCTCTGTACAGAATTCCTCTCAGAATTATTTGAGTTTGCAGTGAAATAATGTGCAAATATTATATCCAGTACTTCCTCTGATACTATTGCTGCCATCCGCATCTCTTGTCTTGTGCTGGATCTAGACAGACATGGTATCTGAGGCTTCCTAGCTAGGTTCCCAGTGTGGCCTGGCCTTGATTCAGATGTCAACAAATATCGTGTAGATGGATGACGGCTCTTTTCTTTCTTTTTTTTCTTTTGTAGAAAATAAAAAGCCAGGTGAAGGTTCCAAGGGCCACAAGAAGATAAGTTGGCCCTACCCTCAGGTAAGGTATGCCTGTTGTTGAGGGTAAGGTCAAGAACAGGTTGCTTGTCCTGGGAGAGGCCCACTAAACCCAGTAAATATTGGGTGACTCTGGACAGAGTGCCACATTGGAGTCAGTGGATCTGGCTTTCCCTCCTTCTCTGGGTGGCCGCAGCAGAGAATCAGCAGCATTTTTCCCAAGTCATATGCAGCTTCGTGCTTGATTTACCTTGGTAGGGATTATCATTATCCCCATGTTTTAGTTGAGGAAACTGTCAGTGAGAAAGTTCCTAGGTTCAAGGTAACGCAACTGGGATTTGAGACTGTCTGATTCTCAAGTCCCTGTTTCTTATGGAGAAGAGGGAGGCCAAAACATCATCTTTGGTTCCTGGATCTCCTGGTCCTGCTGGGAAAGGTGTGGGTAAGTAAGGCTTGGGAAAGAGCAATGAGAAGAAGGTATAGGCCAGAGAAGGCTTGGGTTCTCACAATTTAGCATGGGTGAAGCTCTCAAACTTTAACCAGTCCTCTAGAATCACCTGGAGGATGGGGGAAAACATCGATTGCTGGGCCCCACCTCAGAGTTTCTGATTCAGTAGGTCTGGCATGGCATCCCATGATTTGTATTTCTAGCAAGTTCCCAGGTGCTGCTGCTACTGCTGGTCTGAGGACCACTCTTTTGAGAGTCACTTATCTAGAAAGGTTTTCCCTGGGCCTTGGGAAACCTTCCCAGCTGCCCTTCCCCTCTGAGAGGTCTCCTGTCAGTCCCTGCCTAGCTATAGGAGAGAGGACCTCTACCCAGCCAGATGGGCAGATCTTTGGGGATGGAGCCCTTTTTGCTTCTCTCCTTTCTTTGTCCCCACAACTACACTTATCTGAGAAGCTTTAACTCCTGCTGCTCACCTTGGGAGTGAGGGGATGAGAGGATGAGAGGATTGAGAGATAGAAGGGGCATTTATGAGGGGATGTTGTCTTCCTTCTAGGGCTTCTTGCTGCCTTTTTGAGGTGATTTCCATGGGTTCATTACCTCTGTTTTTTTTCTCTTATGTGGTGGCCAGCCTGCAAAGCAAAATGGGAAGAAAGCAACCTCCAAAGTGCCCTCTGCACCTCATTTTGTTCACCCCAATGATCATGCCAATCGAGAGGCTGAATTAAAGAAGAAGTGGGTAAGCTTTTTGCCTTGGTGGGGAGAGAGAGGGCCTGCCTTGAATGCCAGGTCCGCAGAAGTGTTGAATGGAAGGGCAAAGGCAAGAGTTGTTAGGGTTGTTGAGGCTATTTGTGGAAGCCGGGAGAGAGGGAGGTTACCATGATACTGGATTTATGTCTGCGTTTGTTCACCACCCAGTCCATTGCTGTCTGGCTTATGCTTCCACTGCTCTGCTGACACTGCCCCTGCTGGCCTCATCAGCGCCTTCCCTGACATCACATTCATGAATAGTATTCTTCCCTCATCTTATTGGAATGCTCAGCATTTGAGGCTATGCTTTCTTTGAAGCATGTGGACTTTCTTGTCATCTCACTCTCCTGGATGTCTTTCTTCTTTGACTAGCCACTGACAGTCTCTTTTGCCACTTTTTCCCCTTTCTTATCTTTTTTTTTGAGATGGAATTTCACCTTGTTGTCCCGGCTGGAGTGCAGTGGTGTGATCTCGATTCACTGCAACCTCTACCTCCCGGGTTCAAGCGATTCTCCTGCCTCAGCCTCCTGAGTAGCTGGGATTACAGGCATGCACCACCACGCCCAGCTAATTTTGTATTTTTAGTAGAGATGGAGTTTCACCATGTTGGTCAGGCTGGTCTTGAACTCCTGACCTCAGGTGATCCACCTGCCTTGGCCTCCCAAAGTGTTGAGATTACAGGCGTGAGCCACCCTGCCCAGCCTTCTTCCTTATCTTTAAATGATGAAGCATCCCAGGACCTTGGCTTCTTTCCATCTCTGGTCTTAAGTGGTTCCGCCTGCCTAGGATACATTCTCTCTCTGCTTTTTATACCCTCTTTTCTCTGCAACTCTTTCCTTCCCTTCATCTCTCTTTTTCTTCTTCTCAAACCCTCATCTCCTGATGTCATATCTTCCCTCTCCCTGGACCCTGCTCCTGCCACCTCTGCCATGTCGCACCATTTCCTCTGTCTGTCACCCATCCCTCCCTTAGGCTGCAGACCCAGTCAGCTCCAGTACCAGTGTGTGTTCACTTGTTAGGTTGAGGAGATGAGGGAGAAGCAGCAAGCCGCCCGGGAGCAAGAAAGACAAAAACGCAGGACCATTGAGAGCTACTGTCAGGATGTCCTAAGACGCCAGGAGGAGTTTGAGCATAAGGTAAGAGTGCAGCCCTTGCCCCTGGGTAGGTTTGCTCAAAGCATCTTTTGCCGTTTTTCTGTGAAAGGGAAGAAGGTGTGAAGTTGTTGGAGGGGAACAAGGGAATCAGTGTAGAGAGGATAGAAAACCATGGGGACGGACGAAGGGAGGGAGGGAGGGATAAAGGGAGATAAAGGGCCATTTTGAGCCTTACCCGTGACTGGACACCTCTGGAGAGCTCCTCTCTCCCAAGGTTGAGCCTGAAGACTGGGGCTGGTGGCGGAGTTGGGGGCTGGGAGAGTTACATGTGACCAGGGGATGGGGTTGGGGGAGAGGGAGCGAAAGTATGAGGAGAGGATTGAGAGACAGAGAGGAGCATATGTGAGGGGATGTTGTCTTCCTTCTAGGGCTTCTTGCTGCCTTTTTGGCAGATGTTCTTGTTTCACACACAGAATACACGCTTGCCAGCTCATACTCCCTTTTCTGATATGCAGTGTGTATGCCTCCCCCATCCTGTGTCCCTCATAGATTGTTTTTTTCACACCTCCCTCCTCCATCCCTCCCTTTCACACCCATGTGCACACTCAGGTCTCCACCTGGTGCTCGAGCACACGTATACACATAGGCGCACACATGAACCATGGGGTTCTGTCCATTTTTCTTCCAGTTCCCAGCTTTATTGGTTGGTCAAAGCTACTTTTTGGTGGCCTGAGACTCACATGATTTATTTTTTAAATTATTATTTTACTTTAAGTTCTAGGGTACACGTGCACAACGTGCAGGTTTGTTACATATGTATCCATGTGCCATGTTGGTGTGCTGCACCCATTAACTTGTCATTTACATTAGGTATATCTCCTAATGCTATCCCTCCGCCCTCCCCCCACCCTACAACAGTCCCCGGTGTGTGATGTTCCCCTTCCTGTGTCCAAGTGTTCTCATTGTTCAATTCCCACCTATGAGTGAGAACATGGGGTGTTTGGTTTTTTTGTCCTTGAAATAGTTTGCTGAGAATGATGGTTTCCAGCTTCATCCATGTCCCTACAAAGGACATGAACTCATCATTTTTTATGGCTGCATAGTATTCCATTGTGTATATGTGCCACATTTTCTTAATCCAGTCTATCATTGTTGGACATTTGGGTTGGTTCCAAGTCTTTGCTATTGTGAATAGTGCCGCAATAAACATACGTGTGCATGTGTCTTTATAGTAACATGATTTATAATCCTTTGGGTATATACCCAGTAATGGGGTGGCTGGGTCAAATGATATTTCTAGTTCTAGATCCTTGAGGAATCGCCACACTGTCTTCCACAATGGTTGAACTAGTTTCCAGTCCCACCAACAGTGTAAAAGTGTTCCTATTTCTTCACATCCTCTCCAGCACCTGTTGTTTCCTGACTTTTTAATGATCGCCATTCTAACTGGTTTGAGATGGTATTTCATTGTGGTTTTGATTTGCATTTCTCTGATGGCCAGGACTCACATGATTTTTTAAGCCTCCTATAGTTTAAAAAGCCCTGCTTCTCTTTCTCGCTCTCTCCCCCTCCTCCCCTGGACCATTCTCTTTTTTTTTCTCCTTTAGGAGGAAGTTTTGCAGGAATTAAATATGTTTCCTCAGCTGGATGACGAGGCCACGAGGAAGGCTTATTACAAGGAGTTCCGTAAGGTACAGGGTTCCATTTCTTCAGGCTTTTGCGGGAGGGTTCCAGTCCAGCCCCTTTTCCTCTCCATTTCTGTTTTTTCCTGACTGAGATGGAGATTTTTGTTTCACAGGCCTGCATCACTGCTACCCTATCCTTTTCCTGCCCTCATCTCCTGGTCCTCTGCCCTGCAGGTGGTGGAATACTCTGATGTGATTCTGGAAGTCCTGGATGCCAGAGACCCATTAGGCTGCCGCTGCTTCCAAATGGAGGAGGCTGTCCTGCGAGCACAAGGCAACAAGAAGCTGGTCCTGGTCTTGAACAAGATTGGTGGGTGTTAGGCAGGATTGGGTGTGACAGGGAAGGTGGGCAGGCCATCTTTAACGTCTAGCTTGGACCAGACACTGAACCCAGCAACTCAGTGATACTCATAATAGTCATGCAAAGTAGAAATTTTTGTTCCGATTTTCAAAGCCTGTATCACAGAGTATGGTACAAGTTAGGTGTGGAATCCAAGCCTGTCTGCCTTTCAGTCCCCTGTTCTTGCCATTTTGAGCCTTCTCTGTTTTTGGACAACCCTGGAGAGTTCCTCCTCCCTCAACTCAAAGACTGGGGCAGAGGAGCACATGGGCTCAGGAGTCACTCATGTCTAGGGTTCAGCCTCCCACCTGTCCTGATTCTTTTCTCTGAGACACTGGATAAGTCATGCCACCTCCAAGAGCTCCTGTTTCTCTAGCTGTAAAATGGGCCATGGGTATCCCAACCTCACAGATTTGTTGTAAGAATTAATGATAAAATGCTTGGTACATGGTGGTCAGTACTTCACACATGATAGCCATTCTTTTTAGGGTTATCTTTGTCATTTGGCCCAACCTAGAATGATCCAGAGAGGGGATAGGAAACACAATATTTGGGGGGTCTCTGATGCTCCTGGCGCTGTTTTGGAAAGAGAACATTTGGGACCAGATAGCTAGTTTGTCCATTTTCCCTGAGGGAACAGAGGCCCCTTCAGGGAGGGCTAACGCATCCCGTAGACCAGACTATCCTTTCTAACTCCAACCTGCGGACTGGATGGGAATGACAGGGCCAGTTGAGAGACCTGTTGATGGTAGGTGGGCCTAGCTTTGGGTACGGGTGGAGGTGTCTTTGGAGGGAACCATGGAGGTGTTGTTCTGCTTACCAGCCCCATCTGTTCCTATATTTACCCCAGACCTGGTCCCCAAGGAGGTTGTGGAGAAATGGCTGGATTACCTTCGGAATGAGTTGCCAACCGTGGCTTTCAAGGCCAGTACCCAGCATCAGGTCAAAAACCTGGTAAGCCTGGGGCTAGGGTCATCTAGCCGCTTTCAGGGTAGTTTGGGGCCAGAGCTGGGAGGGTCGTGACTTGGACTGGGACCTCCAGCCCTTTAGTAATTGAACTGGGCCTTCAACTTTGAGCTTTTTGCTCCACCGAGTGACTTTTTTTTTTTTTTTTGAGATGGAGTTTCACTCTTATTGCCCAGGTTGGAATGCAATGGTGTGATCTCGGCTTACTGCAACCTCCACCTCCTGGGTTCAAATGATTCTCCTGCCTCAGCCTCCAAAGTAGCTGGGATTACATGCACGCGTCACCATGCCCTGCTAATTTTTGTAATTTTTTTATTTTTAGTAGAGATGGGTTTTGCCATGTTGACCAGGCTGGTCTCGAACTCCTGACTTCAGGTGATCCACCCACCTCGGCCTCCCAATGTGCTGGGATTATAGGCATAAGCCAACATGCCTGGCCAGTGACTTCTTAATATTAGTTTCACTTGACTTCTTCCTGTATTATCACTCTTCAGGAAGCATTTCTTTTTTTTCAGTTGTAAGGATAAAACATAATGTCTATAGGGAATTTGTAAAATACAGTTAACTACTTGTTTGTTTGTTTATTTATTTATTTGAGACAGAGTCTCACTCTGTTGCCCAGGCTGGAGTGCAATGGCATGATCTTGGCTTACTGCAACCGCTGCCCACCAAGTTCAAGCAATTCTCCTGCCTCAGCCTCCCAAGTAGCTGGGACTACAGGCATGTGCCACCATGCCTGGCTAATTTTTGTATTTTTAGTAGACACGGGGTTTCGCCGTGTTGGCCGGGCTGGTCTCAAGCTCCTGACCTCGGGTGATCCACCCGCCTTGGCCTCCCAAAGTGCTGGGATTACAGGCGTGAGCCACCACTCCCGGTCTAACTTTATTTTTTATTTTTTGAGACAGAGTCTCACTTTGTCACCCAGGCTAGAGTGCAGTGGCACCATCTCGGCTCACTGCAATCTCTGCTTCCTGGGTTCAAGTGATTCTTGTGCCTCAGCCTCTAGAGTAGCCAGGATTGTGGCTAAGTTTTGTGTTTTTTTTTTTTAGTAGAGATAGGGTTTCACCATGTTGGCCAGGCTGGTCTCGAACTCCTGACCTCAGGTGATCTACCAGCCTTGGCTTCCCAAAATGCTAGGATTATAGCTGTGAGCCACTGTGCACAACCAACTACTTGTTAACTTTAAAAAATACGTATACCTCCAATCATTTTTCTCTTTGAAACAAATCACAGTTCTTCCCAATTATATCATTAATAGAGAAATATGTATGGTTTGTAAAATATTAATACAGAAACTGATTGTTTCTGGGAGAAAAATTGGATACTAAGGGACATTTTTTTTCAATTTTGCATTGGATGTTAAACTTATTTAAAAATAAAGTAGAAAAAATAAAATTAACTACAGATAAAGCTTAAATACCCTTTCACCAGTCTCCCTAATTCTAGTCTCCTTTATTCATGCCCAGAGGTAACTACCATTGACAGTTTGGTGTGCATTCTTCCAGACTTTATTTATTTTAGATACAGATATTTAGGGTCTCAATTGGTCATCCAGGCCTCAGTGCAGTGGCGTGATGATAGCTCATTGCAGCCTCAAACTGCTGGGCTCAAGCCATCCTCCTGCCTCAGCCTCCTGAGTACCTTGGACTATAAGTGCATGCCACCATGCCAGGCTAATTTTTATCTTTTTTATTTTTGTAGAGATGGGGGGAGGGTCTTGCTTTGGTGCCCAGGCTGGTCTTGAACTCCTGGCCTCAAGTGACCCTCCCATCTCAGCCTTCCAAAGTGCGGAGATTACAGGCGTAAGCCACTGCACTCGGCCTTCTTCCAAATGTTATTCTGTGCTTTGGATATACATAGAAGTGTATATATAAAGAGGGAATACTGTTTGGAAGTATTATGTATATCATTCTGTGGCTTAGTTTTTTTTTTCTCTTGGACATCTTTCTATAGAGATGTGCCTTTTCGAGGCTGAATACAATTAGTTTCCAGTTTTTTATCGTTATAACCTGGGCTTCCACAAATACCCTTGTACATGTCTCCTTGGCACATGGGCAAGTGTGTGTTTGTAGGTGAGGTAGAGAAAGGGAGTGGCTGGGTCATAGCCTTTCTGCATTTTACCTTTACCTAGACACTGATGAATCACCCTCCGTGATGGCTGTACCAATTTATACTCCCACCAGTGGGGTAGATGAATGTGTGAGAGGCCTCTTTTCCTACACCCTTGGCAACATTTGATAGCATTAAACTTTTAAACCTTTCAGAAACATGATACCTTATTTACATTTTCTTGGCCTTTTTAAAATTTAAATTTAAATTTTTGTTGAGATGGAGTTTCACTCTTGTTGCCCAGGCCGGAGTGGGATGGCACGATCTCGGCTCACTGCAACTTCTGCCTCCTGGGTTCAAGTGATTCTCCTCCCTCAGCCTCCCGAGTAGCTGGGATGACAGGCATGTGCTACCACGTCTGGCTAATTTTGTATTTTTAGTAGAGACAGGGTTTCACCATGTTGGTCAGGCTGGTCTTGAACTCCTGACCTCAAGTGATCCACCTGCTTTAGCTTCCCAAAGTACTGGGATTACAGGTTTGAGCCACCGTGCCCAGCTTCTTGGCCTTTTTGATGGCAAAAATAGAAGCCGCCTTTTCTTTCTTTTTTTTTTCTTTTTTTTTTTTTTGAGATGACGTCTCACTCTATCTCCCAGGCTGGGGTGCACTGGTGCAATCTTGGGTCACTGCAACCTCTGCCTCCCGGGTTCAAGTGATTCTTCTGCCCCAGCCTCCCGAGTAGCTGGGATTACAGGTGCGTGCCACCACACCCAGCTAATTTTTGTATTTTTAGTAGAGACGTGGTTTTGCCACGTTGGCCAGGCTGGTCTTAAACTCGTGACCTCAAGTGATCCGCCTGCCTTGGCCTCCCAAAGTGCTGGATTACAGGAATGAGCCACAGCACCCGGCCAGAAGCCACCTTTTCTAACAGCTGTATTTCATTTGTATTCCACTTTAAGGCTACAGCTTTTTAACCTGTTTCTTATTGATGGATATATAGGCTAATTCCAATTTTGTGATATTGGAAACAATGCTGTGGCTGGGCGTGGTGGCTCATGCCCGTAATCCCAGCACTTTGGGAGGCCAAGGTGGGCAGATTGCTTGATGCCAGGAGTTTGAGACCAGCCTGACCAACATGGCGAAACTCTGTCTTTACTAAAAATACAAAAGTTAGCCGGGTGTGGTGGTGCATGCCTGTAGTCCCAGCTACTTGGGATGTTGAGGCATGAGAATCGTTTGAACCCAGGAGGTGGAAGTTGCAGTGAGCCAAGGTTGTGCCACCACACTCCTGCCTGGGTGACAGAGTAAGACTCTGTCTCAAAGAAAAAAAGTAAGGGAAGAGGAGGGAGGGAATTCTGGGCAGAGGAAGTGGCATCAGGAGTAAAGGTTGGGATGGCTTTGTCCTGTGTGAGGAATTGAGGGAGGGTAGGCTGTGGGCCAGGCTCCCTCTCATCCCTGCGCAGGCAGGGAGGGTGGGCATCCCTGTTGTGCACACAGGGCACTGAGGCCTGGAGAAGGGAAGCAGGCTTTGCTGGACATAGGCCTGTGAGAAGTAGACCTGGAGCTCAAACCTGGCCTATTTAGAGCCAGGATGCCATCCTGCCACTGCCGAGGGAGGCAAGTGACATGTGTCGAAGCAGACGCAGGGGCAGAGGAGACTGGAGACACAAAGACAGTGGAGGGGAATGGGGAAATGACACGTGTTCAAGATCTGTGTGAGAAGCCTTCCGTTTCAGGCTGAGGAGCTCAGTGATCATAGGGAGGCCCTGAAAGTTGGAAATCTGGGCTCAGACCTCATCTGCCACCTGATGTCTCTTCTGTGATATTCAATTTTTTTTTCCAGAATCGTTGCAGTGTGCCAGTAGATCAGGCCTCTGAGTCACTGCTGAAAAGCAAAGCCTGCTTTGGAGCTGAAAACCTCATGAGGGTTCTGGGGAACTATTGCCGCCTTGGTGAAGTGCGCACCCACATTCGTGTGGGTGTTGTGGGTAAGACCTGCTGTGTGGTCATGGGGCTCAGGCTTCTTTCTTGAGCGGACACTTCGCTGGGGGAAAGGATCCTGGGAGCTTCATTGTCTTTTGCGGGGAGAGAGGAGTGGTTCAGGAGAAGGGTTTCGTGATTTGTAACTTGGATGGGTGGGCATCACTGCGTATTGAGTATTAGATTCATGGAGCAAATACAGGGTGCCAGGCTTGGACTTGGTACCATCTCATCCTATCAGAGCTATGGGAGGATGGGGTGACCGTCTACCTTTTACGGATGAGAATTCTGAGTGAGGCTCAGAGAAGGGCAAAGGGACTTTTGGAGCCCAGCCCTGTGCAAGACAAGGCAGAGCTGAGGATCAAAACCTGGGCCTTTCTGGAGCACAAGTTTCTGAGGGAGGGATGATGGGAATGGAGTAGGGAAATTGAGAGAGGCAGAGATAGATCACCAGAGAAAGAATGTGAAGCCACGTGAGAAAGACATTGGAGAGAGAGCTAGACACTGAGAAGGTATAGGTATGCATACCAGGATAGATACAGAAGAAGACACAGAGAACGCACTGGGAAGCCAGATGGCAGGATTGGTGGGGAATGGAAAGAGGAGACAGATTTACATGATGGAGGCATGTAAAGAGGGAGATACAATCAGAAACACCAAAAGGGACATAGAAACAGACATGCATACAGAGATCTGCCGAGGGAGACATAGGAAGGGTAGAGATAACCCATGTATGTAGAGAGGCAGACATGTTTTCTCAAAGAATGAGAGAGAAAAACATACTACAGGGATAGAGACAGATTCAGAGAGAGACATACATGGAAGCAGACTGGACAAGGCTGTAGATACAGAGGAACACATACACATAGCTCTTAAGTACACATACAGATCCACAAACACATACACAGACCCACGCTACAGACCCAGAGATCCAGAGGAGGCACATCTAGCGAGACAGAACCACAGTCAAAATGCATGTAGACCAAGCCCTTCCCACACACACCCACCCCAACGCTGCTCCCCCAACGCGCATAGAACCACAAGGAGGGCTGGATGTAGCAGCTCATTCATGCCTGTAGCCCCAGCACTTTGGGAGGCTGAGGCGCACAGATCACTTGAGGTCAGGAGTTTGAGACCAGCATGGCCAACATGGCGAAACCCCATGTCTACTAAAAATACAAAAATTAGATGTGTGTGGTGGCGGGCATTTGTAATCCCAGGTACTCGGGAGGCCGAGGCAGGAGAATCGCTTAAATCTGGGAGGTGGAGGTTACAGTGAGTTGAGGTTACAGTGAGTTGAGATCGTGCCACTGTTGAGATCCAGCCTGGGCAACAGAGCGAGACTCCGTCTCAAAAAAAAGAAGACACGCATGTGCCCACATACACTTTGACCCTCGAACATAATCACATACCTAGAGTTACAGAGGGACACAAATACCAGACATGTCACTATGAGGCAGGTATGTGTACCTGTACAGAGAGAAATAGAGACATACAGAGAGGAGGTTAAGGAGGCGCAGACAGGGAGAGAGTAGAAGAGACACCGTGAGACACATACAGAGAGGCATCCATGAAGTGACCAGCCCACAGAGATGAGGAGCATGGACAGAGGCTGACAGGAGTTGGCATGGAGGGAATTACAAATAGAGGCAGGATTGGTGGGGTGGAGAGAATCAGAGAGAAAAGAACAATGGCCAGAATGAGAGACAGACAAATTGGCAGAGAAAGAGGTGCTTAGATACAGAGACACAGAGAGAAACAAAGATAAGATAGAGAAAGAGACTGAGTGGGAGAGATACAAGAAAAGGAAAAAGTGGTGATACTGAGAATGGGAATGACCGAGAGAGAGAGAGAGAGAGAGAGAGAGAGATGTGTAGAGACTTCCATGCATGGTGATAATTTAGAATGAGAATGACCTAGAGAGAGGGAGGGGGGAGAGAGGTGTGCAGAGGCTTCATGCACGAGAGGTATACTTAGACATATACCTTTTTTTTCTTTAGGCAATCAGCTTTCTCGGGTTGAAACAAGCATATGCTTGAGACAATAGTACACACATGTAAATTGAGCACATACAGAAAGAGAACGGTGAGAATGAGGCCCAGTGAGGGGAAACACAAAGACATCCACAGGCTGAGAATGGCTGACAGATGCACAAACAGCAAAATACACACCTCAGGTAGACAGCTGCACAGAGAGACTGGCATCTGGAGATGACCTCCATCCCCATCCATGGAATGATACACCCAGACAGGTTGTTCTCTGTTTCTTAGACATTTCTCGATGTCCACCTTCTGTTGGATTGTGCCACTGAGGCCTTGCATTGAGGACCTCTGCCTGGCTGATTGTGAGTGGGAGGTTGGTGTCACGTCTAGAAAGAGGGACATACCTATCTAGCATGCTCACAAATGGAGGGGAGAGGTAGAAAGGCCCTGTAGGGGCTTTGTCAGGGCCTGGGGTGGGAAGGGAGGAGGTCAGGCTCAATTTTTTGGCTTCCCCATGGCCTGGTTACTACCCCTGGCTAGGCCTCCCTCACACAGGCTGGCCTGAGTGTTCCTGAGGGCCTCTTCTGCCCTGAGCCATCTGCTGCTATTTTGTAGGTCTTCCCAATGTTGGGAAGAGCAGCCTGATCAATAGCCTGAAGCGCAGCCGCGCATGCAGCGTGGGAGCTGTTCCTGGAATTACCAAGTAAGCACCTGCCTGCTCCTCCACTCCACAATTCCTTGACCCTACCATTTCCCCCCAACTCCCATGCCTTCAGCCCCTGTCCCTTTCCTTATCATGGACCATCCCCTGATGCTTTCCCCAGGCATGGGAGTCTCATAGCCCTCATTTTCCTGATACACCCTAGGTGTGGGCCAGGTCCCCACATGGGTGGTTCCCATTAGCGCCTTGAAGCTTCTGAATAACGATGCAAGATTGGGCTACAAATGGGAGCTCTGTTGACTGGATGAAGCAGCTGAGGCTTGGAGAGTCAAGCTTGCCCAAGATCCTGCAGCTCAGTCCCCAGTGGCAGAGGATAGATTAGAATCAGCCTCAAGTCTGTAGAGCCCCAGTCACCCCTCCTCCAACTCTACATCTCTCCACCTTCGTCTCTAATGCACCCTCCCCTCACTCCTTTACACTCCCACATCCCAGGCCCACCTTCGTGATTGGGGCCTCTACGATGCCAGGTACATCTGGGCTTTCTTCTTCCCCGCCCCAGATTCATGCAGGAGGTCTACCTGGACAAGTTCATCCGGCTCTTGGATGCTCCAGGCATTGTCCCAGGGCCCAACTCAGAGGTGGGCACCATCCTGCGTAACTGCGTCCACGTGCAGAAGCTGGCAGACCCTGTGACCCCAGTGGAGACCATCCTGCAGCGCTGCAACCTGGAGGAGGTCCGCAGCAGAGCCCTGGCTGATGCCCTGCCCTACTCTAAGGGCCCTTCATTCCTCCTCATGACTTCTCTCCTTCCTCCCTTCACCAGATTTCCAACTATTATGGCGTCTCTGGGTTCCAGACCACTGAGCACTTTCTGACGGCAGTGGCCCACCGTTTGGGGAAGAAGAAGAAGGGAGGCTTATATAGTCAGGAACAGGCGGCCAAAGCTGTCCTAGCTGACTGGGTGAGGTGAGGAGGGGGTTAGGGGTAAGGGTGAGGCCCGCTGGCAGCCTGGCTCCCCAAAGGGGCTCATCTGTGCTCATTGCCGCTGGGGCAGCTTGACTTCCTGGGTCTTGGGGCAGAGGATGGCCAAGGTGCCAGGTCATGTCCTGCTCGAGACTTTATGCCCAGTGATTATCCAGCAACTCAACTCCTTCTTGTTCAGAAGCCACTGTCTGGGTTTTCTTGTTCCGTTGCTGTTTCTGGCCTGCAAACTCATCGTCTCTTGGATTGTCATTGGTTCTCTCAGTGACAGCACCACTCATCTCCCCTATCTCCCAATGCAGCGGGAAGATCAGCTTCTATATACCACCACCAGCCACTCACACTCTGCCCACCCATCTCAGTGCTGAGATCGTTAAGGAAATGACCGAGGTCTTTGACATCGAGGATACTGAGCAGGCCAATGAAGACACCATGGAATGTAAGTGTGGGCAGGGTGGGTGCACTTGGTCTTGCACTAGTGGGGCCACACAGACCTGACAGCAAATCCCACTTTTGACCTCCCGCTTCCTTGGCCCTACTTGGGCTTTGGGCAAGTTGCTTAAGCAGCTTCAGGCCTAATTTCTTTTCTTGCAAGGTGGGGAATTCTAATCTGGCCCTGGCAGGGCGGGTTGGGGGAGGGTGGTTGTGAGCTTTTGGTAAATAACGAAAGAAAAAGTGCCTGGTACCCATTGAGGTGCTCTGGAAATGTGAAGCTCCATTCCTGTCTCTTGGGACCTGGAATGGACTGAGACATTCTCTCAAAAACTCTCTAATGTTGCCTTAGGCTTTTTCACAACCACTTCAGGTCCACTTCTCGATTTTCCTTCTTACCCCTATCGGTGAGTAAGGTACCCAAGTCACAGAAAGCTGATATTTGCCAAAAGGATGTCAGCAGAGGTGGCCTTTGACCCAGTTCTCCTGCCCTGTTGAAGACTCTTCCAGCTCACAGGAGCTGGGTGTCCAAAAGTATAGACTGCCTGGATTCAAATCCGAGCTTTGTTTCCTTTTTACTGTGTGATGCTAAACAAATTACTTCACTTCTTTGTCTCAATGATGTCATCTGTAAAATGGGGACAGTAAGTCCACCCGATAAGGTAGTTATGAGGATTTTTTTAATAATGTAAAAGACATTTAGAACAACAGTGCCTGGCATATAGTAAATAGATGCTCAGTAAATGTTAGTTTTTATTAAGATGATTATTTGCTGGGGAACAGAGATGTGACTCTCAGAAACTCCTGAGAATGTTTGCCCTCCTCAGATATTACTCTCTGCAGCCCTGGCTTGTGGCTCCCTGCTTCATTCTCTACACTGCCTAAGGAAGGTATCCAGTGCCTTCTGGGCTTGTCTGTAGACATTATGGGGTAGTTGAGGAAGCGTTGGCTAGCCTGGCTTCTAGATTCTCTGTTTTTTCTCTTGAGGTCCAGTAGTTTTCCTTCTCTGGGTCTTTTAGTGTCCTTGTGTTACACACGAGGTTAAGAGGACTTGCCTGCTTTCTAGTTTGTATTTCATGTGGCTTTGAGCAAGTCAGCCCCCTTTCTGAATTTGTTTCCTCTTTTTGTTTTTTTTTGAGGCAGAATCTTGCTTTGTTGCCCAGGCTGGAGTACAGTGGTATGATCTGGGCTTACTGCAATCTCTGCCTCCTGGGGTCGAGTGATTCTTGTGCCTCAGCTGCCTGAGTAGCTGGGACTATAGGTGTGCACCACCACGCCTGGCTAATTTTTTTTATTTTTAGTAGAGATGGGGTTTTGCCATGTTGGCCAGGCTGGTCTTGAACTCCTGGCTTCAAGCAATCTGCCTGCCTTGGCCTCCCAAAGTGCTGGGATTACAGACATGAGCCACTGTATCTGGCCTTAGTTTCCTCTTCTGTTAAATAGGGCAGTTGAGAGGGGTTTGAGTTTATGTTCTTATGATGATGCTTGACCCTGGCTGGATGTGAGGGCAAGAGGTGCTCCATCACTGAGAATACATTTTGGCCAAAGACTGAGGTCTGAGAAATTGAGAAGACAGTGAGGAACAGGTTTAGTGGTGAAGGTTTCCTGGAGGACTTGGCCCTAGTGCTGGATCTTGAAGGGTGAGTAGGGATTAGAAGGCCGAGGGTAGGGAATAGGGGCAAAATTATAGAAGCAGGCATGAGGGTAGTGGGGCACAGGGCAGTGGGCACATCTGAGGGTTGCAGTAGAGGCCAGCTCCAGGCAAGGGGCCAGAGAGAGGAGGAGAAAGTCTGGTCCTGGGGAGGGAATCCCAGTGCCTGCCATTTACAGAGCAGCATCTTGGGCCAGAGCATTACAGACATCTGCCATGTCTCACAGCAGCCCAGTGTGAAGAGGGCTTGTGGAATTCCCATTTTCCACATGAGGAAGCTGAAGCTCTGAGTCCAGCTCCCAGCAAGTGAATGTCCTACTGCAAAACCCATGCTTTTAATTCTTGGTGATGTGGCCTCTCAGCAGGAGTGAAAAAGTTCCTGCACCTGACTCCCCTGGGAAGCATCCATGTATCCTTTTCACTGAGGCCTGACCAGGGGGCTGGCAACAGAGGGGAGCCAGGGCCCTGACAGTGGTGTTGGTTGTGTTAAAGGCTTGGCCACCGGAGAATCTGATGAGCTGTTGGGTGACACGGACCCACTTGAAATGGAGATCAAGTTGCTCCATTCTCCGATGACGAAAATAGCAGATGCCATTGAAAATAAAACCACCGTGTATAAGGTACCTGTCATCTTTGTTCATGGCAACCCTCTTCTCTCCCCAGGGCTCTGGGAAGTGGTCAATCCCTTTTACCTGCCTTTCATGTGGTGAGATGTGGGTAGTTCACTCGCTCCCTATGGGCTTCTGGATGCCTGGCCTAGTATATCCTTTACCAAGCAATGACAGGTCCAGGAAACAGGCATGCTCTCTAAGGCAGCTTTCCCAGCTCTGGTTCTAGCCCATAGAACAGGTATCACTATCTAGCCACCCAGTTGTCCAACTTGCAAACGACTCTTTCTTCTCCCTAACTAGTACCAGGATTTTATTTTATTTTATTTTTTATTTTTTTATTTTTTTTTGAGATAGAGTCTCACTCTGTCACCCAGGCTGCAGTGCAGTGGCGTGATCTTGGCTCACTGCAGCCTTTGCCTCCCAGGTTCACATGATTCTCCTGCCTCAGCCTCCCAGTTAGCTGGAATTACAGGCATGCGCCACGACACCCGGCTTAATTTTTGTGTTTTTAGTAGAGACAGGGTTTTGCTATGTTGGCCAGGCTGGTCTCGAACCCCTGACCTCGGGTGATCTGCCTGCCTCGGCCTTCCAAAGTGCTAGGATTACAGGCATGAGCCACCATGCCTGGCCTGGGATCTTATACTCTGTCAGTCAGCAAGACCTATGTCTTCTCCCTCCTAAATCTTTTGACAAGCTTTTCATCCTTTTCATCCCTACCATTCCTGTTACCCTAAACTAAGCTTCCAGCCCTCACTTACTTGGACATATGTCCCAAGGTTTCTTTCTTTCTTTTTCTTTCTTTTTTGAGATGGAAACTCGCTCTGCCACCCAGGCTGGAGTGCAGTGGTGTGATCTCAGCTCACTGCAACCTCCGCCTCCTGGGTTCAAGCAATTCTCCTGCCTCAGCCTCCGGAGCAGCTGGGACTACAGGTGCCTGCCACCATGCCTAATTTTTTTTTTTTTTTTTTTTTTTTTTTTGTAGAGATGGGGTTTCACTGTGTTGGCCAGGCTGGTCTTGAGCTCCTGACCTCAGGTGATCCACCTGCCTCGGCCTCCCAAAGTGCTGGGATTACAGGCATGAGCCACTGCACCTGGCCGTGTCCCCTGGTTTCTAATGGCCCAGTCTGACCATGTCACCTCCCCTGCTTAAACTGATTTCATGGCTCCCCAACACCTACACAATCAAGTCCATATACCTGTGGCCTGCTATTGAAGATCTGCAGGGCATGATATGATGACTCCTAGAGGTTTTTTCAGCCTCTTCTTCTGCCAGTCCATCCTCCATCTCTGCCCTTGAGGAGTTCATATTTTAGTGGGTTTCAGACACAGACATCCGCACTGTGATGGGAGACACATAGGGTGCGGATAGGGGTCGAGGTTGGGACAGCATGGATCCAAGGACCCTAACCTGTACTACCTGTGGGTCAAGGAAGTCTTGCTTGAGTCATGTATTAGTCCGTTTTCATACTGCTGTAAAGAGCTGCCTGAGACTGGGTAATTTATAAAGGAAAGAGATTTAATTGACTCACAGTTCAGCACGGCTGGGGAGGACTCAGGAAACTTACAATCATGTCAGAAGGTGAAGGGGAAGCAGGCACCTTCTTCACAAGGTGGCAGGAAGACGAATGAACACAGGAGGAACTACCAAACACATAAAACCATCAGATCTCATGAGAACCCACTATCATGATAAGAGCATGGGGGAGACCACCCCCATGATTCAATTACTTCCACCTGGTCTCTCCCTTGACATGTAGGGATTATGGGAATTATGGGGTTTACAATTCAAGATGAGATTTTGGGTGGGGACACAGCCAAACCCTATCAAGCCACGTCTTGAAACCTGAGGAGTTCTCTGGGCAAGGGGGTCAGCAGCATGTGGTCCAGGACCCAGCCATGTCAGCCAGGCTGGTCTCGAACTCCTGACCCTAAGTGATCCGCCCTCCTTGGCCTCCCAAAGTGTTTGGATTACAGGTGTGACCCACTGCGCCCAGCCAGAGACAGACACTGTTTTTGGTACTCAGGTGTGCTCTATGTTTTTTCAGTGTTCAGTCAGGAATGACCCCTCCCCATCAGTAGTATGTTGACCACCACTATCATCCCTAACCTCAGTCACTCATCCTTCATGTTTCTGATGGGCAGTTACCATACTCTGATTAGTGGTATAGATCATTGTACCTTCTTTAGCCTGGTTGTTTCCTGAAGATGGAACCGAGGCCGGGCGCGGTGGCTCATGCCTGTAATCCCAGCACTTTGGGAAGCCAAGGCGGGTGGATCACCTGAGGTCAGGAGTTCGAGGCCAGCCTGGCCAACATGGTGAAACCCCGTCTCTACTAAAAATAAAAAAAATTAGCCAGGTGTGGTGATGCACGCCTATAATCTCAGCTACTCGAGAGGTTGAGGCAGGAGGATTGCTTGAACCTAGGAGGCACAGGCTACAGTGAGCCAAGATCATACCACTGCACTCCATCCTGGGCAACAGAGCGAAACTCCATCTCAAAAAAAAAAAGATGGAATGGAGTCACTCATTTCTCTGTCCCAGCATTGCCCCACACGGAGCTGGACACAAAGTAGATGTCAAAAAAAAAATTTTTTTTTAAGACAGGGTCTTGCTCTGGCACCCAGGCTGGAGTGCAGTGGTGTGATCTTGGCTCACTGCAGCCTTGAACTCTGGGCTCAAGCAATCCCCCCACCTCAGCCTCCCAAGTGCCTGGGATTACAGATGCAAGCCACCATGCGCAGCTAATTTTATTTTTATTTTTATTTTTTGAGACAGGGTCTTGCTCTGTTGCCCAGGCCGGAGTGCAGTGGTGCAGTCTTGGCTCACTGCAACCTGCACCTCCTGGGTTCAAGTGATTCTCCTGCCTCAGCCTCCCAAGTAGCTGGGATTATAGGCACCCCTCACCATGCCTGGCTAATTTTTGTATTTTCAGTAGAGAAAGGTTTCACCATGTTGGCCAGGCTGGTCTCGAACTCCTGACCTCAAGTGATCTGCCCGCCTCAGCCTCCCAAAGTGCTAGGATTACAGGAGTGAGCCACCATGCCCAGCCTCCCAGCTAATTTTTAACAGAATTGTTTGTAGAGACGAAGGTCTCATTTTGATGCTTAGGCTGGTCTCAAACTCCTGGGCTCAAGTGATCCTCCTGCCTTGGCCTCCCAAAGTGCTAGGATTACAGACCTAATCCTAGTGAACCACTGCGCCTGCCAGAAAATTTTTTTTTTTGAGACAGAGTCTCTGTTACCAGGCTGGAGTGCAGTGGTGCGATCTCGGCTCTCTGCAACTGCCGCCTCCCAGGTTCAAGCGATTCTCTTGCCTCAGCCTCCCGAGTAGCTAGGACTACAGGCGTGTGCCACCATTCCCAGCTAATTTTTGTATTTTTAGTAGAGACGGGGTTTCATCGTGTTGGCCAGGATGGTCTCGATCTCTTGACTTTGTGATCTGCCTGTCTCAGCCTCCCAAAGTGCTGGGATTATAGGCATGAGCCACCGTGCCTGGCCTACCTTTTCATTTTATTCTTGTAGAAGCCATGCAAACTACCCCTTATCCACCCCCCATTTGACAGATAGGGAACTGAGGCTGAGAGTTAACTAAGCACCTGCTGGAGTGTGGTGGGGCCAGAATTGGAGCCTAGTTCCACATGGCTCCAGGCTCCTGTTCTTACCCAAGCCTGTGTCCCTACCTTTTCTGCAGAAGTCTTTGGAGGTTCTCTGGGGGTTAAGACCTCATCGTTATGTTTTCTGTCTCTTCCTAGATTGGAGATCTCACTGGGTATTGCACCAATCCGAACCGTCATCAGATGGGGTGGGCTAAACGCAATGTGGACCACCGCCCTAAGAGCAACAGTATGGTGGATGTCTGCTCAGTGGACCGCCGCTCAGTGCTGCAGAGGATCATGGAGACGGACCCCCTGCAACAGGGCCAGGCTCTGGCATCTGCCCTGAAAAATAAGAAGAAGATGCAGAAACGTGCAGGTGGGAGCCCCAGACCAACCCTGTGCTCTGAAAGGGGCCCACATGGGATCTTTTTTTGTTTTTTTTTTCTGGCTCACTGCAGTCTCCGCCCCCTGGGTTCAAGCGATTCTCCTGCCTCAGCTTCCTGAGTAGCTGGGATTACAGGCACCTGCCACCATGTCCGGCTCATTTTTGTATTTTTAGTAGAGACGATGTTTCGCCATGTTGGCCAGGCTGGTCTCAAACTCCTGACCTCAGGTGATCCACTTGCCTCGGCCTTCCAAAGTGCTAGGATTACAGATGTGAGCCACTGCACGTGGCCCCACCTGGGATCTTGATTGGGGCTCCTGAATGAGTATCTCTCTGTGTCCAGCTCCAGTCTAGGGTTGGGGGCAGGGATGAGCTAGGAGGCTCAACTACTAGCACAGTGGCTCTCAAACTTCAGCTCGCATCAGGATTCCCTGGAGGGTTTGTTAAAACACAGATTTCTGTGCCCCTCCCTCATAGTTTCTAATTGAGTAGGTCTTCTGTGGGGCCTGTTAGAATTTGTATTTCTAACAGGTTCCCAGCTGATGCTATTTCTCTGGGGATCACACTGGGAGAACCACTGGCCTGCCTAGTCTATGTATCAAATAACGACCATTTATTTATCAGGTACTCTCTATGTGTTAGGTAGCTTGCAGGCTATATATCAATAGGCAATATACTCAAAATCCTACACGTACAAGAGGATATACAGTAAAATCTCTCCCACCCGCTAGTCATCCAGACCGCCCCCTCGTCAGCCAGTTAGTTTATTGTGTCTTTTCTGAGACACAAGCAAATATCTATATATTCTTTGTTCTCTTTTTCCACACAAATGCCAATCTACTGGACACATGGTTTTGCCCTATCATTTTTCCACTCACTATGTCTTAGGGATATGTCTATGTTAATACACAAAAGAACTTCTTCCCCTCGTTTTAATGGTGGTACATTGTGTAGCTGGCCCATTTGGGTTTCCATGCTGTACTTTTCACTAACTCATTGCAAAAGTCTTCCCCTTATTTGATAAGTGAGAAAACTGAGGTCCAGAGACATTAAGTGACACGCTAAAGGTAAGACAACTTGTAGTTGATGGAGCCAAAATACAGACTTTGGGTTGATTGACCCCAACAGCCCTATTCTTTGAACTAGATTGTGTTCTGTAACCAAACATACACAATCAGACATTCACTCTTGGCCTGGCTCCACACTGAGTCCTGGGAATTCAGATGAATTGCCTTTGAACTCCTAGTCTTATTAGGGAGTGAGGAGGAGACAAGAAAACAGACCTTGGCAGCACGAGCACATAGTAATCACGTTGAAGACCCAGCAAGCACAGTGAGGGAACCTAACCCAGCCTGGGGATGGTGGTTGGATAGGGGTGATCAGAGAAGGCCTCCTGGAGGAGGTGAAGTCTGGGGGGCATCCTGAGGAACAACAGGGTGTGTCTGGGGGATGGGAGGTGTGCGTGGTGAACGTTCAGGCTTATGGCGAACATACAGCCGTGTTGCCCTTTGCTGTGAGAGCTTTGTTTTGAGGGTAATGGTAGAGCACTAAGTTTGACATAGTAAAAGAAAATTATTGCTTTGGTATTTGGACAAAAATACTTGGAGCCCAGTGAGTCTGAAACCCTGAGATAGAAGCTGTGTTGGGATGATCATTTCACAGATAGAAAAATGGATTGTCTACCTGTGAAGCTGAGCAGTGGCTTCCAGCACTCACCAGTTTTGTGGTAGCGTTTGGGGGTAAGTGAGCCAGTTCAGGAGCTTGGTGTAGACCAAGGTAGATGTAGGCCAGCGTCAGCAGGCCTCCTGGTGGCAAGCCAGCCACCAAAAGATTGCCTGTATTTCTCCATTTGCAGATAAAATCGCCAGCAAGCTGTCTGATTCCATGATGTCTGCTCTCGACCTCTCTGGCAATGCTGATGATGGTGTTGGTGACTAATCGACTGATCTCACTTCCCTTCCGCTCCAAGCACCAGTTCCGGTGGTACGGGGGAATACCAGTGAAATAGTTTGGTTCTCCCTGAAGCATCTGCATATTGAAAGAACGCTTTCCCCACTGTGTGTCTTCTCCCCCTCCTCCAGTAAAAACAGTCCCGGCTAGGTGCTGTGGCTCACGTCTGTAATCCCAGCACTTTGGGAGGCCGAGGTGGGCAGATCACCTGAGGTCAGGAGTTCGAGACCAGCCTGGCCAACATGGTGAAACCCCGTCTCTACTAAAAATACAAAAAAATTTAGCCGTGCTTAGTGGCACCTATAATCCCAGCTACTTGGGAGGCTGAGGCAGGAGAATCGCCTGAACCTGGGAGACTAAGGCAGGAGAATCGCCTGAACCTGGGAGGCAGAGGTTGCAGTGAGCCCAGACGGCACCATTGCACTCTAGCCTGGGCAACAACACGAAACTCCGTCCCAAAAAAAAAAAAAAAAAAAAAATCCCAAGGGGCTGCAGCTGCCAAACCCAATACCCTCTATTTAACCCCTACTCTGTTTTACAAGAGAAATAAAAGAAGTATCAGCAGAGCTCAGGTGCTAACACCTGTTGAGGGCTGACCTACAAAACTCTGCCTACAAAACTCTCTTAGACAGGTGAATATGCCACTAGAAGTTAGGTTGCTGGTAGACCTGGGGGTCCCTGCGGGAGGGTGATGGTTTCTTTACCACCCCACAGGAGATTTCAGTGGCAAGGCATGCCTGCAGTGGGCTTTGGGCCATGCATCTTCCAAGTCCATAGGTCTTCACCTGGGTGGCAGTGAGAAAAAGTAGAAAGTAATGAGCCTCCTGTGTCTCTGGAAGGTTCTAGGGATAGGGTAGAGGGAAGAAGAGAACAAACAAGCCTGGCTTGTGCTGAAGTGTGGTAGGCACTACCCTGTTTGCGTGAAGAGAAAACAAAGCACCTGTTAGTAGGGAGGCTTTAGGGGGAAGCCCCGTCTTGGGGGCATTTCTGGGCAGATTGTGAATTGGAGGAATCTCTTTAACTGAAGTACTCTGGCTGGACCCTGCCCTTGTGTGACCATGTCTCCTATTGCACCAGCATTTGAATTCCATGGCTCAAGAGGGTTCTGGTACCATTTATTCACAGACTGTATCCTCGAGAGAGCTGCTATATATGGGAGTGTACCAGCCAACTCCTTTTCCAGTGTCTGTAAGTCACCTCATTAAAGTATAATTAGCTGTCTCCTCTGGGAGATCCTACCCCATCAGACAAGGGCAGTGAGCCCAAGCAGTGCCAGAGGCCCTCAGAAAGGGATTAGGGTAGATGATTGCAACTGAAACACAATCTTCTTTCTTTGCCAGGGTATTTTGGGGGTTTTGCCCCAAAATATACCCTGGGCATAGCATTACTGCAGTCTTGGATGTCTACCCCAAACTTCCACACCATCCTTCGACCCACAGCTGCACCTTTATTTATTTATTTTGCTCTGTTGCCCAGGCTGGAGTGCAATGGCGTGATCTCGGCTCACTGCAACCTCTGCCTCCCGGGTTCAAGTGATCCTCCTGCCTTAGCCTCCCAAGTAGCTGGGATTACAGGCACCTGCCACCACGCCTGGCTAGTTTTTGTATTTTTAGTAGAGACGATGTTTCACCATGTTGACCAGGCTGGTCTCGAACTCTTGACCTCAAGTGATCCACTCGCTTCGGCCTCCCAAAGTGCTGGGATTATAGGCGTGAGCCACTGTGCCCAGCCTCACAGCTGCATCTTAACCTTACCTTTGCCTCTGCCTCTCAAGCTGGTACCTCCTAATTTACATCCTAAGAGTGGAACCATGTGACAAGGACTGGAGTGCCATTGGCTGTGGACTGTTCAGGCAGGGAAGTACAAGACCACTCTTGTATTCAGGGGCAACCAAAGGAGAGAATTACGTACTTGTTGAGTACAAACTGCACCAAGCCCTGGAGACCCATTACCACCGTTAACCCTCAATACAGCTCTGCTAGTAAGGGATTCGTCTCCCCAAATGAAAAAAAAAAGTAATCTCAGAATGTTGGCCGAGCATGGTGGCTCACACCTGTAATCCCAGTTATGCAGGAGGCTGAGGCAGGAGAATCACTTGATCTCAGGAGGCGGAGGTTGCAGTGAGTCGACATCACACCACTGCACTCCAGCCTGGGGGACAGAGTGAGACTTCGTCTCGGAAAAAAAAAAAAAAAGTTGACAGGATGGCCAGACCCAAGTGGGCGTATTAAGTGGTGGTGCTAGGATTGGAACCCAAGCGTGATTAAAACCCTATGCAGGCCCTTTCCTCTATATTGTACTGCCTCCTTAACAAAGGAAGATTGATTAAGCCCCTACTTTGTGCCAGTCTCTGTTATCAAGTCCGTTAAATGCATTTAACGTTAAATTTTTTCTTTTTTGGTTTAAAAAACTCTAGTTTCTTAAACTACTAGTTTTTAGTGTCTTGCTAAAACTATGTGCTCTTGAATAGGCTACAACTTATTTCACACTATCTCATTGAACTCTCCTGGTATGTGATAGTGTTATAATGAAAAATTGCATACCAGGACAGCTAAGTCTATTTTGCAACCATACAGCGTTTCATAATTTAGCATTTAAAATACAGACAGTCCCCGACTTTTGGTGGTTTGATGTGGGATTTTTGGTGGAAAAGCAGTATACATTCAGAATGCACCTCTACTTATGATGGGGCTACTTCCTGGTAAACCCATTGTAATGTGCAAATTACGGGTTTATCAGGAGGTGACCCCATCGGTAATGGAGAAGTGCTGGGAGGTAAATATTAGAAATGGAAGTATCTAAATGAGTAAGAAACAGCATGGGAGCATAATTTGGCCAAAATCAAACAGAACTAAAGTAGTCATGTCGGTAAGAATTTGGGACTGCAGGCCAGTTACGATAGCTCTCACCTGTAATCCCAGCATTTTGGGAGGCCGAGGCAGGCGGATCACTTGAGGTCAGGAGTTCAAGACCAGCCTAAACAATATGGCGAAACCTCATCTCTACCAAAAAAATACAAAGATTAGCTGGGCATGGTGTCTCATGCCTGTAGTCCCAGCTACCTATGGGGCTGAGGCAGGAGGATCTCTTGAGCCCAGGAGGTCGATGCTGCATTGAGCCGAGATTGTGCCACTGCTCTCCAGCGTGGGCAACAGAGTGAGACTGTCTCAGGGGGAAAAAAAAAGAGGAAAACAAAAAAGACGTTGGGAGTGCAGTTTCTCTACCTACAGCATATCTCAAAGGTTTTTTTTAAAAAAGTATTTTCTTAACTTTTTACCTTCATTTTTCAAAACAATTAGGGTACAATTTACATATAGTAAAGTTCACTCTTTATAGTTTTAGTTATGTGAGTTTGTACAAACATATACAGGAGTGAACCACTACCACAATCGAAATATAGTTGCATCACCCCCCTAAAACTCTCCAGGCCCTTTTGTAGTCAACTCCTACCCCCGACCCTCAGATTCTGCTAACCACTGATTTGTTTTCTGCCCCTATAGTTTTGCTTTAGTATGACTGTCATATCAATAGAATCATACAATGAGTAGGCTTATTTTATGCCTTCAGGTTTTAAAAATTATAAACATTTACATTACAGTAAAATTCACTCTGGTATACAGTTCTATAAAGCTCTGATAAATGTGTAGAGTTGTGTAACCACCAATGCAACCAAGGTACAGAACAGTCCTCTTAGCCTCTCCCTACCAAATTTATTCCTGCTACTTTGTAGTCAAAACCAGTCCCCTACACCCAAACCCTGGCAGTCACTGGTTTTTTTCTTCGTTCTCTTTTTTTTTTTTTTTTTTTTGAGACAGAGTCTAGCTCTGTTGTCCAGGCTGGAGTGGTGCAGTGGCGTGATCTCGGTTCACTGCAACCTCCGCCTCCAGGGTTCAAGCGGTTCTCCTGCCTCAGCCTCCCGAGTAGCTGGGATTATGGGCGCCCGCCACCACGCCCAGCTAATTTTTGTATTTTTAGTAGAGATGGGGTTTCACTGTTTTGGCCAGGCTGGTCTCGAACTCCTGACCTCATGATCCTCCTGCCTCAGCCTCCCAAAGTGCTGGGATTACAAGAGTGAGCCACTGCGCCTGGCCTTTTTCTTTGTTCTTATATTTTTGTCTTTTTTTTTTTTTTTTTTTTGAAACAGAGTCTCACTCTTTCACTGAGGCTGGAGTGCAGTGGCGTGATCTTGGCTCACTGCAACCTCCACCTCCTGGGTTCAAGCGATTCTCCTGCCTTAGCCTCCCGAGTAACAGGGACTACAGGTGCCCACCACCATGCTGGGCTAATTTTTGTATTTTTAGTAGAGGCGGGGGTTTCTCCACACTGGCCAGGCTGGTCTTGAACTTCTGACCTCAAAAGATCCACCCACCTCGGCCTCCCAAAGTGCTGGGATTATAGGCATGAACCACCGTGTCCGGCCATATATTTTCGTCTTTTGAAGACTGTTATATACATGAAATTATATGGTATGTAGCATTTTGAGAGCGACTTCTTTTGCTATGAGTAATACATTTGAGATTCATCCATATTTCTCAGTATATTAATAGTTCTTATTTCTGAGTCACTCCATTGTGTGGATTTACTACTGTTTGTTCCCCAGTTGAAGGATGTTTAGGATCTTTGCAGTTTTGGACAATTACAAGTAAAGCTGCTATAAACATTTGTATGCAACATTTTGTGTTTTCATTTATCTATAGTAAATACCTAGAGTTGGATTGCTGGGATATATGGTAAGCATATGTTTGACATTTTAAGAAACTTCTAAACTGTTTTTCAAAGTGGCTCTACCATTTCACATTCCCATCAGTATGAAAGTTTCATTTCCACATCCTCTCTAGTACTTGGGGGTGTCAGTTTAGTTTTTTAATTTTTAAATTTTTTAATTTTTTTAATACATTTAAATAGAGATGGGGTCTCACTGTGTTGACCAGGATGGTCTTGAACTGCTGGCCTCAAGTAATCCTCCCATCTCGGTCTCCCAAAGTGCTAGGATTACAGGTGTGAGCCACCATGCCCAGCCAGGTTTTTTGACATTAAGTATGTGGTGGTATCTCATCGTTTTTATTTGCATCCTCTAATGATTTGAGCATATTTTATATGCTTATTTGCTATCTACATATCTTCTTTGGCAAGGTGTTCACATCTCTTGCATATTTTGGATTGTTTTATTATTTTTGAATTTTGAGGATTATATGCTGGATACAGGGGTGTTTTTTTTTTTTTTTTTTTTTGAAACAGAGTCCTCACCCAGGTTGGAGTGTAGTGGTGCAATCTCGGCTCACTGCAACCTCTGCCTCCTGGGTTCAAGTAATTCTCATGCCTCAGCCTCCTGAGTAGCTGGAATTACAGGCGCAGGCCACCATGCTTGGCTAACTTTTATATTTTTACCAGAGACAAGGTTTCACCATGTTGGCAAGGCTGGTCTTGAACTCTGGACCTCAAGTGATACACCCGTCTTAGCCTCCCAAAGTTCTGGGATTACAGGCATGAGCCATTGTGCCTGGCCAGTATCTTGTCTTCTCATTCTGTAAACGGTGTCTTTTTTTCATTATGGGAAAGCTTTATTGACACATTTGTTTTTATTTTTAAAAATTATGGTAAAATACACAGAACATAAACGTTACCATCTGATATGGTTTGGCTGTGTCCACACCTAAATCTCGAATTGTAGTTCCCATAATCCCCACACATATGTACCACATTTTCTTTATCCAGTCTTTCGTTGATAGACATTTAGGTCGATTCCATGTCTTTGGTATTGTGAATAGTGCTGCAGTGAACATATGTGTGCATGTGTCTTTATGGCAGAATGATTTATATTATGCATAACCAAAACTGTACTTATTAAACAATAACCTCCCAACCCCTTCTGCCCACAACCTCTGGCGACTGCCATGCTACTTTCTGTCTCTGAATTTGAATACCCTGATAGTCATATAATATTTATCTTTTTGTGACTGGCTTATTTCACTTTGCATAATGTATTCAAGCTTAATCTGTGTTGTAGCCTGCGTCAGAATTTCTTTTCTTTTTAATGCTGAGTATTATTCTATTGTGTGTATATACCACATTTTATTTATCCATTCATCCACTGATGGACATGTGCATTGTTCCCACCTTTTGGCTATTGTGAAAAATGCTGTTATGAATATGGGTATGGAGATCTCTCCCCTTATTTTGAGACAGGATCTCACTGTCACCCAGGCTGGGGTGCAGTGGTGTGCTCATAGGTCACTGTAGCTTCGACCTCCTGGGCTCAAGCGAACCTCCCACCTCCGCCTCTTGAGTAGCTGGGACCACAGGCATGTGCCACCATGGCTGTTAAATTTATTAATTTGTTTTTCTATGGATCATGCTTTTTGTGTTACATCAGAGGAGTCTTTGCTTAACATGAGATGACAAAGGTTTTCTCCCATGTTTCCTCCTAAAAGTTTTATAGTTTTAGGTTTTACATTTAGGTCTATGATCCATTTTGAGTCAATTTTTGTATATGGTACAAGGTATGAATCTATGCTTTTTAAAAAAATATGGTTACCCAATTTTTCTAGCAGTATGTGCTAAAACTTTGCTAAAGTCACTTAGTTCTAGTAGCTTTTTTTGCAGATTTAACCAGACTTTCTACATAGACAATCATATCTTCTGTGAATAAACATGGTTTTATTTCTTCATGTCTAATATATATGTCTGCATTTTTTTTTTTGTCTTATTGTAGTCGCTGGGACTTCCAGTACTACACTGAGTAAGAGTGGTGGCCAGGTGCGGTGGCTCACGCCTGTAATCCCAGCGCTTTGGGAGGCTGAGGTGGGCTGATCACCTGAGGTCGGGAGTTTGAGACCAGTCTGACCAACATGGAGAAACCCCGTCTCTACTAAAAATACAAAATTAGCTGGGTGTGGCAGCGCATGCCTGTAGTCCCAGCTACTTGGGAGGCTGAGGCAGGAGAATCTCTTGAACCCAGGAGGCAGAGGTTGCAGTGAGCCGAGATCACACCATTGCACTCTAGCCTGGGCAACAAGAGCGAAACTCCATCTCAAAAAAAAAAAAAAAGAATGGTGAGCACAGGCATCCCTGTCTTGTTTCTGACTTTGGGGGAGAGTATTCTTTCTGCCTTTAACCATTAAGTATGTTAGATTTTTGTATTGCCCTTTACTAGTATGAGGTGCTAAGGGTTTGTTTTAGGAATGGATGTTAGATTTTCTTAAATGTTTTTATGCATCTATTGAAATGATTACATGGTTTTTCTTTTGTGGTTTGTTTTTAATGTAGTTTTAATAAATTATATTGATTGATTTTCTTATGATAAACCAATCCTGCATTCCTGTGATAAACCCCACTTTGTCATGATGTATTATTCTTTTTTTTTTTTTTTTGTGAGACGGAGTCTCACTCTGTCACCCAGGCTGGAGTGCAGTGGCATGATCTTGCCTCACTGCAACCTCTGCCTCCCGGGTTCAAGTGATTCTCCTGCCTCAGCCTCCTGAGTAGCTGGGACTACAGGTGCGTGCCACCACGCCCGGCTAGTTTTTGTATTTTTAGTAGAGATGGGGTTTCACCATATTGGCCAGGCTGGTCTCGAACTCCTGACCTTGTGATCCGCCCGCCTCAGGCTCCCAAAATGCTGGGATTACAGGCATGAGCCATTGCACCCAGCCTATTCTTTTAATAAATTGTTGGGAAGTTATATTAGTTTCTATTGCTGCTGTAAAAAATTAGCACAGACTTTGTGGCTTAAAACAACACAAATCTATCATCTTACACTTCTAGAGGTGAGAGGTCCCAAATGAGTTTCACTGGGCCAAAATTGGTGTTGTCAGGGTTACACTCTCTCCAGAGACTCTAGGGGAGAATCCATTTCCTTGCCTTTTTCAGCTTCTAGAGGCTGCTTAGATTCCTAGAATAATGGCTTCTTTCCTCATCTTCAAAATAACTATGTAGTATCTTTTTTTTTTTTTTTTGAGACGGAGTCTCACACACTGTCGCCCAGGCTGTTGTGCAGTGGCACGATCTCCGCTCACTGCAACCTCTGCCTCCTGGGTTCAAGTGATTCTCCTGCCTCAGCCTCCCAAGTAGCTGGGATTAGAGGCATGCGCCACCATGCCCGGCTAATGTTTTGTATTTTTAGTAGAGATGGGGTTTCACCGTGTTGGCCAGGCTGGTCTTGAACTCCTGACCTCATGATCCATCTGCCTGGGCCTCCCAAGGTGCTGGGATTATAGGCGTGAGCCACGACGCCTGGCCAACAATGTAGTATTTTTTCTCTTTTCTGAACCTCTCTTCCAATCCTTATATCTTCTCTGACTCTGATCTTCCTGCCTCTCACTTAAAAGGACTCTTGTGATTACTTTGCATGCATTGGGATCATCTAGGATAATCTCCACATCTCAATATGTTTAAGTTAATCACATCTGGAAAGTTCCTTTAACCATGTAAAGTAACATATTCAAAAGTTTTGGAGATTAGGATCTGTAGATCTTTGAGGATGGGAGGCATTATTCAGCCTACTGCAGATGTAATTTGATAAATTTTTGCTTGGAATTTTTGCATCTACATAAGGATATTGGTCTGAAGTTTTCTTTTGTTTAATGTCTTTATCTTTGGTATCGGGGTAATGCTGACCTCATAGAATGGGTTGGGAAGTGTTTCCTGTTTTTGGAAGAGTCTGTGTACAATTGGTATCATTTCTTAAATTTTAGAGTTTACCAGTAAGTTTTATTTGTGGGAAGGTTTAAGACTACAATTTCAATTTTTAAAATATATATAGGGCTATTCAGGTTATATTTCTTCTTGTGTGAGGATTGGTAATTAGTATTTTAAAGAAAGTTCTTCATTTCATGTAGTTTATCAAATTAATTTTTGTAAAGTTGTTAATATCCTCTTATCATTTTGTATAAATTGTTAAAACGATTCTAAAATTGATAAGAAAATGCAAAGTAGTTAGAATGTAGTCAAAGCAACTCTGAAAAAGGAACAAAGTTGGAAGACTAACACAATGTGATACCACATTTGTCATTCCTGATATTAATAGTTTGTGCCTTTTTCCCCTTGATCATCTGGCTAAAGATTTATCAATTGTATTGATCATCTCAAAGAATCACATTTTGGTTTAATTGATTTTCTCTGTTTTCTGTTTTCTAATTCATTGGTTTCTGCTTTATCTTTATTGTTTCGTTTTGCTTATTATCCAAAAAGTTTATGATTTTTGTATTACTTAGAACTGTGTTATTTAACTTCCACATATTTGGACATTTTCCAGAGATCTTTCTGCTATTGACTTCTAATTTAATTACATTATGGTAAAGGAATGTACTTTATATGACTTGAATATGTTAAAACATATCAAAACTTGTTTCATGGCCCAGAATATGGTCTGTATTGGTAATATGTTTCATGTGCACTTGAGAAGAATAAATTTTGCTGTTGTTGAGTAGTCTTCTATAAATGTCAACCAAGTTAAGTTGGTTGATAGTGTTTTTCATGTCTACTATATCCAGGCTGACTTTATGCCTACTTGTTCTATCAGTTATTAAGAGAGGACTATCGAAGTCCCCAATGATAATTGTGGATTTGTCTGTTATTTTTTGTAGTTGTATCAGTTTTTATTTAATTGATTTTGAACCTTTCATGCTAGGTGCATAGACCTTTAGGATTGTCATGTCCTCTTAGTTAACTGACCCCACTATCATTCTGAAATGAACTTCCTTGTATTCTTTGTTCTGAAATGCATTTTGTCTAGTATAAATATAGCTGCTGCAGCTTTTTTGGGCTAGTTTAACTATGGTATATCTTTTTCATCCTTTTACTTTTTATGTATTTGTGTGTTTATGTTTAAAGTGCATTTATCATAGGCAGCATATAGTTGGTTCTTGCTTTTTTATCCAATTTGACAGTCTCTGCCTTTTAATTGATGTTTGGATCCATTTACATTTAATGTTATTATCAGTATGGCTAGGTTTGAGTCTATCATCTTGCTATTTGTTTTGTATTTGTTCCATGTATGCTTTGTTCCCTTTTCTCCCTTTTTCTGCCTTCTTTTGGATTACTGTTTTTTTTAATGATTCCATTGTTTTTTCTTCCTTGATTTATTAGCTGTACCTCATTGTTTTATTATCTTAGTAGTTGCTTTAGAGTTTATAGTATAAATGTTTAACTTCCTCCTCCTGGCTTTCATGCTAGTGTCATAAATTTTACTTGTAGATTTTATAAACCTTAAAATACATTGTTGTTATTTTTGTTTATACTTTAAGTCCTCTTTTAAAGAGATTTAAATAATAGAAAATAATTATATACTCACATAGTTACCATTTCTGGTATTCTTCATTGCTCTGTGTGGCTCCAGACTTCTATAAGGTAGCATTTTCTTTCTGCCTGAAGAACTTTCTTTAACATTTTTTGCATTGTGAGTCTATTGGGCAATGAATTAATTCAGCTTTTGTATGTCTGAATGTATTTTTTTTGCCGTCATCTTTGAAAGGTATTTTTGCTACATATAGAATTTAAGTTGATAGGTTTTGTCTTTCAGTACCTCAAAAGCATTGTTTCATGCTCTTCTCAATTATGTTGTTTCTAAGATGTCATCCTAATTTTTTTTTTTTTTTTTGAGACAGAGTCTTGCTCTGTTGCCCAGGCTGGACTGCAGTGGCACGATCTCAGCTCACTGCAAGCTCCACCTCCCGGGTTCATGCCATTCTCCTGCCTCAGCCTCCCGAGTAGTTGGGACTACAGGCACCGGCCACCACGCCCGACTAATGTTTTTATATTTTTTAGTAGAGATGGGGTTTTACCGTGTTAGCCAGGATGGTCTCGATCTCCTGACCTCGTGATCCATCCACCCGCCTCAGCCTCCCAAAGTGCTGGGATTACAGGTGTGAGCCACTGCGCCCGGCCTTTTTTTTTTTTTTTTTTTTGAGACAGGGTCTTGCTATGTTACTCAGGCTGGTCTCAAATTCCTGAGCTCAAGCAATCCTCCCACCTCCGCCTTGCGAGCAGCTGAGATTATAGGCGTGCACTGCTGCACCTGGCTTGAGACATCTGATGTCATCTTAATTTGTTTCTTCTATAGATAATGTGTTTTTTAATCTTTATCACTTTTGAGCAATGTAATTATAATATGCCTTGGTGGGTTTTTTTCTTTTATGTTTTTCTGCTTGGAGTTTATTGAACTTCTTGGATATTTAGGTTTATAGATTTCATCAAATTTGGAAAGTTTTTGGCCATTAATTTATCAAATATTTTTTCCTCTTCACCTGCTTTCCTCCTTCACGGACTCCAGTTACCTATTTTAAGCTGCCTGAAGTTGTCCCACAGATCATTGATGTTCTTTGGATTTTTTGGATTTTTTTTTTCTCTCTGTGTTTTATTTTGGGTAGTTTCTATTTTATTTTATTTTATTTTTATTTATTTATTTTTTTTTATTGATCATTCTTGGGTGTTTCTCACAGAAGGGGATTTGGCAGGGTCATAGGACAATAGTGGAGGGAAGGTCAGCAGATAAACAAGTGAACAAAGGTCTCTGGTTTTCCTAGGCAGAGGACCCTGCGGCCTTCTGCAGTGTTTGTGTCCCTGGGTACTTGAGATTAGGGAGTGGTGATGACTCTTAACGAGCATGCTGCCTTCAAGCATCTGTTTAACAAAGCACATCTTGCACCGCCCTTAATCCATTTAACTCTGAGTGGACACAGCACATGTTTCAGAGAGCACAGGGTTGGGGGTAAGGTCACAGATCAACAGGATCCCAAGGCAGAAGAATTTTTCTTAGTACAGAACAAAATGAAAAGTCTCCCATGTCTACTTCTTTCTACACAGACACAGCAACCATCCGATTTCTCAATCTTTTCCCCACCTTTCCCCCCTTTCTATTCCACAAAGCCGCCATTGTCATCCTGGCCCGTTCTCAATGAGCTGTTGGGCACACCTCCCAGACGGGGTGGTGGCCGGGCAGAGGGGCTCCTCACTTCCCAGTAGGGGCGGCTGGGCAGAGGCGCCCCTCACCTCCCGGATGGGGCGGCTGGCCGGGCGGGGGGCTGACCCCCCCACCTCCCTCCCGGATGGGCGGCTGGCCTGGCGGGGGGCTGACCCCCCCCACCTCCCTCCCGGACAGGGTAGCTGCCGGGCGGAGATGCTCCTCACTTCCCAGACGGGGTGGCTGCCGGGCGGAGAGGCTCCTCACTTCTCAGACGGGGCAGCTGCCGGGCGGAGGGTCTCCTCACTTCTCAGGCGGGGCGGCCGGGCAGAGACGCTCCTCACCTCCCAGACGGGGTCGCAGCCGGGCAGAGGCGCTCCTCACATCCCAGACAGGGCGGCGGGGCAGAGGCGCTCCCCACATCCCAGACGATGGGCGGCCAGGCAGAGACGCTCCTCACTTCCTAGATGTGATGGCGGCCGGGAAGAGGCGCTCCTCACTTTACAGATGGGATGGCGGCCGGGCAGAGACGCTCCTCACTTTCCAGACTGGGCAGCCAGGCAGAGGGGCTCCTCACATCCCAGACGATGGGTGGCCAGGCAGAGACGCTCCTCACTTCCCAGACGGGGTGGCGGCCGGGCAGAGGCTGCAATCTCGGCACTTTGGGAGGCCAAGGCAGGCGGCTGGGAGGTGGAGGTTGTAGCGAGCCGAGATCACGCCACTGCACTCCAGCCTGGGCGCCATTGAGCACTGAGTGAACCAGACTCCGTCTGCAATCCCGGCACCTCGGGAGGCCGAGGCTGGCGGATCACTCGCGGTTAGGAGCTGGAGACCAGCCCGGCCAACACAGCGAAACCCCATCTCCACCAAAAAAATACGAAAACCAGTCAGGCTGAGGCAGGAGAATCAGGCAGGGAGGTTGCAGTGAGCCGAGATGGCAGCAGTATAGTCCAGCTTCGGCTGGGCATGAGAGGGAGACCATGGGGAGAGGGAGACCATGGGGAGAGGGAGAGGGAGAGGGAGAGCTCTTTTTTTCTTTTCTTTGAGACAGAGTCTCGGTAGTTTCTATTTTATGCCTTCAAGTTCACAAATATTTTCTTCTGCATTGTCTAGTGTGCTGTTTGTCCCTCCAGTGTATTTCTTCAACTCAGACATTGTAGTTTTCATCTCTAGAAATTAAATTTGGGTGTTTGAAAATATTTTTTATTCCTCTATTTACCTGTTTGAACATACGGAATATAGATAACAAATGTTTAATGTACTTCTCTGATAATTCTAACATCTTTGGAAATTCTCAGTCAGCTTTGTTGATTATTCTCATTATGGGTCATATTTTTCTGCTTTTTTTTTTTTTTTGCATAACCAGTAATCTTTGATTTGATGCCAGGCCCTGTGAATTTTGCCGTTTTCATTGCTTGCATATTTTTGTATTCTTATGAACTTTTGAGCTTTGTTCTTTGATGCAGTTAAGTTATTCTGAAACAGTTTGATCGTTTTGGGTCATGCTTTTATGATTTGTTAAGCAGGTTCAGGGCATAAGTTTTTTCAGTTTGGCTGGATCATATCATCTGTGAATAAAATGGTTTTACATCTTCCTTTACAATCGATGTGCTTTTCATTTCTTTTTCTCAACTCACTATACTGACTAGGACAATGTTGTGTAGAAGTGGTGAAAGCAGACACCCTTGACTTATTTCCAACCTTAGGAGGAAAATACCGAGTCTCTTACTATTAAATATAATGTCTATTGTAGGTTTTGTAGATGCCCTTTATCAGGCTGAGGAAGTTCCATTTTATTTTTAGTTTGTTGAGAAATTTTTTTATCACGATTGAGTGTTGCATTTGTTACATGCTTTTTCTGCATTTATCGAGATGATTATATAGGTTTTCTTTTAATTCTACCAATATAGCGTATTGCATTAATTGATCTTTGAATGTTAAACCAACCTTACATGTTCGTGGAGTAAATAGCACTTGGACATAGTGTATAATACGTTTCATATGCCACTGGATTCATTTTGCTACTACTTTCTTGAGAATTTTTATGTCTATTCAAAAGGTATATTTGTATATAGTTTTCTTGTGATGTCTCTGTCTGTTTTTGGTATCAGAATAATGCTAGCCTTATAGAATAAGTTGGGAAGTGTTACTTTTATTTTTTGGAAGAATTTGTGAAAGATTGTTATTGTTTATTCTTTAAATGTTTGTTACAATTCAGCAGCAAAGCAAGCTGGGCTTGGGCTTTTCTTTGAGGCAAGATTCCTGATTCGGTATCTTGTTAAATTTCTGTTAGATTTTCTATTTATTGCATTTCTTCCTGAGTTAGTTTTGGTAATTTGTGTTGAATGTATTTGTATTTTTCAAGTTATTTAATTTGATGTCATAAAATTGTTCATAGAATTTGCTTATAATCTTTTTAACTTTTTTTCAGTAAGGTCAGTAGTGATGTCTCTTCTTTCATTCAGATTTGATAATTTGTGTTGTCTGTCTTTGTTTCTTGGTTAGTTTACCTAAAGTTTTGTCAAATTTGTTGATCTTTTTGAAGAATCAGCTTTTGGTTTCATTGACTTTCTCTATTGTTATTCTGTTTTCTATTTTGTAGATTCCTGCTCTAATTTTCATTATTTCCTTCATTTGGTTTGCTTTGGGTTCAGTGTGTTCTGTTTCTCATTTACTAAAGTACAAGTTTAGGTTATTGATGGGAGATCTTTCTTCTCTTGTGAAATAGATGAGTTTGTTCTGTTTTATTCAGCTCAATATATTTTAAATTTTCCTTGTGATTTCTTTTGTCCATGGATTACATAGAAGTATGTTGTTTAATTCCAAATATTTGTAGAATTTCCAAATTTCCTTCTGTTGTTGATTTATAATTTATCATTTTAATTTTTTGGATGAATGCACCTTCTATGATTCAAATCCTTTAAAATGTATTAATAAGGCCGAGTGCAGTGGCTCACGCCTGTAATCCCAGCACTTTGGGAGGCGGAGGCGGGCAGATCACCTGAGGTCGGGAGTTCGAGACCATCCTGGCTAACACGGTGAAACCCCATCTCTACTAAAAATACAAAAAATTAGCCGGGTGTGGTGGCGGGCGCCTGTAGTCCCAGCTACTCAGGAGGCTGAGGCAGGAGAATGGCGTGAACCCGGTAGGCGGAGGTTGCAGTGAGCTGAGATCTCGCCACTGCACTCCAGCCTGGGTGACAGAGCAAGACTCCGTCTCAAAAAACAAAAACAAACAACAAAAAAATTAGCCGGGCGTGGTGGCGCATGCCTGTAATCCCAGCAACTCGGGAGGCTGAGGCAGCAGAATTGCTTGAACCCGGGAGTCGGAGGTTGCGGTGAGCCGAGATCGCACCATTGCACTCCAGCCTGGGCAACAAGAGTGAAGCTCCATCTCAAAAAAAAATGTATTAATACTTATTCTATGGCATTGAATATTATCTGTCTTGGAGAATGTTCCATATGCATTTGAGGAAAATGTATATTCTGCCATTGTGGGATGGAGTGTTCTAAGGATGATATTAAGATCAAGTGGGTTGATAGTGTTCAGATTTTCTGTATCTTTGCTGGTATTTCTACCTTTTGTTCTAGCTATTATTGAACATCTGTTTGAAGCTTCCATATTATTATTCAGTTGTCTATTTCTCCTTTCAATTCTGTCAGTTTTCTTCATTTATTTTGGAAAATCTGTTAGATGGGTTTACAGTTTTTATATGTTCATGACAAATTGACCTTTTTATTATTATAAAATCATTGTCTTAGTCCTTAGTAACTTTTTTTGCTTTTGAAGTCTATTTTGTTTCACGTTAGTAAAACCATTTAAAGCCTCTTCTTAGAATGGTATATCTTTTACTGTCAACCCATTTTTTTATCTTTGAATACAAAGTGTGTCCCTTCTAGACTGCATATAGCTTGAACTTGCTTGTCACAGTCTGTGCCCTTTTATTGGAATATTTAACTTATTTATATTTTATTTTATTTTTTGAGATGGAGTCTTGCTCTGTTGACCAGGCTGGAGTTCAGTGACAGGATCTTGGCTCACGGCAACCTCTGCCTCCTGGGTTCTAGCAATCCTCCTGAGTAGATGGGATTTCAGGCACCCACCACCATGCCTGGGTGATTTTTGTGTTTTAGTAGAGATGGAGTTTCACCGTGTTGGCCAGGCTGGTCTTGAACTCCTGACCTTAAGTGATCCACCTGCCTCGGCCTCCCAAGGTACTGGGATTACAGGTGTGAGCCACTGTGCTCGGCCTTATTTATATTTTATATATTGTTGATATAGTTGAATTTATGTATGCCATTAAATTATTTGTTTCTATTTATCTCATGTGTTTTGTGTTTCTCTACCCCTTTTTAAATCCCGCCTTCTTTTTTGTTGTGGTAAAAAATACGTAAAGAAAAATTTACCATTTTAACCATTTTTAGGAGAACAGTTCTGTGACATTAAGTTCATTCACATTGTTGTGAACCATCAGTGCATCTATCTCCAGAACTTTTTCATCTTCACCAAATGAAACTCTGTACTCTCTAAACACTAGCTCCCCATTCTCCTTTCCCTCCAGTCCCTGGTAAACACCGTTTTGCTTTCTATCTTTAAGAATTTGACTATTCTAGGAATCACAAATAAGTGGAATCATATAATATTTCTGTTTTTGCGACTGGCTTATTTCACTTAGCATAACGTTTTCAAGGTTCATCCATGTTGTAACAGTTCACAATTTCCTTCCATTTAAGACTGAATCATACCCCATTGTATATGTATCACCGTTTTCTACCCCAGCTTTTGAAGTGTAATTGACAAGTAAAACTTGCATATATTCAAGGTGTACAGTGTGGTGCTTTGATATGCATATCCATTGTGAAATGATTATCACAATTCTGCTAATAACATCATTATCTCACATGGTAACTTTTTTTTTGTTTGGTGAGAATACTCAAGATTTCTTAAATTTCAAATATACATTATTATTAACTATAGTCATCATGCTGTACCATAGGTCTCCAGAAATTATTCATATTATAACTGCAAATTTATACCTTTTGACCAACATCTTCCCATTTCCCTCACCACCTCCAGCCTCTGGTAACCACCTTTCTACTGTTTCCAAGAGTTTAACTTTTTAAGATTTCACTTAGAAGTGAGATCATGCAGTATTTGTCTTTCTGTGTCTAAACTATTTTACTTAGCATAATTCCTCCAGGTTTACCTATGTTGTCACAGATGGCAGAATTTCCCTTTTTTTTTTGGCAGGGTCTCACTCCCGTTGCCCAGGCTGGAGTGCAGTGGCATGATCTTGGCTTCCTGCAGCCTCGAATTCCCCAGGCTCAGGTGGTCTTCCCATCTCAGCCTCCCAAGTAGCTTGGACTACAGGCGTGGGCCACAATGCCTGGCTAATTTTTTGTATTTTTAGTAGATACAGGGTTTTGCCATGTTGCCCAGGCTGGTCTCAAACTCCTGGGCTCAAGCAATCTGCCTGCCTCGGCCTCCCAAAGTGCCAGGATTACAGGTGTGAGCCACCGCACCCGGCCCTTTGTGGTAGTATTATCGTGTATTACTTCTACATATGCTGTAAAGACACACCAGATTGGTACTAGTTTTTCTTTAGTCAATTATCTATTAGAACAAATAGAAAAATAAAATTTATATTTACTTTCATTTATTCCATTTTGGCATTTATCATTTTTGTGTGTGTGTATTCAAATTTCTGTCTGAAATATTGCTTCTGCTGGAAAAACTTCCTTTTACATCTCTTGTAATGAAATTCTGCTGGGATTTTTAGTTTTTGTCTGATTTATTTCTCCTCATTTATTTATACTTTTAATTATCATATAGTAACATTTACTCTTTCTGTGTACAGTTCTATGATTTTTGACAAATACATAGATATTTAACCAACACTACAGTTAGGATAAATTAAAAACTTTATCATTCCCAATAATTCCTTGTGCTATCCTTTTTAAGTCAAATCTTTGGCCATGTATAATGTGATCTTTTAACTAACTCTAATAGTTTTGCCATTTTCAGAATGCCATATACATGGAATCATAAAGTATGTAGGCTTTTGTTTAGCTTCTTTCACTTAGCATAATGCGTTTGAGATTCATCCATTTTGTTGCATGTATCATAGTCTTCCATTGTATGGCTATACTAGAGTTCATTAGTCAATTCAAGTGCTTTCCAGTTCTTAGCAGTGTTGAATAAAGCTGCTATCAATATTTGCAAGCACATTTTTGTGTTAACCTAAGTTTTTATTCCATTTGGTAAATACCTAGAATTTGGATTTCTGGGTAGTGTATATTCTATGTTATTGGCAACTGCAAAAATGTATGGGAGTTCCAGTTTGTCTGCATCTTCACCAGCACTAACTAGTGTTAATGTTTTCTTTTAACTTTACCCATTTTAATAGTTCTGTAATAGTATCTTATTGTGGTTTGAATATGCATTTCTCTCGTGACTAATGATGTTTGGCTTTTCATGTTCTTATTTGACATTCATGCATAATCTGTAAACAAGGATTTGTTTAAATATTTGGCTTGTTTTTAAAAAGTGGGTTGTTTTGCCATTATTTAGTTTTGTGAATTATTTATATATTCTACATATATGTCTTTTGTCCTATATGTGATTTGCATATATATTCTATAAGTCCGTGGCTTGCTTTTTTATTCTCTTAACCATGTCTTTCACAGAGCAAAGGTTTTAAATTTTGTTGAACTTTATCTTTTTTTAATATGAATTATGTTTTTGGTGTTCTATCTTAGAAATCTTCGCTTTACCTGAAGTCACAATTATATTCTCCTATGTTTTTTCTAAAGTTCTATAATGTTATATTTAAAAGTTAAGTCTATTACCATTTCAATTTCTTATATAAATTTTGAGGTTTTAAAATTAATTTAGTTTAAGTTTTTGAGACAGTGTCTTGCTTTGCCGCCCAGGCTGGAGTACAGTGGCACAATTGGCCTCCAGGGCTCAAGCCATCCTCCTCCCTCAGCCTCCCAAGTAGCTGGGACCACAGGCATGCACAACCGTACCTGGCTAATTTTAATTTTAATTTTAATTTTTGTGGAGATGAGGTCTTGCTATGTGGCACAGGCTGTTCTTGATCTTGAACTCTTGGGCTCAAGAGATCCTCCTGCCTAAGCCACCCAAAGTGCTGGGATTATAGGCATCAGCCTCTACACCCAGCTAAATGGTGAGGTTTAGGTTAAAGATTTTTCTCTTAAAATGTATTTGTTTGCTCACTGCAGCCTCCACCTCCTGGGTTCAGTCGATTCTCCTGCCTCAGCCTCCCTAGTAGCTGAGACTACAGGCATGCGCCACAACGCCTGGCTAATTTTTGTATTTTTAGTAGAGACAGGGTTTTGCCATGTTGGCCAGGCTCGTCTTGAACTCCTGACCTCAGGTGATCCACCAGCCTCGGCCTCCCAAAGTGCTGGGATTACAGGCATGAGCCACTGTGCCTGGCCTAAAGTTTGTTTTTTTTTTTTTTTTTTTTTTTTTTTATACTTTAAGTTTTAGGGTACGTGTGCACAACGTGCAGGTTATTTACATATATATACATGTGCCATGTTGGTGTGCTGCACCCATTAACTCGTCATTTAACATTAGGTATATCTCCTAGTGCTATCCCTCCCCCCTCCCCCCACCCTACAACAGGCCCCGGTGTGTGATGTTCCCCTTCCTGTGTCCATGTGTTCTCATTGTTCAATTCCCACCTATGAGTGAGAACATGCGGTGTTTGGTTTTTTGTCCTTGAGATTGTTTGCTGAGAATGATGATTTCCAGTTTCATCCATGTCCCTACAAAGGACATGAACTCATCATTTTTTATGGCTGCATAGTATTCCCGTGGTGTATATGTGCCAAATTTTCTTAATCCAGTCTATCATTGATGGACATTTGGGTTGGTTCCAAGTCTGTGCTATTGTGAATAGTGCCGCAATAAACATACGTGTGCATGTGTCTTTATAGCAGCATGATTTATAATCCTTTGGGTATATACCCAGTAATGGGATGGCTGGGTCAAATGGTATTTCTAGTTCTAGATCCCTGAGGAGTCGCCACAGTGACTTCCAGTGTGGTTGAACTAGTTTCCAGTCCCACCAACAGTGTAAAAGTGTTCCTACTTCTCCACATCCTCTCCAGCACCTGTTGTTTCCTGACTTTTTAATGATTGCCATTCTAACTGGTGTGAGATGGTATCTCATTGTGGTTTTGATTTGCATTTCTCTGATGGTCTGGCCTAACCTTTTTAAGAATTTATTTATTTTTTATTTTAATTTTCTTTTGAAATAGAGTCTCACTCTGTCACCCAGGCTGGAGTGCAGTGGCACAATCTCGGCTCACTGCAACCTCTGCCTCCTGGGTTCAAGTGATTCTCCTGCCTCAGCCTCCCGAGTAGCCAGGACTACAGGCGCGTGCCACCACACCTGGCTAATTTTTGTAGTTTTAGTAGAGACGGGGTTTCCCCATGTTGGCCAGGCTGGTCTCGAACTCCTGACCTCAGGTGATCTGCCTGCCTCAGCCTCCCACAGTGCTGGGATTACAGGTATAAGCCACCACGCCTGGCCTAAACTTTTAATTTTTAGATGCAGTTGTACAAAACAATACTGAGAAATTCCATGTAAGCTTTACCCAGTTTCCCCCAATGGTAACATCTTGTAAAACTATAATACCATATAACTAACAGAATATTGATATTGATAAAGTCAAAATACAAAACATTTTAATTTTATTTTAGAGACAGGATTTCACTCTGTAACCGAGGCTGAAGTGCTGAGGCGCTCTCTTGGCTCACTGCAGCCTTGAACTCCTGGGCTCAAGTGATCCTCCCACCTCAGCCTCTGGAGTAGCTGGGACTACAGGTGCATGCCACCACACCTGGCTAAAATTTTTAAATTATTTTTTGTAGAGATGGGGTCTTGCTGTTGCTTAGACTGGTCTCAAACTCCTGGCCTCAAGTGATCCTCTTGCCTCGGACTCTCACAGTGTTGGGATCACAGGCATGAGCCACTGTGCCCCATCAATGTTGCCCTTTTATAGCCACCCACTTCTTTGCTGTCATTACGCCCTCTTTAAACCCTAGCAACTACTAATCTACTATGCATTTTAATTATTTTGTCATTTCAAGAATGTTATATTACTAGAGTCATATAGTAATCTTTTGTGATAGGATTTTTATAGTTAGAGTAATTCTTTGGAGATTCGTCCAGGTTGTTGCAACAAACAATAGTTTGTTCCTTTTTCTTACTGAATATTATTCCATGGTATAGATGTACAAGTTAGCTTAACCATTCATCTGTTGAAGGACATTAAGGCTGATTCCAATTTTTTACTGTTATCAATAAAGCTAGGATGAACATTTTTTTTGGTGCAGATTTTGGTATGAACATGTTTTAGTTTCTCTGGGATAAGTGCCCAAGAGTGGAATTTCTGAGTTATGTAGGAGTAGCTTTATATTTATTGATTGAAGAAACTGCCAAACTGTTTTCCAGAGTAGGTGCTGTCATTTGGATGTTTGTTCTCCAAAACATCATGTTGAAATTTGATCCCCAGTGTTGGAGGTGGTGCCTAATGAGAGGTGTTTGGGTCATGGGAGCAGTTCCCTCATAAATAGCTTAAATCTCCCCCTTTTGGGGGCTGCTGAATGAGTTCTTATTCTGTTAGTCCCTAGGAGAGCTGATTGTCAAGAGCTGATTGTCTGGCACCTCCCCTCTCTGTTGCTTACTCACTTGCCATGTGATTTCTGTACATGCTGGCTCCCTTTTGCCTCCCACCATGGGTAGAAGCTGCTTGATGCCCTCATCAGAATTAGATGTTGGTGTCATGCTTCTTGTACAGCCTGCAGAAGCATGAACCAAATAAATCTCTTTTCTTTATAAATTACCTAGCCTCAGGTATTCCTTTATAATAATACAAATGGACAGTAGGTATACCATTTTACATTTTCACCGACAATGTATGAGTGATACAGTTTCTTTGCATCCTCACCAGCATTTGGTGTTGTCATTAGTTTTTATTTTAGCCATTCTGTTCGATGTGTAGTGATACTTCATTGTGGTTCTAGTTTGCATTTCTTTTTTATTTTTTTGAGATGGAGTCTTACTCTGTCACCCAGGCTGGAGTGCAGTGGCACGATCTTGGCTCACTGCAACCTCTGCCTCCTGGGTTGAAGCGATTCTCCTGCCTCAGCTTCCCGAGTAGCTGGGATTAGAGGTGCGTGCCACCACGCCCAGCTAATTTTCGTATTTTTAGTAGAGATGGGGCTTCACCATGTTGGCCAGGCTGGTCTCCAACTCCTGGCCTCAAGTGATCCACCTGCCTTGGCCTCTCAAAGTGGTGGGGTTACAGGCGTGAGCCACTGCACCTGGCCTCTAGTTTGCATTTCTCTAATGGCTAATGTTGTTGAACATCTTTTATGTATTTATCTGTCACCTGTATTATCTCTTCAATGAAATGTCTGTTCATGTCTTTTGTATATTTTCTAATTGGGTTTATTATTATTATTTACTCTGGAGTCTTGAGAGAGTTCTTTATGTATTCTAGATATTAGTCATTTGTTGAATGCGTGGTTTGCAAATAATTTCTCTCAGTCTATAGCTTGTCTTTTCATCTTCCTAATAGAGTCTTTCACAGAGCGAATGTTTTAAAATTTGATGAGGTCCTATTTATTTATTTATTTTATTTATTTATTTTTTTTGAGACAGAGTTTTACTCTTGTTGCCTAAGCGGGAGTGCAATGGCATGATCTCGGCTCACTGCAACCTCCGCCTCCTGGGTTCAAGCGATTCTTCTGCCTCAGCCTCCTGAGTAGCTGGGATTACAGGCGTGCACCACCACGCCCAGCTAATTTTTGGTATTTTTAGTAGAGATGGGGTTTCACCATGTTAGCCAGGCTTGTCTCGAACTGCTGACCTCAGGTGATCCACCTGCCTCGGCCTCCTAAAGTGCTGGGATTACAGGCGAGAGCCACTGCACCCGGCCATTGATTTTTTTTCTTTATAGATCATTGATGTCAAGTCTAAGAATTCTGTGCCTGGTCCTAGATTCTGAACATTTTGCCCTATTTTTTCTATATGTTTTATGATTTTAGGTTTTACCTTTAAGTTTGCATCCATTTTGGATTGATGTTTATATAATAATTTTTTTTTTGAGACAAGGTCTCACTGTCACCCACGTTGCAGTGTAGTGGTGTGATCACAGCTCACTGCAGCCTCGACCTCCCCAAGCTCAAGTGATCTTCCTACCTCAGCCTCCCAAGTAGCCGGGACTACAGGCGTCTGCCACCATGCCCGGCTAATTTTTGTAATTTTTGTAGAGATGGGGTTTTGTCATGTTGCCCAGGCTGGTCTCCAACTTCTGGGCTCAAGTGATCTGCCTGCCTCAGTCTCCCAAAGTGCTAGGATTATAGGCGTGAGCCACTGCACCCAGCCCAAATTCAACATCTTTTCATGATAAAAACTCTACAAAATTGAGTTTGGAAAGAACATACCTCAACATAATAAAAGCCACGTATGACAGACCCACAGCTAGTATCATACTACAGTATTCTCCAGTATTTTCTTCTAATGATTTTTTTTTTTTTTTTTTGAGAGCGAGAGTCTCGCTCTGTTGCCTAAGCTGGAGTGCAGTGGCAATCTTGGCTCACTGCAACCTCTGCTTCCTGGGTTCAAGTGAGCACATCTGGGTAATTTTTGTAGTTTTATTAGACAAGGTTTCACCATGTATTCCAGGCTGGTCACAAACTCCTGGGCTGAAGTGATCCACCCGCCTCGGCCTCTGAAAGTGCTGAGATTACAGGCATGAGCACTGCTCCCGGCCATATTTATATTTTTAAAAATTTTTATGGATACATAATAGTTGCACATATATATGTGGTACATGTAATTTTTGATACAAGCATATAATGTATAATGATCAAATCAGGGTAATTAGGATATATATCACCTCAAGCATTTATCATTTATTTGTGTTAGGAACATTCCAATTATGATCTTATGAGATTGCCATCATATATGTGGTCCATGTTGACTGAAATGTTATGCAGCACGATTGTACATATATTTTATTTCTTCATCTGTTGATTGCCCAGGTTGTTAATGTATATTGGCTATTGTGAATAATATACAATGAACATGGTAGTACAGATAGCTCTTCAATATACTGATTGAATTTCCTTTGAATGTATACCCAGTGGTGGGATTCCTGGATCAAATGGTAATTCTGTTTTTAATTTTTTTGAGGAACCTCTATATTGTTTTTCATAATGGCTTTACCAATTTCCATTTTCTTTTGTTTTAAAATTTGAGACGGAGTCTCAGGCTGGAGTGCAGTGGGGAGATCTTGGCTCACTGCAACCTCTGCCTCCTGGGTTCAAGCGATTCTCCGGTCTCAGCCTTCCAAGTTGCTGGGACTACAGGCGTGTGCCACTACTCCCAGCTAGTTTATGTATTTTTAGTAGAGACGGGTTCACCATGTTGGTCAGGCTGGTCTCGAGCTCCTGACCTCAGGTGATCCACCTGCCTCGGCCTCCCAAAGTGTTGGGATTACAGGCATGAGCCACCGTGCCTGGCCTCCATTTTCAGCAACAATGCACAAGGGTTCTTTTTTCACCAATCTTCACCAAAACTTGTCTTTTGTCTTTTTGATAATTGATAGCATTTTGTTGAGAAATTTTTCATCTATGTTCATTGAGGATATTGCCTTGCAATTTTCTTCTCTTGTAGTGTCCTTATCTGGCTTTTTATTGGGGTAATTGTGGCCTCATAAAATGAATTTTGAAGTATTTTCCCTTATTTTTTTTTTAGAAGATTTTGAGAAAGATTGGTGTTCTTTTTAAATGCTTGGTATAAATCACTAGTGAAACCATATGACCCTAGTCTTTTCTTTGTTGGGATATTTTTTGATTACTGATTCAGTCTTCTAACTAATTCTAGGTCTGGTCAGATATTCAACTTCTTTATAATCCAGTCATTAGGTTTATGTTTCTAGAAATGTATCCATTTCTTCTAGGTTTTCCAATTTGTTGGCATGTAATTGTTCATAATAATATCTTACAATCTTTTATATTTATGCAGTGTCAGTTGTAATATCTCCTCTTTCATTTCTGATCTTATTTAAGTCTTCATGTTTTTTCTTAGTCTAGCTAAAGGTTTATCAATTTTGCTTATGTTTTCAAAAAACTCTTAATTTTGTTGATTGTTTCTATTGTTTTTCTAACATTTGTTCCATTTTTATCTCTAATCTGTGTTATTTTCTTCCTTCTACTTTTTGGCCTCAGTTTTTTTTTCTTTTTCTAGTTCCTTGAGGTGTAAAGTTAGATTGTTTATTTGAGATCTTTCTTTTTTGTCAATGTAGGTATTTATTGCTATAAACTTTCTTTTTAGAACTGTTTTTGATGCATGCCATCCATTTTGGCATGTTGTATTTCCATTTTTGTTTCTTTCAAGATTTTTTCTGGGTAAGGGGCTTCAAGATGGCTGATTAGAGGCATCTCCTACTACCCTTCTCCACTAAGTGGAACCAAAATAGTGAGTAGATAATCACACTTCAAATAGATCATCCAAGAGAGAATATTGGAATTCGACAGAAAAGTGACAGAAAACACCTAAAGCTAGGAAGGAGAAGGAAATGAAGCATCCTGCTGGGCCAAGATCACCTTGGATCTGGGGGAGACTCTCCAATGCAGGAAAAGGATAAGTGAGAGACCCTAGCAGTCCACATTCCCACCATGGACTCCTACAATCCTAGCTATGGGAGAGCCCCTTGACCCTTATGGGCCCTGAGACTAACATAGGGAGCTCCCTGGAAACTTCATGAAGGTTATTGCTCCAGAGGAAGCACTCATGCGGGGTCCCAAAAGCCCCTGAGTCCTAAGCAGCAGCAGCAGCAGCACAGTAGCATTTTAAGAGCCCAGCCCACAGCGGACTGCATCCTACTCTGTAACCAGGGCTGAGGCAGCAATCCTGCACCCACTGCAGAGGGGTGCCTGTGTATTCTCACATGCCCCAAGGACAAATTCCCCTTTGGCAACCTCCGTGGCTGCAAACTGCTGTGGGCCAAGACACAAGTAAAGCCAATACCCCCCAGCTTCTTACCTATGGCAACTAGGGAAAGCAATCTTGCCCTCCTCAGTAGTAGGGCCACAGTGCAGCTGCTGCTGCCTCTACCTGAGCATTCTGCCAACGGCCTGGGCCTCATTTCACCTCTACATACCACAGACAGCATCTATAGCACCATTGAGGTGCCTGAGGGCTCAGCTCAGCCCGGATCCAGCCCCCTTGTACCTGAGCACACCATCCAGGAGGCTGAGAGTGGCCCAGCCCAGTCCACCACCAGTGGCACCTAATCATTCCTCCTGGTGTCTGAGATCGGGCCCACTCAACTTGCTCCTACCACCACTGCTGGCACCCACCTACACGACCCACCTGTAGGTTTGGAGACAAGGCCAACCAACCCATCACAGCCAGTTCCAACACCAGTGCTGACTGACTACTTGGGTTTCAGAGGGTTTTCCCACCACTTCGATTGCTATCACCCATGCCATGAACACTGCCCAACGGTTTGAGAACCTGCCCACCTACCTGGTCCACTGCTGCCATTCCTGGTACCTGAGCAAGCCATCTGGAGGTCAAGAGTCAGCCTGCCTGGACACACTAACACTAGTGGCAGCATATGCTCCCATGGAGCCCAAGGACAGGCATGCTTAGCCCACCACTGCCACCATGAAACGTTCTGTAAATGTTTGTTAGGTATATTTGTTACAAAGTGCGGTTTAAATCCAATATTTCTTTGTTGGTTTTTCTCTCTGGATGATCTGTCCAATGCTAAGAATATGGCATTGAATTTTCCTCCTATTTATTGTGTTGGAGTCTATTCCTCACTTTATGCCTAATAATATTTGCTTTATATATGTGGGAGCTCCAGTGTTGTGTTTTGGGTTTGGATAGAAATTTCATTAAACCTGTGTATTAATTTGAGATAATTACCTTTTTAAAAAAACTATAATAGGCCCTCCAAAACTTGAATATAGTATAGCTCCACTAATTTAGGTCTTCTTTGATTTCATTCTTCAGTGTTTTATAGTTTTCAGAATGTAATTCCTATACATGTTTTGTTAGATTTACATCTGAGTGTCAATTTTTGGAACAATTGTAATAGGGTGTTTTTTTTTTTTTCTTTTTTCTTTTTAGACGGAGTCTCACCCTGTCACCCAGGCTGGAGTGCAGTGGCACGATCTCAGCTCACTGCAACCTCTGCCTCTCGGGTTCAAGCGATTCTCCTGCCTCACCCTCCCGAGTAGCTGGGATTATAGGCACCTACCATCATGTCCAGTTAATTTTTGTATTTTTAGCAGAGATGGGGTTTCACCATGTTGGCCAGGCTGGTCTCGAACTCCTGACCTCAGGTGATCCTTCTGCCTCAGCCTCCCAAAGTGCTAGATTACAGGCGTGAGCCACTGTGCCTGGCCAGGGTTGTACTTTTAATTTCCGTTTCCACATGGTCGTTGCTTTTATATAGAAATATAATTGAGTTCTGTATGTTTATCTTGTAATCTGTGATTTTGCTAAACTCACTAATGTGTACTAGGAGATATTTTGGTAGCTATTTTGGGATTTTCTATGTAGATTATCATGTCCTCTGCAAATTTGGACAGCTTTATGTCTTCCTTTTCAATCTGTATGTCTCTTATTTCTTTTTCTTGCCTATTGCACAGCTAGAACTTCCAGTACAATGTTGAATAGAAGTGGTATGAGAAGACATCTTTGCTTTGTTCCATATCTTAGGGAAAAGCATTCAGTCTTTTACCATTTTTTGTAATGTTAGTTGTATGTTCGTTTTTAGATGCTCTTTGTGAAATTAAGAAAATATCCATCTATTACTATTTTTTCTGAGAGCTTAAAAATTCTCATTCATAGGTATTCAATTTTATCAAGTGCTTTTCTGCATCACTTGATATGATTATATGGTTTTTCTTTCACTTTAGTCTGTTGACATGGTAGATTCCACTGATGGATTACAAATATGGAACCAGGCCGGGTGTGGTGGCTCACGCCTGTAATCTCAGCACTTTGGGAGGCTGAGGCGGGTGGATCACTTGAGGTCAGGAGTTCGAGACCAGCCTGGCCAATGTGGTGAAACCCTGTCTCTACTAAAAATACAAAAACTAGCCAGGCGTGGTGGCACACGCCTATAATCCTAGCTACTTAGGAGGCTGAGGCAGGAGAATCATTTGAACCCGGAAGGTGGAGGTTGCGGCGAGCCAAGATCGCGCTACGGCTCAAAAAAAATAAAAAATAAAAAAAAGTGGAACCAGCCATATCGGCAATGCTTTAACTTTATTCCTCAAATTTTATTATGCTTTATTTTATTTTTTATTCAATTCAATTTTTTTGATATCCTTTTGAAATACTTCCTCTTTGACCCATGTATCATTTTCAAAATGGGTTGTTTAGTTTCCAAGTGTTTGAAGATATTCTTGTTATTTTTTGATACTGATTTTTTCTTTTTTTAATTTAAAAAATTTTTGTGCGTACATAGGTATATATGTTTATGGAATACATGAGATGTTTTGATACAGGCATGCAATGTGAAATGAACACATCATGGAGAATGAGGTATTCATCCCCTCAAACATTTATCCTTTGAGTTACAAACAATCCAATTACACTCTTTAAAATGTACAATTAAGTTATTATTGACTATAGTCACCCTATAAATAGACGGAAAAATAGTCTATTATTGACTATATTCACCCTATAAATAGTTAGATGGAAAAAATAGTCTAACTATCATTGACTATAGTCACCCTATAAACAGATGGAAAAATAGTCTTATTTTTTTTTGTCCCATTAACCATCCCTACTTCCCCTCCCAATCCCCCATTACCCTTCCCGGCCTCTGGTAACCATCCTACTCTCTATGTCGATGAGTTCAATTGTTTTGATATTTAGATCCTGCATATAAGTGAGAACATGTGATGTTTATGTTTTTGTGCCTGGCTTATTACACTTAACATAATGATCTCTAGTTCCAGCCATGTTGTTGCAAATGACTGGATCTCATTCTTTTTATGACTGAATAGTACTCCATTTTGTATGTGTACCACATTTTCTTTATCCATTCATCTGTATAGATACTTAGGTTGCTTCCAAGTCTTAGCTATTGTACACAGTGCTCCAACAAACATAGGAGTGCAGATATCTCTTCCTTATACTGATTTCCTTTCTTTTGTGTACATACCCAGCAGTAGGATTGCTGGATCATATGTTGGCTCTATTTTTAGTTTTTTGAGGAACTTCCAAAGTGTTCTCCATAGTGGTTGTACTAATTTACATTCCCATCAACAGTGTGCAAGGGTTCCCTTTTCTCCACATCTTTGCCAGCATTTGTTATTGCCTGTCTTTTGGTTACAAGCCATTTTTTTTTTTTATTAATTATTATTTTTTGAGACAGAGTCTTGCTCTGTCGCCCAGGCTGGAGTGTAGTGGTGTGACCTCGGCTCACTGCAACCTCTGCCTCCCAGGTTCAAGCGATTCTCCTGCCTCAGCCTCCCGAGTAGCTGGGATTACAGGCACGTGCCACCATGCCCAGCTAATTTTTGTATTTTTAGTAGAGACGGAGTTTCACCAGGTTGGTCAGGCTGGTCTTGAACTCCTGACTTTGTGATCCGCCCGCCTCGGCCTCCCAAAGTGCTGGGATTATAGGCGTGAGCCACCGCGCCTAGCCCACAAGCCATTTTAAATAGGGTGAGATGATATCTCATTGTAGTTTTGATTTGTATTTCTCTGATGATGAATGATGTTGAGCATCTTTTCATATACTTGTTTGCCATGTATATGTCTTCTTTTGAGAAATGTCTATTCAAATATTTTGCCCAATTTTGATCAAATTTTTAGTTTTTTTCCTGCATCAATTGATATGATTATATGATTTTTCTTGTTTAGTCTGTTGACGTGGTGGGTTCCATTGATGAAAGAGTTGTTTGAACTCTTTATATATTGTGATTATTTAATCTCTTGTCAGATGGGTAATTTACAAATAATTTTCTCCCATTCTGTGAATTGTCTCTTCACTTTGTTGATCATTTCCCTTGCTGTACAGAAGCTTTTTAACTTGATGTGATCCTATTTTTGCTTTGGTTGCCTGTACTTATTGGGTATTATTCAAGAAAATTTTTACCAGACCAATGTGCTTGAGATTTTCCCCAGTGTTTTATTGTAGTAGTTTCATAGTTTGAGGTCTTAGATTTATGTATTTATTTATTTATTTATTTAGGTCTTAGATTTATTTATTTATTTATTTATTTATTCATTCATTCATTCATTCATTCAGTCAGTCAGTCAGAGCCTTGCTCTGTCGCCCAGGCTGGAGTGCAGTGGCACGATTTCGGCTCGCTGCAACCTCTGCCTTCTGGGTTCAAGCGATTCTCCTGCCTCAGCCTCCTGAGTAACTGGGACTACAGATGCACACCACCACAGCTGGCAGATTTTTGTATTTTTAGTAGAGATGGGGTTTTGCCATGTTAGCCAGGCTGGTCTTGAACTCCTGACCTCAGGTAATCCACCTGCCTCTGCCCCACAAAGTGCTGGAATTACAGGCGTGAGCCACCGTCCCCAGCCTGAGGTCTTAGATTTAGAATTTAATGCATTTTGATTTGTTTTTTGTATATGGTGAGAGATTGGGGCCCAGTTTCATTCTTCTTCATATGGATATCCAGTTTTCCCAGCACCATTTATTGAAGAGACTGTCTTCCCCCCAGTGTATGTTTTTGGCACCTTTGTAAAAAATGAGTTCACTTAGGCGGGGCGCAGTGGCTCGCTCCTGTAATCCCAGTGCTTTGGGAGCCCAAGGCTGGCAGATCACTTGAGGTCAGGGGTTCGAGACCAGCTTGGCCAACATGACAAAACCCCATCTCTACTAAAAATACAAAAATTAGCTGGGTGTGGTGGCAGGCGCCTGTAGTCCTAGCTACTCAGGAGGCTAAGGCAGGAGAATCGCTTGGACCCGGGAGGTGGAGGTTGCAGTGAGCCCAGATCACACCACTGCACTCCAGCCTGGGTGACAGAGCGAGACTTTGTCTCAAAAAAAAAAAAAAAAAATTGAGTTCACTGTAGGTGTGTAGATTTGTTTCTGAGTTCTCTACTCTGTTCCTTTGGTCTATGTGTGTGTTTTTATGCTAGTACCATGCTGTTTTGGTTACTAAAGCTCTGTAGTATAATTTGAAGTCAGGTAATGGGATTCCTTCAATTTTGTGTTTATTTTGCTAAGGATAACATTGGCTATTCTGTGTCTTCTGTGGTTCCATATAAATTTAAGGATTTTTTTTTCTATTTCTGTGAAGAATGTCATTGGTATTCTGATAGAGATTGCATTGAATCTGTAGATTGCTTAGGGTTATATGGACATTTTAATAAAACTGAATCTTCCAATTCATGAACATGGAATATTTTTCAATTTTTGGTGTCCTCTTCAATTTCTTTTAACAGTGTTTTATAGTTTCCATTATAGATATCTTTCACTTCTTTGGTTAATTCCTAGGTATTTAATTTTATTTGTGGCTATTGTAGATGGGATTACTTTTTTTCATTTCTTTTTCACATTGTTCACTGTTGTCATATAGAAATGCTACTGATTTTTGTATGTTGATTTCGAAACCTGCTACTTTTCTGAATTTACCAGTTCTAATAGAGTTTTCTTGTGGAGTCTTTAGGTTTTTCCAACTATAAAACCATATCTCCTACAATGAAGAATAATTTGATGTCTTCCTTTCCAATTACAATGCCCTTTATTTCTTTCTCTTGTTTGATTGCCCTAGCTAAGACTTCCAGTATTATGTTGAATAACAGTGATGCAAGTGGGTATGCTTGCTGTGTTCCAGATCTCGCAGGAAAGGCTTTCAGTTTTTCCCCATTCAGTATGATACTAGCTGTGGGTCTTTTGTATATGGCTTTTATTATGTTGAGGTATGTTCCTTCTATACCCAATTTTGTAGAGTTTTTATCATGAAAAGATGTTGAATTTTGCCTGGGCGCAGTGGCTCATGCCTGTAATCCTAGCACTTTGGGAGGCTGAGGCAGGTGGATCGCTTGAGCCCAGAAGTTGGAAACCAGCCTGGGCCACATGGCAAAACCCTGTCTCTACAAAAAGTACAAAAATTAGCCAGGCATGTGGCAGGTGCCTGTAGTCCCAACTACTTGGGAGGTTCAGGTGGGAGGATCACCTGAGCCCAGGAGGTTGAGGCTGTGATGATTCGTGATCATGCCACACCACTCCAGGCTGGGTGACACAGTGAAACCCTGTCTCAAAAAAAAAAAAACAAAAAGATGTTGAATTTTATCAAATGGTTTCTAAACATCGATTGAAATGATTATGTGGTTTTGTTCTTCATGCTGTTGATATGATGTATCAGAGTAGTTGATTTGCATATGTTGAACCATCCTTGTGTCCCTCGGATGAGTGTCACTTGGTCATGATGAATGATCTTTTTAATGCGTTGTTGAATTTGGTTTGTTAGTACGTTGAGGATTTTTGCATCAATATTAATCAGTGATATTGTCCTATAGTGTTTTTTTCTATTTTTGATGTGTTTTTGTCTGGTTTTAAGATCAGGATAATACTAGCTTAATAGAATGAGTTTGGAAGTATTTTCTCCTCCTCTATTTTTTGGAATAGTTTGAGTAGTATTGGTGTTAGCTTTTCTTTAAATGTTTGGTAGAATTCAGCAGTGAAGCCTTCAGGTTCTGGGCTTTTCTTTGCTGGGAGACTTTTTATCACAGCTTCTACCTTGTTACTTGTTATTGGTCTGTTCAGGTTTTGGATTTCTTCTTGTTTCAATTTTGGTAGTTTCTATGTGTCTATGAAGTAATAATTTCTTCTAGATTTTCCAGTTTATTCACATATAGTTGTACACAGTGGTCACTAATGATCCTTTGAATTTCTGTGGTATCAGTTGTAATATCTCCTTTTTCATCTCTGATTTTATTTATTTGGGTCCTTTTTTTTTTAGACTAGCTAAAGGTTTGTCAATTTTTATCTTCTCCCAACTTTTTGTTTCATTGAACTTTTATATTGTTTTCATTTCATATTTATTTATTTCTGCTCTGGTCCTTATCATTTCTTTTCTTCTACTAATTTTGTGTTTGGTTTTCTCTTGCTTTTCTAGTTATTTAAGATGCATCAGTAAGTTGTTTAAGTTTTTCTTCTTTTTTCATGTAAGCACTTATAGCTATAAACTTCCCCTCTTAGCACGGCTTTTGCTCTATCCCAAAGGTTTTTGTATGTTGTGTTTCCATTATCTTTTGTTTCAAGAAATTCATCAATTTTCTTCTTAATTTCCTCATTTACCCAGTGGTCATTCAGGAGCATATTGTTTAATTTTCATGTCTTTATATAGTTTCCAAAATTCCCCTTTTTATTGATTTCTAGTTTTATTCCATTGTGGTCAGAGAAGATGCTTGATATTATTTCAACTTTTTGAATGTTTTAAGACTTGTTTTTTGACCTAACATAACATATGGTCTATCCTTGAGAAAGATCCATGTGTTGAGGAAAAGAATGTGTACTCTGCAGTCACTGGATGAAATGTTCCATAAATATTTTTAGGTCCATTTATTCTATACTGTAGATTAAGTCTGATTTTTTTTGGTTGATTTTCTCTCTGCAAGATTTGTCCAGTGCTAAAAGTGGGATGTTGAAATCTACAGCTATTATTGTATTGGAGTCTATCTGTCTTTTTTAGCTCTAATAGTATTTGCTTTATATATCTGAATGCTCCAGTGTTGAGTGCCTATATATTTAAAATTGTTATATCCTCTTGCTGAATTGACACCTTTATCATTACATAGTGACCTTCTTTGTCTCTTCTTATAGTTTTCTGTCTTGAAATCTATTTTGTCTGATACAATTATAGCTACTCCTACTCCTTTTTGGTTTCTGTTGAGATGGAATATCTTTTCCCATCCATTTGTTTTCAGCCTATGTGTGTCTTTATAGGTGAAGCATGTTTCTTGTCAGCAACAGATCATTGGGCCTTTTTTTTTTTTTAAAAAAAAATCTATTCAGCCACTCTGTCTTTGGATTGAAGCATTTAGTGAATTTACACTCAGTGTTATTGATAAGTAAGTATTTACTCCTGCCATTTTGTTACTGGTTTTTTGGTTGTTTTGTGGTGTTCTTTCCTTCCTTCCTGTCTTCTTTTTAGTAAAGGTGATTTTCTCTGGTGGGATGATTTAATTTCTTGCTTTTTATTTTTTGTGTATACATTGTATGTTTTTTGATTTGAGGTTACCACAAGGCTTGTAAATATACTACCTTATTAACCCATTATTTTAAGCTGATAACAACTTAACACTGTTTGCCTAATTAAACAAACAAGCAATTGAAATGAAAACTAATAAAAACTCTACACTTTAACTTTGTCTCCCTGCTTTATAACCTTTTGTTTCTATTTATAGCTTGTACTATGTCTTGAAAAGTTGTTCTAGTTATTATTTTTGATTGGTTCATTATTTAGTCATTTTACTTACGATAAGAGTAGTTCACACACCACAGTTACAATGTTATAATATTCTGTGTTTTTCTGTGTACTTACTATTAGCAGTGAGTTTTGTAGCTTCAGATAATTTCTTATTGCTCATTAGTGTGTTTTTCTTTCTGACTGAAGTACTCCCTTTAGCATGTCTTGTAGGACAGGTTTGGTGTTGATGAAATCCCTCAGCTTTTGTTTGTCTGGGAAAGTGTTTATTTGTTCTTCATGTTTGAAGGATTTTTTTTTTTCCGCTGGATATGCTATTGTAGGGTAAAAGTGTTTTTTGTTTGTTTGTTTTTCCTTCAGCATTTTAAATAATTGTGCCACTCTCTCCTGGCCTGGAAGGTTTCCACTGAAAAGTCTACTGCTAGACATATGGGAGCTCCATTGTATGTTCTTTGTTTCTTTTCTTTTGCTGCTTTTAGAATCCTTTCTTTATCCTTTGGGAGTTTGGTTATTAAATGTTGTGAGGTTGTCTTTTTTAGGTTAAATCTGCATGGCGTTCTATTCCCTTCTAGTACTTGGTATTGATATATTTCTCTAGGTTTGGGAAGTTCTCTGTTATCCCTTTGAATTAACTTTCTACTCCTATTTCTTTCTCTACCTCTTCTTTAAGGCCAATAACTCTTAGATTTGCCCTTTTGAGGTTATTTTCTAGATCCCGTAGGTGGGCTTCATTGTTTTTTATTCCTTTTTCTTTTGTCTCCTCTGTGTATTTTCAAATAGCCTGTTCTCAAACTTACTAATTATTTTTTCTGCTCGATCAATTCTGCTATGACTGTGATGCATTCTTCAATATGCCACTTGGATTTTTCAACTCTAGAATTTCCACTTAATTTTTCAAAACTATGTCAATCTCTTTGTTAAATTTATCTAATAGAATTCTGAATTCCTTCTCTGTGTTATCTGGAGTTTGAGTTTGCTCCAAACAGCTGTTTTGGATTCTCTGTCCGAGGGGTCTGATATCCAGCATTGGTGCCTGGTGTCTTATTTAGTTCATCTGGTAAGCTAAATGATCTAATGAACCCTGGTGATTTATTTAGTTCATTTGGTGAGGTCATGTTTTCCTGGATGGCCTTCATACTTGTATATGTTCATCTGTGTCTGGACATTGAAGAGTTAGGCATTTATTGTAGTCTTCACAGTCTGGACTTGTTTGTACCCATCTTTCTTGGGAAGGCTTTCCAGATATTTAAAAGAAGTTAGGTGTGATCTAAGTTGTATCTGCTTTAAAAGGCACCCAAGCACAGTAACGCTGTGGTTCCTGCAAACTCATAAAGGTAGCCCCTTGATGGCCTTGAACAATATTCTGAGGAATTCTCTGGATTAGTAGGCAGAGAGTCTTGTTCTCTTCCCTTACTTTCTCCTAAACAAACAAAATCTCTCTCTGTTCTGAACCACCTAGAGCTGGGGATAAAGTGACAGAAGCACCCCTATAGCCACCACCAGTAGGACTGTGCTGTGTCAGACTTGAGAGTCCTGGGTCTCGCCCGAGGTTTACTGTAAACACTCTCTGGCTACTGCCAATGTTCGATCAAAGCCCTGGGGGCTCTACAATCAGCAGGTGGCAAAGCCACCCAGGCTTGTGTCCTTCTCTTTAGGGTAGTGAGTTACCCCAGGCTCTGGGCAGGTCCATTGTTGCCACTGGGGAGCCAGGGACTGGAGTCAAAAATCTTAGAAGTCTACCTGGTTGACTTCTAAGATTTGAGCTGGCACTCAAACCACGAGACACAGTCCTTCTCACTCTTCCCTCTCCTTTCCAAATGCAGAGTAGGCTTATCCCATAGCCACTGTCACCATAGGCCCATTGAAAGTACTGCCAGACTACTGCCTATGTTCCCTTATGGCCCAAGGTCTCTTAAGTCAGTTTGTGGTAAATGCTTCCTGGCCTGGGACTCACCCTGCCCTCCCCTCTGGCAAAGGGCAGGTCCAGAAATGCCGTCCAAGAGTCACGTCCTGGAATTGAAAACCCCAAGAGCCTGCTTGGTACTCTGCCTCCCTGCGGTGGAGCTGGTATCTAAGGTGCAAGACAAAGTCCCCTTTACTTTTCCCTCCATTTTTCTCAAGAGGATCCTTGCCCCATAGCCACTACAGCTGGTAATGTGCTGAGTCTCAACTGAAGCCAGCAAGTCTCAGAGTCTCACCCAAGGCCACTGACATAGTATCTGGGCATCACTGCTGGTTATTCAGGGCCTGAGGGCTCTTCCATTAGCAGGTGATTAATGGTGCCAGGACTGGGTCCTTCTCTTCAAGGCAGTGGCTTCCTTTCTGGCCCAGGGTGTGTCTAGAATTGTTGTCTGGGAGCTGGGGCCTGGAAAGGGGGCCTCACAACTCTGACGTATGCCTTATCTTGTGTGGCTGATCTGGTTTCCAAGATGCAAAGTAAAGTCCTCCCCATTCTTCTGTCTCCTCTCCTCAAATGGAAGGAAGGCATCTTTTTTGGGGCTGCAAGCTGTGCAGCCTGGGGTGAGGGGAGGGGTGATGCCAGCACTCCCTTAGCCACCCAGGCTGGCATCATAGTAGGTCCTGTGCCCCCCCGCCCCAATCCCGTGGCCTTGGGCCCAGTTTAGCACTTGGACTTGCCTAGGTGTTGCAGTCCTTGTGGCCTAGACTGCCTTTCAAGTTTATTTGTAGCCCCAGAACACTTTAGCCATGGTGGCTAGGCTTGCAGGAACTCAAATTCTGACTCCTGGGATCATTGATTCCCTCTGACTAGGGCTGGTTTAAATGCAACCTCTATGGGTGGGCATCAGCTGAGTTTGGTCTGGTTTTGCTTTCTGCTATAATAGGGTAGCATTGAGTTCAATGCTTCACAATTGCTGCACTCTCCCTGCCGCCAGCACACAGGAATGCTTTCTACACCCCGCTGCCACTGCTGGGGGGATGGTGGAGGGGTGGTGTTGGTGCTTCAGGACTGTTTTTGCTACCTTTTCAGTGCCTGTTTCAGCAATATGAAATTAAAACCAGGTACTGTAAGTGCTTACCTGATGTTTTGTTCTTATGAAGGTATTCTGTTGTGTGTAGTTAGTTGTTAAATTGGTGTTCTTGCAGGGGGGACAATTGGTGGAGCCTTTTATTCTACTATCTTGCTCCACCCCCTTACTATAATTATTGCTATATTAGGTAATAAGTTCATCACCTAATTTTTAATTTTCTATTTATTTCCTCTGTTTTCTTTTTCTCTGCCTTCCTCTGTCAACAAATTCTCTTAGTTTTCCTTTATCTGAAACAGATTTTCTCTGAGGAGGAGTATTTAGGAAAGCGCAAAGTCAAGAGGAGTGACAAAAACAAGGGTCACTTGAGGTATTTGAAGCCACTGGCACCAATAGCTACAGCACACATAAAAGAACCCAACTCCTAACCAGACTAACAAATTCTTATACTAAAGGTATTTTACTTTAGCTTGTATAACTTGATACCATATATTTGTCTTTTAACAAAAAAATTAGAAGGCACATCAAAAAGCAAGCAAAAGCAGTCTCAAAGGACCAAGCAAGTATCAGAACCAAACTCAGATATGATACAGATATTGGAATTTCAGACAGGACCTTAAAATATTTATGATTAATATATTGAGGGCTATAATGGAAAAATTAGAAAACATGAAATTAATAATATAAGTAGATTGGTAATATAAGTAGAGACATATAAATTCTTCAAAGGGATGAAAATGAAATACTAAGAATCTAACAGAAATAGATAGGCTCATCAGTAAATTCATTATGGCTGGGTTATTGAACTCAGTGAGTTTGAAGAGATGTCAATAGGTAATTCTAATATAAATCGCAAGATATAAAAGGATTTTTAAAAACTCAGAACATTGAATAACTATAGACTACTTCAAAAAGATGTAGCATGAACATAATTGGAATATGAGGAGAAGAAAGAGAATGGGGCAGAATAAATATTTGAAGTAACAATGGCTGAGAAATTTCCAAAGTTAATGATAGGCACCAAACCAGAGATCTGTAATTCTCAGAGAATAGCAAACAGAATAAATACCAAAAGTTAACCAAGGATATGTCATATTCAAACTGAAGGAAACTAAATACAAGGAGAAAATCTCAAACCAGAGGATAATAAAAATCGTTTCTATAGGGAACAAGAATAAAAGTTACAGTAGACTTCTTGTCAGAAATAATGCCGGCAAGAAGAGTATGGAGTGAAATATTTAAAGTACTGAGATTCAAAACTCACCAACCTAAAATTTTATATCCAGTGAAATTATCCTCCCAAAGTGAAGAAGATATAGTTTCTCAGAGACAGAGGAATACAGAAATTTATCAGCAGCAGACATACCCTTCAAGAAATGTTAAAATATTTTCTTTAGGGAGAAGGAAAATGATATAAATCTGAATCTTGAGTCTACATATACAGGAAATTATCTATCTATCTATCTATGAGAAATCTGTGTGCTATAATCATTTTTCCCCTGTAGCTAAGTTTGGTTTCTCTTTTGCTGCTTTTCAAGACTTTGCCTTTGGTTTCAGCAGTTTGACCATGGTAAGTTTGGGGTTCTTGTGAATTCTTGAATTTGTAAATTTCTTTGTTTCCAAATTTGAGAAATATATATCCATTATTTCTGAGTAGTGTTTTTTTAAGCTCTCTCTTTATTCTCTTTTCCTTTCAGGAGTCTGATAACATTAATGTTATATATTATTGTCTCTTGCTATAGTTCCACAGGTTGCTGAGGCTCTCTTCATTTTTCTGAGTCTATTTTCTCTCTGTTTCTCTGATTGGATAATTTCTACTGTTCAATGTTTGAATTCCCTGATTCTTCCTCTGTCCCCTCCATTTTTTCTGTTGGGACCATTCATTGAATTTTAAAATTTTGGTTAATGTAGTTTTCTATTCTAAAATTTCCATTTTCTTCTCTTCATATCTTCTATTTATTTGTAGAGGCTTTATATTTCTTTGATGAGACTTTCTATTTTTTCATTTGTTTCAAGCACATTCATAATTGCTTGTTGAACCAAATTTATGATGGCTAATTTAAAATCTTAGATAGTTAAAAAATCTCTGTTATCTTGGTGTTAGCATCTAATGGTTGTCTTTTGCATTCAGTTTGAATTATTTCTGGTTCTTGTTATGATGAGTAATTTTTTATTAAAATCTGGACATTTTGGGAATTATGTTATGAGACTCTAGATTTTATTCCAATCTGCTGCTTTTTTTTTTTTTTTTTTTTTTTTTTTTTTTTTTTTTAAGACGGAGTTTTGCCCTTGTTGCCCAGGCTGGAGTGCAGTGGCGTGATCTTGGCTCAGTGCAACCTCTGCATCCCGGGTTCAAGTGATTCTCCTGCCTCAGCCTCCTGAGTAGCTGGGATTACAGGCATGTGCCACCATGCCCAGCTAATTTTGTATTTTTAGTAGAGAGAGGGTTTCTCCATGTTGATCAGGCTGGTCTTGAACTCCTGACCTCAGGTGATCTGCCTGCCTCAGCCTCCCAGAGTGCTGGGATTACAGGTGTGAGCCACTGCGCCTGGCCCCAGTTTGCTTTATCTGGGTTCCTGTGACTACTCTGCTGGTTGAAGTGGGTGGGGATGGACTGCTTCATTACTGCCAGATGTAAGAAGAAGTCTAGGTTCTCCACTTGGCCTTCGTTGACACCCAAGGGTAGGCTCTTTATTATTGCTGGGCAAGGAGGGGACTTCTGTCTCCCTACTTAGGCTTTCACTTATACCTCTCTAGTGGGAGACGTTGGAGTTCCTTGTTATTGCTACTCACATGTAAAATGGTACAGCCATTTTAGAAAACAGTCTGGCAGTTCTCCAAAAAGAGGTACCATAAGTCCCAGCAACACCACTACTAGGTATAAGCCCAAGAAAAATAAAAACATATGTCCAGACAATAATTTGTACACCAATGTTTGTAGCAGCATTATTCATTGTAGCTAAAAAGTGAAACAATTTAGTCTGTCAACTGATGAATGGACAAACCAAATGTGGTATATCCATACAATGGAATATTATTCAGCAATAATAGGAAATGATGTATTGATCATGCTACAACATGGATAAACCTTGATACATTAAGCTAAGTGAAAGAAGGCAGTCACAGAGGACTAAATATTATATGATTCTATTCATATGAAATGCCCAGAATAGGTAAATATATAGGAACATAAAATAGATTCATAGCTGTTTAGAACTGGGGGGTGAGTTGGGGGCATATGAGAAATGACTGCTAATGGGTAAGGAGTTTCTTTTGGGGCTAATGGAAATGTTTTAAAATTGATTGTGATGGTGGTTGCACAATCCTGGAAATATACTAAAAGCCATTAATGTGTGTACTTTAAATGGGTGTATTATATGCTATGTGATTTATATTTCAATAAGGGTTTACAAATAAGAAAAGAAAACCCAGAGAACTTAACACGCTGTATTTCCTCAGGTTCCAACATCTCTAGCCAGTATGCTTTTTCTCTCCCCTTTCAGAGCCTTCTTATCTTTGTTTTATGTATAATATCTAGGATTTTTAGTGGGATGACCAGAGAAAATTGCATTTAATTCATCTTGTCCTGTTAGCAGAAGTCATTTGTTTTCAAAATTACCTTTTAACTTTTAAAATTAGCTTATTATAAATTTTTTGTTTATTGTCCTATAAACTTTAACACATATGTAGATTGGTTAACAGATATATGTTAATCCTGGTTATCACAACCAGGATACAGAACAGTACTATTAACCCCAAAACTGCCGTGTTTTATTTCTTTGTAGTCATGCCCTTTCCTCATTTCTAAATTCTGACAACCACTGGTCTGTTTTCTGTTACTATATAAATGGAATTATAAAAAGAATAAGTGATTTTTGAGAATAGCTTCGTTTATTCAGTGTAGTGCCTTTGAGATTCATTGAAGTTGGTTTGTGTATCAATAATTTGTTTTTTTCTTCTGGATTAGTATTCCATTATATGGATATACATACCACAGGTTGTCTATACATTCGGTCATTAAAGGATATTGGGTTGTTTCCATTTTTGATGATTATGAATGGACTTCTTAAAACATTTGTGTACAGGCTTTTTATGTACATAGTTTTAATTTCTCTAGGGTAAATACTTGGTATGGGATTTCTGGGTCGTATGTTAAGTATATGTTTAAGTTTATAAGGAACTGCCAAACTGTGTTCCAGAGCAGTTCTACCATTTTGCATATCTGTCAGCAAGGTTTGAGAATTCTAGTTCTCCTGCATCCTCACCAGCACTCGATATTGTTATATTTTTAAATTTTAGGTATTGTCATAGTATATGTCAGTAGTTATTGTACTTTTAGCTTTTATTTCCATAATGGCTAATTATGGTGAATATCTTTTCATGTGCTTATTTGCCACACTATAGCCTTTGTGGTCAAGTGTCTGCTTGGGTCTTTTGCCCATCTTTAAACTGGGCATGATTTAAACCTCCATGATACCTGCCTGCTGGTATCATGGAGGAGGTGCTTTAGAGTTTGTGAGTCTGTCCACCACAATTATACCTTTGAATAATCTATCCCCACTTTTTAGTGCAAACAGGACCCATAACTTGTGTCTAACTAGTAGAATATGACAACAGTGATGGGATGTCACTCCCACCATTAGGTTATATTACATAAAACTCTTGTCTTGCTGGATGGAGACTCTAGAGACTTTTCTTGGCTTGATGAAATAGGTGGCCATGTTGGAATAGGCTGTGTAACAAGATACTTCAGGTAGTCTCTGCAGGTGGCTTTTAGGAACTGTGGGAGACCTCTTGTTGCTAACAGCCGAGAGCTAGCAAGAAGCCAGGGCCCTCAGTCCTACTGACACAAGAAAACAAAGTCTGCCTACAATCTTAGCAAACTTTGAGGTGGATTCTTCCCCAGTCATGCCTCCAGATGATAAGGCAGGTTGGCTGACATCTTGATTTCAGTGTTGTTAAATCCTAAGCAGAGGACTCAGATAAACTGTTCCTGGAATCCTGACCTATAGAAATTGTAAGATAATAAGTGTGTAGTATTTTAAGCTGCTAATTTTGTGGTAATTAATTTGCTATGCAGCAATAATAAAATATAAGCCTAGAACATCTTGCTGTGTCAGAAAGTAAGAAGGGACTCAAATAACTGTAAGCTATGACAAAAGGACCCTGAAGTAAATTTGAAGGTGCTCTCACTAGCCATATCTGGGACAATATGAGATTCAAAATAAATAATAGTATTAATATAACTCATTGAATAAAATGGGAAATAATTAGTTCACATTTATATAAATAAATAACCAATCAATCAATGGAAAGAAGAGAGAGCTCTTCCTTGCTACTATAAGGACAACTAATTAGTATAGAAGAAATAATATAATTAGAAAATATTTATTTTGCAACCATCATAGTAATAGTTAATTCAGGCAGAAACATCAATAATTGCTAAAACTAGGGGTGAAAGTGGGATGATAAATGAATATTTACATAGCTTCAAAGTATCTTTCCACAAACTAATTAATTACAAAGGTAAAAGAATAAATTTACAGGGGAAAATCTGGAAGGTATCACCAAGAAATCAAACTTAACGTTAGCAGCAATTGGACATATTGACATTTGTACTTCTGATATGATGTACTGTGAAGGGTACAACATCACTTTCATAGTATTCCTGCCAAACATGCTTAACCTGCATCTAATCATGAGGAAGCATCAGACAAATCTTAACGTTTTGCCCATTATTGCAATAATGGCAAATGTAATAATTTGCCATTATTGCAATAGTTGGTGAAACTTGAATGTACTCTCTGGGTGAAGAATACATGGGAGTTGTTGTATTTATCTTGTAGTTTTCCCTCTGTAAGTTTAAAATTGTTTCCAAATAAAAAATTTAAAAAGGGGCCAGGAGTGGTGGCTCATATCTGTAATCCTAGCACTTTGGGAGGCCAAGGGAGTTGAGCCCAGGAGTTCGAGGCCTGGGCAACATGGTGAAACTCTGTCTCTACTAAATATATAAAAATTAGCCAAGTGTGGTGGCACATGCCTGTAGTCCCAGCTACTTGGGAGGCTGAGGTGGGAAGATCACCTGAGCCTGGGGAGGTCGAGGCTACAAGTGAGCTGTGATTGTATCACTGCACCCCAGCCTGGGTGACAGAGTAAGACCACCTCTCAAAAACACAAAGAAATTTAAAAAGGAAATATGTGCCAGGCACTGTCCCAGGTAGTAGAATACTTCTGGCAACAAAAACAGATACAAATTTCTGCTCTCATGGATTTTACCTTTTAGTGGGAGGAAATGAACACTAAATAAATCATTATACTGTAGTACGAATAAGAAAAAATATTTAAAAAATCATATCAAGTCATTTGGGAATAAATGCAATCATTAATAATAAACCAGAGGAAGAGCATAAGAGAGTGACTCCAGGACCTACCTATGTGGGCTGATAGGTGCTCTATTTAAATTAGGCTAGTCAGCAAAGGTCTCTTTGAGAGGTAATGTTTGAGTGGAGACCTAAAAGATAAAAGATTCAGTTATGCAAAGGTCTAGGGAAAGAGCACTCCAGGCATAGGAACCAGCAAGTTCAAAGTTCAAAGGACCTGAGGTGGGAATGAGCTTGGGATTTTTAGGAGTACCCCCTGGGATTATGAAGGTAGTTTAACATTGACTCCAACATTAAAAACAAAACCAAAAACAAACAAAAACAAAACAAAACAGGTGAGAATTTACAGCTATATAGTATGAACAGCAGAACTCTGAAATTTGACTTCTGGGTTCAAATCCAGTTTCTGCTACCAGCTATGTGACTCTGCGAAAACGCCTTAATCTTTCTGTGCCTCAGTTCCCTCATTTGTACATGAGAATTAATAATAGCTCCAACCTAAATAGGTTACTTGGAGAATTAAACGGATGAGTACGTGTAAAATGCTTAGGACAGTGTCCAGTGTGCTAACCCAATATATATTAGAAATTATCTTAACTGATTTGGCCTGGGCTCATTAACTGCCTGGTTGGTGTGTATGTGGCAGGATCCCAGGAAGTATAGCTTGTCTGGTTGTATGTTTCTGAGAGGGGACAGAGGAGCCCAGTCCTAAGAAATGTGACGTTGCACAGTAAGGGATGAAGGCTGCTTCCTGCTCATTCCTAGCCCCTACCAAAACCAGGTCCTGTGAAAGGGATTCTATCAGGTGTGACCCATTGAATAAAACAGGAAACCATGAATTTCCATTTGCATACATAAATAAAGACACAGTCAAAATCCCTTATTGAAGCCTAATTCTAATTTTTTATACTTAACCTAGACCCAAATTCAACTCATGTTTGAACTCTTCTAAATAAAAGCCATTCCTAATCTCTGTCCTGTATACAAATGAAGTCCTGACCCTTTGTCCAACCAAATCCTGACCACTTCTCCAGTCCGAAGTCTGCTGCTGGCTCCAAATCTAGCCTAGATCCGAATTTCACTCCAAGAGGTCCAAACTTGGCCCCATCTTCGGCCCCCCATCTTCACTTAATCTGTTACTGGCCTTGACTCAGGCCCCATTACAGCTCCGGTCTCAATCTTGGTGCTGTACTGGATAACTGTGCTGATCTTAGAAACATTTCTTATGAGGCACTCAGATTCCTGCCTTTCATTCCTAACATTTTTTAGGTGAACCATTGTGTTGGGGTGAATGAAATTATCTTGGGTGATGAGAGATGCTACTTCCATAATTTATTAGGGCCTGATCTTTCACTTATTTATTATTATCCCCTCAATGTGCTATTCCTTTTTGTCTTTGCTCGCGTTCTTCTCTTTAACTGCAATGCCTCCTCTGCTCCTGATCACCTCCCCAAATCCTTTAATGATCAACTCTTGATACTATATGTAGTGATACTATACTTCCCTTAGGACATGTTTCTGGGCCAGTGGATTCTATACCAATGTCTTTTGGACTTGCACTCACACTTTGTTTTACATCCTGATTTTTGGTGGAAAATTTCTATATAGGAGGGGCTGATCATTGGCATTCTGGGTGAATTGGTTCTTGAAAGTACATTTGCACAGCACTTTACCAGAAATTGAGAAAACAAATTTTCTAAATCAAATAATTTCAGGAGGGCTTCCATTTTGGGCAGCAGGATAACCTGAATGACCTTTCTGATTTAAACAACTAAAATTTTTAATAGAATATAAAGAAAATTAGATAGTTTAAAATGCCCTATTGAACTACCATTAGATTAAGAAGCAGATAAATCCTCAAAACAAGGTAGAGTATACGCATATAATGAGATTCTACTGAGAATTAAAGAGGACAAATGATGGAAACATGCTACAACATGGATGAACCTCAGAAACCTCATGCTAGGTGAAAGAAGGCAGGTACAGATGAGTATATACTATTTGATTCCACTTAAATGAACTTCAAGAACAGGTAAAACTAACCTATGGTATTAGAAACCAAGATAGTGTCTACACTTAGGGAGTAGTACTGGGAAGGGGCATGAGGGAAACTTCTGAGAGAAATGTTCTCTCTCTCTTTTTTTTAAGAGACCAGGTCTCACCCTGCAGACTGGAATGCAGTGGTGCAATCATAGCTCACTGTAACCTCAAACCCCTGGGCTGTAACAACCCTCCCACCTTAGCCTCCCAAGTAGCTGGGACTATAGGTGTGTGCCACTATGCCAGGCCAATTTTTTTTTTTTTTTTGAGGCAGGGTCTCAGTCTGTCTCCCAGTATGGAATGTAGTGGTGCGCTCTTGGCTCACTGTAGTCTCTGCCTCCTGGGCTCAAGTGATCCTTCCACTTTAGCCTCCCAAGTAGCTGGGACTACAGGTGCATGCCACCACGCCTGGCTAATTTTTATATTTTTTGTAGAGATGGGGTTTTGCTATGTTGCCTAGGCTGGTCTTGAACTCCTGGCCTTAAGTGATCCTCTGACCTCCGCCTCCCAAAGTGCTGGGATTATAGGTGTAAGTCACCATGCCTGACTGTTCTATATATCTTGTTCTGAGTGATGAAGATTTTTCTTTCTTTCCTTTCCTTTCCTTTCTTTCTTTCTTTCTTTCTTTCTTTCTTTCTTTCTTTCTTTCTTTCTTTCTTTCTTTCTTTCTTTCTTTCTTTCTCTTTCTTTCTTCTTTCTTTCTTTCTTTCTTTCTTTCTTTCTTTCTTTCTTTCTTTCTTTCTTTCTTTGTCTCTCTCTCTCTCTCTTTCTTTCTTTTTGTATATTTGCAAATTCATACAGCTGTTATTTGTGCTTGGAACCTACCCAAAGTCGGAAATGTAGTAGGAGAACCCCTGAGCAGAAAAAAAATGAAATTTCTAAAGACTGCACCTTAGTGTAAAGGTAAAGGAGAAATAAACCCTGTCAAGCAGAAGGGCAGAAAGAAAAATTGCTCATTTTGACTTTGTTGCTGAATTGAAAGAAAAAATTTCCCTATTGTAGCAATGGGGCACACCTAGGACCCAGATCTTGGATTTTAAGTATTATTTCTGACTAAAAAGGACTCAGAATGCCTTGGAATAATAGCTGATTCCAGGGCTGGATCAGGGAAGTTATAAGGCTGGAACATCTTGTGGTGGCAGAAAGTAAGGAAATGTCCTCCAGATGGTAGGTGCATGTCACAAGGACATAGGAGTCACCTTGAAGGAGTTTGCACTGGCCAGATCTGAGGCAATTTGATCATCATAATAAATAAAAATGTTAACAGATTATAACCATTGAATAAAATAGGGATCTATGAGTCTGCTCCAATAAATAAATAAATAAATGCAAGTCACATGTAGCTGGTGGCTACCTTATTGGATAGCACAGCTCTAGAGGATCTCACATATTTACATGAGGAGTCATGTATAAAAATGCCTATTGTAACATTGTTTGTAATAGCAGAAAATTAGAAGCAATATAAAAGTACATCAGAAGTAGAATGAATAAATAAAATTGTGGTTTATTTAGACAATGAAGCACATACAGCAGTGAAATGAATAATTTACTGTTACATGGGCCAACGTGGATGAAGCTCAGAGACATAATGTTAACTGAAAAAGCAAGTCATAAAAGAAAACACAAAATAATCTTTGATATAAAATTCAAAAGCAGGCAAAACAAGATATATAAGGATACAAACATAGCTAACAAATTAAATAGAAACAAGAAGCTACAAAATTTAGGGTAGTGGTTGTTTTTGTATAGGGGGAGTGCTGTGTGTATTGGGAAGGGCTTTTAAGGTAATATGTACCTGGGTAGTCATGTCTTTACTTTTTCTTTTTTTTGCCTGACACTTTCCACATGGAGATACATGTCATTATTTTTAAATTGCTTTTATATATGACACTTTAAGTTTTTAAATTAAAATTTTTTATTGAGGTGAAATTCACATAACCATAAAACTAACAATTTTATTTATTATTTTTTATTTTTCCATAAGTTATTGGGGTACAGGTGGTATTTGGTTACATGAGTAAGTTCTTTAGTGGTGATTTGTGAGATTCTGGTGCACCCTTCACCCAAGTAGTATACTCTGCAACATATTTGTAGTCTTTTATCCCTTGCCCCCCTCCTACTCTTTCCCCCGAGTCCCCAAAGTCCATCGTATCATTCTTATGCCTTTGCATCCTCACAGCTTAGCTCCCACATATCAGTGAGAACATACGATACTTGGTTTTCCATTCTTGAGTTACCTCACTTAGAGTAATAGTCTCCAGTCTCATCCAGGTCACTGCAAATACTGTTAATTCATTCCTTTTTATGGCTGCATAGTATTCCATCATATATACATATACCACAGTTTCTTTATCCACTCGTTTATTGATGGGCATTTGGGTTGGTTCCACGATTTTGCAGTTGTGGATTTTGCTGCTGTAAACGCGTGTGCAAGTATCTTTTTTGAATAATGACTTCTTTTCCTTTGGGTAGATACCCAGTAGTGGGATTGCTGGATCAAATGGTAGTTCTACTTTTAGTTCTTTAAGGAATCTCCACACTGTTTTCCATAGTGGCTGTACTAGTTTACATTCCCATCAGCAGTGTAGAAGTGTTCCCTGTTCGCTGCATCCACACCAATATCTACTGTTTTTTGATATTTTGATTATGGCCATTCTTGCAGGAGTAAGGCAGTATCTCATTGTGGTTTTGATTTGCATTTCCCTGATCATTAGTGATGTTGAGCATTTTTTTCATGTGTTTGTTGGCCGTTTGTATATCTTCTTTTGAGAATTGTCTATTCATGTCCTTATCCCATGTTTTGATGGATTATTTGTTTTTTTCTTACTGATTTGAGTTTTGTAGATTCTGGATATTAGTCCTTTGTCAGATGTATACATTGTATAAATTTTCTCCCACTCTGTGGGTTGTCTGTTTACTCTGCTGACTGTTCCTTTTGCCTTGCAAAGCTCTTTAGTTTAATTAGGTCCCAGCTATTCATCTCTGTTTGTATTGCATTTGCTTTTGGATTCTTGTCCATGAAATCCTTGCCTAAGCCAATGTCTAGAAGGGTTTTTCCGATGTTATCTTCTAGAATTTTTATAGTTTCAGGTCTTAGGTTTAAGTCCTTAATTTATCTCGAGTTGATTTTTGTATAAGGTGAGAGATGAGGATCCAGTTTCATTCTCCTACATGTGGCTAGCCAATTATTCCAGCACGATTTGTTGAATAGGCTGTCCTTTCCCTGCTTTATGTTTTTGTTTGCTTTGTTGAAGATCAGTTGGCTGTAAGTATTTGGGTTTATTTCTGGGTTCTCTATTCTGTTCCATTGATCTATGTGCCTATTTTTATACCAGTACCACACTGTTTTGGTGACTATGGCCTTATAGTATAGTTTAAAATCAGGTCGTGTGATGCCTCCACAATTGTTCTTTTTGCTTAGTCTTGCTTTGGCTATGTGGGCTCTTTTTTGTTTCCATATCAATTTTAGCATTGTTTTTTCTAATTCTGTGTGGAATGATGGTGGTATTTTGATGGGATTGTGTTGAATTTGTAGATTGCTTTTGGCAGTATGGTCATTTTCACAATATTTATTCTACACATCCATGAGCATGGGATGTGTTTCCATTTGTTTGTGTCATCTGTGATTTCTTTCAGCAGTGTTTTGTAGTTTTCCTCGTAGAGGTCTTTCACATCCTTGGTTAGGTATATTCCTAAGTATTTTATTTTATTTTTGTAGCTGTTGTAAAAGGGGTTAAGTTCTTGATTTGATTCTCTGCTTGGTCGCTCTTGGTATATAGCAGAGCTATTGATTTGTGTACATTAATTTGTATCCAGAAACTTGGCTGAGTTTTTTTTATCAGTTCTAGGAGCTTTCTGGAGGAGTCCTTAGGGTTTTCAAGGTAAACGATCATATCGTCAGCAAACAGTGACAGTTTGACTTCCTCTTTAGCAATTTGGATGCCTTTTATTTCTTTTTCTTGTCTGATTGCTCTGGCTAGGACTTCTAGCACTATATTGAAGAGGAGTGGTGAGAGTGGGTATCCTTGTCTTTTTCCAGTTCTCAGAGGGAATGCTTTCAACTTTTCCCCATTCAGTATTATGTTGGCTGTGGGTTTGTCATAGATGGCTTTTATTACACTAAGGTATGTCCCTTGTATGCCGATTTTGCTGAGAGTTTTAATCAAAGTGATGCTGGATTTTGTTGAATGCTTTTTCTGCATCTATTGAGGTGATCATGTGATTTTTGTTTTAATTCTGTTCGTGTGGTGTATCACATTTATTGACTTGTGTATGTTAAATCACACCTCCATCCCTGGTATGAAACCCACTTGATCATGCTGGATTATCTTTTTGATATGTTGTTGGATTCTGTTAGCTAGTAGCTTGTTAAGGATTTTAGCATCTATGTTCATCAAGGATATTGGTCTGTAGTTTTCTTTTTTGGTTATATCCTTTCCTGGTTTTGGTATTGGGGTGATGCTGGCTTCATAAAATGAATTAGGGAGAGTTCCTTTTTTCTCTGTCTTGTGGAATAGTGTCAAAAGGATTGGTACCACTTCTTTGAATGTTTGGTAGAATTCTGCTGTGAATCTGTCTGGTCTTGGACTTTTTTTTTGTTGGTAATTTTTAAATTACCATTTCAGCCTCGCTGCTTGTTATTGGTCTGTTCAGGGTATCTAATTCTTCCTGATTTAAGCTAGGAGGGTTGTATTTTTCCAGGAATTTATCCACCTCTTCTAGGTTTTCTACTTTATTTGCATAAAGGTGTGTTCATAGTACCCTTGAATGATCTTTTGTATTTCAGTGGTGTCAGTTGTAATATCTCCTGTTTCATTTCTTAGTGAGGTTATTTGGGTTTTCTCTCTTCTTTTCTTGGTTAATCTTGCTAATGGTCTATCCATTTTATTTACCTTTTCAAGGAACCAGATTTTTGTTTTATTTATCTTTTGTATTTTTTGTTTGTTTCAATTTCATTTAGTTCTGCTCTGATCTTGGTAATTTCCTTTCTTCTGTTGGGTTTGGGTTTGGCTTATTCTTGTTTCTCTAGTTCCTTGAGGTGTGAACTTAGAATGTCAGTTTGTGCTCTATCAGTCTTTTTGATGTAGGCACTTAGGACTATAAACTTTCCTCTTAGCGTTGCCTTTGCTGTATCCCCAAGGTTTTGATAGGTTGTGTCATTATTCTCTCAGTTCAAAGAATTTTTAAATTTCCTTCTTGATTTCATTTTTGACCCAATGCTCATTCAGGAGCAGATTATTTAATTTTCATTTATTTGCATGGTTCTAAAAGTTCCTTTTGGAGTTGATTTCCAGTTTCATTCCACTGTGGTCTGAGAGAGTGCTTGATATAATTCTGAAGTTTCCTTTTGGAGTTGATTTCCAGTCTTATTCCACTGTGTGTGGTCTGAGGGAGTGCTTGACAGAATTTCAATTTTCTTAAATTTACTGAGGCTAATTTTATGGCCTATCGTATGGTCTACCTTGGAGAAAGTTCCATGTGCTGTTGAATAGAATGTGTATTCTGTGGTTGTTGGACGAAATGTTCTGTATATATCTGTTAAGTCAATTTGTTCCAAGGTGTAGTTTAAATCCATTGTTTCTTTGTTCACTTTCTGTCTTGATGACCTGTCTAATGCTGTCAGTGGAATACTGAAGTCCCCCACTATTATTTGTTGCTGTCTATCTCATTTCTTAGGTCTATTAGTAATTGTTTTATAAATTTGGGGTCTCCAGTGTTAGGTGCATATATGTTTAGGATTGTGATATTTTCCTGTTGGACAAGGCCTTTTACCATTATATAATGTCCCTCTTTGTCTCTTCTAGCTGCTGTTGCTTTAAAATTTGTTTTGTCTGTTATAAGAATAGCTACCCCTGCTTGCTTTTGGTGTCCATTTGCATGAAATGCCTTTTCCCACCCCTTTACTTTATGTTAGTCCTTATGTGTTAGGTGAGTCTCCTGAAGGCAGCAGATGGTTGGTGAGTTCTTATCCATTCTGCATCTTTTAAGTGGAGCGTTTAGGCCATTTACATTCAATGTTAGTATTGAAATGTGAGGTACTGTTACTTTCATCATGCTTTTTGTTGCCCATGTACTTTGATTTTTTTGTTTTTTGTTTTTGCTTTTTAACATGTATTTTTCTTTTATAGGTCCTGTGTGATTTATGCTTTAAAGAGGTTCTGTTTTGATGTGTTCCCAGGATTTGTTTCAAGATTTAGAGTTCCTTTTAGCAATTCCTGTAGTGGTGGCTTGGTAATGGTGAATTCTCTCAGCATTTGTTTATCTGAAAATGACTGTATCTTTCCTTCATATATGATGCTTAGTTTTGCTGGATACAAAATTCTTGGCTGATAATTGTTTTGTTTGAGGAGGCTGAAGATAGGGCCCCAATCCCTTCTAGCTTGTAGGGTTTCTGCTGAGAAATCTGCTGTTAATCTGCTAAGTTTTCCATTATAGGTTACCTGGTGCTTTTGTCTCGCAGCTCTTAAAATTCTTTCTTTCGTCTTAACTTCGGATAACCTTATGATAATGTGGCTAGGCGAAGATCTTTTTGCGATGAATTTTCCAGGTATTCTTTGTGCTTCTTGTATTTGGATGTCTGGGTCTCTAGCAAGGCCAGGGAAGTTTTTCTTGATTATTCTACTGAATATGTTTTCCAAGCTTTTACGGTTCTCTTCTTTCTTAGGAACACTGATTATTCTTATGTTTGGTTGTTTAACATAATCCCAGACTCCTTGGAGACTTTGTTCATATTTCCTTACTCTTTTTTCTTTGTCTTTGTTGGATTAGGTTAATTCGAAGACCTTGTCTTTGAGCTCTGAATTTCTCTCTTCTACTTGTCCGGTTCTATTGCTGAGACTTTCGCAGAGCATTTTGCATTTCTAAAATTGTGTCCACAGTTTCCTGAATTTTTGACTGTTTTGTGTTTAAGCTATCTATTTCTTTGAATATTTCTCTCTTCAATTCTTGTATCATGTTTTTGGATTTCCTTGCATTGGGTTTCGTCTTTCTCTGGTCCCTCCTTGATTAGCTTAATAACTAACCTCCTGAACTCTTTTTCAGATAAATCAGGGACTTCTTCTTGGTTTGGATCCATTGCTGGTGAACTAGTGTGATTTTTTGGGGGGTGTTGAAGCACCTTGTTGTGTCATATTACCAGGGTTGGTTTTCTGGTTCCTTCTCATTTGGGTAGGCTCTGTTAGAGGGAAGGTCTAAGGCTGAAGGGATGTTCCCTTGATGTAGTAGTCTCCCCCTTTTCCTATGGATGTGGCTTCCTATGAGTCGAAATGCAGTGATTGTTGTCTGTCTTCTGGGTCTAGCTACCCAGCGAGTCTACCTGGCTCCCGGCTGGTACTGGGGGTTGTCCGCAGAGTCATATCATGTGAACATGAACCATCTGTGGGTCTCTCAGCTGTGTATACCAGCGCCTGTTCCTGTGGAGGTGGCAGGGGCAGGGTGGGGGGTGTGCAATAGATTCTGTGAGGATTCTTAGCTTTGTTGGTTTAATGCTCTTTTTTTGTGCTGGTTGACCTCCTGTCAGGAGGTGGTGGTTTCCAGAAAGCATCTGCTATAGTAATATAGAAAGGGACCGGCAGTGGGTGGGGCCCTAAAACTCCCAAGATTATATAACCTTTGTCTTCCACTACCAGGGTGGATAGGGAAAGACCATCAGGTGGGAGTGGGGCTAGGTGTGTCTGAGCTCACACTCTCCTTGGGTGGGCCTTGCTGTGGGTCTGTGGAGGGTGGGGGTGAGATTCCCAGATCACTGGAGTTGATTACCTAGGAGAATTATGGCTGCCTCAACTGAGTCATGCAGGTTGTCAGGGAAGTGAGGGAAGGCCAGCAGTCGCAGATCTCACCCAGCTCCCAGCAAACGAAGGGCCTGTCTCATACCCACTGTGCCCCCACAACAGCCCCAAGTCTGTTTCCAGGCGGAGGACATGACAGGCTTGAAAACTTGCCCCCGGCTACTCACCTTCCAGCTGTGATAGAAAAGGGCTTGGTTCTTCCCCTGCTTGTGGAGTCTGCACACCGGATTTGCGCCCTCCCCTGAGTTCTGATCAGGAGGCTTCTTGCCTGTTCAAATTGTTACAAAGTTCATCTAGAGATTTCCTTCTCCCTGTGGAGCTTTACCCCCTGCTCCTCTGGTCATCATCCCGCTGGATCCCTGTGGTGCCAGGCAGGAATAGCCTGTGAGGGGACGCAGCCAGCTCCCCGGGCCTTTCTGCTGCTTCCTCTACCCCTATATTTCGCTCGGCTCTCTAAATTGACTCAACTCCAGGTAAAGTCAGAAACTTGTCCTGCAAACAGAACTTCAGCTTCTCCAATGGGAGTGTGTGTTCAGGAGAGGAGGGTCTCCCTTTCCCATTTCCGCTGTTCGGGCGCTCACAGTATTTGGGGCGTCTCCTGGGTCCTGCAGGTGCAGTCTGCTTCCTTCAGAGGGTCTTTGGGTCCTCTTGGGATTGCTTGGGATTCTTGCAGTTGATCTGGAGCTGAAATTTACAACGTGAGCTTCCACCAACTGCTCTGTCCAGAGCTGCAATCTAATCTTGCCCTCCGTCCGCCATGATTGCCAAACACCTGAAACTAGTTTAAAGTGTCCTCTTCAGTGGCATTACTGTGCGACTACTCCATCTATCTAGTTTCACAACATTCTCATCACCCCAAAAGAAAACCCTATTACCATCAAGAAATCAATTCCCATTTCTCACTTCCACAGCATCTGGAAACTACCAATCTACATTCTTTTTCTATGCATTTATCTGTTCTGAATACCTCATATTAAATAGAATCATTAAATATGTGACCTTTTGTGTTTAGCTTCTTTCACTTAGCATAATGATTTTGTGGCTCATCCATGTTGTAGCATGTATCAGTTTTTCATTCCTTTTCATGGCTGAATAATATTTCATTGTAAGTAAATACCACAATTTGTTTCTCCATTCATATGTTGATGGACATTTGGGCTCTTTCCACCTTTTAGCTATTGTGAATAGTGTTGCTATGAACATACAGGTACATGTATTTGCGTACTAGTTTTCATTTCTTTTGGGTAAATACCTAGGAGTGGAATTGCTGGGTCATATGGCAACTCCATGTTTAACTTTTAGAGTAACTGTCAAACTGTTTTTCACAGCACCTTATATGTATACTTTACAATAAAAAATTTTTAAAAACCCAATAAAAGGCTGGAGATGTTAATGGAGTTAACTGGAGACGAAGTCTTCCCCTTTATCTCTACTAAGTATTTCCACCTCTGCTTTTCATCTAGTCTGTGCATTTTCTTTACCTTCGAAAACAGATGAAGGGAATTTTCCCAGAAGCCAGTACTTGCTTTTTTTTTTTTTTCCCTAAGACAGAGTCTCACTCTGTTGCCCAGGCTGGAGTGCTGTGGCGTGATCTCAGCTCACTGCAATCTCTGCCTCCCGGGTTCAAGCGATTCTCCTGCCTCAGCCTCCCGAGTAGCTGGGATTACAGGCGCCCACCACCACTCCCAGAAGCCAGTACTTCTGAATCCCAGGAGAAGCCTGTGTCAACAGCTTTTCTGAAACCTGGGAAATGTAACTGAAAAAGTAAAATATTTCCAGTAAGCATTTGTTATGTGCCAGGCAGTCTGTTAGCTGTTTCACGGATGTCATCACTTTGAAACTAATCAACTCTCCTGTGATTTTAATATTATCATGGTTTCAGTTTGTCTCTCTTGTGGTATCTAGCACAGAGCTGGAGGAACTCATTGAATGATATGGCTGGATAGGCAAGAGGTGGTGAATAAGAGGTTCAGTGTTCTCTGGGCACAGTGAGAAGGCCTGGCAAGGGCAGTGCCCGCCATATGGGCGCCACAAGCAGGCTACAGAAAGGGTTCTTCTTCAAACTGATATTCTTTAAATATTTGTTCAGCATTTATTTGGCAGGAGAAAGGAAAAACCAATTTTTTTTTAATAAAAATTGCATACCTTTCTGGATGTTCAAAATAAGGAACATATTATATGCACCAAACTTAGCATAATATTTTAACTTATTTGGAATTGCCTTTCATTTCATGGTTTTTCCATTTCTTGTAATTGGAGTGTGTTAGTCACTCACACTCACTAAGGGGAAAAGTAACTAACTGCCCATGGATAGAGACAGGAAGTCTTGTTTAAATATATTTGAAAAGTCTTTTGGCAAAATTATTTCTACTTTTAAGTAGTTTTTGTTCCCGTTTTAGTTTTTTCCCCCCCTGAACCTAACAACTCCTTAACAGGCACATTAAAATATTTTTATTTTGATAATAAACTGGATGACTTGTTGTAGACAGCCTTACACTGTGCATTTTTCAGTTTTAGGCTTTGAGAGTAAGGCTACTGCTGACCCTGGCTCCTTCTCCCCAAGTCAACTGGATAGTGTTAGCCTCAGGGCCTGGGGGGTATGAATGTGCACAATTGCAAAAATATTCCATAAATAGTATGAGCTTGTAAGGGGTTTGTTACTATTGTGTTTATTTCCATGTCAGTTAACTTTGGTAGAGAGGATGGGACCAATTTTTGCTTCACCAGTTAGTTGAGAAGTTTCTTATAGAAATCTGAGTTAATTAGCATAGATTTAATCCCATGATATTGTTTCCTTTTGTGTAGTGGGAAGCAACTGGCTAACTGGTCCACTACTTAAACTGGCTTGTTATTTGTGTGGGAAAAGGAAAAGGTCATTCTTAACCAAGAAGGAGGCTGTTCTTTAGATTTCAAGTCCATGTGCCAAGAATCTGGGGAAAGAGAAAACTTCTGTGCTTGTGCCTGGATCCCATCCTCTTCTGTTTCTTTAGCTACTTCACCAATTATCCCTTTCTTTTCAGAAGTTTCAACTTACCTTCTATTAGCATTGGAGGATGTTCAATATTTTTCCATTGGAAAAAGGAAACCCACATCCCTTTGGCTACTTCCCCATAAGCCTTCTCCTTCACACAAAACAATTTCTTGAATGAGTTGTTCACACTTACGTTTCCTCACCTTTTACCCACTCATCAACCCACTGTGATTTGGCTTTTCCCTCTGCCCTCTACTATAATTGCATCTACCACCATCAACCAACTATCTCTTACTTGTTAAATTCAGTGGCTTTTAGCTGTGTTTTCTCTCTCCTTAATTTGTCACCACATTTATCTCTGTTGACAATTTTCCCCCCGCTAGAAACTTACTCTGGCTTTCAGAAACTTCTCTGGTTGCTGGGGTCTGAATGTGTACTCCCTTCCCGCAAATTCATATGTTGAAACCTAACCTCCAAGGTGATGGAATTAAGAGGTATAGCCTTTGGGAGGTGATTAAATAATGAGGAGACCTCATAAATGGGATTAGTACCTTTATGAAAGAGGCCTGAAGGATCTTGTTTGCCCCTTCCACTGTGTGAGAACACAGCTAGAAATCACCATCTATGGGGAATGAGCCCTCACCAGACACTGAAATTGTCAGCAGTTGGATCTTGGACTTCTACACCTTCGGACCTGTAAGAAATACGTTTCTGTTATTTATAAGCTATCCAGTTTATGGTATTTTGTTGTAGCAGCCCAAACAGACTAAGACACTGATTCTCCCACTATTCCAATGGGTCTCTTTCAGTCTTCTTCATGGGCCTTTCTCAGTCTCTTTTATATATTCTTTTCCTTCCTATTCTCTAAATTTGAGTACTTTAAAAAAATTTAGCTCTCAGTTAAAAAAAATCTCATTTATTCCCCTGGCTTTCCCATGCTGGAGAGGCCACATATAGGAGCTGGCTTCAGTTATCATCTGTATGCTGATGGCTCCTAGATCTTTCCCTTTTGCTCATTCCTCCCTCTTGAGCTCTAGACATTTATATTTGAAGGCCTCCTGATTATCTGCCCCGGCAGTCTTGCAAGTATCTGAAACTCAACATATATTAAACTCTGCTTATCATCTTCATCCCCCTAGTCCTTCTAAACTTGCTCCTCCTCCTGGCTTTCCCAAGTCAGCAAATAGCCCCTCTGTCTGCTCAGTTATCCAAACAGAAACTTGAGCATCAGCCTAGAGTCAGCCCTTTCCTTCGAAGTCTTACGAATTCTCTCTTTTCAACAGATCCATGTTCTAGGTGATGTGGTAATCTTGCCTCTAGTCATTTTCCCTACAGTAAGATTGATCTTCTTGGAGTCTAGTTCTGATCACATGACTTCCATGCTCAAAAATAAGCACTAGATCACAATAGAAAAATGGATAAAGAACACAAATAGACAATTCCCAGAAGAAACACAAATGGACTGGGCTGGGCATGGTGGCTCATACCTGTAATCCCAGTGCTTTGAGAGGCTGAGGCAGGAGGAGTTGGAGCCCAGGAGTTGGAGACCAGGCTGGGCAACATAGTGAGACACCATCTCTGCAAAAAAATTTAAAAAAATTGCCAAACATGGTGACATACACCTATCATCCCAGCTACTTGGGAGGCTGAGTCAGGAGGATCTCTTGAGTCCAGGAGTTCAAGTCCATAGTGAGCTATGATTGTGCCATTGCACTCCAGCCTGGGTGGCAGAGTGAGACCCTGTTTTTAAAAAAAACCCACAAATGGGCAATAAATATCTAAGAAGGGGCTCAATCTCACTTATAATAAAAATTAAAGCACCATGATACCAGTCTTCACTTGCCAGATTTGCTAAAACCTAGGGTTAGTGAGGGGAAATGGACACTCATACACAGATGGTGGGAGTGTAAACTGGCAGAACCTTTTGGAGGCAATTTGGCAGCATGTATCAGAATATTAAGCATGTATACCCTTTGATGCACTTTTAGATTTTATTCTACAGAAATACACAAGTATATATATATACAAAGACATTTATTACATTATTGTTCACAATAAGGAATTGGAAATAATCGAAATATCAACAATGAAATTATTAAATAAGTAATGGTATATACAATATATACATAAAAGATTACTAAGCTGCTTTTAAAAATAATAAAGTATCTGTTTAACACGACATGGAAAGATGATGACAATTTATTAAGCAGAAAGAGAAAGTTTCACAATAGTGTATTAATCTCATTTCTGTAAATAATTATTTTTTGTATATATATAAAAACTTTTGGAAATATAGGTACAAACATTAACTGCGGGAGTAGGAGTTACAGGAGTAGGGAGGATGGGGGCTTATACATTCTGTTTTGCGCAATTTTTTTTTTTAATTTTTAAAGACAAGGTCTCACTGTATTGCTCAGGCTGGTCTTGAACTCCTGGGCTCAAGCAATCCTCTTGCCTCGGCCTTCCAAAATGCTGGGATTACGGATGTGAGCCACTGTGCCCAGCCTGTTTTACATACTTCTATACCCTCGATTGAGGATGTTTTGTTTCCTGAGGTAGAGATATGATATGGGGATGGAGTTAGGTGGGAAACAGATCTAGGGATATGGATGTTACCTGGTGCCAATTACAATCTGGGAAGTCCACAGAAAGACTGAGGCAACCATTAGCATTGCTAGAGGATGATGCAGATTATAGTGAACCAGGCACTGGTACAAAGAAGTTAGATTTTTTGGGGTGCTGTTCACTAGCAGAAACATTAAGGCCCCAGGTTTTTTCCACCTTTCCACTTGGCTATTTGAAATATGTCTGCCTGTTTTATTTATTTATTTGTTTTTATTTTTTGTGGGTACATAGTAGGTGTATATAATAATGGGGTACATGAAATTTGCTGATACAGGCATGCAATGTGTAATAATCACATCATGGAAAATGGGGTATCCATCCATTCAAGCATTTATCCTTTGTGTTACAAACAATACAATTATACTCTTTCGGTTATTTTAAAATGTGCAATTAAATTATTATAGACCATAGTTACCCTGGTGTGCTATCAAATTCTAGATCTTATTCATTCTTTCTATTTTTATTTTGTACCCATTAACCACCCCAACTTCTCTCTCACCACCCCCGCACCCCCATTACCCTTCCCAGCTTCTGGTAACCATCCTTATACTCTCTATCCCCGTGGGTTCAGTTGTTTTAATTTTTAGCTCCCACAAATAAGTGAGAACATGCAATGTTTGTCTTTCTGTGCCTGACTTATTTCACTTAACATAATGGCCTCCAGTTCCATGTTGTTGCAAATGGACTGGTTCTCATTCTTTTTTATGGCCAAATAGTACTCCGTTGTGTATATGTACCACATTTTTCTTTATCCATTCATCTGTTGATGGACACTTAAGCTGCTTCCAAATCTTGGCTATTATGAACAGTGCTGCAACAGACATGGGAGTGCAGATATCTCTTCCTTATAATGATTTCCTTTTTTTTAAGTACATGCCCAGCAGCGGGATTGCTGGATCATATGGTAGCTCTATTTTTAGTTTTTAAAGGAACTTCCAAACTGTTATCCATAGTGGTTGTACTAATTTACATTCCCACCAATAGCGTGTGAGGTTCCCTTTTCTCCATATCCTCTCCAGCACTTGTTATTGCCTGTCTTTTGGTTAAAAGCCTGTCTGCCTTTTTTGTAGGTGAGCTTCCTCATGGTTTCACAATGGCTGTCACAGCTCCAGACAACACATGAAGAAAGCTGTGTCCAAAGCATAAAGTGGACCTTCCTTTTTCTATGTTTCTTTTAAAGATCAAGAAAAACTTTTCTGGGAGAAAAACTTTATTAGTCAGAGTCCTGGCAGGAAACAGATCGCTACACAATGACAGGTTATCTTTTTCATAAATGGCTGCAGCAATCTCACTCATCCCACATACTTTAATACAATGAGACCTTACCATTTCCCCATTAAGAGGTGAAGTCAAGTTCTCCTCTCTTTGAATATGAGTGGGCTTGTGAATTTATCAGTCATTAGCATATAGCAGAAATGATGGCTGTGTGACCTTTTAGGCTAAGTCATATAAAATGATGCAGCTTTTGCCTGATTAATTGGAACACTTATACTTGTAGCCCTGAGCTGCCATGTAAGAAGTCCAACTGAGACAGTCATGCTGTAGAGACCAAATGTAGAAACTCTGGTCAACAGCTCAGTTGAGCTCTTAGCTGACAAGCAGTATCGACTATAAGCCATTTGAGTGAGCCTTCTTGGACATCCAGTAAAGTTTTCAGATGACTGCAGCCCAAGCTGACATCTAACTACAACTGCAAGAAAGACCCAAAGAGAACATTTTCCAGCTGAGCCCTTCCCAAATTCCTGACTCAAAAATTGTGAGAAAAATAAAATGATTGTTTTAAGCCACTAAGTTTTGGGGTATTTTGTTACACATCACTAGTAATTGGAACACACAGCCTGAGCAACATGGCAAAATCCCATCTGTACAAAAATTACAAAAATGAGCCGGGCATGATGGCCTGCACCCATAGTCCCAGCTACTTGGAAGGCTGAGGAGGGAGAATCGCTTGAACCCAGGAGGTTGAGGCTGCAGTGAGTTGTGCTCACCCCACTGCACTCCAGCCTGGGCAACAGAGAGAGGCCCTCTCTCAATAAAAATAAATAAATAATTGTAGGAAAGTCATCTTTGGATTTCCATCCACATCTCAGTTTTCATCACATGCACACCAGTTATCTTCCTTGGTGTAAAATGATAGGAACCATGTAAAGAATTATTGTATTCTTATCTGGTTCCTTTTTCAGCAGTTTCTCTTGTGGCACACATACATTTATACTTTACTTCCCTAATTTCAACATACAAAGCACACAAGGAGATTTTTATTCCACTTTACTTTTAGAGTGCTTATATTTGACAGAGTGGCACCCTGTCTCTTAAAAAAATTATACCAATTTTAATAGATACGTAGTGATTTGGTTTGGATTTGCATTTCTCTAATGACTAATAATGTTGAGCATTTTTTCACTTGCTTATTGTTTATTTGTATGTCTTTTTGTTGAGAAATATCTAAGTCCTTTTCTCCTTTTAAAATTGGGTTGTCTTTTTGTTGAGTTGCAGGAATTTTTTTTTTTTTTTTTTTTTTTTTTTTGGAGACGGAGTCTTGCTCCGTCGCCCAGGCTGGAGGGCACTGGCATGATCTTGGCATGCTGCAACCTCTGCCTCCTGGGTTCAAGCGATTCTCCTGCCTCAGCCTCCTAAGTAGCTGGGACTACAGGCACGTGCCACCATGCCCGGCTAATTTTTGTATTTTTAGTAGAGATGGGGTTTCACTATGTTGGCCAGGCTGTTCTTGAACTCCTGACCTCAGGTGATCCGCCTGCCTCGGCCTCCCAGGGTGCTGGGAGTACAGGCATAAGCCACTGCACCCGGCCGAGTTGCATGAGTTTTTAAATATTATGAATATTAAACACTTATCAGATATATAATTTATAAATATTTTCTTCCATTCTGTGAGGTTGTCTTTTCACTTTCTTGGTAATGCCCTTTCATGCATGAAATTTGTAAACTGATGAAATCTAATCTATTTTTTTCTTTTGTTGCTGTTTCATATGTTTTGGTATATTCTAGAAACCATTGCCAAGTCCAGTGTTAGGAAGATTTACCCATATATATTTTCCTAAGGGTTTTATGGTTTTAACTCTTACATTTAGGTCATTGATCAATTTTGAGTTAATTTTTGTATATGATGTGAGGTAGGGGGTCTGACTTCATTCTTTTGCATGTGGAAATTCAGTTGTCCCAGCACCATTTGTTGAAGAGACTGTTCTTACCCTATTTAATGGACTTGTCACCTTTGTCAACAATCAATTGGTCATAGGTGTATGGGTTTGTTTTTGAACTCTCAATTCTATTCCAATGGTCTATATGTCTATCTTTATACTAGTACCACACTGTTTGGATCACTTTAGTAGTAAGTTTTGAAATCAGGAAGTATGAGTCCTCCAATGTTGTTGTTCTTTTTTAAGATCATTTTGACTATTAAGGGCCCCTTGCAATTCCATATGAATTTGAAGATTGGCTTTTCCATTTCTGCAAAAAAAGGATGTTGAAATATGTTTTTTTTTCCTTTGAGACGGAGTCTCACTCTGTCGCCCAGGCTAGAGTGCAGTGGCATGATCTCAGCTCACTGCAACCTCTTGTTTCCAGGTTTAAATGATTCTCCTGCCTCAGCCTCCTGAGTAGCTGGGATTATAGGCATGTGCCACTACACCCGGCTAATTTTTGTATTTTTAGTAGAGATGGGGTTTCACCATGTTGGTCAGGCTGGTCTTGAATTCCTGACCTTGTGATCCGCCTGCCTCGGTCTCCCAAAGTGCTAGGACTACAGGCGCGCGCCACTGTGCCTGGCCAGGTGTTGAAATTTTGATAGGGATTGTTTTATATCTGTACATCCTTTTGGATAGTATTGATGTATTAACAATATTAAATCTTCCTACCCATTAACATGGGACTTGTCTTTTCATTTTTTTCAGGAATGTTTTGTAGTTTTCAGTGTACAAGCCTTTCACATTTTTGGCCAAATTTATTCTTGGTTATTTTATTCTTTTAGATGGTGTTGTAAATTGAATTATTTTTTTAATTTCCATTTTGGATTGTTCATTGCAGGTATATAGAAACACAACTAATTTTTTGTATGTTGATCTTATACTCTGTAACTTTGCTGAATTTGTTTATATACTCTTGTAGCTTTCTTGTGGATTCTTTGGGATTTTTTTTTTTTCCCTTGAGACAGGGTCTCACTCTGTCACCCTGGCTGGACTGCAGTGGCGTGAGCTCAGCTCACTGCAGCCTCGACTTCTCGGGCTCAAGTGATCTTCCTCCCTCAGCCCTCTGAGTAGCCGGGATCACAGGCATGTGCCACCATGCCTGACTAATTTTTGTAGTTTTTGGAGAGACGGGGTTTTGCAGTGTTGCCCAGGCTGTTCTCAAACTCCTTGGCTCAAGCAATTCACCCGCCTCGGCCTCCCTAAGTGCTGGGATTATTATCCTGGCTGGGTGCAGGCATAAGCCACTGCATCCAGACAGGATATTCTATATAGAGGATCATGTCATCTGTGAATAGAGATAGTTTTACATCTTTCTGTATTAGTTTGCTAGGGCAGCTATAACAAAGTACCATAGGCTGGGTGGCTTAAACAACAGACATTTATTTTCTCACAATTCTTGAGGCTTGAAGTCTGAGATCAAGGAGTTAGCAGGAATGATTTCTTTTTTTTTTCTTTTTCTTTTTTTTTTTTTTTTTGAGACAGAGTCTCGCTGTTTTGTCCAGGTTGGAGTGCAATGGCGTGATCTCGGCTCACTGCAACCTCCGTCTCCCGGGTTCAAGCGATTCTCCTGCCTCAGCCTCCCAAGTAGCTGGGATTACAGGCACCCACCACTACACCTGGCTATTTTTTTTTGTATTTTTAGTAGAGACGGGGTTTCACCATGTTAGTCAGGCTGGTCTCAAACTCCTGACCTCAGGTGATCCGCCTGCCTCGGCCTCCCAAAGTGCTGGGATTACAGGCATGAGCCACCGCACCTGGCAGGAATGATTTCTTCTGAGGCTTCTCTCTTTGGCTTGTAGATGTGTCTCCGTGTGTCTTTACATGGTCTCTTTTCTGTGTATATCTGTGTTCTAATCTCTTCATAAGAGCTTTGGCTTTGATATCATGCCATAATGAAAGTAGTTCTCTACCATTAGATATTTTGGTTATTTCCAATTTTCCCTTATTATAGGTAAGGCTATAGTAAATACTTAAACCAGTCATATTGAATTAGAGCCCATCTTAGTGAGCTCATTTTAACTTAATTACCTCTTTAATGACCCTATCTACAAATTCAGCTATATTCTAAGGTACTGGGGTTTGGGACCTCAATATATGCATTTTGGGGGGACAAAATTGAGCCCATAACACTTTCCAATTTGGATGCCTTTTATTTATTGTTCTTGTCAGATTGCTCTGACTAGAACTTCAGTACAACATTGAACAGCAGTGGTGAGAGAGGGCATTCTTGTCTTGTTCCTTATTTTAGGAAGAAAGCTTTCAGTCTCTCACCATTGAGTCAGTCTGATGTTAGCTCTGGTTTTGTTTTGTTTTTTTTTTTTTTTAATAAATGCCATTTATCATGTAGAGGAAGCGCTCTTCTATCCCTACTTTTCTGAGAGTTTTTATCATGATAGGGTGTTGGATTTTGTCAAAGAGCTTTTCTGTATCACTTGGGATGATCATATGTGTTTCTTTGACTTTGTTCTATTAATGTAGTGTATTATATTGTTTGATTTTCTTATGTTCAACCTCCCTTGCATTCCTGGGATAAATTCCACTTGGATATGGTGTATAGTCCTTTTAATATGATGTTGGATTCAGTTTGCTAATATTTTATTGAGTACTTGTGCATATATATTTGTAAGGGATATTGGTCGGTAATATTCTTTTTTTGGGCACAGTAGTATTTATTATAGCCTTATTTATAATAGGGGAAAATTGGAAATAACTAAAATATCTAATGGTAGAGAACTATTTAAATTATGGCATGACATCAAAGCCAAAAGTCATAGTTAATAATATGGATAGATTTGATTATATTACAAAATTTTAAACCACTGTATCAAAATTTTCGGACAATGACAAAGCAGAAAAAGTTTTTATAACATGACAAAATATATGTGTATATACATATATGTTTCAACACATTTTTCCTTTTATTTTTAGTTGACAGGTAATAATTATACATATTTATGGGATACAGACGGATATTATGATACATGTATACAATGTATAATGATCAAATCAGGGTGATTAACATATTCATCACCTTAAAATAAATTTGTGTTGTAAACATTCAAAATAGTCTCTTCTGACTTTTTGAAAATATACAATAAATTGTAGTTTAACCATATTAATTCTACAGTGCTGCAGAATGATAGAACTCATTCCTCATATCTAGCTGTAATTTCGTATCTGTTAACCAAACCCTCCCCAGTCTCCCTTCTCCCTCCCAGTCTCTAATACTCACAATTCTACTCTCTACTTCCATGAACTCAAATTTTTTTTAGCTCTCACATATGAGTGAAAATATGCAGTATTTATCGTTCTATGCCTGACTTATGTCACTTGATATAATATGCTGTAGGCTTGCCCATGTTGCCACTAATGACAGGATTTCATTCTTTTTAAGGTTGAGTAGTATTCTATTGTGTATATATACCATGTTTTCTTTATCCATTCATCCACTGATGGAAACTTAAGTTGATTCCATCTTGAGTATTGTGAATAGTGCTGCAATAAACATAGGGGTGCAGGTATCTTTTTGATATACTGATTTTGTTTCCTTTGGATAAATAATCTGGAGTTGCTGAATCATATGGTAGTTCTATTTTTAGTTTTTTGAGAAACCTCCACATGGTTTTTTATGTCTGCACTAATTATACTTCCACCAACAGTGTATAAGTGTTCCCCTCTCTCCATGTCCTCGCCAACATTTGTTATTTTTGTCTTTTTGAAAATAGCCATTCTGAGGTGATATGATATCTCATTGTGGTTTTGATTTGCATTTACCTGATCATTAGTGATGTTGAGCATTTTTTCCATGTTTGTTGCCATTTGTATGTCTTCTTTTGAGAAATATCTATTTAGTTCTTTTGCCCACTTTTCAATTGGATTATTTGATTTTTTTTGCTTTTGAGTTGTTTGATTTCCTTGTATATTCTGAATTTTCATCCCTTGTTGGATGAATACTTTACAAATATTTTCTCCTATTCTGCAGGCTGTCTCTTCACTCTGTTGGTTGTTTTCCTTTGATGTGCAGAAACTTTTCAATTTTTTTTTTTGAGACAGCATCTCACTCTGTCACCCAGGCTGGAGTGCAGTGGCATGATCTTGGCTCACTGCAACCTCCACCTCCTGGGTTCAAGCGATTCTCCTGCCTCAGCCTCCCAAGTAGCTGGGACTACAGATGTGCGCCACGATGCCCGGCTAATTTTTGTATTTTTAGTAGAGATGGGGTTTCACCATGTTGGCCAGGCTGGTCTCGAACTCCTGACCTCAAGTGATCCGTCCACTTTGGCCACCCAAAATGCTGGGATTACAGGTGTGAGCCACTGTGGCCAGCAGAAGTTAAACTCCTCATGTATTTCTGAAGTATCAGTTGTAATGTTTCCTTTTTCTTTTCTGACTTTATTTATTTGGGTCTTCTCTCTTTTTTTTTTCAGTTTGTCTAGCTAGTGATTTATCAATTTTGTTTATCTTTTCAAAAAACCAACTTTTTATTTTGTTGATGCTTTGTGGTTTTTCTTTAAGCCTGTATTTTGTGAAGTCCTGTTCTGATCTTTATTATTTCTTTCCTTCCACTAATTATGGTTTTGGTCTGTTTTTACTTTTCTAGTTCCTTGAAATGCATCATTAGATTGTTTACTTGAAATTTATTTTTTGGATGTAGGCATTGATTGCTATCAAGTTTCCTCTTAGCAGTGTTTTGCTCTATCCCATAAGTTTGATATATTGCATTTCTATTTTCATTTGTTTCAAGATATTTAAAAACTTTTCTTCTTAATTTATTCATTAACTCAATGATTGTTTATTAGCATGTTGTTTGTTTCATGTGTTTTACTGTTTCCAAAATTCCTCTTATTATTTTTCTTTATTATTATTTTTATTTCAATAGTTTTTGGGGAACAGGTGGTGTTACAGGTGGGGTTTGGTTACATAGATAAGTTCTTTAGTGGTGATTTCTAAGCTTCTGGTGCACCCATCACCCGAGCAGTGTACACTGTACCCAATGTGTAGTCTTTTATGCTTCACACCCCTCCCTCCCTTCCCCCTAAGTCCCCAAAGTCCATTGTATCATTCTTATGCCTTTGTGTCATCATAGCTTAGCTCCCAATTTTAAGTGAGAACATATGATGTTTGGTTTTCCATTCCTGAGTTACTTCACTTAGAATAATGGTCTCCAACTCCGTCCAGGTTGCTGAAAATGCCATTATTTTGTTCCTTTTTATGGCTGAGTAGTATTCCGTGGTGTGTGTGTGTGTGTGTGTGTGTGTGTGTGTGTGTGTGTATTCTTTATTTACTTGTTGATTGATGGGCATTTGGGCTGGTTTCATATTTTTTCAATTGTGAATTGTGCTGATATAAACATGCATGTGCAAGTGCCTTTTCATAGAGTGACTTCTTTTCCTCTGGGTGAGATTGCTGGATCAAATGGTAGATCTACTTTTAGTTCTTTAGGGAATCTTGACAATGTTTTCCATGATTGTTGTACTAGTTTACATTCCTACCAACAGTGTAAAAGTGTTGCCTTTTCAACACATCCATGCCAACATCTATTATTTTTTGATTTTTAAATTATGGTCATTCTTCCAGGAGTAAAGTGGTATTGCATTGTGGTTTTGATTTGCATTTTCCTGATAATTAGTGACGTTGAGCATTTTTTTTCATATGTTTGTTTGCCATTGGTATATCTTCTTTTGAGAATTGTCTATTCCTGTCCTTAGCCCACTTTTTGGTGGGATTATTTGTTGTTTTTTTTTCCTGCTGATTTGTTTGAATTCCTTGTAAATTTTGGATATTAGTTCTTTGTCAGATGCATAGTTTGCAGGTATTTTCTCCCACTATGTGGGTCGTCTGTTTACTCTTTTGCTTATTTCTTTTGCTGTGCAGAAGTTTTTTTAGTTTAATTAAGTTTCCTCTTCGTTTTTGTATTATATAAAACATAATATAATATAATTATAAAATATAATTATATAAAATATAATTATAATTAAATATAAAATATAATTATAAAATATAATTTATATATAAAAATTATATATATATAATTTTTTGCAGCTATTGTAAAAGGGGTTGAGTTCTTGATTTGATTCTCAGCTTGGTTACTGTTGGTGTATAGTAGGGCTACTGATTTGTGTATGTTGCTTTTGTATCCTGAAACTTTACTGAATTCATTTATCAGATCTAGAAGCTTTCTGGAGGAATCTTTAGGGTTTTCTAAGTATAGGATCATATCATCAGTGAACAGTGACAGTTTGACTTCCTTTTTATCAATTTGGATGTCCTTTATTTCTTTCTCTTGTCTGATTGCTCTGGCTAGGACTTCAAGTACTATGTTGAATAGAAGTGGTGAAAGTGAGCATCCTTGCCTTGTTCCAGTTCTCAGAGAGAATGCTTTCAACTTTTCCCCATTCAGTGTAATGTGGGCTGTGGGTTTGTCATAGATGACTTTTATTACACTAAGGTATGTCCCTTGTATGCCGATTGTGCTGAGGTTTTAATAATAAAGGGATGCTGGATTTTGTCAAATGCTTTTTCTGTGTTTATTGAGATGATCATGTGATTTTTGTTTTTAATTCTCTTTATGTGTATTACATTTATTGACTTGTATATATTAAACTATCCCTGCATTCCTGGTATAAAACCCACTTGATCATGGTGGATTATCTTTTTGATATGCTGTTGGATTTGGTTAGCTAGTATTTTGTCAAGAATTTTTGCATCTATGTTCATCAGGGATATTGGTCTGTAGTTTTCTTTTTTGGTTATGTCCTCTCCTGGTTTTGGTATTAGGGTGATACTGGCTTCATAGAATGATTTAGGGAGGATTTCCTTTACTCTATCTTTTGCAATAGTTTCAGTAGGATTGGTACCAATTCTTTGACTGTCTGATCGAATTCAGCTGTGAATGCATTTGGTCCTCTACTTTTTTTTGTTGGCAATTTTTTATTTTCATTTCAATCTCACTGCTTGTTATCAGTCTATTCAGAGTTTATATTTCTTCCTGGTTTAATCTAGAAGGGTTGTATGTTTCCAGGTATTTATCCATTTCCTCTAAGTTTTCTAGTTTGTGCATGTAAAGGTGTTCATAGTAGCCTTGAATGATCTTTTGTATTTTTGTGGTATCAGTTGTAATATCTCCCTTTTCATTTCCAATTGAGCTTATTTGGATCTTCTGTCTTCTTTTCTCGGTGAATCTCATTAATGGTCTATCAATTTTGTTTATCTTTTCAAAGAACCAGCTTTTTGTTTCATTTATCTTTTGTATTTTTTTGTTAAAATTTTATTTAGTTCTGCTCTGATCTTTCTTACTTCTTTTCTTCTGCTGGGTTTGGGTTTGGTTTGTTCTTGTTTCTGTAGTTCCTTGAGGTGTGACCTTAGCTTATCTATTTGTGCTTTTTCTGACTTTTTGATGTAGGCATTTAATGCTATGAACTTTCCTCTTAGCACCACTTTTGCCATGTCCCAGAGGTTTTGATAGGTTGTGTCACTATTATTGTTCAGTTCAAAGAACATTTTAATTTCCATCTTGATTTCATTGTTGACTCAAAGATCATTTAGGAGCAGATTATTTAATTTCCATGTATTTGCATGGTTTTGAGGGTTCTTTTTGGAGTTGATTTCCAATTTTGTTCCACTGTAGTCTGAGAGAGTACTTGGTATAATTTCGATTTTCTTTTGTTTTCTTTTCTCCTTCTTTCCTTCCTTCCTTCCTTCCTTCCTTCCTTCCTTCCTTTCTTTCTTTTTCTTTCTTTCTTTCTTTCTTTCTTTCTTTCTCTTTCTTTCCCTTTCTTTCCCTTTCTTTCTTTCTCTTTCTTTCTTTCTTTCTTTCTTTTCTCTCTCTCTCTCTCTTTCTTTTTTGAGACAGAGTGTCACTTTGTCACCCAGGCTGGAGTGCAGGGCACAATATTGGCTCACTGTAACCTCTGCCTCCTGGGTTCAAGTGATTATCCTGCCTCAGCCTCCTGAGTAGCTGGGATTACAGGCGTCCATCACCACTCCCGGCTAATTTTTATATTTTTAATAGAGATGGGGTTTCACCATGTTAGCCAGGCTGGTCTCTAACTCCTGACCTCAGGCGATCCACCCGCCTCAGCCTTCTAAAGTGCTGGGATTACAGGCATGAGCCACCTCTCCTAGCCTAATTTCAATTTTCTTAAATGTATTGAGACTTGTTTTGTGGCCTATCATATGGTCTATCTTGGAGAATGTTTCATGTGCTGATGAATAGAATGTGTATTCTAAAGTTGTTGGGTAGAATGTTCTGTAAATATCTGTTAAATCCATTTGTTCAAGGGTATAGTTAAAGTACATTTTTTCTTTGTTGACTTTCTGTCTTGATGACCTGTCTAGTGCTGTCAGTGGAGTATCAAAGTCCCTCACTATTACTATGTTGCCATCTATCTCATTTCTTATCTAGTAGTATCTAACAAATACTACTAGGTCTAGTAGTAATTGTTTTATAAATTTGGGAGCACTTATATATAAAAGTGCATATATATTTGGGATTGTGATATTTTCCTGTTGGACTAGTCCTTTTATCATTATGTAATGTCCCTCTTTGTCTTTTTTAACTGTTTTTGCTTTAAAGTCTGTTTTGTCTGATATAAGAATAGCTACTCCTGCTCGCTTTTGGTGTTCTTTTGCATGGAATATCTTTTTCCAACCCTTTACCTTAAGTTTATGTGAAACCTTATGTGTTAGGTGAGTCTCTTGAAGACAGCAGGTACTTGATAGGTGAATTCTTATCCATTCTGCCATTCTGTATCTTTTAAGTGGAGCATCTAGGCCATTTACATTCAATGTTAGTATTGAGATGTGAGGTACTATTCTATTCATCATGCTGTTGTTGCCCGAATATCTTGTTTGTTTTTCCATTGTGTTATTGTTTTATAGGCCCTGTGAGATTTATGCTTTAAGGAGGTTCTATTTTTGGTGTATTTTGAGGTTTGGTTTCAAGATTTAGAACTCCTTATAGCAGTTCTTGCAGTGCTTGCTTAGTAGTGGCAAATTCTCTCAGCATTTGTTTGTCTGAAAAAGACGTTAGCTTTCCTTCATTTATGAAGCTTAGTTTCACTGGATACAAAATTTTTGGCTGATAATCGTTTTGTTTAAGGAGGCTAAAAATAGGACCTCAATCCCTTCTAGCTTGTAGGGTTTCTGCTGAAAAATCTGCTGTTAATCTGATAGGTTTTCCTTTTTTGGTTACCTGATGCTTTTGCCTCACAGCTCTTAAGATTCTTTCCTTCATCTTGACTTTAGATAACCTGATGACTGTGTATCTAGGTGATGATCTTTCTGTGATGAATTTCCCAAGTGTTCTTTGAGTCTCTTGTATTTGGATGTCTAGATTTCTAGCAAGGCCAGGGAAGTTTTCCTTAATTATTCCCCGAAATAAGTTTTCCAAATTTTAGATTTCTCTTCTTCCTCAGGAACACCAATTATTCTTAGTTTTTTTTTTTAACATAATTTCAAACTTTTTGGAGGCTTTGTTCTTTTTTGGATTTTTTTTCTTTGTTTTTGTTGGATTGGGTTAATTCAAAAGTCTTCGAGCTGTAAAGTTCTTTCTTCTACTTGTTCTATTCTATTGTTGAAACTTTTCAGTGTATTCTTCATTTCATCGAATGTGTCTTTCATTTCCAGAAGTTGTGATTTGTTTTTTATTTATGCTGTCTATTTCTCTGGAGATTTTCCTTCCATATCCTGTATTATGTTTTTAATTTCTTTAAATCCGTTTTCACTTTTCTCTGGTGCCTCCTTGAGTAGCTTAATAATCAACCTTCTGAATTATTTTTCTGGCAATTCAGAGATTTCTTCTTGGTTTTGATCCATTGCTGGTAAGCTAGTGCGATCTTTTGGGTGTGTTATAGAACCTTGTTTTGTCATATTACCAGAAATGTTTTTCTGGTTTCTTCTCATTTTGGTAGACTATGTCAGAGGGAAGATCGGTGACTCAAGGGCTGCTGTTCAGATTCTTTAGTCCCATGGGGTGGTCCCTTGATGGAGTGCTTTCCCACTTCTCCTAAGGACGGGGCTTCCTGAGAGCGAGAGTGCAGTGATTGTTATTGTTCTTCTTCTACTGGGCTCTGGGCTGGTACTCGGGAGTGTCTGCAAAGAGTCCTGTGATGTGATCCATCTTCGGGTCTCTTAGCCACGAATACCAGCACCTGCTACAAGTGGAGGAAGCAGGGTAGTGAAGTGGTTGTAGTTTTGTTTAGTGTGCTGTTTTTCTCAAATCCTGTTTATGCTAGCTATGAAGTTGTCACATGGGCAGATTCTGGCCCTCTGGTTAGTCAGAATGTTACAGGCAGTGGAATTAAGTATTATTTTCTCCTTCCTTGGAGCAGGGTTGTTCTGTTATGAGTTGCTTTAACCTTCCACCAGGAGATAGCTTTCAAGAGAGCATCAGCTGTGGTAGTATAGGGAGATACAAGCTTGCCTTAAGGTCACCTGGATAAGTATTCAGGTTTCTCAGGTGATGGGCAGGGCCATAGAGCACCCATGAGTTTTATGTCTTTTGTCTTCAGCCACCAGGGCTTGTAGAGAAAGACCATCAGGTGGGGGCAGGGTTAGGCAAGTCTGAGCTCAGATTGTCTTTCAGGGGGACTTGCTGCGGCCAAAGAGAGGGATGGCAGGGGTGGTTCTCAGGCCAATGGAGTTATGTTCCAAGGGGGGATTATGGCTACCTCTGCTCCTTCATACAGGTTGCCAGGGAAGTGGGGGAAAAGCCAGCAGTGACAGGCCTCACTCAGTTCCCACACAGCCAGCAAGGCCAGTCTCAGTCCCGCCATGCTCCTCCAACAGCCAACAGAGCTGAATTTGTATCCAGGCCTCTGGTATGCAGGGCTGAGATCTTGCCTCTGGCTGCAAAGCTTCCAGCTGAGAAAGCAAGCAGGGCTTTCAGGCCTCACTCCTTCCTGCCTTCTGCAGCTGGATAGATAATTCTTGGCTAACAGTTTCAGCATTTAAAGTATGTCATCTTAGTGTGTTTTGGCCTTCATGATTTCTGGTGCGAAATCAACTGTCAGTTGTATCAAGGATCGTATGTAATGAGTCACTTCTTTCACTGCTTTCAAGATTCTCTTTGTCTTTGTGTTTTAACAGTTTGACTCTAATGTGTCTCAGTGTGTGCCTCTTTGAGAGTATGCTGCTTGGAGTTCATATAGCTTCTTGGATTTGTAGATTCTTATTTTCCTTCACATTTGGGAAATCCTTGGCCATTATTTCTTCAAATATTATTTTGTTCTCTCTTCTCTTTCTTAGACTCAAATAATATGTATGTGGGTTAGCTTATGGTGTCCTATGGGTCCCTTAAGCTCTGTTCACTTTTATTCTTTTTCCTTTCCTTTTTTTTGAGATGGAGTTTCACTCTTGTTACCTGGGCTGGAGTGCAATGGCGCTATCTCGGCTCCCTGCCACCTCCATCTCCCGGGTTCAAATGATTGTCTTGCCTCAGCCTCCCAAGTAGCTGGGATTACAGGCATGTGCCATCACGCCCGGCTAATTTGTATTTTTTTTTGTTTTTGTTTTTTTGAGACGGAGTCTTGCTCTGTCACCAGGCTGGAGCGCAGTGGCGTGATCTCGGCTCATTGCAACCTCCACCTCCTGGGTTCAAGCGAGTCTCCTGCCTCAGCCTCCCAAGTAGCTGGGAGTACAGGTGCATGCCACCAAGCCTGGCTAATTTTTTTTTTTTTTTGTATTTTTAGTAGACACGGGGTTTCACCATGTTACCCAGGATGACCTCGATCTCCTGACCTTGTGATCTGCCTGCCTTAGCCTCCCAAAGTGCTGGGATTACAGGTGTGAACCACTGCGCCCGGCTCTTTTTTTTTTTTTTTTTTTTGAGATGGAGTCTCGCTCTGTCACGCAGGCTGGAGTGCAGTGGCATGATCTCGGCTCACTACAACCTCTGCCTCCTGGGGGTTCAAGCGATTCTCCTGCCTCAGCCTCCTGAGTAGCTGGGATTACAGGTGCCCGCCACCATGCCAAGCTAATTTTTGTATTTTTAGTAGAGACAGGGTTTTGCCGTGTTGGCCAGGCTGGTCTTGAACTCCTGACATCAAGTGATCCACCCATCTCGGCCTCCCAAAGTGCTGGGATTACAAGCATGAGCCACTGTGCCTGGCCAATTCTTTCTTTTCTCCTCAGACTTGATAATTTCGATTATCCTATCCTTAAGTTCACTGATTCTTTATTGTGCCATCTTAGATCTGCTGTTCAATACCTCTAGTCAATTTTTCATTTCAATCATTGTACTTTTCAGCTCCAAAATTTCTGTTTGGTTCCTTTTTATGCTCTGTCTTTTAAATTGATATTCTAATTTTGCTCATACGTCATATTCCTAATTTCCTTTAGTTATTTGTTCATGTTTTCCTTTAGTTCTGTGAGCATATTTAAGTCAATTGTTTTAAAGTGTTTGTCTATTAAATTTGATGTCTGGACTTCCTCAGGAATAGTTTCTGTCAATTTAGTTTGTTTCTGTAAATGGGCCATAATTTCCTATTTCTTTGTATGTTTTGTGATATTTTTTGTTGAAAGCTATATGTTTGAATATCATAAAATGTTAAGGGGGTACATTAAATTCTCCTTTTTCCTCTGAGTTCGCTGTTTATTTAATTTATGTGAAGGCTATAGTAGTCCATTTGTTTAGTGACTTTCCCAAAGTACTTTTAGGAAGACCGTTTTTTTGTGTGTGTAGTCATTGATATTTCTGTTTTTCAGTTTGTGCTCAGCTAGTGTTTTGATAGGATTTCCTTGAATGTCAGGAACTAAAAAAAAAAAAAAAATCAATCAAACAAACAAAAATTACCTCCCCCACCTCATCCTTGCAGAATCATTTTGTTCTAGGGCATTTTTTTTCAACACCTAACTAGGCTTGCACTAAGCATAGGACTCAGCCAGTGGTGAAACATTAGAGTTTTCACATGTTGTTTTTCTGAGGATGTGTCTTGTGTGGAGCATGCACATGGCTTTCTAAATCTCCCCATATATGTGGCTTCTTTTGAATGTCCGAATTTCTCAAATAAACTCTCCCCAGCTCTTGCTCTCAGTCCTTAGGTGGTCTGTTTTGTTTTGATCATAATCTTTTCCCCTGAGATCTGCATATTGCTCATTTTTTCTTGCATTGATTTTGAGCTTGCCATTTTATAGCCTCAGTTCTGAGTGAAGTGAAACACAGATGAATACTTTATGTCAGTCTTTTAGCCCCAAGGCAGGTTAGAACATACATACACAACAATATGCAAATAAGGTCTGCTCTGTTTCCTCCAGGATCAGGAACAAGTTTCCCGCAGGAGAATGTGGACTTTCCTATTCAAGACCATGACTGCACTGGAGAGGAGGTGGGGCAAGAGCAAGTAAATATGCCATAAAACTTTCTTACCATTTTGAAGTTGCCTTTATCTTTCTTTTTTTCAACTTTTATTTTAGGTTCAGAGAGTACATATGCAAATTTGTTACATGGGTAAGTTGCATGTCACTGAAGTTTGGTGTACAAATGATCCCATCACCCAGGTAGTGAGCATAGTATACAATAGGTAGTTTTTCAACCCTGGCCCCCTCCCCCTCCCACCTCTAGTAGTCCCCAGTGTCTATTGTTCCCATTTTTATGTCCATGTGTACTCAATGTTTAGCTCCCACTTATAAGTGAGATGTGGTATTTGGTTCCCTGTTCCTGTGTTAATTTGCTTAGGATGATGACCTCAAGCTGCATTCATATTGCTGCAAAAGACATGATTTCATTCTTTTTTATGGCTGCACAGTATTCCACAGTATATATGTATCACATTTTCTTTATCCAATCCACTGTTGATGGGCATCTAGGTTGATTCTGTATCTTTGCTATTGTGAATAGCACTGTGATGAACATACACATGCATGTGTCTTTTTAGTAGAATGGTTTATTTTCCTTTGGGTATATGAGACTTCCAGTAATGGGATTGCTCAGTCAAATGGTAGCTCTGTTTTAAGTTCTTTGAGAAATCACACTGCTTTCCACAGTGGCTGAACTAATTTACATTTCCACCATAAGTGTATAAGTGTTCCCTTTTCTCTGCAACCTCACTGGCATCTGTTATTGCCTTTTTCTTTATTCAGCATTTGCTTGGTTGCTATAAACTTTTCATTGTTTTCCAGAGTTTTGAGAAAGTTGGTTCTGTCAGTTTCTGCTTGATTATCAGTTTCTGTAGGGGAACAAGAGCTTGGAGCTGCCTACTTCACCATTTTGCCAATGTACTACTGCCTCCATCATTTTCTACTGCCTTATCTTCCTTCTTTATTTTTTTCATTGTACATATTATGACCCCGAAATTAAATTCCAAATGTATTTCTTGACTTGGTAATTGTCTGTTTCTCTCAGTAGAATGTTGGCTCCAGGAGTACAGGGACTGCATCTGTCTTATTTACCCTTGTGTACCGCTAGAAGTGTCAGGCTGTGTGTGTGTATACACACATATATATTTTGCAGTTTGTATGTATACACACATATACACACATGTGTGCACACATGTGCATGCACACACACACACATATATATCTCACTATCTACTTTTGAATGAATGTTATGCCAGTAGTTCCCAATACTGGTCTGTCATCTTGTGCAAGGGCCTGATATAGTTTTTGCCAATCTGCAGTAAAATGAAGATAAAAAGGACACTGTAGTGTATATTTGATTTAAAGGCCTCTGCTTTATCTTATTTACTTGCTAATTTGTGCAAAACTGCAAAAGATATGTATAAATCAGGGAAATGTAAATACTTGGATATTTTATAATATTAGGAAATTATTCTTAAATTTTTAGATATTCTGTGGTATTATGGTTATTATTATAAAAGAGTTCTTATATTTTAAACACATGAACTCAAATATTTATGGAGAAAATGGCGTCTAGCATTTGCTTCAAAGTAATCTGGGATACGATGTGTGTTGGGGTTTGAGATGTAAGATGCTTGGCCAGGAGGTGATAATTGAGAAGCTGGGTGAGAGGTACTTGGGGGTTCATTTACTCTTCTTTCTACTTTTGCATATGTTAAAAATTTTCATATTAAAGATAAATTAAAAAGTTCGTTCCTTTAATGGGGGATTATGTGTAATTGTCTTTTCTTAAAATGATGGTGATAGAAGGCAGTAGTTTGTTTTTAGTGTCCTTCTTCCGCAATATTTTATCCATCCTTTGCAATTTTTTGAAATATTGTTTGGGCTGTGAAGTCCTAAACTCTTGGGACTGTGAACTTGTGGGACTGGATCTGATCACATGAGGCCACAAACATTTACTGACAAGATCCTGGGTGCCAGACCCTGTTCTGGACTAAAAATATACAGCGAATTAGACACAGTCCACATTCCTGAGAATTGCTGTAGAAAATGAGGTAAGAAATGTAAAATCCTTCACACAGTGCCTGATACAGTGTAAGTGCTCAATAAACATTAAGTATCATCATCACCACCCTCACTACTATCATCATCACCTTCGATATCTTTCCATGTCAGTTTATATATAGCTCATTAAATTAATTAATTAATTAATTGAGATAGTCTGGCTCTGTTGCCCAGGCTGGAGTGCAGTGGCGCAATCTCCGGCCCACTGCAACCTCCGCCTCCCGGGTTCAAGCGTTTCTCCTGCTTCAGCCTTCTGAGTAGCTGGGATTACAGGCGCCTGGCTAATTTTTGTATTTTTAGTAGAGACGGGGTTTCACCATGCTGGTCTCGAACTTCTGACCTCAGGTGATCCACCCACCTCGGCCTCTCAAAGTATTGGCATTACAGCCGTCAGCCACCATGCCCGGCCTATATATAGCCCATTTTAAACTGATAAGTTTATCAACCATCTCCTGCCCCCACTGATACTTTCAATTTTTCGTTATTGCCAACAAATCAGCACGGCTTACACTTGTTCATAAGGCTCCTTGCAGTTTTTTGTCCTCTAGATCTAAGGTTCTTAAAGTGTGGTCTTGAACCAGTTTGCCCCAGCATTACCCTGGAAGTTGTTAGAAACACAAGTTCCTAATCTCTGATAGTAGATGGGCCACAACAATCTGTGTTTTAACAAAGCCCTGTAGGTGATCCGCATACACTTCTCTAGGAGTCTTGGATGTATATATATGGAAATGGGATTGCTGAGCCAATAGGATATATACCTTTAAAATAATGTTTTTTAAAATAAAATAGAGAGGGAGGGTCTCACTGTGTTGCCCATGCTGGTCTCAAACTCATGGACTCAAGTGATCCACCCACCTTGGCCTCCCAAAGTGCTGGGATTACAGGCGTTACATTAAAAAAAATTTAATAGTCAAAGAGCTCTCCAAATCAGGCACGAACTTTTACTTATATATTAAGGTCTTACTTTGAATAGGGTTACTAAGCCTGCTGAAATAACCCCTTTTCTTCCGGTACCCACTTTCATCCGACGTGCCCCGCCCGCCCGACTCGATTGCATCAGCCTCCTGTCAGCCCCGCCCCAGTGTACTTGCACTCGCAAGCGCAGCTGGGTTATCTTGGGACTAGACGCTCACGGGGCGGGGCTTCGATTCTCACTCTTGGAGCGGGGAGGCCAAAAGAGTCGGAAAGGGGCGTTATCTCTTTCGGAAGTGAGTGGGACAATGGCGAGCAAGCGGTCGTGAGCCTTGAGCTTTGCAGCTTTTCTTGGCTCCCATTTCCTCCTAAAGCCACGAGTTTACCAGCGTCTCTTACAAGTAGTGTGTCGCCACTTTAAAAAAAACATCAGGAAAGGAAAAGGGAGAACCCCGGAGCCCGAAGCTACGCCCGCCTGCGGCAGGGGTGCGCCAATTGTCCAGTGGTGAGGGCGCATGCGAACCATTGACAATGACGTAATCTTGCAGCTCACAGCCGGAGTGAGGCTTTCGGGGAGGGAGGAGCTCCGGTGAGAGTAACAGGGTCGGATTTGTCTGGGCCAGGCCCAGGCTGAGACGCCTACTAGGGGATGGAGGGCCCCAGAAGGAGGGAGAGGGAGGAGTCTTGGACTCTCTCGGAGAACGAGGCTGGGGCTGGCCACCGAGAGTGGAAGCCGCTGTCCAGAGGTTAGAGCCACCCAAGAGCTGGTAGTCGAGTGGCCGCCAGGGGGTGACCGTGCCTGCGTACGTCCACAAGTGGGCCCATAAAGACTGGCCCATATATTTTTGAAACTGTTTATTTTTGTATCTGTTTCCTCTTCTGCCCTGACATCCCAGAGAAAGAGTTGTGGGTGATTGACCTTTGAATCACCAGCACCTCGGGGAGGGCCTGGTACAAAGAAGACACATTTTTAAGGCGGTTGATTGACGGAAGGAAAAGACTGAAAAAACGAAAACAACAAGCCAAAAACCCCAAACCCAGAGATACCCATACATGACATAAAGTTAAGGCCTTTTTAAAAAGTAATAATAGAGGAGAAATTTTAAATGTCCATCAGCAGAGCTTGAGGCCATGCAGTTTTTAGGTTGTTGCAGTCAGAGTGTACACACAACCCTGCATCCTTAGTTATGGCATAATAATTTTTCTCTGTTGCTATAGAATCTCCACAGCCGTCATCTCTCAGCAATGGTTGTAGAATGTTCCATTAGACAGCTGTGCCACAATTCACTTAACCCTTCTCTTGTTGGATATTAAAACTACTTTCTAGTGTTTGACCACCAAAATATATCTCTGCAAGGAATAATTTTGTGCTTAGAGCTTTTCCTGTAGGAGTAGGGGTGGGTGGATATCGATTTAGGAGCAGAATTACCAGGAAAATGTCATAAACATGTTTTAGGCTCTTGTCGACCCGCTTTCCTGAAAGGGATCATACCCGTTGACATCAGAAGCCAAGTCCGAAATCAAACCTGGTGGACTCCGGGTCTTGTCTGTCTCCAGGCTGGTTTTAATTTCCGTATCCTGCAGCAATGCAGAAGTTTATTATTAGTTCTGACCTTTGGGGCAAGGCAAACACACACCAAAGGTTCGGGGACAACTTTAGCAACTGCAACAGCTGACATTGTGAGCGGGTGCAGCTCAGGTTTCAAGCTTGAGCAACTGGGTTGGATGAACTTGCCTCACTGAGACAGGGAATCTGAGAAGAGGAACAGGTTTGGGAGGGAGCAGATGAGATCAGTTTTAAATACATTTAGTTCGAGGTGCCTTTGGGACATCTAAAGGGAGGTATCCAGGAGACAGGCATACATACGGATAAACAACAGTTTTTGCCCTTCTCTGAACTCCCAGAGCTCCCTATCTGTGGATTTCTCATGGCTCAGTTTGCCTTTTACCTTTTACTATCCTCAGAGCTCCTTGAGGCCAGGATAAGGGCCTCATTCATTTGTGTATCCTTCCTCCCAGTGCCCAGTACAGTGCTTTATACCTAGAAGGCCATAAAAGTCTGTCCTGTATAATGAAATTTCATTGATTTCTTAATTGGATGATTCCTGCAGTAGGGGTCCTGATCTGGGTGAAAAAGTTTGGGAACCTTAAGAGTTCTGGGAAGGCTTCCTGTAAGAGGTGGCATAATGTTACCGTGAATAATTATGACTATTTGTTGAACACCTGCCATGTTCCAGTCACTCTGCTGCACACATGCATCAGAGATGCCACCACTATCTTTGATGGCCACTGGCCATCTTTACATCCCCTTCTGGGAGCACTGGCTCTACTTACAGCTCCTACCAAATGATCAAGCAAGGACTAACTATGTATTACATCCACCCTTCCTTTAGGATACAGCACCTGATCCAAGGCCAGCCCACAACCTGTGAGTTGTATGGCCCAGCTTTAGAAGATGAGGTGGGCCAATCAGATTGCTCTCTTGGGAATGTGAAATAAGAGATCCAGAGGAGAGTTGCCAGTTAGTTGTGGGGAGCTGAGCTGACAGGTCCAGTAGACCAGGATGCTGGGTAGGTGGGTGCAGCATTATGAATCAGGTCAAGTGCCTGTTAAAATCCTGGGGGAGCAGTTCAAGGTGGTTGGCTGAATGAGGAAGCTGGGGCAGATGTACAGAGAGAAGCAGACATGTAGTGCAGATGAATTACATTAATGGTAAAGCTCCAGAGCAGAGGGTCCATGCCTCATCCAGAAATTTCCTGCAGCTCCAGGCTTAATAAGCTTTATCTGTACTTCACTTCCTGCCCTTGGATTTCTGATTCGTGATCTAGCTTCACTGGGTTTCTGTTCCTTGCATCCAAAAGAGTCTTAACAAAAACAGCCTTTTAAATAGGTTTAATTTAATTTGCACTTCGGCCCTCTGAGGTGAGTGTACTTTTCCTCATTTTACAAGTGAAGAAACTGAGGCTTAGTGAGATTAACTTGACTAAGGTGACACAGCCAGTGATGGAGCTGGTCTGTCAGATTCTCTTAATCTTTTTTTTAAAAGCATTAATATGTTATTTTTATTTTTAAAAATGACCACAAGCTTGTCATATAAAAACAAAAGCAATCAATACAGACATAATCTGATCTGAACATCAATCAGCTCCTTCGACTCTTCCTTTCATTTATTTCCTTTCAATGTAAAGGAATGTAGCTCCAGCTACATTGGCCTCTGTTTCCAGAACACGCCAAGGTTGTTCTCACCTTTGGTCCTTTATACTGAGTGTTCCTTCTCTTTATTTAAAAAAAAATTTTTTTTCCTTCGCCAGCTTTAAACAGAGAGTCCCTTCTCTTTGTAATGCTTTTCCCCTTGCTTTTCCAGTGGCTGGCTCCTTCTTGTCATTGTCTTCACTCAATTGTCACTTCTTCAGAGAGGACTTTGCCAAACCACGCAGTATGAAATAGCCCACACAACTCTTGGCCCCACTGCTTTCTGTCATATAAACTCCTTTTTATTCCCTGCATAGCCCTTGTCACTGTTTGAAATTGCGTTGCTCATTTATGTAATTGTTTATTGTCTGCCTCCTCTTCAGAAATGAGAACAGAAGCCTTATCTGTATCCTGAGGATCTAAAACTGCTGGTATGTAAGTTCAATCAATATTTGTAGAATAAATGAATGTATAAACTAAAAACAAAGTTCTCATCCAATGCTTTTCTCTCCTAATACCAATCTCCAGAGACAGTAACTGTTAACAGTTTTGTCTACATCTTCCCATTTTCCATGCATATACAAACAAGCATGTATCTTTCTGCATAAAGATAAATATGAATATATGCTTTTGTTTACACCAATGAAAGTTCTATAATTGCCTTTTTCATATAACACTTAACATCTTCCTGTACCAATACATATACATCTACCTTATTAAAAACAAGACAAAACAAATTCATATTATTACAATGTATGGAGTTACCAGAATTTATTTAATTGGATGTCTTTTAGTGGTTATTTTTTTCTAATTTTTTGTTTTTATGTGTTGTAATATTGAAATAAATATTCTTATTATATATGTATTTGCACAAATGTCTCCCACACCCATTTGTTGTCTTTTGTCTTTGCTTGTGGTATATGCAAAGATAAACTTTGTTTAAACTTATATGGTTAGGTTTACCAATCATTCCCTTTATGGTTTTTGGGTTTTGTTTTCTTTTTAAATAATTTAATTTAATTTTAATTTTTATGGGTACACAATTTAATTTTTATGGGTTGTACATGCCTATGGGTTACATGTGATATTTTTATACCTGTTTATGATGTGTAATGATCCAGTCAGGGTAATTGGGATAACCATCACCTCAAACATTTATCATTTCTTTGTGTTGGGAATATTCCAAATCTACTCTTTTAGTTATTTTGAAATATACAATAAATTATTGTTAACTATAGTCACCCTATGGTGCTACCAAACACTAGATCTTATTCCTACCATCTAACTGTATTTTTGTACCCATTAACCAACCCCTCCTTATCCCCACCTCTCCACTACCCTTGCCAGCCTCTGGTAATCATCCTACTACTCTCTACCTCCACAAGATCAGTGTTTTCTTAACTCCCACGTATGAGTGAGAACATGTGATATTTGTTTTTCTGTGCCTGGCTTATTTCACTTAACATAATGTCATGCATGTTGTTATAAATGACAGGATTTCACTCTTTTTGTATGGCTGAATAATATTCAATTATGTATATATACCACATTTTCTTTATCAATTCATCCGTTGATGGACACTTAGGTTGATTCTGTGTCTTGACTATATTGAATAGTGCTACAATAAACATGGGAGTGCAGATATCTCTCCAATATACTGATTTCCTTTCTTTTGGATGTATACCTAGCACTGGGATTGCTGGATAATATGGCAGTTCTAGTTTTAGTTTTTTGAGGAATCTCCAAACTGTTTTCCATAGTGGCTGTACTACTTTCCATTCCCACTAACAGTGTACAAACATTCTCCTTTCTCAGCATCCTTGCCAGCATCCGTTATTTTTTGTCCTTTTGAGAAAAGCCATTTTAACTGCAGTGATTACAAATACTTTACCCACTCCAAAATTATGTATTAAAAATGATTCATCCATGTTGTCTGCTAGTACTTTTATGGTTTCAGTTTTACAGTTAAATCTTTGATCTATCTGGAATTTATTTTGGGGTAGGATTTAGGACAGGGATCTAGCTTCTTTTCCTTTCAAATGCTAAGTCTACTGTCTCTGTACCATCTATTGACTAATAATTATTGACTCATTGAATTGGAATGTCACCTTTATCAAATATGGAGTTTTCATATGTGCTTTTGTTTATTTCTGCACTATTTTATTCTATTGATCTGAATGTCTGTGCCTGCACCAGTGCCACCCCATTGTAATTAATGTAACTTCAAAATATATATCTTCATATCTGGTTGGGCAAAGCCTCTTTTGCTTCTTTTTCAGAAAATTTCTGCCTGTTTTCACATACTTATTCTTCCAGGTGAATCTTAGCACACATTGTGAAAGTAAAAATAATATAAAATTGCCTATTGACATTTTGACCGGGATTATATTGAATTTATAGGTTAATTTAGAGAAAATCATTGTCTTTTATAATATCGAATCTTCCTATTGGAGAGTAAGGTATGGATTTCTAGTTATTCAATTTTTTATGTTAGTAGAATTTTAAAGTTTTATTTTTATATGTTTTATGTGTTCCTTGTTAGGTTTATTCCTATTTTAGTTGCTATTGTGAAGGGGATATTTTTCCCTTATCTTTTTGAACTGGTTGTGGGAAAGCAATTACCAGTACGTCACTAAATCCTATTATTGTTTTTAATAGGTTTTCCATAAATTTCCTCAGGCTTTCAAGTTACACAGCTATGTCATCAACAAATAGAGATTATTTTGCTCCTATAATAGCTATCCCAAGTTTGTGCCTCATTTAATTATCTTGTCTAATTGTGTTATGTATTGCCTTCAGAATAGTAATAGTGGTGATAATGGGGCTTGCACCTTTTCTCTGACTTTAATGGAGAGTCTCACATTTCATTATTCAGCATGATACTGGTTTTCGGTTAGAAATATAGAGTATAAAAAGTATGTCAAGAAAGTATCCATTCCTAGATAACTAAATCAGAAATACATCTTGAATTTTGTTAAATTCATCTTTTGGGCATCCATTGAGATGACCGTGTGGGTTTTTTCATTTGACCTATTAGTACAATGAATTATGTGTATTTCCTAATATTGAATAACTCTTGCACTCTTAGAATGGACCCCACAGTTTTTACTTCTTCAATTTACTGCTGAATTCCATTTGTTAATATTTTATTTATTTTACATCAATATGTATAAGTGAGATTTGTCTGTGGCTTTCTTACATGTGAACTTTGTTCGGAGTCCATGCATTTCCCAAACTGTTTTTTGTAGTCCCTGACCATTCAAGGACTGAAGATGTGCCTATATTAAGGGAGGACTCCACTGAATGCCAGCCATCCATCCCTTCCATGTTTCTTTGCTGCATATTATCGTTTCTGAGACATTTTATATGCTCCTTGGATATCTATGGGAATAAACATCATTAATTGTAAATGTGGAGATGCTAGCACAGATTGTTTAATCCAAGTAGACTATTTAAACAAACTGCAGTGGAATTTACTGAGAAATGATAAATGATGGCTATTCTATTATTTTATGTTTGTTCTTTAAAAAATCAATATTGTTTATAAAGGTAATTATTACTTTGTATTAAGTGATTAATACAGTATTAAAGGCTCTTAATAAAAAAAGTCAGCCTCCATCCTATCATTCCACATACCCTATTCTTCTTTCCATGTCAACAAATGCAGTTCTAGCTGTTTCCCCTCATATTATGTCCATATTTCTATATAATGTGCATATATTGCTATTTATTTATTTTAAAATAATAGACTTCATATTTTAGAGCAGTTTAAGGTTTATAGAAAAAATGAATGGTGGCTGGGCATGGTGGTTCACGCCTGTAATCTTGGCACTTTGGGAGGCCGAGGCAGGCGGGTCACTTGAGGTCAGGAGTTCGAGACCAGCCTGGCCAACATGGAGAAACCCCATCTCTACTAAAAATACAAAAATTAGCCAGGCATGGTGGCACGCGCCTGTAGTCCCAGCTACTCGGGAGGCTGAGACAGGAGAATCGCTTGAACCCGGGAGGGGGAAGTTGCAGTGAGCTGAGATCACTGCACTCCAGCCTGGGCGACAGAGCGAGACTCCATCTCAAAAAAAAAGAATGGAAAGTACAGAGAGTTCCTATATGACCCCTCTCCCCACTCCTCCCTGCCCACCAATTTCCCCTTTGATTAATATGTTGCTTTAGATATTTAGATTAAAATATTTTAGATATTATTTTAAAATATATTTTAAAATATTTAGATATTTAGATCAAAATGGTATATTTTTTATAATTATGAGCCATTATTGATACATTATTATTAGCTAAATTCCATAGCTTACATTAGGGTTCATTCTTTGTGTTGTATATTCTATGGGTTTTGACAAATGTATAATGACGTATCCACTGTTATAGTGTCAGAGAAAATAGTTTCACTGTCCTACAATCCCTTGCGATTTGCCTATTCATCCTTCTCTTCCTCCTCCAGAAATGCTGGCAACCACTGATCTTTTTACTGCCTGGAAAGGGGAGTTTTTGCTTTTCCCAAAATGTCATATAGTTGGAATCACACAGCCTTTTCACGTTGGTTATTTTCACTTAGCAATATATATTTAAGGCTTATCAATGTCGTCTTGTGGTTTGGGAGCTTATTTCTTTTTATTGATGAATAACATGCCATTCTATGAAGGTACCAGAATTTGTCCACTCATCTATTGAAGGACACTGTGATTGCTTCCAAGTTTTGGTAATTCTGAATAAAGCTGCTGTAAATGTTTCTGTGCAGTTTTTGCATAAACATAAATCTCAATTCATTTGGGTAAATATCAAGGAGTGCAATTACTGGATCATATGGTAAGAGTATGTTTAGTTTTGTAAGAAAATGCCAAACCATCTTCCACAGTGGCTACACCATTTTGCTTTCCTACCAGCAATGAATGAGAGCTCCTGTTGCTCCACATCCTCGCCAGCATTTGGTGTTTTCAGTATTTTGAATTTTGGCTATTCTAATAGGTGTGTAGGTGTGTAGTGGTATCTCTCTTTCTCTTTTTTTTTTCTTTTGAGACGGAGTCTGGCTGTGTTGCCCAGGCCAGAGTGCAGTGGTGCCATCTCAGCTCACTGCAACCTCCGCCTCCTGGATTCAAGTGATTCTCCTGCCTCAGCCTCCCTAGTAGCTGGGACTACAGGCACCCACCACCATGCCTGGCTAATTTTTGTATTTTTAGTAGAAACAGGGTTTTGCCATGTTGGCAAGGCTGGTCTTGAACTCCTGGCCTCAAGTGATCCTCCTGCCTCTGCCTCCCAAAGTGTTGGGATTACAGGCGTGAGCCACCGCGCCCGGCCTCATTGTTTTAATTTGCATTTCTCTGATGACATATGATGTTGAGCATTTTTTCATATGCTTGTTTGCCATCTGTGTATCTTTCTTGGTGAGTCATCTCTTCAGATCTTTTGTCCCAATTTTAATTGCTTCCTTTTTTTTATAGTTGAGTTTTAAGAGTTCTTTGTATATTTTGGATGTAAGTTCTTTATTAGAAGTATTTTGCAAGTATTTTTTCCTAGTCTGTGGCTTTTGTTTCATTTTCTTTACAGTGTCTTCCTGTGTCTATGGTTGAATATATGTTATTAATTTTGAAAAATTCTCAATCATTATTACTTCAAAGCTTTAGTTTGTCTCTTTCTCTATTTGCCTTTTGGTATTCCCAATATGCATATGTTACCCTTTTTGTAATTGTCCCACAGTTCTTGGATATTTTGTTTCATTTTTCTAATTCCTTTTTCTCTTTGTATTTCCATCTTGGAAATTTATATTGGCATATCTTCAAGCTCACTGATTCTTTCCTTGGCTAGGTCCAGTCTATTGATGTGCCCATCAAAGGAATTCTTTATTTCTCTTATGGTGTTTCTGATTTCTAGCATTTCCTTTTGATTTTTTTTCTTAGAGTGTCCATCTGCCTGCTTGCTTCACCTATCCATTTTTGCATATTGTCCACTTTTTCCATTAGAGCCCTTAGCATATTAACAGTAGTTAATCTAAAGTCCTGATCTGATAATTTCAAAATATCTGCCATATCTAAGTCAGGTTCTGATGCTCACTCTGTCCCTTCAAACTGTGTTTTATTTTTTAGTATGCCTTGTAATTTTTTTGTTTAAAGCTAGACATGATGCAATGGATAAAAGTAACTTGGTACTGGTTCCAGTGGTAGGCTTCTGCTCCAGTAAGCTGTGATTTTCTGTATTTGCTTATAGCTCCAATTTTTGGAGTAGCAGTTTGCCCTGTGACCTCAATGCCTTGATAGACCTAAGAAGAGTTGTTTAGTTTCAGCTTGTTCAGATTTTTTCTTATTGTGAGGACAGAGGCAACAACTTCCAAGCTCCTTCTGTGTTGGACTAAGAGTTCTTACTTATTTGTTATTTGTTAACATCGTTTATTTTAAAAACAGCTTTATTGAAGTATTATTTACATACATTTAACTGCACCCATTTAAAATGTGCAATTTCATCAGTTTTAATATATATATCATAAGACAATCACTATATTTAAGATAAAGAACATAATTATGCTGGGCGCAGTGGCTCACACCTGTAATCCCAGCACTTTGGAGGCCGAGGGGTGTGGATCACCTGAGGTCAGGAGTTTGAGACAAGCCTGGCCAACATGGTGAAAACCCGTCTCTACTAAAAATACAAAAATTAGCCAGGCATGGTGGCAGGTGCCTGTAGTCCCAGCTACTTGGGAGACTGAGGCACGAAAATCGCTTGAACCCAGGAGGTGGAGGTTGCAGTGAGCTGAGATCGTGCCACTGCACTCCAGCCTGTGCGACAGAGCCAGATTTCATCTAAAAAAAAAAAAAAGATAAAGAACATAATTATTATTTCTCAAAATTTCTTATTTCCCTTTGTAAATCTTTCCTCTTGCTCTACTACACTTTCCCAAGGTTTATTAATTTGTTTTCTGTTACAATAGACTAGTTTGCATTTTCTAGAGTTTTATAATCTGGATTTTTTCATTCAGTATAAATATTTTGAGATTAATTGAGTTTGTTGTGTGTATAAATAATTCATTTCTACATATTACTGAATAGTATTCCATTGTATGACCATACCAAATTTGTTTACCCATTCACTTGTGGATTGATATTTAGGTTGTTTCTAGCTTTTGATTATTACAAACACAGCTGTTATGAACAAGTGGACATTTGGTGGACATTTTGTGGACATTTGGTTATTTCTCTTGAATAAATTCCAAGGAGTAGAATGGCTTGTTTATATGGTAGGTGTATGTTTCATTTTTAAAGAAATTATAATTCTTACATATAAATACAACATTCTCCAAGATGGAGTACATGTTTGTCACAAGATGGGTCTTAACAACTTTAAGAAGATTGTTATCATACCAAATATCTTTTCTGACAATAGTGGAAGGAAATTACAACTCAGTAGCAGTGGGAAATCTGGAAAATTCACAAATATGTGGAAACTAAACAGCACATTTTTGAAAAACCAATGGGTCAAAGAAGAGATCCAAATTAGAAAATATCTTGAAACAAACAAAAATACAACATACCAAAGCTTATAGGATGCAGCAAAACCTATACTAAGAGGTAAGTTTATAAATACCTACATTAAAAAAGAAGAAAAGAAGAGGGACAGTACAAGATGGCAGAATAGAAGGCTCCACCAATAGTCCCCCATACAAGGACATGATTTAACAATTATCTATGCAAACAAAGTACTTTCAGTACTTTCAGTACTTTTCAGGTGAGTACTCACAGTACTCGATTTTAACATCACGTCACTGAAAGAGGCATGGAAGAGGGTAGGAAAGAGTCTTGAATTGCTGCTGCCACTTATCCCCCATCCCTTGGCAGCTGGTGCATGGCATGAAGAGAGAATCTGAGCACTTGGGAGAGGGTGAGTGCAGCAATTGTGAGACATTGCAGGGAACTCAGTGCTGCCTTTTCATAGCAGAAAGCAAAACCAGGCTGCACTCAGCTGATGCCCACCCACAGAGGGAGTATTTAAACCAGTCCTAGCCAGAGGGGAATTGCCCATTCCCAGCAGTCAGAACTTGAGTTCTGGCAAGCCTCACCACCACATGCTAAAGTGCTCTGGGGCTCCAAATAAACTTGAAAGACAATTCTAGGCCACAAGCATTGCAACTCCTAGGTGAGTCCTAGGGCTGAACTGAGTTCAGAGCCAGTGGACGAGGCGGGGGGAGGCATGTGACCTATTGGAGACACCAGCCGGGCAGCTAAGAAAGTACTTGAATCACCTCTACCCCAACCCTAGACTCCACAGCTCCTGGCTCCAAAAGAGACCCCTTTCCAGGCTGTAGCTCCCAGAGTAAATTTCTAGACACACCCTGGGCCAGAAAGGAATCAACTACCTTGAAGGGACTCTAGTCCCTGACTCCTGGATGGCACCTCTGGACCTGCCCTGGGCCTGAGGGAGCTCATCACCCTTAAGGGAAGGACACGGGCCTGGCTGTATTTTCTACCTGCAGATTGTAGAGCCTCAAGGCCTAGAACGAACATAGGTGGTAGCCAGGTAGTGGTTACAGTGGGCCTTGGGCAAGACTCAGTGCTGTGCTGGCTTCATGTATGGCCAGTACAGTCCCAGTGGTGGGTGCTTGTGTCACTCCACCCTCAGCTCCAGGTGGCCTAGAACAGAGAGAGAGAGAGAGAGAGAGAGAGAGGTTCTGTTTGGGAGAAGAGAAAAAGAGTCTCTCCCTGGTAATCCAGAGAATTCTTCCAGATTTTTTTTTTTTTTTGAGACGGAGTCTCGCTCGTTGCCCAGGCTGGAGTGCAGTGGTGCAATCCCAGCTCACTGCAAGCTCCACCTCCTGGGTTCATGCCATTTTCCTGCCTCAGCCTCCCGAGTAGCTGGGACTACAGGTGCCCGCCACCACGCCCGGCTAATTTTTTGTATTTTTAATAGAGACGGGGTTTGGTTTCACCGTGTTAGCCAGGATGGTCTCAATCTCCTGACCTCGTGATCCGCCCGCCTTGGCCTCCCAAAGTGCTGGGATTACAGGCGTGAGCCACCGCGCCTGGCCAAATTCTTCCAGATCTTAAACAAGATCACCAAGGTAGTATCTCTTTGAGTCAGCAAGAACCACAGTGATATTGAGGTTGGGGTGTTCCCTAATACAGATAGAGCTTAGATCACAAAACCCAAGTTCCTTTGGATACATGGAAAGCTTTCCCAAGAAGGAACGGTACAAACAAGCCTAGATTGTGAAAACTACAATAAATACCTAACTCTTAAAATGCCTAGACACAGATGAACATCTGTAAATGTCATCAAGACCATCCGGGAAAACATGACCTTGTCAAATGAACTAAATAAATCACCAGGGTTTATTAGTCACCAGGCACTAATCCTGAAGAGATGGATATATGTGACCTTTCAGATGGAGAATTCAAAATAGCTATTTTGATGAAACTAAAAGAAATTCAAGATAGCACAGAGAAGGAATTCAGAATTCTATTAGATAAATTTAACAAAGAGATTGAAATAAGAAGAATCAAGCAGAAATTCTGGAGTTGAAAAATGCAAGTGATATACTGAAGAATGCATCAGAGTCCTTTAATAACAGAATTGTTCAAGCAGAAGAATTAGTGAGCTTGAAGACAGGCTATTTGAAAACACACAGAGGAGACAAAAGCTAAGAGAATAAAAAACAATGAAGCACACCTACAAGATCTAGAAAATAGCCTCAAAAGGGCAAATCTAGAAGTTATTGGCTGCAAAGAGGAAGTAGAGAAAGAGATAGAGGTAGAAAGTTTATTCAAAGGGATAATAAAATCCCAAAGGCTGGGTGTGGTGGCTCATGCCTGTAATCCCAGCACTTTGGGAAGCTGAGGTGGGCAGATCACATGAGGTCAGGAGTTCAAGACCAGCCTGGCCAACATGGTGAAACCCTGTCTCTACTAAAAATAGAAAATTAGCTGGGCATGGTGGTGGGCGCCTGTAATCCCAGCTACTTGGGAGGCTGAGGCAGGAGAATCAGTTGAACCCAGGAGGCAGAGATTGCAGTGAACCGAGATCATGCCACTGCACTCCAGTCTGGGCAACACAGCAAGGCTCCATCTCAGAAAAAACAAACAAACAACAACAACAACAAACAAAAACAAAACCCAACAAGTGATAATAACAGAGAACTCCCCAAATCTAGAGAAATATATTAATATCCAAGTTCAAGAAGGTTATAGACTACCAAGCAGATTTAACCCAAAGAAGACTACCTCAAGGCATTTAATAACCAAACTCCCAAAGGTCAAGGATAAAGAATGGAACCTAAAAGCAGCAAGAGAAGAGAAACAAATAGCAGACAATGAGTCTTCAATATGTCTGGCAGCAGACTTTTCAGTGGAAACCTTAAAGGCCAAGAGAGAGTGGCATAATATATTTAAAATGCTGAAGGAAAAAATTTTTACCCTAGCATAGTGTATCCAGTGAAAATATCCTTCATAAGTGAAGGAGAAATATAGACTTTCCCAGACAAAGAAAAGCTGAGGAATTGTATCACCACCAGACCTGTTCCACAAGACATGCTAAATGGAATACTTCAGTCAGAAAGAAAAGAACATTAATGAACCATATCATCTGAAGGTACAAAACTTCTTGGTAATAGTAAGTACACAGAAAAACACAAGCTATTATAACACGGTAACTGTGGTGTATAAACTATTCTTACCTTAAGTAGAAAGACTAAATGATAAAGCAATAAAAAATAACTAGAACAACTTTTCAAGACATAGATAGTACAATATAATATAAACAGAAACAACGAAAGGTTCTAAAGTGGGGGGATGAAGTTAAGGTGTAGAGTTTTTTTAGTTTTCTTTTTGCTTGTTTGTTTATGCAAACAATGTTAAGTTGTTATCAGCTTAAAGTAATGGGTTATAAGATAGTATTTACAAGCCTCATGGTAATCTCAAATAAAAAAACATACAATGGATACAAAAAAAATAAAAAGCAAGAAACTAAATTATATTGCTGGAGAAAATCACCTTCACTAAAAGAAAGACAGGAAGGAAGAAAAGACGGAGAACACCACAAAACAACCAGGAAACAAATAACAAAATGACAGGAGTAAGTCCTTACTTATCAATAATAACATAGAATGGAAATGGACTAACCCCCCCAATCAAAAGACATAGAATGGCTGAATGGATTTAAAAAAAGTCTCAACGATCTGATTGCCTGCAAGAAACACACTTCACCAATAAAGATACACATAGGGCGTGGCATGGCGCGGTGGCTCACACCTTTAATCCCAGCACTTTGGGAGGCCAAGGCAGGCGGATCATGAGATTAGGAGATAGAGACCAGCCTGGCCAACATGGTGAAACCCTGTCTCTACTAAAAATACAAAAAATCAGCTGGGTGTGGTGGCACTTGCCTGTAGATCCAGCTACTTGGAAGGCTGGGGCAGAAGAATTGCTTAAACCCAGGAAGCAGAGGTTGCAGTGAGCCGAGATCGCACCACTGCACTCCAGCCTGGGTGACAGAGCGAGACTCTGTCTCAAAAAAAAAAAAAAAAAAAATACACATAGACTGAAAATAAAGGGATGGGAAAAGATATTCCATGCCATTGGAAACCAAAAAAGAGCAGGGATAGCTGTACTTATATCAGAGAAAACAGATTTCAAGATAAAAACCACAAGAAGAGACAAAAAGGTCACTATATAAAGGGGTCGATTCAGTAAGAGGGTATAATAATTGTAAATATATATGCACCCAATACTAGTGCACCCAGATTTATATAGCAAATGTTACTAGAGCTAAAAAGAGAGATAGACTCCATACAATAATGCCTGGAGACTTCAACACCCCACTTTCAGCATTGGACAGATCTTCCAGACAGAAAATCAACATAGAAATGTCGGCTTTTGTCTATAGTATACAACAAATGGACCTAATAGACACAGAACATTTCATTTAGTGGCTGCAGAGTACCCATTCTTTTCCTCAGCACATTGATCATTCTCAAGGATGGACCATATGTTAAGTCAAAAAACAAGTCTTAAAACATTCAAAAAAGTGAAATAATATCAAGCATCTTCTGTTACCACAATGGAATAAAACTAGAAATCAACAACAAGAGGATTTTTGGAAACTATAAAAACACATTGAAATTAGACAGTATGCTCCTGCATGATCAGTGAGTCAATGAAACAATTATGGAGAAAACTGATAAATTTCTTGAAACGAGATAATGGAAACACAACATACTCAAATCTTTGGAATACAGCAAAAGCAGTACTAAGAGGGAAGTTTATAGCTATAATTGCCTACATCAAAAAAGAAGAAAAGTTTTAAAAACAACCTAGTAATGCATCTTAAAGAACTAGAAAAGCAAGGGCAAACCAAATCCAAAATTAGAAGAAAAGAAATAAAAATCAGAGCAGAAATGAGTGAATATGAAATTAAGAAAACAATACAAAATTAAATGAAACAAAAAGTTGACATTTTGAAACCAAAACTGACAAATTATAGCCAGACTAACTAAGAAAAAAAGAGAGAAGACCCAAATAAATAAAATCATAGAAGAAAAAAGAGATATTACAACTGATACTGCAGAAATTCAAATAATCATTCATGGTTGCTATGAGCAACTATATGTGAATAAAACTGGAAAATCTAGAAGAAATTGATTAATTCCTAGACACATACAACCTACCAAAATTGAAACAAGAAGAAATCCAAAAGCTGAACAGGCCAATAACAAATAACAAGATGAAAGCCTTAATAAAACATCTCCAATCAAGGAAAAGCCCAGAACCTGATGGATTGACTGCTGAATTCTACCAAACATTTAAAGAAGAACTAATACCAATCCTATTCAAACTATTCCAAAAAAACAGAGGAGGAGGGACTACTTCCAAACTCAGTCTACGAGGCCAGCGTTACCCTGATCCTCAAACCAGACAAAAGCAAATAAAACAAAAACTATAGGCCAATATCACTGATGAATATTGATAGAAAAATCCTCAACAAAATATGAGCAAACCAAATTCAATAACACATTAAAAAGAACATTCATTAAGACCAAGTGAGATTTACCTGAGGGATGTAAGGATAATTCAACATATTCAAGTTAATTAATGTGATACATCATATCGACAGAGTGAGGGACGAAACCACGTGTTCATTTCAATTGATCCTAAAAAAGCATTTGATAAATGAATAAAGAGAATGTGGTATATACATACAATGGAATACCATTCCATTGTTTTTCTTACTGCTTTCAAAATATTCTCTTTTTCTCCATCTTTTCAACATTTTTGATATGTATCTGGGTATGGATGTCTAGTTAATCCTACTTGGATTTTGTTGAGCTTCTTGTGTTCATAGATTAATGCTTTTCATCAAATTTGGAAAGTTTTTAGCCTCTATTTATTGTAATATTTTTTTCTGCTCTTTTTTAGCTTTTCTCTCCTTGTACTCTTGTTGTGCATACATTGGTGTGTTTGATGATGTCCATATTTCTTTGAGGCTCTGTTCATTTTTCCTCATTGTGTTTTCTTTCTTTTTTTTGAGATGGAGTCTTGCTCTCTCTCAGGCTGGAGTGCAGTGGTGTGATCTCGGCTCACTGCAACCTCCGCCTCCCGAATTCAAGCGACTCTCTTGTCTCAGCCTCCTGAATAGCTCGGACTACAGGCGCCTGCCACCATGCCCAGCTAATTTTTGTGTATTTTTAGTAGAGACGGGGTTTCACCATGTTGGCCAGACTGGTTTCAAACTCCTGACCTCAGGCGATCCACCCGCTTCGGCCTCCCAAAGTGCTGGGATTACAGGCGTGAGCCACCACGCCTGGCCTATACTGCCTTTTAATATGTATAACATATATAGCCTCTTTATATATATAGCATATATACTATATTATATATATATCATTATGAGATAGTATAAACTATATATATAGATATATAAAATGCCTGGTATATATACTAAATATATTTTATATACATATATATATAAAGTACAAAACAAACCAGGCATTTTATATTTTTGTATATATAAGTATATATATGTAAAGTATATTTATATAAAGTATAAAATAAACCAGGCACGGTGGCTCATGCCTATAACCTAGTTCTTTGGTCAGCTGAAGTGGGAGGATCACTTGAGTCCAGGAGTTCAAGATCAGCCTGGACAACACAGGGAGACCTGTCTCTACAATAAATAAATAAATAAATTAAATTAGTTGAGCATGGCAACGTGCGCTTGTAGTCTTAGCTACTCAGGAGGCTGAGGTGGGAGGATTGCTTGAGCCCAGGAATTCGAGGCTGCAGTAAGCTGTGATCTCTGCACTCCAGCCTGGGTGACAAAGGAAGACCCTGAGTCTAATATATGTGTGTGTGTGTAGTTTGTATAGTTACCTGTGTAGTTACCTTTACTAGTGGTCTTTATTTCTTTTTATTTTTCTTTTTTTTTTTTAGAACGGGTCTCACTATGTTGACCAGGCTGGCCTTGAACTCCTGGGCTCAAGCTATTCTCCCGCCTCGGCCTCCCAAAGTGCTGGGATTACAGGTGTGAGCCACCATACCCGGCTGGTCTTTATTTCTTTATATAGATTTGAATTGCTGTTTAGTGTCCTTTTATTTCAGCCTTGATTAACTTCCTTCAGTATTGTTTGCAGTGTAGGTGTGCTACAAACAAATTCTCTCAGTTTTGGTTTATCCTGTAATATCTTAATTTCTGCTTCACTTTTTAAAAATAATTTTGACTTTTATTTTAGATTCCGGGGGTATATGTGCAGCTTTGTCACATGGGTATATTGCGTGATGCTGAGGTTTGGGATTCGAATGATCCTGTGACCCAAATCGTGAGTATAGTACACAACAGTTAGTTTTTCAACCCTTGCCCCCTCCCTGTGTCTATTGTTGCCATTTTAATGTCCATTAGCACCCAATATTTAGTTCCATCTTATGTGAGAACATGCAGTATTTTGTTTTCTGTTCCTGTGTTAATTTGCTTAGGATAATTGCCTCCAGCTGCATTCATGTTGCTGCAAAGGATGTGATTTCATTCTTTTGTATGACTGTGTAGTATTCCATGGTGTATATGTGCCACATTTTCTTTTTCCAATCCAATGTTGATGGGCATCTAGATTGATTCCAGGTCTTTGCTATTGTGAATAGTGCTGTGATGAACATACAAATGCATGTGTTTTTGCTAGAATGATTTATTTTCTTTTGGATATATACCCAGTAATGGGATTGCTGGGTTGAATGGTAGTTCTTTTTTAAGTTCTTTGAGAAGTCTTCAAACTGCTTTCCACGGTGGCCAAACTAATTTACATTCCCACCAACAGTATATAAGCATTCCCTTTTCTCTGCAGCCTCACCAATATCTGCTGGCTTTTTACTTTTTAGCCATTCTAACTTGTGTAAGATAGTATCTCATGGTTTTGATTTGCGTTTCTCTGATAATTAGTGATGTTGAGCATTTTTCATTTTTGTTGGCAGCTTGTATGTCTTCTTTTGAGAAATATCTGTTCATGTCTTTTCCCCACTATTTATTTATGTATTTATTTGAGATGGAGTCTTGCTCTGTCGCCCAGGCTGGAGTGCAGTGGTGCGATCTTGGCTCACTGCAACCTCTGCCTCCCAGGATCAAGTGATTCTCCTGTCTCAGCTTCCCAAGTAGCTGGGATTACAGGTGTGTGCCATCATGCCTGGCTAATTTTTTGTATTTTTAGTAGAGGTGGGGTTTCGCCATGTTGGCCAGGCTGGTCTTGAACACCTAACCTCAAGTGATCCACCCACCTTGGCCTCCCAAAGTGTTGGGATTACAGGCATGAGCCATTGTGCCTGGCCTTGCTCACTTTTTAATGGAGTTATTTGTTTTGCTTGTTGAATTGTTTAAATTCCTTTTAGATTCTGGATATTAGACCTTTGTTGCATGCATAGTTTGTGAATATTTTCTCCCATTCTGTAGGTTGTCTGTTTACTCTGTTGATAGTTTCTTTTGCTGTGTGGAAGCTCTCTGGTTTAACTAGATTCCACTTGTCAATTTATATTTTTGTTGCAATTGCTTTTGAAGACTTAGTCATAAATTCTTTCCCAAGGCTGATGTCCAGAAAGGTATTTCCCAGGTTTTCTTCTAGGACTTTTCTACTTCGAGATCTTACACTTAAATCTTTAATCTATCTTGGGTTAATTTTTGTATATGTTGAAAGTTGGGGTCCAGTTTCATTCTTCTGCATATAGCTAGCCTGTTATCCTGGCACCAAGTATTGAATAGGGTGTCATTTCCCCATTGGTTATTTTTGTTGACTTTGTTGAAGATCAGATGGCTGTAGGTTTGTGGCTTTATTTCTGAGATCTCTATTCTGTTCCATTGGTCTATATGTCTGTTTTCATACCATTACCATGCTGTTTTGGTTACTGTGGCCTTGTAGTTTGAAGTTGGGTAATGTGATGCCTCTGGCTTTGTTCTTTTTGCTTAGGATGGCTTTGTCTATTTGGGCCCTTTTTTGGGTTGGATATGAATTTTAGAATAGTTTTTTTCTAATTCTGTGAAAAATGATGTTGGTAATTTGATAGGAATAGCATTGAATCTGTAGATTGCTTTGGGCAGTATGGCCATTTTAATGATATCGATTCTCCCAATCAATGAGCATGGAATTGTTCTCCATTTGTTTGTGTCATCTATGATTTCTTTTAGCTGTGTTTTGTAGCCCTTGTAGAGGTCTTTTTTGTCCTGGTTACATATATTCCTGGTATTTTACTTTTTTGTGACTATTGTAAATGGGATTGTGTTCCTGATTTGGCTCTCAGCTTGAATGTTATTGGTGTGTAAAAATGCTACTGATTTTTGTACATTGATTTTGTATCCTGAAACTTTACTCAAGTTATTTATTAGTTCTAGAAGCCTTTTGGTGGAGTCTTTAGGGTTTTCTAGCTATATAATCATATCATCAACGAAGAGAGATAATTTGACTTCTTTTTTCCTTATTTGGATGCCTTTTATTTCTTTCTCTTGCCTGATTGCTCTGGCAAGGACTTCCAGTACTATACGGAATAGAAGCAGTGAGAGTGGACATCTTTGTCTTGTTTCAGTTCTCAACAGGAATGCTTCCAGCCTTTGTCCATTCAGCATGATGTTGGCTGTGAGTTTGTCATAGATGGTTCTTGTTATTTTAAGGTATGTTCCTTCAATGCCTAGTTTGTTGGTCTCCTTCAGTTTTGAAAGATAGTTTGGGTGGATATGGAAATCTTGTTGGACAGTCTTTTGCTTTCAGCTGTTTGAATATGTCATTTCAGTTCCTCAAGCTTCCATAGTTTCTGATAAGAAATCAGCTGTTAATCTTATTTGGGATCCCTTGTTCATGACGAGTTGCTTCTCTCTTGCTACTTTTAAGATTCTCTCTTTCTCTTTGGCTTTGTAAAGTTTGACTATTTTGTGAATTTTGTCAAGCTTCTTGAATGCGTTATTGATGTTTTTCATCAAATTTGGGAAATTTTCAGCTATGATTTCTTCAAATACTCCTTCTACCCCTTTCTCTTTCTGGAAATCTCATATATTGCTGGTAAGAATGAAAATGTTTGTATCTTGATGGTGTCCCACATTTCTCTGAAGCTCTGTTTGTTTTCATTCATTCTTTTTTTTCCTGTTCATTTCAGTTGACCCATCTTCAAGTTTAGTTTTTTTTTTTGCTGTTTTTTTTTTTTTTTTTTTTTTTTTTTACTTTTTTTCCAGTTGAAATATGCTGTTGAGCTTGTCTAGTGAATTTTAAAATTTGGTTATTATATTTTTCAACTCTAGAATTTCTATTTGGTCTTTTAAAAATTCTCTTTATTGATATATTCTACTTTCTACTTGTTCTCTTTCCTTTTGTTCTTTAGATATAATTTTCTTTAGTTCTTTGAACATATTTATAAAAGCCGTTTAAAAATCTTTAGTAATTTTAAGTGCAAGTATCCTCAAAGTCAACTTCTTTTGACTTTACCTTTTCCTATGTGTGAGCCATACTTTTTTGTTTCTTTGCATGTCTTATAGTTGTTTGAACAAACTTGGACATTTCAAATAATAAAGTGACAATTCTGTAAATCAGATTTTCCTCCCTCCTATTCCCAGGGTCTTTTGTTGTTATTTGTTGTTGTTGATGGTTATGTTGCTGTTTGTCTGTTTAATGACTTTCCTGAACTAATTCTGTAAAGTTTGTGTTCTTTGTCATGTGTGGCCACTGAAATCTCTGTTCAGATAGCTTAATGGTCAGGTAATGACTGGCCAGAGATTTTCTTAAATTCATTGCACCACTAAGTCTCCTAGACTTTGCCAAGGGGCTCTGTTTGAGTGTTGGGAATATCTTTAACACTGCAACAGGCACTTTACAACACTGCATTAGCCTTCACTTTTTGATTGCACAGAATCTCCACTTACAGCAGATGTGAAAGATTAGATTTCTCAGGTCTTTCCTGGACATTTTTGCAGCCCTGCACATGCACATAGCCTTTTAGATTCCCAGGAATATGTTGGAGCTTTTCAAAGCCTTCCATGGACATCTTGTTTCCCAAGTTTTCCTTTTAAGTTTTTCAGTAAGCTTGTTTGTCCCAACTGTGATTCTCCACCTCAGACAACTGTGATGTTTAATAATTGCAGCTGATTGTTTTCTACAAACTCCCTGAGGAAAAGGCTGTACACATGAAGAAAGGTCAGAGTCAGGTCAAATAAGACAGAGTCCTGTAATTGGGGTTTCCAGATAATGTCCTGACAGGTCGAATAGTGACAATACACTTGAGATGGGGCTTTGGGGAGCAGCAAAACCTGTATTTCTCATCAGATGGCTACTAAGCTGCTGGATTTCATGGCTACAATGATTGTGAGGCTGTTGGTTTTCAAGGCTACCATGGAGCTGGAGAAAGGTGATGAGAATAGGGCAAGTTAGAAAGTCACACAGCTCAATATTCTTACCAAGATTCTGTTATTTTATTGAATAAATGCTCCTCGAATTGTTGGCATGCCTTTTTAAAAAAAGAAAATTTCCCGAGTTAAGAAAAAGTTGTTTTTGATAATTTTTGGAAGTGTTTTTGTTGCTTTTATGGTGAGCAGATTTTTGGAACTCCTTATTCTGTCATTCTGTTGTTTATTTCATCCTACTGCTTTCTTTCATTATATTTGTATTTTTATATTTTCCCTATTTTAACTTTTAACTTGCCTCTAATGTTATGTTTCAAGTCAGTTTCTTGTAACCAGCAGATATTTGTATTATTTTGCTCCATTTTTTCAATGTCTGCCATCTAATTTGTGTATTTAGACCATTTTTCTTTTGTTTTTAATATACTTTATTTTTATTTTTAATAGACTTTATTTGTTAGAGGAGTTTTAGGTTCACAGTAAAACTAAGTGGAAGAGATTTCCCACCTACTCTCTGTCCCCACGCTTGCCTATCCTCTCCCATTATCAATATCCTCTTCCAGAGTGGTACATTTTTTATAACTGATGAACCTACATTGGTACATTGTTATCATCCAAAGTCCATAGCTTATATTAAGATTCACTCTTGGCATTGTACATTCTATGGGTTTTGACACACACATATAATGACACATATCCAGCACTATAGTGTCATACAAAATAGTTTCACTGCCCTAAAAATTCTCTGTGTCCTGTATATTTATCCTTCCCTTTCCCCCAAATCATGGTAACTACTTATCTTTTTACTGTATTCATAGCTTTGCCTTTTTCAGAACGTCATATAGTTGGAATCGTATATAGCCTTTTCAGATTGTCTTCTTTTAAGTTTCTATATCTTTTTATGGCTTGAAAACTTATTTCCTTTTAGTGCTTAATAACATTCCAATGTCTGGATTTACTGTAGTTTAATTATCCATTCACTTACTGAAGGACATCTTGGTTGTTTCCAAGATTTGGCAATTATGAATAAAGCTGTTTTTGCTTTTTTTTTTGTTTTTTAAGGCAAGGTCTCACTCTGTCACCCAGTAGGCTGGAGTGCAGTGGCACTATCTTGGCTCACAGCAACCTCTGCCTCCTGGGCTCAAGCGATCCTCCTGCCCCAGCTTCCGAGTAGCTGGGACCACAGGCACGTACCACCATGCCTGACTAATTTTTGTATTTTTTGTAGAGACGAGATTTTGCCATATTGCCCAGGCTGGTCTTGAACTCCTGGGCTCAAGTGATCCACCTGCCTTGGCCTCCCAAAGTGCTAGGATTACAGGCATGAGCCACTGCACCTGGCCTTAAAGCTGTTTTTTTTCTTGTGTGTGTATGTAGACATAAGATTTTAACTCATTTGTGTAAATACCAAGGAGCAAAACTGCTGGATCATATGGTATATTTAGTTTTGGAAGAAACTGCCAAACTGTCTTCTATAGTGACTGTACCATTTTGCATTTCCACCACCAATAAATGAGAATTTTGTTGCTCCACATTCTCACCAGCATGTTGTCAGCGTTCTGGATTTTGGTCACTCTAATAGGTGTATAGTGGTATCTCATTGTTGTTTTAGTTTATAGTTCCCTAATGACATATGATGTTGAGCTTCTTTGCATATGCTTATTTACCATCTGTGTATCTTTTCTGGTGAGTTTTTTTTTTTTTTTTTTTTTGAGACGGAGTTTCGCTCTTGTTGCCCAGGCTGGAGTGCAATGGCACGAGCTTGGCTCACCGCAACCTCTGCCTCCCAGGTTCAAGCAGTTCTCCTGCCTGAGCCTCCCAAGTAGCTGGGATTACAGGCACGCACCACTGCGCCTGGCTAATTTTGTATTTTTAGTAGAGATGGGGTTTCTCCATGTTGAGGCTGGTCTTGAACTCCTGACCTCAGGTGATCCGCCCACCTCGGCCTCCCAAAGTGCTGGGATTACAGGCGTGAGCCACTGCGCCTGGCCTCTTTTATCTAATTTTTAATCAAGTTGTTTATTTTCTTATAGTTGAATTTTAAAGAGTTCATTGTATATTTAGGATAACAGTCCTTTATCAGATGTGTCTTTTGCAAGTATTTTCTTCCAGTCTGTGGCTTGTTTTTTCATTCTCTTGACAGTTTCTTTCACTGAGCAGAACTTTTAAATTTTAATAAATACCAGCTTATCAATTATGTTTTTCCTGTATTATGCCTTTGATGTTTATGTATAAGTATTTGTTTTAATACTTGTTTTCAATTCTTTTTGTTATATACCTAGGAATGGAATTGCTTGGTCATGTGATAACATGTTTAACTTTTTTGTGCAACTGCCAAACTTTTTCAAAGTGGTTGCACCATTTTACATTTCCACCAGCCATGTATGAGGGTTGCGATTTCTCCTTATCCTCACCAATACTAGTTAATATTCCTCCTTTTTATTATAGCCATCCTAGTAATGTAAAGTGATATCTCTTTATGGTTTTTATTTGTATTTCCCAGATGTCTTAATGATATTGAGTGTCTTTTTATATGGCTGTAGCCATTTGGATATCTTTTTGTATCTTTTTTGATGAAATGTCTATTCAAATTCTTTGCCCATTTTTAAATTGGGTGATATGTTTTCATTGTTAAGGTATGTGCTTTATATATTCTGTGTACAAATTCCTTATTATATATATAATTTGCAAATATTTTCTCCCATTCTGTGTATTATCTTTTCACTTTCTTGATGGTATCCTTTGAATCACAAACATTTTAAGTTTTTATGAAGTCCAAGCAATTTATCTCACTTTTGTCATTTTTGCCTTTGGTGTCATATCTAAGAAAACATTTCCTAGTTCAAAGTCATGAAGATTCTTGCACAGGTTTTCTTCTGGGAGTTTTGGCTCTTGCATTTAGGTCTTTGATCCACTTTGAATTAAGTTTTAAAGGCGGTGAGGTAGAGATACATCTTCATTTTTAAATGCGGATCTCCAATTCCTCCAGCATCATTTGTTGGAAATACTATTATTTCCTATTGAGTTGTATTGGCATCCTTGTTGAAAACCAATTGATCACAGATATGTAAGTTAATTCCTGGACCTCAACTTTTATTCCATTGATCTATATGCCTATTATTATGCCTGTACCACATTGTCTTGATTACAGTAGCTGTTTAGTAAGTTTTAAAATTGAGAAGTGTGAGTCTTCCAACTTTGGTCTTCTTTTTCAAGGTTGTCTTGGTTATTCTATGTTCCTTGTATTTTCACATGAATTTTAGAATCAGCTTTGGCAATTACAGCTGGGGTTTTGGATATGTATTTCAATGAATCTGTATTAGTTTGGGGAGTATATTTCTATTTCTTGATTTATCAATTTTAGACTTTATCCATAATAAGTAAGAGCTTGTATATCCCACCCTTCCCATTATTTCCTGTCCTCCCATCCCTCCAAAAATGTTGTATCTTAATTTTTCACCGTCAATAACTTGTATTTACATTATTATAAATATGTAAATACTGTTTACTGTTGAGTTATGTAGTGCTCTGTGACTAATTCTCCTTTCTTTTTTCTTTTTTTATTATACTTTAAGTTCTAGGGTACATGTGCACACCGTGCAGGTTAGTTACATATGTATACATGTGCCATGTTGGTGTGCTGTACCCATTAACTCATCATTTACATTAGGTATATCTCCTAATGCTATCCCTCCCCACTCCCCCGACCCCACGACAGGCCCCGGTTTGTGATGTTCCCCTTCCTGTGTCCAAGTGTTCTCATTGTTCAATTCCCACCTATGAGTGAGAACATGCGGTGTTTGGTTTTCTGTCCTTCTGATAGTTTGCTGAGAATGATGGTTTCCAGCTTCATCCATGTCCCTACAAAGGACATGAACTCATCAATTTTTATGGCTGCATAGTATTCCATGGTGTATATGTGCCACATTTTCTTAATCCAGTCTATCATTGTTGGACATTTGGGTTGGTTCCAAGTCTTTGCTATTGTGAATAGTGCCGCAATAAACATACATGTGCATGTGTTTTTATAGCAGCATGATTTATAATCCTTTGAGTATATATCCAGTAATGGGATGGCTGGGTCAAATGGTATTTCTAGTTCTAGATCCCTGAGGAATCTCCACACTGTCTTCCACAATGGTTGAACTAGTTTCCAGTCCCACCAACGGTGTAAAAGTGTTCCTATTTCTCCACATCCTCTCCAGCACCTGTTGTTTCCTGACTTTTTAATGATTGCCATTCTAACTGGTGTGAGATGGTATCTCATTGTCATTTTGATTTGCATTTCTCTGATGGCCAGTGATGATGAACATTTTTTCATCTGTCTGTTGGCTGCATAAATGTCTGCTTTTGAGAAGTGTCTGTTCATATCCTTCGCCCACTTGTTGATGGCGTTGTTTGTTTTTTTCTTGTAAATTTGTTTGAGTTCTTTGTAGGTTCTGGATATTAGCCCTTTGTCAGATGAATAGATTGCAAAAATTTTCTCCCATTTTGTAGGTTGCCTGTTCACTCTGATGGTAGTTTCTTTTGCTGTGCAGAAGCTCTTTAGTTTAATTAGATCCCATTTGTCAATTTTGGCTTTTGTTGCCATTGCTTTTGGTGTTTTAGACATGAAGTCCTTGCCCATGCCTATGTCCTGAATCATATTGCCTAGGTTTTCTTCTAGTGTTTTTATGGTTTTAGATCTAACATTTAAGTGTTTAATCCATCTTGAATTAATTTTTGTATATGGTGTAAGGAAGGGATCCAGTTTCAGCTTTCTACATATGGCTAGTCAGTTTTCCCAGCACCATTTATTAAATAGGGAATCCTTTCCTCATTTCTTGTTTTTGTCAGGTTTGTCAAAGATCAGGTAGTTGTAGATGTGTGGTATTATTTCTGAGGGCTCTATTCTATTCCATTGGTCTGTATCTCCATTTTGGTACCAGTACCATGCTGTTTTGGTTACTGTAGCCTTGTAGTATAGTTTGAAGTCAGGTAGCATGATGCCTCCAGCTTTGTTCTTTTGGCTTCGGATTGACTTGGTAATGTGGGCTCTTTTTTGGTTCCATATGAGCTTTAAAGTTTTTTCCAATTCTGTGAAGAAAGTCATTGGTAGCTTGATGGGGATGGCATTGAATCTATAAATTACCTTGGGCAGTATGACCATTTTCACCATATTGATTGTTCCTATCCATGAGCATGGAATGTTCTTCCATTTGTTTGTGTCTTCTTTTGTTTCATTGAGCAGTGGTTTGTAGTTCTTGAAGAAGTCCTTCACATCCATTGTAAGTTGGTTTCCTGGGTATTTTATTCTCTTTGAAGCAATTGTGACTGGGAGTTCACTCATGATTTGGCTCTCTGTTTGTCTGTTATTGGTGTATAGGAAAGCTTGTGATTTTTGCACATTGATTTTGTATCCTGAGACTTTGCTGAAGTTGCTTTATCAGCTTAAGAAGATTTTTGGCTGAGACGATGGGGTTTTCTAAATATACAATCATGTCATCTGCAAACAGGGACAATTTGACTTCCTCTTTTCCTAATCGAATACCCTTTATTTCTTTCTCTTGCCTGATTGCCCTGGCCAGAACTTCCAACACTATGTTGAATAGGAGTGGTGAGAGAGGGCATCCCTGTCTTGTGCCAGTTTTCAAAGGGAATGCTTCCAGTTTTTGCCCATTCAGTATGATATTGGCTGTGGGTTTGTCATAAATAGCCCTTATTATTTTGAGATACGTCCCACCAATACCTAATTTATTGAGAGTTTTTAGCATGAAGGCTGTTGAATTTTGTCAAAGGCCTTTTCTGCATCTATTGAGATAATCATGTGTTTTTGTCGTTGTTTCTGTTTATATGCTGTATTACGTTTATTGATTTGCGTATGTTAAACCAGCCTTGCATCCCAGGGATGAAGCCCACTTGATCATGGTGGATAAGCTTTTTGATGTGCTGCTGGATTCGGTTTGCCAGTATTTTATTGAGGATTTTTGCATCGATGTTCATCAGGGATATTGGTCTAAAATTCTCTTTTTTTGTTGTGTCTCTGCCAGGCTTTGGTATCAGGATGATGCTGGTCTCATAAAATGAGTTAGGGAGGATTCCCTCTTTTTCTATTGATTGTAATAGTTTCAGAAGGAATGGTACCAGCTCCTCCTTGTACCTCTGGTAGAATTTGGCTGTGAATCCGACTGGTCCTGGACTTTTTTTGGTTGGTAGGCTATTAATTATTGCCTCAATTTCAGAGCCTGTTATTGGTCTATTCAGAGATTCAACTTCTTCCTGGTTTAGTCTTGGGAGGGTGTATCCGTCCAGGAATTTATCCATTTCTTCTAGATTTTCTAGTTTATTTGCATAGAGGTGTTTATAGCATTCTCTGATGGTAGTTTGTATTTCTGTGGGATCGGTGGTGATATCCCCTTTATCATTTTTTTATTGCGTCTATTTGATTCTTCTTTCTTTTTGAATGAAGGCAGAAATAAAGATGTTCTTTGAAACCAGTGAGAACAAAGACACAACATACCAGAATCTCTGGGACACATTCAAAGCAGTGTGTAGAGGGAAATTTATAGCACTAAATGCCCACAAGAGAAAGCAGGAAAGATCCAAAATTGACACCTTATCATCACAATTAAAAGAACTAGAAAAGCAAGAGCAAACATATTCAAAAGCTAGCAGAAGGCAAGAAATAACTAAAATCGGAGCAGAACTGAAGGAAATAGAGACACAAAAAGCCCTTCAAAAAATTAATGAATCCAGGAGCTGGGTTTTTGAAAGGATCAACAAAATGGATAGACCGCTAGCAAGACTAATAAAGAAGAAAAGAGAGAAGAATCAAATAGACACAATAAAAATGATAAAGGGGATATCACGACCGATCCCGCAGAAATACAAACTACCATCAGAGAATACTACAAACAGCTCTACACAAATAAACTAGAAAGTCTAGAAGAAATGGATAAATTCCTTGACACATACACCCTCCCAAGACTAAACCAGGAAGAAGTTGACTCTCTGAATAGACCAATAACAGGCTCTGAATTGTGGCAATAATCAATAGCTTACCAACCAAAAAGAGTCCAGGACCAGATGGATTCACAGCTGAATTCTACCAGAGGTACAAGGAGGAGCTGGTACCATTCCTTCTGAAACTATTCCAATCAATAGAAAAAGAGGGAATCCTCCCTAACTCATTTCATGAGGCCAGCATCATTCTGATACCAAAGCCGGGCAGAGACACAACCAAAAAAGAGAATTTTAGACCAATATCCTTGATGAACATCGATGCAAAAATCCTCAATAAAATACTGGCAAACCGAATCCAGCAGCACATCAAAAAGCTTATCCACCATGATCAAGTGGGCTTCATCCCTGGGATGCAAGGCTGGTTCAATATATGCAAATCAATAAATGTAATCCAGCATATAAACAGAACCAAAGACAAAAACCACATGATTGTCTCAATAGATGCAGAAAAGGCCTTTGACAAAACTCAACAACCCTTCATGCTAAAATCTCTCAATAAATTAGGTATTGATGGGACATAACTCAAAATAATAAGGGCTATTTATGACAAACCCACAGCCAATATCATACTGAATGGGCAAAAACTGGAAGCATTCCCTTTGAAAACGGGCACAAGACAGGGATGCCCTCTCTCACCACTCCTATTCAACATAGTGTTGGAAGTTCTGGCCAGGGCAATCAGGCAGGAGAAGGAAATAAAGGGTATTCAATTAGGAAAAGAGGAAGTCAAATTGTCCCTGTTTGCAGATGACATGATTATACATCTAGAAAATCCCATGTCTCAGCCCAAAATCTCCTTAAGCTGATAAAGCAACTTCAGCAAAGTCTCAGGATACAAAATCAATGTGCAAAAATCACAAGCATTCTTATACACCAATAACAGACAAACAGAGAGCCAAATCATGAGTGAACTCCCAGTCACAATTGCTTCAAAGAGAATAAAATACCTAGGAATCCAACTTACAAGGGATGTGAAGGACCTCTTCAAGGAGAACTGCAAACCACTGCTCAATGAAATAAAAGAGGATACAAACAAATGGAAGAACATTCCATCCTCATGGATAGGAAGAATCAATATTGTGAAAATGGCCATACTGCCCAAGGTAATTTATAGATTCAATGCCATTCCCATCAAGCTACCAATGACTTTCTTCACAGAATTGGAAAAAACTTTAAAGTTCATATGGAACCAAAAAAGAGCCCGCATCGCCAAGTCAACCCTAAGCCAAAAGAACAAAGCTGGAGGCATCATGCTACCTGACTTCAAACTATACCACAAGGCTACAATTCTTCCTCAGTTCTATGGGGGCGAAATGACTTGTTCCTTGGTGGCATTCAAATTTTTCCTTCCTTTCCTCTGCTAAGTTAATTATTGCTTATCAATCTGCTTTTTGTCTCTCCAGAACTTGCTGAAATCTCATCTATTATTGTTTTATTTCCCACTCCCTTTACCCCCATGGGCTTTTATGGTTCTTTTTCTTTTACTATCATTTAGTAGAGTTTGGGATTGTGTTAAAGTTGCCTGTGGATTGATATTTAGCCATATTAAAAACACATAAATGTAATGTAACTATGAAATTGTGACTGGCACAAACTATGCTCTGGCGCCTATCTGGATTGTGGTCACATCAGTGCATAATCATTTTCAAAGGAATTTAGTTGTCTTAGCTCATGTGATGGACTCAAGGCTGTTTTTGCAGAGTTCTGTTTCTGTTGACTATAATCATTCATTTTAATGTTAAAGTTGTTTACTACTTGATTATTGGAAGGTATCTCTAGACTAAAATCATTGACATAATGAAAAGAAATCTTTAAATCTTATTTTTAAAAAGTAATACATGCACATAGTAACAAAAATGTCAAATAGCACAAAAGAGTATTCACTGAAAAATAAGTCTCCTTTACTCTCCAGTCCCCCAGCTACCCACTTCCTTTCCTTAGAGGCAATTACTGTTTCTAGTTTCTTGCATTCTTTCCGATATATTATAGGTATATTCAAGCATATATACCTTTCACTGTCACTGAAATGGCAGTATTCTATGTGTACTGACATGTATCTTGCTTTTTTCATTTAACAATATATCTTGGCGATATTCCATTTCAATGGACATAGGATCTTACCTTTTTTCTTCTGGTGGTTTTACAGTATTCTGTTGTATTAATACACTGCAATTTATTTAACCAGTTTCTTATTGATGGACATTTAGGTTGTTTCCAACCTTTTCTGCTACAAATATTGCTGCAGTGAATTTCTTCACCTTTTGTACATGTTTGAGTGTATTTGTGATATAAATTCCTATAAGTACAGTTGTTGGTTCAAAGAATATGTAGCTTTTCTTTTCTTTTCTTTTTTTTGTTTTTTTTAGACAGAGTCTTGCTCTGTCACCCAGGCTGGAGTGCAGTGGTGTGATCTCGGCTCACTGCAACCTCTGCCTCTCCCGGGTTCAAGCGATTTTCCTGCCTCAGCCTCCCGAGTAGCTGGGATTACAGGCACCCGCAACCATGTCCAGCTAATTTTTGGATTTGTAGTAGACACGGGGTTTCACTATGTTGGCCAGGCAGGTCTTGAATTCCTGACCTCAAGTGATCCACCCACCTTGGCCTCCCAAAGCGCTGGGATTACAGGCGTGAGCCACCATGCCTGACCAATATATAGCTTTAAAATTTGTCTTTGTCTTTTTGAAATGTCCCAGAGATATTTGTGAAAGCATCCTTGCTTTATGACAATAAGATGTTTGTAGGAACATTTTGCTTTCTTTCGTCTACTGCTCAAGGAACCCTGATTCCGTTTGGCAGAAAAAAAAAGATCTGGGGGATTAGGGGGGGTTTTAGATTTTTCTACATGACTACTGTTGGTAGGGAGAGGCAATCTGAATGATTTAAGTAACAAAGTGAAAGTTTTTAAGGGTGCGAGTTCATGTTGATGTTTCCAGTTTAACTTCAAGTCCTTTCTTGCTTACTGCTGTTATGAGAAATTTAAATAATTTATTCTTTTTCTTTTCATTTGTGCTACCATCTTTAATGCTCTTTTATTTATCTTCTTCTACTAACTCAAATATATTATGTTGCATATTGTCATAACAAACCATGTATTTAAATTATAATACTGTTCTGGGCTTGAGAAATACCTATTTCTTTTCTGCTCCCTGACAAGATAGGTTTCAAAGCATACGAGTTTAGATAATCCTTTATGACCACACCATCCAAACACAGAACTGGCCGTGGAAAGAAATTTTAACCTCCTGCCCATGGAGTCTCAGGGAATTCTGAGGGCATAGGGCACCCAGCATCAAAATAGAGTCCCCATGCACTTAATGGAAGTTAATGGGAAGGACAGCTAAGCAAACACTGGCTTGTGAGGTTTTTAACTAAAACCTTCCTCCAGCTTTTCTTTCCCACGTGCCAAAACAGTCTTGGCTTTTTTCCTTTGAGCCTCACTACTTCAACTTGTTTTTTTTTTTTTTTTTCATATTTTTCTTCACTGATGCTGCTGCTCATTTATTTGTTATAGGCAGTCTGAGCACTGAACTTCAATTTTTCATAGGACCTTGACTTCTTTGTTGACTTGAATGACTTCAAGGTTGTCCTAGTTTAAAGCCATCTAAGACAGTAAAAAAAAAAAAAAAAATCCCAGAAAATACATTATCAAGAATTGTGAGCCCACGGCCACGGCCACTCCAGGTTCCACAGCAAGAGCACCCAGCAGACCATGAGGAGGTGAATCAGGGTGGGCAGGTGCTGCCAGATGCTGGCTTCCCATCAGCGCAGAAGAGAGCAATCTGGACTCTCTGGACACTGTGCATGCTATTGACCCAATGTAGTGGCCTGTAGTGAGGACTTGGCGCCTCAGTGAATGGCACTATGGGGGTCTGACCAGACTCCATAAAGCAGAAACTGCTGCCAAGAATGGTGAGGCCTAGGTAAAGATGTAGATGTGCTCTTATGATGTCTCACCACCTCTGATGGAGCCCTACCACCCCTTCTATAGCAGCATTAGTAAGGATTGCAGGTATACAGACCTCACTGAAGATCAACTACCCTCTTGTGAGAGTCTGAAGGATACTATTGCAAGAGCTCTGGCCTTTTGGAATGAAGATATAGTTCCCCAGATAAAGAAGAGGAATTGGATATTGATTGAAGCCCATGACAACAGCCTTACAGGCATTATCAAGCATCTGGAGGGTCTCTCTGAAGTGGCTATCATGGAACTGAACCTGCTTACTGGTATTCCCATTGCCTATGAATTGGCCGAGAACTTGAACCCCATCAAGTCCATGCAGTTCTTAGGGGATGAAGAGGCTATGTGTAAAGCCATGGAAGCTGTGGCTGCCCAGGGCAAGGCCAAGAAGTGAAGACCATCAGGCAGACTAGTGTCCTCAGAAGCACCCTCCCTGCCCATCCCTTCTTCTGCCCCTACTTCCTGTACGTCACATTGACCACATCTGTAGGCATCTGAAGTTGTAGATGCAGATGGGGACTGATGGCTCCCATTTTCATTTCAGCCATTTGTCTCCTGCACCCACTCTCTTCAAACAATCCAGACAGGATAGCACCTCTGGGGCAAGGGGCTCAGTCCAAGCCCAGGGAAATCTCCACTTATCCAAGAGGGCTGAGAGGTAGTGACTCAGGTTTTTACCAGGGTTTTGTGTGCAAAGGACCTGCTTTAGTAAGGGATAGGAAGAAAACATGCTAAGGCATGGCCGATGAGGAGAAGCAAGAGAGCCTGTTTGCCCTTAGGAGGCAATCTTGTGTTCTTCTGTAGTCAGGCCACTTACTGGGGTACTCTAGTCATTCCAGTGGAAGATGAACGTAACCTGCATGGTGATGTAAAATAAAAAAATCCCCAAACCAAACAAAAAAACCCTGTTTCCTTCCTGACCCCAGAGGAGCTGGCTCCACTTGAAGATTGAGATCAATCCTGAATTAAATTTTTGTTGCATTTACTTTTACAAAAAAAGTATAGAAATAATATGAAACAAAAACCCTCCTGGGGTTTCTAGTGGTGGTTGAAATAGTCCCACATGTGGTTATCAGAAAATAAGCCCTTCCTCACACCAATATCAGATAATCTCCTTGACTTGTAAGGGATAGGAATACATCCTGCTGTGTATTTTGGAATTCCTCCCGATATGGTTTGAATTTGTGTTACTGCCCAAATCTCATGTGGAATTGTAAATCCCAATGTTGTAGAAGGGGCCTGGTGGGAGGTAATTAAATCATGGGGGCATATTTCCCCCTTGCTGTTCTCATGATAGTGAGTGAGTTCTCACAAGACCTGGTTGTTTGAAAGTGTATGGCACCTTCCCCTTTTCCCTCTTCCTCCTTCTCCAGCCATGTAAGATGTGCCTACTTCCACCTTCACCTTCTGCCATGATTGTAAGTTTCCAGAGGCCTTCCCAGCCATGCTTCCTGTACAGCCTGCAGAACCATGAGTCAATTAAACCTCTTTTCTTTATAAATTACCCAGTCTCAGGTAGTTCTTTATAGAAATTTGAGAACAGATTAATACACCCCCCACCACCTTGTTTTGAGGCAGTGAAATGCCTCTTGATCATGTTTCAGTGTGTTTTTCATGGCCTGATTTCTTTTCTTTCTTTCTTTTTTATTTCAATTGTTTTTGGGATACAGGTGTTTTTCGGTTACATGGATAAGTTCTTTAGTGGTGATTTCTGAGACTTTAGTACACCTGCTACCCGAGCAGTGTACACTGTACCCTATATGTAGTCTTCCCCTCTGAGTCCCCAAAGTCCATTATGTCATTCTTATGCCTTTTCATTGCCTGATTTCTGAATCATGTTCTAGTTGCTTGGCCCTGCCACATGGGCCCAGTACTCATTTTGGGCATAAATATACTAAATATTTTTTTCCAGATCAGTATAATAAAGGAGTGATGTACAATTACAAAATTGTGATGAAAATGTGCCAAATAATAATTTTAAAATCTACTTACTAACCTCATGTGGCTCAATTTCAATAAGGTCCTATAATTTTCACAACACTGGGTGTGCTTCATGAAGACCAATTCAAAAAAGACAAAAGCACAATTGAATTATCCACATTATAGTTACAATTTTACATTCTTAATATGCCCAGGTAACTCTTGACACCATTTCAAATAAGCTTCAGTCATATTTGGCATATACTGAGGCTGGCATTTTTTTCCACATGAAAGCAAATGGAAAATTGATAAAATTACAGTTGTAGAGAACCTCAGCAATTCCAGGTTTGGTGCAAATATCCATATTTTTGCTAAATATTCTAGAACTGTATCCCCAACTTTGCATTGGGGATAGATATAGAAATTATTATTTGTTTACCATAGGTATAAAACCTATAGTTACTTTTGAAGAATTAAAGCCAACCCCAAAAGATTTATGCACCTAACAAGGTTTTTTTTCATACTTTATTAGTTTTGTCTAAAGAAAAGGTTTTTAGTACGAAAATTTCCAGTTGTCTATGTATAAATGTAAATCTTTAAGAATCATTTAATATAGGATATTTACCAAAGATATGGGAACTGTGTAGCCCTATTCTCAGCGCAGAAGCAGTGACTTCTAGTGAAGATTTAAAATGGGCTCAGATGAGAGGAAAAAACTCGGAACCCTAGACTTGGAAAAGAACTGTTAAAAGCCCCATCTCTGAGCATGTTATCACTTATGGATCTTTCTCTTTTATCTGCTATTGAAGTATTATGAGTTTCAGTCCAGCAAGGTCATATTTCTTTAAAAGAAAAATCAGTGCCCCAAATATGAAAATTACACAACTTATTGACACACTACTAGCTCCCATCCCAGTATGGCCAAATCTTTCTCTGAAAAAAAAAAAGTATACTAAAATACAAAATTTCACAACCTTATTTCTGGTAACACTTTAGTTTAATTGTCACATGATTATTCAACTTCAATAACTTAGATATTTATGGATCATAGCAGAACTGGTAGTGCTTATAACTTTGTAACTTTCCATGCATAGAACCCTTCTAGGTTAAGCACATATATTTCAAAAAGAAGTTTCAAAAAACAGTTTCTGAAATAATATTAGGAATGAGAAATAAATAAAGGGCATCCAAATAGGAAGAGAGGAAGTCAAACTACCCCTGTTTGTAGATGATATGATTCTATATCTAGAAAACCCCATAGTCTCAGCCCAAAGGATCCTTAAGCTGATAAACAACTTCAGCAAATTATCGGTATACAAAATCAATATGCAAAAATCACTAGCACTCCTATACAACAACATTCAAGCTGAAAGCCAAATCAGGAACGCAGTCCCATTCACAATTACCACACACACAAAGTAAAATACCTATGAATACAGATAATCAAGGAGGTGAAAGATCTCTACAAGCAGAACTACAAAACACTGCTCAAAGAAATCAGAGATGATACAAACAAATGGAAAAACATTCCATAGTTATGGATAGGAAGAATCAATATCATTACAATGGCCATACTGCCCAAAGCAATTTATAGATTCAACACTATTTCTATTAAACTACCAATGACATTCATTCCAGAAACAGAAGAAGGTATTTTAAAATTCATGAGGAACCAAAAAGGAGCCCGAATAAGCAAAGCAATCCTAAGCAAAAGAACAAAGCTGGAGGCATCACACTATCTGACTTTAGACTATATTACAGAGCTATGGTAACCAAAACAGCATGGTACTAGTACATAAACAGGCACAAAGTCAAATGAAACAGAATAAAGAACCCAGAAATAAGACCACACACCTACAACTATTGGATCTTTGACAAAGCTGACAAAAACAAGCAATGGGGAAAAGACTCCCTATTCAATAAATGATGCTGGGATAACTGGCTAGCCACAAGTAGAAGACTGAAACCAGACCCCTTCCTTATACCACATACAAAAATTAACTCAAGATAGATTAAAAACTTAAATGTAAAACCTGAAATTATAAAAACCCTGGAAGGCAACCTAGGCAATACAATTCTGGAATAGGAACAAGCAAAGATTTCATGACAAAGACACCAAAAGCAATTGCAACAAAAGCAAAAATGGACAAATGGGATCTAATTAAACTAAAGAGCTTCTGCACAGCAAAAGAAACTATTAACATAGTGAACAGATAACTTACAGAATGGGAGAAAAATTTTGCAAGCTATGCATCTGAGAAAGGTCTAATATTCAGCATCCATAAGGAACTTAAACAAATGTACAAGGTAAAAACCTCAAACAACCCAATTAAAAAGTGGGCAAAGGACGTGAAAAGACACTTTTAAAAAGAAGATATGCATGTGGCCAACAATCATATGAAAAAAAGCTTAACATCACTGATACATTAGAGAAATGCAAATCAAAACCACAATGAGATACTGTCTCATACAAGTCAGAATGGCTATTATCAAAAAGTCAAAAAATAACGTGCTGGTGAGGTTGCAGAGAAAAAAGAATGCTTATAAACTGTCTTCAACCATTGTGGAAGACAGTGTGGCCATTCCTCAAAGATATAAAAACAGAAATACCATTCGACCTGCAGTCCCATTGCTGGGTATGGAATCAACCTAAATGGCTATCAATGATAGACTGGATAAAGAAAATGTTGTACATATACACCATGGAATACTATGCAGCCATAAAAAAAGAACAAGATTTTGTCCTTTGTGGGAACATGGATAGAGCTGGAGGCCATTATCCTTAGCAAACTAACACAGGAACAGAAAACCAAATACCACATGGTCTCACTTATAAATGGGAGCTAAATGATGAGAACACATGAACACATAATGGGGAACAACACCCACTGGGGCCTATTGGAGGAGGGAGGATGGAAGGAGGGAAAGGATAAGGAAAAATAGCTAATGGGTACTAGGCTTAATACCTGGGTGATGAAATAATCTGTAAAACAAACCTCCATGACACATGTTTACCTATATAACAAACCTGCCCATGTACCCTTGAACTTAATAGTTAAATTAAAAAAGAATGAAAATGTTGTGTTCTCAGTTAAATATTATTAATTGTTTGCTTAAGAGATGCCTTTCCAAGCAAAGGATTAATGTAGATACTTTGAAGCCTATGAACACTATTTTTTTAACCCAATTAATTAGTTTCAATTGCTTTTGTACATGGCACAAACTCAATGTCAGAACCTCTTATATTTACTCTTATACTTCGAAGATCTAGATACTTGCTAGCAAGCAGATAAAAATTAAGAACACACACTTTAAAAACAGAGTTACTCTCAATAAAATAGTGTTTATAATGAGTTCTAGCACTCAAAAATAGTCACAGTTTAAGAACCTAGCTGCTTCTTTAAAGAAGGGTCAGAAGAGCTGGAACATCATTTATTGTTTATCCTCATCACTTCCCCTTACCGTTTTCTATAGTTTTTTTAAATATATGTAGTTCTCCTTGCTTTGTGGGCCCTATATCATCAACAAATGTCAGCGATTTCTTCCACTTTTCCTCGAGAGTTTCCTTGTAAAAGGCCAGTTCATTTCCCCCTTATCCTCAACACTTCATCCTTGGAACAAAATTCCTAAGGGTCTCTTAAAAATATATTTTTTAAAATTTCCATAGGTCTTGGGGGAACAGGTGATATTTGGTTATGTGAGTAAGTTACTTAATGGTGATTTGTGAGATTTTGGTGCACCCATCACCAAGCAGTATACACTGAACACAATTTGTAGTCTTTTATCCCTCATCCCTCTCTCACCCTTTCCCTTGAGTCCCCAAAGTCCATTGTATCATTCTTATGCCTTTGCATCCTCATAGTTTAGCCCCCACTTATGAGTGAGAACATACGATATTTGGTTTTCCATTCCTGAGCTACTTCACTTTCTTTATCTATCATTGATGGGCATTTGGGTTGGTTCCATGTCTTTGCTATTGTAAATAGTGCTGCAATAAACATATGTGTGCATGTATCTTTATAATAGAATGATTTATATTCTTTTGGGTATATACCCAGTAATGGGATTGCTGGGTCAAATGGTATTTCTGGTTCTAGATCTTTGAGGAATCACCACACTGTCTTCCACAATGGTTGAACTAATTTACATTCCCACCAACAGTGTAAAAGCATTCCTATTTATCCACAGTCTTGCCAGCATCTGTTGTTTCTTGACTTTTTAATAATCTCTATTCTGACTGGCATGAAATGGTATGTCATTGTGGTTTTGATTTGCATTTCTCTAATGATCAGTGATATTGAGCTGTTTTTCATGTTTGTTGGCCTGCATGTATGTCTTCTTTTGAAAATTGTCTGTTCATGTCCTTTGCCCACTTTTTAATGGGATTGTTTGTTTTTTTCTTATACATTTGTTTTAGTTCCTTGTAAATTCCGGATAGTAAACATTTGTCAGATGGGTAGATTGCAAAAATTTTCTCCATTCCCTAGGTTGCCTGTTTGCTCTGATGATAGTTTCTTTTGCTGTGCAGAAGCTCTTTAGTTTAATTAGATCCCATTTGTAAATCTTAGTTTTTGTTGTAATTGCTCTTGGCGGTTCATCATAAAATCTTTGCCTAAGTTTTCTAGGGTTTTGGGTTTTACATTTAAGCTTTTAATCCATCTTGAGTTAATTTTTGTATAAGGTGTAAGGAAGAGGTCCAGTTTCAGTTTTCTGCATATGGCTAGCCAGTTACTCCAGGACCATTTATTAAATAGGGAATTCTTCCCCCATTGCTTGTTTTTGTCAGGTTTGTAGAAGATCAGATTGTTATAGATGTGTGGTGTTATTTCTGAGGTCTCTATTCTGTTCCATTGGTCTGTATGTCTGTTTTGGTACCAGTACCATGCTGTTTTGGTTGCTGTAGCCTTGTAGTATAATTTGAAGTCAGGTAGTGTGATGCCTCCAGCTTTGTTAATTTTGCTTAGGATTGTCTTGGCTATACAGGCTGTATTCAAGATACCCATCTAACTTGCAAAGACACACATAGGCTCAAGATAAAGGGATGGAGAAAAATTTACCAAGCAAATGGAAAGCAGAAAAATCAGGGGTTGCAATCCTAGTCTCTGACAAAACAGACTTTAAACCAACAAAGATTAAAAAAAAAGACAAAGGTATTTCATAATGGTAAAGGGATCAATGCAACAAGAAGAGCTAACTATCCTAAATATTATGCACCCAATACAGGAGCACCCAGATTCATAAAGTTCTTAGAGACCTACAAAGAGACCTAGACTCCCACACAATAATAGTGGGAGATTTTAACACGACACTGCCAATATTAGACAGATCAATGAGACAGAAAAGTTAACAAGGATATTCAGGACTTGAACTCAGCTCTGGCTCGAGTGGACCTAATAGATATCTACAGAACTCTCCACCTCAAAACAACAGAATATATATTATTCTCAGCACCACATCGCACTTACTCTAAAATCGACCACATAATTGGAAGTAAAACACTCCTCAGCAAATGCAAAAGAATGGAGATCATAACAAACAATCCCTTAGACCACAGTGCAATTAAATGAGAACTCAAGATTAGGACACTCACTCAAAACCACACAACTACATGAAAATTGAACAACCTGTTCCTGAATGACTCCTGGGTAAATAATGAAATTAAGGCAGAAATCAAGAAGTTATTTGAAACCAATGAGAACAAAGACACAACATACCAGAATCTCTGGGATGCAGCTAAAGCAGTGTTAAGAGAGAAATTCATAGCACCAAATGCCCACATTGGAAAGCTAGAAAGACCTGAAATCGATATCCTGGCATCACACTTAAAATAACTAGAGAAGCAAGAGGAAACAAATCCAAAAGCTAGCAGGAGACAAGAAGTAACTAAGATCAGAGAGGAACTGAAGGAGATAGAACACGAAAGACCCTTAAAAAAATCAATGAATCCAGGAGCTGTTTTTTTGAAAAAATTGATAAAATAGACCACTAGCTAGACTAACAAAGGAGAAAAGAGGGAAGAATCAAATAGATGCAACAAAAAATGATAAAAGGGATACCACCACTGACCCCACAGAAATACAAACTACCATCAGAGAATACTATAAACACCTCTATGCAAATAAACTAGAAAATCTAGAAGAAGTGGATAAATTCCTGGACACATACACCCTCCCAAGAGTAAACCATGAAGTCGAATCCCTGAACAGACCAATAACAAGTTCTGAAATTGAGGCAGTAATAAATAGCCTACCAACCAAAAAAAGCCCAGGACCAGATGGATTCAGAGCTGAATTGTACCAGAGGTACAAGGAGGAGCTGGTACCATTCCTTCTGAAATCTTTCCAAACAATTGAAAAGGAGGGACTTCTCCCTAACTCATTTTAAGAGGCCAGTATCATCCTGACACAAAAACCTGTCAGAGACACAACAAAAATGAAATCTTCAGGCCAATATCCCTGATTAACCTCAATGCAAAAATCCTCAATAAAATACTGGCAAACTGAATCCAGCAGCACATCAAAAAGCTTATCCACCATGATCAAGTCAGCTTCATCCTTGGATGCAATGCTGGTTCAGCATATGCAAATAAGTAAACATAATTCACCACATAAACAGAACCAACGACATAAACCACACGATTATCTCAATAGATGAAGAAAAGGCCTTTTGTAAAATTCAACATCCCTTCATGTTAAAAATTCTCAATAAACTAAGTATTGATGGAACATATCTCAAAACAATAAGAGCTATTTGTGATAAACCCACAGCCAATACTGAATAATCAATAGCTGGAAGCATTTCCTTTGAAAACTGGCACAAGACAAGGATACCCTCTCTCACCACTCCTACTCAGCATAGTATTGGAAGTTCTGGCCAGGGCAATCAGGTAAGAGAAATAAATAAATTGTATTCAAATAGGAAGAGAGGAAGTCAAATCCTTAAACTGACAAGCAACTTCAGCAAAGTCTCAGGATACAAAATCAATGTGCAGAAATCACAAGCATTTCTATACACCAATAATAGACAAGCAGAGAGCCAAATCATGAGTGAACTTCCATTCACAATTGCTATGAAGAGAATAAAATACTTAGGAATACAGCTAACTAGGGACACAAAGGATCTCTTCAAGGAAAACTACAAACCACTGCTCAAGGAAATAAAAGAGGACACAAACAAACGGAACAACATTCCATTCTCATGGATAGGAAGAATCAATATCATGAAAATGGCCATACTGCCCAAAGTAATTTATATATTCAATGCTATTTCCATCAAACTACCATTGACATTCTTCACAGAATTAGAAAAATCTACTTTAAAATTCAACGGAATCATTCACTCCTTTTATTCCTCTTCATGAGTGCTGCAGACTGCAGCTGCTTCCAATTGGCATTTTGGCCCCTCTGAAAAACATTTTTTCAATGTTAACCTGGTATTTTGCAGCTTCACAAAACTCACATCTTAGTTTTAGTTTTAGTTGCTCTTTTATAAAGTGCATCAAATTTTCTGTGTAGATGATTGCATCATTTGCTAATAAATACATTTTAAATTCTTTCTTTTTAATCTGAATGCCTTTTATTTCTTTTTCTTGCCTGATTGCACTTGCTACCACCTTCAGTACGATGTTGGAAAGAAGTAGTGAAAGTAAACATCCCTGTATTGGTCCTGATATTGGCTGCAGATTTTTTGAAGATGTCCTTTATCAGGTTGAGAAAATTCCTTTCTATTCTTATTTTTCTGTGAGTTTTTAAAAAACAGAAATGAGTGTTTTATGTTATCAAATGGTTTTACAGTATTTATTAGTATAATCATGTGATTATGTGATTTTTCTCAGTTTGTTAATATGGGGAATGTCAGTGTTTGATTTTTTTTCTGTTTATCTCCAACTTTCTTTTTATTATACTTTAAGTTTTAGGGTACATGTGCACAACGTGCAGGTTTGTTACATATGTATACATGTGCCATGTTGGTGTGCTGCACCCATTAACTCGTCATTTAACATTAGGTATATCTCCTAATGCTATCCCTCCCCGCTCCTCCCACCCCACGACAGGCCCCGGTGTGTGATGTTCCCCTTCCTGCGTCCATGTGTTCTCATTGTTCAATTCCCACCTATGAGTGAGAACATGCTGTGTTTGGTTTTCTGTCCTTGCAATAGTTTGCTGAGAATGATGGTTTCCAGCTTCATCCATGTCCCTACAAATGACATGAACTCATCATTTTTTTTGGCTGCCTAGTATTCCATGGTGTATATGTGCCACATTTTCTTAATCCAGTCTATCATTGTTGGACATTTGGGTTGGTTCCAAGTCTTTGCTATTGTGAATAGTGCCACAATAAACATACGTGTGCATGTGTCTTTATAGCAGCATGATTTATAATCCTTTGGGTATATACCCAGTAATGGGATGGCTGGGTCAAATGGTATTTCTAGTTCTAGAACGTTGAGGTAATCACCACACTGACTTCCACAATGGTTGAACTAGTTTCCAGTCCCACCAACAGTGTAAAAGTGTTCCTATTTCTCCACATCCTCTCCAGCACCTGTTGTTTCCTGACTTTTTAATGATTGCCATTCTAACTGGTGTGAGATGGTATCTCATTGTGGTTTTGATTTGCATTTCTCTGATGGCCAGTGATGATAAGCATTTTTTCATGTGTCTTTTGTCTGCATAAATATCTTCTTTTGAGAAGTGTCTGTTCATATCCTTCACCCACTTTTTGATGGGGTTGTTTGTTTTTTTCTTGTAAATTTGTTTGAGTTCATTGTAGATTCTGGATATTAGCCCTTTGTCAGATGAGTAGATTGCAAAAATTTTCTCCCATTTTGTAGGTTACCTGTTCACTCTGATGGTAGTTTCTTTTGCTGTGCAGAAGCTCTTTAGTTTAATTAGATCCCATTTGTCAGATTACATGATTGTATATCTAGAAAACCCCATCGTCTCAGCCCAAAATCTCCTTAAGCTGATAGGCAACTTCAGCAAAGTCTCAGGATACAAAATCAATGTACAAAAATCACAGGCATTCTTATACACCAATAACAGACAAACAGAGAGCCAAATCATGAGTGAACTCCCAGTCACAATTGCTTCAAAGAGAATAAAATACCTAGGAATCCAACTTACAAGGGAAGTGAAGGACCTCTTCAAGGAGAACTACAAACCACTGCTCAATGAAATAAAAGAGGACACAGACAAATGGAAGAACATTCCATGCTCATGGGTAGGAAGAATCAATATCATGAAAATGGCCATACTGCCCAAGGTAATTTATAGATTTTTTTTTTCATAGCGCCTCCCTGCATATGCAAGTTTTTCTCCTCTTATTACATTTACTATTACCTCCAAGCCATTAAATTCCATCTTTACATCTTGTACTGGAAAAGCATTAAATAAAGAGTTTAAATGTGTGGAGACAGAGAACATTTTGTATCGGTGGAATGATTTTAGTTTCAAGCCCTTATAGGGAATCCATTCTGTTTATACAAACTTTTTTCCTAAACTACTCCTCATCACAAACCATTGATAAAAGGCAGATTGCTGATGCTTCCTTTACCTCTTTTCAAAAATAATTCATGTGCAGAGGTTTTTGATGAGCTTCCAATTTTTAGCGTACTTATTTTAATTAACTGAAGTCCATTGTTTACATTAGAGTTCACTATTTGTATTGTACATTTTATGGGTTTGAGCAAACATATAATGTCGTATAGCCACCATTAAGTATCATACAGAATAATTTTACTGTTCCAAAAATTCCCTGTGCTTCACCCATTCATCTCGCTCCCCTGGACTCTTGGCAACCACTGATCTTTTAGTTCCTATAGTTTTGCTTTTTACAGAATGTCATATGGTTGCAATCATATAATAGGTAGTCTTTTCAGATTGGTTTCCTTCACTTAGCAATATCTATTGAAGGTTCCTCCATATCTTTTCATGACTTCAAAGATTACCTCCTTTTAGTGCTAAATAATATTCCATTGTCTGGATTTACCACAGCTTATTTATCCCTTCATCTACTGAGGGGCATCTTAATTGCTTCCAAGTACTGACAATTATAAATAAAGCTGCTATAAATATTTGTGTGCAGGTTTTTGTGTGGACATGAATTTTCAACCCATTTGGGTAAACCCAAGGAGCACAATTTCTGGATCATACGGTAAAAGTTTGTTTAATTTTGGAAGAAACTGCCGAACTGTCTTCCAATGTGGCTGTACCATTTTGCAGTCCCACAAGCAGTGAATCAGAGTTCCTGTTGTTCCACATCCTTGCCAGCATTTGATAGTGTTGGTGTTTTGGATTTTGGTCATTCTAATAGGGGTATAATGGTATCTCATTGTTGTTCTAATTTGTAATTCCCTAATGACCTATGATATTGAGCATCTTTGCATATGCTTATTTGCCATATCTTTGTTGGTGAGATGTATATTCAGGTATTTTGCCCATTGTTAAAGTAGGGTTACTCATTTACTTATAGTTGAGCTTTAACTGTTCTTTGCGTATTTTGGATAACAGTCTCTTTTACAAGTATTTTCTCCCAGTGTGTGACTTGTCATTTCATTCTCTTGACAATGTCTTCCACAGAGCAGTTTTTAATTTTTATGAAGTCAAGCTTATTGGTTATTTCTTTTATGTATTATACCTTTGATTTTGTACCTGAAAGGTCATCCCCATACCCAATGTCACCTAGATTTTCTCCTGTGTTATCTTCTAGGAGTTTTATAGTTTTGCATTTGCATTTTATTTTTAGGTTTATGATTTATTTTGAGTTTTTTTGTGAAAGATGTAAGGTTTGCATCTGTATTTGTGGGTTTTTTGTGCATATGGGTGTCCAGTTGTTCCAGCACTACTTGTTTAAAAGGCCCTATTTGCTCCACTCTATTGCCTTTGCTTCATTGTCAAAGATCAGTTGACTATATGTGGGTCTATTTCCGGGCTTTCCATTATATTCCACTAATCTATTTGTCTATTTTTTCATCATTACCACACAGTCTTGATTACTATAGCTTTATAGTAAGTCTTGAAGTCTAGTAGCGCCAGTACTCCAACTTTGTTCTCCTTCAATACTATGCTAGCTATTTTGGGTCTTTCACCTCATCTTATAATTTTTAGAATAAGTTTAGTAATAACCATAAAATAAAATGCTGAGATTTTAATTAGGACTGCCTTGTACCTATGGAACTAGTTGAGAAGAAATGACATCTTCACAATATTGAGTCTTCCTACCCAAGAGCATGGAATATCTCTTCATTTATTCAGTTTTTCTTTGATTTCTTTCATCAGGGTTTAGACGTTTTTCCTTTCCTTTCCTTTCCTTTTCTCCTTTCTTTCTTTCTTTTTCTTTCTTTCCTTCTTCCTTCCTTCCTTCCTTCCTTCCTTCCTTCCTTTCTTTCCTTCTTCCTTCCTTCCTTCCTTCCTTCCTTCCTTCCTTCCTTTCTTTCTTTCTTTCTTTCTTTCTTTCTTTCTTTCTTTCTTTCTTTCTTTTTCTTTCTTTCTTTCTTTCTTTTTGAGATGGGGTCTTACTCTGTCACCTAGGCTGGCGTGCAGTGGCGTGATCCGAGCTCACTGCAACCTCTGCCTCCTGGGTTCAAGTATTCTTGTGCCTTAGCGATCCGAGTAGCTGGGACTACAGGTGTGTGTCACCATGCCTGACTAATTTTTGTATTTTTAGTAGAGACAGGGTTTCACCATGTTGGCCAGGCTGGTCTTGAACTCCTGACCTCAAGTGATCCACCCACCTCTCCCTCCCAAAATGCTGGAATTACAGGCATGACCCACCACGTCTGGCTATGGGTTTTGCAGTTTTTCTTATACAGATCTTTTACAGATTTTGTTAGATTTATACCTGTGTTTCATTCTTTTGTGTACTAATGTAAATGATGTTGTGTTTTAAATTTCCAGTTCTACTTGTTCATTGTTGGTATATAGGAAAATGATTGAATTTTATATATTAAGTTTATATCCTGCAATCTTGTTGTAATCACTTATTAGTTCCAGGAGATTGCTTTTTTTTGTATCACAGAAAATATTTATTTATATTTGTTGAAACAGCACTTTGAGTTAAACAGATTTTTATCACATCAGTCTTGTGCATATGTAAAGAAAATGTATGAAATAAATTGGTTAAGTCATAATTATAACTTCATATCCTGAGTCCAACTCTTCTTACTCACTTTTCAAACCACAGTCATTGATGTCTACATTTTTTCGCACAATGTCTGCCCCGGTGTTGTCAAGAGTACTGGTTATGCAGCACTTTTTGACAGAGTGCTCCAACAGTGTCTTCTGTTTAATGGCAGCAGGGAGCTTTGGACAAAACGATGTTTGATGCCTTAATAATAGTAATAATAGTACTGCTCAACACTACTGTCACACCAGCCTCTTGTTGCTATGAATTTTGTTTCGTCAATTCACAGGGTTTTGACAATTTATAGTTCCAGGAGATTGTTTAATGAATCTTTTGGATTTTCGACATAAACAATCACATCATCAGTGAAGATAGACAGCTTTATTTCTTCCTTCCCAATATGTATACCTTTTATTTTCTTTCCTTATCTTATTGCATTAAAAATATTGATTTCCAGCATAATATTGAAAAGGAGTGGTGAAAGGGGACATCCTTGCCTTTTTACTGATCCTAGTGGGAAAGTTTCTACTTTCCCGCCCTTAAGCATAATGTTAGCTGTAGTCTTTTTGTAGATGTTCTTTATCAAGTTAAGGAAGTTTCCCTCTATTCCTAGTTTGCTGAGAGTTTTTTGAAAAAACTCATGAATGGGGCTGAGCGTGGTGGCTCATGCCTGTAATGCCAGCACTTTGGGAGGCTGAGGTGGGCGGATCCCCTGAGATCAGGAGTTTGAGACCAGCCAGGCCAACATGGTGAAACCCTGTCTCTACTAAAAATACAAAAATCAGCCGGGCATGGTGGTGCACACCTGTAATCTCAGCTACTTGGGAGGCTGAGGTAGGAGAATCACTTGCACCCGGGATGTGGAGGTTGCAGTGAGATGAGATCATGCCAACTGCACTCCAGCCTGGGTGGCAGAGCAAGATTGTCTCAAAAAAAAAAAAAAAGTACCTCATGAATGGGTGTTGGTTTTGTCAAATGCTTTTTCTGCATCTATTGATATGATCATTTGGTTTTCTTCTTTAGCTTGTTGATGTGATGGCTTACAAAAACTGATTTTCCAATGTCAAACCAGCCTTGCATATGTGGGATAAATCCCACTTGGTCATGATGTATAATTCTTTTTATACATTGTTGGATTCAATTTGTTAATATTTTGTTGAGGCTTTCTGCATCTATGTTCATAAGATAAAACTGATAAAAGATATTGGTCTGAGGATTTTTTTCTTGTATGTCATTGTCTGGTTTTTGGTGTTAGGGTAATGCTGACCTCATAATGAGTTAGAAAGTAGTCCCTCTGCATCTATCTTCAGGAATAGATTGTAAGGAAATGCTGTAATTTTTTCATAATTATTTGGTAAAATGCACCAGTGAACCCATTAGTGTACTTTCTGTTTTAAAAAGTTATTACTTTTTTATTCAATTTCTTTAATAGATATAGGTCTATGCCAATTGCCTGTTTCTTCTTGTGTGAGCTTTGGTAGATGTATCTTTCAGGAAATTCGTCCATTTTATCTAGGCTACAAAATTTGTGGATGTAGAGTTGCTCATAATATTTCTTTATTATCCTTTTAATGTCCATGGTGTCTGTAGTGATGTTCCCTGTTTCATGTCTGATATTAATAATTTGTGTCTTCTTTCTTTTTTTCTTAACCTAGCTAGAGGCTTATTTTATTTATCTTTTCAAAACACCAGCTTTTGGTTTTATTGATTTTCTCTATTGATTTTCTGTTTTCAATTCCATTGATTTTGCTCTAATTTTTAATTGTTTATTATCTTCTCTTACTTTGGATTTAATTTACTCTTCCTTTTCTAGTTTCCTAAGGTTGAAACTGAGATTATTGATCTTAGATCTTCTTTTCTAAAACATGCATTTAATGCTAATAAGTTTCCCTGTAGGTACTGCTTTTGCTGCACCCCACAGATTTTTATATGTGGTACTTTCATTTTCATTTAGTTCAAAATATTTTTATATCTATCTTGGAAATTTTTCTTTGACCTATGTATTATTTAGAACTATGTCATTTAATCTCTTAAGTATTTGGGGGTTTTCCAGCTATCTTTCCTTATTTATTTCCAGATTAATTTCATTGTGGTCTGCGAGCAAATATTATATGATTTCTATTCTTTTAAATGTCACGATGTATTTTATGGCTCAGAATGTGGTCTATCTTGAAGAATGTTCCATGTGAACTTGGGAAGAATGTGTCCACTGTTGCTGGATGAAGCTTGATAGATGTCAATTATACTCAGCTTTATTAATGGTGCTGTTGAGTTTAACTCTGTCCTTACTGACTTTTTATCTGCAGAATTTGTCCATTTCTGATAGATGAGTGTTGAAGTCTCCAACTATAACAGTAGATTCATTTATTTCTCTTGCAGTTCTATCAGTTTTTCCTCATATATTTTGATGCTCTGTTATTAAGTGCATACATATTAAGGATTGTGTTATGTCTCTTTGAATAAATGACCTCTTTATTGTATGTAATATTCCCCCTTATCCCTGATAGCTTTTCTTGCTCTGAAGTCTTTTCTGTCTGAAATTAGTATAGCTATTCCAGTTTTCTTTTGATTAGTGTTAGCATAGTATATCTTTCTCCATCCCTTTAAAAAATCTATTAAGTCAGTTTCTCTAACACAGGAACAGAAAGCCAAATACCACATGTTCGCACTTATAAGTGGGAGCTAAATTATGAGAACACATGCATTCTAAGAGAGGAACAACAGACACTGGGGCCTATCAGAGGGTGAAGAGTGGAAGGAGGGAGAGGATCAGAAGTAACAACTACTGAGTGCTAGGCTTAGTACCTGGGTGATGAAATAATCAGTACAACCAACCCCCATGACATGAGTTTACCTATATAAAAAATCTGGACATGTACCTCTGAACCTAGAATAAAAATTAAAAAAATAAAGTGGGTTTCTTGTATACAGCATATAGTTGGGCCTTATTTTCTGATCCATGCTTAATATCTCTTATTGATATATTTAGACAGTTGATGTTTATTGATATAGTTGTATTAATATCTACTACTTTTTAAAACTATTTTCTATTTGTTGCTTTTGCTCTTTGTTCCTATTTTTGTCTTCTACTCTTTTTCTGCCTTTTGCACTACTACTTCAGCATTTGATGATTCTATTTTCTCAACTTTCTTAGTATGTCAGTTTTACCGTTAGGTTTTCTGCTTTTTCAAGTGGTTGCCTTAGACATTGCAATATGCATTTAAAACTAATCCAGGTCCATTTTCAAATAACATTATACCACTTCACAGGTAGTGCAAATACCTTATAATCAAATATAATAAAAATACTATTCCTCCTTCTCATTCTTTGTATCAGTACTGTCATTCATTTCACTTATACATATGCATGCCCACACACACATACACCCATCCCTACACACAAGCATACATAATTGAATAAAGATGCTCCTTGACTTATGATGGGGTCACGTTTTAAGAGTATTGAATGTATATCACTTTCACATTATCATAAAGTTGAACATCATAAATGAGACCATCTAAGTTGGGGACCATCTGTACATTGTTACAATTATTATTTGAACAAACTGTTTCATTAGTTAAATCAATTAAGAATAAAAAAGTTTTTATTTTACCTTTACTTATTCCCTCTCCAGTTCTCCTTTTTAAAATGCTGATCTGAGTTTCTGACCTAGATCATTTTTTTTGTCTCTGAAGAATTATCTCTTAAGATTTCTTGCAAGGCAGGTCTACTGGCAAGAAAATTCGTTCATATCTTTTTGTCTGAGAAGTTCTTTACATTTGAAGGATAATTTCACAGGGTAGAGAATTCTAGGTTGTTGTTTTTTCTTCTCAACACTTTAAACATTTCACTGTACTCTCTTCTTGCTTGCATGGCTTCTGAGAGGTCAGATATATCTCTTAACTTTTCTACAAGTAATATATTTTTCTTTCTGACATTGACATTTTCTTTATTTTTTATTTTCTCCAGTTTGAATATGATATACCCGAGTATGGTTTTTGACATTTATCCTGCTTGGTGTTCTCTGAGCTTCCTGGACCTGTGGTTTGGTGTCTCACTTTAATTTTGGGGAAATTTTCCATCATTATGGTTTCAAATATTTATTGAGTCCCTTTCTCTCTTCTCCTTCTGGTGTACTTACTAATGTGTATGTTACACTTTTTGTAGTTGTCTCACAGTTCGTGGATATTCTGTTCTTTTTAACGTCTTTTTTCTCTTCACTTTTTCATTTTGGAAGTTTCCATTGATATATCCTAAAGCTCAGAATTCTTTTCCTCAGCCATGTCCAGTCTACTAATGAGCCCATCAAAGACATTTTTTATTTCTGCTATAGTTTTTTATTTTTAGCTTTTAAAAATTCTTTCTTAGAATTTCCTTCTCTGTACTTGCATTGCCCATCTATTCCTGCATGTTTTGTACTTTACCCATTAGAGCCCTTAGCATAGGTAATAGGGTTCTCCAGAGAAGCAACCAATAGGAGATATACACACACACACACAAACACACGTGCACGTGCTTTATTATAAGAAAGTGGCTCATGTGATTATGGAGGCTAGTCCAGTTGAGTTCCTGGAGGTAAAACTCACAAAAGCGTAGAATCTTCTCTATGCTTGGGCCCCTCTCAGGTTTTTTACTTTCAAACTTGTCTATGTTGAACTTTAGCAATTAGTCAATTAAAATTCAGGTTTTTCTACCCCTGTACTGGTTCCCGTGGTGGTTTCAGCTCATGGTTTTCTGCTTTGGTAAGTTGTGATTCTTTGTCCTTGCCTGTCTGTCTCTCCAATTTTTGGGAAAATGATTTGTTGTCTAACTTAACTTCTCTGGAAGATCTAAGATGAGTTGGTGATTTTTCCATTTGTTCACCTGTTTACTTTTTGTTAGGATAGAGTGACAACTTCCATGCTAGCTGGCTCTTTTATTATTGTTATTATTCTTTCATCACTCCTGCATTTCCAAACATCTTATTGCTTTGAGACATGTTCTTGTTGACCAAATCATATTCATCCAATCCCCCCAAATCAATATATTTTGCTTCTGCCAGTGAAACATAATGTATGAAACATTCTCAAAATGCTTGATTGCATAGAATCTCTTACAAGTACTTGTCCCATATATACTTCTGAATCTGACAAGTTCTCCTTATTTTAATATATTTCCATCCTTAGCAATGCTACCCATGAAATCTGATTTTTACTAAACTTATCTAAGTGGCTTCATTATCTCCAAATCAGTGGTAAGAAGAGGAACCTGTGTGGCCTTCAGGTACTGATAACTCTGTGTCCCAGAAAGGGATACTCCAACTTTACCACCATGACGAATGAGCAGAGTGAATTGAAACCTAGGAGAATCTGGGGATAGAGCTAGAAGGAGCCTGCTACTAGTGGGAAATTAGGTCCCTTCGAGATCATGTGTTTTATCTTAAAAATTTATTTAAGTTTTGTATTATCCTTCATGCTATATCAGTGTTATTGTCATGCAAACATAATATTTTTAATGCCTCTTAATGCATAATCCTGTGATCTGTCCCAAGCATGTTACCATAAGGTACAAACACTTCATATCAGTAAGACTATAACTGTGACCACAGTTGACAAAGACTCAAAATAATAGAAACTTAAACAAGACAGAAATAGAATTCTCTGTCATGTAGAAGTTCCAAGCTGATATGGAAGCTTGGCTCTATGAAGTCTATCTGGGGCTCAGGTTTCTTCTGTCTTGTTACTCTGCAATCCCTAGGCAATTGACTACATGCAAATGGTCCATAAGATAAGGGATCAGTGCAGAGGCTATTGTGTTGATACAAATGATGTTAGCTTGGATTAGCCCAGTGAAGGTAAAGATGGAGAAACCTGAATAGATTCAAGAGCTGTTTAAGAGAAAAATAGACATAACTTAATGGTGATTGGTTATGAGGGGTGATGAGGTGAGAGACATAAAGTTACCAAGGATGTGTTCTACCTGTTAAGAGTAGATGGTGATGATTGTCATAGAGACAGGGAAAGCTGGAAGAGGAACAGAGTTGAGGAAAAAGATCATGAGTTTGATTTTGAATATGTTGAGATAATACTGAGTAGTCATTAAGAACATGGGTTCTGTAAAGACAAAAACCACATGATTATTTCAAAAGATGTAGAAAAGCCTTTTGATAAAATTCAACATCCATTCATGTTAAAAACTCTCAATAAAGTGGGTATTAAAGGAACATACCTCAAAATAATAAGAGCCATATATGACAAACTCACAGCCAATATCATATTGAATAGGCAAAAGCTGGAAGCAGTCCCCTTGAAAACTGGCACAAGACAAAACATGCCCTCTCTTGCCACTCCTATTCAACATAGTATTGGAAGTTCTGGTCAGGGCAATCAGGCAAGAGAAAGAAATAAAGGGTGTTCAAATAGCAAGAGAGACAGTCAAACTATCTCTGTTTGCAGATGTTTATGGCTTTTATTTTCTAATCCCAATTCTAGAAAAGTCCATCATCTCAGCTCAAATACTTCTTAAGCTGATAAGCAACTTCAGCAAAATCTCAGGATACAAAATCAATGTGCAAAAATCGCTGGCATTCCTATACATCAACAACAGTCAAGCAGTGAGCCAAATCATGGATGAACTCCCATTAACAATTGCCACCAAAAAAAATACTGAGGAATACACCTGACAAGGAAAGTGAAGGACCTCTTCAAGGAGAACTATGAACCACTGCTCAAAGAAATCAGAGGTGACACAAACAAATGGAAAACATTCCATGCTCATGGATAGGAAAAATCAGCATCCTGAGGATGGCCATATTGCCCAAAGCAATTTACATATTCAATGCTATTTGCATTAAACTACCATTGACATTCTTCACAGAACTAGAAAAAACTATTTTAAAATTCATACAAAACCAAAAAGATCCTGAATAGCCAAGGCAATCTTAAGCAAAAAGAACAAAGCTTGTGGCATCATGCTACCCAACTTCAAAGTAGACTACAGGGTTACAGTAACCAAAACAGCATGGTACTGGTACAATAACAGACATGTAGACCAATGTAACAGAATAGAGAACCTGGAAATAAGACAGCACACCTACAACTATCATATCTTTGACAAACCTGACAAAAACAAGCAATGGGGAAAGGATTCCCTACTTCATAAATGGTGCTGGGATAACTGGCTAGCCATATGCAGAAAACTGAAACTGAATCCCTTCCTTACACCATATACAAAAGTTAACTCAAGATGGATGAAAGACTTAAATGTAAAACCCAAAACTATAAAAACCCTAGAAGAAAACCTAAGCAATACCATTCAGGACATAGGCACGGGCAAAGATTTTATGACAAAAACACCAAAGGGAATCGCAACAAAGGCAAAAGTTGATAATTGGGATCTAATTAAACTAAAGCGCTTCTGCACAGTGAAAGAAACTATCAACAGAGTAAATAGACAACCTGCAGGATGGGAGAAAATTTTTGCAAACTATGCATCTGAAAAAGGTCTAATATCCAGCATTTATAAGGAACTTAAACAAATATACAATAAAAAGCAACCCCATTAAAAAGTAGGCAAAGGACATGAAAAGACACTTCTCAAAAGAAGGCATACATGTGGCTAACAATCATATAAAAAAGCTCAACATCACTGATCATTAGAGAAATGCAAATCAAAAACCACAATGAGTTGCCATCTCACACCAGTCAGAATGGCTATTAAAAAGTTAAAAAATAACGTGCTGGCGAGGTTCTGGAGAAAATGAAATGCCTTTACACTGTTGGGAGTGTAAACTAGTTTAATTATTGTGGAAGACAGTGTGGTGATTCTTCAAAGACCTAGAGACAGAAATACCATTTGACCCAGCAGTCATATTGCTGGGAATATGCCCAAAGGACTATAAATCATTCTATTATAAAGACACACACACGTATGTTCATTGTAGTACTGTTCACAATAGCTAAGACATGGAATCAACCTAAATGTCCATCAGTGATAGACTGAATAAAGAAAATATAGTACGTATACACCATGGAATACTATGTAGCCATAAAAAGAGTGAGATCATGTTTTTGCAGGTACATGGATGGAGCTGGAGGCCATTATCCTTAGCAAACTAACATAGGAACAGAAAACCAAATATGGCATGTTCTCACTTATAAATGGGAGCTAAATGATGAGAACACATGAACACATAGAAGGGAGCAATGCACACTGGGGCCTACCAGAGGGTGGAGGGTGGGAAGAGGGAGAGGATCTGGAAAAATAACTAGCGGATGCTAGGCCTAAAACCTTGGTGATGAAATAATCTGTTTAACAAACCCTAGTGACACAGGTTTACCTTTGTAACAGACCTGCACATCCTGCACATGTACCCCGAACTTAAAAGTTAAAAAAAAAAACATGGGTTCTTGAGTCAGATTGGCTCGGATTGAATCTTGGTCCCACAAATTACTACATGCATAATCTAGAGGTGAGTTGTTAACCCTCTCTGTGCCTGAGCTTTATCTGCAAAATGCAGCTAATACTACTTTATGTGATTTTCCTGAGGATTAAATAACAGTATATGTAAAGTGCTTAGAATAGCACCAGGGACAGAGTAAATTTTCAATAATTAGTAGCTATGATGTCAAATCTGAAATACCTTTGAGAGTTTAGTAGAGTTATCAAGTAGGCAGTTGGATATATGGGAATTCAGGGTGGCCACCAGGGCTGGAGATATAATTTATAAGTGGGCAGAGTTAAAAGAGTTAACATAGCAGGTCTGACAACGATCCTTTGAAAGGCCGTATTGCAAGGTTGGCCCTTGGCTGACATCAGAAAACTTGGATTTCAGGAGTTTTTTCACCCTTCCTAGGACTGATAAGAGCGGCTCACTGTGCCTAAATTGTTTGTATAAACAATGTGGTTTTATGCTGAATACTTGTTTTCCTCATGGGAGTCTGGAATTTTTGGTACATGCTAGGCAGAGGGTATCTATATGACCCATCTTCAATAAAAACCCTGGTCACTGAGTCTCTAAGGAGTATCCTTGGCAGACAAGATTTCACATGTATTGTCACATTTTGTTGCTGGAGGAAATAAGCATGTCCTGTATGGCACCACTGGGAGAGGAATCTTAGAAACTTGTACCTGATTTCCTCCAGAGAGCGCTCTGTACGCCTTTTCCCTGTGCTGATTTTGTTTGTATCCTTTCACTGTAACAAATTTTAGCCACAAGTATGACTATATGCTGAGTCCTCTGATTCTTCCCAGTGAGTCAAACTTAAGATTTTAAATTTTGCCTTCAGATCTTGTCATACTATAATATGTATAAGTCTAGAAAATGTTAGCAATACATTTTTATGGAGCCTTTGATTAATATTTAGTCCCATTACAAACTTAATTAAACTCCTTAACCCCATTTTACCAATGAAGAAATTGAAGGTCAGAGAGGTTAGGTTCCTTGCTCAAGGTCCCAAGGCCCTAAGTCTGCCTGATTCCTCAGCCCCACACTCTTTCCATTAAACCACATTCTTTCATAATAATGTTGTATATTTTATTTCACAGGCTCCACCTTCTTTTCTTGTGGCTCTACTTGCCCCTGTATTCTTAAAATCTGCAAAATACTGTTTAGACTGTCATTAGGAGACAACTTCCACGGAAAGGTTACTTCAAGTCTTTTGATATTTTTCTCCCCACAGGGGAACTCTGCAGGTGAAACTGCCCAGCTGAGAGAGGTACATGGCTTGGAGGCAAGCCTTTCACTTCCTCTTTCCTAGTAAACATCAGTTTCTGGGGAGCTACTGTCTCTTAGAAATAGATCCCACTTAAAGGGCCAGAACAGTAGGGGTAGCCCCAGCTTAAAAACCCTTCAGGCTATGAAAGATCCTATCTTCCTTGAAGCTGTCATTTTCCTAACTGCCTGTCCTTATAGAATCGTAAACGGCCAGACAACATGAGCCCAGTCCTGTTGGCGTCAGTACAGATCCTCTGAGATCTGATTCAGTGCTCTGACTTAGTACTTCACAACGATGTTCTGCCTTACTGGGTGCTGGATTGTCCTGCTCTGAATCATGTTAGGACAGGGTGGCTGTGTAAACAGAAATGACATCTACATCTCAGCATCTGTAAAACAAGTGAAGTGTTGCCATGATAAGCGGGAAGAGACTGGCTTTGGAGTCAGACAGACCTGAGTGTGTATTCCAAGCTCTACCCCCTACTAGATCAATAACCAAACCACCATCAGCTGTGTCTACATCTGTACAAGGTCGAGACCTACCTCTCAGGATCTCTGTGGAATGACATATGTAAAAAGTCCAGCACCAATTAGAGATTTGATCAAGGCTATGATTGAAATTGTCTGTCCACGTGTTTCCCTCTCAACATTATGAGCTAGCTGCTCAAGGACAGGGACTCTCTGCATCATCTGTGTCACCCATACATCCTGAATACCACCCAGAACATAACAGATGTCAGTAAATGCTTGTGAAGCAAAACTAAACCAGGACTGTCTCTTTTTAAAATTTTTGTGGGTACACAGTAGGTGTATATATTTATGGGTTACATGATAAATTTTGATAGAGTCATGCAATGCATAATAATCACATCAGGGTAAATAGGGTATCTATCTACTCAAGCATTTATCCTTTGTGTTACAAACAATTCAATTATATTCTTTTGGTTATTTAAAAATGTACACTTAAATTATTTTTGATTATAGTCACCCTGTTGTGTTATCAACCACTAGATCTTATTCATTCTTTCTATTTTGTACCCATTAACCACCCCCACTTTTCCACCACCCTGAATTACCCCTCCCAGCCTCTAATAATCATCCTTCTAGTCTCTATCTCCATGAGTTCAATTACTTTAATTTTTAACTCTCACAATTAAGTAAGAACCTGTGAAATTGGGCCTGTCTCTTCATCTGAAAAGTGAGGGGGTTCAACTTGCGGGTTCTTTGTAACTCTGACATCCTGTTTCTATGGAAACTGATGATGTGTCTATGTTGATATCAACCTCCTTTACACAGAAGTTAAATTTGCTACATTGTGACCATTGTCATGATTTTTTTTATCGTGTGTCTTTGAGCTGCATATGACTAAGGCTGGGCCAGATATGGTTTCTTACTCTCCACCAGATTGGATGACACAGAAACAGAAGTTTCACACATGATAGCCTTGGTACCATAGTAATATGATTATCCATAATGAACAGCATTCACTCATTTATGAAAACACAGCTTGCGGCAGTTCCAAGATGGCCGAATAGGAATAGCTCCAGTCTACAGCTCCCAGCGTGAGCGATGCAGAAGATGAATGATTTCTGCATTTCCAACTGAGGTGCTGGGTTCATCTCACTGGGGATTGTCAGACAGTGGGTGCAGGACAGTGGGTGCAGTGCACTGAGCATGAGCCAAAGCAGGGCGAGGCATTGCCTTACCCAGGAAGTGCAAGGGGTAAGGGAATTCCCTTTCCTAGCCAAGGAAAAGGGTGACAGACGGCACCTGGAGAATCGGGTCACTCCCACCCTAATACTGCGTTTTTCCGATGGTCTTAGCAAACGGCACACCAGGAGATCATATCCTACGCCTGGCTCGGAGGGTCCTACATCCACGGAGCCTCGCTCATTGCTAGCACAGCAGTCTGAGATCAAACTGAAAGATGGCAGCGAGGCTGGGGGAGGGGTGCCCGCCATTGCTGAGGCTTGAGTAGGTAAACAAAGTGGCCAGGAAGCTCGAACTGGGTGGAGCCCACTGCAGCTCACGGAGGCCTGCGTGCCTCTGTAGACTCCCCTCCTAGGGGCAGGGCATAGCCAAACAAAAGGCAGCAGAAACCTCTGCAGACTTAAATGTCCCTGTCTGACAGCTTGGAAGACAGTAGTGGTTCTCCCAGGATACAGCTTGAGATCTAAGAATGGACAGACTGCCTCCTCAAGTGGGTCCCTGACCCCCGAGCAGCCTAACTGGGAGGCACCCCCCCCCCGAGTAGGGGCAGACTGACATCTCACACGGCCAGGTACCCCTCTGACACAAAACTTCCAGAGGAATAATCAGGCAGCAACATTTGCTGTTCACCAATATTCCCTGTTCTGCAGCCTCCACTGCTGATACCCAGGCAAACAGGCTCTGGAGTTGAACTCCAGCAAACTCCAACAGACCTGCAGCTGAGGGTCCTGACTGTTAGAAGGAAAACTAACAAACAGAAAGGACATCCACACCAAAACCCCATCTATACATCACCATCATCAAAGACCAAAGGTAGATAAAACCACAAAGATGGGAAAAAACAGAGCAGAAAAACTGGAAATTCTAAAAATCAGAGCGCCTCTCCTCCTCTAAAGGAACACAGCTCCTCACCAGCAATGGAACAAAGCTGGATGGAGAATGACTTTGATGAGTTGAGAGGAGAAGGCTTCAAATGGTCAAACTTCTCTGAGCTAGAGGAGGAAGTTCAAACCCATGGCAAAGAAGTTAAAAACCTTGAAAAAAAAATTAGACGAATGGCTAACTAGAATAACCAATGCAGAGAAGTCCTTAAAGGACCAGATAGAGCTGAAAACCATGGCACGAGAACTACGTGACAAATGCACAAGCTTCAGTAGCCAATTCGATCAACTGGAAGAAAGGGTATCAGTGACAGAAGATCAAATGAACGAAATGAAGCAAGAAGAGAAGTTTAGAGAAAAAAGAATAAAAAGAAATGAACAAAGCCTCCAAGAAATATGGGACTATGTGAAAAGACCAAATCTACGTCTGATTGGTGTACCTGAAAGTGGCGGGGAGAATGGAACCAAGTTGGAAAACACTCTGCAGGATATTATCCAGGAGAACTTCCCCAATCTAGCAAGGCAGGCCAACATTCAAATTCAGGAAATACAGAGAACACCACAAAGATACTCCTCAAGAAGAGCAACTCCAAGACACATAATTGTCAGATTCACCAAAGTTGAAATGAAGGAAAAAATGTTAAGGGCAGCCAGAGAGAAAGGTCGGGTTACCCACAAACGGAAGCCCATCAGACTAACAGCTGATCTCTCGGCAGAAACTCTACAAGCCAGAAGAGAGTGGGGGCCAATATTCGACATTCTTAAAGAAAAGAATTTTCAACCCAGAATTTCATATCCAGCCAAACTAAGCTTCATAAGCGAAGGAGAAATAAAATACTTTACAGACAAGCAAATGCTGAGAGATTTTGTCACCACCAAGCCTGCCCTACAAGAGCTCCTGAAGGAAGCACTAAACATGGAAAGGAACAACCAGTACCAGCCACTGCAAAAACATGCCAAATTGTAAAGACCATCAAGGCTAGGAAGAAACTGCATCAACAAAAGAGCAAAATAACTAGCTAACATCATAATGACAGGATCAAATTCACACATAACAATATTAACCTTAAATGTAAATGGGCTAAATGCTCCAATTAAAAGACACAGACTGGCAAATTGGATAAAGAGTCAAGACCCATCAGTGTGCTGTATTCAGGAAACCCATCTCACCTGCAGAGAAACACATAGGCTCAAAATAAAGGGATGGAGGAAGATCTACCAAGAAAATGGAAAACAAAAAAAGGCAGGGGTTGCAATCCTAGTCTCTGATAAAACAGACTTTAAACCAACAAAGATCAAAAGAGACAAAGAAGGCCGTTACATAATGGTAAAGGGATCAATTCAACAAGAAGAGCTAAATATCTTAAATATATATGCATCCAATACAGGAGCACCCAGATTCATAAAGCAAGTCCGTAGAGACCTACAAAGAGACTTAGACTCCCACACAATAATAATGGGAGACTTTAACACCCCACTGTCAACATTAGACAGATCAACAAGACAGAAAGTTAACAAGGATATCCAGGAATTGAATTCAGCTCTGCACCAAGCGGACCTAATAGACATCTACAGAACTCTCCACCCCAAATCAGCAGAATATACATTCTTCTCAGCACCACACCGCACTTATTCCAAAATTGACCACATAGTTGGAAGTAAAGCACTCCTCAGCAAATGTAAAAGAACAGAAATTATAACAAACTGTCTCTCAGGCCACAGGGCAATCAAACTAGAACTCAGGATTAAGAAACTCACTCAAAGCTGCTCAACTACATGGAAACTGAACAACCTGCTTCTGAATGACTACTGAGTACATAATGTAATAAAGGCAGAAATAAAGATGTTCTTTGAAGCCAACGAGAACAAAGACACAACATACCAGAATCTCTGGGACATATTTAAAGCAGTGTGTAGAGGGAATTTATAGGACTAAATGCCCACAACAGAAAGCAGGAGAGATCTAAAATGGACACCCTAACATCACAATTAAAAGAACTAGAGAAGCAAGAGCAAACACATTCAAAAGCTATCAGAAGGCAAGAAATAACTAAGATCAGAGCAGAACTGAAGGACATAGAGACACAAAAAACCCTTCAAAAACTCAATGAATCCAGGAGCTGGTTTTTTGAAAAGATCAACAAAATTGATAGACCGCTAGCAAGACTGATAAAGAAGAAAAGAGAGAAGAATCAAATAGACGCAATAAAAAATGATAAAGGTGATATCACCACCGAGCCCACAGAAATACAAACTACTATCCGAGAATACTATAAACACCTCTATGCAAATAAACTAGAAAATCTAGAAGAAATGGACAAATTCCTGGACACATACACCCTCCCAAGACTAAACCAGGAAGAAGTTGAATCTCTGAATAGACCAATAACAGGCTCTGAAATTGAGGCAATAATTAATAGCTTACCAACCAAAAAAAGTCCAGGACCAGATGGATTCACAGCCGAATTCTACCAGAGGTACAAGGAGGAGCTGGTACCATTCCTTCTGAAACTATTCCAATCAATAGAAAAAGAGGGAATCCTTCCTAACTCATTTTATGAGGCCAGCATCATCCTGATACCAAAGCCTGGCAGAGACACAACAAAAAAAGAGAATTTTAGATCAATATCCCTGATGAACATCGATGCAAAAATCCTCAGTAAAATACTGGCAAACTGAATCCAGCAGCACATCAAAAAGCTTATCCACCATGATCAAGTGGGCTTCATCCCTGGGATGCAAGGCTGGTTCAACATATGCAAATCAATAAACGTAATCCAGCATATAAACAGAACCAATGACCAAAAACACATGATTATCTCAGTAGATGCAGAAAAGGCCTTTGACAAAATTCAACAGCCCTTTATGCTAAAAACTCTCAATAAATTAGGTAATGGTGGGACGTATCTCAAAATAATAAGAGCTACTTATGACAAACCCACAGCCAATATCATACTGAATGGGCAAAAACTGGAAGCATTCCCTTTGAAAACGGGCACAAGACAGGGATGCCCTCTCTCACCACTCCTATGCAACATAGTGTTGGAAGTTCTGGCCAGGGCAATCAGGCAAGAGAAGGAAATAAAGAGTATTCAATTAGGAAAAGAGGAAGTCAAATTGTCCCTGTTTGCAGATGACATGATTATATATCTAGAAAACCCCATTGTTTCAGCCCAAAATCTCCTTAAGCTGATAAGCAACTTCAGCAAAGTCTCAGGATACAAAATCAATGTGCAAAAATCACAAGCATTCTTATACACTAATAACAGACAAACAGAGAGCCAAATCATGAGTGAATTCCCACTCACAATTGCCTCAAAGAGAATAAAATACCTAGGAATCCAACTTACAAGAGATGTGAAGGACCTCTTCAAGGAGAACTACAAACCACTGCTCAATGAAATAAAAGAGGACACAAACAAATGGAAGAACATTCCATGCTCATGGTTAGGAAGAATCAATATCATGAAGATACATTTTCCAAAAGAAGACATACAAATGGCCAACAAGCATATGAAAAAATGCTCAGCATCACTAATCATCAGGGAAATATAAATTAAAGCCACAATGGGATATCATCTCACACAAGTCAGAATGGCTATTATTTAAAAGACAAAAAATAACAGACGTTGGTGAGGATGTGAAGAAAAGGGAATGCTTATACACTTTTGGTAGAAATGTAAAGTAGTACAACCTCTATGGAAAACAGTATGGAGATTTCTCAAGCAACTAAAAATAGAGCTACCATTCGATCCAGCAATTCTACTACTGGATATCTACCCAAAGGAAAATAAATCATTATATTAGAAACATACCTGCACTTATATATGTTCATAGCAGCACTGTGGAATCAACAAGCAAAGATATGGGATCAACTGAAATGTCCATCCATGGATGACTGGATAAAGAAAACGTGACATATATACACCATGGAATATTATTCAGCTGTAAAAAGCATGAAATTATATATATATATATATATATATTTTTTTTTTTTTGAGACAGAGTCTCACTGTCGCCCAGGCTGGAGTGCAGTGGCGTGATCTTGGCTCATTGCAAGCTCCGCCTCCCGGGTTCACGCCATTCTCCTGCCTCAGCCTCCCGAGTAGCTGGGACTACAGGCGCCTGCCACCATGCCCGGCTAATTTTTTGTATTTTTAGTAGAGACAGGGTTTCACTGTGTTAGCCAGGATGGTCTCGATCTCCTGACCTCGTGATTCACCCACCTCGGCCTCCCAAAGTGCTGGGATTACAGGTGTGAGCCACCGCGCCTGGCCGAAATTATATCTTTTGCAGCAACTTGGATAGAACTGGAAGCCATTATCATAAGTAAAATAATGCAGAAACAGAAAATCAAATGCCACATGTTCTCACTCATATATGAGAACTAAATAATGTGTACATATGGACATAGAGAGTGGAATAATAGACATTGGAGACTCAGAAGGGCCAGTGGATAGAAGGGAGTGGATGATGAGAAATTACTTAATGGGTACAATGTACATTATTCGGCTGATAGGTATGCTAAAAGCCCAGACTTCACCACTACACAATATACTCATGTAACAAAACTGCACTTGTACTCCCTAAATTTATATTAAAAAGGCCAAAAAAACCCCCTCAAAACTAAATCTTGAGTGAAAAAGCAAGATAGTGATATATTTACTATGATACTATTTATAATTAATTACAAAACCTATAAGACAATACTCTATGTTGTCAATGAATAGGTTAATATGTAGTGAAAGTATAAGAACTTCCAAGAATATAACAAACAACAAATTCAGCATAGTGGTGACCACTGGACAGAGAGAAAGAGAGGAGAGGGAAAGGATTGGGAGGGGTACACAGAGATTTTAACTATATCTGCAATATTTTATTTCCTAAAAAGAAAGATATCTGAATCAAATTAGGCAAAATTCCAAGATTTGACAAGTCTGAGTGAGGAGTGTAGTATTATTCCCTGTGATTTTGAATGCTTGAAATATTTTACTGAACAAAGGAAAAGCATGAACAAGGAGATAAAAGAATTTGCTACTCTTGGAAGCTTCATTTTCTCAACAAGCCAGCATTTCTTTTTCCTCCATCTTTACCAGGAAAATTTCATTTTCTCAAGCTAGTTCCATGGTAGGTCTTTCTTCATTTACAGGTCAGCACAGGCTCCCACAAACACTTGACCCATCTGGCTTTGAGCTTAATCCTTGGTGGGGGTAGGGGTGAGCCTTTTTGTCTCCTTTTGACCCTTGATAGGCTAGCATCAACCAGGACACTGTCACGTAATTACTAAATAAAACAGATTTCGGAAGATGTTGGTTACCAGATCACTATTTCATGACTAATAATTCATACTCACATTCGGGTCTCACATACTTATGTACAAGGCAATGCACATAAGTTTTTATTGAACTCTTCATTTTACATTTATCTTAGAGCCCTATTGGACGCGACTCCTTTTTGCTAACTGCCTTTCAGCTATTAAAAAGCTGCATATTAGAAATGTTATGCGCCTTCCTTGGTGGCATCTCATATGCCACAAGCTGAACAGCTTTACCTCCACTTTTCAATATACACTTTTCAGTGAGCAAACATCTCACACTTGTCCTTAAAAGTTGTTAATACAAACAAGCTCATTTTATACTGGGATGCATTTCTCTTTGTACAGTTACAAATCTCTAAATATTCCTCAGAGGTGGAGGATCAGTCTATTGGTTGGTTCCTTTGATGCCATGCTCTAGTCATCTTGCATTCCTCTGCCCTCCCAATCTAAGTCCACTAACGAGGTCAGACTTACATCATGTAGTGCCATTACCCAAATTGATTTGTGCCAGAGTGGTCTTAAATTATTCCCTATTATATGTTGAGGTGAGAGAAGAAGAGCTCAGTGCAAAGCTAAGAAAGACTAGTGTGTTACAGTGGTTTCCATTTTCCAGTTCTGTTCATCTGAGTCCTGAAAATCTTAGCTCTAAAGCTCACTGTCAGCCTATGTTATCAATATAAGCTCATGGATTATGTGGCACAACCTGAAGCTTGAGAAACATTTCCATTTGAATGCCAACTTACAGTCACTTGTTTCCAATGATTCTAGTTAATATTCCAATGATCCTAGTTAATATTACCTAGTTAATATTATTCCACATACTACAAATTTCCTGATATTAAATGCTTACAGTTGTCGATATATTTTTGAGCCAATGCATCTACATTTTCATAGTTCCTGAACTTATTTATTTTAGTCAACTTATTGGTATCTAGTACATTTAGAATAGCAGAACCAGTGCAATCACCCAATGTCTTCGTTTTCATCCAAGAAGTTCAGATTTTGACCCAATGGCTCATAAAGCTGTACTACATTGACTTGATAACAGAAACATGTACATTTTAAAATTAGCATTAAGTGTCATTTTTCACAGAATGCAAACAATATATCAATATAATTACAGAAGGTAAAACTTGTATTGCCTGCTAAGATCTATGCTTTTGGGAATAACTATGATATATGAGTTGTGTTCTTGGCAGAGCAGAGTGTATCCGATCAAGGACAAGTTTGAACAGTGTTATCTCTAGGAAGTCTTCATTGTCTGGACTTTTGTCTGCATTAGAATTGACTCTTCATCTTGAATTTGTACAAATGTTCCCCATTTGTGACAGTTCCCATACCTTATGTTCTTTTCTCTAGTCAGGCCAATTGATAAATCCACTACAGAAACTCCTTTTGAATATAATCACTGCCAACAGAGAACAAGCGAGGATCTTCTAGGGTTGTTGGATCAAGCCTGAAATTCTACCACTTGGCAATTCCCCATCCTCTCATCTGCTTACTGGATAAAATGCTGAACGTATCCAATTTCCAGTGGAAATTAGAGGAAAGAGCCAAATAGGCTAGCTTAAGAAATTAAATCTACCCTAGATAGCATAAAGTTGTTTACCAGTAATATGTCTCAATATAACAAACAAAGTTATTTCTGTTCATCACAAATATTGATGATATATCCAAACTCTTTTTTAGTTAAACAAAATACCCACATGCATCACATGCTCAGGACTCTTCAAACACTATTCCTCAGACAATTGCTTGCACAATAAGTAACACTTGCATAGCAAAAGTACTCCATGAGAAGCTCTCAGCAGATAAAGTTGAATCCAATTAAACCTGAAAAACAATATTATACACTTTTCTAATTAGTTTGATGTACAGGCTGACTTTTTTGTCATGCTCACACCAGCCAGATGTGAGAACACAAATTCTGGTAGAACTTACATTTCATTTCTCCAAAGAATTTTGTCTTAATGAATTTTTTATATTTGACATCATTTCTTTTTTAATTTTTAATTTTTGTGGGTACATAGTAGGTACATATATTTATGGGGTATATGAGATATTTTGATACAGGTGTATAGTGTGTAATAATCACATCAGGGTAAATCGGTGTCTGTCACCTCAAGCATTTGTCCTTTGTGTTACAGAAAATTCAATTATACTCCTTTAGTTATTTTTAAATGTACAATTACATTATTTCTTACTACAGTCAACCTGTTGCACTATGAAACACTAGATCTTAATCATTCTTTCTATTTTTTTGTGTGTCCATTAGCCATCTCCACTTCCCCATCACCCCACAATTACCCTTCCCAGCCTCTGGTAACCATTCTTCTACTCTCTATCTCCATGAGTTCAATTGTTTTAATTTTCAGCTCCCACAAATAAGTGAGGACATGTGATGTTTGCCTTTCTGTGCCTGGATTATTTAATGACCCCAGTTTCATCCATGTTGTTGCAAATGACAGGATCTCATTCTTTTTATGGCTGAGTAGTACTTCATTGTGTATATGTGCCACTTTTTTTTATCCGCTCATCTATTGATTTACACTTAGGTTGCTTTCAAATCTTGGCTATTGGGAATAGTGCTGCAATAAATATGGGAGTGTAGATACCTTTTTGATATCCTGATTTCCTTTCTTTTTCCTTTCTTTTGGGTACACACCTAGCAGTGGATTGCTGGATCAGTGGCTCTATTTTTATTTTTCAAGGAACTTCCAAACTGTTTTCCATAGTGGTTGTACTAATTTACATTCCCACCAACAATGTACAAGGGTTCCCTTTTCTCCACACCCTCACCAGCATTTGTGATTGCCTGTCTTTTGGATAAAAGTCATTTTAACTGGAGTAAGATGATATTTCATTGTAGTTTTGATTTTTACTTCTCTGATGATCAATTACGTTGAGCACCTTTTCATATACCTGTTTGCCATTTGTATGTTGTTTGAGAAATTGGCATCATTTCTTGATTACCTTGTCATACTTCTCACAATAAAAATCTATATATAGACTGAAATTAAATATTTTTATCTCTCAGAGCTATAAGGATCTAAGTATTAAATTTTTCTTCAAGATTGAGTTATAATTATTAGTATGTAACTGATAAAAAACATAAATTACATATTTGAAAAAACACAGAAGGTAAAATTTTATTGGAAACATATCCCCATGAGATCAATGGAACTTCTAAAACTAGTTGAGGTATCCACAGGTCAATATAATTTACTGTTAGAATGAGACAGCATTAAGAGACACTGCTCTTCCTGTTTTTCATTTATATAGATTTAAGAACTGGGAAATAAATAAGTAGATAAGAATGAATGAACATTTTGTTATAACAAAGTCACTCAGTTCTTTGAACTCCTTATGCTAAAAATCATATACTGATTCATCATCAAAATTATTCATAATGATTTACTAGCTGCCAACTCCATTACATTCTTCTTATCCATTTTGTTGAAAGCAAATAATTAGAAAGCATTTGGTTCACAAAAGGATTTATTTCCTACTAACACAATCACTCACTTTCTCAACAACAAAATCAGTATTTGGAATTTCCCCTTTGTTGGATGCCTGGAGGTTTTTGACACTCTGTGACTAGTGCTCTAGGGTAGTGTGAGGCTTGCCTTTCTTTTGTAAACAGGAAGGATTGTAAAAGTAGAGGTGGTGAGGGAGAACGGGTACTTGGGCAGGTCGGTTTTAGAAAAGAGTAAGTATTGAAGCTGAGGATGTGGAAATTGATTCCCTTAAAATGACACGTTCCTATGAACCCTTTGCAACCTCTTTGTGTGCCACCAGGAGTAACCATCCCCCAGTTTGAAGGCTGTGTGCCTAATAGACTTAGTGTAACTCCTAGGTGATCAATATACTGTTAAAGAAAATGCATTTGGTTTTCCAAAGTGTTCTCTCATACATTTCCTTCTTGCCAGTGCCCAGGGATCTATTTATGGCTGGCAGGATTGATATTGCCTGTGGCAGATAAAGAACTTGTGGCCCAGAGAGAGGGAAGAGTGATTTGTCCAAAAAGTCACAGCCAATGTTTCTGGTCCCTTGTCCCCAAGGTCTGAGCTTTTGGGACCACTCCACATTGCCTTGCAAGCTCCCGTCCTAATCAGTCAGACATCAGCAAGTACTTATTGAAGACTTCTTGGCTTCCCAACATCATGCCAGGCAGCCCCATCCTCTGTCCTTTCCTTTTCCACTAAACTTCTCACTCACTATACTTGTTTAACTCCCGCTAATTTGCTGACATTTACTGAGCACTCATTGCTAGTCAATAGTGCTTTATATATCTTACTTAACCCTTACAAAACCACAATGGGGTTGGTACTATGTTCACACTGTTTTAAGGGTCTGTCCTTAAAATTGAGGATGACAGTCCACCATAGATGAAACACAATTTTTATTTTTTCACCACAGTGGAATAGAAATTATAGGACATCAGGACACCAAGTCTAGGTAGTGGATTTCACTCTGCCTTTTGTTTTCTAATTTCAGCAATTCCAGGGGTTACCCTTATTCTTTGCCTTGAGATACTCAGTCTCAGGCCCTAAACCAGGTCGGTATAGGTCATTCCAGATTGAATACAGAGAGCTCAGTTTCAGAGTCAACCTGTGTCTAAGCACCAGCTGACCTGAGGGGGAAACATTCAGGGTGGCCTCAGGTCAGCTTTGTTATAGGGTTGTGAAATTCGTGCAGGGCACAAAGTTGCAGAGTCAAAAGTACAAGTTGGGGCTGAAATCCAGGCTATGCTCTACTTGTCAAGTCCCACCCACACAGGGCTGCAGCCATCCAAAAAGGAGGCTCTTTCCATATTCATCTGTCTAAATGGGTCACCTTTCTCTTAGGTACACAAGACCATCATATAGGCTGCCAGATGTCCTGGTAATGTTCTCAGTCTCTGTTGATTCATTTTGTCAATAATGTAAATGACGTGTACTGGTTTTCAGTTTTAGAATCAATCCATATACAAGGTCTGGTAGACCTAGTTATATTTACAGAACAGAATAGGAATGTTATCAGCATCGAAAATGTAACAGCAAAACAATGACTGTCAGAAAGTGATAGGAAAATAAAAACCTCTAATATCTTCATCTTATGTAGATAGAATTGCGATACTGATTGCCAGTGATGAAACAAACATAAATGAATTATGCTTTTAAATCAATAAGTTAGAAAACAGTTAAACCCCCGGGCACAGTGGCTCACACCTGTAATCCCAGCACTTTGGGAGGCCGAGGCAGGTGGATCACGAGGTCAGGAGTTTGAGACCAGCCCGGCCAATATGGTGAAACGCTGTCTCTACTAAAAATACAAAAAAATTAGCTGGGCATTGTGGTGCATGCCTGTAATCCCAGCTACTCGAGAGGCTGAGGCAGGAGAACTGCTTGAACCCGGGAGGTGGAGGTTGCAGTGAGCTGGGATCACACCACAACACTCCAGCCTGGGTGACAGAGCAAGACTCTGTCTCAAAAAAAAAAAAAAAAAAAAAAAAAAGTAAAGAAAAGAAAAGAAAAAGAAAACAAACCTGAGAAAGCAGGACAGAATGCTAAAGATTGCAACATAAATTAATTAGATGAAAAATTAAGGAATAAAGGCATAGAATTCATAGTTACAAAGGTAACAAGAAGAAAAACAAAATAATAATATATCTATGTTACAGCTTTGCCTTTGTCCAGTGTAGACCCCAGGGCACATCCCTTCGTAGGCTCTTTTGACACCCTCTTACCCTCCACTCAGTCTCCCTTGCCCCCTTCCCTGAAGCAGCCAAGCAATGCAGACAGGGCCTTCTCCCTGTTTTTCTTTATCATTATCTTCATTCTCTGTATCTTTATTTTCTGTCCCTTCATTATCTCTTTATTCTCTGGGTCATTATTTTCCATCTTTCTAAATATTTGTATCACTTTACATCTCTATTGCTCTTTCAATTTCTCTCTGTGTCTTTCTGTAATTTTGGCTCTACCTTTCTGGCTCCTTCCCCATCGGTTCCAAAACTGCACCATGCTGTTTGGACAAACAAAATACCTGATCCTGGACTATGCATACCTTGCCAGCATATAACCTTCACCCAATCTCAACCCAGAGCATAGCCAAGTTTCTCACAGGAGAGATGTATACTCTGGAGATTGGACTCATCTCATCTCTGCTTCAACCCTTGAAACCTCCCCTATAAACTTCATAAAATTAGGGAAGAAAGGAGGGGAAAAAGTAAAATAAACCAAGCTTGCAGCATATTCAGCTTTAATCAAGTCAACTTACTCTCTGGCCTGTTTCCACATAGCTGTTTGTGCCTACTGTCTTAGAATCATGTAGACCCTGTTACATGATTACAGTTCCTCTTAACTGCTCTACAGATAACAATTTGAACATTATGAAATGTTGTTTTCCCTTTGAGATATTCCTGCAGGTTCTGCATACTGAAGAAACTACTATTTCAGCTGGTCTGAAGGACCCCACTGATGCCAGCTGACCTGAAGGACTCCATGAAAAGCTGACTCACCAAAGAATGCAGTTTCCATATCCTGATGATTTCATCCCCCTTGCCCCGACAAATCAACAACCCCTCATCCTCCACGATCCCCTTAATAAATAACTCCAGCCCAGAACTCCTTGGGGAGATGGATTTGAGGTTCTCCTCCCATCTCCTTGCTTGATGTGGGGTGCCCTGTGATGATTACATTCTTTTTTTGCTGCATTTTTGCTGTCTTAGTGTAATTGGTTAGTTATTGTGCATTGGGCATATGAGCCTGTTGGTCCTATAACATCTTCAGCCCACTGCAAGCAGCCTCACCCTGATTCCTCTGCTCAATCTACTCCAGGACAGGTAGTAAGGGCTCCTTGATCTCGTATCCATTAATTCTTTCTTCCTGAGGGACCCTCTCATTCCACGCTTTTCCTTTTTCTCTCATTCTCTCCCCTTCTTTCTTCTCCCATCCCTTTTTCTCCCCCTTCTTCTCCTCCTCTGCCCAATCCCACCACTGAAGTTCCTCAGGGCCATGCCAGAGCCTCTTTTTCTTCTCTCCTCTCCCCACTCTGCATAATCCCCCTGGGTAAACTCATTTGCCCTTGTTGTCTCAACCACCAGCCTCAGCCATATTCTTACTCCTTCAAACTCTGAGGAAGCTGCAGCCCCAACCCTCTTCCCCCTAAAAAACACACCACAGGGCATTCTGCCCTCAATTTCGGTGAATCATGACCTCTGATGTCTGTTCATGGACATAGGACCATTTATCCAGCTCCTCCCTTGAAACCCTGTCTTCCTCTGCTTGCCAGAACACCATTTGCTCCTGCCTTTCTTTTACTCCTTTGGCAGCTCCTTCTCTGGCTCCTTGCTGGCATTTTTCTTTGCTTCTGTTTCCTCCTTAAACATCCACATTCTCAGGGCCCTGACCTCTTCCTCTCCAAACACCCTCTGAGGGAGGTCTTAAAATTTATAGCCATGGCTTGGGAAAGGAGGAGACACGGAGTGGGTCTTGAAAGATGCACAGGAAATTTCTGTGGCAGCTGTAAGGCTCATAGGCATGAAGCAGATGACCTCGCTGAGATAAGGCCAGGCCACAGCCTCCTGGACCCAGAGAAATGTTGGAGAACTTGGCAGGGCTGCAGACAGAGGACATTAAATACATGTCCTGCATTCAGTGATTCTATTCTGCATACTGTATTGACTATCAAGACCTCCTAAATGTACCAGATTCAGCTTTTTAAAATAAATTACTAAAAACTTGGTAGTTGGAGTTACTTTTCAGCCACAGTAATTGGCTCTTAAATTGCCAGTTTAAAGGGGAACACTACTTTTTGCAATGTAAAAAAAAAAATCCTACCTCCCCAAATAAAGACAATCTGTAAATTGTTCAGACGACTGTCTTTCTGCAGGTTTGGCTGAAGGAAGACCAAAAGGAGTGAAAGAATTAAAAGTACTTTTTAAAAAATTTTTTTGACGGAGTTTTGCTCTGCCGCCCAAGCTGGAATGCAGTGGCACGATCTTGGCTCACTGCAACCTTCGCCTCCCGGGTTCCAGTGATTCTCGTGTCTCAGCCTCCCGAGTAGCTGGGATTACAGGCATGCGCCACCTCGCCCCGCTAATTTTGTATTTTTAGTAGAGACGGGGTTGCACCATGTTGGCCAAGCTGGTCTCAAACTCCTGTCTCAAGTGATCTTCCCACCTCAGCCTCCCTAAGTTCTGGGATTACAGGCGTGAGCCACCGTGCCTGGCCTAAAAGTACTTATTTTTCATATTCAGGAAAGGAAAAGACTGTTCTTTGGCCAAAGTCTCAAGCTGTGAACAGTATTAATTAGTGATAACTTTGTGTGTGTGTGTGTGTGTGTGTGTGTGTGTGTATACACTGAAAGCCAATCAGCAAGCAATAGCCTCACTTCAGTAACTGCAGTTCTGAGAGCAAATTAATGACAGCCCAAAACTTCTGAAAGTCTATCAGAAATGCCCAGTCCTAAAACTCAGCCAATCAGTGATAACTCCCCAAAGTCAGCCAATCCGAGACAGCCCCACACTTCCAGACATCAGCCAATCATTGAGCACTCGATCCAGCTGCCATGTTCTAGAAGTCACTCCTTGACAGCAGCTTTAGTCCAGTGAGCACAGCAATGCACTGAAAGTCTGTTAGGCCCTCCACACTCCTGCTTATCAATGCTGGTCAATCCCTGAACTCCAGGCTTCCCATAACCTTCTCAAAGCTCTGGCTTTGTTCTGGAAGACTGTGACTTACAAATACAGATCTCTGTTGTAGGCGTACAGGAAGTTACTCTTTTTTTGCATCAGATTTCAAGTTCAATTTATTGTTAGTTCACAAGTTCACATCCCATTCAACAGCCCAACCTCTATTTACAGTTGGTTATAAGTTACAACTTCCTAGTGACAGACATACTTTTCAATTCTTAGAGTGGTTGCTTTATCAATTTTTAAAATTTGTGTATATTTGAATCTCAAAATGCCAAAACACAAGCATGATATATTCCATGATATATTTAAGAGTGTACATTTATTAAATGAGGGAAAAGTCCTTTTGAAGATCTTGGTTTAGTATATAATTGTTCATTTAATGTCAAAAATGGTAGAAAATCAGATATAAACCAGCATATAACAGCTAAGCACAAGATATATGATTTCATGAACTGGTACCAAAGAAAATAATAAAATAGCAGACATTTGTTAAGAAAAAATCAGGTGAAAAAAATAAAGCAGAAGCTGTAATAGTCTTCTACTCTGTTTATTATCATCAATCTTGCATCTCAAATGACAATTTGAACATACTGCTACCAGTATGTTCAAATTTTCTGATTCTAAAATTAAAAGCAAATTTTCAAGTGCCAAGATGAAATCTACTGCAATAATCTAAAATGTAATAACTCCATTTAATATTACAGAGATTATCAAGATCTTAATGTCTCATCATTTTTACAGCAAAGCCATTGAAGCACCTATTCTCAACAGAATAAAAACCTTTCCCTTTGCTTGTGCAATATTTTTCTTGGGGTAAAGTCTTGTGAGTATAATTCCTTCCAGATCAAACTTCAGAAATGAGCAAATTTTTGCAGAGACTCTCTTATTGAGTTAGGAGTTAATGAGAAAAATGTACCACTTTTGGTGGAAATGATACAAACTTTAGCGGATGTTTGCATAAAGGTGCAGACTATATTTATTCAAGGTTGGAAAAAAGCCTGCATGATTCTAGGGAAGATGTCCTGCCCATATTTTGCATAATGACACTCCACTAGCATCTGATGTCCTTTCTGTTAACATTGAAGTAATTGTCATGAAATTCTTCTCTTACTTTGGCATTTACACTGTTCAAATTTAGCAAATACAAGATTTAAAAATTTTTATTATATTATATTATATTTTATTTTAGTTTTAGACAGGGTCTCATTCTGTCACCCATGCTGGAGAGCAGTGGTGCGATCTTGGCTCACTGCACCCTTGACCTCCCCAGACTCAAGCGATCCTCCCACCTCAGCCTCCTGAGGAGCTGGGACTACAGGTGCACGCCACTGTGCTCAGCTAATTTTTGTATTTTTTGTAGAGATCGGGTTTCATCATGTTGCCCAGGCTGGTCTCCAGCTCCTGGGCTCAAGCGATCCGCCTGCCTCAGCCTCCCAAAGTGCTGGGATTAAAGGCATGAGCCGCTGTACCCAGCCATGATTTTTTTTAATTAAAAAAAAATTATTGGCATCCAGTATTCTTCAACTCTCATGCATTCAAAAATCTGTTGGCTCTCTTTTACAAATACAGTTGAGAAAATCTTCAGTTTATTTGAAGCCCTTAAACCATACTTTAATTTTGAAGAAGAGCCCTACCCCAAATTCTCGTTGACTGTTTTAATAACCCATTTAGTGAAGCCTACTTACTTTGTGTTCATAGTTGTCAATATCTCTGTAACAATAGAATTGCAAATTGAAAGAAGAGCAGATAGTGTTATTGAAGTAATACATTGCTTAAAGGGATTTGATTGCATTAAAGAAAAAATTAATCAAAAACTTTTCCATTTACGTTTAGAAGCTATTCTTGAAAGGGATAATGTTATCTATAAACAGGAAAAAATATGACTTGAAGTGGATAATTATTATAGTACCTGCCATGACTATCTTTTGAGATGAATTTCATCCCTTGAAGAATTTGATTCTTTTACTTGGATATTACCAAATACTCTTCCAGCATAGGAACAAGTGGAGTCATCATATGTAGTCTTGAGAAAGGGAATAAAAATTGATGATAATGCTATTTTTATCAGTGGACAACATTTTAAAAAATTGTTAACACATGCCATTTAATCCTGAAGAATGGAAAAAGAAATTATGCTGTGAAAGATGGTATTATGCACTTCATACATCTTCATTATGCAGGAAGTACATAATACTTCAACAAATGAAATTTGAAGAGAAATTATCAGAGTTGTTAACTTTATGCCAGTCCATGTTCAGTATACTGGTTCACAATGCTAACATCCAATGTGTTTTCTCATTAAACAGTGTTCAATTAACAAAAGAACAAAATAAATTAGATGTGATCAGTGTAGAAGCCATTTTACAGCACATACACATTTGACAAACATTGGTATAAATGTAGCTCTAAGGAATCCTTTCTATGTCTATCATGGAATTATGAAAATGAATTAGTTTTACAATAAGCCTACTGTTACTAATGTAGTAGTCTAAACTTTAAGGCAGTGAGTTTACTTGAATTGAAAGGAATTACTCAGGTTGGAGCAGAGATGTGTGGAAAGGTCTGCATGAAGTGATGAGTAAACTCCAGTGTGATGAAGGCTGAGAAGACAATAGTTTGGGGATGGGTGAGAATGATGTTGGCTCTATGCACTGGCAAGAGGGCATAAAGAACAGACTCAAAGAGAAGCAAGGTTCTAGTGAAGATGAGTTGTTATACTCCTACCAAATTAAAGATGTCTGTGGGACATTCAAGCAGAGATGTGTAGCAGGCAGTTGCAGTTGGATACATGGATTTGGAGCTAGAAAAGAGAAAGGTCTTGTGTTACGAACTAGTGAGAGAGCTATTACAGAGAAGATAACTGGCATAGCCAACACTGAATAGATAACTGTCTGTATAGACTAGAAAGACTTCCACTTCTGATGCTTTGAGTCTTACTATGTAGCTGCCTATATGTTGGGAAGGACCCTGGCCTGAGCATGGCAGATTCTAGGCCGGCTTTTAGGAATGGAATGTATCTTGATGTGGACTCAGGTAACTATATTTGTGTCTGTTCTGCCTGTGAGGCAAAAAAGGACCTGAGCCAGAGCATGGCTGACCAGAAGCTTGAAAGTAATGAAGAGGACCCTGGGGTATGGGTAGGGGTTTCTGTTTAAATAAGTGAGGAGTGGCAGGTTGTGTCAAGCAGGGTCAGGTTAAGTGTAATCTTTTATGTGTACTGGGTGGAGTAAGGGCTTTGGTATGTGACGGGCCTGAACAAAGACTGTGTGTCTCTGGGTGTGACTGGGATAGTCACAGATATGAGCAGAAAAGAAGTAAAGGGCCCTTCATATGACTAGGGGCTGTCCTGATGCATGTGAAGAATACTTCAGGGCCAGGTTTGTATGGAGGACTAGCTCCAGGACTGAGGGGCAGGGAGGAGGATCCTGTGCTGGGCAAGGGAGTTTTACAAACTTCTACTGGAGATTTTTCAGAAATATCTGTGGATTGATGATGTGGTGTGAACCACAGTAGTATCCAAAACTAAGAAATTTATCTCCATCAGGTTTCACCTCGACTACACATAAATGTGTGAATTTTTATCGCCACTAACCTGCTAAAGTTCATGGCTTGACAGGGAGAGACATTTCTTACTAGCTGTAGTGCTGAGCTCTTATAAGTCAATGGTTTTCAAATTACCTGAGGTAAACGACTCATTGTGATAGGATTCAGCAAATATTACATAATATTTTGCATAGAGTATAAGCATTTTTGTGCAAGCTGTGTTTTCTTTTTTATCTTTTTATTTATTTATTTTTAATTTTTTCTTATGTTTTTTATTTTTTTATTATACTTTAAGTTTTAGGGTACATGTGCACAACGTGCAGGTTTGTTAAATATGTATACATGTGCCATGTTGGTGTGCTGTACCCATTAACTCGTCATTTACATTAGGTATATCTCCTAATGCTATCCCTCCCCCCTCCCCCCACCCTACAACAGGCCCCGGTGTGTGATGTTCCCCTTCCTGTGTCCATGTGTTCTCATTGTTCAGTTTCCACCTATGAGTGAGAACATGTGGTGTTTGGTTTTTTGTCCTTGAGACAGTTTGCTGAGAATGATGGTTTCCAGTTTCATCCATGTCCCTACAAAGGACATGAACTCATCCTTTTTTATGGCTGCAAAGTATTCCATGGTGTATATGTGCCACATTTTCTTAATCCAGTCTATCATTGTTGGACATTTGGGGTGGTTCCAGGTCTTTGCTACTGTGAATAGTGCTGCAATAAACATACGTGTGCATGTGTCTTTATAGCAGCATGATTTATAATCCTTTGGGTATATACCCAGAAATGGGATGGCTGGGTCAAATGGTATTTCTAGTTCTAGATCCCTGAGGAATCGCCACACTGTCTTCCACAATGGTTGAACTAGTTTCTAGTCCCACCAACAGTGTAAAAGTGTTCCTATTTCTCCACATCCTCTCCAGCACCTGTCGTTTCCTGACTTTTTAATGATCGCCATTCTAACTGGTGTGAGATGGTATCTCATTGTGGTTTTGATTTGCATTTCTCTGACGGCCAGTGATGATGAGCATTTTTTCATGTGTCTGTTGGCTGCATAAATGTCTGCTTTTGAGAAGTGTCTGTTCATATCCTTCACCCACTTTTTGATGGGGTTGTTTGTTTTTTTCTTGTAAGTTTGTTTGAGTTCTTTGTAGATTCTGGATATTAGCCCTTTGTCAGATAAGTAGATTGCAAAAATTTTCTCCCATTCTGTAGGTTGCCTGTTCACTCTGATGGTAGTTTCTTTTGCTGTGCAGAAGCTCTTTAGTTTAATTAGATCCCATTTGTCAATTCTGGCTTTTGTTGCCATTGCTTTTGGTGTTTTAGACATGAAGTCCTTGCCCATGCCTATGTGCTGAATGGTATTGCCTAGGTTTTCTTCTAGGGTTTTTAAGGTTTTAGGTCTAACATTTAAGTCTTTAATCCATCTTGAATTAATTTTTGTATAAGGTGTAAGGAAGGGATTCAGTTTCAGCTTTCTACATATGGCTAGCCAGTTTTCCCAGCACCATTTATTAAATAGGGAATCCTTTCCCCATTTCTTGTTTTTGTCAGGTTTGTCAAAGATCAGGTGGTTGTAGATGTGTGGTGTTATTTCTCAGGGCTCTATTCTGTTCCATTGGTCTATGTCTCTGTTTTGGTACCAGTACCATGCTGTTTTGGTTACTGTAGCCTTGTAGTATAGTTTGAAGTCAGGTAGCATGATGCCTCCAGCTTTGTTCTTTTGGCTTAGGATTGACTTGGCAATGCAGGCTTTTTTGGTTCCATATGAACTCTAAAGTAGTTGTTTCCAATTCTGTGAAGAAAGTCCTTGGTAGCTTGATGGGGATGGCATTGAATCTATAAATTACCTTGGGCAGTATGGCCATTTTCACCATATTGATTGTTCCTATCCATGAGCATGGAATGTTCTTCCATTTGTTTGTGTCCTCTTTTATTTCATTGAGCAGTGGTTTGTAGTTCTCCTTGAAGAGGTCCTTCACAGCCCTTGTAAGTTGGATTCCTAGGTGTTTTATTCTCTTTGAAGCAATTGTGACTGGGAGTTCACTCATGATTTGGCTCTCTGTTTGTCTGTTATTGGTGTATAAGAATGCTTGTGATTTTTGCATATTGATTTTGTATCCTGAGACTTTGCTGAAGTTGCTTATCAGCTTAAGGAGGTTTTGGGCTGAGACAATGGGGTTTTCTAGATATACAATCATGTCATCTGCAAACAGGGACAATTTGACTTCCTCTTTTCCTAATTGAATACCCTTTATTTCCTTCTCCTGCCTGATTGCCCTGGCCAGAACTTCCAACACTATGTTGCATAGGAGTGGTGAGAGAGGGCACCCCTGTCTTGTGCCCGTTTTCAAAGGGAATGCTTCCAGTTTTTGCCCATTCAGTATGATATTGGCTGTGGGTTTGTCATAAATAGCTCTTATTATTTTCAGATACGTCCCATCAATAGCTATTTTATTGAGAGTTTTTAGCATAAAGGGCTGTTGAATTTTGTCAAAGGCCTTTTCTGCATCTATTGAGATAATCATGTGTTTTTGGTCATTGGTTCTGTTATATGCTGGATTACGTTTGTTGATTTGCATATGTTGAACCAGCCTTGCATCCCAGGGATGAAGCCCACTTGATCATGGTGGATAAGCTTTTTGATGTGCTGCTGGATTCAGTTTGTCAGTATTTTACTGAGGATTTTTGCATCGATGTTCATCAGGGATATTGGTCTAAAATTCTCTTTTTTTGTTGTGTCTCTGCCAGGCTTTGGTATCAGGATGATGCTGGCCTCATAAAGTGAGTTAGGGAGGATTCCCTCTTTTTCTATTGATTGGAATAGTTTCAGAAGGAATGGTACCAGCTCCTCCTTGTACCTCTGGTAGAATTTGGCTGTGAATCTGTCTGGTCCTGGACTTTTTTTGGTTGGTAAGCTATTAATTATTGCCTCAATTTCAGAGCCTGTTATTTGTCTATTCAGAGATTCAACTTCTTCCTGGTTTAGTCTTGGGAGAGTGTATGTGTCGAGGAATTTATTCATTTCTTCTAGACTTTCTAGTTTATTTGCATAGAGGTGTTTATAGTATTCTCTGATGGTAGTTTGTATTTCTGTGGGCTCGGTGGTGATATCCCCTTTATCATTTTTTATTGCGTCTATTTGATTCTTCTCTCTTTTCTTCTTTATCAGTCTTGCTAGCAGTCTATCAGTTTTGTTGATCTTTTCAAAAAACCAGCTCCTGGATTCATTGATTTTTTGAAGGGTTTTTTTGTGTTTCTGTCTCCTTCAGTTCTGCTCTGATCTTCGTTATTTCTTGCCTTCTGCTAGCTTTTGAATGTGTTTGCTCTTGCTTCTCTAGTTCTTTTAATTGTGATGTTAGGGTGTCAGTATTGGATCTTTCCTGCTTTCTCTTGTGCGCATTTAGTGCTATAAATTTCCCTCTACACACTGTTTTAAATGTGTCCCAGCGATTCTGGTATGTTGTGTCTTTGTTCTTGTTGGTTTCAAAGAACATCTTTATTTCTGCCTTCATTTCATTATGTACCCAGTAATCATTCAGGAGCAGGTTGTTCAGTTTCCACGTAGTTGTGCAGTTTTGAGTGAGTTTCTTAATCTCGATTTCTAGTTTGATTGCACTGTGGTCTGAGAGACAGGTTGTTATAATTTCTGTTCTTTTACATTTGCTGAGGAGTGCTTTACTTCCAACTATGTGGTCAATTTTGGAGTAAGTGTGGTGTGGTGCTGAGAAGAATGTATATTCTGTTGATTTGGGGTGGAGAGTTCTGTAGATGTCTATTAGGTCTGCTTGGTGCAGAGCTGAGTTCAATTCCTGGATATCCCTGTTAACTTTCTGTCTTGTTGATCTGTCTAATGTTGACAGTGGGGTGTTAAATTCTCCCATTATTATTGTGTGGGAGTCTAAGTCTCTTTGTAGGTCTCTAAGGACTTGCTTTATGAATCTGGGTGCTCCTGTATTGGATGCGTATATATTTAAGATATTTAGCTCTTCTTGTTGAATTGATCCATTTACCATTATGTAACAGCCGTCTTTGTCTCTTTTGATCTTTGTTGGTTTAAAGTCTGTTTTATCAGAGACTGGGATTGCAACCCGTGCCTTTTTTTGTTTTCCATTTGCTTGGTAGATCTTCCTCCATCCCTTTATTTTGAGCCTATGTGTGTCTCTGCAGGTGAGATGGGTTTCCTGAATACAGCACACTGATGAGTCTTGACTCTTTATCCAATTTGCCTGTCTGTATCTTTTAATTGGAGCATTTAGCCCATTTACATTTAAGGTTAATATTGTTATGTGTGAATTTGATCCTGTCGTTATGATATTAGCTGGTTATTTTGCTCATTAGTTGATGCAGTTTCTTCCTAGCCTCAATGGTCTTTACAATTTGGCATGTTTTTGCAGTGGCTGGTACTGGTTGTTCCTTTCCATGTTTAGTGCTTCCTTCAGGAGCTCTGGTAGGGCAGGCCTGGTGGTGACAAAATCTCTCAGCGTTTGTTTGTCTCTAAAGTATTTTATTTCTCCTTCATTTATGAAGCTTAGTTTGGCTGGATATGAAATTCTGGGTTGAAAATTCTTTTCTTTAAGAATGTGGAATATTGGTCCCCACTCTCTTCTGGCTTGCGGAGTTTCTGCCGAGAGATCAGCTGTTAGTCTGATGGGCTTCCCTTTGTGGATAAACCGACCTTTCTGTCTGGAATATAACCTATCATTTATTTTCCAGTTGTTCTGCTTCTGGAGTGGGGATAATGAGAATATTCAGTTACTTATTGAGGTCACTTGCAACTTAGGTACCAGGGAAAGTAAGCTCCAAATATATTAATCCTCCATTCCTTGACCTGCCCTACCCCATTCCCCATGTCAGAGTCATGCATCATAGAGTATCTTTTGGGTATTCAGCAGTCATGCAGTTGCAATTCTCTCTCTTGCTCCCGGGGCTCCTCAAGGAAGTTGAATGGCATCAGAGGTTAGAAGGGTAGCAGATGGTGTGGTAAGATGAGCCCAGGTCCCAGGTAGGATATAGTCCAGTGCGAGTAACAACTCAAAACCTCTGCCAGGTCCTGTAGGTTAACAGACCCCATTGAGACCAATAATAGAGCTTCCAGTGTTTTTTTAGAGGCAGACAGGAGGAAAGACCAATTGATAACATCATGAGCCCAGCATCTCAAGACTGGAAAATACCTTGGAATTTATGTGAAACCAACTGCCGACCTAAAGAAGGACTGCCTTCCACTCCTCCCCCAAGGTTCCAGTCAAGGAATAATCCACACTCCTATATAGCTCCATGGATGGAAACCATCATTCCAGGGGTCAGGGCCTTAGGCTGACATGGAATTGGCTTCCAGATTTGTGTTCGGTTAGATCCAGTAATACAGACTGCCAACTGAGAACTCCCTCCTGTGGTTTTTCCTGATTGATCTGTCTTCTTTGAGCTTTAAACTCCTTATCCTGTCATCCACAATACCACCTGATTCCCTTGAAAACTCTTCTCTGCCATCATATCCTGCCCCTGTTCAGAACCATTTAGTGGTGACTCATTGCTGACAGAGTAATATCCGCATTCTTTAGCCTGGCATTCATGCAAGGGCATAGCGAAGAGAGGACATAGGTCCATGGATGCAAGTTTATGAAAGTGCCACAAAGATGCCAGCCAATAATTTATTTCAACGTTGCATTGAGTAACTATCTATAGATTTGCTGAACATCAGGTGTATGAATGCACTCTTGTTTTGCTATCTGTTTATTCAATTCTGAGCTATTCTAGCACCAGTGTAAGGAGAGAGGGCACAAACACATTACGTTGAGCCTAGGCACCATTTGTGTTCCCCAGTGTTTTCAGACTCACTCCTTCCAGTTTCCTTCCCTTTTAGCTGAGTTGTATGTAGGTACAAGTGCTGTGAGGGAAAAGCTACCTCCCCATCCTGCTGCAGTGGAAGAGAGAAAGAGTGAGGTGGAATGGGGCTATTCCTTTTATCTGGGTCACTTTTTTCTCAGATAATTGAATGGTTCCCTTCCTTAGCTCCTTTATTTCCTAGAGTGAGTGACTGCCCTGGTTTGCCTATAACCAAGGGATTGCCCAGGGCATGAGATTTTCAGTGCCAAAACCAAGACAGTGCTGGGAAAACCAGGTGGTTGATCACTCCAGTTGCTTAATTGTCTACTTAACGGAGGGCTTCCCCTGACCAGCCACTCTGTCTAAAATAATGCACACTCCCTTCCCCACAATCTCTTTTGTTTTACCTTACTTTATTTTTCCACTTCAGCTCTGTTTGTTTGCTTATTTTCAGTCTCCCTGGTTGCAGTGTAAGCTCTATGAAGGTGGAATTTTTTTCTATCTTGTCACTAATATATCCTTAACACATAGAACAGTACCTGATACATAACAAGCAATCGATACCTACTGTTGCCTGACATTCATCCAGTTTGCTTCTAGAAAGCTCGAGATATTTTTGTTTTTTAAAAAATTGCTGAACTGCAAGGCTAGGAGGACTTACTACCTGTCATGGCTACTGGCGATCATTTACTCTGCCAGGTGCCCTACTAACAGGGTTTGACCTGTCATTTAAATGTAAATATGGCTTAGGTTCCACTCTGTAATTTTGAGCTGTTTATCCTGGCAATCCGACCTCCTTAATACCTCTTGTATTCCTCTCTTCTTTAAACCCCATTGTCCTTGCTCTAGATTAGGCCTTAATACCTCTAAAGCACTGACTCTTAAAACAGATCAAACTCATCACGCTACAATTTGGTTCTAACTTCAGGGCTTTGCTTTAGTTATTTATTCCCTCTTGCTTAGAACATTCTGTCCCCAGATCTAGTTGTGGGTGGGCCCATTGTTTCATTCGGGTCTCAACTGAAATGTCACCTCCTCAGGGAGACTTTCCCTGACTTACCTATCCAAATAAGCCCCAGCAGTCACTGTTCTTTTATCCTATTTCATTTTCTCCATAACACCTATTACTTTCTGAAATTAATTATCTTTATTTTTCTTATGTGGCTATTTACTGTTCTCTCTGCTACTAACTTCATGAACACAGGACTTTTGTCTGTCTAGTTCACTATTCTAACCCCAGAGGCCAGCACAATGCACAGAACATAATAGGAACTTCCAGGCTAGTCCCCTCCAATCCACCTTGTACAGCAGCCTCTAAAGGGCTGTTCCTAATCTGCAAATCCGATGTCAACCTTCTGCCTAAAATCTTTACAGGCTCTCTTACTGTCCCTGGGATAAAGTCAAAGCTTCTCAGTCCAGTGTTCAAGGCTCTCCAGGAACTGTGGGCATGGACAGTCCACAGCTTGTTTTTGGCTTCCCTTCCCCTCTCCCCAACTTGAACCCTCTAATTCAGAAGACGTACTAAACTGCGTACAGTTCTTGAATCCTCCAGGCTTTTGAAAGCCCACATACTTTCATTCATGTTGTTTCCATTGCCTGGGATACCATTACTTTGCCTTGGCACTGAGAAAATCCCTACTCCTTCCTGACTGAAGAGAACAGTGTGGTTTATGAACAGCAATCTAGTTGGAAGGAGGAGTGTGTTAAGACTTTCTTACAGTTGTATATGTACACCAAAGCCAATGGATTTACTCATCTGGGATATTACTGACTTGAAAATTCAGCCAAGTCTTCTTAGGATGACTTTTTAGAAGTAGCTATATTGAGGTATAATTTACATGCCATAAAATTCACGTTATAAGTATACAATGCAAAAATTTTAGTAAATTTATAGGGTTGTGTAATTATTACTGCAATCCAGTTTTAGAACATTTTCATCACCTCCAAAAATTCCCTCCTGTCTGTTTACATTTAATCTGAACTCCCACCTCCAGCCCAAGGCAACGATTGATCTGATTTTCATCTCTATAAATTTGCCCTTTCTCTGAATTGTGTATAAATCATATAATAAGTAATCTTTTGTGTGCATCAGTACTTCATTTCTTTTATTGATGAATAGTATTTCTTTTTTATAATTTCAACTTTTATTTTAGATTCAGCGGGTACATGTGTAGGCTTGTCACATGGGTGTATTGTCTGATCCTGAGGTTTGGGATGTGAATGATCCCATCACCCAGGTAATGAGTATGATACCCAATAGTCAGTTTTTCAACCTTTACCCCTCTCCCTCCCTCCCTGCTCCAGTAGTCCCCAGTGTCTATTGCTGCTATATTTATGTCCATGAGTGCCTAATGTTTAGCTCTTACTTATAAGTGAGAATATGTGGTATTTGGTTTTCTGTTCCTCTTTTAATTCACTTAGGATGATGGCCTCCAGCTCCATCCATGTTGCTGCAAAGGACATGATTTTATTCTTTTTTATGGCTGCATAGTATTCCATCGTATATATGTATCACATTTTCTTTTTCCAATCCATGATTGGTGAACACCTAGGTTGATTCCATGTTTTTGCTATTGTGAATAGAGCTGCAATGAACATATGAGTGCATATGTCTGCTTTGTAGGATGATTTATTTTCTTTTGGATATATACCCAGTAACAGAATTGCTGGGTCTAAACATAGCTCTGTTTTAAGTTCTTTGAGAAATCTCCAAACTGCTTTCCACATTGGCTGAACTAATTTACATTCCCACCAACAATGTATAAGTGTTCCTTTTTTGCCACAGCCTCAGAAGCATCTGTTATTTTTTAACTTTTTCATAATAGCCATTCTGACTGCTGTGAGATGGTATCTCACTGTGTTTTCATTTGCATTTCACTAATTATTAGTGATGATGAGTATTTATTTACTTATTTAATTATTATACTTTAAGTTCTAGGGTACTTGTGCACAATGTGCGGTTTTGTTACATATGTATGCATGTGCCATGTTGGTTTGCTGCACCCATCAACTCGTCATTTACATTGGGTATTTCTCCTAACGTTATCGCTCCCCCAGCCCCCCACCCCACAACAGGCCCTGGTATGTTATGTTCCCCTCCCTGTGTCCATGTGTTCTCATTGTTCAACTCCCGCTTATGAGTGAGAACATGTGGTGTTTGGTTTTCTGTCCTTGTGATATTTTGCTGAGAATGATGGTTTCCGGCTTCATCCATGTCCCTGCAAAGGACATGAAGATGATGAATATTTTTTCATACGTTTGTTGGCCACCTGTATGCCTTCTTTTGAGAAGTGTCTTTTCATGTCCTTTGCCCATTTTTTAATGGGGTTATTTGTTTTTTGCTTGGTGATTTGTTTACATTGCTTATAGATTCTGGATATTCGACCTTTGTTGGGTGCATAGTTTGTGAATATTTTCCCCTGATTCTGTAGGTTGTCTGTTTACTCTGTTGCTGTGCAGAATCTCTTCAATTTAATTAGGTCCCACTTGTCAATTTTTGGTTTTGTTGCAATTGCTTTTGGGAACTTAGCCAAAAATTCCTTGCCAAGCTTGAGGTCAAGAAGGGTATTTCTTAGGTTTTCTTCTAGGATTTTCACAGTTTGAGGCCTTACATTTCAGTCTTTAATTCATCTTGACTTAATTTTTGTATATGGTGAAAAGTAGGAGTCCAGTTTCGTTCTCCTGCATATGGCTAGCCACTGAATAGTATTTCATTGTATGTATATATCACATTTTGTTAATCCATTCATTTGTCAGTGAACACTTGGGTTACTTTCATCTTTTGGCTGTTGTGAATAATGCTGCTGTGAACATGGCTGTCAAATATCTTTCCAATAGCCTGCTTTAGCTTCTTTTCAGTATATCAAGCAGTGGAATTGTTGTACTGGGCAAGGATTTTTTGAGTAAGATCTCAAAAGCACAAGCAATGAAAACACAAAAATAGACAAATGGACAAATGTGATTACATCAAGCTGAAAACTTCTGCACAGCTAAGGAAACAATCAATAAAGTGAAGAGACAACCTACAGAATGAGAGAAAGTATTTGCAAACTATGCCTCTGACAAGGAGTTAATATCCAGAATATATAAGAAACTCATTTCAATAGCAAAAAAACCCAAATAATCCAATTTAAAGTGGTCAAACATAAACCAATGGAACAGAATAGAGAATGCAGAAATAAGACCTCACACCTCACACCTACAACTATCTGATCTTCAACAAACCTGACAAAAACAAGCAATTGGGAAAGGATTCCCTATTCAATAAATGATGCTGGGATCACTGGCTAGCCTTATGCAGAAAATTGACACTGGACCCCTTCCTTATACCATATACAAAATTTAACCCAAGATGAATTAGAGACTTAAATGTAAAACCCAAAACTATAAAAACTCTAGAAGAAAACCTAGGCAATACCATTCAGGACATAGGCACGGGCAAGGACTTCGTGATGAAGATGCCAAAAGAAATTGCAACAAAAGCACAAATTGACAAATGGGATCTAATTAAAATAAAGAGCTTCTGCACAGCAAAAGAAACTATCAACAGAGTAAACAGAACCTACAGAATGGGAGTAAATTTTTGCAATTTACCCATTTGACAAATGTCTAGTATCCAGAATTTATAAGGAACTTAAACAAATTTACAAGAAAAAACAAACAACCCCATTAAATAGTGGGCAAAGGACATGAACCAACACTTTTCAAAAGAAGACATACACGCAGCCAACAATTATATGGAAAAAAAGCTCAACATCACTGATCATTAGAGAAACAAATCAAAACCACAGTGAGATACTGTCTCACACCAATCAGAATGGCTACTATTAAAAAGTCCCAAAACAACATATGCTTGCAAGTTTGCAGAGAAAAAGGAACACTTATACACTGTTGGTGAGCGTGTAAATTAGTTCAACCACTATGGAAGATAGTGTGGCCGTTCCTCAAAGACCTAAAAACAGAAATACCATTTGACCCAGGAATCCCATTACTGGGTATATACCCAAAGGAATATAGATTTTTCTATTATAAAGACACATGCATATGTATGTCCATTGCAGCACTTTTTACAATAGCAAAGACATGGAATCAACCTAAATGCCCATCGGTGATAGACTGGATAAAGAAACTATGGTACATATATACCATGGAATACTATGCAGCCATAAAAAAGAATGAGATTATGTTATTTGTAGGGACATGGATGAAGCTGGAGGTCATTATCCTTAGCAAACTAATGTAGGAACGGAAAACCAAATATGGCATGTTCTCACTTATAAGTGGGAGCTAAATAATGAGAACTCATGAACACAGAAAAGGTAACGACAGACACTGGGGTCTACTTGAGGGTGGGAGGAGATAGAGGAGCAGAAAATAACTATTAGGTACTAAGCTTAGTACCTGGGTGATAAAATAATCTGTACAACACACCTCCGGGACACACATTTACCTATGTGACAAATCTGCACATGTACCCTTGAACTTAAAAGTTAAATAAAAAATGGTCAAAAGACCTGAATATACATTTCTCTAAAGAAAACATGCAAATTACCAAGAGCTATGTGAAAAATGTTCAACATCTCTAATCATCAGGGAAATGCAAATCAAAACCACAATGAGATATTACCTTACCTTCATTAGAATGGTTATTATCAAAAAGACAAAAAATAACTAATGCTGGTGAGGATGCAGAGAAAATGGAACTCTTACACGCTGTTGGTAGGAATGTAAATTTGTACAACCATTATGGAAAACAGTATGTAGGTTTCTCAAAAAATTAAAAATAGAACCACCATTTGACCCAGTAGTCCCATTACTGGGCGTGTATCCAAAGGAAATGAAATCAGTATATCAAAGAGACATTTGTACTCTCATGTTTATTGCAGCACTATTGACAATAGCCAAGATAAGAAATCAACCCAAATCCTCATCTAGAAATGAATGGATAAAGAAAATGTCTTTATCCATTTATACACACACACACACACACACACACTCACACTCACACACACACACACTCACACACACACACACACACACACAATGGAATACTATTAAGCCATAAAGCAGAATGAAATCCTGTCATGTGCAGCAACATGGATGAGCTTGGAGGACACTATGTTAAGTGAAATAAGCCAGGCACGGGAAGACAAACACTGCATGATTTCTCTCATATGTGAAACCTAAAACAGTTGACTTCATAGAAGTAGGGAGTAGACTAGTGATTACCAAACGCTGGGAAGTGTAGAGAGGGGCGCCAGGAGAAGTTGATCAATGGGTACAAATTTACAGTTAGACAGGAAGAATAAGTTCTGGTGTTCTATAACACAGTAGGGTGACTATAGCAAATAACAATGTAGTATGTATTTCAAGATAGCTGGAAGAGAAGATTTTGAATGTTGTCACCACAAAGAAATGATATATGTTCAAAGTCATGGATATAGGAATTACCCCAATAATTACTCTCATTTGATCATTATACAATGTATACATGCACTGAAACATCACACTGTACCCCAGAAATATGTACAATTATTTTGTGTCAATTATACATTTAAAAACTAATTAAATAAAGCAAAGTTCAGACTGTTTCCAAAGCCACTCCAGGTTTTAATTTATCTTTTGAGTCACGTAGGTGCATGCACACAGCCTCAGGACAGGGCAGGATGCTTGTGACCTCTCAGGCTCCACCCAGGAATATGCTTGTCCCAACCATGACGACAGCCTCAGGATAGTAGAGCCTGAATTGTTAGGTTCTCACCCACTTGCCCACTGTCAAGCAGTCACTTCCACTGATAATGAGTCTTGTCATGGGCATTGTCTACTGTTCCAAGTCAAGTGAGCTCCCATTGACAGTGGTAGGGAAACTGCAGGTGCTCATTGCCTGCACCACCCTTGCAGAACTTCTTCGCTTGCCTAGCTAAGGGATGGGGATGGGAGTAACCCAAGGCCAGAATGCCATAGATTTCCACCGTTCTCGTTCCAAGTTCAGCAGTTTTTAAAGTATAAACACTTCTTAGATTGTTGTATGCCTTTGGGTTCTGAAAGAGTTGTGTTTCATCAATTTTGTCTAGCTTTATAGTTACTTTTTTTTTGGTAGCAGGATTTGCTGATCTCCTTATTTAGCCATAGCAGGAAATCTCTCAGGATTATTTTAGTCACACTACATAAAATTGAGAAACTGCAGTTATCTATATTGAAGAATTTAATTAATTATCATTCAATTTATGTGGGATGGATGAGCAGTTGATGGAGCTTATACTGGGAAAGACTAATATTCCACAAAGCCACCCCTAAGCCTCTATATTACCTGGTATACACACAAATCTCTCTTTTTTGTTTGCTATTGTCTGTTTATATCTGTCTCCTCTTAGGTCTTGGAATGTCTCAGGCCTAGGGATGAGGTCTGAGTGCTCTCTGATTCCCAAACTTCTTCAGCAATAGCCTAGCACAGAGAAGTTTTCTGTAAATGTTAAGATGAATGAATCCACCAACTGGGGAAGAGACTCACTGGAGGTGTGACCCACTGACATTATCCCCACAGTGTGGATTATTCCCAGCATGACTCAGCTAGACAGGATGAAAAACAGCCTTGGAGAAGGACTTGGCAAGTTTCTCTGCCACTAACTTACTGTGAGATCCCAGGCAAAGTCTTTTCCCTCTCTAGGTCTCAGCTACTGCATCTGAGAAAGGAGAACATTGGAGTGGAGAGTCTTTAAGGTACCTCCTACCTCTGCTTGTCTGTAAGGAATAATAACATTAAATACCATTTATGTATTGGAACTTGCATTGGGTACTATGAATACATATATGTGCATACAAATACATATATTTCATCCTTAAAACCCTGCAAAATAGGACTGATTCTCTCCATTTTACAAAGCAGAGACAGACTTACAGGGGAGAGCTGACTGACCTGTAGTCACATAGCAGGGGAGAAGGAAATGATGTGTGCCCACACCTACTCGAGTGGATGACAGTAGAGGAGACTGGACACTCTGTTCTGTACCATCAGCCTTTTGTACCATATGTCTGTTTGCTCTTAGCCCTAGTGGTTCTTGAGCTCTAGCCCTGGAATCCTGGAGGCACAGGTTTAACCATCCCCTATGCATCCTAAGGATCTTCTGGCTCTAATGTGAGCAGACAGTTAGTGACTAGGTAGGGACCAGATAAGAAAGAAGAGGATTAAGGGTAGAGACCGAATGCAATGCTCTCTTCCTCTTCTCTTGCTTTTTTGAAGTCTATCCATCTCTGAAGGTCCAGAAGCTTCACTTCCTCAAGAAGCCCTCCCAGTCTTAAACCTTGTTCCAGAGGATTTGGTGCTATTTTCCTAAGCGTTCCTCCTATGTGGGTGAAGCACTCACTCCAATCAGCCTTGAAGGAGGACAGGGAGGACATCTCTCTCATAATCTCCACATTTTTCTCCTAGTGTTGCTAGTTTACCATACTTGGGAAATGCTTATTGAGCAACTGGTAGTAGAGTATGTGGTTCCACTGTAGAAACCCTGGGTAGAGTGACAGTAAGGCCAGATATAGTGGGTATTTTACTTCTATTTTTGGTCACCAATTCTTTTCTTGTGCTTGATAATACACTATCTTATGAGGCAGAGCCTATCTGCCACTCGAGAAGCTGAAAAAGCCACCTACTCACTACCCAAACTTCTTTGAAACTAGGGCTTGGGCACATGACCAGACTCCACCAGTTACATTAGTATATCCCTTGGCATCAGGAGTTAATGCTTAAAGAAGCAGGGAATGCATGGAATCTATTCTGGTGATGGGTGAATGCAGCTGAAGATGAGATAATCTGGTTTCCAGAGGCAATGGAAGTGTCCAGTCCACCACTACAAATGGTGGCATCCAGTTTCTAGTGGTGTTGTGAACAGTGTTTCCTCTTGGAAACTTCCGAGGTGAGATTTTGGGCATCATTCCTGGCTGTGTTGCTTCTGTACCTGGTTCTCCAGCTCTTTCAGACTCTGTGAACTATCTAATACCTGTTTAGCAAATTCCTTTCTACTTAAATCAGCCAGAGCTTATTCCTATTGCTTATAACCAAGAACTGACACATTGGGGATTCTAGTCCTGGTTCTGCCATGAAGAAACAGCTACATGAGGATCTGTCAGAGCTCATCTCTATGTTGTCATTTTGTGCCATGGCTTCTATGAAGGTCAAGATTTTTGGCTGCATTGCAATAGCTTTATCTTGACTTGATCTTCTGGTACAAGTGCTACTCCATTATTAGTGGGTACTTATACCTTTGAACTGGTTTACAGTGTTTATTATAGCGAAACCATTTATTCTAATGTAGTGACATGCTTGGTGGTCTATCCAGCATCAATTTTACCCCTCATCCAATATACAGCAGCTATGCAGTTAGGTGGGGTTGACATAACTTTTATATCCAAGAATGGGCCCATATTTGGCCTAAGCCAGTTAGCACAAACTCATATCCTAGGACACAATGATTGGTTCTGAAATGGACATGCACCCAAATTAGAGTGAACATCAACTTTTCTTTTTTTTTTAAATTTTATTATTATTACACTTTAAGTTTTAGGGTACATGTGCACAACGTGCAGGTTTGTTACATATGTATACATGTGCCATGCTGCTGTGCTGCACCCATTAACTCGTCATTTAGCATTAGGTATATCTAATAAAGCTATCCCTCCCCCCTCCCCCCACCCCACAACAGTCTCCAGAGTGTGATGTTCCCCTTCCTGTGTCCATGTGTTCTCATTGTTCAATTCCCACCTATGAGTGAGAACATGGGGTGTTTGGTTTTTTGTCCTTGCCGTAGTTTGCTGAGAATGATGGTTTCCAGTTTCATCCATGTCCCTACAAAGGACATGAACTCATCATTTTTTATGGCTGCATAGTATTCCATGGTGTATATGTGCCACATTTTCTTAATCCAGTCTATCATTGTTGGACATTTGGGTTGGTTCCAAGTCTTTGCTATTGTGAATAGTGCCACAATAAACATATATGTGCATGTGTCTTTATAGCAGCATGATTTATAATCCTTTGGGTATATACCCCGTAATGGGATGGCTGGGTCAAATGGTATTTCTAGTTCTAGATCCCTGAGGAATCGCCACACTGACTTCCACAATGGTTGAACTAGTTTCCAGTCCCACCAACAGTGTAAAAGTGTTCTTATTTCTCCTCATCCTCTCCATCACCTGTTGTTTCCTGACTTTTTAATGATCGCCATTCTAACTGGTGTGAGATGGTATCTCATTGTGGTTTTGATTTGCATTTCTCTGATGGCCAGTGATGATGAGCATTTTTTCATGTGTTTTTTGGCTGCATAAATGTCTTCTTTTGAGAAGTGTCTGTTCATATCTTTTGCCCACTTTTTGATGGGGTTGTTTGTTTTTTTCTTGTAAATTTCTTTGAGTTCACTGTAGATTCTGGATATTAGCCCTTTGTCAGATGAGTAGGTTGTGAAAATTTTCTCCCATTTTGTGGGTTGCCTGATCACTCTGATGGTAGTTTCTTTTGCTGTGCAGAAGCTCTTTAGTTTAATTAGATCCCATTTGTCAATTTTGGCTTTTGTTGCCATTGCTTTTGGTGTTTTAGACATCAAGTCCTTGCCCATGCCTATGTCCTGAATGGTATTGCCTAGGTTTTCTTCTAGGGTTTTTATGGTTTTAGGTCTAACATTTAGGTCTTTCATCCATCTTGAATTAATTTTTGTATAAGGTGTAAGGAAGAGATCCAGTTTCAGCTTTCTGCATATGACTAGCCAGTTTTCCCAGCACCATTTATTAAATAGGGAATCCTTTCCCCATTTCTTGTTTTTGTCAGGTTTGTCAAAGATCAGATAGTTGTAGATGCATGGCACTATTTCTGAGGGCTCTGTTCTGTTCCATTGATCTATATCTCTGTTTTGGTACGAGTACCATGCTGTTTTGGTTACTGTAGCCTTGTACTGTAGTTTGAAGTCAGGTAGCGTGATGCCTTCAGCTTTGTTCTTTTGGCTTAGGATTGACTTGGTAATGCGGGCTCTTTTTTGGTTCCATATGAACTCTAAAGTAGTTTTTTCCAATTCCGTGAAGAAAGTCATTGATAGCTTGATGGGGATGGCATTGAATCTATAAATTACCTTGGGCAGTATGGCCATTTTCACTATATTGATTGTTCCTACCCATGAGCATGGAATGTTCTTCCGTTTGTTTGTATCCTCTTTTATTTCATTGAGCAGTGGTTTGTAGTTCTCCTTGAAGAGGTCCTTCACATCCCTTGTAAATTGGATTCCTAGGTATTTTATTCTCTTTGAAGCAATTGTGAATGGGAGTTCTCATGATTTGGCTCTCTGTTTGTCTCTTACTGGTGTATAAGAATGCTTGTGATTTTTGCACATTGATTTTGTATCCTGAGACTTTCCTGAAGTTGCTTATCAGCTTAAAGAGATTTTGGGCTGAGACAAGGGGGTTTTCCAGATATTAAATCATGTCATCTGCAAACAAGGACAATTTGACTCCCTCTTTTCCTAATTGAATACCCTTTACTTCCTTCTCCTGCCTGATTGCCCTGGCCAGAACTTCCAACACTATGTTGAATAGGAGTGGTGAGAGAGGGCATCCTTGTCTTGTGCCCGTTTTCAAAGGGAATGCTTCCAGTTTTTGCCCATTCAGTATGATACTGGCTGTGGGTTTGTCATAAACAGCTCTTATTATTTTGAGATAGGTCCCATCAATACCTATTTTATTGAGAGTTTTTAGCATGAAGCATTGTTGAATTTTGTCAAAGGCCTTTTCTGCATCTATTGAGATAATCATGTGTTTTTTGTCTTTGGTTCTGTTTATATGCTGGATTGCATTTATTGATTTGCATATGTTGAACCAGCCTTGCATCCCAGGGATGAAGCCCACTTGATCATGGTGGATGAGCTTTTTGATGTGCTGCTGGATTCAGTTTGCCAGTATTTTACTGAGGATTTTTGCATCAATGTTCATCAAGGATATTGGTCTAAAATTCTCTTTTTTGGTTGTGTCTCTGCCCGGCTTTGGTATCAGGATGATGCTGGCCTCATAAAATGAGTTAGGGAGGATTCCCTCTTTTTCTATTGATTGTAATAGTTTCAGAAGGAATGGTACCAGCTCCTCCTTGTACCTCTGGTAGAATTCGGCTGTGAATCCATCTGGTCCTGGACTTTTTTTGTTGGTAAGCTATTAATTATTGCCTGGATTTCAGAGCCTGTTATTGGTATACTCAGAGATTCAACTTCTTCCTGGTTTATCCTTGGGAGGGTGTACGTGTCAAGGAATTTATCCATTTCTTCTAGATTTTCTAGTTTATTTGCATAGAGGTGTTTATAGTATTCTCTGATGGTAGTTTGTATTTCTGTGGGATCGGTGGTGATATCCCCTTTGTCATTTGTTATTACATCTATTTGATTCTTCTTTCTTTTCTTCTTTATCAGTCTTGCTAGCGGTCTATCAGTTTTGTTGATCTTTTCATAAAACGAGCTCCTGGATTCCTTGATTTTTTGAAGGGTTTTTTGTGTCTCTATCTCCTTCAGTTCTTCTCTGATCTTAGTTATTTCTTGCCTTCTGATAGCTTTTGAATGTGTTTGCTCTTGCTTCTCTAGTTCTGTTAATTGTGATGTTAGTGTGTCAATTTTGGATCTTTCCTGCTTTCTCTTGTGGGCATTTAGTGCTATAAATTTCCCTCTACACACTGCTTTGAATGTGTCCCAGAGATTCTGGTATTTGTGTCTTTGTTCTCGTTGGTTTCAAAGAACATCTTTATTTCTGCCTTCATTTCTTTATGTACTCAGTAGTCATTCAGGAGCAGGTTGTTCGGTTTCCATGTAGTTGAGCTGTTTTGAGTGAGTCTCTTAATCCTGAGTTCTAGTTTGATTGCACTGTGGTCTGAGAGACAGTTTGTTATAATTTCTATTCTTTTACATTTGCTGAGGAGTGCTTTACTTCCAACTATGTGGTCAGTTTTGGAATAGGTGTGGTGTGGTGCTGAGAAGAATGTATATTCTGTTGATTTGGGGTGGAGAGTTCTATAGATGTCTATTAGATCCACTTGGTGCAGAGCTGAATTCAATTCTTAGATATCCTTGTTAACTTTCTGTCTCATTGATCTGTCTACTGTTGACAGTGGGGTGTTAAAATCTCCCATTATTATTGTGTGGGAGTCTAAGTCTCTTTGTAGATCTCTAAGGACTTGCTTTATGAATCTGAATCTTGGTGCTCCTGTATTGGGTGCATATATATTTAGGATATTTAGCTCTTCATGTTGAATTGATCCCTTTACCATTATGTAATGGCCTTCTTTGTCTCTTTTTAACTTTGTTGGTTTAAAGTCTGTTGTATCAGAGACTAGGATTGCAACCCCTTCCTTTTTCTTGTTTTCCATTTGCTTGTTAGATCTTCCTCCATCCCTTTATTTTGAGCCTATGTGTGTCTCTGCACGTGAGATGGGTTTCCTGAATACAGCACACTGATGGGTCTTGACTCTTTATCCAACTTGCCAGCCTGTGTCTTTTAATTGGAGCATTTAGCCCATTTACATTTAAGGTTAATATTGTTATGTGTGAATTTGATCCTGTCATTATGATGTTAGCTGGTTATTTTGCTCGTTAGTTGATGCAGTTTCTTCCTAGCCTCAATGGCCTTTACAATTTGGCATGTTTTTGCAGTGGCTGGTACTGGTTGTTCCTTTCCATGTTTAGTGCTTCCTTCAGGAGCTCTTTTAGGGCAGGCCTGGTGGTGAGAAAATCAGTCAGCATTTGCTTGTCTGTAAAGTATTTTATTTCTCCTTCACTTATGAAGCTTAGTTTGACTGGATATGAAATTCTGGGTTGAAAATTCTTTTCTTTAAGAATGTTGAGCTCTCCCTCTCCCTCTCCCTCTCCTCCCTCTTTGCACGGTCTCCCTCTGATGCTGAGCCAAGGCTGTACTGTACTGCCACCATCTCGACTCACTGCAACCTCCCTGCCTGATTCTCCTGCCTCAGCCTGCCGAGTGCCTGGGATTGCAGGCGCATGCCGCCACGCCTGACTGGTTTTCGTATTTTTTGGTGGAGACGGGGTTTCGCCGTTTTGGCCGGGCTGGTCTCCAGCTCCTGACCGCGAGGGATCTGCCAGCCTCGGCCTCTCGAGGTGCCAGGATTACAGACGGAGTCTTGCTCACTCATTGCTCAACGTTGCCCAGGCTGGAGTGCAGTGGCGTGATCTCGGCTCGCTACAACCTCAACCTCCCAGCCACCTGCCTTGGCCTCCCAAAGTGCTGAGATTGCAGCCTCTACCCGGCCGCCACCCCATCTAGGAAGTGAGGAGTGTCTCTGCCTGGCCGCCCGTCATCTGGGATGTGAGGAGCCCCTCTGCCTGGCTGCCCAGTCTGGGAAGTGATGAGCGCCTCTTCCCGGCCGTCATCCCATCTAGGAAGTGAGGAGCGTCTCTGCCCGGCTGCCCATCGTCTGGGATATGGGGAGCGCCTCTGCCCCACCACCCCGTCTGAAATGTGAAGAGCGCCTCTGCCCGGCTGCGACCCGGTCTGGGAACTGAGGAGTGTCTCTGCCCCACCGCCACCCCGTCTGGGAGGTGAGGAGCATCTCTGACCGGCCCCCCTGTCTGAGAAGTGAGGAGCCCTTCCGCCCGGCAGCCACACCGTCTGGGAAGTGAGGAGCCCCTCTGCCCGGCAGCCGCCCCGTCTGGGAAGTGAGGAGCGTCTCTGCCCAGCAGCCGCCCTATCCGGGAGGTGGGGGGCAGCCCCCGCCCGGCCAGCCTCCCCATCCGGGAGGTGGGGGGCAGCCCCCACCTGGCCAGCTACCCCGTCTGGGAGGTGGGGGCAGCCCCCGCCTGGCCAAAGTGGGGGGCAGCCCCTGCCCGGCCGCTGCCCCATCTGGGATGTGGGTGGTGCCTCTGCCCAGCCGCCCCGTCTGGGAAGTGAGGAGCCCCTCTGCCTGACCACCACCCCGTCTGGGAGGTATACCCAACAGCTCATTGAGAATGGGCCATGATGATGATGGCGGTTTTGTCGAACAGAAAAGGGGGAAATGTGGGGAAAAGAAAGAGAGATCAGATTGTTACTGTGTCTGTGTAGAAAGAAGTAGACATAGGAGATGCCATTTTGTTCTGTACTAAGAAAAATTCTTCTGCCTTGGGATGCTGTTAATCTATAACCTTACCCCCAACCCCGTGCTCTCTGAAACACGTGCTGTGTCCACTAAGGGTTAAATGGATTAAGGGCGGTGCAAGATGTGCTTTGTTAAACAGATGTTTGAAGGCAGCATACTCGTTAAGAGTCATCACCACTCCCTAATCTCAAGTACCCAGGGACACAAACACTGCAGAAGGTGGCAGGGCCCTCTGCCTAGGAAAACCAGAGACCTTTGTTCACGTTTATCTGCTGACCTTCCCTCCACTATTGTCCTATGACCCTGCCAAATCCCCCTCTCTGAGAAACACCCAAGGATGATCAATAAATACTAAAAAAATTAAAAAAAAAAAGAATGTTGAATATTGGCCCCCACTCTCTTCTGGCTTGTAGAGTTTCTGCCAAGAGATCAGCTCTTAGTCTGATGGGCTTCCCTTTGTGGGTAACCTGACCTTTCTCTCTGGCTGCCCTTAATATTTTTTCCTTCATTTCAACTTTGGTGAATCTGACAATTACGTGTCTTGGAGTTTCTCTTCTTGAGGAGTATCTTTGTGGCATTCTCTGTATTTCCTGAACGTGAATGTTGGCCTGCCTTGCTAGATTGGGGAAGTTCTCCTGGATAATATCCTGCAGAGTGTTTTCCAACTTGGTTCCATTCTCCCCCTCACTTTCAGGTACACCAATCAGACATAGATTTGGTCTTTTCACATAGTCCCGTATTTCTTGGAGGCTTTGTTCATTTCTTTTTATTCTTTTCTCTCTAAACTTCTCTTCTCACTTCATTTCATTCATTTCGTCTTCCATCACTGATACCCTTTCTTCCAGTTGATCGAATCGGCTACTGAGGCTTGTGCATTCATCACGTAGTTCTTGTGCCGTGGTTTTCAGCTCCATCAGGTCCTTTAAGGACTTCTCTGCATTGGTTATTCTAGTTAGCCATTCGTCTGATCTTTTTTCAAGGTTTTTAACTTCTTTGCCATGGGCTCGAACTTCCTCCTCTAGCTCAGAGAAGTTTGACCATCTGAAGCCTTCTCCTCTCAACTCGTCAAAGTCATTCTCCATCCAGCTTTGTTCCATTGCTGGTGAGGAGCTGTGTTCCTTTGGAGGAGGAGAGGCGCTCTGATTTTTAGAATTTCCAGTTTTTCTGCTCTGTTTCTTCCCCATCTTTGTGGTTTTATCTACCTTTGGTCTTTGATGATGGTGACGTACAGATGGGTTTTTGGTGTGGATGTCCTTTCTGTTTGTTAGTTTTCCTTCTAACAGTCAGGACCCTCAGCTGCAGGTCTTTTGGAGTTTGCTGGAGGTCCACTCCAGACCCTGTTTGCCTGGGTATCAGCGGTGGTGTCTGCAGAACAGCAGATATTGGTGAACCGCAAATGCTGCTGCCTGATCGATCGTTCCTCTGGAAGTTTTGCCTCAGAGGAGTACCCAGCCATGTGAGGTGTCAGTCTGCCCCTACTGGGGGGTGCCTCCCAGTTAGGCTGCTCGGGGGTCAGGGACCCACTTGAGGAGGCAGTCTGCCCATTCTCAGATCTCAAGCTGCATGCTGGGAGAACCACTACTGTCTTCCAAGCTGTCAGACAGGGACATTTACGTCTGCAGAGGTTACTGCTGCCTTTTGTTTGTCTGTGCCCTGCACCCAGAGGTGGAGCCTACAGAGGCAGGCAGGACTCCTTGCGCTGTGGTGGGCTCCACCCAGTTCAAGCTTCCGGGCTGCTTTGTTTACCTACTCAAGCCTCGGCAATGGCAGGCACCCCTCCCCCAGCCTTGCTGCCACCTTGCAGTTTGATCTCAGACTGCTGTGCTAGTAATGAGCAAGACTCCATGGGCGTAGGACCCTCCAAGCCATGTGCAGGATATAATCTCCTGGTGTGCCGTTTTTTTAAGCCCATTGGAAAAGTGCAGTATTAGGGTGGAAGTGACCTGATTTTCCAGGTGCCGTCTGTCACCCCTTTCTTTGACTAGGAATGGGAATTCCCTGACCTCTTGTGCTTCCCGGGTGAGGCGATGCCTCGCCCTGCTTCAGCTCACCCATGGTGTGCCGCACCCACTGTCCTGCACCCACTATCCGGCACTCCCCTGTGAGATGAACCCGGTACCTCAGTTGGAAATGCAGAAATCACCCCTCTTCTGCGTCGTTCATGCTGGGAGCTGTAGACTGGAGCTCTTCCTATTCAGCCATCTTGGCTCCACCTCTGTGTGGCCCATTTCTGTGTAGTCCCAAGTCTGCATGCATAACTCTTTGCATATGCCTCAATGAATGTATGCCCCCGTTTCTGTGTGCCCCAGCACCAGTGTACCTCACTTTATGTATATCCCAGTATTTGCTTCTTCCACTCTTTGTGAGCCCCAGTGTCTGTGTATCTCAGTGTTTTTTTTCATGTCCTTGTCACTGTGGGACTGAGGTTCTGTGTGTCTCTGCATCAGCATGTTGTTGTGTCTCTGAGTTCCAGTTTTTGTGTGCTTCAGTCTCTGTACCTCAGTTTCTGGTGTCCCAGTGGCATGTATGTCCTAGGTTCTGTATGTTTCTCTCTCTGTGTTTTGCAGTGTCTGTGTATACCGGTACCTGTGTACTAGTGTCTGATCCCATTATCTTCATGTGTCAGTGTCCCTGTGTGTTCTGACATCTGTTCTAATGTCTATGTGTGTTAAGTATTAGTGCATGCCAGTGCCTCTATGTGTTTTAGTGGGTGTCTATGTTTTCCAATGGCTGTATGCATCTTTTTTTTTTTCTTTTTTTGTGACAGAGTCTTGCTCTTGTTGCCCAGGCTGGAGTGCAATGGCGTGATCTTCGCTCACTGCAACCTCCGCCTTCTAGGTTCAAGCAATTCTCCTGCCTCAGCCTCCTGATTACAGGTGCCTGCCATTACGCCCAGCTAATTTATATATATTTTTTAGTAGATACGGGGTTTTCACATGTTGGCCAGGCTGGTCTCGAAATCCTGACCTCAGGTGAATTGTTTGAGCTCTTTATACATTCTGGTTATTAATCCCTTGTCAGATGGGTAGTTTGCAAATATTTTGTCCCATTCTGTGGGTTGTCTCTTCACTTTGCTGATTGTACCTTTGCTGTGCAGAAGCTTTTTAACTTGCGTTGATCCCATTTGTCCATTTTTGCTTTGGTTGCCTGTGCTTGTGGGATATTGCTCAAGAAATTTTTGACCAGACCAATGACCTGAAGATTTTCCCCAATGTTTTCTTATAGTAGTTTCATAGTGTGAAGTCTTAGATTTAAGTCTTTAATCCATTTTGATTTGATTTTATATGTGGTGAGAGATTGAGGTCTAGTTTTATTCTTCTGCATATGGATATCCAGTTTTCCCAGCACCACTTATTGAAGAGACTTTCCTTTCCCCAATGTATGTTCTTGGCACCTTTGTTGAAAAGGAGTTCACTGTAGTTGTGTGGATTTGTTTCTGGGTTCTCTGTTTTGTTCCATTGGTCTATATGTATGTTTTACACGAGTACCATGCTGTTTTGGTTACTATACCCTTGTGGTATAATTAGAAGTCAGGTAATGTGATTCCTCCAGTTTTGTTCTTCTGGCTTAGGATAACTTTGGCTTTTCTGGGTCTTCTGTGGTTCCATGCAAGTTTTAGAATTTTTTTTTCTATTTCCGTGAAGAATGTCATTGGGATTTTGATAGGGATTGCATTAAATCTGTAGATTGCTTTGAGTAGCATGGACATTTTAAAAATATTGAGTCTTCCAACATGTCAACATGGAATATCTTTCCATTTTTAAATAACTTCTTCAATATCTTACATCAATGTTTTACAGTTTTCATTGCAGAGATTTTTCACTTCTTTAGTTAACTTAATTCTTAGGTATTTTATTTGTAGCTACTGTAAATGGGATTACTATCCTAATTTCTTTTTCAGATTGTTTGCAATTGCCATATAAAAATGCTACTAATTTTTGTATGTTGGCTTTGTATTCTGAAAGTTTACTGAATTTATCATTTCTAATACTTTTCTTGTGGAGTCTTTAGGTTTCTCCAAATATAAAATTCAATCATCTGCAAACAAGGGTAATTTGACTTCTTCCTTTCCCATTTGGATACTTTTTATTTCTCTATCCTATCTAATTGCTCTAGCTGGGACTTCCTGTACTCTATTGTGTAACAGTGGTGAAAGTGGGCATACTTGTTGTGTTTCAGAATTTAGAGGAAAGGCTTTCAGTTTTTCCCCATTTAGTATGATACTAGCTGTGGGTCTGCCATATATAGTTTTTATTATGTTGAGGTATGTTCCTTCTATAACCAGTTTTTGGAGGGTTTTTATCATGAAGGAATGTTGAATTTTATCAAGTGCTTTTTCAACATCAATTGAAATGATTATATGGTTTTGTCCTTCATTTGGTTGATAATAATACATCACATTGATTGATTTGCATACGTTGAACCATACTTGCATCCCTGGGATAAATTCTACTTGGTGATGATGAATGATCTTTTCAATGTGTTGTTGAATTCAGTTTACTATTTTTTTTTTGAGATGGAGTCTTGCTCTGTTGCTCAGGCTGGAGTGCAGTGGTGCAATCTCAGCTCACTGCAAGCTCCGCCTCCTGGGTTCATGCCATTCTCCTGCCTCAGCCTCCTGAGTAGCTGGGACTACAGTTGCCTGCCACCATTCCCGGCTAATTTTTTGTATTTTTAGTAGAGACAGAGTTTCACTGTGTTAGCCAGGATGGTCTCGATCTACTGACTTCATGATCCGCCCACCTTGGCCTCCCAAAGTGCTGGGATTACAGGTGTAAGCCACCGCGCCTGGCAGTTTGCTAATATTTTGTTGAGGATTTTTGCATCCACACTCATCAGAGTTGTTGGCCTATAGTTTTCTTTTCTTTTCTTTCTTTCTTTCTTTTTTTTTTTTTCTGATGTGTTTTTGTCTGGTTTTGATATCAGGGCAATACTGGCCTCATAGAATGAGTTTGGAAGTATTCCCTCCTCCTCTATTTTTTTGGAATAATTTGCGTAGGCTAATTTTTGTATTTTTAGTAGAGACAGGGTTTCACCTTGTTAGCCAGGATGGTCTCGATCTCCTGACCTCGTGATCTGCCCGCCTTGGCCTCCCAAAGTGCTGGGATTATAGGCGTGAGCCACCACGCCTGGCCGGACTTCTCTTTATTGGGAGACATTTTGTTTGATCCTATTAATAGTTACTGGTTTGTTCACGTTTGGATTTCTTCATGGTTCAATCTTGGTAGGTCGTATGTGTCTAGGACTTTGTCCATTTCTTCTAGATTTTCCAATTTATTGGCATATAGCTGCTCATAGTAGCCACTAATGATCCTTTGAATTTCTGCAGTATCATTTTGTAATGTCTCTTTTTTCTCCTCTTATTTTATTTATTTGGATCACCTCTCTTTTTTCTTAGTCTGGCTAAAGGTTTGTTAATTTTGTTGAACTTTTCAAAAAAAACTTTTTGTTTAATTGATCTTTTGTATTGTTTTCTTCATTTCAATTTCCTTTATTTCTTCTCTGATCTTCATTATTTCTTTTCTTTTGCTAATTTTGGGTTTGGTTTGCTCTTGCTTTTCTAGTTCCTTCAGATGTATCATTAGGTTGTTTAAGCTTTTCTTCATCTTTAATGTGGGCATTTATACTATAAAGTTCCCTCTGAGTACTGCTTTTGCTGTATCCCATAAGTTTTGGGATGTTGTGTTCCCATTGTCTTTTCTTTCAAGAAAATTTTTAATTTCCTTCTTAATTTCTTCATTGACCTATTGGTCATTCAGGAGCATATTGTTTAATTTCCATGTATTTCTATAGTTGCCAAAATTTCTCTTATTGATTTAGAAATGAATAGTTTTACTTCATTGTGGTCAAATAAGAACCTTGATGTTATTTCAGTTTTTTGAATGTTTTAAGACTTGTTTTGTGACCTAACATATGGTCTTTCCTTGAAAATGATCCAAGTGCTAAGGAAAATAATGTGTACTCTGCAGCCATTGGATGAAATATTCTGTAAATATGTATCAGGTCCACTTAGTCTATAGTGCAAATTAAGTCTGAGTTTGTTAATTTTCTGTCTGGAAGATCTGTCCAATATTAAAAGTGGGATGTTGAAGTCTCCACTTATTATTCTATTGGGGTCTATCTCTCTCTTTGCTTGTAATAATATTTACTTTATATATCTGGGTATTCCATTGTTGGGTGCGTATATATTTAAAATTGTCATATCCTCTTGCTTATTGACCCTTTTATCATTATATAGTCTCTTCTTATAGTTTTTGCCTTGGAATCTATTTTCTTCTGATACAAGTACAACTACTCCTACTCTTTTTTGGTTTCCATTGTCACGGAATATCTTTTTCCATCCCTTTATTTGCAGTCTATGTGTGTCTTAATAGGTGAAGCGTGTTTCTTGTAGGCACCAGATCAATGGATCTTGTTTTTTTTTTTTAATCTATTCAGCCACTCTATGTCTTTTGATTGGAACATTTAGCCCATTTGCATTCAACGTTATTATTGATAAGTAAAGACTTACTCCTGGCATTTTGTTATTGGTTTTCCTATTTTTTTGTGGTCTGCTTTTCCTTCTTTTTTCCATTCTGTCTTTCTTTTAGCAAAGGTGATTTTCTTTGGTGATATGATTTAGTTTCTTATTTTCTTGTTTTTTGTGTATCTGTCATGCGTTTTTTGCTTTGAGGTTACCATGAAGCTTGTAAATACTATCTTATAACCCTGGGTTTTTTTTTGTGTGTGTGGTCTTCTCTTCTTTCTCCTTCCTGTCTTCCTTTTAGTGAAGATGATTTTCTATAATGATATGATTTTGCCAGGTGCAGTGGCTCATGCCTGTAATCCCAGCACTTTGGGAGGCCGAAGTGAGTGGATCATGAGGTCAGGAGATTGAGACCATCCTGGTTAACACAGTGAAACCCCATCTGTACTAAAAATACAAAAATTTATCCAAGTGTGGTGGCGAGTGCCTGTGGTCCCAGCTACTTGGGAGGCTGAGGCAGGGGAATGGCATCAACCCAGGAGGCAGAGCTTGCAGCTAGCTGAGATCGCACCACTGAACTCCAGCCTGGGTGACAGAGCGAGACTCAGTATCAAAAAAAAAAAAAAAAAAAAGATATGATTTAGTCTCTTGCTTTTTTATTTTTTGTGTGTCTGTTGCATGTTTTTCAGTTTGAGTTTACCATGAGGCTTTCAAATACTTTCTTATAATCCATTATTTTAAGCTGATAACAACCCTGTTTGCACAAACAGACATAAAGAAAATTATTAAAGACTTTATGCCTTAACTTCATCTCCTCATTTTCTAATTTTTTGTTGTTACTATTTAGGTCTTATCGTACTATGTCTTGGAAAGTTGTTGTAGTTAGTAGTTTTGATTGGCTCATCATTTAGTCTTTCTACTTAGGATAAGAGTAGTTTACACACCACAGTTACAGTGTTATATTCTGTGTTTTTCTGTGTATCTTCAGGTGATTATTTATTGCTCAGTCATATCCTTGTCTTTCTGATTGAAGTACTCCCTTTAGCACTTCTTATAGGATGAGTCTGTTATTGATGAAATCCTTCAGCTTTTGTTTGTCTGGGAAAGTCTTTATTTCTCCTACATGTTTGAAGGGCATTTTCATGAGATTTACTTTTCTAGGGTAAAAGTATTTTTCCTTTCGCATTTTAATATGCCATGCCACTCTCTCTTGGCCTTTATGATTTCCACTGAAAAGTCTGTTGTCAGACACATGGGAGATTCATCGTCTGTTATTTGTTTCACTGCTTTTAGGATGCTTTCTTTAACCTTGACCTTTGGGAGTTTGATTATTAAATACCTTGAGGTAGTCTTCTTTGGGTGAAATCTGCTTGGTGTTCTATAATCTTTTTGTGCTTGAATATTGATATCTTTCTCTAAGTTTGGGAAGTTCTCTGTTATTATCCCTTTGAATAAACTTTCTACCCCTATCTCTTTCTCTACCTCCTCTTTAAGGCTAATAACTCTTAGATTTGCTCTATTGAAGCTATTTTCTAGATCCTGCAGGCATGCTTCATTGTTTTTTATTCTTTTTTCTTTTGTCTCTGACTGTGAATTTTCAAATAGCTTGTCTTGAAGCTCATTAATTCTGTCTTCTGCTTGATCATTTCTGCTATTAAAAGACTCCAATGCATTCTTCAGTATATCAATCGCATTTTTCAACCCCAGAATTTGTTTCATTCTTTTAAATTATTTCAATCTCTTCGAATTCTGAATTCCTTCTCTGCATTAGCTTGAATTTCTTTGAGTTTCCTTAACACAGCTATTTTGAATTATCTTTGATATCACATTTCTTTAATATGTGAAAGGTCACATATCTCTATTTCTCCAGGATTGGTCCCTGGTGCCTTATTTAGTTCATTTGGTGAGGTCATGCTTTTCTCGATGGTCTTGAGACTTGTGGATGTTCGCCTGTGTTTGGGCATTGAAGAGTTAGGTATTTAGTCTAGTCTTCACAGTCTGGGCCTGTTTGTACCCATCCTTCTTGGGAAGGCTTTCCAGATATTAGAAAAGACTTAGGTGTTGTGATCTAAGCTGTATCTGCATTAGGGGCAACCAAAGCCCAGTAATGCTGTGGTTCTTGCAGACTTGTAGAGGTATTGTCTTGATGGTCTTGGACAAGATCTGGAAGAATACTTTGGATTTCCAGGCAGAGACTCTTTTTTCTCTTCTCTCTCTTTCTCCCAAACAAGTCTTTCTGTTATGAGCCACCTGGAGTTCTGGGTGGAGTGAAACAAGCACCTCTGTGGCCGCCACTATTAAAACTGCACTGTGTCAGACTTGAAGTCAGCACAGCACTGGGCCTCACCCAAGTCTTGGCATAACCACTCTTTGGCTACCACCTATGTTTGCTCAAGGCCCTGGGGCTTTATAATCAGCAGGTGGCAAAGTCAGTCAGGCTTATGTCCTTCCCTTCAGGGCAGTGAGTTCCCTCAGGCCCCGAATAGGTCCAGAGATGCCACCCAGGTACCAGGTACTGGAGTCAAAAACCTTAGAAATCTACCTGATGTTCTATTGTACTGTGGCTGAGATGAAACTCAATCCACAAGACACAGTCCTTCCCAATCTTCCCTCACTTTTCTAAAGGCAGAGGAGCCTCACCCCATGCCCACTGCCACCACAGACTCACAGGGAGTACTGCCAGGCTACCACTGATGTTCCCTTAAGAATCAAGGGCTCTTCAATCAGCGTGTGTTAGATGTTGCCTGGCCTGGGACTCACCATTTAGGGCAGTGGGCTCCCCTCTGGCCTAAGGCAGGTCCAGAAATGCCATCCAAGATCCAATACCTGGAATTGGTAACCCTAAGAGCCCTCTTCATGCTCTACCCTGCAAGTTTGAGCTGGTACCTAAGGTGCAAGACAAAGTCCCCTTTACTTTTCCTTCCACTTTAGTGGAAGGAGTGAGTCTTGCCCCATAGCCATTACAGCTGGGAATGTGTTAAGTCTCATCTGAAGCCAGCAAGTCTGAGAGTCTCACCCAAGGCTCTTGACGTAGTACCTGGGTATCACTGTTAGTTATTCAGGGACCAAGGGCTCTTCAGTTAGCAGGCAAGGAATCCTGCCACAACTGGGTCCTTCCCTTCAATGCAGCAGGTTCCCTTCTGGCCCAGGGTGTGTCTAGAAATGTTGTCTGGGAACTGGGGCCTAGAAAGGGTGCCTCACAACTCTGACCAGTACCCTGTCCCATTGTAGCTTAGGTGGTATCCAAGATGCAAGACAAAGTCCTCCCCACTCTTCCCTCTTCTCTCCTCAAGTGGAAGGAAGAAGTCTCTTTCGGAGCTGCCAGCTATGCAGCCTGGGGTTAGGGGAGGTGTTGTGCCAGTACTCCCTTTGCCTCCCTGCCTAATGTCTCTGTCGGTTGAGTGGCCTCCCCTCCCCAGTCCACTGTTTCAGTGCCCAGTTTAGCACTAGGACTTGCTTAGGAGTTGCAGTCCTTGTGTCCTAGACTGCCTTTCATGTTTATTTGGGGCCCCAAAACACTTTGGCCCAAGGTGGTGTGGCTTGTGGGAACTCAAATTTCAACTGCTGGGATGGGCAATTGCCCTCTGGCTAGGGCTAATTTAAATGTTCCCTCTGTGTGCAGGCGTCAGCTGAGTTCGTTATTTTGCTTTCTGCTATGACAGGGCAGCACTGAGTTCAATGCCTCACTTCAATTGCTGTGCTTTCCCTCTTCCAAGTAGTCAGATTCTCTCTCCACACCCCTCAGCCACTGCTAGGGGATGGGGAGGTGGTGTCAGTGAGTCAAGACTGTTTTTCCTACCTCTTCAGTGCCTCTTTCAGTGATATGAAGTTAAAACCAGGTACTGTGAGTGCTCACCTGATTTTTTGTTCTTAAGAAGTTGCTTTTTTTGTGTAGATAGTTGTTTAATTGGTGTCCTTGAGGGGAAGGCAGGGGATGATAGGTGGAGCCTTCTATTCCGCCATCTTACACTGCCTCCCTCTGTATTCTTCTGTCTGGGTGTCTCTGAGGCTCTGTGTTCCAGGGTCTGCATGTTCATAAATCTGCATATGCCTCTTTCCATATGCCCTGTGTTAGTGAGTCCCCGAGTCTGTGCATTTCTGGAACTTTACTTTCCATGTTTGTGTCTCTGTGTTTCTGTATTTATCCTCTTCTCCATCTATTTTCCCCAGCTTTTGTCGATATCTCTGTATTATTGTTTCTTTATGTTACTGTGGTTGTGTTTTAAGTTGTTCTGTGATTCAGTCCCTCTCTTTTTCAGTTCCTGTGTCTTTTTCTCTGGGTTCCCATGACTGTTGACATTTCTGTGAGTCTGTTTGTCAGGGTGTCTTTCCGCATCTGTTTCTCTTTCTGTGTCACTCTGCCCCTGGTTTTGTTTTGGTCTGGCTCACCTCCTCTGTGTTCCTGCCTCTCTGTTTGCGTCTGGTGTCTGGTTCCATATCTTTTTATCTTTAAGCCACTATCTCTGTGTACCTGGGTCTGATTCCCTGTTCCCATGCCTTCTGTTGTGGCCTTGGTTGTCTGTCTGTGTGTAACTTTTTCTGGTGTTGCCAGGTGCATGTTGGTTCGGTGTCTTTGCACCCTTGCTTCTCTGGATATACTTCTTTGTCACATGTTTATGCCCATTTGCTTATATTCTGTCTGTCTGATCTATGTGTTTAGGTTTCCTTGTTCCTGTTTCTATCTTACCAGACATGTCCCTGTGTTTCTGTCTCTGTGTCTAGCCTGTGTCCATATGACTGTGTTTGTGGGTTCACATCCCTATGTCTACTTGTTCTGGGTTCTCTGTCTCTGAATTCCCAATGTGCCTCTCACTGTGTCACCATGTCCCCATTTTACCTGGGTCTGCATCTTGCCTCTCCTTATGTCTCTGGCCTGAACCTTATCTCTTTTCTTGTAACTGTTCAAGTATCCGAGTCTCCATGTCTTTATCTGTGGATCTGTGAACATATGAGTCTGTGCTCCTGTCTCACTCTTAGTGTATTCCTTTGCCTATATCCCTATCTTTGTCACCAAGCCTCAGTCTGTGTAACATCTCTGTTTCTACATCTTTATATGTCTCTGGCCCTGTGTTTCTCTGTTCTTCTCCTATTCTCTGCCTCATGTCTGCAAATCAGCATGTCTGTGTATCTCTGAGTTTCTACCCCTCTGACCTTGGTGTCTTGGACTGTGGTCCTGGTCAGTGTCTCCTTGGTTACCTATGTCCCCATGTCTCTGTGTGTCTTAATACCTCTGCTCCTGTGTCTGAATCTCTATGTTTATCTATCTCTTAGTTTGTATATAGTTATGTATCAGTGTCTTTACATTACTCATTATGTGTCTGTACCTAAGTGACCTTTTTTACTCTTTGCCTCTTTGTGACAGGGACAGTAACTGAAAACCACGAAGACACAGAGGTGCAGCCAGAGAGCATCTGTTCCTTTTTCTCTGAGTTTATGTCCCTGATTCTGCCACTCTGGCTCCCTGTCCCCATCTTTTTATGTCTCTATACCCCTATGTCCATGTTTGTTTTGTGATTCCTGTGTTTCCATAAATGTCTGTCCCTCTATCCATCCATATCTGTGCCCTTGTCACTGTTTTTCCGGGTGTGATCCTGTGTCTTTGGTTGTGAGTATGTATATATGTGTGTCTATTGCTATGTTATGGGATCCTTTTTTGTTAATTAATTAATTCATTCTTTTAACAAATATTTACTAAGCACCTATTATGTGAGAGGCACTGGGGATACATAGATGATTCAGAAAAGGTCCTTGCCCTCAAAGATCTCACAGTCTAAGTCAGGGATCCAGACAAGTAAACAGATGATTACTACACAGTATAAATACTGTGAGCGTGGAGGGTTGGGGGTGGGCTATAGGAACCCAGAGGACAGGACCAAACTCAATCTAGGGCAGGCATCAGGAAAGGCCTCCTAGAAGAGGTAACAACTAGGATTTGAAGGATGAATTATACTCACCTACAGGAACAAAGGAAGAGTGTTTCATGCAGAAGGAAAAGCACATGCAATGGTCCAGTGGTAGGAGTGAGCATGGTTTGTTAGGGAAACTCTGAGAGCCTTGAATATGCCATAGGAGTTAGGGAAAGCTGTGAGCAGAACTACTGATCATTTTTTCGTTTTACAAAAGTGGCTTGTAGGGCTGGTGAGGAGCATGGATTTGGAGAGGGTGAGACTGGAGATGTGAAGGACCATGAAGATGCAGGAGTCCCTGACTCTATGTCTCTGCATGTCTATGTGTTTGTATACCCTTGTATATGTGTTCCTTAGAACATGCGTGAGTCTGTGTGTCCCTGTGTGTGCTTCCATGTCCTTGGGTCTCTGTCCCTGGCTCACCCCATGCCCTGGTTTCTGGATCTCCCAAATTCAGGTCTCCTGGCTCTGGAATTCAGAAGCCATCACAGGACATAGGAGAGGTAGGGGTGGCCCAGAAGCAGCTCTACATGAGAGCGCTTCACCAGCCAGCAGGAAGCCCAGCGGGGCAGCAGCCTTGGTGAGTCCTTCAGCAGCCTCTTGCCTAGAATCACAGGCACATCTGGGCCATGGTGCCTTCGTAAGCATGGCCCCATAGGTCCTGTCACCAGTCGGATGTCTGCGTGCTGGAACTGCCCTGAGGGAGAGAGATGCAGTGCTAGTCAGGGAGGTGGCCTGAGTCCCTGCTCAGAGATCTGCAAGGAGGCCCAGCAGGAAATCCAGAGGGATTTAAAGGAGGAAGAAGGAGGGGCAGCAAAAGACCAGAGGGAAGAGGCTTGGCATTGTGGGAACTGTACAGGAGCCAGATGGGGCTGGAGTGTAATATGGAAGTAGGGAGCCAAAGTACATGAGATGGCAGAGAAAGGGGGACAGCCAGGTTTGGAGAAGACAGGGAAGATTAGAAAGAAGGAGACAAGAGGAGGGAGGAGGCCCAGAGGAGGTAAAAATATCTGTTTAACCCACTGTCACTCTTTGATGTGAGCCTCTGCCTCAGGTTCTGCCAGTGTCTCCTGACCTACAGCCTGGCTTCCTACAACCTCCCTTCATAGCAGTCTCCAGAGGGATCTTTGTAACACCCAGATATGACTGTGTCTCTCCTCGGCTTACAACCCTTCATGGCTCCTCATTGCTTTCAGGATAAAGCCCAATTCCTCATCCTGGCATTCAACTCTGACCACTCAACTCTATTTCCTCCAACTTCCATTCCTTTCCTCCACACTCTTGTTTAGCCTTTCAGACTCAGCGTGGGTGTGTCTACCTCCTCCAGGAAGTCCTTCTTGAGCTCTGAGGCTGGGCAAATTCCCCCACTCTGGTTTTCTCTAGCTCCCTGGGCAGCTTTCTGTCCAGCAATGATCCCCTCCTGTGTTCACTATCCATATCTGGGTCTGTCCTCTCCCAAGATGAGGAGCTCCCCAAGGGAAGAGTCTGTTGCTGATTCCTCTTCCTTGTTGGGGATATACATGCCTTTCACCCTGGCAGGGTCTTTTTGGTGGCTGGTGCTCCCTGGCCCCTCTCAGCCTCAGCTGCACTTACCTATCAGGCCACGGGCTGAGGGGCTGAGGCCTGAGCCATTGGCCACGTAGAACCCCAGGTGGGGTAGTTGCAGGGTACTGGGATGCCTGTAGCGGTGTCGGAGGACTAGGAACTCAAGGTAGGGCCCAAGGCGGAGGGTAAGGCGGGCTGCAGCAGCCACATAGAGCTCCAGCTGGGGCCTCTTCAGCAGGGCAGGTTGGTCCCAGGACAGGCGCAAGGTACCCTCGCCTCGCAAAGATATAGAACTGCGGCTGATGGTGATAGTATAGGCCCGGGGTTTGTCTGTAGTGACTGTGATGATCTGGAAGTAGGTGCGAGTCTGGTCCTTGTGGCCCGGCCTTGGTGGTGCGCCAAGCAGCTTCCCACTCACATGCAGCCCTGGAGGGAGGGGAGTGTGGGCCTGGAGCGGGGGCTTTTGCATGGTCATTTACATGGTCACCCACAGCATGGGCAGATGAAGTAGTGCAGATTTGTGGCTAGAGGGCCGACTCCTGAGAGAACTACTTCTACCATGGTCCACCTGGCTGCTCCTTCCTGAGCAGTGTGTGGAGTGGGGGCATGTAGTATGTGTGCACACGCTTACCCCAGTGTGGTTGTTTGCATATATATGTGTGTTTGCCTCTGAGTGTGTAATATGTGTGTTTGGTTATGTTCATATGAGTAAGTCTGGGCATATCAGTACATCTGCATGTTTGGAGAAGGTGGTATGTTAGAGTGCGTATTTTTGCTTGTATATTTATGTATGCGCCTCTGGATATGTTGGTGTTATATGTCTTGGTGCAATAGTGTATGTTGTGTGTACCTGGTTATGTGTTGGTCTGTGCTGATGTGTATATGGAGTGTCAGTGTGTGCATCTGGATTAGTGTCATTGTTTGGCTTGGCAGGTATTTCCATGCATCAGTGTATTTCATATAACTAGTGTAGCAGAGTATGTTTGCTGCCTGTATGTGTTGAATACCTGGAAATTGGGATTAACCTTGGGGTATTCAGTACTTGTATGCCCGAGTGTGTTGATGTCCATGCCATTGTGTATATCTGGGCATGTGTTGTGTGTCACCATGTGTCTAGGTGCATATTTGCATATTTGTGGGTGAAAGGAGTGTCAAAATATGTACACCATGGTGTGTATGAGGAGTCTTCAAAAAGTTCATGGAAAATGCATTTTATGAAAAACTATGGATGGATTTCAAAATTTTTTGCACCAAAATAAACTCATACTAATTTGTTACAACACGGATGAACCAGATCTAGTTTGAAGCATTAAGAAGGACAAGACATCAGTTTGAAAAGAGCCCCTATCAGAGCAGCATGAACTCTGCTAAAATTGAAGGAAGAACAATTTATGGTGAAGCTTGGGTGCAAGAATGGTAAAATTATTGGCATTTTATGAAAAGTTTATAAGGACAATGTCCTAAAGAAAGCAGAAGTTTACAAATGGATAACTCGTTTTAAGAAGGGATGAGACAATGTTGAAGATGAAGAAGGCTGCAGTGCAGACCATCTACATCAATTTTCGAGGAAAAATTCATCTTGTTCATGCTCTAATTGAAGAGAACTGGCAATTAACAACAGAAACAATAGCCAACACCATAGACATCTCAATTGGTTCAGCTTACACAATTCTGATGGAAAAATTAAAGTTGAGTAAACTTTCAACTTGACAGGTGCCAAAACCATTGCACCCAGATCACCTGCAGACAAGAGCAGAGCTTTCAATGAAAACTTTAAACAAGTGGGATCAAGATCCTAAAGCATTCCCTCAAAGAAGTATAACAGAAAATGAAACATGGCTTTATCAGTATGATCCTGGAGACAAAAGCACAATCAAAGCAATGGCTACCAAGAGGTAGAAGTGGTTCATTCAAAGCAAAAGCAGACTTGTCAAGAGCAAAGGTCATGGCAACTGGTTTTGGGAGATGCTCAAGACATTTTACTAGTTGACGTTCTGGAGGGCCAAAGCATGATAATATCTGCTTATTATGAGAATGTTTTGAGAAAGTTAGCCAAAACTTTAGTAGAAAAATGCCTGGGAAAGCCTCACCGGAGAATTCTCCACCATGACAATGCTTCTGCTCATTTCTCTCATCAAACAAGGGCAATTTTTCAAGAGTTTTGATGAGAAATCATTAGGCATTGACCTTACGGTCCTGATTTGGCTCCTTCTGACTTATTTTTGTTTCCTAATCTTAAAAAATCTTTAAATGGCACCCAGTTTTCTTCATTTTTAAATAATGTATAAAATACTGCATTAACATGGTTAAATTCCCAGGACCCTCAGTTCTTTAGGGATGGACTAAATGGCTGCTATCATTGCTTATCTTGTACTTGATGGAGCTTATGTTGAGAAACAATGTTTATGTTTTTAATTTTTTATCGTTTAATTCCATTTTACCACAAACTTTTTGAAGTTCCATCATATTTGTGTGAGTTTACTCTATGCCCTTTTGTGCGTGTATCTGTGAGTATCTTGGTGTTTGAGTGTATTCATGTGTGTTTTTTTGTGTGTCTTGGTGTGTTCTTGTGTGTTACCGTGTGTTAGTGAGGTGCATTGCTATGTGTCTGGGGTATTAACCCACAAATGTCTAGGGGTATTGACATGGATATATCCAGCTTTGGTGTATGGTGATGGAGTTCTTGGGGCTCTTACCTGCCTTTGGGTCCTCTATGAGCTGCAGCAAGTCCCCAGGGTGCCCATTCAGTGTGAAGCAGATCTTCTCTTCTGAGTGTGGGATTTGGATCACAAAGTGGGGGTCCCCGTCCACTGCAAGGCAGAAGATACAACTCTAAAGTTAAAGGAATAAATGGAAGGGAGAGGGAAAGAGAGAGGAGGGAAAGGGAAGAGGTTATGTCTATTTCCCCAGCCCCAGTCCCAGTGCACAAGCTGCCCTGTACTCAAACAGGGGAGCCATGGGGGTGACTGGCTTACCTGAGGAGGAGAAGGTGAAGATGCTAGGCAATGTGCCTGCAAAGGAGAGAGAGACTGTGTTGGGAAGGGACTAATGTATCACATTCCTAGGAATTCTGGGACATACTCCCAGATAAGGGCCAAATTCCTGTGTTCAGCATTTAAGGCTTTTCTGAAATCTAGTCCCTGCCTAGCTCTCCAGTCTTTGTGCTCTAGCCCAACCAAACTATTGTTATGAGTGTCCTACCTTCTCTTCCTAGTGACCCTTTACTCCTGTTTTTCCTGCCACCTGGAATGTTTTCCTTTCCCTTAACTACCAAGGATGAATTTCTAGTTATCCTTCAAGGCCAGCCCAAATGCTCTTTTCTCTTGCTCTCTGCCTGTGGTAGGTAGAATTCTAAGATGGCCCACAGGATCTCTTGGTGTACACACTCTGTAAAATCTCCAGAGCTGTGAATATGATGAAATATCCTCCCAGAAATAGGTTATTTCATGTGACCCTATTGAACTTATGAAGGGTATATTATCCAGGTGGGGCCTGACCTAATCACGTAAGCCCTTAATATTTGTATCTAGAGGTCAGAGACAGAGGAGTCAGAGAAATTTAAAGTGTGAGAAGGGTTTGGCATTAGGGGAATGCTCCATAGCTGCCTTTGAAGATGGAGGGGGACCACATGGCAAGGAATGCAGGAGATTTCTAGGTACTGAGAGTGGCCCCAGGTAACCTCTTGCAGCTGAGAGCGATCCTCCAGCCAACAGCCAGCAAGAAAATGGGAACCTCAGTCCCAGCAACACAAATAACTAAATTCTGCTAACAACGTGAATGAGTGTGGAAGAGGATGAGAGCTCAGTGTGACAGACACCTTGATTTCAATCTTGTGAGATCCTGAGCAGAGAATCTAACTAAGCTATTTCTAGACTACTGACTAACAGAACTGTGAGATTATTAATTGGTGTTGTTTTAAGCTACTAAATTTGTGATAAATGTTACACAACAATAGAAAACTAATACATTACTTCCCTCTGGTCTCCCACAATGTCAATAAGAATTCTAATGGAATGGAAATGAAGGCCCAGGGGATCTTTGTCAGGAGAGCTCCTTGCTCACCTTTTGCTAACCCCACAGAACTTCCTTGAGATTCCATGCTGCCTCCAGCTCCTCCCAGGATCTCCTCAGAATTGCCATCCCAGTTTGGACTTCCTGCCAAGCACAAAAGAAATAAGAAAACCCTTCAAATTCCAGGGGCAAAGTCTCAAAATCTTTCTGACAAGGAGAGCCCTCACTGGCTCTGCAGGTTGACCTGCCCATCTCCAGGACTGGGACCTTATGCTCTCCACAGCCTCTTAATCTCTCAAGCTCAGATATGTTCAAAGTTCTTCCTTATAGCATTTATACATTCATTTGTCCATTCATTCATTCATTCATTCATTCAGGCATTGCTTAGGTATTAGGTATATGGTGGTGAAAAATAAAGACATAGTTTCTGACCTGGTGAAGCTCATAGTTTAGTAGGGGGTGGCAGACATGAATGAAATCATAATTTATCACAAATGGTGATAAATGCTATTGGAAAAAAATAATGAGGTGACTGTGGGAGTTAAACAGAGACCTGAAGTAGCCTGCTTGGGGGAGGGTGGGTAAGGAGATCTGAGCTGAGATCTAAGGCATGAGCTGGAGTTCGAAGGGCAATGGAAGGGATAAGGGCAGCAGGAAGGGGTAGGACAAAGCAGGTCAGATGATTATGAAGCAGAGACAGTAGCTTGAAAAAAGTCCCTGAGTGGAGATGGGGTAGGGTGTTCATTGGAGGGGCAAAATAGAGACCAGTGGGGCTGGAGTTCAGAGAATGGGTGGGAGAGAGTGAGGTCATAGAGGAATGGGGGTAGGGAGCAGATCATGCAGAGCCTGCTGGCCATGAAGAGGACTTTTAACTTCATTCTAAGTACGATGGGAAACCCTTGAGGGATTTTAAGTAGGGAAGGGGCATGAAGTGATTTGTGTCTTTAAAGGATCCCTTTGGCTGCTGGGAGAGACTGGCCTGTAACAGGACAGGAGAGGAAGCAGGGAAACCAGTGAGGAGCCTGGAACAGTTTTCTAGGTGAGACACAATGGTGGTCTGCTGTAGCACAGTGACACTTGGGGTGGTGGGAAGTGGATGGATTTGGTAAATATATTAGAGGTAGCATTGTCAATAACTGAGGATGGATAGGATATTGGAGGGGTGTCTGAGGAGAGAGGCATGTAGAGGATGTCATACCCAAATTTGCATCCCTGTGACTTAGGCACTCTCAGTGGGTTCTAATCCTGCCCTATAAGGTCACCTAGGAAATGTCACTCCTTCTCTTAGGAAGGCAGGATACTGGAGTGGTGAATCACATTCATTCTGTGACCAGATTGTATGAGTTCAACTCTCTGACTAGCTGTGTGACATTGAGAAACTTATTTTACCTCTCTGTGCTTCATTCTCCTCACGTGTAAAATGACGATGTCAAGAAAGAAAGATGTTTCTTGTGAGGATTAAATGAGGGACAAGTACAGTATGTAGAGCAGTACTTGTGCATAGGAAGAGCTCACAAATGTTAACTTATTATTTCATACTTTTTTTGGAAATTAAAGATAATTTTAATTATCTTCCCCAATTCTTCTACCCCTGTCATTAAGCAGGACTATTCACAGAGCACAGAAAAACCAATAAGACCCGCCTCATCCAATGATGCATTCCTCCCCTGCTTAGGAAGCATCAGCAATTCTTTTGTCCAACAAAACAAATGTCAAAGCTAACCCTTGGCCAATTTGTTTCTGTTCAGCCTTCCCAGTCTCAACACTCCTCCTCTCCCAAGGCCTCTAATTCCATGCATGTATACTGAGGCCCAGAGAAGTTAAGTAACTTGTCCAAAGTCCCAAAGCAAGCAAGCAAGCAAGCAAGCAAGCAAGCAAGCAAGCAAGGAAGCAGCTGTCCCATCACTGGAGTCTGCATAAGCCTTGTAGATTCCCAGCTCCTGGTACTGTCCATTCATACCTCACCCTCATGGCTCGACCTCTTACCCATGGCACTCACCATCTTCATCAGGAGTGAGGAAGGTATAGAAAGCTGGTGGGTTCAAGGACTCCACGAACTTGGATTCCACCATTGATTCAGACAGCAGCTCTAGCTCCTCAGGGAGAAGGAGCAGACTGATGGCCTCAGGGAGGATGCTAGAAGGCAGCAAGATTGGCAGGTTTGGAGGGCTGCCTTCTGGTGTAGGCCTGGAGCTGTTGAGTAGGCTCATTGTTGGAACTCCTGGCCTAGATGGTCCCAGAACTTGCCTGGTCCTCTGGGGACCCGGGAGGAGGTCATACTGATGCCAGAACCTTCCAGGGGGCAGAGTGGGAGTAAAGGGCATGGGGAGGGGTTCTCCAAGGACAGAGGTGGTTGTGGTACTGCTGGGACCTGTGGAACTTGAGATTGTATTTGGGAATGTGCTTAGGCTCTCAGGAAGTGGGGGCCTTGGTCTGTCAGGTCTAGGAGGTAGTGGGGTTTGAGGCATATGGGGGTTTGGGGTCTCAGGCTTGGAAAGTGATATGCTTGTGGAAATTTGGTGTGGTGGGGCACTCGGTTTAAGAGATAATAAGATTTTAGGGGTCTTGGACAAGAGGATTCCAGGCCCCAGGTGTGGCATGTTGTTTCGGGTCTTGGGAGCAGGAACCCTAGGTCTGGTGTGTAGTGGGTACTTGGGAACCTGAAGTGTAGAGACTCCAGGTCTTGACTGTGGCAGGCCTTTAGGTGCCTGTGATGTGAGTGCCCCAAGTTGGGGGTGCGATGGAGCACCAGGTTTGGAATGCAGTGGAGTAACACATTTCACAGTGTCAGCTTTGGGCGAGGCTGGGATGCCAGGTTTCACAGGTGGGACTTGTGTCCTGGAGTTCGTGGGTAATATATCAGGATTCTGGTGTGATAGAGAGCCGGGCTTCAGAGGCAACAGAGTACCAGAATTTGAGGGCACAAGAATGGTAGGTTTTGTCCTGAGAGTTGGCTGGGCCAAGGTGCCAGAATCCTGTTGTGCTGGAATTTTGGCCTTTGGGTATGTGGGCATTGACAGGGTATGAGGGCTCTCTCCCAATGGCTCCAGCTCTTTGGAACTTAGCATCTTCTTGGTAGAGGCAGTAGTAGTTGAGGATAAGTAGAACTTTGGTTTCACAGGCCTTGATTTGGGGGAGATGACCTTGGGCACCAAGGCTGGCTGAGCTGTGCTTACCCCTAGGCCATGCCTGCTGCTGGATGAGGGCATGATGGTGTCTGGCCCAGCAGAGGTGGAAGTCTGTCTCCTGGTCTCCTCACTGGCCTGTTTGGGTTGCACCATGACCAGTGAAGTCAGAGGTGTGACAAAGTTGTATTCAAGGGACAGGTTGAGGACTTTGGCAGCCAGCAGGTGGCGAGTGGTGGTGTCACGAGCTTGGAAGTGTGCATCCAGCAGTTCTCCAATGGTGACATAGGCCCAGAGGCGGCGGATGAAGTGGGCCACATTGGGGGCTGGCTCCCCTGGGCAACCAAAGGCCTTCTGGCTGTTGTTGGTGGCCCCTTCACTGTGGTGGGCCACAAGAAGCTGATCCTTGGGGCCACGGGCTGCCAGGTGGATGCCCAGTTCCTGTTTGCCTGGCTGCACCTGTCCTGCCACCACCAGCTCAGAGCCACCAAAGTAGTTGGGGAAAACGGCCCAAGGGGAGGCCCCAACCAAGCCACCCAGGTAGTTCAGACGCACATCTGCCAGCAGAGGCATGGAGATCTCCTCATAGAGGCCCTTCAGCTGTAGGGCCGCATCAGTGTCCTCATATATGCGCCGGGCTATTCCCCGGTTTTCCAGGGACAGGCGGCGCAGCAGTGTAAAGTCAGCATCATCCCCAAAGGCCAAGCTGAAAAGGGATACCCTGTGGCCTAGCGCCTGACGGACATTGGAGAGGATCACACTGGGGGTCGTCACGCCGGCCGTGGGCTCCCCATCCGTCAGGAAGATGATAAGAGGGATCCTCCCCACACTGGGGCCCCTCCCAGGCTCCTGGTTGCTATGGTTCAGCACTGAAGCAGCTGCCAGCAGAGCTGAGTTGACGTCTGTCCCTAATTGGGGAATAGATTGTGAGACCATCTTCTCTGGTCACTTCTACCCCCATTGCAGACACACTGGGCACCTCATCAACTTCCCAGGCTCACAGCTCCTTATCTTTGCTCAGGCTGTATCCACTGTTTCTCCTTCCCAACTTCTCCACTCCCACCCAGACTTGCTGAGATCTGACATTGGGGCCCACATGTCCTTGGCTTTTATCACTCTCTGTCTCACACTGTTCTTTGTCTGTTTCCTTGGTGGTGCAGGGTCGAGGGGGGAGATGTCTCATTCCCGAGCCAGACTGGCAGGCTCCCAAGGCTAGCACCCCCCCCTCCAACCTTCTTGCTACAGGGGAAGAAAGGACAGAGTTGACAGGAGGCAGTGGGTAGAGGAGACTTCAGTAGTTGTCAGAGACGATTGCTTAAAAGCTAGAATCAGGGCAGCAGCTTCCTCAAATGCTTGGAAATAAATATCTAGATTATTGATTTAAAGAAAGTTTAGCAAATTCTTTCAAGTGTTTGCTTTAAAGAAGAGGAAACTGAGGCCAAAAAGAAATGTGCCCTAAGATACATGGAGAATCGGCTGTGCTCTTTCTACAAGGAAAGGGTGATGGGAGAACACAGAGGACAAAGGACCATATTTGTGTGAAATGTGGTCTTGATATTTCAGGAACTGTGAGAGTTGAGGAGGATGGGGGAATGAAGAGAGGGTTTCAGGAATTTCCCATATCACCACAGCCTGCCCATTTGGGTGGGTAGATCTAACACTTACAGCCATCGGCTTCCATGCAATGCAGGTAGTCCTTGGCACTGTGGACATTCTGGATGGTGGCCTGGATTGAGCCTCCAGCTTTCCAAACATTAACTGTGTCAGAAAAGGAGATGATGTTGAAGTAGTCATTGGCTTGAAGGTCACTGAGGATCACATTCATGGCCGTTTTAGTCTGTGGGATATGGATGAAATGAAGAGAATGGGACAAGACTTGAGGTCTATGAGATTGAAAGGCTTTTTCTACACAAGGCATTAACATCTAAGTGTTATATGGTTTTAAGACTCTCTGACTGCAGGACTCTGTGAATCTAGGATTCTCAGGTGAAAAGACTCTATGGGTTCCAAGGCATAGAACTGCACTGTTTAATATGGGAACTAATAGTCACATGTAGCTACTTATATTTGAATATAAACTAGCTAAAATTAAAGAAAAATTCAAACATTTAATTCTTTATTTGCAGTAGCCACATTTCAAGTGTTCAATAGCCACATGTTGCCAGTGGCTACTATATTAGATAGCACAGAATTTTAGATCATTTCCATCATCACGAAAGTCATATTGGACACTGGTCATCTAAAAGGTTCAAGCTCCCTGTTTTTAGAGCTCTAGAATTCATTTGCTATATGGTTCCTGGGCTCCATGACCCGGGATTCAATGATGTTTAGGACCTTTATGATCCCAGGTCTCTTTTTTATTATTATACTTTAAGCTCTAGGGTACATGTACACAACATGCAGGTTTGTTACATATGTATACATGTGCCATGTTGGTGTGCTGCACCCATTAACTCGTCATTTACATTAGGTATATCTCCTAATGCTATCCTTCCCCCCGCCCCATGCTACAACAGGCCCCAGTGTGTGATGTTCCCCTTCCTGTGTCCATGTGTTCTCATTGTTCAATTCCCACCTATGAGTGAGAACATGTGGTGTTTGGCTTTTTGTCCTTGAGATAGTTAGCTGAGAATGATGGTTTCCAGCTTCATCCATGTCCCTACAAAGGACATGAACTCATCATTTTTTATGGCTGCATAGTATTCCATGGTGTATATGTGCCACATTTTCTTAATCCAGTCTATCATTGTTGGACATTTGGCTTGGTTCCAAGTCTTTGCTATTGTGAATAGTGCCACAATAAACATACGTGTGCATGTGTCTTTATAGCAGCATGATTTATAATCCTTTGGGTATATACCCAGAAATGGGATGGCTGGGTCAAATGGTATTTCTAGTTCTAGATCCCTGAGGAATCGCCACACTGTCTTCCACAATGGTTGAACTAGTTTCTAGTCCCACCAACAGTGTAAAAGTGTTCCTATTTCTCCACATCCTCTCCAGCACCTGTTGTTTCCTGACTTTTTAATGATTGCCATTTTAACTGGTGTGAGATGGTATCTCATTGTGATTTTGATTTGCATTTCTCTGATGGCCAGTGATGATGAGCATTTTTTCATATGTCTGTTGGCTGCATAAATGTCTTCTTTTGAGAAGTGTCTGTTCATATCCTTCACCCACTTTTTGATGGGGTTGTTCTTTTTTTCTTGTAAATTTGTTTGAGTTCTTTGTAGATTCTGGATATTAGCCCTTTGTCAGATGAATAGATTGCAAAAATTTTCTCCCATTTTGTAGGTTGCCTGTTCAGTCTGATGGTAGTTTCTTTTGCTGTGCAGAAGCTCTTTAGTTTAATTAGATCCCATTTGTCAATTTTGGCTTTTGCTGCCATTGCTTTTGATGTTTTAGACATGAAGTCCTTGCCCATGCCTACGTCCTGAATGGTATTGCCTAGGTTTTCTTCTAGGGTTTTTATGGTTTTAGGTCTAACATTTAAGTCTTTAATCCGTCTTGAATTAATTTTTGTATAAGGTGTAAGGAAGGGATCCAGTTTCAGCTTTCTACATATGGCTAGCCAGTTTTCCCAGCACCATTTATTAAATAGGGAATCCTTTCCCCATTTCTTGTTTTTGTCAGGTTTGTCAAAGATCAGATGGTTGTAGATGTGTGGTATTATTTCTGAGGGCTCTGTTCTGTTCCATTGGTCTATGTCTCTGTTTTGGTACCAGTACCATGCTGTTTTGGTTACTGTAGCCTTGTAGTATAGTTTGAAGTCAGGTAGTGTGATGCCTTCAGCTTTGTTCTTTTGGCTTAAGACTGACTTGGCAATGTGGGCTCTTTTTTGGTTCCATATGAACTTTAAAGTAGTTTTTTCCAATCCTGTGAAGAAAGTCCTTGGTAGCTTGATGGGGATGGCATTGAATCTGTAAATTACCTTGGGCAGTATGGCCATTTTCACGACATTGATTCTTCCTATCCATGAGCATGGAATGTTCTTCCATTTATTTGTGTCCTGTTTTATTTCATTGAACAGTGGTTTGTAGTTCTCCTTGAAGAAGTCCTTCACATCCCTTGTAAGTTGGATTCCTAGGTATTTTATTCTCTTTGAAGCAATTGTGACTGGGAGTTCACTCATGATTTGGCTCTCTGTTTGTCTGTTATTGGTGTATAAGAATGCTTGTGATTTTTGCACATTGATTTTGTATCCTGAGACTTTGCTGAAGTTGCTTATCAGCTTAAGGAGATTTTGGGCTAAGACAATGGGGTTTTCTAGATATACAATCATGTCATCTGCAAACAGGATCCCAGGTCTTTATAGCTGCCTTTCAATGACTTTGCATGCTTTGGTTCTGCTGTAATCTGCTCTTCTGCCTCACCCTCCATTTCTTCCAGGCTGGTCTCACCAGCCCCTAGAAAACTCAGGTTCCAGTTTAACTCCATAAACCTTGCTATTTTATGCTCTTTAGATAGCATACTTTCCAACTTCCCTTTATTTATTCACATCTTTACTGTTCTTTCAGTTGCTCCTTCTCTGGAAAGTTCTTCCTTAAGTTGCCAACCCTGACCCCTGCCCTTCTCACTTAGATATTCCCTGTCCCAGTCTGTTAACTGACTGTTTTACATGAAATATTTTTACTTTCTATCCAAATATTGAACCCTTTGAGAGAAGGGCTTATAATGTTGCTGCTTCTTGTCTCCCTTCTCCATGGCAATACTAGCATAGGGCTAGGCCCATAGGAGGTTCAGGGAATAGAGTGTGTAGGATCTACTATTAGGTATCATTTACAGGACACTTGCTATGTTCCAGGCACTGTGCTTAACCCTTTTGATGCATCAGCTCACTTAATTATCACAGCAACACAATGAAGAAGGTATTAATACTATCCTCATTTTACAGGTGATGACACTGAGACTCAGAGAGGTGGGTGCTTGCTTAAGGTCATACAGCTAGTCATTGATGGACAAGGGATTCAAATACACATTTGGGAGGTTTTAAATCCAGTGACCCTAAGCACAATATTATGCTTTCAATCCTTTATATAGATATGGATTTCAGAGACCACAGGAAGGACACTTGAGACCCACCTTTCTCTATAACTTAAACGGATAGGAAATATCTTGAATGCTTCTAAGTGGATTAGAGTCTTTCCTGCCATAGGGAGAGCTCTGGGGATAGGTCGTATATTCTGGGACAGGGAGCTAAGCACCATACTCTTGTTTCCATTGAGAGGGAAGAGACTTAATAGGATTGCCTTTCCTGAGAAGAGCTGTAGAAAAGTGAGAGCCTATGAGGTCCTAGAAGTCAGAACCTCTTGTTGACCGGGAATAGACTGTAGAAGTGTGCTGTTTAATCTCCAATTACTTTGAGATTTCCCAGCTATCTTTCTGTAATTGAATTCTAGTTTAATTCCATTTGATTTGAGAGCATACTTGGTACAATTTATATTATTTTAAATTTGTTAAGGTATGTTTTAAGGCCAAGGATATGGTCCATCTTGGTAAATGTTCCACGTGAGCTTGAGAAGAATGTGTAATCTGCTTGAGCAGAATGTGTAATGTTGTTGAATAAAGTATTCTAGAAATGTCAATTCGATCCAGTTAATTGATGGTGCTGTTCAGTTCAACTATGTCCTTACTGATTTTCTGCCTGCTGAATCTGTCAATTACTGATAAAGCGATGATGAAGTCTCTAATTATAATAGTGGATTCATGTATTTTTACCTTCCAGTTTCGTCAGTTTTTACTTCATATATTTTGGTATGTTGTTCGTTGCATGCACATTAAGGATTGTTTGTCTTCTTGGAGAATTTCCCCTTTACCATTATATTTGTTTTATTGTTATATCATATAATGCAACTATTTATTGCTGAAAATTTCCTTGCTTTGAAGTCTATTTTGTCCAAAACTAATACAGCTACCCCAGCCAGCTTTCTTTAATTTGTGTTAGCATGGTATATCTTTCTCTATCCCTTTGCTTTTGATTTATCTGCATCTTTATATTTAAAGTGGTTTTCTTATAAACAACCTACAATTGGGTCTTATTTTATTATCCACACTGAGAGTATCTGTCTTTTAATTGGTATATTTAAACCATTTATGATTGCAGTCATTACTGACATAGTTGGATTAATATTTGCCATAGTTGTAAATATTTTCTATTCTTTTAAAATTCTTTTTTTTTTTAATTATACTTTAAGTTTTAGGGTACATGTGCACATTGTGCAGGTTAGTTACATATGTATACATGTGCCATGCTGGTGGGCTGCACCCACTAACTCGTCATCTAGTATTAGGTATATCTCCCAATGCTATCCCTCCCCCCTTCCCCCTCCCCACCACAGTCCCCAGAGTGTGATATTCCGCTTCCTGTGTCCATGCGATCTCATTGTTCAATTCCCACCTATGAGTGAGAATATGCAGTGTTTGATTTTTTGTTCTTGCGATAGTTTACTGAGAATGATGGTTTCCAATTTCATCCATGTCCCTACAAAGGACATGAACTCATCATTTTTTATGGCTGCATAGTATTCCATGGTGTATATGTGCCACATTTTCTTAATCCAGTCTATCATTGTTGGACATTTGGGTTGGTTCCAAGTCTTTGCTATTGTGAATAATGCCACAATAAACATACGTGTGCATGTGTCTTTATAGCAGCATGATTTATAGTCATTTGGGTATATACCCAGTAATGGGATGGCTGGGTCAAATGGTATTTCTAGTTCTAGATCCCTGAGGAATCGCCACACTGACTTCCACAATGGTTGAACTAGTTTCCAGTCCCACCAACAGTGTAAAAGTGTCCCTATTTCTCCACATCCTCTCCAGCACCTGTTGTTTCCTGACTTTTTAATGATTGCCATTCTAACTGGTGTGAGATGATATCTCATAGTGGTTTTGATTTGCATTTCTCTGATGGCCAGTGATGATGAGCATTTTTTCATGTGTTTTTTGGCTGCATAAATGTCTTCTTTTGAGAAGTGTCTGTTCATGTCCTTCGCCCACTTTTTGATGGGGTTGTTTGTTTTTTTCTTGTAAATTTGTTTGAGTTCATTGTAGATTCTGGATATTAGCCCTTTGTCAGATGAGTAGGTTGCGAAAATTTTCTCCCATGTTGTAGGTTGCCTGTTCAGTCTGATGGTAGTTTCTTTTGCTGTGCAGAAGCTCTTTAGTTTAATTAGATCCCATTTGTCAATTTTGGCTTTTGTTGCCATTGCTTTTGGTGTTTTGGACATGAAGTCCTTGCCCACGCCTATGTCCTGAATGGTAATGCCTAGGTTTTCTTCTAGGGTTTTTATGGTTTTAGGTCTAACGTTTAAATCTTTAATCCATCTTGAATTGATTTTTGTATAAGGTGTAAGGAAGGGATCCAGTTTCAGCTTTCTACATATGGCTAGCCAGTTTTCCCAGCACCATTTATTAAATAGGGAATCATTTCCCCATTGCTTATTTTTCTCAGGTTTGTCAAAGATCAGATAGTTGTAGGTAAGCGGCATTATTTCTTTTCTTTTTTTTTTTTTTTTTTTTGAGACGGAGTCTCGCTCTGTTGCCCAGGCCAGACTGCGGACTGCAGTGGTGCAATCTCGGCTCACTGCAAGCTCCGCTTCCTGGGTTCACGAAGCGGCGTTATTTCTGAGGGCTCTGTTCTGTTCCATTGATCTATATCTCTGTTTTGGTAACAGTACCATGCTGTTTTGGTTACTGTAGCCTTGTAGTATAGTTTGAAGTCAGGTAGTGTGATGCCTCCAGCTTTGTTCTTTTGGCTTAGGATTGACTTGGCAATGCGGGCTCTTTTTTGGTTCCATATGAACTTGAAAGTAGTTTATTCCAATTCTGTGAAGAAAGTCATTGGTAGATTGATGGGGATGGCATTGAATCTGTAAATTACCTTAGGCAGTATGGCCATTTTCACGATATTGATTCTTCCTACCCATGAGCATGGAATGTTCTTCCATTTGTTTGTATCCTCTTTTATATCCTTGAGCAGTGGTTTGTAGTTCTCCTTGAAGAGGTCCTTCACATCCCTTGTAAGTTGGATTCCTAGGTATTTCATTCTCTTTGAAGCAATTGTGAATGGGAGTTCACTCATGATTTGGCTCTCTGTCTGTTGTTGGTGTATAGGAATGCTTGTGATTTTTGTACATTGATTTTGTATCCTGAGACTTTGCTGAAGTTGCTTATCAGCTTAAGGAGATTTTGGGCTGAGATGATGGGGTTTTCTAGATAAACAATCATGTCGTCTGCAAACAGGGACAATTTGACTTCCTCTTTTCCTAATTGAATACCCTTTATTTCCTTCTCCTGCCTGATTGCCCTGGCCAGAACTTCCAACACTATGTTGAATAGGAGCAGTGAGAGAGGGCATCCCTGTCTTGTGCCAGTTTTCAAAGGGAATGCTTCCAGTTTTTGCCCATTCAGTATGATATTGGCTGTGGGTTTGTCATAGATAGCTCTTATTATTTTGAAATACGTCCCATCAATACCTAATTTATTGAGAGTTTTTAGCATGAAGGGTTGTTGAATTTTGTCAAAGGCTTTTTCTGCATCTATTGAGATAATCATGTGGTTTTTGTCTTTGGTTCTGTTTATATGCTGGATTACATTTATTGATTTGCGTATATTGAACCAGCCTTGCATCCCAGGGATGAAGCCCACTTGATCATGGTGTATAAGCTTTTTGATGTGCTGCTGGATTTGGTTTGCCAGTATTTTATTGAGGATTTTTGCATCAATGTTCATCAAGGATATTGGTCTAAAATTCTCTTTTTTGGTTGTGTCTCTGCCTGGCTTTGGTATCAGAATGATGCTGGCCTCATGAAATGAGTTAGGGAGGATTCCCTCTTTTTCTATTGATTGGAATAGTTTCAGAAGGAATGGTACCAGTTCCTCCTTGTACCTCTGGTAGAATTCGGCTATGAATCCATCTGGTCCTGGACTCTTTTTGGTTGGTAAACTATTGGTTATTGCCACAATTTCAGCTCCTGTTATTGGTCTATTCAGAGATTCAACTTCTTCCTGGTTTAGTCTTGGGAGAGTGTATGCGTCGAGGAATGTATCCATTTCTTCTAGATTTTCTAGTTTATTTGCGTAGAGGTGTTTGTAGTATTCTCTGATGGTAGTTTGTATTTCTGTGGGATCGGTGGTGATATCCCCTTTATCATTTTTTATTGTGTCTATTTGATTCTTCTCTCTTTTTTTCTTTATTAGTCTTGCTAGCGGTCTATCAGTTTTGTTGATCCTTTCAAAAAACCAGCTCCTGGATTCATTGATTTTTTGAAGGGTTTTTTTGTGTCTCTATTTCCTTCAGTTCTGCTCTGATTTTAGTTATTTCTTGCCTTCTGCTAGCTTTTGAATGTGTTTGCTCTTGCTTTTCTAGTTCTTTTAATTGTGATGTTAGGGTGTCCATTTTGGATCTTTCCTGCTTTCTCTTGTGGGCATTTAGTGCTATAAATTTCCCTCTACACACTGCTTTGAATGCGTCCCAGAGATTCTGGTATGTTGTGTCTTTGTTCTCGTTGGTTTCAAAGAACATCTTTATTTCTGCCTTCATTTCGTTATGCACCCAGTAGTCATTCAGGAGCAGGTTGTTCAGTTTCCATGTAGTTGAGCGGCTTTGAGTGAGATTCTTAATCCTGAGTTCTAGTTTGATTGCACTGTGGTCTGATAGATAGTTTGTTATAATTTCTGTTCTTTTACATTTGCTGAGGAGAGCTTTACTTCCAACTATGTGGTCAATTTTGGAATAGGTGTGGTGTGGTGCTGAAAAAAATGTATATTCTGTTGATTTGGGGTGGAGAGTTCTGTAGATGTCTATTAGGTCCGCTTGGTGCAGAGCTGAGTTCAATTCCTGGGTATCCTTGTTGACTTTCTGTCTCATTGATCTGTCTAATGTTGACAGTGGGGTGTTAAAATCTCCCATTATTAATGTGTGGGAGTCTAAGTCTCTTTGTAGGTCACTCAGGACATGCTTTATGAATCTGGGTGCTCCTGTATTGGGTGCATATATATTTAGGATAGTTAGCTCCTCTTGTTGAATTGATCCCTTTACCATTATGTAATGGCCTTCTTTGTCTCTTTTGATCTTTGTTGGTTTAAAGTCTGTTTTATCAGAGACTAGGATTGCAACCCCTGCCTTTTTTTGTTTTCCATTTGCTTGGTAGATCTTCCTCCATCCTTTTATTTTGAGCCTATGTGTGTCTCTGCACGTGAGATGGGTTTCCTGAATACAGCACACTGATGGGTCTTGACTCTTTATCCAACTTGCCAGTCTGTGTCTTTTAATTGGAGAATTTAGTCCATTTGCATTTAAAGTTAATATTGTTATGTGTGAATTTGATCCTGTCATTATGATGTTAGCTGGTGATTTTGCTCGTTAGTTGATGCAGTTTCTTCCTAGTCTCGATGGTCTTTACATTTTGGCATGATTTTGCAGCGGCTGGTACCGGTTGTTCCTTTCCATGTTTAGTGCTTCCTTCAGGAGCTCTTTTAGGGCAGGCCTGGTGGTGACAAAATCGGTCAGCATTTGCTTGTCTGTAAAGTATTTTATATGAAGCTTAGTTTGGCTGGATATGAAATTCTGGGTTGAAAATTCTTTTCTTTAAGAATGTTGAATATTGGCCCCCACTCTCTTCTGGCTTGTAGGGTTTCTGCCGAGAGATCCGCTGTTAGTCTGATGGGCTTCCCTTTGAGGGTAACCCGACCTTTCTCTCTGGCTGCCCTTAACATTTTTTCCTTCATTTCAACTTTGGTGAGTCTGACAATTATGTGTCTTGGAGTTGCTCTTCTCGAGGAGTATCTTTGTGGTGTTCTCTGTATTTCCTGAATCTGAACGTTGTCCTGCCTTGCTAGATTGGGGAAGTTCTCCTGGATAATATCCTGCAGAGTGTTTTCCAACTTGATTCCATTCTCCCCACCACTTTCAGGTACACCAATCAGACGTAGATTTGGTCTTTTCACATAGTCCCATATTTCTTGGAGGCTTTGCTCATTTCTTTTTATTCTTTTGTCTCTAAACTTCCCTTCTCGCTTCATTTCATTCATTTCATCTTCCATTGCTGATACCCTTTCTTCCAGTTGATCGCATCGGCTCCTGAGGCTTCTGCATTCTTCACGTAGTTCTCGAGCCTTGGTTTTCAGCTCCATCAGCTCCTTTAAGCACTTCTCTGTATTGGTTATTCTAGTTATACATTCTTCTAAATTTTTTTCAAAGTTTTCAACTTCTTTGCCTTTGGTTTGAATGTCCTCCCGTAGCTCAGAGTAATTTGATCGTCTGAAGCCTTCTTCTCTCAGCTCGTCAAAATCATTCTCCATCCAGCTTTGTTCCGTTGCTGGTGAGGAACTGCGTTCCTTTGGAGGAGGAGAGGCACTCTGCGTTTTAGAATTTCCAGTTTTTCTGTTCTGTTTTTTCCCCATCTTTGTGGTTTTATCTACTTTTGGTCTTTGATGATGGTGATGTACAGATGGGTTTTCAGTGTGGATGTCCTTTCTGTTTGTTAGTTTTCCTTCTAACAGACAGGACCCTCAGCTGCAGGTCTGTTGGAATGCCCTGCCGTGTGAGGTGTCAGTGTGCCCCTGCTGGGGGGTGCCTCCCAGTTAGGCTGCTCGGGGGTCAGGGGTCAGGGACCCACTTGAGGAGGCAGTCTGCCCGTTCTCAGATCTCCAGCTGCGTGCTGGGAGAACCACTGCTCTCTTCAAAGCTGTCAGACAGGGACATTTAAGTCTGCAGAGGTTACTGCTGTCTTTTTGTTTGTCTGTGCCCTGCCCCCAGAGGTGGAGCCTACAGAGGCAGGCAGGCCTCCTTGAGCTGTGGTGGGCTCCACCCAGTTCGAGCTTCCCGGCTGCTTTGTTTACCTAAGCAAGCCTGGGCAATGGCGGGCGCCCCTCCCCCAGCCTTGCTGCCGCCTTGCAGTTTGATCTCAGACTGCTGTGCTAGCAATCAGCGAGATTCCGTGGGCGTAGGACCCTCCGAGCCAGGTGTGGGATATAGTCTCATGGTGCGCCGTTTTTTAAGCCGGTCTGAAAAGCGCAATATTCGGGTGGGAGTGACCCGATTTTTCAGGTGCGTCCCTCACCCCTTTCTTTGACTCGGAAAGGGAACTCCCTGTCCCCTTGCGCTTCCCAGGTGAGGCAATGCCTCGCCCTGCTTCGGCTCGCGCATGGTGCGCGCACCCACTGGCCTGCGCCCACTGTCTGGCACTCCCTAGTGAGATGAACCCGGTACCTCAGATGGAAATGCAGAAATCACCCGTCTTATGCGTCGCTCACGCTGGGAGCTGTAGACCGGAGCTGTTCCTATTCGGCCATCTTGGCTCCTCCCCTTAAAATTCTTTACTCTTATGTCTTCCACTTATTTTTTGGCTTCTCTAGTTTTAACTGGGCATTTTACATGATCCCGTTTTATCTTATCTCTTAGCATACGCATTAGACTTAAAAAATTTTAGCAGTTCCCTTAGAGTTTGCAGTATACATTTACAACCAATCCAAATCCACTTTCAAATAACACTATACAGCTTTATGCATAGTGCAAGTACCTTGTAACAGAGTATTCCCAATTATTCCCTCCCATCCTATACAATATTACTCTCATTAATTTCACTTATTCCTAAGCTACATTCACTAAATACATTGTTATTTTGAAAAAATATTATCTGTTAGGTCAGTTAATAAGAAAACTATTTTATTTTACCTTCATTTATTCCTTCTCCAACACTTTTCCTTTCTTTATGTAGATCCAAGTATCTGAGATATACCATTTTCTTCCTCTATGTAGAACTTCTTTTAACATTTCTTGCAAAGCAGGTTTATTGGTGACAATTCCCAAAATTTTTGTTTGTTTGAGAAAGTCTTTATTTTTTTTTCACTTTGGAAGAATAATTTTGATGTATACAGAATTCTAGGCTGGTGGGTTTTTTCCTTTAACACTTGTAATATTTCACTCCACTTTCTTCTTGCTCCCATGGTTTCTGAAGAAAAGTCTGATATAGTTTATATCCTTGCTCCTCTATAGGTAAGGTACATTTTCCTCTGGCTTTTTAAAAGATTTTTCTGCTGTCTGAATATGATATGCCTAGGTGTAGATTGTTTAGTATTTATCCTGCTTTGTGTTCTCCTAAGCTTCTTAGACCTGAGGTTTGGTGTGCATAATTTATTTTGGAAAATTTGTATCTATTATTACTTCAAGTATTTCTTCTGTTCCTTTCTCTCTTTCTTCTCCTTCTATTATTTCCATGATGCATATGTAACACTTTTAAAATTGTTCCACAATTCTTGGATATTCTAGGGTGTTTCTTAAAATTCTTTTTATTTTTGTTTTTTAGCTTCAGGAATTTCTATGAACGTATCTTCAAGCTCATTGGTTCTTTACCCAACCATGTCCAGTCTACTGATGAGTGAATCAAAGGGATTCTTCATTCCTGTTGCAGTATTTCTGATATCCAGCATTTCCTTTTTATTTTCCTAGGGTTTTCATGTCTCTGCTTACATTACCATGTGTTGTCCTTATATGTGGTGCACTCTATCCATTAGTGCCCACAGCATATTAATCATGGGTTTTTAAATTCTTGGTTTGACCCATTAAAAAATTGGCAAAGGACATGAACAGATACTTCTGAAAAGAAGACATACATGTAGACAACAAGCATACGAAAAAAATGCTTAACATCACTGATCATTAGAGAAATGGAAATCAAAACCACAATGAGATACCATCTTACACCAGTCAGAATGGCTATTATTAAATAGTTAAAAAAAAACAACAACAACAGATGCTGGCAAGGTTGTGGAGAAAAGGGAACGCTTATACACTGTTGGTGGGAGTGTAAATTAGTACAACCATTGTGGAAGACAGTGTGGCAATTCCTCAAAGATCTAAAAACAGAAATACCGTTTGACCCAGCAAACTCATTACTGGGTATATACCCAAAGGAATGTAAGTCGTTCTACCATAAAGACTCATGCACATGTATGTTCATTGCAGCACAATTCACAATAGCAAAGACATGGAATCAACCTAAATGCTCATCAATAGTGGACTGGATAAAGAAAATGTGGTACATATACACCATGAAATACTATGCAGCCATAAAAAAGAATGAAATCCTGTCCTTTGCAGGAACAGGGATGGGAACTGGAGGCAATCATCCTAAGTGAATTAATGCAAGAGCAGAAAACCAATGCTACATATTCTCACTTATCAGTGGGAGCTAAACATTGAACACACATGTACACAAAGAAGGGGACAAGAGACACTGGGGCCTACTTGAGGGTGGAAGTTCGGAGAAGAGTGAAGATTGAAAAATGATGTATTACATACTGTGCTTATTACCTGGGTGACAAAATAATCTGTACACCAAAAACCTGCAATACTAAATTTACCCATGTAACAAACCTGCTCATGTATCCACTGAACCTAAAATAAAAGTTGGAAAAAAAATTTCAATCAAAAATAAAATTGTTTGATAATTTCGACATATCTGACATATTGAAGTCTGGCTGTGATGTTTGTTTACTCTCTTCAGACAGTGTTTTTCTCCTTTTAGCATGCCTTCTCATTTTAGGTTGAAAGCCAGACGTGATGTATCAGGTAAAAGGAAATAAACTAAAAGGCATTTAGTGTGGGGTTTTAAGTTTATCTGGCTATGAGTTAGGTAATGTTTCTTGTTTGGGGCAGTTTTAGTTGTCAGAGGCTAAAACTACTATTTTTTTGACAGGGTCTTGCTGTGTTGCCCCAGCTTGAGAGCAGTGGTGTGATCTTGGTTCACTGCAAGCTCCACTCGCTGGGCTCAAGCCATTTTCCAAATGCAGCCTCCTGAGTAGCTGGGACTACAGGTGCGCACCACCACACCTGGCTAATTTTTGTATTTTTAGTAGAGACAGGGTTTTGCCATGTTGCCCAGGCTGGTCTCAAACTCCTGGGCTCAAGTGATCCACCTACCTCAGCTCCCCTTCTAGTGTCTGTATTTTTGTTGCTTCTGTTGTCTTTGGTTTTCCCTAGGAACATTTTCTTCAATAGGGTTTGGGCTTGTAGTTCTATCAGCTGTAACTTTCCGTTATTGCCGAGGAGCCCAGTTGATGTGGTGATAATGTGTGGAGTGAGAGGAAGCATTCTATACTCTTATGAGGAGGTCTCAATCTTTTAGTGAATTGGTGTCCCTGAGATAGAAACTTCACAAGGACTTCTGAGATTTTTACCCCTCCTCAGTGAGACAAGAAGGCTAGAAAGGGCTGGATTTGGGGAGATCCCTCCCCCTACACTGGGGCTGGGGAGCTGGCTTGGGGTATTACCCATTTTTCCCCAGGTTGCTCAACTCTGGTAAAACAAACTCAGCCTTAGGTCCCAAAGGCTCTGTGATTGAAAGATTAAGGAGCAAAGCTATACAACTGCAAGACACCGGTACAAAAAGCTCCAGGGTATTATGGTATGAAATGCTGCCTGCAGAACTTTATGGATTCAGGGACTAAAGTCAAAGCCTGCTTGGTCTACGGCCTCAGAACTCTGACCCATGGGCACAGTGGTAGAAGTGCAACAAGATTAAAATCGATATGACTCCTGACTCTATGGTTTCTAATTCTATAATGCTAGTACTCTATACTATTAGGCCTTTAAAGTAAAAAAAAAAAAAATTACAAAGACCCAAAACCTTGTGGCCTCAGGAAGACTCAGAGTCTTTCTCACCTAAGGTTTTCTTGCTTTTGGATTCTAGGATCCCAGGGTGCTCTAGCTTGAGGGTCCTATATGACCCTGGGCTTTCGTGGTTGAGGGTCTCAATGGTTTCACAGTGACCAATGTGTCAATGTTCTTAGGACTCTGTGGCTCCAGGTCCACAGGCTCCTGTTAGGTAAGATACCAGGACCCTAGGGTAGGCCCAAGCCTGTAAGACTCAAGGGTCATGGGATGGTGGAATCTCTTCTCCCAGGGCCCCATTGTTACCACGCTCTCTGCTTTCTGGGTCTTCTGATACTAGGACTAAGAAAGGTTTCCAGGATCCTTGTTACCTGTTCCATCTTGGTACCAAACATGGAGCTGCTTACGTCAATAACAAAAACCACATTCTTCTCCATAGGTGGAAGGCCTCTGGGGGCAAAGTAGTGAATGAAATAGTCATCGTAAATCTGGACCAAAAAAAAAAAAAAAAAAGTAGAACCAAGAAGAACAGTGAAAGCCAATCTAAATCAGGTCCCCTCTTATTTTCCTGCATAACACTGTGCTTTGTTCCCCAGGACTTCTCACTGTTTCTAAACAGGCATGTGTGTGACTGTTTGCTCACTGTCCATCTCCTTCACTAGAACCGTGTCTCAGCTCTTCAGACCTTCATCCCGGGGCCTGCCCCAGAGCTGTGGAGGGAATGAGACTGGCTTGTAGCCCAGGACTCCAAGGATCAGGATCTCTGTAATATGTGAGTTCCTGTCTGTGAGAGAGTTGGGCTTGCACAGCCTTGAAGGTCCCTAGGGATATTTTGCCTGGGCTGCAGGAACTCCAAGTATTGTTTTAACCTCCCTGTATAGAGTGAGCCTGGGGCCCAGCTCTTTGCTGCCAGGGGCTGGGAGTTGCAGGGCCTCCCTCTCCTCCTAAAACCTCCTTTCTGCTGTTGCTGGGCAGAGCAGGGAGAGGAGGAGGGAACCTAAGCTGAGTGAGCTGTTTATTCAGAGGGGATTGGTTACACCAGGTACAGATGCCTTGGGCTGTCCTGGATGTGATTGGCTGCTGACTCCCCTCCCCCACTCCATTCCTCCCTCTGCAGAGCCTCGGGGCTGGGACAGCTGAGGGAAGGGGAGGGGAGGGGGGCTGGGAGGGCCCCTCAGGACCAGTCTCAGCTCAGCTCAGGGATGTCTGTGCTGGCTGAGGGTCTGTGCTACCCTGAAGCTGAAGCAGGCTCTGCCCAGGGCCACAGGCTTTTGCTCCTCTCTGCCCTTCAGTCACTCTCTGACCATTAGGCTGTACACTACCTCTTCCCTCTGAAGAGGAAAGAGGAGATGGGAAGACATCTGCTCTTCCCCCTCCACCCCAGCCTTTGAATTAATTCACATGTGCAATTGCAGCCTCTGTCTCTGCTAATCCTGGCACTCTGGTACAGTTCAAAAAGGCCTGTGTCACCCACATTACAACTGCCCAAGCCAACAGCAGAACCCAGTGGCCTCTGCACACCTCCCATACCTGGGCCGGTGAGTGCTTCTGGGAAAATCATGCTTATCTTTCCCCGATCCCATGCCCACCAGGGCCCCCACTTCCTATCACATAACTCAAGGGCAGGACCTTGCTCACCAACCTCTCCCAGTCACTTTAGCAGTCATTCCATCCTACCCACCTGACTCAGGAAGAGAATTAAGAGCATGGAGCCAGGGACACTTTGATTGCCCACCCCACCCTTCTAGAGGGTCCACATCACCATAAACCTCCTCCCTCAGCCTAAGGAAAGGAGGTCCTGCCTTGGACCCCATGCACTCCAAGTGCCCAGCCCCTCCAGTACTCCTCAGGTCCCCTCTCTCTAACTCCATTTAACATGTACCCCACTGGGTCTTCTTGAAATATAGAATTTTATTGTCTTTTCCATGCACTAAGACTAGCTCTTGTCCCCAGTCCACTCCCAAACTTCTCTCTAGCCTCTTTTTTCCCTGAAGCATCACAGGCTGAGAAAGTGGGCACCCTCAATGGGCTCAAGTGCAGATCACTCCTGGGGACCACCACAGACTGGCTACTGTGCCCACCCCGCATAGACACTTCCCTTGCTAAAGGCAACTGTGACTAACTTGCCTCCAAACTCAATGGCTGGAAGATGGGTGAAGCAAGATGGTGGAATAAAAGCTCCACTGATCGTCATCCCCCTAGGAAGGACACCAATTTAACAACCATCTACACACAAATAAGCACCTTCAAAAGAACCAAAAGCTCAGTACCTGGTTTTAACTTCATATCAATGAAAGAGGCACTGAAGTGGTAGAAAGAACAGTCTTGAATTGCCAACACCACGCCTACCCCACCCTCCAACTCTGCCCCCAGCAGCTGAGGCACGGTGGGCAAGAGCATTTCTGTGTGTTGGGGGAGGGAGAGTGCAGCTATTGTGAGGCATTGACCTCAGTGTTGCCCTCTTAGAGGAGTAAAAAAAAAAAACTGAACCAAACTCGGCTGATGCCTGCATACGGAGGGAGCATTCAAAACAGCCCTAGCTACACGTGAATTACCCATGTCAGCATGTCAGCTGTTGGCACTTGAGTTCCTGCAAGCCTCACCGCCATGGACTAAAGTGCTCTAGGGCTCTAAATAAACTTGAAAGACAGCCTAGACACAAGGACTGCAACTCCTAGTAGGGGCCTAGTGCTGAACTGGGCCCAGAGACAGTGGACTTAGGGGGCACACAACCTACCGAGATAGCAGCTAGGGCAGCTAAGTGAGTGCTAGCATCACCCCTCCTCTAACCCCAGGCTCCACAGCTTGTGGCTCCAAAAGAGACCCCTTCATTCTGCTTGAAGACTGGAGAGGGAAGAGTGGAAAAGACGTTGTCTTGCATCTTGTATACCAGCTCAGCTGCAGCAGGATAGGGCACCAGTAAGAGTCGCGAGGCCCCCTTTCCAGGCCCTAACTCCCAAACCACATTTCTAGACACACCCTGGGCCAGAAGGAAACCTGCTGCCTTGAAGGGAAGGACCCAGTTCTTGCTGCATTCTTCACCTGCTAAATGAAGAGCCCTTGGGCCCTGAATAACCAGCAATAATGCCCAGGTACTACATTGAGGGCCTTGGGTGAGACTCTGAGACTTGCTGGCTTTAGGTGATGCACATTCCAAGCTGCGGTGGCTATTGGGAGAGTGCTTATGTTTTACAAAAGTAGAGGAGAAAGTAAATTGGACACTGTCTTGAAGCTTAAGTACCAGCTTGGCCACAAGGGTATAGAGCACCAAGCAGGCTCTTGAGGTCCTAGATTCTAGGCATGGGCTCTTGGATGGCCTAGAATCCAACTTCCGGGCCTGCCCTAGGCCAGAGAAGAGCCTACTGCCCTGAAAGGTGAGGCTAAGGATAGGCAGCGTATACCACAAGCTGACTGAAGAACCTTTGGGCCTTAAGGGAAAATCGGTGGTTGTCTGTCAGTACTCCTTGTGAGCCTGTGGTGGCAATGGCCATGAGGTGAGGCTCTTCTGCCTTTGAAAAGGGAAAGGCAGAGTGAGAGGAAGTGTATCTTGTGGTTTGACTGCCAGTTTACCAGCAGGACAATAGAACACCAGGTAGAATTCTAAGGAGTTTGACTCTAGTCTCTGGCTCCTGGATGGCACCTCTGGATCCACCTAGGGCCTGAAGGAACTCACTATCCCAAAGTGAAGGACACAGGCCTGGTTGTTTTTGACACTTTCTGATTGTACAGCCCCAGGGTCTTGAGTGAACATAGGCGGAAGCCAGGATGTGGTTACAGCAGGCTTTGGGTGAGACCCAGTACTGTGCTGGCTTCAAGTCTGACCCAACGCAGTCATAGGTGGTGGCCACAGGAGTGCTTGTGTCAATACACCCCCTGCTTCAGGTGGCTCACAACAGAGAGAGAGAGAGAGAGACTCTGTTTGGGAGTAAGTAAGGAAAGCGAATTAGTCTGCCTGGTAATGGAAAGAATTCTCCCAGATATTGTCCAAGACCATCAAGACAATACTTCTATGAGTCTGCAAGAACCACAGCATTACGAGGCTTGGGGTGACCCCTAAAGCAGATGCAGCTTAGATCACAACATGTATGTACATTTGAATATCTGGAAAGTCTTTCCAAGAAGGACAGGTACAAGCAAGCTCAGACTGTGAAGACTATAATAAATACTTAACTCTTCAATGTCCAGACACAGAAGAACATCTAAAAGTATCATGACAATCCAGGAAAATATATGACATTACCAAATAAACTAAATAAGTCACCAGGGACCAATTCTGAAGAAATAGAGATATGTGACCTTTCAGACACAGAATTCAAAATAGCTGTGTTGAGGAAACTCAAAGAAATTTGAGATAACACAGAGAAGGCATTCAGAATTCTATCAGATGAAAGTAACAAAGAGATTGCAATGAGATTGCAATAATTTAAAAGAATCAAGCAGAAATTCTGGAAAATGCAATTGACATACTGAAGAATGCACCAGAGTCTTTTTTTTTTTTTTTTTTTGACAGAGTCTCCCTCCGTCACCCAGGCTGGAGTGCAGTGGCACGATGTTGGCTCACTACAACCTCTGCCTCCTGGGTTCAAGCGATTCTCCCGCCTCAGCCTCCCGAGTAGCTGGGATTACAGGCATGCACCACCATGCCCGGCTAATTTTTGTATTTTTAGTAGAGACAAGGTTTCACTATGTTGTCCAGGCTGGTCTCAAAGTCCTGACTTCAAGTGGTCCACCCGTCTCAGCATCCCAAAGTGCTGGGTTTAAAGGCATGAGCCACTGCACCCGGCCTGCACCTGAGTTTTTTAAAAGCAGAATTGTTCAACCAGAAAAAACAATTAGTGAATTACAAGATAGGCTATTTGAAAATAAACAGTAAGAAGAGACAAAAGTAAAAAGAATAAGAAGCAATGAAGCATGCCTACATGATCTAGAAAATAGCCACAGATAGGCAAATCTAAGAGTTAGTGGCCCTAATGAGGAGATAGAGAAAGAGATAGGGGTAGAAAGTTTATTCAGAGGGATAATAACAGAGAACTTTCCAAACTGAGAGAAAGATATCAATATCCAGATACAAGAAGCTACCAGAACACCAAGCAGATTTTACCCAAAAAAGACTACTTTGAGGAATTTTATAATCAAACTCCCAAAGGACAAGGATAAAGAAAGGATCCTAAAAGCAGCAAGAGAAGAGAAACAAATAACAGACATCTCCAATATTTCTGTCAGCAGACTTTTCAGTGGAAACCTTTAAGGCTGAGAGAGTGTCATGATGTATTTAAAATGCTGAAGGAAAAAACTACTTTTACCCTAGAATAGTATATCTGGAGAAAATATCCCTCAAACGTGAAAGAGAAATAAAGAGTTTCCCAGACAAAAAAGAGCTGAGGGATTTCATCATTGCTAGACCTGTCCTACAAGAAATGCTAAAGGGAGTACTTGAATCAGACAGTAAAGGATGTTACTGAGCAATAAATAATCATCTGAAGGTACAAAACTTACTGGCAATAGTAAGTACACAGAAAAACACAAAATATTATAACACTGTAACAGTGGTGTATAAACCACTCTCATGCTTAAGTAGAAATACTGAATGATGACCTAATCAAAAGTACTAACTAAACAACTTTTCAAGACATAGTACAAGAAGTTACAAATAGAAACAACAAAGAAATAAAAAGCAAGAGGATGAAGTTAAGGCATAGAGTTTTTATTAGTTTTCTTTTTGTTTGTTTGTTAGTGCAAACAGTGTTAAGTTGTTATCAGCTTAAAATAATGATTAATAAGATAGTATTTACAGGCCTCATGGTAACCTCAAAACAAAAAACATACAACAGATACACAGAAAATAAAAAAGTAAGAAACTAAATCATATTACCAAAGAAAATAATCTTGCTAAAAGGAAGACAGGAAGGAAAAAAAAGGATGAGCAGACCACAAAAAGTAGGAAAACCAATAACAAAATGGCAGGAGTAAGTCCTTACTTGTCAATAATCACATCGAATGTAAATGGGCTTAACTCTCCAATCAAAAGACATAGAGTGACTGAATGGATTAAAAAAAATAAGACCCACTGATCTGTTGCCTATAAGAAAAACATTTCATCTATAAGACACACATAGACTACAAATAAAGAGATGGAAGATGATATTCCATGCCAGTGGAAACAAACAAAAAAGATGAGGAGGAGCCATACAGAGAAAAAATCTATAAGAAGAGACAAAGAAGGTAGCAATATAATGATAAAGGGGTCGATTTAGCAAGAGGATGTAACAATTGTGAAAATATATGTACCCAACACTGGAGAACCAAGATATATAAGGTAAATATTATTAGAGCTAAAGGGAGAGATAGACTCCAACATGATAATCGCTAGAGTCCTCAAGACCCCACATTTGGCACTGGACATCTTCCAGGCAGAAAATCAACAAGGAAACATCAGACTTAATCTGCACTATAGATCAGAAACCTAATAGATATTTATAGAACATTTCATCCAATGGCTGCAGAATATGCATTCTTTTCTTCAGCACATGGTTCATTCTCAAAGACAGACGATATATCAGGTCACAAAGCAAGACTCAAAATTCAAAACAATTGAAATACCATCAAGCATCTTCTCTGACCACAATGGAATAACACTAAAAATCAATAACAAAAGGAACTTTGGAAGATATAGAAATACATGGAAATTAAACAACATGCTCCTGAATGAACAGTGGGTCAATGAAGAAATTCAGAAAGAAATTAAAAAATTTCTCAAAACAGATGACAATGTAAAGACAACATGCCAAAACCTATGAGATACAGCAAAAGCAGTTCTCAGAGGGAACTTTATAGCTGTAAGTGCCTACATCAAATAAGAAGAAAAATGTAAACAACATAATGATGCATCTTAAGGAACTAGAAAAGCAAGAGCAAACCAAACCCTAAATTAGTAGAAGGAAACAACTAATAAAGATTAGAGCACAAATAAAGAAATTGAAGTGACGAAAACAATAAAAAGATCAAGGAAACAAAAAGAGTTTTTTTTTTAAGTTTAACAAAATTGACAAACCTTTACCCCGACTAGTTAAAAAAAGAGAAGATCCAAATAAATAAAATCAGATGAGAAAGTAGACATTACAAAATGATACTGCAGAAATTCAAAGGATCATTAATGCCTACTATGAGCAATTATATGCCAATAAGTTAGAAAATCTAGAAGAGGCTAGAGAACCCAGAAATAAGGCCACACACCTGCAACTATCTGATTTTCAACAAACCTGACAAAAACAAGCAATGAGGAAAGAGTTTCCTATTCAGTAAATGGTGGTGGGATAACAGGCAAGCCATTTGCAGAAAAATGAAACTGGACCCCTTCCTCATACCATATACAAAAATTAACTCAAGATGGTTTAAAAACTTAAACGTAAAACCCAAAACTATAAAAACCCTGGAAGACAATCTAGGCAATAGCATTCTGGACATAGGAAAGGGCAAAGATTTCATGATGAAGACGCCAAAAGCAGTTGCAACAAAAGCAAAAAGAGACAAGTGGGATCCAATTAAACTAAACAGCTTCTACATAGCAAAGAAAACCATCAACAGAGTGAACAGACATAAGAAAATGTTTGCAAACTATGCATCTGGCAAAGGTCTAATATGCAGCATCTATAAGGAACTTAAACAAATTTACAAGAAAAAAAACAAGCAGCCACATTAAAAAGTAAGGAAAGGCATGAACAGACACTTCTCAAAAGAAGACATACATGCGGCTAACAACCATATGAAAAAAAGCTCAACATCGTTGATCATTAGAGAAACACAAATCAAAACCACAATGAGACACCATCTCACAACCAGTCAGAATGGCTACTGTTAAAAAGTCCAAAAACAACAGATGAAGGCAAGATTGCAGAGAAAAGGGAATGCTTAAACACTGTTGGTGAGAGCATAAGTTGGTTCAACCACTATGGAAGACAGTGTTGCAATTCCTCAAAAACCTAAAATCAGAAATAGCATTTGACCCAGCAATCCCATTACTGGGTATATAATCAAAGGATTGTAAGTTTTTCTATTATAAAGACACATGCACATGTATGTCCATTGCAGCACTATATACAATAGCAAAGACTTGGAATCAACCTAAATGTCCATCAGTGATAGACTGGATAAGAAAATATGGTACATATACACCATGAAATAGTATGCAACCATTCAAAACAATGAGATTATGTTTTTAACAGGAACAGAGAAGAAGCTGGAGGCCATTATCCTTAGCAAACTAACACACGAACAGAAAACCAAATACTGCATGTCCTCAATTATGAGTGGGAGCTAAATAATGAGAATACATGGACACATAGAGGGGAATAACACACACTGGGGCCTGTCAGAGCACCCTCTGGAGGGTGGTAGGAGAGTGAGAATCAGGAAAAATAACTAATGGGGTTGGACACAGTGGCTCATGCCTGTAATCTCAGCACTTTCAGAAACTGAGGCAGGCAGATCACCTGAGGTAAGGAGTTCGAGATCAGCCTGACCAACATGGAGAAACCCCATCTCTACTAAAAATACAAAATTAGCAGGGCGTGGTGGTGCATGCCTGTAATCCCAGCTACTCAAGAGGCTGAGGCAGGAGAATCGCTTGAACGCAGGAGACCGAGGTTGTGGTGAGCCGAGATTGTGCCATTGCACTCCAGCCTGGGCAACAAGAGCGAAACTCTGTCTCAAAATAATAATAATAATAATTAAATAAAAATAACTAATGGGTACTAGGCTTAATACTGGGGTGACAACATGGGGTGTCTGTAAAACAAACCCCCATGACCCACATTTACCTATATAACAAACCTTTATGTGTACCCTTGAACTTAAAAGTTAAATTAACAAAAAGAAAATCTAGAAGAAATGGACAAATTCCTAGACACATACAACCTAACCATCACTGCAGCATGAAGAAATTCAAACATGAACAGAACAATAACATGCAACAAGAACAAAGCCATGATAAAAAAATCTCCCAGTAAAGAAAGGCCCAGGACCTGATGACTTCACCACTGAATTCTACCAAACAGTTAAAGAATAACTAATACAAATCCTACTCAAATTATTACAAAAAATAGAGGATGATGGAATACTTCCAAACTCATTCTACATGGTCAGTATTGCCCTGATACCAAAACCAGACAAAGACACATCAAAAAATGAAAACTATAGGCCAACGACTCTGATGAATATGGATGTGCATGTCCTCAACAAAATACTAACAAACTTAACTCAATAACACACTCAAAAGATCATTATGACCAAGTGGGATTTATCCCTGGGATGCAAGGATGGGTCAATATATGCAAAGCAATCAATGTGATACATTATATCAACTGAATGAAGGACAGAAACCATATGATCATTTCAATTGATGCTGAAAAAGCATTTAATAAAACTCAACATTTCTTCATGACAAAAACCTTCAAAACACTGGGGATAGAAGGAACATACCTCAATATAATAAAAGCCATATATGACAGACCCACAGCTAGTATCATACTGAATGGGGAAAAACTGAAAGCCTTTCCCCTAAGGACTGGAGCACGACACGGATGCTCACTTTCACCACTGTTATTCCACAAAGTACTGGAAGGCCTACCTAGAGCAATCAGACAAGAGAAAGAAATAAAGGGCATCTGAATTGGAAAGGAATAAGTCAAATTATCCTTGTTTGCAGATGATATGATCTTATACTTGGAAAACCCTAAAGATCCCACAAAATATATTAGAACTGATAAACAAATGCAGGAAAGTTGCAGGATACAAAATCAACAAAATAAAATCAGTAGCATTTCTATATGCCAACAGTGAACAATCTGAAAAAGAAAATTAAAAAGAAACCCTATTTATAATAGCCACAAACAAAATTAAACACTAGGAATTAACTTAACCAAAGAAGTGAAACATCTCTATAATGAAAAGTATAAAACACTGTTAAAGGAAATCAAAGAGGACACTAAAAAATGGAAAGATATTCCATGTTCATGGATTGGAAGACTCAATATTGTTAAAGTGTCCATACTACCCAAAGCAATCTACAGATTCAAAGCAATCCCTATCAAAATCGCAATGACATTCTTCACAGACATTGAAAAAACAATCCTAAAATCTAAATGGAACCAGAAAAGACCCAGAATAACCAAAGCTATCCTAAACCAGAAGAACAAAACTGGAGGAATCACATTATCTGACTTCAAATTATACGGCAGAGCTATAGCAACAAAAACAGATTGGTACTGGGATAGAAACAGACACATAGACCGATGGAAAGGAATAGAGAACCCAGAAACAAATACACTAATCTATAGTGAAATGATTTTCAACACAGGTGCCAAGAACATACATTGGGGAAAGAACAGTCGCCTCAATAAATGGTGCTGGGAAAACTGGATATCCATATGCAGAATAATGAAACTAGACCTCTCTCTCACCATATACAAAAATCAAATCAAAATTGATTAAAGACTTCAATCTCAGACCTCAAACTATGATACTATTAATACTACAAGAAAACCTTGGGAAAATCGCCAGGGCATTGGTTTGGGCAAAAATTTCTTGAATAATGCCCAATAAGCACAAGCAACCGTAGTAAAAGTGGACAAATGGGATCACATCAAGTTAAAAAGCTTCTACACTGCAAGGGAAATGATAAACAAAGTGAAGAGACAACCCACAGAATGGGACAAAATATTTGCAAACTACCCATTTCACAAGGGATTAATAACCAGAATATATAAGGAGCTCAAACAACTCCATAGGAAAAAAATCTAAAAATCCAATCAAAAAAGGGCAAAAGATTTGAATAGATATTTCTCAAAAGAAGACATACAAATGGCAAACAGACATATGAAAAGGTGCTCAACATCACTGATCATCAGAGAAGTGAAAGTCAAAAACTACAATGAGATATCATCTCACCTCAGCTAAAATGGCTTCTATCCCAGAGACAGGCAATAAGAAATGCCGGCGAGGATGTGGAGAAAAGGGACCCCCATACACAGTTGGTGGGAATGTAAATTAGTAGAACCATATGGAGAACAGTTTGGAGGCTCCTCAATAAACTAAAAATTAGGGCTTCATCATACAATCCGGCCATTCCACTTCTGGGTATATACCCCAAATAAAGAAAATCAGTGTATCCAAGAGATGTCTGTACCCTTCTTTTTCTTACAGTGCTGTTCACAATAGCCAAGACTTGGAGACAACCTAAGTGTTCATCAACAGACGAATGTATAAAGAAAACGTGGTGCATATACACAATGGAGTACTATTCAGCCACAAAAAAGAATGAGGTCCTGTCGTTTGCAACAACATGAATGGAACTGGAGATCATTATGTGACTTGAAATAAGCCAGGCACAGAAAGACAAATCTCGCATTTTTTAGATCACTCATCAGTGGGATCTAAAAAATGAAAGCCGTTGAACTCATGGAGATAGAGAGTAGAAGAGTGGTTACCAGAGGCTGCGGGGAGTGGGGTAGCGGGGAGATGGGGGGTGGGGAAGGCAGGGATGGTTAATGGGTACAAAGAAAAGTGAGAAATAATGGATAAGACTTAGTATTTGATAGCAAGACAGGGTGACTATAGTCAATAATACTTTAATTGTACATTTAAAAATAAGTAAAAGAGTATTAAGTGGATTGTTTGTAACACAGGGATACATGCTTGAGGGAATCGGTACCGTGTGATGTGATTATTACAGATTGCATGCCTGTACCAAAACATCTCACTTAACCCATAAATATATACACCTACTGTGTACCCTCAAAAATTAAAAGTAACAACTTTACTAAAAAACAAACCCAATGTCTGTATTTTGAGTCTCTTGGGACTGCCTTCCCGGCCCATGAATGTCACAGTTGAACATGGATGACTTCTGCTGTCTTCAAAAGTCGTTTCCCCTGCGATCTGCGACAGTGAACTCTCCTTATTCTCCTACCGCCTCTGTCTGCCCACTCCCTTCGCAGTGCTTCCCATTATTTGTCAGGTCAAAGCATGAAAAGAAAATGATTATGCTGGTGCAGCTCAGTGGAGTGAACTGCTGGGGACTGGGGCTCTGGGCAGCTGTGTGCAGTTGATGGGGCAGCTGAGGGTATCCATAGCTGCTGGATTGGGCTGCTTCACCTTAGCTTTGCCTTCAGGGATTTTCCCTTCTGGCTCCACACATGCTCCCTGGGTGACCTCCCTTTGTCACTTGGCTTCCACCACAGAACCCCTATCAATCACTCTGCATCTCTTCTCCCGTCTAGGGCTCCCACAGTTGCCCCTCACCAGTGGGTGCACACTCACTGTTGGACATGTGCCCCAGGATGTTTCAAGAAGCCTCTGATGCATCCTGCCCAAGCAGTGAATTCGTTGTACTGCCCCCACGTGGCCCTTTTATGCCTTCCTGGTCAGGGGCACCATCATCCACATGGTCACTCTGGAGACAAATCTGAGTGTTGCCTTCAATCCTCGGGTGGCCCCCATTCCCCACAGCCAATCAGCCTCCTGTTGCTTTTCTCTGCTGGATACTTCTCCAGGCCACCCTCCTCTTCATCCCTAACTGACAAAGCCCAAGCTCAGGCCTCATTCGTCTCAGGTTTCCTTCTTCTACTGCGACCTCTCCCATCCATGCTGCTTGGAGGCAGTGGCTGGGACCCTGTAAACACGACCTCACAATGTCATTTTATCTCATGGCTCCCTGGTCACCTACAGGACAAATCCCATGTTCCTTTCGTTGCCCTGCAGGACTCTCCAGCCTTCTATGTGGCTCTTTGGGTTTTTCATCTCAAATCTCTGCTCCAGAACGCCAAGCTATTTGCAATTCCATACACACGTTTGGTGAGTTTTAGCCTGTTTCTTTTCTCGTGCGGCCCCCACTTTGCCGGAATGCCTTTCCCTCCCACAGGCCCCCTCCCATGGCCCACTTTTATTCATTCCGTAACACACAGGTCAGCCTTGGTTGCCTTCAGGGAGCCTTCTGGAACTGGCTTTCCTCTTCATTATGGCTTCCATCTTACCTTGTGTGTCATGGAAAGGGCACTTCTACCTTAGTGTCAGTATTGGGTTTCTGCATCTCACTCAGAGACGATAAGTAGGCTGTGTGTGTGATACCCTTCCGGGTTCCCAACGTTGGCCAACTCAAGGTATGACACAGATTAGGTGCCCAGTGAGCCCCAGCGGGGTGGATGATCTGATGATGTGCTGGGCTTTGAACGAAGGGCACACTCAAGTAGGAAGTGGGGGATGAACTGAGTGTTCCTGGCGGGGTGTCAGGAGGGGTAAGGGCTCACGGTGCATGGGAGTTCCTGGTTGTACTAGTCAATGCCTTCCATCTGTATTTCAACTGCAGGCAGCTGTGTTAATGGTAAAGAATAAACCTGCAGAGGCATACCTCCATGAGCTAAACACACCCACATGACAGAACACCAGGTTAAAGCCCCTGCTGCCACCTGCTGGCAAGGTACCCTTGGCTCCTATCCTGGCAGGAGAATAACTTTTATTCCTCCTGCACAACAGACTGAGCCACACCTCTGTGCCTCTGCACATGCTGTTCCTTCTCTCTGCATGTCTTTCCCTTCACCTGACTGACTGACTTGCAGATATATCCAATTCATTTTTCCCATGCTTACTTAAATTCCAACTCCTTTAGGATGACGGCCCTGAAACCCTCCTCCACTGGCACCTCTGCAGAATCCATGACACACTCAAACACAGCACCTAGAACATTTGATGACCGACAAGGCTCTGTGTATCTGGGTGCTTCAGGATGGGGTGATGGCAGAGGGAGATGAGTGGCTGTGTCCGACTCACTTCTGAGTTGTCAGAGTCAATGAGTACAGGACTGGCCTAGTTCACATATTCATTCAACATATGAATGAATGAATGTTGCATGAGAAAACGTTCAACCATAGGTCATTTTTAGTCCAGGGCAGACAAACGAATTGTTGGTGGACTGGAGTCATCAAGGAGGAGGTGTTTCGGCAGTGTTTCAGGAACACGAGGATGCTGAGCAGTGGAGCAAGGAGGAAGAAGTCATTCTCAGGGCAGCGGCCACTATGAACAAATCCTCACACAGAGGAGAGGCAGGCTTGGGTGTTTTGGAGAAAGGTGTGATATGGTGTGGGGCAGCTGGAGGGTGGTTTGTGTGCTGGGGTTGAGAGTCCTGTGGTGGGAGAGGCAGAGTGGAACCAGATGTCTCAGGCTACCCCGCCATCCTTGTGCTCAAGCCAGGGCCCTGGGATCGGTGCTCTGTGCTTTCCCATCTGGGAGAGTGTGGGACCTCTGCTCTTTCTTCATGAATGTGGAAACTCAGAACTGAAGGACTCTCTGTTTAGGCAGATGGCTCCACTGAAGCAATAAGGATTGTTAAAAGCCGAGAGAGAGCAAGGAAGCCCAAGAGAACACAGGAGAGTATAGGAGCTGCAGAACGCGTGAGAATCCATAAGCTTAGGTGCCCAATTAGTGGCCAAGGGTTTACTTTGCAGAAGGACTGTTTTCGAGTAGGCTATGACTTGATTCAGTTAGGGATGGGTCCTTTGGGCACTTGATTCACTGGAGACAGTTCCAGGTCTCCAACCCTTTGGGGGATTTGATGTGCCTCCCAAAGTTGAAGCCGTGTGTCTTTTCACGTCAGCCTATCCTTGTTCCCTAGCCCTTGCTTATCTCTAGGGAAACTGGTGTGAACAGCTGGAGAGGCCTAATGCTCAGGCCTGTCTGACTCCAGAGCCCATCCTCTCTCCTCTTCCCCAGGCCCCCTCACCTGCACGTCTCCAATGATGTCCTCCATGACCACATCGTACTGAACCAGGAAGTCAGCCATGATGCCTGACCCAGAGATGGACGACTGGTCTTGCAATGTCGGGCAGTAGGTGATTCGGACACAGGTCTCTCCCCTCTCGATCCTGGTGGATGGGGGTGAATCCACCTCACCTGTATGGGTGGGGAGGATCGGGGCGGGGTGGTACAGAGGACTCGCAAGACAGAAGAACCAGGGAAAGGGCAGCACAAAGGGTGCTATCTGGGGAGGGTGAGAAGTCTAACTCTTCCCCAAACCTCTGGTGCCTCCTGCCTACATCTTTCCACCTGCCCCATGCTCCTCTCCCAGTCCCACAGCCAGCTCCTCTCTGCATCCTCCATTGAGCCTAGCCGGACAGACCCAACCTGGCCATCAGCTCCCAGGCCCTGGCAATGTGGCCCTCACTGGCAACCTCACCCTGCTTCATTTTCCGTGCAACCTGGGGCCAAGTCTTTGGAGGCGTGGCATGTCCGGAGGTACGCCAGCAGCCCTCGCCTCCTCCCAGAGAGGCAGTGCAGTCAGTGTGTGTCCAGGAGACAGACAGACAGACACACAGACAAGGTCTAGGTCTCCTCTCATTCCCCCACTGCTGTGGGAAACAGCAGCCTAGCAAGGTTGTCCTCTGGGTCGGATTTCATATTTCTTCTTCCCTCTCTGCCTTCTGACTCTGGGCATCATGTGTGTGAACAAGCCTTTTAGAGTCTCATGAAATCACAGATGACTCTCTAGTCCCGGATGTTTGCTGAGCTGGCCACAAGATCAACTCCTCTGGAATCCAAGACAAATGTCCATTTAGAAATGTCACTGTGCCTCCTTTTTTTCCAGAAAATGGAAACTTGGGAATTCTGCTCCCCCTCCTTCCTGCCACAGCTGTCAGGAAGCTCAGGGGCACACTGAGCCCCATACTCTCTGAGGCGCCTGCTCACATACATTCCCTTGGCTTCCTTCCTCTCAGAGCTCTTTGTTCTGTTTTCTCCCCCACAGGATTGGTCCTACCCTCTGTTTTAACCTTTAAGGAGAATGGGGGAGGGATCTGCCATTTATAGCTTAGGGCTGAAGAGTGCGGCCTGCCCGGACTCAAATGGCCTGTGGGTCCAGGTTCCAGCTGCTGCTGTGTGTCCCTGGACAAGCGACTCATTCTCTCTAAGCCTCTGGCTCCTCATCTACAGCACAGGCATGACCACAGCTCCTACTTCATAGGCAGTGCTTGTGGGAAATAAATGAGGCCATTCATGTAAAGCGTTTGGAGCCATACCTGCATCTCAGTGAGTGCCACCTAATGCTAATGAGTAGAATGATCGTGCAATCTTCTCTGCACCACGTAGTTGGGAGGGAGGAATTCTCTCAAAGTCTCACAGTGGTCCTGAGCTGTAGATGGCATCTCGTCCATTTTACAGATGGGAAAAGTGAAGTCGAGCAATGGAGTGACTGGCTTTGATCGTCCCACATTAGGGGAGTGTCAGCACTGGGATTTGGATCCAGTCTGTGTGTCTGTCTGTGTCTGTTACATCCACTGTCCACCCCAGTGCCTCTCTGGGTCAACAGAGTCGAATGAGTTGGGACCTCCAATGCTAAACAGCTTTGGAGGGGCTGCCACATGAGCCAGGGATTTCTCTGCACCTGTCCTCTCATCTCTCAGATGAGGTGAGCAGGCCAGCTCCGTGATTCTCCAACCTGGCTGGATGTCAATGTCCCCTGAGACTGGTTGATGACACAGCTTCCTGGGCCCCACCCCCATGCTACTGAACCAGACCCTGAAGGCTGGGCTCCAGGAATCTGCATTTCTAGGAGCCCATGTTGTGATTCTGATGTAGCCAGTCTGGGCTTCCAAAACCTCTAGGTGACATTTGAAGCAAACTTCTGAGGCAGGATGCTTCTCTTCCCTCCAGGGCCTGAGATGGTGTCCTCCAGGGAGCCTGCACTTGCTGTGCACTCACTCTCCTGCCATTCTCAGTGGGGATCCAGGGAAAAGCGTGATTTGGCCAGTGTGGCTTCTACAGCCTTCAACATGGTTAACATATGATTTAATTTCATTAGCCCACCCAACAAACCCTCCCTTATCACTGATTTTTTTTTTTTTAGGGAAATCAAGAGTCTGGGAAGTTTCTAATGTGCCAGGTCATATAGCCTGTAAGGACCAGGCCAAGGTTAAAATCCAAATATTTTCACCTTCAAACATGCCCTCTTCTCACTGAATCAGGAAGGAACTTGGCAGTGAGTACAGAGCAGAAGTGGCACTAGAGGGAAACCCAGTGGAATCGATAAGGTTTTCATTCAGTGAAGGCCAGTCTGATGGGTGACCCATAGTGCTGCCCACATACTTGCATGGGCATTGGTGCGCAGACGGCCGGTCCTCAGGGGTGGTATGTGCACATAGGAGATGCCTGTCCTTTCTGACACTGTAACCTCTATGCTCAGCCTCTTCACCAATTGGCCAGGCCTCAGGCTCACCACCAGCTGGTACTGGCCCTGGTGCCGCTGAAGCAGTTCCTCATAGGCCAGGGAAAAAGTCACCTCTGTGCCTGCTGCCAGGCTGGTGGAGATGCGGAACTTCTCTGATTCCCGGTCCCTGGGCAGGAAAGGGAGGATGGTGGGAAGAGAAAGGGACCTTCAGAGGAGTACAGGGGCTGTTAGATGACCTAGTTTTGCTCCCCCCAACCCTGGTCCCAGCCGACCTGACTAGGCTTCTGGTTCAACTGAGTCACTGGCTCATGGTCCGTCATCCATGCATCCACTTATCAGTCTCTCTCTCCCTCCCTCCCTCATTCAGCCTCCTAAATATTCTGCTTGAGAAATTATCTCACAGGTGGTCCACCCTTAAGGGAACTTAGTCCATCAAAATCTGAATATATAACAGACCAACTAGGGTCTAATGATTCATTTTACAAAAGAGTTTTCAATTTACATACAATGCCTCAGCCCCTTCAAATAGACCCTCCTACTATCCTCTCCCCTATGCTTTTGAAGGAGCTTGTTTATATGGCAGTAACTCAGTTTGCTGGAGCCAAAGCTAAAGTGTTTGCTCCATGAAACTCTCTTGGAAGCTGGGAGGAAACACTGAAGGAAGACAATACATTTCTGCCCGCTGAATGGAACTCAGGAAACAAAATTCAATTTAGAAAAATCTCACTTGCATATAACCTTCCTGGAAGGTGCCAATTCTTAAATAAGCCACAATCTGCTGACAGTAGAAAAGTAGAAATGGGGAAGTAAATTTCCATTTATTGAACACCCACCCTGTTACAGGCTTTGATATTCATTAACTCACATCATCTTCACATGATCCTGTGAAGTAGAGGTCATGTCCCCACTCTGCAGAGATGGAGACTGAGGACCAGAGAGAACGTGCATCTCCCCTGATCACACAGCTAAGATGATTAAGTCATGTTTTGGACTGGATGGGGCCTTACCTGATGCCTACATGAGCAGCTGTCTTTCCCTGCTGATGGGCTTCTTCATAGATTTTCTTTGCCTGGTGCTTCTCTTTGACTTCTGCAATGTAGACTTTATTGTTGATGGTCCTAATGGGGCAGGAAAGAGGAGGGACAGTAGAGACAGAGAAAATAAAGAGTTGGTCAGAGACAGAGAAAGAGACACATGAGGTAGAAAGAGGAGGGTAGAGATAGGGAAAGAGAAAGAACAACACAGTGCCATAAAGCCCCAGTGTGAGCGGCAAGAAGAGAAGAAGAGGAAAGGAGAGGGAGATAACAGAGTGAAGTAGTTATCATTATCTCCATTTGTCAGATGGGGAAATAGAGGCCACACAGCATATGGTGGATCTGGTTGTTAGAGTCTTGTGTTTCCCAAAGTGTTGAATGAATTCTACCTTTTGGCACACAGCATAATTTTAGGTACGATATAACCGAATATTTTTATTATAATTGTTATGTATTTACAGTAATGTTTCTTAAATTACAACTAGCACATTAAACCCATGATCTCATAGATATTGTTGCTCAGAATAAAACTAACTCAGATCATCTCAGAAAGTATATCTATTGAAAAAATATATTGGGTAAATAATATGGCCATATTAATATAAAAATATATTAAGTAAATACTGTGGGTGGTAAAAGTGGTAAAAATTGTGAAAGAAGTGTGCAAATTGTTGCAAAGTCTTCTGGGCCTGACTAGGGAGGAGGCCTTGTCCTCAGGGAGCTCAGAGACTGATGAGTTACAAGCAGACTTGCTTACCCCCATTCTCCCCATTTCTCTAAGGAAGGTAATAAAGTGAAAAGAAGCTCAAAGAAGGGAGAGAACACTTTTGCCCAAGTCTTCAGGAAAGGGTCCTAGAGAAGGTAGTCTTGAAGCTAAGCCTGAAAGACAGGGAGGATATGGATAAATAATCCTCACTGGCCATGCCTTCTCAGTTTCCTCTGTTGGCTCTTTCTCTTCCTAACCTCTAAATCTTTGGAACACTCCAAGGCTCTGTTGTCAACCTTTTATCCTCTCCCCTCCCTCCCTCTCCCCTTCTGTCCTCTATTCTTTCTACATTGGCTCTCTAGGTGATGTCATTTAGCACCATGGCCTTAAATACCATTTATATACAGATGCCTCCCAAATATGTATCTCCAGTGTGGACTTGTGCCCTGAACTTCAGACCCATCCAATTTCTTTTTTTTTAAATTTTATTATTATTATACTTTAAGTTTTAGGGTACATGTGCACAATGTGCAGGTTAGTTACATATGGTGGCACATATACATCATGGAATACTATGCAGCCATAAAAATGATGAGTTCATGTCCTTTGTAGGGACATGGATGAAATTGGAAATCATCATTCTCAGTAAACTGTCACAGGAACAAAAAACCAATTTCTTACTTGACATCTCCACTAGGATGTTCCATAGACACCTCAAGCTGAACAGATCCAAAACTGAGCTCCTGACAACTCTCCCCTCCCAAATCTGCTCCTCCTCTGGTATCTTTGTTTCAGGACATAGTTGCTCAGCTAAAAATCTTAGAGTCATGTTGGATTCTCCTCTTTGTTTCACAATCCACATCCAATCCATCAGGGATTTTCAGCTCCATCTTTAGAAGACATCCACAATCTGACTGACTTCTTACCACTTTATTTGCTGCTGTACCCCTGGTGTCTGGAATATGGCTTGGCACAGAGGAGGTGCTCAACAATTATTTGTGGAGTGGACATCCTGGACAGACAGCAGGAAAACACAGAATGTGTTTCAGGGGACAGCAAGTAGTTAAATTTGACTGGAGTGGAGGGGCAGGGAAGGGAGGTATGGAGAGAAAGTTGGGGTGGTTGAGTGGGCCTAGAGAATAGGGGGCTTTGAACACAAGACTCAATGAGCTCATACAGCAGCAAAGACTTTTTGCCGTGGAGAATGGAGAGTCTTGGACAAATCTTGAAAAGGGGAAGGATGGATCAGAGCTGGCCTTTGAGGAGTGATAGTTGGGTGTCCTAGAGAAAGTTAGTGCAACTCTGTAGGACGCAAGTACAACAGTTTCCATTTTACAAGTGGAGTAACTGAGGCACAGGTATCAGGAAGTTGCTTGACCAAGGCAGCAGCTTCCAGGAGCACTGGGGGAAGATAGGCTGGTGGCAGAAGAGACCACTCAGGGAAGAAGTGTTTCTAGGCAGTTGAAACAGAGTATTGCTGTGGCTGGGCTAGTGTGGGGGTGGGCCGAGTTGGCACCTCCCCAAGGTCTCCTGGGGGGTGAGGGGGGTAGGGTGGAGCTGGTCTGGCAGCAGGACACTGGGGCCTCTGTGTGTGTGCTGCCTCCAGCCAGCATACTTTCCACAGAGTCTGCCCAAGAACATTTCCTCCAGCCTGCTTTGCTTAATTTTTTTTAAAAAAATCTGTTGGTGTTTTTTTCAACTGAAGCAAAAATCCAAATTCTGCCTGACTACTTGGCCCTTACATCATTTGACTGCCAGCTTCTCTGGTTAGCCCCCCATAGTCCAAACCCACGCCTGCTCTTTTTGGTCCTTGATTCCCCTGGGTCCCAACATGCAATGATCTTGGTCCCTTCAAATCTTACCCATATGGAAATCCTGCTTTCAGGGAGCCCTCCTTGACTGCCTCAGCACTTCTCCCCCAAATTCCCTGGCTCTGACTCCATACCAATCCCCTCCTCTAACCCAATCCTTCTCCAGGGGAAGTGCCAGGAGGTTCTTGATGGCACAGCCTAGGCCCACCCCAGGGCTGCTGTTTGAGGTTGTACAGATTATTGATGGCACAAGAACCTCCTCCCAACTAACAGGGACAAGCGGGGCTGAACAAGGGTGGATATTCTGCTTGTGCTGGGCTCACTTATCTGGTAAATCTGATAGTCCCTCTACCCAAATCCAGGGGCCTTTTTGTAATTCACACTAAAGTGTGATACTGGCTACTGAGGCCCCACTAAGCTTTCCCTTTATCTGCTCCAGCTCCCTTGTTTATCACCTCAACAGGGTACTGTCATCTACCAGGTCTAACAAGCCGAAAAAAGGTAAACACCATCTATATTTACTTACTCTCCACTACAGTCAGGTTGTTTCTCTTTCGATAGTCTCTCAGATCCACCACCACTGTCCTGCTCCCACCTTCAGCAACTCCTACGTGGATTCTGCCCCTGTTTGCCTACTCAGCTCCTGGCCACCTAGCCGGCCCCTCCAGTCTGCTACCACTTCACAATCACCTCTCCTTGCTTAACACCTTGCCATGTCTCCTTATTATGGCCCACACTTATTTCTAAAGAGGGGTGCACATGTCCCAGGGGATGCTGGAGACAAATCGAAAGGGAGTGGAAAAATAATATTCATACTCTATTTTAGGGCTTTTTCCTTATCCTTTAGGGATTAATATTTATATGCTTCATAATGTACCTAATATATTTGCTCAGCAGTATATTTATATAATGCATAAATGAATAAGTATATATGTTTTGAGAGTATAGGATCAAGTTTTTCCTGATAGGTGTGCAAACACATAAGATGGTTTGGAGACCATTAAGTGAGACCCAAGGAGGTGCTCTAACATTGAAAGTCCTCCACAGCCTAGTCTTTCTCTGCCTCTCACATCTCACTCTTCTACCACTCTTCTACCTCTTGTCTGTCCCTGACAGTACAGTGACACAGAAGTACTTGCAGTTCCCCTAATTAAGGGAACATTTGTGCCTTTATTCCTTTTTCCTGGATTCCTCCAGTCCTGCCCTCACCCTGGTTGCCTGGTGAAGATGTCCTATTTCAAGCCTCAGTTTAGGTGTTATCTCTCTGAGGTTTTCTCCACCAGCCTGGGAATAGGAAACCCACCATTGTCTTCTGGTCCACCTCACCATTCCAACCATTCCACATTCAGACTTCAGTTTTCCCCAGCATACTTTATTAAAGTAATCTGCTCACTGCTCCCCAACCCAATGCTCTTTTTTAGAGACAGTCTCACTCTGTCACCCAGGCTGGAGTGCAGAGATCATAGCACAGTGCAGCCTCAACTTCCCATGTTCAAGCAATCCTCCTGCCTCAGCCTTCTGAGTAGCTGAGACTATAGGCATGCACCACCACACCCTGCTAATTTTTATTTTTTTTCTAAAGATGGGTTCTCCCTATATTGCCCAGGCTAGTCTTGATCTCCTGGCCTCAAGCAATCCTCCCACTTCAGCCTCATGAAGCTCTGGGATTACAGGTGTGAGTCACTGTGCTGGGCCAGTTTCCTTTTTTATATCCCCCCTTAAATTGTGAACTCTCTGAGGCTAGGGACTATATGCAGTTCACCTTCCTCTTTCTGTTGGACTCAGCACAGTGTAAGTCACACACTCAGCACCAGGAAATGTTTGTTTAAAAAGCAATAAAGCTAATATTATCAACTACTTAATATGTGCCTGGAGCTAATTTTAGCATATGTTTCCATGTATATTAGTTCATTTAATCCTTGAAAGTGAGTTCTGGCCGGGTGTGGTGGCTCATGCCTGTAATCCCAGCACTTTGGGAGGCCGAGGTGGGCAGATCACGAGGTCAGAGATTGAGACCATCCTGGCTAACACGGTGAAACCCCGTCTCTACTAAAAGTACAAAAAATTAGCCGGGTGTGGTGGCATGCGCCTGTAGTCCCAGCTACTTGGGAGGCTGAAGTAGGAGAATCGCTTGAACCTGGGAGGTGGATGTTGCAGTGAGCTGAGATTGTGCCACTGCACTCCAGCCTGGGCAACAGAGCGAGACTCCATGTCAAAAAAAAAAAAAAGAAAGAAAGAAAAAAAGAAAGTGGGTTCTAATTTTATCCCCATTTTGTAGATATGTAAAATGAGACTCCCAGAAATGAAGTAACTTGCCCTGGGTCCCAAACTGGCAGAGCCAGGATTCAGACTCAAGAAGTCTGATCTCAGAGTGCATTGTCTTAATCACTATGCTCTGCTGACAGAATAAGCACAAGAACGAACAAATATATGCACAAATGAATGAAGTGGTGACTTTGGAAGCAGACTTACATAGTGAAATTGGAGATAAAGGCAAGATGAGGCAGATCCAGGTCAAAGATGGCTTCATGGGCTTCAGCATGTGGATTAAACAGGACAGAGGTGACCAAGGTGTGGGCATAGCGAGACACCACCGTGGAGCGCATAGAATAGCTTGTCATTAACAACTGAGAGAGAAGACAGGAGGAGGTGTTTTAGGTAGACTATGTCCTCAGCCTAGATGGGCTAGTCTTTGGGAACCCAAGATTCCTACACAGGCCTCAAAGTATACAGGTGGATAAACTAAGGCCTAGAGAGGGAAAACAACCTCTGTCATCCATTTGGTGGATCTGCCTGATTACTTCAGCAAGCTTTATCAAGTCTCAGAACCCAAGACTCACAGAAGATTAGAGATCAAGGGACCTCTCTGGACAAGCACTTCTCTAACTTTGATGTGCACATGAATCTCCTGGAAAGCTTGTTAAAATGAAGATTCTGATTCAGCAAGACTAGGGTGAAGGCTGAGATTTTATCTTTCTAAAAAGCTCCCATGGAATGATGCTGCTGCTAGTCCACAGATTTCACTTTGAGTAGCAAGGCTTTAGAATATAGCAGAGCATCCGCCATTCATTGAATCCTACTCTGTCCAAGGCACTGTGATAAATACTGATTTTTTTCTTCTTTAGGATCTCAGGTGTAAAGAGTTGCACTTATAAGCACAATCATGCACTGCAAGCATGGTAAGTATCTGGCATCCATGATGAGGGCACACAGCAAGTACAATATCTATCTTCTTCCTCTCCTTTCTTGAGGCAATGGTCCCTCTATCTACCCACACGTGATGCAGAGCTAGTTCCTTCCCAGTGTGGGGCAGTGGGAAATGAGGATGATTTGAGATCAGACGGTTCTGCCACTTCCTAACTGTGTCTTAACCTTGGAACCTCTGTTTTCTCTTCTCTATAATGGGGATAATAATATAGCCCAGCTCACAGAGATGCTGTGAGGACTAAATGAAATAATAATTCTGGGACCCCTGGTGCAGCACCTGACATGTGCTCAGCAAATAGTACCTCTTTTCTCTGGCTCTAGTTTCTCAGTCATAGGACTGAAGAAACACACTGAATAACCTTCCCAAATTTCCCCCAAGAAGCTAATTTTATCACAAATCCCCAAGCTTTTTTCCCTCATCCCAGAACTGACCTTTGTGCTTGATGAAGCGGGGACAGGGGGTCCCTGGTATGTCAGTTCAAGAAGAATGGTCAGCAAAAAGCTGACACAGATGAGGTACCTCCACCCAGACATGATGCCACCTCTGGCCTGGATCTGTTGTTCACATCCAGAAGATCTGAGCCCGATCTCCAAACCCTTGCTCTTTTAAACCTCCAGGTATCCCTTCTCTTGAGAGGGAGGGACCATCCTGAAGGGTGGGGAAGGCTCTGAATGTGGCATTGAGGCTCACACAAGCCAGGATTGTCCAAGAGCTGGGGCTGGCATCTTGCCTGGAGAAGGGCCAGTTCTACGCTTCCTTTTTTCCCCTCATCCAGCTGTAAGATGAATGGAAACTAAACATACCAGAGTGCTGGGTCTGTCTGTTTGCTGTGTTGGCTCAGGGTGGGGTTTTTCTTTCCTATAAACATCCACAGGAGCCCAGTAACTGGGGCCAGAGAAAGGTCACTTAGCACTGATCATCTTAAAAAGGTAGTGGCGATGAGAGAGGGATTGGCAAGGCAAGCCCCCAATACTGGTCTTCCCTGGTATTATTGACTTTAGCCTAGTGCCGGGAGGGACTTACTCAGGATCCTATAACAATTTAGGGGTCCCATAGACATAATAAGACTTACAATCTCTAGAATAGCCAGAGGCCAAGACAGGCTGGGGCAGGACTGAGAAAGAATATAACACAGTGGTTTCAAAATACAGGCTCCAGACCCAGACCACATGGGTTTGAATCTCAGTTCTGCCACTTACTGACTGTATAATACTGAGCAAGTTAATTAACCTCTCTGTAGCCTCAGTTTCTTCATCTATAAAATAAGAATAGTAATAGCACCTACTTCATAAAGTTCTTATGAAGATTAAGTGAGTTTGTACTTTTAGAATGCTTGGCACATGGTAAGTGATCAGTAAATAGCTGCTAGGAGGAGGGCAGGATGAGGCATGACAGAGATCAAAAGTCTGGAAAGCTCCCTGTCCTCTGAGACCTGAGTGGAGGGAGAAGGGAGGAGCTGAGGTGCTCTGGACTCAGGATCTGCAGGTCCTGTGGAGGGTGGGGGTGAGGAATGGGGCTGAGAAAAAGGAAAGTACTTGAAGGTCTGCACAAGGACTATCAGCCTCAGTCAGAATCCTGCCGACCCTGGCCCTCCGGCCTCTACCCATCCACACAGGGAGCATAGACAGCTCCAGTACTTACTCTCAGGGGCAAAATCTCTGATGACATTTTACAAACTGCCCCAGGAACACTCAGATTTGTCCTAGGGCATTTGGCATCCCAACAAAGTCTTCTCATTCTGGCATCTGTGGGTCCCAAAACCTGTCAGTTGCCACCTCGCACAAGTCCGCACCAAGTTTCCTCTCAGGATTTCCTCACGAGGGAGAGTCCTAGCTAGAGAACAGCTCTGCTTATACAGCAACAGAGAAAACTCCCATCGGCTACCCAGTCCTTTTCTCTTAAATATGAATGAGTAGCCAAGGAGCCTCAAGCAAATTAAGGAAGCCTGTAGCATGAAAGCAAAATACTAAAAGAAACAAATAGAACAACTGACCCTAGAGCAATTTGAGGATCTGGGAAACAAAAGAGAACTTCAGGGGAAAAATTGATACTATTCTGAATAAGATTCAAGAAGATATAACATGCATAAAACAAGAACTAGATGCCATAAAACAGGAACAATCAGAGAAAACAGAGATTCCTTAGAAATTAAAAATATGTTACTGAAATAATACATTTTCCAGGACCAGGAAATGAGGAAATCTTCCAGAATGTAGGGCAAAAAAGCCAAGGCAACAGAAAATGTGAGAGAAAATTTAAGAGAGATGGATTAATCTAGCAAATTAGACATTCAAATAATAGGAGTTCTAGATAGAGAAAACAAAACAATGAAGGAAACTTTATTGAAAACATATTAGGCCAGATGTGGTGGCTCACATCTGTAATCCCAGCACTTTGGGGGGTTGAGGCGGGAGGATCGCTTGAGGCCAGGAGTTTGAGATCAGCCTGGCTAACATAGTGAGACCCTGACTCTACAAAAAAAAGTAAAAAGAAATAGCCAGTCGTGATGGCTCTCATCTGTAAATCCCAGCTACTTGGGAAGCAGAGGCGGGAGGATTGCTTGAGCCCAGGAGTTCGAGGTTACAGCGAGCCATGATTGTGCCACTGTACTCCAGCTTGGGAGACAGAGTGAGACCCTGTCTCAAAAAAATAGATATATTAGAAGTTATAATAATTTCCTACACCTGAAGAAGGATCTCCAGACAGGTGCCCAGAACAGTGAATCCAGGAAACAGTGAAGCCAGGAAACAGTGAATCCAATTCAAGCAATAACTGCAGCAGCCTCCTTACTGGTCCTCCTGCTTCAGCCTTCATCATCCCCTTTTCTGCCTCCCACCAGTATATTTTTACAACAACCAGAGGGATCCTTTTGAAACCCAAGTCAGATCCTGTCCCCTTTTTGCTCAAAACTCTCCTGTGGATCCTGCTTGTGGCTTACATGGCCCTATGTGAGAGGGGTCAGTGAGGCAAGCCCTCATTACCCATCTGACCCCATTTCCTATTACTTCCCTTCCTGCCTTCCTCCATCACTCTAGCAACTCTGGCCATTGTGTTCTTCAAAAGTGCCAGGCATGGGGAAAAAATGCCAGGCATGATCCTGTCCCATGGCCTTTGCAATGACTGTTCTTTCTGCTTGGAATGTTTTCTCACCAAGTATCCACTTGACTAGTTCTCTCACCTTATGCTAGTCTTTGCCCACATGCTACCTTTTCAGTGAGTGTTTCCCTGACCAACCTATTTACTTATTTTTTAACTTTTTTGTTATTGATACATAATATTTGTATAAATTTATGGGATACACTGATATTTTGTTACATGCATAGAATGTGTAATAATCAAGTCAGGGTATTTATGGTATCCATTGCCTTGAGTATTTATCATTTCTATGTGTTGGGAAAATTTCAACTTATCTTTTCTAGCTATTTTGAAATATACAACACATTGTTATGACAAGCCTATTTAAAACTGAAATTTTTCTCCATAGCACTTATCACACATTTTAATTTGGATACATTTTACTGATTTATCTTATTATCTTTTCTCTCTCCCTTACTAGAATCAGCTCCATGGGGGCCAAGGATTGCTATCTGTCTTCTTCACTGCCTAGCCTAATCTCCTAGAACAGTACCTGACACGTAGTAGACACTCAAAAAATACTTGTTGAATGAGTGAATACAATAAAAGCATATAATTCAAGGAAAAAAGAAAGGCTTTTAGAAACTCTGTGTGTGTGTGTGTGTGTGTGTGTGTGTGTGTGTAATTATTCAAGAAAGTCTTGGCCAAATACAAAGCAAAATAAAATGTAATATGATTATGAGCAGCTGATAAGAGTATAAGAAAGATTCCATTTGACCTTGATGCTAGAAACATTCTCCTCTGAGAGGCCCAAAGATTGTGACATTGAACTTGAAGAGAAGGAAGCGTATTCCAGGCTCACTGCTTGGCTAGATTTTGAAAAATATTTACATAGCCATGATAATGTGAATGCTGTTTATTGGGTTTCAGGTCATAGAGTCAACCTGGGGAGACAAAGCAGGGAAGATCTGATTGTGGCTGCAGAACAGAATGTAAATGTTAATAACCAGGGCAATGTAAAAGGAAAGATAAAACTGACAATGTGGGACATTGAATGGGCAGGGGGAGGGTTGTAGCCATAATATCCTTGTCTTAAAAAATGGGGAGTCAAATTATCTGTCAAAATGGATGGAATACAAAATAGAGGTCTGAGTATATTTTTTTCAAGTTATAAAATTAACCAAAAACAAAAAAGGAACATCAGTGTTAACCATTGCAGGGGAGTAGAGGGAAAAGTGAGGCACAGTACATAAACAAAATCCTTACTGCCATCTCTGGGAGTCAATAGGATATTGTCTAATTTTTTTTAAAAAAGAAACATTACATACATATTATCTAGAGTTGTAAAGGGAACCAACAGTAGAGCTAAAACTAAAAACTGTTAAAAGTTGGCTTTGAGGGGGTGGGAGGGAGATGGGGAGGGTTGAGGCAGGGGACTATTCATTTTTATCATATGATCTTCTGTACTATTTCATTTGTTGTCATGTACAAGCATGAAATTCATAAAAATCAAATGTTAAAAACTGCATGTTGATCTCAAAACAATGAAATAATTATATTTCCTATGATGCTTATGACAATATCTAAATGGGCATATGGATATCCAGTTAGACGTGCCTCTATAGATGAAAAACATACTGTAATGTGCCTAGCATATGTCTGTGAAGACTGTTGGAAAGGATATTCTGGGACTTAAATCATTGGACAAAGTATAGTGTAGTGGTTAAGTCTTTGGTATTTGATATTCCACTGACTCGGGTTCAAGTCCTCTCTGTGCCACTCATTGGTCGCCTTGCCTTGGGCAAGTTACCCCTCTCACTTTTAATATTGCCATCTGTGAAATGAGGCTAATGTTCACACAGTATAAAAATAAACCCCTTAAGAGCAAGGGCCACCTCTGGAGAGGTGTCTAATACATAGTTGGTGCTCATTTTCTGTTGAATGGCCTAATCATAGCTCACAAGCTTGTGCTGAGGAAGGACTCAATATACAGAGAACAGGGGAGAATGAGGGTTAGTCCAAAAGTGGGTAGCAGGTTTCCTCATCTATGGGAAATTTGTCTTTTGTTTGACAAAATGTCATTTTTGCTGTGGAAAGGTAACCCTTAGGGCTTAGAGTGAAACAAAGTTAACTAAATTGCCCTACATATAAAAGGGGAAAAAATGAGATTTCACCAGCAGCTCAAGAAAGAAGACATAGGCCAGGTACGGTGGCTCATGCCTGTAATCCCAACAATTTGGGAGGCTGAGGCGGGTGAATCGCTTGAGTCCAAGAATTTTGGACCAGCCTGGGCAACATGGTGAAACCCCATCTCTACCAAAAATACAAACAAACAAACAAAACCCCAAAAATTAGTAGGGCGTGTTGGCATGTGCCTGTAGTCCCAGCTACTTCTGGAGGCTGAGGTGGGAGGATCGCTTGAGCCCAGGAGGTGGAGGTTGCAGTGAGCTGGGATCACACCACTGCACTTCAACCAGAGTGACGGAGTGAGACCCTGGGGGAGGTGGGGGGAAGACAGAGAGAGAGAGAGAGAGAGAGAGAGAGAGAGGATATAGAAGCCTGGAAATGGAAAGGAGAGAAGTTGCCAGCATGTTGGGGGACAGAAAGGGTCCAACAGGGGTGGGGCATGGGGCCTAGGAGAAGGAACAATTATTAGGCCTTTCCCAGTGGTGGGAATGGTTATGGAAATCTGAAGAACAAGAAAGTCTGATGTCCAATTTAAAGTTGATTTCTATGCTGAGCTGCATGGTTTAAATGACTAAAGAAATGACAGGCAGCCTTAAAAGGAAACCTTTGCTACCCTCTCCCAAATTTTCCAAAATTCAGAGATACGGATTCTGTATAGTTTAGGAGAAAGTAAATGTGCTAGGATAGGATTGGTGGTGGGGATATTCTGGGCTTTCCATTTGAGCTTCAGGAGTCTGGAGTCTTGGATGCCTGTGGGACTAGACAGTTCCATCTCTACATTCTGCACTAAGCAATCCTTAGCCTGCCTTTCCTTATCTCCAGAACAGAGCTGCCTGATGATAACGGCTTTTCATCTTTCCTCTTAGTTGATATGTAGGATCTATATGGTCTCAGATATTTCTCTACTGATTTATGGGTGCTAGAAATGGGCCTGAGACCCAGTGACCTAGGTTCTTCAGAGTTTATGGGTGAATGCTGAAGATCAAGATTCCAAGAGTTCACAAGGAGAAGGTGGGAGGAAATCTCTCTGGTCAAAGGGTAAAGATTATGAACTAATTTGTCTTTTCTCCCCCGATAAGGCTGCCTCCTATCCTCTGATCCCCAGGTCATAAGATAAGGTTGTTAATGGTATTATGTTATGAAGGTGGTGGAATTGAGAGGGGTCTGGGGAAGTTTGGGTTTGACAATCTTTGGGAATGCCTCTCTGATGGATTTGGACTGAGATTTCTTCTGACTTCCTGAATCCAATAATATCTCCTAACGTTCTGACTCTGTATTCCTTTAAATTACCCCAGGATCCCAAAGACCACAACTGGGACCTAAAACATTGTGAAACTTAAAATGTTGGAGGTTGTAACCGAGCATAGATATACCAGAAGGGTAGTTGTAGCAGAGGGTGTTCCCCATGGGGACAAAATTGCATAACAAAGGCTCCTAGGCAAGAGAAGGCAGGGCATATCTGGTAATAGTGAAGTGTTCTGTTTAGGTGGAATATAGGCAACTATATCTAGTACTCTCAGAAAAACAGCAGGAAAAGGGCTGGAAAAGCAGTCAGGGCTGGATTTTGGGAGAGCCTTGAAATCAAGCTCAGGCGTTTCTTGGGAAAGCATTCCATACCCATTGTCATGTATACCTCACCTGCTATTCATATCTCAACTCACTGCAATCAGGAAACTGTTGCATGGAATAGACTCTGAAATAACAATAGCTTAAATAAGACATACATCTATTTGCCTCACCTAAAAGAAATCCAGAGGTAGGCAGTTCACGTTGGCTTCATGAAATTGTTACGGATCCAGGTTCTTTTTAGTTTACTAATCCAGTATCCTTAGAGTGTGACCCTAGTCCTCATGGCCTTTATTCTGGGAGGCTATGTATCTAGCTAAAAATCAGGTGACTTATTACTAAGGAAGAAGAGGAGGATGAATACTAGGGTAAGCAATTAGCAAGCTATGCCACAAACATGTGCACTGAAACTATTCCTTCCAAGGTCACCAGAGACCACCACTTGATCGTCAAAATCCCCAGACATTTTTTCAGGTCTTACTTTTCTTGATTCTTGGCACCATTCATCACTATTGACCTTGACTCCTCCCTCCTTTTGAAACAATCTCTTCCCTTACTTTTGTGACACTCCTTTCTCCGGTTTTTTTTTTTGTGTTTGTTTGTTTGTTTTTTTTGATGGTGTCTCACTCTATCACCCAGGCTGGAGTGCAGCGGCACAATCTCGGCTCACTGTAACCTCTATCTCCCAGGTTCAAGCGATTCTCCTGCCTCAGCTTCCCGAGTAGCTGAGACTACAGGTGTGGTCCACCACACCCAGCTAAATTTTTGTATTTTTAGTAGAGATGGGGTTTCACCGTGTTGACCAGGCTGGTCCTGAACTCCTGACCTCAGGTGATCTGCCCACCTCAGCCTCCCAAAGTGCTGGGATTACAGGTGTGAGCCACCATGCCCGGCCCTCTCCTGTTTTTCTCTCTGCCTCTTTGGTCACTCCTTATCAGCCTCTTTCATGAGTTTCTTTTCCTCCACCTATACCAAAGATGCTGTTGGACTGCAGGGCTCTTCCGTGGGCCCATGTCTCTTCTAGCACTACGCATTCACCGGGGTGCTGTTACCCTTTCTCAGGAATTCAAGAACTATTTATGTACTGATGACTCCTAGATCTATAACCTCAGCCTAGACCACTTCTCTGAGCTTCAGATATGTATATTCAACTGCCTGTGGTACATTTCCACCTGGACATGCCACAGGTGCCTCAAAAGCAATGTTCAGTTCTTGTCTAACCTGCTCCTCAAACCCGCTCTTCCTTCAGTATTCCTGATCTCAGTGAAAGGGGTTACCATTCACACAATCTCTCAAATCAGATCGCCAAGAGTTCCCTTTGACACTCCCCTCCTCCTTGCCCTTCTCTTCACAATCCAGTTACTCAAGTCCAGTTACTTTTTACTTCTTTACTATCTCCTCGATTCAATCACTTCTCACTATCTGCCACCACTCTAGGCCAAAGCACAATCATTGCTTACCTAGATGACTACAAAAGTCATAAGCACTCTCCCTGTTTCCAAGACAACACCTAATCCACACTCCATATAGCAGCTAGGTGTTCTTTCTAAAACACAAACCTATGCTGTATCCTTGCCTAGAATTCTTTAGTAACTCCTGGGTGCTCTCAGGATCAACACCAAAGTCCTCATCTTGGCATTCTAAACTTGCCAACTTGCCATGATTTGGAAGGGGTGGGGAATTTGAGATGCCAGAAGTAGAAGAAAAGGAGGGGCTATGTCTAGTGTGGATAAGGGAGAAAATCTAGGAGGCAAGAACATGGTGAACTGATATCACACACTTGGAGAAAGCAATAATTCAGAGAAAGAGAAAAGACAGGAAAACAGAAGCCTGCCTTGAATATGCAAGAAATTTGTGTGTTTGTCTATCTTGAATTATCCATGGAACACAGGGATTCATTATATGTTATTTACATAGTAAAAGGTGACCACATAAAGCAGAAGACTTGTGTCCATTTGAATTACATTTATATGTGGAAAGGCACTGAATATTATTTCTGCAACTAACAGTTGTGCTGAATTTTATTATGGTTTCTAATAACTTTTTAGTTGATGCTCTTGGGTTTTCCAGGTCTGCATTTATATATTCAGTAATTAATGATGATTTGTCTATTTCCTATTATTTTACATCTTATTTTGTTCTCTTGAACAGATCCAATTGGTTATGTGAATTTATTATGTGATAGAGGTGCCATTTCAAAGCAGAGAGGGAAAAGATGGATTAGTTTGCACATGATGTAGAGGTAAGAGACTATGATTTTGAAGAGTAATCAAGCTGAATCCGTATAGAAAATAAATTTTGAAATGATCAAACATCTAAATGTAAATAATAAAGCCACAAAAGTGCTTGAAAAAAAAAACGGGGTTTGTTATAGGAGTGTGAAAAGCATCTTTAAGCAAGCAGCAGAATCCAGTTGTGATGAAGGAAAAATGGATATATTTGACTACATAATAATTAAACATTTTTGTTTGGCAAAAATTATCATAAATAACATGAAAAATATTTGTAATATGTGACATGTACAGGAGAGACATTGCTGGCGGGAATGTTATCCATTTACTTTTTAGGAGTAAGTTGACAAATTTTGCATCAAAATGGAAGACTTTTTTGTAGCATTTGAGCTAGCAAAAAATACCATAAATAACAAAAAGTGCACCAAGCAATCTAAATGTACATGTGTACTGGACTGGTTCAATAAATTATGGGACATCTATGCAAGAAAAGATCATGCAGCTGTTTAGAAAAATGTGCACTAACGGAAAGATGTTTTATATATAACTGGAAAAAAACAGGTCGCAGAACAGAAGGTATGTATAGTGTACCATTTGTCGGAGAGAGAACCTGAATAATTAGTATACGAATAGAAAAAAAATCTGGATAGCAAAATGTTAATAGTGGTTATTTCTGGGAGATGAGTGGCCTTTCATTGGTGTGTTATATATTACTGCATTGTTTGAATTTTTACAACAACAACAAAAGAACAACATATTACCTTTGTAATAAGAAAAAATGAAGATATAAAAATAAATTCAATGAATGACTTGCTTTCAGGGGGCGGTTTGAGTTGGAAGAGCTTCAGACTGAGCCTGGTACAGTGGCATAAACATGGGCTTTGGCGTCAGACAGCCCTGAGCGGGGCCCCATTGCCCCACCCCCGAGGAAGGCGAGGGGGGGTGGCAGGGGGCTGCGGAAAGGGGCTGGGCTGGGTTGGGCTGTCTGCAGCTCTAGTCCAGGAGGCTGAGACTTCGAGAGGGACTTAGAGAAGGCAGACGCATCCCGAACTCGCTGGAGGACAAGGTGAGGGGCGTTGATATTGGGGTTTTATGGAGGTCAGACAGTGGTTCCAGACCCCTCGAACCCATAGCCAGGCAGATGAGCAATTCTTACTGCACCACTGCAGCTGAAGCAGAGGTGACCTGGAGTGGGGTGTAGGCAATGAGGACGACTGAGAAAGTAGTAGGCTGTACAGACTGGGAGCAGAGACTAGCGGAGGGAGGAGGGGAGAAAAACGGGGAACCAGGAATGTTGGGAGGGGGACGAGGAATACAAGGAGGGAGGGGAACACTGAGGGGGAGTGAAGATCCAGAGAAGAGAATCGGGGATGCAGAGAGGGATTAAGGAATACTGAGGGGCAGGGTGTGCAAACGTAACACGGAGGAGGATGTAAGAAATGGGAAGAAGGAATTCTGGAGTAAATAGGAAATGTGAGGTAGGAATAGGGAGTAGGGAGCCAGGCTAAGGGAATACGGAGGGGGGCATAAGGAATGAGGAGCAGGGAGCGGGGGAGGGGCAGACAGGCTGGGACGGAGGCCCCCTAGGGAGGCGGAAAGGGGCGGGACCACTTCCGGCCTAGAGAGGGGAGGGCAGTCTCCGAGTTTCGGAGGGGCTTGGAGTGAGTGGACGCACTCGGGAATTGTAGGAGGACGAGGTGAGCAGCCGGGTCGGCTTTTGGATGAGAGCCCCGCTAGGGGTCGGCCCCACCCTCTGGGATCTGGAGAAAACCTGCCTTAAGGACCGGATCGTACCGGATCCATCCGGCTGGGAAGGGAGGGGACTGGACCCGGTTTGGCCGGGCCCAAGATGGAATCACTAGCTCAGTATTTATTTGAGGAGGGGGTGTAATAGGGAAGGGGCGGAACCAAGATGCGCCTGTTTGGAGGGGGGCGTGTTAGGAAGAAGGGCGGGGCCAAGAGACACTGGACTCTGTAGGGCGTGAGTAGGGGAGGGGCCGGGTCCACCAGACACTGCGACAATTTTGGAGGAAGGCTTGTTGGGCAGGGGGCGGGACCGAATGGTACTGCGGACCTGGAGAGGGGCGTGTGTTGGGGCAGAGTGCCAGACTGAGACCACGACCATTGCGCATGCGCACTATGTTTCGCTAGAAAGGGGCGTGTTGAGAAGGGCCAGCACTGAGAAGAGCCAGCTGCTGAATGCGCATGTGCACGGTGGACATCAAAGAAAGGGCTCGTGCTGGGAAAGCGGGCGGGGCTGAGAGCGGCCCTGCAGCCGACGCGCATGCGCTCTATCGACCTGCGGCTGGGTGGGGGGTGCACTGGGAAAAGGGGCGGGGTCCTCAGAGCTGCCGCGCTGGCACATCTTCCTGGAGAAGGGGAGGGTGCGGCTGCAGAGAATTGAGACTTAGAAGCTTTGAATTCCTGTATCTGAGAACGGAGTCGTTGGGGGTGGTGGAGGGGGTTGGAATTGGGGACCTACGGAAGGTGAGGATCAGCCTCCAGGCACAACAGGGGAGAGGACGTTCAGTGGGCTTCAACTTGACCCAGGCCTTCTCCCCTTCAGGCTCAGCTCTTGCCAGGCCAAATTGAGACATGTCTGACACAAGCGAGAGTGGTGCAGGTCTAACTCGCTTCCAGGTAAGGCCTCTTTCTGTCCTTTCCCCAGCTGCTTTTCCTCTCCAGCCCTTGTTGCTGCCCCCAAGTCCCTTGGCTCTTCCCCTCCCATCCTTGTCCTTCTCCACCTACTTTCCTGCCTGGGTGTCCCCCTGCCCAGTGGAGGGAGGGAGAGAAGGTGGGCGGGCCCCTCTTCTGCCATCAGTTCTTGCTCAGAGGAAAGGGAGGCCTTGTTGGGCTGAGGTGGTCAGAGCACACCGCAGGTAGGAGTCAGTACAGGTCAGAGAAGTGTGGCCTTGGAATTTTGGAGCCATTTGCTTAGTTGGGGGTGAGGAGAAGGTCTATGAACTTCCCTGCTTCCTCTTGCAGGCTGAAGCTTCAGAAAAGGACAGTAGCTCGATGATGCAGACTCTGTTGACAGTGACCCAGAATGTGGAGGTCCCAGAGACACCGAAGGCCTCAAAGGCACTGGAGGTCTCAGAGGATGTGAAGGTCTCAAAAGCCTCTGGGGTCTCAAAGGCCACAGAGGTCTCAAAGACCCCAGAGGCTCGGGAGGCACCTGCCACCCAGGCCTCATCTACTACTCAGCTGACTGATACCCAGGTTCTGGCAGCTGAAAACAAGAGTCTAGCAGCTGACACCAAGAAACAGAATGCTGACCCGCAGGCTGTGACAATGCCTGCCACTGAGACCAAAAAGGTCAGCCATGTGGCTGATACAAAGGTCAATACAAAGGCTCAGGAGACTGAGGCTGCACCCTCTCAGGCCCCAGCAGATGAACCTGAGCCTGAGAGTGCAGCTGCCCAGTCTCAGGAGAATCAGGATACTCGGCCCAAGGTCAAAGCCAAGAAAGCCCGAAAGGTAAGACCTCTGCAGTCACCACCCTTGGTTTTCTACTCCTCTCTCAGTTGATTCATTTGTTCTACAAACATTTAGAAAGATCCCTGTGCTCATCAGGGCTGTGGGGGGCACTGAGAGTAATGTGATGTAATTCCTGTCTTCAGAGAGCTTGCAGACTGATGGGGAGGTGCAATCTGAATGTAATGCAGTTTATGTTTACATAGTAGCTGCCCTGTATTAGGCCTTGAGCTAAGCACATTTATGCAGGTTATCTCATTAAATCTTGAAAGTAATTCTCATAGCCCCAATTTTATGGAGAAGGAAGCTGAGTTCCAGAGAGGTGAAGCGGCTTGTCTAGGATGGTTCAAGCAGAGCCAGTAGTGGGCACAGAAAGAGAAGAAGACTCAGCCTCCACCCACCCTTGGTTTGCTCCTGGCCTGCTAGGCAGATGAAACACCTGCTTGGAAGTCAGTGAGAAACAAATCCAGGGTTCAGCATGGCCAACATCTATTGAGTCAGGCTGTTACTACAGGGGTGGGATTAGCGGGTGCTTCCTGGAAGAGATAGGGAGAGGAAAAGGACCACTTGCTTCATCTGGTGACGTTGAGCTTCCTCTCTGTTGATGCAGGTGAAGCATCTGGATGGGGAAGAGGATGGCAGCAGTGATCAGAGTCAGGCTTCTGGAACCACAGGTGGCCGAAGGGTCTCAAAGGCCCTAATGGCCTCAATGGCCCGCAGGGCTTCAAGGGGTCCCATAGCCTTTTGGGCCCGCAGGGCATCAAGGACTCGGTTGGCTGCTTGGGCCCGGAGAGCCTTGCTCTCCCTGAGATCACCTAAAGCCCGTAGGGGCAAGGCTCGCCGTAGAGCTGCCAAGCTCCAGTCATCCCAAGAGCCTGAAGCACCACCACCTCGGGATGTGGCCCTTTTGCAAGGGAGGGTAAGAACTCTGTCGTTTTTATTCTGCCTTTTCTACTGCCTTGGCTGTCCTTTTCTTTGCCATCGTCTCAAGTTTTCTGCAAACTTGTTTTGGTCTTTCCATCTTTTTCTACTCTGCCAGGCAAATGATTTGGTGAAGTACCTTTTGGCTAAAGACCAGACGAAGATTCCCATCAAGCGCTCGGGTAAAGTCCTACCAATCCTCCCTCTGCCCTGAGCTCTGCCCTCCATTGCCCTTACACCATTGTGCTGGGGATATCCCCTGCTCTTATGCTTATGTCTCTGTCCTCCCAAAGTTCTGATTTGGCAGTGCTAGCATCTCTGTTGATAAGCACAGAACCGGGTTATGCCACCCTTGGTGTGGTTGGCAAAGAGTCTATAGCTTGGGCATCAGGGCCACCTGGCATCTCTTCAGTCAGGTGCTCACAACACTCTCCCCTTGCAGACATGCTGAAGGACATCATCAAAGAATACACTGATGTGTACCCCGAAATCATTGAACGAGCAGGCTATTCCTTGGAGAAGGTGAAGGGGCAGCCCTGGGGGATGGGCACAGTGGGGAAGCCTTGAATTGAACAAAAATGTACAAGTCCCTTCTCGGGAACCAAAGAGACCTGCTAATCCAGCTCCATCGCTATGCTGAGGGGCAGACAGTGGCCTAGGGAGGGGTGTAGATTAGCGATGGGTCACACAGCAAGTCAATGGTAAAAGTGCAGCTAGGACCCAAGACACCCAACTTAATCCTGGCTTCTGTCCGTCCATGGCAGCTCCTGCCATGTATTTGAGATTTCACCTCTCCCTTTCATTCCCCATTCTCTGTCTCCCTAGAGTCCCACTCACCACAAAGATGATGATGACAATAGTACATTTGCAGCGTGTTTACCGGGTGCCAGGCACTTAGCTATGTACTTTGTGCGTATTATCTCACTGATTTCTCACACATGCGAAACTCCTAGGTACATAGGGAGCTGCAGCATGCCCCGGAAGCTGAATTTTGTCATCTCACAAGCTGTTCTCCCCATCCACAGGTATTTGGGATTCAATTGAAGGAAATTGATAAGAATGACCACTTGTACATTCTTCTCAGCACCTTAGAGCCCACTGATGCAGGCATACTGGGAACGTAAGCTGGGAAAGGGCTGAGGTGTGGGGGGCTTCTGCTTTGGCCATGTGCTGCTACTCCTCCTTTGTCCTACTTCCCCCATCCTCTTAGAGAGTCAGGAAAGACAGGGTCTCAAAAGCCCCGTCCCAGTTCCTATGCATAGTTGGAGCCCTGCTTACAGTGGTGGCACCTGATTATGATTGACTGGAGGGTGTAGGAGCCTGGAGTGGGACATTCCTGCTGTCAGGTTTGCTGTCTCTGTAGAAGCTTCCCAGGAAAGCAGGCCTGTCGTTGCTTGCCTCTTCCTACTGGGTGCCTGGCCTGGCTTTGGCAGAGTGGTTCTCAAGGAGGGCTTCCTGGTGTGGGTGGATCAGGATGCATGAAGCGCAGGAGTGTCAGTGGGGCTGAAGGTTCTGGGACAGAAAGAAGGGACTCACATTGACTGAGTGCTTGTGTTGTACCAGGTTGGCAGCCATTCTTCCATCTTCTTGGAAACCCAGGGAAGGGAAAATATGATTTTTTCTATTTTACTGAAGAGTAGACTGAGGCTTGCAAGTCTAAGTGCCTTGCCAAGGGTGGCATAGAGCTGGAAGCAGAGACTGGGTAGAATTCTGTATCTGAGGAATCTGGGAGAGGCTAGCCTAGTGAGTTGGCTGGTGTGTCTGTTGCAGATGGCTGCTGAACATAAACCTCTCTGTCCTGTTATTTCTCTAGGACTAAGGACTCACCCAAGCTGGGTCTGCTCATGGTGCTTCTTAGCATCATCTTCATGAATGGAAATCGGTCCAGTGAGGGTGAGTGGCTGGGCTTGCAGCTGAATGGGTGGCTGTGGTCTAGATTCCATGTGTTCAATTTCTGTCCCTGTCTCCTCTTGCCTCCCCTCGCAGCTGTCATCTGGGAGGTGCTGCGCAAGTTGGGGCTGCGCCCTGGGTATGATTGGGCTCTCTCAGCGCTTGCTGTCCGTGTTGTCCTTTGGCAAGAGAGGACGGTCCTAGGATTGCATCAGTCTGGTGGTCTGGTGGAGCGGGTGGGGTGCTGGACTGGGTAGAGGGCCCAGGGTTCTGACCTGGGTGGATGATGGGTGAATGGTCCTGAACTCTCTGCTCCCTCTCTCAGTGTCTCTTGGGCTTCTATGGAGCTTCCCTCTTGTGCTGGAAACCTCTTTTCCATCTTGGAAATGCCTCTGCCCACATCTGGGAAGTGCCATAGCCTTGAGTGAATTTATTTGTTTATTTATTTTTCTTTTTCTTCTCTCAGGATACATCATTCACTCTTTGGGGACGTGAAGAAGCTCATCACTGATGAGTTTGTGAAGCAGAAGTAAGTATCTCTGTCTGGTGTTCATGTGTCCCATGCATTTGGCCTATTTCAGAACTGAGTGATAAAGCCGTGGTGCATGGATGCATGTGTCTATGTGTGTATGTATTTGCATATTTGCATGTATGCAGGTGGGATTATTCCTTGGGCGGTGATGGGAAACAGGAGCAGCACATGTTTCCTGATCTGTTACATATACCTCAACATTTGTCTTGAGACCAGTTCTGCAAGGGAGGGATTATCATTACCATCATTGTACGTATGCAGAAACTGAGGTTTAGAGAGGTGAAGTCATTTGGTCAGGGTTACACAGGTAGCAAGTAGAAGAGTTATGTTTAGAACTTGGCTCCAAAGCCTTAGTTCTTTTTATTCTGCTAACTAGAGCTTCATAGAAATTAATTTCCGTAAAGAAATGACATAGAATGGTAGCTTCAGGCAACCAGGTACCATGCTGGGGAGTTGACTTGTACATCTCATTTCATTTTCATAACTACCCTGCAGCTGTCATCCCATCCCCGTTTTACAGTTGAGGGACCTGGGGCTCCGAGAAGGGAGATCTGAGCATGGCCCACAGCTGGTATGGGCCTGGAGCCCAGTCCTCTTGAATTTCTGGCCAAAGCTCACCTATCCTTGGTCCTTGGAGGACATGCAAACACTCACACAGCCACACGCATGTGCACACAGAAACACACACAAAGGGTCAGGAATTCAGCATGTGTGAAGCATGCTGCTATTGGCTGTTCTTCCTCTGTAGTCTTTCTGGTCATTTTCTGTGGTGGACCTTTCTGGGCTTGGCCAGGCTGAGGCCAAGACACTTGCAGTGGGGTGTGCTCAGAGCAGGGGGCCCAAAGAATGGCTCCTCTGTTTACAACACACCCAACAGGAATCTGGGGTCATTGTGATGAGGGCGTCAAACTTGTGGCTTCCCTATGAACAAACGTCCCCCAACACCTCTATGTGGCTTCTGGGCAAGACCAGTGGGACAGGGCTCAATATTGGAAGAAAGACTGTAGTAATTAGTGGATGATGTTGCCATCTGGAGCCTGTCCAGTCTATGCATGGGTAGGCCATGAATGGTCTTAGAAATAAAGGCTTTGAACCTCTCTTTCCAAGGTACCTGGACTATGCCAGAGTCCCCAATAGCAATCCCCCTGAATATGAGTTCTTCTGGGGCCTGCGCTCTTACTATGAGACCAGCAAGATGAAAGTCCTCAAGTTTGCCTGCAAGGTAATTGGAGAGCTCCTTGAGCTTGGCAAGTCAAGAGCATGGGGTGCCCCTGGCTGGGGCAGGCTGTGTGCAGAGCAGCCTGCAGTTCAAATCTGAATGTTTTGGTGCTTCTGTTAATTGTCAAAACACTGTAACAGGCACTTTATCTGAATCATTTAAGCCTTACAACCTGATATGTCATTGCCCTGTTACAGATGAGAAAACCGAGGCCCAGAAAGGTTGGTAGGTGACATGTCCAAAGTCATGGGGCTAGGAAGTGTCAGAGCAGGGATGGAATATTAGGTGCATAATTACTGGTAATACTGTATTATTACTATTATCTTTTTATACTAAGCATGTAGCATAGTGCCTAGCATAAAGGTAGATGCTTAATCCTCTTATGCTCCTTCTGATGGTTATTTACATAGTAATACTGTATTATTACTATGGCTTAATCCCTCTATGCTCCTTCTGATGGTTATTTTTGTTTCAGGTACAAAAGAAGGATCCCAAGGAATGGGCAGCTCAGTACCGAGAGGCGATGGAAGCGGATTTGAAGGCTGCAGCTGAGGCTGCAGCTGAAGCCAAGGCTAGGGCCGAGATTAGAGCTCGAATGGGCATTGGGCTCGGCTCGGAGAATGCTGCCGGGCCCTGCAACTGGGACGAAGCTGATATCGGACCCTGGGCCAAAGCCCGGATCCAGGCGGGAGCAGAAGCTAAAGCCAAAGCCCAAGAGAGTGGCAGTGCCAGCACTGGTGCCAGTACCAGTACCAATAACAGTGCCAGTGCCAGTGCCAGCACCAGTGGTGGCTTCAGTGCTGGTGCCAGCCTGACCGCCACTCTCACATTTGGGCTCTTCGCTGGCCTTGGTGGAGCTGGTGCCAGCACCAGTGGCAGCTCTGGTGCCTGTGGTTTCTCCTACAAGTGAGATTTTAGGTATCTGCCTTGGTTTCAGTGGGGACATCTGGGGCTTATGGGGCTGGGATGAGGAGCTGGATGATTCTAGGAAGGCCCAAGTTGGAGAATGATGTGGAGAGTGTGCCAAGACACTGCTTTTGGCATTTTATTCCTTTCTGTTTGCTGGATGTCAATTGACCCTTTTATTTTCTCTTACTTGTGTTTTCAGATATTGTTAATCCTGCCAGTCTTTCTCTTCAAGCCAGGGTGCATCCTCAGAAACCTACTCAACACAGCACTCTAGGCAGCCACTATCAATCAATTGAAGTTGACACTCTGCATTAAATCTATTTGCCATTTCTGAGTTTATTGCTTTTTTTGGCGGGCTGTCACATTTTGGTATCACATTTAAAAATCAGTGAGTTGGGAAAGTTTCCACCTCAGTCTGTGTTTAGTTTGAGGTGATATTGTTGGATTCCCAGGAGCGAGATTAACACACCTTTCTGGGATAGATTGGGCCTCACGTCTAATTGTTGGATTCCCAGGAGCGAGATTAACACACCTTTCTGGGATAGATTGGGCATCACGTCTAGCCTTCAGGGTGGTGGGATTTTAGTGGGGTGGAGTTCAAGAGATTGTAGTTACAGAGGACACACTTTGAAGGAGAGGCTTGAGGTCGGCAAGTCTAGAGCAGAAAGTGTAAGTAGAGGAGACTGGACATCAAATATAGAATCCCTTTTTGAGAAATTTGAATGAGGAGAGAGAGGGGTACAGAGCTAAATGGAGATACAGGAACAAGGGAGCATTTTCTTGGGGAAGGAGAGAGAGACTTGAGTAGGGAGGAGTCAACGGAGAGGGAGAAGTTGAATGTTGACTTTTGCAGCCCAGTCCTGGAGGAGGTGAGAGGAGTTGGGTTGTGGGAAGGCCTGGGAGAAGGGACTACTCGGATAGGACTCAGAGAGGGGGACTGTGAGAGGATGTTGAGCAGTAGGGAGGCCCCAGTAGAGGATGGAGCCCATGATTTTTGGGGGAACATAGCAAGGTGCTCAGTAATCTTGGTATAGGAACCATGAAGATGAGTGTTGGTTTATTCCAAGGTTTGGGTTCTGCTGTTTGGATCTGGAATAAGAACACAGGGGCCGGGCGCGGTGGCTCACGCCTGTAATCCCAGCACTTTGGGAGGCCGAGGCGGGTGGATCACGAGGTCAGGAGATCGAGACCATCCTGGCTAACACGGTGAAACCCCGTCTCTACTAAAAATACAAAAAATTAGCTGGGCGTGGTAGCGGGCGCCTGTAGTCCCAGCTACTCGGGAGGCTGAGGCAGGAGAATGGCGTGAACCCGGGAGGCGGAGCTTGCAGTGAGCCGAGATCGCGCCACTGCACTCCAGCCTGGGCGACAGAGCGAGACTCCGTCTCAAAAAAAAAAAAAAAAAAAAAAAAAAAAAAGAACACAGGACCAGGGCAGTGACTGGATGAGTCTGTACCTTCACCACTGTGTCCATGGTACCTGACATGTAGTAGTTGTACACAGAGTGGTGGAAGAAATGGACCATGGGACCCAGGCAGGCTTGGGGAGGGGGGATGAGGAGAGTGTGTGATAGATTTGGGGACAGTGCAGGAGTCTGTGGATGGATATCTGTGTGAGTGATGTGCATCTGACAGTGCAGAAGTCTCAGTGAAGTCCTCATTAGGAGTGCCTGCTATATGTCTGGCAGCATTCCAGGTATCTGGAAAGGGGTATTGAGAGAATAAGAAGTGTGATCTGGGGGACTAGTCAGACAGTGGGATGATTGTATTTAGGAAGTCACAGCACAGAGAGCTCTGGGTGATGGGGAGGTTCAAGGAATGGGTAGTCGAAGGGTAGAGATGCTTCCTGCGGATGTGGAGTCGGTGGTCTGGGAGGCCAGGGTATTGGTTGGGTTATCCACGTGGACAGTGAGATCACCCAGATGGTGGCAGGAGGTGGGAGAGAGGGGAGCATTATGAGCCAGGTGCGAAAGTACCCACATGTGGTGTCCTCTCAGCTACACTGCTCACTAAGGGACAGGGCCCTCAGGCTATTAGAGATCCACCTCCCTGTTTTGGGGGGGTACTGCCCTGGACCACCTTTCTCCCCACGAAGCCCTCGCCATCTCCAATCCCAACATCACTGGGCTTCTAATCACTGGGACGATCTTGTGGACAATGAGGCCCCGGTAATGGCCACCTCTCCTCTCCTGTAGAATCTATAAGCAATAAAGGAAGGATGTTTATTGCTTAGGGAACAGAATTTTAAAAAGAGAAACACAGCTCCATGTGCAGCAAGACAGCTCCTTACCTGTGGCTGTGAATTGAGACCTGCTGAAGTGATCTTCACTAGAAACAGAGGCTCTTCCATTGAAGATTAGGATATGGTCTCCTCAGGGCCTGGGTAGTACCCAGGACAGGTAGACAAAATCACAGGCAGCTTTGGCCTCCTAGGAAGGACTCTCAGTGGGTACTGTGTCTAGGGCCCCCTCAGATTCTCTGGTGATGTCCATCTGAAAATGGAAGGGGTGGGCGATGATGAGGTGGTGAGGAACTCAGGGACTGTGATGCTAAGAAAAATGAGTTCCAAGTGTTTGATAGAGTTAAGTGTGACCCATAGTCATGCAGAACTCTTCTTTCCTCTTGCCTTCCTTCCACAGGACACTGGGCTTGAAGAGCACCCGCCTCTTCCTCCCTTCCCACAAAGCCTAGAATTTGACAGGAGAAGGGGTTGGCTCTTCCTCACTCCTCACTCCCCGCTCCTCAAGTGTCAGACTGAAGGCAGGTGGGACAGGGAAGGAGAGAGCAGGTCTGGTCCCAGGCAAGCAGGGGAGTGTTCGGAGCAGGGGGAAGGAGTGGCAGGGGAAATGAGAACAGACCCTTGTTCATGTTTTTGCCATCTTTATCAGCCTGGAGGCCGTTACTGTGACGAATGAACTCCCACAATTTTCAGTTTTTTCTTCAGTATATTATTAAGTAAATTCCAAATAATTGTAGATTGTATCATGTATCTTCCCCTTGGCTAGTGGTGGCCAGAGCCCCTTTAGCAGCTGCTCCACCCATTTTTTTTTTTATTATCACCCTTTAAGAAGCCTTTTTAGACATTTTTATCCTAATTGTCCTTCCCCATGTAGTTTTATTTACACAGATATACTGTAGATATCTATTTAATAACTATGTATATTTGTGCTTTATACATAAAAAATAAACCTTACTCTTTTTATTCAATACAGGGTTAATAATGAATAAAATATTTAAGTAAAAAGTTAATGTGAAGGTAAATCAATGTTGAACTGGTGCATAACATCCATCCCTTCTACTATGATAATTTTGTTCATTGGCTCATTGAACAAGCACTGGGTGTCTGGAGAAGAGGTTGACAGACTTCCACGGGCTGGGTAATCATGCACCTTTTGGTGAGCACTCACATGGGACACAAATATCCCCACACAACCCATCCTGAGAGATCTGTCCACTTGCTCCTCATATATATGCAGGCAAATCAATTAGAACTGTGCCTTGCACATAATGAGTACTCTTAAGTATTTTATTACATGGTCATTATTGCTATCAATTCTCCAATCTCATTCCTTCCCAGTCTCTATCTGGCAGACACAATCTGTATTGATCAGTGCCCCTGGCCAAGTCGCTTTCTGGACAGAGATCAACCCACATGCATGGCTGTTGAGTTTTGACTCCGAAGAGGATTTCCTTTTTTTACTTCCCGTCAGGGTCACACCTGAGTGCGGCTGTTGCACCACAGCTCAGCCTCCAGCTAGTTCCTGCTTACCATGTGTGTCATTTGCAAACCATGCTCCTGGGCTTTTTTCCTTCTTTGGGAAGCTGGTTGTTGGGAACTCGGTACAAGGCCCTCGGTGTGAGCTGAGGGAGGGCAAGCAATGCGGCAGGAGAAGGTGTTATGGGGAGGGTGAGCCTCCCGTAACTCACTTGTGCCTGCAGGACCTGCTCCGGTCTGATCTCCTGTGACCACTGCCCTTTGGTGATGAAGCATTGTCATTACCTGCCTGACTTTATGGTTTGGTGGATAAGATGGCACAGGCCTAGGGTGAGCAGCTCAGGTGCATGGTCACTTGGGGTCCCGTGGTTAAGTGCTCATACTCTACCAGGAGCCAGTAGTTCAACCTTGTTGAATTAATCGTCAGGTGCCAGGTGCCACTTCTCAAAAGGTGAGTGGTTATTTGATGAAGAGAGCATGGCTTTTGCTCCAAAATGCTAGAAGCTCACGCTATGATTCTCCAGATGGGGCTTCTCACAGGCTCCACACAGCATCCCAATCTGTCAGACATTTATTTGTTCCTTCAACTGCCATGTATAGTGACTGCAGGGTTCCATGTAGTGAGCACCCTGTGCTGGGTGCTGGGGTGTTCCTGTTCTCAAGACGGCCAATCCGGTGAGGGAAACACTGGCAGCACCGAGGGGAACCATAAAGGGCTGTGGGAGCCCAGAGGAGCTAGTGATTTCCTCCTCTGTGTATAGGCGTGTTGTTAACCGCTGATGGCATGTGTTAGGAACATCTGCACAGGTGCATAGGTCCAGGCACACATTTCTATATGCGGCTATAGGCGTTTCATACATACATTTCATTATGGACATGAGTCAGCAGTCAGCGTGCTCTCGTGGAAGGAGCCCTTGACTGGGAGGAAGGAGCCGTAGGGTAAACTCCCCCAGCTCCCTTACATGGTCCCTTGTGCCCTCGGACACGTCCCTGCCCCTCTCTGGCCTCATATCCAAAGAGCATTGGCTCACCCGGCCTGCTCTCTGGGGGCCGCACTTTAGATAGTGGGTGGGGAGCACCCGGACCGTGGCCTGGTACATGGGGGGTGCTGCGCAAGTGAGAGTTACCTCGACGGGGAGGTGCTTTGTAAACTGGGCCTGGTGCTCTGTGATGAACATGAAGGTGGTGCCGGTTGTGTGCATGCACACACAGGGTTGTGTGCAGGGAGGCATGCCCTGTGGAGACGGCCACGTGTCTAGCTGGGCTCCAAGCTGTGTTGGCAAGGCCAGGCTGGCTCCAGCCAAGATGGCCCTGGCTGCAGGGGCTGCCATGGGCCAGGGTCACACTTCCTGCGGCCTCTGACTCTGCTCTGAGGAGTGGGCCATGGGGGAGTAACAGGTCAGAGTCTACCTTGAGGGGAGGCTGTCAGTCTAGAGATAACAGAAAGGGAGCCACGAGGACGCAGCCATCCATCAGGGCAGCGACTTGCCTGGGGCACCCCCACCTCTCCAATGGGGGAGCTGAGGGCAGGCGGGTAGGCCAGCTTTCAGTCCTGGCTCTGTCTCATCCTAGCTGCCTGCCCTGGGGCCACTCTGCTTCCTCATCCATAAACCAGTGGCAGGAATGCCCATCCCATAGACTCGTGGTGAAGATGAAATGAGCCACATATGCGGAAGCAGATGGCACCATGATTGTGCATAGGTGTCCAATAAATGACAATTGTGACAACAACTGTCCTTCCTGCACTAATTTTCCCACTTGTCCCACCCCCAACCAGTCCTGCCAGAAGGAACAATACCTGTGCTAAGAAGCCCAGGTGCAGGGGTAAATGCTGTGGAAATGGATCCCTTTATTCAGCCAGCACCCAGAATGTGCAGATCACTGTCCTGGGCTGGGGAGAAGAGACTCGGGCCAGGAAAGCCACACATGGGCCAGAACTGGGAGAACTGAAGCCCAGGGCACAGCAACCTGCCTGGGAGGGAGGAGAAGATGAAGAGGGCTTCCTGGACCACACCATGGAGCCAGTGTTGGGCCTTGGAAGGGAGTGGGGAGGGCAAGAAGGACACAGTCATGGGTGGGGACAGGGCTGCCAGTGTGACACCTATGTTGGGGTGAGGAGGGGAGAAGAGTGGTTCAAGGGTGGGTGTCTCAGGGCAGCGGTCTGTGTGACCAGTGATGGTCACCTGCTGACAGAGGGGACAGAGGAGGGCCGTCTAGGTGGGGGAGGTGCACCAGCAAAGGCATGGAGTCATGAGAAAGATGAGGGGACCAGTCAGGCAGAGTCAAGGGGGTCACTGTCATGAAGCAGCTGGCTTTGGGTAGGGCTTGGGTGCCGGGGCCAAGCTCTTAGACCTGCAGAGCAGGTGGCATTGGGAGTCATTTGGTGGCTGGGGCAAGATTGAGTGGCTGACGGGTGGAAGAGCAAGAGTGACAGAATCTGTCTCCCACCTCAGGACCCAGGCAGTGGCTACCCCTACACCCCTAGCCCACCTGGGACAGCCCAGCCAACCCATCTGTGTGTGTGGCCCTCCCTACCTGCTGGCCGCAAGCTGAGAGTCAAGAGTCGCCTCCAATGTGGCCTCTGAGGTTGAGTTTGCTCCCACCACGCTGGCATAGGTAGATAGAGTGGGGCGTGATGGGATATTCATGAGGTAGTATTCTGTGCGGCTGGATGTGCTCTTGCACTCAGTTACCATGTAGCGTGTGCCCACGATGAAGATCTTGAGGTGGGACAGGTGGCTGGGCCAGACCCAAGCAGGAGCAAGGGCTGCTCAGGGGCTAATGGTGGGGGCTCTCTTCATTACTCCCCACTTGCCCTTCTAAATCCACTCCCCATCTATGCCTGTCCCGCTCTGTGCTTCAGGAGACTGACCGTTGCTGATTGTATCATCTGGGCTCCTTGTCCTGCAAGTGAGAGACAATGGCACCCGATGCGCGGAGGTCACAACGAGAGCTTTAGGGTATTTATCCCTATGCCTCCCTATCTGCTGGGTTGTGCTTTAGCTGTCACGAGGCTCCCCTAACTCGGGCCATCAGTTCCCATGGGCCGCTCTTCTTCCGTGGCTGTGACTCTTGTCACTTTCTTTTAACTGCCATTGCACCTTGACCCTTCAGGGCTTGAGGTGGTAATGGCTTTTGGCAGATTCAGTTCCCCCATCTCTGCCCATCCCTTGTGGGTCCTCTAATGCCACCTACCTCTGTAAATTATGTCCTCATGAGTTTACCATCAGTTTGCCCACGGAGTTTGCCATGTGTTTTGGGACAGCATTCTGCCTGACACAGAGAGTGAATGTGAGTGTAAAAAGGAATGAATAAATGTGAGCGAAGGAAAGAGTGGGTGAAAGTAAATGCATGAATGAATGAGAAAACAAGTGTGAATGAGGAATTTTTGTGTGAAACTTTCCTTGTTTATTTTGCTGAGGTTGTAGAATCCACACTGGCCAAATCGTGCTTTTCCCTGGATCCCCACTGAGAATGGCAGGTCAGTGAGTGCAGCAAGTGCAGGCTCTTTGGAGGACACCGTCTCACACCCTGGAGGGAAGAGGAGCATCCTGCCTCACAGACTTGCTTCAAATCTCACCTAGAGGTTTTGGAAGGCCAGACTGGCTACCTCAGAATCACAACATGGGCTCCTAGAAATGCAGATTCCTGGAGCCCAGCCTTCAGGGTCTGGTTCAGTAGCATGGGGGTGGGGCCCAGGAAGCTGTGTCATCAACCAGTCTCAGGGGACATTGACATCCAGCCAGGTTGGAGAATCACGGAGCTGGCCTGCTCACCTCATCTGAGAGATGAGAGGACAGGTGCAGAGAAATCCCTGGCTCATGTGGCAGCCCCTCCAAAGCTGTTTAGCATTGGAGGTCCCAACTCATTCGACTCTGTTGACCCAGAGAGGCACTGGGGTGGACAGTGGATGTAACAGACACAGACAGACACACAGACTGGATCCAAATCCCAGTGCTGACACTCCCCTAATGTGGGACGATCAAAGCCAGTCACTCCATTGCTCGACTTCACTTTTCCCATCTGTAAAATGGACGAGATGCCATCTACAGCTCAGGACCACTGTGAGACTTTGAGAGAATTCCTCCCTCCCAACTACATGGTGCAGAGAAGATTGCACGATCATTCTACTCATTAGCATTAGGTGGCACTCACTGAGATGCAGGTATGGCTCCAAACGCTTTACATGAATGGCCTCATTTATTTCCCACAAGCACTGCCTATGAAGTAGGAGCTGTGGTCATGCCTGTGCTGTAGATGAGGAGCCAGAGGCTTAGAGAGAATGAGTCTCTTGTCCAGGGACACACAGCAGCAGCGGGGACCTGGGCCCACAGGCCATCTGAGTCCCTGCAGCCTGCACTCTTCAGCCCTAAGCTAAAAATGGCAGGTCCCTCCCCCATTCTCCTTAAAGGTTAAAACAGAGGGTAGGACCAATCCTGTGGGGGAGAAAACAGAACAAAGAGCTCTGAGAGGAAGGAAGCCAAGGGAATGTATGTGAGCAGGCGCCTCAGAGAGTATGGGGCTCAGTGTGTCCCTGAGCTTCCTGACAGCTGTGGCAGGAAGAAGGGGGAGCAGAATTCCCAAGTTTCCATTTTCTGGAAAAAAAGGAGGCACAGTGACATTTCTAAATGGACATTTGTCTTGGATTCCAGAGGAGTTGATCTTGTGGCCAGCTCAGCAAACATCCGGGACTAGAGAGTCATCTGTGATTTCATGAGACTCTAAAAGGCTTGTTCACACACATGATGCCCAGAGTCAGAAGGCAGAGAGGGAAGAAGAAATATGAAATCCGATCCAGAGGATAACCTTGCTAGGCTGCTGTTTCCACAGCAGTGGGGGGATGGGAGGAGACCTAGACCTTGTCTGTGTGTCTGTCTGTCTCCTGGACACACACTGACTGCACTGCCTCTCTGGGAGGAGACGCAGGCTGCTGGTGTACCTCCAGACTTGCCATGCCTCCAAAGACTGGGCCCCAGGTTGCATGGGCAATGAGGTAGGGTGAGGTTGCCAGTGAGCGTCACACTGCTAGGGCCTGGGAGCTGAGGGCCAAGCTGGGTCTGTCCGGCTGGGCTCAATGGAGGATGCAGAGAGGAGCTGGCTGTGGGACTGGGAGAGGAGCGTGGGGCAGGTGGAAGGGTGTTGTAGGCAGGAGTCACCGGAGGTTTGGGGAGGGGTTAGACTTCTCACCCTCCCCAGATAGCACCCCTTGTGCTGCCCTTTCTGTGGTTCTTCTGTCTTGTGAGCCCTCTGTACCACCCCATCCCAATCGTACCCACTCATACAGGTGAGGCTGATTTGCCCCCATCCACCAGGATCGAGAGGGCAGCCTGAGACATCTGGTCCCATCGTGCATCTCCTGCTATAGGACTCTCAACCCCAGCACACAAACCACCCCTCAGCAGCCCCACACCACACCACCTACTGCCCGACATTGCAAGACCAGTTGGCTCAGGCATCATGGCTGACTTCCCGGTTCAGTACGATGTGGTCATGGAGGACATCATTAGAGCCGTGCAGGTGAGGGGGCCTGGGGAAGAGGAGAGAGGATGGGCTCTGGAGTCAGACAGGCCTGAGCACACTGCTCGGGTCTCTCCAGCTGGTCACTCCAGTTTCCCTAGGGATAAGTGAGAGCTAGCGAACAAGGATAGGCTGATGTGAAAAGACACATGGCTTCAACCTTGGGAGGCACATCGAATCCCCCAAAGGGTTGGAGACCTGGAACTGTCTCCAGTGAATCAAGTGCCCAAAGGACCCATCCCTAACTGAATCAAGTCATAGCCTGCTCGAAAACAGTCCTTCTGCAAAGTAAACCCTTGGCCACTAATTGGGCACTCATGTTCATGGGCTCTCATGCATTCTATAGCTCCTATACTCTCCTGTGTTCTCTTGGGCTTCCTTGCTCTCTCTCGGCTTTTAACAATCCTTATTGCTTCAGTGGAGCCATCTGCCTAAACAGGGAGCCCTTCAATTCTGAGTTTCCACATTCATGAAGAAAGAGCAGAGGTCCCACACTCTCCCAGATGGGAAAGGACAGAGCACTGATCCCAGGGCCCTGGCTTGAGCACAAGGATGGCGGGGCAGCCTGAGACATCTGGTTCCACTCTGCCTCTCCCGCCACAGAACTCTCAACCCCAGCACACAAACCACCCTCCAGCTGCCCCAAACCACACCACACCACACCACACTTTTCTCCAAAACACCCGAGCCTGCCTCTCATCTGTGTGAGCATTTGCTCATGGTGGCCACTGCCCTGAGAATGACTTCTTCCTCCTTGCTCCACTGCTCAGCATCCTTGTGTTCCTGAAACACTGCCGAAACACCTCCTCCTTGATGACTCCAGTCCACCAACAATTCGTTTGTCTGCCCTGGACTAAAAGTGTCCCATGGTTAAACCTCTTCTCATGCATCATTCATTCATTCATTCACATGTTGAATGAATAAGTGGACTAGGCCAGTCTTGTACTCATTGACTCTGACAACTCAGAAGTGAGTCAGACACAGCCACTCATCTCCCTCTGCCATCACCCCATCCTGAAGCACCCAGATACACAGAGCCTTGACAGTCATCAAGTGTTCTAGGTGTTGTGTTTAAGTGTGTCATGGGTTCTGTCGTGGTGCCAGTGGAGGAGGGTTTCAGGGCCGTCATCCTAAAGGAGTTGGAATTTAAGTAAGCATGGGAAAAATGAATTGGATATACCTGCAAGTCGGTCGAGAAGGTGAAGGGAAAGGCATGCAGTGAGAAGGAACAGCATTGCAGAGGCACAGAGGTGTGGCTCAGTCTGTTGTGTAGGGGGAGTAAAAGTTATTCTCCTGCCAGGATAGGAGCCAAGGGTACCTTGCCAGCAGGTGGCAGCAGGGGCTTTAACCTGGTGTTATGTCTCGTGGGTGTGTTTAGTTCATGGAGGTATTCCTCTGCTGGTTCATTCTTTACCATCACCACAGCTGCCTGCAGTTGAAATACGGATGGATGGAGGCATGGGATTAAGCATTGACTAGTACAACCAGGAACTCCCAAGCACCGTGAGCCCTGACCCCCTCTGACACCCTGCCAGGAACACTCAGGTCATCTCCCACTTCCTATTTGAGTGTGCTCCTCTTTGAAAGCCCAGCACATCATCAGATCATCCACCCCGCTGGGGCTCACTGAGCACCTCATCTGTGTCATACCTGGTGTTGGCTGACGTTGGGAACCCCAAAGGGTATCACACACACCGCCTACCTATTGTCTATGGGCGAGACACAGAAACCCAATATTGGCACTAGGGTAGAATTGCCCTTTCCATGACACACAAGGTAGGATGGAAGCCATAATGAAGAGGAAAGGCAGTTCCAGAAGGTTCCCAGGGGGAGACCAAGGCTGACCTGTCTGTTAAGGAATTAATAAAAATGGGCCATAGGCGAGGGCCTGTGGGAGGGAAAGGCATTCCAGCAATGTAGTGGCTGCCTGAGAAAAGAAACAGGCAAAAACTTACCAAGTATGTGTAGGGAATTGCAAACAGCTTGGCGTTCTGGAGCAGAGATTTGAGATGAAAAACCCAAAGAGCCACATAGAAGGCTGGAGAGTCCTGCAGGGCAACACAAGGAATATGGTATTTGTCCTGTAGTTGAACAGGGAGCCATGAGATAAAATGACATGTGAGGTAATGTTTACAGGGTCTCAGCGGCTGCCTCTGAGCAGCATGGATGGGAGAGGCCGCAGTAGAAGAGGGAAACTGAGAAAAATGAGGCCTAAGCTTGGGCTTGGTCAGTTAGGGATGAAGAGGAGGGTGGCCTGGAGAAGCATCCAGCAGAGAAAAGCAATAAGAATTGGAAGTTGATTGGCTGCAGGGAATGGGGGCCACCTGAAGATTGAAGGCAACACTCAGATTTGTCTCCAGAGTGACCATGTGGATGATGGTGCCCCTGACTGCGAAGGCATAAAGGGCCAAGTAGGGGCAGGACAACGAATTCATTGTTTGGGCAGGATGCATTGGAGGCTTCTTGAAACATTCCGGGGCAGATGTCCAACTGTGAGTCTGCACCCACTGGTGAGGGGGCAATTGTGGGAGCCCTAGATGGGAGAAGAGATTCAGAGTGACTGGTAGGGCTTCTGTGGTGGAAACCAAGTGACAGAGGGAGGTCACCTAGGGAGCATGTGTGGAGCCAGAAGGGAAGATCCTTCAAGGCAGCAGCTAAGGTGGAGTGGCCCAATCCAGCAGCTATGGATCCCTTCAGCCACCCCATCAACTGCGCACAGCCTGCCCAGAGCCCCAGTCCCCAGCAGTTCACTCCATTGAGCTGCACCAGCATAATTATTTTCTTTGACCTGAGAAATACTGGGAAACACTGCGAAGGGAGTGGGCAGACAGAAGTGGTAGGAGAATAAGGAGAGTTCACTGTAGCAGATTGCAGGGAAAACGACTTTTTTTTTTTAAATTTTATTTTATTTTTTATTATACTTTAAGTTTTAGGGTACATGTGCACATTGTGCAGGTTAGTTACATATGTATACATGTGCCATGCTGGTGTGCTGCACCCACTAACTCATCATCTAGCATTAGGCATACCTCCCAATGCTATCCCTCTCCCCTCCCCCCACCCCACAACAGTCCCCAGAGTGTGATGTTCCCCTTCCTGTGTCCATGTGTTCTCATTGTTCAATTCCCACCTATGAGTGAGAATATGCGGTGTTTGGTTTTTTGTTCTTGCAATAGTTTACTGAGAATGATGATTTCCAATTTCATCCATGTCCCTACAAAGGACATGAACTCATCATTTTTTATGGCTGCATAGTATTCCATGGTGTATATGTGCCACATTTTCTTAATCCAGTCTATCATTGTTGGACATTCGGGTTGGTTCCAAGTCTTTGCTATTGTGAATAATGCCGCAATAAACATACGTGTGCATGTGTCTTTATAGCAGCATGATTTATAGTCCTTTGGGTATATACCCAGTAATGGGATGGCTGGGTCAAATGGTATTTCTAGTTCTAGATCCCTGAGGAATCGCCACACTGACTTCCACGATGGTTGAACTAGTTTCCAGTCCCACCAACAGTGTAAAAGTGTTCCTATTTCTCCACATCCTCTCCAGCACCTGTTGTTTCCTGACTTTTTAATGATTGCCATTCTAACTGGTGTGAGATGGTATCTCATTGTGGCTTTGATTTGCATTTCTCTGAAGGCCAGTGATGATGAGCATTTTTTCATGTGTTTTTTGGCTGCATAAATGTCTTCTTTTGAGAAGTGACTGTTCATGTCCTTCGCCCACTTTTTGATGGGGTTGTTTGTTTTTTTCTTGTAAATTTGTTTGAGTTCATTGCAGATTCTGGATATTAGCCCTTTGTCAGATGAGTAGGTTGCAAAAATTTTCTCCTATTTTGTAGGTTGCCTGTTCAGTCTGATGGTAGTTTCTTTTGCTGTGCAGAAGCTCTTTAGTTTAATTAGATCCCATTTGTCAATTTTGTCTTTTGTTGCCATTGCTTTTGGTGTTTTAGACATGAAGTCCTTGCCCATGCCTATGTCCTGAATGGTAATGCCTAGGTTTTCTTCTGGGGTTTTTATGGTTTTAGGTCTAACGTTTAAGTCTTTAATCCATCTTGAATTGATTTTTGTATAAGGTGTAAGGAAGGGATCCAGTTTCAGCTTTCTACATATGGCTAGCCAGTTTTCCCAGCACCATTTATTAAATAGGGAATCATTTCCCCATTGCTTGTTTTTCTCAGGTTTGTCAAAGATCAGATAGTTGTAGATATGCGGCATTATTTCTGAGGGCTCTGTTCTGTTCCGTTGATCTATATCTCTGTTTTGGTACCAGTACCATGCTGTTTTGGTTACTGTAGCCTTGTAGTATAGTTTGAAGTCAGGTAGTGTGATGCCTCCAGCTTTGTTCTTTTGGCTTAGGATTGAATTGGCAATGCAGGCTCTTTTTTGGTTCCATATGAACTTTAAAGAGAAAGCAGGAAAGATCCAAAATTGACACCCTAACATCACAATTAAAAGAACTAGAAAAGCAAGAGCAAACACATTCCAAAGCTAGCAGAAGGCAAGAAATAACTAAAATCAGAGCAGAACTGAAGGAAATAGAGACACAAAAAACCCTTCAAAAAATTAATGAATCCAGGAGCTGGTTTTTTGAAAGGATGAACAAAATTGATAGACCGCTAGCAAGACTAATAAAGAAAAAAAGAGAGAAGAATCAAATAGACGCAATAAAAAATGATAAAGGGGATATCACCACCGATCCCACAGAAATACAAACTACCATCAGAGAATACTACAAACACCTCTATGCAAATAAACTAGAAAATCTAGAAGAAATGGATAAATTCCTCAACACATACACTCTCCCAGACTAAACCAGGAGGAAGTTGAATCTCTGAATAGACCAATAACAGGCTCTGATATTGTGGCAGTAATCAATAGCTTACCAACCAAAAAGAGTCCAGGACCAGATGGATTCACAGCCGAATTCTACCAGAGGTACAAGGAGGAACTGGTACCATTCCTTCTGAAACTATTCCAATCAATAGAAAAAGAGGGAATCCTCCCTAACTCATTTTATGAGGCCAGCATCATTCTGATACCAAAGCTGGGCAGAGACACAACCAAAAAAGAGAATTTTAGACCAATATCCTTGATGAACATTGATGCAAAAATCCTCAGTAAAATACTGGCAAAACGAATCCAGCAGCACATCAAAAAACTTATCCACCATGATCAAGTGGGCTTCATCCCTGGGATGCAAGGCTGGTTCAATATATGCAAATCAATAAATGTCATCCAGCATATAAACAGAACCAAAGACAAAAACCACATGATTATCTCAATAGATGCTGAAAAGGCCTTTGACAAAATTCAACAACACTTCATGCTAAAAACTCTCAATAAATTAGGTATTGATGGGACGTATTTCAAAATAATAAGAGCTATCTATGACAAACCCACAGCCAATATCATACTGAATGGGCAAAAACTGGAAGCATTCCCTTTGAAAACGGGCACAAGACAGGGATGCCCCCTCTCACCACTCCTATTCAACATAGTGTTGGAAGTTCTGGCCAGGGCAGTTAGGCAGGAGAAGGAAATAAAGGGTATTCAATTAGGAAAAGAGGAAGTCAAATTATCCCTGTTTGCAGATGACATGATTGTATATCTAGAAAACCCCATTGTTTCAGCCCAAAATCTCCTTAAGCTGATAAGTAACTTCAGCAAAGTCTCAGGATACAAAATCAATGTGCAAAAATCACAAGCATTCTTATACACCAATAACAGACAAACAGAGAGCCAAATCCTGAGTGAACTCCATTCACAATTGCTTCAAAGAGAATAAAATACCTAGGAATCCAACTTACAAGGGATGTGAAGGACCTCTTCAAGGAGAACTACAAACCACTGCTCAATGAAATAAAAGAGGATACAAAGAAATGGAAGAACATTCCATGCTCATGGGTAGGAAGAATCAATATCGTGAAGATGGCCATACTGCCCACGGTAATTTATAGATTCAATGCCATCCGCATCAAGCTACCAATGACTTTCTTCACAGAATTGGGAAAACGACTTTTGAAGACCGCAGAAGTCACCCGTGTTCAACTGTGATGTATATGGGTGGGGAAGGCAGTCCCAAAAGACTCAAAATACAGACATTGGGTTTGTTTGTTTTAGTAAAGTTCCTATGTTTAATTTTTGAGGGTACACAGTAGGTGTATATATTTATGGGATAAGTGAGATGTTTTGGTACAGGCATGCAATCTGTAATAATCGCATCACGGGGTACCCATTCCGTCAAGCATTTATCCCTGTGTTACAAACAATCCATTTATACTCTTTTACTTATTTTTAAATGTACAATTAAATTATTATTGACTATAGTTACCCTGTCGTGCTATCAAATACTAAGTCTTATTCATTATTTCTCTTTTCTTTGTACCCTTTAACCATCCCTACCTCCCACCTATCTCCCCACTGCCTGCTGCCCCTCCTCCCTCAGCCTCTGGTAACCACTCTTCTATGCTCTATCTCCATGAGTTCAACTGCTTTCATTTTTTAGATCCCACTAATGAGTGACAACATGTGAGATTTGTCTTTCTGTGCCTGACTTATTTCATGTAACATAATGATCTCCAGTTCCATTCATGTTGTTGCAAATGGCAAGATCCCATTCTTTTTTATGGCTGATTAGTACTCCATTGTGTATATGTACCATGTTTTCTTTATCCATTCATCTGTTGATGGACACTTATGTTGTTTCCAAGTCTTGGCCGTTGTGAACAGCGCTGCAACAAAAAGGAGGGTGAAGATATCTCTTGGATACACTGATTTTCTTTCTTTTGGGTATATACCCAGAAGTGGGATGGTTGGATTGTATGATGAAGCTCTAATTTTTAGTTTATTGAGGAGCCTCCAAACTGTTCTCCATATGGTTCTACTAATTCACATTCCCACCAACAGTGTATGGGGATCCCTTTTCTCCACATCCTCGCCAGCATTTCTTATTGCCTGTCTCTGGGTTAGAAGCCATTTTAGTTGGGTTGAGATGATATCTCATTGTAGTTTGATTTTCACATTTCTGATGATAGTGATGTTGAGAACCTTTTCATATATCTGTTTGCCATTTGTATGTCTTCTTTTGAGAAATATCTATTCAAATCTTTTGCCCTTTTTCAATGGGATTCTTAGATTTTTTTCCTATGGAGTTGTTTGAGCTCCTTGTATAATCTGGTTATTATACCCTTGTGAGATGGGTAGTTTGCAAATATTTTGTCCCATTCCGTGGATTGTCTCTTCACTTTGTTTATCATTTCCCTTGCAGTGTAGAAGCGTTTTAACTTGATGTGATCCCATTTGTCCACTTTTACTATGGTTGCTTGTGCTTATCGGGCATTATTCAAGAAATTTTTGCTCAGACCAATGCTCTGGAGATTTTCCCAAGATTTTCTTGTAGTATTAATAGTATCATAGTTTGAGGTCTGAGATTTAAGTCTTTAATTCATTTTGATTTGATTTTTGTATATGGTGAGAGAGAGGAGAGGTCTAGTTTCATTATTCTGCATATGGGTATCCAGTTTTCCCAGCACCTTTTACTGAAGAGACTGTTCTTTCCCCAGTGTTTGTTGTTGGCACCTGTGTTAAAAATCAGTTCACCATAGGTGAATATATTTGTTTCTGGGTTTTTTATTCTTTTCCATCGGTCTATGTGTCTGTTTCTGTCTCATTACCAATCTGTTTTTGTTGCTATAGCTCTGCCGTATAATTTGAAATCAGGTAATGTGATTCCTTCAGTTTTGTTCTTTTGGCTTAGGATAGCTTTGGTTATTCTGGGTCTTTCATGGTTCTATATAAATTGTAGGATTTTTTTTCAATCTGTGAAGAATGTCATTGCGATTTTGATAGGGATTGCATTGAATCTGTAGATTGCTTTGGGTAGTATGAATGTTTTAACAATATTGATTCTTCCAATCCATGAACATGGAATATCTTTCCATTTTTTAGATATAAAAATGTCCTCTTCAATTTCTTTTAACAGTGTTTTACACTTTTCATTATAAAGATGTTTCACTTCTTTGGTTAATTCCTAGCATTTAATTTTATTCATGGCTACTGTAAATGCGGTTTCTTTTTAAATGTCTTTTTCAGATTGTTCACTGTTGGCATATAGAAATACTACTGATTTTGTTTTGCTGATTTTGTATCCTGCAACTTTCCTGCATTTGTTATCAGTTCTAATATTTTTTGTGGGGTCTTTAGGGTTTTCCTAGTATAAGATCATATCATCTGCAAACAAGGATGATTTGACTTATTCCTTTCCAATTCGGATGCCCTTTATTTCTTTCTCTTGTCTGATTGTTCTAGGTAGTCCTTCCAGTACTTTGTGGAATAACAGTGGTGAAAGCGAGCATCTGTGTCATGCTCCAGACCTTAGCAGAAAGGCTTTCAGTTTTTCTCTTCAGTATGATACTAGGTGTGGCTCTGTCATATATGGCTTTTGTTATGTTGAGGTATGTTCCTTTTATCCCCAGTGTTTTGAGGGTTTTGTCATGAAGAAATGTTGAGTTCTATTAAATGCTTTTTCAGCATCAATTGAAATGATCATATGGTTTTTGTTCTTCATTCAGTTGGTATACTGTATCACACTGATTGCTTTGCATATGTTGAACCATCCTTGCATCTCAGGGATAAATCCCACTTGGTCATGAAGATCTTTTAAGTGTGTTATTGAGTTCAGTTTGTTAGTATTTTGTTGAGAATGTGTGCATCCATATTCATCAGAGTCATTGGCCTATAGTTGTCATTTTTTGATGTGTCTTTGTCTGGTTTTGGTATCAGGGCAATACTGGCCATGTAGAATGAATTTTGAAGTATTCTGTCCTCTTCCATTTTTTGGAAGAGTTTGAGTAGGACTGGTATTAGTTCGTTTTTAACTGTTTTGTAGAATTCAGAGATGAAGCCATCAGGTCCTGAGCCTTTCTTTACTGAGAGGCTTTTTGTCATGGCTTTGATCTTGTTACTTTTTATTGGCCTGTTCAGGTTTTGAATTTCTTTTCTTTTCTTCTTCTTCTTTTTTTTTGAGACAGAGTCTTGTTCTGTTGTTCAGGCTGGAGTACAGTGGCATGGTCTCGGCTCCCTGTAACCTCTGCCTCCTGGGCTCAAGCAATTCTCCCACCTCAGCTTCCCATGTAGCTGGAATTACAGGTGTCCACCACCACACCAGTCCAATTTTTGTTTTTTTAGTAGAGATGGGGTTTCACCATGTTGGCCAGGCTGCTCTCCAACTCCTGATCTCAGGTAATCTGCCTGCCTAGGCCTTCCAAAGTGCTGGGATTACAGGCATGAGCCACCAGGCTTGGCCTTGGTTTTGAACTTCTTCATGCTTCAGTCTTGGTAGCTTGTATGTGTCTAGGAATTTGTCCATTTCTTCTAGGTTTTCTTTCTGTTAATTTAACTTTTAAGCTCAAGAGTACACGTTCAGGTTTGCTACATAGGTACATTTGTGTCATGGCGGTTTGTTGTACAGATTATTTTGTCACCCTGGTATTAAGCCTATTATCCATTAGTTATTTTTCATGATTCTCTCTCTCTTCCGCCGTCCACCTCTGACCAGCCACAGTGTGTGTCATTTGCCTCTATGCTTCCATATGTTCTCATCATTTAACTCTCATTCATAAGTGAGGACAGGTAGTGTTTGGTTTTCTGTTTCTGTGTTAGTTTGCTAATGATAATAGCTTCCAGCTTCTCTGTTCCTGTAAAAAACATAATCTCGTTGTTTTAATGGTTGCATACTATTCCATGGTGTATATGCACCATGTTTTCTTTATTCAGTCTATCATTGATGGGCATTTAGTTTGATTCCATGTCTGTGCTATTGTAAATAGTGCTGCAATGGACATATGTATCCATGTGTCTTTCTAACAGAAAAATTTGTATTCCTTTGGGTATATACCAAGTAATGGGATTGCTGGGTCAAATGGTATTTGTGTTTTAGGTTTTGAGGAATCGCCACACTGTCTTCCATAGTGGTTGAACTAATTTACACTCTCACCAATAGTGTATAAAAGCGTTCCCTGTTTTTCCACAATCTTGCTGGCGTCTGTTGTTTTTGCACTTTTTAATAGTAGCCATTCTAACCGGTGTGAGATGGTATCTCATTGTGGTTTTGATTTGTGTTTCTCTAATGATCAGTGATGTTGAGCTTTTTTCCATATGATTGTTAGCCACATGTATGTCTTCTTTTGAGAAGTGTCTGTTTATGCCCTTTGCTTACTTTTTGATGTGGCTGTTTGTTTTTTTCTTGAAAATTTGTTTAAGTTTCTTATAGATGCTAGGCCTTTTCAGATGCATAGTTTGCAAACATTTTCTCATGTCTGTTCACTCTGTTAATAGTTTCCTTTGTTATGTAGAAGCTCATTAGTTTAATTGGATTGCATTTGTCCATTTTTGCTATTGTTGCAACTGCTTTTGGTGTCTTCATCATGAAATATTTGTCCGTTCCTATGTCCAGAATTGTATTGCCTAGGTTGTCTTCCAGGGTTTTTATAGTTTTGGGTTTTACATTGAAGTCTTTAAACCATCTTGAGTTAATTTTTGTATATGGTATGAGGAAGGGTTCTAGTTTCAGTTTTCTGCAAATGGCTTGCCAGTTATCCCAGCACCATTTATTGAATAGGGAATCCTTTCCCCACTGCTTGTTTTTGTCAGGTTTGTTGAAGATCAGATAGTTGTAGGTGTGTGGCCTTATTTATGGGTTCTCTATTGTCGTCTAGATTTTCTAATTTATTGGCATATAGTTGCTCACAGTAGCCACTAATGATCCTTTGAATTTCTGCAGTATCATTTTGCAATGTCTCCTTTTTTATTCTGATTTTATTTATTTAGTTCTTCTCTCTTTTTTTCTTACTCTGGGTAAAGGTTTGTCAATTTTGTTGACCTTTTTTGTTTTCAAAAAAACCCTTTTTTCCTTGATCTTTTGTATTGTTTTCTTCATTTTAGTTTCTTTATTTGTGCTCTAACCTTTATTATTTTTTCTTCTACTAATTTAGGGTTTGGTTTGCTCTTGCTTTTCTAGTTCCTTAAGATGCATCATTATGTTGTTTATGTTTTTCTTCTTATTTGATGTAAGCACTTATAGCTGTAAAGTTCCCTGTGAGTCCCGCTCTTACTGTATCCCATAGGTTTTGGTATATTGTGTTTCCATTATCATCTGTTTTGAGAAAATTTTCAGTTTCTTTCAGAATTTCTTCATTGACCCACTCTTCATTTAGGGGCATATTCTTCGTTGACCCACTGTTCATTTAGGAGCATATTCTATGGATTTCTGTAGTTTCCAAAGTTCCTCTTGTTATTGATTTCTAGTATTATTCCACTGTGATCAGAGAAGATGCTTGATGGTATTTCAATTGTTTTGAATGTTTTCAGACTTGTTTTGTGACCTAACATATGGTCTATCTTTGAGAATGAACCATGTGCTGAAGAAAAGAATGTGTACTCTGTAGCCATTGGATGAATTGTTCTGTAAATATCTGTTAGGTTTATTTGTTCTATAGTGCAGTTGAAGTCCAATGTTTCCTTGTTGATTTTTTTGTCTGGAAGATATCCAGTGCAGAATGTGTGGTGTTGAAGTCTCTAGTGATTATTATATTGTAGTCTACCTCTCTCTTTAGCTTTAATAATATTTGCTTTATATATCTTGGTACTCCAGTGATGGGTACACATATTTTCACAATTGTTATATCCTCTTGCCAAATTGACGCCTTTATCATTATATTTTTGCCTTCTTTGTTTCTTCTTACAGATTTTGTCCCAGTATAGCCCTCCTTCTCTTTTTTAGTTTCCACTGGCATGGAATATCTTCTTCCATCCCTTTATTTGCAGTCTACATGTGTCTTTATAGGTGAAGTGTGTTAATTGTAGGCAACAGATCGATGGGTCTTTTTTTTTTAATCCATTCCACCACTCTTTGTCTTTTGATTGGAGAATTTAGCCCATTTATATTCTGTGTTATTATTGATAAGTAAGGACTTACTTCTGCCATTTTGTTGTTGGTTTTCCTATTTTTTTGTGGGCTGCTCTTCCTTCCTTTTTTCCTTCCTGTCTTCCTTTTAGCAAAGGTTTTCTTTGGTGATATGGTTTAGTTTCTTACTTTTTTGTTTTCTGTGTATCCTTTGTATGATTTTGTTTTGAGGTCACCATGAGGCTTGTAAATACTATCTCATAACTCACTATTTTAAGCTGATAACAACTTAACACTGTTTGCACTAACAAACAAAAAGAAAACTAATAAAAACTCAGTGCCTTAACTTAATCCTCCTGCTTTTTATTTCTTTTTTGTGTCTATGTATATCTTATTGTACAGACTATGTCTTGAAAAGTTGTTGTAGTTAGTAGTTTTGATTGGGTCATCATTTAGTCTGTCTACTTAGAGTTAAGAGTGGTTTACACGCCACTGTTATGGTGTTACAATATTTTGTGTCTTTCTGTGTATTTACTATTACCAGTAAGTTTTGTACCTTCAGGTGATTATTTATTGCTCAGTAATGTCCTTTTCTTTCTGTTTCAAGTACTCCCTTTAGCATTTCTTGTAGGACATATCTGGCATTTATGAAATTCCTCAGTTCTTGTTTGTCTGGGTAACTATTTCTCCTTCATGTTTGAAGGATATTTTCTCTGTATATACTATTCTAGGGTAAAAGCATTTTTTCCTTTAGCATTTTAAATACGTCATGCCACACACTCTTGGCCTTTAAGGTTTCCACTGAAAAGTCTGCTGACAGAAGTATTGGAGACTCCTTGTCTGTTATTTTTTTCTCTTCTCTTGCTGCTTTTAGGATTTTTTCTTTATCCTTGACCTTCGGGAGTTTGATTATTAAATGGCTCAAGGCCGTCTTTTTAGGTAAAATCTTCTTGGTGTTCTATCACCTTCTTGTATCTGAATATTGATATCTTTCTCTCTGTTTGGGAAGTTCTCTTTTATTATCCCTTTGATTAAAATTTCTATCCTTACCTCTTTCTCCATCTCCTTTTTAGGGCCACTAACTCTTAGATTTGTCTGTCTGTGGCTATTTTCTAGATCCTGTAGGCATGCTTCATTGCTTCTTATTATTTTTTCTTTTGTCTTCTCTGACGACATATTTTCAAATAGCCTGTCTTGAAACTCACTATTCTTTCTTCTGCTTGATCAGTTCTGCTCTTAAAAGACTCTGGCACATTCTTCAATATGTCAATTTTTTTTCACTTCCAGAATTTCTTCTTGATTTTTTAAAATTATTTCAATATCTTTGTTATTTCCATCTGATACAATTCTGAATTCCTTCTCTGTGTTTTCTTGAAATTCTTTGAGTTTCCTCAACACAGCTATTTTGAATTCTCTATCTGAAAAGTCACATATCTCTGTTTCTCCAGAATTGTTCCCTGGTGGCTTATTTAGTTTATTTGGTGACATGATGTTTTCCTGCATTTTCTTGATACTTTTAGCTGTTCTTCTGTGGGTGGGCATTGAAGAGTTAGGTATTTATTATAGTCTTTGCAGGCTGGGCTTTCATGTACCCGTCCGTCTTGGGAAGGCTTTCCAGATATTTGAATGTATGTATGTGTTGTGATCTAAGCTGTATCTGCTTTAGGGGGCACTCCAAGCCTAGTAATGCTGTGGTTCTTGCAGACTCATAGAAGTATTGTCTTGATGGTCTTGGACAATATCTGGGAGAATTCTCTCCATTACCAGGCAGAGACTCTTGTTCTCTTCCCTTACTTTCTCCCAAACAGTCTCTCTCTCTCTCTGTTGGGAGCCACCTGAAGCTGGGGGTGGATTGACACAAGTGCCCCTGTGGCCACCACCATTATGACTGCACTGGGTCAGACTTGAAGCCAGCACAGTACTAGTTCTCGCCCAAGGCCTGCTGCAACCACGTTCTGGCTTCCACCTATGTTTGCTCAAGACCCTGTGGCTGTACAATTAGAAAGTGTCAAAACCAGCAAGGCCTGTGTCCTTTGCTTTTGGGTAGTGAGTTCCTCCAGGCCCTAGGTGGGTCTAGAGGTATTATCCAGGAGCCAGAGACTAGAGTCAAACACCTTAGAATTCTACCTGGTGTTCTATTGTCCTGCGGCTTAGCTGACAATCAAATCACAAGAGAAAGTCCTTACCACTCTTCCCTTCCCTTTTCAAAGGCAGAAGAGCCTCACCCCATGGCCGCTGCAACCACAGGCTTACAGGGAGTACTGACAGACTACCACTGATGTTCCCTTAAGGCCCAAAGGCTCTTCAGTCACCTTGTGGTGAATGCTGCCTATTCTGGGCAGTAGGCACCCCTCTAGCCTAGGGCAGGCCCGAAAGTTGGATTATAGGCCATCCAAGAGCCAATGCCTAGAACCTGGGACCCCAAGAGCCTGCTTGGTGCTCTACACCCTTGTGGCCAAGCTGGTACCTAAAGTACAAGTCAGTGTCCCATTTTCTTTTCCCTCTGCTTTTGTAAAGCATAAGGACTCTCTCCCAATAGCCACTACAGCTTGGAATGTGCATTGCCTGAAGCCAGCTTGTCTCAGAGTCTCACTCAAGGCCCTCAATGTAGTACCTGGGTATCATAGCTGGTTATTCAGGGCCCAAGGGCTCTTCGTTTAGCATGTGAAGACTGCTGCCAGGAATGGGTCCTTCCCTTCAAGGCAGTAGGTTTCTTTCTGGCCCAGGGTGTGTCTAGAAATGTGGTTTGGGTGTTAGGCCCTGGAAAGTGCATTTCACAACCCTGATTGGTGCTCTATCCTGCTGCAGCTGAGCTGGTATACAAGATGCAAGATAAAGTCCTTTCCACTCTTCCCTCTTATCTCCTCAGGTAGAATGAAGGGGTCTCTTTTGGAACCACAAGCTATGGAGCCTAGGGTTAGAGGAGTGGTGATGCCAGCACTCCCTTAGCCACCCTACCTGGTGTCTCAGGTTGTCTGCCCCCCTCAGTCCACTCTCTCTGGGCCCAGTTCAGCACTAAGACTCTCCTAGGAGTTGCAGCCCTTGTGGCCTAGACTGCCTTTCAAGTTTACTTACAGCCCTGGAGCACTTTAGCTCATGGTAGCGAGGATTGTGGGAATTCATGTTTCAACTGCTGACATGGGTAATTCACCTGTAGCTAGGGCCGTTTTAAATCCTCTCTCCATGTGCAGGCATCAGCTGAGTTTGGTTCAGTTTTTTTCTTACTGCTCTAAGAGGACAGCACTGAGGTCAATGCCTCACAATTTTTGCACTCTCCCTCCCCCAACACACAGAAATGCTCTTCCACACCATGCCACCACTGCTGGGGGCAGAGGTGGAGGGTGGGGTAGGGGTGGCATCAGCAATTCAAGACTTCTTTCTACCGCTTCAGTGCCTCTTTCATTGATATGAAGTTAAAATCTGCTACTGAATGCTCACCTGATTTTTGGTTCATTTGAAGGTGCTTTTTTTGTGTAGATGGTTGTTAAATTGGTGTCCTTCCTTGGTGGGGGGGCAATCAGTGGGGACTTCTAGTCTACCATCTTGCTTCACCTCTCTCCCAGCCATTGAGTTTGGAGGCAACTAGTCACAGTTGCCTTTAGTGAGGGAAGTGTTCATGTGGGGTGGGCACAGGAGCCAGACTGTGGTGGTCCCCAGGAGTGATCTGCACTTGAGCCCATTGAGGGTGCCTACTTTCTCAGTCTGTGATGCTCCAGGGAAAACAGAAGCTAGAGAGAAGTTTGGGAGTGGACTGGGGACAAGAGCTAGTCTTAGTGCATGGAAAAGACAATAAAATTCTATACTCCAAGGAAGACCCAGTGGGGTACATGTTAAAGGGGGTTGGAGAGAGGGGACCTGAGGAGTACTGGAGAGGCTGGGCACTTGGAGTGCATGAGGTCCAAGGCAGGACCTCTTTGTCCTTAGGCTGAGGGAGGAGGTATATGGTGATGTGGAGCCTCTATATGGGTGGAGTGGGCAAAGAGTCCCTGGCTCCGTGCTCTTAATTCTTTTCCTGAGTCAGGTGGGTAGGATGGAATGACTGCTAAAGTGACTGGGAGAGGTTGGTGAGCAAGGTCCTGCTCTTGAGTTATGTGATAGGAAGTGGGGGCCCTGGTGGGCATGGGGTGGGGGAAAGGTAGGCATGATTTTCCCAGGAGCGCTCACCGGCCCAGGTATGGGTGGTGTGCAGAGGCCACTGGGTTCTGCTGTTGGCTTGGGCAGTTGTAGTGTGGGTGACACAGGCCTTTTTGAACTGTACCAGAGTGCCAGGATTAAAAGAGACAGAGGCTGCAATTGCACATGTGAATTAATTCAAAGGCCGGGGTGGAGGGGGAAGAGCAGATGTCTTCCCATCTCCTCTTTCCTCTTGAGAGGGAAGAGGTAGTGTACAGCCTAATGGTCAGAGAGTGCCTGAAGGGCAGAGAGGAGCAAAAGCCTGTGGCCCTGGGCAGAGCCTGCTTCAGCTTCAGGGTAGCACAGACCCTCAGCCAGCGCAGACATCCCTGAGCTGAGCTGAGACTGGTCCTGAGGGGCCCTCCCAGCTTCCCTCCCCTTCCCTCAGCTGTCCCAGCCCCGAGGCTCTGCAGAGGGAGGAATGGAGTGGGGGAGGGGAGTCAGCAGCCAATCACATCCAGGACAGCCCAAGGCATCTGTACCTGGTGTAACCAATCCCCTCTGAATAAACAGCTCACTCAGCTTAGGTTCCCTCCTCCTCTCCCTGCTCTGCCCAGCAACAGCAGAAAGGAGGTTTTAGGAGGAGAAGGAGGCCCTACAACTCCCAGCCCCTGGCAGCAAAGAGCTGGGCCCCAGGCTCACTCTATATAGGGAGGTTAAAACAATACTTGGAGTTCCTGCAGCCCAGGCAAAATATCCCTAGGGACCCTCAAGGCTGTGCAAGCCCAACTCTCTCACAGACAGGAACTCATATATTACAGAGATCCTGATCCTTGGAGTGGTGGGCTACAAGCCAGTCTCATTCCCTCCACAGCTCTGGGGGAGGCCCTGGGATGAAAGTCTGAATGGCAGAGACACGGTTCTGAAGGAGATGGACAGCGAGAAGTCACACACATGCCTGTTTAGAAAGTGAGTAGTCCTGGGAAGCAAAACACAGAGTGTTATGCAGTAAAATAAGAGGGGACTTGATTTAGATTGGCTTTCACAGTCCTTCTTGGTTTTACCTTTTTTTTTTGTCCAGATTTATAATGACTATTTCATTCACTACTTTGCCCCCAGAGGCCTTCCACCTATGGAGAAGAATGTGGTTTTTGTTATTGACATAAGTGGCTTCATGTTTGGTACCAAGATGAAACAGGTAACAAGGATCCTGGAGACCTTTCTTAGTGCTAGCATCAGAAGGCCCAGAAATCAGACAGTGTGGTAACAATGGGATCCTAGAAGGAGAGATTCCACCACCCCATGACCCTTGAGTCTTACAGACTTGGGCCTACCCTAGGGTCCTTATATCTTACCTAACAGGAGCCTGTGGACCTGGAGCCACAGAGTCCTAAGAACATTGACACATTGTTCTATGGGGACTGAAACCATTGAGACCCTCAACCACAAAAGCCGAGAGTCATATAGGACTCTTAAGCTAGAGCATCCTGGGATCCTAGAATCCAGAAGCAAGAAAACCTTAGGTCACAGAGGCTCTGATTCTTTCTGAGGTCACAGGGTTTTGGGTTTGATAATTGTTTTTTAAATTTTACTTTAAAGGCCTAATAGTATAGAGTACTGGCATTACAGAATTAGAAACCATACAGTCTGGAGCCATATCAATTTTAATCTTGCTGCACTTCTACTACTGTGCCCATGGGTCAGAGTTTTGAGGCCGTAGACCAAGCAGGCTTTGACTTTAGCCCCTGAATCCATAAAGTTCTGCAAGCAGCATTTCATACCATAATACCCTGGAGCTTTTGTTCAGGTGTCCTGTGATTTTATAGCTTTTGTTCCTTTATCTTTCAACCACAGAGCCCTTGGGACCTAAGGCTGAGTTTGTTTTACCAGAGTTGAGCAACCTGAGGAAAGAAGGGTAGTTCTCCAAGCCAGCTTCCAAGCCCCAGTGTAGGGGAAGAGATCTCCTCAAATCCAGCCCTTTCTAGCCTTCTTGTCTCACTGAAGAGGGGTAAAATCTCAGAAGCACTTGTGAAGTTTCTATCCCAGGGACACCAGTTCACTAAAAGACTGAGACCACCTCATAAGAGTATAGAATGCTTCCTCTCACTCCACACATTATCACCACATCAGCTGGGCTCCTCGGCAATAATAGAGTATTATAGCTGATAGAACTACAAGTCCTACACCATGTTTAAGAAAATGTTCCTAGGGAAAACCAAAGATAGCAGAAACAACAAAAACATGGACACTAGAAATAATTTCAGTCTCTGTCACCTATAAATGTTCCAAACAGTAAACATTACCTAACTCTTAGTAAGAGTTAGGTAATGAGTTAGGTAATCCCAAAACTAAAAGCCTTTTAGTGTTGGTAAATCCCAACACTAAAAGCCTTTTAGTTTAGTTCCTTTTACCTGATACATCATGCGTGGCTTTCAACCTAAAATGAGAAGGCATGCTAAAAGGAGAAAAACACTGTCTGAAGAGACAAAAGAAACATCACAACCAGACTTTGATATGTCACAGATGTTGGGATTATCAAGCTGAGAATTTAAAAAAACTCATGATTTATATGCTATGGGCATTAATCGGTATGGTGCACAACATGCAAGGACAACTCATGGTAATGTAAGCAGTGGTATGAAAATGCTAGGAAAATAAAAAAGAAATGCTAGATATCAGAAACACTGTAACAGGAATGAAAAATGTCTTTGATTGGTTCATCAGTAGACTAGATATGGCTGGGGAGAGCATCAGTGAACTTGAGGGTATGTCCATGGAAATTCTTCAAGCTGAAAACCAAAAAGAAAAAAAAATTCAAAGATACCCCAGAATATCCAAGAATTTTGGGTCAATTATAAAAGTGTAACATATGCATATTACTGTGAGAATAGTAATTATTTTTATGAGACTAATAGAAGGAGAAAGAAGAGAGAAAGGAACAGAAGAAATATTTGAAGTAATAATAGATACAAATTTTCCAAAATAAATTATGGACACCAAACCTCAGGTCCAAGGACCTCAGGGAACTATAAGCAGGATAAATACTAAGAAATTCAAACCTAGGCGTATCATATTCTCATGATGGAAAAATGAAAGACGAAGAGAAAATCTTTCTAAAATCCAGAGGAAAAAAGTACCTTATTTATAGAGGAGCGAGGATATGAATTGCATGAGACTTCTTTTCTGAAATCATGGAAGCAAGAAGAGAGTAAAGTGAAATATTACAAGTGTTGTAGGACTGAAAGTAGAAAGATAGCTGTTGTGCTTGTATTAATGCTAGAACAAATATACTTTGAATCAAGAGATATTACCTTATATAAAGATGAATATTTTTAATGATAAAGGGATCAATTCAGTTGTAAGGCATATTTATAAATTTGTATTCAACCCTATCAATAGTTGAAATATGTAAAACAAAATTTGACAGAAATAAAAGGATAAATGAATAAAATTGCAGTCATAAGTAATGATTTAAACATAATTCAGTAACTGATAAAACAGTTTAGTTAACAAATTTTTAAGGATATAGGTAATTTGAACAAGAATGTTTAACAGTTTGACATAAATGATATTTGTGGACCACTGCATGCAATAACAGAGTTTACCTTCTTTTCTCTTTTCACTTTTTGACAAACAAAATTGTACATATTTAACGGGATACAACACGATGTTCTGAAATATGTATATGTGTGGAATGGCTAAATCAAGCTGTTTAACATATGCATTACCTCACATCATTTCTTTGTGGTGAGAATACCGAAAATGTGCTCTTAGCAATTTTCACATATACAGTACATTGTCATTAAGTATGTATCACTGTATTGTACAATAGATCTTTGGAACTCATTCTTCCTGCCTAACTGAAATTTTGTATTCTTTGAACAACATCTTCTAATCCCCCACCTCTCCAGAACTTGGTAACCACCATTTTATTCTCTACTTCTGAGTTCCACTATTTTTTTGTAAGTGAAAGAAAGTTTAAGAAAGTAGAAGGATACGAGAATGGCTACTCCATAAACAGAGAAGCCCCGAGGGCTGCTGGTTGCCCATTTTTATGGTTATTTCTTGATAATATGCTAAACAAGGGGTGGATTATTCATGCCTCTCCTTTTTAGACCATATAGGGAAACTTCCTGACATTGCCATGGCATTTGTCAACTGTCATGGCTCTGGTGAGAGTGTAGCAGAGAAGATGACCAGAGGATACTCTTGTGGTCATCTTGGTTTTGGTGGGTTTTGGCCACCTTCTTTACTGCAACCTATTTTATCAGCAAGGTCTTCATGACCTGTATCTTGCACCGACTCCTATTTCATCCTGTGACTTAGAATGCCTTAACCATCTGGGAATGCAGCCCATTAGGTCTCAGCCTCATTTTACCCAGTTCCCATTCAAGATGGAGTTGCTCTGGTTCACGCTCCTCTGACATTTCCCCCCTCTCTTTTTATAAAAGAACCCATAATCCTAAAGGTTGCAGAGGGAAAAAGATCCATCTTCTATAACTTCTTCAGGCTGAATAGGGGTGATGACATTCCTGCCTATTAGGGTCTCTTGTGTTCAGGGTAGAGAGAAGCTCAGTCAGAACGCATCAGTATGGTGAGGGCCATTCATGATTCTTGGTGATATCTGGAAGATCAATAGGTGTTCAGTTTAAGAAAACATTCAGGCATTTGCTAGCAAGATGGCTGAATAGGAACAGCTTCGGTCTGCAGCTCCCAGCGAGATTGGCACAGAAGGTGGGTGATTTCTGCATTTCCAGTTGAGCATTCGCTGGTGATACCTAGGCAAACAGGGTCGGGAGTGGACCCCCAGCAAATTCCAGCAGACTGGCAGCAGAGGAGCCTGACTGTCAGAAGGAAAATTAATAAACAGAAAGGAATAGCACGTCCACTCAAAGACCCCATCTGAAGGCCACCAACATCAAAGAAGAAAGGTAGATACATCCACAAAGTTGGGGAGAAACCAGCGCAAAAAGGATGAAAATTCCAAAAACCAGAACACCTCTTATCCTCCAAAGGATCACAACTTCTCACTAGCAAGGGAACAAAACTGGACAGAGAATGAGTTTGACAAATTGATGGAAGTAGACTTCAGAAGGTGGGTAATAACAAACTCCTCCGAGCTAAAGGAGCATGTTCTAACCCAATGCAAGGAAGCTAACAACCTTGAAAAAAGGTTAGATGAATTGCTAACTAGAATAACCAGTGTAGAGAAGAACATAAATGACCTGATGGAGCTGAAAAACACAGCAGGAGAACTTCGTGAAGCATACACAAGTTTCAATAGCTGCAATGATCAAGCAGAAGAAAGGATAACAGTGATTTAAGATCAACTTAATGAAATAAAGAGAGAAGAAAAGATTAGAGAGAAAAAAATTAAAAGGAATTAACAAAGCCTCCAAGAAATATAGGACTACGTGAAATGAACAAACCGTGTTCAATTGGTGTACCTGAAAGTGATGAGGAGAATGGAACCAAATGGAAAACACTCTTCAGGAGATTATCCAGGAGAACTTCCCCAACCTAGCAAGGCAGGCCAACATTCAAATTCAGGAAATAGAACACCACAAAGAGCAACCCCAAGACATATAATTATCAGATTCACCAAGGTTGAAATGAATGGAAAAATATTAAGGGAAGCCAGAGAGAAAGGTCAGGTTACCCAAAAAGGGAAGCCCATCAGACTAACAGCGGATCTCTTTGCAGAAACCCTACAAGCCAGAAGAGAGTGGAGGCCAATATTCAACATTCTTAAAGAAAAGAATTTTCAACTCAGAATTTCATATCCAGCCAAACTAAGCTTCATAAGTGTAGGAGAAATAACATCCTTTACAGACAAGCAAATGCTGAGAGATTTTTGTCATCACCAGGCCTGCCTTACAAGGGTTCTTGAAGGAAACACTAAACATGGAAAGGAACAACCGGTACCAGCCACTGAAAAACCATACCAAATTGTAAAGACCATCGACATTATGAAGAAACTGCATCAACTAATGGGCAAAACAACCAGCTAGTGTCATAATGACAAACTTGACACAAGTAATGGAGAAAAGATTCCCTACTTAATAAACGGTGTTGGGAAAACTGGCTAGCCATATGCAGAAAATGGAAACTGGACCCCTTCCTTACACCTTATACAAAAATCAACTCAAGATGGATCAAAGACTTAAATGTAAGACCTAGGACCATAAAAATCCTAGAAGAAAACCTGGGCAATACCATTCAGGACATAGGCATGGGCAAAGACTTCATGTCTAAAATACTAAAAGCAATGGTGACAAAAGCCAAAATTGACAAATGGGATCTAATTAAACTAAAGAGCTTCTGCACAGCAAAAGAAACTATCATCAGAGTGAACAGACAACCTACAGAATGGGAGAAAATTTTTCCAATCTATCCATCTGACAATGGGTTAATATCCAGAATCTACAATGAACTTAAACAAATTTACAAGAAAAAAACAAACAACCCCATCAAAAAGTGGGTGAAGGATATGAACAGACACTTCTTAAAAGAAGACATTTATGCAGCCAACAGACATATGAAAAAAAGCTCATCATCACTGGTCATTAGAGAAATGCAAACCAAAACCACAATGAGGTACCATCTCATGCCAGTTAGAATGGCGATCATTAAAAAGTCAGGAAACAACAGATGCTGGAGAGGATGTGGAGAAATAGGGACACTTTTACACTATTGGGAGTATACATTAGTTCAACCATTGTGGAAGACAGTGTGGTGATTCCTCAAGGATCTAGAACTAGAAATACCATTTGACCCCAAAATCCCATTACTGGGTATATACCCAAAGGGTTATAAATCATTCTACTATAAAGACACATACACACGTATGTTTATTGTGGTACTATTCACAATAGCAGAGACTTGGAACCAAGCCAAAAGTCCATCAACAGTAGACTGGATAAAGACAATGTGGCACATATACACCATGGAATACTATGCAGCCATGAAAAGGATGAGTTTATGTCCTTTGCTGGGACATGGATGAAGCTGGAAACCATCATTCTCAGCAAACTATGACAAGAACAGAAAACCAAACACTGCATGTTCTCACTCATAAGTGGGAGTTGAACAATGAGAACACATGGACATAGGGAGGGGAACATCATACACCGGGGTCTGTCAGGTGGTGGGGGGCTAGGGGAGATATAACATTAGGAGAAATACCTAATGTAGATGACGGGTTGATGGGTGCAGCAAACCACCATGGCACGTGTATACCTATGTAACAAAACTGCACGTTCTGCACATGTACCCCAGAACTTAAAGCATATATATATATATATATATATGTAATTCAGTAAGCTTATTCTGCATTCCTACATGAAGAGTACAACAGCAATATGTTCCACAAGAGTAAAGCAAAATAAGTAAAATTATCCCAAGTAAAGTAAATTAGAAGACTTTCCATGAACTGGGCAACTGTTGAACCCAAGCTGATATGGGGCTTCTAGATGATTCCAATACATGCCCAGGATTAGAATACTGATCCAGATTTTTACATTACCCATCCCTCTTGTTTCTTCTGAGCAGCAGTTAGAGATCACTTGTTGGTTCACAGGAACAAGCAAGGTTAGCCCTAAATTCCAGAAACAAATTTAAAAACAACTGATGAGACTAGAATTTAATAACAAGTGTACCACAGTCATTGAAACATATTTCTCGCCAGTTTCCCATTTTTACTAGAGAAAAATTATGATAAGATCAATTTGCTTTATTATACTAGGCCTGATTATTTGTATAAAGTGCAGCAAGAATAATTTTTTTCACATAAGCTCTTTGTAAACTGGCCTTGAAGGAACTTTGTTCCATAGAAGGAATCTTAGATAAGACTTTTTAAAAGCTGAGCCCAGCCATGGGTTTGTACCCTCAAATACCTATGAGTTGAGTAAGTTCCTCTCCTCTTGTGGTCCCAAGATAAATTGGGGCTTCTGGACCTGTTAGAAAGAGACATTCTTTACTTACCTCAGGTCAGATACCCTGTACAGAGACTGTGTAGGCAAGGTATGAGGCCAGTTCCTCAAAAGGCTTTTATTGGCTTTACAAGTCAAGTTTGATTCCTAAAAGGAAAGCATGTCATTCCAATCAAATCCTTGGTGAAATAACCGATTTCTCCAATTATGTCCTGTTGGAAAAGAAAATAGACTCTTATTGCACTTATGCAAATTATGATATTGCCATAAATTAAGAATACTCTCACAACTAGTTTTCAAATTCTGGAGAAATCAGGTAGAAACAAATATGCTCTAAATTTTGTTCACAGAAGTATACTTTACTGAATTGCTAAAAGCTGTAAATAGCTCACAGTAAAATTTCCTTGACTCTGAAAAACAAAAAAAGGATTAACAATGTTTTAAGCAAAGTTAAAAATATTACTTCAGACTTTTTTAGTTTAGTTTATGCAGTTAACTCCTGTTCTGCTTGATATTTGTGAACACTTCAGCTCTCCATGAGAGTTCTGAAAGTTGTTTCCTCACTCTAATGTCACAATTTTCAAAGTTATCAGAAATCTGCATGTAAGAACACCTGTTAGAGTCCTATAGCTGATTAGAAACCACCTTTTGAAGAAAATTAAAACAAGACAGTAATTGCCTGTGGATGATAAAATGTCTTAGGACAGCCACAGTCAAAAACACAATTGACAAATTTGGTTACCTCTGTAGCATACAATGATTTTATATAACAATTATTAACAACATATGCTAAGTTATATCAGAATTATAGGAATTTTCCATGATTTTGGAATACATACCAATAACATATTTATAGAAACACAGCCTACAGAAAACTAAGCACCATTTCATGTTTGAGAATGCTTCCTGTATGATTTTTGTATCAAAAGAGCCAAATGTCACTGTTGCATTAGTACGTTATTGATGTCAAACCCAATTCTTAATAAAACCTTATAGAAAAATGTATTTAATCTTAATCAGTTTGACCATAAAGTAAGATTTTCATAAATCTTTTATAACCCTTTACAAATTTTTGTTAAAGAGCAGATTGTAACAGGTTTTTGCTTTAAGAAAAACCTGTTGTGCTTTTATTCAAATGTTCCGTTTACAAAAAACTGAATAATACCCCTTTAACTTTACCCAATATGTTCATACACAGAATTTCTTTTATAATTAATTTTTACAAACCTTCCACAAAGCTTAAACCTCCAGCTTTATTCTATCTGATTTAAAACAATCCTTTAACTCTTTAATCTAGGCAAGAAAAATCCACATACCCATGCCTTCTTATAATCTTTTACCAAAAACTCATTTCATTTCTCTTGCACACCTTGCATGTAAAACTATTTCTTCAGTATTCTCAATTACATGATACAATGTTAACTCTTAGTAACTTTTACTTTTGGTGAAAACCTTGATGAGTAGCAATTTTAATTATGTACCAGGTGTGGAGCCTATCCTAGGACACACCAGGCAGAAGTGCAGATAAGGGCTTTTTCTAGCATAGCTAGGGGACATGGCTAACTCCACATGTCCCAGGCCTTACCTAGTTGTAAAGCAGGGAAGTTGTACAGTTAGAGCCATAGTGGCATTTTATGATGCATTTAGGAGGCCTAATCACCTTTAAATTGTACAACTTTTTTTGCATAAATTCCCTTTCATGATTTTTTTTGCTACTTACACAGACATGTGTAGACTTGCCTTAAACATCCCTCTTTTTAGAACATATGGGCACAGGAAGGGGAACATCACACACTGGGGCCTGTCAGGGGGTGGGGAGCAAGGGGAGGGATAGCATTAGGAGAAATACCTAATGTTGATGACGGGTTGGTGGTTGCAGCAAACCACCATGGCACATGTATACCGACGTAACAAACCTGCACATTCTGCACATGTATCCCAGAACTTAAGTATAATAATAATTAAAAAAAAATCCCTCTTTTTAAACAACCAGTCATTTTGCTTTAGGACAAGAATTTATCATACAACATATTTTCTTATATAAAATATCTTTTCTTCATAACCTTCTTTGCATAGCTGGGGCATGGCTAATTCCACATGTCCCCAGGCTTTATCTAGAATCTAATGTCTCCAAGGTAGGTAAATTGAACAATTTTCAAAAGTCAAAGAAGCAGTTTATGCAAACCTAATATCTGACTTGCATAACTTAGAACACGTCTACATTTTTGAAGATATTTTATTTTACCAGTAATTTTTACAAGTGTCTGTATTTCCCAAAGATTACTTAGGTCACATGAACTAAAAGGCATTATGCTTTTTGCTTTTTTGAGAAAATATTTGATTTAAGCTCTCATTTTTAAACCAATTAATTAAAACTCTTTTATATTACACACACATAATACATATAAATACATAGACAGACAGAAAAGAAAGGATCATCCCCTAGGCTGGGAATTAGCCCCAGAACCCAGGCCACCATTGTGATGGTGGAGACCAAGAGAAAGTACTGCCACGTGGTTACAAGGTCAAGCTCCCAAGGACATGACTGACCAAAGGGAAACCTCATCCAGTTTACACACACACACACACACACACACACACACACACACACACACACACACACACACAGAGAGAGAGAGAAAGAGAAAGAGAGAGAGAGAGAAACAGAGAAAAAAAAAGAGAGAAAGAGGCCGGAAGTCTGAGTGGTAATAAATTCTTACCCTTTTGCTAGCATGCCAGGCTTCTGGGTTTTCTTTCCCTGAGTGGCCCTAGTGACCCAGACGGCTGCACCACAGCCCTGGGGGCCAAGCTGCAACACAAACAAAAATTATATCTTTCCATTCTGGCCAGAGTAAAATACGTGTGACAAAACATATACATTAGCCACTCTGCTTAGCACCCAATATCAAACTGGCAGGGCTCAAACTTGCTCCCATAATCGTTAATCCATCCTCCAACCAGGAGTTTCAACATGTGGTCTCTGGGCAAGATGGTCTCCCTGAGTAATAGAAGAGATAAAAAAGGGAAAGGAGAGAGAGAAAAGCATTGCCTGTGGCAGGGTGGGGAAGGCAAAATGATCAGGGAGGCCAGAGAAAGACCCACCCATAGTAGTGACACTGAAAAGATCAGGTGGCTGCTATCGTGAAGGGATTTTTTCCAGCAGTCCCATCAGCTCTCAGGTTTCCCCTTTTAGGGAGGAAAAAGCTTCTCATGTCCCGCAATCCTGTACATGCCTAACCCCGTCACCCACAGCCATCAGCAAAGAGTGCAAGGCAGATTAATCCAAAGAGAATAGCAGTTAACATCCCGTGGTGCCAAATCCATTCTTAGCCAAAAGGGACTTTACCGACAGGGATTTTACTGGGAGGGGCCTCTAACCTCCTAAATCTTAGAAGGGACTCTAACCTTCCTAAGTTGGGTCTCCAACCCAAGGTTGGTCAAGCGTCCCTGCATTTTATTGAGAGGAGCCTCTAACCCTCTCTGTTTTAGGAGAGACTCTAACTCCCCTAAGTTGGGCCTCTAACCCAATCCTTCTTTACCCGGGTATACACAGTCCACTTACCCAAAGTTAGCCAATTTGTGTACGCAGATGATTTTCCTTTGGATTGGGAGTCTCTTCAGTATCGTCCCTTCAGGATTTGCCAGAAAGATGTTACCGAACCCCACCACTTACCCAAAGTTAGCCTTTGGGTCAGGGGTTTCCACACTATAGTCCATTCCGTGGTTGCCAGAAAGAGGTTACAGGAAAGGGGTCCTGATCTAGACTCCAAGAGAGGGCTCTTGGATCTCACACAAGAAAGAATTCAGGGCAAGTCCATAGAGTAAAGTGAAAACAAGTTTATTAAGAAGGGAGAAGAATAAAAGAATGGCCACTCCATAGACAGAGCAACCAAGTTCCACTATTTTTTTTATTCCAAATATAATTAAGATCATGTGGTATTTGTCTTTCTGTGCCTGACATATTTTACTTAACAATGTCCTCCAGGTTTATCCATGTTAATGCAAACAGAAGAATTTTCTTTTTTAAAGACTGAATAGTATTTCATTGTGTATATATGCTATATTTCCTTTATTCACTCATCTGTTGATGGACAATTTGATTGATTCATATGTTGACTATCATAAATAATACTACTGTGAACGTGGGAATACAGATATTTCTACTACATAGCAATTTCACTTCTTTTGGCTATATACCAAGTAGCAAGATTGCTGGATTATATGATAGTTCTATTTTTAATTTTTTGAGGACCCTCAATGCTGTTTTCCATAATGGCTGTACTTATTTACATTTCCAGCAACAATGTACAAGGTTCCGCCTTCTCTACATCTTTGACAACACTTGTTATCTTTTGTCTCTTTGGTAAAAGTCATTCTAACAGGAGTTGGATAATATCTCATTGTACTCTTAACTTGCATTTCCATGATGATTAGTGATGTTGAGCATTTTGTCATATACTCACTGGATGTTTTTAGCCTTCTTTTGAGAAATATTTGTTCAAGTATATTGACCTTTTTTAAATCAAGTTACTTGTTCGCTTTCTATTGAGTTTGAGTTCCTTATGCATTTCAGATATTATCCCCTTATCAGATGCATGGTTTTCAAATGTTTTCTCCCATTCTGTAGATTGTCTCTTCATCTCTTTTTTTTATTATTATACTTTAAGTTTTAGGGTACATGTGCACAACGTGCAGGTTAGTTACATATGTATACATGTGCCATGTTGGTGTGCTGCACCAATTAACTCGTCATTTAACATTAGGTATATCTCCTAATGGTATCCCTCCCCCCTCCCCCCACCCAACAACAGGCCCTGGGGTGTGATGTTCCCCTTCCTGTGTCCATGTGTTCTCATTGTTCAACTCCCACCTATGAGTGAGAACATGCGGTGTTTGGTTTTTTGTCCTTGTGATAGTTTGCTGAGAATGATGGTTTCCAGCTTCACCCATGTCCCTACAAAGGACATGAACTCATCCTTTTTTATGGATGCATAGTATTCCATGGTGTATATGTGCCACATTTTCTTTTATTTATTTATTTATTTATTTTATTTTTTATTTATTTATTTTTTTATTATACTTTAAGTTTTAGGGTACATGTGCACAATGTGCAGGATTGTTACATATGTATACATGTGCCATGTTGGTGTCCTGCACCCATTAACTCATCATTTAGCATTAGGTATGTCTCCTAATGCTATCCCTCCCCCCTCCCCCCACCTCACAACAGTCCCTGGGGTGTGATGTTCCCCTTCCAGTGTCCATGTGTTCTTATTGTTCAATTCCCACCTAGGAGGGAAAACATGTGGTGTTTGGTTTTTTGTCCTTGCGATAGTTTGCTGAGAATGATGGTTTCCAGCTTCATCCATGTCCCTACCAAGGACATGAACTCATCATTTTTTATGGCTGCATAGTATTCCATGGTGTATATGTGCCACATTTTCTTAATCCAGTCTATCATTGTTGGATATTTGGGTTGGTGCCAAGTCTTTGCTATTGTGAATAGTGCTGCAATAAACATACATGTGCATGTCTCTTTATAACAGTATGATTTATAATCCTTTGGGTGTATACCCAGTAATAGGATGGCTGGGTCAAATGGTATTTCTAGTTCTAGAACACTGAGGTAATCACCACACTGACTTCCACAATGGTTGAACTAGTTTCCAGTCCCACCAACAGTGTAAAAGTGTTCCTATTTCTCCACATCCTCTCCAGCACCTGTTGTTTCCTGACTTTTTAATGATTGCCATTCTAACTGGTGTGAGATGGTATCTCATTGTGGTTTTGATTTGCATTTCTCTGATGGCCAGTGATGATGAGCATTTTTTCATGTGTCTTTTGGCTGCATAAATGTCTTCTTTTGAGAAGTGTCTGTTCATATCCTTCACCCACTTTTTGATGGGGTTGTTTGTTTTTTTCTTGTAAATTTGTTTGAGTTCATTGCAGATTCTGGATATTAGCCCTTTGTCAGATGAGTAGGTTGCAAAAATTTTCTCCCATTCTGTAGGTTGCCTGTCCACTCTGATGGTAGTTTCTTTTGCTGTGCAGAAGCTCTTGAGTTTAATTAGATCCCATTTGTCAATTTTGGCTTTTGTTGCCATTGCTTTTGCTGTTTTAGACATTTAGTCCTTGCCCATGCCTATGTCCTGAACAGTATTGCCTAGGTTTTCTTCTAGGGTTTTTATGGTTTTAGGTTTAACATTTAAGTCTTTCATCCATCTTGAATTAATTTTTGTATAAGGTGTAAGGAAGGGATCCAGTTTCAGCTTTCTACATATGGCTAGCCAGTTTTCCCAGCACCATTTATTAAATAGGGACTCCTTTCCCTATTGCTTGTTTTTGTCAGGTTTCTCAAAGATCAGATAGTTGTAGATATGTGGCAATATTTCTGAGGGCTCTATTCTGTTCCATTGGTCTATATCTCTGTTTTGGTACCAGTACCATGCTGTTTTGGTTACTGTAGCCTTGTAGTATAGTTTGAAGTCAGGTAGTGTGATGCCTCCAGCTTTGTTCTTTTGGCTTAGGATTGACTTGGCCATGCAGGCTCTTTTTTGGTTCCATATGAACTTTAAAGTAGTTTTTTCCAATCCTGTGAAGAAAGTCATTGGTAGCTTGATGGGGATGGCATTGAATCTATAAATTACCTTGGGCAGTATGGCCATTTTCAATATATTGATTCTTTCTACCCATGAGCACGGAATGTTCTTCCATTTGTTTGTATCCTCTTTTATTTCATTGAGCAGTGGTTTGTAGTTCTCCTTGAAGAGGTCCTTCACATCCCTTGTAAGTTGGATTCCTAGGTATTTTATTCCCTTTGAAGCAATTGTGAATGGCAGTTCACTCATGATATGGCTCTCTGTTTGTCTGTTATTGGTGTGTAAGAATGCTTGTGATTTTTGTACATTGATTTTGTATCCTGAGACTTTGCTGAAGTTGCTTATCAGCTTAAGGAGATTTTGAGCTGAGACAATGGGGTTTTCTAGATATACAATCATGTCGTCTGCAAACAGGGACAATTTGACTTCCTCTTTTCCTAATTGAATGCCCTTTATTTCCTTCTCCTGCCTGATTGCCCTGGCCAGAACTTCCAACACTATGTTGAATAGGAGTGGTGAGAGAGGGCATCCCTGCCTTGTGCCAGTTTTCAAAGGGAATGCTTCCAGTTTTTGCCCATTCAGTATGATGTTGGCTGTGGTTGTGTCATAGATAGCTCTTATTATTTTGAGATATGTCCCATCAATACCTAATTTACTGAGAGTTTTTTAGCATGAAGGGCTGTTGAGTTTTGTCAAAGGTCTTTACTGCATCTATTGAGATAATCATGTGGTTTTTGTCTTTCATTCTGTTTATATGCTGGATTACGTTTATTCATTTTCATATGTTGAACCAGCCTTGCATCCCAGGGATAAAGCCCACTTGATCATGGTGGATAAGCTTTTTGATGTGCTGCTGGATTTGGTTTGCCAGTATTTTATTGAGGATTTTTGCATCAATGTTCACCAGGGATATTTGTCTAAAATTCTCTTTTTTTGTTGTGTCTCTGCCTGGCTGTGGTATCAGGATGATGCTGGCCTCATAAAATGAGTTAAGGAGGATTCCCTCTTTTTCTGTTGATTGGAATAGTTTCAGAAGGAATGGTACCAGCTCCTCCTTGTACCTCTAGTAGAATTCGGCTGTGAATCCATCCGGTCCTGGACTTTTTTTGGTTGGTAAGCTATTAATTATTGCCTCAATTTCAGAGCCTGTTATTGGTCTATTCGGAGATTCAACTTCTTCCTGGTTTAGTCTTGGGAGGGTGTATGTGTCCAGGAATTTATCCATTTCTTCTAGATTTTCTAGCTTATTTGCATAGAGGTGTTTATAGTATTCTCTAATGGTAGTTTGTATTTCTGTGGGCTCGGTGGTGATATCCCCTTTGTCATTTGTTATTGCCTCTGTTAGATTCTTCTGTCTTTTATTCTTTATTAGTCTTGCTAGCGGTCTATCAATTTTGTTGATCTTTTCAAAAAACCAGCTCCTGGATTCATTGATTTTTTGAAGGGTTTTTTGTTTCTCTATTTCCTTCAGTTATGCTCTGATCTTAGTTATTTCTTGCCTTCTGCTAGCTTTTGAATGTGTTTGCTCTTGCTTTTCTAGTTCTTTTAATTATGATGTTAGGGTGTCAATTTTGGATCTTTCCTGCTTTCTCTTGTGGGCATTTAGTGCTATAAATTTTCCTCTACACACTGCTTTGAATGTGTCCCAGAGATTCTGGTATGTTGTGTCTTTGTTCTTGTTGTTTTCAAAGAACATCTTTACTTCTGCCTTCATTTCATTATGTACCCAGCAGTCATTCAGGAGCAGGTTGTTCAGTTTCCATGTAGTTGAGCAGTTTTGACTGAGTTTCTTAATCCTGAGTTGTAGTTTGATTGCACTGTGGTCTGAGAGACAGTTTGTTATAATTTCTGTTCTTTTACATTTGCTGAGGAGTGCTTTACTTCCAACTATGTGGTCAATTTTGGAATAGGTGTGGTGTGGTGCTGAAAAAAATGTATATTCTGTTGATTTGAGGTGGAGAGTTCTGTAGATGTCTATTAGGTCCGCTTGGTGCAGAGCTGAATTCAATTCCTGGATATCCTTGTTAACTTTCTGTCTCGTTGATCTGTCTAATGTTGACAGTGGGGTGTTAAAGTCTCCCATTATTATTGTGTGGGAGTCTAAGTCTCTTTGTTGGTCACTCAGGACTTGCTTTATGAATCTGGGTGCTCCTGTATTGGGTGCATATATATTTAGGATAGTTAGTTCTTCTTGTTGAATTGATCCCTTTACCCTTATGTAATGGCTTTCTTTGTATCTTTTGATCTTTGTTAGTTTAAAGTCTGTTTTATCAGAGACTAGGATTGCAACCCCTGCCTTTTTCTTGTTTTCCATTTGCTTGGTAGATCTTCCTCCATCCCTTTATTTTGAGCCAATGTGTGTCTCTGCACTTGAGATGGGTTTCCTGAATACAGCACAATGATGGGTCTTGACTCTTTATCCAATTTGCCAGTCTGTGTCTTTTAATTGGAGCATTTAGCCCATTTACATTTAAGGTTCATATTGTTATGTGTGAATTTGATCCTGTCATTATGATGTTAGCTGGTTATTTTGCTCGTTAGTTGATGCAGTTTCTTTCTAGCCTTGATGGTCTTTACAATTTGGCATGTTTTTGCATTGGGTGGTACCGGTTGTTCCTTTCCATGGTTAGTGCTTCCTTCAGTAGTTCTTTTAGGGCAGGCCTGGTGGTGACAAGACTTCTCAGCATTTGTTTTCTGTAAAGGATTTTATTTCTCCTTCACTTATGAAGCTTAGTTTGGCTGGATATGAAATTCTGGGTTGAAAATTCTTTTCTTTAAGAATGTTGAATATTGGCCCCCACTCTCTTCTGGCTTGTAGAGTTTCTGCTGAGAGATCTGCTGTTAGTCTGACGGGCTTTCCTTTGTGGGTAACCCGACCTTTCTCTCTGGCTGCCTTTAACATTTTTTCCTTCACTTCAACTTTGGTGAATCTGACAATTATGTGTCTTTGAGTTGCTCTTCTCAAGGAGTATCTTTGTGATGTTCTCTGTATTTCCTGAATTTGAATGTTGGCCTGTCTTGCTAGATTGGGGAAGTTCTCCTGGATAATATCCTGCAAAATGTTTTCCAACTTGGTTCCATTCTCCGTTTCACTTTCAGGTACACCAATCAGACGTACATTTGGTCTTTTCACATAGTCCCATATTTCTTGGAGGCTTTGTTCATTTGTGTTTTTTCTTTTTTCTAAACGTCTTTTCTCACTTCATTTCATTCATTTCATCTTCCATCGCTGATACCCTTTCTTCCAGTTGATTGCATTGGCTACTGAGGCTTTTGCATTTGTGACGTAGTTCTCGTGCTGTGGTCTTCAGCTCCATTAGGTATTTTTAGGACTTCTCTGCATTGGTTATTCTAGTTAGCCATTCATCTAATTTTTTTTCAAGGTTTTTAACTTCTTTGCCATTGATTAGAACTTCCTCCTTTTGCTCGGAGTAGTTTGATCTTCTGAAGCCTTCTTCTCTCAACTCGTCAAAGTCATTCTCTGTCCAGCTTTGTCCCATTGCTGGTGAGGAGCTGTGTTCCTTTGGAGGAGGAGAGGTGCTCTTATTTCTAGAGTTTCCGGTTTTTCTGCTGTGTTTTTTCCCCATCTTTGTGGTTTCCTCTACCTTTAGTCTTTGATGATGGTGATGTACAGATGGGTTTTTGGTATTGATGCCCTTTCTGTTTGTTAGTTTTCCTTCTAACAGTCAGGACCCTCAGCTGCAGGTCTGTTGGGGTTTGCTGGAGGTCCACTCCAGACTCTACTTGCCTGCGTATCAGCAGTGGTGGCTGCAGAACAGCGGATATTGGTGAACTGCAAATGCTGCTGCCTGCTTGCTCCTCTGGAAGTTTTGTCGCAGAGGAGTACCCGGCCGTGTGAGGTGTCAGTCTGCCCTACTTCAGTGTGCCTCCCAGTTAGGCTACTCGGGGATCAGGGGCCCACTTGAGGAGGCAGTCTTTCCATTCTCAGATCTCAAGCTGTGTGCTGGGAGAACCACTACTTTCTTCAAAGCTGTCAGACAGGGATATTTAAGTCTGCAGAGGTTACTGCTGTCTTTTTGTTTGTCTGTGCCCTGCCCCCACAGGTGGAGCCTACAGAGGCAGGCAGGCAGGCCTCCTTGAGCTGTGGTGGGCTCCACCCAGTTCGAGCTTCCCGGCTGCTTTGTTTACCTACTCAAGCCTTGGCAATGGCAGGCGACTCTCCCCCAGCCTTGCTGCTGCCTTGCAGTTTGATCTCAGACTGCTGTGCTAGCAATGAGCGAGGCTCCATGGGCGTAGGACCCTCGGAGCCATGTGTGGGATATAATCTCCTGGTGGGCCATTTGTTAAACCCATTGGAAATGCACAGTATTAGGGTGGGAGTGACCTGATTTTCCAGGTGCCGTCTGTCACCTCTTTCTTTGACTAGGAAAAGGAATTCCCTGACCCCTTGCACTTCCCGGGTGAGGTGTTGCTCCGCCCTGCTTTGGCTAACGCATGGTGTGCTGCACCCACTGTCCTGCACCCACTGTCCTGCACCCACTGTCCGGCACTCCCCAGTGAGAGGAACCTGGTACTTCAGTTGGAAATGTAGAAATCACCCATCTTCTACATCGCTCACACTGGGAGCTGTAGACTGGAGCAGTTCCTATTTGGCCATCTTGGCTCCACCCCCTGTGCCACATTTTCTTCATGCAGTCTATCATTGTTGGACATTTGGCTTGGTTCCAAGTCTTTGCTATTGTGAATAGTGCTGCAATAAACATACATGTGCATGTGTCTTTATAGCAGCAAGATTTATAATCCTTTGGGTATATACCCAGTAATGGGATTGCTGGGTCAAATGGTATTTCTAGTTCTAGATCCCTGAGGAATTGCCACACTGACTTCCACAATGGTTGAACTAGTTTACAGTCCCATCAACAGTGTAAAAGTGTTCCTATTTCTCCACATCCTCTCCAGCACCTGGTGTTTCCTAACTTTTTAATGATCACTGTTCTAACTGGTGTGAGATGGTATCTCATTTTGGTTTTGATTTGCATTTCTCTGATGGCCAGTGATGATGAGCATTTTTTCATGTGTCTTTTGGCTGCATAAATGTCTTCTTTTGAGAAGTGTCTATTCATGTCCTTCACCCACTTTTTGATGGGATTGTTTGTTTTTTTCTTGTAAGTTTGTTTGAGTTCATCATAGATTCTGGATATTAGCCATTTGTCAGATGAGTAGATCGCAAAAATTTTCTCCCATTCTGTAGGTTGCCTGTTCACTCTGATGGTAGTTTCTTTTGCTGTGCAGAAGCTCTTGAGTTTAATTAGCTCCCATTTGTCAATTTTGTCTTTTGTTGCCATTGCTTTTGGTGTTTTAGACATGAAGTCCTTGCCCATGCCTATGTCCTGAATTTTATTGCCTAGGTTTTCTTCTAGGGTTTTTATGGTTTTAGGTCTAACATGTAAGTCTTTCATCCATCTTGAATTAATTTTTGTATAAGGTATAAGGAAAGGATCCAGTTTCAGCTTTCTACATATGGCTAGCCAGTTTTCCCAGCACCGTTTATTAAATAGGGAATCCTTTCCCCATTGCTTGTTTTTCTCAGGTTTGTCAAAGATCAGATGGTTGTAGATATGCAGCATTATTTCTGAAGGCTCTGTTCTGTTCCATTGGTCTATATCTCTGTTTTGGTACCAGTACCATGCTGTTTTGATTACTGTAGCCTTGTAGTTTAGTTTGAAGTCAGGTAGCGTGATGTCTCCAACTTTGTTCTTTTGGCTTAGGATTGACTTGGCAATGCGTGCTCTTTTTTGGTTCTGTATGAATTTTAAAGTAGTTTTTTCCAATTCTGTGAAGAAAGTCATTGGTAGCTTGATGGGGATGGCATTGAATCTATAAAATACTTTGGGTAATTTGGCCATTTTCACGATATTGATTCTTCCTGCCCATGAGCATGGAATGTTCTTCCATTTGTTTGTATCCTCTTTTATTTCATTGAGCAGTGGTTTGCAGTTCTCTTTGAAGAGGTCCTTCACATCCCTTGTAAGTTGGATTCCTAGGTGTTTTATTCTCTTTGAAGCAATTGTGAATGGGAGTTCACTCCGGGTTTGACTGTCTGTTTGTGTGTTATTGGCGTATAAGAGTGCTTGTGATTTTTGCACATTGATTTTGTATCCTGAGACTTTGCTGAAGTTGCTTATCAGCTTAAGGAGATTTTGGGCTGAGACGATGGGGTTTTCTAGATATAAAATCATGTCATCTGCAAACAGGGACAATTTGACTTCCTCTTTTCCTAATTGAATGCCCTTTATTTCCTTCTCCTGCCTGATTGCCCTGGCAAAAACTTCCAACTCTGTGTTGAATAGGAGTGGTGAGAGAGAGCATCCCTGTTTTGTGCCCGTTTTCAAAGGGAATGCTTCCAGTTTTTGCCCATTCAGTATGATATTGGCTGTGGGTTTGTCATAGATAGCTCTTATTATTTTGAGATACATCCCATCAATACCTAATTTAGTGAGAGTTTTTAACATGAAGGGCTGTTGAATTTTGTCAAAGGCCCTTTCTGCATCTATTGAGATAATCACATGGTTTTTGTCATTGGTTCTGTTTATATGCTGGATTATGTTTATTGATATGCATATGTTGAACTAGCCTTGCTTTGCAGGGTTGAAACCCACTTGATCATGGTGGATAAGCTTTTTGATGTGCTGCTGGATTCGGTTTGCCAGTATTTTATTGAGGATCTTTGCATCGACATTCATCAGATATATTGGTCCAAAATTTTCTTTTTTTGTTGTGTCTCTGCCAGGTTTTGGTAGTGGGATGATGCTGGCCTCATAAAATGAGTTAGTGAGGATTCCTTCTTTTTCTACTGTTTGGAATACTTTCAGAAGGAATGGTACCAGCTCCTCTTTGTACCTCTCGTAGAATTCGACTATAAATTTGTCTTGTCCTGGACTTTTTTTGTTGGTAGGCTATTAATTGTTGCCTCAATTTCAGAACTTTTTATTGGTCTTGTCAGGGATTTGACTTTTTCCTCGTTTAATCTTGGGAGGGTGTATGTGTTGAGGAATTTATTCACTTCTTCTAGATTTTCTAGTTTATTTGCATAGAGGTGTTTATAGTATTCTCTGATGGTAGTTTGTATTTCTGTGGGATAAGTGGTGATATCCCCTTTATCATTTTTTATTGCGCCTATTTGATTCTTCTCTTTTCTTCTTTATTATTCGAACCCATGGCAAAGAAGTTAAAAACCTTAAAAAAATTAGATGAATGGCTGACGAGAATAATCACTGCAGAGAAGTCCTTAAAGGACCTGATGGAGCTGAAAACCAAGGCACAAGAACTACATGACGAATGCACAAGCCTCAGTAGCCGATTCCATCAACTGGAAGAAAGTGTATCAGTGATGGAAGATCAAATGAATGAAATGAAGTGAGAAGTTTAGAGAAAAAGGAATAAAAAGAAACAAACAAAGCCTCCAAGAAACATGGGACTACGTGAAAAGACCAAATCTACATTTGATTGGTGTACCTGAAAGTGACAGGGAGAATGGAACCAAGTTGGAAAACACTCTGCAGGATATTATCCAGGAGAACTTCCCCAATCTAGCAAGACAGGCCAACATTCAAGTTCAGGAAATACAGAGAATGCCAAAAGATACTCCTCAAGAAGAGAAACTCCAAGACACATAATTGTCAGATTCACCAAAGTTGAAATGAAGGAAAAAATGTTAAGGGCAGCCAGAGAGAAAGGTCGGGTTATCCACAAAGGGAAGCCCATCAGACTAACAGCTGATCTCTTGGCAGAAACTCTACAAGCCAGAAGAGAGTGGGGGCCAACATTCCACATTCTTAAAGAAAAGAATTTTCAACCCAGAATTTCATATCCAGCCAAACTAAGCTTCATAAGTGAAGGAGAAATAAAATCCTTTACAGACAAGCAAATGCTGAGAGGTTTTGTCACCACCAGGCCTGCCCTAAAAAACTACTGAAGGAAGCACTAACCATGGAAAGGAACAACCAGTACCAGCCACTGCAAAACCATGCCAAATTGTAAAGACCATCAAGGCTAGGAAGAAACTGCATCAACTAACGAGCAAAATAACCAGCTAACATCATAATGACAGGATCAAATTCACACATAACAATATGAAACTTAAATGTAAATGGGCTAAGTGTGCCAATTAAAAGACACAGACAGGCAAATTGGATAAAGAGTCAAGACCCATCAGTGTGCTGTATTCAGGAAACCCATCTCAAGTGCAGAGACACACATAGGCTCAAAATAAAGGGATGGAGGAAGATCTACCAAGCAAATGGAAAACAAAAAAAGGCAGGGGTTGCAATCCTAGTCTCTGATAAAACAGACTTTAAACCAACAAAGATCAAAAGAGACAAAGAAGGCTATTACATAATGGTAAGGGATCAATTCACAAGAAGCACTAACTATCCTAAATATATATGCACCCAATACAGGAGCACCCAATTTCATAAAGCAAGTCCTTAGAGACCTCCAAGGAGACTTGGACTCCCACACAATAATAATGGGAGACTTTAACACCCCACTGTCAACATTGGACAGATCAACGAGACAGAAAGTTAAAAAGGATATCCAGGAATTGAACTGAGCTCTGCACCAAGTGGACCTAATAGACATCTACAGAACTCTCCACCTCAAATCAACAGAATATACATTCTTCTCAGCACCACACTGCACTTATTCCAAAATTGACCACATAGTTCAAAGTAAAGCACTCCTCAGCAAATGTAAAAGAACAGAAATTATAACAAACTGTCTCTCAGACCACAGTGCAATCAAACTAGAACTCAGGATTAAGAAACTCACTCAATTGGGAGGCCGAGACGGGCGGATCACGAGGTCAGGAGATCGAGACCATCTTGGCTAACACGGTGAAACCCCGTTTCTACTAAAAATACAAAAAATTAGCCGGGCGTGTTGGCGGGCGCCTGTAGTCCCAGCTACTTGGGAGGCTGAGGCAGGAGAATGGCATGAACCTGGGAGGCGGAGCTTGCAGTGAGCCGAGATCACGCCACTGCACTCCAACCTGGGAGACACAGCGAGACTCCGTCTCAAAAAAAAAAAAAAAAAAAAAAAAAAAAAAAAAGAAACTCACTCAAAACTGCTCACCTACATGGAAACTGAACAACCTGCTCCTGAGTGATTACTGGGTACATAATGAAATGAAGGCAGAAATAAAGATGATCTTTGAAACCAATGGGAGCAAAGACACAACATACCAGAATCTCTGGGACACATTTAAAGCAGTGTGTAGAGGGAAATTTATAGTACTAAATGCCCACAAGGAAAGCAGGAAGGATCTAAAATTGACAGCCTAACATCACAATTAAAAGAACTAGAAAAGCAAGAGCAAACACATTCAAAAGCTAGCAGAAGGCAAGAAATAACTAAGATCGGAGCAGAACTGAAGGAGATAGAGACACAAAAAACCCTTCAAAAAATCAATGAATCCAGGAGTTGGTTTTTTGAAAAGATCAACAAAATTGATAGACCGCTAGCAAGTCTCTTCATCTTTTGTTTGTTCCCTTTTTGTGTAGAAGCTTTCTAGTTTGACATAATCCCATTTGTCTATTTTCACTTTTGTTGTCTGTGCTTTGTGGTCATATCTAAAACATCATTGCCCAGACCAATGTCATGAAGCTTTTTCTTTGTATTTTCTAGTAGTTTTATAATTTCAGGTCTAACATTTAAGTCATTAATCAATTTTGAATTGCTTGTGTATATAGTGGGAGACAAGGGTCTAATTTTATTCTTCTGCAAGTGGATATCCAGTTTTCTTAACACTACTTATTGAAGAGAATTCTGGTGATTAAAAAGTCCAAGAGCATGGTTCTGGCATCTGCTCAACTTCTGGTGAGGGTCCCATACTGCATCACAACATGGTGGAGTAGCAGAAGGGGAAGTGGGCATGTGCAAAACGAAACCAAACATGAGAGGCAACCTCATTTTATAACAATCCTCTTATGGCAACCAATCTAGTCACTCAAGTGTGAAAACTCACTTACTCCCTGGAGACTGTATTAATCCCTACGAGAGGGCAGATCCTTCACATCTCAAATGCCTCTTAAAGGTCCCACTATCTCTCAACACCATTATATTGGGACCTAGCCTTTACATGAATTTTGGTGGGGACACACCATAGTCAAACCATAGCACCATATAAAAGCATGGTTTATTTTTGGGCTATCTATTCTTTCCCTTTGTCTACGTTTCTGTTTCTGTGCCAGTAACATGTTGTTTTGATTACTATATCTTTGTAGTAGATTTTGAGATCAAGTGGTGGGATGCCTCTAACTTTGTTCATTTTGTTCAATAATTCTTTGGATATTTTAGGTCTTTTGTGGTTCCATATGAATTTTAGTGTTGTTTTTCCTATTTGTATTAAAACTGTCATTGGAACTTTGATAGGGATTGCATTGAATCTGTAGGTCAGTTTGGATAATGTAGACATTTAAACAATATTAATTCTTACAACCCAAGAACACAGGCTACTGTTTTATTTATTTTTCTTCATTTTTTAAATCAATGCTGTAAAGTTTTCAAGTGTACAGGTATTTCACTTTCTTGATTAAGTTTATAACTAAGTGTTTTAGGTATAAATTATTTTTTGATGCTATCATACATGGGATTTTTAAAAATTTGTTTTTCAGAGAGTTTGTTGTTAGTATATAGAAGTGCTACTGATTTTTGTATGTTGATTTTGTATCCTGCAACTTTACTGAATTTACTTATTTGTTTTAAGATTTTTTTTGTGAATACTTTAGAGTATTCTGTATATAAGATCATGTTGTCTGCCACCAGGGACAATTTAACTTCTTCCTTTCCAACTTGGATACCTTTTATTTCTTACTCTAGCCTAGTTGCTATGACTAGGACTTCTGGTACTATGTTGAATAGGAGTGGTGAGGGTGGGCATCCTTATTTTGTTCCTGATTTTAGAGGCAAAGCTCTCCACTTTTCACTATTGAATATGATCTTAGCTGTGGACTTGTCATATGTGACCTTTATTGTGTTGCGGTGCATTCTTTCCATACCTAATTTATTGAGAGTTTTAATCATGAAAGGATGTTGAATTTTGTAAAATGCTTTTTCTGCATCTATTGAGATGATCATATGGTTTTTGTCTTTCATTCTATTAATGTGGTATATCACATTTAGTGATTTGCATATGCTGAACCATCTTTGCATTCTTAGGATAAATCCCATTTGATCATAGTGAATGATTTTGTTAATGTGCTGTTGAATTTTGTTTCTAGTATTTTCTTAAGAATTTTTCCATCTATGTTCATCAGGGATATTAGTCTGTAATTTTTTCGTGGTGTCCTTGTCTGGTTTTGGTATCAGAGTAATGCTGACTTTGCAAAATGATTTTGGAAGTATGCCCTCCTCTTCAATTTTTTTGGAAGTGGGAAGAATTATTCTTTACATGTTTGTTAGAATTCAGCTGTGGAGCCATCGGATCATGGGCTCTTCTTTGATTGGAGATTTTTTATTACTGATTCAATTGCCTTATTATTGGTGTATTCAGATATTTTATTTCTTCTTGATTCTGTCTTGATAGATTGTATTCGTTTAGGAATTTATCAATTTCTTTTAAATTTTCCAGTGTACTGTCATATAATTATTTATAATAGTCTCATAATCCTTTGTATTTCTGTGGTTTCAGTTGTAATATTGTCTCTTTCATTTCTGATTTTATTTATTTAACTTTTCTTTCTGTTTTCCTTAGTCTCACCAAAGGTTTGTCAATTTTGTTTATCTTTTTCAAAAAACCAACTTTTAGTTTTGTTGATCTTTTCTATTGTTTTCTTAGCCTCTATTTCATTTATTTCTGCCCTGATCTTTATTATTTCCTTTCTTCTACTAATTTTGGCTTAGTTTGTTCTTCTTTTTCTAGTTTCTTGAGATATAATTTTAGGTTGTTTATTTGGGTTCTTTCTTCTTTTTTTATGTAGACATTTATTGCTATAAACTTCCTTCTTAGAATTACTTTTGCTGCATTCCATTTGTTTTGGTATGTTGCATGTACATTTTCACTTGTCAAGATATTTTAAAATTTCACTTTAATTTCCCTTTGACATATTGGTTGTTATGGAGTATGTTGTTTAATTTCCATATACCTGTGCATTTTCCACAATTATTATCATTATTGATTTATAGTTTCTAGTTTCATATTGATTTCTGTTGTGGATTGAAAAGTTACTGGATATGGTTTCAATATTCTTAAATTTGTTAAGACTTTTTTGGCCTAACTTGTGATTTATCCGGGAATGTTCTGTTTGTCCTTGAGAGGAATGTGTGTCTATTATTGTTAGATGGAATGTTCTGTATATGTCTGTTAGGTCCATTTTGTCTAATGTTTAGATCAAGTCCAATGTTTCCTTATTGGTTTTCTGTCTTGATAATATGTCCATTGTTTAAAGTGAGGAATTGAAGTCCTCCAGTATTTTCTTCTCATCTTCTTTGTGATATTGCCCCTACTATTATAGTGTTGCAGTCTATTTTTCCCTTTATATCTATTAATATTTGCTTTATATATTTATGTGCTCTGATGTTGGGTGTATGTGTATTTAAAATTGTTATGGCTTCTTGATGAATTGACCCCTCTTTATCATTATATAACTACCTTGTTTGTCCCTTTTTACAGTTTTTTACTTAAAGTTTATTTTATCTGATGTAAGTGTAGCTACCCCTGTTGTCTTTTGGTCTCCATTTGCACAGAATGACTTTTTCCATCCCTTCACTTTCAGTCTTGTCTATTTTTGAAGCTGAAGTGAGTCTGTTGGAGGCACACTTATTGGGCTGTTGTATTTCTTAAAAATTTTCAGCCTCTGTATATCTTTTGGTTGGAGCACTTAACCCATTTACATACATGATAATAATTGACAGGTAAGGACTTACTATTGCCATTTTGTTGTTTTCTCATTGTTTTGTATTTCCTTTGTTCCTTTCATCCTCTCTTGCGTTCTTCTTTTGTGATTAGTTGATTTTCTCTTCTAGTTTGCTTTGATTCTTTACTTTTTATCTTTTGTGTATCTACTATAGATTTTCGCTTTGTGATTACCATGAAGTTTGCATAAAACATAATTATAACAGGCTATTTTAAGCTGATAAAAACTTCAGTTCAATTGCATGTGAAAGCTCTACACTTTTACTCCATACCCTCACAACTTATATTTTTGATGCCATGATTTACATACTTTCACATTGTGTGTCTCTTAACATATTATTGTGCTATTATTATTTTTAACACTTTTGTCTTTTAAACTTTATGCTAGAGTTATAAGTAATTTACTCACCACCATTATAATATTAGACTGGTCTAAATTTTACTGTAGTTACTTTTACTAGTGAGTTTTATATTTTCATATGTTTTCATGTTGCTAATTAGCATCCATTCTTTTTAGCTTGAAGAACTCCCTTTAGCATTTCTAGTAAGACAAGCTTGGTGGTGATGAACTTCCTCAGCTTTTGTTTGTTTGGGAAAGTATACCTTATGTTTTGAAGAACAACTTTACTGAGTACAGTATTTATTTTATTATTATGATTATTTTATTTTTTGAGACAGTCTCACTCTCTCACCCAGGCTGGAGTGCAGTGGTGCTATCTCGGCTCACTGCAACCTCCACTTCCCAGGTTCAAGCAATTCTCCTGTTTCAGCCCCCCGAGTAGCTGGGACTACAAGCGTGCACCACCATTCCCGGCTAATTTTTGTATTTTTAGTAGAGACAGGGTTTCACCATGTTGGCCAGGCTGGTGTCGAACTCCTGACCTCAAATAATCTTAACCTGCCTCAGTCTCCCAATGTGCTGGGATTACAGGCATAAGCCACCACATCTAGCCTGAGTACAGTATTTTTTATTGGCTGATTTTTTTACTTTTGCTTTTTTTATTTTTATTTTTATTTTATTTTATTTTTTTGTGGCGATAGGGTCATAGGGAGCTATGTTGACAAGGCTGGTGTCAGATTTCTGGCCTTAAGTGATCCTCCCTCCTTCACCTCCCAAAGTGCTGGCATTACAGGCATGAACCACTGTGCCTGGCCAATTGACAGGTTTTGTCTTTTTTTTCTGACTTCAGCACTTTGAATATATCATTCCACTCTCTCCTGGCCTGTCAGCTTTCTTCAGAGAAATACACTGATAGTGCAACTGAAATTCTCTTATATGTGATATCCTTTTCTTTAGCTGATTTCACGATGCTCTGTCTTTGATTTTTGGCTGTTCAAGCATATGTCTTTGTGCAGTCTTATTTGGATTGAATCTGATTGCAGACTTTTGAGCTTTCTGTACCTGAATATTTGTATCTTTCCCCCAATTGGGAATTTTTCCACTATTGTTTATTAAAACAAACTTCCTATCCCTCCCTTTTTCTCTTCTCCTTCTTTTTAATGTCCATAATTTTAAAATTAGTTCTATTGATGCTGCCCCATAAATCCCATAGGCTTTCTTTATTTGTTTTCATTTTTTATTTTTCTCTATGACTGGGTAATTTCAAATAACCTGTCTTTGAGTTCACAGATTCTTTTTTCTGCTTGATCAGTTTTGCTGTTGATATTCTCTATTGTAGTTTTTATTTTATTCATTGTATTCTTCAACTGTAGAATTTCTGTGTTTTTTTAAAATCTGAGATGATTAACTGATTAAATCTTTCTGTTAAATTTTTAGTTTTAAAATTTATTGTTTTCCTGGTTTCATTGAATTTTTCCCCCTATATTTTCCTTAAGTTGCTATGCTTCCTTAAAACAACTATTTTCAATTTTTTTTTTCAGGCAGCATATAGATCTCCATTTCTTTATGGGCAGCCACTGGGAATTATTGTGTTCTTTTGGTGGTTATATGTCTCCTTTATTTTTTGTGTTTCTTGTCAGCTTACACTGATTTTTGTGCTTTTGGTGGAGCAGTCACCTCTTCTAGACATTATGGGCTAGTTTCACTGTAGAAAGACCTTCTCCTATGGTGGGGTGTATGAAGCCACTTGTTGGGTGAGGTACAGTAGTTCTGGTATTAGTGAAGATGTACCTCCATGCAGTCTTTGTGCAACTCTGTAAGCTGAGGTTAGTGTTGACAAAGCTCATATGGCAATGGCTCCAGTGTCTGAGGCATGGCAGGTATAGTGCAGGGTCTTCACTCATCAACCTCCGGATGTTTACAGTAGCAGTGAGGACTGTTGAGAACTTCAGTGACAATAAGTTCTAGGGTCTTCTTGATCTCTTGCTCCTACTGTGAGGTTGTGGCTGAGTGAGTTACTCACTGACACTGGATGCAGCCTGTGGGCTTGCTCCTAGTAGTGGAAGCACTGGTATCTGATGAGTAGTGCTTGTAGAGTGGCCATGGAGCCTAGGTCTGAAGCACAGGCACGTATGGAAGGGACTATAGCTCTGGGGTCATGGTGGTAGTGTCAGTGGTGCCTAGGGTGCAGATACCCTTGGTGAGTTGGTAATGTTATGCTATATGTAGGTGCTTGTAAAGCAGTCAGGGAGCTGGGAACTAGAGCATGGGCATGCATAGAACTACAGTGACTTCAGGGTCAGGGTGAGGTCTTGCTCTCTATGGTGGCTGAGGTGGCATCTGGAGTGAGGCACAGGGAGTCCTTAGCTCTAGGACCTAGGGTGTGAGCTAGTTTGCTATACTCATGGCTCTGATTTGTGACTTGGGGTTGCATGCAACATAGCCTTGGAGCCTGGGTCCAATGTGCAGGCTCTTAATGGCAACTGAACTGGTATCTATAGTGCAGTCACACGCAGAGAAACTTTGGATCTGGGGCCTGGGGTGTGAAGTAGCTTTTTATGGCCATGGCTCCAATGTCCAAGGTATGGCAGGTACAGTGCAGCCACAGAGATTGTGTCTGGAGTGTGGGTACTTGCAGAGTGGCTATGGCTCAGGGATTAGGGTCCTGCATGGGGTTGGGAGAGGTGGCAGCTCCATCCCTAGAGTGCCACACTGGCAACTGCTTCTTGAGGAGCAGGAGTGTGCAGCTATTTCTTCCTTTCTGGGTTTCCCAATGGAATGGCCATTGATTACCTAATTGACCAAAGATGCTGGTGTTCTCTGTGGAGCGGGTCACTGGGGAACCATAATGGTTCCTGCTGTGTGGCTGATCCCAATAGCCTCTGTCTTTTATCTTTGTTCCTAGCCAACTCCTTTCATTTCGGGTATGCTGATCTCACCTGCTATCCTGTGTGTGTGTGTGTGCGTGTGTGTGTGTGTGTGTGTGTATATATATTCTCTGTTTTATTTTGCTCCACTGTGTTCCTGAAGATACTTAAATGGGCCCTTGAATCCTGTCAGGTGTATTTCTGTTCATGGGTAGCTGTGTATATTTGATGTTTTTTTTTCGTGTGTATGATGGAATGAAAACTGGTATCTCTTACTTCACCTTCTTGGTGACATCCTTTTTTAAAAATTTTATTTATTTATTTATTTTACACCATCATTCTGCATTTCTCTTATTTTCCTTTTTTTACACCAGACATCTTAAATAGTAATTTTTTAAGATTTCAATTGTTTTTAATATATTTCCATTTTTCCTTGTTAGCAAATCAAAATACAACTGTTTTTTGTAGATTGAGTTTGTATCTAGTGACTATGCAAAACTTATTTATTTGTTTTAGGAGTTTTAGGGGTTTTTCTTTAGTAGTGTCTTTTGGATTTTATATGTAGACAATTACATCATTGGCAAATAGTGGCAATTTTATTATTCCTTTTCATCTTTATGCGTTTCATTTCCTTTTCTTTCCTTATTGCGCTAGCAAGTACAATGTTAAATAGGAGTGCTGAGAATGGGCATCCTTGCTTTGTTATTTCCTTAGAATATATTTTTGAAATTTATTTTTTGAGTTAGGGATTTGTCCAAGTCTATGGAAGAAGTATTCTTTCAGCATCAAGTATGATGTTACTCTAATGGGTGTTTTTTTGGTAGTTGATCTTCATCAAATTGAAGTAGTTTTCCTCTATTCCTATTTGCTGAAGGGGTTTTTTTTTTTAAATCATGACTGGTCAAATTTTGAAGAATAATATTTCTATATTATATTAGTCTTTGATTGCTGCATAATAAATTACCACAGTCTTAGCATCATAAAACAACACCTATTTATTAGTTAGCCATTCTGTAGGTCAGAAGTCTGCCACATTGCAGCTGGGTTCTCTGCTCAGAATCTTACAAGACTGCAATCAAATTGTTAGCCAGCTCACTTTTCATCTGAAAGTTCTGGGGGAAAGTTCACTTCCAAGCTCTTTCTTGTTGCTGGCAGATTTCAATTCCTTGTGGTGGTAGGACTGAGATCCCTATTTTCTTGCTGTCCGGTGGCTCGGGGTTGCTCTCAGCTCCTAGAGGCCACTGACATCCTTTCCATGTGCCCTTGTCTATCTTCAAGCCCGCAATAAAGTGTCAAATCCTCTTATGCTTTGAATCTCTGATTTCTTTGACCAGCCAGAGAAAATGCTCTGCTTTTAAAGGACTCTTGTGATTAGATCAGGCCCACTTGAATACTCTTTTATTAGTCAACTGTGCCATATAACATAACCTAAGCATGGGAGTAAAAGCCATCAAATTCACTATTTCAGGGAATTTACCAACTTGTACACTTGTGATGGTGGTGCCAGAAATCTTTGGAGACATCCTCTGCCTACCACATACATCTACTGAGATGAGCATTTTTTTTTATCATTAGTCTGTTGATATGGTGAATAACATTATTGAATTTCAAACGATGAATGACTCTCATTCTCAGTATAAACCCCAACTGGTCATGATGCATTATCCTTTTTTATATTGTTAAATTTGATTTGCTCATATTCTGTTGAGAATTTGAGTCTTTGTTTATGAAGAATATTAGCCTGTTTTATTATGCTTTTATAATTCTTATGTCTAGTTTTAGTATCAGGGTAGTTCTGGCCTTATAAGATAAGTTGGAAGTGGAGTTTCCATCTTACTGAGCTAGAAAAGACAGGGAGGGAGCAGTCTTGGTTCAAATTCCACAGACTTGACTTTTCTTACCAAATTAAAAAATGTTTCTTGCAGTTTCTTCTTCATTTACTGTATTCTTTTACAACCATTTTCAGGGCTTTAAATGGTTGTTCTTAATTTTTTTCACCAGTTTCAGTGGGGAATATGTCCCATGGAGCTCTTCATGCTGAAGTTGATCCCCTGTCCATTTTTTTTCCCATTTTTGAAAGATCTATTTTGCTGAGTATGGAATTCTGGGTAGTTTTTTCTTTCAGCACATTAAAAATATCCCTCAATTGTCCTCTGACTTGCAGAGTTTCTAATGAGAAACGTGATGTAATTCTTTTTTTCCTCTGTATGTAAAATGTACATATTTTCTGGCTGCCTTAAAGATTGTTCTCTGTTTGATTTTTAGCAGTTTGATATGTATAGGTGATTTTTGTTTGTTTTATTTTATTTTAGTATTTATTGTTCTTTGTGTTCTCTGACATTATTGGATCTGTGGTTTGGTGTCTTATTAATTTTGGAAAATTTTCACCAATTGTCTTTCAAATATTATTTTCTGCCTTATTCTCTCCCTTTTGGAATTCTAATGCACACAGGCACACATTGTTTGATATTGTTTTTTGATTCTTGGATTTTTTCCCCCCACTCCTTTCTTTGTGTTTAAGTTGGTTAATTTCTATTAATTTGTCTTCAAGTTCACTGATTCTTTCCCTGGCTATATTATGTTTTCAGGTGAGCTTGCCAAAAGCATTATTTATCTCTGTTAGCATGTTTTTCATTCCTAGCATTTCCACTTGGTTCTTTCTAATAGCTTTATCTTTTCTGCTGAAATCCCCTGTGGAATCATGCATATTGTTCACATTTACCAATGAAGCCTTTAATATATTTATTATAACTACCTATATTTCCTATTGGATAGGTCCAACATCTGTGCCATATCTGAGTCTGCTACTGATTCTTGCTTTATCTCTTGCCAGTATTTTTTTTCTTGCTTCTTTGTATGACTCATACATTTCTGTTGAAAGCTAGACATCTTGTATAGGATAATAGAGGTTGATGTAAACATTTTTTATGCCTGGAAATGAGCATACTTACTTTTCCTCTAGGCCTTTAGTCAGTTTAGTTAGGACTTAAACTGGGTTTGGGTTTTGCTGTTGTTGTAGTTACCCTCAGAGCACCACAGGATTCTATTTCCTCTAGCTTTACCTTGTGTTTAATATGGGGCTGATTTGCTACAGGGGTTTTTCAATGTCTGCTCCACTCTCAGATTTAGGTTTGAGAAAGAAATAAAAGGGCAGTTCCTAATATTCGGAAACTGGCCTGACACTCACAGGTAGACGATATTATTCTCTTGTTAGATATCCACGATATCACAGAATGCCACCTCGGATAAGTTTATTCTGAGACCAAGATAAAAATGAGACAAAGAAAGGTCACTTCATAATTTTTTTTCTAAGCATAGAGATAAGCAAGTTCCCTTTGCCACCTGCAAAATACTGAACATCTTTGTCCCTTGGCCAAAATAACTGGCTGCTACTTCTTTATTAATTAAAACTTTATTTCCATTCTAGTATCTAGATAAGATTTGTTGAGATAGTAAATAATAGGATTGCCCTTACTTTATGACAACATCCAATCTAGAATGAACCCACCCTTCCTTAGACCCTTTCCCTAAATCAGCCAACCAAAGCCCAAATCCTATAATTCTAACATCCAATTGTTGAGACATTCCATGATTCCCTATGATGTGTGTTCTCCTTCCTTGCAATGAAAAATAAACCAAAGATTTTCAGCTACCAATGTGTAATTGGCTGGGTGGCATTGACAGAATTAGAGGTTCACAAAGATTCAGCTGAGACCCTCACTGCATTGGACTAGAATGCTTAATTCCATGACATTTGAGACCCCTTCTTTCTTTATGTGCTCAATGTGCCACCTACTTTTGATTAGAAGATACGTTTATACTAAATTGAGCTCTGCTCAGGCCACTGCACTCCAGCCTGGGCAACAGAATGAGACTCCGTCTCAAAAATAAATAAATAAATTGAGCTCTGGTATTTTGTTGGAGGTCTTCAATGTTGTGTTTATTTTGTTTTCTTAAAAGTAGGCCCCCCTTTGGGATTTTGGTTTTCTGATTAGATTTGTGTTGTTCTTTGATGACATTGTTCTCTAGCATCTACAGCTTGCTTGCCAAATGCCTTGTCTTGTTTGTCTGCTTGTCTATTGTCTTGAATCTTGTTTTTCTACAAGAAGAACCATTTTTGGGGAGATAATGGGAAGAGACCTGATAAGTTTATCCTCAAACTAGGCTTGGGGGATGAGAAGTTCAGATTTCTTTTTAGACTGGTATTTTTTGGACAAACTTTGCTATAATCAACATTTCAAACCTTATAAGGACTTTTCCCTTATTCTTTTTTTTTGTCTTTGTGAACTGCTTTTGTTTGAGTTTCATCTGCATGAAATCAGAAGGTTTGTCTCATCCCTGATGAGTAATGATCTTTGACTAAGATCTAGATATACAAGGACACGTGACCACCATTCTTACAGGCATATTGAGGTTCTCATAGGATCTTTTCAATCTAAAACTGTATCTCCTCCAGAATGGACAGTTTCCTTTATTTTTTCTTGGTACAACACGAACTCCTGTGTACACCTAACTGGCACAATTTCAGTTTGAAATTACAGTGGATGCTTGGGAACCTTTTGATATAGACAAACTTGTTCATTTGAGAGGTGCCTTTGAACAAAAGAGAATTGAAATGCTGACTGTCCAATGGTTTGCTTTCTTTCATTGGTATGAAGAGGGATTTGAATAAAATTTGCACTAAAAATTGCCTTTCTAAAAGATCATCTAGCTAAAACTAATGCAAAATATAAGCAACCTAAGACCATTTGCCTTGTGGATCAACTAAAATCCCATTTCAATTCTTCCTATCTGTGTCCCATTCTCCCTCTACCTCCTTTGCCTTCACCATCAGAACCTTATTTAACTTTCATGGAGTTCTTCCTTTTGTCTCCTTCTCTTTCTAAATAAGTTGCACTACCTCTTCCTCAAAATCCCTTAAAATTGCAACCTCAACAGAAGAAAGATCCCGGCAGTGAGCGGGACACAGATTTTAAGCCTGGGTCACACTCACTGCAATAGTTACATACATCCCTAATTCCAAAATAAAAAGAGAAAATTCAATAAAGTATTCAAACTTATTATGGGCACATACAACACGGGCCTCATGGACCTCTACCAACAAATTCACCTTTTGGTGGGGCCAGGAAATACAAAACCTTAGTTAGAAAAGGCCAATTGGAAAGACCTAGAAAGTGACTTCAAAAACAATCAGGACACCTTAAGCACAGCAAATAGGCCATAACCTTTTGAAAACTATACCATAACTCTTTCCCACTAAAATAAACCAGACCTTGACAGAATAGATCCATAAGATACTCAAAGACAGACTAATAAGCATTCTTAAAAAAATTTTCAGGGTTCACCCCCAATGTTGACATTTCTAATACTCTTTCCACTTTCTTTGATAAATTAAAGCCAGAAATTGCAGATATGGTACATAAAAAAAATTGCCTGGCAAACCATGTCACTAATTGAACTTCAGCATTTGGCTAAACATTTTTAAATGGCTTTAAATATCAAATGAGAAAGTAAAACCCCAAACTAACCTTATACAATTATAAGTAAAGCATTTAAATAGATATTTCTCATCCACAAGGGACAATAAATATTTTCCCTTTAACAAAGACACTTGCTGATACTATAAATAAATGGGACACTGGAAAAAATAACTGTCCCATCTTAACTAAAAAGAAAAATGAACTACCAACCCTCTTTTTTCTAAAGAATTATTATATGAAGCTGCTCTGCGGGGGATTCCCTTAAATCACAAGGAGAACTATCTTTAATAATAGAAAAACAAAAACAAACTTTTTTGGTAGATATGGGCACTACTCTGTTGACTATAAATCCCATTACAATTGCAACTCATTTTCCTTGGAGTCATAAAACTATTCTGGTGACAGGAATTTCAAACAATCCTCAAACTATTCCCAATACCTCAACCTGTGACTGTAACTCTCAGCCTCCTCATTAGTCAACATGTATTTCTTCTCCCTGACACCAATTATTGAAAGAGATCTTTTATGTAAATGTATTGCCAAATCAAATGCTCCTCAGGTGAACTACTTCTCAAAATACCTCATTATTCTTCCATGCATGATTCTTTAATGGTGCAGTTAGATATCAAGTTGACTATCCTTATAAGCTTGACCAAATCTGGGTTTGAGGATTTATGTGAGGTTCCTTATTCTCCAGCAGTTCTACAGATGTGAGAAGAATTCTAGGGATTAAACTTCTAATGTAGAAAAGGACTTCTTGAAATTCTTCCCTAAAGTTGTTTGATACCTTCTAAACCTAAAACTAAAGAAGGATTGAGCCCCTTTTGTGGAAGGTTTTATGAAATGATGACTAGTTACTTCTCACACTAGTCCAGGTAATATTCCAATGTTGCCTGTTAAAAAGACTCATGGGAGTGGATATTGATTTGTGTAAGACCTTAAGTCTAAAAATAAGATTGTGATTCTTTGTTTCCCAGTGGTCAGTCCCAAATCTAAATATTTTGTCCTAAATACTGCAAGAAGCCACCTACTTCATTGTAGCAAAGTTATGTTCTGCCTTTTTAGCATCCCACTGGATTCAGATAGTTTATATTTATTTGACTTCTTATGAGAAAACCAATGATATAGCTGGACTGTTATGCTCCAGGGATTTACTGACACCTTCCCTTATTTATCTGAAATTCCTGACTGGGACTTTAAGGATTTGAGATTTACTTATGATTCTCTCCTTATACAATGATCTTTTACTGTGTTCCAATGATGATATTGTACTATGCTTAAAAAACAGGAAAAGCTTTAAGATTGATTCTGTGTATTTATTAAATCTCTACAATACTTCCCAATGCTGGGGTTGCAGAGATAGTATAAACCTTTTTTTCTTTTTCTTCATGAAGGGTCCGGACATAATTGAGTCATAATTGAGTATGGACCCAATTATATGGGAATCATGTATAAAATATATTTCAATGATAGTATGCTTTTCAGGCTAAAAGAAGCATGTACAAGTTTATGTGCAAAGACTGGCAGAATATTAAAGATTGCTTTTTAAGATTCTAGATTCAATTCTGTGAAGAAAGTCATGGTAGCTTGATGGGGATGGCATTGAATCTATAAATTACCTTGGGCAGTATGGCCATTTTCACGATATTGATTCTTCCTACCCATGAGCATGGAATGTTCTTCCATTTGTTTGTAGCCTCTTTTATTTCATTGAGCAGTGGTTTGTAGTTCTCCTTGAAGAGGTCCTTCACATCCCTTGTAAGTTGGATTCCTAGGTATTTTATTCTCTTTGAAGCAATTGTGAATGGGAGTTCACCCATGATTTGGCTCTCTGTCTGTTATTGGTGTATAAGAATGCTTGTGATTTTTGCACATTGATTTTGTATCCTGAGACTTTGCTGAAGTTGCTTATCAGCTTAAGGAGATTTTGGGCTGAGACGATGGGGTTTTCTAGATATAAAATCATGTCATCTGCAAACAGGGATAATTTGACTTCCTCTTTTCCTAATTGAATGCCCTTTATTTCCTTCTCCTGCCTAATTGCCCTGGCCAGAACTTCCAACACTATGTTGAATAGGAGTGGTGAGAGAGGGCATCCCTGTCTTGTGCCAGTTTTCAAAGGGAATGCTTCCAGTTTTTGCCCATTCAGTATGATATTGGCTGTGGGTTTGTCATAGATAGCTCTTATTATTTTGAAATACGTCCCATCAATACCTAATTTATTGAGAGTTTTTAGCATGAAGGGCTGCTGAATTTTGTCAAAGGCCTTTTCTGCATCTATTGAGATAATCATGTGGTTTTTGTCTTTGGTTCTGTTTATATGCTGGATGACATTTATTGATTTGCGTATATTGAACCAGCCTTGCATCCCAGGAAAGAAGCCCACTTGATCATGGTGGATAAGCTTTTTGATGTGCTGCTGGATTCGGTTTGCCAGTATTTTATTGAGGATTTTTGCATCAATGTTCATCAAGGATATTGGTCTAAAATTCTCTTTTTTGGTTGTGTCTCTGCCTGGCTTTGGTATCAGGATGATGCTGGCCTCATAAAATGAGTTAGGGAGGTTTCCCTTTTTTTCTATTGATTGGAATAGTTTCAGAAGGAATGGTACCAGTTCCTCCTTGTACCTCTGGTAGAATTCGGCTGTGAATCCATCTGGTCCTGGACTCTTTTTGGTTGGTAAGCTATTGATTATTGCCACAATTTCAGAGCCTGTTATTGTTCTATTCAGAGAGTCAACTTCTTCCTGATTTAGTCTTGGGAGGGTGTATGTGTCGAGGGATTTATCCATTTCTTCTAGATTTTCTAGTTTATTTGCATAGAGGTGTTTGTAGTATTCTCTGAGGGTAGTTTGTATTTCTGTGGGATCGGTGGTGATATCCCCTTTATCATTTTTTATTACATCTATTTAATTCTTCTCTCTTTTCTTCTTTATTAGTCTTGCCAGCAGTCTATCAATTTTGTTGATCCTTTCAAAAAACCAGCTCCTGGATTAATTAATTTTTTGAAGGGTTTTTTGTGTCTCTATTTCCTTCAGTTCTGCTCTGATTTTAGTTATTTCTTGCCTTCTGCTAGCTTTTGAATGTGTTTGCTCTTGCTTCTCTAGTTCTTTTAATTGTGATGTTAGGGTGTGAATTTTTGGTCTTTCCTCCTTTCTCTTGTGGGCATTTAGTGCTATAAATTTCCCTCTACACACTGCTTTGAATGTGTCCCAGAGATTCTAGTATGTTGTGTCTTTGTTCTCGTTGTTTTCAAAGAACATCTTTATTTCTGCCTTCATTTCGTTATGTACCCAGTAGTCATTCAGGAGCAGGTTGCTCAGTTTCCATGTAGTTGAGTGGTTTTGAGTGAGTTTCTTAATCTCGAGTTCTAGTTTGATTGCACTGTGGTCTGAGAGACAGTTTGTTATAATTTCTGTTCTTTTACATTTGCTGAGGAGTGCTTTACTTCCAACTATGTGGTCAATTTTGGAATAGGTGTGGTGTGGTGCTGAAAGAAATGTATATTCTGTTGATTTGGGGTGGAGAGTTCTGTAGATGTCTATTAGGTCTGCTTGGTGAAGAGCTGAGTTCAATTCCTGGGTATCCTTGTTCACTTTCTGTCTCATTGATCTGTCTAATGTTGACACTGGGGTGTTAAAGTCTCCCATTATTATTGTGTGGGAGTCTAAGTCTCTTTGTTGGTCACTCAGGACTTGCTTTATGAATCTTGGTGCTCCTGTATTGGGTGCATATATATTTAGGATAGTTAGCTCTTCTTGTTGAATTGATCCCTTTACCATTATGTAATGGCCTTCTTTGTCTCTTTTGATCTTTGTTGGTTTAAAGTGTGTTTTATCGGAGACTGGGATTGCAACCCCTGCCTTTTTTTGTTTTCCATTTGCTTGGTAGATCTTCCTCCATCCTTTTATTTTGAGCCTATGTGTGTCTCTGCAGGTGAGATGGGTTTCCTGAATACAGCACACTGATGGGTCTTGACTCTTTATCCAATTTGCCAGTCTGTGTCTTTTAATTGGAGCATTTAGTCCATTTACATTTAAAGTTAATATTGTTATGTGTGAATTTGATCCTGTCATTATGATGTTAGCTGGTTATTATGCTTGTTAGTTGATGCAGTTTCTTCCTAGCCTTGATGGTCTTTACCATTTGGCATGATTTTGCAGTGGCTGGTACCAGTTGTTCCTTTCCATGTTTAGTGCTTCCTTCAGGAGCTCTTTTAGGGCAGGCCTGGTGGTGACAAAATCTCTCAGCATTTGCTTGTCTGTAAAGGATGTTATTTCTCTTTCACTTATGAAGCTTAGTTTGGCTGGATATGAAATTCTGAGTTGAAAATTCTTTTCTTTAAGAATGTTGAATATTGGCCCCCACTCTCTTCTGGCTTGTAGAGTGTCTGCTGAGAGATCCGCTGTTCATCTGATGGGCTTCCCTTCATGGGTAACCCAACCTTTCTCTCTGGCTGCCCTTAACATCTTTTCCTTCATTTCAACTTTGGTGAATCTGACAATTATGTTTCTTGGAGTTGCTCTTCTCGAGGAGTATCTTTGTGGCATTCTCTGTATTTCCTGAATCTGAATGTTGCCCTGCCTTGCTAGATTGGGGAAGTTCTCCTGGATAATATCCTGCAGAGTGTTTTCCAACTTGGTTCCATTCTCCCCGTCACTTTCAGGTACACCAGTCAGACGTAGATTTGGTCTTTTCACATAGTCCCATATTTCTTGGAGGCTTTGTTCATTTCTTTTTATTCTTTTTTCTCTAAACTTCCCTTCTCACTTCATTTCATTCATTTCATCTTCCATCACTGATACCCTTCTTCCAGTCGATCGCATCAGCTCCTGAGGCTTCTGCATTCTTCACGTAGTTCTCGAGCCTTGGCTTTCAGCTCCATCAGCTCCTTTAAGGACTTCTCTGTATTGGTTATTTTAGTTATACATTCGTCTAAATTTTTTTCAAAGTTTTCAACTTCCTTGCCTTTGGTTTGAATTTCCTCCTGTAGCTTGAAGTAGTTTGATCGTCTGAAGCCTTCTTCTCTCAACTCGTCAAAGTCATTCTCTGTCCGGCTTTGTTCCGTTGCTGGTGAGGAGCTGCATTCCTTTGGAGGAGGAGAGGCACTCTGCTTTTTAGAGTTTCCGGTTTTTCTGCTCTGTTTTTTCCACATCTTTGTGGTTTTCTCTACCTTTGGTCTTTGATGATGGTGACATACAGATGGTTTTCTGGTGTGGATGTCCTTTCTGTTTGTTAGTTTTCCTTCTAACAGACAGGACCCTCAGCTGCAGGTCTGTTGGAGTTTGCTAGAGGTCCACTCCAGACTCTGTTTCCCTGGGTACCAGCAGCAGTGGCTGCAGAACAGCGGATTTTCGTGAACGGAATGCTGCTGTCTGATCGTTCCTCTGGAAGTTTTGTCTCAGAGGAGTACCCCGGCCATGTGAGGTGTCAGTCTGGCCTCTACTGGGGGGTGCCTCCCAGTTAGGCTGCTCGGGGGTCAGGGGTCAGGGACCCACTTGAGGAGGCAGTCTGCCCATTCTCAGATCTCCAGCTGCGTGCTGGGAGAACCACTGCTCTCTTCAAAGCTGTCAGACAGGGACATTTAAGTCTGCAGAGTTTACTGCTGTCTTTTTGTTTGTCTGTGCCCTGCCCCCAGAGGTGGAGCCTACAGAGGCAGGCAGGCCTCCTTGAGCTGTGGTGGGCTCCACCCAGTTCGAGCTTCCAGGCTCCTTTGTTTACCTAAGCAAGCCTGGGCAAAGGTGGACTCCCCTCCCCCAGCCTTGCTGCTGCCTTGCAGTTTGATCTCAGACTGCTGTGCTAGCAATCAGCAAGACTCCGTGGGCGTAGGACCCTCCAAGCCATGTGCGGGATATAATCTCCCGGTGTGCCGTTTTTTAAGCTCATTGGAAAAGTGCAGTATTGGGGTGGGAGTGATCTGATTTTCCAGGTGCCGTCTGTCACCCCTTTCTTTGACTAGGAAAGGGAACTCCCTGAGCCCTTGCACTTCCCGAGTGAGGCAGTGCCTCGCTCTTCTTCGGCTCATGCACGGTGCACTGCACCCACTGTCCTGCACCCACTGTCTGGCACTCCCTAGTGAGATGAACCCAGTACCTCAGATGGAAATGCAGAAATCACCCATCTTCTGTTTCACTCACGCTGGGAGCTGTAGACCAGAGCTGTTCCTATTTGGCCATCTTGGCTCGGTCCCCGCCCTTTTACTTAATCAACACATCACTCCAACAATTCTCCCATCTCTCCTTTATTACATTTAGCAATATATAAAAATAATAAAACTTCAAAAGCAAATCAGATATGTCTTGGGAATGCAAAACTGGTTCAATAAAAAATGTAACCCACCATATGAAACAGATTGAAGAAAAAAGCCCATATTATTGTATCAATTGATGCAGAGAATCAACTGGAAAAGTTCAACACTCATTCGTGACTTTAAATAAAACACTCAACAAATAGGAATAGAAAAGGATTTACTCAACTTGATAAAAAGTATCTATGATCTGGGCACTCTGGCTCATGCCTGTAATCCCAGCATTTTGGGGGCCAAGGTGGGCAGATGTCATAAGGTCAACAGCTCAAGACCAGCCTGGCCAACATGGTGAAACCCTGATTCTACTAAAAATACAAAAATTACCTGGGCATGGCGGCATGTGCCTGTAATCCCAGCTACTCGGGAGGTTGAGGCAGGAGAATCGCTTTAACCAGGGAGGCGGACATTGCAGTGAGCCAAGATCGCATCACAGCACTCCAGCCTCGACGACAGAGTGAGTGAGACTCTGTTTCAAAAAGAAAAAAAAAAGAAGACATGTAAGAAAATCTTTATGGCATGGGCATAAGCAAAGAGTTATTAGATATTGAAGCACAATCTAAATAAGATATAATTGATAAATTGGAATTCCTCAAATTTTAAAACCTTTGCTCTTAGAAAGTCAGTGCTGAAGGAAGGAAAAGATGAACTACCAAGTGAGAAATAATATTTGCAAATCACATATTCAACACAAAACTTGTAGCTAGAATCCACAAAAATCAATAATAAGAAAACAAATAACCCAATTTAAAGATGGGCAAAAGACCCAAGCAGACACTTGACCAAAAAGGATATAGTGGTGCAAATAAGCACATGAAAAGATATTCACCATAATTAGCCATTATGGAAATAAAAGCTAAAAGTACAATTAGTACTGCCATATACTTATGACAATACCTAAAATTTAAAAATATAACACCTTCAAGTTCTGGTGAGGTTGCGGGAGAACTAGAACTCTTAAACCTTGCTGGTAAATATGCAAAATGGTAGAACTGCTCTGGAACACAGTTTGGCAGTTGCTTATAAACTTAAACATATACTTAACATATGACCCAGAAATCCCATACCAAGTATTTACTCTAGAGAAATCAAAACTATGTACATAAAAACCTGTACACAAATGTTTTTATTTATTTATTTTTTAAATTTTATTATTACTATACTTTAAGTTTTAGGGTACATGTGCATAACATGCAGGTTTGTTACATATGCATACATGTGCCATGTAGGTGTGCTGCACCCATTAACTCGTCATTTAGCATTAGGTATATCTCCTAATGCTATCCCTCCCCCCTCCCCCTACCCCACAACAGGCCCCGGTGTGTGATGTTCTTCTTCCTATGTCCATGTGTTCTCATTGTTCAATTCCCACCTATGAGTGAGAACATGCGGTGTTTGGTTTTTTGTCCTTGAGACAGTTTGCTGAGAATGATGGTTTCCAGCTTCATCCATGTCCCTACCAAGGACATGAACTCATCATTTTTTATGGCTGCATAGTATTCCATGATGTATATGTGCCACATTTTCTTAATCCAGTCTATCATTGTTGGACATTTGGGTTGGTTCCAAGTCTTTGCTATTGTGAATAGTGCCACAGTAAACATACGTGTGCATGTGTCTTTATAGCAGCATGATTTATAATCCTTTGGGTATATACCCAGTAATGGGATGGCTGGGTATTTCTAGTTCTAGATCCCTGAGGAATCGCCACACTGACTTCCACAATGGTTGAACTAGTTTCTAGTCCCACCAACAGTGTAAAAGCGAAAGTCAGGAAACAACAGGTGCTGGAGAGGTTGTGGAGAAATAGGAGCACAAATGTTTTAAAAAACTCCATTCATAATCATCAAAAATGGAAACAACCCAAATATCCTTTAATGACTGAATGTATAGACAACCTGTGGTATGTATATCCATATAATGGAATACTAATCCAGAAGAAAAAGAAACAAATTACTGATACACAGACCAACTTCAATGAATCTCAAAGGCACTACACTGAATAAAAGAAACTATTCTCAAAAATCACTTATTCTTTTTATAATTCCATTTATACAGTAACAGAAAACAGACCAGTGGTTGTCGGAATTTAGAAATGAGGAAAGGGCATGACTACAAAGAAATAAAACACGGCAGTTTTGGGGTTAATAGTACTGTTCTGTATCCTGGTTGTGGTAGTTGTTAACCAATCTACATATGTGTTAAAGTTTATAAGACAATAAACAAAACTTTAATAATTAGCTAATTTTAAAAATAAAAGTTAAAAGGTAATTTTGAAAACAAATGAGTTCTGCTAACAGGACAAGATGAATTAAATGTAATTTTCTCTATCCCACTCAAAACCATAGATATTATACATTAAAGAAAGATAAGGCTCTGAAAGGTAGAAAGAAAAAAATACCCTATTATCGTATCAATTGATGCAGAGAATCCATTGCAGAGAAAAAAGCACACTGGCTAGAGAGCATACAAGATGTTAAGTTCTCTGGGTTTTCTTTTCTTATTTGTAAACCCTTATTGAAATATAAATCACATAGCATATAATTCACCCATTTAAAGTGTATACATCAATGGATTTTAGTATGTTTACAGGATTGTGCAATCACCATCACAATCAATTTTAAAACATTTTCATTAGCCCCCAAAGAAACTCCTTACCCATTAGCAGTCATTTCTCATATGCCCCCAACTTGCATAAGTTGCAGTCACCCCTGCTGGGGATCCCGAGGCCAGAGTATGTAAAGTTCCTGGGACTCTGTGCGTGCCTGAGCAGCTGCTCTACTAAGACTTTATGAAGCTTTGTGTGTCATAACAAAGTCCCTGGTAGAGTGCGTTCATGAGGGGATCTCCTGACCTGAGGGTTGCAATGATTCCTGGGAGAAGTGTGGTTTCCCGGAGTCACACATTCACTCACTGCCTTCCTGGGCCGGGGGAGGTTCCCTTGGCTCCGTGTCACTCTGGGTGAGCCATCGCCCTGCCCTGCTTTTCTCCATTCTCCGTGGGTCGAGCTATTTTTCTGATGAGTCCCAAGGAGAGAACCTGGATATTTCCATTGAAGTTGCTGTATTTACTCGCCCCTTTCGTTCCTCTCCATGAGAGCCATGTACTGTAGCTGCTTCCAGTTGGCCATCTTCACTCGATCCCTTACCTATTATTTTCTTTTGTCACTTGTGTTTTTATGTCATATTTAAGGTTTTCTAACACATATGTGTTCTGTTGTGTATTCATTCCTTCTAACACAAAGCCACAAGACTTACCGCCATGTTTTCTTCTAATGTTTTATGGTTTTAGCTCTTACATTTAGGTAGATAGTCCGTTTTGAGTTAATTTTTGTACATAGTATAAGGTATGTGTTTACATTCGTTTGCAAGTGGATATCCATTTGTTTCATGACCTTTTTAATATTAATTTCTATTTTATTGTGGTAAACACATTTAACATGAGATCTACTCTCATAACAAATTTTTAAGTGCAGAAAATTAAGGTAAGAAACTTGTGTATATATGCAGTATTGTTAACTATATGTATAATGTTTTATACATTCATCTTGCATTACTGAAACTTTATGCCCATTGATGAGTAACTTCCAATTTCACCTTTCTACCAGTTGCTGGAAACTACCATTCCACTCTTTGATTCTATGAATTTGACTATTTTAGGTACCACATATAAGTGGAATCATGAAGTATTTGTCTTCCATACTGGTTTATTTCATTTAGTATAATGTCCTCAAGATTTATACATGTTGCATATAGCAGAATTTCCTTCTTTTGAAAGGCTACATAGTAATCAATTGTAGGTGTATCTTTATCTATTTATCTGACAATTGACATGTAGCTTGTTTCCACATCTTGGCTACTGTGAATTGCGCTGCTATGATAAAAGGAATGCTAATATTTCCTCCAGAGACTGGGCCCTGGGTTGCATGGGCAGTGAGGCAGGGTGAGATTGTGAGTGAGGGTCAGACTTCCAGGGCCTGAGAGCTGAGGCCTGGAATGGGTCTGTCAGGCTGGGTTTGATGAAGGAGGCAGACAGGAACTGGATGTTGGATTTGGAGAGGAGTGTGGGGTAGGTGGAAGGGTATTGTAGGCAGGAGCAGCAGGTGGTGGTAGGAGTTAGACTTCTCACCTTCCCCGGATAGCACCCCATTTGCTGCCCTTTCCTTGGCTTTTCTGTCTGGTAATCCCTCTGTGCTTCCTCACCCCACCTCTACAGGTGAGAATGGCTCACTCTCACCCACCAGAATTAAGAAGGAAGAAGCTTGTATACCTATCATCTGCTACTCATCACTGTGAGGCCAGTCTGCCTTTTCCAGTTCAGTCATCATGGAAGACTTCATGGTCAAACACCATGTGGCCATAAAGGACATCACTGGAGACGTGAAGTTGAGGTGCTCTAGAGAAGTAGAAAACGCATGGACTATGTAGTTGACAGTTATTCTTGTACTTCCTAGCTATATAAACTGTAAACAAGTTCCCGAATACCTTAAGATATCTAGATATTCTATTCACAAGTAACTGGTACAGAAAACATGAAAAGAAAACAAATATAGCCATATTAGAATTAAAAAAGATTAAATTTAAACTTAAATTCACTAAATAGGATAAGGAGGGTCATCAATAATAATACAGCATATTTTATGAAGTAGTCATAAACAATATAAGAGCTGAATACCTACCACCAAAGCTACCAGAATGCTAAATAGAAACATACTATATAAGTGGGGCCAATGTGGCTGACTAGAAGCAGTGGAGATGGGAGGCTCACATCAAAAAGAAACATAGCAGCATGTGAATCATGCACTGGCAACTGAGGTATCCAGGTTCTGTCATCAGAACTGACTAGGTGGCTGGTGTGACCCATGGAGAGGAAGGAAGAGCAGTGTGGTGCAGCAGCCCACCTGAGAGCCACACAGGGCAGGGGAGCCCCCAGGGGAGCCCCCATCCCCTGGCCAAGGGAGGTGCCTCCTTGAGTGACATCTCCAGATGTGGGAGTGAACCAGATGAATAGGGCCTGAAAAGAACCCCAAGCAAACCACAGCAGACCTATAGAAAGGGACCTGGCCATTGAAAGAAAAACAAACAGAAAGGAACAACTACAGCATCAACAAAAAAAGTCCCCACAAAAATCTCACCCAAGGGTCAGCAGCCTCAAAGATCGAAACTAGACAAACTCATGAAGATGGGAAAGAATCAACAAAACAAACACTGAAAACCCAAAACGCCAAAGGCCTTTTCTCCTCCAAATGATTGCAGCACCTCTCCAGCAAGGGTGCAGAACTGGATAGAGGATGAAATGGATGAATTGACAGAAGTAGGTTTCAGATGGTAGGTAATAACACACTCCGCTGAGCTAAAGAAGCATGTTCTAACCCAATGCAAAGAAGGTAAGAACCTTGATAAAGTAGCAGTTACAGGAACTGCTACTAGAATAAACAGTTCAAAGAGAAACATAAATGACCTGATGGAGCTGAAAAATGCAGCACAGGAACTTCGTGAAGCATACACAAGTATCAATAGCTGAATTGATCAAGCAGAAGAAAGGATATCAGAGTTTGAAGCCCATCTTGCTGAAATGAGGCATGGAGACCAGATTTGAGAAAAAATAATGAAAGGGAATGAACAAAACCTCTGAGAAATATGGGACTATGTAAAAAGACCGAACCTACAATTGATTGGAGTACCTGAAAAGGATGGAGAGAATGGAACCAAGTTGGAAAACATACTTCAGGATTTTATCCAGGAGAACTTCCCAAACCTGGCAAGATAGGCCAACATTCAAATTCAGGAAATACAGAGAACACCACTAAGATACTCCATGAGAAGACCAACCCCAAGACAGATAATAATCAATTCTCCAAGGTTGAAATGAAGGAAAAAATATTAAGGGCAGCCAGAGAGAAAGTCCAGGTCACTTACAAAGGGAAGCTGATCAGACTAACAGCAGACCTCTCAGCAGAAACCCTGCAAGCCAGAAGAGAGGGGTGGGCAATATTCAATATTCTTAAAGAAAAGAATTTTCAACCCAGAATTTCATATCCAGCCAAACTAAGCTTCATAAGTGAAGGAGAAATAGGATCCCTTTCAGACAAGCAAATACTGAGGGATTTCATCACCACCAGGCCTGCCTTGCAAGAGCACTAAATATGGAAAGGAAAAACCAGTACCAGCCACTGCGAAAAAACACCAAAATATACACTTGATCTTAGCCAAAAGGCTGAGAAGCAATAAACACACCAAAATATAAAGACCAACGACACTATGAAGAAACTGCATCAATTAGTGTGCAAAATAACCATATAGCATCAAGATGACAGGATCAAACTCACACATAACAATATTAACCTTAAATTTACATGAGCTAAAAGCCCCAATTAAAAGACACAGATTGGCAAATTGGATAAAGAGTCAAGACCCATCAATGTGCTGTATTCAGGAGATGTGCAAAGACACACATAGGCTCAAAATAAAGGAATGGAGGAAAATTTACCAAGCAAATGGAAATAAAAAAAAAGCAGGGGTTGCAATCCTAGTCTCTGATAAAACAAACTTGAAACCAACAAAGATAAAAAAAGAGAAGGGCATTACATAATGGTAAAGGGGTCAATTCAACAAAAAAAGCTAATTATCCTAAATATATATCCACCCAATACAGGAGCACCAAGATTAATAAAACAAGTTCTTAGAGATCTACAAAGAGACTTAGACTCACACACAATAATAGTGGGAGACTAACACCCCACTGTCAATATTAGACAGATCAACAAGACAGAAAATTAACAAAGATATCCAGGACATGAACTCAGCTCTGAATCAAGTGGACCTAATAGATATCTACAGAATTCTCCACCCCAAATTAACAGAATATACATTCTTTTCAGTGCCACATGGCACTTATTCTAAAATCAACCACATAATTGAAAGAAAAACACTCCTCAACAATTGCAAAAGAACTGAAATAATAACACACTGTCTCTCAGACCACAGTGCAATCAAATTAGAACTCAGATTAAGAAATTCACTCAAAACCGCACAACTACATGAAAATTGAACAACCTGCTTCTGAATGACTCCTGGGTAAATAATGAAATTAATGCAGAAATAACGAAGTTCTTTGAAACCATTGAGAACAAAGAGACAACATACCAGAATCTGTGGGATGAAGCTAAAGCAGTGTTAAGAGGGAAATTTAAAGCACTAAATGCCCACATCAGAAAGCTCGAAAGATCTCAAATCAAAATCCTAACATCACAACTAAAAGAACTAGAGGAGCAAGAGCAAACAAATCCAAAGCTAGCAGAAGACAAGAAATAACTAAGATCAGAGCAGAACTGAAGGAGAGAGAGACATGAAAAACCCTTCAAAAAATCAATGGCTTGGAACCAACCCAAATGCCCATCAATGATAGACTGTATAAAGAAAATGTGCCACATATACACCATGGAATACTATGCAGCCATAAAAAGAAATGAGATTATGTCCTTTGCAGGGACATGGATGAAGCTGGAAGCCGTCATTCTCAGCAAACCAACACAGGAAGAGAAAACCAAATTCCTTATGTTCTCTCTCATAAATGGGAGTTGAACAATGAGAACACATGGACTCAGGAAGGGGAACAACACTCACCAGGGCCTATTGGTGGGTGGGAGGCGAGGGGAGGGAACCTCGATGACTGGTTAATAGGTGCAGGAAACCATCATGGCACACGTATACCTATGTAACAAACCTGCAGGTTCTGCACATGTATCCCGGCACTTAAAGTTAAAAAAAAAAAAGAAAGGAATACTAACAATTTTAATTCTTATTTCAAAATAGAGCATGTCTAGTAAAAAAATTATTAATGACATAAAATAATTGACTAAAACATTTACAAATTGAGTATATATGTGTGTATAGGTAAATCTACACACACATATGTAAATATATACACACATTTTTTCCATAGATCCATAAAACATGCCATAGAGCAATCATTGAGCTTTCATAATCTGTGTCTGCCTTTTGCTTTGTAGTTTGGAGACCCTAAGATTAGTCACACGTAGATTCATATGTTTGATCAGCTAAGTTTTTGAGAAGGGACGTATGTGAAAAAAAATCAGTAGTAAATTGGTCTAGGTAACACGTAGACATCTGTACGTGGATTATTGGAACTTAAGCTTATTGGAACACAAAGAAAGAAGAGGTTATTTCTACTTGTGTTGAGAAAGATGGAGAGACAGAAAAGGCTTCATAGAGAAATGGTTACTTGGGTTGAGATAACACACAAATGAGACCTAATATCCATTAAATCGACAAGGTTCAGGGAAGGATGGTTCTGGTTAGAAGAGATGGCATGTGTAGAAGTATACAACATACATAGGGACATGATACAGCATGGCATAGAGGGAGAAAGCATTTCTTCACTCCAAACTAATGAGAGCCTCCCCTTTAGAGTATACTGCCACGAGGTGGCAGTAGGAGTCTTATTCTTGTGTTCTGAGGCATTGGTATGGCTGGTTAACTAGCCAACAGCTAAATCAGGAACGCAATCCCATTCACAATTACCATACACAAAAAATAAAATTCTTAGAAATACAGCTAACCAGGGATGTGAAAAGTCTCTAAAATGAGAATTACAAAGCATTCTTCAAAGAAATTAGAGATGACACAAACAAATGGAAAAACATTCTGTGCTCATGGATAGGAATAATCAATATTAAAATGGACTTATCGCCCAAAGCAATTTACAAATTCAATGCTATTCCTGTCAAATTACCAACGACATTCTTCACAGAACCAAAAAAAACTATTTTAAAATTGATATGGAACCAAATAGATCCTGAATAGCTACGACAATCCTAAGCAAAAAGAACAAAGCAGGAGGCTTCAAACTATACTACAGGGCTACAATAACCAAAACAGCATGGTACTGGTACAAAAATAGACACATAGACCAATGGAACAGAAGAGAGCCCAGAAATAATGCCACATACTCACAACCACCTGATCTTTGACAAAGCTGACAAAAACAAGTAAGGGGGGAAAAAAAACTCCGTATTCAATAACTGGTGCTGGGATAACCATTCTGGACATAGGAACAGGCAAAGATTTCATAATGAAGATGCCAAAAGCAATTGCAACAAAAGCAAAAGTTGACAATGGCATCTAATTAAACCAAAGACCTCTGCACAGCAAAAGAAATTATCAACAGAGTAAACAGACAACCTACAAAATGGTAGTAAATTTTTGCAAACTATGCATCTGACAAAGATCTAATATTTAGCATCCATAAGGAACTTAAATTTATAAGAAAAAAAAATCAACCCCATTAAAAAGTAGACAAAGTACATGAACAGACACTTCTGAAAAGAAGACATGCATGTGGACAACAAGCATATGAAAAAAAGCTCAACATCATTGATCATTAGAGAAATGCAATTCAAAACCACAAGAGATACCATCTTACACCAGTCAGAATGGCTATTATTAAAAAGTGAAAAAAAAAATAACAGGTGCTGGCAAGGTTGTGGGGAAAAAGGAATGCCTATACATTGTTGGTGGTAAATTAGTTCAACCATTGTGGAAAGCAGTGTGGTGATTCCTCAAAGAGCTAAAAAACAAAACAAAACAAAACAAACAAAAGAACAAAACAAAACAAAAAAACCACCATTTGACCCAGCAATTCCATTACCAGGTATATACCCAAAGGAATATAAACCATTCTACCACAAAGGCCTATGCATGTGTATCTTCATTGCACCACTATTCACAATAGCAAAGACAGGGAATCAACCTAAATGCCCATCAGTGGTAGACTGGATAAAGAAAATGTGTTACATATATGCTATGGAATACTGCACAGCCAGAAAAAAGAACAAGACCATGTCCTTTGTAGGAACATGGATGGACCTGGAGGCCATTATCCTTAGCAAACTAACACAGAAACAGAAAACCAAATACCGTATGTTCTCACTTATAAGTGGGAGCTAAATAATGAGAACATATGGATACAAAGAGGGGAATAACAGATACTGGGGTCTAATTGAGGGTGGAGGTTGGGAGGAGGGAGAGAAACAGAAAAAAACAACTATTGGGTTCTAGGCTTAGTACCTGGGTGATGAACTAATCTGTACAACAAACCCCGTGACGTGAGTTTACCTATATAACAAACTTGCATATGTACCCGTGAACCTAAAATAAAAGTTAAAAATGAAATATGTTGGCTTTTCTACTTATAACTATTTCTAAGCCTACCTACATAAATATTTGCTCAAAATAAAGCCCACCAACTTAAGAATGTAAGAAATGTTACTTTCTTTGCTTTCTTTAACACTGATCTTCCCTTTTACCATCTCTACTGAACTGGATGGTAGAAACTTATAAAATTTTAGCTATTTATAGACCCCTTCTCCTGTGACCCTCTACTTTTCACCAGGATTGTATTTAACTTCTGGAGAGAAGTTTCTGGCTTCAAGATGGCTGACTAGAGGCATCTGGTACTCACCTCCTTCTAAACTAAAGTTCTTTTTTAGTTTAGAATAATTAAAACAATGAGTAGATAATCACATTTGGAGCAGATCATCTAAGAGAGAACACTGGAATTCAGCAAAGAAATGACAGGAAACACCTAAAAGAAGGAAGGAGCGGGAAGCAAGGCAGGCTGCTTGGCTAGGATCAGCTGGGAGCACAGAGAGTCTTCCTAATGTGGGGAAAGGGTAAGTGAGACATCCCCAGTGGTCCACATTCCCACCGTAGACACCTGCAATCCTAGCCATAGGAGAGCCCCTCGGCCCTCATGGACCCTGAGACTAACATAGGGAGCTATCTGGAGACTGTGTGATGGCATTGCTTCAGAGAGGGAGCTCACACTGGGTCCTACACAGCCCCCTGAGTCCTAAGCAGCTAAACAAAGGTGCCATTTTGAGAGCCCAGCCCCCACCAGACTGCATCCTGCCCTGGGGCCCAATAGCCCCTGTATCTCCACATTCCTAGAACCTCACTGACATCCCCCATCCATGGCCACCACTGCTGCTGGCTGCTGCCACTAGGGCTGATGCATGAGCCACTGGTAGCAAGCCTGCCTCACAGCAATGGGGCTGCCATGCATTTACAAGCACCCTAAGGACAGGCTGCCCGACCATAGCCACCACCTGGGGCTGAAACACACACACTTCCCAGCCACCTGCCTGTAACTGCTGCCACTGAAAGCAACCCCACCCTCCCTAAGAGCAGGACCAAAGTATAGCCACTGTTTCCCTCACCAGAATATTCTGCTGGGGGGCTGGGTGTCACCCTGCCCATGCCTAACACAAGCACTGCTTGCATGCACTACGGAGGGGCCTGAGGATCGTACCACCCAGCCTGGCTCTACCCTCTCAGTGCCTAAGCATGCTATCTGGAAGTCTGGGGACTGCCCTGGCCCATCCACTACCAATGATACCTGAGAAATCCTCCCAGAATCCAGAGGATATGCCCATCCAACTTGCTATTACCACCACAGTTGGCATGCACCACCTGTGGTCCTGGTGACTGGCTTGCCCAGCCTGTTGCAGCCACTGCCAACACCAGTGCCTACTACTTGGGAGCCAGAGAGTTGTACTGCCAATGCTACTGCCATCGCACGTGCCACACCTGCTGCTCAGGTACCTGAGGACCTGCCCATCTGCCTGGATCACCACTGCCACTGCCAGCACCTAAACAAGTGACCTGGAGGCCCAAGAATCAGTTTGCCTGGACCTGCTAACACCAGGGCTAATATATGCCATACTGAGCCAAAGGACAGGCATACTCAGCCAGTTGCTGCCAACAGTGGGACCTGTGGACTGGCCCACCTGGCACACCATCTCCAGCAAAACTTCATCACAGCCTCCAGAAACAGCTGCACCCTAAGCCACTGAATAAATCACAGACAACACTGATGCTGTTTATAATTGAAGAAATAATGGAGACTACACTACTGCATACATCCAGAATCACAACCAAAATACCCTATCCAACCAACACCGTAGATACATCTTCAGGAAAAATTTCTCATATATGAAAGTAAATTTAAAAAATTGGAAGAAGTGACTGGTAAACCAAATGCACAGTTATCAATGTAAGGACAAAAGACACATAAAAAAGCAAGGAAATATAACACCTCCAGAGGAACAAAATCATTCTCCAGCAACAGATTTCAATGAAAAAATTTATGAAATCCCAGGAAAATAATGCAAAATAATGAAATTAAAGTATCTCAATTAGATGCAAGAGAACGCAGATAAAAATTACAAAGAAATCAGACAAACAGTTCAGGATACAAATAAGAAATTTACCAGAGAGATAGCTACAAAACAAATTTTAGAAGTTAAGAATTCATTGAATAAAATACAAAATACATTCAAAATCTTCAACAGTAGACTAAATTAGGCAGAAGAAAGAATTTTAGAACTTAAAGACAAGTCTTTTGAAATGACCCAGTCGGATAAAAATAAAGAATTCAAAAGAATGAACAAAGCCTACAAGACATATGGGGCACTATAAAGTGACCGAATATCCAAAATTTCAGTGTCCCAGAAGGCAGAGAGAAAACAAAAGGCATAGAAAACCTATTTAACAAAATAATATCTGAAAACTTCCTAAGTTTAGGGAGAGATTTAGACCTCCAGATACAGGAAGCTCAGACATCCCCAGATAGATATAATGCAAAGTCTTCTCCACAGCACATTATAGTCAAACTGTCAAAAGTCAAAGAGAGAATTCTTAAAACAGCAAGAGAAAAGCATCTAGTTACTTATAAGGGAATCCCCATCAGACTAACAGCAGACCTTTAAAAATATAATTTCAACTTTTATATTAGATTCCAGGGGTACATGTACAGGTTTGTTACATGGGTACATTGTGTGATGCTGAGGTTTAGGATACGAATGATCCTGTCACCCAGGCAGTGAATATAGTACCCAACAGTTAGTTTTTCAACCCTTTCTCTTTCCCTCTCCCCTGCCTCTAGTAGCCCCCAGTGTCTATTGTTGCCATTTTTATGTTAGTGAGTACCCAGTTTTTAGCTCCCATTTATAAACGAGAACTTGTGGTATTTTGTTTTCTGTTTCTGCATTAATTCACTTAGGATAATGTCCTCCAGCTGCATCCATGTTGCTGCAAAGGACATGATTTCATTCTTTTTTTATGGCTGTGTAGTATTCCATGGTGCATATGTACCACATTTTCTTTATCCTATCCACCATTGATGGGCACCTAGGTTGATTCCATGTCTTTGCTATTGTGAATAGAACAGCAGACCTTTTAAACAGCAGGAACATATCACAGCCTAGGAGAGAGTAGGACAATATATTCAAAGTATTGAAAGATAAAAACCTGCCAGCCAAAGATATTATACCTAGCCAAGTTATTTTTCATAAATGAAGGAGAAATAAAGTCTTTCCCAGATAAGCAAAAGCTGAAGGAATTCATCACCACTAAACTGGTCCTAAAAGAAGTGCTTAAGGGAGTCCTACAGCTGGAAGCAAAAGAACTATATCTACCATCATGAAAACTCATGAAAGTATAAAACTCAATGTAGAGCAAACACACAAATAAGAAAGAGTAAGGACTCAAGTGTTACAATTACAGAAAACCACCTAACCACAATGATATGAGAAACAGGAGAAAACAACTGATATCCAATACAATAAAAAATTAGTAAGATGACAGGAATAAACTCTCACATATCAAATAATAACTTTGAATGTAAATGAATTAAACTTTCCACTTAAAATATAAGGATTGGCTGGATGGATTAAAAAACATGACCCAACTATATCCTGACTACAAGAAATTTATCTCACTTGTAAAGACACATATAGACTGAAAGTAAAGGGATGGAAAAAGATATTTCATACAAATAAAAACTAAAAGTGATGAGGAGTAGGTATACTTATATAAGATAAAACAGACTTTATTCAAAAATAGTAAAAAGGGAGAAAGAAGGTCATTACATAATGAAAAAGGGATCAATTTAGTAAGAAGATATAACAGTTCTGAAAATATATGTGCCCAACACTGGAGTAACCACATATATATAGCAAATATTATTAGATCTAAAGGGAGAGATAAGACTTCAACACAATAATTGTTGTGGACTTAAACACCAGGCTCTCAATATTAGACAGATCATCTAGACAGAAAATTAACAAAGAAAATTGGATTTAAACTAGACTTCAGACCAAATGAATCTAAAAGACACTTACAAAACATTTCACCCAATAGCCGCAGAATACACATTGTTCTGATCAACATATGGAACATTATCCAGGATAGCCCATATTTTACGACACAAAACAAATCTCAACAAATTTTAACCCCAAAGATAGCCTCTGAAAAACTACTCAGCTCCTGAGAAACAAACTGACAAAACAGAATCTTGGACGCAGGACTAGCATTTACTGTGGACAAACAGGAGAAGGACCAAGAAGACCTAGACACTCTTACTAAGGTTCGTGCTGGTATAACTGGTGTTGATTCAATGCCTTCAACACACCCTCTCTACCTAGATCGCACCCCCTTTAACAAAACAAAACTAGAACAGAGGCCAAGGTCCCTCCTTCTCTAAGACGGACCAGAGGCCTTATGTTCTGGTTAAGGTATATTGATGTTGAGGACTTGATGACAACTGAGGTTGCCAAATTTTTTCAGCTCTTTTGAAAATTGCGACACAAGCCATCATGGTGCCGGGTAGCACACATGGGCATGTTTGAAAAATTATTTTAACTGGATTTGGAAATAGCTCTTAGATTGTACAATGGACTGATGTACTTTGTGAGTGGGTCCTTTGGGGCCAATGCACATTCAAGTGGTTGTAATGGATACTGCTGAATGTGTTGTGTTAAGTATGTGTAATACTTCTCTTGCTTATAAGGGATGTTTCCAATGGGGAAATCTTACAATTAGAGCAATGGTAAAAGGATGAGTACACAACTGGGAGCCCACCTGGCTCCCCTAGCCCAGCCATGTGGTGTCAGTGAAGCAGGGAAGGGGAAGACAGTAGAAAGAAAGATCTTGGTCTTGATTAAAGAGCTAGTAGAGATAGGAGTGCTTAAGGAAACTACCCCACAGGCTGTAAAGACTTCTTTACACTTGGGCCAGTGAGCCTTAAGGAGACCTTTGAGCTACAAGTCTCAGTGATTGACAATTACACAGACTGAAGCAAGTGACAAAAAGATGTAGCCACTAAGCAATAGTGCTCCCTGGGGTTTTGGATGCAGCACTTGCCTGACATGATCACATGGTATACCCCACTTGAAAGAGTATTACTGGCTTGTTATTGTGTGCTGGTAGATTCTGAGAGACTGACAAAGCAACAGCAGGTGTTGTTACACCTGACATCCCTACCATAGGATGGGTCAGAAATGAGAACACCAACAAAGTGGATGTTGTCCAATAAGCAATCATTATTAAATGGAAGTGGTATATTCAGGGAAAAATAAGGTAGTCATTATAGAATCTCACAGTTAAACGAAAGGTGGCTGGAAATACTCCAGATAAGCCTGTCTCAGATGTGGGGTCTGTGCTAGCACCTTGGGCGTCTTGGGGGCTTCAGTACACTGAGGTTCTTGAGAATGCTGGGACCTGGTTCACATACAGATAGGATACATTCAAGGCCAGCAGGTTGTGCTGGGACACTGCTGTGATGCAGCCCCAAAGAAAATTGTGCACTACAACTGCGCATGAGTAAGGGACCTCTGTTCAGTGGTGTATTTCCATGATGTTTGCCTTGGAAAATACACTGTTACATTTTCACTTACTCATGGGCAAGAACCAACAGGCTGGAAGAGTAGTGCCTGACAGTAAGATAACTGGATGACCAAGTCTCAGCCTCTGTGGAGACAAACATTATGGCAGCACATTGCACAAGACTCACAACCTCTGTGACCCACATGGACGCCCATGAAAAAGGACCCTTTGAGGATGAACATCAATGACAATAGCAAGCTGGTGAAATCTTCACTACCCATAAAAGGACACATGGATACAGATCCATTTGGATACAGCATCACTCAGGATATCGTAATCCATCTACAGTTCAGTACTGGGCCCAAAAAACAAGGGCTCATAATTTCAGAATATGAGACTAGGAAGCCTAGTGAATGTGCCCAGACTGACAACTACATAGCTGAGTGGCAAAGGGAGCTTTGGGGCATATAGCAAGAGGTAGCATACCTGGCTAGTCCTGGAAAATAGATGTATTAGTCCATTTTCACACTGCTATAAAGAAATATCCAAGTCTGGGTAATTTATAAAGAGGTTTAACTGACTCACAGTTCCACATGGCTTGGGAGGCCTTAGAAAACTTACCATCATGGAGGAAGGGGAAGCAGGCACCTACTTCACAAGGTGGCAGGAGAGAGAGAGAAAAGCCCATGGGGAAACTGCCATTTATAAAACTATCAGATCTCATGAGAACTCCCTCACTATCACAAGAACCCACGGGGGAAACTGCCCCCATGATCCAATCACTTCCCACCAGGTCCCTCCCTCAACACCTGGGGATTGCAATTCAAGATGAGATTTGGGTGGGGACACAAAGCCTAACCATATCGATAGAGTATATACCTCCCTAGTCTCCTCTTGAGGGTACTGCTGGACATTGACTTCCATAACTTTCAGGGTATGACATTGCCATCCCCATCTGCTTAGCAAATGTGGGCCATACCATTTAATGACTCTTAGATGGTCTATGTTACATATTTGGATACTCTAAACACATGATTAGACACAGATACTGCTTTTATAGCAAAAAGTATCCAATAGTGAGGAGCTACACAGATATTTATTGGACCTTTTATGCCCCGTATCATCCTAGGCAGCAGGCGTCATTGAAAGACAGAATAAACTCTTAAAGGAGAAGCAGAAAAAGATAACTGGACAACCAAGGGTCAGCTTCCAGTGGAGCACACACTTAAGTCAGGCAGTTTGGTCTGTGGCCCAAAAGGGTACCTCTCATTTAAATAGAATGCTTAATTATGAGGTTGGTGGGCATGGTGGGAGGGCGAAGAGGTCCTAACTGGCTTCAAGAGAATTAACCCTCATTCTACTTTTTTTCCTTTCACACCTACCCCTGGGAAACAGGGCTAATGGAATTTGTAAGCATCAAATAAAAAGTTGGGGGTGTTTGGGTGATTCTACATGATGCTTCTTTTGCTGCCCAGCTATGCTTTCTGAATTTGGGAAATTATGGATATTGATGATAATTATAAATATGAGGTGACAGCTCCTAAGGTGGTCCTCTGGCATGGCCCACGTGTTAGGGAGTAGAGATGTTCCAAGAACGTACAAAGACTATAAAAAGAAACTACTGAGCCACATAAGGATGAGATCAAGAACACAGTATGTGTAAGACATGGGTGAATTCAGAAAACAGTGAAGTGATTGCTACTGGAATTGGTTTTACTGGTCATGTGGCTACAGAAAGAGAAAAACAACCCCGAATGGTGGAGAGAGAACATCTTTAACTCTGGAGGGTCAAGAGTGGGGAGAAAGTCAATCAGCTTCTCTCTCTTATCCCTCAGTCCTTGTCCACAAGGCTTCTGGCCAATTTACCCCAGATTGCTTCCATAACCCACAACTTCTGATCAAGAAAAAAAAAAACACCTAAGTGTAAGATTTCTCAGAAATTTCACAACATCCACTGACTCCAGAAAGGAATAGCCTCCACTTTAAACAAAAGAACAAGATTAACTTTCTGAACACCAATATGATTCTCTTTAGCTTTATGTTGGGCACTTTTTTCATTTTTCACAGAATACTGTTTGTGCTAAACTCTCTAGAATGATCAGTAGTGGACAATCTTATTGCCCAGGACTTCCTGCTGGTTGATCAAGGTGGGGTGTGTGCAGTTGCCAACACTTCTTGCTGCAGCTGGATGACATATTTAACAGGCTTAGCTCTGTAGGGGGAGCCTGGTTGTGGTCTATCCTCCAAGCAGGCTTGAGCATCCTACTGGAGGTCCTAATCTTGTTCACCTCTGTACCTCAAGTATTTAACAATTTGAGAGTAATTAAATCAACAAATATAGTAACTTTATAGAAAAAAGAACCCTCATTCTCTCTTCCAGTCACTTTCTCCCCACCCCAGGTTGACCAAGATATAGAAATGCTTTGCATTTTTGAGCTTGTAATCGATGCATTCCACAGCTTCAAATGAATCTAAATGTTTACGGCATATTAGCCTTGTGATGAAAAGCACGGTCCCAGAAGTCTGGTATGCTGGGTTTGAATACTGAGTCTTCTGCTTACTGAATATGTAACTTTGAGCTAATTACTTAACCTTATCTTTAAGATGTGGTAATAATAATAGCTCTGTCATAAGGATAAATGTAAAAGGGACAGGCCGGGTGCGGTGGTTCGCGCTTGTAATCGCATCACTTTGGGAGGCTGAGGCAGGCAGATCACCTGAGGTCAGGAGTTTGAGACCAGTCTGGCCAACATAGTGAAACTCTGTCTATACTAAAAATACAAAAATTAGCTGGGCGTGGTGGTACACACCTGTAGTCCCAGCTACTTGGGAGGCTGAGGCAGGAGAATTGCTTGAACCCGGAGGCGGAGGTTGCAGTGAGCCGAGATTATGCCACTGCACTCCAGCCTGGGCAACAGACTGAAATTCCATCTCTAAATAAAATAAAATAAAATAAATAAATAAATAAATGGGACAGTCAACGTGAAAATCACTCTGTCTATTACAAAGTAATCTCACAACTTTTAGCTACTTCTTGTAATTTTTCCTAGGCACAAGTTTGAATTGATCATACTAACAGGAGCTAGTTTTTTGGGCTGTCCTGCATTGGTTAAGAGTGAGCAAAATCTTAGCCAAAATCTTAGCCTTTTTGGGTGACCAATTAACCCCAGTTTCCCAGGGACTTGTCTGATTTTAGTGCTGAAAGCCTTACATCCTGGGAACCCTCCTTACACATGGGCAAATCAGTATGATTAGTAATCCTACCCAGAATCTACATCTCCAGCCTGGATTTGTGGTCCTCTATTCTCTTTTTCATGTCTACAATTTTTTATATGGAGTAACTCCTGAATTATGATAACCAACTTTAAAAACATAAAATATCTCAATATGCTCCACTCAAGAATGTAAAGATTTACTGCAATTTTTGAGCTCTGAATTAATAGAAGCATGCTATCTTGCTAGGATAGGATTATTTAAACGTGTGAGGATGAATATTTTTCTGTCACTTCTCATGAAAAATTGAATTCTGAATGACTTGCATGGATCCACACAGGCCAAACAGGCAAAGGCTTGAACCACAGCTTATCTGAGTCATGGTTGAACACACTGATTCTCCCAGAATGTGAGGTGGTGGGAGGAATTGTCACAAAGCCAATTCCTACTTGCCTCTCTATCCCTCCAGAGAGGCTGTCATGAGAGTTTTTCATTACTTTTAAGGTTCTGAAAAGGTATAAAGCTTTCTGCCTCACCCCTATAAGAATAGAGCTGCAAAATATAAACCGCTTAGCTGTAGTCTGGAGTTGGCTCCTCAGCACTGGGTTATCCCACAGCTCATGTTGTAGTCATCTGGCTCCTTTTGTTTTGGTTTCATCCTTTCTTGTGTGCGGGACAAGGACTATGAGGAGCTGGCATCTTTGGCTGCCACACTCTTCCTTTCAGTGTCAATGTATGTAAGAAACTTTGTAAATCTAAAAGTAGCTCATTCTATCTACCAACCAAATCTGACACGCTTTTGCATTAGCTTGTCTTGTGTGTCCTTGACAAGAGATTTTAAGAGTTCTTTTTAAGAGGTCTTTATTATCTTGGTAATTGTGTTCACACTACCGAAGAATTAGAAGCCCCTTGAGGATTGGCAGCTGTCTTATTATTACATTATATCCTACCAGTATTTTTTGCAGCTACTGCTAGATTTTGTATGTCTTGGTCCTGGACTGCTAGAACTGTTTGTTGTACATCTTGGTGAGATGTGGCACACCTGCAGCCTTTCAGTTACCCAGAACTTTCAGTTTGAAATTTCCAGGAAAGTTTGGGAATAACGAATCTAACCTATTCACTTCAGCTGAGAAGTGAAAAAGTACGATCTGGGAGTTATGCATGGCAGTGGAGAACCCCACCTACAGGGATGTTTTGAAACTATATCAATGATTGAAAAATATTTTGTATAAAATAACAACAAAATAATGATAAGAAGAATTTGTGTACCTTGTGAATGAGTAATTCTACTCCTATTTCTGTGAAATGAAAATGTGTTCATATGTACCCCAGAGACTACTATAGCAAAAAGATTATCATAGCAGCATTATTAATTTTGTAACAGCAGAAAGCAATACAAATGTCCATTAACCGTAGAATGCATGCATAAACTGTGGTATTTTTATGCAATTGAATACAGTAATGAAAATGAATGATCAACATTATATGCAACAACATGGGTAAACCTCACAAACGTAAGGTTCAATGAAAGAAGCCAGAGAGAAAAGATTACCTACTGCATTATTTTATTTATATAAACTTGAAAAAGAGGCAAGATTAATCTATACCATTAGACATCAGGATAGTGATAAACCAGGAATGGAGAGAAAATGACTGGAAGAGAGAATGAGGGTTCTCCTTGGAAGTGGTAATGTTCACTTTTTTTTAACCTGGGTAGAGGTTTCATGGATGTGTTCAGTTTGTGAAAATTCATTGAACTGTACAAACATGATTTTGTGAAGTTTTCTATATGTATACTTCAATAAAAGGCTTATTACAAACATTAGCTCAAATTTATTGACCATTTTCTAAGTACTTAAGCAATAATTTGGAATAAGAGATCATGGTATTGCACACCTATGATAAACAAGAGACTTTACAGACTCCTTTGCAAAAATGATGTTGTTTCATTTGAAAATTTCCCCCAAGAACTTCAAATTCTACTGCCAATCCTGGTGTTCAAATTCCTAAGAGTATTAGTTCTGCTCTGGGGTAAGTAAGGGTTATAGTACCTGTGAGACTTAAAGTTCTTAAAAATAATATAATGTATACAAACACATTTTTGCAGCAATAATGCACATGTGAGGGCAAATTAAACCCAGACTGTAATTTCTGCAATTTTTAAAAATAAACCTTTGAGGAAAATAAATTGTTCTACAAAAAAGACACATGTTCTAGTTTGTTCATCGCAGCACTATTCACAATAGCAAAGACATGGAATCAACCTAGGTGCCATTAATGGTGGATTGGATAAAGAATATGTGGTACATATACACAATGGAATACTATGCCGCCATAAAAGGAATGAAATCACGTCCTTTGCAGCAACATGGATGCAGCTGGAGGCCATCATCCTAAGCAAACTAATGCAGGAACAGAAAACCTAATACTGCAAGTTCTCACTTATAAGTGGGAGCTAAATATTGGGTACCTATGGACATAAAGATGGTAACAAGAGACACTGGGGACTATTAGAAGGGGAAGAAGGGTGGGGAGAAAGGGCCAGTAAAACCACCTATTGGGTATTATGCTCAATACCTGGGTGATGGTATCATTCATGCCTCATCACACAACATACCCATATAACAAACCTGCACATGAACTGCCTGCATCTAAATAAAAGCTGAAATTATAAAAAAATACAAACAAACAACCCAATCAAAAAGTGAGCGAAGGACATGAACAGACGCTTCTCAAAAGAAGACATTTATGCAGCCAAAAAACACATGAAAAAATGCTCACCATTACTGGCCGTCAGAGAATTGCAAATCAAAACCACAATGAGATACCATCTCACACCAGTTAGAATGGCAATCATTAAAAAGTCAGGAAACAACAGGTGCTGGAGAGGATGTGGAGAAATAGGAACACTTTTACACTGTTGGTGGGACTGGAAACTAGTTCAACCATTGTGGAAGTCAGTGTGGCAATTCCTCAGGGATCTAGAACTAGAAATACCATTTGACCCAGCCATCCCATTACTGGGTATATACCCAAAGGACTATAAATCATGCTGCTATAAAGACACATGCACACGTATGTTTATTGTGGCACTATTCACAATAGCAAAGACTTGGAACCAACCCAAATGTCCAACAATGATAGGCTGGATTAAGAAAATGTGGCACATATACACCATGGAATACTATGCAGCCATAAAAAATGATGAGTTCATGTCCTTTGTAGGGACATGGATGAAATTGGAAATCATCATTCTCAGTAAACTATCTCAAGAACAAAAAACCAAACACCACATGTTCTCACTCATAGGTGGGAATTGAACAATGAGAACACATGGACACAGGAAGGGGAACATCACACTCTGGGGCCTGTTGTGGGGTGGGGGGAGGGGGGAGGGATGGCATTAAGGATATACCTAATGCTAAATGACGAGTTAATGGGTGCAGCACACCAACATGGCACATGTATACATATGCAACTAACCTGCACATTGTGCACATGTACCCTAAAACTTAAAGTAGAATAATAAAAAAAAAAAAAAAACTAGGAGTTAGGTACAAAGTATAGTTAGATAGAATGAGTAAGATCGAGTGTTTGATAGCACAACAGGGTGACTATAGTCAACAATAATTTATAGTACATTAAAAATAACTAAAATAGTATAATTGGAATATTTGTAACACAAAGAAATGCTTGAGGTGATGGATACCCTATTTACCCTGGTGAAATTATTACACATTGTATGCCTGAATCAAAATGTCTCATGGACCGTACAAATATATACACAATCTACCAATAAAAATAAAAAATAAAAACATCTAAAAATAATGAACTTTTTGAGTAAGTTTAGATTTACAGAAAAGTTGCAAAAATAGTACAGATAATTGCTGTATACCTCTCACTAAGTCGCCCCTAATTTTATCATCTTATTTTTACCATGTTATATTCACTAAACCTAGGAAACCAACACTGATATATAACAGAACTCTACACTTTCATGTTTGTCCATGAATGTCCTTTTTGTATTCCAGGATCCAATCCAGGATACCACATTCCATTTAGTTGGCATGTCTTGCAGTATCCTTTGATCTCTGATAGTCTATTTTTGGTTTTCATGAGCTTGACGGTTTTGAGGAATACTGGTTAGCCTTTCTGTACAATGTCCCTCAATTTGGGTTTGTCTTATTTTTGTTTACTTGATTAAACTGGGTTTATGGGATTTTACATCATAACAGGGAGTACAGGATATCCACATGACATCATTAGTGATGTTAACTTTGATTACTTGGTTAAGATACTGTTTGCTAGATTTATTCACAACCCTATTCACAATACAATTACTATTTTCCCCTTTCCATACTTTGTTCTTTAGAATTAAGTCACTAAGTTCAATCTACAATGAAGGGGTAGTTAACCTCCACCTCCTATTAGTACAGAGGGGCTACATATTCTACTTGAAATTCTTCTTTAGGAAAGACTTGTGTCTTCTCCTACATTGATTTATTCATTATATTATTTATCAGTATGGCCACATGTATATGCTTTAAATTTTATTTTATTATCCATATTTTTTGAAATCCAATACTACATCATTTATTTTCTTGCTCAAATTGTTTCAACTTTGGCCACTGGGAGCTCTTTTGAGTGGGCTCTAGTGACCTTTTGACATATCCCATTCCTTTGTTTTTTGAGTATTTCCTTACTTTCTGGTACTACAAGATGTCACAAGTTCACTTTGTATTTTTTTTAAAGCCCAGTCCTAGAATCAGTCATTTCTCCAAAGGGCTCTGGTTCCTTTTATTGGAAAACAATATTTAGAAATCACTAAGTGATGGGTTTACTAATTGTTATTGGGGGTGTTATTATTTCTAGGCCTTCTCAATGAGAGCTAGGGAATGTATTTCTTCTTTATGCTTAAACCATACATGCATAGATATATTTAATTGTTTCTGTATTCATCCATCTGTGTATATATTAAACTAAACATTTTTTTTTTGTTTCTGTTGCCCAGGCTGGAGTGTAGTGGTGCGATCTCGGCTCATTGCAACCTCCACCTCTTGGGATCAAGCGATTCTCCTGCCTCAGCCTCCCAAGTAGCTGGGATTACAGGCATGTGCCACCATACCCAGCTAATTTTTGTATTTTCAGTAGAGACAGGGTTTTGCCATATTGGCCAGGCTGGTTTCAAACTCCTGACTTCAGGTGATCTGCCCACCTTGTCCCAAAGTGCTGAGATTGCTGGTGTGAGCCACTGTGCCTGGCCAACTAAACATAATTTCATACTGCAGTTTCTGACTTCAATTCAGGACTGCATGCTGAGTTCTAGCCTACCCATCTTACTTATCTGTAACTTCTCTCTCTGATGGTAAGAAGTCTGGCTCCCACCATCTACCATCCCTTTACTTATTTATTCAACCCCAGTATACATGTAAAGCAGTTTCTAAATTACTAACCCACACTACAATGATGAAAATAATTTATAACCTAAACTACAGCATGTATGTAAAGTTCCTTTTGTTTTTAGCCTTTCAGTTTCCAGTCAAAACACAGTTTTCCAAAGTTACTTGGGTAAGCTCTTCCTTTTCTTCACATCTTCACAAAGTTACTTAGGTAAGCTCTTCCTTTTTTTGTCCTTCACTTCCTTTTTCAACCTTCACTATGCAAATATATGTCATTGTAGCATATATTTGTAATATAGTTAGATTCATTTGTCATTGTCTATATGTCATCCAGGGATCCCTGTATATCCTGGCTAATTGTTTCTTTTTTTTTTTTTTTTGCATATATTGATGTTTAGTCTTTGTGATGTATAGTTCTATGGGTTTTGATAAATGCATAGAGTTATGTATCCATCACCCCAATGCCATATAGAACAGTTCCCAGCCCAAATGCCTATCAATGATAGACCGGATAAAGAAAATGTGGTATATACACACCATGGAATACTATGCAGCCATAAAAAGGAATGAGATCATGTCCATTGCAGGGACATGGATGAATCTGGAAGCCATCATCCTCAGCAAACTAAAACAGGAACAGAAAACCAAACACTGCATGTTCTCACTCATAAGTGGGAGCTGAATAATGAGAACACATGGACACAGGGAGGGGAACAACATACACTGCAGCCTGTCCTTGGGGGGCGAGGGGAGGGAGAGCATCAGGACAAGTAGCTAATGCATGCAGGGCTTAAAACCAAGGTGACAAGTTGATAGTTGCAGCAAACCACCATAGCACACGTATACATATGTAACAAACCTACATGTTCTGCACATGTATCCCAGAACTTAAAGTAAATTTTTTTTAGAAAAGGAAGTATGGGTACCAAAACAGAGATATAGATCAATGGAACAGAACAGAGCCTTCAGAAATAATGACACAACTCTCTGATCTTTGACAAACCTGAGAAAAACAAGCAATGGGGAAAGGACTCCCTATTTAATAAATGATGCTGGGAAAACTGGCTAGCCATATGTAGAAAGCTGAAACTGGATCCCTTTCTTACACCTTATACAAAAATCAATTCAAGATGGATTAAAGACTTAAACGTTAGACCTAAAACCATAAAAACCCTAGAAGAAAACCTAGGCATTACCATTCAGGACATAGGCATGGGCAAGGACTTCATGTCTAAAACACCAAAGGAATGGCAACAAAAGCCAAAATTGACAAATGGGATCTAATTAAACTCAAGAGCTTCTGCACAGCAAAAGAAACTACCATCAGAGTGAACAGGCAACCTACAAAATAGGAGAAAATTTTTGCAACCTACTCATCTGACAAAGGGCTAATATCCAGAATCTACAATGAACTCAAACAAATTGACAAGAAAAAAACAAACAACCCCATCAAAAAGTGGGCAAAGGACACGAACAGACACTTCTCAAAAGAAGACATTTATGCAGCCAAAAGACACATGAAAAAATGCTCACCATCACTGGCCATCAGAGAAATGCAAATCAAAACCACAATGAGATACCATCTCACACCAGTTAGAATGGCAATCATTAAAAAGTCAGGAAACAACAGGTGCTGGAGAGGATGTGGAGAAATAGGAACACTTTTACACTGTTGGTGGGACTGGAAACTAGTTCAACCATTGTGGAATTCAGTGTGGCGATTCCTCAGGGATCTAGAACTAGAAATACCATTTGACCCAGCCATCCCATTACTGGGTATATACCCAAAGGACTATAAATCATGCTGCTATAAAGACACATGCACACGTATGTTTATTGTGGCATTATTCACAATAGCAAAGACTTGGAACCAACCCAAATGTCGAACAATGATAGGCTGGATTAAGAAAATGTGGCACATATACACCATGGAATACTATGCAGCCATAAAAAATGATGAGTTCATGTCCTTTGTAGGGACATGGATGAAATTGGAAATCATCATTCTCAGTAAACTATCTCAAGAACAAAAAACCAAACACCGCATATTCTCACTCATAGGTGGGAATTGAACAATGAGAACACATGGACACAGGAAGGGGAACATCACACTCTGGGGCCTGTTGTGGGGTAGGGGGAGGGGGGAGGGATAGCATTGGGAGATATACCTAATGCTAGATGACAAGTTAGTGGGTGCAGTGCACCAGCATGGCACATGTATACATATGTAACTAACCTGCACATTGTGCACATGTACCCTAAAACTTAAAGTAGAATAATAATAAATAAATAAATAAAGTAAGTAATGGGTTTTTCAACTTGGCTTTCATGGAATTTATATTGTCTTGGGGTCACTGAGATTCTCATATATGAAAATTTATCTTTTGCCTCATTTGGAAAGCTTTCAGTTTTTACTTCTTCAAATGTATTTTCTGCCCAAGTCCTGTCTCTTTGGAACTCCAATTATACATATGTTAGTTGCATTGATAATGTTCATCAGGTCTCTGAGTTTTGTTTATTTTTTCCCCAACATTTTTCTCCATGTTACTCAGATCTAATAATTTTTATCATTCTATCTTTAAGGTAACTATTTTTTTCCCTCTGTAACTGGCATTCTGTTATTGAGCCCATCCAATGTATTTTAATTTTACTTATTGCATTCCTCAGTTCTAAAATTTTCATTTGTGTTTTTCTTACAGGTTCTATTTCTCTTCCGAAGTTTCTTTTCCCTTCATTCATTTCAAATATGGTTTTCTGTACCTTATGGAGTATAGTTACAATAGCTGCTTTCAAGTTATGTCTCATAATTCCAACATTTAAGTCTCTTTTGTTTTGTCACATATTGATTTTCTTCTTCCTTGAGAATGGGGCACATTTTCTGGTTCTTTGACATGGACTAATTTTCTATCATATCCTGGACATTGCAGATGTTATTTTGTGTAGCCTCTGGGTTGTTATAATCTTCTGAAAAATGTTGATGCTTTTCTTTTAGCAGGCAATCAACCCAGTTAGATTCTGGCCATCAGTTCTGTCTTGCCTTTTCTGGGTTATAGTTAAAATCTCAGTATAGTTCTTAAAACTGGTATATATATATTTATATATATATATTTATATATATAAATATATATATTTATATATATATATATAAATATATATATTTATATATATATATTTATATATATAAATATATATATATTTATATATATATTTATATATATATTTATATATATATATTTATATATATATATATTTATATATATATATATTTGAGGCTGAGACTTTTGTAGGCGATTTAATTCTCTGCTCAGTTCCCTAAGCCTTTAAATACTTGTTTGGTTAATTCTTGAACATGCATTGTTTAATGGTTGGGGTGAGAATTGTGTGGTTTCATACACATATATGGGAATATTTTCTCTATCTCTTTTCCTTCTGAGACTTCTTGTTCATGCTGCATCCTACCCAGGTTCTTTTTTCTGCTTCCTCTGGCCAGAAAGATGGCAGAGAATCCCTCAGAGTTTTAGTCATGTGCTCTGCTCCAGTCTGTGAGTGGGACACACTCATGGCAAGGCTGAGAGGAGAAAAAAAACCCTGGACAACTTACCCTTATGCAGGTCACTTCTCTATGTTTTAACTCTCTTCCACAATCTGCCTGGTTTTAGTTACCTTGCAGAGTGCTTAGGCAGGTTTTCTTTTCTTTAAAAAAATTTGACCAGAATTTTTAGGTATAATTAATCAGTGTGGTGGTGCCTGTAGGGGGTTTATACTGCCATAGCTGAGTGGGAACTTCTAAGAGCACTGTATTTTAAATTTCATTCTATTTCTCACTTCTTTATTTAACATTATGTTGATAACTATCCATGTTGTTATATACAGATTTAATCGATTATCTTTTCCCACTGCATGAGATCATTGTAAGAGATCAAACGCAAATGCTCATACAACAATTTACATATTTATTCTGTGATTATACACTGCTAGGTTGCCCAAACTTTTTGCTACCACAAATAATGCCATGATAAACATCCTGTACATGTCACTTAGTAGGCCAGAAAGAGATCTTTTCTGGAGTGGCATTTCTCAGTTATAGTGTGAATGATTCTTAATTTCGCTAAATACTGCCAGATTGCTCTTCAAGATGACTTCACTGGTTTGCATTCTCAATTGAAGTACCTAAGGGTTCTTGTTTCCCCTCATCGGTTGACATAATCTGATTTGCTTATTTTTCCTATTTTATGGGTGCTGAATGAGGTCTCAGGCATCACATTGCCTGACTTCAAACTGTGCTATAAGGCCATAGTCACCAAAACAGCATGGTACTGGTATAAAAATAAGCATACAAACTGATGGAACTGAACAGAGAACCCAGAAATAAAGCCAAATACTTAAAAGCCAACTGATCTTCAACAAAGCAAACAAAAACATAAAGTGGGGAAAGGACACTCTATTCAACAAATGGTGCTGGCATAATTGGGAAGCCACAAGTAGAAAAATAAAACCGGATCCTCATCTCTCATCTTATACAAAAATCAACTCAAATGGAACAAAGACTTAAATCTCAGGCCTGAAACCACAAAAGTTTTAAAAGATAACATTGGGAAAACATTCTAGACATGGGGAAATGCAACAAAAACAAAGATAAATACATGCAACTTAATTAAACTAAAAAGCTTCTGCACAGCAAAAGAATTAATCAGTAGGGTAAACAGACAACCCACAGAGTGGGAGAAAATCTTCTCAATCTATATATCCAGCAAATAACTAATATCCAGAATCTACAAGGAACTGAAACCAATCAGCAAGAAAAAACAAACAATCCCATCAAAAAGTGGACATGAATAGACAATTCTCAAAAGAAGATATACAGATGGCCAACAAACATATGAAGAAATGCTCAACATCACTGATTACTAGGGAAATCCAAATCAAAACCACAATGCAATAACCAACTTACTCCTGCTAGAATGGCCATAATCAAAACAATAAAAAAATAGTAGATGTTAGCATGGATGTGGTGAAAAGGGAACACTTTTACACTACTAGTGGGAATGTAAAATAGTACAACCACTATGGAAAACAGTGTGGAGATTCCTTAAAGAACTAAAGGTAGATCTACCATTTGATCCAGCAATCCCACTACTGGGTATCTACCCAGAGGAAAAGAAGTCATTATATGAAAAAGACACGTGTGCACGCATGTTTATAGGAGTAAAATTCACAGTTGCAAAAATATGGAACCAGCCCAAATGCCCATCAATCAAGTAGATAAAGAAATTGTGATTTTATATATATATATATATAATACCATAAAAGGAGGTCTTAAAGATCATTATATATACATTTATATATGAATATATAATTATATAATTATATATAAAATAATAATATAATATCTATAATAATATAAGAATATATTATAAATTTATATATAATAATGTAATATATATTATAAATTTATATATAAATATTTATATATAATATAATATATACTATATATAAATTATATATAGTATATATAATATATAATACAATATAATATAATATATAATATGTATTATATTTATTATACTATATAATATACTATATATTATATAGTATACTATATAATATAATGTAATATATAAATTATATATATTTATATATTAGTATATAATAATAATTATATATTTATACACAAATATATATAATTATTATAATATATAATGACCTTTAAGATCTTCTTTTATGGTTATTGTATATATATAATCACAGTTTCTTTATCTACTTGTTGATCGATTGATGAGCATTTGGGCTGGTTCCATATTTTTGCAACTGTGAATTGTACTGCTATAAAAATGCGTGCACAAGTGTCTTTTTCATATAATGACTTCTTTTCCTCTGGGTAGATACCCAGTAGTGGGATTGCTGGATCAAATGGTAGATCTACCTTTAGTTCTTTAAGGAATCTCCACACTGTTTTCCACAGTGGTTGTACTAGTTTACATTCCCACCAGTAGTGTAAAAGTGTTCCCTTTTCACCACATCCGTGCCAACATCTATTATTTTTTATTTTTTTTGATTATGGCCATTCTAGCAGGAGTAAGTTGGTATTGCATGTGATTTTGATTTGGATTTCCCTGGTAATTAGTGATGTTGAGCATTTCTTCATATGTTTGTTGGCCATCTGTATATCTTCTTTTAAGAATTGTCTATTCATGTCCGCTTTTTGATGGGATTGTTTTTTCTTGCTGATTGGTTTCAGTTCCTTGTAGATTCTGGATATTAGTTATTTGTTAGATATATACTAATACGTATATCAGTATATATATACGATATACTAATACGTATATCGTATATATATACTATATACTAATACGTATGTCAGTATATATATACTATATACTAATACGTATGTCAGTATATATATACTATATACTAATACGTATGTCAGTATATATATACTATATACTAATACGTATGTCAGTATATATATACTATATACTAATACGTATGTCAGTATATATATACTATATACTAATACGTATGTCAGTATATATATACTATATACTAATACGTATGTCAGTATATATATACTATATACTAATACGTATGTCAGTATATATATACTATATACTAATACTATGTCAGTATATATATACTATATACTAATACGTATGTCAGTATATATATACTATATACTAATACGTATGTCAGTATATATATACTATATACTAATACGTATGTCAGTATATATATACTATATACTAATACGTATGTCAGTATATATATACTATATACTAATACGTATGTCAGTATATATATACTATATACTAATACGTATGTCAGTATATATATACTATATACTAATACGTATGTCAGTATATATATACTATATACTAATACGTATGTCAGTATATATATACTATATACTAATACGTATGTCAGTATATATATACTATATACTAATACGTATGTCAGTATATATATACTATATACTAATACGTATGTCAGTATATATATACTATATACTAATACGTATGTCAGTATATATATACTATATACTAATACGTATGTCAGTATATATATACTATATACTAATACGTATGTCAGTATATATATACTATATACTAATACGTATGTCAGTATATATATACTATATACTAATACGTATGTCAGTATATATATACTATATACTAATACGTATGTCAGTATATATATACTATATACTATACGTATGTAGTATATATATACTATATACTATAAGTATGTCAGTATATATATACTATATACTAATACGTATGTCAGTATATATATACATATACTAATACGTATGTCAGTATATATATACATACACTAATACGTATATTAGTATATATATACATATACTAATATGTATGTGAGTATATATACTAATATACATATGTATACTATATGTATACTAATATGTATACTAATATACATATTAGCATATATACTAATATACATATTAGCATATATACTAATATACATATTAGCATATATACTAATATACATATTAGTATATATACTAATATACTTATACATATTAGTATATATACTAATACACTTATACATATTAGTATATATACTAATATACTTATACATATTAGTATATATACTAATACACTTATACATATTAGTATATATACTAATACACTTATATATATTAGTATACACACTAGTATATATATCTATATATCTGGATATAAGTTATTTGTCAGATATATAGGTATATATTATATGTTATATTATATATTATATATATAGTCAATAATAATTTAATTGTACATTTAAAAATAAGTAAAAGAGTATATATATCATGATATATTATATAATATATAATATTAAGTAATATATACTTTATATTATATATAATCACAGTTTATCTACTTGTTGATTGATGGGCATTTATATATACACACACACTCACACACACACACACACACACACACACATATATATATATATATATATATATATATATACACACCATAGAATGCTACCCAGCTGTAAAAAGGTATGAAATAATCACATTCTCAGCAACCTGGATGGAATTGGAGACCATTATTCTAAGTGAAGTTAACTCAGGAATGGAAAGCCAAACATCATCGTATGTTCTCACTTAAGTGGATGTTAAGCTGTGAGGACGCAAAGGCCTAAGAATAATACAATGGACTTTGGGGACTTGGGGGAAAGGTTGGGAGGAGTTGAGGGATAAAAGACTACACATTGGATACAGTGTACACTGCTCGGTGATGCATGCACCATAATCTCAGAAATCACCACTACGGAACTTATTCATGTAACCAAACACCACTTCTTCCCTTAAAACCTATTGAATTTAAAATTAAAAAAAGAAATACAACTGATTTTTGTATGTTGAATTTGTTTCTTAGTTATTTTTTGTGGATTCTTTATCTACATATAAAGTTATGTGGTCTGCTAACAGGGACAATTAAACTTCTTTTTTTTCCAAATTGGATTACATTTCTTTCTCTTGCTGAGGATGTCAGTACTATGTTGAATATAAGTGGTGAGAGCAGGCATACTTGCTTTATTCCTGACCTTAGAGAAAAGGCTTTCCACTTTTCACCATTGAGTAGGATGTTAGCTATAGGTTTGTTGTATATGAGCTTTATTGTATTGAGGTACGTTTCCTTTTATACCTAATTTGCTGAGCGCTTTTTCTTAAAATCAAGAATTATTGTTGAATTTTATCAACGCCTTTTCTGCATCTACTGAGATGATCATGTGGTTTCTGTCCTTTATTCTGTTAAGGTATTCTATCACATTTAGTGATTTGCATGTGTTGAACCATCCTTGCATCCTTGGGATAAATCACACTTGATCATGATGAACGATCTTTTTAATATGGTGTTGAATTTGGTTTGCTAGTATTTTGCTGAGGAGTTTGCATCTATGTTCCTCAGGGATACTGGTCTGTAATTTTCTTTTCTTCTAGTGTCTTTGTCTGGTTTTGGTGTCAGGGTAATTCTGGTTCTGTAAAATGACTTTGGAAGTGTTTCTTTCTCTTCAATGTATTGGTAGAATTTGAAAAGGATTGATATTCATTCCTCTTTAAATGTTTGGTAAAATTCAGCAGTGGATCCACCAGGTCTGGAGATTTTCTTTGATGAGAGACTTTTATCACTGATTTAGTCTCCTTTCCCATTACATATCTGTTTAGATTTTCTATTTCTTCAAGCTTAAGTCTTGGTAGGTTTTATGTGTCTAGGAATGTATCCATTTCTTCTAGGTTATCCAATTTCCTGGCATATAATTGTTCTTAGTATTCTCTTAAAATCTTTTGCTTTTCTGTGGTATTAATTGTAATGTCTCCTCTTTCATTTCTGATTTTGAGTCTTCTCTTGTTTTTTCTTAGTTGATCTAGCTAAGGGCTTGTCAATCTTATTTATCTTTTCATAAAACCAACTCTTGGTTTCACTGATTTTTTTCCTATTGTTTCTCTAATCTCTACTTCATTTACTTCTGCTCTGATCTTTATTATTTCCTTTTTTCTACTAATTTTGAGCTTATTTGTTCTTTTTTTTCCAGTTCCTTGAAGTGTGATGTTAGATTGTTTGGGATCTTTTTTCTTTTTGATGTATGTATTTATTGCTATAAACTTCGTTCTTAGAAGTGCTTTTGCTGCATTCTATAAGTTTTAGTATGTTGTATATACATTTTCGCTTGTCTCAAGATATTTTAAATTTTCCCTTTAATTTCTTCCTTGACGTATTGGTTATTCTGGAATATGTTTTTTGATTTCCATATATTTATGAATGTTCCACAATTCTTATCATTAATGATTTCTAGTTCCATACCACTGTGCATATATTACTTGATGTGATTTCAATATTCTTAAATTTGTTAAGACTTGTTTTTGTCTGTCACTTTGAAAAAATTCAACAACCTTCATGCTAAAAACTCTCAATAAATTAGGTATTGATGGGATGTATCAAAATAATAAGAGCTATCTATGACAAACCCACAGCCAATATCATACTGAATGGGCAAAAACTGGAAGCATTCCCTTTGAAAACTGGCACAAGACAGGGATGCCCTCTCTCACCACTCCTATTCAACATAGTGTTGGAAGTTCTGGCCAGGGCAATTAGGCAGGAGAAGGAAATAAAGGGTATTCAATTAGGAAAAGAGGAAGTCAAATTGTCCCTGTTTGCAGATGACATGACTGTATATCTAGAAAACCCCATTGTCTCAGCTCAAAATCTCCTTAAGCTGATAAGCAACTTCAGCAAAGTCTCAGGATACAAAATCAATGTACAAAAATCACAAGCATTCTTATACACCAATAACAGACAAACAGAGAGCCAAATCATGAGTGAACTCCTATTCACAATTGCTTCAAAGAGAATAAAATACCTAGGAATCCAACTTACAAGGGATGTGAAGGACCTCTTCAAGGAGAACTACAAACCACTGCTCAATGAAATAAAAGAGGATACAAAGAAATGGAAGAACATTCCATGCTCATGGCTAGGAAGAATCAATATCGTGAAAATGGCCATACTGCCCAAGGTAATTTATAGATTCAATGTCATCCCCATCAAGCTACCAATGACTTTCTTCACAGAATTGGAAAAACTACTTTAAAGTTCATATGGAACCAAAAAAGAGCCCGCATCACCAAGTCAATCCTAAGCCAAAAGAACAAAGCTGGGGGCATCTCGCTACCTGACTTCAAACTATACTACAAGGCTAGAGTAACCAAAACAGCATGGTACTAGTACCAAAACAGAGATACAGATCAATGGAACAGAACAGAGCCCTCAGAAATAATGCCGCATATCTACAACTATCTGATCTTTGACAAACCTGAGAAAAACAAGCAATGGGGAAAGGATTCCCTATTTAATAAACGGTGCTGGGAAAACTGGCTAGCCATATGTAGAAAGCTGAAACTGGATCCCTTCCTTACACCTTATACAAAAATTAATTCAAGATGGATGAAAGACTTAAACGTTAGACCTAAAACCATAAAAACCCTAGAAGAAAACCTAGGCATTACCATTCAGGACATAGGCATGGGCAAGGACTTCATGTCTAAAACACCAAAAGCAATGGCAACAAAAGCCAAAATTGACAAGTGGGATCTAATTTAACTCAAGAGCTTCTGCACAGCAAAAGAAACTACCATCAGAGTGAACAGGCAACTTACAGACTGGGAGAAAATTTTTGCAACCTACTCATCAGACAAAGGGCTAACATCCAGAATCTACAATGAACTCAAACAAATTGACAAGAAAAAAACAAACAACCCCATCAAAAAGTAGGTGAAGGACATGAATAGACACTTCTCAAAAGAAGACATTTATGCAGCCAAAAAACACATGAAAAAATGCTCACCATCACTGGCCGTCAGAGAAAGGCAAATCAAAACCACAATGAGATACCATCTCACACCAGTTAGAGTGGCAATCATTAAAAAGTCAGGAAACAACAGGTGCTGGAGAGGATGTGGAGAAATAGGAACACTTTTACACTGTTGGTGGGACTGGAAACTAGTTCAACCATTGTGGAAGTCAGTGTGGTGATTCCTCAGGGATCTAGAACTAGAAATACCATTTGACCCAGGCATCCTATTACTGGGTATACACCCAAAGGACTATAAATCATGCTGCTATAAAGACACACGCACACATATGTTTATTGCGGCATTATTCACAATAGCAGAGACTTGGAACCAACCCGAATGTCCAACAACGATAGACTGGATTAAGAAAATGTGGCACATATACACCATGGAATACTATGCAGCCATAAAAATGATGAGTTCATGTCCTTTGTAGGGTCATGGATGAAATTGGAAATCATCATTCTCAGTAAACTACTGCAAGGACAAAAAACCAAACACCGCATATTCTCACTCATAGGTGGGAATTGAACAATGAGAACACATGGACACAGGAAGGGGAACATCACACTCTGGGGACTGTTGTGGGGTGGGGGGAGGGGGGAGGGATAGCATTAGGAGATATACCTAATGCTAAATGACGAGTTAATGGGTGCAGCACCCCAGCATGGCACATGTATACATATGTAACTAACCTGCACATTGTGCACATGTACCCTAAAACTTAAAGTAGAATAATAATAAAATAAAATAAAAAAGACTTGTTTTTGGCCTAACTTATGATCTATCCTGGAGAATTTTCTATGTGTGCTTGAGAATATTATATATTCTATTGGATAAAATATTCCGTAGGTCCTTTTTGTCTAAAGTGTATTTCAAGTTCAATGTTTCCCTATCGATTTTCTGTCTGGATGATCTGTGAATTGTTGAAGATGGGGTCTTGAAGTCTCCTACCATTATTGTATTGCAGTCTACTTCTCCCTTCAGATCTATTAATATTTGTTTTATATATTTAGGTGCTTCTATGTTGGGTGCATATATTAAATATGTTTATAATTATTCGATATTCACGATGAATTTATCTCATTATCATTATATAATGACCTTTAAGATCTTTTATGGTTTTTGACTTTAAGTCTATTTTATTTGACATATGTGTAGTTATCCTTGCTCTCTTTTGAATGATTGATGGAATAGATAAATGTCATGAATTGTTTTCTGCATGGGGGCACAGTGCACCATGTCACAAGAGACAGTCTAAGTACAAACTGATATTGTTAAAACATCAATATAGTCATTGTGGGATCAATAAAAACTTTTCATAGATTTTTATACATTACTGTTTTTATTCTGAATTGCATAAGATGGACGGGCACCCTATCTTTTAGTGTTTAGAACCTCTAAATGTTTTAATGTGGTAACACTTGAAAAACAGAAATGAATATGACCTAGTCCCCTGCTCCAGAGCAGCTCTAGGGAAGAGAGACATAGACACAAGGTATAACAACACTATGTAAATAGTGTTGGGATAGAGGGTCTGTAGGAAGGGTTGGTGTGGGAGTTCAGAGAACTACATTCCTCCTAGGGGAAACAGGAGAATCAAATAGGAACGGAGATACAGAGTGGGGAATAGAGAAGTCAAATGGAGAATAAGAGGGAGTGATAACTGAATAGGGGTAGTAAGAAGAAAAAGGGAGCTACATTGAGGAGAATGGAAAGTTGAAAGTAGGTATGGAGGGGAGGAGACTGACAGGCAGGAACGGAGACCCCCCTCTGGAGGCGGAAAGAGGCAGGACCACTTCCGGCCAGGGAGGGGGATAGGCTCAGACACAAGGAGAGGCTTGGAGAGAGCAGACGCCTTCTGGATTCAAGAAGACGAGGTGAGCTGAGGTACCTGGCTTTAGTGAAGACCCTGTGGGGGCTTCCTGGCTGCGGCTTCGACGTGCCTGACTCCACACGCCCCTAAGGTTTGAAGAAAACCTGCTGGAGGTTTGGGACCTAACCGCATCAAAGTCGCCTTTAGCGGTGCCTGGACCCAGTTCGCACGGGAGGAAGTAGGAGGCAGAATCCCCTTTGGGCCACAGAAAGTAACGATCTGGACTCGGTTCGGGCCGTGAAAGGGAGGGATGCAGACCTAGTTGGGACCGCAGAAAGGAAGGATCGAGAAATCCTTCAGACGGTAGCAAGAGGGGAGGAGGATACACACAGTTCGGGAGGGAGATAGGAGACGGCAGGACTCCGTTTAGGCTGGAGAAAGGGGGCAGTACCCCGTTTGGGCCACAGAATGGAGGGATCGGGACCCAGAGATAAGAGTGGGCAGCATCCCTTTTGAGCAACGGAAAGGACCAGACTCAGACAGGAGAAAGGAGGGGATATGACCCGGTTGGTTCCGGTTTGAAAGGGAAGAGACAGGACCTGGTAGGGTTTGAGAACAGGAATACACAGAAGGTTCATACAGTTGGATTTGGGGGTGAGGTATTCATGTTGCAGAAAGGGCGGAGCTGCACACTTGCAGACGTGGAAAGAGGGGGGAGTGGTGTTGGTTGGGGAAGGGGTGGTGCAGAGACGTACCGCAGAGCGGAGGGAGGGGGCTTATTAAAGGAAGGGAAGATGAAGAGAAATGCTGCAGAGCGGAGGGAGGGGGGTGTATTGGGAAGGGGCGGTGCGTGGCAGTACCGCAGAGGAGAGATGGGCGGTGTTGGGGTAGGGGCGGTGCGGAGTGGTACTGCAGAGCGGAGGGAGGGGGCTAGTGTTGGGGGAAGGGTTGGATCGAGATGTGATGCAGTTAGAAAGAGTGGGTCGGGGTGGCGCCAAGATGTTCTGTTGCTCTGAGAGCAGGGGGCAGATGTGGGATTGAGCTGGTTAGAAACTGTCCGGTTTACCAAGGCGCATGCGCGCGGAGGGCATTGAAGAATGGTTCTTTTGGGATAGAGGTGGGCCTAAGATGGGGGGTGGGGGCGCCTCTAGTCGGTGCGCATGCGCACTATCGAGTTGCGGAGGGGGCGTGTAAAGGGGTGGGGTCGTAGAACTGACTCTCTCGGAGGCAAAAGGAGCTGGGCCTTGGAAACCAGATGGCCTGGGTTTTTTAGGTATGAAAACCCAGGAGTTGAAGGGATTAGGGCCCAAGGTTACATGAGACTCCCCTAAGTCAGGATAGGTGAGATGTCTGATGAATCTCCCCCTCCCTCTCATTCTCTAACTCAGGCCCATTCCCCTCAGGCTCACCTGTTACTCGGCCTCCCAGAAAGATGGATAGGAGAAATGACTACGGATATAGGGTGCCTCTATTTCAGGTGAGGCCTCTCTGCATTCTCTCTAGGCCATCTGCCCCATCCTGAGTTCACTTACTGCTCTTCAGACCCCTTCCACCGTGTAGTTTCATAATTCCCTGCCTAACTCGTCTCAGTCCTCCCTTACATGGTGAAGGAGAGGAGAGGAAAACCTGCCTGACTCTATTCCTTCCTTGCTCCCTACCCCATTTTAATTAACCACTGCTCAGAGGAAGGGAAGGCCTTTGTGGAAAGGGATGGGCTTTAGCGAGGCCAAATGGCCCAGAGGATGGTAATCCTAAGTGTGTAGGGCCCTCTGCCTCCCCCGGGGAGCCTGGGGCTTCCCTTCCCTCCAGATATACAGACTGAGACCACAGAAGAGGACAGTGTCCTGCTGATGCATACCCTGTTGGCGGCAACCAAGGACTCCCTGGCCATGGACCCACCAGTTGTCAACCGGCCTAAGAAAAGCAAGACCAAGAAGGCCCCTATAAAGACTATTACTAAGGCTGCACCTGCTGCCCCTCCAGTCCCAGCTGCCAATGAGATTGCCACCAACAAGCCCAAAATAACTTGGCAGGCTTTAAACCTGCCAGTCATTACCCAGATCAGCCAGGCTTTACCTACCACTGAGGTAACCAATACTCAGGCTTCTTCAGTCACTGCTCAGCCTAAGAAAGCCAACAAGATGAAGAGAGTTACTGCCAAGGCAGCCCAAGGCTCCCAATCCCCAACTGGCCATGAGGGTGGCACTATACAGCTGAAGTCACCCTTGCAGGTCCTAAAGCTACCAGTCATCTCACAGAATATTCACGCTCCAATTGCCAATGAGTCAGCCAGTTCCCAAGCCTTGATAACCTCTATCAAGCCTAAGAAAGCTTCCAAGGCTAAGAAGGCTGCAAATAAGGCCATAGCTAGTGCCACCGAGGTCTCGCTGGCTGCAACTGCCACCCATACAGCTACCACCCAAGGCCAAATTACCAATGAGACAGCCAGTATCCACACCACAGCAGCCTCCATCCGAACCAAGAAAGCCTCCAAAGCCAGGAAGACAATTGCTAAGGTCATAAATACTGACACTGAGCATATAGAGGCTCTAAATGTCACTGACGCAGCTACCAGGCAGATTGAGGCCTCAGTAGTGGCTATCAGGCCCAAAAAATCCAAGGGCAAGAAGGCTGCCAGCAGGGGCCCAAATTCTGTCTCTGAGATCTCTGAGGCCCCACTTGCCACTCAGATAGTCACAAACCAAGCCCTGGCAGCCACCCTGCGGGTCAAGAGAGGGTCTAGGGCTCGGAAGGCTGCCACTAAGGCTCGGGCAACTGAAAGCCAGACTCCAAATGCTGACCAAGGGGCCCAGGCCAAGATAGCCTCTGCTCAGACCAACGTAAGTGCCCTTGAGACTCAGGTTGCTGCTGCTGTCCAGGCCCTGGCAGATGACTATCTGGCTCAGTTGAGCCTGGAGCCCACAACCAGGACCCGGGGCAAAAGAAACCGAAAGGTGAGATCTCTGACATTGCCATCCTTAACTTTGTGCTTCTTTTCCATTTCTACCCTTCTAGTTTGTTCATTTCTTCTATAAAAGTTTTACTTTGAGCTAGTCCCTGTGTTCAGATAGGCTGTGGAAGATGCTGAGAAGAAGGTGATATAGTTTCTGCTCCCTAGCAGTTCACAGATTGGTGAGGAAATAAGACATCCATACACTCAGCTACAACCTGTATGTAATACTACTTGTATTTAAATAGTAGTTACCACGTGCCAGGCTTTGTGTTGGGTACAGTTACACAGGGTATGTCTGAATGTCTTGAAAGTAACTCTTACCAACAAGGGATCATAGGTCCCAGTTTTACACTTAAGAAAACTGAGTCTCAGAGAAATGAAGTGACTTGTCCAAGAGGTACCAGCCAGCATAATTGGTGGTAGCCAGAGGAAGAGAAAGACCCTTAGGCTCTTATCTTGAGTTGTTCCTGGCCTGGCAGAGGAACGAAACTCCTTCCTGGAAGACAGTGAAAGATAAGCTCAGGACTCAGGGTGGCCAATGGCAAGGTCAGGATCAGGCTCCACTACAGCAAGGCTGAGGGAGGGGGTTAGAGGGACTTTCTGTCTGGAGCAGGCAAGGTGAGGAGACAGAGCCATCTCTTTCACCTGGTGACTCTGGACCTTCCTTCTTTCTGATGATGAAGTCCAAGCATCTGAATGGGGATGAGAGAAGTGGCAGTAATTACAGGCGGATCCCATGGGGCCGGAGGCCTGCACCACCGCGAGATGTGGCCATTTTACAAGAAAGGGTAAGAATCCAATGCTGTCCAGTCTCTTCTCTTCTTCACTTGCCCTCTTCTCTGCCTCCTTCCAAGTTTTCTGCAAGCATGTTAAGATCTCTCCATCTATTCCTCTCCTCCCAGGCTAATAAGTTGGTGAAATACCTGTTGGTTAAGGACCAGACAAAGATCCCCATCAAACGCTCAGGTAGTGTCCTACCAACCCTCCTCCTTGAGCTCTCCTCTCCACTCCCCTCTCCTCCCATAGTCTGGGAGTAACACTTTATGGCCTCTTTGTTCTGTCATATCTCCACACCTGCCCTCCTTGCACTCTGCCATGGCTGGCATCTCCCATTAACTCACTTCAGGTCTCTGATTGCACTGACCCAACAGGACTGGCAAAAGGGCTGCAGCTCTGTGGCCCCTGCTAAGCTCAGCTACTCTCACCTCTCCTTTTCTACAGACATGCTGAGGGATGTCATCCAAGAATATGATGAATATTTCCCAGAAATCATTGAACGAGCAAGCTACACTCTGGAGAAGGTGAAGGGGCAGTGCTGGCGGATGGGCGCAATGGGGAAGCTTTGAATCGAGCAAAGACATACATGTCCCTTTTGGAGAGAATCACAGAAACATGCTAATCCAGCCCCATTACTGTGTGAATGGGCAGACAGTGGCCTAGGGAGAGGTGTAGATTTGCCATGGGTCACACAGCATGTCAGTGATGAAAACATGGCTAGGACAGAAGCCACTCAAATTAGTCTCAGCTTCTATTCATAGTTGGACATATTCTGCATGTATTTCAGATCTCACCTCTCCCTTGTATCCCCATTTTCTGTCTCCCTAGATTCCTGCTCATCACAAAGATGATGTTGATGACAATAGTACATTTGCTGTGTGTTTACTGGGTGCCAGGCACTTGGCTATGTGCTTTATGTGCATTATCTCACTGACTTCTTACACATGCAGACCCCCTAAGTACACTGGGAGTTTTAGGATGCCCGGAAAGTTCACTGATACCTAAGCTGAATTTTGTGATCTCACAGGCTATTCTTTTACTTGGCAGATGTTTCGAGTCAATCTGAAAGAAATTGATAAGCAAAGTAGCTTGTATATTCTCATCAGCACTCAGGAATCCTCTGCAGGCATACTGGGAACGTAAGCTGGGAAAGGGCTGGAGTGGGAAGGAAGCTTCTGCTTTTATCTGTGCTGCTACCCCTTCTTTGTCCTACTTCCCCCATCCTCTTAGAGAGTCAGGAAAAACAGGGTCTCAAAAGCCCTGTCTCAGCACCTGCACATAGTTGGAGCCCTGCTCACAGTAGTGGCACCTGATTATGATTGACTGAAGGGTATAGGAGCCTAGGGTGGGACATTCCTGCTGTCAGGTTTGCTGTCTCTGTAGAAGCTTCCCAGGAAAGCAGGCCTGTCATTGCTTGCCTCTTCCGATGGAGTGCCTGGCCTGGCTTTGACAGAGTGGTTCTCAAGGAGGGCTTCCTGGTGTGGCTGGATCAGTATGCATGAAGCGCAAGAGTGTCAGTGGGGCTGAAGGTTCTGGGAGAGAAAGAAGGGACTCACATTGACTGAGTGCTTGTGTTGTACCAGGTTGACAGCCATTCTTCCATCTTCTTGGCAACCTGAGGAAGGGAGAATATGATTTTCCCATTTTACTGAATAATAGACCAAGGCTTGCAAGGTCTAAGTGCCTTGCCCAGGGTGGCATAGAGCTGGAAGCAGAGACTGGGCAGAATTCTGTATCTGAGGAATCTGGGAGAGGTTAGCCTGGTGAGCTGGCTGGTGTATCTTTTGCGGATGGCTGCTGAAACATAAACCTTCTTTCTGTCCTGTTGAAACATAAACCTTCTTTCTGTCCTGTTATTCCCTTAGGACCAAGGACACACCCAAGCTGGGTCTCCTCATGGTGATTCTGAGTGTCATTTTTATGAATGGCAACAAGGCCAGTGAGGGTGAGTGGCTGGGCATGCAGCTGAATGGGCGGCCATGGTCTGGATTCCATGTGTTCAATTTCTGTCCCTGTCTCCTCTTGCCTCCCCTCACAGCTGTCATCTGGGAGGTGCTGCGCAAGTTGGGGCTGCGCCCTGGGTATGACTGGGCTCTCTCAGCGCTTGCTGTCCGTGTTGTCCTTTGGCAAGAGAGGATGGTCCTAGGATTGCATCAGTCTGGTGGTCTGGTGGAGCGGGTGGGGTGCTGGACTGGGTAGAGGGCCCAGGGTTCTGACCTGGGTGGATGACGGGCAAATGGTCCTGAACTCTCTGCTGTCTCTCTCCTTAATGTCCTCTGTCTGTTCTAAGCTGAGATGTTAGATAGACCTTCAGGGATCCCTGACAAAGAGGCATCTGGTCTTAACTGCTTGCTTCTAGTGGCCATGTGCTCATTACTTTCTTCACTTCATTGAGACTGCCCCATGTGCTAGAGAGGTCTCTTCCATGTTGGGAAATGCCTCTGCCCTCATCTGGGCAGTTCTGATCTGTGTTCATGGGTTATTTTTCCCATTGTCAGGGTGAGGCATTCACTCTTTGGGGAAGTGAGGAAGCTCATCACAGACGAGTTTGTGAAGCAGAAGTAAGTGGTGTTTGGGGCTTTGTCTGGCCCTGAAGTGTTCTGGGTATACTGATCTGGTTCAGAAAGTGCTTAGTCAGTGCCTTTCTTATACTAGCTTTAGAGGGATGGGCATCCTGTGTCCTAGAACTGATACTGTCTAAAATTCCCATGGGCAGACCTTTCCAGGACTGGGCCAGACTCAACACAAGGCCCTTGCAGTGGGGTGCGCTCAGAGCAGAGGGCCTTAAGAATGGCTCCTCTGTTTACAACACACCCAACAGGAATCTGGGCTTACTCCTCACAGGTGGCATGATACTTTGGCCTTCCTGTGACATCATGCCCTATACATGTCTCCCCTGGAGAAGCCCAAGGGACTGCTTTGCACAGGGCCAGTGGGAAATGGCTCAGTATTGGAGGCCAAGACCATAAACTGTGTTTGGTAGTGAGTCTGGGGCTGGAGGGTCTTAGAAATCCCTCTCCAGGGGCTGTTTGTATTTGTTTGGAGGAGGTTGCCACCTGGTGTCTAGTGCTTAGACAGCAGGGTTGCTTGGTTAGAAACAAGTTTCATTTCCTTTTTCCAAGGTACCTGGAGTACAAGAGGGTCCCTAACAGCAGACCACCTGAATATGAGTTCTTCTGGGGCTTGCGCTCCTACCACGAGACTAGCAAGATGAAAGTCCTCAAGTTTGCATGCAGGGTAAGAGGAGAGCTGCCCGAGCTTGGCATATTAAGGCAATGGGATACCCTTGGCTGGGGCAGGCAATGCACAGGGATGGGCAGGTACAGAGCAGCCTGCAGCTCATATATAAACATGTGGAGCCTCCTTTATGTCCCAGGGTGCTGCTAGATATATAGTTTACATCATCTCATTCATTCTTCATACTTTGTATTAATCAGCATGGGCTGCCATAACAAAATACCATAGACTGGGTGGATTAAAAAACAAATTTATTTTCTCATAGTTCTTGAGGGCGAGAATCCTAGGTCAGGGTCCACGAGGGTCAGTTCCTGTTGAAGGCTCTCTTCCTGGCTTGCAGATGGCTGCCTTCTTGCTGTGTCCTCACATGGCTTTGTGTGTGAGAGAGAAGAGAGCAAGCTTTCTGGTGTCTCTTCTTATAAGGACACTAATCCTGTTGATCAGGACCCCACCCTTATGGCCTCATTTAACCTTAATTATCTCCATAAAGGCCCTATCTCCAAGTACAATCACACTGGGTGTTAGGGATTCAACATACGAATTTGGGGGCGGGCACAACCCTTCAGTTCATAACATATTTACGCTCTATCATTTCCTGTAATTATAAAGACACTTAGGCTAAGTGAGGTTAAGTAACTTGTCCAAGGTCATATAGCACGTAAGTCAGCAGAGCTGAAACTGGAGTTCAGAACTGACCCATGATAGAGCCCCAATAACTGAGAAGTTTAAAAAAGTATTGCTACTAGTTTAATACAAAGCCCGTAGGTTAATACATGATTACTAGGGTTGTTTTCTTATTATGATTATCATCCCCATTTCAGGTGCAGAAGAAAGACCCCAAGGACTGGGCTGTGCAGTACCGCGAGGCAGTGGAGATGGAAGTCCAAGCTGCAGCTGTGGCTGTGGCTGAGGCTGAAGCCAGGGCTGAGGCAAGAGCCCAAATGGGGATTGGAGAGGAAGCTGTGGCTGGGCCCTGGAATTGGGATGACATGGATATCGACTGCCTAACAAGGGAAGAGTTAGGCGATGATGCTCAGGCCTGGAGCAGATTTTCATTTGAAATTGAGGCCAGAGCCCAAGAAAATGCAGATGCCAGCACCAACGTCAACTTCAGCAGAGGAGCTAGTACCAGGGCTGGCTTCAGCGATGGTGCTAGTATTAGCTTCAATGGTGCACCCAGCTCCAGTGGTGGCTTCAGTGGTGGACCTGGCATTACCTTTGGTGTTGCACCCAGCACCAGTGCCAGCTTCAGCAATACAGCCAGCATTAGCTTTGGTGGTACACTGAGCACTAGCTCCAGCTTCAGCAGCGCAGCCAGCATTAGCTTTGGTTGTGCACACAGCACCAGCACTAGTTTCAGCAGTGAAGCCAGCATTAGCTTTGGTGGCATGCCTTGTACCAGTGCCAGCTTTAGTGGTGGAGTCAGCTCTAGTTTTAGTGGCCCACTCAGCACCAGTGCCACTTTCAGTGGTGGAGCCAGCTCTGGCTTTGGAGGCACACTCAGCACCACGGCTGGCTTTAGTGGTGTACTCAGCACTAGCACCAGCTTTGGCAGTGCACCCACAACGAGCACAGTCTTCAGTAGTGCGCTTAGCACCAGCACTGGCTTTGGAGGCATACTCAGCACCAGTGTCTGTTTTGGTGGCTCTCCCAGCTCCAGTGGTAGCTTTGGTGGTACACTCAGTACCAGTATCTGCTTCGGTGGCTCTCCCTGCACCAGCACTGGCTTTGGAGGCACACTTAGCACCAGTGTCTCCTTTGGTGGCTCTTCCAGCACCAGTGCCAATTTTGGTGGTACACTAAGTACCAGCATCTGCTTTGATGGCTCTCCCAGCACTGGTGCTGGCTTTGGTGGTGCTCTCAACACCAGTGCCAGCTTTGGCAGTGTGCTCAACACCAGTACTGGTTTTGGTGGTGCTATGAGCACCAGTGCTGACTTTGGCGGTACACTAAGCACCAGTGTCTGCTTTGGTGGCTCTCCTGGCACCAGTGTCAGCTTTGGCAGTGCACTCAACACCAATGCTGGTTATGGTGGTGCTGTCAGCACCAACACTGACTTTGGTGGTACACTAAGCACCAGCGTCTGTTTTGGTGGCTCTCCCAGCACCAGTGCTGGCTTTGGTGGTGCACTCAACACCAATGCCAGCTTTGGCTGTGCCGTCAGCACCAGTGCCAGCTTCAGTGGTGCTGTCAGCACCAGTGCTTGCTTCAGTGGTGCACCAATCACCAACCCTGGCTTTGGCGGTGCATTTAGCACCAGTGCTGGCTTCGGTGGGGCACTTAGTACCGCTGCTGACTTCGGTGGTACTCCCAGCAACAGCATTGGCTTTGGTGCTGCTCCCAGCACCAGTGTCAGCTTTGGTGGTGCTCATGGCACCAGCCTCTGTTTTGGTGGAGCTCCCAGCACCAGCCTCTGCTTTGGCAGTGCATCTAATACTAACCTATGCTTTGGTGGCCCTCCTAGCACCAGTGCCTGCTTTAGTGGTGCTACCAGCCCTAGTTTTTGTGATGGACCCAGCACCAGTACCGGTTTCAGCTTTGGCAATGGGTTAAGCACCAATGCTGGATTTGGTGGTGGACTGAACACCAGTGCTGGCTTTGGTGGTGGCCTAGGCACCAGTGCTGGCTTCAGTGGTGGCCTAAGCACAAGTTCTGGCTTTGATGGTGGGCTAGGTACCAGCGCTGGCTTCGGTGGAGGACCAGGCACCAGCACTGGTTTTGGTGGTGGACTGGGCACCAGTGCTGGCTTCAGTGGCGGACTGGGCACCAGTGCTGGCTTTGGTGGTGGACTGGTCACTAGTGATGGCTTTGGTGGTGGACTGGGCACCAATGCTAGTTTCGGCAGCACACTTGGCACCAGTGCTGGCTTTAGTGGTGGCCTCAGCACCAGCGATGGCTTTGGCAGTAGGCCTAATGCCAGCTTCGACAGAGGACTGAGTACCATCATTGGCTTTGGCAGTGGTTCCAACACCAGCACTGGCTTTACTGGCGAACCCAGCACCAGCACGGGCTTCAGTAGTGGACCCAGTTCTATTGTTGGCTTCAGCGGTGGACCAAGCACTGGTGTTGGCTTCTGCAGTGGACCAAGCACCAGTGGCTTCAGCGGTGGACCGAGCACAGGAGCTGGCTTCGGCGGTGGACCAAACACTGGTGCTGGCTTTGGTGGTGGACCGAGCACCAGTGCTGGCTTTGGCAGTGGAGCCGCCAGTCTTGGTGCCTGTGGCTTCTCGTATGGCTAGTGAGGTTTCAGGTAACTGCAATATTTCCATAGCCAGGACCCACAGGGATGGGTACAAGAGCTGGGAGATGTTGTAAGAAACACTAAGGCAGGACAGCAGGGTGGAAAGGTGAGGGCAATTAAGGAATTATGAGAAGACAGTGTATTTGGTGCTAAAATGTGTTCCTATTTGTTTTGTTTTCAGATTTATTCCCCATGTTTACAGATACCGCTAATAAATTGCAGTAGTCCTTCCCATGGAGCCAAAGTACATCCTTGGAATCTTTGTCCACACAGCAGTCAAGGCAGTTATGGCCAATCAGCTGAGGGTGTCATGTGATGGAAAAATCTGTTTGCTGTTCCTGCTTTATTGTTTGCTTTCTGTGTGCTGTCATATTTTGGTATCAGAGTTACATTAAATTTGCAAAATGAATTGGAGTTTTTTCTGTCTTTTAATGTGCTTAGGTAGTTGTGGAGTGGCATCTTGGGTTCGTAGAAGAGCTGGAGATCAGCATAGCTCTTTGGAGAATGTGGGTCTCCAGCTTTTGGCTCAAAGGCAAATATGATTTCAGCAGGATAGAGGCCTGGGGAAAGCATGGCAGGCAAGAGGATAACAGGTTGAGGAAAGATATGGAGAGGGAAAGCCTGGAGCAGAAGGCAAACGGAGAGGCTTCTGGACAGTAAGTACAGATTGATTTTGAATCACTGGTGTAAGAATGGAGGGAAGGGCAGAGGTCACTAGGGGTGGACATAAGAACAAGGGAGGGTTTAATTGGGATAGGAGAGGAAAACTTGGGCATATTGTATAGACTGTGGGGCAAAAGCTAACAGGAACAGGAGATAGATATGGAAGAGTCAGGAATTGACTGAAGTAGCCCATCCCTGAGAAGGTGGGATGGAATAGGGTACCAGAGAAGACAACCCTGACTTTGAACAGACTTAAGGGTGGCTGTGGATGCAGATAAATATAGATCTGCTTCAAGCAGGGATCAGCAACTTCTGTAGTAGACAACAACAACAACAAAAGGAGAGGTGGATTATACAAGGTTTAGGTCTTGCTGGGTGGTTGTGATGGAAGGACAAGGGAACAAAGGCAGCAAGTGTATGAGTCTGTCTCTTTACCACTGGGTCACTGGTACCTGGCTTATGGTAGCTGCCTGGAGAGTGGCTGAAGAGATGGCCCATAGTATCCAACATAGTTAGGGACAGAACACTAAGGATAGATTGGGGGACAATAGAGCATTCAAAGGACTCTGCTCTTGATGCTGTACAGCAACAAATATTGTTCATTCAAAAAATACTACAGGGCTGGGCACAGTGGCTCATGTCTGTAATCCCAGGACTTTGGGAGAGGCCAAGATGGGAGGATTGCTTGAGCCCAGGAGTTCAAGACCAGCCTGGATAACATAGTAAGACTTCGTCTCTACAGAATAATTGAAAATTAGCCGGGCATGGTGGTGTGCACCTGTGGTCCCAGCTCCTTGTGAGAGAGGCTGAGGTGGGAGGATTGCTTAAGCCCAGGAGTTTGAGGCTGCAGTGAGCTGAGATTGCACCACTGCACTTCAGCCTGGGTGACAGAGTGAGACCCTGTCTCAAAAAAAAAGAAGAAAATACTACATATATGCCTACTGTATGGAGGCACACTGCTAGGGATTCAGTGGATGACAGAGAGTTGTAAGGACTGGGGTAGTGGGTGGGCAGTGGTCAGACAGTTGGATGCTTACGTTTAAGAAGTCAGACCAGGGAGATGATACCAAAATCCATGGAGTAGGTGGTTGAAGGGGAGAAGATGATCACTGGAGTTGAGGGGGTCAGGGGACTGTGAGGCCAGAGTATTGGTTGGATCATTCACATAAACAGTGAAATCACTCAGGATGGCAGCAAGAGTTGGAGAAGAAAGGAGCACTTGGCTCAAGTGCCAGATTCTTCCCTGAGTATAAGGATGAAAGTGTCATGCCCACAGCCACCTTGCTGGAACAAGGCCCACAGGAACTCACAGGCACCTATCTTCTCCCCCATCTTTGGAGGTGCTACTGTAGAACTTTTCCCTCCAGGAAATCCTCACCCATTCCATGCCCTCACAGCAGCAGAGCTGGGTCAGGATTAGGGTCAGTACCTTGAGAACAACTGGAAAAGCCTCGCCATGACCTCCTCCTCTCCTCTTGTAGGCAGTAAGTCTTTATTCGTCAGAGAATAGGAATTAAGAAAGAAAGTTTCCTCCAGAGCTAGATAGCTCCTTGGTTGCGGCCAGCAAGCGAGGCTTGTTTGGGAGTTGCGGAGGACTTCTTCACTGGAAGTGGGGTGCCTCAGTGAGGCCAAGGCAGAGTAGGAGAAGAGCAAAGATAGCATTTCCTAAAGGTGGAAGGCGATGAGGACACAGGCAGTTTGACTTCTTGGAAAGGGCTCAGTAGTGGGCTGGGACAGTATCCAGGGCTTCCTCAGGTTCCCGGGTGATGTCCACATTCTGAGGAGAGAGCGCAGGATTAATAGGAAGGAGACAGCAGTGCAGGGCCCCAACCTCTCCCCTGCCTCTTGTCTTCATTGCCAGGCTCCCCTCTTTCAGCCAGGCCCGGATCCTGACCCTCAGGTAGGCCTGGGGGAATCTCAGCCTGAGGCCTTTTAGGCGGGAATTGCCCCAGCCTTGCATCTCCATGGTGCCTCGTGTCTGGGTTGTGGTTTCTGCATTTCTGGGTGCTGTTTGCTCCATCTGTTGGTGCAAAACACCCAGGCTTGGTGGGGTTGGGGCAGCCTTTCTGTGGATAAGGTGCTTTCACCATGTGCTGTGTCCACAGCCAGCTTGGGCCATGGAGTCCCCCACCTACCTCAGGCTTCTCCCGGTGTGTGTTCACGGCCTCCACATTCAGGTAGATGGATTCCACTTTGCAGCCTTAGAAAAGAACAATCCATCTGTCCATAGGCCCCCAAGGTAGGCACAGGTCTTCCCTGAGGTATCACCTCCCCTCCCCCATCACCAGCCACACCCCCAGCTTCATACTGTGTACAGATCATGACTCGCCTGTATGGAGGAGAATTTAGACAGCTATGTGATGTGTGGGGAAGACACCAGGCCTAAGAGGCAGCCAACAGGGTATCCTGTCACCTCTGCCCCTAACAGTCTTAGTTCGCTGAGCTTCAGGTGCTCATTTGTAAATGGGGATGGAGATGAGAGATGAACTCTGGCTGCCCACAGCTCTTGAGGTCCGCAGGACAGCAGTCTCATCTATGTAATATTGATGTAGCTCTGCGGATCCTCCAAGCCGTGTTAGGTGGTGAAGAGGTGGAAGAGTCCTGGGGCCACTGCCTTGGGCGATCAGTGCCAGGCAAAGTTTATCTGGAGGACAATGTGGTTGTGGCAACACCAGGAGTATGGAAGTTCACCTGGGAGTTTTAGGAAACCTGAAGACGGATGAGGGTGCATCATTGGGGCTTGGGGCTGACAGAGGGGGCCTAATGCCTGTGGAAGCTCCCTTAGCTTCATCCCTGTGGACTGCACCTTACTCCAGGCTTCAGTAGGTCATCTGCCCTGTTCGCACCCCAGAATAGATTTGATTCTGTCCCTCCCCTGTTCATGAACCTTTCATAGCTAATGTCCCAAGAAAGACCCTAAACTGCCCAGGCTGGTCTTTGTGCTCTTTCTCCAATACGGCCCTAACCTATAATTTTCCTCTGGTCCCCTTTGGGGAATCCCCCTTCCACAGCTTGGTGCTCTGTGCTGGGTGCTCTGGCAAAGACACAGAGTCAGAGCCAGCCCCAGATTTAGAAACCATCCTACTCTTTCCCTGTTATCCTACTACCATCAGTCCCACCCCCACCACCCACTAAGGGAACCTCCTGCAGGACACCCACCCAGGAAACCTCCTGCAGGACTCTTCTGGGCAAATGGTAGGCACTAGGGCCATGCTCATAGCCTCTATATGCCTGTCCTTTGATCAGGGTGGGAGTACTTACCATAAGCCACAGGAGTGAGTTTGAGCACTGTGTGCAGAGGGCACTTGAGATATGGAAGCTCATCTAGAAAGGAACAGGAAGCAGCCCTCAGAGGCAGGGTGCTGGCCAGGACACAGCCTCCCCAGGCCCCCAGGCTTGCTGGATGCTCCCCATTCCATGTCCCCTTGCCGTGGTGGGGCCTCACCAGGGGCCCACTCCCCACACCCTGCAGGGGCAGCACTGAGAGCACCTGGGAAGAGAGGAGGAGAGCAGGGAGGCAGGAATGCCTTGGAAAATGGTGGTAGACTGGACTGGGTGTCCTGCAGGAGGGTTGGGCCGGCCACCCTGGAGACGGCCACCACCTCACTCACAGGACAAATGAGACCCAGGCAGGCTTCTCTCCCGCCCCAAGCCTGGGGCCTTCAGCAGACCCCACACCACAAAGGCCCACAGTTCACGTCAGCAAGTGTTTTTTGAGACCCTGCTGTGGCAGTGGACAGCTCCCACAGCCTTCTCCCAGCCTGGCCCGCTCCCTCTGATCATCCCTGCCTCAGGCCTGGTGATGGACAAGCATTTGTGCATTCACTTGTTTCCAGTTATTGACATTATGCATAAAGTTGTTCTGAATATTCATATGCATTCTTGTCTGGGTCTATGTTTCCATTTCTCAGGCAAGCCCAAGAGGTGGGGACAGTAAGCCCATTTCATGGTCTCAGCCAACTGAGGCCTTGAGAGGGAAAATGCTCTCCGCAAGTCACACAGCCAGGAAGCAGCAGAGCAAGGCCTTGAACCTGGGACCCTGTGAGGCCAGAATGCATGCACTGGCCCCTACTGTCAACTGCCCCTGCCATCCAGGGGCTTGCAGTGTCCTGGGGGTGATAAACCCACCTGCTAGGCACTCTCTCCTGACACCCACTTTCCTGCCCACCTGCACATAACGCTACCCATTTCCCTTCATTTTGCAGGATCACCGACCCTCATGGCTTCCCTCAACAGCAGGTTCCACCCTAGGTTTCTGAGGTCTGCCACTGCCCTCCCAGCCTCCTGAGACATTAGGTTGGCTTTTTTCCTTCCTGGGCATCCATCCTGCTGCTCCTCCTTGTTTTTGTCATCATCAGGCCCTGGGCCAAGGGTGTTTTGCCCACTACCTCATGACACCCTTAAAGCTAGATTGAGGTACTACTGTACACCCTCCTTGTACACTTGAGGAAACAGACTCGGAGAAGGGAAGTGACTTGCCTGAGATCTCTGACCCAGCTCTGCCACTGCCTCCACTAATGACCTTGGCCCGGGCTCTTCTCTCTCTGGTCCTCAGTGTTCCCATTTCACAGGACAGGATTGGACTAGATGTACTCTGAGGGTGCCCCAGCCCTGATGTTCTGTGGGTCTGCATTCTCAGTCACATCATCTCTCTGGGCCTTGTTCCAGCATTCACCTAAGTAATGGGGTGGGTGGGGGGGTGAGAACATCTGTCCAGTGCTGCCCTGTCTGGCTCCCAGGACAGGTAGCCTGTGTGTAAAAAGCACTCCACACATGTCTGAGACGGGAAGTCCTCTGGCATGTACCTGGGATCAATGTCTATCCCTCACACTCTGAGCCCCATGACCTTGTGCCAGTCACTTCACCTTTCTGGGTCTCCCATTTCCTCATCTGGACAATGGGAGTTACAGCACCTGCCTCATGGTCTCAAAACATTGCCCTGAAAAGTAAAGATGTGAACAGAGAGAAATCTACCAGTGCAAGGACCCCCACCGCACATCCTATCACCTATTTCCAGTGAGGAAACTGAGGACCAGGCAGAGGAAATTCCTTATTTAATGTCAAGTTCTCAAGTGCCCTGGGTTCCAATTCTGGATGACTCCATATTACAGTGTTCTTTATTTTCAAACTAGCATCGTAGAAAAGATCCAAGACTGTAAAACAGTGTAGACATTGAATATAATTTTGCATTGCTCTGAGACACCTTAAAAATATCCTGGAAATGCTAACACATCAGCATCCACATTGGAAATGGAATCTCATGCCTGAAAGTGATATAACAGTTTTTTTTTTTTTGCCAGGCCAGCTGCCCCAGTTTGCAGTTCAGCCTATGCAGTCAGTGTGTAAATACTCTGTAAATGCAATGCCTACATATTTTTTTAAAAATAAATTATCATTTGAAAAACAATTTAAAATGAAAACATCACTATCTTGGGGAAATTACCCCTATAGCAAGGACAGAAACTTGTAATCAGGATCATGAAGCTATGAAAGGCCCTACTATCACCTGATGGTAGCATGCTTCACAGAAATACTAGCTCATCTTTTCCAGATTGAGGCAGACTGTTAACGTTGGCTTTGAAAATGTTAGCTAAGAATAATACTATACTAATAATAGCAGTTAATATATAGCCCACACAATGTGTCATGAACTGTTCTAAACTTTTTACTTATGTTATTTAAAATTCATCATTATTCTCCCCATTTTACAGATGAGGACACTGAGGCCAGAGAAGTTAAAGAAATTTGTGAAAGGCAGTACAGCTAGTATGTGAAAGAGAAAGAATCTGAACCTAGGCATCCTTGTTCTAGATACTCTTCTCTTAACTACTAAGATATAGATATCTAATTGTTGGTGTCAGTGTCTCAAATACCATCAAACATTCCCAAAGCAGAGATGAGGGTAGTACCTGAACTTTTATCCAGGAAATAGGCCAGGAGGCACCGCATGACAGCCTGGTGGCAGATCACCAGTACATTCTCCTGTCGTTCTAGCTCCATTATCACTGGCTCCAGACGCTGAACCAGATCCTCATAGGACTAAACGTAAGAGAGATACTTGAGTGAGAAAGGAAGATGAGGCACATTTGCCCAGAGGGGAAGAACTCTAAACTAGGAATCAAGAACATTTGGTTCCAGTGCCAGTTCAATTGTTGACCCACCAGTATGACCTTAGGCAACTCACTTCCTTCTTAGGGTCTTAGTTTCATTATCTGCTAAATGGGGGCTATCAATATAGTGGACCAAATAAATGTATCAATACAGTGGACTAAATAACAATAACAACAATACAACTCCCCACTGCAAATTGTCTTCTTAAATGCACTGCTGACCTTTCACAAAAATAAAGAAAATTTTATAAATATAGGGCCCCAAAATAGAGAAAAACGGAAAAAAACAAGTGATAAGTGGATGTAGCAGCCACAGCTGCCCTGCAGGCATTTGCCAATCATAGTAACTAAGAGTTTTGAGTTTTAAAAACCGTACGGAAGTAGAAGACAAGGCCTTGGGTGTGCACAAGGTGGGGAGTTAAGACTGAGACTCTCACATAAATCTGAGATGCTCAAAGGCCAAATCTTTACGCTCTAAGTGCAAACTAGAAAAAGTTCCTTAACAAGCAAAAAGAAACAACAAGAAAATGTGTCTGTCTCTCCTTGGCTCTCAGGGGAAATAAGTGAAAATCCTCCTGTATCAAATTCACACATAACAATATTAACCTTAAATGTAAATGGGCTAAATGCTCCAATTAAAAGATACAGACTGGCAAATTGGATAAAGAGTCAAGACCCATCAGTGTGCTGTATTCAGGAAACCCATCTCACATGCAGTGACACACATAGGCTCAAAATAAAGGGATGGAGGAAGATCTACCAAGCAAATGGAAAACAAAAAAAGGCAGGGGTTGCAATCCTAGTCTCTGATAAAACAGACTTTAAACCAACAAAGATCAAAAGAGACAAGGCCATTACATAATGGTAAAGGGATCAATTCAACAAGGAGAGCTAACTATCCTAAATATATATGCACCCAATACAGGAGCACCCAGATTCATAAAGCAAGTCCTGAGTGACCTACAAAGAGACTTAGACTCCCACACAATAATAATGAGAGACTTTAACACCCACTGTCAACATTAGACAGATCAATGAGACAGAAAGTTAACAAGGATATCCAGGAATTGAACTCAGCTCTGCACCAAGCGGACCTAATAGACATCTACAGAACTCTCCACCCCAAATCAATAGAATACACATTCTTCTCAGCACCACACCGCACTTATTCCAAAATTGACCACCTGGTTGGAAGTAAAGCACTCCTCAGCAAATGTAAAAGAACAGAAATTATAACAAACTGTCTCTCAGACCACAGTGCAATCAAACTAGAAGAACTCAGGATTAAGAAACTCATGCAAAACCGCTCAGCTACATGGAAACTGAACAACCTGCTCCTGAATGACTACTGGGTACATAACGAAATGAAGGCAGAAATAAAGATGTTCTTTGAAACCAACGAGAACAAAGACACAACATACCAGAATCTCTGGGACACATTTAAAGCAGTGTGTACAGGGAAATTTATAGCACTAAATGCCCACAACAGAAAGCAGGAAAGATCTAAAATTGACACCTAACATCACAACTGAAAGAACTAGAGAAGCAAGAGCAAACACATTCAAAAGCTAGCAGAAGGCAAGAAATAACTAAGATCAGAGCAGAACTGAAGGAGATAGAGACACAAAAAACCCTTCAAAAAATCAATGAATCCAGGAGCTGTTTTTTTGAAAAGATCAACAAAATTGATAGACCAGTAGCAAGACTAATAAAGAAGAAAAGAGATAAGAATCAAATAGATGCAATAAAAAATGATAAAGGGAATATCACCACCGATCCCACAGATACACAAACTACCATCAGAGAATAATATAAACACCTCTACGCAAATAAACTAGAAAATCTAGAAGAAATGGATAAATTCCTGGACACATACACCCTCCCAAGACTAAACCAGAAAGAGGTTGAATCTCTGAATAGACCAATAACAGGCTCTGAAATTGAGGCAATAATTAATAGCTTACCAACCAAAAATAGTCCAGGACCAGATGGATTCACAGCCGAATTCTACCAGATGTACAAGGAGGAACTGGTACCATTCCGTCTGAAACTATTCCAATCAATAGAAAAAGAGGGAATCCTTCTTAACTCATTTTATGAGGCCAGCATCATCCTGATACCAAAGCCAGGCAGAGACACAAAAAAAGGAGAATTTTAGACCAATATCCCTGATGAACATCGATGCAAAAATGCTCAATAAAATACTGGCAAACCGAATCCAGCAACACATCAAAAAGCTTATCCACTATGATCAAGTGGGCTTCATCCCTGGGATGCAAGGCTGGTTCAACATATGCAAATCAATAAACATAATCCAGCATATAAACAGAACCAATGACAAAAACCACATGATTATCTCAATAGACGCAGAAAAGGCCTTTGACAAAATTCAGCAGCCCTTCATGCTAAAAACTCTCAATAAATTAGGTATTGATGGGACGTATCTCAAAATAATAAGAGCTATTTATGACAAACCCACAGCCAGTATCATACTGAATGGGCAAAAACTGGAAGCATTCCCTTTGAAAACTGGCACAAGACAGGGATGCCCTCTCTCACCACTCCTATTCAACATAGTGTTGGAAGTTCTGGCCAGGGCAGTCAGGCAGGAGAGAGAAATAAAGGGCATTCAATTAGGAAAAGAGGAAGTCAAATTGTCCCTGTTTGCAGAAGACATGATTGTATATTTAGAAAACCCCATCGTCTCAGCGCAAAATCTCCTTAAGCTGATAAGCAACTTCAGCAAAGTCTCAGGATACAAAATCAATGTGCAAAAATCACAAGCATTCTTTACACCAAAAACAGACAAACAGAGAGCCAAATCCTGAGTGAACTCCCATTCACAATTGCTTCAAAGAGAATAAAATACCAAGGAATCCAACTTACAAGGGATGTGAAGGACCTCTTCAAGGAGAACTACAAACCACTGCTCAATGAAATAAAAGAGGATACAAACAAATGGAAGAACATTCCATGCTCATGGGTAGGAAGAATCAATATCGTGAAGATGGCCATACTGCCCAAGGTAATTTATAGATTCAATGCCATCCCCATCAAGCTACCAATGCCTTTCTTCACAGAATTGGAAAAAACTACTTTAAAGTTCGTATGGAACCAAAAAAGGGCCCGCATCGCCAAGTCAATCCTAAGTCAAAAGAACAAAGCTGGGGGCATCATGCTACCTGACTTCAAACTATACTACAAGCCTACAGTAACCAAAACAGCATGGTGCTGGTACCAAAACAGAGATATAGACCAATGGAACAGAACAGAGCCTTCAGAAATAATGCTGCATATCTACAACTATCTGATCTTTGACAAACCTGAGAAAAACAAGCAATGGGGAAAGGCTTCCCTATTTAATAAACGGTGCTGGGAAAACTGGCTAGCCACATGTAGAAAGCTGAAACTGGACCCCTTCCTTACACCTTATTCAAAAATTAATTCAAGATGGATGAAAGACTTAAACGTTAGACCTAAAACCATAAAAACCCAGAAGAAAACCTAGGCATTACCATTCAGGACATAGGCATGGGCAAGGACTTCATGTCTAAAACACCAAAAGCAATGGCAACAAAAGCCAAAACAGACAAATGGGATCTAATTAAAACTCAAGAGCTTCTTCACAGCAAAAGAAACTACCATCAGAGTGAACAGGCAACCTACAGAATGGGAGAAAATTTTTGCAATCTACTCATCTGACAAAGGGCTAATATCCAGAATGTACAAAGAACTGAAACAAATTTACAAGAAAAAAACAAACAACCCCATCAAAAAGTGGGTGAAGGATATGAATAGACACTTCTCAAAAGAAGACATCTATGCAGCCAAAAGACACATGAAAAACTGCTCATCATCACTGGCCATCAGAGAAATGCAAATCAAAACCACAATGAGATACCATCTCACACCAGTTAGAATGGTGATCAATATAAAATCAGGAAACACCATGTGCTGGAGAGGATCTGGAGAAATAGGAACACTTTTACACTGTTGGTGGGACTGGAAACTAGTTCAACCATTGTGGAAGTCAGTGTGGCGTCTCCTCAGGGATCTAGAACTAGAAATCCCATTTGACCCAGCTATCCCATTACTGGGTATATACCCAAAGGAGTATAAATTATGCTGCTATAAAGACACATGCACACGTATGTTTACTGTGGCACTATTCACAATAGCAAAGACTTGGAACCAACCCAAATGTCCAACAATGATAGACTGGATTAAGAAAATGTGGCACATATACACCATGAAATACTATGCAGCCATAAAAAATGATGAGTTCATGTCCTTTGTAGTGACATGGATGAAGCTGGAAACCTTCATTCTCAGCAAACTATCTCAAGGACAAAAAACCAAACACCACATATTCTCGCTCATAGGTGGGAATTGAACACTAAGAACACTTGGACACAGGAAGGGGAACATCACACCCCGGGGCCTGTTGTGGGGTGGAGGAATGGGGGAGGGATAGCATTTGGAGATATACCTAATGTAAATGACGATTTAATAGGTGCAGCACACCAGCATGGCACATGTATACATATGTAACAAACTTGCACATTGTGCACATGTACCCTAAAACTTAAATTATAATAAAAAAATCCTGTAAGAATTTATAACCACCAGACTTCCCTCAGGTGGGCTGGTGATTCAGAGCTACACTATCCATTTGGTTTGAAGAATGTTATGCTGAGAGTTTAATAAAAAGTGATCCCAAGTCGTTAGCTCCCAGGACTGCTTAGAAGAAGCAAATGAAATCTCTCTGGATTCTCTCAACTCAGGCTGCGTGAGATTTCCATAGATAAATTCTTGACAAGCTGGAGCTCATATAACACACAAGGAAATAAGCTACCATGAGTGAGAATAAGCAGAAACAAGAAGAGAACCCTAAAAACTTAAGATAAGGGATGCCACAATATAAAATAAATATGTTTGAAACTTTTAAAGAAATAAAAGGTGGAATAAAAAATGTAAGGAAGAAACAAGATGCCATCAAATATACAATGTAGATTTGAAAAATAACTAAATAGAATTTCAGAAATAAAAAATAGTCATTAAAATTGAAAACTCAGTGTATGGGGTAAGGAGCATATTGGATACTACTTAAATAGTGACTAGAAGATAAAGCTGAAGAAATTACTCAGGATGCAGCAAAAGATACAAAGAGATAGAAAATAGGAAGGAAAAGTTAGGAGACATGAAGAATAGAGGCAGGAGTAACATACATCCAATTGTATTTCCAGAAGAAGATAATAGAATGTGAGAGATGAATTTTTAAAGATAAATTGTCTGAGAGTTTTCCAGACTTGAAGAAGAATCCCAGTCCTCAGATTCAGGAAGTCTCACTAATCCCAAGCTATACATTAATAAATGAAAAGAAATTATCATCTAGACATATTAGAGGGAAACTTTAAAGCAACAATGATACAAAAACCTTAAAAGTAGCCAGAGAGGAAAGAAAACTAGACTGACAGCAGATTTCCTAGCCACAGTAGAAGCCAGAAGACAGTGAGGGTAATACTTTCAAAGTGCTGAGAGAAAACAACTGTCATCCTAGAGTTTTTACCCAGCCAAGCATCACTAGGATTGAGGACCCCCTCCTACCAAGACATTTTTAGACAAAAAGAAGGGTGTGTTTACTCACTAAAAAAGCTTCTAAAGAAAGATGGAAGGCTGGGCGTGGTGGCTCACGCCTGTAATCCTAGCACTTTGGGAGGCCGAGGTGGGTGGATCATGAGGTCAGGAGATGGAGACCATCCTGGCTAACACGGTGATACCCCGTCTCTACTAAAAATACAAAAAATTAGCCAGGTGTGGTGGCAGGTGCCCGTAGTCCCAGCTACTCGGGAGGCTGAGGCAGGAGAATGGTGTGAACCTGGGAGGTAGAGCTTGCAGTGAGCCGAGATGGGGCCACTGCACTCCAGCCTGGGTGAAAGAGCGAGACTCCGTCTCAAAAAATAAATAAATAAATAAATAAATAAAATAAAAAATAAATAAATAAAAATAAAAAAGAAAGACGGAAAATGAACTCAGAGGGAAGATTTGAGGTGCAAGGGGCAAGAATGATCAGAGGAATTAGTAAGCATGTGGTTAAATCTAAATAAACATTGACTGCATACAATAATAACAACAACAGGAATAATTCACTTGGGGGTTAAGACCAAGTTTGACCTAAAATACAAACAATTAACATGTAAATTAGGAGACACAATGGCCAGGGTTTTAAAGTTCTTCTGTTGTTTAGGTAGAGGGTAGAGATATTGATTTTAGATTTTGTTAATAATGAATATTAAAATGTTAAGGATTCAAGTTGGTTGCATAATAGCACTCAGCAAAAAATTATTATGAGTGATTTTGAAATACATTTTGACCTTACATCCTTATTGAGATATCAACTAAAAATTGAAAGAATCATGATGAAAAATTTTTAAAATGTTAAGGGTAATCTCTAAATGAATGGAAACAAATTATATAACTTAAATATGGATATAAAAACTTTATCAATCCTAAAGAGGGCAGGAAAAGAGAAAAAACTAAGCAGAGAGCTCAAGACAAGATAATAGTAATAAACTAAAAAAGTTAGTAATTACAATAAAAGTAAATATACCAAACTTACCATTCAAAAGACATATATTTTCAGTTTGGATTAAAAACAACGAAACCCAACTATAAGCTGTTTATAAGAGACACAAAACAAAGATACACAGAGAAGTTGAAAGTAAATGAATAGCTAAAAGTGAACTAGGTAAGGAGTCACCAGAAGTCACTGAATCTTGTACAGCTATATTAATATCAGATAAAATACGTTTTTAGGCAAAAAGGATTATCGAGGAGAAAGAGGTTTGGTCACTATGTAATAATAAAATGTGCAATTCACTGAGAAGACATAATTGCTTTAATTTTGTATACCTCTAATAACATAGCCTCTAAATACCTAAAGGAAAATGAGGGCAAATTAAGATGAATTTTATAATGTCATCTCTGTGGGTGAAGATTAAAAATGTGAAAGTGTTGTATAACTGAATAGAATATCTATTGTTTTATCCTCCCAGATGTCCTTCTTTTCTAATAACTTTTCCCAGCCATTTATATCAGAAATAAAGTATGACTAATAAATGCTCTAAAATGTGGAACTGGTTAAGTGGAGGCTTGATTAAAAGCAATGAGCATTCATCTCATATGGGGATAGGGAACTGATGGTCTGGTTCATGTAGTGGCAAAGAAGTTGATTAAATTATTAGCCATTGTCCCTTGGGACAATGCCAACTGCCCAGACAGGCTGGAGCTTTAGGCAACTTGGCAACAAAATATCAGGAAATCAGAGTATGTTGAACTATTTAAAGTGTCTTCATGAAGGGATACCAGAGACAAGGTCCAGGATAAAGTCAGCACTTCTGAAGCAGAAAGAGAATAAGCAAGAAAATTATGTAGCTTTTAAAAGAAAGGGATGGATCTATTGCCTATAGCCAAGAATCTAAAACAACCAAGGGCCAGATAATCATGTGCCTTGTGGGATGGCAGCTGCTGCAAGATATGCTTACTCTGTTTCTAAAGCTGTCTAGACAATTGTGGAATCCTAGCAGTTGCAATGAAGACACTGGGGAGTAGTCCTAGGCATTAGGCCACCCCGCAAACCTTACCTCTCCCTTGGGATAGCGGTAGCGATATTTATCTTGGTCTCGCAGTGCAAATTCTTCAGGGTAATGTTCCTGGATTTCTTCATAGGTCATCTCCTCACAGACACCCTGAGAAAAAGTATTTGGGGGCGAAAGTATTCACAAGATGAAATTCCACAGAGTCTTTGCCATAATTCTTCGATGATTGTGAAACAGTAGCACATGAGCACCTGGGTCTCTGTGAACACAGCTCTGGGTTTGTGCCTGTTGTCCATAAGTGTGTATGCGTGTGTGTGTGTGTGTGTGCGTGTGTGTGTGTGTGTGTGTGTGAGGTGTGTGGCTGTGTAGATGTGACAGTGAGTGTATGTGAGTAGATGTGTTCAGGCTGAGTGTATGATGTTTTTCTATGATTGTACAGATAGGTCTGTAGGTGTACATTATACATATAAGTATGTATTTTTATAAATATATGGGCATAAGGATTTGTGGCTGTGTTTACAAGTCTGTGTGCAGCATGCTTATGATATGTACTTGTGGTATGTTTAAAGACTTATGCCTTGTGTTTGTGTATTTGTCTCAGCATATGTTGTGTGCTTGCGTGTGTGTGTGTATGTGTGTGTATAGGGTGTCTAAGCATCTGAGAATGTGTCCATGTGGTCTTTCCATGCAGGTCTCAGTGTGTCTGTGGCATGTGTGTCTGTTAATGTATATGTCCCTCATTATGTCTCTGGTGTATATGTGAGAGTATCTGTGTGCCTGTGTCTGAAGACCTCTACTTTGGGAACTCTGGCAGATAAACAGGCATCCATAGACATCTCAGACAGGAAAAATTAACAAATTCCTAATGGTTTCAGAGTGGATTTGGGGGAGATACACTCTCCTCACTCAAAAAAGGAATTGAGTACTCAGAGAATGAGTTCCTAAGGAGCTTATGAGAGATTCCAAGTCTACTGAGAAACTCCCAGAGGTGAGGTGACTGCTGCTGGTGGTGGAAAGTGATGTTGGGTTTCTAAGGTTTCCTTCTGGGTATGTGGATTCCAATTAAATCTCCCTGTAGGGGGCCAGTGGCCTCTGGTTGTTGTCTATTGGGCCCATCTACCATGCCCCCATCAGGGGTGAGGAAGTGAACCCCTACCCCAACCCACAAACATCTCTGCAGTGTGAAACTTCTCCAACCCACACTGCCCATGGAAGAAAGTGCACCCTACTGGGTACACGAGGTCGTTCAAGATTGGCTTCAACTTTCTATTCTGAGGAGTACTAGGAGCCTGTCGCCTATGGAAATGGTCATTGACTCCTTATTGAGTCAAATTGCTTAACCTCTCCGAATTTTACTTTCCTTATCTGCAAAATGTGGAGAATTAGAACTACTTCACAGAAGTGTTTTGAATATTGGGAAAATGTAAGTAAAACATACTAGTACAGAATGCGCAAGGGACATTTTAAAGACTCAATCATTAGAATGAAGTATTAATATTTTATTACTCATGGAAAATAAACCAGAAACGTAAATTCTTGCTTTATCTTCATCCTAAATTCTTGCTTCTTCCTCACTCACCCCTCATAGCCAATTCCTGAGATTCCACCTCCTAAAGCTCTCTCAAATGGATTCCTTTTTTCCAGCCTCTCCATTTGTACTACTACAACCTTAGCATTTCCACACACATACAATACCCTCTTTGTTTATGAAGCTCCCTATCCCTGTCTCTCTGCCTGGAATGTCATTCTTGATCCTTTCTACTTGGTTCACTGTTACTCAAACCTGAGGCTTCAGCTAGGTATCACTTCTTCCAGGTAGATCTTGGCTGAGTTAGGTGTCCTGCCCCAAAGTCTATGCACCCATAGTCTTACCTATCAGAGCCTGTATCACACATGCTGTTCTCTATTTCTCTGTTTATTCCTCTGTCTACCCTATTTAGCCTGAAAATTCAGTGAAGACAGGAATGAATTAGATCAATTTCCACCTCCAGCATCACTCCAGAACCTGAAACAAGGAGGGGTTCAATAAATGTTTATACCACATGTGGGCCAGAAATAAGAAGCCACCAAACTTATGATGAAGAAATTTCATATTTGCTTGCATATATTTTACAGCAAATGTATGTGGTATACAGAACAATGCTGTATAGCCCTTTTCTAACTATGTGTATTTCTGTACCTCTATATTTATATACACATATGTATGAATGTACACACACATATATGTCTGTTTCTATAGAGGCATATCTAGCAGGCAAGTAAGTTAACCTACCCACACGCAAGTTATTTACACAAGTGGTGAAGCTTTTATGTTGACGCCTAACAATCATAACCTGTGCACTGCTGCCCAGTGCCATTGTACCTACAGTGCAGGTGAACAATGGAGAGGAAACAGCTCCTTTCTCAAAGAGCTCATGGAAGAACCTGACCCTGAAGAGAGACTGCTATACCACCAGGGTTGGGTCCTTCATGTCTCCCTCTCCCTCATCCCTTACAGCCAGTGCACCAGCAAGCCCTGCTGATTCCACCTTAATTTTTTTTTTTTTTTGAGACAGGGCCTTGATTGTCACTCAGGCTGGAGTGCAGTGGCATGATCACAGCTCACTGCAGCCTCAACCTCCCAGGCTTAAACAATCCTCCTATCTCAGCCTCCAGAGTAGCTGGGGTCACAGGCATGCACCACTGCACCCAGCTAATTTTTAAATTGTTTGTAGAGATGGGGTTTTACTATGTTGCTCAGGCTGGTCTCCAACTCCTGGGCTCAAGTGATCCTCCCACCTAGCCCTCCCAAAGTGCTGGGATTATAGGTATGAGCCACTGCACCTGGCCTGATTCCACCTTTGAAACATTCCCAAAGTCCTTCTTCATTCCATCTCCGATGCCACTACTCTGGTTCAACATGCCCCCACCTCTTGCCAGACTAATGAAGTCAACTTCTTACTGGTCTACTTGTTCATTCTGGCCTTCCTCCCACCAAGTTTCCACACATGCCCAGAGTGGGCTTTTTTGAAAAATGTGCAACACATTCAGATTACTCCTACTTGATGTGGACCCCATCAATGACATCTCATTGTTGTTTGGGCAGCATTTGAATCCCTCAACATGAACTATAAAGCCTGGTGGCCTGGCTTCCTTTCTAGCCTCATCTCCCTTTTCTTCAGATCTCACTATTGCTGTCCCAGCCTCTGTGCTATTCTTTCCTTCAATCCCCTGAAATTGCCATGCTCTCTTCTCATCTCTGGGTCTTCACATGAGTTATTTTCTGTCTCTGAATTAAATTTATTTCCCCACTCCCCAGACCATTTCATCTCCTTCTTATATCACCTCTAGCTTCCTCCAGGAAGCTTTCCTTGTAAATTCCCCAGCACCAAGTTGAGTCAGGAGCACCCTTACCCTCTGATCCTCCATAATCCCTTCTACTTCTCCTCTCATAGCCCTTTGTCACACTGAGATGTAATGTCCTATTTACTGTCTGTCTTTAGGATGAGGGCAGAGACTTTGTCTATTCTGGCCTTCACTGGATCCCCAAGACATAGAATAAGGTCTAGCACATGGCTAGTTGTCAAAAAAGTTTGTTGAATTAATTAGGCTCCCCATAGGGGCTGGAGCAGAGGCAACCCAGGGGATAATCCCAGACTCAAGTCACCCCCACACACAGGAGATTCACCCCATGCATCTCACCGCATCAATCTCATTCAGGGCCTTCCACTGCTCATAGGGGACACCCAGGGCCTCAGCTGTCTGGATGGTCCTCTTCATGTGACTGGTCCACACCTTCAGGGAGCTGATGCCCTGGGACTGAATGAAGTTGGCCAGGGCATAGGCATACTAGGATGTGGGGATGCAGAGGAGGAGAGAAGGGGAAAAGGAGAGGTGAGAGAGAGCAGGGTGGCCATCAGAACAAGCTCAGATCTGCCACAAATTGAGTGGTGATGAACAAGCAGAGCAAAGAGTTTAAATGTTCCAAACTTATAAAAAGCCATACTCTTTCCAATGTGATGGTGGGCCAAGGGAATAGAAAAGAGCATGACAGAGAGAGAGAGAGAGAGAGAGAGAGAGAGAGCGCTTATTTGACGATTGCTCACCGAAGCCCCTACTTGGTTATTCATTCATTCAAACAGGCCCACCTCTAACATTTGTGGAGCCTGGGACAAGAGTACCAATGGAGGCACTCCATGCACAGTCTATCTCTCCATTTCTGGCTCTATCCTGCACTTCTACGTGCCTTTAGTACATGCTTGTGGATAACCAAGTCACATGACCAAGTTCTGTCCACATTTCCACCTCCACTGATCCCCATGCTCCACAAACAGCAACCCCTTGGTCGTGTGATATGGCCTGACCTCAAGTGGACAGGCCATGTAGGCACTGATAGGCCCATGTAGGCACTGAAAGCGGACTCTAGACAAAAAGGGCAAAGAATTCTAGGTTTGGGGTTACCCAGAGTATGGACTGGAAGTAGGGGTTGTGGGATTTGGGAGACATTACTTTTTGACACTGTGAACACTTATTGCTTAAGCAGGGTTCCTGGTACCCAGGTTCTAAGGGCATTCACACATGTATTGAGTGTTCGTGGCCCTGTGCTGGGTGCTGGGGTGTTCTTGTTCTCAAGACATGGCCAGTCCAGTGAGGGAAACACTGGCAGCACCGAGGGGAACCATAAAGGGCTGTGGGAGCCCAGAGGAGCTAGTGATTTCCTCCTCTGTGTATAGGTGTGTCGTTAACTGCTGACGGCATGTGTTAGGAACATCTGCACAGGTGCAAAGTTCCAGGCACACATTTCTATATGCAGCTATAGGCGTTTCATACATACATTTCATTATGGACCTGAGTCAGGAGTCAGCGTGCTCTGGTGGAAGGAGCCCTTGACAGGGAGGTATGAGCCATAGGTTAAACTCCCTCAGCTCCCTTACATGGTCCCTTGTGCCCTCGGACACATCCCTGCCCCTCTCTGGCCTCATATCCAAAGAGCATTGTCTCATCTGGCCTGCTGTCTGGGGGCTGCACTTTAGATAGTGGATGGGGAGCACCCAGACCACAGCCTGGTACACAGTGGGTGCTGCGCAAGTGAGAGCTACCTCGACGGGGAGGTGCTTTGTAAACTGGGCCTGGTGCTCTGTGAGAAGCGTCAAGGTGGCGCCAGCTGTGTGCATGCACACACACAGGTTTGTGTGCAGGGAGGCGTGCCCTGTGGAGACAGCCACATGTCCAGCTGGGCTCCGAGCTGTGTGGGCAGGGCCGGGCTGGCTCCACCCAAGAGGGCCCTGGCTGCAGGGGCTGCCATGGGCTGGGGTCACACCTCGAGCAGCCTCTGACTCTGCTCTGAGGAGTGGGACATGAGGGAGTCACAGGTCAGCGTCTACCTCGAGGGGAGGCTGTCAGTCTGGAGGTAACAGAAAGGGAGACACCAGGGTGTGGCCATCCAGGATAGTGCCTTGCCTGGGGCACCTCCCCCCATCTCCAGTGGGGGAGCTGAGGGCAGGCCAGTAGGCCCGGCTTTCAGTCCTGGCTCTGTCTCATCCTGGCCGCCTGCCCTGGGGCTGCTCTCTGCTTCTTCATCCATAAACTTGTGGCAGGAATGCCCACCCCACAGACCTGTGGTGAAGATGAAATGAGCCACACATGCGGAAGCAGATGGCACCGTGACTGTGCATAGGTGTCCAATAAATGACAATTATGACAACAACTGTCCTTCCTGCACTTCATTTCCCACCTGTTCCATCCCCAAGCGGTCCTGCCAGCAGGAACAATACCTGTGCTAATAAGCCCAGGCACAGGGCCAAATGCTGTGGAAATGGATCCCTGTATTCAGCCAGCAACCAGCCAGTAGGTCACTGTGCCGGGCTGGGGAGAAGATACTCAGGCCAGGAGAGCCACACATAGGCCAGAACTGGGAGAGCTGGAGCCCAGGGCATGGCAACCTGCCTGGGAGGGAGGAGAGGATGGGGAGGGCTTCCTGGAGCAGGTGCTGGGCCTTGGAAGGGAGTGGGGAGGGCAGGAAGGACACTGTCATGAGTGGGGACAGGGGCTGCCAGTGTGACACCTGCGTTGGGATAAGGTCGGGAGGGCAGAATTGGGAAGAAGAGTGATTCAAGGGTGGGTCTCTCAGGGCAGCTGTATGTGCCACTGACAGTCACCCACTGACAGAGGAGACAGAAGAGGGTAGACCAGGTGGGGAAGCTGCACTAGCAAAGGCACAAACTCGTGAGAAAGATGAGGGAACCAGTCAGGCAGGGCCAAGGGAGTCACTGTCATGGAGCAGCTGGCTTTGGGCAGGCCTTGGGTGCCAGGGCCAAGCTCTTAGACCTGCAGAACAGGTGGCATTGGGAGCCATTCGGCGGCTGGGTCCAGACTGAGCAGCTGATGGGTGGAAGAGCAGGAGTGATGGAATCTGCTTCTCCCCCATCCCTGGGTCATTCCACCTCAGGACCCAGAATGTGGCCACCACTACACCTGCAGCCCACCTAGGACAGCCCAGCCAACCCATCTGGGTGTGTGTGGCCCACCCTACCTGCTTGCCGCGAACTGAGAGGCCAGAGTCACCTCCGATGCGGCCTCTGATGTTGAGTTCACTCTCGCCATGTCGGCAAAGGTAGATGGAGCGAGGTGTGACATGGATATTCATGAGGTAGTAGACTGTGCGGCTCTGGATGTGATCCTGCACTCGGTTCACCATGTAGCGTGTGCCCACGTCGAAGATCTTGATGTAGGACAGGTGGCTGGGCCAGACCCAAGCAGGAGCAAGGGCAGCTCAGGGGCTAATGGTGGTAGGGTTGACCCCGAGAGAAACCCCGAACCACACACCCTTTCAAACCTCTTCCACAACCCAGCTGTCACCTAATGTGATGCAATGCCTTGCCCTGTACCGAGTACCTGTCCTAGAGACTTGGTTATTGGCCACCCAAAGGAGCTCATTGCATGCTACCATTTCCCCCTGTCTCCTTCCTTCAGCCTCAACTTGAGCCAAACTGCCTTTTCACCTTCACTCATCCTGTTACAGGCAGCTGGGTTCTCTCTTCTGTGGTTCACACCCCTAACATAGTCAGAGAGAAGCAGTATCCTTTGCATCCCTGGCTAGCTCCAATGTCTTACTGGCAGCTCCTGACTTGTTCACTCCTCTACCCTTTCTGATCCTGAGTTGAGCTCTTCACTCCTCTTTTTTTTTTTTTTAGCCTCTGCTACATATTGTCTTTTATACTCTACACACAGCTACCAGATTGCCTCTGTGTGCATATGTGTGTCTGTGCATGTGTGTGTTTCTCTCCTCACTCAGAAGTGGGGTTGGCCTGGGTTATTTTCCTATTTGCTATGCAGTCAACAAACATACTCCAAACATACTCCTCTGTTCTAGGCATTGTGCTTGGCATGGAGACCCACTGTCTGTGCTTTGGGAGCTCTCTGGCCAGTCAGGAACAAATACTTGGAAACACATGATCAGTGCTCAACATTCATTCCATAAATAGTCACTCCCTCTAAGGTGTGCCAAGCAGTGGGGCATGGGGATACAGAGGTGGTCCACAACATTATTGGGGAACTTGTGGTCCTTGTCCCAAGTTCCTTACTGTATCCTCAATTCTGTGCTCTGTCATGAACTAATACCTATATACTGAATGATATTTAAACTGTTCAACCACCTGTTTGTGTAGAAGCTGAAGGGTGGAGTATAGGCACTGACTAATCAGAAGACTAGAAACATGGAGCAAGACTTCTGAGGCCTACGCTGTACCAGGCATTAAATCCTTTAGTTGTTGGCCTGTACAGAGTTCAGAGAAATCCCTGGGAAGAGGAGTGGAAGGCTGGGGCAATGGGGTGACACCAGCAGCCCTGGTTGCATGGTAACAAAACCGAGTGAATGGAAAGAGCTGCACTGCACTAACTCCAGGCAGGTAAGGTTGCTGATAGGTTTGGTTTCAGAAAGCCTCTCCCTAGTTCTTCCTAGAGAAGCCCTTTATGGCTGCACCACACTCATCATGCCCATCTGTGCCTAATGGCTTCCACAGGGCACTTGTATTTGTTGAACACTTTCTGTGCATCTGGCAGGGAGTGGGAACTTTTAAGCGCATGAATCCTCATAATATTGCTACAGAGCAGAGATTATCACCTCTGTTTCAAAGATGAAGAAACTGAGGCATAGAGAGAGAAAGTGATTTCTCCAAGGCCACCTTCTCGGGAAGAAGAACCCCAGAATGCTCCCCTCTCCAATCATTTCTTCTAGAACCCTCAGAGCCTAGGGATAGAAAATATCTGATGTAAACTTGTTGCCTGGCTACTGTCTGTTCCTAACACTAGGTCCTTTGAGGCTCTAGGAGCTTCCAAATTCCTCAGCTTAGTCTGATCTTCTGGTTTTGCCTTCTCACACTGAGCCCAGTTGGCCTCACTTTATGGTCCCATGCCCATACCCATATCTTCTCTGTTTCATTCTTGTCTTCATACCTTTGCTATTACTCTTGGAATATTTTCTGTATTTCTCTACTCTTGTTCAGATTTAACTAGGCACTTACAAAGTGCTATTCTCTTTGCCCGATTTCCAAAGTTGAGCTGCTATGCATTTATACCTCAAGAGCCGGCATATTCACTCTCTTTTTTGAGACCAGGATCATGTGAAGTCATTTAGAGGTGTTCCACACCAAAAATAGCAGAGTAGCTAATGCCTACCCTCATCCAAACTTTTAATTTTATTTAAAAATTTTTTAAAAAATTTTTAAATTTTTATTTAAAATAAAAATTATAAACTACAGAATATGGGGAGGTCCTCCCAAGTTCTGGTTTTATATTTTTCCACTTTGACTACCTTGATGCTGTTTTTGAAATAGTCAATATTATAAAAGCCTTTAAGCCAGCTGGGTGCGGTGGCTCATGCCTGTAATCCCAGCACTTTGGGAGGCCAAGGCGGGCAGATCATTTGAGGTCAGGAGTTCGAGAACAGCCTGGCCAACATGGGAAACCCTATCTCTAATAAAAATACAAAAATTAGCCAGGCACGGTGGCGGGCACCTGTAGTCCCAGCTACTCAGGAGGCTGAGACAGGAGAATTGCTTGAACCCAGGAGGCAGAGGTTGCAGTGAGCTGAGATCACGCAACTGCACCCCAGCCTGGGTGACAGAGCGGGACTCTGTCTCAAAAATTAAAAATAAATAAATAAATAAAAGTTTTTAAGATAGTTTTTTTTCTTAGTTTGGTAGCCCTTATCTTGCTGGTAACCTCAGTGTAGTCTGCCTATTGGGTAATCCAGCTCGTTTAGACCTTCTTCCTCTAAGCTGGACTGGGTCCTATGTTCCTACAGCCCAGTTGGTTTACTGTCACCAGAGTTGTGACCAACTGTGTACTCATTGTCTTCTCCAACTAACTGGACATTCTGTCAAATCAGGGACAGCCCTTTCCTCTTTTGATTCCACGTTCAGGGCTGGGACCTGATGCATAGACTGTAAATGTCTGTTGATGGAGAAATGATGACATAAAGCTGACCTTCTAGATCTGTCTTCTTCTGGCCCAAACTAATTCATCAAACAGCAACCTAGCAACTGCAGGGTCTAGGCCCAGGGCTGGGGCTTTGTCAATGCCGTTCTTTCACTTACATCCTTCACCCCGGCCTTCAGGCTCCTTTCACCATATGCTGTTAGCCCATATTGTGCCTTTGTGATAATTTTAAAAAGCCGTACTTTCCTCAGGGTCACACAGCCCTACTTCAGCACACATCTTGGTGAGAGAAGCGAGTGTACCCTTGACCAGGGTGCCTGTACAATGAACAATCTGCACAACTGGGATATGGGTTCGAGTATATATTGTGCTACTGACTCATTCATTGTGTAGCCCAAGGTAAGACTTTGACTTGATCTGGGTCTCAGTTCCTCCATCTAAAGAGTGGGGCAGTAACAGTGCTCATTTCTTGGTACTTCAGTTGGGTAAGGCCACTCTTTAGATTTCTTAGAGTGGTGATGACCATTTGAAGCCTCTTTATACTTCTCACTTGGGGTCTCTTCTCATCATAATACATTTTCAAAGAGAGTAGGGTTCTGGGAACATTCTATATCTAAAACTCACATCTGCTCTCTCCTATCTTTAGTTGGTATGATGACAGAACATTTCTTGTTTTTTTTTATGGGTCTTCTCATATGTCAAAGCACTATAGAAGCTACCCGAGGATAGAACCCACCTCTTTTGCCCCTATTTATACCCCCTACATATACCACAGCCCAAAGGGTCCAAATACTTGTTGATTGATGAGACATGGGAGTGTTGTGAAAAGAGACATGACTAGGAGACAGAACATGTAATTAGAATCCTAGCTCTACCCCTTGTGGTGGGAGCTTGGGAAAGTAATTTCAACTCTCTAAGACTCAATTTCTTTTTCTTGAAATTTTATGACCATAAGACTTATCTCAGCCTCCTTTACAGGAGTCCTAGAGGATTAAATGTAAGAAAGAAGGTATACATGTTTGGAAACTGAAGTGTCATTCACGTGTGAAGAACACTTTTGTAATAATAATCGCAACACCCACAGGAGGGGGGCATTTGTTCCCAGGGTCCTGAACTGTTCATATTGCTCAGGAAAGCACTATTTTAGTCATCTTAGGAACACCTTACACATCAAGGAATCAGAGCTGAAAGGATCCTTGAAGAAAGATCATCAAGTTCAGTTTCCTGATATTACAGATAGAGAAGTTGAGGCCCAGCAAGGGAGGATATTTACTCTAGGTTCTACAGGATATCAAAACTGGGTGAAAGATCTAGACCTTGACTTTGGGGTGCTGGCTCTTACCTGTCCAGTTCCTCATCCAAGGGTTGGTAGTTGACCTCATAGCACTCAATTCTCTTTAGAAAGTCTTCCAGAACCTTTTCCCGGTCACAGTCTATATAATCAGGGCTGCCAAGTTTCACTTGCTGGGAGCAGGGAGAACAGAGGTATCAAGGGAGACATTGGGAGACAGATGGTTTTCTTTGGAAGTTCCCTTAGAGACCATTGAGTACAAGATGCCTCATTATAAAGATGAGGAAATTGAGACCTGGAGAACACATCTTGCCCAAGTTTACAAAAATCAGCCAATTGAAAAGAAGCTGGTTGTGTGACTCCTCATTCCTAATCTCAAACAAGGCCTGTTACATTATACTCAGTCCCAGAGAATACACTCCTTATAAAAGAAGAACATTTATAAGAGGACCAGAAATTGTGATATGAGAAATGGCTGAAGAAGAGGAACTAGAGATCTTGGCCAGGGGTCATTATGACTTACATGTATCAAGTGTTTACCGGGAGATTATGATGTGCTGTCTTTGGATTTCTGAAGACTGGCCTCTCCTAATCCACCAATACCCACGTCTCCTCCCACAGTCCTCATCTCAGGTACTGGCACTATCACCTACCCAGTCATATGATCCTAAATGGAACCTGGGAGTCATCCTAGATGTCTGTCTTTCTATCATCCCTCACCTCTTAGCAGGTACCAAATCCTCTCCACTCTATCATCTCCTCTAAATATCCATTCTTTCTTGCTTGTGCTCACTATAGCTTTGTGCCCAATTACTTTGTCTATATTCTTTTTAGTTCTAATGTATTCACCATACTGGCAGCCAGAAGGGTATTTCTAATATGAACATCTGGCCAAAGTATTCTCCTGCCTAAAGCCCTTCTACATTTTGTCATACCTTTTAGAAAAAAGTGTGAATTATTTTAGCAGGTGGCTCATGGCTTGTCATGATTGGGCCCCAAATTATTTCTTCATCCTTATCTCCCATGGCTCCCTTATTCCTCCACACATTTGGCTTTAGCCAATTTAAGCTACTTATAGTTCTCTGGAGATGCCATACTTAGTATATGCTTATATCCTTATTTTCCATTCTTCACCCACCAAATTCTTATGTGTTCTTCAAGGTACCATTCATTTTAATTTTACCTCCATTAGGAAGGCTTCCCTGATTTCTGCCCCCATGCAAAGTTAGGCCCTCAGCACTGTCTTCCCAAAGTTCCTCTGTTCCCTCATCTCACCTCAGTTCTCAGAGTTCTGTATATATACTTGCCAGTCTTCCTTACTAGACTGTGCGCTCAAGGGAAGGACTCTCCACTATCCATATATATGTCTCTAATGCCCAGAATGGCCAAGACCAGGTATATAGTCAATTTCTATTGAATCAATAGATAGATAGATAGATGGGAGGATGAAGAAGGAAGGGAGGAAATGGACATGCTGTATGTCCCAAAAAGTTAAAAAAATGACCTATTAATAAAAATTACAGGGAGGCAGATTCCAGCTTGACTGGACCGCATTTGTTGAAAGCAATGGGCCCCTTGTCATTGCAGGTATAAAAAGAAAATATAGATATACATTTAGGTAAGATTTCAAGTATCTGATGGAGGGTAGAAGAAAATTACCCTTAAGGTCTCTTCTGTTCTTGAGCTCCAGTAATTTGATGAAGTAGGGAACAACAAAATGTGGTAAATGACCTAGTTCTAGACCACATGTCTAGAATCTAAGAGCAGTGATAGTTCTGGTATGAATTTTGGGGCAGAATAAAAAATGTAGGCTTTTGAGGCAGACAGCCAAGCCTGAGGTCCAGTCCCACTTCCATCCCTTTGTATGAATTTTTGACAATTCATTTATGCTTTTGGAACCTCAGTTTCCTCTCTCTAACATGGAAATAATCTCTAATATGCAGTTTTGTTGTGAAAATTAATGACAGTCAAGTTTGATATCTGGAGCATACAAAGGGCACTATATATGTTGGCTTCATTAAAATTAATAGAGTCATTGTAAGCCAGGATGGTTAGGGAATGCTTCCTATGAAAACTCAGAGAAGATCAGGGAGGAATACTTTCTTTAATCTCATGGAGTTGCCTTAGGCATAATCTCACCTCTGCCTTAGGCATGATCTAAGCCTAAGGCAGAGCAAAGTGGAAAAGTAACTGGTGGTCCTTACCCTGATGTTTTCTGCAATTATGCCAGGGTCATTACAAATGGACTCAATGAAAAACACCTATAAAAGAAACAGAAAAGAGATTTCCAGCAGGAAATTATGTTTGGTAGGAGCTGAACATAGCTTTACTCCTTTTCAATGGCTCTAAGTCATCTCCAGGGGCATCTCTGACAACATAATGCTCTCATACAGTGGTACTTCCAGGCTTCTGAGTTTCATGAGGCAAATTGGCTCTAAACTGAATGACCCCAGACTGTTGTTTTATATCTTTACTGGGTTTAGGTCTTATATAAGTTTTTTGTAGTGACTCTCTCCACTCTTTCCCCATAGCCAGCCTGTCTGCAGTCAACTTCCATTGCCTAATGTGGCACCCCTCCTTTCTTGTTCTGCTTTGCTGCTTCTGACTATATCCTGGAAAGTTAGAGAACCAAATTAAAATGTTGAGCTTATGGTTGCGGATTTGGCCGCTCTGAGTCCCCTGGTTTGCCTTTCTTTGGGGTTTGTGCTGGAGAAATAGGCTCTAGATAAGAGTTGGAGTGTTACCATACCTTGTAACCATGTTCTTTTGCAAACTGCAGGATCAGTGACCGTCGTTCTCTGGTAGTGTTGGTGGCATCAAAAACCTAGAGGCAGGTAATGAGATTGGCTTACTCTGAATCTGGTGCTAACAGAACACCTACTCTTTGCCCATCCCTGTGCTAAGTGGAGGGCTTCCATATGGAGGTAGAACTTGAACAAGGTCTTGAAGGATAGGAAGGATTCATGATTGGCTTATGACAATTTCACAAGCACATATTGGGCCCTTATGGTCTGTCCAGAAATGTATGCTACCCTGTGAGTGTAATAAGGCAAGAGGAAATTGTGGGTTTTTATTAGGGTCATTTTATAGGTGAGGTAACTGAGGCCTAGAAGAAGTTGGCTTGACCAAAGTCACCGAGAGTTGCTGACAGAGCAGAGCTAGAACTGGTTCTCTCAATTCCTAGCTGAAGCTTCTTCCTTCCTTATCACTTTAGAAGTCCTCTAAAACAGGAAACAATTCCCTAACCTCAGCACCTGAGATTGGACCATTTGCATATTTGAGAATCTCCTCCCCTTTTATAATTTGCAAATCCTAGCCAAAATATTGACTAGATATTTAGGTAAGTCTCTATAACTCAAAACTGTTTGTACTGCAGTTTTAAATTCTAATATAGTCCTGCTGAATTATTGGGGGTAGACTGGTAGTGTATAGTGGTTAAGAGCGGGGATTCTGAAGCTATGCAACCTGGATTCCACTTCTGGCCCTGCCAGGTATACGTTGTACCACCTTGGGAAATTATTTAATGTCTCTGTGAACCATTCTTCTGGGCTCTGAATTGGGGCATAATAACAACACCTATCTCAAGGGGGGAGCATAAAATTAAATTATTAATATATGCAAATACTCAGAACATAATGTTCTGTACACATTGGTAAATGTTCAGTACATATTAGCTAATTCCCTTCCCAGTAGTTACCCAAGGAAAAAATAAAAAATTTCTTTACCGCAACATGACCTTCCTCATGGCTGAGATAGTTGTGAACATCCTTCAGGGCTGCCAGGGCGCACTGCCTGAAATAGACCAGGAAAGAAAAAGAGGCAACCCTTATCCCCCAGGATGGATTTCTCTCTCATTGTCTGCAGTATCTTCTGTACCATCTCTCATGTCTTAGACTAACTTATCATGTATTGAACATCTACACAGGGTGCCCTACGCTTTAGGCACCGTGCTAAGCACAGAGGGGTCAAACAGTTGAAAGTGGCTATGTGTGCACAGCTTACACGGTTTACGGGCAGGTATAAAGTGACACAATCAGGAAAAGCTGAGCAATGACAGAAGCCATAATATTAAGGGCTCCAACCCTTGAGCTAATGGAACTCAAGCTGAACTGTTTTATGGACCCAAGTAGAGCATGTGGTCTGTGAAGTAAAAGGCATTCCTGGCATGGGTAACACACAGGCATGACAGTGGCAATGTATTTATGCTTTCAGCAAAAATCTCTTTAGTGATTACTCACTGCCAGGTTCTATAATGAAGGCATAAGGCACAGGCTCTATTCTGCAAGTACTCAGAGTCTTGTAGTGCAGAGAGACCTTGAGGTTGAACTGATGAGACTACAGAAACTAGAGTAGGCCAAGGTATTGAGATTCATGCCTCAAATGCTAAGCTGAGAAGTTTCTACTCTCTCCTGTCAGAAGTAGAAGACCATTAAAGGTTCTTGATAAGTGGATGGTTATGACCAGAAACAGGATTTGGGCAGGAAAATGGAAGGGCTGTTCCAACTACTGTTTGAGAGTCTAGAGGGCCTCCTTTCTGGTCCAGATTATTCTTGACCAGAAACAGGATTTGGGCAGGAAAATGGAAGGGCTGTTCCAACTACTGTTTGAGAGTCTAGAGGGCCTCCTTTCTGGTCCAGATTATTCTGCCCTACTCCCCCAATATCTGAACAAGGGCCTTTCAGCCATGAGACAGCACAGGTTCCTAAAATATTGGGTACTTACTTCCTGATTTGCAGGGCTTCCATGTTGTCTGGAAGAAAGAATTCATAGTTCTTGTAGCTCACTGCCTCTCGTCGATACTGGCCTAAATTAAACACTGAAAGCAGGGAGTGCCAGTGAAGAGGTTGGGAAGATCCCAGTGGCCAAAAAAATGTCCTTGCTGGGAGGGACCTCAGAGGTAGAAGAAGGTATAATTTGTAGCTACAAAATGTGCTTTTAAAACTTCAAATTATGGCTACCAGTTTATTTATTCCTCACAACAGCCCTGCAAAGTAGAGATCACTATTACCATTTTATAAATGAGGAAACTGAAAGTTCAGAGATAGGAAATAACTTACACAGTGTAAGTTATTTCCTATCTGTGGATATCTGAGATCAAACCCAGGTCTATTTAGCTCCATAGCTGGTGGTCTTTCCATTATTCTACTTTATCATAAATGCCAATCCTTAAAATGCCCTACTCCAGTGGAAAGATGAAGAAATGGAGATCTAGGGAGTAAAATTAATCACCAAGGGTCAAACAGTGAGTGAGCTGGTGACAGATATAGACTGGACCTCCTGACTTCTAGTCCAAAGTTATTTTATTTTTCTATATTATGAGGAAGATTCTAAATCTAAATCTCTAGGCCATACTTTCCCACTTGCAATGATGAAAAACTAGAGAGGAGGGAAGGAAAGGAGGAGAAAGAAGATAAGCAGCCAAAGAGTTAATATTTCATTCACTCATCTAACAAATACTTTTTGACTCCTACTCTGTGAATCAGGATATGAGCTCTGGGTCTCAGGGATTAGCCCGATCTTCATGATGGGGCCTTTAAGGCACTCACAGTCCAACAGGTAAGACAGTGAGTAAACCAGTAAATGGAGAGCTCCCACAGAGTTTGTTCAATGCTCTGACAAAGACAATATTAAGCCACGGAAGACAGTGAGAGAGAAGGAAAGACTAATTGTACTTGGAATGATCTGAGAAGGTTTCACCACTTGAACCAGGCTTTTTAGGGTAGGCACCTTTTACAGGCAGATATGGGCAGCGGGAGTCAGGAACAAAGGCATTCCAGGTAGAGGAACAGCTTGAGCAAGAGTATGGCATTGGCAGAAGGAAGAGCATGTTTGGAGGATGGTGAGTCATCCACTATAGCTGAGGCCTGAGATGCTGGAAGGGGCCAATTGTGGAGGGCCTTGAACAACAGGGTAAGGAGCTTGGATTTAAACCTGCAGGCCAAGGGGACCTTTGGAGGCCACAGGCATGTTCAGCTTTGTGCTTTGAAATATGACTCTGGAGGCCTTTGAGAGAATTGAGTGAAGAAGATAGAAAGCAGGGGAATCAGAACCCATGATGGGGCCCTTAAGGCAGAAACCCGTCTGCCAGTGTCCCATGTGCCTCTACACTCAGCAGATTTTCCTGAGAGCTTGCAGTCCTCCATGAGAGCTGCTCCTTCTCTCCTTCCCTTCTGCCAATGTCTTATTCCTCCCACAAGACTCAGCTCAAACATATCCTATGTAGGAAGCTTTCCTTGCCTTCCAGTTGGCATATCCCTTTGTGATTTCATACAGCGCCCTGCTCCTGCTCTAGAATTCCTAGATGATATGAGGTATTCTTATACATCCCAGCTAGACTCAGAACTCCTCAAGGACAGGGTGTGAGTCTCAACCAGTTTTGTATCCCCACTGCCTAGCAGGAGTTTGGGCACATGGTAAACCATCGGGAAACTCCTCACCAGTGAATTAGATAAAGAGAACATAGATGAACAGAAAGAAGAAATGGGAAAAAGAAACAAAAATTGGGGAGAGGAAGGAAGAGGGGGAGAGATAGAGTGAAGTGGGGCAGAGAGACAGGATGTTGAGATTAACAAGGAAAAGAAGGAGACAAAAAGAATGAAGAAAAGGAGACTATAGGGCTAACATGGGATTCTTTTCTCTTCCAATCAGTAGAATCATGCATTAGACTTGGCACAGTGAATATCAGGCTTAGAATCAAATAGACCTGGGTTCATATCTTGGTTCTGTAACTGGATATATGCCTTTAGACAAGGCACTTCACTCCTTGGGCCTTAATTTCCTCAGCTATGAAATGGTGAAGAAGTGGTAATGCTAATAAAAGTAGTAATATTGGTATGGCAATAATAGTAATGGCAATAAAAATAATATGTTACTCACAGGATTGTTTTGAGGTCATGGAACTTCTTGAGAGAAGACATTTAATCTTAATACTAGTTTTCCTATGCTTAGCACCTAGAGTGGTGTTGGGCACAAAGTATGTGCTCAAGAAGTTATAAAATGTATAAGAATGTAGTAATAGTGGTAGCAGTAGTCCTAATGCTGGTAATAATAATGATGGGGCATTTCTGGTATTGAGGACTTTGGCCTTCTACCTAAGTAAGGTTTTCAGCCAGTAGCTTTTATGGGGTTGTTGAACAAAGGCTTTCAGAGACATACCTTTAGTTGGTGTTCCTATCCAGTTGAGATATCGTGTGAGCTTTGTGGAGATATAGGTCTTGCCTCGAGCTGGTAAACCCACCATGATCACCATTGTGGGGGAATTGGTAAACTGGGGTATGGATGCTGAAAAATAAACAGACCCTCAAAAGCTTATCCTCAGATTCATAGGCTCTTCTGGTATTAGGCCAGAAATGTAGAGTTGTAAAGAACATGTCTCCCACCATTACAGTAACGAAAAAACCGGGAAAGTGAAAATTAAGAACTTCTCTCAGACTCATCAGAAAACTGAGGTTGCAGTACCACAAACCTGTAGAAACAACCATCTTCAAGGGAGCCACAGGAACAGGCATTTGCTTACCTGGTGCAGATACCACTGAACAACATACAAACTTTATAAGAGGATTCAGCTAAAAATTATAATGAATTGCTAAAGGCTGGTTATGGGCTAGTGTGAGAATGTGAAGCCTGTAGGGGCTGCAGACATAGGCAATTTTGCACCCCTTTGCAGAGTTTTCCTCCAGGAACTGCCCCAGGTGCTGACAAGAAAGACTGAGAAGAATCCTGAGAAAGATATCCTGTAGTTCTGCTCGGGCAGAACAGTATAATAGCTGTTGCTGAAATTCTGCACAGACTAGTTTCCCTATATTCTCTATGGAGCAAAAGCCTTACTATTCAGGGAAAAGGCAACAAAAACCAGCTTGAAAGTACTGGGAGAAACTCACTGCAGCTGGCAGAGCAGAATGGCCAACATCACTGAAACTCTGCCCATACCAATCTACCTTATCTTCCCAAAGGGAAAAAAGTCTTAGTCCTCAGAAGAAAGGGCAACAGAAACTGAGGGCACTGGTGAAAACTCACTACAGCTGGGGGAGAAAATTGAAAAAAAAAAAAGTCCTAACCCAGGAGGGGCAGGAAAATGTGCTAAGCCCACTTGGGTTAGAACATAGGAGGAGGGGCAGGAACACTTGTGAAGGTCATACCTCCAACACCCAGGGTAAGCCTGCCTAAGACTGAGACTTAATCAGCATAGCATAGAATGTCCCAGGTCCCCATTCCCCCACTACCAGGCTAAAAAGCATCAGTAAAAATAACAGTGGAATACATCTATAAGAGATTTAAGAGATATATTATCTCCAGGGTGTAGCACAAAGGGCGAACAAAGCAAGGAATAAAAACAATGTCTGAAGAGAAAAGCAATCATTAGGACCAGAGTAAGTTATGACACAGATGTTGGAAATATCAGACAAGGAATTTGTTTATTTATTTGGATTATTTTACTTTCTTTTTTTACATTATAGATTCAGGGGTTATATGTTCAGGTTTGTTACCTGGGTATATTGTGTAATGGTGGGGTTTGGGCTTCTAGTGAACCCATCACCCAAATAGCGAACATAGTACTCACTAGGTAGTTTTTCAACTCTTGCTCCCTCCCACTGTTCCCCCTTTTGGAGTCCCCTTTGTCTACTGTTTCCATCTTTATCAGATAGGAAACTTAAAATAGCTATGATTAGTATGTTAAAGGCTCTATTGGAAAAGTTTATCATGCAAGATCAGATAGGTAATTTCGGCAGGGAGGTGAAAAGTATAAGAAAGAATCAAATATAAATGGGAGAGAAAAAAACACAGTAACAGATCTGAAGACTATCTTTGATGTGCTCATCAGTAGACTCCGCACAGCTGAGGCATCAGTGAACTTGAAGATAGGTCAATAGAGATCACACAAACTGAAATGCAAAGAGAAAAAAAGAGCAAAAAAAGAAACCAGAACAAAACATCCAAGAACTGTGGGACAATATCAAACAGTATAACATATACGTATTTAGAACACAAGAAGGGGAAGAAAGAATAAGGCAGAAGAAATATTTGAAGACATAATGGCCAAAATTTTCCAAATTAATGACTGACACCAAACCACAGATTCAAGAAGCTCAGAGAACACCAACCAGGGTAAATACCAAAACCAAACCAAAAACCACACCCAGACAATATCAAATTCAAATTGCAGAAAATCAAGACAGAAATAAAATCTTGAAGATTGCCAGGAAGAAGGCGGTAGGTGGGGAACATCTTACCCACAGAAGAACAAAGAGAAGAATTATACCAGACTTCTTGTCAGAAACCACATAAGCAAAAAGACAGTGAAATGAAACCTTTAAAGTATTGTAAGAAAAAAATGCCAATCCAGAATTCCAAGTTCTGCAAAAATATCCTTCAAAAATTAAGATAAAATACTTTTTCAGACAAACAAAAACTGAGGAAACTCAACATCAGCAGACTGTCTTACAGTCTAAATATTAAAGGAAATTCTTCAGAAAGAGGGTTATGATATAGGTCAGAAAATTGGGTGTACATAATTAAAGGAAGAGTGTTGCAAAAGGAATAAATGAAGAAAAATATAACTATCATATTCTTAATTGTTCTAAAATATAACTGATCTTTTAAAGCAATAATAGTACCAATGTATTATATGTTTATTGCATTTGTAAAAAAAATAATGGAATACAACAATGAAACAAAGAATGGAAGGAAGGAATTGGGGATAGTCTTGTACTACACATGAAGCAGTATAGTATTATTTAAAGGTGAACCAAATTATATAAAAATGTACATTACAAACTTAATGGAAATGACTAAAAAAGTTTCTTTATAAGATATCTAAATAATAAATAAATACATGAGACAAAATGGGATCACACAAAATGAACAAATAAAATAATGAAAGGCAGAAAAAAAGAGGGAAAAAGGAAACGAAAGCCAAATACAGTAAATAGAAAACATCAAGAACAAATATAATGAAAAGAAAACAGAAAGATGGTAGATTTTAATCTAAGTATATTGACAATCACTTTAAATGTGAATCGACTAAACATTCCAATTAAAGACCGAGATGGTCAGATTAGATTAAAAAGTAGGATCCAACTACATGCCATTTACAAAACATATATAGTTGGGTCCAATTCTCAGACCTTTTATCTCTCACTAACTCAAATATAAAACTCTGAGAGAATGCATGGACAACTATATGAAAATTGAAAGGAAAATCTAAGTAGGTAGATCAGAGAAGACACCAGAGTTTGAAGTACCAACTAAACAATTGCAAATTCAACATTACTTTTCCCCCATTCAGTATCCTGAGCCTGAATTCAACATGGTGTGCAATCCAAAATGAGCATTGTTTAGCAGACAGAGATGCAGGAGAAGTCTTGGAGTTTTGGCTCAAGGAATGTAAAAGAGAACTAAAATTCGGAGAGTGGGGGAAATCCATTGGGTTTTTATTTACTCCTTCTTTGGTTCCACAGTGGAGGTAGTAAAAGCAAAGGTGGCTCAGAAGCAATAGTGGCCCAGAATGGGAGCCTCCAGGAATCAAAACTGTGGGATAAGGTCCTTCCTCTAGGTGAAGCCACGATGTCAAGAAGACACCTTTATACCAGTTTTTCCTCTCCCTCTCCCTCTCGTTCTCACTCTCCCTCTCCCTCTCTCATCCTCACTCTCTCCTCCTGCTACTTGTTTCTGGAAATGCTACAACCATGACAGTGGGTAGTTTTTGAAGAGAAAACAGAAATGAGAGCCCAGGGAACTGGAAAGTACTGAAAAGATAAAGGAAAGGGAAGAGTTTTGAAAAAGCAACAGTGTAAAGTTGATTTGAACCCCTGGGCTTACCTCTGACTTGTGACTCCTTTGATCTTCATTAGCATACCAAAGATTTGGAAACTCAACTACAAATTACACCTCCACCCAAGTCTCAGACTAACCACTAGATGGTACACATGCAGGACAGACCTATATAGTACTGAGAAAGGCTGGAAAATTGAATTGATGTGGGAACCAAAATATATAAAAGGCTAAAACAAAAATATAGACCTTCTCCATAGGATATAAACAAGATACAGAATCTCAACACAATACTCACAATGTCCAGGATACAAACTACAATTAATCAGCATGCAAATAACCATAAAAATTTCAATTAACATGGAAAAAGACAACAGACATGAATGATGAGATTACATTAAATTATCTTAAATTAGCTATAATAAAAATGCTTGAATGAACAATAACAAGCGATTTTGGAACAAATATTTAAAACAGAAGCACTCAGTGAAGAAACAGAAGATATAAATAGGCTTTACCATTCAGGACATAGGCATGGGCAAGGACTTCATGTCTAAAACACCAAAAGCAATGGCAACAAAAGCCAAAATTGACAAATGGGATCTAATTAAACTCAAGAGCTTCTGCACAGCAAAAGAAACTACCATCAGACTGAACAGGCAACCTACAAAATGGGAGAAAATTTTCACAACCTACTCATCTGACAAAGGGCTAATATCCAGAATCTACAATGAACTCAAACAAATCGACAAGAAAAAAACAAACAACCCCATCAAAAAGTGGGTGAAGGACATCAACAGACACTTCTCAAAAGAAGACATTTATGCAGCCAAAAAACACATGAAAAAATGCTCACCATCACTGGCCATCAGAGAAATGCAAATCAAAACCACAATGAGATACCATCTCACACCAGTTAGAATGGCAATCATTAAAAAGTCAGGAAACAACAGGTGCTGGAGAGGATGTGGAGAAATAGGAACACTTTTACACTGTTGGTGGGACTGGAAACTAGTTCAACCATTGTGGAATTCAGTGTGGCGATTCCTCAGGGATCTAGAACTAGAAATGCCATTTGACCCAGCCATCCCATTACTGGGTATATACCCAAAGGACTATAAATCATGCTGCTATAAAGACACATGGACACGTCTGTTTATTGCGGCATTATTCACAATAGCAAAGACTTGGAACCAACCCAAATGTCCAACAATGATAGACTGGATTAAGAAAATGTGGCACATATACACCATGGAATACTATGCAGCCATAAAAAATGATGAGTTCATGTCCTTTGTAGGGACATGGATGAAATTGGAAATCATCATTCTCAGTAAACTATCTCAAGAACAAAAAACCAAACACCGCATATTCTCACTCATAGGTGCAAATTGAACAATGAGAACACATGGACACAGGAAGGGGAACATCACACTCTGGGGCCTGTTGTGGGGTGGGGGGAGGGGGGAGGGATAGCAATGGGAGATATACCTAATGATAGATGACGAGTTAGTGGGTGCAGCACACCAGCATGGCACATGTATACATATGTAACTAACCTGCACATTGTGCACATGTACCCTAAAACTTAAAGTATAATAAAAAAAAAGAATCAAATGGATATTTTGGACTAAAAATATAATAGCTGAAATAAAAACTTAGGAATGAAAGAGTAGATAGAAATTTCATAGGTATTACAATGACAAGAGTATATAATAGCAATTCTAAACACATAAATTCGACAACATAGATGAAACAAATTCCTCAAAAAGAACAAACTGGCAAACCTTATCCAAAATGTAACAAATAATCTAAATAATCTAAATCCTTCTATAAATATTACTGAAATTGAATTTGTAATTAAAAATCTTCCCCCAAAATACCCAGGTCCAGACGGTTTCACTGGCAAATTTTACCATTCATTTAAAGAAGAAATAGCATCAATTCTATACAATCTCTCTATGAAACTAGAAGACAGGAAAATACATATCAACTTACTCTGTGAGGCCAGCATTACCCTGATATAAAAACCAGAAAAATAAGTGATACAAAAAAAGAAAACTCCAAGTCAATATCCCTCATGAACATAAGAATCCTAAAAAAATGCAAATGAAATTTGGCTATATATAAAATAGATAATTAATATACCACAAGAAAGCACGGTTTTTCCCAGGAATACAAGGCTGGTTCAATATATGAAAATCAATCAAAGCAATCCATTCTAAAGATGTAAAACCCCATGGTATGGTTTGAATACATCCTCCAAAGTTCATGTGTTGGAACTTAATCTCCAATGCAACAGTATTGAGAGGTGGGACCTTTAAGAAGTGATTAGGTCATGAGGGCTCTACCTTCATGAATAGAGGCTTCTTCCCTCATGAATGAATTAATGGCATTAATAATGGAATGGTTTAGTTAACTCAGAAAACAGTTCCTGATAAAAGGATAAGTTTGGCCCCCACACTCGCATGCACAGGCACGCACATAAGCACACTCTCTCTTGCCCTTTCACCTTCCACAATGGGATGATGCAGCAAGAAGGCCCTCACCAGATGTGGCCACGTGATCTTGGACTTCCCAGCCTCCAGAACTGTAAGAAATAAATCTCTGTTCTTTATAAATTAGCCAGTCTGTGGTATTCTGTTTTAGCAGCACAAAATAGATTAAGATGCCCCAAATTATATCAGCAGATGAAAAAAACTTTTTACAAAATACAATATCCATTCGTAATAAAACTCTTAGCAATTTGGAATAGAAGGGAGCTTCCTTAACCAGATAAAGAATATTTACAAAAAATCTACAGCTAATGTCATACTTTATGTTGACAGACTAAATGCTTTCTCTCTAATATCAGGAACAAGGCAAGGATGTCCACTCTCACGACTCCCATTCAACATAGTATTGTAACTCCCAGTCAATATTATAAGGCAAGAAAGGTAATATAAGGCATGCAAATTGTAAAGGAAGAAATAAATCTGTCCCTGTTCATCCATAATATGATTGTCTGTGTAGAAAATCCCAGGAAATCTATAATTTATTTTATGTTTTATTTTTTGAGACACAGTCTTGCTCTGTCACCCAGGCTGGAGTGCAGTGCCATGATCACGGCTCACTGCAACCTCTGCTTCCGAGGTTCAAGGGCTTCTTATGACTCAGCCTTCATAGTAGCTGGGATTACAGGCATGTGCCACCACACTTGGCTAATTTTTGTATTTTTAGTAGAGATGGGGTTTCACCATGTTGGCCAGGCTGGTCTCGAACTCTTGGCCTCAAGTGATCTGCCCACCTCAGTCTCCCAAAGTGCTGGGATTATAGGCATGAGCCACTGCAGCCGGCCCAAAATCTATTTTTAAAAACCTTTCTAGTACCAATAAGCAAGTTTATCAAGTTCACAGGATACAATGTCAACACATAAAAGTCAATCATAATATTATATACAATCAATAATTCATTTTTTTATTTTTTTAGTTTTATTATTATTATACTTTAAGTTTTAGGGTACATGTGCACAATGTGCAGGTTAGTTACATATGTATACATGTGCATGCTGGTGTGCTGCACCCATTAACTCGTCATCTATCATTAGGTATATCTCCTAATGCTATCCCTCCCCCCTCCCCCCACCCCACAACAGGCCCCAGAGTGTGATGTTCCCCTTCCTGTGTCCATGTGTTCTCATTGTTCAATTTGCACCTATGAGTGAGAATATGCGGTGTTTGGTTTTTTGTTCTTGAGATAGTTTACTGAGAATGATGATTTCCAATTTCATCCATGTCCCTACAAAGGACATGAACTCATCATTTTTTATGGCTGCATAGTATTCCATGGTGTATATGTGCCACATTTTCTTAATCCAGTCTATCATTGTTGGACATTTGGGTTGGTTCCAAGTCTTTGCTATTGTGAATAATGCCGCAATAAACAGACGTGTCCATGTGTCTTTATAGCAGCATGATTTATAGTCCTTTGGGTATATACCCAGTAATGGGATGGCTGGGTCAAATGGCATTTCTAGTTCTAGATCCCTGAGGAATCGCCACACTGAATTCCACAATGGTTGAACTAGTTTCCAGTCCCACCAACAGTGTAAAAGTGTTCCTATTTCTCCACATCCTCTCCAGCACCTGTTGTTTCCTGACTTTTTAATGATTGCCATTCTAACTGGTGTGAGATGGTATCTCATTGTGGTTTTGATTTGCATTTCTCTGATGGCCAGTGATGGTGAGCATTTTTTCATGTGTTTTTTGGCTGCATAAATGTCTTCTTTTGAGAAGTGTCTGTTGATGTCCTTCACCCACTTTTTGATGGGGTTGTTTGTTTTTTTCTTGTCGATTTGTTTGAGTTCATTGTAGATTCTGGATATTAGCCCTTTGTCAGATGAGTAGGTTGTGAAAATTTTCTCCCATTTTGTAGGTTGCCTGTTCAGTCTGATGGTAGTTTCTTTTGCTGTGCAGAAGCTCTTGAGTTTAATTAGATCCCATTTGTCAATTTTGGCTTTTGTTGCCATTGCTTTTGGTGTTTTAGACATGAAGTCCTTGCCCATGCCTATGTCCTGAATGGTAATGCCTAGGTTTTCTTCTAGGGTTTTTATGGTTTTAGGTCTAATGTTTAAGTCTTTCATCCATCTTGAATTAATTTTTGTATAAGGTGTAAGGAAGGGATCCAGTTTCAGCTTTCTACATATGGCTAGCCAGTTTTCCCAGCATCATTTATTAAATAGGGAATCCTTTCCCCATTGCTTATTTTTCTCAGGTTTGTCAAAGATCAGATAGTTGTAGATATGCGGCATTATTTCTGAGGGCTCTGTTCTGTTCCATTGATCTATATCTCTGTTTTGGTACCAGTACCATGCTGTTTTGGTTACTGTAGGCTTGTAGTATAGTTTGAAGTCAGGTAGCGTGATGCCTCCAGCTTTGTTCTTTTGGCTTAGGATTGACTTGGTGATGCAGGCTCTTTTTTGGTTCCATATGAACTTTAAAGTAGTTTTTTCCAATTCTGTGAAGAAAGTCATTGGTAGCTTGATGGGGATGGCATTGAATCTATAAATTACCTTGGGCAGTATGGCCATCTTCATGATATTGATTCTTCCTACCCATGAGCATGGAATGTTCTTCCATTTGTTTGTGTCCTCTTTTATTTCATTGAGCAGTGGTTTGTAGTTCTCCTTGAAGAAGTCCTTCACATCCCTTGTAAGTTGGATTCCTAGGTATTTTATTCTCTTTGAAGCAATTGTGAATGGGAGTTCACTCATGATTTGGCTCTCTGTTTGTCTGTTATTGGTGTATAAGAATGCTGGTGATTTTTGTACATTGATTTTGTATCCTGACACTTTGCTGAAGTTGCTTATCAGCTTAAGGAGATTTTGGGATGAGACAATGGGGTTTTCTAGATATACAATCATGTCGTCTGCAAACAGGGACAATTTGACTTCCTCTTTTCCTAATTGAATACCCTTTATTTCCTTCTCCTGCCTAATTGCCCTGGCCAGAACTTCCAACACTATGTTGAATAGGAGTGGTGAGAGAGGGCATCCCTGTCTTGTGCCAGTTTTCAAAGGGAATGCTTCCAGTTTTTGCCCATTCAGTATGATATTGGCTGTGGGTTTGTCATAGATAGCTCTTATTATTTGAGATACGTCCCACCAATACCTAATTTATTGAGAGTTTTTAGCATGAAGGGCTGTTGAATTTTGTCAAAGGCCTTTTCTGCATCTATTGAGATAATCATGTGGTTTTTGTCTTTGGTTCTGTTTATATGCTGGATTACATTTATTGATTTCCATATATTGAACTGGCCTTGCATCCCAGGGATGAAGCCCACTTGAGCATGGTGGATAAGCTTTTTGATGTGCTGCTGGATTTGGTTTGCCAGTATTTTATTGAGGATTTTTGCATCAATGTTCATCAAGGATATTGATCTAAAATTCTCTTTTTTGGTTGTGTCTCTGCTCGGCTTTGGTATCAGGATGATGCTCGTCTCATCAAATGAGTTAAAGAGGATTCCCTCTTTTTCTATTGATTGGAATAGTTTCAGACGGAATGGTACCAGTTCCTCCTTGTACCTCTGGTAGAATTCGGCTGTGAATCCATCTGGTCCTGGACTCTTTTTGGTTGGTAAGCTATTGATTATTGCTACAATTTCAGAGCCTGTTATTGGTCTATTCAGAGATTCAACTTCTTCCTGGTTTAGTCTTGGGAGGGTGTTTATGTGTCGAGGAATGTATCCATTTCTTCTAGATTTTCTAGTTTATTTGCATAGAGGTGTTCGTAGTATTCTCTGACGGTAGTTTGTATTTCTGTGGGATCGGTGGTGATATCCCCTTTATCATTTTTTATTGCGTCTATTTGCTTCTTCTCCCTTTTCCTCTTTATTAGTCTTGCTAGCGGTCTATCAATTTTGTTGATCCTTTCAAAAAACCAGCTCCTGGATTCATTAATTTTTTGAAGGGTTTTTTGTGTCTCTATTTTCTTCAGTTCTGCTCTGATCTTAGTTATTTCTTGCCTTCTGCTAGCTTTTGAATGTGTTTGCTCTTGCTTTTCTAGTTCTTTTAATTGTGATGTTAGGGTGTCCATTTTGGATCTTTCCTGCTTTCTCTTGTGGGCATTTAGTGCTATAAATTTCCCTCTACACACTGCTTTGAATGCGTCCCAGAGATTCTGTTATGTTGTGTCTTGTTCTCGTTGGTTTCAAAGAACATCTTTATTTCTGCCTTCATTTCGTTATGTACCCAGTAGTCATTCAGGAGCAGGTTGTTCAGTTTCCATGTAGGTGAGCAGTTTTGAGTGAGTTTCTTAATCCTGAGTTCTAGTTTGATTGCACTGTGGTCTGAGAGACAGTTTGTTATAATTTCTGTTCTTTTACATTTGCCGAGGACAGCTTTACTTCCAACTATGTGGTCAATTTTGGAATAGGTGTGGTGTGGTGCTGGAAAAAATGTATATTCTGTTGATTTGGGGTGGAGAGTTCTGTAAGCAATTCAAAATCAAAGTTAAAAAAAATTTACAATAGTTCTAATAAGACAAAATCTTTAGGTATAACACCAATAAAACATGTATAAAAGATCTGTATGCTGGAAATTACAAAATGTTGTTAAAAAATCAAAGAGCTACATAAATAGACATACTGTGTTCATGGACTGGAATACTCAATATGGTAAAGATGTCTATTCTCCCCAAAGTGACCTATATACGTAACACAATACCAATAAAAACCCTATCAGGATATTTTAGATATAGACAAGCTGATCCTGAAACTCATATGGAAGGGCTAAGAAACTACAATGGCCAAAACAATTTGCAAAATAAAAACAATGTTGCTGAAACTTCAAATTATACTGCAAGGCTATAGTTACCAAAACAGCATGGTACTGGTATAAAAACAGGCACATAGAGCAATGGAACAAAATTCGGAACCCAGAAATAAAGCCAAATACTTACAGCTAACTGATCTTTAACAAAGCATGCAATAACATAAAGTAGGGAAATGATACCCTATTCAATTAATGATGCTGGGATAATTGGCAAGCCACATATAGAAGAATAAAACTGGACCCTCCTCTCTCACTTTATACAAAAATCAACTCAAGATGGATCAAAGACCTATACCTCAGACCTGAAATCATAAAAATTTTACAAGATAACATTGGGAAAACTCTTCTAGACATTGGCTTAGGCAAAGAATTCATGACTAAGAGCCCAAAAGCAAATGCAACAAAAATAAAAATAAATAAATGGGACATAATTAAACTAAAATGCTTCTGTGCAGTAGAAGAAATAATCAGCAGAGTAAACAGACAACCAACAGAGTGGGAGAAAATATTCGCAAACTATGCATTTGATAAAGGACTAACATCCAGAATATACAAGAAACTCAAAACAACTCAGCAAGAAAAAACAAATAATCCCATCAAAAAGTGGGCAAAGGACATGAATATAGAATTCTCAAAAGAAGATATATAAACAGCGAACAAACACATGAAAAAATGCTCAACATCACTATCTTTCAGGGAAATGCAAATTAAAACCACAATGAGATACCACCTTACTCCTGCAAGAATGGCCATAATTTAAAAATAAAAAAAAATACATCTTGGCATGGATGTGGTGAAAAGGAAACACTTTTATAGTGCTGGTAGGAATGTAAACTAGTACAACCACTGTGGAAAACAGTATGGAGATTCCTTAAAGAACTAAAAGTAGAACTACCATTTGATCCAGCAATCCCACTACTAGGTATCTACCCAGAGGAAAGGAAGTGATTATATGAAAAAGACATGTGCACACGCATGTTTATAGCAGCACACTTCACAATTGCAAAACTATGGAATCAACTTAAATGCTCATCATCCAACGAGTGGATAAAGAAAATGTATCCATTTTCTTTATATCATATACCATGGTATATATACACCATGGAATACTACTCAGCCATAAAACAGAATGAAATAATGGCCTTTGCAGCAACTTGGATGGAGATGGTGGCCATTTTTTTAAGTGAAGTCGCTTAGGAATGAAAAACCAAATATTGTTATGTTCTCACTTATAAGTGGGAGCTAAGTTATGAAGATGCAAAGGGGTAAGAATGATATAATGGACTCTGGGGACTTGCGGGGAAGGATGGAAGGAGGGTGAGTGATAAAAGACTGCACATTGGGGCCAGTGTACACTGCTCAGGTGACGGATGCACCAAAATCTCAGAAACCATCACTAAACAACTTACCCATGTAACCAAAAACCATCTGTACCCTAAAAACTATTGAAAATAAATAAATAAATAAAACAATGTTGGTGGACTGAACTTTACTACATGATTTTGAGACTTATTATAAAGCCACAATACTCAGGACAGTGTGGTATTGGAAAAAGGATAGCAATCTAGATCAATGAAATAGAATAAAGAGCCCAGAAATAGACCCACTCAAATTTTGGACAAAGTCAACTAATTTTGGACAAAGGTACAAAGTCAATTCAATAGAGAAAATAGAGTCTTTTCAACAAATGGTGCTAGAACGATTGGAAGTCCACTGCAAAAAATGAACTTGAATACTTAAACCTTACCCAAAAAATAATTCAAAGTGGATCATAGGTCTAAATATAAAATGTAAAACTATAAAACTTCTAAAAAAAGGACTTGGGAGAGAATGTAAAATATTGGATATGCCAATTAGTTTTTAGTTACATCACAAAAAGCATTATCCACACAAGAAAAAAATAGATAAATTGAACTATAAAAATTTAAACATTTTTATTTACGAAAAATTTTAAAATAAAAATTGTTAAATATTTACATATTAACATTTTTTTATCTGTGAAAGACACAAAGGAATGAAAAATGCCACAGAATGAAAGAATATACTTGTACATTATATATCTGGTATATCCAAAATATATAAATAACACTTAAAACTGAACAATAAAAGATAAAATTTAGTTTTAAAAATTAGCAAAGCATCTGAACAAACATTTCACCAACCCAAATGTACAGATGGCAAACAAGTGTATTAAAAGATAATATCAATCATTGGGAAAATGAAAATTAAATGTGTAATGAGAAACACTTCAAGATACAGCTATTAAAATGGCTAGAATTAAATACACATATAAATTTACATGACAATATGAAATGCTGGCAAGGATGTATTACAAAAGGAACTCTCACTCATTGCTAGTGGAAATGCAAAATGGTTCAGGCATTTTGGAAAACAGTTTGGCAGTTACTTTTAAAATTTAACATACACTTGACATATGACCTAGCATTTTCACTCATACATACCTTTGGAAGGGAATTGAAAAATTAAGTTTACACAAAAATGTATATGAGAATATTTATGGAGCCTTACTAAAAATCACTAAAAACTGGAAACAACCAAGATGCTCTTCAGTTGGTGAATGGATAAACAAATTGTGGTACAATCATAAACTAGAATACCATACGGCAATTAAGATAACTGTTGATATTCATACAGCTAGGATGAATCTTAAATGCATTATGCTAAGAGAAAGAAGCCATATCCAAAAGCTGACATGTGATATAATTCCATTTATATGACATCCTGGACAAGGCAAAATTATAGGAACAGAGAACTGCTCAGTAGTTGCCAGGGGTTGGGGGAGGTCTGAAGGGTTGACTATAATGGGCTGTACAGGAGAATTTTTAGGGTGATGGAATTGTTCTATACGGTACTATGGAAGAGGATATCTGACTTTATACGTTTGTCAAAACTCACAAAACTGAATTTTATTGCATTCAAGTTTTTATAAATCAACCAAAATGTCTGAGCAACTCAATATTGAATGCAGTTTGCAACAAATGGTTCTAACTATATTACAAGTATATATATCATAATCTCACTAAATGGGGTGGAGAAAGAAAACCTGAAATAAATAACCACGAAAATAGTGTTTTGCTGAATATTTTAAGACTAATGACAGAAAGTAATTGTGTGTAGACACTGTACTCTAATTGATAAAATTGTTTCTCCCAGGGGTATGAGTTAACAATTCTGAAACTACCAGTGTAGTAGGGTGGAATAAATAAATAAACAAACAAACAAACAAATAAATAAATAAATAAATAACTTGTAGATAATGAGAGTCAGGTATTTCACAGTCTAAGAAAGAAGCTCATAGTAAACAAGGGAGAAGGTCTAGAATGATGCCTTATAGTGCAATTTAGGGTCAGAAATGGTATTAACTCATGTTTATTTTTAACGTATATATAAATAGACATCAAAATACAGACGGGTTAGCATGCACACAAATATTTCTTAGCTCTGTCTGCTGAGCGGGCTAGAATTAATGATACCCTAAAAGTAACAAAAGCATCCAGATCTTGGTTTCCAAATACCAATTTTCAATTACAGGAACCATGGTTTCTTGGAGAAGAGGCTGGTGTTATCTTGTAAAAAAGTAACGAAGTGCTAGAAAAATAAGGAGAATAGAAGTATATCAAAGGGACACAGGAGGGGAAAAGACAGGGATGAATAAGTGGAGCAAAGAGGATTCTTAGGGCAGGGAAACTACTTTAATACTGCATACATGTCATTATAAATTTGCTCAAGCCTATAGAATGTGCAACTCCAAGAGTGAACCCTAAAGTAAACTATGGACTCTGGGTGATAGCAATGTGTCAATGTAGGTTCATCATTTGTAACAAATACCCCTGTGGCAGTGGCTATTGATAATGGGAGAGGCTATGCATGTGGAGGGGAGGAAGGGAGAATATGGGAAATCTTGGTACCTTCTGCTCAATTTTGCTGCAAACCTAAAACTACTGTAAAATATAAAGTCTACTAAAAATAGAACAGAACGCAGAAGCCAATATGAAAGAGTTCCTAATGGGCAAAGCTGGGACAAGGTGACCAACAAAATAAATAAGTTGAGTATTATAACCCAAATAATTAAATATTTATGAGTACACACTTATATATATACATTGTTGAATAAATAAGTAGGGGAGAAAGGAAAAATCTTTATAGAGGGATTCCAAATAATAAATGTAGAATAAATAAGGGAAGCAGAAAATCATCATTAGAACACTACTGTAATAATTGCCACAGGCACAATCCACTGATTCATGCTAAAATTAGTGAGTGAAACTTTAAGGAGAATCTGAAGAGTTGCATAGGCTCAAATAATTTTACCCAAATTATTACAGTGTTTTTAATAAATTTCCACAAATTAGTTGATACTTCTCCCTCTAGGGGGTGGCATTTAATTTCCTTCCCCTTGAGTGTGGGCTGGACATAATGATTCACTTCCAAAGAATACAGTATGGGAAAGACAAATAGTAACCTGGCAGACCACAACTAATCTAACAGTTCAAGGTTAATATCATCAGCAATAAGTCATGTTGATATCATCTTCCCTCTGATGTGATGTGATGAGAAGGATACCTCACCTCTATGGTATTCTCCTTAAAACCCACAGCCCCAGTCTAAACATGAGAAAATATCAGAAAATCTCAAATTGAAGGTCATTTCACAAAACACTTGACCAAAATTGTCAAAGTTATGAAAAACAAGGAAAGACTGAAAAGCTGTCACAGATTGGATGATTCTAAGGAAATAAGACAATTAATCCCAACGTGGTATGCTGGATTGGATCCTGGAACATATAAAGGACGTTAGTGAAAAAACTGAAGAAGTCTGAATAAATTATGTAGTTTAGTTAATAGTAACTTACCCATGTTAATTTATTAGTTTTGACAAATATACCATGCTTATGTAAAGTGATAACATTGGTGGAAGCTGAATGAAAGGTATACAGCAATTCTACAATTGTTCTGTAAATCTAAAATTATTTAAAAATAAAAAGCTAAAAAATAAAAAAGCTTACTCCCAGGACAGACTTAGGTAGTAGCCATTCACTTCCTGAATGCTTTCCCTTCCTATCTAGACACTTCAGGTGGATAAAACTCTTATTTATCCTATCACCTAATCATGTTTTTAGAAAAGGATCTTATGACAGCTGGTCACATTTTCCTCAAGCTCTTCTGTAAACTTTCAGGTAATTTTAAGTAGTACGGTATCTTACTCAAGTTGTATATGGTAGAATATAGAAGAGAGATTTCTATTTCTGGTGATATTTTAGGCTATATTTGTAAAGAGTCCTTCCAAATACAAAACACCTAAAAATAATGGATTTAAAACAAATAAAGCATGGCTGAGCTGGTGTGAAACCAACAGAAATCCTCAGAGGCCAGGAATGAGAAAATAATTACTGATCTAAAGAGATAAAAAAGCACTAAAATCCATGTTTACCCTGGTAGCCTGGAGCAGTGTTTCACAAACATGAAATCAATTCAGTGGGTGCAATAGGCAGCATACAATATCACCCTTAATGATCCATACCTCTTGTTATTCATGACATTGTGTAGTCACCTACTTTTGAGTGTGGGCTGAATCTAGTGACTTGTTTTTAACCCATAAAATAAGGCAAAAGTGATGGGATATCACTCCTGAGATTTTATCACAAAAAGACTGGCCGTCCATTTTGTTGGTCCTCTTTGGCTCTCTCATTGACTTGCTCTGTTGGAAGCCAGCTGTCATGTTGTGAGCTTCCCTAGGGAGAGACCCACATGGCAAGAAGTTGAGGATGATCTCTGGTCAAGAGCTAGTGAGAAACTAAGGACCTCATTCCAATATGTTATGAGGAACTGAATCTTGCCAACAACCTTGTGAGTAAGTTGGAAGTGGATCCCTATCCACTCACTCCTACCCAGTAGAACCTTGAGATGACCAAAGCTTCAGCCAATACCTTGATTGTAGCCTTATTAGAGATACTGAGCCAGAGGACCCAGCTGAGCTGTGCACTGATCTCTGACCCACAGAAACAGACAAAATAGATGTTTGCTGTTTTAAGCCACTACGTTTTGAGGTTAATTTATTACACAGTAGTTGACACAATAATACAGTGGATCATAAAAAGCATATTTTTTGATTTAACATACACACACACACACACACACACAAACGTGTGTGTTTATTGAGTGGCAAAGTAAAAAACAATGTTTCTTCTCTGGGCCATTGTCAAAGGATTGACACATTTCTGGCTTAAAACTTGGGCTTTAAGAGATAGCACGTATAGAAGATAGTAAACAAAACTCTTTGGGCTCAAAGTAGGAAGTTGGATCTGAGAGCCTGACTAAAGTGTGGACCAGACAAAGGTGACGTAATCAGCGGGTGAAGAAGAAGCACCTAACTGAGACTGTCTCAACCTTGGCTCAATCGTGGAGGGAAACAAAAGAGTGAACAGTTCCTGAGATTTCCTAGCCCAGTCCTGCATTTATGTGGGTTTGGGGCTGGGATGTACATTACCCGTGTAGGAAGAAAAAAAGCCAACACACACACACACACACACACACACACACACACACACACACACACGAAAAACCTGTATGAATAAGAATCCACAGAAACAAACCAAAGAATCAGAATTGCAAAAGCTATAATTGGAATTATCTGATTTATACTGTGAAATAAGCATTGGTTGTATGTTTAAAGAAATGAAGAAGGTATCAACAGTATGTCAACGAAATGTGAGACTATCAAAGAAAGACTACATGAATTTTTAAAAGAATCAAATACAGCTTCTAGAAATTAGAAATGAGAGCATTAAAATTAAAAACTCAATGTATGAGGGTTAAACAGCAAATTAAACAGAGGTGATGAGATAATTAATGAACTGGAAAATAAATCTGAAGAAATTATATAGAAAGTACTGTAGGAATAACAAGATATGGAAATATAAAATAGAGATTAAAACACATGGCTAGAATGATAAAGTCTACCATGGGTTTAATTACAGTTCCAGAAAGAAAAGAATTGATGAAAGATACCAGTCCTCAAGTTAGGGAAGCCCAACTTTAAACAAAACAAACAAACAAAAAAAAACAAGCAACATTTAGAAAAATCATAATAAAATTTCAGAACACTAAAGCTGAATAGATCTTAAAAAGCAATCAAAGATAAAAGACAGTTTACCTAATGAGTAACAATTAGATTCGCAGTTGACTTCTCAACAACAATAATGAAAACCAGAGATAGTGAAATAATATTACTGAAGTTCTATGAGAAAATAACTTTTAACCCAGAATTGTATACTCAGAAATAAGTCTCTTCAAGAATGAGGATGCCATAAACACATTTTCATGCAAACAACTCTAAGAGAATTTATCACCAACAGACCCTCAATAAGGGTTCTATGGAATGTACCTCAGACAGAAGAAAAATAGTACCAAAAGAAAGGGCTAAGAGACAAGAAGAAATGGTGAGCAAGTAAAATGGTAAACATGTGTGTCAAACTAAGCCAACACTGACTTGAGAAACAACAATAAAAATGTCTATTTCATGGGTTTATAAAACAACTAAGCAAGGAACTTCTAGTTTCAGTTCCAAGAGCTTGGGAGTTCTTATTCTCATCTTTACAATAAGAAAAATTGGGTCACACTGAAAATCAATGACTTTTCTGGGACCCATTAGAGAACTGAGGCCATAGAGAAAACTACTACCTTGAAATCTGAAGAGTCAGGCACTTTCAGAGAGAGAGAAAGCATCTGAAATTTGCTTATCTCGTGCGGAAAGCACTGGATGCCAGAAGCTATTTAATACTTAACTACTACAAACAACTTTACACTTGTAAATTTATCTATTTAGAATATATGGATCAATTCCTTGAAAACCACAGCCTCTCACAAGTCAACCAAAAATAAAACAGGCACTCGAATAATCCTATAAACATTAAAATAATTTAGTTCAACATAAAATCTCCAGAAATAGAAATCTCCAGACCCAAATGTGTTTACTTCAAAAGTCTGTAACACTTTTAAAGAAGAATTAATGCAAATTTTAAACAACATTTTCAAAGAAATAAGAAGAGGAGGGAATATTTTCAACTAATTTTATGAGGCCAGAATTACCCTGATATCAAAACCAGACAAATGAATTACCAAAAACCCAAAAACTCTATAGTCCACTCTGTCATAAACTTAGATGAAAAAATCCTCAACAAAATATTGGCAGACAGAATCCAACATTACATGAAAATAATTACAGTCAGTCCTCCATATCTGTGGGTTCCACATCTGCAGATTCAACCAACAGCAGATAGAAAATACTTTTAAAAACAATAAAAATAACAAGAATAAAACACTACAAATAAAAAGCAATACAGTATAACAACCATTTACATAGCATTTACATTGTGTTAGGTATAATCTACAGATGATTTAAAGTAAATGAGAGGATATGTGTAAGTTATATGCAAACACTAGGCCATTTTATAAAAGGGACTTGAGCATTCATGGATTTTGGTATCTGCAGGGGTTCCTAGAACCAATCCTCTGCAGATACTGAGGGATGACTGTATATGCAATGATTAAGTGGGATTTAGTACAGGTATGCAAGACTAGAATAAAATTCAAAAAATCAATTAATGTAATCCACCCTATCAACAAACTAAAGAAGAAAAATAAATACATACTGACAAAGCACTTCATAAAACCTATTAATGATAAAAACTTTCAGCAAGTTAGGAATAGAGATGAATTACCTAAACTTGATAGGCACTCCTTTCTTTAAATAATTTTAATGAGTTTGAGCATTCAGCAATTTGTGAATTGGGAAGCACAATACACAAGCAGTTCAGGGCTCCACTGAGGGGGATCAAGAGAAAACTTTTATAAGGTGTTCTCAGAAGAAAGACGAAATAAATATTTGATTGCTTAAAGTAGAAAGTCCATAGTTAGAGGTTAGTTGGTGGTTTCTGAATGGTTAAGCTTAAGATTTTATATTTTTATTTTTTATTTTAAGTTCAGAGGTACATGTGCAAGTTTCTTAGTGAGATAAATTAATGTCACAAGAGTTTGTTGTACAGATTATTTTGTCACCCAGGTGTACCTATTACCTATTAACTAGCACCCATTAGTTATTCTTCCTGATCTTTTCCCTTCTCCCACCCTCCACCCTCAGGTAGGTCTCAAATGTGTGTTGTTCCCCTCTATGTCCATGTGTTCTCATCATTTAGCTCCCACTTACAAGGGAGAACATGCAGTATTTGGTTTTCTGTTCCTTTTAGGTTGCTAAGTATAATGGCCTCCAGCATCCATGTCCCTGCAAAGGACATGATGTCATTCTTTTTTATGGCTGCATAGTATTCCACGGCATACACATACTACATTTTCTTTATCCAGTCTATCACTGATGGACATTTAGGTTGATTCCATGTCTTTGGTATTGTGAATAGTGCTGCAATGAACATATGTCTGCATGTGTCTTTATAATAGAACGATTTATATCCCCTTGGGTATATACCCAGTAATGGGATTGCTGGGTTGAATGGTAGTTCTGTTTTTAGCTCTTTGATGAATCACTACACTGCTTTCCACATGGTTGAGCTAATTTACATTCCCACCAGCAGTGTATAAACATTCACTTTCTTCTGCAATCTCACCAGTATCTGTTATTTTTTGACTTTTTTATGATAGCCATTCTGACTGGTGTGAGATGGTATCTCACTGTGGCTTTGATTTGCATTTCCCTAATGATCAGTGATGTTGAGCATTTTTTCATATGCTTGTTGGCTGTATGTGTGTCTTCTTTTGAAAAGTGTCTGTTCATGTCCTTTGCCCACTTTTTAATAGGGTTGTTTTTTTCTTGTAAATTTGTTTAAGTTCAACTTGATAAGAAACTTCTATAAAGCAAACAAAAACTATCACCAACATTATACTTAAAAGTGAAAGACTAAATGCTTTCCCCCTAACATCAGGACTAATGTAAGGATTTCCACCTTCTCCACTCTTTTGACATAGTACTAGAAGTTCTAACCACTGCAATAAGGCAATAAAAGGAAATAAAAGGCATACGGTTTGGAAAATAATTTTTAAAAAATCCCTATTTGCAAATGTCATGATTGTCTACATAGAAATATCCCCCTAAACTACAGAAATTCCTCGAACTAACAAGTGAGTTCATCAAGGCTGCAAGATACAAGATCAACACACAAAGACAATCTTGAGACTTTCATTTCTGGCATGACAGCATGAGGAGCTCTAAAGACCCATTCTCTAATAAAACAAGCTCAGCTGGCAAAATTACAACACAACAACCTTTTAAAATCTCTGGAAATTGTCTTAATGGAATACAGTACATGAAGATATTTTTATTCAAGAAAATCTACTGAAATGTGGTAAGAACACAGTCTTTGATACATGTGCCATGCTACTGTTCCCGACCTTACTACTGTCCCCTCACTACTGGCTCCAAGCTTAGCTTGATAGAAGCTCCACTTAAGGTGTGTATAGCCAAGATGAAGCTCCCTTTCGTCTTGGAGAGAATGTCCCATCAATACTTTGGCATCTTACTGGAAGGAGCAGAGAGCTAGCATTTAGCATTCCCTTCAGCTCAGAATTGCAGAGGCTAAATTCCTGGCAAGTGTGGTTAAGAGGTTGGAGGATCCCTTCCTCCTCCCAGTTTTTACTCATAGAATGGAGGCTATATACCAGGTGCAATAGGCTAAGAATACTGAGGTCCTGATTACCCTCATTCCATCTTGCTCACAGGGTAGGTTCCACACCAGGATAGGCAAACTAAGACCAGAAGCTGCTGTCTCGCCCAGCACCCAGAACAGTGCTCAGACAGTATACCCATGGAGAGAAGAAATTCATAAGATGAGAGAGCTCTGAAACTCTCCCCCCAAAACTAACTTTATTTTTAACATAGTACAAAGAAGCTCAAGCCCAAGGATGTTCTCAAAAACTACAAGTTCACTTAACTAACAGCAACATAGGCCAGCTTGTTCATCAGAGAGAACAAGAGAGAGAGGGACAGGTAAGAAGAGCCCTTCTGGGGTATGAAGAAACCTCCAAGACTTACTTCACAAACTACTCCTGCTAGAGTTTAATTAGATAAGGCTGCTGGGCAATGCATGCTTCAGGACACTGCCAAACAAACAAACAAACAAAAAACAAAAACAAAATACAGCATTCAGCTAGTAATTAGTGGAGCCTAGAGTGTAATACCCCCATGTGGGCTGACAGCTTAATAGAGAGACTGGGAAAAAGTCAAAGAAAGCCCAAATTACCTGCAAGCCAAAAACTATGCACTCCAAGAAGCAACACTGAAGGGTTCACACTGCAGGGAAACATACTTTAAAAATAGCCTAGCCAAGTCACAAAGCAAAGAGTTATATAGAAATAAGGAAATGATACCAGAAGGTAATTCAAACCCACAGGAACAAATGAAAATAATAGAAAATAATAAATACATACATGTTCTCCTTAATTTTCTCAGCTTCCTTAAAACATAAAATTATATAAAATAATACTTATAATGATGTATTATTTAGTTTTTAGCATATACAGATATAATATATATATTATAATAGCTCAAAAAGGAAGGTGAAAGAGAGCTATATATGAGTAAAATTTTTATATCTCATTGAAATTAAATTAGTACAAATCTGAAGCACACTGATGTATGATGTATGTGAAAAGCCCTAGAACAACCACGAAGAATATACCTAAAAAATATATAATAAAAAATGATCAAATGAATTAAAAAGTTAAACTAGAATAATTCATTTAATGCAAAAGAAAGCAGTAAAGGAAGAATAGAGAGAAAAAGACATGAGCTCTATGGAAAAATAAAACTGCATATTTAAACCAACTATATCAATAATGATTTTAAATCAGAACAGATTAATCAACCCAATCAAAAGGTAGAGAATATCTAACTGAATACAAACAAACAAGATCCAACTGCATGCTGCCTACAGAAGATAGGTTTTAGACTGAAAGATACAAGGCAGGCCTGGTGGCTCACGCCTATAATCCGAGCACTTTGGGAAACCAAGGTGGGAGGATCCCTTGAGTCCAGAAGTTTGAGACCAGCCTGGGCAACATAGTGAGACTCCATCTCTATTCTAAAAAAGAAAGAAGAAAAAAGAGAAAGAAGCAAATAGATTAAAAGTAAAATAACGTAAGTAATACATCATGCAAACAACAACCACAAGAAATTTGGAGTGACCATACTAATATGAGACAAAATGGATGTTCAAAAACATTACTAGAGATATATAGGGACATTCAATAATGACAAAAGGGTCAATCCATAATGAATATATCACAAGTATAAACGTATATGCCTAAACAACAGAGCTGCCAAATACATGAAGCAAAACTGGCAGAATTGAAGGGAGAAATAGACAATCCACTGACAATAGTTGGAAACTTCAAGACCACTCTTTCAATAATGGATAGAACAACTACATAGAAGATCAACAACAGGGAAATAGAGGACTTCAACACAAAGTAGTAATAACAAACATCTGTAAAACACTCCATCTCCAAACAGCAGACTATACATTTTTCCAAAGTGTACATCAAACATGCTCCAAGAGAGACAATATTCTAGGCCATAAAAGAAGCTTCAATAAATTTGGAAGAATGGAAATCATATAAAGTATGTTCTCCAATCATAATGGAGTAAAATAAAAAATTAATAACAGAGAGAACTTTGGGAAATTCACAAATATGGGAACCTAAAGGAAACAGAAGAAGGATATAATAAGGATTAGAGGTGAAAATAATAAAACAGAGACTAGGAAAACATTAGAAAAAAATCAACAAAATCAAAAGTTGGTTATTTGAAAAAATTAATAAACTTGACAAACCTTTAGTGAGACTGACCAAGAAAAAAAAGAGAAAACTCAAATTAATAAATTCAGGAAAAAAAGAGGAGACATTACTACTGACTTTATGAAAATAAAAAGAATTATAAGGGAATATTATGAACAATCATAAACTGTATGCCAACACAATAAATGCCTTAGGTGAAATAGATAAATTATTAGAATGATACAAACTCTCAAAACTGACTAAAAAAGAAATGAAATCTAAATAGATCTATAACAAGGGGTTGAATAAGTAATGAAAAACCTTGCCAGAAAGAAAAGTCCAGGATTAGATGGTTTCACTGGTGAATTCTACAAACATTTAAAGAATAATACGATTCTTCAAAAGCTCTTTCAAAAAGTAGAAGAGGAAGAAGCACTTCCCAACTCATTCTATGAGGCCAGTATTTCCGTGCTACCAAAGTTAGGCACATATATTAGAAGAAAAGAAAATTATAGACCAATAGCTGTTGTGAATATGGATGTAAAAATCCCCACAAAACACTAGCAAACTGAACCCAGGAATGTATAAAAGGATTTATATGTATACATTATATATATGTATATATTATACTTATACTTTTTACATCACAATCAAGTTAGATTTATTATAGGAATGCAAGCTTGATTTAACCTTTGAAAATCAATTAATGCAACAGATCACATCAATAGAATTAAGGACAAAAAAACCAAATGATCATCATAATAGGCACAGATAAAGCATTTGGGAAATTAAATACCCCTTCATGATAAAACCAACAACAAATTAAAACTAGAAGGAAAGGCCCTAAACCTAATAAAAGACACCAATGAAAAACCCACAGTGAATATCACACTTAATGGTGAAAGATTGAATAGTTTCTCCCATGCCGCCTGCCAAGATCAGTAACAACAGAAGGATGTCTGTTTTCATCTCATCTTTTCAACATTCTAGTAGAGGTTATAGCCAAGGTAATTAGGTAAGAAAAAGAAAATAAAAGGCATCTGGATTGGAAAGGAAGAGATGAAATTATTTCTATTTGCAGATAACATAATCTTGTATATAGAAAATCCCAAGGAATGCACTAAAAAACACCATTGGACCTAATAAATGAGTCCAGCAATGTTGCAGAATATAAGATCAATATATAAAAATCAATTACATTTCTATAAAGTAGCCATGAGCAAACAAAATGAAATTAAGTAAAACAATTTTATTTACAATAGCATCAAAACAATAAAATGCTTAAAAGAACACTTTAAAAAATGTAAAACACTCTGAAAACTGCAAAACATTGGTGAATATAATTAAAGACCTAAGTAAATGCAACAACATCTCATGTTCAGGGACCTAAAACTTATTATTGTTAAGATGGTAATATTCCCTAACTAATCTATAGATTAAATGCAGCTTCTGTCAAAGTTTCAGCTTAATTCTTTGCAGAAATTAATAAATTGGTCTTAAAATTTATATGGAAATGCAAAGGACCTAGAATAGCCAAAACAATCATAAAAACAATCTGAAAAAGACCAAAATTAGAAGACATACTTCCCAATTTCAAAATTACAATTAAACTACAATAATCAAGAATGTGTGGTACTGGTATAAGGGTAGAGATACATATAAACAAATGGAATAGAACTGAGAGCCCAGAAGTAAACCCTTCAACTTATAGTCACCTGATTTTCATCAAGGGTGCCAAGACAATTAAGTAGGGGAAAGAAGAGTCTTTTCAAAAAATGCTGCTAGGACAACTGGATAGCCACATGCAAAAGAACGAAGCTGGATTCCCATCTCACACCACATGCAAATATTAACTCAGAATAAATTGAAAAACCTAAATGTAAGAGCCAAGACTATAAAACTCTTAGAAAAAAGCCTAGGCATATATCTTTGTGACTTTGCATGCTACAACATGGATTAACCTTGAAAACATGCCCAAAGAAACGAGCCAGATACAAAAGGCCACATATTGTATGATTCCCCTTATATAAAATGTCCAGAATAGGCAAATTCATTGAGACTGAAAGTAGATTAGTGGTTGCCAGGGGCTAAGGGGAGAGGGTCATCTGGAGTGAGTCTAGAGTATGGAATTCCTTTTTGGCATAAAGAAAATGTCCTGGAATTAGTGGTGATGGTTACACAACTATGTGAATATACTCAAAACCACTGTATACTTCAAAATGGTGAATTTTATGGTATGTGAATTATATCTCTATCAAAAACAATTTTTTAAATGTAGGAAAACACATACCAGGCAAATATTAAGCTAAATAAAGCTAATGTAGGTATATTAATATGAGAAAAAAGATTGATTATAGGGCAAAAACATCAATGATACCAAATTACCAGGTATTACCAGAGTTAATAATTTCCTTACATGGTGATAAAATATTCAATTCACAAGGAAGATATAGCAATTCTAAATTTGTTTGTAACTACGAACTTTCAAGATTGACAGAATTACAAGGAAACATTAACAAATTTTCCATATCAACAGGCAGCCAAAACCCCAGAAGAATATAGAACATTTGAGCCAGATTAACAAACACAACTTAATCGAGGTATATAGTACACTAAACACAACTGTAAAACGCACATTCTTTTCAAGTGCTCTTGGAACATTTACCAGATTGTCCATAAGTTGGTCCATAAAGCAAGTCTCAACAGATTTCAAAGAACTGAAATAATACAAAGTTTGTTCTCTGACCAGAATGGAATTAAAATAGAAATGACAAGAGCACTGATCTATCAAAACAGAAGCTGGTCCAAGGGCTGGCACCAAGTACTGGAGGCCTCCTGCTGTGGTAGGCATTAATCCTTTAGTTGCTAGATGATAATCAGTAGGTCCTGGCTATCCTGGGAAAGGAATTGAGGTGGCCAGGGTAACTGGGTAAGTGTTGGAGAGACTAAAAAAGCCTGGGAGAGTGCCTATTTATAAAATGGACTAGAAATATTCTGAAAATTCATATGGCCATACGATTGTGAATCTGTGGAATATCAGCCCTGTTTAGTAGGCCAATTATCTCATTGGACACTTAAATTAGAAAAGAAGAAAGTCTGAAAATGAATGAGCTGAGCAGCAGGCAACTCTATGAGTTAAAAAAGAACAACAGAATAAATCCAAAGAAAGTAGGAGAAACAGAATAATGATGAAAAAATAGTTAAATAGAAAATAAAGATAAAAAAGGATCAAAAAGTCAAAAGTTGATTATTTTAGAATTATAAAAGTGTCAAACTTATAGCAAGATTGATCAAGAGAAAAAAGGTGCAAATAAATAATATTATAATGAAAGAGAAGCTATAACTACAAATGCAACAGAGATAAAAAAGATACAAAGATAAGAACTTTACACAAAATAAATTTGAAAACTATGTGAAGTAGAAAAATTCATAGAAAACCATAACTTAGGAAAGCTTAAGAAAGCTAACTTTAGTGGAAATAGCAAACTGAAAGGACTCTATAACTGATAAAAGAGATTGTATCAGTTAAAATGTTAAAGGAGACACCAGGTCCAGATATTTTACCTGGAAATGCTGCCAGGTAAAATATTTGAGGAATGGCTAGTTCTGCAGACAACCTCTGTCAGAGGACAGAATGAAAGGAAATAGTTCCCACCTGATTTTATGAGGTTAGTGTAATCTTGACACTCTTGGAAAAATCACAGGCCAATCTCTTTCCTGAGCAAAATGCTAAAATCCTAAACAAAAAATTAGTGAAAGAAATTCAGAAGTTTTTATTTATCCCAGGACTGCAAGATTATTTCAACACAAGAAAAACTCTAATGTATTGTACCACATTAATGGGTTAAAATAGAAAATTAATGTCATTTCAGTGAATACAGAAAACATGTTTAATAAAATTCAATATTCATTCATCTTTTAAAAATTGTATTGGCAAACTCAGAATAAACAGGAACGTCTTTAACCTATTAAATGATATCTACCAAAAAAACTACAGCAAATTTGCTCAATGGTGAAACTTAAAATCGGGATCAGCATAAGAATATACATTATTAACATTTCTTTTCAACGTGTACTGCACATCTCGTGTGTGTATATTAAAGGCGGGAGGTCTTAGCAGTGTAATAATATAAGAAAGATAAAAATGAGGGTTGTGGGGAAAATGAAAGCTGTCATTTACATACAAATTATCAAAACTCATAAGAAAGTTTAGCAGGTTTGCTAGTTACAAATTCATTACATGAAAAACAAATACAGTTGTATACATTAGCAACATACTGCTATAAAATTTAATTTTCTAAAAAGGTACTGTTTAAGATAGCAACAAAAAATAAGCCAAAAAAATCTTACAATGGCATGCAAACCTTTTATAGATTAAATTATAAAACTTCACTCAACATGAAAAAGTCTGAATATATGGAGTGATATACCGTGTTTAGGGAAGACTCAATGTCACAAAGATGGCAACTCTCCTCAAATTGACTGATTTACAGATTGAATGTAATTTCCATCAAAATCCCAAAAGTTCTCTCTCTCTCTCTCCCTCTCTCTCTCTCTGTGTGTGTGTGTGTGTGTGTGTGTGTGTGTGTTTGTATATGTGTGTAACTTGGAAAGCTGATTCCAAAATTTATGGAGAAGGGCATTGGACCAAGAATAGCCAAGACACTCCATAAGAAGGACAAGATGAAGGGACTTGCTCTACCAGGATAAAGGTACAAGAATGCCCATTGGATTATTCTTCATAATCAAAAATTAGAAACTAACCAAATGCTCAACAATAGTAAGATGGATAAACTGTGGGATATTCACAAGGGGAATAAACAAACTACAACTGCTTGCAACGATAAAATGGGTGGTTCGCATAAACATAATGTTGGATGAGAAAAGAATATGCACAGCTGTTCAAGTACTTTACATGTTAATGTATTTAATCTTCAAAATAACATTAAGTAACTGTGTGTCTGCTAGAGAGGATGCTCCAAGAAAAAGGTGATTCAGACCTTACAGGGACCAATAGACTGGCCTCCCTAGCAAGAAGTGAACCAGACATTGTCCAGACTTGGCAACCACTATCTAAGTTTTTTGCATCTATGGTCTGATAAAATTTAGTCAAATATTAATGAGTGACTGTCTTGTACACACAGAGCCCCATTCTTGGCTATGGTGAGTGGTAGAGTGGAAGTAGCACAGAGTGACCATTTACTGAGCATCTACTATGAGCCAGGATCAGGGCCTGATGTTGAGGATATGATGGTAAATAAGACCACACACCCGCTTTCTTGTTTATATAACAAGAACAATAATAATTAGGATAATTAACAATTACTGCGTATGTACTATGTGCTGGACACTCTTCTAAGCACATCCCATGCTCCAGTTCATTTAATCTTCACAACTACACTGTTATTAACTTCCTTTTACAAGTGAGGAAACAGAAGCCAAGAGAGGTTAAGAGAGTTGTCCAAGGTCACAGACACAGGGGGAGATAGAGCTGGAACTCAAACCTAGGCAGTCTGGATCCAGAACCTCTGAATCAGTGAATTACTCCCAATAACACTGGGTTGCAGGCATTAATCCTGTTTTATAGCTGAGGAAAGTGACACTCCAAACAAAAGTAAGCACATATTTATTTTTCACCTTCTATTTGATAGAGACTATATTAGGTGATTTATGTATATTATCTCTCCAACTTGAAAGACACAGTTCCCAGGACTATAAGCATTCTAGCTCTGGAGGACCCGTGTATGCAGAGAATGGCTTGCTTGTTTGTCAACTAAACAGCCCCTTGGAAAAGGCCAAGAGTGGCTGGCTGGGCGAGGGTACCTCTCAGTCTCCAGGCTCCTAGATCTCCAGATGAGTGAGTGAGAGAGCTGGTGGAGATAAGAAAGAGAGAGAATAGGAGCCTAGTCTTTTTTCTCTCTCTTCCTCCACCCACACCCTACCTCCTGTATATTATAACTATATTTAACATCCTATATGCTCCTAGATCCTCTAAGCAACTACTGCTACCCCCAATATCCCTAAGCCTGGGCCTCCTCTAGCATTAGCAGACTGGAAACTTGGTTAGCTGGCCTTTGGGGTGTCTGAGTCCCACAGTCCACAGCTGCCTTATCTTAACCCACCTTATGGCCACTCAGGCCACAATCCCTGGGCTGGATGCACCTTGGTCCACCACTGTCGCCTGTTATCTATGGGAAATGGTACACTCCAGATTTTGTTTTAAATATGTACAGGTTTTGTTTTGCCCTTGATCTTTCTTAAATTTCCAAAGTGAGCACCACACCAGTGGGCTGGCCCTGAGAGACTGCCTCTCTCAAATTTCCAGAGCAGCAAGGAAGTCCATATGTGCCAGGAAGGCAACACTGGAGACAGGACATTAAGTGTTTCCCAACCTAGGCAGGTATAGACTCAGAAAAGGCCTGAGAAAGGAGAGGAGCAATACTGACCAGTGACATGGCACTGTTGTGTACCCAGCACCTGTCCCCTGAAAGATGATGCCAGGAGCCATCACCTTATTTCACCCAGGCACTATCAGTCAGGCAAGACCAACTCCCAGACACTTCACAGAAGTCACCAAAATGAAACATACTAGGCTATCACTGAACAGTCCTAAACTAGAAATCTTAAATTCCAAACAAGAAGCATTCCAAACAAGCTCTGCATAAGAAAGGAAAAGTTCCTAAAGATCCCTCTGATTAAGATGGTCTTAACCTAATCCTCCTTTGTCTTCATCTCTCTTTCCGCCTGTCTTCTCTCTCATTCTTTTCCTCACGTTTTTGACACTAGCCTCTATTTCATCCAGTTGTTCATCTATTCCAACTTTTAGGTTGAGGTAGGAGTGGATGGCAAGGGGAGGTGCATCCTTTGCTCTTCTACACCCACTCTACCACCACCACCTTTAAACCCACGGAAGCAAACCCCACTTACAGCCCCTTCTCCGTTGCAGCCTGCTGCTGCCGCTGCTGTGTGGAATCCAGATCTTCTGCAACCTGGTTTGGGTGAGCTCTCCCATCTCTGGAGACATCTTAGGAGTCGCACCGAATGACATCACTGCCCACAAGGTACCTGGCCTCACTTCCTATCTTACTAGCTGTCTTTTCTCTCGCTGTGGCCACAGCAGCAGGTGGACAGGGCTGGGACAGGGGGTGTACTGGGTTTCTGAGCCCTCTCAAAGTCTGTCTTCAGTCCCCTCTCTTCTTTCCTCTGGTCCTAGCCTGCCTCTGCTCCTGTATGTACTAGTGGGGTATTGGGTGCAGAGGGCGAGAGGTTGGGCAGAGGTCAGGAGAGGCCTCTGAACTCCAAGGGCTGTGTACATAGGAGGTAAGTTGGAGCCCAACAAGGAAGGCAGCCAGCAACACAGCCCAGGTCTGACCAGTCACTTCCCTCCAATGAAGACAAGACTAATAGAGTATGCAAATAAAAGACCAAAGATCATGTGCTTACAGCCTGTGTGGGGTATAGAGGCAAAGGTGATGGAGGTAGGTCTCAGCGGCTTTCCCAGCTTTGAAATAAAAAAATGGGCCCAAGTAGAATGTCAAGCTCCAACCCAGAAACCAAGATTCACATCAGAAATGCAAGGTTCCCAAGGACAAAAACACAAACACAAAGTCCCTACTGGGGAATGCAGTGTTTTGAGCTGGCAATTAGAGGCCCAAACTGGACATGGAAGGTCCACTACTTCTCTGCTTCCCCGACCCAAAATGGCATTGCATCCCTTGTCTTCTCTGGATTCTGCTGCCTTCCTTGCCACAGGGCCTCTCCCACCTGAAATGTGCTGCCTGGAGCACTCTTGAAGAGATGGGCACTATCCGATCATCTTTCTACTCTCTCCAGCCAAGGGCTAAATAAATAGGAGTAAACTGACACCTTTGGAAGAGTGCAGCCATTGCCTGGGGCTGGAGGTGGGGGAATGGTAAGCTCTGCCCACATGGCTGTTAGCCACCATCAGATGCCCTAAGGAGAATGACACTGGCATCATGAACTGATAGAAAATTTCACTAAAGTTCCTCATGCCAAGCTATTAGGATGGAGATTTAGGAGGGTGGAGGCTGCAGCAGGGAACAGAGAGCAATGGCCTCAAAGTAGGACAAGTCCATAGGCCAGAGTCATCCAGCCCAGATGACTCACTCTCACCTGCCCTCTCCCGCTCCCCTGACCCGTTGTTTTGAGGCTTTTATGTGTATAACTCATAGAACTGCACAGCTTGCCTCGAAGATGCACAAGTGTCCTCTTACTTCACTCTTTTGCAACCTTCCCACCCCCAATGAACCTCCAACGATTGGCTATGAAGAAGCTCAACTTTCTTCCACTGAGCTGGGCTACACAAGGGCAATCTCTTGGGGACAGAAATTTCCAATCCCTGCCCTCAAATGCTCTCAGTTCCACTTTGCCTTTTAAGAAGTTCCCTAAAATACATTTGCAAGCCGTAGTCTACACAAGGGTCAGATTCCCTCCAGTTGTTGTGTATAAATCATACCAAATTTTTAATACATTCCAGAGCCCACCTATCTAAATGAATCAACTGAGATAGCAGATCATGATGGTTAAGAGCAATAGGCTCTGGAGCAATATTTCTTGAGTGGAATCCTACCTCTGCCCCTTGTTGGCTATGAGGCAATGAGCAGAAGACTAAACTTTTCAGTGCTTCAGTTTTCTTATCTGGAACATGGGAATGATAGGAGTACCTACCCTCCTTAGGACTGTTGAAGATTCAATGTGTTAAAAAATGTAAAGCAATCTGTGAAATGTTAAAAATATATTATCTAACACTGTTACTCCCTTTGGGAGGTAAATGATCAGACACCTCCTTGACTAATCTGAAACTTCTAATATAATGCTGACCATACAGAAAACTCTCAGTTAAGGAAACTTACAATATTATGGGAAAGGGTTAACATTTATAATACACAAAGAGCTCCTGCAAATCAATTAGAAGGATGAATTTGGTTTTACTCTTTTGATTTTGTGTAAAGACTTGCAAGATCATTTCATCTCACCCTCTCAGGTAAGAAAACTGAGGTCTAGAAATATTTTCCTAAGGTCATGTAGTAAATCAGTGGCCAAGTCAGGAATAGAACACTAGGGACCTAATTTCTCCCAGGCCAGGGCTTTTCTTTAATTAATCAAACAAGCCTGATCTAAGAATGTGGTCTTACAGGTTAGCTCAGAACCTCTAGAGTCTCAGAACTAGACTTTGTAAGAGATACAACTCTTTTAATTCTAATAAATTTCCTAACTGGTATAAATCTGTTAATATTAATAATCTTAATTATAACCCTTTCCCTGTATGTTTTCCATTGCCCACAAAGCAACAACATATTCCTTATCTTATTTGATCCTTGCAAACATCCTTGTTAGCCTTACAGGGAAACTGAGGTCTGGGGAGGGGAAGTGGCATGTTCAAGGTAATCTAGCTGGTCACATGAACATCTCTTTTATGTTTACAATTTTGTCCTCATGGCCCTGCCAACAGGCAGAAGGATAATTTTAGCAGCAGGAAATCTGAGATAAGAAGCTGGCAGGCTTTTGACAAAGTCTTAAAGGGTAAACCTGGGGTCCAGGCTTGAAAGCCTAACTTAAAATTGCCTGGAATTAGCTATGAGATTCCTCACTACTGTTACCAATTCTGATCCCAGAAGCAGGAGACCAAAACAAGCTTTATGGAAAGACCTCAGCTTGGCACTCAAGACTTTTCAATCAAGCTTCAGCCTATCTGTCCAGCCATATCTCTCCTTAGATCATCCTTAAACTGCACTGGCTGACTCACTGGGCCCCAAAATACATGGTGTATTTTCCTGTTTTTTGGCCTTTGCTCAGCCTGAAATGCCATTTTCCTCCTTCTATTCCCAACAAAATCTGATCCACTTTTCAAGGTCTGGTTTGATGTTCACTTCCTCTGGGAAGTGACCCCTGTATCCTTGGGACAGGCCTTGTATTTGGTTCTTATATTGCCCACATGCTCCTATCTGAGCAAGTATCCACCAGTATTTTCCTGGTCTGCTTCCCCACTAGACTGTGAACTCCTTGAGTATGGAGACTAGATCTCAGTGATCTGTAATTTGTGTTTCCAGTGTCCAACTCAGGCCCTGGCACAGAGGACAGAGAAGACACTTGCTTATTGTGTTTGTGCAGTCTACATCTCTCTGCCCTAGATGAGATGAACTTGTGGACAACTAATCCTAGTTCAACAAGGTAAATATTATAACAGAGAGCTGTGCAGGGAATTGGATGGGAGAACTAATTTGTCTGAGGTAGGAGGTGGCATCCAGAAAGGTTTCTCTACCTTGAATGGGACAGAAACAGATAAAAGAATGAAGTCCTCTCTGAAAAGGGCCAATGAACTCGTGGCAGAGAAAGGGTTCAGTCAGTACCAGATTCTCATTCAAGATCAAGCTCTGACCTGCAGCTCTTGGTCTAAAATTCTAAAATGGGGCTATCTCTAGGGAAGAAAAGATTACAATGTGATTTCCCAAGGCCCCCAGATCCTGACCCCATACCCCTCCCAAAGTATAGGGCATGTGTATCGGGGGAGAATACCATGTAAAGCAGCATATGACAGTGCTGATGGATAATAAAGTCACGAATGGGGTCTCCCTATTGGTAGCTCTCAGACTGTTTGGGTATGAATGCATTTGTGGAGAGTGAAGGTGTGAGGGGAGATCGACCACACACTTACAAGCTAGGTGCATGTATATGAGTGTCAGGCCTTCTGTGACAGCAGCCTAGGATCCCCTTCCTTCTCACCCACTGTCCTGGCCCACCATCTCTCCACTATTTTCGGCCTCATGCCTGGGCCCCAAACCTCACTGAATCCTAGTCATGGAAGTGGCTCTCCACAGACTATAGTCGCACAGCAGCTGGAGGGTTTTGGGTGGGATTGCTTGTGGAGCCTATAGAAAAAGCAAGATGACTACTCTTAGAGCGAGGAAGTCCTGAAATGTCTCCAAAGAGCTTTGGTTTCTGCCTTTCCACTCTTCTTGATCGTGACAGCCCTCTGAGGAACGTTGGCTAGAGACTTTGATTTCCATTTTACTGAGGAAGCTACTGATGCCCAGAGAAGCAAGAGAGCTTGTTCAAAGCGCCACAGCAAATCAACCCTACTTTACACATCAGTGGGGAGGTAAGAGCTATAATCTCAATCACTCAGTTCATTCAAAACCAGACTTGACCAAGTTAGAGAGACTTTCACAGGTGCTAGTGAATTGCCCTGGGGGCCAGTGTCCCATAAAGGCCAGAATGGACTTTTAAAAATATACAGACAGATAAATAGGTTACATATAGATATAATCTTTTCCCCCACTTTCCCATGCCCTTTAATGCACACGACAACCAACCATCTATGCAAAGAAAACTTTCCAGAGGGCCTGAAGAATGGATGTGGATTTGTGCAACTCCTGCCTACTTTCCCTTCTTTCTCACCTACCTTTTATTCTAGAGGTTTTTTCTTCCATCGCTAATTATCCAACACTCGGTTCTCTTGCATTTACAGACCCCCAAGGCAGGTCCAGTGGGTGGCATCAAAGAGGAAGCCTGGAGGTGTTCGTTGGTTCCCTGAGAAGGCTGAGGACGTACCCTTGTTAAGTGGGGGATGTATGTGCTCTGTTGAAATATCAGCTGTTGTAGTTGCCAAAGACGTTCCTGAGCCACCAGAAGCCTTTTCTCTTCAGTCCAACCATGTGTTCACCTTGCCCCAAAGGTCAGAACTAATATTAACAAGCCACTGCAGAATGGGGAAATTAAAACCAGCCATGGAGACAGGCAAGTTCTGGATTTCGCTGGTGCTGAGTTTCAGATCGATCTTCAGTGTAAATGGGCATAATCCCTTACTGGAAAGCAATCTGGCAATATGAAGCAAGAGCAATAAAAATGTTCATTTCCTTTGTCCTAGTTATCGCACTCATGGGAGTCAATCCTGAGTCAATAACTCCCAAAGCATGAAGAAGCTCAGGACATGCAAATTTTTATTTTAATCACAGAGCTATTTTCTGATAGCAACAACTGGTAACCTTTTAAGTCCTCCAGGAGGAAAAGCAGTTTACTGCGTCTTTGCTGTAACCATTGAGGATGATGGCTCTAAGACTTAAATTCTGGGGAACAAATAATTATGCTGCAATTCTGGGTGAGGAACCTAAAGATGCATCGTTATGCTTTTCCCTGGACATTGGGCATATCCATTACTTCTAATTTTTGTGCTCTCAAAAACAAGCCATGAACCTGTCGATGCTCTTGCTATTATCCTTTGTTCATTCATTCACCTGACAAATATCTATTGCTTCCCAACATATGCTGTGTCCAGTATTAGGGGATGGGGCTAACAAGATGAACCAGACATGGTCATTGCTCTCAAGTTGCTGGCATTCTAATGGCAGCAGAAATAGAAGTCAATGATAGCTGTGTATTATAAGTACTGTGACAGAATGGACCATAGGGTGCCGTGGGGCCCCAGAGGAAAAGACTTAACTGGGGAGGTGTGTGGTCAGTAAAAACACTCAGAAAAGTAATTATTGAGCTAATTAAGACAGGGTGTGAATCCTGGCTCTACTACTTCAGTGTAAGAGAGAGTGAACTGTGAGAATGAAATGAATTCATTCGACGTCTCTAACTTAGCCTCCATGTCCCGAACTGGGTTGTCTTGAGAATGAAATGAGATAACATATACAGAAGAGCCATGGATGCATCCGGAGACAATGCTGCTCACGAGCTTACATTTCCTGGGCTTCGATTTCACTTATCTGAGAAACAGAACCAAGAGTAAGGATGTGTCCGGCTACATCCTTCAGAATGTTAAGAGCCAAGACAAAAGCTACAGGGCAGGCTTGAGACAGCCTCCTCCTCCTCCCCTCTGCCCCAATAAAGCCAAAGGCCCTCCTCCTAAGTCTTATCTCAGTGGAGCGACTCTTACTGCTCCCTCCTCCAACCATGAACTTCCCTTTGCCCAGTCCAACGCGAGCACTTAGCGCCAGCTATTCCTGGGGCGCAAGCGCTGCAGCCATCTGTGAACTTAGGTGGGCGGTCCGCCGCACTGAGGGCGGGGCTTTGGCAGCTGAGCAGTTCCGCTCAGGGTTCCGTCGCTTAAAAAGTGGCAAAATGCCGTTTGTAAGTAACCGGACGCACCACTTGGACTTCTGAGTAGAGGAAAAACGCATTGAGACTCAGCTGTCCGAGCGGAAGGAGCGGGAGCCCAACTGGAAACTCCTCTCGCCATTCATTGCCCCTAGGCTTCCGCTTTGCTTCCTTCAGCGTCCACCCAGTTCCTCCTCCCGCCAATGAGAGCTGAGGAAGTTGAAGCCCCCGCCCGACGTGCGTCAGGCGCTTTAGTGGTACGCACGAGAACGCCTGCGCAAACGCGCGCGGGAGGCGGGCCTGGCCAACTTCTGAACAGGAAGCAGTTCGCTCGCGCCTAGGTTGGCGCGGGCTGGGAGGTGTTCCAGCCCTTTAAGATGTTGCGCGTGGTGAGCTGGAACATCAATGGGATTCGGAGACCCCTGCAAGGGGTGGCAAATCAGGAACCCAGCAACTGTGCCGCCGTGGCCGTGGGGCGCATTTTGGACGAGCTGGATGCGGATATCGTCTGTCTCCAGGAAACCAAAGTGACCAGTGAGCGCTCTGGATTCCAGGATCCCTACATACTTTTTCTTTCCCGCTAACTTTTGTCCCCTGTCCCATGTAATTTTACTTTCCCAGTTTCCTATTCTTAGAGTCCTGTCCTTAGACCCAGGTCCCTTCCCTCTTAAACTTCCATTTCCCACCCTAGCTAGATCCCCTAATTGCACTCCATCTCCTGTCTTCAGCAAACTTTAGCTCCTTCTCGAAACCCCATATCTAGTCAGATTCCCACTCATTCTCCGGCCCCAAACTCAGTCCCCTGAATTTCCTCCTTCCATACGCTGTCCATCTCCCCGCCGCCAAGTCAAACCCCCGAATTCTTCATCCCTGCCCCAAGCTCAGATCCTCTAATTCCCACCCCATCTTTGACCCCAGCTCAGTCTAATTTCCTCTTTTTCACATTTCCACCTCAGAACCCCAGTACCCCTTATCTATTCCCATCTCTCCTCCCAGCGGAAAGTCCCTAATTCCCACCTCATTTCCCACCCCAAGCTTAGATGTCCTCTTATTTCTTCACCCTCTTATCTCCCCTCAGAATCCCCTAATTCCTTTTCCCTCCACCCCCAGTTCAGATCCCCTAATTCCCTCTCTCTTACCTCTCACCCTTAGCTCAGATTCCCACCATCCTCTCGTATGTCCATCCCCATCCCCAGCTTCCTCCTATCGTTCAGACCCCCAGGCTTAGCTCTGATTCTTTCCCCTTCCCACCTAATTCTCCACCTCCACTTCATAGTCTCTAACCGCCCCCCACCAAGCCTTCTAATTCTGATATCAATTTCCTCTCTGACATTTCCCATCTTTCTAGGTCCTCCTCTAATCATGGATATTTCATTCCCGTCACCCCCAACTCTGGCTCTGATGTGTGCAAGGAATTAGCCTACAACTGTAATTCCAGGCCTTTGTGTTTCTCGGATGCTAGTTTTACCTCTGACTTAATCTTACATTTTTTTTTTCCAGGGGATGCACTGACAGAGCCCCTGGCTATCGTTGAGGGTTATAACTCCTATTTCAGCTTCAGCCGCAACCGTAGCGGCTATTCTGGTAAATGGGGCTTTCTGTGGACTTTAAATTAGTGAGGGAGGCAGATAGGGGAAAAGGGTTTCCAATATTTGATGAGAGGGTAATAAGAAATCTTAGACATTTAGTTTACAGAGCTAAAGCTGCATAATAGTAAATTACATGAAATATAATTTTTATGGATAGAATTATCCTACTGGACCTCAGAAGTACAGTAGTAGTGTGGTGCTTAATTGTGTGAACTGTGGAGCCAGACAGCCTGGGTTTGAATCATGGCTCATTTCCTAGCTGTGCACCCTCTGGCAAGTTACATTACCTCTTGGTGCCTCAGGTTCCTCAGCTAGAAAATGAGGATAATGTTTACCTTCCGGGGCTGTTACAAGGATTAAATGAATTAATCCATGTGATAATAATAATTGCTAATACGTCTTGAGCACTCACCATGTATCAATGTAAAACACTTAGAACATTCTGTGGCTTTTTTAGATGTAGGAACTGAGACTCCAGGGTTTGAATAAGGTTGCCCAAGAACCACACTTTATGAAGATGACTTAGATGACTTGTGTGGGGACAATTGGAGTGGGACAGGCTGTGCAACAGGCTATTGACTGCCAGGTCTGCTCAGAGTGCCCTGTCTGTTCCCAGGTGTAGCCACCTTCTGTAAGGACAATGCTACCCCAGTGGCTGCTGAAGAAGGCCTGAGTGGCCTGTTTGCCACCCAGAATGGGGATGTTGGTTGCTATGGAAACATGGATGAGTTTACCCAAGAGGAACTCCGGGCTCTGGATAGTGAGGGCAGGGCCCTCCTCACACAGCATAAGATCCGGTAATAGCTCATATCTCCCTGCTACTGAGCACTGCTGGTGCTACTCTTTGAGTGTGAAGATTCTAAGGCTTGCCATGTAAACATACATGCACCGTGGAGAAGTTCCCAAATTTGCCTTTCCTGGTTTAGTCCTGGCTGGGCTACTCAGTGTGTGACCCTGGCAAATTTTTCCCCCCTCTGAAGCTTGAGTTTCCATCTCTACAATGTGGGGCTGGCCTAGTGATCCAGCTCTTATTACCATAGACATCTCAAAAGCAACTTAGTGCTGAACTCAGTGCCCCAGGTTGCTGTCTTTCTGGGTGTTCTGTGTGAATAGCAGCACCATTACCTGGTGGTAATCCTTAGATATCCCTCTCCCTGCCTTATCAGTAGTCAGTCCCCAAGTCCTGTGCATGCCAGATCATTTGTGTCTCTTTAACCCCTTTCTTTTCCATCCCAGACAGTCACAAAATGGAAGCCATGTGGTATGGGGAAGGGACAGAAGGGGAGGTTTGAAACTGACCCCTTTTGGGGGTTTCTCTTTTCTCCAGCACATGGGAAGGTAAGGAGAAGACCTTGACCCTAATCAACGTGTACTGCCCCCATGCGGACCCTGGGAGGCCTGAGCGGCTAGTCTTTAAGATGCGCTTCTATCGTTTGCTGCAAATCCGAGCAGAAGCCCTCCTGGCGGCAGGCAGGTACTGCAAGCCTGGGCAGTAAGGCTTCCTTGAGTTGGTCCTGGGTGCCCAGCCCTGTGTCAAGCTCCATTGAAAGGGATATGGACCCTTTGTCTCTGAGTTCTTTCACAGCATAGTTGCAAACACCAATATGCCCACCTGAATAGGCTCTGCTCAAAACAAACATGGGTTTTGTACTCTGAGCACCTATTCAGGCTCCTGCTCTTACTCATTGTGAGCCCTAGGGCTAGTCTTGCCTCTGTTTTCTCTTTTGTCAAATGAATATATGAATCTCTACCCTACACAATAGTTTTAAGGGTAAAATGAGATGAGAATGGTAAAGTGCGTGGGAGCAAAGGAAAGTCTTGTTCCAGCGGAGGACAGGAAAGTGAGGGTGGGTTAGAGCAATCAAGGGGAGGTGGTATCTGAGCTCAGCTTTGAAGGACAAGAAAAATGCCCATTGGCTCCTGATTAGTGAGGCAGTCATGTCAAACATGGAACACTGTCACCTTTGGAGATCAGAATTGGGTTGGTCAGATATGAAAGGCAGCAAGTTTGTGGTAAGATTGGAGAGGTAGGCTGTTATGAGTTGCTGTTGGCTAGGAAGCCTCAATATGGGAGAGGGCCTGTCTGAGCTCTTGGGCCCAGGAAAAAGTATATGGGCCAGGACTGCTGCACCCCTTTCTAACAATCCCACATTGTGTTTTTCAGCCATGTGATCATTCTGGGTGACCTGAATACAGCCCACCGCCCCATTGACCACTGGGATGCAGTCAACCTGGTAAGGCTCCCTCTAGGTGCCTGGCCCCACTCCTGACTGATTCTGTTTGTCCAGCCAACCAACCCTGAGTTTTTGGCCCAGGGACAGCTTCCTTTATGGGAAAGCGGAGCTTGGCTTGCAATACTATTCTTATAGTACTGAGGATTGGTCATTCATTCAATAGACAATACTGACTCTGCCCATGGCCTGGCCCTGAGCCACATACTGAGGACTCAGGAGTCAGATCCAGCCCTTGGCTCCTAGGAGCTCTCCAGCATGGTGGTGGGCTACAGACACATGGCTAGCCAATTATAGGATGGTATTCTCAGGGCAGAGGCACAGATGGCATCCCAGAAAGCTACAGGAGCTCAGAGATGGGATTCCTAGGTGAGCTCGGACATCAGGACAGGCAGCTGAAAATGGCTGAATCTTAACAGATGAGTAGAACAGAGCTTTGAAGTAGAAAGCATTCTAGCATGGGCAAAGGTTTCAAGGTGAGAATTTGCATTGTGTGCATGGGGAACCACAAGTCCCTTTCTTCTTAGTGACACAGGAAGGGAGGTGAGTGGCAGAAGGTGGGGCTGGAGAGTTGTTGGGGGTCAGATTTCAAGGACTGTGAATTCCACATTGCCTTGGTCATTTCCTTAATACACTGTATTTCTTGTTTATGAACTTTCAGTACCTCCCTGTTACCTCTGTGATGCAGAGAAAACATGGAGACCTAGCATTCAAGGCTCTCCTTGGTCTGTGACCTGTCTCTTATTTCCACCTTCAGTGTCCCTACACATTTTGTCCTCTCTAGACAGGTTGTCTCCTGTCGGCCCGTTGTAAAAGTTATTCTCATTCTGGCTTTTCTCACTGTGCCCTGAATTGGTGGACATGACCCCCTCCCTGTCTTTTTGTTATATGAACCTCTTATCTCTAAGTTCCCCTAGGCCCATGGTTTTCAGCCCCTAACTGCATATTAGAACAAAAATATCAATATCTTAGCACTACTCCAGATCAATGAACTCAGAACTCTCGAGTGTGGGGCCAGGGTAGTGGCACGTTCTAAAAGCCCCCAGTGTGACTTTATTGTGCAGCCAGGCTTGAGAACCACTGCCCTAGAATCCACAAGCCAGCTCTCATCTTTTCTTGCCTTATGTCTCACGATGGGGGATCAGTGATTTATGCTGGTACAGTCCTACTCAGCACTGGGCTTGGCTTAGAGAAGGGACCGTGGGAATATTCCTTGATTAATTCACAGAAGAGCTACATAAATGTAGATATGGCTCCCAGCTGGGAAAATGAGCAGAAGTGAGAGAATGAGAGAATGGTGGTGGTGGTGTGGTGGGGAGCGGAGATAATGCTACAAAGTGTGAGCCTTCAGTCCCTCCCTGCCTCATTCCTCTTATGCATTCATTCAGTGTGTTCTTTCAGATTCCTGTGATAGCATCATACATCTTTGTGCCTTTTCTACTTAGTTCAGAGGTATCCTAGATCTCTTATGTATACCTCTTTCATTTTCTCCTCCAGGAAAAGAGAACTAATAGTGCCAGCTCAGATGACTTACACAGTCTTTCCAAAATAGCAGAACATACCCACTTTCTACCAGGCTTGCTCTTTTAGTCTTGTCATTTCTGTAAATGGCACCATCATCCCCTTGATTGCTTCAACTTAAAGCCTGGGAATTGTGCTAGTATTGTCTTTCTTTCTTACTCCACTTCCCACATTCAGTTAGTCAGCAAGTACTGTTGATTCTAGCTACAAATCATCTCATAATTTCATGTTTCTGTCTCCTCTGGCACCCACCCTAGTCCAAGTGACCATCATCTTGCTTGTGTGACTATGGCAGCCATTTCCTGCTGGTATTCTGGTCTCCAGTCTGGTCTTTCCTCAAGTCTTTTGGGTACGCAGCACACTCCCTCCACAGGCCCAGCACAGAGACTGTTCTTAAAGTTAGGAGCACCCTCCACCTAGGTTACTCTTACTCAGCCCCCACACCTCAGCTCCAGATCACTTCTCGAAAGGAAGCCTCCTTGGTCCCCAGGAGTAGATCAGGTTCCTACTTTGTCCCTGGCATCATGCATGGCACATAATAGGTATTCCATGAACATTTCTTGCATTGAATGAGTGGGTGGGTAGGTGGATTGAATGGATGGACTGATGGATGATGGATTGGGGATCAGAGCCTAAGGAAGTATTCAGACCTGGATCCTTGCAGGTCCTCAGCTCAGGAGGTAGGAATGGTCATTGAGGGCTTTGACACACTAGATAAACCAAATAGTGCCAGAGGGTTTAAAGGAAGAAGCTGACAGTCTTCCTAACTCTTAACCCCAGCCCTGCTTCCTAGAGGCAAACACTTTTAACTTCCTGTTTTCCATCCTTTTGAAAAGCAGTTCCAGGAATTGCTTTGAGTAAGCAAACTTTCAGATTTGCCATTGACGGACCAATGCAAGACAAATGCAAGCTCGTGCAGAGGGAAAAACAAGCATGGTCTTTTAAATCAGTAAGGATGAAAATCAGAATCCCAGCTCTGCCAATTCCGGACTGTGTGACCTTGAGCAGTAGTCCTCTTGGGACAACCAAATTTTCTTATTTGCAAAATGCAGCAGTTAGTCTAAGTCCCTTCCAGTTCTAGGTATCTAGTTCTGTCTCTCTCTCTTCCAACCCCCTTTCCTCCTCACCTAGGAATGCTTTGAAGAGGACCCAGGGCGCAAGTGGATGGACAGCTTGCTCAGTAACTTGGGGTGCCAGTCTGCCTCTCATGTAGGGCCCTTCATCGATAGCTACCGCTGCTTCCAACCAAAGCAGGAGGGGGCCTTCACCTGCTGGTCAGCAGTCACTGGCGCCCGCCATCTCAACTATGGCTCCCGGCTTGACTATGTGCTGGGGGACAGGACCCTGGTCATAGACACCTTTCAGGCCTCTTTCCTGCTGCCTGAGGTGATGGGCTCTGACCACTGCCCTGTGGGTGCAGTCTTGAGTGTGTCCTCTGTGCCTGCAAAACAGTGCCCACCTCTGTGCACCCGCTTCCTCCCTGAGTTTGCAGGCACCCAGCTCAAGATCCTTCGCTTCCTAGTTCCTCTCGAACAAAGTCCTGTGTTGGAGCAGTCGACGCTGCAGCACAACAATCAAACCCGGGTACAGACATGCCAAAACAAAGCCCAAGTGCGCTCAACCAGGCCTCAGCCCAGTCAGGTTGGCTCTAGCAGAGGCCAGAAAAACCTGAAGAGCTACTTTCAGCCCTCCCCTAGCTGTCCCCAAGCCTCTCCTGACATAGAGCTGCCTAGCCTACCACTGATGAGCGCCCTCATGACCCCGAAGACTCCAGAAGAGAAGGCAGTGGCCAAAGTGGTGAAGGGGCAGGCCAAGACTTCAGAAGCCAAAGATGAGAAGGAGTTACGGACCTCATTCTGGAAGTCTGTGCTGGCGGGGCCCTTGCGCACACCCCTCTGTGGGGGCCACAGGGAGCCATGTGTGATGCGTACTGTGAAGAAGCCAGGACCCAACTTGGGCCGCCGCTTCTACATGTGTGCCAGGCCCCGGGGTCCTCCCACTGACCCCTCCTCCCGGTGCAACTTCTTCCTCTGGAGCAGGCCCAGCTGAACCAATGGAGGCCTGGGGACATCTGGCATGGTCACCCCTGCACATGATCTGAGGCCAGCTCCCCTTCCCTGAGCTGCCTCCTGCTTCTCCCTCAAAGTCTCCTACCCTTCTCTTCCTCTTTTAAGCCCTCTCTTCCTCGCTTTCCTTCCTACCTAGCTCCTTGTTGGTGAGCTTCTTGTGCCTTAATCCTGTGACCCAGCCCCTTACACCACTTTCCACCTTCCTGTCCGAAGTACACGGACACTAGCTGCCCCAGGAAGTTGTGTGATTTTAAATCACTTCTGTCTTTGCTGGAAAGTGTATTTGTGCATAAATAAAGTCTGTGTATTTGTTTCAGGGTTGCACTTTGGACATTGTGGAGGTACTCCATAAAGTTGAGTCAGAGAAGCTATCTCAATACTTGGTTTGCCGGCTGGCTGTAGCCCAATGATGTAATTCCCAGAGAAAGGGGAGGAGGGAGGGGGGAGGAGGGAATAGTGAGGCGTGAGCAGCAGTGCTCACCATAAAGGGTTCTCTGCTCAGTTGTAGGAATTTCCTGTACGGCTAAGGTGAAATCAGCAAGGAAGGTGGGCTGTGTAGCCTTAAACCAGAGCTTTCCAGCTAGTGCGTCCCACAGCTGCCACAGTGGGTTACAGGGTTGAAAGAAACGGTCCTCAGCCCTCAGAGTTGCCAGGCAGGGCCTGGGACCACACAAGTTTCAGGGACGATTGCCTCCTTAGCAAGTAGTATCATTAGTACCCCTAAGTGTGCCATGGAAATGTTTCCTGTATACTGTGACCTGGAAAGTGGGAGCATTGCTTTGAACACAGTGCTTGCTCTAGCCAAGCCTCTTCTCACCTTTGAAAATGGGACTGGTAGACCAGGCACAGTGGTGCACGCCTGTAATCCCAGCACTTTGGGAGGCTGAGATGGGTGGATCACCTGAGGTCAGGAGTTCGCAACCAGCCTAACATGGTGAGACCCCGTCTCTACTAAATACAAAAAAATTAACTGGGCGTGGTGGCGCGTGCCTGTAATCCAAGCTACTTAGGAGGCTGAGACAGGAGAATAGCTTGTACCTGGGAGGCGGAGGTTGCAGTGGGCTGAGATCATGCATTGCACTCCAGCCTGGGCAACAAGAGTGAAATTCAGTCTCCAAAAAAAAAAAAAGAAAAGAAAAAGAATGGGACTGGTAAATCCTGTTCTGTGGGATGCCGTGGGAGGGAGAGAGGATAATGGATTGAGGAAGACATCCATATCCCCTTATGGAAAATACCTCTTTGGTTTTGGGGAACCACTCCTTTCTAGGGAATTTGGTTAGGGCTGACTCATTTCCTGGCTTCAGGGGCTACCCTGGGCCCAGATTTCCAGGGCCCGGATTACCAGTGAAGCGTCAATCCCTGGATTTTTATTGAAACCATTGGAGAAGAGCCATCTCAAATAAATCTGCCAAGTATCCTAGCTCTTTGCAACTCACTGTGTAGTTTTTGGGCATTTCCTTCCTCTTTCTCATTCTGTTTCCCTGTTGGTAAAATGGAATGGTGACCAACAAGTGACCTATGGTTACCTCATAGATCTGCCACTTGTCTGAGGGAGTCAGAATGCACTTGTCTGTTCCCTGTCCAATAAAAGGCTTCACATGCTGTGGTTTGTGCTTTATTTTTAGGCTCAATTCAGCTAGAGGCACACAACAAAGCAGAAGACAGGAGTAGGCCTGGACCCAAGTGAAGCGCAGGTGGGGTGTGAATCCTAGGCAGCTGGCTTCTCAGGCATAGGTGGTGACATACTGGGGCCCCATGTTCCCGAAGTAGGAACGTTCCCACTCACTCATGAGCTCAAAGTGTACAGGACGGCGACAGAAATTGCAGGCAGCCACAGACACATCCTGGAGGGGCAGCCCCACCGCAGTCCAAGCCAGCAGCAGCTTCTCTGAAGGTGGTAGGGGGAGGGGAGGGAAAAAATGGGTTAGACTAGATCTTCCAAATCTGTCACAGTACAGATGAGCCAAGATATTGATCCCCCTCAACCCTTCAAGATACCTCAGGGCCAGAAGTAGCCTACTGTTTGCTTCTGTGTGTGCCGTGAATATTACCATTTGTATCTGGATGCTGGGATATATATTATAAAAGATTTGGAAGCTCTCCTTTGACACAATTTGAAGCCATACTGTCCTGGCCTGGACCACTCCCTAAGTATAGGATGTGCTGTGGCCCAAGAATGACTGTCTGCTTGGGAACTCTAAGCCCTATGAGGACAATGATAATGACAGTAACTATACTGTGTCATTGGTGCTATGACCAGGAAACCTGGGGTAGGGGGTCCACCTGGGGGTGTGAAAACCCAGAGAAGGGAACCTGACCTAGCTGGAGGAAGTACCCCAGGTACGTTCCAGGGCTCTGTTCTTGGCCTTTTCTGTGTTCATGCCCTTGTTGATCTTGTCTAGTCACATGACTTTAAAGACCATCTATATGCTGATGGTTCAGAAATTTTAATCTCCAGCTCACGCCACTCTACTGGTTTCCAATCTTGTATATCCAATGGCTTTTCTCCATCTCCACCTAGATGTCTAATATGCATTTCTAACTTAGGAGTACAACTGAGCTACTCATGTCCCTACCCTCCACCAAGCTATTCTACTTTTAGCTTTTCCCATCTCAGTGGATGGCAATTCCAGTTGCTCAGTCCAAAAATTTCAGAGCTATCCTTTATTTTTCTCTTTCTCTCTTACCCTATATCCCATCTATCAGCAAAGACCCTTGGCTCTACCTTCAAAATCTGACCACTTCTTATTGCCTTCATTATGATCAAGTCTGAGCCACCATCATCTCTCACCTGGGATATTACTGTAGCCCACTCTTGGGTCTCCCTGCTTCCACCCTTGCTCCCTTTTAGTGTATTCTCTACATAGAAGTTGGAGCAATTTTGTTAAAACCCGAGTCAGAAATATCAGTCCTGTGTTCAAATCCTTTCAAGGGCTCTCAGAGTAAAAGCCAAACTCCTTCTAATGGCCTACCATACCCTATACAATCTGGTCCCACATTGCCTCTATGTACTCAATTTTTCTGTCTCCCACTTGCTTATACCATTCCACCCACACCCATCTTCTTACTGTTCCTCAAATATAAAAGGAATACTCCTGTGTCTTCCCTGCCTTAGGATGTTCCCTCTGCCTGCGATGCCATTCCCTTAGATATCTGCCTCACTAACTTCACCTCCTTCAAATTTTTGCTCAAGTTTCACCTCAGCGTCTTCTACCCTTGCCACTCTAATACTACAACCCTTCTCTGAACTCGCCCCTGGCCCCTTATCCCATTCTCCTTATCCTGCTTTATTTTTTCCCATAGCACTTAGAACTAATGTGCTACTTAATTTGCTTATTTTTGGTAATTTTTTTTACTACCCCTTCCACTAGAATGTAAGCTCCAGAGGGTAGGAATTTTGTGTCTGATTTGTTTGCTACTGCATCCCCAGTGCCTAGAACAGTATCTAGTACACAGTTGGTACTCAATAAATATTTGTTGAAAGAATGCCTAAGTTAAGTCTACAAGATGAAGGAAAGTAAGCCAGAGGAAAGTGTGAGGGAGGGCATTCCAATCAAAAGAGAGCAGCATGAGCAAAGTCCCAGAGGTAAGAGAGCAGAAAAAAATGAGGGAACGACAAGTCCTTCAGTGTAGCTGAAAAAACAAAATGCATGTGGGGAGGAGGTGAGGGCATAGAGATCACCATGTGGAAGGCATTGAATGCTATGCTGAAGAGCTTCAACTCTGTCCTATATGTCAATGTTTCCAAATTTTGGACTATACATCCCTATCAGTACAAATGTTTTAGCATGTACCTCCAATCTCTATATTTGTTTATATATTATATACATGTATAACTGTCAGTCTGTATATTAAAGATCAGTATCAGTGATGCTTGATTTCCTATTTTTAAGATAAAAAAACATAAAATTCTAATACATATTCTGTTCCTTCACCCTGTAATCATTTTGCATACCCCTTGGAGGTCACTGCTTTAGAGTCTAGAGGGAAACATGAAGGGGTTTAAGCAAGGGAGCAATATAGTCAGAATTTTAGAAAAATCCCTCTAGTGGTCATCATCGAGAAAGGATTTGAGAGGAGCAAGAGAGAAGCAGAGAAATTAGGAAAAAAATCATGTTGACATGGATTAAAGAAGTGGCAGGGGAGAAAAGCAAATAGGTTTGAGAGAGATTATAGATAACTTTTGCAGGATTTCAGGATGGATTGGCTATGGAACTTAGGGACTGGTGGAGCCATCGTGGATGCCTCATATATTCTTACAAAAGCCTAGCCTAGGTGGACATTCAGAGAACCAAGAATACTGAGAGCTCTACAATTGAAGCCCAGAGCAAAAGAGAATACTGAACAAAAGGCCCAGGAGTCTGGGTCATCAGCTCAGAGAGGTGGTAGACCTAGCAGTTATGACCATGGAGGTAGAGACAGACCTCCCAGTTGCAACTTAGAAGCTGTGTGACCTTGGATCAGCGACTATATATTTTTGTGCCTCAATTTCCACATGTACAAAATGGAAATGATAAGAGGATCTCTAACTCTTGAGGTTGTTGTGGGGATTAGATGAGTTAATACGTGTAAAGTGTTTAGAACAGTGCTTGGCACATGGTAAGTACTTAATGTTAGCCAGCATTATTTAATGTTTTTGAATGAATGAATGGCGCCTACCTAGCTTGTCTTCCTTGAATTCTCATACTGCCCATGCTTCAGACAAACAGAATTATGTTGTCAATACATACCCACTGCTTTCCTATCTCTAGGTCATTGCTCGTGGAATTCCCTTATTCTGGAATATTCTTACAACATATTCACATGTACTTCAACATGCATCATAAAAACTTCCTTACTCACAAAGCCTCTCCAATTTCATCCTTCCCACCCTCTCTCTCCATAATGTGTCCACTCCCTCTAGCTCCCAGAATACTGGAGCTCATCATACTGGACCAGTACCATCTATATCTGGCTCCTCTGCTAGACCATCAACTGCCTACATGTCTTTCATCCAACAGGCCTGGAATGAGCACCTATTCAATGTCAGGCCCTGCATTAAAAACTACCCAGGCCGGGCATGGTGGCTCACGCCTGTAATCCCAGCACTTTGGGAGGCCTAGGCAGGTGGATTACGAGGTCAGGAGTTCGAGACTAGCCTGGCCAACATGGTGAAACCCCATCTCTACTAAAAATACAGAAATTAGCTAGGCATGGTGGCACGTGCCTGTAATCCCAGCTACTTGGGAGGCTGAGGCAGGAGAATTGCTTGAGCCAGGACCCGGGAGGCAGAGGTAGCAGTGAGCCAAGATCGTGCCACTGCACTCCAGCCTGGGCTACAGAGCCAGACTCTGTCTCAAAAAAACAAAAACAAAAACAAACAAACAAAAACAAAACTACCCAACAGAAATCCAACAAACATTAGGTGAATTGACTAAACTGGCATTTTCAGGGTAAATCTCAAACTACTCAGCTCTACAAGCCTCTCAATCCAGTCTCTATCTCATGTTGTCTTTGTAGACTCATAGATTGATACTCCCCTGCCCCACTCCATTCCTATGACCCTACATTCCAATACCACCTGCTTATTGTTCTTGATATATCCCTGGCTGCTTCTCATTCTCCTCACCTATCTTCATGCTCTTCCCTCTGGTAGGAATACTTCTTCCATGCCCTCTTTCTTTTAATACCACTCACTTTGCAAGACTCAGCTCAGGTGTCACCTCTACTAGGAAGTGGGTCTTGCATCCCTCAGGCTGAGTCAGGCCCCTCCTCTCTGCTCCGACAACTCTATCATGCACTGCCTTGTGGAGCTTTGATCATCCCTTAGTGTCATTGTTTGTGTTCACTATGGTATCCCCAACCAAACTGGAGCCCTACAAGTGTAGGGGCTGCTTCTCATTTATTTGTGACCCTAGTATAGGTGCTGGCACACATTAGATGTTCCAGAAATATTTTGTAAACTCAGTGGTCTCTGTCCTCTCAGCTTCTCTTTCAGATCCTGGGGCTGAGGGGAGGGAGGTCCTGTAGGCACCCATGTTGAGAACTTACCCACAAAATCTTCCATCATCTGAGGGCTGTGGTGGGGGGAGGGTGCCAAGCGCAGGAGCTCTTCACCCCGGGGGACAGTTGGGTAGTTGATGGCCTGCACATAGATGCCATGCTTGGAGAGCAGGAGATCACAGAGCTTGCTGTTGAGTGCTGCATTGCCCACCTGGACTCAGGAGAAAGGCTAATCAGTACCTGCCACTCTGGCTCCACCATCACTAGCTCCATTAAGCAGATGGAGGGAACTAGATGAGGGAACATCACTGAATTTTGGGATAGATTTTTTTTTTCCATTAGGGGCTTAGTGGCAGCTCCAGAATTTCTATCAAGGAGGAGCTCAGAGCTAGCAATTTGGTTTGAAAAGGATGGAGCAGAGGTGGTACCAGGAGCCCTGTTTGGAAGCTGTTTGCAGAGCAAGCACACTGATTTTACTTAGCTAATATCTTAGTTTGGGATGGTTCTGGGTGAGAAGATACCCCCCACCAAGCCAATTCTGGAACCCCCGCCAAGCCAATTCTGGGGTGCTGTCACTAAATTAATTCATAAAATGAGTGTTTAAAGGAAATACTAGGTTAGTCTAAAGAGCAGTGACTATTTCTCATCCACAAAATTGTCACAAATAAGTGTCCTTTCCCTGCCCTGGCTTACTGACTCACACAAATACGTGTTATTTAAGAAAGAAGTAGCAGTTCATTTTTAAAGGCAGTAAATGCTCATATTGAGGATCCAAAGTAGCAGCTAATCCTATGGCTTTTGATTTTATTTTTCTGCCCTCATTTCTCAATAAGAAGTACGTTTTACACCGTGACCATAAACGCACACATACACATACATGTGTATATGCAAATACCCAAAATGCATACAAATTTTTCACAAATTGATGATACCCTTAGTATGTGATGTACTCCAACATTTTCTGTTTCTTTTCTTTTTTTAATGCTAATGATAACCCACTAAGCTGATTTTGTGACCCATTAATTGTCTTGATCCAGTTTGAAAAACTCTGAATTATAGGCTGTGAGCACTCGCTATTGTTAGGGTTAGGATAATCTAATAAGCATGAGGTAATGGCTGATGCAAGGAAAAGACTGGTTAATCCAGAATGGCTGATAATTTTTCAAAAAGGGAAACAAAGCTGGCAATAAAGGGAATGGTTAGCAGGAAAGCAAATAATTGAAGACAGCAACAGATGTAGGTTTGTTGGGAGCGTGAGGCTCCCAGAATAAATAGGTGGAGAGGGCAATGGGCATGGTGGGGCTCTCACCCGGATGGGGATGATGTGGCTGGGGCAGGGGATGACAGGAAGGCCCCTGTCCATGAGTAGCTGGCGCATGTGCTTGACATTGCGCTGGTGGGCTCGCCTCAGGGCTTGGCCCTCCTCTCCCTTGAGCAGCCGCACAGATTCTAGAGCTCCAGAGAGCACCATGGGGGGCAGAGAAGTGGTAAAGATGAAGCCTGCAGCATAGGAGCGCACCATGTCCACCAAGTCACGGGTGCTGGCAATGTAGCCGCCCACACAGCCAAAGGCCTTGCCTGGAGACAGAAAGGAATAAGATATACACAGATCCCATAATCAGTCCCAGAGCAACAGGATCATGTGCCAGATAACACAAGGGGGTGCACCAGAAGTTGGGGCTCCAGGCTGTCTTCCCAGGCCTCTGCTCATCTGTCCATGACAAGGCAGTCGTAGCTGATAATTCTGCTGCTTTGAGATAGGACTTTCAAGTCTTGCCATATGCAATGACTAGATAGGCAGGAGCTGGGTGGGGACCTTTAGCTGGATAGGGTCAGGAGTGGAGCTAAGATGAAGCTTGGGGCTAGGGTGGGGGAGGGGTTTAGAAACACAGCTCTTCACATACTCAAGTTGAATCTAACTATTTGGCCTAGTTCAAGGTCTTTTCAAAAAACTCTACCAGACTTTCTCATCAACTCTGCAGTGGGATGCGAGTGGAGAGAGGGAGTCCAGGATGGCAGCAGCCTGGGGCTGTGAATTCTGTCCAAACAACCCCTATAGCTTTGGGGAGGAGGCAGAAAAGAATTTTGTAAGGGCCTCCTCTCTGGAGGGTATATAAGAAGGCCCAAAGCATTCACTTACCAAGAGTTCCAGAGATGATGTCAATCTTATGCATAATTCCATCACGCTCCCCAATCCCAGCGCCCCGGGACCCATACAGTCCTACAGCATGGACCTCATCCACGAAGGTCAGGGCCCCATACTGGTGGGACACATCACACAACTCCTCGAGGGGACAGATGGCACCTGAGCAAAGCCAAGGGATAGAGGTAGGACATCATAACCCTTCCCCAGCTCCATCTCCAATGTGGAATTTCCCATACATGCCTACTTTGGGTTGGAAAAGGGTGTTGTAGAGAGGAAGGAGGATGTGCGCCTTCATTTAGAACTATTACAAACCTCTGTGTATGGATCGATTGCCTGTATCTCATCCCTGCCTTCTCTCTCTCTCTCTCTGTCTCTCTGTGTGTGTGTGTGTGTGTGTGTGTGTGTGTGTGTGTGTGTGTGTGTGTGTACGTGTGTGTGCGCATGTGTGTGTGTTCCCCAGCCTGGGATCAAGGCTTGACTCTTTGTCTTTCTGTTTTTACTTCATTCTGACAATGTCTATTTTCCTGTTTCTGCTGTGTTCAGCCTAGCATCATTTCAATGGGAGAGATTCAGCCTAAGGATCAACAGTTTGGGCAGAGTTTGCACCCCAAAAATAGGTAAATAACTATTTATTTGCAAATGTAACGAGGTAGAATGGTACCAACATAGTTTCCACTAGAGAAATAATGAATTTGAATAGTCTCAGTGGTAGAAATATACAAAAGGGATAGGATAGTTTTACTTTATTGCTAGTGTTAGAAATGTGGGAGTGGGCATAATAGTAAGTTTCTTACATATATTAACTCATTTAATTTGCATACCTATTTAATTATTATCACTTACATTTTTCAAATAAGCAACTGAGAACTGAGACACAGAGCAATTAAGAAGCTTGCCCAAGCTAGTAAATGGTCATGCTAGGATTTGAACATGGATAGTCTGGTTTTAGAGCCTGTGTGTATAGTCATTACATGCCACTTAAGATACCTAAATCAGGGAATACTATGGACTCTTTTGTTTCAGTTGGAAAAGGGACAAACTGAAATGAGTTGAGGACCTCTTCCCTTAAATAAATCCATAAGAGGATGCCTAAAACACATGATTTCTACACAACAGGGCCAGCAATAGAAAGCTTTGGACATTGTTTCAATTGAGCAAAGAAAGGAGGTAGGAGTGTGAAGATCATTTAATTCTACTAAAGCATAATAACTAGAATGGTTTCTATCATCTCTAATTCTTACAACCAGATATTTTACCTTTGGGAAAATTGAGGCTTAGACAGTTAAAGAGTTACCCATGGTCATAGCCAGTAACTGTCAAAGGTGGGATTTGAACCCAGGTCTCTCTGACTTGAAAACCTGTTTTGACCCCAATGCTTCATACTGGACCTTGAAAAAAATCCTAGGCAATGGTTTTTGAAATTTCCTTCATAAAAACCAAACACTGGGATTATTGATTTACATATCATTTCTAACAAGAGAAGTGTTACTCGAGGAATTGGAGTTATATGTGTTAGGGTGCAGATACTCACTTTAGCACCAACTTGCTGAGCCACTCAAGATGAATTGGATGCCAACTCTGAACTTTAGTTTCTTTACCTATAAGATGAATGTAATAGCTGCCTCCATTCTTTGGCATTTACTAGCTGTGTGACCTTGGACAAATTACTCTTATGTCTCAGTTTCCTCATGTAAAAAATCAAAATAATAATAACACCTATCACATAGAATTGTTCAGAAAATTAAATGAATTAATACATGTAAAATACTAATAATTTTGCTTGGCACATAATAAACACTATAAATATTAGCTGTTATAATGTTATCGTCATCATCATCATCATGATCATCATGGTTTTTGTGAGACCAACACTAGTAAACATACACTCACTCATATACATACCATCCATGGAGTGGACAGTCTCAAAGGCCACAATTTTGGGTATCTTAGGGTTAGACTTCTCTAGAAGTTTCTTTAGGTGGTCAGGGTCATTGTGCCTGAAGACAAACTTGGCTGCTCCACTGTTACGGATACCTTGGATCATGGAAGCATGGTTGCCTGCGTCTGAGTAAATCTCGCACCCTGAGGAAGCAGATGTATAATCCTTAAGCTTCTGTCCCAGTACTCCCACTTCAACCTTCAGGTTTGACCTGGCAAAGAAAAGGGCCAACCCTTTCTTCCCTTTGAAGACCTTGCTCTGCTTCTTCCTTCTCTGGGAACTTTTGTGACACTTCTTTCTCCCTTGGAAGGACTTCACTGTTCCCAAATTCTGACCCCTACATCCTTCCCTCCAGTCATTTGTAACCCTGGTCTAGCCTCTGACTGCCTTGGGGTGGAAGAACATTTAATTTCCCAAGAAGCTTCAGAGTTTTTTGAGGACGGGACCTATTTTCCTTCTCCCCAATATATAAGATCAAGACTTGAAAAAGGGATTACCCCAGGGAATGTTTGTTGACTCGGACTGATGCTAGATTGTTCCTAGTCTAGATGAAATTCCATCCATTCCAGGTAGCATCTGCTTGTGGTTACAGGGATGGATATTTATCAGGCTTTTACTGTTGGAATCATAAGCTTATGGCATGTCAGAGCTGGCAGGGCTGTTAGTGATCATGGGATTCATCCCTTTACTATACAAGTGAGAAAGCTAAGGTCCAGAAAGATTTGAAGAATGCAGGGCTTTTTACTGGGCAATCCTGGTGGGGCAGGTGGGCATGTGAAATTGGTAGAGGGAGTTGATTCCTGGACCTCCCCAACCCCTGCCACCAACTGCACTGCCATCAAGGAACTGTGGCCTTATTATAAGATTAAGGGATAACTTCCACCTGAGAAAATGAGTTATGGCTTTCTGGAGAAAATGGCTTGAAAGACAAGCAGACTGGGAGTTGCATGGGAGCAAAAACATCTTATTATCTCTCTGTCTCTGGTGTCCAGTATAAGAGTAAGCACACAGTAGATGCTAAGTAAACATTTATTAAATGAATGGATAAATAAACTGATGACAGATTTATAAGTAAGTGAATGAGTATATGAATGAATGTATTACTGAATGAAATAGTGAGAGGAGGGATGCAAAAAGGTGAGACCGAAGAGATACATAGAAGCCAGATTATTGAGAACTTTAGAAGCTGTGATAAGAAATTTGGATTTGGTCCTGGGGGAATGGGGGTCCACTAAAGGGTTTTGACCAGGGCTGAGGGTGGGGTGACAAAGATAGTTTTGCATTAAAAAAAATTCTGACTGTTGTAAAGAATAGATTATCGGAGGGCAAAGGTAAAATTTTCTTTAAAAAATGATGTTGGATCAGGCTAGGATGCTGGCAGTAGAGATGGAAAGAAGTTTAATGGTTGAGGAGGGGATGGACTAAAAACAACTTAAAGATGTTGAGTTTAGTTGGGGCTTATGGGTGGACTCAAAAAAAGTTTCTGAGAAGTGGTGGTAATATTTTTGCTGTGCTGAAGAATCAGCAGGAGGTGAGGAAGTAGATAGTAAGAGCGAAGACTTCTCTCAAGCAGTTTGCCTGTTATAGGGAGGAAAGAGGGCAGTAGCTAGAGAGTGATCAGGGGTTGAGGCAATGTTTTTTTATAAGATACAAGAGACTTGAAAACATGTTTAAAGAGAGGGAGAGGCTGAAGATACAGGAGAGGAGGAGAGAGCCAATAGGTCAAGATTCCTAAGGTGGTAGAGGGGAATGGGGCACAGAGCAACAGTGGAAGGATTAGTCACAAGAAAAAGGATACTTCTTCCACTATGACAGAAGAGAAGGAGTGAGGAGAGGACATTTGAAGATGCTTATGAGTTTGTAGGTGCTTTGTGGCTGGGAGTCAAGGACATTGCTGTCTGGTATCTTCTATTTTGAATGTAGTAGAACATGAAGTTGTCTGCTGAGGGAGATGGGGAGGAGGGGGTGTGGGAAGGCTGAGGATAATGGTGGTTTGGCAAAACTGCCCCATAAACTTCGAGAACTGACCAGGGAAATGGGATTGTCAGAGACCATGGAGAACCCAGTAGAGGTTAAGAGTATGAATTTTTAGTGACTCCTGTCTGAGCAACTGTATGAGCCCGGAATTGATATAGTGAAGATGGAGGGTTGTATTCATTCTGGATTGGGCCTTGGCGGAAGGACAACAAGGCGTATGAGGTGAGGACATTACAGACTAGAGAGTAGGAGACTGGGAATATGGGAACCAGTGTACAAGTGAAGGGATTGGTTTTAGGCAGAAGGAGAGATATGCCTTCCATTGTAAAAGGAAAGAATGAGGCAAGGCTAGATAAACAATTAGATAAGTTCGTAGGTTTGGTGGCAATAAATAAGGATTCTCTGTCTGGGGCTTCTGTTTTTATTGTGAAGTAAGATGTGAGGTTATTTGCTAAGTGTGGAGGAGAAGGTAGTCAGAGGTTTTAGAAGAGGAGAAGAAGTTTGAAAAAGCTCCTGTGGAGACATAAAATAACTATGTATGTGTGTTAAGAGCTCAGTTGAGTTGGGAGGTGATGAATTTATAGTGTTTCCTTTCTGTGAGGTGGGGTAATGTTCCCCGGTAATGGTCCTCTCTACGTGCAGAAGGAGAGAAAGCAGAGGGATATAATTATCCAGTGTTGAGGATATGCAAGGTGGATAAGAAGGAAGAACAATGGGAGTGAGGGAACTCCAAATACAGGGAAGGAGTGATGGAACCAGTGAAACTGGATGCTGTATTGCAGGATACCAGCCCTGAACAAAGCTCAGGCCTCAGGCTTACCTGGCAGGATCTTGGCCAAGGTGAAGAGAGTAGAGTCATTGGCAACAAAGCAGGAGGAGAAGAGCAGGGCTGAGTCCTTCTGGTGCAGCTCAGCCAGCTCCTGCTCAAGCTCCACATGAAACTTACTGGTGCCTGAGATGTTGCGGGTGCCACCAGCTCCAGCACCATGACGCTGCAGGGTCTCCCTGGCCAGGAGAAAACAGGAGAAAAGGAGAAAAAGAAACTCTTGTCAGGCATCGAGGAACTGGGTAGGTTTCTCTTCCTTGATGGGAGTCAATGTTGAGTTAGTGATCCTATATAAACTGTGTCCTATGAGACAAAGTAGAGGGAAGGATGGGGAGGATAGGGAGACATGTGCCTTCCTTCTAGGACTGGAGGTACTCAGGGAGAGAGGGAGAAGCTAGGTTGAGCTTGAGTAGTTTGGAAGACCTAGAGGAAGTCACACTCCATCTCTGGCAATACTAATTCTGCAGCTAGATTAAAAACTCAGGCAGAGTGGGCCTTGCTTGGTCTCCCATCCTTCCCCTCCATAGCATTGGACACCGAAGAGTTTGGGAAACATGGTGTGTTGACTTATTTCATATCCAAGGAATAGATATGATGGAGGACCTTGGACAAAAGAAGTGGTGATAGAACCCAAGTTTCCACTGCCAGCTCTGCCTTTTTTTTTTTTCCATGTGTGGTTTTTCATCTCCTCTGGCCACTGCTGATGGCTGAAAGCCTACTACTCACTGTGTGGCTTGCAAGACCTGAGGGTGTCGGCTCATGCCCAGGTAATCATTACTACACCAGACGGACACATCCTTTGAGGCCACAGATGCCTCAGAGAAATGTTGGGCAAAGGGATATGCATCAGCCCAGCGGTTCACAGTCTTGAACACACGGTAGGTGTGATCCTGTTTCTTCTCCATGATCTTGTCCCTGAAAAACTGGTCATAACTGAAGACATAGTTTCCTGCAGGAGCAGATATGAGGATGAAAAGAATTCGTTTTAAGTCTCTCCCTGGCTAGTCTGTATTTTACCCATGTTGCTGATTTTGAGTTCTCCAACTCTTTTTCCACATATTCATTTATTTGCTCAGTCATTGACTTATGGACCACATTAACTCTCTACTACTTCATTCAGCCATCCTTTTGCTTACTCATTCACTCATTCACTCAGTAGTTCATTCACACATTCATTTAGACTTTCTTATGGCCTCATCTCTCTTCCCGGGTTGGTGTGGCAGCCTCCTTACTAGAATCACTGCTTTCAGTCTCACTGGAAGGAGTATCAACAGATCTTGTTTCTAGCGATCTCTTTGCCACTTCCTAGCTGTGTGGCCTTGAACAAGTCATGAATCTTCTTTCTTACTTTAAATTTCTTTATTTGTAGAATGAGGCTAATAATACTTTCCTTGGAGAGTTGTGAGCATCTGACAACCAACAACATGTAATATATTCAAACTAATAAATGGCACATGGTAATAGTAGTATTATTACTGCTATAGTATTAGTAGTCATAATAATACTAATAAAGATAGCTAATATTCAATTACATCATTATAGCTAACATTTAATGAATGCCTAGTACATGTAAGTTCTTTCCTAGGAACTTTATAAATATTTAATTTATTCCTCACAACAATGCTCCATGGACAGTTCTATTAGTATCTCCATTTTACAGATGAGGGAACTGGGGCATTAAGTGTTAGACAACTTGACCAGGGTCATGCAGCAAGTAAGTGTTCATCAAGTAAGTAACTCAGAGCCCACTTCTTTAACCATTACCACTACAAAATGGGGTAACTTTATTTCTAGGATAAATTGAAATAACGTTTGCCAAAGAGCTTGTTAAACTCTAGAACTCTTTACGTGAGACAGAAATCATGTTGCAGACAGCAATTTATATGGCTGCTGGAGGTGCAAACTGGTAACATCCTTGCTGCAGAGATGTTTGGAAATACATATCAAAAGTTTTTTAAATGCACATACTGACATATCTAGAGAAATATTTGCAGCATACTTAACAGACAAATGATTGATACTCAGAATTTATTATATAATCTCTGAAAAATTAACATGAAAAATTTCAACTCAGTAGAAAAATGGGCATAGAATATGAACAGACAATTCAATAAATGTAGAAAAAGATTCTTAATCAGGAAAAATAAAACTGGGAAAACAAAATTTCACCTATCAATTGATAAAGATTTAAAGTTTGATAATATCAAGGGCTGGTAAGGGTATGAGACTATGGATACCCTCCTTGATAACTGGTACAGCCATGTTGGAGGGCTAATTGACAAAATGTATTAATATCAAAAATGTACACATCCTTACATCCCAAGAATTTCCACCACTGAGTGTTTATCCTGGAGAAACACTTGCCTGTGTACACAAGGAGATACATTCAAGGATGTTTGTTGCACCACTGTTTGTAATAGAAAAAATTGGAAGCAACCAAATAGAGGAGTAGCCAAATAATCTCTATTATATCTATACTACAAAATATTTTGAAGCATTGAAAAATAAGGTAGATACATATGTGTTAAAGTGGAAGCATTTCCACAGTATATTGTTGAGTGAAAAAAGGGCACAGAGTAAAATATATAGCAAGATATTATTAGGTAAAAATAAAAATTGAAAAAAGTAATACTATACATTTTCTTTGAGTACATTTGTATGTATGTAAAACCAACCTACAATCTAAACTGAGAGAATACAAAAAATTGGAAACAACTTAAATTATAGATGCTTGATTAACTGAATGATATTGAATCCATACTATACCCATGACATATTTTTAAGTGAACAAAACAGCATAACGAACTCCAGGTAAAATAAGATCACACTTCTAACAAAAGCATGGGTGTGGTGAAGAGAGCAGAGGGTGTGTGTGTGTGTGTGTGTGTGTGTGTGTGTGTAGCCATAGAAAAATATCTGGGAGAAAATATAACAAAAACTTAATGGTGGAACTCTGCATGACTTAAATTTCCCTCCTTATACTTTCCTGTATATGTTGAAAAATATTTTACCATGAATCATATTCCTTTTACATTAGAAAATAATGTAAATGTCATTATGGAAAGGAATATAAACACATATAAGAATGGGGAAAAGGTGCTGTATGAAGGGTGAAAGTTTTTGAGGGAAGCATAGAGAAGAAATAATGGAAATAAGCCTAATATTTAATGAAGCCTCATTAGAAACACTTCCATAAATGTAATTTCACTTTCTTCTCATGGTAACCTATTGAGGTAGGTATTAAATGCCACTGAAGGAAAGTGTCTTACTTGCCAAAACACCTAGATCCAGCAAGTGCCAGCATTAAATTTTAAACTCAAATTTCCTTTGGTTCCAAGGCCCTTCTGTACTGTTTCCCCTACTGTGACAGAGGCCCTTTCAGAATGCCTTCCCTATTCCGGTCCCCTTTTTTTCCACCTCAGCAAACTCACCAGGCATATTGTTCTGAATCAGGTGTGTGACCTTCCCAGAGATCTGCTCCTGCTCCTGGGGACCGGAAAATGGCTTCCTTAGGCTGACTGAGACCAGGGAGCTAGGCAGATCTGAGACGGAATGTGAGATTCATTGGCCGTGAAGAGAATGGGGGAAAAAGAAAGCATGTGTTGTCCTCTTTAAGCTCAATGCAACACATGAAAATTCAAGTTTATAAGGTAAGGGCAGCTTCTACAGCGAGAAGAAATCTTCTCCAAGGTGAGCTTCTATTTATCCCCCCGAATGGAGACTATTACATTGTTAGGAAACCTTCTATAAGGTGAATCATACTTCTCTCCACTAGGATTTTCCCTTGGCTCAGGTAACTGGAGCAGCCACCCTGGGTCCTGCATTTAGAAAGTAGATGCAGGATAATGTACCTTACTCTTCTTTTCTAAACATCATTAAATTTCAATTTTGAAGTTTTTGTCCTTAATGATATCCCAAAGGGGCCTATGAAAGATGTCAACAGTGTGGCCATATCTCAAGGGTGATTATCTTGGGTGGTCTGCACTAATTAAGTTGACCTGGGGATCTGCACCCTGGTTAAAGGAGGTACCTACTCCCAGCTCTTTCTCTTTCATGCAAATCCATATTCTCATAGAGTGGTCTTGCTGAAATGTGGGACCCCAGCCTGTTGGGATCAGTTTAGCCACCTGAAAAAGAGGAGTCAAAATTCTAGAGGGCTCATCTTAGAATAATGACTAAAAGTTTCAGGAGCCCGTACATATGTGTTTGTCAGGTATGGTGTGCTTCAGCATACAGCCTAAACTGTTGCCTACCATGGCTCCCCTGGAAAGACTGGACTTCTCATCATGGGATGTGTACTGGCTGCTTTTGTATTAGCCTAGCTCAGGACTGTGACGTAGTGTGTTCAAGCATTAGGAGTAAAGGTTGCATAAGGTGGAACTTGACTCCAACCTGTCTTGAAAGCCTTCACATCTTCCTGGACTTCTGGGGCTGCCTTCTGCACAATCTTGCTCTTCCCATCCTGGAGTTCCGACAGCATGAAGGGACAGTGGCCCTTCGCCCAAGATGGAGAATCTATGCAAAGGTAAGAGAGTAATTTGGGGTGCATTTCTAGTCATAAGTTCAGCTCAACAATAATTGCTGAGATCTAATGTACCCCTAAAGCCCTATCTCAGGCTATTGTAGAGACACAGAGATAGATGAGTCTGGTCCCTGTGCTAGGGGAGCTACTAAACTGGTGGGAATGGCATACACTGAAGACACATTGTGAACAGTGCTGGGATAGAGGAAGTACATGGGCTACAGAAGTCCAGAAGAGGGAGGGGAAATGAGCCAGAATTGGAATTAGACAGTTTGGAGGTCTAAGCAGGCTTTGCAGAGGAGATGATGGCCAAGCTTAGTGTCAAATGAGAAGTATGAGATTCTCCAGTACAGGGTCTAGGAGAGGGTAATCTGACAGGAGCAAAGGCACAAACTCTTGACAGAATAGTTGATTTAGGCAATTTTAAGTAGTTTCAGCATGTCTGGAGTATAGTGTGTGAGGGACATGACAGTGAGACTGTTTCTTTTCTTTTCTTTTCTTTTCTTTGACAGATTCTCGCTCTGTTGCCCAGGCTGGAGTGCAGTGGCATGATCTTGGCTCACTGCAACCTCCGCCTCCTGGGTTCAAGCAATTCTCTGCCTCAGCCTCCCAAGCAGCTGGGATTACAGGCGCCCACCACCACTCCTGGCTAATTTTTTTATTTTTAGTAGATATGGGATTTCACCATCTTGGCCAGGGTGGTCTTGAACTCCTGACCTCGTGATCCACTCGCCTCGGCCTCCCAAAGTGCTGGGATTACAGGCGTGAGCCACTGTGCCTGGCCGAGAATGAGACTCTTTCTAGAGAACCTGGCAGAAGACAGATTCTGGGTATATTTTGGGGCCAGTTCATGCTATCTTGACACTTTTCACATGAACCGTCCTAATTATTAGGCAAAGATGGCCAGTATAACTTGGAACTTTTACCCCAGGACCCTAACATTCTCCCCTTTTGCTAGCAGCCTCTTCTTACCTCCTCCAGCCTTTGTTGCCTTAAGGTGGATTTGAGAACAGTTTGGTCCTTGGGTAGCCAGGATGGGACAGCGTCCAATACCAAACAGGAACTGGTGAGTCTTAACCACCTTGCCTAGGAGGCTTGTGGGGCCCCGGGCAAGCACTGGGCAGCACTGTAGCAGCATGGCTGCAGTCACCATCTTGAACCTAAAGTCCTGCAGAAGACATGGAAGAGATGAGGTTCCATCATGAGGGCCTGGCAAAAAGCCAAGCCTTTGATCCTCGTCTTCAGCTTCCCACCCAAAACTTGCTGCCTCCGAGATGCTCTTATTGCCCTTCCAGGGAAAGAACTTCTTTCCCAATGTTAACATGTACCAATAAAACATGAGGGAGGAAGAAATAGGAAACTGACTACTGGGCAAAGGGGTGAAGGAAACAGTTCTAACTGGAGGTCAGAAAGCCTGGATTCTGACTCACATTCTGGCACTGACTACCTCTGTGATGATGAGGATCACTGAAATGTGTTTTTGTGTGGCAGGATGAGAACTGCCAACCCACTAACCCTTTGATCAATACTTAAGGCCAAGAATCTTTCTAAGAATGTTGGTCTTAGCCAAGTGAAGATTCAGCCTGCTAATGCAAACATATGTCATTGAGTAGAGCTCCTGAGGCTTGGCCCAGGGTGTTTCCTAAGCAGGATCAGCCAGAGGGGAGAAGGAGCTTGAGGTCACATGTATCAGTTTAAGGAAATCAAGGGATCCGGAAGGAAGGGTAGGCCCTAGGTCCTACAGAATGTGTACCACCAGCCTGATATTATGCTGTCTTTGAATTTGCTCCTGTCTCTTGGATAAGCACAGATATAGGAAGAGGTGAAAGCAAGTCCCAGTGGGGCTGGAAAACAGGGACAAAGACATAGTCTATGGATTAGTGAAACAGGCAGAGGCCAAGACAGAGAAGAGAAAGGGGGCAAAGAGATCAGAAAAAGAGAAAGCAAATGACACACAGGCACTCAATAAATATTTGTTGAATTTTGGGGTAAATTGATGAATGAACAGAGTCTGAAATTGAGGAAGGAGAAGGGACTAGGAGAAAAGCCAGAAGAAAAGAAAATTTAGGAAAGATAAAAGGAGGAAAGTAGAGAGAGAACAAAGATGTGGTGGTGGTGGTAGAGTTAAAAGAACAGAAATTGAGGGGGAAAAAGAGATCAAAGGTAGAGGGAAAGGGAGCAGGGTAGAGATGAAAACAGAGATTGAGTCGAGAGAAAGAGAAAATGAAAAAAGAAAAAGGGGGTGGTGATAGTGCACACAGGGATAAAGGCAGAGACAGATAGACCAAGGGGCACGAAAGGGACATGAGGAGGGATCAATGAGTCTAGAGGATTATACAAAGATTCATAGAAGTGAGAACAGGAGTGGAGAGGATCCAGCAGGGGTAGAGAGTCAGTCAGACACAAACATAAAAAAATGCTGCCAGAAATTGCAAAAGGCTAAGTAAGTTTAGGGAAGAGAATCATGGCCCTAATTGAGGGAGATGAGAGAGAGACTGAGGGACAGAGAGAAGAGAGTAGAGAAAATGACAAGATCAAAGGATAGAGACAGAGAGGTGACTAAAGCAGGGGGATGAGGGTTAAGAGGGGTGAGAGCTGAGAGACACCAAGAGAAAGACAGCTAGAGAGAGCAAGAAGGAGAGACAGATGTAAAGAAAAAGGGCAAATTGGAAAGACAGAGTCAAAAAGTGAGACAAGATAAGGGACAGTACAATGGGAGAGACATGGGAGAATGTGAGAAGACTAAAGCACTGACACTGTGAAGAAAGTTACTGAGTAGAATCTACTAGCACCCTCAGCCTTATGTTTTGAGGGACAGGTCAGCTCATGGCCCTGCCCTCATATGGCAACCTCCTTCATCTCCCTCCCTTCCTGATCTCATAGAACAAGCACCCTCCCCGTACCTCACAAAACAACCTCTTTTTCTTGTTCCATCCCAGAGCAACCTCTCCCCCTCTCATGGGCTGTCACAGCAGCCTGGGTTGGTATGTGGGGCCAAGGCATGTGGGCCCTGAAATTGGAAAAGACAGAAGGGTTGTTGGAGGGACTAAATGAAACAATCCAAGTTAAGCCTTTAGTATAGTTTTTGGCACATAGTAAATCTTCAATAAATGTTAGCTTTTCTTATTAAAATTCCAGCTCTCCAATTTCATTGTTGGATGTTCTTGTTCAAATCACTTCCCCTCTCTGGATCTTGGCCTTCATCAGCTGTCAAACGTGAGGTAATTATGGCCACTTCACAAGGTAGGTAAGGAATTGGATCCAGTGCCTACCTCATATCTGGAGATATGTGTTTCCCTTCCCCTGCCTGCTTGTGAAAGCTAAAGCACTTGGGGCTGAGCCTGCAGACCACAGATAAAGTTGCCAGAGTTTATCGCCATTGGGGTCTGACCACTCCCCAAGCTGAGACCAGGGCGTGGGAGAGAAGAGGAGCCCCTTCCTGGAATCACGTCTGAGCATCTGGCTAGAGCTGGCCCTGGCTATTGGTGGTAAGAAATGGATGGCCCAGAAGTGCAGGCAAGGCAGATGACAAGGCTCCAGGCTCCTGTAAACTCCCCTAACATCAATACTGGCAACAATAATGCCAACAACATTGGGGTATGTAGTGGGAAGGAAAGCCCCCAATATTGGAGGCAAAGTCCAGTCCTGCCTTGGGATGGTGGAGAAGACCTACCTCCTGTATATAAAAACAGGAGAAATTAACACACATCATTACTAGGGGGCTTTTGGCCATGATATGCTCAGGGTCCTGGGAAAATATAGACCACTTCTTGGAATTTGTTGAATTCTCAAGTTCTTTCAAGCTCCTGTTCTCATTTCTCTTGTTCTGTTACTCCTTTCCTGAAATTTGCTCTGCCTCACTCTGCCTGGCCATCATTATACCCATGACCTTGTAGTCTAGTTACCATGGGCTCTGTTTCTATTCCATCTCATTACCTACCAAGAGACTAGAGTGAGTAAAATTGAATCAAGGAAGCATTTTAGTCAATTTAGGGTATAAAGAGTATAGGCTCTAGAGCCAAACTACTTGGGTTTGAATCCTGGCTCCACCACTCACTAGCTTTGGGACCTTAGAAAAGTCACTTCCCTGCTGTACATCTTATATCTGGAAAATGTTGGTAATAACAAGGACAATCTGCATCACAGGAATGTTGTGAAGATTCAGTAAGATAATCCATATAAAGCATTTAGCAGAGTACCTATCCCAGAGTAAACAGTAAAAAAGTGTTAAATATTATATTTAATTGATAGACTTTATTATTTTTATTTTCTCCATTTCCCATGTAGAAAAAATGAACGTACAGCCAAGGGAAGTCACATGAATATACCAGGCTGGGTTTGGGAAGCTAGAGAATTGATTCTTGTCCCAATCCTGTTACAATTTATTGTGTGAACTTGGGCTCTGTAATTCCCCTCTCTGGGCTTCCGTTTCTCCACTGACATTGGACTAGATAATTTCATAGATTCCGCCTAGTTCTGATAGTCAAACACTTACAGAGCCCTCTGTGCCAGGCCGTGTTCTCATGTCAACCCTGTGATGATAGGGAAACTGAATCCCAAAAAGATTAAGTAACCTGTCTAGATCAGAAAGCTAGTACATAGGAGAAGCAGGATTTGAACCTAGGCAATCTGTTTCCAGAGATTCCTAACTTAACCATTATGGATCTGTGATTCAAATATTACTACCTTTTTTTCTTGACTGAGGGCCTGACTCTAGACATTTATCTCCTCTGCTGCACTAACATAGGCCTCTTTCCAGGTCATATGCCATTTGTCACCAATGCCTTACCAAAGGAACAGATCTGTAACTACAGTGGAATTTCAGGTACTGTTGAATATTCATTTACTCTACCATTCAATAACTTATGTACCTAATGTGTGATAATGCTTGCCAGGCATCTTCTTAAAACAATACTTTTAACCAAAGAGATGATGGTGAAATTTGAGACCAAGTAACAGATCATTACTGAAAGTTTTTCCCTACGACTTTAAAATCCTCTCTTGTGTCAGCACCCAATCTGTACTCCCAGAGGTGAAAAGGGCCAACTGCAACTCTACCCCAGCAGACAGCCAGAAAACACTCATTGCAGCATTCCTTGTCCCCCACCCCCCCACCCCTTTTGTGGCCTGCTTTGCAAAAGTCAATTAGGTCTGGAAGGGAAGTGGTAATTTCTCTTCAGGAGTTGGAAACATCAGGCCTTACTTCTCTTCCTAGTACCCCTTTCCCACCATGAAAGAATCATACAGAACTTTAGATAACTGTAATCAGAGAATCAGAAATTCTTAGAAACAGGAAAATTTAGAAGATCACAAAATCAAAACTAGAAAGGGTGGTGGAAATTACAGGCCAAGCCTTTTTTTCAGAGAGTGAATGACTTGCCTAGGGTCTCACAGTGAATTAGGATGAGAATAGAAATCTGTTTACTTTCTGTATAGTGACACTACATTCCTCTTCCACTTTCTTCACTTATTTCTGCTAATTATTCATCTCTCAATTCCCCAAATCTCTCCTTACCCAATTCATCATTCCCATCACCCCCACATCCTCTTAGTTTCCCTCCCTAGCTCTTCCCCCACCCCTAGGCTCCCCATGGGCTCTGACCCACTGAGCTCTGCTGTCAGCCCAGCAGGTAGAGGGAGTCAAAGGGAGAGAGGAATGGGGAATTGCAGGAAGAAATATTAAGCCATCGTTCTTGATAGAGAGGAAGAGAGAGACAGAAACACAGAGACGGAGAGATACAAAGCCGAGGAAAGAGACAAAAAGGGGGAGAGAAAGAAATTTAGAGAAAAAGATAGTTAGAATTCAGAGGGAAAAATAAGAGAAAGCAAGAGTGTCAGAGAATGATGAAATGAAATGAATGATCTTGAAAACTAACAAAAGAAAGTAACGAAGGGAAAAAGAGAGAAAAAAGCTGAAAATGAGGAAAGACAGAAAGAGACATGGGAGATAAAAAGAAAATGAAAAAGAGACAGATTCTAAGAAACAAACAAAGGAAAAAGTCAGATCTACTCAGACCAGAGAGTCAGTGTGTACAGCCCTGAGAGACCAGCTGGCAGACCAGAGATAGGGTGCCAGGCTGAAAGCAGCTCTTACCTGTTGCCCTGCACTGAGGACGAACGAATGACAGGTGGGTACTTGGGTTAGGACCTGGCATTTATCCCTTCTCCTCTGACTCAGCCCCACCCACCCTGCCTTCTGCCGGCCTGGCCCTGCATTGGCCCCAAAGGTATCTCAGTCCCTTCCTTGCTAGAGATAAAACCCAAAGTAGCCCCTCCCTCTAGTGTACCCCCTCCCCCAGCTCTGGCTCTTCCCTATTTTCTTCTCTCTATAGGACAGTAAAATTAGCTCATTTGGGCTTTGGAATCAGACCATCCACATAGAGCTGGGATACCTTGAGCAAAACCACCTCTCTGACTATAGATCTCCTCAACTATAAAAGGAGGGCAATAAAACCCAGAAGTGACTGTGGCACAAGTTGGGAGGGCTCTGGAGTCAGACCTAGAATACAGTGTTGTGCTTATGAGCTCAAACAGTCAGCTTCCACAGACTAGATCCCCGGTTGTTGTAACAATTTGGTAATATCATGTATGGAAAACGCATACCACAGTGCCTGGCCCAAATAAATAACACCTACTGTTGACTGAGTGCTTACAATGCACCAGACCCTTCACTAAGTGCTTTACATGAATTAATTTAGCCACATAAGGACCTTAAAAGATAGGTACTATTATCCCTATGTTACAGATGAAGAAACTGAGGCTCAGAGAGGTGAGGTAACTTGTTGATAATTACCCAACTAGAAAGTACAGAGCCCGCCTATGAACCTAGGCAATGTAGTTACAGAACCCACACTCTTCTCTTCCTCTCATAATATACAATTAAAAATGTGAAGTTCTCTGTCTTATCTTTTCTATTACCTTCTCCTCCCTTTTTCATTTTCTTCCCCTTTTGTCACTCTCTTTTTCCCCTTCCCTTATCAATCCTAAGGCAGCAGGACCATGTTATAACCAGACAATTTCATCTTTAGAGCAGATTGTCATCATTAATATTATATTTACATAAATAAGACCATAGTCTACATATTGATTTGCAATTTCTTTTTTTTGTTTGTTTTTCATTCAACCATATGCCAATATACCATGGAGGTTACAAAATCTGAATGCACTGTAATTTATTTAAACACTCCCTTATTGATATAAATTTAGGTTATTCCCAAGGATTTTCCCCCCTCCATTATGATTAATGTTGCAATGAACATCTTTTGGCATTTGTGAGAGCATTTTTTTAGAGGGTGGCATCCTAAAATATAAGCATTCCTGGATCTAAAGGTAATAGACATTTAAAGTTTTTGATACTGCCAATTTGTCCTATACATGTGTTATACACCCCTCCCCACCCAGTGGTGTATAAGAGTAAATGTGTATCTATTTTCTCACAAACTCACCAATACCATTTGTTATTTTCAATTTTTAAAATATTTGTTAATCTTATAGGCACTAAAAATGGTATATCAGTGTTGCTTTGATTTGCTTTTCTTTCATTATTAATGAGATTGGGTGTCTTTTCATGTTTCTTTATCAGTTGTCTATTTCTCTTCTGAGTGGTCTACTTTTTGCCCATTTTGGGGGTGGGTTGGCAGTAAAATATAGTGGACTAAAAGCATGCACTCTGGAGTCAGACTCACCCAAGTCACCAAGTCACCAACACCTTAGCTATTTGGTTCACTTATCTCCAGATCTCTCATATATAAAATGGGACAGTCATAGAACCTACCCTATTGGATTATTGTGAGGATGAGATGAGAAGAACTTTGAATAATATTAATATTAACTCCTTTTCTGTGATATTTGCTGCTTCATCTGGATTAATTTATTAATTCAACAAATGTTTATTGAGTGCCTATAGCATGTCAGGTGTGGTGCTAGGTAGTGGAGATGCAGTGGCATGTAAATTGGAGAGTATGGGTATAGCATGGTGTATTTAACCATTTTTAAAACTAAAGATTAATTCCAGTTCTTCTAGAAGGTATTTCAAATGCAGCTGCAATAACCTTGACCTCCAACTCTTTAGCTGGCTAACCATTTGTCACTTTGAAAAGTGAGCTCAAAGGTCATCACTTCTGGGAGGCCCTTTTAAACCCCCACACTGGATCTTGTTCCCTCTTCTGGGCCCCCACATCTTCTCTCTCAGAATTTATCACACTGTACTACTGGCACCTTGTCTTATGTCTTCCTCCCACATCAGACCTTGAGCAACTTGCTGACAGGAATCTGGAACCATTGACTAGGGGGGCTGTCAGAAATGCCTGTTGCATTCAGATGCATTTCCTCCGTTCTTTCTACTCTGTTCTGCCTGTACCCAGAAAAGGAACTGGAAGAATAAAATCTACTGAGGTTAACAAACCTCTGAGGTGACGTAGAGAAAAACTCGAAGTGCCCTAATGGAGGAAAGTGTGTGGGACTTCCCAGGTCATTGGGAAGGATACTTAGGTGGTGCCTCTCTGTACTATTCCTGGTCCAGCTGAGCCCGTGAGTGTAGGTGGCTGTGGTTGTGCCTGATATCTCCTCTCCTTTAGAGGAAAATGTCTCATTTTCTCTTTGGGTGGTGGTTGTGTGATTCTCACCTTTTTATGAGGCAATGTAGTCTGGAGGGAGAAGTAAGTTTCAGTCCCATATGCTCATGTAGCGTGTCCAAAGGAAACACTTTCCTGGCCCTTCTCTACATAGTCCCCTCTCTCTCTCTGCATTGATTTGTTCTGTGTCTTGGCTGACTTCCTACCCATGTGGGAATTCCTCTGGAATCAGAGTCTAGGTCTGATTCATTTCTGCAACCCCAGTGTCAACCTGACAATAAGTAACTATTCAGACAATGTTTGATTGAATAGACTTCGGTGACTTAGGAGTTTCAACTTTTTACTTTGCAGTTGCACTGCAGTAGACATCATGGTACTTAAAGTTTTCTCTGCATCTTAGGTTATTTTCTTAGCATAGATTTTCTAAAAGTTTATTTATAAACCATAAAACTCACCCATTTTAAATGTGTAATTCAATGATTATTAGTATATTTACAGAACTGTGCAACCATCACCACAAATATTAGTATTGATTTTTAGTAATGGGATTATTCGACCAAAGGATATGGATCTTTTAAAGATTTTTTCCTACATTTTATCCAATATCTCTGTAAAAGGTTGTCCCAGTTAACGATAGTCTCAACCACTTGTGATGAGTGGGGATTAAGGAAGACATACAGGCTTTGTTGGGTTACTTCCTGAAGGGTTGGTCTCACTATCAGCATCTCTCTCCTTCATTAGCTATATCCCTTACCCACATTCTGGAATGAAACTCAGAGAGTAGCATGATAGCTATGTCCCAGACGTGCTGTGGTTTCTTCTTCATGTAAGATTGGTCTATAGTTTCCATTTTAATTTAAATAACACATCTGTTCTTGTAAGTTTTGGTAATACCAGCCAATATAATTATTTGCCCTAATACCATTTGGTGATGGTAGCTGGGTTGTTCTTAGACAGCTTTTCCAATGGTTTCCATGATAATTTGTTTATACGTTTTTTAAAAAACTTCTTCCCATATCAATTTTAGTAATCAATATTTTTCAAAATATCATAGAGTAATACAGAGAATTCTCTTATCATTTTTGGTTAGGTATAAAATTCCAAAGTCCAGTTTTTCACCCCTCAGAGTGTTATAAATATTATTTCATTGTTTAATAACACTTATAATTAGAGCTAAAATGTTCAATGTCAGGCTCATACTCTTCCTTTTATAAGTAATCTATATGCTTAGTAGGAATATCTTCCTATTAGGAGAATTAAAAAAGGTCCTGGTATATTAGTCAGGGTTCTCTAGAGGGACAGAACTAATAGGAGACACACACACACACACACACGTGAGTTTATATATAACTCTCATATACATACATATATATATTTATGTATATATATACATGTATATATATATGGGAGTTATTAAGTAGTATTAATTCACATGATCACAAGGTCCCACAATAGGCCAGCTGCAAGCCGAGGAGCAACGAAGCCAGTCTGAGTCCCAAAGCTGAAGAACTTGGAGTCCAATGTTCAAGGGCAGGAAGCATGCAGCATGGGAGAAGGATGTAGGCTGGGAGGCTAAGCCAGTCTAGCCTTTTCATGTTTTTCTGCCTGCTTTATATTTGCTGGCAGCCAATTAGATGATACCCACCCAGGTTAAGGGTGGGTTTGCCTTCCCCAGCCCACTTACTCAAATGTTAATCTCCTTTGGGCAACACCCTCACAGACATACCCAAAATCAATACTTTGCATCCTTCAATCCAATCAAGTTGACACTCGATATTAACCATCACACCTGGCATATATCTTAATACAGCTAGTAACTATTTATAGTTTTTGTCTTTTGGTAAAGAAGAATGTGTTTTCTTTCTCAATCCCCTATTCAGCAGGCAGAGAAAGCAATATGAGCAAAAGGAAAAAAGTTTAAAAGTCCCTAAGGTATTTCAGGAAACACTACAGAGCACAGATGATATTTTAAATGGGTTATGAAGCATGAGTTTACTGGATAAAGCACAGGGAAAGGGGCAATCCAGGCAGAGGGTACAATATCAACAAAATCAGGGAGGTCTTAAGATGTTTACTGCATTTCAGGAACAGTGAGTTTTGTAGATGTTGAGGGAGGAGGAAGAGTCTGGAATTACTTGCTCCGTCACTTTATGGAAGATGAGATCTCATCCTGGTACTTGGTTCTTCTAAATGTTACTGCAAGAATGAACAGTGATTAAGAACATCAGCCCTCGAGCCAGATTAACTGGGTTCTGCCATTTATTAACTGTGTGAACTTTGGGAGGTTATTTCACCTGTCTGAATTTCAGTTTCCTTGTCTGTAATATGAAGATACTGATAATATCTACTTTATAGTGTTTTTATGAAGTGTAAAAGAGTGAATCTGTTTAAAGTAGTTTTTTCCAATTCTGTGAAGAAAGTCATTGGTAGCTTGATGGGGATGGCATTGAATCTATAAATTACCTTGGGCAGTATGGCCATTTTCACGATATTGATTCTTCCTACCCATTAGCATGGAATGTTCTTCCATTTGTTTTTATCCTCTTTTATTTCCTTGAGCAGTGGTTTGTAGTTCTCCTTGAAGAAGTCCTTCACATCCCTTGTAAGCTGGATTCCTAGGTATTTTATTCTCTTTGAAGCAATTGTGAATGGGAGTTCACTCATGATTTGGCTCTCTGTTTGTCTGTTATTTGTGTATAAGAATGCTTGTGATTTTTACACATTGCTTTTGTATTCTGAGACTTTGCTGAAGTTGCCTATCAGCTTAAGGAGATTTTGGGCTGAGACAATGGGGTTTTCTAGATATACAATCATGTCATCTGCAAACAGGGACAATTTAACTTCCTCTTTTCCTAATTGAATGCCCTTTATTTCCTTCTCCTGCCTGATTGCCCTGGCCAGAACTTCCAACACTATGTTGAATAGGAGTGGTGAGAGAGGGCATCCCTGTCTTGTGCCAGTTTTCAAAGGGAATGCTTCCAGTTTTTGTCCATTCAGTATGATACTGGCTGTGGGTTTGTCATAGATAGCTCTTATTATTTTGAGATACATCCCATCAATACCTAATTTATTGAGAGTTTTTAGCATGAAGGGTTGTTGAATTTTGTCAAAGGCCTTTTCTGCATCTATTGAGAAAGTTCATATGGAACCAAAAAAGAGCCCGCATTGCCAAGTCAATCCTAAGCCAAAAGAACAAAACTGGAAGCATCACGCTACCTGACTTCAAACTATACTACAAGGCTACAGTAACCAAAACAGCATGGTACTGGTACCAAAACAGAGATATAGATCAATGGAACAGAACAGAGCCCTCAGAAATAATGCTGTATATCTACAACCATCTGATCTTTGACAAACCTGACAAAAACAAGCAATGGGGAAAGGATTCCCTATTTAATAAATGGTGCTGGGAAAACTGGCTAGCCATATGTAGAAAGCTGAAACTGGATCCCTTCCTTACACCTTATACAAAAATTAATTCAAGATGGATTAAAGACTTACATGTTAGACCTAAAACCATAAAAACCCTAGAAGAAAACCTAGGCAATACCATTCAGGACATAGGCATGGGCAAGGACTTCATGTCTAAAACACCAAAAGCAATGGCAACAAAAGCCAAAACAGACAAATGGGATCTAATTAAACTAAAGAGCTTCTGCACAGCAAAAGAAACTACCATCAGGGCGAACAGGCAACCTACAGAATGGGAGAAAATTTTTGCAATCTACTCATCTGACAAAGGGCTAATATCCAGAATCTACAATGAACTCAAACAAATTGACAAGAAAAAAACAAACAACCCCATCAAAAAGTGGGCAAAGGATATGAACAGACACTTCTCAAAAGAAGACATTTATGCAGCCAAAAGACATATGAAAAAATGCTCATCATCACTGGCCATCAGAGAAATGCAAATCAAAACCACAATGGGATACCATCTCACACCAGTTAGAATGGCAATCATTAAAAAGTCAGGAAACAACAGGTGCTGGAGAGGATGTGGAGAAATAGGAACACTTTTACACTGTTGGTGGGACTGGAAACTAGTTCAACCATTGTGGAAGTCAGTGTGGCGATTCCTCAGGGATCTAGAACTAGAAATACCATTTGACCCAGCAATCCCATTACTGGGTATATACCCAAAGGATTATAAATGATGCTGCTATAAAGACACATGCGCATGTATGTTTATTGCGGCACTATTCACAATAGCAAAGACTTGGAACCAACCCAAATGTCCAACAATGATAGACTGGATGAAGAAAATGTGGCACATATACACTATGGAATACTATGCAGCCATAAAAAAGGATGAGTTCATTTCTTTGTAGGGACATGGATGAAGCTGGAAACCATCATTCTTAGCAAACTATCACAAGGACAAAAAACCAAACACCGCATGTTCTCACTCATAGGTGGGAATTGAACAATGAGAACACATGGACACAGGAAGGGGAACATCACACACTGGGGCCTGTTGTGGGGTGGGGGGAGGGGGGAGGGATAGCATTAGGAGATATACTTAATGCTAAATGATGAGTTAATGGGTGCAGCACACCAACATGGCACATGTATACATATGTAACAAACCTGCACATTGTGCACATGTACCCTAAAACTTAAAGTATATTAATAAAAAATAAAAATAAAAAAAAGAAAAACTGCAAGATGAAAACTGTCAACAAATTCCATCCACATCCTCCCCTATCCCCAGCAAATCCCTCCCTGCCCCACCACCCAAGAAAACCTGGAAAGAAAAAAGCTTATCCAATTCTGCTCTCTACCCATATAATTCACATATTCATAATATGTAAAAAAAATTTTGCCTTTCCCCATTTAATAAATGATGCGTGATATTTACTTTATGCCTAAAAAAGCATCATTTGTCAATAAAGAAATTTTTAAAGCACCCATCCTATATGAGTTGGCAGCTGATTAGGTTAAACTGGCTGGATTAAAAACATCACTGGACTCAACAAGTTATAAAATGTGAATATGTTCGTTATATTTACTCTCAATAAAATGATAGGCTCAACACTGTTAGACCTAGCATATATTTACTGAGATACTATGTTTTTGGAAATAATCAAATTGTCAACTTACACTTGTTGATAACTTTTAAATGGGGAAGTTTAAATAGGGACTTGTATGAATGGCACATGAGGGTTTAGCTGTCTCTTACTTTCAATCAGTGAAATTGACCTATCCTTGAAGAGGCAGGTATAAATAAATAAGATGATGGAGTTGAATTTTCTGAAGTTTTTGTAATTTCATAATTTACTAGGTATGATGCTTCAAATGCATTTAGATCCAATATTAGATATTTAATATTCTTATATTTAGTATTTTAAAATTAGATATTTTATGGTTAGAAGTTTGTTGTACTAGTTCATGTGTGAGTTGATGGTAACCTGGAATAAGGAGGTAGCACTGACGTCAAATAAAATATAGAGACAAATCTCTGAGATTAAAACTTTTAATTTGGGAAGAAAGAATTGCAATTTGGAGTATACAGGCAGACCAGGTGTTCTTCAGTATGTCCAAAGAACAAAGAGAAATTTAGAGGTTTTATTTAAAAATAGAAATACTACACATTGCTCTTTGAGACAGTACATTGGCACTAGTAAGATTTTTGGGGAGGTGGCAAGCTCTTATTGTTGAGTGGTCGTAGTAGGTAAAAGTTGCAGCAGGCTGTTTCAGTAGCCATGAGATAAAACTGCTTTCAGGTTACAGCACGCAGTTTCAGCAGCCAGGCTTGCAGAGAATTATATTTTTGGAGCAATGTTATGTGCCCTGAGTGATTTTCCCCCCCTGGCTTCTTGACTCTGTTTTAGTTGGGTATGACAAGAATGACCCAATTCATATAATCAGCTTTCACAGTAGCGATGAAGATGGACAGAAGTGAATGGAACTGAGATATATTTAAAAGTAATGTCTGCAGCATTAGTCAAAATAGCCAAAAGGTGGAAACAACCCAAATGTCCATTGAAGGATAAATGGATAAACAAAATGTGGTATATACATACCAAAGAATACTGTTCAGCCTTGAAAAGGAAGAAAATTCTTTTTTTTTTTTTTTTAAACCACAGGCCTCCAGATTGGGCCACTAAAATTACTAGTTTATTTAGTGAAGAAACCCTAATGGTATTTTTTTAACCCTGAAAACAAGCATTTCCAGTTCTTTGCTGATGCCACATTTTTCTGAGATGAATGTTATTGTTACATGCTACTGTTACTATTTATGGTGCCCGGAGCAGTGTGGATTCTTTGCAAATATTATTATCTTGTCGATTTCTCATGGGATTTTGCAAATACTGCTTTTCCAGAAGAGGAAACCTGGTCTTAGAGAACTGAGTCACTGCCTAAGGTCACATAGACAGTGTGGGCCAGGCTGGGATTCAGCCCGGGGCTGGCCCATGTCCTTGTTCTTTTCAATAGCTTCTTCACTGTCACTTGCTTATTGCTTTCCATTTGCCAATGGACCATGCTTTATGACGTAGGAATTTGTGTTTTTGTTTAAAAGCATCAGGAAAATAATAAAAAAATTGAAAATATAGCTTAAGTATATTACGTATTAAACAAAACACCACTACTGTCAATTCACTTAAAGGAACTCAATATTTTCTTTTTTTTTTTTTGAAGAGATCATAAACCAGAGGCGGATTTTAATCTATTTTTAAAATTTTGGATCAGGATATGTCTACTTTAGCTACTTCTCTCTTTTTTTTAATTATTATTATACTTTAAGTTCTAGGGTACATGTGCACAACGTGCAACTTTGTTACATATGTATACATGTGCCATGTTGGTGTGCTGCACCATTAACTCGTCATTTACATTAGGAATATCTCCTAATGCTATTCCTCCCCCCTCCCCCACCCCACGACAGGCCCCGGGGTGTGATGTTCCCCACCCTGTGTCCAAGTGTTCTCATTGTTCAATCCCCACCTATGAGTGAGAACATGCAGTCTTTGGTTTTCTGTCCTTGTGATAGTTTGCTCAGAATGATGGTTTCCAGCTTCATCCATGTCCCTACAAAGGGCATGAACTCATCCAAAAAGGAAGAAAATTCTGACACATGCTACAACATGGATGAATCTTAAAAGCATTATGCTATGTGAAATAAGCCAGTCACAAAGGATGAACATTGTATGATTCCACTTACATAAGTTAGGTACTTAGAGCAATCAGATTCATAGAGATAGAAAGAATGGTGGTTGTCAGGGGCGGGGCGGTGGGGAGAATGGAAGTTACTGTTTAAGGATACAGAGTTTCCATTTGGGAAGATGAAAAAGTTCTAGAGATAGATGATTATGATAGTTGTACAACAATGTGATTGTTCTTAACCACTCAACTAACTATATTTAAATATGGTAAATTTTATGTTAAGTATATTTTACCATGACTAAAAAGAATAATCAACAAAACCTATATAAAATGCTGTAAGGTTTGCTTGCGTTCTTCCCCCAAATCTGAACCTGATCTCTGATAGGTCTGACCTTCTATAGTACTTTAGCTGTATCTATTTAACTACCTTTAGTTTCTACATTGTGAAATGGTATTTAATGCTATTTACCTATTCAGACTGGCAGCATCTCTGGTAGAACTTAATCTCCCATACAGTGTTACACTTAGCATTAGTAGGTGTTCAATAATTCTTTTTTTTTTTTTTTTTTTTTGAGACGGAGTCTTTCTCTGTCGCCCAGGCTGGAGTGCAGTGGTGTGATCTCGGCTCACTGCAGTCTCCACCTCCCGGGTTCATGCCATTCTCCTGCCTCAGCCTCCTGAGTAGCTGGGACTACAGGCGCCTGCCACCATGCCCGGCTAATTTTTTATGTTTTTAGCAGAGACGGGATTTCACCATGTTAGCCAGGATGGTCTCGATCTCCTGACCTCGTGATCCGCCCCCATCAGCCTCCCAAAGTGCTGGGATTACAGGCGTGAGCCACCGTGCCCGGCCTCAATAATTCTTATTGAAATACAAAGGCTAAAAATACTGGTTTATTTTTATAATTTCCAATTTTTTCCTAATAATATACAAGTTAAAAGGTTAAGCTGGTATTTTATTTCTTTGTTTCGTTGTTGTTGTTGCTGTTGTTTGACAGTTGGCAGAGCTAGCTGAGGTTTTATTTTGGAAAAAACCCAACTGAATTGTTTTGTAGCTGAAGGCATGGGCAAGGCAAGTACCCCAGGCAGTAAACTGCCCCTACATGTGGGCTGAGGGCTAGGGCTGAGCCTCTGGTGGGTCTCCTGTCCCCTATGCTCCCCCACACAGTGGTCTCCCCCACAGGCTCTGGGGCAGCCACAGTAGGGGTAGGCTGGGAGCGGCTGCCGTGGCGGTTCACATCGGCAGGACATCAGAGGACTCAGACACCAGCTTCCCATCACGGGTTTCAATCTTCTTCACAACCATGGCCCTGGAGGAGCAGGTGCAGCTGAAGGAGCTCAGACCCGGCAGCAAAATTGGCATAGAAGGGATGTAACTTAAGGTAATAAAAGCCATCTATGATAGATCCACAGCCAACATTATACTGAATGGGGAAAAGTTGAAAACATTACCCTGAGAACTGGAACAAGACAAGGATGCCCACTTTCGCCACTTCTATTCAACATAGTACTGGAAGTCCTAGCCAGAGCAATCAAATAAGAAAAAGAAATAAACGGCATCAAAATCAGTAAAGAGGACATCAAACAGTCACTGTTTGCTGATGATATGATCCTATACCTAGAAAACCCTACTAACTCCTCCAAAAATCTCCTAGGATTGATAAATGAATTCAGCAAAGTTTCAGGATACAAAATTAATGTACACAAATCAGTAGCTCTGCTATACACCAACAGCGACCAAGCTGAGAATCAAATCAAGAATGCAACCCCTTTTACAACAGTTGCAAAAAATAAAATAAAATAATTAGGAATATACCTAATCAAGAAGGTAAAATACCTCTACAAGGAAAACTATAAAACACTGCTGAAAGAAATCATAGACTTTGGGAGGCCGAGGTGGGCGGATCACGAGGTCAGGAGATCGAGACCATCCTGGCTAAAGCGGTGAAACCCCGTCTCTACTAAAAATACAAAAAATTAGCCGGGCGTAGTGGCGGGCGCCTGTAGTCCCAGCTACTTGGGAGGCTGAGGCAGGAGAATGGTGTGAACCCAGGAGGCGGAGCTTGCAGTGAGCCGAGATCCCGCCACTGCACTCCAGCCTGGGCGACAGAGCGAGACTCCGTCTCAAAAAAAAAAAAAAAAAAAAAAAAAAAAAAAAAAGAAATCATAGAAACACAAACAAATGGAAACACATCACATGCTTATGAATGGGTAGAATCAATATTGTGAAAATTTCCATACTGCCAAATGCAATCTACAAATTTAATGCAATTCCCATAAAAATACCATCATCATTCTTCACAGAACTAGAAAAAACAATCCTAAAATTCATATGGAACAAAAAGGAGTCCACATAGCCAAGGCAAGATTAAGCAAAAAGAACAAATCTGGAAGCATTATATTACCTGACTTCAAACTATCCTATAAGGCCATGGTCATCAAAACATGGTACTGGTATAAAAATAGGCATATATATCAATGGAACAGAACAGAGAACCCAGAAATAAAGCCAAATACTTAGAGTCAACTGACCTTTAACAAAGCAAACAAAAACATAAAGTAGGGAAAGGACATCCTATTCAATAAATGTTGCTGGAATAATTGGCGAGCCACATGTAGGAGAATAAAACTGGGTCCTCATCTCTCACGTTATACAAAAATCAACTCAAGATAGGACTTAAATCTAAGACCTGAAACCATAAAAATTGTACAAGATAACATGAGGAAAACTCTTCTAGACATTGGCTTAGGCAAAGACTTCATGACCAAGTGCCCAAAAGCAAACATGACAAAAACAAAGATAAATAGATGCAACTTAATTAAACTAAAAAGTTTCTGCTCAGCAAAGGAAATAATCAGCAGAGTAAATAGACAATCCACAGAGTGGGAGAAAATCTTCACAATCTACACATTCGACAAAGGACTAATATCCAGAATCTACAGGGTCCTCAAACAAATCAGCAAGAAAAAAAAAAATCCCATCCGAAAGTATTGTCCATAAATAGAAAGTTCTCAAAAGAAGATATATAAATGGCCAACAAACATATGAAGAAATGCTCAACATCACTAATTATCAGATAAATGCAAATCAAAACCACAATGTGATACCACCTTACTCCTGCAGAATGGCCATAATTTTAAAAATCAAAAAATAATAGGGCCGGGCGCAGTGGCTCTTGCCTGCAATCCCAGCTCTTTGGGAGGCTGAGGTGGGCGGATCACCTGAGGTCGGCAGTTTGAGACAGAATGACCAACCTGGAGAAACGCCCGCTCTACTAAAAATACAAAATCGGGCGAGTGTGGTGGTGTATGCCTGTAATCCCAGCTACTTGGGAGGCTGAGGCAGGAGAATCACTTGAACCCAGGAGGCAGAGGTTGCGGTGAGCCAAGATCGCACCATTGCACTCCAGCCTGGGCAACAAGAGCGAAACTCTGTCTCTAAATAATAATAATAATAATAATAATAATAATAATAGATGTTGGCATGGATGTGGTAAAAAGGGAACACTTTTACTCTGTTGGTGGAAATGTAAACTATTACAACCACTATGGAAAACAGTGTGGAGATTCCTTAAAGAACTAAAAGTAGATCTACCATTTGATCAAATGAAAAAAAAAAGTCATTATATGAAAAGGACACTTGCACATGAATGTTTATAGCAGCACAATCACAAAAGCAAAACTGTGGAACCAGCCTAAATGCTCACCGTCCAATGAGTGGATAAAGAAAATGTGGTGTATACACACCATGGAATACTACTCAGCCATAAAAAGGAATGAGATAATGGCATTCACAGCAACCATTATTCTAAGTAAAGTAACTCAGGAATGGAAAACCAAATATTGTATGTTCTCACTTATAAGTGGGATCTAAGCTATGAGGATGCAAAGGCATAAGAATGATACAATGGACTTTGGGGACTTGGGGGGAAGGGTGGATGGGGTGAGGGATAAAAGACTACACATTGAGTACAGCGTACACTGCTTGGGTGATGCATGCACCATAATCTCAGAAATCACCACTAAGGAACTTATCCATGTAATGAAACATCACCTATTCCCCAAAAACCTATTAAAATAAAAAAAAAAAGTTCTGGTGTAACAAGGAGTAAGAATTGGAGGTAAACAGACCAGTGAAGAGATTAGTCCAGGCAAGACACCAGGCTTGAATTAGGAGGAATCAATAGTCATAGTATCTACTACAATGACTTCTGTCATGAATTTTCTGGTGATTAATAAGGTTGTCCTGGTTAAGGCTTGTCATATGCATGACATTCATAAAGTTTTTCTCTGCTATAGATTGCTGATGCATAATCAGGCCTGAGGCCTAAATTAAGGCCCTGATGCATAGATGACACTCAAAGGGCTTCTCTCTACTGTGAATAATCTTGAAGTTTACACAGTTTGAGCTCCAAGTAAAAGTTTTTCCCATAGACACTATATCCCTAGGATTTGTCTCTACTATTGATTCTTTTATGTTTAGAGCTCCTGATGATTATCCTTGCATATTCACTGCATTTATAGGACTTTTTCCTACTGTGAATTCTCTGGCGGAGAATAAGAATTGAATTCTGCCTAAAAGCTTTTAAACACTAGTTATACTTTTAATGTATTTCCTTAAGACTAATTATCTGACTACCTAAAAAATTCAGAGTTCGGTATGATGATAAAATTTTGTGAATTTCTACTCCAGACTCTCTAGCCGATAGCTGCTCTCCTTTGGGTCATAAGGCTTCAGTTCTTCTCGTGGATATTATTTCAGGAACTCTCCCCCAGGAAGAACTGGCTGTTCAGTGACAGAACCAAAACAGTTTTCTTGGAAGGAAACACATATCACGCTATGTTCAACCTAGCACTCTGACTTGCCTTAATACTCAGAAGTTGTTCCAGAGTTGGGGGCCTAAGGAATGACCCTGCTTGTAACATCTCTAGACATTTTTCTATGACTAACATGTCTTGCTTTGGAATAGAATTCTTGCTGTCAGTCTTATCATCTGAAAAAAAAATAGGTATATGTGGTAATTGGCTTTGGCATGCTGAGCCCTCTTAAAACCCATCCCTAGCCATACAGGAGAATTTGCAGGAAAAATTTAGACAGGACCTTCTGAGAACTCAGAAATAGGTTCCTAGGAACCTAAGAGGATGGAAATCCTCAGATACAGGAACACATGTATGGAGGCTGAAGATAGAGGCCCAAGTCTGAGACATCTAAGCAGTGTCACCTCCAGAAAACCCTGTAAATTTTGCTAAGCCACAGCTAGCTAACCAGTACCCCCACTGTTTGAAAACAAGAAACAGAAAAACACTACATGTTCCTTTCAATATACATTCCTTCAACAAGTATTTGTGGAATGGCTGCTACGTTGCACGGTCTATTTTAGGTTACTGGGGATACAAAGAAGTCAAATAACATAAGAAGTCTGTCCTTGAAGGGCTCAAGGTCTTGTAGGAGAAACAGGCACATAAACAGGAAATCATAGAGGCACGGAGGAGAAACATCTGCCACTATCACAAGAGAGCAACTTAAGGAAGATTTCTGGAATAGGTGATATTTGAATTGAATCTCTTTTATTTTTATTTATTTTATTTTATTTTATTATTTTTTAGACAGAGTCTCATACTGTCGCCTGGGCTGGAGTGCAGTGGCACGATCTTGGCTCACTGCAACCTCCACTTCCCGGGTTCAAGCAATTCTCCTGCCTCAGCCTCCTGAGTAGCTGGGATTACAGGCACCTGTCACCACGCCCAGCTAAATTTTATATTTTTAGTAGAGACGGAGTTTCACCATGTTAGCCAGGCTGGTCTCAAACTCCTTACCTCAGGTGATCTGCCCGCCTCGGCCTCTCAAAGTGCTGGGATTACAGGCGTGAGCCACTACGCCTGGCCCTGAATTGAGTCTTAAAGGACAAGCAAGAGTTAGTAAGCTAGACCAAAACAACAACAACAAAGATGGATTCTGTGAACCTATGGATTATATAAGGGAAAAAAGAGAGGGATTGGAGAAGATAATTCTAGCCAGAGAAAAGAATGTAAAGACCAGGAAGAAAGCAAGCATAGGTGGACTAAAGGAAGCTTACAGAAAAGTGTGAACAGGTAAGACACAGGACATAAGCAGAAGACAGTTTATGACCAACTTTATAGATCTTGTAAAATACTTTGTTGTTGTTCCTGGCAACGTTGAGGAGCCACTGAAGGAGTCTAAACAGCAGAGTGACATGGCCATATTTCTGGGATAGAAAGATCATGCCAACATCCAGTGGGGAGGATGCAGATGATGAAGCCTGAACTGCAACAATGGCCTTGGAGACACAGAAAAGGAATTCATAAAGAGAATTGAAATTAAATGAACAGAATATTTGCTAGTTGCTTCCTATGTGTCAGACAGTATAACTTTTGCAGAGATTCACTTTTTTTTTATACTTTAAGTTTTAGGGTACATGTGCACAACGTGCAGGTTTGTTACATATGTATACATGTGCCATGTTGGTGTGCTGCACCCATTAACTCGTCATTTAACATTAGGTATATCTCCTAATGCTACACCTCCCCCCTCCCCCCATCCCACAACAGGCCCCGGTGTGTGATGTTCCCCTTCCTGTGTCCGTGTGTTCTCATTGTTCAATTCCCACCTATGAGTGGGAACATACGGTGTTTGGATTTTTGTCCTTGCGATAGTTTGCTGAGAATGATGGTTTCCAGCTTCATCCATGTCCCTACAAAGGACATGAACTCATCATTTTTTATGGCTGCATAGTATTCCATAGTGCATATGTGCCACATTTTCTTAATCCAGTCTATCATTGTTGGACATTTGGGTTGGTTCCAAGTCTTTGCTATTGTGAATAAACATACGTGTGCATGTGTCTTTATAGCAGCATGATTTATAATCCTTTGGGTATATACCCAGTAATGGGATTGCTGGGTCATATGGTATTTCTAGTTCTAGATCCCTGAGGAATCGCCACACTGACTTCCACAATGGTTGAACTAGTTTCCAGTCCCACCAACAGTGTAAAAGTGTTCCTATTTCTCCACATCCTCTCCAGCACCTGTTGTTTCCTGACTTTCTAACGATCGCCATTCTAACTGGTGTGAGATGGTATCTCATTGTGGTTTTGATTTGCATTTCTCTGATGGCCAGTGATGATGAGCATTTTTTCATGTGTCTTTTGGCTGCACAAATGTCTTCTTTTGAGAAGTGTCTGTTCATGTCCTTTGCCCACTTTTTGATGGGGTTGTTTGTTTCACTCTGATGGTAGTTTCTTTTGCTGTGCAGAAGCTCTTTAGTTGAATTAGATCCCATTTGTCAATTTTGACTTTTGTTGCCATTGCTTTTGGTGTTTTAGACATGAAGTCCTTGCCCAATCCTATGTCCTGAATGGTATTGCCTAGGTTTTCTTCTAGGGTTTTTATGGTTTTAGGTCTAACATGTAAGTCTTTACTCCATCTTGAATTAATTTTTGTATAAGGTGTAAGGAAGGGATCCAGTTTCAGCTTTCTACATATGGCTAGCCAGTTTTCTCAGCACCATTTATTAGATAGGGAATCCTTTCCCCATTGCTTGTTTTTCTCAGGTTTGTCAAAGATCAGATAGCTGTAGATATGCGGCATTATTTCTGAGGGCTCTGTTCTGTTCCATTGGTCTTTATCTCTGTTTTGGTACCAGCACCATGCTGTTTTGGTTACTGTTGCCTTGTAGTATAGTTTGAAGTCAGGTAGCGTGATGCTTCTTTTGGCTTAGGATTGACTTGGTGATGCGGGCTCTTTTTCAGTTCCATACGAACTTTAAAGTAGTTTTTTCCAATTCTGTGAAGAAAGTCATTGGTAGCTTGATGGGGATGGCATTGAATCTATAAATTACCTTGGGAGGTATGGCCATTTTCACAATATTGATTCTTCCTACCCATGAGCATGGAATGTTCTTCCATTTGTTTTTATCCTCTTTTATTTCATTGAGCAGTGGTTTGTAGTTCTCTTTGAAGAAGTCCTTCACATCCCTTGTAAGCTGGATTCCTAGGTATTTTATTCTCTTTGAAGCAATTGTGAATGGGAGTTCACTCATGATTTGGCTCTCTGTTTGTCTGTTATTGGTGTATAAGAATGCTTGTGATTTTTGCACATTGATTGTGTATCCTGAGACTTTGCTGAAGTTGCCTATCAGCTTAAGGAGATTTTGGGCTGAGATGATGGGGTTTTCTAGATATACAATCATGTCATCTGCAAACAAGGACAACTTGACTTCCTCTTTTCCTAATTGAATGCCCTTTATTTCCTTCTCCTGCCTGATTGCCCTGGCCAGAACTTCCAACACTATGTTGAATAGGAGTGGTGAGAGAGGGCATCCCTGTCTTGTGCCAGTTTTCAAAGTGAATGCTTCCAGTTTTTGTCCATTCAGTATGATACTGGCTGTGGGTTTGTCATAGATAGCTCTTATTATTTTGAGATAAGTCCCATCAATACCTAATTTATTGAGAGTTTTTAGCATGAAGGGTTGTTGAATTTTGTCAAAGGCCTTTGCTGCATCTATTGAGATAATCATGTGGTTTTTGTCTTTGGTTCTGTTTATATGCTGGATTACATTTATTGATTTGCATATGTTGAACCAGCCTTGCATCCCAGGGATGAAGCCCACTTGATCATGGTGGATAAGCTTTTTGATGTGCTGCTGGATTCGGTTTGCCAGTATTTTATTGAGGATTTTTGCATCAATGTTCATCAGGGATATTGGTCTAAAATTCTCTTTTTTTGTTGTGTCTCTGCCAGGCTTTGGTATCAGGATGATGCTGGCCTCATAAAATGAGTTAGGGAGGATTCTCTCTTTTTCTATTGATTGGAATAGTTTCAGAAGGAATGGTACCAGCTCCTCCTTGTACCTCTGGTAGAATTCAGCTGTGAATCCATCTGGTCCTGGACTTTTTTTGGTTGGTAGGCTATTAATTATTGCCTCAATTTCAGAGCCTGTTTTTGGTCTATTCAGAGATTCAACTTCTTCCTGGTTTAGTCTTGGGAGAGTGTATGTGTTGAGGAATTTATCCGTTTCTTCTAGATTTTCTAGTTTATTTGCCTAGAGGTGTTTATAGTATTCTCTGATGGTAGTTTGTATTTCTGTGGGATTGGTGGTGATATCCCCTTTATCATTTTTTATTGCGTCTATTTGCTTCTTCTCCCTTTTCTTCTTTATTAGTCTTGCTAGCGGTCTATCAATTTTGTTGATCTTTTCAAAAAACCAGCTCCTAGATTCATTGATTTTTATGAAGGGTTTTTTGTGTCTCTATCTCCTTCAGTTCTGCTCTGATCTTAGTTATTTCTTGCCTTCTGCTAGCTTTTGGATGTGTTTGCTCTTGCTTTCCTAGTTCTTTTAATTGTGATGTTAGGATGTCAATTTTAGATCTTTCCTGCTTTCTGTTGTGGGCATTTAGTGCTATAAATTTTCCTCTACACACTGCTTTGAATGTGTCCCAGAGATTCTGCTATGTTGTGTCTTTGTTCTCATTGGTTTCAAAGACCATCTTTATTTCTGCCTTCATTTCGTTATGTACCCAGTAGTCATTCAGGAGCAGGTTGTTCAGTTTCCATGTAGTTGAGCGGTTTTCAGTGAGTTTCTTAATCCTGAGTTCTAGTTTGATTGCACTGTGGTCTGAGAGACAGTTTGTTATAATTTCTGTTCTTTTACATTTGCTGAGGAGAGCTTTACTTCCAACTATGTGGTCAATTTTGGAATAGGTGTGGTGTGTTGCTGAAAAGAATGTATATTCTGTTGATTTGGGGTGGAGAGTTCTGTAGATGTCTATTAGGTCCGCTTGGTGCAGAGCTGAGTTCAATTCCTGGATATCCTTGTTAACTTTCTGTCTCATTGATCTGTCTAATGTTGACAGTGGGGTGTTAAAGTCTCCCATTATTATTGTGTGGGAGTCTAAGTCTCTTTGTAGGTCACTCAGGACTTGCTTTATGAATCTGGGTGCTCCTGTATTGGGTGCATGTATATTTAGGATAGTTAGCTCTTCTTGTTGAATTGATCCCTTTACCATTATGTAATGGCCTTCTTTGTCTCTTTTGATCTTTGTTGGTTTAAAATCTGTTTTATCAGAGACTAGGATTGCAACCCCTGCCTTTTTTTGTTTTCCATTTGCTTGGTAGATCTTCCTCCATCCCTTTATTTTGAGCCTATGTGTGTCTCTGCATGTGAGGTGGGTTTCCTGAATATAGCACACTGACAGGTCTTGGCTCTTTATCCAGTTTGCCAGTCTGTGCCTTTTAATTGGAGCATTTAGCCCATTTACGTTTAAGGTTAGTATTGTTATGTGTGAATTTGATCCTTTCATTATGATGTTAGCTGGTTATTTTGCTCATTAGTTGATGCAGTTTCTTCTTAGCCTTGATGGTCTTTACAATTTGGCATGTTTTTGCATTGGCTGGTACCGGTTGTTCCTTTCCATTTTTAGTGCTTCCTTCAGGAGCTCTTGTAGGGCAGGCCTGGCGGTGACAAAATCTGTCCGCTTTTGCTTGTCTGTAAAGGATTTTATTTCTCCTTCACTTATGAAGCTTAGTTTGGCTGGATATGAAATTCTGGATTGAAAATTCTTTTCTTTAAGAATGTTGAATATCGGCCCCCACTCACTTCTGGCTTGTAGAGTTTCTGCTGAGAGATCCACAGTTAGTCTGATGGGCTTCCCTTTGTGGGTCACCCGACCTTTCTCTCTGGCTGCCCTTAACATTTTTTCCTTCATTTCAACTTTGGTGAATCTGACAATTATGTGTCTTGGAGTTGCTCTTCTCGAGGAGTATCTTTGTGGCATTCTCTGTATTTCCTGAATTTGAATGTTGGCCTGCCTTGCTAGATTGGGGAAGTTCTCCTGGATAATATCCTGCAGAGTGTTTTCCAAGTTGGTTCCACTCTCCCTGTCACTTTCAGGTACACCAGTTAGACATAGATTTGGTCTTTTCACATAGTCCCATATTTCTTGGAGGCTTTGTTCATTTCTTTTTATTCTTTTTTCTCTAAACTTCTATTCACGCTTCATTTCATTCATTTTATCTTCCATCACTGATACCCTTTCTTCCAGGTGATTGCATCAGTTACTGAGGCTTGTGCATTCGTCACGTAGTTCTCATGCTGTGGTTTTCAGCTCCATCAGGTCTTTTAAGGACTTCTCTGCATTGGTTATTCTAGTTATCCAGTCGTCTAATTTTTTTTCAAAGTTTTTATCTTCTTTGTCATTTGTTCGAACTTCCTCCTTTAGCTCGGAGTAGTTTGGTCTTCTGAAGCCTTCTTCTCTCAACTCATCAAAGTCATTCTCCATCCAGCTTTGTTCCATTGCTGGTGATGAGCTGCGTTCCTTTGGAGGAGGAGAGGTGCTCTGATTTTTAGAGTTTCCGGTTTTTCTGCTCTGTTTTTTCCACATCTTTGTGGTTTTATCTACCTTTGGTCTTTGATGATGGTGACGTACAGATGGGTTTTTGGTGTGGATGTCCTTTCTGTTTGTTAGTTTTCCTTCTAACAGTCAGGACCCTCAGCTGCAGGTCTTTTGGAGTTTACTGGAGGTCCACTCCAGACCCTGTTTGCATGGGTATCAGCAGTGGTGGCTGCAGAACAGCGGATATTGGTGAACCACAAATGCTGCTGCCTGATCGTTCCTCTGAAAGTTTTGTGTCAGAGGAGTACCCGGCCGTGTGAGGTGTCAGTCTGCCCCTACTGGGGGGTGCCTCCCAGTTAGGCTACTCATGGGTGAGGGACCCACTTGAGGAGGCAGTCTGCCCATTCTCAGATCTTAAGCTGTGTGCTGGGAGAACCACTACTCTCTTCAAAGCTGTCTGACAGAGACATTTAAGTCTGCCGAGGTTATTGCTGTCTTTTGTTTGTCTGTTCCCTGCCCCCAGAGGTGGAGCCTACAGAGGCAGGCAGGCCTTCTTGAGCTGTGGTGGGCCCCACCCAGTTCGAGCTTCTGGGCTGTTTTGTTTACCTACTGAAGCCTGGGCAATGGCAGGCACCCCTCCCCCAGCCTGGCTGCCACCTTGCAGTTTGATCTCAGATTGCTTTGCTAGCAATGAGCGAGGCTCCTTGGGCATAGGACCCTCCAACTCAGGTGCGGGATATAATCTCCTGGTGTGCCATTTGTTAAGCCCGTTGGAAAAGTGCAGTATTAGGGTGGGAGTGACCCGATTTTCCAGGTGCCATCTGTCACCCCTTTCTTTGACTAGGAATGGGAATTCCCTGACCCCTTGTGCTTCCCGGGTGAGGCGATGCCTCGCCCTGCTTCGGCTCACACACGGTGCACTGCACCCACTGTCCGACACTCCCCAGTGAGATGAACCCAGTACCTCAGTTGGAAATGCAGAAATCACCCGTCTTCTGCGTCGCTCATGCTGGGAGCTGTAGACTGGAGCTGTTCCTATTCGGCCATCTTGGCTCCACCACAGTTTTCTTCTGAGATGTTTTTTGCTTATTGATTATTAGTAGTTATTTTAAAACTTCCTAATTTTTATCTTTTGTACTTCTACAATGTGGCAAATATTTTTGAGGTTGTTGTTTGCATTTTACATATGTTTATGTTCTTTAAAATCTCTGTTAAATAGCAAAGACATGGAATCAACCCAAATGCCCATCAGTGATAGACTGGATAAAGAAAATATCATACATATACACCATGGAATTCTATGCAGCCATAAAAAGGAATGAGATCATGTCCTTTGCAGGAACACAAGTGAAGCTGGAAGCCATCATCCTCAGCAAACTAACACAGGAACAAAAAACCAAGCACCGCATGTTCTCACTCATAAGTGGGCACTGAACAATGAGAACACATGGACACAGGGAGGGGAACAACACACACTGGGGCCTGTCAAGGGGGCGAGGGGAGGGAGAGCATCAGAATAAATAGCTAATGCATGCAGGGCTTAATACCCAGGTGATGGGTTAATAGGTGCAGCAAACCACCATGGCACCCATTTACCTATGTGACAAACTTGCACATCCTGCACATGTATCCTGGAACTTAAAATAAAATTTTAAAAAACTCTATTGAAATGTAGCACATATACAGAGAGGTGCATAAGTCATACATGTACAGTTCAATATATATTTTCACAATTTCAGTATACTTGTATAATCAGCATACAGAGGAAATAACAACATGGTCACCATCCCAGGAATTCTTCCCATGTCCATTTTAAATTATTACCCTGTCCCCTATCCTGACATATTTTTTCTACATTCCAATGCATTGATTCTGCAAAAACAATACATCTATTTCTTATTTTTTCACAGTAAAATTTTATACTACAAACCTCATATACTTACTTGAAAGATGTTCCAAGAATAAGCAGAATGAGATTAATAAAACCCAAATTGACTAAATGGGTTCTCACAATATAAGCTGGCATAAAAATAAATAAATTTATCTATTTTCAGCCAGGTGCGGTGGCTCATGCCTGTAATCCCAGCACTTTGGGAGGCCAAGGCAGGTGGATCACAAGGTCAAGAGATCAATACCATCCTGGCTAACACAGTGAAACCCTGTCTCTACTAAAAATACAAAAATTAGCTGGGTGTGGTGGCACGCACCCGTAGTCCCAGCTACTTGGGAGGCTGAGGCAGTTGCTTGAACCTGGGAGGCGGAGGTTGCAGTGAGCCGAAATCATGCCACTGCACTCCAGCCTGGGCGACAGAGTGAGACTCCATCTTAAAAAAAACAAAAAAAAACAAGACAAACCAACAACAACAACAAAAATTATCTATTATCACAGTAGCGACAATAATGCATACATAATAGTGACTTATGGATCAATGTTAACTATTCTAATTCTACTTTCCAAAGAAAACAGCAGTTCATTTTAAAAGTCTATTTACATGTCAGTGTTTTGTCTGGTTTTCCAGAGGACTGCTGCTAATTCCAGCATTAAAATGTAAAGTATCCACTTTGAGTGATTAGCTCAAATTGTGTTGGCATTGGGAAAAAATAAATCATTGCTTTTATTTTGGAATAACACAGAAAGACTCACTTCACATATAGAAACTGAGTCTGTGTTGTACATAACAACATGAGTTTGGGAAGTAAAGCTTTCAGCTAACTATTTCTAATACTGAATAGATATTTTACAACATAAACTTTACACATGGCCTCAAAACTGAAATCGAATTATAATTTCATCTTCAGTATGCCGCATTATATATTTAAGAATTACTTCCTAAGTTCTGTCATAGACAGAAAACCCCATTCTTAAGCATTGTGTTGAGTGGTCATTTAAAAGAAAAACTTATTTTTAACTAAGTATTTGGTGATGGTGGGGGCCAGAGAATGGTAGATATAACTGCCTTGATAAAAGGATCTTCGATATGCACAAATCTGTGCAAAAATCTTGATAATCCTTTATGGTTAAGGGCAACTTCATGCAACCAAATGACATGAAATTAAATCAATAACCTTTAAAAAGGATAACGTATTTTTTTCAACCACAACAGAGAGGAATATGAATAATGTACATAAAAACTGGGGTTCTGTCGATAATAGCAAGGACTATGTGTTGGTTCATATAAAATCTAAGAACATCGGCCAGGCGCGGTGGCTCACGCCTGTAATCCCAGCACTTTGAGAGGCCAAGGTGGGTGGATTGCCTGAGGTCAGGAGTTCGAGACCAGCCTGGTCAACATGACAAAACCTCATACCTACTAAAAATACAAAAATTAGCCAGGCATGGTGCTGCATACCTGTAGTCCCAGCTACTCGGAGGCTGAGGCAGGAGAATCTTTTGAACAGGGGAGGTGAAGGTTGCAGTGAGCCGAGATCATGCCACTACACTCCAGCCTGGGCGACAGAGTAAGACTCCGTCTCAGAAAAAAAAAAAAAAAGTATATATATATAAACATAAGACAACCAAACATTTAATTTTCTTATGATTTCTTTTAATATGCAGCATTGATTATGGTAGGTAGGTCCCTTCACTGGTTTTCTGCAAGTTTGAAGCTGTGTTTCTTGTGTCATTGCAGGCATTTCCATCTTCAGATCTGCTTTTATCTCTTCTTTGCATTCTTTGTCATCTTCATCTCCAGGAGATTTCTGGAAATGTTTAGAGGGCTTCTTTGAAGTGTATGACTTTATTTTTTCTTTTAGACTGCTTTTTCATTCTTTCTTTTGCTTTTTCCGTCTTCTTCTACTCTATCACCTTCTTCCTCATTGCTTGCCCTGGCAGTGTCTTCTACCTCAGTTTCTGAAGACTATTGTTGCTGAATTGCCTGGCATCCAGTAAACTTTATTCCTGGGTTGTTTTCTATTTCCCACAATCCTTCATTAAATCCTTTCTATTTGTTTGACTTTCTAACTGTCTTTGTATTTCTTATATGGGAAAAGGTCTTTGGAAACTAGAAATGCAGTCATGGAAGCCAAAAAAAAAAAAAAACTTCAGCTTTACCTCAAGATAATTTAGGAGAAGTTCGTTGTTTTTAATCTGTGGATATGAGTGATGTTAGCTGATGTGGAGTGCACTGCAGGGTTTCAGTACCAGTGTAGTAATATGGACAGCTGGGCCTCTGAAAGAGAGAGCAGGTGTGGATGAGTATGAGTAGAGACACCTCGATCATTTGGGAGTGGAGAAGAAGTTGGGGGGCATATCCTTAGCTCTTCAAGCTCTTTCCTCAAAATTTACCCACGAGTCCCCTCCTTTCAATTACTCTGTTTCCCACAGAGAAGATAATAGTAGCAATATCCTTCTTCTACATTTCCCCCAAGGCCCTGTGGTCCTGAGGTTGGGAGAGTGGTGGGAGAGAAAGGATAAGAGAGGAATGGGAGAGAACATGGAAACCCTGAAGTCCAGGTCAGTAGAAGAGGTAGGAGTCTTTTAGGCCAAAGAAAAGAGGACCCAAGTATTTCCTTGAACTTCGTAGCAACCAAGGATTAGACTACAGCAATGGAGAATCTTGAGGCAAGCCAGATAGTTGCAGAGAGCCCATCTGAGGGACAAATATAGGGCTTATCTTAGAGTTAGATTTCTAGAAAGCCCCTTAAGATGGGATAAGGGTCACAGAGTGGGCAATTGTGGGAGGGTTCCTGGTGGAGGTTGGGGATTGGAGTGATGGCCTGGGGGTGATTTAAAGTAAGAACACAATACTGGACTGAAGAAGATGGGGAAGGGTTCCAGCAAGAAAGCCTCCCTTCAGAGTGCAATGTGGAGGCAGCAGCTGCAGTGCCCGAGAGCCTGAGTTTTGGAATACCTGCCACTATGGATTCTAGAAGTAGTGCCAGATTTCTTCCTTGTAGTAGTGAATTTCTTCCCTGTCCTCATTTATTTCAATAGGGTAGAGGCAGGAGAGGAAGAAAAGATGGAGCCTTTTGCCTATGATTAATAATAAAACCACTGTATTCTAGAAACAGAGAGAGGCAGGATGAGGTACAAAGAAAGATACCTGTTCTGCCGAAGATTCTCAGTCTCTGGATCTCTTGTCAAGATAACCTTATATTTACTCGCATATGGCTGAATTGACTAGTTAGTACCAAATTGATGCAGAGAGGAAGGAAGACAAGGGGGTAGGAGCATACACAGGTGGGATTAATTTTACTCAACTTCACCAACAGACTTTGTTCATTTCTGGTGGGGGATGGCTGTAGTGGTAGAGAAATAGACTGTGGTGGGAAAGGGGAGAGGGGATAAGGTATAACATTTTCTGGCCCTTCCTCCCCCGTTTTGTGTTTTTCCTTTTCTCTCCTCTCATGACCAGAAGTCTAGACAGGAAGCAGAGGTCGGTTACCAGGGAAACTGAAGCTGAGTATGCTTGATTCACGAGCTTGTGAGATAAAAGCAAAATTGCTACTCAAAATGCAAGACTGTATGGAGGATGGGTATTAACCAAATAAGCAAAGATTTATTCATCCTTATAATTATTGTACATAGATATATAAATCCACAAAGATGAATAGCTTTTCCTAAATGTTTAGTTGAGAATCAGTCTATGGAATGGCCTTGAATCCTGCCCCTGCCGCCTTCCATTCTCACTGCTGGCCCCATGCTGTCAGTCTCCCAACATGCCTTATGTCTGAGTATGATGGAGTCCTAATGATATTGCCTCTGTACGTGGCTCTGTCAGTTACAGGGAAAGAAACTAAGGGAAAAAGGAAGCATCAATTCACCTAGCTTTAAAAGCAACAGAGAGATAAACCTCAACCATCAAAATCTTTCCCTAGAATTCCACCTAAAAATCCCAGCAAATCTAACCAAAGTACTGGTCTTTCAATGTCTAATTAATATGTATTTGTTTTGGGTCCAGTATCAAAGAGTTCTACGAAAATGCAATTAGAATACATCACCATTCCTTATACGCTGCTGCCCCTAGTGTAACACATGTGGATTGCACTCTCTTGACAGTTGTAGCCAGTTATTCCATTTCACTGCTGTATGACGGGTTTTAGACTTGTATCTGTATTTTTTAAGATATGCAGTTGAATATTTCTGTTAATCTTTTTGATTATAGAGAAATGAAGCAGATAGCCTACCACTGGCCATAATATTTTTCTGATGGGAAAATACATTCTGCTCTGTGGCAACTGCTTTCTGATGCAGTCTCTATTGTTGCATTTTAATAAAAATCATCCTCTGCTTGTATACTCCCATATGATTTCAGAATATTTATGCTGATGTCAACTCGGTTGTAATAATTGATCTCCACTGAGACCTTAGAAGTTAATGTGAACCTGCATTTAAAGTTTAATTAGGGAGTAAAAAGTGTCGGGGGGTGTTCATATCTGTCTGTACTCTCTTCTACAACTGGAAAACTTTCCCTAAAAAACAAAAAACTTGTATTTGAGTAGTGGTGTGTGTGTGTGTGTGTTTGTAGATGGGGCATAAAGGTAGAGTGATAAGAATTGACAAGCACCAATATTTATTGAGCACTACTAGGTGTGATATAATTTGCATTATTTTATCTGAGTATTACATACAAGCAATAAGTTGGGTTTTGGTGCAGTCATTGAACCTTTCACCTGCCATTTTTTAAATTGTATGAGGCTAATTCCTTGTGGATAGCAGGGTGAACAGAAATGTTATTGGTACTGAGATCTTTCTGTCACTTTTAGTTGCCATAGCCCTTTGTAGTTTAGAGAAACTTCTGATAAGGAAATTAATTCTCACAGGCTAGGCTTGCTTTCCATGCAATACTTCGTTTAACCCTTCCTACAAACACTTTGATGTAGATACTATTACTATCTTGAATTTACAGTTGAGGTACTTGGAGATGAGAAGAGCCCAAACCCAGGTCTTCCTGTTTCTGAAGACTGTGTTTTTCTGCCTCCCTTATGTAGTAAAACCGGAGAACAGTCTGGAGTGTTAGTCTTCGAAAATTTTATTGATGCTATGCACAAACATTTCCTGAAACACCAGGGAGACCCTGACATATCTCAATTCTTCCTCAAAAAGGACCATTATATATATATAAATTAACTGCCCTCCACCCACTAATTGAGCACTCATTTCTCCATTCAGTCCTCTCTTCACAAAAAAAAAGGAGAAATATTGAATGCCTTCAGGATTGAGAAGCTAAATCTGATGAAATTAGCGTGGGACATTAGCATGGTATATTAGTTTGCTAGTGCTGCAATAACAAAATACCACAGAATGGGTGACTTAAACAACAGACATTCATTTTCTCACAGTTCTGGAGGCTGGAAGTCCAAGATCGAGGTATATATAGGCTTAGTTTCTTCTGAGGTCTCTCTCTCTTTGGCTTTCAGATAGTCACCTTCTCACTGTGTCCTTACATAGTCTTTCTTCTGTACCTATGCACCCCTGCTGTTTCTCTGTGCATACAAATTTCCTCTTCTTATAAAAGCATCAGTTAGATTGGATTAGGGCCACCTAAAGGTTTCGTTTTTACTTAATCACATCTTTATAGGCTTGATATCCAATTACAGTCATATTCTGGAGTAATAGAAGTTAGAGCTTCTCAAGTAGCACTTCAATTAATTAATTAGCTAATTAATTTTTAATTGAAAAATACAAATTATATATATATGAGGTGTAACTTGATGTTTTGACATATGTGTACAATGTGGAATGATTAAATCAAGCTAACTAATGTATCCATTGCCTCATATAATATCTATTGCAGTAAGAACATTTAAAATCTACTTCTTTAGCAATTTCAAGTATATGATACATTATAATTTGCTATAATCAGTCACCATACTGTACAATAGAGCTCTATAACTTATTTCTCCTTCCTAACTGAAACTTTGAACCCTTTGACCAACATTTCCCCATTTCCTACAACCTCCTGCCAACCCCTGGTAACCACCATTCTACTCTCAGTTTCTATCAATTAGATTTTTTTAGAGTCCACATATAAATGAGATCATGCAGCATTTGCCTTTCTGTGTCTGGTTTACTTCGCTTAGCATAATGTCCTCCAGGTTTATGTGGATTGTTGCAAATGAAAGGATTTTCTTCCTTCTTAAAGCTGAATAGTATTCCATTGTGTGTGCCCGTCTCTGTGTGTGTATACTCCACATTTTCCCTATCTATTGATTCATTGATGGACACTTAGGCTGATTCCATATCTTGGCTATTGTGAATAATACTGCAATGAACATGGAAGTGCAGGTATGTCTTTGACATAGTGACTTTACTTCCTTTGGGTATATAGCTAAAAGTGAAATGGCTGAATCATACAATAACTCTATTTTTAATTTTTTGAGGAATCTCCTTACCGTTTTTCATAATAGCTGAACTGGTTTACATTCCCACTAATAGTGCTCAATATCCCCCCAACACTTGTTATCTTTTGTTTTTTAATGATGGTAGATATTCTAATGGGTGTGAGGTGATATATCATTGTGGCTTTAATTTGTGTTTCTCTGATGATTAGTGATATTGAGCACATTTTTATGTAACTGTCAGCAATTTGGATGTCTCCTTTGGAAAAATATCTATTCAGGTCCTTTGCCCATTTTTAAATCAGGTTATTTATTTTCTTGCTATTGAGTTGTCTGATTTCCTTATATATTTTGGATATTAACCCGTTATCAGATATGTAGTTTGCAAATATTTTCTCTCATTGTGCAGGTTGCATCTTCACTCGATTGTTTCTTTTTCCATGCAAAAGCTTTTTACTTTGATGCAATCCATTTGTCTATTTTTGCTTTTGTTGCCTATGCTTTTGGGGTAATATCCCAAAAATCTTTGCCAGGACAGATGCTAATAAGCTTTCCTCTATGTTTTCTTTCAGTACTTTTACAGTTTTAGGTCTTATATTTAAGTCATTAATCCATTTTGAGTTGATCTCTGGTTTTTTTTGTGTGTATTTTTTTTGTTTTAGTAAATTATATTTTCAGTAAGTTTTCAATAACCAAATTGAAAAGTGTGTCTATTTATTCCTGACTAGGCTAAGACATGTAGAAATATATCACTACTGTTCAACTGTTGGGAGTAGGGAGGCAATGAACACAAGGAAACTCAGACAGAAAAAGAAATGTAAATTAACATCTCAAAATATTATATTATTACTTTAAAATTATTTAGTAAATCACATGGTCTTCTTATTTGAAAGAGAGGAACTGTGGGATGGTAAGGGTGTACAGAGGGTAGCTGCTAGTGAAAGTCCAGTGGGCTCCAAATATTCTATAAAATCACAATATAATGTATAAGAGAAAGAAGAATAAAGGAATGAGCTACTTTATTTTCATATGATTTCTTTTAAAATAGTGATTTGTAACACCTGTTTCTCTTTTCTTATTCTTTGCAACTTCTATTTCAGGTTCAAGGGGTACATTTGTAGGTTTGTTACATGGGTAAGTTATGCGTCGTAGGGGTTGGCGTACAGATAATTTTGTCACCCAGGTAATCAGCATAGTACCTGATAGGTAGTTTTTCAATCCTCACCCTCCTCCTGCTCTCTACTCTCAAACAGACCCTAGTGTCCATTGTTCTTTTTAAATATTTTTTATTTTTAATTTTGTGAGTATATAGTAGGTATATGTATTTGTGGGTTACATGAGATATTTCGTTACAGGCATGCAAAGTGTAATAATCACATCAGGGTAAATGGGGTATCCATCACTTCAAGCATTTATCCTTTGTGTTACAAACAATCTAATTATACTCTTTTAGTTATTTTAAAATGTATGATTAAATTATTATTGACTGTAGTCACCCTGTTGTGCTAGCAAATATTAGGTCTTATTCATTCTTTCTAACTATATTTTTGCGCCCATTAACCATCCCCAGTTCCCTGCCACTTCACCACTACACTTCTTAGCCTCTGGTTACCACCCTTCTACTCTATCTCCATGAGTTCAATTATTTTAATTTTTAGCTGTCACAAATAAGTGAGACCATGTGAAGTTTGTCTTTCTGTAACTGGCTTATTTCACTTAACATAATGACCTCCAGTTCCATCCATGTTGCTGCAAATGACTGGATCTCATTCGTTTTATGGCTGAATAGTACTCCATTGTGTATAAGTACCACGTTTTCCTTATCCATTCATATGTTGATGGACACTTAGGTTGCTTCCAAATCTTGGATATTGAGAATAGTGCTGCTGTAAACATGGGAATGCACATATCTCTTCGTTATCCTGATTTTCTTTCTTTTGGGTATATACCTGGGAATAGGATTGTTGGATCGTATGGTAGCTCTATTTTTAGTTTTCTTGAGGAACCTCCAAACTGTTCTCCATAATGGTTGTACTAATTTACATAGCCACCAACAGTGCAGGGGAGTTCCCTTTTCTCCACATCCTCACTAGCATTTATCATTGCCTGACTTTCAGGTAAAAGCCATTTTAACTGGGTTGAGAAGATATCTCATTGTAGCTTTAATATGCATTTCTCTGATGATCAATTATATTGAGCATCTTTTCATATACCTGTTTGCTATTTGTATGTCTTCTTTTGAGAAATGTCCATTCAGGTCTTTTGCCCATTTTTAAATGAGACGATTAGATTTATTTCCTATAGAGTTCTTTGAGCTCCTTATGTATTCTGATTATTAATTCCTTGTCAGATGGGTAAGTTGCAAATGTTTGTCCCATTATGTGGGTTGCCGCTTCACTTTGTTGATTGTTTCCTTTGCTGTGCAGAAGCTTTTAAACTTGATGTAATTCAATTTGTCCATTTTTGCTTTGGTTGCCTGTGCTTGTGGGATATTGCTCACGAAATCTTTGTGCAGTCCAGTGTCCTAGAGAGGTTCCCCAATGTTTTCCTTTGGTGGTTTCATAGTCTGAGGTCTTATAATTTAAGTCTTTAATACATTTTGATTTGATTTTTGTATATGGTGAGAGATAGGGGTGTAGTTTCATTCTTTTGCATGTGGATATCCAGTTTTCACAGCACTATGTATTAAAGAGACTGTCCTTTCACTAGTGTATGTTCTTGAGAACTTAGTCAAAAGTGAGTTTGCTGTAGATGTGTGAATTTATCTCTGGGTTTTCTATACTGTTCCATTGGTCTGTGTGTCTGTTTTTATGCCAGTACTGTGTTGTTTTGGTTACTATAGCTCTGTAGTGTAATTTAAAGTCAGGTAATATGATTCTTCCATGTTTGTTCTTTTTGCTCAGTATAGCTTTGGCTATTCTGTGTCTTTTGTGGTTCCATATAAATTTTAGAGTTTTTTTCTATTTATATGAAGAATATCATTGGTATTTTGATAGGGATTGCATCAAATCTGTAGATTGTTTTGGGTAGTATGGACATTTAAAAATATTGATTTTCCCAATCCATTAACATTTAATTTCTTGCATCAATGTTTTATAGTTTTTATTGTAGAGATCTTTTACTTCTTTGGTTAAGCAAATTCCTAGTATTGTATTTTGTGTATATTGTAAATGGGATTACTTTTTAAAATTTCTTTTTCTGATTGTTCGCTGTTAGCATATAGAAATGCTACTGATTTTTGTATGTTGATTTTGTATCCTGAAATTTTCCTGAATTTGTTTATCAGTTTATTAGTTTTCTCGTGGAGCCTTTAGGTTTTTCCAAACATAAAATCACATCTCTGCAAACAAGGATGATTCGACTCCTTCCTTCCCCTTTTAGAGGTCCTTTATTTCTCTCTTGTCTGATTGCTCTAGGTAGGACTTCCAGTACTATGTTGAATAACAGTGGTGAAAATGAGAATCCTTGTTCCAGTTCTTAGAGGAAAGGATTTCAGTTTTTCCCCATTCAATATGATACTAGCTATGGACCTGTTGTATATAGTTTTATTATCTTGTGATATGTTCCTTCTATATCCAGTTTTTTGAGGGTTTTTATCATGAAGGGATGTTGAATTTTACCAAATGCTTTTTCAGCATCAATTGAAATGATCATATGGTTTTCGGCCTTCATTCTGTTGATATGATTTATCACATTAATTGATTTGTATATGTTGAACCATCCTTGCATCCCTGGGTTAAATCCCACTTGGTCATGATGAATGACTTTTTTTTAATGTGTTGTTGAATTTGGTTTGCTAATATTTTGTTGAGGATTTTTATATCAATATTCATCAGTGATATTGGCCTATAGTTTCCTTTTTGTGATGTGTCTTTGTCTGGTTTTGGTATCAGGGTAATATTGTCCTTGTAGAATGAGTTTAGAAGTATTCTCTCCTCCTCTATTTTTTGGAATAGTTTGAGTAGGTTTAGTGTTAGTTCTTCTTTAACAGCTTGGTAGAATTCAGCAGTGTAGCCATTGGATCCTGAGTTTCCTTTGCTGGGAGACTTTTCATTATGGATCTCCTTCCTTGTTATTGGTTTGTTCAGGTTTTGGATTTCTTCATGGTTCAATCTTGGCAGAATGAATGTGTCTAGGAATTTTTCCATTTCTTCTAGATTTTCCAAAATATTGGCATATAGTTGCTCATAGTATTCACTAATGATCCATTGAATTTCTGTAGTATCAGTTGTAATGTCTCCCTTTTCGTCTCTGATTTTACTTATTTGGGTCTTGTCTCTTTTTTTGTTAGTCTGGCTAAAGGTTTGTCCATTTTGTTTATCTCTTCAAAAACCAACTTTCTGTTTCATTGATCTTTTGTATATTTTCTTCATTTTAAATTCATTTATTTCTACTCTGATCTTTATTATTTCTTTTCTTCTAATTTTTGGTTAGGTTTACTCTTGCTTTTCTAGTACTTTTGGATGCAATGTTGGTTTTTTTTTTATTCGATGTATTTGTTGTTTTTTGATATAGGCACTTACAGTTATAAACTTCCCTCTTGGTACTTCTTTTGCTGTATGCCATAGGTTTTGGTGTGCTGTGTTTACATTATCATTTGTTTCAAGACATTTATCAATTTTCTTCTTAATTTCTTCATTGACCCACTGGTCATTCAGAAGCATATTGTTTGATTTCCATGTACTTCTATAGTTTCCAAAGTTCCTGTTGCTATTGATTTCTAGTTTTATTCCATTTTGGTCAGAGAAGATGCTTGATATTATTTCAATTTTTTGCGTGTTTGAAGACTTCTTTTGTGGCCTAACATATGGTCTATCCTTGAGAATGATCCATGCGCTAAGGAAAAAAAATGTGTATTCTGAAGCTGTTGGATAAAATGTTCTGTAAATATCTGTTAGGTCCACTTGGTCCATAGTGCAGATTAAAGCTGATGTATCTTTGCTGATTTTCTGTCCAGGAGATCTGTCCAATGCTGAAAATAGGGTGTTGAAGTTTCCAGCTATTATTGTATTGTGGTCTATCTCTTTCTTTAGCGCTAACAATATTTGCTTTATATATCTGGGTGCTCCTGTGTTGGGTGCATATATATTTATAATTGCTATATCCTATTGCTTAATTGACTCCTTTAGCATTATATAGTGACCTTCTTTGTCTCTTCTCATAGTCTTTGTCTTGAAATGTATTTTGTATGATATTAAGATAGCTACTCCTGCTCTTTTTTGGTTTCCATTGGCATAGAATATCTTTTCCCATCCCATTATTTTCACTTTACGTGTGTCTTTATAGGTAAAGTGGGCACCAGATCATTGGGTCTTGTTTTTTCATTCTTTCAACCACTCTGTGCCTTTTGATTAGAAAGTTTGGTTCATTTACATTCAATGTTATTATTGATAAGTAAGATCTTACTCCTGCCATTTTGTTTTTGGTTTTCTGGTTGTTTTGTGTGTCTTCTCTTTCTTCTTTTGTACCTTCCTGTTTTCCTCTTAGTGAAGGTGATTTTCTGTGGTGGTATGCTTTAATTTTTCCTTTTTATTTTTTGTGTATCCATTATATGTTTTTCAATTTGAGGCTATCATGAGGTTTGCAAATACTATCTTATAACAATTATTTTAAACTGTTGACAACTTACCACTGATTGCATAAAAAACCCAACAAACATGTACAAGGAAAACTAATAAACAATGTACACTTTAACTTCATCCCATCACTTTGTAACTCTTTGTAGTTTATCTTTATTTTACTGTTTCTGTTTTGAAAAGTTGGTGGAGTTATTATTTTTGATTGGTTTATCATTTAGTCTTTCTACTGAAGATAAGAGTAGTTTACACACCACAACTACAGTGTTACATTTTGTGTTTTTCTGTATGCTTATTACCAGTGAGTTTTGTACCTTCAGATGATTTCTTTTTTCTTTCTTTCTTTCTCTTCTTTTTTCTTTTTCTTTTTGAGACAGAGTTTCACTCTTGTTGCCCAGGCTGGAGTGCAATGGCATGATCTCGGCTCACTGCAACCTCCACCTCCCAGATTCAAGCAATTGTCCTGCCTCAGCCTCCCAAGTATCTGGGATTACAGGCGTGTGCCATCACGTGCAGCTAATTTTTGTATTTTTAGTAAAGACAGAGTTCCACCTTGTTGGTCAGGCTGGTCTCAAACTCCTGACCTCAGGTGATCCACCCACCTCGGCCTCCCAAAGTGCTGGGATTACAGGTGTGAGCCACCATGCCCAGCCTCAGATGATTTCTTATTGCTGATTAACATCCTTTTCTTTCATATTGAAGAATGCCCTTTAGGATTTCTTGTAGGACATGTCTGGAGTTGATGAAATCCCTCAGCGTTTGTTTGTCTGGGAAGGTCTTTCTCATTCATGCTTGAATAATATTTTCACCAGATATACTCTTCTAGGATAAAAAATTTTTTTCCTTCAGCGCTTTAAATATATCATGCCACTCTATCCTGGCCTGTAAGGTTTCCTCTGAAAGGTCTGCTGCCAGATGTATTGGAGCTCCATTGTGTGTTATTTGTTTCTTTTCTCTTGCTGCTTTTAAGACTTGTTATTTTTCCTTGACCTTTGGAAGTTTGATTATTAAATGCCTTGAGGTACTCTTCTTTGGGTTAAATCTGCTTGGTGTTCTATAACCTTCTTGTACTTGAATGTTGATATCTTTCTCTAGGTTTGGGAAGTTCTTTGATATTATCCCTTTTAATATGCTTTTCATATTTATCACTTTCTTTGCCTCGTCTTTAAGGTCAATAACTCTTAGATTTGCTCTTTTGAGACTATTTTCTAAATCTTTTAGGCATGCTTAAAATTTTTTTTGCCTCCTCTGATGGTGTATTTTCAAATAACCTATTTTCAAGCTGACTAATTCTTTCTTTCTTTTTTTTAGGTTCTATTATGCTTTGTTTTTATTATACTTTAAGTTCTGGGGTATGTGTGCAGAATATGTATGTTTGTTACATAGGTATACACGTGCCATGGTGGTTTGCTGTACCCATCAACCCGTCATCTACATTAGGTATTTCTCCTAATGCTATCACTCCCCTAGCCCCCCACCCCTGACAGGCCCCGGTGTGTGATGTTCCCCTCCCTGTGTCCATGTGTTCTCATTGTTCAACTCCCACTTATAAGTGAGAACATGCAGTGTTTGTTTGTGTCCTTGTGTTAGTTTGCTGAGAATGATGGTTTTCAGCATCATCAATGTCCCTGGAAAGGACATGAACTCATCCTTTTTTATGGCAGCATAGTATTCCATGGTGTACATGTGCCACATTTTCTTTATCCAGTCTATCACTGATGGGAATTTGGGCTAGTTCCAAGTCTTTGCTATTGTGAACAGTGCTGCAATAAACATACGTGTGCATGTGTCTTTATAGTAGAATGATTTATAATCCTTTGGGTATATACCCAGTAATGAGATTGCTGGGTCAAATGGTACTTCTAGCTCTAGAACCTTGAGGAATCACCACACTGTCTTCCACAGTGGTTGAACTAATTTACATTCCCACCAACAGTGTAAAAGCATTCCTATTTCTCCACATCCTCTCCAGCATCTGTTGTTTCTTGAGTTTTTAATGATCACCATGCTAACTGGCATGAAATGGTATCTCATTGTGGTTTTGATTTGCATTTCTAATGACCAGTGATGATGAACTTCTTTTCATACGTTTGTTGGCTGCATAAATGTCTTCTTTTGAGAAGTGTCTGATCATATCCTTCGCTCACTTTTGGGTGGGTTTGTTTGTTTCTTTTTTCCTTATAAATCTGTTTAAGTTCTCTGTAGATTCTGGATATTAGCCCTTTGTCAGATGGATAGATTGCAAAATTTTTCTCCCATTCTGTAGGTTGCCTGTTCACTCTGATGACAGTTTCTTTTGCTGTGCAGAAGCTCTTTAGTTTAATCAGATTCCATTTGTCTATTTTGGCTTTTGTTGCCATTGCTTTTGATGTTTTAGTCATGAAGTCTTTGCCCATGCCAATGTCCTGAATGGTATTGCCTAGGCTTTCTTCTAGGGTTTTTATGGTTTTAGATCTTACGTTTAAGTCTTTAATCCATCTTGAGTTGTATAAGATGTAAGGAAGGGATCCAGTTTCAGCGGCTAGCCAGTTTTCCAAACACCATTTATTAAATAGGGAATCCTTTCCCCATTGCTTGTTTTTGTCAGGTTTGCCAAAGATCAGTTGGTTGTAGATATGTGGCATTATTTCTGAGGCCTCTGTTCTGTTGCATTGGTCTATATATCTGTTTTGGTACCAGTACCATGCTGTTTTTGTTACTGTACCTTGTAGTACAGTTTGAAGTCAGGTAGCATGATGTCTCCAGCTTTGTTCTTTCTGCTTAGGATTGTCTTGGCTATGAGGGCTCTTTTTTGGTTCCATACGAAATTTAAAGTAGTTTTTTCCAATTCTGTGAAGAAAGTCAGTGGTAGCTTGATCGGGATAGCATTAAATCTATAAATTACTTTGGGCAGTATGGCCATTTTGACAATATTGATTCTTCCTATCCATGAACATGGAATGTTTTTCCATTTGTTTGTGTCCTCTCTTATTTCATTGAGCAGTGGTTTGTAGTTCTCCTTGAAGAGGTACTTCACATCCCTTGTAAGTTGGATTCCTAGGTATTTTATTCTCTTAGTAGCAATTGTGAATGGGAATTCACTCATGATTTGGCTCTCTGTTTGTCTGTTATTGGTGTATAGGAATGCTTGTGATTTTTGCACATTGATTTTATATCCTGAGACTTTGCTGAAGTTGCTTATCAGCTTAAGGAGATTTGGGGCTGAGATGATGGAGTTTTCTAAATGTCCAATCATGTCATCTGCAAAGAGAGATAATTTGACTTCCTCTTTTCCTACCTGCATACACTTTATTTCTCTCTCTTACCTGATTGCCCTGGCCAGAACTTCCAATGCTATGTTGAATAGGAGTGATGGGAGAGGGCATCCTTGTCTTGTGCCAGTTTTCAAAGGGAATGCTTCCAGTTTTTGCCCATTCAGTATGATATTGGCTGTAGGTTTGCCATGAACACCTGTTATTATTTTGAGATACCTTCCTTCTATGCCTAGTTTATTGAGAGTTTTTAGCATGCAGGGCTGTTGAATTTTGTCAAAGACCTTTTCTGCATCTACTGAGATAATCATGTGGTTTTTGTCATTGCTTCTGTTTATGTGATGGATTACGTTTATTGATTTGCATATGTTGAACCAGCCTTGCATCCCAGGGATGAAGCCAACTTGATCGTGCTGGATGAGCTTTTTGATGTGCTGCTGGATTCAGTTTGCCAGCATTTTATTGAGGATTTTTGGATCAATGTTCATCAAGGATATTGATCTAAAATTCTCTCTCTTTTTTTTTTGTTTCTCTGCCAGGCTTTGGTATCAGGATGATGCTGGCCTCATAAAATGAGTTAGGAAGGATACCCTCTTTTTCTATTATTTGGAGTAGTTTCAGAAGGAATGGTACCAGCTCCTCTTTGTACCTCTGGTAGAATTCGGCTGTGAATCCATCTGGTCCTGGACTTTTTTGGTTGGTAGGCTATTAATTGCTGCCTCAATTTCAGAGCCTGTTATTGGTCTATTCAGGGATTCTACCTCTTCCTGGTTTAGTCTTGGGAGGGTGTATGTGTCCAGGAATTTATCCATTTCTTCTAGATTTTCTAGTTTATTTGCGTAGAGGTGTTTATAGTATTCACTGATGGTAGTTTGTATTTCTGTGGGATCGGTGGTGATATCCCCTTTGTCATTTTTTATTGCATCTATTTGATTCTTCTCTCTTTTCTTCTTTATCAGTCTGGCTGGTGGTCTATATATTTTATTGATTTTTTCAAGAAGCCAGCTCAGGATTTATTTTTTTAAGGGTTTTTCGTGTTTGTATCTCCTTCAGTTCTGCTCTGATCTTAGTTATTTCTGTCTTCTGCTAGCTTTTGAATGTGTTTGCTCTTGCTTCTCTAGTTCTTTTAATTGTGATGTTAGGATGTTGATTTTAGATGTTTCCTGCTTTCTCTTGTGGGCAATTACTGCTATAAATTTCCCTCTACACACTGCTTTAAATGTGTCCCAGTAATCTGGTATGTTGTGTCTCTGTTCTCATTGGTTTCAAAGAACATTTTTATTTCTGCCTTCATTTCGTTATGTACCCAGTAGTCATTCAGGAGCAGCTTGTTCAGTTTCCATGTAGTTGTGAGGTTTTGAGTGAGTTTCTTAATCCTGAGTTCTAATTTGATTGCACTGTGGTCTGAGAGACTGTTTGTTATATCTGTTCTTTTGCATTTGCTGAGGAGTGTTTTACTTCCAATTATGTGGTCAATTTTAGAATAAGTGTGATGTGGTGCTGAGAAGAATGTATATTCTGTTGATTTGGGGTGGAGAGTTCTGTAGATGTCTGTTAGGTCTGCTTGGTCCAGAGCTGAGTTAAAGTCCTGGATATCCTTGTTAATTTTCTGTCTCCTTGATCTGTCCAATATTGACAGTGGGGTGTTAAAGTCTCCCATTATTATTGTGTGGGAGTCTAAGTCTCTTTGTAGGTCTCTAAGAACTTGCTTTATGGATCTGGGTGCTTCTGTATTGGGTGCATATATATTTAGAATAGTTAGCTTTTCTTGTTGCATTGATCCCTTTACCATTATGTAATGCCCTTCTTTGTCTCTTTTGATCTTTGTTGGTTTGAAGTCTGTTTTATCAGAGACTAGGATTGCAACCCCTGCCTTTTTTTGCTCTCCATTTGCTTGGTAAATATTCCTCCATCCCTTTATTTTGAGCCTATGTGTGTCTTTGCACGTGAGATGGGTCTCCTGAACACAGCACACTGATGGGTCTTGACTCTTTATCCAATTTGCCAGTCTGTGTCTTTTAATTGTGGCATTTAGCCCATTTACATTTAAGGTCAATATTGTTATATGTGCATTTGATCCTGCCATTATTATGCTAGCTAGTTATTTTGCCAATTAGTTTATGCAGTTTCTTCATAGCGTTGTTGGTCTTTACGATTAGTTTTTTTTGTTTGTTTGTTTTTTTTGCAGTAGCTGGTACCGGTTGTTCCTTTCCATGTTTAGTGCTTCCTTCAGGAGCTCTTTTAGGGAAGGCCTGGTGGTGACAAAATCTCTCGGCATTTGCTTGTCTGTAAAGGATTTCGTTTCTCCTTCTCTTATGAGGCTTCGTTTGGCTGGGTATGAAATTCTGGCTTGAAAATTCTTTTCTTTAAGAATGTTGAATATTGGCCCCCACTCTCTTCTGGCTTATAGGGTTTCTGCTGAGAGATCCACTGTTAGTCTGATGGGCTTCCCTTTGTGGGTAACCTGACCTTTCTCTCTGGCTGCCCTTAACATTTTTTCCTGCATTTCAACCTTGGTGAATCTGACCATTGTGTGTCTTGGAGTTGCTCTTCTCGAGGAGTATCTTTGTGGTGTCCTCTGTATTTCCTGAATTTGAATGTTGGCCTGCCTTGCTAGGTTGGGGAAGTTCTCCTGAATATTATCCTGAAGAGTGTTTTCCAACATGATTCCATTCTCCCTGTTACTTTCACGTACAGTGATCAAACATAGATTTGGTCTTTTCACATAGTCTTATACTTCTTGGAGGCCTTGTTCATTTCTTTTCTCTCTTTTTTCTCTAACCTTGTTTTCTCGCTTTATTTCACTGAGTTGATCTTCAATCTCTGATTCAATCACTTCAATCACTTCATCGATTCAGGTATTAATTCTTATGTATGCTTCATGAAGATGTAGTCCTCTGTTTTTCCGCTCCCTCAGGCCATTTTTGTTCTTCCCTAAAATGGGTTCTTCTAGTTCGCAGTTCCTGTAACCTTTTGTCAAGGTTCTTAGCTTCCTTGCATTGGGTTAGAACATGCTCCTTAGCTCAGAAGAGTTTGTTGTTACCCACATTCTGAAGCCTACTTCTGTCAGTTTGTCAACCTCATTCTCTGTCCAGTTTTGTGCCCTTGCTGGAGAGGAGTTGCAATCATTTGGAGGAGAAGAGGCATCATTTGGAGGAGAAGTTGCGATCATTTGGAATTTTCTGGATTTTTGCACTGGTTTTTCCTCATCTTCATGGATTTATCTACCTTTGATCTTAGAGGCTGATGATCTTTGGATGTGGTTTCCGTCTGGGGGTCCTTTTTGTTGATGTTGATGTTATTGCTTTCTGTTTGTTAGTTTTTCTTCTAACAGCCAGGCCCATCTTCTTCAGGTCCACTCCATACCCTGTTCGCCTGGGCATCACCAGTGGATGCTGCAGAACAGCAAAGATTGCTTCCTGCTTCTTCCTCTGGAAGCTTTGTCCCAGAGGGGCACTGGCCTGATGCCAGCCAGGGCTGTCCTGTATGAGGTGTCTGTGGACCCCTGCTGGGAGGTCTCTCCAAGTCAGGAGGCACAGGGGTCAGGGACCCACTTGAGGAGGCAGTCTGTCCCTTACCAGAGCTCAAGCACTGTGCTGGGAGAAACCTCCTTGTCAGGATCTATCCTCTCTTCAGAGACGGCGGGCAGGAACATTTAAGTCCACTGCAGCTGCACCCACAGCCACCTCTTCCCCCAGTTGCTCTATCCCAGGGAGATGGCAGTTTCATCTATATGCCCCTGACTGGGCCTCTGCCTTTCCTTCAGAGATGCCCTGCCCAGTGAGGAGGAATCTAGAGAAGCAATCTGGCCACAGCCACTTTGCCAAGCTGTGATGAGTTTCACCCATTCCGAGCTTCCAGACCTCCTTAACACTGTCAGGGGAAAACCACCTTCTCAAGCCTCAGTAATAGTGGATGCCCCTCCTCCCACCAAGCTCCGATAGTCCCAGGTAGACATCAGACTGCTGGGCTGGCAATGAGAATTTCAAGCCAGTGCTTCTTAGCTTGCTGGGCTCCATAGGACTGGGACCTGATGAGCAAGACCACCTGGTTCCCCGGATTCAGCCCCCTTTCCAGGAGAGTGAACAGTTGTGTCACACCGGGTTCCAGGTGCTACTGGGGTACCAAAAAAACATAAAACTCCTGCAACTAGCTCAGTGTCTGCCCGAACAACTGCCCAGTTTTGTGCTTGAAACCCAGGGCCCTGCTGATGTTGGCACAAGAGGGAATCTCTTGGTCTGCAGATTGCAAAAACTGTGGGAGAAGCGTAGTATCTGGGCCAGATAGCACAGTACCTGACAGCTTCCCTTGGCTGGGGGATGGAGATTCCTAACTCCTTACACTTCACGGGTAGGCGATGCCCCACCCTGCTTTTGCTCACCCTCCATGGGCTGCACCCACTGCCTAACCAGTCCCAATAAGATGAACTGGGTACCTCAGTTGGAAATGCAGAAAGTGCTTGCCTTCTGTGTTGGTCTCGCTGGGAGTTGCAGACCAAAGCTTTTCCTATTACGCCATCTTGCCAGATCCCCGCAACCATCCCATATGAATTTTAAAGTAGTTTTCTTCTAATTCCGTGAAGAATGTCATTGGTAGTTTAATAGCAACATCACTGAATCTATAAATTTCCCTGGTCAGTTTGGCCATTTTGAAAATATTGCTTCTTCCTGTTCACGAGCATGGAATGTTTTTCCATTTGTGTCATCTCTGATTTCTTTGGGCAGTGTTTTGTAGTTCTCATAGTGGAGATTGTTCTCCTCCCTAGTTAGCTGTATTCCTAGGTATTTTATTCTTTTTGTGGCAATTGTGAATGGGATTGTGTTTCTGATTTGGCTCTGTGCTTGAAGGTAGTTGGTGTACAGAAACACTCCTGGTTTTTGTACATTAATTTTGTATCTTGAAGCTTTCCTGAAGTTGTTTATAAGATCAAGGAGCTTTTGGGCAGAGATTCTGGGATTTTCTAGGTATAGAATCACATGGTTTCCAAACAGATTGTTTGACTTGTGTGAAAAACATAGTGGAGTAGAAGCAAACACGTGTCAGCAATGGAATAGAAAAATAAAAGTGCCCATGAATAAATTTAATTTGAATGTGAAGAACTAATATGAAGCAAATAACACAGTCATTGTGTGGGATATGTTAAAAGACTTGAGGAATTGAGGAGTGGCTTTTTTTTGATAGAGAGATTCTAAAATAGGAAGATGGCTATTGTCCCAGAGTTAACATGTAATATAAAAATAATAACTAGTATCTCAACAGGAATATTTTAGCACCTGATCAAATGATTCTGAAGTTCATCTGAAAGACCAACGTGTCAGAATTGATAGAAAAGGAGAAATCAATGAGGGAGGGCAAGCATTATTTCACATTTCAAATATAATTTAAGCTACAGCAATTAAAATAGTGTAGTAGTGGTACAGGTATAAACAACTCAATGGAAGAAAATTAAAAGAAGAGAGTTACATACAAAATTGAGTGGGGATGTAGGTGATGATAAAAGAGCCATTTCAAAACAGTGGGTGCAACAGGGATTCAACAAATAATGTTGAGTTCCTACCACTTTAATTTTGTCCAGATGGATCAAAGATTTTGAACGTACAATAATGCAACCAAAAACTATGAATGTCTTATATTGGAATGGGTTAGACAATTGCAAGCATGACAGCAAACTCGTGAAGGAGGCAAGAAAATGATTTATGGAAGCGTATATAAAACAGATATTAAAATATTTAAGATTTATTTCTATGATGGTGAAGTTTTCTGAAACACATTATTAGAGTAACCTGGGGCTCATATTCTCCAAAGCCACTGGAAGTGAAAGAAAGGGTGGGCGGGGGAAAAAGAAAAGTGCTTTGCAAGTTCATTTTCGTTGTCAGGAGCGCTGGTGGTTTAGGTTCTCCACAGACGCAGGAAAACATCAGTCACGAGGCGAATGTCCCAGTCAGTGTGCATGCTGCACAGACCTGTTGCTGCACTTGTCTGTTGTTACGCATGTCTGTTGCTACACGTGTCTGTTGTTGCGCATGCGCCTTGCTGCCCGCCTTCTGTCCACACACAGCTCTGCAAGGAGAGTGTCTTCATTCTTTCCGCCATCTTGATTCTTTGTCACTGACCGAGACTCAGCCGGTAGGTCCGCAGAGCGGTCTTCCTGGGAATTTAGTTGTGGGTGAATGTGTGGAGGAGCCAGCTGGCTTTGGACAGGTCCTGCGGCACAGTCCGTGGCTTCCGAGGGAAAAGGGCCTCGCGGTCGTCGTCCGGCCCCTCCCAGGTCGGGATGCCACCGTGGGACTTGTCGTCGTGGCTGGGCTGGGACGAGGGACGAGGGAGGAAGGTGGGCCACAGAGGGGAGGGATCGCGTGAAGATGGGGCGAGTGCTGGGGGTGCTGTTAGAGGTGTCTGAGTCTCGAAAACTCCTGGAACCCTCTGAGAGAGGACAGTTTCCAGACTCCTCGGTAGGGACGCGGGAAGAGACCATGTGGTCAGTAAGGAAGGGGCCTGGGAACTGGGAACGCTGTGGGCCGGTGACTGTGGCCCCGAGGTCTGTAGAGTGCCTGGCAGAGGTGTCCCGTGAGGAGCATAACGTTCACTCTGTTTCACAATTTCTCACCTCCGCCATGGACGCCATGGAAGGAATGGGCGAGGCTGTGCTTTCCAACAAGACTTGATTTTGAGAGAGGTGTGGGGGTGAAATGGGCCTAGCAAATCAGAGTGGGACAAAAGCAGTAGTCATTTCAGTTTCAATTCTCTGCCCTTTTTTCCCCCAAATGTCTTCATGATGGAGAGTCTAATTGTGAAACCAAAACGCAGAAATGTCCTCTGTCTTTTGCTATGGCGTTAAGGGGATTTCTATGCCTCTTCGACTATGATACAAACAAATCTGTCCTTAGTTTGATTGGAAAGCGTGGGTACTTATCAATGCTCTGTGAATTACGTTGAAAATATTTTCAAAATTAAAAAAATACAAATCACCATTTTGCCATGGAATGTTCATATATATAGCTAAGTTCTTATACACTTTTTCCAAATAACAGTATTCTATTTTCAGTGGGAAATATGAGTGAGCATGTGAGAACAAGATCCCAATCCTCAGAAAGAGGAAATGACCAAGAGTCTTCCCAGCCAGTTGGATCTGTGATTGTGAGTCCTTTAACATTTGATGTTTCCTATTAACACAATTTATTTTAAGAAATATTTTTGAGCTAGTGTACACGCACTGATACAGGTGTTCCATGCTGATAAAAAATGATGATGGCATCTCATGAAGGAAACGTTGGTTCAGGAATATTATATTCTGGTGTTACCTGTATGGATATGGATATTTCTCTCTCTCTCTCTCTCTATATATATATATGTGTGTGTGTGTGTATATGTATATATGTATATATGTATGTATGTATGTATATATGTATGTGTATATATGTATGTATATACGTATGTATGTATATATACATATATGTATATACATATATATGTGTTTATATATGTTGGAAAAATGTCTTTAGATGTGTGATTCGATGCACATATGCATTTGTGTATTTATATTATTGACTTTTTATTCACACACACACTTACACCCTTAGGTCCAGGAGCCCACTGAGGAAAAACGTCAAGAAGAGGAACCACCAACTGATAATCAGGGTATTGCACCTAGTGGGGAGATCGAAAATGAAGGAGCACCTGCCGTTCAAGGTGAAGGGAGAGTGGAGAATAATGCTTATGGGTGGTGGAGGTCTATTTATGCATTGTATTTTATGACATACCAGTAACAGGAGGACAGAAAGCATTAGGAAGGAATCTTAAACATTTCCTACTGCTGCTGTGTGGAGGGGTGGGACAAGGACGCATAAAAAGCCACTAAGCTTTCCTACCACTTTGACGGAGGCTTTTTATTGATTGGGTATTTTCATGGTTGCCATAAACCTTTTTCCAGAGCTCCTGTATGCTTTGTTCAGCCATTTTCTGTTTTTTGTTGCTGTGGAAGAATGGCAGCTTGCAGCTTCCTAGTCTGCCATCTGTGGACACGTCATGTATTTTTTAAGAAACTTTTTAACACACCTTTATTGATGCTTCCTCATACCACGTAATATACTAAGTGCTGGAGATGTCAGTGCCAAATTTTTGCCTAAAGCTCATAGTCTAGTCAGATTGACTCAAACAAATCGCTGATTTAATGTGATAAGAATAAGAACAAATGAGTACAAAAGGGACAAGTAAGTTGTCTAGGGCCAGCCTTGGGAAAGGAAAGGGCAATGTTTGAACATCTCTGCTTTCCTGTTTTCCTGGCAGCAGATTCCTGAAATAATTAGCCTACAGGTTTTTACTTCATAATGATGAGGGAATAAATATTATCATTTCCTTGTTCATAGTTCATGTTTTAATTTGTAAACTGATGACCTTTTTATCTTTTAAGGGCCTGACATGGAAGCTTTTCAACAGGAACTGGCTCTGCTTAAGATAGAGGATGAGCCTGGAGATGGTCCTGATGTCAGGGAGGGGATTATGCCCACTTTTGATCTCACTAAAGTGCTGGAAGCAGGTTTGTTATTCATTTAAGATGCAAACTATTGTATTTCTATTTTCACAGTATTTTGTGTGACACAGAGGTAAAATTACTGCTACTTTAATATCATACTTCACGTCTGAAGGTTCTTTGAATGTAGTTCAGACCCCAAATGGCTGCCTTACACACTATCAGGGATAGAGGGCCAGGTGTGGTGGCTCATGCTGTTAATTCCAGCACTTTGGGAGGCCGAGACAGAAAGATCACTTGAGGCCAGGACTTCCAGAGATGGAGAAAAATTGGGTCAAAGCTAATTGGATTACGATATGAAAGATATGAAACATGCTAAAACAGTAGATTTCAAGTGTCTTCACAGCTATATGAAGTAATGCATATATTAATTAGCTTGATGTAGCCATTTTACAATGTGTATATATATATATTTAAAACGTCATGTTTTACATGATAAATATATACAATTTTATGTGTCATTTTTAAAGAAAGATGAAAACGTGTTCTGACTTTTAAATGTAAGTCATTTTACCAACAGCCAATAATTTTCAAATATTTTTATAGAGGCCTGTTTTTAACAAATACATAACATGTTTATAATAAGCATCAGTTTATATTGTGATGTTAACTGTGTTGGTAATGGCTTAAAGCTAGCGTGGATATTCAGTTTACTGTATAAACTGAACTGCTTGTAGGCATGTAAAGAGGCAGGAGTACCCGTGAAAATAGTGACAAATGTTCGCCCTACTTAAAGCAACTACATGATGGCTACACTAGTCCAAAGTAACGTTTTTACACTTTTTCACAAGAGAGACAAAACAAATGTAATACTGACTTTTCTATTTCCTTCACTTAGGCCGTTCTAAGCATATTCTATATTCAGAGTGTCATTTCATATCAGACTATTTAAATGATACTTTAAAATATCTTTTTCCCTTAGGATTTTATTTCGTTGAATTTTCATTTAAAGTATATGTGTTTTTTTTTTTTTTGCTTTCCACTTATACATACAAAATACACTTGATTTAATTCATTCTGAACTTGAACAGTCTCTTCGTTTCCTTATTCTACTAGAAAAAGTGGCATGAATTAAAAATATTGTTAATATGCCTGGAAGTCTACCTTCAGAGTTTATTCAGAGGCTAACTGGCTGTAAGCTAAAGGGTCACTCACCCTCAGGGTTCTGATATTAGTTCATCAACACGGTAGTTGTATACCTCTAGTGTCATATGAATAAAAATCTGCTGAGTAACGGGCCCTAATTTAATATTTATTTTATAGGTGATGCGCAACCATAGGTTTCAAGCAAGACAAATGAAGACTGAAACCAAGAACGTTATTCTTAATCTGGAAATTTGACTGATAATATTCTCTTAATAAAGTTTTAAGTTTTCTGCAAAGAATCCTTACACAGTTTTGTTAAATTTATTTCTGGATCTTTAATACTCTTGAGAATTGTATCTT